>NC_000010.11:42066265-44923316 GCF_000001405.40 Homo sapiens | reverse complement strand
AAAAAGAGAGAGAGAGAGAGGCACAACAGCCCCAGCTGGTTCAGCATTGCACAGGACAAATGATGGAAGAAGTTATCTTTGACATTCCAGCTCCAGCAGATGTGACATAGACTGGAAGTGATGGACCCAGACAACAATCAGAACCAAAGCACCAGATGAGCCACCTCAGCCACGTGAGCCATGCCAGCCACCCTACCTGTGACCCCATCTGTGGCCCCAGTTATCATGGAGTAGAGGTGAGCCGCCTCCACTGAGTTCTGCCAGAATTTCCGAATCACAAAGTTTTGAGTATAATCAAATGATTGTAGCCTTACATCACTACGTTTTAGAGTGGGCTGTTATGCAGCCATGCAAGGTTAACTGGAAAAGCAGCTAATTCAGTCATCTAGCCACCTGAGGTTTTTGGCATAGAAGTCTCTGTGTCTGGCCTGACGCCTTAGAGTAAACATTATATTGTGACTCCTCAGGAGTAAGCATTTCTGGGTCCTGCAGCACCTGCCCCATAGCCTTGGAGATTCAGGCTCCTAGGAATACAGATGGTGTCTGGGGACTTCCACTGGGTCATGGAATCCTATTGGTGGTTTTATAACTTAAGACTTCATAGAGGATCTGTGGAGGAGAATCCTGTATCATCCAAAGCAGGTCCCTCCCACAGTTGCATTTTGCAAACATTCCCAGTAGAAAAAGTAAAGAAAGCAAGAAGTGAGATTCCTTGCTGCAGGAATTTTGTGAACCGTATCCAACACTCACCCCAGAGAGCCATGTTGGGACTGGCTGTGGAAGCTCCTAGCCTGGTGTGCTAACTGGACTGTACTGGGAACAAAATATTTTTGGAAGGTATCACAGTTCCACATGACATAGATATAGGACCCCAAAGTGTTTTCACACAGGGCCTGGAGTTTCCCAAAAGTTTTTTTTCCAGGGGACTGTTCTCCAGAATTGGCAGGAGGTGAACATGAAGTGTGGCCTGAAATTTAGTGGGGGCTTGAATGAAGAATGGGATTGTCACAGGTAAGAAGGAGCTCCTCTCCAGTCTGCTGAGCGTCTGTTCCCGGAGACTGCACAGGTGGGCCCCCGCCCTCTCAAAGGCCTCACTTCAACCTGTGGATGAGGACAGCCCACTCCTTGTTTTGTGGAATTGGACCTTAGGTTTCTGCCAGGTTTCAGATTTAGGCGGGGCTCTCTGTTAAACACAAAGAAGTTATGGCACCCGGATAACTAGGAGCAGAGTGGGCCCAGAAGGACACCAGGGCTCAAAATTAGGGAGGCACACCTCCTAAAATTACAGAGGTGCTCATTCATTAAGGAGGTGTTCTCCCTAAGACTAAGAAGATATTTGCCATTAAATTAAGGAGGTGTTCTACAATGAAGGAGGTGCTCCTCTTAAAATTAAGGGGGCCCTCATTGTAATTTAATGTGGCCTTCAGTCTAAGCCCAAGGTGGTACTCCCTCCCTCAGGCGCAGTGTAGGCCCTTCGTGGGCCCTGAGAGTGGTAGCTCTGGCCCTGGCATCTAGAGATTTGGGAGGCCCAGAGTCTGAGGGCTTCTAGCTCCTCTTGGAATTTAGCCTGCGCTCTGGCCTTCCATACTTCTCACAGGGCAGTGGGGCTGGTGTCTTGGAAGCTCTGCCTTCACAGGGTGCTAGTCCAGTGTGGAAGTGGTTGGCCTGAATCAGCAACTCACTGGAACAGATACCCCCAGGGCATTACCCTGAGCTGGGACCAGGGACTGAAGAGCTGATTTTTGGATTAGCTGATCAATGATCAGGAGCCAATCAATGGAGACAAACAATGGGACAAAGGCCCTGCTACCCGCAGAATCAGAGCCTCATGACACCAAATTCTCTACAAGAAATAATCGCCCTGAGATGTGCTTCAGTCCGGCTGTGCTGTCTTTCCTGCCCAGGTGGAGGGGCAAGGGAACACTGAACAGCACTGCTTGACACGGCCATTAGTGGCCTTTGACTCCTTCCATCCCTCCCTATTATCCCACCTCAGGCTCCCCAGCTACTCTCACCCCAGCCCAACAGAGGTACCTTATGCCCACTCCAGCACAGCTCACCCCACGCCTCTGTCTCACTCCCTGCATGATCCCAGGAGGTGCCTTGCATCGCACCTTGATGGAGCCATTCATGGACAAGCCTGGCCTCTCTCATCTTGTTAGCTCCTTCCCTCCAGTCTCTGTCCCTCCTGTGTGGGCCAGATCCAACCTTGGTACAAGAACTTTCTTCTCTCAGGGTCCAGGGCTTGCTTCTGTGTTGCTTTCCTGAGCTGTTTGTTGTAGTTCAGGCTTAGCAGAGATCAGAGATCCTGGGCCAAGAGCCTGTGGTACAGCCCTGGGCAGGGCAGCCACTGTGTGAGTATCCTTCTCATCCTGGAGCTCTGGTCTCAGCATGGGTTGACGAAAGCTAGGAGGGGGCTGCACCAGAGCAGAAAGAATATGGGGCCTGCATCAGAAAAGCTGAGTCCTGCATCCTCAGGAAAGTGATTAACTCTTTGGTCTGCATCTTATTCTGGAAAATGGGGAAAATAAAAACATGCAAAATGGTGCCGACCACTGCTCAGTCTAAGTAAATGAGAGTGCTGCACAAATGCAGACGATGGCTAGGAAAGCTATTATAAGAGGCAGGCGGTTCCCATCAGTATTCTCCAGTGGAAGGAGAGGGTTTATTCTCATCCTTTGCTCCCATTAACACACTTGTGGGTTTTTTTGTGGCCAAAAAGCTGTTCCCTGTGCACCAGTGTTGCTTGTTGTTCACTAATTTACTTTGAGGTCCCTTCTCAAAGCCCAGTTGGGATATAAGTGACCCAAACTCCCATCTATCTCCACATCTCTTGTATTAGCCCTCCATAACCCTGCTAGGGTCCCCACGGGGCTCAGGCCAGCATGTTCCTGAGGCTGGGGCCATCTGCGGGGCTGCCTACTGAGGGGATATTCCCCTGGCCTCAGGCTGCTGCTGCTTTTGCCATAGGGCTGACCTCATGATCCACTGTTGCTTATCCGTTCTGACTCCATGGGTTGAATTGTGACATATGTCTTGCATTTATTGTGATGCCCTTGGTGGTAACATGGGACGCTTCACAGTCATCAGAGGCCACACTAACCTTGGCACTGGATGCCCTGGGCATTGGATGAGAATTTTGTACTCACTGTTGCTGAGGGCAGCCTCCGAACCCACCGCGTATATTTATTGCTTCTTTTCATTCTCATCTCCTGCTGGACTCAGGGTGTCCAAAGACACCTCAGGGAAAGACGCTCCAGGCTGATGACAATGGGCGTGGATGGTCCAGGAGAGGTGGTCACCGCCAGGGTAGAGGTGAAAAGCTAGATTTGTACCATTTCCAAGACTATGGAGTTGCTGGAAACAGTTGCTGTGAATTCACTGGGACAGTAAGGTAGTAGCCACAGGCTTCTTAGCTCAGAAGTTGTGGCAAACAGTAAGCATGGTGGGGAGGTTTACCTACGTGTGGAGATCAGTTCAGCTGATATACATGAGCCAGGGTTCAGAGACAGTGTGGGAAAAGGGAAGGATTTCATGGCAGATATTTCTGGACATTCAGTTGGAAGAGACTTCAGATTGAGCTCCTATTGAAACTGTATAGCAATTTGGGGGAGAACTGATGTCTTAACGATATTGAGCCTTCTGACCCATCAACAAGATGCATCTCCATTCATTTAGATTTTCTTTGTTATCTCTCAGCAATGTTTTCTAGTTTCTAGTGTAGTTTGTTTTACATCTTTTGTCAGATTTATCCCTAAATATTTCGGATTTTCAATGCTATTATAATTTGTATTTTTAAAGATTTCATTTTCTAATTGTTTGTTGCTAATGTATGGAAATACAGTTGATTATTATATATTAAGCTTGTCTTCTGCAATGTTGCCATTCCCTCCATTAGCTCAAGTAGCTTTTGGGGTAGATTCTATTAGATTTTCTACAGATGATAACGTCATCTGTGAATAAAATTTTTCTTTTTCCTGGACAATCTGTATGCATTTTGTTTCTGTTTCTTGCACTGGCTAGAACCTCCAGTACAATGCTGACTGGACGTGGTAGAGTGGACACCCTTGCCTTGTTCCTAATCTTAGGAGGAAGCACCTGGTCTTTTACATTTAAGTAGATGTATGTTTTCTGTAATGACCTCTTAAGGTTGAGGGAGTTTCCTTCTGTTACTAGTTTGCTGATGATAGTTTTATTTTAATCATAAAAGAATGTTGGATTTCGTTTAAAACTTTGTGTCTATTTAGATGATAATATGGTTTTTCTTTTTTAGTTTTTAAATATGATGTCTTAGTCCATTTCGGCTGCTATAACCAAATCCCATATACTGGGTACCTTATAGACAACAGAAATTTATTTCCTACAGTGCTGGAGGCTGGGAAATGCAAGATCAAGATGCTGGCAGATTTGGTATCTGAGGGACCCCTTCCTTATAGAAAACTGTCTTCTCACTGTTACCGCACATTGTATGATAGAAGGGCCTAGGGAGCTCTCTCAGGTCTCTTTTATAAGGGCATTATTTCCATTCAGAGAAGGCCCTACCTCCTAATACAATCATGTTGGGTGTTAGGATTTCCACATATGAATTTGGCTGGGGGGACACAAACATTTAGTCCATAACACATGGTAAGTTACATTAATTGATTTTTCAAATATTAAAACAACCTTGCATTTCTGAGATGAACTCCACTTGATTATGATATATCATTCTTTCAATATATTTGTATTTGTTAAAACTTTGCTTAGAATTTTTGCATCTATATTGAGAAGAATATTAGTCTATAGTTTTCTTGTAATATCTTTGGTTTTGGTATCCACATAAATACTAATTTTATAGAATGAGTTGAGAAGTATTGCCTCCTTTCAAATTTCTGGAAGAGTTTGTGTGGAATAGATATTTCTTCCTTAAGTGTTGGTAGAATTCACCTGTGAGGCCATCTGTGCTGATACCCCACTCTTTGGTGATGAGGAAGGACTCTGCAGACCCATATGGTTCATTGGCACTACTGAGGATAGTGTCTCCCACGTAGAATAGCATCTCCCTTGTAAGTACCCTGGTATGGTTTGGCTGTGTTCCCACCCAGATCTCATTTTGAATTCCCACCTGTTGTGGGAGGGACCAGCAGGAGGTAATTGAATCAGGGGGGCAAGTTTTTCACGTGTTGTTCTCGTGATAGTCAATAAATCTCAAGAGATCTGATGGTTTTAAAAAGAGGAATTCCCCCACACAAGCTGTCTCTCCTTGCCTGCTGCCATCCATGTAGGATGTGACTTGCTCCTCCTGGCCTTCTACCATGATTGTGAGGCTTCCTCAGCCACATGGAACTCTAAGTCCAATTAAACCTCTTTCTTTTGTAAATTGCCCAGTCTTGGGCATGTCTTTATCAGCAGTGTGAAAACAAACTTATACAGGCCCACAGGAGAAATTTCTTTTAGGTCTCAATGTCAGGGAGAACCGAGGTATTCACTTCCTATTCCTTCTCAGTGTTCAGGGAGAATGCATCTGCTCACTCATCCACATGGCAGGTTTCCAGAAAGCATTGTCCATGCTCCCATTGTTCTCTGTCCATTCCACACACATCAGGCTTCTTCATCTGACCCTTACCTGGTCTCCTGGGGGTTTCCTGAGCCCCTTCTTCACAGTGTCAGCCACTTATGTCAGACAACATTTCTTTTTGTTCACAGCCCTCTTCAGAAGGCTGAATAGAACCCAGGACAATCTTGAAAGAGCTGTCATCCCATGAAAAATAAAACAGGGCTGCCATCTTTCCTCTGGTTGGCTTACTATATGTGGTGTAGAAATAGCCAAGTTCCTGTGGGCTGATCTTCACAACCCAAGCTCAGAATGTGATGGGAAATGTTTCCCAGTATAATGCTCTTTACAGTGTAGCCCCTTCCTCCTTCCAGCCTCATGAGTCACATACTGCTTTGCTCCTTTCCTCGGATCTTCCTTCTTCTTCCTTCCAACAAAAGGAGCTGATAACTCATGCTACACAGTTCCATGCCCTGCACGTTCCTCTAAAATTAGCCCATGCTGAGTGAGAATCTATGTGCCAGGCAGCTTGCTACTTTAGCCATTGTTTCATTGAGCCCTCACAACTCCAGAGGGTAGATACAGTGATTGTCCCAGGACACAGACCCACCTCCCAAACACTACGCTGCAGTGCTTGGTGCTCGGATGTGCACTTACTAGTTTGCTTCTCTGTCCAGCCCATACACTCCCACAGGGCAAGGTCTTGCCATTCTAATCCATGTGTCTATGCTGCATGACTGGGGACTCAGGACTGGGGATGCAGGACTGGACTGCATCCTGCATCTTGGGGTCATCAAAATACTATGGGACATGCTTTTTAATCCTGATTCAGGTGGAGGAAATAGCGATTAGGAGTGGAGTCTCAGGAGCAGATCACTGGGGACTCAGCAACAGTTTGCCAAGTAAATGAAACCTAATTGAAGTTTCAGATTTCTTGTTATAAATCTAGAAGCAAGGCACAGGCACAAAGTTGTGAAAAAAGAAATGTTTGAACCAAATCCTATTGCCTGTTGGTGGTAGGTGGGGGGAACAGAGGGAGGCAGATTCCATTTACTTGTGGAGCCAATTGTAACAGAAAAGGAAAACAGTCAACATTCACTTGGAAGGTCTGAAAATACAATGTGGGCTCACTTGGGTGATAAATCTCTTGCGAGGCGTTGGAGTGCATGACACTTTCTTAAACAGCAGGAGGTGGTCATGGGGATATACATGTAAGAGGGGTAAAATTAGCATGGAGGGCCCAAGATGGCTGCTTCAGAAGCATTTGTTTTCCTGAAGGCTTTGAACAGGGCTAAGGTCAAACTATGCATTTGCTCTATCCTTTAAAATATAATGAGAACAGCTGGGTTTTAAATACTTCTTTTCTCCTAATGTACATTAATAAGCCAATGCTCTAACTGTGTGGGAAGCATGGGAGCAGTTGAAAATGTGGCTGTGTCCATTATATAGAGAAACAGGTTAATGGGTCAAAACCTGGAACAAAATAAAACCCCTCAGTGATTCCAGGTTGATTCCAAGCACTCAATTTGTGAGAAACAGCACGTCAGCCTGACAAGCAGAGTTCACTCAGAATGGCTTTGCCTCCATCCCCTCATGCCCTGCTGGCTCTGCCATGCCCTTTGCTTTGGAGCTGCCATAACACAGCCCTGTGTTTGGGCAGAGTGGAGTTCTAACACCGGACCTCTGTCTCCTGGCCATGTGACCTCTGCCAGGTTACCTCAATGTTCTGAGCTTCAGTTTCCTCATTTGTAAAATAGGACTGAGCCCAGCACTCTAGCGTCTCAGGCATTTGTGGGGCTGGAGCGAGACAATGACCATAATGCATGCAGTCAGCCCTGCACCTCTGGACCCATCAAGGCAAGCCCTACTGTGATAGTTCCCCCTGGAAATGTGTGCAGATTTGTCTGTCCCCAGATGGGTTCCAGGAGCAGATTTGGCTAGAGAAGGTCACGGTGGTGCTGGTTAAAGCATGTGTGGCAATCTTGAGATAGAGAATGGATAGCTGCAATGAATATCGGTGTCTTGAGATTTAGAAAGTGTTTGGTGATCCTTGACTATGTGCTTCACTGTACGTGTGTCCTCACCATGACCCCACCTGACTGATCAGAACTGACCAAGGGCAGGAGCATGAGGGTAGAGGATGGGGAAGTTCTGATCAAGCCTCTCCTGCTCTCCTCTGTGTGTTTTGCATCCTGCATCTTGGGGTCATCAAAATACTATGGGACATGCTTTTTAATCCTGATTCAGGTGGAGGAAATAACGATTAGGAGTGGAGTCTCAGGAGCAGACCATCATCAGGTGGAACTTTGTCTTCTTGCTTCCTGGTGTGAGACCCTGAGCAAGATGCTTCGCTCCATCAGGCCTCGGTTTCCCTTCCTGTACAGTGGGTATGAGGATGAACATGATGATGCTCCCAATGACAGGAGGATGAAATGCGATACTGCATTTAAAATACACAGTGCAAAGCTTGGGCTTTGAGTATTATTTGAGTAAATACTCAAATAATCATGTTCATTCTCAGCAACCTCTGCTCTGGGCAGAGGCTGGAAGAGTGAAATTCAGCCCTGGAGATGGGGCAGTGGGGCCTCAAGCTGGAGCCTCTTTGCTCTGAGGGAAATTGGGAGGCCTTGCTCAAGTGCCCAGAGACATTTTCTGAGCAAGCCTCTTATGGGGAAGCCCATGCACATCTGTGTGTGAGGACACAGCCTGAGGGGAGGGCTTTCACTACAAGGCGGGGCTCAGGGACATGTCTCCCCTTCCCTCCATGCCCAGCCTGGACGGCCTGAGAGGTGCCTCCTCTGTCCCACAAAGGGGGCTCTTCCCATGCTCTTCCTGGCCACCTCAGCAGGGGCTGGGGAGTGGCAAAGGAGTTATTCAAGATTCCCCTGAGGTTAAAGGGTAAGAGGATGGCTGAAGTTCAAAGGGAAGCCAACCCTGCTTTCCTAGCCTGCAACTGGGACCAATGCTGTGGGACAGGTCCTTTCTCATCTCACAGGGGAGGAGTGCCCTGGACCGCTGTGCTCCAGGCTCAGTTAAATCCATTTCCCAGGACCCCTTTCCTGCCATTTGGTCTGTGCTGAGAACCTGTCACAGGGCTGAGCCTCCTCTGGGGCCTGAGTCTCACACTCAGGACATCTTTACCCTGTCTCTAGTGGACACGGGGAGAACCTGCTTTGAGGGATGGACAGGCAGGAGCTCCGGCATCCGCACAGGGGAATGTGGAGTGCTCACAGCCTGTGTGCCATTTCCCAGCTGTGTCTGCTTCCATGGGCGGCAATGGATGCCGCGTCTCAGCAACTGAGGCACTTAGACATCACACGGGCGCATGCATGCACATGGACCCATGGGCGCCTGCCCCCCAACCCCACATCCTGAGCCAGGGAGGTGAAGCAAATGAACCCGGTGTAAACAATGCGGGAGTGGTCTGTTATGTCCTGGAAACCACATGACTGCTCCAGAGGGAGGGAATTTTCTAATTTTAGAAACACTTCCACCCAGGTGCAACTACCTGAGGCCTGTTTATCCCAATTTGGTGGTGGCAATGATCCGTCTGTGCTCTACAACCCCTCATGATATGGGGCTGGACACTGAGGTGGGGCAAGAATGGTCTGCGGGACTTCGAGGAATCCTAAGGAGGCTTCATCCAAAGGCTGTGGCTTCATCCACAGTCATAGGGCCTTGACATGCTGGCAGAGGCACCCACCAGGTGCCGTCAGTGCTTTTGACAGCCCTGATCCTGTCTGCAGGGGGTCCAGGGAAGAGGCTGCTAATGAGAGGCTGTAGCCTCTTAGCAGCTGCCTGGTCCCTGCAGGTGACACTCTGAGTGCCCTTGGGTCACATGTCTTCCTAGCTTTTAAGAAATCCACACTCCCCACCTCCCTAGGGTTTCTGCAAAGTGAGGCCCTCTATTTCCGGTCTTATTTCCTCTCTAGCAGCAGTGCCCTTGTAAATGAAGCCTGGATTTCTCAACAGAAGATTTCAACAAAAGAGAGGCTTAGGAGAATAAGGAATTTGCAAATCCTATGTACTGGAAATAGGCCAGGAGTTCAGTGATGCTGGAAGAAACTCGAGATTTGCCCAAGAACACCAAACCCCTCTCTCTAGCCTCCCACTCCCTCCCAGCACTCTAGAAAGCCCGAGCAAGATCATTTGAAAGCCTGGCCATTAGAAGGGAGCTCATGGCTATTTTTAGTCTGAATCTCCTATCAAAACCAAGAGGGAGGCCCATTCTCAGCATTAACAGCAGTCCCTGTGCGGAGATAAAGGCTGTGGTTAAGACGAGCCCTATGTGCGCGCGCACGGGTTTGTGTGTGTGTGTGTGTGTGTGTGTGCGTGCACATGGGAGTGTCAGGGGCTGCAGACTCTTCCGGTGACTGAGATAAATCAGACTGTTAAACTGTCTCTAGCTAATCCATTAGAAGGATAGGTACATACATCTTAGAACAGCCTCTCGACGGGAGGTGGGCCTCAGCTCTGGGTGGAGTGTGGCTGGGGGAACTGTGGGATTCTTGGCATTTTACAGATTTGGAAACCAAAGCCTAGAGGGAGCAGGGTGGACTCAGATCAACAGACATGGAAACCTATTTAGGGTGGCCTTCCTCTCCCCAGGATGGCTTTTTTGCTTGTTGGGGGTCTTGGCCATCATTCTCTTATGTGTAGACGACAACGTGGTTCTGAAAGTGGCTGGATCTGGCTCCTCCCTCAGTGCCTCCACTCAGAGCCTCAGCAGAGCAATTCTGAACCTCTTCCTGCTGCCTACTCTGGAAGACAGGGAAGGTTTTGGCCAGAGCCCTGGCCTTTGTGAAAGTTGAAGGACCAGGGCTCCGGGCTGGCTGTCCCTCTGACCATGACCTTGGGCAAGGTCACCACCTGCATTTGAGCTCAGGTGCCCCATCCTGTAGCAGGAGGGGTGGGGTTAAACCATCCAGCAGCCCTTCATGATCTAACTCATGGCCTAGATGCTGGAAGAGCCCACTGGCCAGCTCACGGCTGAACCCAGCCCAGTGCTCCTGAAATGACCCAGCTTCCCATTGAGCTCTGGAGTGTGTCATGGGGGCTTCTGCTGAGAGGTTTTCATCCTCAGTTCCACTTAGCCATGCTCAGTTCCTGCATCCTTAATCTGTCCAAACACCTGGCCAGCAGGTCCCCATCATACAGATCAGAAAGTGCAGCCTCAGAGGGGTCAGGGGCTCCCCAAGGTCATATATCACGCAAGTGACTAGGCTGGGGCAGGAACAAGCACTATGTGATTTTGACCTAGGAGAACTTTCCCATTTGGTAAGACCCGTGGGTAAGCTTTTGCCCAGTGGTGGGGAAGGGCTTTGATAGGGGGTGTGTCTCTCTTTGTCCCCAAGGGACAATGTGGCTCAGAGTTAAGGGCTCAGAATTCTGCCTGTTCATTTCCCCAAAACAGATCCTGGCTCTGTAGGGGGAATGGGGCTAAGGGTCAGGCCTGCCCTGGGGAAGCGAGCAGGCAGGGCTCAGGATGGTGGCTCTGGGCTCTGCTCTAACAGTCTGCCCTCCTGTCCAGTTGAGCAGCCCTGTGATTCTGCTGGGTGAAGGAAGGAGCCCAGCATCTCTGGGAAGCATCTCTGCTGCTAAGACCACAGTGCATTCCTGCAGTCAGACCTCAGACAGGGGTCTGGGTTCCTACAGGGTGTTCTGTTAACAGGGTCCAGCATGGGCCCGAGGGAAGCCTGTGATCTCCACGTCCAGCCAGGCTCAGCCTGTCCCTCCAGGGCAGAGCTGCTCATGACTGGGAGTTCTCTCTCCATGAGGTAGGGCTATGGTTTGAGTAAAGCAGGATGAGCTCAGTTGACCTTTTGTAGATACACAGCGAAGCCCAGCCCTTTCTATCTTCACCTTCTGTCTCCACCTCCATCTCATGACAACTCTCTGCGTAGGTGGGGTGGCCCCTGGAATCATTTTGCAGATGAGGATCTTGAGGCTTCCCAAGGTCACAGGGAGGGTGACTTGCCAAGCAAAGATCCAGCACCCAGCCCTCTGGTCCCCAGCCCTAGGCTCACCCCACTGCACTTGCTGCTGCTCTACAGAGCAGTGTTTCTAGGGGTCTTGGGAAAAAAATTGAAGCACAGAAGTGGCCAGATGTGCCTGCTGTCTCCTGGCCACCTCCCACCCCTCAGGCAGCCCTATCTGTGGTGCCAGTGTGCAAGGATCAGCAGCCAGGAGGCAGGGTCTTACCTGCAGCAGTGGTGATGCCCAGGAGCCGGCAGGTGTATTCCAGCCCAGTCCAGAACACCTGGAGCTGCATGGTGCCAGGGGTGAGGACAAAGTCCTGGCAGGGCAGGCAGCAAAGTCTTCGGCCCTGAGATGCTCCCGAACACCCTTGTGTAGGTAGGAGGCTGCTGGCTGTGGCTGCACACCGGGGCCCTGCCTTCCCAAACCAGTCCTGGCCACCGCAGCCTGGCCGAGGTGTGAATAGGGCTCACCTTCTGTGCTCTCAGCCCGTGCCCTTGCCAGGCACTCAGCTTAATCATTACCTTGGAAGAATGCTCCTGCTGCTCACACAACCCCAGCCTGGGCTGGAGCCGCTCAGCCCCAGCGCAGCCCAGCCGCCTGAGATCGGCGATTAGGGCTGGGCTGGAGGCAGTCTGGAGCTGGCAATTAACCGTTTCTGGCTGGGAGGAGGGAGCCAAGGAGTGGGCCAGGCCCTTCCTCACCAAGCCATGCCTAGAAAGTCACACCTGGATTTCACACTTGCTGGGGGCCTGTAGTGTCTGGCTCTGGAGGGGACAGTGCTCTTGCAGGTCTGTGCTTATGTGCATATGGGAGAGAGGAGTGTGTCTTTAAATCACCAGTAGAAACAACTTTTGAAATGAGTTCCAAGCTTTATTCTTCTGCGTATAGGTGGATTAGAAAGCTTTTCAAATCTGTCCCGGATTTGGACTCTGACTAGACATACTTAGCTCAGGCCCCGCCACGCAGAGGCCTTCCTTCCTCATTAACATGCATCCCAACATGGGACGTGGGAAATCATTTTGATTCTTTGTTTTGCGAGGGGAGTTGCTATGTCAATAATTAACCGGGTGACCTTGGGGAAACCCAAAGGCATCTGTGAGCCTTGGTAACTTTTGCAGAAAATAAATGTGAAGTTTTGGCTGAATTGGTGTTTTTGATGTACTTGGAGTGTCCCTGTAGCTGTTTCAAGGAGCCCAGCCTTTACACTTGGACAGTGGTGGGCTTTCCCTCATTCTTAATTTACTAACGGATGTGCTAGATTGAATGGTATTAAGATTTATCTCTCAGGTGTTTTTCTGAAATCTTTTACCCCTTTGCTCATATAAGATAGAAAACAAAACAACCAAATAAGGAAAAAAACTCCAAGCAAACCCAATACACATGCTCCTCAACTTATGATGGGGTTATGTCCCAAAAAACCCATCAGACATTGAAAATATTTTAAGTTAAAAATGCACTTAATCCAACCAACCTACTGAACATCAGAGCTTAGCCTGGCCTACTTAAATGTGCTCAGAACACTTAGTTTATGGTTGGGCAAAATCATCTAACACAAGGTTTATGTTATAAAGTGTGGAGTAGCTCATGTAAGAATATATTGTAGGGCATGTTGCTAGCCCAGGAAAACATCAAAATCCAAAATTTAAAGTACAATTTCTACTGAATGTACATCATTTTCACACCATCCTAAGTTGAACCATGGAAAGCCAAGGTCTGCCAATAATAACGGAAAACTCAAGAACAATTAGTTTGGCCCTTCCCTCCCCTCCCTTCCCCTCCCCTCCCTCCCCTTCTCCTTCCCCTTCCCCTTCCTTTCTTTCCTCTTTTCTTTTTTTTTTTTTTTTTGAGACAAGGTCTTGTCTGTTGCCCAGGATGGAGTGCAGTGGCACAATCTTTGTGGCCTCAACCTCCCAGGCTCAGGCGATCCTTCCACCTCAGCCTCCTGAGTAGCCGGGACCACAGGTGTGCACCATGCCTGGCTTGCATGTTTCTTGCTTGAGGATGATACACCCTCAACATATATAATGAATAGATATTTTTTGCTATTAAAATTATTTTAATTTGATTGATTAATTTGATCAAGAATCATGGCATTCCATAAAGATTACCGTTTTTTGTATTTTTCCGCCTTGAATGAGTTTAGGAACTTCTGTGCTCGTGTGATCTTCAAGATCAAGTTTATGAGTGTATGATTTACATATTTATTTCCTGGGTTAGTTGTTTTCTATTAGCAGACTATCAACTTCAATCTTCTTAAACTTTGACATATCTTGACACCACACACACCCACTCCCCCAAATGCAGGTGTTCCGGTCTCTGTGGCATATGCTGAATTGCACAGATGGAGCTGCGGGGGCTGGGCTTCAGCAGCGATGGCAGCTCCCTGTCCTTTAGGAACCCTTGATTTGCATGGGTCGGGAAGCTCTGGCTGGCCCACAGTGCTCACTTGCTTCTTGCTGGCCAACAGCCACTTATTTTTTTTTGTATCTGATGGTCACCTGCTCAGAAGATACGAATTCCTTCCGGGCCTGGCTTGGCAGGGACTGTTCAGTCCACAGGTTAGTCTACTGTCTCCCTTTCCCAGAGACTACTTTAGGAATGAGAGGGTGTGACCCAGTTCTGGTCAAATAGCCCAGACAGGGTGTGTGCTGAGGAGCTTCTGGGAAAGCCTCTCTTGCTTTTAACAAGAGGGAGAGGACCAGCTGCACTCCCTCCCTTTGGATGCACCTGCTCAGGGTGGCCAGCTGTCTCCTGTTGTGGCAGGGCTCAGCCAAGGCCATCACCAGCTCAGGTCCTGGCCCATGAGACAGGAGCAGCACTGGGCAGTGGGGGACGTTTTGGAGCTGCTAAACTTACCTGTTCTTAATTGTCAAATGGGTGATGTCGGCTTCCAGTTAGAGCTAAGAGCATTGTGCTGACGGTGGACTGTGTCTGAGCTGTGCTCTCCCCACGTCCTTTTCCGCAGGAGGCTTTTTTTTCTGTACACTGGGCTCAGGTTAGGGGAGCTGAGAACTAACAAGGCCGAGGGTTATCCTGGGACTGCCCCCATAAGAGGGAGGGAAGAGGAGGGTGTTGGGTGACAGTGGAAAGAAAGTAGGGCCTGTGGCAAAAAACAAAATATGGAGGAACCCCAGAGAAAGTCCCTCTTGAAGAACCCGCAAAGAGGGCTCTGGTGGAACTTCCAACTCCTCTACTACCATCTAAGCCCATCTGTGGAGCCCCCGGAGGAGGGGGAGGTCTGGCTGGGCGGGTGTGCTCCTTAGACCTCTCCGGAGTTAGAGAAGAGGTTGCCAGGAACCAAAGGCCACACCCTAAAATAGAAGTTGGAAGAGAAGGTGGTGAAGCCCCAGACATCCATGTCTGACCCAGCAGTTGCTAATGGACCCAGAGGTAAAAGAGAAGGGGCATTTCCTGGAGAAATCAGCGAACGCCCGGGGAGCTCTGCTTCTAACAGGCTGTGAGACGGGGGAGGACAGAGGGAAGGACAGAGAGCCCCAAGGCAGTGAGGGAGGTGGAAACCAGCCGAGTGCGGAAAAGTACTCTGAGAAGGGAGTCTCAAGTTACAGCATTCATGAAGCAGAGTGGACAGGGGCCCAGCTGCCTGGGGAAAATGGTGCAATGTAGATATTACACAAAGAAAGCACAATTGCCATTGCATCTTAAGGAGTCCAAATCTGGGCTAGTGAGGGGAAGCTGGGTAGGGGAGCTTTTAGCTCAAAGTAGGGGAAGATGCTCCAGCAACCCGCCACTTGGTGTTAGGCTGAGCTGCTGCAGGAGGTAGTGACGACCTGGAGCCCATTTGGGTGCTGGGTTGGGAAGGATGTCCCGGACAGTTCTCACACACTGACTCAACCATTTGGACCCAGGAGTCTGTGATTCTGGGCATCCGCAATTCCTGAAAGAACCCTGAAAGCGCTGAGAAGTTGAAAAGGACTTCTGGAAGACAATCTCTGCTGGAACCCAGCATACAAAGGACCAGAGCTGGGGCTTCCCCCTCTGCTGGTTCTTTCTTGTCCATGGTCCTTGGGTGTTTGGTCAGGAAGAGCAGCCATGTATGAAGGGAAGGAGGCCAGAAGAGGCGCGAGGGGAGGGGAGAGGAGGGGAGGGGAGGGGAGGGGACAGGAGGGGAGCAAAGCCCGGCTTTGCAGTTAGCAGCTGTGTGGCCTGGGAAATTCGTTACTCTCTCGGTCCTAATTTCCTCATCTGTAAAATGGGTCTAGAAGTTGTCTTACTGGGTCAGATATACTGTGTCTAGAGAGGGTGCCAGGAAATGGAAGCTAATATCATAAGGGAACAAAGAAAACTGGCCACCCTGACAAATCCTGCATAGGTTTTGTTATAGGATTCCACCTACTGAACCAACACTCCAAACTGGGGACACAGCCTGGCCCCCTGGCCATGGAAAATTGGGGTAAAGGGAGTAGCTTTTCTTTGGAATGATGGGCTCATCCAAAGCCCATATTCACCATATTGTTTCATTTCACTGTACACTAAGCAAAGTGTCTATGTGCGGGAGCAGTAGGAAGACAGACTCAATAAACCTATAATCAAGTCCCTTGGCAGTCAGTCATGTCTGACCTCCAGGGCTTGTGAAAAACAGTTAGTGTTTGCTTAACATTAAATGCATTCCAGGTATTGCGCTAAATGATATATGAACAACCCTATTCTTCCCATTTTACAGATGAGGGAGCAGGGTCATGTGAGGTTAAGTGGACTTGCCCAAGGCTTGACCCTCTGCTGCCACTCTGGTTTCATAGGTACCTCAGGCATTAGAGCTGCCTAGTGAGAAGAGACCGTCTGCACAGCCTCGGGGCAGATGATTTGGGAGGACTAGAGGCAGAGGTGTTGATCTCACTGTTCCTAGATCTGCAGAGCTGATGATGGATTTGGGGAAGGCTCCCATCATCTTCCTTCCAGGTGGTCCAGGCGAATAAGCTCCCCCAGCAGTCAAGACCACAAGTCTCCCAGCCTTGACTGGAGCTTCTATTAATATAAATAGATGCTTTGTAGACATTCCCAGCTGTAGGGGATGGACATAAATTGTGCACCATTGACAGTAGCACACAAATGCCAAATGCCTGGGTGGCTCTGGGGAGCATGAGAAGTCGGGGGAGGATGAAACAGGGGTGTGTGTTACTCTTCAGCTGTGGGGTGAGGAAATTTCCACAACACAGCAGGAAGGTCATGGGCATTACTCAACGCCAGTGGCTGTCCCTGGAGACAAGTCACCAGAGCTAACCTAAGCCTTTTATTTCTTCTGAACCCCCTCCACTACCTCATCCCTCAACTCAACGTCAGCAGAAGAAAATAGAGACCCTCAGACGAGCAGCCCGCATACCTCTCGCATCCCTTTCAACCATCCCTCACCTGTCCTTTCCTGCCACTAGAGGAAGGGGAGTTAATTATCTCAGCTTGTGCTTCCAATCACTGACCTCATATGTCCTCTGGGACTCTAGATCATCAATTAAGTCTCTGTCCCATGTCTTCCAATTTTCCCCTCTACCTCTTCCCACCAGCCAAAGCTTTTGTGTACAGAACAGCTTTCCCCTGCAAACTACTCTCAGTCTCTCCTCACATCACCACCAACACTCTGGAAAGTGGTTTACTTTTACCAGCACCTTCCATTATGTCTTCATTTTCCACCCACTTCTCCATCTGCCAAGAGGTGGCTTTTACCTGCTTTTGTAGCACTGTGGCTGGCCATGCCAGTCTAGAAGCTGGTCACCAAGTCCAGTGGCCTAATTTCCATGCTCATTCAGTTCCCATTGCCTGGACTTTTTAGCATTTGAAACCACCCTGTCCTTCTGGACAATCTCCCATATATATTATTCTCTGGTAAACATCCTACACGCAATGGGGCTTGCATTCTTTCTTTTTTCTGTGCATGCTTTACAGACTCACCTTTCTGTGCTGTTTCCTGGGTTGGTGATCTGTGGTTGGCAGCCTTCAATGAACCACCCTCCTGTTATTCACATCCTTATGTGGTCCCCTCCCACATTATACCTGGGTTTGCCTATAGGACTGAGCACAGCAGAAGTGGTAGCAATAGTCCAAGTGTTGAGTTATAAAAGATAAGACCTTGGTCACTCTCTCACTCATGGGTTGCTCTCTTAGGGGGAAGCCAGTTGCCTCCATGGGGAGCCCTGCAGAGAGGCCCATGCAGTGAGGAACAGAGGGCTCTTGCCAGCAGCTGCCATGTTAGGGAGCTTAAAGGCTGATGCCCCAGCCCCAGTTGAACCTTCAGATTATGGCAGCCCCAGCTGACAGCATGGCTACAACCTCATGAAAGGCCTTGAGCCAGAGCTACCCAGCTAAGCTGCTCCCAGGTACCCTGAGAAACTGTGAGATAATAGATGCTTGTTGTTTCAAGTTACCAGGTGTCAGGGTAATCTGTCACTCAGCAATAGACCGAGGCATCATTTGCAACCCTCTCTCTCCCATCCACTCTCCGCTCTCTTCCTGGTTATTGCTAAGGGGCTCTGTGGCCTGAGCACCATAAGCACAAGGACTGTTCCTAGCAAGGATTTACACCAGCATTTCTCCTCCGCCATGAGCTCCATTTCCACCTGCCTATTGGTCACCTCTCTGTCACACTCAATGTATTCCAAATCAAACCATCTTTCCACCTCAATTCCTTTCCGCTTCCTGGACTTTACATCTTGGCCACTGGTTTAATTATTACCCTTGCCACCAAATCTGGAAACAAAATAAGTTTTGACAATATTTCTTCCTCTTCCGTTCTGCCAATCCTCATCCTCATTGCTCCACATCTGCCATCTCTCATCTGTGGCTCCCATCCCTCTCATTTCTTGTACAGATGCTGCCCCAGTCTCCTAATGAGCCTCCCAGCCTCCAGCATCATCCCTCTCCAATCTGTCCTCCAACTGCTGGAATTCACTTTGGAAACAGCAGGTCTTCACAATTACAGCCCTGCTTAAGACTCCCAGAGATTTTCCATTGCCTAAAGTCTGAGTTCCTTTGTCCAGATCCCAGGCTTTCTACAAGCTTCCCCCGCACCACCTCTCTATCTTCCACCTTCCATCCTTCTCCTTCTCCTCCAGACTGACTCCCAGGCCATGCAGACAAATGCTTCAAATGCTTTCCTTTTACCTTTGTCATGTTCTCCTTATTCTTTTGTTTCCTCCTTCTCCTTTTTTCCCTCAACATTCTCTTCTTCTCATCATCATTACACACATTATCCAAAGTCCAGATCAGTCACCCCCCGACAGTTGTTGATCCTTACAGTCAGAGTGAGTTACCTGCCCTCCAGCCCCCAGCACTCATCTCTTTGTATTTTTTTTTTTTTAAGATGGAGTCTCTCTCTGTCACCCAGGCTGGAGTGCAGTGGCTCTATCTTGGCTCACTGCAGCGCCTGCATCCTGGGTTCAGGTGATTCTCCCACCTCAGCCTCCCAAGTAGCTGGGACTACAGGTGCGTGCTGCCACATCTGACTATTTTATTTTTTATTTTTAGTAGAGACGGGGTTTTGCCATGTTGCCCAGACTGGTCTCAAACTCCTGGGCTCAAATGATCCTCCCGCCTTGACCTCACAAAGTGCTGGGATTACAGGCACGAGCCACCGTGCCCAGCCCCTTTGTATTTGAATTCCCTAAATTAATGCTGACATTTCCCACCAGCTGGGAAGATTTGTAAAATCAGAGGTGGTAGATGATGGAATGAATGCAGGAGGCTTGTCCAAGGGGGCTCTTTTATTTAGATTCTTTTCTGTAGAATCAATTGGCCAACATCCATGAAGCAGGTAAAGCCACACACCCAACTGTGGAACAGGGTGCAGTGGATACATTTTCAGGTTCACCTTTGTCCCTCACTTCTCCCTTCTTCTCTGAGTTAGATGCAGTCCCTGCTTCCTGCCTCACACTGTGGGCAGTATCTAGAGTACGCGCAGGGCTTGTGTTCCCAGCAAAGCAGAGAGGCCCTGTTATTGTGCATGATTCTCCTGACCATTGCCCAGCAAGTCTATCTTTAGCTTCCAGGGCATTAGAACTGCCTAGTCCACTGGGCATTGGTCTGTGCGGGATGGAGTGAGATACCTGCTCCACAATGGGGCTGCAGAACAGTTGGCTCTGCTCCCCCTGCAGCACATATGGGGGCCTTAGCAGCTGTCATTTGCCACCTGATTTCTGGTAGGGGGATGGTGCAGTGGTTTTTGAGCCAGATTACCTGGGGGTGAATCCTGATTGGAGCTAAGGGTCAGTGGGAGCTTGTGCAGCCACACTTTTTGAGCATTGGTTTTTCTGTTCACAAAGAGGTAGTTGAACCCTTCAGATCCTCGTGAGTCACTGAAGCTGAGATCTTTATCACCATGAGCTCCATTTCACCTAAGCCTCCTTGAAACAGGGCACTGACAGAGTGAGAGATTGCCATGCCAGCTGGGGTCAGGCCAGGGATCACCTCTTTGCTGCACAAGCTCATTGGACGTCCTTCACACGGCCCTGCTGGGTAGCTCTGTCTCCTGGGATGAGCTGTCGTGAGGCAGATTTACAATGTCTGGTCACGGTAGAGTCTGAACCTTCCTGGGCCTGGCCTTCTAGATGAAGGCAGATTTCTGTAAATTGGTGTCTGACGTCAGTCCTCCCCAGAGACCCAGGGGACTAAGTACACAGCATTCAAGAGGTTAAGTCCCCAATGCCTCCAGGAACGGATTCCAACATGCAGAGGAAGCAATATTTCAGGCGAAGGCACCGAGTGTCTGTGGACAGGGTCCCCCTCTGCTCTTGCTGTGAGAAAAGGGTTTCCTCATTAATCAGAGCCTCCAGGGGCAAGGGGCTGGCCCAGGAGAAAGCACAAAGGATCCTCTGTGAGGGCTGGGCTGTGCTCTTCAAGGGGTGTAGGGCTGGAGTAGACTTTGGAGGGAAGCTACAACCTCCCATCTGTGTCAGTGCTTTTTATAATAATGTCTCTGAACATTTGATTTTTTCAGTTTAAATTAATTCTCAAAAGATGGCTAAAGTTCTATCAGGAAAAATGAGAATTTAGTCAGTAAAAGTCATTTGTAACTTCCCTAAGTGTTAAAATTGTGTTTTATTCATTTGGCTCTGTTCATTCGCCCGCCATCAACCAATTGCCAATCCACATAGCAAAAATACACACTTCCTGGCATAACTGAAAAACAAAACAAAAAACAGGCTTATTTTTGAAAACACAGGGACTTCCAGATACATATAGCTGCTCAGTGATCGGCATTTGGCTCTTCCCCACCAAAAAAGAAAGTGAGAATTTAAAAAATGTTCATTCTGGGGACACAGATAAGAGCAGACAGGAATTCTGGTGAAGGGTTGGGGGGTAACTGATCTTGTGGAACACAGGAGGGTTCTGCCTGCAGTGGGCTGTTCCTGTGAGCAATGAGTGTTTCACCTGAGCCCACCTGAAGGGCTTTGCACCCAGAAACACCAGGAATTAAGGAGCAGAGATTGGGTTTGGGGCTGAAAATGAGGGGATAGCTGAAAGTCTGCCTCTAGAGCAGTCGGACCCCAATCTCCTCCCACCCCACCCAATCTGGGGACCCCCATCCCTCCTCTCCTCCCTGCCCCCTCCCTGCCCTTCTCCTGCTTCCCCATCCAATGCAGACCAGAGATTTATTCTCCAGATGAACTGAGTGGTGACGGGCCAGGCCTTGGCAGGCTGGGTGACACAGAGGATGGAGATGGGGACTGAAGCCAGACTTGTGCCAACTAGTGGCTCTTCAGTCCCCGTCCCCAGAACAGCAGCAGGTACCTCTATCCCAGGCAGTTAGAGGACTCTTCCTAGAGAGTGTCAGTAACCCCAGAAAAGACAGGGATATGGTTTGGCTGTGTCCCCACGCAAATCGCATCTTGAATTGTAACTCCCATAATTCCCATACGTTGTGAGAGGAACCCAGCAGGAGGTGATTGAATTATGGGGGTGGGTCTTTCCTGCGCTGTTCTTATGATAGTGAATGAGTCTCATGAGATCTGGTGGTTTTAAAAATGGGAGTTTCCCTGCACAAGCTCTCTCTTTGCCTGCTGCCATGCACATAAGATGTGACTTGCCCCTCCTTGCCTTCTGCCATGATTGTGAGGCCTCCTCAGCCATGTGGAACTGTAAGTCCAGTAAACCTCTTTCTTTTGTAAATTGCCCAGTCTTGGGTATGTCTTCATCAGCAGTGTGAAAATGGACTAATACAGGGATACTAACATTTGCGGGACCAAAAATTCTATGACCCCCTGGTGAAGCCAATAAGTCTTTGAAATCTTCAACACTCACGTGTAATAATTTCAATCAGTTTTTCAGGGCATTGTCCTAGGTATGAGGACAGCCCAAAGTCAGCTGGTATTTGAGGAAAGGATCCAACATGAAGCACAGAAACCAGGACAAACGGAAAAAGGGGACCTGGAGAGGGCAGTGCAGCCAATGTAGGACACATACAGAAAACTTAAAAAAATAATATACCCTACAGTTACTATACTGAGTGATATATGAGAAGATGTTACATCTATAAAACAAGGACAGAATACCATGAAAAGTAACCAGACCACAAGAACCTCAAAATTAAAGACAGGCAAAAAATTAAAAAACCCAAATAAAATAAAACAAGAAAGCAACAGAATGGTTAGAAGCTAAAATCAAGTAGAACAAAAAGACAAAGGGAAATAGAAGCGAAAGAATAAAACAAATTATAGGGTTTATTCTCAAGGCCAGTCTCCTGACCTACAAGAGTTCCAGAAACAGAACGGGGGGAGGAAAGCTTCAAAGCGTAATGCAAGAAAATTTCCCAAAACTGAACAAAAGGAGTCTTCAAAGTGATTATGTGTTAGGAAGATGGGAAGAGGGTTAGTGATGGGGAATTCAAAAGTTAATGCCTACAGCTAATCAATTAAAAATTGCAACATGAATATAGTACCAAAAATATGAAAGTGAAGATGAGAAGAATTTCCTAGAAGTGTTAATGACAATGTTTGTCTTTGGGGAGAACTGGGGGTGGAATGGGTGAAATGGGACTGCTTTGTGTTACTGTTGTTTTTCTTTGTCTTTTTAAGACTCACTGTTTCTTGGCTTTTTAAACTCAGTGCATGTATTACTTTGAAAAAAATAAAAAAGTATTTAAAAAAAAGAAACAGGCATAAACATTAAGAAAATACTACCTCCCCATCCAGATTTTAATATACTAAAATACATCCTTTTAGATGTATTTTTATGCATATACAGAAAAACATTTCCTTACCATAAAAAGTTAACATGCATGTTGCTAAATAATGATTTATTTAACCTAAATACTGGAATCATCTGTGTGCCAACAGAAATATTCAGAGTGCTTATACCTGGATGTCTCACTACAGATACTGCAGAAAAGAATGAGGCCCTGTACAGTTCACAGCAATAAAGGCTACATGAATTGAGTGCCATAAGGGAGAAATAAGCAGGCTGAGCTGACCCAGGGAGGCTTCTCAGAGAAGGTGTTTTCAGGAATCACCCCAAGTCACAAATGGGAGGCCTCAGCACCCAAGAGGATGAAATCAGCCCAGGATCATGCCAGCCCGTGCCACCCACAGCCACTGAAGTGCTTGTCTGAGTCTTGCTGGAAACATGGGCCCATGTTAGTGATTATGAGCCTTGCAGCAGCAGACTCAAAGCTTTCTCTGCTGAGAAGTTTCCAGCAGTTCCATCAGTGCGAGCCGGGAACTGATGACCTGAACGACCTGGAGCATGGTGAGATCCCTGCTGCTGGGGGTTTTGGGAGAGGCCAGGCTACCTCTCTGAGCTGCTGGCAAGCGATTCTGAGTTTGGGGCAGAGGGCATGCCCCCATGACCTTCCATGTGGGCTGATGCGCCCAGCTCTGACCCTACTGAGTCAGCTCCTGTCTGTATGTTCCCAACTTTAAAAGCCAGGCTCTCACTTTTCCTCTGCCTTTTTGCTTTTCCTGTTTCCTTGCTGATTCAGGCTGTGGGTAGAGATAGTTCCTTGTGCCTGTAGGACAGAGGTCCCTGTTTTCCTTGCTGTCTGTCAGGGTAGGGCTGTTCCCAGCTTCTCGAAGGGCCCACATTCCTTTGTTTGCAGCTTTTCTCTGTCTTCAAACCAGCAAATGTGACCCAGTCCCTCTCACCTGTGAGTCTCTACTTCTTTGCTCCTCTCTTTCTTCCAACTGGGAAGGGAGTGCCATTGTAATTACAATGGGCCCACCTGGATGACCCAGGCTAGTCAGTTGCTGTATCTTCAGGTCAGCTGGTTAGCAGCCTTAATTCTGTCTGCAGCCTGAATTCCCTTTATACAGCAACACAACACTCACAGGTGCCGGGGATTAGGACCTGGACGCTATTCTGCCCCATCTGCTCTCCATCCTTCCTCCACACACTCTGCCTCTGCTGAAGATTGGGGTGGGGAAGTTCAGCACAAGAAGTCAGAGTGCTTTGGTTAGACTTGCAGAGAATGCTCATGTCAGAGAAAAAGCTACACTGTGGGAAAGTAGAAAGCAGCAGCCCAGGCCGGCGGTTCTACAAGGAGGCTCCCAGGACCAACGGCATCAGCCCAATCAGGAACCTGTTAGAAAGACAAATTATGGCCCCATCCAGACCCACTGAATCACAAACTCTGGGGTGGGGCCCAGCAGTCTTGGTTTCACAAACCCTCTAGGAGATTCTGATGAGATTCTTTGCTCCAGAACAGCCACCCTGCTTCTCTTGCTTTGGTTCTGGTGGGCCCATCAGGGAAACTGCAGGTAGGGCCCTCTGCATCGTGCTTGGCCCAAGGAGTTCTTTTTAGACTGCTGGTGCCTCCCAGTCACTTTGTGCCACCCCCAGAGGACGGGTAGCTCAATTTCCTCAGAAGCCAGGCTGCTAATGCCCTGAAAAGGTAACATGACCCAGAAAATCGACCAGCAGGAAGTGAAAAGCCTTTGGCAGGGTCTCCAGGGAAGCCTGCCTGGCTCCTGGCTCAGACAGGGATGGAGGAAGGCAGGACTGCAGGGGAGGAGCCTCAAGACAGCTGCATGCAGGACCTGGGCAGCCTGAGCTTTGTGGTGCCAGCTGCAGGGCTTCTCTGCATGTGGGGCTGTCTCCATGGCCAGAGATCTTGACCTTGGAGGATGACGTGCATGGAACTCCTTGGGGTTAGCAAGCACCCAGGTGGCGGGGGGACTTCCAGATTGTGCAGTGGCTCATTGCTGTAGTCCCAGCACTTTGCAAGGCCAAGGTGGGCAGATCACTTGAGGTAAGGAGTTCAAGACCAGCCTAGCCAACATGGTGAAACTCTGTCTCTACTAAAAATACAAAAATTAGCTGGGTGTGGTGGTGTGTGCCTGTAGTCCCAGCTACTGGGGAGGCTGAGGCAGGAGAATTGCTTGACCCTGGGAGGTGGAAGTTGTAGTGAGCTGCGATTATGCCACTGCATTCCAGCCTGGGCAACAGAGCGAGGCTCTGTCTCAAAACAAACAAAAAACAAGCAAACAAAAACTTTTCTGAGAATCCCAGATCCATTCTTCACCTAAGTGTCACTTAAGACATTGGGCCTCACACTTGACTGCCCATAGGAATCACCTGGGAGCTTTCAAAAGTCCTGATGCCCAGGTCACACCTCAAACCAATTCCATCAGAATGAGTGAGGTGGGACCCAGTCTTAGTACCTTTTCTAAGGCTCCCCAGGTAATTTCAATGTGTACACAATGTGCAGGCAATGTTGAGTTGAATACTACTTGTCTAAAAGTGGCTCTTAGTCCTGGCTGCACATTAATATCAACTGGGAAACATTTAAAAAAATAATAAAGCAGGCTGCCCCCGTGCCATAAGCCAGAGTCTCTGGGGAGGGGGCCTGAGCATTGCAGGTGGTAAAAGTCCCCAGGTGATTGTACTGAAGCACAGCAGGGTTGAAACCCTGGCACCACGGGCTGTGGTGCTGTCTCTTGCTGGCTGTGTACAGTCCCTGGGCTCAGCCCCACCATCTCTAGGGTGGTATTGTCGTTTTTAAACTCCAAGGCATGACAGTGCTCAGTAAGCCTTCCTTTGCATCCTTTGTTGTTTGCAAACTGGCTCTTATTTGTGAGCCTCAAGGAAACCTGTGGCAGAAGTAAGGCTTGAGCCCCACACATGAGACCTGAGAGTTGCCCCAGAGGTGGCCCGTGTAGGTCTGGGTTGGCTTTAGAGATTATTTTTAAAAATAAAGATCTAGGACACATATTTTGATAGCTTACAGAATGATTTTCCTAGTTTATCTTTTTGCTCTTGCAGTTCTGTATAACCCACAGAGAAAAACCAGACAAAGGAATCAAGAAGGGACCACTCCTCAGCACTTGCAGGTGTTCAAAGATAAACTGAGGCACATATTAAAATATTAAAGAGATTTTCTTGAGCAACTCACGAATTGGGCAGTGCCAGATAGAAAGAAGTTAGGGCCCTGAGGAAGGCATGCGAGAGGAAGGCTTTTACAAGGTGGAGGTGGGAGCAAGGCAAAGAAAATACATGCTTGTTTACAGTGAATAGTAATTTCATTCGGATCATTCCAGTGGAAAGTCCCCAGTTAGAGAGTAGTTGGTGGTTTCTGATTGGTTAAGCTTAACTAGTAGAAAGTCGCCAGTTAGGGGTTAGTCAGCAGTTTCTGATAGGCCTAGAATATGACTGTTTATGCTGAGTCGGCTTGTGGATTGCTAACGAAGGAGTTGGAGGCACTGCAGCTGC
The DNA here is from genome assembly GCF_000001405.40 of Homo sapiens. Classification (NCBI taxonomy): domain Eukaryota; kingdom Metazoa; phylum Chordata; class Mammalia; order Primates; family Hominidae; genus Homo; species Homo sapiens. Next base: position 44,897,158 of record NC_000010.11, on the reverse strand, counting down.
CTCAGCCCAATGGCCTCCCGATTAATTTTTGTTTTTAACACAGGTATGACAACACAGTGGCCACATGTGCCTTCCAGGTCCCGGGTTGGGAAGGTTGGTGAGGTAGCAGCAGCAGCTCCCCAGTGCAGAAACTGAAGGCTCTGCTCCTGGACGCCGCTCTTCCTGATGGGCAGCCAATACTTCTCACAAGATACCCTCTCTGCAGCTCTCAGCTGCTGAGGTTCACTTTGTGGCTTCCAATGTCAGTGGGCCACTCTTCCTGAGATACAGGCACCCATAGTATCATGTCATGTGGTTGTTAAAAGCAGGGTGGGTGGGCTGGTCAGTTTCAGCTATTTACCAGCTGCATGACCTTGGTCAAGTCACTCAGCTTCTCTTAGCCTAGGTCAGGTTATCTGTTTTTAATGGGTATGCATTTTAGTTTATAAACACTTGAGTATAAAAATTGTCCCATTCTCCAAATTAGATAACTGCTCTAATTTCCAATCACTGAGCTGGTGGAAGACAATGCACTCTGTCCAGCTGAGCAAGTATCAAGAGTTCTAAATGGTTCAAGCATGGCTGGGCATAGTGGCTCACACCTGTATGATCCCAGCACTTTGGGAGACTGAGGCAGGAGGATTGCTTGAGTTCAGGAGTTCAACACCAGCCTGGGCAACATAGTGAGACACTGTCTCTACAAAAAGTTTAAAAAAATTAGCTGGGCATGGTGGCATGTGCCTGTGGTCTCAGCTACTTGGGAGGCTGAGGCAGGAGGATCACTTGAGCCCAGGAGCTTGAGACTGCAGAAAGCTGTGATCGCACCACTGCACTCCAGCCTGGGCAACAGAGCAAAACATTGTCTCAAAAAAAAAAAAAAGAAAGAAAGAAAGAAAAAAAGGCCTAAGCATTCAGAAGAGGCTCTCTGGCATTCATTCCACACTGAAATTCTGAAATCCTCTTTGCAAATCCAGAGGTTTCTTGAAGGCAGGTGACTGGGTCACCTCATAGGCCTATGGCAGCAGAGTGCACAAGTGGCCACAGTCCTCCTCTCCTTCCCATGTCCACACTCTTTATAATGTGGCTTTGCAGCAGCTTCTCTCCCCTCTGAATCTGGGCTGGACTGTGTCTGGCTCTGGCCAATAGTGGAGTGATGAGGGGCCAGCTCTGGACCTGCATCTGGCTGCAAGACCTCCATGCCCTGCATTCTCTCTCTCCCTGAACCCACCCCGTTGCCTCTGGAGCAAGTCTGGCTAGCTGGCTGGAGGAGCAGGGAGACTGTGGGCCCAACTGCAAGGCGCCCCCCAGACCAGTCAGCCCCTGCCCACCCAGCAGCAGAAGCACACAAAGAACCATGTAGCTGAGTCTGCCTCAAATTGCCAATCTGCAGTACTGGGAGATAATAAGTAGCTGCATTTAAGTCATTAGCTTTAGAAGGCTTATTACCCTGACAGAGCAGTCTTTATCCTCTCTCAGTTCTCTGCAAGGAGGGAGACCAAGCTGCTGCTACTTACAGAAAGGAACCCCACCATCCCCAACCTCTCTCCTTCCTAGTGTTGCTAATTCCCTCTCAGCCTTGGCTTCTTTCAGCAAACTAAAGCCTATGCAGCAGGTGCATCCTTCTCCTGGGCACCGTTTGACTTGAGGTATTGTTCCTGAAACATGAATGACAGCCACAGCTCCCTTGGGAGGGGACTGCTATGTCAGAACACACAGTGGGTTCCCTTTCTAGATGAGGCAGCATCATACCATTCTTGTTCTCTCTGTAGTCCCTAGAGCCCGGAAAGCAAAGGACCATCTCTGCAGGCAAAGCAGGAGTGGCACCTGCCAGTATCTGCTAAAGGAAGTCGGAATGTGCGGGTACTGGGTCCGCAGTCACTGCTAAATGAAGATGGAATATGTGGGTGCTGGGCACAGCACTGGGCCCGTGATCACTGCTAAATGAAGATGGAATGTGTGGGTGCTGGGCATGGCGCTAGGCCCGTGGTCACTGCTAAATGAAGATGGAATATACTGGTGCTGGGCACGGTGCTGGACCCGCGGTCTCTATTAAATGAAGATGGAATGTGTGGGTGTTGGGCACGGCACTGGGCCCATGGTCACTATTAAATGAAGATGGAATGTGGGTGCTGGGCATGGTGCTGGGCCCATGGTCACTGCTGAATGAAGATGGAATATGTGGGTGCTGGGCACAGCGCTGGGCCCGCGGTCACTGCTAAATGAAGATGGAATGTGCAGGTGCTGGGCCTGTGGTCACTGTGAAGTGGTGGGGTGGGGCTGTTTCTACCTCACTGCTGCCCTGTCCACACTAGGCTTGCTCTGGCCTTCCTGTTGCCTGGGGCCTGCCCTCTCTTGCTGCTGCAGAACAGGCAGGATAATCTCTCTCTAGGGCAAGGAATGCACTCGGGCCAGGGACTCCTCACCACCAGCTTGAGGGGCTGTGCCCAACCCTGCCTCCTTCAGGAAGGTGTCCCAAGTTCTGTCCTTGCCTAAGCAGCTGGCACCTGTGCTCAAAATATTTATTGCCCCCATGCCAGCTGCTCTCCCACTTGTCCTGTCAAAGGGAGAGTGGGGGCCTGGGGGGGATCTTGCTGCATCCCAGCCCAAGCCCATCAGATGTGGGGGACTTTTGCCCCTCTGACCCTGCTCCTCATGAGGCACAGTCTGCACGAAGTGACAGCCCCGGCACTACCTGAGCCCATGGGACTCAGCTCTTCATCCTCTCAGGGCCTCTTTTAGTCTAGGTGCCCAGGGCACTGAGAGGGACCTGGAGTGACAGGAACACTTGACTCATGGATCAGAGGTGGAGCAGCAGCTCAGGGTGGCTGTGTGCCCTCCCTGGGGGTCATTCCCTCTCTCTTGTCCTAGGAGCTTGGGGTGCCCATGCTTGAGGCAGGAGGCTGTGTGCTCCTGGGAGCTGGCCATGGTGCCATCTTCCAGGGCCATTTCTCATGCCTCCCAGTTTCCAGTCCCTCCTGACTCCCCTCCTTCTGGGTCCTCCGCGGCACAATGATATATTTCATATTTCTATGGAAGGGGTGTCATGTCTCAGCCCCCACACTGGCACACACACAAAAATGTATATGTGCATATACATATATATATATATATATTTTTTTTTTGCCAAGTAAGTCAGCTTGGACTCAAATGTCAGTTTCTTTGAACAGATTTGTCAATGACCTCAAATTAAACTCTCCCATTTGAGGAATGGCAGGTGCTGCCCTTAATATATCTTGCAGGCCTGGGAGTGACAGGTGTGGGGCCTGCTCACCTCGGATCAACCCTCTGGGCCTTGATGATCTCATCTGTTCAATGAGCATCACAAACATCCTTCCACCTCAGACACCCTGAGATTGTAAAATGAGGTGAAAACTTGCTGAGCAAGGGAAATGATCCGTTAGCAAGGACATGGGCATCCTCTCCCAAGCTCTTAGCTCTTGTCAAGGTTCCCAAGAGCGCACCTCTATAAAAATTCTAGATCTGAAGGAGTTCAACTCATTAGCTAGGAAAAACACCTTCTTGCTCACTCTTGTCAGACTTTAGAATGTCAGCATATGAACAAGCTGGAATTTATATTCATAGTGTTGGCCGCTGTTTGGCACTTGCTTGGATTTTGAGATATGAATTATACTGTGAGTGTGTCCTGCTCTAGGGCTTAGGTTATTTATTATTTGAGGTTAATGTATGTGGAGGATTGGATGTGGACCAGGCGAGTCTGGCCAGGGACAGATTACAGGGCCCTGGGTTATTTTCTCTTGTTCTTTACCCATTCATGTTGATGCCAATTATTTTGAAAATGAACAATGGTCCATAAATATGAGAGCAAAGCTTGGGTGCATTGCCCTGAGCCTTGCTGTCCTCCCTGGCACTGGTTTGTGCTTCCTCTTCTGGGGTGCACAGGAGAGGCAGATTGGGGCAAGAGAGATTGGCAGTATGATAGCACTGGGACTGACCCTCAGAATCCCTAGTCTGAGAGTGACATATTACCAAGCTTTCTAGACAGGCTAGTAGCTCCTGTCACCTCTGTTTCTAAGGAAAGAAACATAGAGACAGTTACAAATTTGTTGAGATTAACTTTGGCAATGCCTTACATTGCCCTTAAAGTATAGGGTACACAGGCTGGTGTACAGTACAGAAACAGTGCATAGTCCAGAAATAGCACACCACAAATGAACGCTTTAGACCAACATAGGCGTGAGATGGATGCGTGTGGGATGCAATCTGACAATACGCATAGAATAGAGCAAAAGGCCAGTCCACATGCATTAGGATGGCTGCTACCAGAAGAATGGGAAAGGCAAGAGTGGGCGAGGACGTTTAGAAACTGGAGCCCTGTGCATTGCTGGTGGGAATGGAAAATTGCACATCCATTGTGGAAAACAGCATGACAGTTATTCAAAAGGCAAACACATAAGTGAAATAAGCCTGATGCAGAAACACAAATATTGCACATTCTCACTCATACTTGGGAGCTAAAAACATTGATCTCACGGAGGTAAAGAGTAGAATGACAGACACCAGAGACTGTGGAAGGTAGCAGGGAGGAGAGATGAAGAGGGATCGGTCAATGGTTAAAATGATACAGAGAGGTGGAAGGAATAAGTTCTAGTGTTTCATAGCACAGTAGGGTGACTTTAGTGAACCATAATTTATTATGTATTTCTTTTTTTATTATTATACTTTAAGTTTTAGGGTACATGTGCACAATGTGCAGGTTTGTTACATATGTATACATGTGCCATGTTGGTGTGCAGCACCCATTAACTCATCATTTAGCATTAGGTATATCTCCTAATGCTATCCCTCCCCCCTGCCCCCACCCCACAACAGTCTATTATGTATTTCAAAATAGCGAGCAGAGAAGATCTGTAACATTCCCAACACAAATGTTTGGGGTGATGGATATCCCAGTTACCCAAATTTGGTCGTTACACATTGTACGCATATATCAAAATAGTACATGTACCACATAAATATGTACAACCCTGATGTATCCATACAAATTAAAAATAATAAGTTAAACACTAAATGGAATCACCATGGGATCCAGCAATCCCACTTCCAGGTGAAGTTCACTCAAATAAGTCATACACAAAAGGACAAATGTAGTATGATGTGTTTACACTGATATGAAGCTACCTAGAATAGGCAGATTCTTAGGGACAGAAAGTCAGATAGAGGCTGCAGGGACCTGTGGCAGGGGAGGATGCAGAGTTACCATTTAATTGGGACAGAGTTTCTGCTGGGGAAGATAAGACAGTTCCGGAGGTGGATGATGGTGTGATTGCACAACATTGTAGATGTCCCCAATGCCACTTAAAAATTGTTAGAATTGTAAATTTTATGTTATGTACATTTTATTATAAGAAAAAAAGGAGAGCAAAGGCAGCTGTGGGTGAGTTCATGATGTTTCCCCTGAGTTCCAGCAGGTCCCATCTGTGATGTCCCACAGTCCTGTTGCATGGGTAGGGCTGGTGACGTTGCTGGTCCCATTTTATAGATGACTAAACAAGTCACAGGGACATACCTGTGTGTTCTCATTCACATTCCTGTTCATTGTCTGCCTCCCTACACTGGGGTGTGCATTCTGTCAGGGCAGGGACCTGGTGGGGCCGCTCACCCCAGTGTTCTCAGGGCCTGGCACATATAAGATATTTGCACTGAATGAAGACGTGAATGGCACACTTTGTGTGAGGCTGGCCCCAGAGCTAGTAAGGAGCAGGCCCAGAACACTGCCTGGTCCTCCTGCTCTGGCTCTGTATTCTCCAATGCCTCAGGCTGCCTAGAGGGCGAGCAGGAACCGCATACACATGAAGGCCCTTCCTACCACAAACCAGGGAAAATGGCCTCTGAACAGCTGCACTTGGACAACAGGCCTCTGCCTTGGGGTCACCCCATTTTCTTAGCTTGAACTCCTCCCAGCCTCCCACTCCACCCTACTTAGACCTTGTCCCAGTGCTGGCAGGTGTGCCCACACAGGTGTGGCCTCTTCTCCTGTCTCCTCACCTCTGCACCGAGGCATATTCTGCTTCCCCAGTCCTGGGTCAGAGTGGGAAGCTGACCTCATCCCTCCCAGGGTGGCCAAGAGCCAGTAGCTGGCGGGGCACACTTCATAGGGAGGTAGAGCCTGACCCCAGGCTCAACCCTCACCTGTGCAGCCTTCTCCTCCCACATCCTCCTCCCAGGGGGGCCTGTGCCTGGGGTCACCATTGCATCTCCACTTCTCCCCACCCTGGCACAGTGTGCCTGTCTGGTCTGCGCTGGCCACAGATCCAGAGGCTCCTTGCTGAACCTGCAATTGCTGCCCTGGTGGACCCAGTTACACCCCTGCTTTCTGGGTGTGGTGTGGAAAAGGCCAGGAAGATTGATGAGTGGAAGAGAAGGAAGAGGGAAGGAGAGGCCTGTCTCCCACCACACCCATCCTTTTATGAAGTCAGGCTCTCAGAGTGACAGGGAGTGACAGGCTTGTAAAACTGTAAAAACTACTGGGCACAGACATGATCTGCTAGCTAAGCATGTGAGCATCTGTCCTCCAATCTCTTCTTAGCCTGCACCCTGTATTCAAGTTCATGGGCACCATCAGTTTCTTCTGCTTCAGAACAGCCTAAAGCGGCTCATCTCTTCTCAGTCCTGGTCCTTGCTTTAAGCCTTCTGAGGCTTCTAAATTGGCTGATACCATTGGCATCTGCCTGTATCTCAGGCTTAAAACCTCAGGGCCAGCATTTGCTTCTAGTTTTCCTCTAGTGCTTCCCAGTTCAACAGAAGCCCTGCCCTTTCCACCTCCCTGGCTACCACCCTATCGGCTGCTGGGGCCCCAGGGTCTGCCTATTTATCCTCTGATGCGGTGCCATCGACTGCTGGCTGACTGTCTGCCACACGACAGCCAGGGGGTGGCTCAAAAACACAGAATAACCATGTTATTCCCCAGTGTAAGATTTCAACAGCTTTCTAGTTCCCCTGCAGGTCATGTAGGCAGCCCTCATGAAGCTCTGGGACAATAGTGTGCTGGCAGGTAAGTATTTAACAAAAACTGTCCAGGGAAAAAGCCCTTACCTATAGCATTTGCCAATTTCTGTGGTATAAATACTCCTACTGTGGCTGATTTCAAGCCACCCACATGATGTCACTGAGTGCAGGGCTGGGAAGAGATGCCTAGAATCACAATGTTAGACAGCATCTCCCCTGTGTAGTGCAATAGACACTAAATGACCAAGAGCAGAGATAAGAGGAAAACGTAGTCAAATAATTAGGATGTGATGAGTTTGGGGTACTTATTACACTTTATCTAATTTATTTAATTGAAAATAACTTAATGATGGCTTTGTTTAACATCCAGCTCTAAAAATAGCTGAAAATTTAACCATCAGCTCTCACAAGCTAGCACAAGTCAACTGCAGTGCATAACTGCCTGTGACCAAGTTTGTCTCCGTTTTGACTGGGGGTATAGCGAAGGGCCATGGGTTTGGGAGTCCAGCCGAGTCAGCTTGCACATGGACTCTTCTCTGCTTTCCAGTGACCAAGTCCAGCATGGTAGGTCTTGTCCTACTCTAGTTTCTTGAGCAGAATCTCAGGTCCTCCATAAAGTGGTCCTGTCTTGCAGTTCTCAGTTTCTTTCAACTTCAGGAGTCTGTTTACTCCCATATGTGTTTGTGATATAGTTGCAGCAGCCAGAACCAGGCCCTGCCATGGCCTCTGCAGGGTACACAGGCCATGCCCTCCATGTGGCTCTGCTTTCCCTGACCACCCATCTCATTGGCACCATCATTCTCGCAGAGCTGGAAGGCAGAAGCTCTGTCCTGTAATCAGTGTGGTGGGGTGAGCTGGACAGCCTGTGGCCTGGGCTCTGTGTCTGCAGCCCTCTTGCTGTGCTGAATGCACACTGTTGGATGTCACTTGATGGTTCCCTAGAATAAATTAGTGGAGTTAGACTTCTTCCTGCAGAGGAAAATGTATTAGAAACAAAATCAAAGCCCAATCAAACAAAAGAAGCTCTGAGCTTGCACATCAGGTGTATTGTCTCCTGGGAATGCAGGAAGTTGGAAAAGTCCAGGAAGATTAATGAGTGAAAGAGAAGGAAGAGGGAAGGAGAGCCCTGTCTCCCACCACGCCCATCCTTTTATGAGGTCAGGCTCTCAGAGAACTGCTGCTTTTGCTTATGGAGTCAGAACAAGCCCTAGCGACCTTCACACCTGCCTAAGGAGCTCAAGTAGAGTCCACCCTCTGAATCGAGATCACTTCTTTTTCTCCCATGGAGGGGCTTGTGCACGCTTGGTAAAGCCATCCTCAGATTGGGATCCACAGTGAAGTGAGTGCTAGAGGCACAATCCAGAGCCTGAGAACCTGGAGGACAGGCCATCCTGGACACCAGCATGGAGTCAGCTATCCATGGAATTGAGATACAAAGCATCACACACCCAACACTTCATCTCTAATTCTTGCATGCTTTTCATTTGTGGAACCAGAGTGCAGATGGATTTGAAAAGCCCTGGACTCTGGTAAAATGCCATTTGAAATTGTTATATGGTTTTCCATTAGGAGAAGTCCAAGGAATTGGTAAGACTTATGGTGGACATTGTACAGATCATTGCATAATAATTTTTCTTTGCAATTAATTAATCTTCATCTCTGATATTCACTTCAAATATGTGATGATAAAACGGGAAGGGACCCTTGCTTGGGCAAAAACAACAACATAGCTTCTCTTGAAGACTGCTTATAGCAATGGTGCCAGCACAAGGTTTAATGTGAACTGACCTGGTCCTTGGGCCAGGATTCTGGGTCCTTGGTGTATTCCTCAGTCCTCCCGAAGGGCTTCTGACTACCCAGGAGAACTGGTAGGCCCTTTGCAATCTACCCAGACATTCTCCTGGCCCTCTGTATCTTGTCTCTTTGTCTGCCCACCAGCGTGAGCATCCCAGCACCCATGAGCCCTTCCCTGACCACCCCAATAGACGTGGCCATTTATCTTCAATGCTGCCAGAAAATCTCATCCATTTGCTATGGTTGCCCTTATCTCATTGTAATCATCATCATTGTCTCATTGTAACCACTAATATTTCTTTTTCTTTTCTTTTCTTTTTTTTTGAGACAGTCTCGCTCTGTCACCCAGGCTGGAGTGCAGTGGCGCAATCTCGGCTCACTGCAACCTCTGCCTCCTGGGTTCAAGCAATTTTCCTGCCTCAGCCTCCTGAGTAGCTGGGATTACAGGCATCCACCACCAAGCCCGGCTAATTTTTGTATTTTTTTTTTTTTTTTTTTTTGAGATGGATTCTCGCTCTGTCGCCCGGGCTGGAGCGCAGTGGCGCAATCTTGGCTCACTGAAAGCTCCGCCCCCCGGGTTCATTCCATTCTCCTGCCTCAGCCTCCCGAGTAGCTGGGACTACAGGCACCTGCCACCACGCCCGGCTAATTTTTTTTTTTTTTTTTGGTATTTTTGTAGAGATGGGGTTTCACATGTTGGCTAGGATGGTCTCAAACTCCTGACCTCAGGTGATCCGTCTGCCTCAGCCTCCCAAAGTGCTGGGATTACATGTGCTGCTAATATTTCTGAACACTCACAAGATGCTAAGCACAGGGCTGAGCAGTTTCAGCTGTCTGTGTGCCTGACTCCCTCCACCCCTGCTTCTGTGAGTTCCTGGGAGGCAGGAACCATGTTTAATACAACTCAGTCCCCTTTATCTGGTGGCTACCACAATGCTTGGTTTACAGTAGGTGCCCCTAAAAATATTTGTTAAAGGAACTTGCATCATTTGATTTGTAACCATGTGTTTTATAAAATCAATCTCATTTCTATTTACTGCTTGAATAATGGCTTTAGTCCTTTGTCTTTTGCAAGAAGGCCCTTCTCTCCTCTGGAGGGCCGTGTTCCTGTAATAAGTGTAGTGCACTCACAGGATGCTTACTTAGGCCTGCAAGCTTAGTGCAGTTTCTTCTCCCTTCCCAATGGGCTGAGACTGGAGGACTCCATGGCTGGGGCCAGAAGCTGTTTCCTGTGGAGCGGCCCCAGTGCTGATCTTGCTCCTGCTGCCACGGGGCGTGCCACGGGGTGTGGGTGCTTCTGCTGCCCAGCTGGGGTCTCACTCACATGCCTAGGTTGGTATACTTGGATAATCAAAGTTCAATATATGTACCCCATGACAGGGGGATGTCTTTGTTCCTGTTGTTATAACAAAATACCTTACACTGTGTAATCTGTAAAGAACAGAAACTTATTTCTCACAGCTCTTCGAGGCTGGGAAGGTGAAGCTCAAGGCAGTGGCAGGTGAGGGCCTGGTCTCTTTGCTTCCAAGGTGACACCTTGAATGGTGACACCTTGAATGCTTCATCCTCACATGGCAGAAGAGCAGGACAGAGAACAAACTCCCGCAAGCCCTTTTATAGCGGTGCAGTGCTCATGACCTAAATACCTCCCAAAAGGTCCCACCTTCCAAACACTGCTGCACTGGGGATTAAGTTTCCAACACATGAATTTTGGAGGGGACATACTCAAACCATAGCAAGATGTTTACATGGTGATGTTGGAAATTGTGCAGACCCTCAGCTCTGACCTACCTAAGGGACTTGTCAGGGCCAGCTGAACGCAGGTCTATCTTGGGGCCAACAGGTCTGAAGCAGGAGTTGTAAACCCTAGTCTCACTGTACTTCATTGCAAAAGAAAGTTGGAGAAAGTAGAAGTTAATGGATGAGAGAGGACTTCAGGTAGCTTTTTTTCTCCCTAATCAATTGCTTCATAAAATGCATACATGATTGGAATTTCCTGCAGGAGAGAAGGGGGAGGGGAGAGAGAGAGAGAGAGAGAGAGAGAGAGAGAGAGAGAGAGAGAGAGAGAGAGAGAGAGGGAGAACATCACCCTGTAGTCCCCGCCCCATTTTTCTGCTGCCCTTACAACAAAACTCCTGAGTGAGTGGCCTGCATCTGCTGTCTCTCTGTTGTGTGGCGTAGGAAATCCTTCCCTCCCCACCACCGTTGGGGTGTAGAAATGGTATAATTATGTGGCTAATATAGTCAAAGTGTGTTGACTACCTGGATACTTTGGTGTGTAAGGTTGGGTTTTCTGAGTCATCCATAGCTGATGTTGGTATTTAGCAATTTAGAACAATTCTGCATTCACAGAACGCCTTTGGTCAGCCTGTCCCTGCCAGGCTTGGGGGACACAGAGGTGAAACAAATGACTGGACTCCCTGTGTCCGAGGAGTTTCTGATTTAGGAGCTCAGGACTAGAGGGAGGCAGGCACTGGATAGTGATCCGAGAATGCACTGCATAGACGCTGCCTTCAGAGGATTCAGGGAGAGGCAAGGGTAGAGCAGTGTCCGTGTGGGCTTCGAAACCCTTCCTCAGCAAGTCACCACATCTGACTCAGTTCTGGATTTCAGGGCCTGTAGGATTGGGACATGGACCCCCTTCAGTCTTCACAGGCCAGGGCCACCCCTTCCCACTGAGTCACAGACCTCCATATGGTTCCTAGACCCATGATCCCCACTGAGAGGGCTTTTAAAAAATTGAGGTACATACAACACACGATTGTTAAACAAAAATTATAGGAGGCCATTGTTTTGAACTAAACTGCATTAGGCCCCAACAGGCCAGACTAAAAATCAAAATGGAGTCAGCCATGCTCAGAAAACTGAAACTGAGTAATTATCTGGGCTGAGAAATCAGATGAGATAACATCCACATTTCCCACACAGGTTCGCTTTCAATGTTCAGTTGGCGTAATGATGAAGTTCATGCCCTCAATCCTTATAAAAGAGTAACCTGAAGCAACCTGGTGTTAATCAATCTGTTATTTTTCTGTTATTCTGTCCGGGTCCCATCTTATAAGAAAAGTAATGTTGAAATGAACAATGTGCTTTTTGTTCTTTCTTTTTGCTTTTTTCAGCCCTTTCTCTGTCTACAAAACCAACTTCCTCGCCCAGCTCATGGGAACACTTATTCTGTTGTATAGAATGAAGTGTTGCTTGATTCTAGAATCGTAAGTAAAGCCAATTGAGATCTTTATATCTGTTGTAATTTTGTCTTTTGACACAGTAACACGCGTGATTTAAGCCTTCAGTTTGCAGAATTTTGATAATCATTTATACCTGTTTAACTACACTCAAAACAAAATGTGAAACATTGTCAGCCTCTAAGAAGCCCCTTTCTACCCCTTTCCAATTGGCCACCAACAACCATACTTTATTTCAGTCTCTGTGGATTCATTTTGATGATTCTAGATGTAGTATAAAAGGAACCATAAAATATGTACCTTTTTGTGTCTGGCTTCTTAATTTTTTTAAATCTTCAAATATGTACTGAGTTCTTTTTTTAAATTTTATTTTTCCATAAGTTATTGGGGTACAGGTGGTATTTGGTTACATGAGTAAGTTCTTTAGTGGAGATTTGTAAGAACCTGGTGCGCCCATCACCTGAGTAGCATACGCTGCACCATATCTGTTTTCTTTTATCCCTCGCCCGTCTCCTACTCTTCCCCCCAAGTCCCCAAATTCCATTGTATCATTTCTTATGCCTTTGCGACCTAATAGCTTAGCTCCCACATATCAGTGAGAACATATGATGTTTGGGTTTTCATTCCTGAGTTACTTCACTTAGAATAATAGTATCTAATCTCATCTAGGTCATTGCAAATGCTGTTAATTCATTCCTTTTTATGTCTGAGTAGTATTCCATCATATATATATGCCAGAGATTCCTTATCCACTTGTTGATTGATGGGCATTTGGTTTGATTCCATGATTTTGCTTTTGTGAATTGTGCTGCTATAAACATGCATGTGCAAGTATCTTTTTCAAATAATGACTTCTTTTCCTCTGGTTAGATACCCAGGAGTGGGATTGCTGGATCAGATTCACACATTCAGGTTTTCATACCAGTAGTTCATTTCCTTTTATTAGACCACAATTCATTTAGCCATTCACCCATTGTTTCTAGGACTTTTTTGGCTGTTATGAAGAAAATTGCTGCAAACATTCAGGTACAGTTCTCTTTTGTAGACACAGGCTCGTATTTCTTCAGGGGTGAATACGCACAAGTGGGATTGCTGAGTCACAGGGCTGATGGACATTTAGCTTGACAGAAACTAGGAGCTGTGCTCTGATGTGGGGGCGCCCCTGCAGGACCCTGATGCTCACTGAGAGCCAATGCCTTGAGAGTCAGCCAGGTGAACCCAGCTCTGCCTGCGTGGCAAAATGAGAAATATATATTTGGTCTTTGAACCTAGATCTGGCAGAGAGCTCCTAAAACTCTTGGAATTTCCTGAGTGACAGGAATGTTTTCTTTTGTTTTTCATAATGAGCCCCTTTGACTATACCCAAGTTTATTCCAAGGAGGCAATGCCTGGCAGGCCCCGAGACAGCCTCAGGATGGAGCTGGTTGCCAGAGGGACTGGCCACAGGATTAGAGGGTGGGAACTTGCAGCCTGTCTGCTGACCTTCCGGGAAGGAGGAGGATCTGGAGATGGAGTGCAGTCACCAATGGCTGATGATTTAATCATGATGCCTACATAACAAAACTTCAGTAAAATATCGGAAGCAGGAGGCTAATGGAGCTTCAGGGCTGGGGGACACGTAGGTGCACCCAGAGAGGGTGTGAGAGCTCCGTGCACTGACTCCCCATCCAGCCTGCCCGGTGCCCCCTTCCATTCATTTGTGTCTTTAGAATATGACTGTAATTATGAAGAGTGTCCTCCTGAGTCCTGTGAGTCATTCAAGTGCATTGTTAAACCTAAGGGGGAGTCATGGGCACCCCCAAATTTGTAGTTGGCCAGGCAGAAGTGTGGGTGTCCTGGGGATTGCATTTGCAGTTGGGTCTGAATGGGGGCAGTCTTGTGGGATGGAGCCTCACCCTGTGGGGGCTGAGTAACTCTAGGTGTTCAGTGTCAGAATGGAATTGAATTGTTTGACATGCAGTTGGTGTCAGAGAATTGGTATTGGAAAGATGTAATGGCGTTATGAAAACCACATGGGCTCATTCTTAGCACCCTTCCACTGTCCATTTTTTTCTGTGCCCGTTGTTTTCTGAGCTGCCCTTTGAATGACAGGACCTGCTTGTGTTGGGACAGAAGAGTGGTGAGAAAGACCTCCTCGGAGGCCTGGGGCATGTGTGATGCTCCAGTGAAAACAACAGAATCAGGGTGTGAGCAGGCATCTCCGTGGATTTGCCAGACGCAATTTACCAATCTTCTCAGCACAGACTCTTACAAAGACTGCATTCCTGACTATGTCACAGAGCCCAGGAGGGCAGGCAGAAAGCATAAACCACCCGTGTGAGCAGAGGAAAGTGGCGTGGAGAAGTCGTGTAAGAACCCTTTAATGGATATGTAAATGGCATCAGTGAGGGAGACTAAATGGCAGTGGAGTGTTGCTTAGAGGCGTTTTATGCATTTTATGATGTTTTGTGCATTTGAAAATACTGGTAACAGGAAGAGAGGGACCCTATCACAATTCTGGTCTCTCATTATTTGTACATAATAAGCATATCCATTATCGTTATTTAGACCACTTGCTAGTCTGAATTTTTCCAGAAATGATGTTTTCCCAGAATGTCTAGGACTTCCTCTCTCATACTGAGTTGTTGAGCTTGGAGTCTGCTGCAGGTTAGAGTCTGAAGCCAAATTTGTCACGAGGTGTCTCAGCCAGAATACTGAGCTGCTCAGGGTCACCTGCCCAGGAAAGCAGCCAGGGAATTCCTGGGCATTGAGACCACACGGGAACGTGAGCATCTATTGCTAGAGAGCTGTGCAGTGTGGGACAGGCAGTCCGAAGATTTTTGAAAGAAGCAGCTGCACACATTGTCTGTTTCACCACTCATGGGCAGGTGGAAAGCTGAGCCTGGAGAGGTAAAGTTGTTGGCTGGCCACAGGCAGGGGAGGGGGAACCTGCTCCCTTGGGCCTTTGTTGCTGTGCTGGGTGAAGGTTGTGGAGAAGCCTTGCCTCTAGAAAGAGAGGACAGGAAGAGAGCAGTGATGCCTTAGGAAAAGAAAAAACTGCAAGTTACTGAGCACTGACCACGGGCCAACACCTGTCAGTGCTTGATGTCAGCCACAGCCCTGAGGGACAAGGGCATGGAGCCTGGGTCCGTGAAGTGAGCTCTCTCTCTAAGGTTGGAGGTGAAGCGAGGGGGCATGTGCAGTGTGAACTGGGGGCTCTGACTGCAAGTGCTGTCCACCATTGGATCCAGGTGGCTGGGCATACTCTCACTGTCCAGACGATGACTGGATTCGGGGGTCTTTTCTGGTGCCAGATTTCCAGTGTGTGTCGGCAGCTCTGGTTTTTGTTGGTCCCTTATCACCAAAGACCACTTCCCCTTTGCCCTTGTGGGGGATGTGAAGGGTGGCCCTGAATCACGCACTTCCACTTCCTCTGGTCTTCGCTGGAGCTCTGAAAAGGTGTGAACACCAAACACTACTATTCTGGGCTGATGGCGTTCAATCTGGCCTTCTGTGCACCTGGAGCATGGGCAGCTCATCTTGGTCTCGCTGATGGCACTGTTTTCCAGTGGCTGAAGGAGCAGGTGATGCTCTGTTTTGCATGTTCTGTGCTTTCTGCAGACTCCCCTGGTCACACTTGGGCCTGGGAGCTGCATGGTCACCCAGACAGGGCATGTCTCAGCCTGCCAGCCTTGGAAGGAAACATCCCCAACCCATCAGTGAGTCCTTGCCGCATCCTATGACCTTCCGGGTCCCAGGGCCCAGAGCACACCTGCCTCTCATGAGACTTTCCTCAGCTGGGATTTAAGTCTGAATTGCTTAAGAGGAAAGGAGCAGGTCCACAAGGACTCAGAGGCTACAGCAAGTGTCCAGTGAAGCTGTCACATGTGATTAAGAAGAGAAAGAAGCCTGTCCCATGTTCCGGGATGGACTGGTCTGGCTGCTTAAGGCAGCTACGCTGAATAAAATGATATGACAATGCCCCATGTCTTGAAACTTCAGCTTCCTCCTCTTCATCCGGGAGCCTCCACCCTGGTCTGAAGCTGTCCCTTCTATCCTAAGGCCTGCCTTGCCTTCAGAACCCATGGTCTGTCAGGCCTCCCGGTTCCTCATTCCCCCAGATAGAGGTGTGAGGGAGGAGCTCTTCCCACCTTCTGCAGACAGGCAGACTGAGGCTTGAGCATCTGTGGCTTGCTTTTGAGGACACAAGGGAGGTGGGGGGCCTAGCTGGAGCCAGGTCTTTAGATCACGGCTCTGGGCTTTCCGCCCACCTCACCCTGACTCCTCGTCTAGCCTCATCCCCGATTTCCCCATTAGACACCTGCTCTCTACCAGGAGACCAAGCAGGAAGGTTTCCTTAGCACCCTTGGGAAATCTTCTGTTCTTGGGGTACATTTGGAGTGATTTCCAGAACGACACCATCCCCTACCTCCTGATGTCCTCACCCAGGTGTCCCACAGGCATGTCTGTCCTTCCCTGCCCAAAAGGGACCCCACCATCTCCCCCATCAACAGCTCTTCCCTTTATTAGACCCCCACCTCTAACCCAACACCCTGATCAGAGCCTGCTGCTGAGCTTATCCACACACCTGCCTTCCAGTGGCCTCTCCTTCCTCCCAGCTCTCATCCCTCCCTTCTCTTCACTCTTGCCACGCCTCAGGCACTGATCGTTTCTTACCATGACCATTGAAACTATCTCGGACGGGTCCCCCGCTGTGGCATCCCCGCTCCACGTGGCCCTGGGTGCCTTGCCCTCTCTCACTCCCAGTCTTAGGAACCTATTCTGGTAACGTGAGCGATGGGAGTGCACCGGAGTGTGTGAGTTTGCCGGTGGATTTGCAGAGGGCTGGCGAGCCAGGCCTGGAGCTGGCAGGCGTGAGGGGCTCCCTGGAAAAGACGAACCCATCTCCCCCACTTCGCTGTGTCACACCAGGTGTCCACTAGAGTTGCCAACTGTGACAGTGTCCGGAGGTAAGGAGGTGGAGCCTGCCCCAGGGTATGACCTCCCAGGATCCAGGGCAAAGGATTTGAGAGGAGAACCAGGCAATGGACAGGGTCTTTGCTAGTAAGACACAATCAGAGCTAGGAAGGTCCTGCTCATGAGTGAGTGTTCAACTGGGAGAGGGAAGGCCGGGTTGGAGGGGAAGTAAGGTAAATAAAAAAGGAAAGAAGGAAAAGAGAGAGGGAGGGAGGAAAGAAAGAAGGGAGTAAAATGGAGAAAAGGGGAGACTTTAGATTTGAGGTCGTGGCTAGACCCCAGGAAACCCAGCAGGCATGAGAAAGTCTAAAGTGGAGGGTGGGAAGGGGTTCTGGGTGGGAGGTAGTCCTGGGGAAATCCCTTGAGCTGAGGAAGCTTCGCCTGGGGAATTTGAGGGCTCGGGTGTGGACGGGAAAAGATTCTCTAAGGACGCCCCCTAGAGCAACCCTGGACATGAGGAGTGGGGGGAATGAGGCAGAACTGTCCCAGGTGCCCACAGGGCAGCAGCGTCCCCGGGACACCCTCAGACATAGGGAGTGACAGGGACGAGGGAGGATGCAAACAGCTGAGACTGTGGAGAGCCGGCTCGTTTCCAGGCGGTGTTGCTGCCTTCGCCTTGCCAATGAGGACAGTCGGACACAGGGAAGAAGGGGCTCCACCAGCAGCACCCAGCGAGCACCCGGCATGCCTGGGATTCGAGTGCAGGCCTGTCTGATTCTGTAGGGAGGAGAAAATCTTCTTTCCTCTACCCCTCTAGGTTCTCTGGCTGGGGCTCTGAAAGAGACTGACAAAGGCAGATTAACGAGAGAAAAACAGACACGAGTTTATTACCACGTGCATCACGCACACCCATGGGAACGTCCGCAGTGAGTAACTCCAAGGGGCGGCCAGAGCTCGAGCTTTCATAGCACCTCACAAGAGAATGCTTGTTTAGAGAAGTGACAAGACAGAGGAGAAGGGCTTGAGTTTCTGGGGAGGCGCAGGGCGGGAAGGCCACCCTACGGGGAGCTGAGGGAAGGGAAGGGCTTCAGTGGGACCAGGACGTGCTGTGCAGATTCCTCTGGTGCCCTCTCCAGGCTGAGGAGGGGCTCGGGTTGTGTCTGGTGATTAACTCCATCCTTCCCGGTAGAGAGGGTTGGGGGCACACCTTGACAAATTTATGTCCAGCTTTTTGGTAAATAGGTGAGGGCGGAGAGTTTCTCTTGTATCTGCTTCTTCTCAATTGCCGGCAGCTCCACTTAATCCTTATGCCAAAGTGACAGATTTTAAGGTGGCATGTTCCGCTCCCCTTCACTTGCAAAGCACTTTGCTTTCTTCCAAACTGCGTATGCTGTCTGCCTGAATACCGATCTTCCTGCAGCTCAGCCAGGCTGAGGCAGGCGGATCCAACCCCAGCGCGGTGCTTCACGGACATGTGCGCATGCGCACTGGCAGAGAGCTGCTGCGGCACAGGGACTTTTCCTCTCTGCTCCTCCAACGCCTCATCTCTGCCATTGGGTGGTGAGCGAGGAGGCCTCCCCTCCACCTCCAAGCGGCCTTTTCCCCTCCCCAGGCTGCCCCCTCCCAGGTTCCACGCCTTCCCAGCTGTTGACTGCAGGAATGGGTCCCTGACCTGGCTGAGAGGCATGATCACAAGGGTTTGTTCTGTTTTCCAGCACTGCCCTTAACTCAAACCTTGCTGTGCAGCATCTAATTTTGGCTTTCTGACACCCTTCTTTAAAAAAAAAAATTAAATTAAGAAAATGGATACATATTTGTACATATCTATGAGGTACACGTGAAATTTTGTTACATGCGTGTAACATGTAATGTTCAGGCCAGAGTATTGGGGTGTCCATCACCTGGAGCATTTATCATTTCTCTATGTTAGGAACATTAAAAGTCCTCTCTCAGCTATTTTGAAATATACAGGCCTGGCGTGGTGGTTCATGCCTATAATCCCAGCACTTTGGGAGGCTGAGGCGGGCGGATTGCCTGAGGTCAGGAGTTCGAGACCAGCCTGGCTAACATGGTGAAGCCTCATCTCTACTAAAAAAATATATAAAAATGAGCCGGGCATGGTGGTGCACACCTGTGGTCCCAGCTACTGGGGAGGCTGAGGCAGGAGAATTGCTTCAGCCTGGGAGGTGGAGGTTGCAGTGAGCAGAGATTGCACCACTGCACTCCAGCCTGGGAAAAAGAGCGAGACTCCATCTCAAGAAAAAAAAAAAAAAAAGAAATATACAATACATTGTCATTAACTATAGTCACTCAATGCCACTGTCTTTCCTTTCATCTCCTTTCCAGGCCTGACTCCATTTGTCCCACTTTCCAATATTCCATGTGGATAGCCTAGAACCATCTAAGAGATAAGGCACCCAGATCGCAAACCACAGGACTCGGAATTCTCTGCTTGTCTCCTAATTAGAAGCCATTGAAGAGTCAGTGGACTGAATACAAATTAACCATTAGATCAACTGAAAATGTCAAGTTTAGATGAATCTGAGTTCTCATTTAGATATTTTCTGGCTGTTGGCCCAGCCCCACAAATAAATACACATTTGAAAGTTATCCTGTTACTTTGATAAAAGAATTTGGTCTCTTACAAATGATAATTCAGCTCTCAATGTGGCTTAGGTGAACATAGTTTTGGATTTCTTCAAGTAAGATATATGAGCACAGTGTGTATTATCTTTACAACAGATATCCATAATAATTATAGTAACAAAGCCATCTTTCTATATTTCTTTAAAGTTTGTTTTTTCCTTTTAAGCTCCATCCCAGGAATTTGGGCTGTAATTCAGGGACTTGTAGAACCTCACAGTGAGAGAGGAGTGAAGTCCTGTCTGCTTGGATTTATTGCTGTCTTGATTAATGAGAATTGCTAGCTTTTCCTTACTTTTGGAAGGAGGCTGGGAAATGCAAACTTCCCACCTGCCCTTGAAGGAGAAAGGAATCTGGACTGGATACAAAGAAGCTGGTGAGGAGCATTTATCCTGCAGTCCCTGCTAGGTGCAGGGTGCTGGAGCCTGGAGACCGGAGACAGGGGCAGCACCCCGATGGTCGTATACCTGCCAGCCCTGCTGGAGGGGGCGATTAGGGCAGAAGTCTTTCCACTGAGAAGCGGACTGTGCACTGTTGTGGACTGAGCTGATAGGTACCGAGCTTTTGGACACTGTGCTGCTGGAGCAGGGTGGGGGATACAGGGGGAGTGAAAGGAACCAGCCCCCTCAGCAGGCCTGGAAAGACGAGGTGGGTGCCCAGACCCAGTAGGTTGTTGCTCTGCTGGCCCATACTGTAGCAGTGACTTGGCTTGGTAGACCTGGGAGGCCATTGTGTTTTTATACTTACCACAATTCATGCATGGTCTGCCCAATGTGTGGGGTTAGTTCTGCCCGTTGATTCTCTTCCTCTTGTTTCATGGTACCCTTACTGTAAGGGGAGTGACCAGAACTGGCCACACAGTGGGCATCTTCTAGGCACTGTCCTGGCCAGGAGGACAAGGCCGCCTTTTGCACTGGTTCCCCTGTCAGGTCAGGCCTTGGCCCACCACCTGTGCCTTCCATGTCCTCCTTCCTGTACACTCACGCACCCCTCCCCTGGTAACCATGTTGCCTTTACACCCATGAGCCCTGCTGTGGTGCCCTTGCCAGGCACAGTGAGAAACACAAGGGTGACCTGTAGACGAACTGGGCTGATATGGGTGGATCAAGGCCCAGAGCTGTTGTATAGACGCGTCAGAAATACATGCGTATGAGAAGGGAGAGTAATGAGAAGAACCTCATTCACTGGCGAGTGGGGAGGAAGGTGCTGGCAAGAGCCTGGTATGGAGCTCAGACTAGAGGTGGACCAGCCTTGTCTTTAGAGCTGTATGAAAGCTCGAAAGCTGCCCCCACCCCAACTCATTCACCCAGTCACAAAGATAGGTGACCTGTCATCAGATGGCTTCTGTTTCCCGCTAACAGTCTAGTAACACAGATGAGCCCATTCTCCTTAGCACCATTCTCTCCACCACCAACACTTACTGGTCACCTCTGGATACTGGAAGGAAGAGGTGAACTGGAAAGACAAGACCACTCTCTGCCCTCAAGATGGGGCTGTGTCTAGCTAAGTGAGATGTGTGTGTGTGTGTGTGTGTGTGTGTGTGTGTGTATACACATATATGTATAAAGACAACCATATTTATTTGTCTATATGGGACTACATCTCTGCATAAACACTACCATATGCAGGCTCTGAGGTCAAAGTTCATCCTTACCTCAGCTAGACAGGAGGATCCAGCATTTTCTAATTAATAAAATACCTCACAGCTTTCCTTATCCTGCTGTAGTTGGACATGGAATTCTTTTGGTTATTCTGCTTAGGAAAAGTAGCCTCTGCATTAAATGCCAAGCTCTGTAGGGGAGCAAAGCCTATGCTTTGCTTAACACATAGAATGGAATTGCATTAATGTGAGAAAGCATTTCGAAAATGATGGAGTCTGTAGAGATGCTAGGAATTGTTTTCATGATCATTACCTGAAGCTTCATCCTAAAATGTGCTGACTCTTAATTTAAGTATATGCAACCCAAAGTTATCTAGGCCTGTCAGCCTCAGCCTTAAGCTCTAGTCTTAGCACTGTGATGCATGAAGAGAAATGTAATTTCTACTCCAAAAGTGTTTTAAGATAACATAAGATTGGCCGAGCGCAGTGGCTCACGCCTGTAATCCCAGCACTTTGGGAGGCAGAGGCAGGAGGATAACGAGGTCAGGAGATCGAGACCATCCTGGCTAACATGATGAAACTCTGTCTCTACTAAAAATACAAAAAAAAAAAAAAAAAAATTAGCCGGGCATGGTGGCAGGAACCTGTAGTCCCAGCTACTCAGGAGGCTGAGGCAGGAGAATGGCGTGAACTTGGGAGGCGGAACTTGCAGTGAGCCGAGATCGCACCACTGCATTCCAGCCTGGGTGACAGAGTGAGACTCTGTCTCAAAAAAAAAAAGAAAAAAAAAAGATAACATAAGACTTTAATTAAGTCTTTGGAGGGCTGGCATATCAGGGGTGCGACACACAGCAGAAGATTTCCAAAAATCCTCACACATGTGCGCCACTGTCCTTGTCAGCATGGCCTTCTCCTCACCCTTTCATGGGCCACAGTCCCTCTTCTGGCCTCCCCTAAAAGCTCTGGCAGGCCCTCTTTCATGACCACTTCCCATCTACCTCTTCTTATAGCTCTCCTGGTGCCCTGAAGTGACACCTTAGCACAGGGTGAGCCTCCTTGGCATCCTTCAACACCACAAACAATTCAGGACCAGGCTTCCACTGACAGGTGGGGAAAGGTGCTGAGTACTTTATGCCATATTGTTGCCTTTGTGACATACTCTATAAAAGCCACTCAAGTTGGGTCTAAAGTCTTCTTTGATTTGCATGAACTGTAGGTATTAACAGTGGGGGAAGCTGCACCTTAATAACTCTTGGTGAGGGGTCCCCTGTGGAGTCCACCAGGCATGGGAATTTAGCCTCACTTACTGATGAGGAACTGAAGAGTCAGAGGGGCGATTTGACTTGCCCAGATCACAGAGCTCTTAAGGGGGCACAGTCTGGTCTTAAACTCAGTTCTTCTGGCTTCGAGTTGAAGGTCATGTCCACAAACTCCCAGAGCAAGAACTGAGTCTCAACTCTGACCTTTGGATTGTGCGTGCTACACCAGGAATCACAGCTTCACAGGGAATAAATGTAGACTTGTTTCATTGCACAAACTGGTGGCATTTCTACCAGTCATAGTGACTGAGAGATGAGCAGTGCTTTGGCACTCTAACTGGGTGACCCTCATCTCCCTTGTGCCACCTGAGCCCACCCAGGGGAACACTCCCATCCAGCTATCCTGGTCAGGGCTGCATTGAAACCACTGGTTCCTCCAGGACCCAAAGCCGCTTTTCTGGATGGAATGTAAATCATTCCTACCTGGGGCCCTGCCAAGCCTTGGCAGGATTCAATGTGACATTCAGTTCCAGATTAATCCAAGTTGGAACAGTTTTGCTGAAGGTTTAGAGACCTTCAATTTATTTATCTTCTGAAACCCTGAAACAGCTTTAATAACATAGCTTTGGATTTCTGCAAGTGAGATGTATGGGCTCAATAAGTATTATTTTTACAACAGATATCCATAATCATTATAGTAACAAAGGCACCTTCCTATATTTCTTTAAAGTTTGTTTCTTTCTTTTAAGCTTTGTCCCAGGAATGGGGTCTGTAATTCAGGGACCTGTAGAAGTTCACAGTGTGAGAGGAATGAAGTGTCCAATCTGCAATCTGAATCTTCCCTATGAAATTTCCACCTGGTGCCCTCCAGCGCAGATTCTCGCACCCACAGTCCTGCCTTACAGGGCAGACCATTTCCTCTCTGACAGTACTACCTGTCTGAATGTTCTGCTTCAAACTGAGTCAAGATATGTGAACCCTGGGTAGAAGAATTATCAGGTCTGGAGGGAGCACAAGCAAACTATCCCATTTTATGGACGTGGAAACCGAGGCCTGAGGGAGAGACGCACCAGGAATCAGGAGATCTGGCTCTGATCAGCTGTACAAATTGAGAATTGTGACCTGACCTTGTCCAACCCAAGTGGCCCAACTCCTAATTCTGTGAGTGACATGTCTCTGTTACTTTGGAATATTGATTGAAGGTATGTGATTACAACTTTTTATTATAATATTCTGAGACAATTTTTTATTATAATCTTATGAGAAGCTAAGGACTGGGTGGATATTTTCCTGGGTTAAAAGTAAAGTTTTTCTTGTTGAAAACTTAGACATTCAGAAAATTTTCAAATTGTTTTTATTATATAGAAACTGTAGATTAGAAACATATTGTATGATGATTGTTCATGATGCTTCAGCGTAATCACTTCAGCAATGTAGCAATGACGCCATTCAGGGGCGTTTTCAAAGTGTGGCCTTGGGCCAGCACCATCGGCATCTCAGGAAACTCTCACAGGGACAGCCCTGCTCTACTGGATCAGAAGCTCTGGGGCTGGGACCCAGCAATCCATGCTTTAACAAGCCCGTCAGGGGCTTCCTATTCATGCTGAAGTCTGAGACCCACTGTTACGGAATATTGTCTTCCTGATCTTGATAGTGTGATGGTAAATTTTATGTGTCAATGTGGCTAGGATATGCTGCCCAGTTGATTGGTCAAACACTAGTCTAGAAGTTGCTGTGAAGGTATTTTTTAAACATTTAAATCAGTAGACTTTGAGAGAAGCAGATTACCCTTCATCATTTGGGTAGGCCTCATCTAATCAGCTGAAGGCATTAAGAGAAATGACCGAGGTCCCATGGGGAGGAAGGAATTCTGCCTCCAGACTGTCCTGGAACTCAAGACTGCAACATCAACTCCTGCCAGCTTTTCCAGCCTGCCAGCTTACTTTGAAAATTGCCAGCCCCCATGATTGTGTGAGCCAATTCCTAATCTCTTCTCATATATATATATATATATATATATATATATATATATATATATATATATGTATGTATACATATACCGTATGGCTCTGTTTTTCTGGAGAACTCTGATAAATACAAACAGCATTAGAATCCAATCTCAGCAATTTCTCATTTAGCCCAAGCTCAGCTGCACAATCCTTCTCAGTGCAAGACTCCAGACAACTGCTTTCAATAGGCAGGAGCCAGCATAGGCATGCCACTTAATAGCTGTCCAGGACTTAAGATGGTAACTGGGGGCCGAAAAATTTGTAGGTATACCTGATTTGGCAGAAACCATTTGATTTTAGGCTATTCTTTAGAAAATTCTTTATTGAAAAATATCTAGATTTCAGTGGGAAGTTAAAAAATGGATGGATCCGAATTTGAATCCCTGCTCTAACTTACTCTCTAAGTGGCCTCAGGCAAGTCACTTAACCCATGTGATCAATATTTTCTTCATCAATGAAGCAAGCCGGGAGTGGTAGCTCATGCCTGCAACCCCAATGCTTTGGGAGGTTGAGGTGGAAAGATGGCTTGAGGCCAGGAGTTCAAGACCAGCCTGGGCAAGATGGTGAAACCCCTATCTCTACAAAAAATACAAAAAAATGTTGGGCATGGTGGCATACACCTGTGGTCCCAGCTACCCAGGAGGCTGAGGTGGGAGGATCGCTTTAGCCCAGGAGGTTGAGGCTGCAGGGAGCTATGATTGCACCACTGCACTCCAGCCTGGGCAACAGAATGAGACCCTGTCTTTAAAAGAAAAAGAAATGAACCAAAGGTACTAAGGCTTTCCTTCTGTGGTTTTAATAAAGCTTCTAGGTAGCACATCTCAGGTGCCAATTTATGTCAGGCTTATTGTAGGCGCTCGGTGAATAATAGTTATTATGGTTTCAGCTTGCCATTCCCCAAACTGGAGGTATGCCAGAAAGATATTACTGTTAACTGGGAGTCCTAGGTAACTGTTCTCTCTGGTGAATCTGTGATTTACTGTAACACAGTAGAGATAACATGTTTAATTGTAATCAATATAGCAACATTATTATTTGAGCAATGCAGTAGGCACTGACTGGGGAGGGATGCATCCCAAGAATGTGGGAGCCATAGCAGCAGCCCTTGGTGATGAGCAGTACTAAGGCTATGATGAAGGCTGTCAAGGATGCACCCACATTTCATCATAGAAAGAAGCCAGGCAAGCCATGGGCTCTGGGAATTTCTATTAAAACAATATAGACTTTTAAGGGGGGATGTGGGGTACACAATCTATTGGAAATGTTATTTGTCCTACATAATTCTAGGGACATGAATGATGTAGGGAAACAATGTTATCAAACAACACGATTTTCTGTTTCAACTGAGAGGAAGAGTGGCCTATTCAAGTAAGCCCAGATTAATGTGTGAACATAGCTAAAAGGATCAGCATTTTCCTGTTACTTGAACACTCACAGTGCATTCAATTATATTTTAATGAACTTGAAAAACTGAATTCAATAGAAACAGTTTTGGAAGACTAAGAGGCAAAGCTTAATGATGAAGATATTAGAAAAGTTATACAAACTAATAACTACTAAGAAAAGTAAGGTGGTATTCAAAGATTTCCCCTCCTCAAATCCCCAAGCCCGGATGGGTTATAGATGAATCTTACTAAATTTTCAGGAACAGTTAATTGCTAATCTTTATAAGTGGTTCCGTAAGATGGGAAGAGAAAGTTGTGTAGCTCATTTTATGAGTCTAATGTAATTCATAACTCAAGTATCAGATAAGAACAATAAATACAAAGAGAAGAAGACTTCAATTGATTAGTATATCAACATTGAAGGAAAAACTAAATCTTGGCTAAGTGAATCAAATCTTTTGTTAAGAATATATTATAATTAAGTAGGATGCCACCTAGGAATACAAGAGTGACTCATCATTGGAAAAATTGTCATAAAATCTTTTGTTAAAAATATTGCCATATTAAAAGACTACTGAAGAAAAATTACATGGCAATTAAAATTAATACAGAAATAGTACTTTATGAAATTCAACAACTTTTATGATTAAAAAAGCATAGAAAACTAGGAACAGGAGGAAATTTCCCTAACTTGGCAAAAGTTATATTCAAAAAAACCTACCACAAACCTAATATTTAATGGAGAAACATAAGACCCATTTCCTTTGAAATTACAAACAAAATAAGGATGTCCAATGCTATGGTCTGAATGTCTGAGGCCTCCCCAAATTCATATATTGAAAATTTCAAGATAATGGTATTAAAAGGTGCGGCCTTTG
This sequence comes from Homo sapiens, assembly GCF_000001405.40. NCBI lineage: Eukaryota > Metazoa > Chordata > Mammalia > Primates > Hominidae > Homo > Homo sapiens. The sequence goes on along the minus strand of NC_000010.11, from coordinate 44,870,564 downwards.
GAAGATGATTAGGTCATGGGGGCAGAATCCTCAGGAATGGGGTTAGGGCCTGAGACCCCCTCATCCCTTCTACTGTATGAGGACACAGTGAGACTGTGTGCAGAAAGCATGCCCTCACTAGACACCAAATATTTTAGTGTCTTGATGTTGGAATTCCCAGCCTCCAGAACTGTGAACAATAAATTTCTGTTGTTTATAAGCCACCCAATTTAGGGTATTTTTTATAGCAGCCCAAATGGACTAAGACATCCATTCTAACTGTTTCCGTTTGGCACAGTGTTTGAGGTTCTGGCCAATGTTGTAAAAAGAGGAAAAAAAAAAAGCTGGAAGAGTTGGTGTGTGAGAGAGATTCTAGCTGCTCTATTGAGGGCCAGTGACGGGCAGGGGTGAAGGCGGCGGGGATCGGACCAGACACTAAATCACTCCGGCTTGAGCTGGGTCTGTAGCTATATAGGTGGTGAGAAGTGGTTGGATTTTGGGTAAATTTTGAAGATGTGCTTGACAAATTTGTCAAAGGATTTGAAAGTGGGGAACGAGAAAAAGAGAGGGGCCAAGGGTAATTCTGTGTTTTTTTGGTTTTGTTGTGTGTGTGCTATTTTTAACTCGAGCAGTGGGAATTACTAAGATGGGGAGACAGTGGGAAGCATAGTTTGTGGGAATTTTGAAAATGCCAAGTTTGAGATCTCTACTAGATATTTAAGCAACGATGCCAAGAGGTAGAGAGGACTCTAGGGTTCAGGGAGGAGGTCTGAGCTACAGGGAGACATTTGAGGGTGGTCAGTGTAGAGATGAGATTCAGAGCTATGAAATCCAGTGAGCTCACCAAAGGAGGCGAGTTAGAGAAAAGAAGACTGAGTTTTAGGGCGCTGCCAGTTGAGAGGTTGGGGCAATGTTGGGGGAAGGAGAAAGACCATCCAGGAAAGTATGAGGAAAACTACAGGCACACGGTGTCCCAAAGGACAGGTGGAGAAAGCTTCTGTAGAGAAAACGCTCAGTGATATTTTCTGAGAGTCTGAACACGTGACAAAAGGGAGTGAATCCTTTTCTCCTTCCCTTCCTCCCTTTCTACCTCCTTCCTTCCTTCCACAAGGGTGTAAATTCCTCTGTCCCTCCCTTTCCTTCCTCCCTGCCTCTCCGTCTCCCCTCCCTCCCTCCCTTCCTCCCTCCCTCCCTCCCTCCCTTCCTTCCTTCCTTCTTTCCCTCCTTCCTTCCTGTCTTCCTTCTTTATGAATGTTTACAGCTTTGTTTAGGTATAAACAACACAGAATAAATTGCACATGTTTAAAGTGCACGATCTAAGTTCCGACATATGTCTACATCTATGAAATCACCACCACAATCACTATAGTGGCCCTATCCGTCACCCCACACATTGCCTCCTGTCCCTTCTAGTCCTCCATTCTGCCCTCCCCATTGCGTCTCTGCACATGGGGAGCCTCTCCACAAAATATCTGCTTTCCATCAGTATAGCTTAGTCTGCTCGAATTTTATATAAATAGCATCTAACAAAAACCCTTTTTTTTGTCTGGCTGCTTTCAGTCAGCATAATGATTATGACTTTTTTCCATGTTGCTTGTATCGATGGTTCATTCCTCTTTACTGCTGAGTAGCATTCCACTGAATGAATCACCACATTAGCTTATCACAAATAGTTCCTCCTATATATGCTTATAGAAGATTCATTGTTTTGTTTTGAGTGAATTTTGGTAGGTGCTGCAAAATATGAATTTAATTCATTTTGATTCATATGGATATCAAATTGTTTCCATTTGATAGACTGGAATAGACTATCTTTCCCACGTTGGATTACCTTTGCACCTTTGTCAAATCTCAGTTGCTCTTATGTGTCTGGGCCATGTGTAGCTTTTCTTATTTAGGGACATTTGTCTTTCAGAATAACTTTGTCAGTTTCTACAAACCCCCCTACTCCCTGCTTTGGGGGCTTATATGGGGACTGATCATTTCTTTTTACTGCTGAGTGGCATTTCATTGAATGAATCGCCTCAGTAAGCTTCTCACAAATAGTTCTCTCTATATTTTCTTCTAGAAGTTTCATTTTTTTTTTTTTTTTGCATTTTGGGGGCAAAGTGACATATTAGTGGTATTAGATATTCAAGTGGAGATGCCAGGAGGTAGAGAGGAATCTAGGGTACAGGGAGGGGGTCTTTTGATCTTTATATCAATTTGAGGGCAAATTGACATCTTAGTGGTATTATATTTTCTGATCCATGAATGCAACGTATCTTCCATTTTTTGAGCTCTTTAAAATTTTTTTCTGAGCAATGTTTTATGGTTTTTAGTGTACAGTTCATTCATATCATTTGTTAAATGTATCTCTAAGTATTTCATATTTTTGATGCTATTTTAAATGATACTAGATTTAAATTTTAATTTCTGATTGTCATTGCTAGTGAAAATATAAAACAATTGGTTTTTGTATATTGATCCTCTATCCTGCAACCTTATTAAACTCACTTGTTAATTCTAATATCTTTTTGTGTAGGCCACGTTGAATTTTCAATATAGAAAATCCTGTTATCTATGAATAAAGACAGTTTTACTTCTCCCTTCTAATCTCAATGCCTTTTATTTCTTTCTCTTGCTGTATTGTATTTGCTAGAAAATGTTGAAAAATGTTGAAAAGAAGTTGTAAGAGTACATAGTTTTGTCTTGTTCTTCATCTTAGGGGAAAAGCATTAAGTCTTTTAGTATTAATGGTAATGTGGACAGAAGGTTTTGTAGAGGCCGTGTACCAGGTTGAGGAAGCTCCTTCTACTCCTAGTTTGTTGAGAGAGTTTATGTCCAGAATGCATGTTAGATTTTTGAAAATGCTTTTACTATGTCTATTGTGACACTTCTGTGGTTTCTCTTTTTTAATTTCAAAATATGCTGAATCACATTAATTGATTTTCAAATTATAAATCAACCTTGCATTTCTGGCATGTAACTCATTTGGTTATGATCTTTCATACTGTTGGATTTGATTTCATTTGCCGAAATTTTGTTTAAAGTGTATTTTGGTATAAAGTGTATATATAGACCCAGGTGCGGTGGCTCACACCTGTAGTCCTAGCACTTTGGGAGGCCAAGGTGGGCAGATCACTTGAGGTCAGGAGTTTGAGACCAGCCTGGCAACGTGGTGAAATCCTGTCTCTACTAAAAATACAAAAATTAGCTGGGTGTGGTGGCGTGCCTGTAATCCCAGCTACTCAGGAGGCTGAGGCAAGTGAATCGCTTGAACCTGGGAGGCAGAGGTTGCAGTGAGCCGAGATCATGCCACTGCATTCCAGCCTGGGGGACAAGAGCAAAACTCCGTCTCAAATAAAACAAAATAAAATAATATATATATATGTGTGTATATACACACACACACAAAATTTGCATTCATATTCATAGAGATAATAGTCTATAGTTTTCGTTCTTTGTAATGTCTTTGGTCATGGTACCAGAGTAAAACAATTTGAGAAGTGTTCTGTCTTTTACAATTTTCCAGGAGTGTGTATGGAATTGATGTTCATTCTTCCTAAGTTGGATAATAAAGTTATCTGGGCCTGGAGGTTTCTGTGTGGGAAGGTTTTAAAGTACAAGTTTAATGTAAAAAATAGACATAAGACTAATTCAGATTATCTGTTTACTCTTAAGTGCCGATAGTGTCTTTCAAGGAATTTGTCTATTATATTTAATTTGTCATATATATTGGTCTTAAGTTTATCATAATATGCTCTTAATTTTCTTTTTAACATCTGTAGAATCTATAGTGATAGATATCACAATTCCCATTTCTGATTTTAGTAATTTGAGTCTTTTCTCTTTTTTGGGGGGATCAACCTGACCAGGAGTTTATCAATTTTATTGATCTTCTAAAAACAAACAAAAAACTCCAGCTTTTAATTTCATTGATTTGTCCCTTTTGTTTTTCTCCTTTCTATTCCACTGATTTATGATATGATCTTCCTTTCTCTCTCTCTTTCTCTTCCTTTCCTGCTGTAATCTTTCTTTCTCTCTCTTTCTTTTCCTTTCGTGCTCTGATCTTTCTTTCTCTCTTTCTCTCTCCTTTTCCCTTTCCCTTTCCTTTCTTCTTTCTTTCTCTCTCTTTCTTTTCCTTTCGTGCTCTGATCTTTCTTTCTCTCTTTCTCTCTCCTTTTCCCTTTCCCTTTCCTTTCTTCTTTCTTTCTTGAGACAGAGTCTCTGTCACCCAGGCTGGAGTGCAGTGGTGCGATCTCTGCTCACTGCAACTTCCACGTCTCGGGCTTTAGCTACTCTCCTGCCTCAGCCTCCCGAGTAGCTGGGATTATAGGTGCACGCCCCCACGCCCAGCTAAATTTCGTATTTTTAGTAGAGACGGGGTTTCACCATGTTGGCCAGGGTGGTCTCAAACTTCTGACCTCAAATAGTCTGCCCATCTCGGCCTCCCAAAGTGCTGGGATTACAGGCTTGAGCCACTGCACCTGGCCTATGCTCTGAATTTTCTTGTTTCCTTTCTTCTTACTTTGGGTTTAATTCGCTCTTAAGGCGGAAGCTGAGATTTGAGATCCCTCTTCCTTTCTAACCTAGTGTAGTGCTATCATTTTCCCTCTAAGTATTGCTTTAGCCAAATCCCACCCATTTTGACAGGTTGTGTCCTGGCACTTCGTCCACTGATTGCATTTTCTCTTCATTATGGGTAATTTTTTTCTCCCTCACTTCATGCATGGTCATTTCTTACTGGGTGGTAGACATTGCCACTTTTTTCTTGTTGTGTGCTGGATGTCTTTGTTTTCCTGTGTGTATTTTCAGGCTTTGTTCTGGGGTACGGTTAAGTTACTTTGTAACAGTCTGATGCTTTCCGGTCCTGCCTTTGACGTTTCTCAGATGGGGATAGAGCTGCGTTTAGTAATAACTGCTCCCACCCCTGAAGCAGGGCTGTCCCGTGCCTCCTGAGTGGTGAGCCTGCAGTCTGGCTGATGGGGGAGGCGCTGTTCCCGCCCTGTGCAAACACAGGCGGATCTTCCCTCCAGCCCCACGGGGATCTTTCTGGGCCTCTGGCAGCTTCCTCGCCTGCACGTGCTGAGCCGCCCTGCTGCACCCTGGCCGCAGCCTTTGTGGATCACTGGAGTTGTGTCTGTGCAGCCCCCTCTTCCTCCAGGGACGCCGTGCCTGCCCTGAGGACTCGGCTTAGTCCCTCAACTCGTGAGGGTGAGCTCATGGGGTCAAGCCCTGTCCGGGTTCCCGCACCTCCTGTGCTGTGGCCCGGAAACTGTCTGGGTAGTAGGATCACTGTCCTCTGCATCTGGTGTGCTGGGTTTTGAAAACGGTTGTTTCTATAGTTTTGTTGGTTTCCTCCTGCTTCTTTCAGGTGGGAGGATAACTCTGGTCCCGGTTATCCATTTTGGCCATTCAACCTCATGGCAATCTAACAGGTAGCGGCTGTTCTTCCCCCCACGTGACACAGGAGAAATCTTCCGCAGGCTGTTTTCAGTGACTTCCCAGGGCAGCCCTCTGGGAGGCGGCGGTGTCGGATGGAGTCGGCTTCGCTCAGAGCGCTCCGGTTCTGGGCTCCCGCGCGGCGTCCGCCAGGGGGCAGCAGAGGCCCGGGATAGTTTGCACAACGCCCGGCTTTGCACTCGTGGCTTCGTTCTCGGGATCCGTGTTTTCGCTCCCATCCTTTCACTGCTTTTGTCTCCACTCCTGGTGACTGCTTAGCTCTAGGCTTGGTTGCCGCACAACTTTGCGTCTTGGACGCAGGGCCGAGACGCGTCTGGATGCTTTGTGACGAGTCAGCCAAGAGCAGCAGTCACGGGGCTCCTGAGATCCGGTATGTTTGCTCCGGACTCGCCTCCTCCGTCTTGGCTCCGCCCGCCCCTTAGTTTGGCTTTGTTCTCAAGCTGGTGTCCCTCGTGGTTCCAACCTCACACATCACACCCTCCGGAACGAGAGAGAGACTCTTTCCAAAGTCATCAAGGAGGAATACTGGCTTCGCTGGGTGGACCCACCTTGGGACACACGCCGTATCCTCCCCCCAAACCCAAGAGCGGCTGATTGCTGCAGCAAGGCTTGGTTTGGGCTGGGATCCCTGATCATTCTTGAATCAATGTTGTTTGCGCTAAGGAGATGAGATTCTGCTAATTAGCCCAAACTAGTGTGACTTACCCCTGCAGCTGGGGTGGGGGCCAAACCCCTCAAATCACACCCACTCCACATTAGGGAAGGAGTGGAATGCTAGTGAGCCTTCCCACAGTGTTCAGGACGTTGTCAAAGACAGAAGCGCCCAGAGGCCAGCGAGTGTCAGGGCAGAACGCTCAGGCCATGCGCGCTGACGAGCACTCGGTGTGCGACCAGGTGGCCAAACGCTCACTGCACAGGCTCCGCCCTTTGAAGAGAGGCAGCCCGTGGGTGCGCAGGCTTGGCAAGCTCTGCTTTGCGAAGGAAGGATGGCGGGAGCTGGATCCGACACATTTGTAGACAGCCTAGCTCATCTGCTCTCTTAAAATGAATCAATCATCCACCAGGCGTTGTGTGAGGACTGCATATGTGCCAGCAGGACTTCAAAAAATGTCCTGTTTACTAGGGAGAGAAACAAGAAAACCAATAAATGCAGTATAGCATCAGACATTCTGAGAGAAAGAAATGTATATGGAACTGAGGTTGCTGAAAGGGAGACCACACTTTCCCTAGCCCGGGGAGGCTAAGAAATGCAGTCAAGAGGAGGATGTTCCCAGAACGTGAGGCACAGGGAGGAGAATGAAGTGGGTGTGGGAAAGGGGCGTTCCCGCGTCCTAGGGAAATAGGTGCAAAGACACAGGCAAGTTAGAAAGCCTGTCACTTTGGGGGCAGCCTTTCTTTCCTTTTTAAGCAACTCAGGATTTTTACGTTGGTTGAAGTTACTTGATGATTTCAAATCAGTGCTGACGTTATGCTTAAAAGAAATAAAAGGTCAAAGAAAGAGTATGGTAGGAGTAATTCAGGTGGTTACTTTGAACAGTTTCTATAGACAAGAACTCCGCAGCCACTTTGACGCACACCGCAAGCCCCAGCTACGCTCAGGTGCAGGCAGCGCAGAGTCCTCCGCCAGGGGAGCCACCTGGTGGGGGCCAACCGCAAACCGTGTGTGGTGTGGAAAAGCTCCAATTCCTTTGCTCTCCAGCCTAACTCATACTCACTGGATAGGGTATAAAAAGGTCTGTAAAAGACCTTCACAAACTAAAATCTGGTTATAGCTGCAATCTGGCTTGGCAATTCATGGATCGCTGGCTCCCCGTCCCTCTGCACTCACAATGACTGCAGGGTGGGACAGTTTCTCTGCTTTTTGAAAAAGGAAATCTGCTTTCCTAGATCTTGATGGAATATACAAAAATGGTTTAGTGCCATAAGCTCCTTCTCTAAGCAGGCAGCTCAGGGAGCTGATGCCAATTGGTTACTCTTGTAGAAATTTCGTGAACTACAGTAAACCATTCGCTAAGCCTTTCTGACATCTGGAGCAGCCTCCTTCCTGCCACTGCCTTTTCTCTTGGCAGGAACACAGACCCTAGAGGGACAAAGGGTGGCAGAAGTCACCAGAAGCTGTAACATACTGCAGCTGCACGGAGACCTGTGCCTGTTCATACTCCTCAACTCTCGGCTCCTGGTGGGCTTGTCTTTGTACCCCATGGAGCCCACCCAGCTTTCAGCCAGTGCCAATGTGCATTTTAAATCAAACTTTAATGGATTTAAGATGCATATATTCTCTTTCTCTATACTCATGGCATCAGGATCTCAAAGACTACTCAATAATTTTTCATTTACTCATTCATTTATGCAAAAAGTATTTTTAGACCCTGTGCTGGGTACAATAGTGTACAAAGCCAGATAGAATTGCTGTGTTCATAGGGCTTGGCATCAAGCAGGAAGATCAATACACAGGGTGCAAGGGACATGAAGCCCGGTCACAAAAGCCTTCCTGGAGAAATGGGCGCCCAGCTTGAAGGCAGGAAGGCAGGGCCTTGGCCAGAGGCAGGGGGAGTCTGGAGTGAGTAGAGATCTGCAGGGGTTGTGTGTGGAGGAGCCAGGCCAGCCTTGAGAGCCTGTGGTGCTCTTGAGCCTGTCAGCTGTAGCTGGGGCTGGGAGGCTTTGGTCAGGGTTCGTGGGAAAGCAGAAGTGCTCCAGCTATTTCAAGTAGAGAGAGATTTAATATGGAGAGCCAGGGCCTTCTCAACCATGGGAGGGAGTTGGGGAGCAGAGATCAGGAAGACTGCCTCACGACATCGAGAACAGAAATGGAAAGGAAGTCATCACCGGCAACCCCAGCAGCCTGCAGTGCCCAAGCAGGTTGCTCTCAGGGGAACACCTGGAACTCCGAGAGCTGTGTGCTCCTGGAGGCCAGCCACCTGCAGTGCCCGTGGGGGCTTCTTAGAGGAAGCCCTGGGAGGCCAGAGAGAGAGTGCTGCTGATGGCTGTGGCTGCAGGACGGAGAAAGACACTCCCTCTGACACCCTAGAATGTGAGCTACGCACGGGCTGAATCTAATCTGGCCTCCGGCAGGGACAGTGATTCTGTGGCTTCAGACATGTCCCTGAGAAGCAGAGGATGGTGTAGCAGGCACCAGAAAATGCTGATGATGACGATGATCCAGCAAAATAGTTGGTGGAGAAGGAGCTGGGCTCCTGTCTTGCCTCTGCCACTTACTGGCTGTGTGCCTGTTTCTAGGCCTCAGTTTCCTCCTCTGTAAAGTGGGGATGACAGTACTACCTGCTTCATGCAGATTATGAAACATTAGACAAGATAATGAGTAAAGTTTTTAGCATACTACTTTGCATGTAGGTTTTGGTGGTTTCTGGTTATTATTCATAGTGATTTTTTCAGTAATTATATATTGAAAAGAAAGCTGAAAACCATTAAAGGATGTTAAAAACACCATGGAAATGTGCTTATCTTTTTAAAAAGTTGCAGTAGCTTTGGGAAGTCACCAGGAATGGCAGCCACGTGGCTCCAAACTGACTGCTGTGTGGCAGGGACCGCCAGGGTGGGGCTGGGTCCAGCTCAGAGTCATCCTGCTGAGCTTTCAGCCCCCAGATCCTTATCAAGTCATTGTGAATCTCAGCGCATTCCAATGGGCCATGTTCATGATGCCTGTGGAGGGGTGGGGTGGTTCCCTCCACTTTGGCCCAAGGAGAGTTTGCCTTTCCCAGGACTCTGGCCAGTAGAGTTCAAGTGGTGTAATTTTCTTCATCTCTTAACTGTTTCCAGGAGTTTGCAGAGCCTTCTCCTTCCTGGCTTCCTTCTCTGCCTTGGGGGTGCCTGTGGCCACAGGAGCCCTGAGCAGGGTTTGCACTCCCAGTCTGGGGATGAACAGGAGGACCTGTCTGATGGGAGCAGCTGCCAAGCAAGGGTGGGGATGGGAGAGAACCCCCAAACAGAGCAGGCGTGGCGTCCGGGTGGGCCAGATGAGCAGGGGTCCAAGGTCAGGGTTCACAGGCTCAACAAGAAGCTTCCTCTTGGAAACCTAAAAAAGGAATCAGGACCGAGGGACATAACCACAGAGACACCAAAGGCCCAGACAACAGGCTCAGGCGGGAGCGTAGCTACTTGTGGTCATAAAGCTCTGAATGCTGCTTTAGTCTCCAGGCCCCAGGGCCTGAGCCTTCAGGACCAAGATCTGGAGCTCCTGCCCTGCTATACCAAAGGTGCTGCTGTAAACACTGTTCTGGTTCTAACTGTTTAATCCCACGCCAACTCTAGGAGGCAGGTGCTATTTAATATCATCTCCAGTTACCAAGGAAGAAACTGAGATTCAGAAAGAGAAAGGCACCTGCCCAAGGTCGCACAGCTTGTGAGCTACAAGGCTGGGACCTGGGCAGCCTGGCTCTGGGGGAAGCGTCAGGCACCAGGGTCCCTGCAGGGGCCTCTGTGCACTTTCTCATTCACATGGCCTGAAGCTCATCCTGAGGTCAGCTGGGAGACTGTGCAGCCCTCTTCAAAGGCCCATCTACAGAATTTGTGAGTCTTTGAACCATTTATTGATTGTAGAAGACAATCAGCCCAGAGAGACGTGAGATGGTTCTGTAGGAAACACTATGATAGGACAGTCAGCAGGAGCCTAGTACAGCACTGAGTATGTGTGTGTGTGTGTGTGTGTGTGTGTGTTTGTGTGTACACTCAGAAAAAAGCAAGTTCCTACTGTGGCAAAGAATAGAGGGTAAAAATGCAAACATGCGAGTACCCCTCTGACACAATGAGTTCTTTCTATCATTCATTTTTTTCTTTACCATTTTAGTGGAGGCAACATTGCCCCAAGGGAATAAACGGACATTAAATCTCTGTGTTTTGGGATTTTCCTGGCATTTTTAAATCAGGAAAGTACTATTTACAGCTACATGCTCACACACACACACACACCCTGCACACACACACACACACATACACACACACACACGGGGAGGGTCACAGCAGACAATGGCACCTGGCCCAGCGGGGTCCCCTGGATGGGAAGGCAAGTGCAGTGTGTCAATCACTTAGAGGGGCAAAGGCGGGCTAGAGGGAAAGCCCCCAATTCCTGAAGATGGTGGGGCTGGACAGGAGAGACCTTCATCCCTGTCACTTTCCTCTAAGCTCCATACCAAGTGGAAGTCACGAAGGTTAGGGTCTTGTTGCTCACCCATAAAACGAAGTATGGTGATGACAGTGATGGGACTAAGTCACACTCATGTTAAGTTGTCCAGTACCTGCGACACAGACACTGCAAGAACAGTCCCTCTAGGTGTTAGAGACAGCAGCCTCTGTCCCAAGGCATCTGTGAGAGTTGGAAGTGGTGCTTGGTAGATGGCATTGTGTGGATGGGTACTGGGGGGAGTCACATCTGCGGGTTGGTCCCTGTGCAGCACACAGAGAACGATGTCTGCGTGGACCTCACTTGATGGCTGTGACAGCCTCAGCTCACTTGGCTTCCCACACAGGAGACCTGCAAGGCCACTCACAAAAGGCGATTGATTTAGTGGCTCAGGGCGCTGGGATGGAAGGGCCTGGGGAGTCCTTCAGTGACGACCCTTCTCTCTGCGTGGCCTCAGGCCCCAGCCTCCCCACTTCTCCCAGTTCTAGCAACTGACACTCATCTCTTCTCCCCAACCCTCTTTTCTCTTTCTAATCTGTGAAAGAAAAAGTAGTCCCCACTTCCCTGGGGCTTTACCTTTAGAATTCCAAATTGTTTTACCACAACTTGGCTCTGGTAAATTCCAAGTTTTGACTTTTCTCTCTGTTGTTTAATATTTGAATTTCAAGACCCAGCTTGGAAGTTGAAGAACTGAATATTGAGGATTTTATTCCCTTGTGTTCCTGCTACATAACTCCTGATTCTCCTTCTTGCAGAACAGGCTAGAGGGTGAGTCACTGTCTCAGTCAGCTTGAGTTGCTGTAACAAATACACCCTAGGCTGGGAAGCTTAAACAGCAGACATTTACTTCTCAGAGTTCTGGAGCTGGGAAGTCCAGGATCAAGGCACTGGGAGATGTGGTATGTAGGGGGCCCTTTTCAGGTTTGGGATGGCACCTTGCTGTGGTCTCACATAAGGGAGAGCAGGGAGGTAGGGAGCAAGCTAGCTCAGGTCTCTCTCTCTCTTTTTTTTTTTTTTTTTTTTTTTTGAGACAAGAATCTTGCTCTGTCACCCAGGCTGGAATGCAGTGGTGTGATCTTGGTTCACTGCAACCTCTGCCTCCTGGGTTCAAGTGATTCTTCTGCTTCAGCCTCCCGACTAGCTGGGACTACAGGCTTGTGCCACCACGCCCGGCTAATTTTTGTATATTTAGTAGAGATGTGGTTTCACCATGTTAGCCAGGATGGTCTTGATCTCCTGACCTCCTGATCCACCTGCCTTGGCCCCACAAAGTGCTGGGATTACAGGCGTGAGCCACCACACCTGGCCCTCAGGTCTCTTATAGGAGCACTAATCCCATCATGAGAGCTCCAGGCACATGACCTCATCACCTCCTGGAGTCCTCACCTCCAAATACCATCACATCGTGGTTAGGCTTCAACATGCCTACTCCAGGAGGATGCAAACATTCAGCCCATAGCAGTCATGTACCTGAGGTTGTGATGAAATAAATACACAAAATAACATTTCTATCTATCACCATCCTCCTCCTTTTTGACTGTTAGCTGGGCTGGCCAGCACCTCGAGGATGGTGGGTTTGCTGGCATCTTCCGGCAGACAATGGGGGCCCTGATGATGGGCTAAGAGACCCAGTGGCCCTCACTCTGTCTCTTAAGCCCTTGACCCTGTGGCCTTTAGTGAAGCTCAGTGCAGTTATCAGGACCCCATGACTCATTTGCTCTCCAATTCTTCCTAAGGATGTTTACAGACCAACTTACACCAGCAATAGCTTTTAAAAACCCTCATGAAGAATTCCCACAGTCTACCCATAACCTCTGCCGCAGAGTTCGTAATGTCCCAGACCCCCGTCCTCAGCCATGCAATCACTAGCGTCTTTATATGTAAAGAGAAGATAGTAAAACCTTGCCCTGCTGAATTCATGGGATTCTTTTAAGAGCCCAGCAGTGGTAGATGGGAAGTTCTTTGTAAACGGAACCATGCTGGGACCACTTGCCCTTTTATTCAGGGTCCTGACTTTTCCTTCCTGGCCCTGCGGTCCCCCTGCAGTGCACTCTCCTGACCCTAGGTGGCAGCAGCACCTCGGCTCCCCTCAAGGGAGGCCTGCTGCGGATGGAGGCTAAGGTCAGGATGCAGCCTAATTAGCTGAACAGTTTGCAGCCCTGCTCAGCAAAGAAACCCCTGGGGTGCGGGAAGAGAGTGACTCACATTCTTGTTTCCTTGATAAAGGAGAATGTTTTGAGAGTCATTCTAGCGTTGCAGTCTGGGGTCACACCATCCAGACACTTGGCTTCTCTTCCTTCCCCAGCATCCCTCAAGACCTTTTTTTTTTTTTTTAAATCCTCACTCCCCCCAACCCCCCTCAAATGCACCAATAGGCTCAGTCAGAACAAGGGCTCAAGAGTCTGCCCGAATAAAGACTCTTCTGTGTCCACAGGCTCAATGTGAGCATCCCTGTCCACACCCGGGCCTGGCCAGACCCAAGGGCTTTCTTACAAGATGTGTGAAACGTCAGCATTGAAAGGGCTGGGCAGAGCATCTAGTCTAATGGGAATTTGACAGGGGTAAACTGTGCCTGAGAACCCAAAAGAGGCAGGGAGGGAATGAGCATTTCCTGATCACCTGCAGCGTGCAAGCCCTGTGTGAGGTGTCGGTATACCTGCTCACTCTTCTAGAACAGCCGTAGGATGGGGTAGGTGAGGGAGGTGGGTTTCAAATGGAAAAAATGGCTGCACAAGAGAACACAAGTAGCTTCAAGATGAGAGTAGCTCAGTTCATTCATGGATTTATTTTTCCTGCAAATGTTCACCCTGGTGTGTTTCAGTGCCCAGGCCTGGGGACATCCCAGCTGACCCCTGCAGCTGGGGGCTCTAGTCAGGCCCACTGTCATGCCTCTGGTGGCTCAAGGGTGCACCTGGTCCCGTAATGCCTCCCAGGTCGGCCACACCTCTCAGAAGATACCATTCCTCACCTTCCTCGTGTGCTGGTTCCTCTCCTTCTGACTTTGGTTCTTCAGCCTCAGCTTATCTCTTCCTCCCCAGAGCTGGTGCTGACTTGAGCCCCCATGGCCTTGCCTTGGAAAATATGACAATGACTGTAAATGTTTGGCCGCAGAACTGTTCTTTCACGGGGCCACAAAAGAACGTGTGGCCTCCTGATAATGCCCACGGCTGGTGCAGGCTTGGGGAAGGAGGCCTCTTGCAGAACCAACCCTATAGATGCTGTAGCACCACTGACCCCTTGCACATACATATGCTGCTGACTAGCTCTTGGCCTGAGAAACTTCATTCATTAACATCTTTCCCAGGGCACCTGTGTCCCCTTGGAATCTGGTTTATCTCCAGACAGAAAAACACATGGTTCCTGTTTTCCTCAGGCAGCTCCTGGTTCCATACTGGTCATTGCATGGAAGGTTGAACAGGAGGATTGCCTAATTCTGTGCATCTGAATGAGAGCACAGGCCCATCCAGGAGGTCTGCCGCAAATGCAAAGTGCTTGTCACATTACAGGCAATCAGTGAAAGGAAGCTGCCTCATGGTGTCAGCATGGGTTGCATGTCTTATAAATATACATTGGATCTCTCGCAACAAAGGCTCTGTAGAGTTTGAAGGGACGTGGGAGGGATCTAGTTTTGACTTCTGATGGTGGAACATCGGGCATCAACGTGACAAGGCACTTTGGGCAAGGGGGCTTGTTCTCTTCATCTCTGTGAGAGATAATTGCCATCTTTGGTGTTCATCATTCATTTGTCCACTTAATTCTGCTGGCTGAACCTGGAATGACACCACACGCTGGAGACAGCTTGATGAACAGAACAAGACATGGCTCCCAACCTTGCCCTTTGTTGTCTGATGGAGAGCAGGGAAGCAAAGAAGGGAATAGGAGGCTGAGAGGTGAGGCTGGGCCATGTAAGGCCTTCTGGGCTATGTGAAGGATTTGCATCTTTAGCTCAAAAGCAATGTGAAGTGTTTGAAGGGATTTTAGGAGGCGAGTAATACAATCAGGTTTGCATTTCACTATTAAGTAGATGAGTTGGATGGAGGCTTCCAGATCTGGAGGCCTGGAGAATATTGGTCCAGGCAAGGATGGTGGCACACAGGAATAAGGCAGTGAGGGTGGAGATGGAAAGAGTGAACAGATTTGAGAGATGTTTAAGAAGCTAAAAGTGTAACCTGCTCCCGCCAGAGTATCTGTTCAACCAATGGCAAAATCAACTCAATGGATTACATACTGGTCCTGGGATCCTGTGTTTCAACCTCCTTGTTGTACAAGAGATAGTTTGTAGGTCTGAGGGCAAAGGAACTTCTGGGGGCCCACAGCAAGTGAGATGCAGAGCCAGGGCCGAGACTGGTGTAAACGCATGGGAACCACACTGGGGACTCACAACAAAGCCCAGTGCTGGATGAGGTCCTCTCTAGGCCTCTCCCTAGGGATACCTGGGTCCTCTCCTTTCCTCTCCCTGGAGCAAGCCCCATTACCCCATCAGGGAGAGGAAAGGATAGGATCCAGGTCTCCAGCCTCCAGAGACATCTGCTTACCAGGGGACCCGGGGAGTGAGGAAGAGTATAGGAGCAAGCATGGAGTGGGGCCTCTGCTCAGGCCCTGTCCCTTCTTTCATGGCGCCTACAGCACATCTTTCAGCAAAGGATGCGACAGGCAGCAGGGTGGGGAATCTGAGAACAACCAGGCATTTGATGCCTCTGGGGGCAGGGCAGATAATGAGATGCAGGCATGAGCCCAGGGGGCTGTTTGCGGTCCAGTCTGCCCTCCTTCTTGGCACTGAGGCCAGACTTAAAGGTCAGGAGGACGTCAGACCCTCTCATCTGGGGCTCTCCTGGCAGCCCCTCCCCTCTGCACTCCTCTTCCAGCCCCTGCACGCTTCTGCCGCACCAGCTTCAATGCCTCTATTGTGGCGGCAGCTGCAGCGCTGGGGGCTCTGGCCCTCTCTCCCTCTTCTCCCCTCCTGCAGGCCCCCATGGGTGGGGAGCTGAGCAGCTCCTTCCTATTTTCTGTACCCTCAGGCCCAGAACTCCTGGTTTCTGGTCACCCTCCTCATTCTGGGCAGGTGGCTGCTGGTGACCCGGCTCCAGCTCCCTCTCCCGCCTTTTCTGGGTGGATGCCCTGAGTGACACAGGAAAGTTTCCCAAAGCAGGTGGACTCCTGGGGCCACCGGGACCTGCTCTCTCCCTCCACAGGAGATTCCTGTCTGTAGATCTTGGCTTTCCTGCAGGATCCACACTGGAGGGAGGGAAGGGGTAGACTGGGGAAGAGTTCTGTGCTTTCAGCTGTAGCATTTAGATTCAAGGAGAGAAATGGAGAGAGAAAGAGAGAGAGAGAGATTGCACAAAAGCATTTTAAAAGAAACCACCTTTATTCTCTTACTCTCCAGGTGGGTACACCAAGCCTGATAAAATCCAACTTTGGAGTCATATGATTTAACTGGAGAAGTCTTTCACTTTGGTATGAGACTTAAACAAGTGGTCTCTCTTTTCTGACTTTGACTTCCTTATCTGTTAGCAGGGTCTCATGCCTCTCCCAGCTCTGTGGGTTGCTGTGAGTCCCAGGACACCTAGAAGTAAACTCAGGAATGAATGACTTGAGCCACCTCGGTGCTCTGTCCAGGCTGCCCCTCCCCACCCCTGCCTGCTATCACAGTGCCATTAAGTTTAAGTGACAAAGCAAGGATTTAAATTAAAAAGGCAAAAATTTCACGGAGAGTTGGGCATTTGAGCTGCGCAGAGAGCTTACCTGAAGTGCTGCAGCCCTGGAAGCACAGCCAGCTGGCTGCCCAGATGTACTGAGCCAGTGCAAAGCTTGACATAATGGAAAGACGGTTGCTCTCTGTCCCCTGGTCTGAGCTGACAGCAAACCACAGAGAGGCAGTGGGCATGCAGAGGAGGTGGGAGTCCTGATGTTAGGGACCTGAGCAGCAGGCAGCAGTGCACAGCAGAGCAAAACTGTGTTCCTTCACGGGGCTTCCGCTGGCCCTGGGGAAGAGCTCGTCCAAAGACCCAGAGTGGGCAGCAAGCCTTAAATTGGCCAAGTCCAGCCCCAGGACACCCTGTCCCACCACCCCCATGAGGCCAGCCCTCAACACTTGGTGACTGTGGACTTTCTTAGGGTGCCGTGGGAAGCTGCCACCTTAACTTGATGCCAGCTCCTGGGGAGAACTGGGCGGTGCCCTCACTGCCTTTGGAGGGGAGAGTCTAGTGCTCAGGGGCACACTGATGCCAGGGGCCCTCCTGGAGCCATGAGGAGAGGAGTCAGAGAGCAGGTCCAATGCTATGAATCAGAAACCCCAGCTGAGGAAGGGGCTGGGGAAAGCATTAG
Source organism: Homo sapiens (assembly GCF_000001405.40). Lineage (NCBI taxonomy): Eukaryota > Metazoa > Chordata > Mammalia > Primates > Hominidae > Homo > Homo sapiens. The sequence continues at coordinate 44,853,676 of NC_000010.11, read as the reverse complement.
ACAGCCTCTTGCCAGCCCATGCTGTCCTCCAGCTGGAGTCTTCAGAAACCCTTTGTGCTGCCAGAGGAGGCATCTCCAGGGAACCCCCAACTCCTCTTCACTCTTTACAAGCTGCTTTGAAAAGATCAGGTGGCAGAGGCCATGCATGGAGTGTGGGAATGGCTGGGGCAGGCTGTCCAGCTCCCTGGGCCCCTCTGGTCCCCACCTAACCCCACCCCCTGGCTCTGGGTGAGGTGCTGACATGAGGTACAAAGCTGGGAAAATGGGGCTGGATGTGTGCTTGCTACAGTGTGTGTGGACACTAGAGGCACCATGAGCTGATGTGCCAGGCTTTGGCAACTGCTGTGCAGGAGAGGGCACCGTGTGCACAGGGAGTGAAGGTGGGGACAGAGAAGGTCTGTGAGCCTAGGCTGAATGGGCCTGGCAAGGAAGCAGAGGCTGCCAAAGAAATGCATAGTGCTGGTTCAGGATCACAAGGAAGGCCTGAAGACCATAAAAAATTCACCTCCAGGTCCACAGATGTTGAGAATTTCAGCAGAGCAGTTGCTTTTCTTTGGCTTAAGGTACTACCTCTATGGTAGATCCTGCCCAAGGCCATTCCCTCCCCCATCTTGTTAGCTGATATATATATATATATATGCTGGGCCCCTCCAAGGCTGAAGGCTCAAGGGCTAACCCCAGCCTAATAATCATGGTCATTCAGTTTTTGTGGCTAGTGATTGCTTTACTAAGGGGCAGGTACATTAACTTGGTTATTGAGGCTTGATGGGATGTTTACCTGGAATGTTCTCAAAAGGGTGTGGGTGAGAACTCCCATTTCTGCTTTGGCTGAATCTCTTCATGTCTGCCTGTGATGCCTGGGACTGTGGCAACTGTTTTATAATCATGAAGCAACAAGTTTAAGGATGAAGTCAATAGGCTGGGAGGATTAATGCAAAGAAGTGGAACGAACTTGAATTGTTCAAGACATCTTTGAGCCAACCTCATAGCCACCATAGCTCGGATTTCTTATTCTGTAAACTAATCAATGTCCATGTGGTGTAAGCCATTGTGGTTGCGTTTTCGCTTTATGCTGCTGAAAGCACCCATGCAGGTATAGCCTCTCTTTAAGTGTGTCTCAGATCATCTCGGTGCTTGGCTGAGATCCCCTCAGATCTCTCCTTATTGTTTCCCTCCCACTCTCACTTGAGGGCAGTGCTGGCACTGGGGCCTGGGCTGGTCCTTGCAGGATTCCTGGGTTATAGGAGCTGCTTTACCTGCAAGGAGCAGAAGTGCCTGGGGGATTTTGCACCCCCTTCCCTGTCTGTGCCTGTGGGAGACAGGGCCCTTGGTCCAAGGCCACAACCCAGCTGTCTTCCTCCTCTCCTCACCCAGGCCCCTACTTGTCTTTGGGAAGCACATCTTTAGTGATTCAGTTGTGTGTGGGTCCTCATCTCAGAGTCTGCTTCTGGGGAGCCCAACTAGAGACAAGGTGCAGCTCTCCTGGGCGGAGTCAGCCTCCCCCACGCTGGCGGTCACGGCAGGAGTGGGATGCGAGGCTGGGCCCAGGACATGCTTCCTAGCCTTCCCTGTACTCCGGCCCTGCTGGTGTGCCTGGGGCTCAGGGCTGCTCAGAGGCACTGCCTCACCCTCCTGTGCCTGCTTTTCATGTGTGCCATCCTGGGCCCATCCTGGGCCCGGCTGCATTCTCCCTGCCCTGGGTGGCCCCTTCTCCAGGCCCCTACCATCCACCTTGGCCCACTGTGCGGGGGCATCATGACAGCATTGGTATGGGGGGCATTGTGTGCCCCCCAAATTCCTATGTTGAAGCCTTAATCCCTAACACCTCAGAATGTGGCTGTATTTGGAGATGAGATCTTTAAGAGGTTAATTAAGCTAAAATGAGGCCATTAGGGTGGGCCTTAATTCAACAGGACTCATGGCCTTGTAAGAAGAGGAGATAAGGACACAGACATGCACACAGGAAAACCATTGAAGACACAGGGAGAAGATGGCATCTGCAAGCCAAGTAGCGAGGCCTCGGTCGAAGCCAGCCCTGCCGACACCCTGATCTCAGACTTCCAGCCTACAGACTGGGAGCAGATGCAATTCTGTTGCTTAGGCCGCCCAGTCCGTGGTACTTTGTTATGGCAGCCCCAGCCCACTGCGGCAGACAAGAATCCTCTCTTCCCATCCGGGGGCAGTGCGCTCTTCCCTGATTGAATTATGTCATTCGGTCTCTCACTACCTTATCTTGCTTAGAACTGATTTGCCTAGATTAGCAACCTCCTCTCCTCTCCACTTCTTGTTTTTCAACCCTTCCAATCTTCTAGATTCTGCAGGGAATGTGCCCCATGCCCCTTCCTCCAGAAAGTCTTCCTGAAGCCTCCTAAGACGTGTTCTTTCCCTCTGTTGGGCTCAACAGCATTTGTGTGTGGCCTTCACTTACAGCCTGATTATGTTGATAGAGCCCTGCACGGAAAAGGACTGTGGGTCTGTCTTACTTTATCAAACGGGAGCTTCCCATGGGTCTCTGAGCCTCCTGTCACCCAGAGATTATGAAGAACTTATTCTGTGCTAGACCTGAAATCCCACCACAGAGTGGGAGACAGATTCAGAAGTTTCATGAAGTAAGGGTGATGGGGAGGTGCACTTAGGGTGAGAAGGAGCTGGGGTGGGTGGTGGGTGCTCGCAGGGGTGTCCAGAAGAGGGTGCCTGTGCCTCGCTCTAAGTTGTTCTGACCTGGAGGTGCATGGATGGTGCAGCAGGACAGAGAGGGTGGGTGCTGGAAAGGTGGTGGGATCAGATCTGGGGATCGTCTTTTCAGGGGAAGAGCATCGGGCCTGTGGGAGAACAGTGGGTCCAGACCAGGGCTAACTGAGGAAGCTCAACAACTTCTCACTGAGCTCCTGAGGCTCCACCTTCGGGCCTGCCTCTCCTCCCACCTCTGTGCCTTCCTGTCATTTTCCTGCCCCACCTGGGCAGCATGCCCTCAGCTCCCATTGCACAATGTGTTCAGATTTTTTTTCCTTTGGTAGGAACTGCAGGGGAAGGGTCTCATTTCCTCGAGGCATTCCAGAGTCACCTGGGCTCCCGGAAATTGCTGAGCACGTTTTTACTGACTGATTGGATCTTGTTGGATGCCAGGGCTGCCATCCAAGATGCACAATGAAGCACATGCGTTAAAGAATGGGAGTCATCACAGGGCCTGGGGCCTTTCTCCTGGCTCTTAGTGACCCTGCCTCTGGGCTTTGTGAGGCTGCTGCCTGCAGACTCTACTCCATCCATCCCAGCAGTGAGCTCCCCAGAGCCCAGCAAGGAGTCCGGCACTTCTTTCTTCTGATGACAAGTTCTCTGTAAGATGGCCTGTGCTTTATTTGTGGGGAACTGGATGGCACATTTATGACTGGAGGAGAGCCTGTGAAAGAGGCTGCTCTCATGTTTCTCCTGTTAACTCCAGGATCTGGGCTACCCAGACTTCAGACAAGGCCCTTGGTGTGTCCAGGCAGCTACGCCAGGGCTGGGAACAGCTTTGCTCTCCCCACCTCTGTGTGGGGCTGCAGCCTCAGTGTGTAGAGCCCTGCAAAGGGCATTGTAGTTGTCCCCCCAACCCCTGCCTGGTGTCCAGGCTCTTTCATACAAACAGGAGCAGGTGACATGCAAGACGTACCATTCCCAGGATCCTGGGTGTGGGGAGCAACCCAGCCCAGGGACTGACATCTGCATGAGAAGATAAAGATTGTTTTGGTGGGGGAGCACCCAGTGGGATGGGGCTGCTTCCTTTTCCCCTCTCTGCTGGGAGTACTCAGGTGGCAAACACAGTCCATGTGTCCACCTGTGGGACAGAGGGAGGGGCACAGGCTGGTGTTTTAGTCAGGGTTCTTCAGAGATAGGACTGATATATATATATATATGTATATATATATATGATGTATTTATATATATGTATTTATATATACATATATAATCTATATGCAATAGAGAGAGAGAGAGAGATATGAAGAGTTCATTAGCGGAATTGGCTCATATGATTATAAAGGCTAAGTCACATGGCAGGTTGTCTACAAGCTGGAGGCCCAGGGAAGCTGGCAGCTTGGCTCAGTCCAAGTCTCAAAGCCTCAAAACCTGAGGAGTTGATGGCTCAGCTTGAGGCCAGAGGCTTGAGAACATAGAGTCAGGGTGTAGGGGCAGTTGGGGTGAGTCCCGGAGTCCAAAGCCTGGAGAAACTGGAGTTAAGATGTCCAAGGCAGGAGAAAAAGGGTGTCCCAACTTCAGCAGAGAGTGAATGAGCAAGGAATTCCCTTTCCTCCACCTTTTGTTCCGTCTGGGCCCCCAGCTGATTTGATGGTGCCCACCCACATTGAGGGTGGTTCTTTCCCACTGGGTCCACTGACTCACACACCAATCTCCTCTATAAATAAACTCACAGACACACCTGGGGCAACCCAGTTACTTTCATCAAATGTTAAACTGCCTACTGAAGCATTGAGAATAATTAATGCAGCAACTGAAAATAAATAATGCTTTACCAGCTATCTGGGCATCCCTTAATCCAGTCCAGTTAACACTCAAAATCAACCACTAGGTTGGCCAAAAGGGAGGCCAAAAGCTGGAGTCTAAGCAGCAGCTCGACCTCACCTCAGAGCAGCCTTCACTGTGTGTTGTTCTTCCTGAGCTCTGAGGTCTCAGTTTCCAAATACCAAGAAAAAGCTTGAGCAAGAAGCTTTCTAGTAAGGTCATTGACTAATATGTAATAAAACATTCCCCCAAAACATGGTAGCTGAGATCAATAACAACATTTAATTTGCTTGGGAATCTGCAATGCAGGTAGAGGCGGCTCATCTCTGTCCCACTTGGCACCATCTGGGGCAGCTCCCAGTCACGGGCTGGGGCTGCAGTCATCTGAAGTCTCCCTCATGCCTATGTGTGGCTGTGTGGCTTTTTCAAGGGGTGATCTGGCTTCCTCACAAGATGGTGGCTGGGTTCCCAGTGCCAGCATCCCCATAGAGAGGGAGAGATCTTGATGGAGAGAGTGAGAGGGAGAGGGAGGGGAGGCGGGAGAACATCATATGGAAAGTGCATCATCTATCACCTTTTATGATCTAGTCTTGCAAACTACTTGTGATGCATTCTATTAGTTAGGAGCAAGTCACTAAGACTGGCCCATAGTTGAGAGGGGGAGTAGACTCCACTTTTGGACAGAAGAAGTGTCAAATAATCCTTGTGTACAAGCTTTGATACTACCGCCTTCCAAGCCCCTTCCACCTCTAAGGAGGCCACAGGCCCGGGCCATGGCGTGTGGCAGTGCTGTGAGGCCCTGGCTTCGTGGAGCCCTGCTCTGCCAGTCCTGCTCCCTAAAGTTCACTCACCTCCCAGTTGAACCTGCACACTAGGTTAGAACAGGAAATTGTAACCATCTAAGAAGGGGCAGGATAGTCTAACTTCTCCCTCTCTCTCCCTCTCTGTCTTTTTTGTTGTTGTTTTGAGTAACTTTAGCGTAAAACTAGTCCAGTACATAAAAATCTGAATTGGGGAGTATCTGAAAGTCCCATTTCCAGAAATCTCCAGTCGGCTGGCTCTCCCACTTTTTACTTTTCTTTGAAGACTCCTCCGAGTGGCTCTAGCCCAAACACAAGCCAGTTGTCACAAAGTTCCCTTCTCCAGCCAGTTGGGAGTCACCCTTGGCTGGAAAGCTCTTGCCTGCCTGGGCTCTGGGCCTGGCCCCCTCCATGCTGTCCGTGGGTCTCTCCTTTTTATTAGCTTCTCCATCAAGAAGGCTTTCATTACTTTCCAATGCTCTGAGCTTCTCAAGTTCCCCCTTCCTAGGAAAAGTGCGTTTTTAAAGACAGTTCTTCAGCCCACCACTGCACCCTCAGGATGCATGCCACCTGGGGCTGGAGGCTGGTGTCCAGGGTGAGGGGAGTTAAAGGATCTCCTTGGCCTCTGCTGCTCCAGTGACAAGAGCACATTTTCTGCCCTCCACTTACGTCCTGGGACATCTCCTTCAAATGCTTGTCTTTTGGCTTCTTGATGGCAGTGGCAGAGAATTGGAGGTGGGATAATTTGGGAGGTGGTTGATAGAACAAGAAGGGAAACAGAGTCATCTCTGATTCCTCTCCCTGCCTAGCTCATTTCTGTGGCAGAAGAAGGCACTATGCTTTTCCCTGACACTGGGCCCTTTCATGCCCGAAGGTGGGAACGCCTGGTACAATTTCCTGCCATTTCTTCACACCATTGCTAACTCCCAATGTGTTGGGCATGGACACTGCAGAGAAGCTGATGCCCAGGTGAAGCTGTGAAGCTGGTGAAGCTGTGAGCATCTGGCCAGTGTCGGCTGCCCTTTGTTGGAGGCAGTGCAGCATGGCCTCAGGGCTTGGCATCACACAACTCTGAGGGGCACCTGGGGAGCCAACCTCATAGAACACAAGCTGAATATTGCCCCTTGCAGTTCTACAAAGCAGCTGCTGACCCTCCAGCAAAGGATTAGCCATCAGGAGACATGGATGCAGATTTCAACTCCACCCCTTTCTGGATGCATGACAAGTGACAGGTTATTTCTCATTTCTGGTCTTAAATAAATTTCGCCATCTGCAAAAGAACAATTTTGAACAAAGTTGTTAAATCTTCAGTTCAAATGTTCTATCATCCTAATATTGATGAAAGATTATGAATCCTAAATTAGCTGCAAAGTAAATGAGATGCTCTTATGGTTGTGGTTCTAGGGTATTTCCTGAGCAAGAGACAGAGGGTCAGAGTGGGCCATGCAAACATGTTGCCAGGTATCACGGGCTGCTTGCAAATAGAAGGTAGGAAGCAGCAGTGTGCCAAACCTAAGAGCATTGTGGAGGTGGATCCAGAGGCAGATCCGTTGGGGGGGGGCCCTCTGTTGAGATTTCCCTTCAGTCTCCCCCACCCCCACACACGTCATCTCACTTGGATCTCCCTCTATGCCCCTTCCTTACCAGATTCTCTCTAACTCATGCTTCAAGACTCAGTCTTCCCATCAGCTTCTCCATGCAGATTTCATAGGAGTCCACATCTGGGTCTGGTGCCCTCCACCATATTTCTTCTATACCCTGTGCTTATCACTGTAGAGTGGTTTTAAATCTTCACAGCCAGGCGTGGTGGCTCACACCTGTAATCCCAGCACTTTGGGAGGCTGAGGCAAGTGGATCACCTGAGGTCAGGAGTTCGAGACCAGCCTGGCCAACATGGTGAAACCCCATCTCTACTAAAAATACAAAAATTAGCTGGGTGTGGTGGTGCATGCCTGTAGTCCCAGCTACTCGGGAGGCTGAGGCAGGATAATTGCTTGAACCCAGGAGGCAGAGGTGGGAAAATTTGGGAGGTGAGCCAAGATCGTGCCAACGCACTCCAGCCTGGGCAACAGAGCAAGACTGTCTCAAAAAAAAAAAAAAAAAACTTCACACACACACACACACACACACACACGCACAATAGTCATAGAGCTTTATTTTTATGCAATCGATTATAATCAGTTCTCTGCCCCACTTCTGCCAGGGCTGGCAGAAATCTCCCTCATCTCTACAACTGGGGTTTGTTCCACTCATCCCAAAAGTCTATGAAGGGGAACTTAGTTTGAGGAGGGCATCTGGGAGGACTCTATTCATGGCCGAACTGGCCACCTTTGGTTCACTCCTTGTCCAGTGCTCCACACCTTGGTTCCCCTTTGTCTGGCCTGGCTCCTGGTAAGCAGACAGTGCCAGGATCCCATCCGAGGCTTGCGTGTGGGGCTCTTTGCTGGGACCTGCGGGCAGTCTCCCTGCAGCCAACCCCCAGGGAGCTCCCTCGGAGGTCCTGCCACCCCCCGGAGCAGTGCAGGTGCCTGCTGCTCACACAACCCCATCTAATGTGTCCTTTTTAGTGCTGGGGACTCTCTTTCTCCCTCTTTTGGCTCTTGCCCAGTCCTTTCTCCCCTGCTTTCCCTTTGTCCTCCTCTGTGGGACCCATACACTACTCTTGATGAAACAAAAATTCATATTTTATGAAACCCTCCAGCCACATTATGTGCTATATTAAATTAAGGAGTTATGTTTATATGTATGTTTTCCCAATTAGCAACACACTTGGGGCAGGCAAGAGCTGTGTTGTATTAATCTCTACTATTCCAAAAGCTGAAAAAATGCCAGACACACATGGAAACTTGAGATGTTTTTGTTGAGTTGAATTGAATTAAATATCCCTGTTGTCCAGGGTTATCCAAGATGAGTCTAATTCAAGATTCTTTTTTCTCTTTCTGCCTTTTTTTTGTGGGTCTGGTTGTTTGAAGAAAAATCACAAGAGTTTCTATCTTATGGCCTCTTTGAATCTTTGAGAATTGGCAAAACCCAAAGTCAGGTGAGTGATAACATCTTGTCAGTAGCTGGGAGATAAAGGAATTAGGTTTCAGCCCTTGGAGAAAAGGAGGCGGGGACAGGCCAGAAGAATAGGGTTACAGCCTATTCTATTTCTATTCTAGTTAACTAGAATAGAAAATTAGAGACAGAGCAGAAACCCAGTCTTAGCGACTGGATCTATTTGGTGGTGATGACCAGGAGCAAGGCGCTGGCTTGGTTGGGCACTGGGGCATGGGGGCCTAACATTATCACCACAGGACAGCACCCTTCCATCTGGTAGGGGCATGCTAACACCTGCCATGCCTAGTTCTCAGTGACTCCGGACACAGTGGGGGCAGCCTACCCATTAAGGCCTTCATTGTCTTTGGTCTAATTTCCTGTTATGGAAATTACAAAGCTCGATGGAGTCATCTCCAAATGGAGAGCTGTCCTACTCTGCATGGAAGCAGGTCTCCAGGCAGATGAAAGATGGCTCCTGAGGAAAGAACACTGACGTTAACTCCAGGGGCTGCTCAAGTCCTAGGGTGGTGATCAAGGCTTTAGATCCACAGAATGTAGAAGCTCTGATATCTGGAGCTTGAAGCTTTGGTTGCATCCACTGGCTAGCTGAGTAGAATTTTGGATTTTTGTCTCTGGCTGAGACTGACAGGCTATGGGGACTCCAAATGTTCCCTGAGTGATGTCATGGAGTCCATGGATTCACTGAATAGAATGTTGTGGGAAGTCTGACTAGAGCAGTAGGGCCACACCAGCTAAATTAGTGTTCACTCTTCTTTCTGAGTATGGTGAGCCCACAAGGCTGGCTGCCTCTGAAGGTCCCTCCTGGTTCTCAATAGTAAACCTCATCATCAGCAGAGAGTATGGTGGGGCTCCTCTTCCTGTGTGCTGCGGCTCATGAGCACACACATACAGTTTGTCTAAGACCTGGATCAGATATTTAGATGTAAGTGAAAGAGAAGGGGTTATTACTGAGTTCAGGTTTGGAAACTGAGTTGTTTGGAAACTGTTTCTTCCCACTTCCCTCTGGGTAATATTGTGATAAAGGTTTTCAACAAACACTGTCAAACAATGTCTTGTTTCCAGTTACATTTTCATGGAATGTAATTAGATTATTTTAGTGACCAATAGTGAAATGATTATGTCGTAAGCCAGGCTGCTTCAGGCCATAAGCTGATGTAGAGTTTTGGAGATGACACACTGATTGATCCTTGGCGTAGGCAGAGGTGAAATGTGCAGTTTATTGGGATGGTGATAACTCTACCTTGACTCCACATTCAGGATAAGTAGTAGATCTTTTAGTTAGAATTACAATTCTCCATTCAGAAAAACTCTGAAGAGTTTATGAAAGACCGTTTGTAGTGAAAAGAATTAACGTAGTATTTATTTATTTTCTGTTTCCATATGCCTTTAGGATTAAAAATATTTGGATTAAAAACATTTTTTTCTTTTTGAAATCAAAGTTTTATTTTGAGATCACTGTAGATTCTCATGCAGTTGCTAGAAATATTACACAGAGACCCCATGTGCTCTTTACCCAGTTGCTTTCAGTGGTTAAACAAATCCTGGTATATCCATGGTACCATGAATTACAGTACAATATCACCACCAGGATATTGACATCAGAACAGCCAAGCTACAGGGCATTCCACTGCCGCAAGGATTCCTCATGTGGTCTATTTATAGTCATACCCACTTTCTTTCCTATCTCCACCCCTCCTTAGACCCTGGATACCACGACTCTGTGCTCCACATCTATAATTCTGTCATTTTTGAGAATATTATGTAAATTGAATCAGATAGTGTGTATCTGATAGTGTGTAAGCCAGTCTTTTGGAACTGGCTTTTTCTCACTAGCATCATTCTCTGGATATTCATCTGTTTGATGTATTTATCTATAGTTTCTTCTTACTGCTGAGTAGTATTCCATAGTATGGATATATATTAATAGTACCCAATTGTTTAACCATCTACCTGCTGAAGGACATCTAGTTGTTTCCAGTTTTTAACTGTTGTAAATAAATTGCTATAAATATTTGTGAACAAGTTTTTGTGTGAATGTAAGCCTTCATTGCTCTAGGACAAATGTCCAAGAGTATAATCACTGGGTCATATGTTATTTGCATGTTTATTTTTTTAAAAAATTGCCAAACTGTTTTCCAATGTGGCTGAATGATTCTACATTCCTACTTGCAATGTACGAGTCATCCAATTTCTCTGCATCCATGCATTGGGTGTTGCACCCAACATTGGTTGTTGCACCCAACATTGGGTGTTGTTACTATTTTTTTTTTTTTTTTTTGAGACGGAGTCTCGTTTTATCGCCCAGGCTGGAGTGCTGTGGCGCGATCTCCGCTCACTGCAAGCTCCGCCTTCCGGGTTCACACCATTCTCCTGCCTCAGCCTCCCGAGTAGCTGGGACTACAGGCGCCCGCCACTGCGCCCGGCTAATTTTTTGTATTTTTAGTAGAGACGGGGTTTCACCGTGGTCTCGATCTCCTGACCTCGTGATCCACCCGCCTCGGCCTCCCAAAGTGCTGGGATTACAGGCGTGAGCCACCGCGCCCGGCCTTACTATTTTTTATTTTAGCTATTAATGTAGGTATATTGGTGGTATCTCATTGTGTTTTTAATTTGCATTTCCCTAAAGGCTAATGATGTAAAATATTTCATGGGCTTATTTTCCATCTGTATATCCACTTTGTCTTTGTGTCTTTTGTGCATTTTCTAATTCGATTTTTTTAATTGTTAGTTTTGAAGCTTCTTTATATATTCTAGATATTAGTGCTTTGTTGGATATATGATCTGCAAATATTTTCTTACACTCTGTAACTCATCTTATCATTCTTTCAACGAAAGTTTTTAGGCCAGGCACAGTGGCTTACACCTGTAATCCCAGCACTTCAGCAGGCTGAGGTGGTGGATTGCTTGAGCTCAGGAGTTTGAGAACAGCCTGGGCAACATGGCAAGCCCCTGTCTCTTTAAAGTAATAACACAAAAGTTTTAAACTTTGATAAAGCATTCCCTCCCCTTCTATTTCCTGGAAAAGATGTACAGAATTGGTGTTAATTCTTCTTTAGATTTGGTAGGAATCTCCAGTGGAATCCTGGAGATAAATATTTCCATCTGGGCATAAATATTTCTTTTAGGGGGTTTTAAAATTACAAATTAAATTTCCCTAATAGTTATTGGCTATTCAAACTATTTATTTATATTGGATGAGCTGTGGTAATTTGTCCTTTTCAAGGACTTGGTCCATTAAATCTAAGTTTTTGTAGTTATGTGTGCTAAGTTGTTTATGGCTTTCCCTCGTCACCCTTTTGCTGTCTGAAGGGTCTGTATTGGTTTTCCTTGTTTTATTTCTGATATTAGTAATTTGTATCTTCTCTCTTTTCCCTTTGCCAATCTTATTAGAGGTTTGTCAGTTTCATTGATAACCTATTGTTTTTCTCTTTTGAATTTCACTGATTTATCTTTGTTATTTCTGGAAGCTTGCTTTGGATTTATTTTTGTCTTCTCTTTCTAGGTTCTTGACAGAGGTACATAAATAAATGATTTGAAACTTTTGTTTTCTATTGTGTACATTCAGTGCTATAAATTTCCCTCTTAGCACTGCTTTTAACTGTGTCCCACAAATTTTAATGTTATGTTTTAATTTTTATTTAGCTCGATGCATTTACAAATTTTCCTTGAGATAGCCTCTTTGACTCAGACTATTTAGAAATGTGCTTGTGAGTTTACAAGTGCTTGAAATTTTTCCTGTTATCTTTCTCTTACTGATTTCTAGTTGATTTTATTGTGATTAGAGAACATACTCTCTCTGATTTCAATTCTTTTACATTTGCTGAGGCTAGATTTATAGCCTAAGATAGTGTCTGTCTTTGTTTTCTGTTGCTTATAACAGAATACTCAAAACTGGGCGATTGATAAAGAAAAGGATTTTTTTTTTTTTATGGTTATAGAGGCTGGGAAGCCCAAGGTTGAGGGCTGCATCGTGTAAGGACCTTCTTGCTGGGGCGGACTTGCTGCAGAGTCCTGAGATGGTGCAGGGCATCACATAGAAAGGGGGCTTAACATGCTCATGTCCTAGTTTAGGTCTCCCTTCCTTTTCTTGTAAAGCCACCAGTCCCACCTCTATGACAACTTATTAACCAATTAATCCATGAATGAACTAGTCCATTCATGATGACAGAGCCTTTATGACCCAATCACCTCTTAAAGGTCCCACCTCTCAATACTGCCACATTGGGGATTAAATTTTACAATGAGTTTTGAAGGGGACAAACACTCAAATCATAGCACTGTCTATCTTGGCATAGGTTTGGTGGGCACTTGAAAAGAATGTTCATTCTGCTGTTGAGTGGAGTGTTCTATAAATGTCAATGAGCTCTTGCTGTTTGATGGTATCCTTGATTATTTTTTGTCTAGTTTTTTTTTACCAATGGTTGAGAGGGGGTGTTAAAGTTTCCAATGATAACCGTTGACTTGTCTATTTTTCCTTTTAGTTCTATCTGTTTTCACGTCACATATTTTGTCGCTCTGTTGGTTGGTGCATACACGTTTAGCATTTCTATGCCTTCTAAATGGATTGACTCTTTTATCATTAAATAACGTCTCTGGTAATTGCTTTTGCTCTGAAGTCTACTTTATCTGATATGAACATTGTTACTCATTTTTTTGATTAGTGTTTGCATTATATATATATATATATTTTTCTTCTATCCATTTACTTTCTACTTGCCTATATTGTTATACTTGAAGTGAGTTTCTTATAAACAACATATATTTGGGCCATTTAAAGAGTGTTCTCTGCCAACCTCTACCTTTTATTTGGCCTCTTTAGTGCATTCATGGAGTACTTAATTCTATTCCAAATTAAAGTCTTGTGAATGCTATCTGATAGACAGAAAATAAATCATCCAGTATCCTGAGTTCATGAGAGGTTAAGAAAGCTCATTTGATGTAATCCCAGCACTTTGGAAGGCCAAGGTGGGCGGATCACGAGGTCAGGAGTTTGAGACCAGCCTGGCCAACACAGTGAAACCCTGTCTCTACTAAAAATACAAAAATTAGCTAGGTATGGTGGTGCATGCCTGTAGTACCAGCTACTCAGGAGGCTGAGACACAAGAATTGCTTGAGCCCCAGAGGCAGAGGTTGCAGTAAGCCACAATCATGCCACTGCACTCCAGCCTGGGTGAAGGAGCTAGACTCCATCTCAAAAAAGGAAAAAAAAAAAGAAAAGAAAGCAAGCTCATTTCAGGTGGGGTGTGGTGGCTCATGCCTATAATCCCAGCACTTTGGGTGGCTGAGGCAGGTGGGTCTCCTGAGCTCAGGAGTTCAAGACCACCCTGGGCAACATTGTGAAACCCTGTCTCTACTAAAATGCAAAAAATTAGCTGGGCATGGTGGTGCATGCCTGTAGTACCAGCTACTCAGGAGGCTGAGGCACGAGAATCGCTTGAGCCCCAGAGGCAGAGGTTGCAGTGAGCCGAGACCATGCCATCGCACTCCAGCTTGGGCTACAGAGTGAGACTCTGTCTCAAAAAAAAAAAAAAAAAGCTCATCTCAACTTTCCAAACTGCTTTTCAGTCAAGCACATGAGAAATTAAAACAGCAGCTGCATGAGGTGTTTACTCATCTCTTAGAAATGATCTACTTCCTGCTGAGGGACTCCTCGCTCACCTCAATTCCTGGCACTGTTGTTCTCATTCTTATGTGCTAGTCACAACTCCGTCCTCCTGGGAGTTTGTGGAGTGTGGTGAATCCAGGATGAGCTTCCTTATTTTGAGGTGGCTTTCACTGCAGTGGTCTCTTTATTTGGACTTGCTATTGGTTAAACCGTCGGAGCTATTCTGTGTAAGTGTCCATAGACATGGGTTTTAGGGGACTGATATTTTAGCTGTGTTTAAATTCTCATATGGCTAAGGGCAGCTTATTTTTTTCTGAGGCAAAGGAAAAGAAACACAGGAAACATCCATCAGGTCATATTTAATGCTGAAAAGTTCTGACGCAGTTTGACTTCATGGTGCTAATGACAGATTTAAATGGAACTGATGCACATGGATCTGAAAGTCGAATTTTCTCTGTTTCTGGAAAATTAACATGCGTCTTTAGAGGCATGATCTGTCCTCACACCCGGGAAGACATGAATGAGATATCTAAAGCAGCACTCAATAGGATAACCAGGAAAGCCACAGGAGGGCTAGAGAATCGGCTAGTGGAGTTGAAAGCCACATCAAATGGTTAGAACTTAGTTACTAGTGTGTAATCTCTTGGATAAGAGATGTCTAAATCCAGAAGAACCAATGCCAGAGGTGAAGCCCGTCCATCCATCCATCCATCCATCCATCCATCCATCCATCCAGGTAAACCTGATGGGATCCATAGAAAAACAAGAGGCAGCAGCATGTTTTCCTGCACAGGGAAGCTGGGTTCAAGACTTATGCCAGTCAAGCAGCCTGGAGGTCTGAAGTGTCAACCTGGGGAAAGAAGGAAAGTGTGGAAAAGACAAGGGAAGGCCGGGCACAGTGCTGTAATCCCAGCACTTTGGGAGGCCGAGGCGGGTGGATCACCTGAGGTCAGGAGTTCGAAACCGGCCTGACCAACATGGTGAAACCCCGTCTCTACCAATAATACAAATTTAGCCAGGCATGGTGGCGCATGCCTGTAATCCCAGCTACTAGGGAGTCTGAGGCAGGAGAATCATTGGAATCTGGGAGGCAGTAGTTGCAGTGAGCCGAGATTGCACCACTGGACTCCAGCCTGGGCAACAAGAGGGGAACTCCGTCTCAAAAAAAAAAAAAGACAAGGGAAAAACTTGAGGGCCCTCAGCTTATGGTGGAGGGAAATGAAAAGGGGAGAGGGAGTGTGTGCTGAAAGCCTTCTTAGCCCTGGCCATCCTGGAATGTACCCTTATCTGGCATGAGGATAACTCCTTGCTCTGAATCAGATCCCAGCGTCTCTGCACTAGGACCCCAGCTGGTCCGGGAGCACACGAACAGCCATCATCTCCTTTGCTTCCCACCTCCACATTTTCTTATATGCCATGCGTTCTTTAAACAATTCTTTCTACAAGATTTTCTGTGTCTTCAGAGAATGCTGCTTGAATGTTGCTAGAGTTTTTATTCATTTCTTATTTAATGTGATATATTAACAGAATGTCTTATAGGAGGGCAATGAAGGACTAGGGAACAAAGGAGTGACACAGAAATGAGAAAAGTTTGAAAGGTAATGTCAAAAAAACCTCCCAAAGTCAATGAAAAATCTATGTCCTTATAAATGAAGCAATTACACTAATTGAAGGATACAGATCTGAATAAATGAATAGACCAAGCATGTTCCTGAATGGGAAGACTCAATAGTGAAGACATTGGTTCTCCCAAATCAGTGGATGTTATTTTGTCTCAGTGCTAATCCAGTGCTGCTTCTCCTGGTTTCTTCTTATAGGTCATTATTTATATGAAAACTTACTCAAGTACTGTATCTTTATATATTTATTAGCCATCAGTACCTTTTACTATGAATCTAATGTTCATACATTTTGCTTATATGTTTATATTGTTTGTCTTATTTTTTTGGTAGGATTTCCATATATATTCTGGGAATTATTACTGTTCATTCTTGTTGTAAACATTTTCCCTGCCTGTAACTCTGCCACTTATCTTTATACTTTGTTCATGGTGTCTTCTGTCATACAGAACTCTTAAGTTTTATCTGGGTTCAAGTGATTCTCATGCCTCAGCCTCCCGGGTAGCTGGGATTACAGGCATGCGCCACCATGCCTGGCTAATTTTTGTGTTTTTAGTAGAAATGGGGTTTTGCCATGTTGGCCAGGCTGGTCTTTAACTCCTGACCTCAAGTAATCTACCTGCCTTGGCCTCCCAAAGTGCTGGGACTATAGGCATGAGCCACCACACCCGGCCATTTCCTTCTTTTTATTTATAATTCATCAACAACGTGCCTTGTTCAGCAAGGATTCTTCCACCTTTATAAGTTTGTATTTAAAAAATTCCTATATGTACTTTTATTCCACTGGAAGTTTTATATTTATCCTTTTATTCTAGCTAGAATTCATATTTGCATATTGGTCAAAGAGGGAACTGACTTTATTTTCTCTTGTAATTGTATTGCTGGCTTACAGCAGTTTATTTATTTATTAATCATAACTCACCCTTTCCCCACAGTTTTGATATACCGTTTTGATATACCATTTTAAAAACACAGTATATATGGACTCATTTCTACTGCTTTTCTGCTTCATCGGTTACTTAACAATTCCTCCATCAGTATTGTTTCAAAATATATTCTGATATCTGAAACAGCAAGCCTGTTTTCATAATTATTCTTTCTCAGAATTTTATTGGTTATACTTATGTGTTTCCTAGAAGAACTTTAGAATCACCTTGTCACATTTTATAAATCATCCTTTGAGAATCTTGGTTTGAGTGTAATAAATCTCCTAACTGATTTGGTAGAACTGATAATTTTACAGTATGGGGGATTCTCAGCCAGAAACGATTTGTTTCTCATTGATTCAGGTATTTTATAGTTTTTCAAGAATGTATGATTGTTTTATTTATATATGCCATAAACATTTCTTATTAGTTTTTAGGAGTCTTATGGGCTTATGAAATTTGTAAAGGAGGACTTTTTTTCTATTTATTTTTTACTACAAAATATTAATTTCTGTATGGCATTCTTATTAATCACCCATCTCCCTGAATTCTATTACAGTTTTATTTAGTAAGTTATTTGTCTTGGTATTCTAGGTATATAATCCTTTCAGTTGAAAACATAGAATTTTCTCTTTTGTTTTCAAAATCATAGCTTTGCTTTATTTTTCTTAACTTACTCTATTATATGAAACCTCTGTGCAATGCCACACAGTAGCAGTGATTACAGAATTATCTTATGCCTGACTTTGTCATATTTTCTAACCCCTACAAACTGAACCAATATTCAAGAATCTTAGTTCTAGTTCCATCTCAGTTGCCGCTCTTTGTTAGTTTCAGTGTATTTATAAAATAAGGAAATTGAATTCTCTGAGCTCTTATTTTCCTTCCAGTTCATGTATTATGTGATTTAACAGATAGGCATGACAACAAAGATTAGCTTTTAAATGTGAAAATGGGAACAAAATAGGGCCTAATTTATTTATAATAAAATGGAATCTATTTGATAACCAGGTTACAATTTACCTACAAGATTTGAAAAGTTAAGAAAACCCACCAGTTGGAGATGTAAATCCCAAGAGAGGTCTTCACCCTTCTTGAAAGCTCATATGCCAGAGAAACTAATGATTTGATCAAGAGAGTTTTTTCCCCCCCAGTATTCAGTTGTGCTAAATTGGCTAAAAATGGTGCATAATTGTACACCACAAGTATCCATACCCAACCTGCCTTACTTTCTTTGACTTTTCCCTTGTAAAATCTTATAATGGACAGAGAAGAGAAATTGGAGAGAATTTGAATGTTGTGCTAGCAAAACATAAGATATTGCAAGACTCAGTTCAAGTTTAAACTTCATTCCCTTTCTTCTGAAAGTCAGCCATAATTCTCTAGCCAAATTGTCTGAAAAAGGATCCTAAGGGGTGTCAGAGAAAATGAAGCAGATCAGAGAGTTATGGGGCCTCCATCCACTCAGGAGAAAGCTAAGGGGCCTTGCAGGAGACAGTGATGGATTCAAGCCATAGGAAAAAGCATACATCAAGGGCCTCTACCTCATCCCTATCTTTGGAGGATGTGTATAATTTATAGAGTGTTTAAATTAGACAAATGGCCCAATCGATTTAGAATAAGGGACAGGAAACACATGTTTATTTTGCATTAAACTGAACTTCACCAGGGTAGAAATGCTTATGATCTCCTGAGTTATGGTGCTTGGGTTCTCCATGAAAGTGTGCCTAATTACTGGGATTGCTTCTTTGCACAAAGGCGATCCATTATGGAACATGCTGTCTCCATAAAGAACAGGGAATAAGCTAAGCAGCTCAGGCTAAGTGGTAATTTATATCATTGTTTATAGAAAGAAAGAGCAAGAGCAGGCAGGAGGGCAAGACGACAGCAAGAGAACAAGAAAGAAACCTGAAGAAAAGAAGTTTTAGTGAAGATGGAAAGGCTTAAAACATACCATGGAGAATGACCTCAGCCTTCTGTGTGGAGGATTTGCACTTGGAGATAAGGAAAGAGAGGGACTTCAGAGAGTTAAGCAGTTCAGTTTCCTTTGCATTTCTTACATCTGAGCAGGTGACCGGAGTGAACACTCTGGAAGCCACAGTGGAGTCCTCTGCTTGGGGCCTCTTTCTGGAAACCAGATCAATTCACTGAAAAACAATTTGCAAATGACTAGTTCATTGAGAAGCAAGTGACCAAAACTCTAAGTCACCGAATGACCTGCTCATTGATTTATTGAAGATTTTATTCCAAGGTCTACTTCCCTCTGCATTTGTGGCTGCCATTTCATATGTGAATGGGTGGGCAGTTTGCTGTCATGCCCTTTTTGTGCATCTCTATCCTGACCCTGTATGTGGTGCTGCCTTTTCCCAGGCCCCCTGCCCCTGCCCTGGCCTCTGTCTGCAAAGCAGTTGCAGCAACCTCCCTCTTGCTGTTGAAGATACTCATCTGATGTCTATTGTGAATTGGCTGGAGCCCTTCTACAGGTTTGTTAGCGTCCCTCTGCATCCAGGCTGATGGTGCCTGCCATGCTTCTACATGCTGTTCTCTGCCACCCACCTGAGCCCAGCTAGAGTCAGTGGGGAAGTGGAGGAGCCACATCAAAACAGTGTGTCCACCTCAGTCACCCTCCAGTGTGCATTGACGACCAGGCAGCCATTAGACCCAAATGCAGCCCCACAGCATAGAGGCAAATGGAAAGGCCACATATCCTCTTTTCATTCTCCTTCCATGTGAGGCCCTGCAGAGCCTGGCATCTGTCTTCATCATCGTGGCATCCTCAGACTCTTTCTTCTTCCTGGAGCGAGCTGTGCTCTCTGAAGCCACTGCCTGTGTGGGAAGTACCCCAGCATTTCTTCGCTGTTGCCAGGCATCCCTTCCTGTCCTACCACTTCAAATGCATCTTTTCATGTGTCCTTCCTGAGCACCTCTAGCAGCTGCATGTTCCTGTTTCAGCCTCTGCCTTTCCACAGCTCCTCCAAGATTCCTCTATTGCAGAGCACAGCACCACCTTGCAGGAAACCTCCCAGAGGACTGTGAGGACCATGAAGCAAGGGGCTGCATCTTATTCTCCTTGGTGTCTGGCCCAGCAGTGGGCCCAGGCCAGGTAAGTCTTCTATGTGTGTGCTGAGTGATCAATGGACAAGAAAACCAAGCAGTGATGGGCCTGAGAGATGAGCACCCTGGCGTGCTGGGGGTGTCTTGATATACTGAGTTTTAACAAGCTGAGTGACAAAAAAAATGCCAGGGAACTTGAGAGAAGATGGGAAGGAGGTGGAGGGTCTCTATGAGGTGTGAGTTTCTTCCAACCTGGCGTATCCGGAGTGGGGAATGAATCTTCAAATGCCTAGAGCCTGCTGTCTGTACCATCCAGTTACACTCCAGGAGCAACCCACAACTGGTAATTCCCTTGGTGAATTCAAGCAAGGATCTCCAATTTATTTTTAGATGTTAGATGTAGTGGTTAATTGAATATGCCCCACACCAGCACAGTCCAACCAAACTTCCTTCAATAATGGAAACATCCGATATTCACTCTCCAACATAGCTTCCTCTGGCCACACTGGGCACTTGAATTGTGAATAGTACAAACTGAGAAACTGAATGTCTTATTTTTAAAAATTTTTAATGGATTTTGGCCACTGTCTTGGATAGTGCAGTGAGAAGCAAACCATATGGATTCAAAACCTGTCTCTAGCAAATGTATACTGGCTGTTTGCCTCATGTCCCATTTCCTCATTTATTAAAGGTAATAGTATATGTACTCTTGTTTTTTGTGGTGATTAAATTATTAATCTGCTTTGGTTATCTATTGCTACATGACAAATCACTTCAAATGTTGTGGCTTTAAAACACCAGGAGCAATTGATGACATTTCATGGTTTCTGTGGGTCAGAGATTTGGGCAAGGCTGGGCTGTGCAGTTCTTGCTTGGTGTCTCTGTGGTTGCAGCCATGTGGCCTTCTCTTCCACAGTGGCTCAGTCACATGGCTGGCAGGTGGTCCAGTGGCCCCTACATGGGCTGCATGAGTGTCCTCCCAGCACAGCAGTTGGCTTCCCCAAGAGCGAGCCACCGTGAGAGTGGGGAAAGCTGCAATGGCTGTGATTCTGTAGCCTCAGAAGCCACTCACTCTCACACTGAATGAGCATCCTTGGGGGCCATCTCAGAGGCAGCTGCCATAGTTAACACTGAGGCCAGGCCTGAAGAAGCCCTGAGCAGATAAAGCTTGTTAAGCCTCCTAAGTGACTTTAACCTCACTTGCTTTGCAAACATTACAGAGACTTAACTTGAGCTATTTCTTGTAAATATCTATCTTAAAGAAAAGCAGAACGTAATCTCAACCAATCAGAAGCAGCCAACTCACTCATAATTGAAAGCATACCGTGTTTTATTGCACGTCACTTTATTGAACTTGACAGATATTGTGCTTTTTTAAAAATTGAAGGTTTGTGGCAACTCTGTGTTGTGCAAGTCCATCGGCACCATTTTTCCAACAGCATATGCTCACTTTGTTGTCACATTTTGGTAATTCCCACAATATTTCAAACCTTTTCATTATTATTATATATAGTGATCTGTCATCAGTGATCTT
The DNA here is from genome assembly GCF_000001405.40 of Homo sapiens. NCBI lineage: Eukaryota > Metazoa > Chordata > Mammalia > Primates > Hominidae > Homo > Homo sapiens. Next base: position 44,832,580 of record NC_000010.11, on the reverse strand, counting down.
TGATGTTGCTGTTGTAATTTTTTGCAGGGGGTACAAACTATACCCATATAAGATGGCGAACTTAGTAGATAAAGGTTGTGTGTGTTCTGACCGCTCTACTGAAAAGAGAGACTGTTTCCCTCTCTTTCCCTCTCCGCAGGCCTCCCTTTCCCTGAGACATACCAATGTTGAGACTAGGACAATTAATAGTTCTTCAATGACTTCTAAGTGTTCAAGTGAAAGGAAGGGTCCACATCTCCCACTTTCAATCAACAGCTAGAAACAATTAAGCTTAGTGAGGAAGGCGTGTCAAAAGTGGAGACAGGCTGAGAGCTAAGTCTTGTGCACCAAAGAGTTAGCCAAGTTGTGAATGCAAAGGAAACATTCTTGAGAAAGTTAATTTCTTAGAGAAAATCATCATTCATGTATTCAATGAACACATGAACGATAAGAAAGTGAAATAGCCTTATTGCTGATACAGAGAAAGTTTAAGTGGTCCAAGTAGAAGATCAAAACAGCCACAGTCTTCCTTAAGCCAAAGCCTAATCCACAGCAAGGCCCTAACTCTTCAGTTCTATAGAGGATGAGAGAGGTGAGAAAGTTGCAGAAGAAAAGTTGGAAGCTAGCAGAGGTTGGTTCATGAGGTTAAAGGAGAGATGCTGTCTCCATAACATAAAAGTACAAGGTAAAGCAGCAAGAGCTGATGGAGGAGCTGCAGTAAGTTCTCCAGAAGATCTAGCTAAGATCATTGATGAAGGTGGTTACACTAAACAACAGATTTTCAGTGTAGATAAAACAGTCCTCTGTCGAAAGAAGATACCATCTAGGACTTTTGTACGTAGAGAGAAGTCAATGTCTAGCTTTAAAGCTTCAAAGCTTCAAAGCTTCAAATGACAGGCTTGTTAGGGGCTAATGCAGCTGGCGACTTGAAGTTGAAACCAATGCTCGTTTATTATTCCAAAAAAACTTAGAGCCCTTAAGAATTATGCTAAATTTCCTCTTTCTGAAAAAACAAAGCCTTGATGATGGCACATCTGTTTACAGCATGGTTTACTGAATATTTTAAACACATAAGTGAAACCTAGTGCTCAGAAAAAAGATTATTTTCAAAACATTACTGCTCATTGCCAATGCACCTGGTCACCCAAGATGGACATATACAAAGAGATTAATGTTTCATGCCTGCTAACACAACATCCATTCTGCAGCCCATGAATCAAGGAGTAATTTTGACTTTCAAGTCTTATTATTTAAGGAACAAATTTTGTAAGACTATTGTTCCTATAGATAGTGATTCCTCTGATGGATCTGGGTAAAGTAAATTAAAAATCTTCTGGAAATAATTTACCATTCTAGATGCCATTAAGAACATTCATGATTCATGAGAGGAGATCAAAATATCAACATAAACAGGAGTTTGAAAGAAGTTGATTTCAACCCTTGTGGATGACTATGAGAGATTCAAGGCTTCAGTGGAGAATGCACCTACAGATATGGTGGAAACAGCAAAAGAAATAGAATCAGAAGTGGAGCCTGAAGATTAAACTGAATTGCTGCAATCTCATGATAAAACTTGAACAGATGAGGAGTTGCTTCTTACAGGTGAGTAAAGAAAGTGCTTTCTTGAGATGGGATCTATTTCAGGTGAAAGTGCTGTGAACATTGTGAAATGACAACAAAGGATGAATAATTTTATATAAATGTAGATTACAATAAAGTAGTGGGAGTGCTTGAGGGGATTGACTCCAATTTTGAAAGATGTTCTAATGTGGGTAAAATACTATCAAACAGCATCACATGCTACAGGGAAATCTTTCATGAAAGAGTCAATGGATGTAGTAAACCTCATTGTTGTCTTATTTTATGAAATTGCCATGGCCACCCCAACCTTCAGCAACCACTGCCCTGATTAATCAACAGCCGTCAACATGTCAACATCAAGCCTAGACCCTCCACCAGAAAAAGATTACAAGTCTCCGAAGGCTCGGATAATCATTAGTATTTCTCAGCAATGAAGTATTTTTGAATTAGGGTATGTGCACTGCTTTTTTAGACATAATGCTATTGTACACTTCATAGACTATAGTATACTATAAACATAACTGGTATTCAGTGGGAAACAAAAAACATGTGACACACTTGATTGTGATATTTGCAGTATTTGCAGACAGTAGTTTGTCACTGAACCCGCAATGTCTCCAAGGTATGCTTGTATGTAACTAGAGGTTTTTTCAGTGGGATAGACTCAATAAGCCAATTGCATATCCATAATCAATTAAATATTTTCTTTTGTTTGACTTCCCTGTTTGTATTATAGAAATCTCCTTCTTGCATTCCTTTGATGGAACTCACAAACCACTTCCTCTTTGGAGCTGCCTAATTCATGAATCCCTGTTTGCTCAAACTCTTTAAAAATTTTACTGTGCTTTGGTTTACCTTTTTAACCCTGCAATGTGTATCAAAGGGTGCTTAGCACATAGTGAATGGAGATATTAGTAGTTCTTCTCTGATGCTTTCCAAGTTCGGCGAAATCTTGAGGCTCTCCACTCACATTTGCAAATGCTAAACGCTCCTGTGGTGGAGAGAGCAGGGGGGCTGGTGTGTGGACACCCTCTGAGGTGTTCTCACTGGCCACTGGCTCCTTTTGTTGTCTCCCTTTCAATTCAGTACCAGAACATCCCTTCACCGGCAACTTTCGAGTGGGCCTGCTGAAACAATCAAGGCAGTGCCTCCACTTAACTTTGAGAAGGTAGTGTGTGAGAGATTTAGAATAAGCAGCTCTGGAACTACTCCCAGTTTACTCTTATAATTACATACACAAAAAAATCAAAACCTCAGTTTATTTGTCCAAAAATGGGGATAGTATTCTTGTCCTACATGATGAGTGTACTAATCCTTCCAGCCAGCATTCACCTGGGGCTCTGTGCTCCAGGCAGGGTGAGGGTTAGGACTGCATGTAGGTGCTGCCTTCACACCCGGAGCAGGCTGGAGCGAGTGGTGTGAAGCCTCCCAACCCCACGGCTGGGGGCAAAGGCTGTGCTAAGGCACCCGGACATGGAGCTGGCCTGGCCTGAGGACTCAGAGTGGAAAGACAGGAAAGACACTGGCTGCGCTGAAGCGCTGGGACCCGGGAAGGGGCGTCTAGGCAAGAGCGCCTGTGAACAGGATTTGTAAGCTGCTCTTGGTGACTTTTGGACAGACACTCTTACTTGCTTTACTGCTCCCCTTTGTCTTCTGCCCCCTTTCCCTAAAAGTATTTCCAAATGTGTGATGCCCACCAGGTTCCTGGGCAGTGCAGTGGGATGTCTGCTTGGTTTCTGCTGATCCTCACAGAGCCTGGTGACTTCTTCCTCCCAGGTCTGTGGATCAACACTGTCTCCCTGGCCTCTACCCAGCGCGCAGGACCCCTTAGCAGAGCAGGAGAACTCAGGTTGGAACTCATTATTGCATGGTGCTTGTCTTGCCATCTGTCCCCATAATGCCTTAAGTGACAATGACATAGGCATCTGACAATGTATGTGGCCATCACTTTTTATCATTTTAAGATATATGGGCCTTCTTTTTCCAACTCTTTTCCCCCGCCAGACAGCCAGGAGCCCAGAGAAGGGTTGTGTTGTGTCCTTTACTGAGCCCCACAGGCCTGTGTGAGCCAGGGGCTTGGCATGCCTGGGAATAAGAGCGCCAGCCTTTGGCCTTCCCGCAGCCTCTCCTTGGGGCCTTTAGGGTCCCCACAGGCCCTCCCCTCCCCTCTGCATTTTCCAGGATCCAGCCAGCTGCCGGCACACTTTCGTCCTCCTCCGCACACGAGGATCCCCAGGCCCAGCGGTGTTAGCCCAGAGAGGAGCGGCGTTTGGGATGTGATCCACAGCTGATCCCTCGTGGCCCCTCCTCTCCCGAATCCTGAAACATGAGGAGGCCCTTCAGCTGCTGGCTCGGAGTCCGACTATGGGAACTTTCTCCGGTCTACGGGGGCAGCAAGGGTCTCGCCTCAGGGACTTGGTTTATTTATCTAGCTGGACTCCATCCCTTAATATCCTACTTACAGAGGAAGAGGCTTTAGCAGCTAAATGCAGCCCCATCCCCTCCTGTGGAGACTGTGAGCAGAAAAAGAACAGATATTTACAGAGGCCCGAGCCCCCCTTGTTGTTTTCTGCAAGGCTGTCGAGCTGGTGGAGCTTCAGGATCCTGGTCAGGAACCCCGAACCCAGCGCTGGAGGCCCTGAAGATCAGGGCACCCGACCCTCTTCCCAGCCGCCAAAGGCCTGTGTTGGTCTGATTGTGGATTCCAAGCTCTAATTTCCATCCATCCTCCCAATCCGAATTCCCTTTGCAGACATAAACACCATCAGCAATGTAGAGAATGTGTTTCCTCATCTTTGAATATTAACACTCATCTGTTTAATTGAGCTACTTTTTACATACATGTAAGATGTGCTGCAATTGCAAAAGAAACATGTGCTTCGTGTTCTATAAGCCATATCTTCCGCAAGACCTGCCATCAAATGATTGCTCAAACATTTGTTGAATGGGATGAGCAATGGAGGTTCAGACAGGTGCCCTGACCTACCCAGGCTGGAGGGTAGGGAGCTAGAAATTCATACAACCATGCCTTGTTCTACTTGTTTTGTGAAAGAATCATGTGACCAGTGACAAAGAGGCTGGGCAGCTGGGTCAGGCAGCAGGGACAGCGACTGAGCTGGGGGGACTACAGTGCTGTGCTCCTCTGCACCCGTGCTGGGATGTCTGAGGCCAAGCTGACACTGGCCCCCCACAATCCCTTGGGGCTGCTCCTCCTCAGGGAGTGGCTCTCCGGGTTTCCTGCTTGACTCCTGCTGCTCTTGTGTTGAAGGGCCGTCTCTGGGCAGCTCCCCCTGGCCCCTGGCCAGAGAGCCAGGCCCTGTCAGGCACGCACATGGAGGATGAGGGAGGTGCAGTTGTTTTCACAGGTGCAGACTCTAGAGGGACCCCACGTGGACTCTGTGGCTTCTGCCCCGACGCACTCGCGGGAGGACACAGCTCTGCCCGGAAGGGAGAGTGCTGAGCTGGGTCCCTGCTGCTCATCTCTGTGGCATCACCCTGTCAGTCCTTCCCTGTCACACATATGTTCCGCAAGACCTGCCGTCAAATATTTGCTCAGTCAAACATTTGTTGAATGGGATGAGCCATGGAGGTTCAGACAGATGCCGTGACCTGAAGTGTCAAATGAAGGGATGCGTGTGTGATGGCCTTCACCATTTATATTGTTTTAAACTTGCTAAGCACTAGTTAAAATAAAAAAGCCAACACTTTTCTTTACATTTTTACTCTCTCTCTTTCTAACATATAGTATGTAAAAAGAAAAATCTTGGCTATTCCAATAGAGGAAGTGGCTGTGTTTTGTTTTGCTATTTATTTATTTATTAATTTATTTTTTCTCCTCACTGTATTAGTCTGCTTGGGCTGCCATAGCAAAGTACCACGGACTGGGTGGCTTAAACAACAGAAACTCATTTTCTCACGGTCCTGAAGTCCAAGAACAAAGTGTCAGCAGGGTTGGTTTCTGGTGAGGACTCTTCCGAACTTGCAATGGCTGCCTTCTCACTGTGTCCTCATGTGGATTTTTCCTTGTGTGTGTGTACTTCTCATGTGCTTTCCTTTTCCTATAGGATAGCAGTCCTGTTGGATCAGGGCCTCACCCTTGTGACTGCATTTAACCTTATTTACTTCCTTAAAGGCCCTGCCTCTAAATCCTGTCATACTGGGGATTATGGCTTCAACACTTAGATTTTGGGGGAGACACAGCTCAGTCCATAGCACTGCCCAATGGGCAAAGCTTGGCCAGCCTCCATGTCTGTGGGGCTTCTCTTTCCTGCGAGGGCCTGGTCTCCTAGAGAAGCCCCAGTCTTCCCTGTTCCTGGTTGTCCCCATCCTTCCTCCTCTCAGGGGAGGAGGCCAGACCTTCTCCTTGGACTCAGTGCTTGACCAGCTACTCCCTCCACAAGGTGCAGGCAGGAGGAGTTGAGTGTTAGTAGCTCAGCCCAAGATGTCTCCTGGGGTTGGCTCTCACTGATCCATGCCAGGGGAGCTGATCAAGCACCTGGAAGTCTCTAAGGGCAGCTCCCTCCTCTGGCCCTGCTCTCCTCTTTTGTCTCCCTGCAGTGGGTGCAGTCTGAGGGCCCTGGTGGTGCATTTGCACCAAGGAGAGAGAGGCCACTTCTGCCTGACACATATATCTTCTCTCCTCCCTTGTCTAGGGTTAGGAACTGTCAGAGTGTGGCTCAACTGAGAAACAACTTTCTGAGTAGAGGTGGGGAAAGATGGGCTAAGAGGCTTCTGAGGTCATGTGTTCACCATCACTGAGGCACTGTGATGTGTTAGGTGGGTCTGAACCCTCTGGCTTCAGAGAGAGTGCCTGTGGGGCACCAGGTAATCCGAGACTGCAGCTCAGAGATTACTCCAGCAAAGGGTCAGGTAGGTGTGAGCCCTCCATTCAGAGAGAACTCTCTGCATTTTTTACCTTCTTTTATTTCATTCTTATTTAATAATCATTCTTATTTCATTAACTTGTATTTTAACTAAATGTATTTTTTCCTCTGTTAAAATTGTTTTTTGTTTACTTTGGAGTTCTTCTTAAATTGAATGTTACTTCAGTACAATATTTTAATTTATTTTCAGTATATTTTAAAGCCAATGCTTTTGAGGCTATAAATGCTCCTTAGAGTATTTTTTGGCCATATCTTATAGGTTTCGATAAATAATGTTCTGAATTACATTTCCTTTTAAAGAGCCTTTTTACCTTTGATTTCTTTTTAAATCTAAATATTATTTTGAAGTTTTTTATATTTTTAAATGTTAACCTTATTTTGGGGAGAGAGGCTATTCCTTTCTTCTTTGTTTCTGGGTTATTCTACATATGGAGTTGTTATAATTTTTCCTCTTTCAAAATTATGCGTTTAAATTGCATGCGTTCTGAGTAATACGATGAAATCTGGTGCCATCTTGCTGTGTCTCACTGGGGAGGTGAATCATCTCTTTGTGCAGGTATCCACACTGCCTCTGCTACCTGCCCGTTGGTCACTCACTCATTGTTCTGATGATAAGATCGACAGATCACAAGAAGGGTGAGTACAGTACAGTAAGATATTTTGAGAGACCACATTCACATAACTTTCATGAGTATATTGTTATAATTATTCTGCTTTACTATTATTGTTAATCTCTTACTGTGCCAAATTTGTACATTAAATTTTATCATAGGTGTGTATGTACAGGAAAAAGCAGTATATAGGGTTTGGTGCTATCCAAGGTTTCAGGCATCTGCTGGGGGTCTTGGAACAAATCTCCTGGGGATAAGGAGGGGGTACTGTACACTGTAGAATTTTATAAAATTTTTATTTATTATTTATTGTTTTTGGTAGAAACAATGTCTCCATATCTTTGTCTGTTTTCTATTTCTAGCTATACAATCAAGTTTGTTAGTTTTATTATTTACACCCTCGGTCTTTTGTGCTCTTGCTTCTTTCAATTTCTGACATGTTTGTTAAAATCCCATCCAGTTTTTGGAGGGAGATAAATACTTGCACATCTCTTTTGGGTTCTTAGTCCACTGGGAGCACAGCTGGATGAGTCCTAAGAACAGAGGTGGTTTTATTATGGAAAAGTAGTCTTGTGCTTAAGGGAAAAATGGAATTTCCTTTTCCTTTTCCTTCTTCCCCAAATTGGAGATTCTTGGTCCTGCAGACTGGATGACTAAGGTGCTCAACCAGCCAAAGCCTGGGAGTGAGGAGCATGAGAAGAGCACCAGCTTGGCCTCCCAGAGGCAGCAATGTGCCCAGCCCTGCAATGACAAAGCACAGGCAGGTCCTGGAAGCTGCAGGAGAAAGTAGAACATGCCCTCCCTGCTCACCTTTTAATGTGGGGAACTCAGTAACGTGGTCACGAGAATCCAATAGAAGTCACCTTCCCTGTGTTTTCCGGGTCAGAGAATTCCCTTCTGGATAGAGACCTGCACGTGAGGGAGTCTCCAGCCAATGGCTGGAGTGGTGTGCTTACCTCTCTAGAAATGTGAGAAGCAGGCGATTAGCAGGCCTCTGTGACAACTCTGATACTGTTGTCTTTCTTAATTTCAATCCTGTATGTGTTTGTGTGTAAGATTTTTGTATTAACAATACATTTAAGTTGACATAATTTGCCTTTTGAAGGGAAAACTTAGCCCAGTAATAGTTATTATAATCAGTGATATATTTGGAATTATTTATACAATCGCTCTAATTTTTTGACTTCTATTTAATAGACTTTATATCAAGAAAGAAGCAGTATAATAGTTAAGGGTGGGGGTTTTGCATTCAAATTCTAGTTCTTAAAGTTACTAGAAAGGCCATCATAAGAAAACCGCTTAATCTTTCTGCATCTAAGGCTTTTTGTCTTTAAGATGCACAACTCATAGGATAGTGAAAGAATTCTTTGATATTTATAAAGTGTTCAGAATAGTGCATGGCACCAAGTAAATGCACCATCAGCTATTACTGTTTACTTTCTTCCCAAATTTTTCCATTTATTAAATTTCTGTTGGTTCTTTTTTCTGATTGGTTTGATTTGAAATTTATACCTCTACTAAGGCTGTCCTCAGAGTTTTAATTAATATATATTTGTTTTATATTAAATGAGTTTTTTGTTTAATTAAAAATAATTTCAAGGCACTGAGATTTATGGTTAAAGTTGCTTTGAATACTACTGAAAACATAAACCAAAACTAGTAGAGAATGGAGAGGGAGAAAATGAACATCTTAAATGAAACAACAGTTTGCCACAACTTCAAAGCAGAAATGATGTAAAACGTTCACTAAATACCATGTCTTTCGACCAACATGAAATGAATGAGTATCATCCATGCCCAGAGACCACATACACCTCCTGGGAACACAGTAAGTACCCCAAACCTCCCAATTGTTGCTGTGACCACCCAGAAGTTGCTTTCAATGAACCCTAGACTAGACATGGTCTAATCCTTGGATGGTTTAATGATGGAACCACTTGGCCGCAGGTGACCCCACTCATCTGTACAGACACTTTAACATCTGTGGAATCCTGCATGAGGTCAAGGCTACTTTGTGTCCGTTGTTGATGCATTTGCTAGTACAATCCTAGTGCTCCACTTTACTGACTTCCTTTATGTGATGAAAGAAAAACCACCACATTGCCTCCCTTTCTGAGAGTTCACTGAGGCAGAAATAGCCCCAGTTGAGATGTGTTTGTAAGGAATAAATTTAATGCATTGTCTTGGCAGGAAGCATTTTCTTGGTGCCACTTTCCTAGGTGGGGTTTCTTCTTGCAGACTGTGGCTTGAAGTTCCAGAGCAGAGATGCACATTACTGTCTACCGCTGAAGTGAACTGCTGCCCCTCTGGAGTCTGGATATCATCAGAATGAAAAAGGTTCAGCACTTTTTTTCAGGAGCAGTAAATCACACCCTTTGTGAGGCGTACATTCAGTCTGCTTGCCTCTCTTTCTTCTAGAAGTGATGAAGCAGAGTGATGCCTTTGTCTTAACTCCTGTCGGTGTGGGGAGGGGTGTCTGGGCTGCCAGGACCCTCCCTCCAGGCCCATAGGCCTGCTGGTTCCTGACTGGATTCCAAATGCGCACATGTTCAGAGGTGCACCTTGCCTCCAGCATCCCTTGCATCCCCTCACACCCTCTCTAGAGCACACAGTCCCTTCACAATGCCTCACATCCATGGTTTAAAGCATTGGAGTCTTCTCTGCTTGGCTTCCCCAGGAGTAAGGGAGCATTATCAGATGGGCAGGGCCCTGCAGAGCTTTGTCTTTTTGCACACTCTCCCATCCCAGGTGACATGCTTGGAGCCACCATGCACGTCATTAGGAGGGACTTCCCATGCTCTTGGGAGGCCCAGGAATAGTTATGAAATTGTGTTAACTATAGAGACAAAACTAACAGATATAATATTAGCAGTGATTAACATAGAACATTTATTTGGTATTCAAAAGTTAATTGTGCAAATATGAGAGAGTGAATGTTTTGGAGTTTGTGGCTGTCTTGCAGCTTCAGTGGGAGCAATGACGTCACACATTGCTAACAAGGCCATGATGGGATGCATTAATGCAAAAATGGGGTGTCGATCACAGGAGGCGATGGTCCTATTGTCCTCTGTGCTGGCTAGTTTGTCTGGAACTTTGTAGTCTCATTGTCCATTGCATTATAGAAAGAACCTTAAAAGTGAGTATATGAGACAGTGGTAACATCTTGAGGGATCTAGAAACCATGCTGTTTGAAGACGAGTGGAAGAACTGTCTAATCCCACAGCGCTGTCTAAAAAAAGACTGGAGGAAAACGGTTACTGTCTCCAGATGTTTAAAGGACTGCAACAAGGCAGAGAAAACAAACCGATTCTGTGTAATCACCATAGGGTAGGACTTTGATCTGTAGGTGGATGTTGCTGGGGGCAGATTTTATTTCATTCCAAAGAGTAGCTTTTGAACAGCCCTGGGGGCAGCCCTGTGGGAAAGTGCTTACCATGTTGCCCCAGATGCCCAAGCCAAGGCTGACTGCCCTTCTTCTGGAGCTTGGGTGGATAAATGTGGGGTGTCCTGCCTCTGAGTGCAGGGGCTCTGCAGCTGTAGGAGGAGGCAGTGGCATGGCTCCCACGTCTGCAAGTCTTGGATGGGAAGGGCGGCCTGGACCAGCTGTACTCCTGGAGGGCACAGGCCTGCCAGCTGCCACAGGGGATGTTTGTCCAGCTTTGGGGCTCAAGCTGATGAAGTAGGCCTGGGGTTTCACCTGCAACCTCTCCTGCACTCCTGACATCTGAAGGGAAGGCCCCAACCCTGAGACTCAGACAGTCTGTCCACACCCTGAGGACGAGGCGGAGGACGAGCCGTCTTGGCTTGAGGATGAAAGACAGGGTGGAGCTAGGGATTGGGCTAGGCGCTCTCCTTCCTGGGGGTCTTTTCTGTTTGTGAAGCCCATTCCCATGAACGGGTGCTGTCCTCAGCATGGTAGGAAGCAGCTCTAGTGTTTAGAGTCCAGATGAGTCATTTGCCCAGCCAGTCCAGCAGGAAGCGCTTGGGCCGGTGCATTGGGCCGGTGTGTTGGGCTGGCCGGGTCCACCTTGACCACTGGGGGCTCTGCAATCACCTGCTAGGCTGGTTGGTGGCACCCAGCAGGGTTCAGGGGCCTACTCATCACACACGTGCCTGTCATGTAAGCTTTCAGCAGTGAGTCCCTCCCACGCCCTGTCATACAGGTACTGCTTTTTATAGGAAAAGGGGAAGCAGAAGGAAAAGAAAACTGGTGATAAATTTACTAATGAAAAAATCAAGTTCCGAGGGAATCCTGAAGTTAGTTTTCATTCTTTTCAATTAATATACACCTTTATTTTGTCTGCATTTTTAACTTTCGATTTTATATAATTTTATACTTTACGAAAAAGGTGAAAAAAAGCATAAAGAATTCCCATATACTTTTCGGTTCAGATTTCCTAGATGTCAATTTCTCAGGCCATCTGAGTACAGGGAACAACATCAGGAAATTAACATTGATAGAACATTCATCTAATCCATAGACTTTATGCAGATTTTACCAATTGTCCCATGAATGGCCCTTTCCTGATCCAGGATCCAACCCAGGTTTACAAGATGAATTTAGTGGTCATGCTCCTTAGCCTTTAATCTGGGAGAGTCTTACCTACACCTTTGGCAAGTTCATTTCTACAGAAGGAGAACTTATCCATTCAAGAAATGCCGAGTGTTTACTAAACCCTGTCTGTAGCCTGCTAGGAATGAACATCACATTGAAAAGTACTGACACCATCCCTGCCATTGGAGGGCACTCCATCTAGTGTTGAACACAGACAAGCAAACTAGCAGTATTCACAAAGAATGACAATTACTCTATGGGGGTGAGAAGGGAGCATATAGGTTGAGCAGGGGGACATCTAATCCATATAGGCTGGGAGGGCAAACACCTAATCCAATTTGGAAAGAGGCAGGAATGGATACTTAGAAGAGGCAATATTGGAGTTGAGGTCTTTGGGATGAGTAAGAGTTATTCAGGCTGGGAGAAAGATTTTGCTGGCGTGAAATCATGCAGGTGGTGGCAATGACATTAGTGAAAGCCCAGTGGCATGGGACCTCTTCTCTGGTCACTAAACTAACGTGCATTCTAGAGACTAAACATGAGATATAAGACAGAGGAAGCAGAAGCCACAGGTTTTGGAGATTGGTAGGAGGGAGAGGGTGAAGCATAGGGCGATGGAGAGGGTGATGATGGAGAGGGTAGTAGAGAGGATGATAGAGATGGTTGCGGAGGGATGGTGGAGAGGGTGATGGAGAGGGTGTTGGAGAGGATGATGGAGAGGGTGGTGGAGAGGGCAATGGAGAGGGTGGTGGAGAGGGTGATAGAGAAGGGTGGTGGAGTGGGGAGGGTGGGTGAGGGGCACAGTGAGAAGTGAAGCCCAGGCTTTGGCACTGAGTGGAAGCTGGTGTCATTCTCTAAGGCAGAAGACACATGGGAGGAATAGTTTTGAGGATGCGTTTGCACTGAAGTGTTTGGGTAATTTGAGTAAAGTTAGAGCATGAAGCTGAGGTTCTCTTGGTCCCCATCCCACAGCTTATGCCATGTTCTCAACTCTTTTCAACCCAGCAAGTCTTCATGGAGAAACTAGTAAAATGCAGACAGGTACTCCTGAGATGCAGGCTGAGTGCCATGGTCCCTGCCCTGGGAGCAGCCAGGGCCACCCACTATGGGCAGACCACATAATAAAGGTTGCCCAAGGAGACCCAAGCCTGGTCAGTGATGGCTCAGGAGAGCACCATAGATGGGGAACTGTCCCACCATGCAGAGCAGTGTGCTGACAGCGATGGAGCAGATGGCCAAGCCAGAACCGGCACTTGGCTGGGATTCCAAATGCCAGGGAGTGGTGGAAGCACATCCATTCCTCTGACCTGTTAGAGAAGGGCTGGGAGGAGCTCCTTCTAAATGGAAGCCACTCTGATAGCTTCCATTCTCCCATTTCTCTATGGGGGAAGTGGGGGCTCTGAGAGGGTAAGCGACTTGCTCAAAGCCACACAGGTAGTAAGTGCAGAGCCAGGACTTTGACAGAGATCTAAAACTAAAGCGCCTGTTTCTTCCCCTGTTCTATGCCCCTGATATCAAATGAAAACTCAAGTCTAGTCTGAGCAACTGTTGAAATCCATGGATGAGGTGAGAGAATGTCTGGATGGAGGTTGCAACCCTGGAGTTGTCACTGGCACCAGAAAAAGCCCTGTCCATCATCAGGAAAAGCCCTTCCCTACAAGCCCCGCAAGAAGAAATAGGAAGATGAGGCCTAATTCCAGGGAATGGGATTAAGGCCTGGCAGGGAGGGCAGTTACGCCAGCCCTGGCCTGGTGGCAGGACTGACCTTGGGCGAACAGAATGCAGCCAGGACAGTCAATGGCACCAAGAAGCGTCAGGCCAGATCTGGCGCGAGGCTTGGCCCTGATGCATCTTCCTTTTCCCCAATTCCGGATCTTTTTCTTGATTGACTGGGAGGCTGCTGGCGAGGCTCCAGCTGGGGCCTAGTTCTAGGGCATGGTGTTGATGTTTATAGAGGCTGTCTCTTCCCTTCTGACCCCTGCTCACCCTGTTTGCAGACCTGCTTTACTCGGACTGGCTGGGTTGGAAGCACTTAAGAAGAGGGGCTCTCAGCTGGATTCTTCCTCAGAGAGTCAGAAGTCTGCTCCGCCCCTCAGTCCACCAGCCTCTCAGCAGCTCAGCTGGTGGGGGAAGTCCAGGCAGCCAAGGGCAGTGTGGCTTTCCTGACTCCTCCAGGATGGGGCGGTAAGAGCAGAGGAGAGAGTGCAGGACTTGGAATGTGAGACCTGGGGCAAGTGATAGGCCCTGTTGCTCATCTGCTAGGATTAGAACTGAGGAGTTGGCTGCAATCAGGGAGTGTTAATTGATCTTGAAGGTCATCTGCCCAACCTATCAGCACTCTGTCTCTTCTCCACTCTTCTGGAGGCCCCAGAGGTCCCAGCTGAGCAAACCCACAGTCCACAGATTGGTACGAAATCTGCACTCATAGCCTGATTTGAGACCTGAGAGGTGGGAATGATGGCCAGTCTATAGAGGGACATAATCCAGGCTGGGTCAGGGTGTGTGCACTCCTGCTGTCGGAGAGCCTGGGAATCCAGCCCCAGCAAGCTTGCAGCCACAGAGAAGGAACACAGACAAGAAGCAAACCACTTCCCAGACATCCATGGACCACCACAGTCCATTCCAAATGGCTGGGCAGCACCTCTGAAGAATGAGTCTGGGGTCCCGCACTTATGACCCAAGGGCGGAAGTGAGCCAAGTGAAGATTCTTTGTGCTAAAATTTGCTTTGTGCCTTGGGAAAAGAACCTTGGGCTTCGCGGATCCCATTGTATCATGTGGCCTTGGCAGCTCTGGGAGATATTTTCTCTATTAAGCACACCAACAGCTGCTGATTTTGGCTAAGGTTTTCTTGCTCACTTCTTGGGAGAAAAGATGCTCAGCTGTCTACAAGAGCTACCAGTGGAAATCAAAAGCAAAAACACAGAACAGATGGGCCCGCAGGATGAAACCCTGAGGGGGGACGTGGGTTCCCATCCTCAGAGAAAGCTGCAAACCTCTGGCGGGTACAGTGTTCTCTTCTCCTCATGCCCAGGCTTGGCCTAGTGTGCTCACCTCTGTGCTGCAGGGCTGTGTGGATGTGTCTCAGGGCCTCTCCCACCCGACGTTTCAGGACATGAGACATAGGGGGACCGAGGATTTCTATGAGGGGACAGTGAGTGAGGAAACAAGGACAGGGACATTTCTTGGATCAAAGTATTTCACCCAACATCACATTACCAATTCTACTAAATGATTCCTTCCTTTCCGTGTCAATTTCTCCATTAATAGGTTCTGATTGGAGACAACCAAAATAACAGTTAACACTTGTGTTATTGTTTGCTAGTGCCAGGCACTAGTGTACAGATTTGCAAGAGCACACTTAATCCTCCCATTACTCTTGAGCTATATTCACTTTGCTAAGAAAGTTGAGGCTCAGAGAATAATAATTTATCCAAAGTCGTAGAGTTAGTAATTGGCATTACTGGTTTGTCTACCACCAAAAATTACTTAAATTCCAGGATAGACTGCCTTTCTGGGCAGACTGATGCCATAGGTTATGACTAACCTGTGAAGACAGAGACTTGTTTTTCATTAATTTAATACATATAAATATTAGTAGAAGCATGTATGTATACACACACACACACACACACACACACACACACAGAGCAAACCTTACTCAGCAGAAATGTATGTTCAATTCCCCTCTCAGTCAAAGAAACAAAAGCAAAGATGGCCATACAATCAAGAATCTCCAAACACTGGCAAGAAATCAACATCATTAAAAGGACATGTTGAATACATTAAAATTTCAAATTACATGAAGAAGATATCGCAATAGTAAAGGAAGTTTAGAAAATCAAGAAATTAAGAATAAGCGTAGTTAATATTAACATGTATAACATCACAGAAATGGATTGGAGTATTTTATATATAAATTAAAGCAAAAACTTTGAGATCTGGAGGGAAAAAAGATAAATGAAGTAAAAATAGTGGATTAAGGAACAGAATAAACATAGCTGAAAACTGAATTTGTAAACTGGGAAATGACAACAAAGAATTGTCGTAAAATGTATCCCCAAAGGACAAAGAAATAGAAAATATTAAAGAAACATTGTGAGACAAAGTGGATTTATCAGAGAGTTCCAAATTCCATCTAATAGGACTTGAAAAAGAAAAAGAAATGAGAATTGAAGGGAGAAAATAAATAACAGAAGACTTTTTTCTTTTTTCATAAATGAAGACATGAATCCTCAAATAGAAATAGCTCACTGGGTGTTAAATAGGATAACTGTAACAGACAAACCATAAGCACACCGTGTGGTGACATTTCAGAAAACCAAGAATGAAAAAGAAGTTCTAAGAGCTAACGAGGCAAACAAAAAATACTACAGGTTGTCTATAAAGAAATGCATACCAGATTGGAATCAGGGTTCTTAAAAGCAAGAAATTTCTGAAAGCAATAGATCAGTATCTTTAAAATTTTGTAATGTGTTATTTTGAGCTAGAATTCTAATCCAAGCCCCCAAAATTACAAGGTTAAAAATAGTTGTTTTAAGCAACTTTGAGCCCTTTTTTTTTAAGGACCCGAAGTTTACTAATCATAAGCCCTATTATCAGAAATTTCTGGCAAATCTATTCAAGCAAACTAAAACAAAAATATCAATAGTTAAACTGAGGAAGACTTGGGATGTTGGAAGTAGTGGTTAGCTAAATAAACAGTTAATTACTGATTCTAAAAAAGTATTGATTTTTAAGATAATTGTGATAAAACCTGGAATACATAATCCCCAATTATTTCATAATAGAATGGAGTCTCAAATATTGTTCTCCATGAGCACTGAATGTTTTTGATAACGAAAAACAATTAGTTTTAGTGACTCCTTTTTCTCAAGCTGTTTGTTCTGACAAAAAGACCAATTTTGTATTTGAAACTCAGAGCAGGCTTCTTCCCTTCAGTCACGATCTTGCCTTTTATCTCAACTGAGATGCTAAAAACAAATTCAATAAGAAAACAAGAAAGATCTCTTAGAAATTAAAAAAAAAAAAGATTTTGATTTAAAAACATTAGGCCAGGCGCGGCGACTCACGTCAGTAATCCCTGCACTTTGGGAGGCTGAGGCAGGTGGATCACTTGAGGTCAGGAGCTTGAAACCAGCTTGGCCAATATGGTCAAACCCCATCTCTACTAAAAGTACAAAAACTAGCCAGGCTTGGTGGTGTGCACCTGTAATCCCAGCTACTTGGGAGGCTGAGGCAGGAGAATCTCTTGAACCAGGGAGGTGGAGGTTGCAGTGAGCTGAGGTCATGCCACTGCACTCCAGCCTGGGCAACAGATCGAGACTAAATCTATAAAGAAGTGGTAGGTAAAGAGGTAAAAAACACAGAAGGCAGACAAAAAGGCATAGTAGTGATTAATGGAAAATAGCTAGATGCAAAATTAGAGGCTGGGCATGGTGGCTCACACCTGTAATCCCAGCACTTTGGGAGGCTGAGGCGGGCAGATCATGAGGTCAGGAGTTTAAGACCAGTCTGACCAACATGGTGAAACCCCGTCTCTACTAAAAAATACATAAAATAGCTGGGTGTGGTGGCATGCTCCTGTAATCCCAGCTACTCAGGAGGTTGAGGCAGGAGAATCGCTTGAACCTGGGAGGCAGAGGTTGCAATGAGCCAAGATCTCACCACTGCACTCCAGCCTGGGCGACACAGAGAGACTCCATCTAAAAAAAAAAAAGAAAAAATAAAAAAGAAAAAAAATAATTAGAGATTCAATTCAGAAGAACAGTATCTAACTAAGAAGTATTCCAGAGAACAGAGAAAACAATCAGAAGGAAATTATTGGAAAAATAATACTGGACAAACGCCCAGAACCAGTAGGCTTGAGATTTCAGATTGAAAAACCTTTGTGTATGCAGTATCATAAATTCACATAAATGAACAAAAAAAAATCTACCAGTGATACCATTGTGAAATTTCAGAAACAAAACATGATACTAAAACTGAGAAAGGTGAGAGAGAAAGAGAGAAAATAAACACAGCTAACATGCACAGGATTAGGATGAGAGGTGCTGACTTGATAGCAATGTTGGAAGTTGGAGGGCAGTGGAAAGCAATGCTTCTACAAGCTTGGGAAAATACAGATATTTTCAGACAAGCAAAGATTCAAACCACAATAAATTCCTGTATAACAGAGGGTAAATCCTTTCACCTTACAGGTCTTTTCTTTTATTCCTTTGCTAGGAAAGGATAACCATGCTGTCCCATTTACTTCACAGAGTTTTAGAATTAACTGGACCCATATCAAGTGTCAGTGTAGTACAGAATCTGTTTTGTGGGAACCTGGAGAAGTCATCAGTTTCAAGAGGTGGAAGGGAATGATGCCTGGGCCCTTGTTCAGTTAGAGAAAATCCACCTTGGAAACCATTTTCTGAGCATTTCCTTTGTGATTTTTGTTTGCATATTGTGAGTTTCTTGTCCTTAAGTAACTCATTTTACTTTGGAAAACAGATACGTGTTTGGAATATGGCACATACTGTGTATGCCACATACTTCCTCTCTTCAGCTGAAGAAATTGTTCAGTGGGGACAAAACTCCTGTGCATGTAATTCTCATGTACCAAAGCAGCCAGAGGGTGTGTTCAAGCCATATAAAGTTAAGAGCCAAACAGAGTAGAAAACATAATTTTTCAACCCAGGAAAAGAGTTCCCAACAAGTTATTAAAACAAAGAGGAAGAGCAAAAAAGAAGACTAAAGGCATGAAACCAGGTGAAGAATAACTAGGAAGATGAGGAACCAGGGAGAGAAGAGGGATATCAAGTATAGGAGGAATGCAGGATGGCTGTTCAGGATAAATGTTCAAGCCAGGGGCTCTTGCCAGGGGCACATGTCTATGCAGTGCAATGCATGCATGATCTTTCTTATGTAAAGGCTGGAGCATATGAATACAGTCTGCTATCTTTGAGTAAGGCATTCATCTCCATGATATTTGAACAATTCGGTCACTTTATTCAATTAGAGAAGAGATCAGAAATATATTTATAAGAGACTAGTGTGCAGACCAGTGTGGAGCTGGCCCAGAAAGGCAGAATGGAAAGGTGAAACCAAAGCTCAGGAGAGCTGGCTGAGTGCAGAAAGGGTAAGAGTTATGAAAGATGGAGCCAGGACAACATATTCCAGCATGTGCAGCCTCTGTGTTCAGTGCAGGTGCATATCTGGCATGATCCAGGTGTACCCTTGTAGGAGAGGACACTTGCGAAGAGCCCCATAAGGTAACGTCACTGAGGAAAGAATATGAAGACCATAGGATGGGCTTCAAAGATAATCACGGTAAGACTTGAAGGGATGGGAAACTTGATCAGGAAGAAAATGTAGAGTCCTGGGATAGTTCAGCCTGGAGGAAAAGACTAAGGAAAAGTTTACTACAGACAATGAGATACAGGAATTTCACACAAGATGGCTGCTACCCTTCTATGAAGGGAAATGGATCTATGTTAATAGCAAAAAGCAATTCAATTATTTATTCTTAAAAGAAAAACTTTGGACAAAATAAATTTAACAGATTGTATTTGAGCAAAGAATGATTCATGAATTAGGCAGCGTTCAGAACCAGAAGAGGTTCAGAGAGCTCCACTCTATATGAGAAGTGAGCATTTATAGACAGAACCTGGAAGTAAAGCACAGAAATAGTTCGATTAGTTAGCCATTGCCTTATTAGGGCGTGGCCTTATCAGTTGGCTGCCTGTGATTGGCTGAAGCTTGACTGCTTGACTGCTTATGTTGGCTGATATCTGGCTGTTTGTTACAACAAACTTAAAAATTATACTCCTAAATTAGGTTTCGGTTTGTTTATACGCTAAGTTGCAGTTTGTTATGTAGGAACTCAAAGTATGGAGATAGCCTTGGGTCAAATTTAACACTGTACATATAGAAAAGTTATATACATAAAAAAGTATATGTTTTATATATATAAAATATATGATTTATATATAACACATATCATGCTATATATGTAACATGTACTATGTAACATATATACTTATATATAAGATAGTAGAAGATTTTAAGTCTATATCAAATATGAATGGGTATTGTGGTATAAAACATAAACTTGTAGTTTTCCAGCAAATAAAGTTGGATATGATTATGATGAGTGATATCAGATATATGAGCAGATAAGTACAGATTATTGTTTCTTTATTTTTTATTGAGGTGAAATTCACATAACATGAAATAGAAGCATTTTAAATTGAACAATTCAGTGGCATTTAGTGCATTCACAGTGTTGTGCAACCATCATTGCTATCTAGTTCCAAAACATTTTCATTACTTCCAAAGGAGACCCTGTATTCATCAAGCAGTCACTCCCACTTCCTCTCCTGCCTTTTAACTTGAGAATTGTATTGATTTGCATTTAATATAATTCTTAATAGTATATGCATTATCTCAGGTCCTATTTGTTTGCTTTACAACACTTACAACAATGTGCAATTACTATACTGTCATTGATTTCTTATATTGGCCATGCCTGTCTCCCTAGTGGGCTGTAAGCTCCCTGAGGACAAGGGCCTTCCAAGTCTTGTTCACTGTTACACCCCCAAAAACCTCACTTGGTGCTTTCCTCAGGAAATTGATTTGAGTGAACTAATGTGAAAGGACTCAGTAAACTGTATATCGATGTGAACGAAATGAGAGGTATTTATTATGGAATGGATAGAGAGCAGATGCCAAGGAAGCTGGTGATTGTATGATGCTGATTTCAAGAAAGTGTGAATGACAAATATGCTACCTGGGTCCCTATTCCCACAGCGAGTGTCATGGGCAAAGCGAGGAGTCCAGCAGGATGGACGCTGTGTGGTTTCTCAGCTGGAGCGCAGCAGGAGCAAGCGTGGAAACATCCTTCTTTTCTCTTCTCCCCTCCCCTCCCCAAGTGCAAATGGAACCTGTGAAATATGGCTTGATTTTGAGGCTTCTAATTCTTCATTGCACTCCCAGACCCTTCTTTTATCTCTGGTGGCAGCCCTGAGAATAAATCTCTTGGTCACATTCTTCAATCAGTTTCTCCCAGAGAAAAGGTTAGGCTGCAAGGATGATAGGAACCAGACTTCAAATGGGTTTCCAGGAGCTGAGGGAAGGAAAGGTTTTTCCTACAGTTTCTCCAGCCAAGGGATTAAGAAAAGGATGGGGTCATAGAGCAACAGCAGTAGAAGGTGGCATTCCAAGACTTTCTCCAGGACTCCACCTAAGGTCAGTTTCTCGTCACTCATACCTGTTTGTCTTTTGCCTGGCCACCATCAATGTAGAGTTAAGAACCAGGAGGCAGGAACATGCTCCCCAAGTCACAGTCTGCCTCCCACATACTGCAGTTTGATTACAGCATCCTGCCTCTCCACAGGAGGAAAGTGGTGTCATTCTCCAGAACCAGGTGTGGATTGTGATCAGACCTAGAATTGGCTAGGTAAAAAGCTTAAGAGAGAGATTCCATGTCCTGCAACACTGTCCACAATTCAAATCTGTATTCAAAATAAAACTAAAAGCAGAGAAAATCCACAGCAGACCTACCACTCTCCAGGCAGATAGTGCCCTCTCCACAATCTGCAGCCATCAACTGCCTCTGCTGGACGCTGCCCAGAGAGAGACCTGCTGCTGCAGAGCAGCTCTGTGTCAGCCACTGCGGCCTTAGAGAGAGCTGCAGGAAATGGGACTTCTCACGTGCTCTCCACAGTGGAACCACAGGTCAGCAGCTGAATGGAGCCTCTACCCTCTGGATGCCTTTCTTGTCACTTAGTATTCTTTTTTTTCTCATTCTGGTACTTTATCTGCTGGAAACTTTCAAATGTATTACTAATGTCCTTCCAAACAGACTCCACATGGGAATTTTCATGATATCTTGGCTATATTTACACAAAGATTAGCTTGCAGGAAACACAAAATAAGTATGCATAAATAAATGAGTGGCTCAGCACACCAGAATTGTGTGTCCAGCTCCATCATTGACTGTTCCATCAAAGAGATTGCCCGAATTCCTCTTTTGAGGAGAATGACAACACTTGACTGCGTATTCAGACTCTTCTGAGGCTCCTCAAATATACACACTCATTGAATAGAGCAAGGCCTGAATCCTGGCTTAAAAATTCACTAATGGAATTTTAAGGCCTTCCTAAGGTAGTAGACTAGAAAGAAATTCAGTTTTCCCCAAATTTACTGCTTCAGTTTATGCCGAGCAATTCGGTGAGTGTATTAAGCCATTTTGAACAGCTGTAAGGAACTATGTGAGACTGGGTAATTGACAAATAAAAGAGGTTTAATTGGCTTATGGTTCTGAAGATAGGAAAAGAAGTGTGGTGCTGGCATCTGCTTCTGGTGAGGCCTCGGAAGCTTCCACTCATTGTGGAAGGTGAAGGGGGAGCAGGCATCTCACATGGTGAGAGTGGGAGCAAGAGAGAGAGGGAAGAGGTGTCACACACTTAAACAACCAGAGTTTGTGAGAATTCACTTATTATCAAGAGGACAGCACCAAGGACTTCATGAGGGATCTGTCCCATGACCCAGAAACCTCCCACTAGGTCCTACCTCCAACATTGGGTATTACATTTCAACTTGAGATTTGAAGGGGACAAACATCCAAACTCTATAACTCCTCCCCTGGCCACTTAAATCTCATGTTCTTCTCACATTGCAAAATACGATCCCCCCGCTGCCAACTCTTCTGTCTTAACTCATTCCAGCATCAAGCTAAAAGTACTAAGTCTCATCTGAAGCTCATCACTAGGCAGTGCCCCAGTGGGGACTTGGCATGTGGACTCCAACCCCACATTTCCCTTCAGCATTGCCCTAGTAGAGGTTCTCTGTGGGGGCTCTGCCCCTGCAGCAGGCCTCTAACTGGGCACCCAGGCTTTCTCATATAGCCTTTAATATCTAGGTAGAAGTTGTCAAGCCTCCTTCATTCTTGCATTATGTGCACCTTCAGGTTTAACACCACATAAGCCACCAAGGCATATGGATTGCAGCCTCTGGAGTGGTGGCCTGAGCTATACCTGGGGACTTTTGAGCTGCAGCTGGAGCTGGAGCAGGCAGGATGCAGGGAGCAGCATCCCAAGCCTGTGGAGGGCAGTGGTGTCCCAGGTCTGGCTCCTGAAACCATTGTTTTCCTCCTAGGCTTCTGGGCCTATAATGGGGAGTACTGCTTTCAAGATCTCTGAAATGCCTTTGAGGTCTTTTCCCCATTGTCTTGGATATTAGCACTTGGCTCTGTTGTAGTCATGCTAATCTCTCTAGCAAGTGGTTTCTCTGCAGCCTGGTTAAATTCTCTGCTACATGGCCAGGCTGCAAATTTTCTAAACTTTTATGCTCTGCTTCCCTCTTAAATATAAATTCCAACTTTAAGTCATTCCTTTGCTCCCTTATCTGATTATAGGTTGTTGGAAGCAGCCAGGTCACTTCTTGAACACTTTGTTGCTTAGAAATTTCTTCTGCCAAATACCCCAAGTCATCACTCTTAAGATCGGGCTTCCCTAGATCCTTAGGACATGAATACAATACCACCAAATTATTTGGGAGAGTGTAACATGGGTGACCTTTGCTCCAGTTCCCAATAAATTCCTCATTTCCATCTGATACCTTATCAGCCTAGCCTTCACTATCCATATTTCTATCACTATTTTGGTCACAACCATTTAATTAGTCTCCAAGAAGTTCCAAACTTTCCCTTATCTTCTTGTCTTCCTCTGAGCCCTCCAAACTCTTCCCACCTCTGTCAGTTATCTAGTTCTAAAGTTGCTTCCACATTTTCAGGTATCTTTATAGCAGTGCCCTACTCCCCAGTACCAATTTTCTGTATTAGGCCATTTTTGCATTGCTGTAAAGAAATACCTGAGGCTGGGCAATTTATAAAGAAAAGAAGAAGTTTAATTGGCTCATAGTTCTACAGAGAGTACAGGAAGTGTGGTGCTGGCATCTGCTTTTGGTGAGGGCCTCAGGAAGCTTACAATCATGGTGGAAGGTGAATGGGGGAGCATGCATGTCACATGGTGACAGTGGGAGCAAGAGGGCAGGGGGACATGCCACACACTTTTAATTGGCTTATGATTCTGAAGATAGTACAAGAAGTGCAGTGCTGACATCTGCTTCTGTTGAGGCCTCAGAAGCTTCCACTCACGGTGGAAACAACCCGGTCTTGTGAGAACTCACTCACTATCATGAGAACAGCACCAAGCCATTAATGAGGGATCTACCCCCATGATCCAAACACCTTCCATTAGGCCCCACCTCCAACACTGGGGATCACATTTCGACATGAGATTTGGAAGCGATGAACATCCAAAGCATATCAGTGAGTGAATATAGATTGAAGAGAAAGAAACATATATTCATTCTAAAGTTACAGAAACAAACTTTTGTTCGCCTTGTTTTCATCGACTTCTTTTGGATTACAGTCTAGTGAGTTACATTTATTTGTTTTAGTTTAAAATACCCATATTCATTTATATGGTAAATACTGGTCTCTACTGAATGTCATTGATATTCCTCTTTTAGTCTATCAAACTTACCTAAGAAATTTGTATGTGTCTTTTCTATAACTTGCATTGAAAGATGTTAACTTAGTGGTCATTAATACATAATTTCCCAAATGTGCAAAAGCTTAGGTAAATGGTTAATATAATGTTTGAGCATTAAGTGTGGGTACATGGATATTCAGGGTGCTCTCCTGGATTTAACCCAGATGTGTTTCTATGGATTTATACTAATAAATCTGCTCTCTGTGAATCTTTAAGTAACCATTTTCAAATCTTCCAGCTCTTGGAGAAGGGAACTATCTTTTATTTTTCTAACTCACTGTTTTTCTAGCTGTGTTTCAGTTGCTGTGTTCTTTCAAGGTTCAGCTGCTTTTGGCTTTTTAGGTTCTTGAATTTTTCGTCTATCTCAGGATTTCCAGATGTTAACTGAGAGTCAGTTGCTTTTGGCTTTTTAGGTTCTTGAATTTTTCATCTATCTCAGGGTTTCCAGATGTTAACTGAGACACTGTATTTCAGGGTGTGCTCTGGGGGACAGGGGTAGGTGTCAAATCTGGACTCTTGTCACTTCTTACTTCCTGCTTTGTAGCTTTCTTAGCTTTATATTTCCTTTGATTTTTCAGGGCTGCTTTTGTTAATGGTTTATCATTTCCTGGTTGGGATTTCTTATTCTGGGGTGATTTCTCTTCATACAGCTTAGAATTGGTGATTGTTTTATTTCTTAAAGCTGGGAGTCTATCAGTCATTGCAAATTTAGGTTCCTAGTTGGGTACTTCACTTGGAACTGCTTGATAAGTTACTGCTTTTGCTGGAAATAGTTCATCCAGAAATGTCTGCCAAGAAGCCTGCCATATTTCTACATTTGGTGACACATCTTACTCATGCAGGATAGGGCTGGTATAATGTCAAAGCTTGTATCCATTATTAACACACAACCTGGGAGCATGTGTGATAGTAAAAGGTGCTCCCATCTAGGTACCTAGCAAAATATGTATGATCAGAGGATACTTGTTTGGAAATAAGTTTGTAGCTTTTAATATCCCACACTCACGTTTGTTCCTCAGATTTCCAAATCCAGTTAGTATTAATATATGGCCACAAGGACCGAATAGGCTGCCTTAGAGCACCAGTTCCAAGGTCAAACACAAGATCACATTTCAAGTTGAAAATCATAGCTTTGGCAGGCATAAAACCATAAATAGCATAAAACTCAGTAGAACCAGAATTCCAAATTATATCATAAATGGGGCTATGTTTTAGTAATTGAACAAATGACAGCACTTTCTCCATTTGTTGCAGTGCAATGCAGCCTTTGTTCCCCATAGCAGGAAGTTCTTCTCTTGTCAACATCTGTTCTCGCTATTACAAGCCAGCAGTGGCTTTTTCATTCCACAGCGTTGTAACCTCATCGGCTTAGAGAAACTGCTGTTGGCTAAAGCTGCATGAGGTCCAAAAAAGTTGGGGTATGAGTATAATACAACAAATGAAAGTACACCCTCACTCCCTGAAACATAGACAGCCCCCTTGTGTGACTGGAGTCCAAGTGATAACCCACAATTAATTTTCTGCAAAGACAATTTACTTGCAATTTTATAAAATCATCGTTTACAAAGAAGTGAACTTTATTGTTAACATTTTGGACACAAAACAGTTTCATCATCTGACCAGATGGATACCAATTTACATTTTTTCCTTGATGAAAGACTTCAAGCACATCCCACTCTCACACGATGGAGTTGCAGGTTGAGTCTCCCAGGAGTGCCATGTGTAGGGAAGTGTAAGGCTGCTGTATTACCAGGACATGGGTTTTTGGTAAGAATTCAGAAAAAAGTGCCTTTGGAGGTGGAAGAGGTGTAGTAAACTCATGTTAGTGACACTGATAATATTTATAATTTTTTTCCTTTGCCCCAGCAAATGAAGCTCCAACTGTTGCTAAAGTTACAGATTTTGTAATTTTCCTGAGATTTCCTTGGAAACACTATGCTTTCTGCAAAACATGGTGGTGCATTCACCACACAGAGTCCTTCTGATCCTCAGCTGGGTTCATATACTGACTGTGGGAACTAGAAGCATCATTATCTCTGAGTCTGTAGCCACATCTTCCAGGAGTGGCATGGACAGCCCCACCTTCTCCTGGAAAACAGTTACCTTTCTTTCCAATCCCCCTTCTTGTCATGAACTGTTATACTGCTGCTGGGTCTCTTACTTGACTAACTTAGGGGAGGTCTGTATATGTGTCCTCCACTCCCTGCTGGAAAGTAATGGGAAATGTGTGAATTCTCCAGGCACACAGCCTTTGCTCTTGCAGTTTCTCTTTGGCCATATGAATAAGCTCGTGATGAATCCTCAGCAGTAGGATTTTGGATTGCAATTGGTGCTCTCTGTCACCACTTTATTGATGTTGGCTGCAGAAACCTCCCCAGTCTTCAGTGGGGTCCAAATGAACCAGAGCGGGAGGAAGGAAATAAACTGTGGTCCCTTCATAGGCTCCTATCAGTTCACACTCAGCACCAAGGCCATCTGGCACCTGACTCACATTCCACAACTGTGTCGTCCACAGAACCTGCGCTCTGGCAGGGCAGGGACTGACATCCCTCCTTCCCTGCCTTACAGCCTGATTCTTCTGATATCCTCATCTCAGAAAGGGTCACCACCATCCTTTACTTGCTCAATCCAATAACCTAAGCAATTGGCTCAAATCTCTATCACTCCCTGTCCACAAAGAGTTCACAGTCAGATCCAAACACACCTCATACTCCACCATGCATGGCTGCTCTTACTGCCATGGCTGTGTCACAGCGATACTTCCTCCCCACCTCCCCTCCTCCATGGCCTCTGCAGTGCTCTCTCTGCTTGCTTTCCCTTTCTCACTTTATTCACTGCATAACAGCAGCATGATCCTCCAAGAAGTAATTCCATCCATCTCCCTGTTCAAGGCCCTAGAACACCACTCATGGCACCTACAGTAGCTTCCCACGCCTGCCATTCCCCACACACCTGTCACTCCTGCTTCCCAGTCTCAGGCTGAGCACCTTTCCCCTGCTGGATCCCCAGCCAGTCCCCCTCTGGTGAGCACAGGCCCCTCCGACCTGGGAGCTCTGCATTGTCCCCTAGGTGCCCTAGGCGTGAAAGCCTTGTCCTGGGTCCTTATGTGATGGCTTCCTTCTTAACCTTCAGATGCTACTTTCTGAAGTAGCCTCTCCCAGGTCATGTCTACCTCATTGCCCTGTTACTACGTTGCCTGGTCATGTGTTGACTGGCCCATTGTCTGTCTTCCCAGGCAGAATGCTGGCTCAGTGAGGGGAGGAGAGAAGTCTTTCTCACCATTGCTCCCCAGCCCTAGCATGGAGCCTGGGACATAGTAGGTGCCCAATACACTTTTGTTAAATGAATTAATTAGATTCTTTCCTTAGCCTTCTGTGTCCAGTGTGGTCAGGAAATAGCTACTGAATGAAAAGGAAATAGATTAATGGATCAATAATGGTGTAATTCTGTTGTAAATCCTGCTGCAAATGCCCCCGACATGCAAGGCAGCTCCTGGGTGTGAAAGCATCTCTTCTCCATTTTTTCCTCCCAGTCATGTTCATGCAGCAGCATTGTTTATAACCAGATTTCCTTTGATCATTTGCAGGACAAGAATTCATCTTGTGTGGGTGGAAAAGATCATGACTCTGGAATTCTAAAATATCTCCCAGATTGATTTTTTTTCACCAAGGAAGCACCTGTGGATGTGGGGCCCTAAATGAGAAAGTTCTGATTTTACACATCTATGATTTGGATGGAAACAAAAGTGAATCTCTGACCTTCTGGTCACCTCTCTGGCTAGCTCTCCCATTCCTGTACATTTACTCCAGGGGGAAAGTGCAGAGGAGGTGGGCCATGCCAGGAAGGGCACAGCCATTGGAGAATCTGAATTAGTGGATTTCAAGCAAAATTAGAGTCTGGGGCTAGGACCACCTGGAAGCTCCTGTGGTCTTCCAGAGCTGACACAAGTGGCAGTGAAAATGGCCTGAAGAAGAGGCAAAGGGACTTGCTACAACAGCCACTGGCACCTGCCTCTGGGCTTGCCTTTTGTCTCCCTTTCCTTGCTCTTTAAACCTGGCTATCCTTACCCTCCCTTGGAGAACACTCCTCCCAAGACTGACTGTAAAGTAAGGCTGCCCCTGCAGAGCCCGAAGATGAGCCTGGCTGAGAAACAAGGAATAATCTCCCGGCTTTCCAGACTCCCCTCTCCCCACTGCTGGTGAAGCTCATGGCTGGTGAAACCTTGGCATGTTTAACCTCTCCATACAAGTAACTCATTGACTGTAGATTTTAGAAGCATCTGAAAATACAAGATAACGTTAAAGTATGCATGTGTGTGTTTGAAAGAACAGATGGGAAAATCCCTTTCCCATAGCTATTAATAACACTTTCCAGGCACTAAAAGAACAACAGCCATAACTCTCACCCATCCAAAAAGTGCTGAGCACAGCACTTTCTTACTTTACACACCTCCTCCCTCCTAATTGCTCACTGGTTGGATTTCTGATCTGATAACTCTATTTAAAAACTGAGTTTTGCGGGAATTTCATCCTTGTCTGAGCTCTTTCTTTTGGCCAAGCTCTTCATCTCTGTAGCTGCCTCTCTTACCCTGTGAAACTGGCCAGGGTGGCACCTACTGCCAGAGGTGCTGCAACCCCAAACAGGGGCATGATTGTCATGTGGCTAGGGCCACTCAATGCAGTTCCAGAACACCCTAACTCCCCCAGAGGAATCGCCATGTGGGCCAAGTCCTGCATCTTCTGGCACTTGAGGTCCCTTCATCTTGTCTCCTGCCACTTGATAGAGGCCTGGTGTCAAATGAGCACTCTGCGAATGCTTATGGAATGAGCATTTTCACCTCTCACCTCTGCTCCCTCTGCTACCAAAGTTCTCAAGGTTCTTGGGTCACATCGTGGCCCTTCCTGGGTTTGAGTCTGAACAAGAACAAGCTGTTCTGTCTGCCCATCTTGCCTTAAGAGCACCCATTTTCCAGTTTCCTGATGCTGAGTCCATGTGTGTTTACCTTTGAAAGGAATCAATTGAAAATCTGCAAAAGGGTTGAAAAGTGGAAAATGGTGGCATAAATAGTCTGAGGCATAAAGGAAATTTTTGATGAAAGGAAGTCAATGGCATTGGAACCAGTGGTTTCCAGGATTCAGCACTGAGATGGGATAGAAATGGATGGGCTTCCCCAGAGAGTGTGAACCACCCCAGCTTGGAATAGTAGGGCTGGGAGCGCTGAGGCCAGGTAGGAAGCAAGTTGGAGGGAATGATTTGGAGGACCACACTAAGACGCTGCCCAAGCTTCACTTGGCTCAGCCTGCAAGCCAGGGAAAAGGAAGATGTGCCTGTAGGCTCTGAATACCAGTGGGCAGAAGCACAGGGTGTCTCAGCTGGCGCAGAGCTGCACAATACACCCAGGAAACACCAACCCCAATTACTCGGCCCTGCAGTGAAACCCTAATTCTTCTGGCAGCTGAGGCAGGATGAGCTAAGTTTGTATGGATGAGGGAAGTTGATCAAAATTTACTATTGAGTGAAAACATGAGTCACAAAAATTATATTTCCATATAGTACACACATGCATGCACAAACAAACATGCACACACACACACACACACACACACACACGCACATCCCTGAAGGGATTTACAACCAAACGAACTCAGGGTTCAGATTCGGAACTGGACTTTCTCTTATGGGTACTGTCTTATTTCTCCTCTCATGCAATGATCTTGTTCCTGATTCTGAGGGACTGGCTGATTCTGATTTCCTGGTGGTCATGCTTTGGGGAAGAAACCTCCAGTCCCCTGACTGTGCATCTCAAACCCTGATTTCCCTTCCAGGACAGTTCCATGTGTGTGCCTGCAGCCAATTTTCTTGATAAGTTGACTATAGCCTCCCAATAGAATCTATAGATTGTCTGTGGGATGTTTGCACTCCGTTGAGCCTGGTTTGATACATAAATGTTTGATTGACCACATAATTTAAGTAATGTCCATATTGTGTCACTGGAGGCCTCTGGGTGGAGGCTGGACCTCAGGGGCCTGTGGAAAGATGCTTGGATTTTCTTCTAAGTTTAAAGGGGACTGGATCTCGGCTGCCATGTCATTACCCTCTTTTACTCAGCCTCTGCATAACCCCTGGTTCTGATGGTGCACAGGTGGGAAGGCCATTGTGCCTCCCTTATTCTGGGCCACAGGAGACACCCGGCTCTGAGCACTCAGCCAGAGGCCTCAGGATCACCCCAGGGAGACTGGCACCCAGCCAGCTCATTGCCTGACTTGGCTGCAGCCCCAGCCTGTCTTTGAGGTATTTAGAAAGCGCAGCATGAATGCCTCTGGCATGGCCCCAGCTGTGGGAAAATAAAATGCGTCATTTCTCAGAGACAAGTTCTCAGTGTCAAGTTCAGTGTCATTCAAGTGGCCCTAATAGAAGACTGTGCTTCCTGTCCAGGGAGTATTGCCCTCCCATGTTGGACAACTGCAGGTGCCACTGTCCAGAGGACACAGGGACAACCTGAGAGACCTGGTTCTGATTTTCTATAAAGAAAATTCATCACCTGAATTTCCACTATTTTAAGACAATCTCCATTGTTAAAAAAAATAAGCTTTGATGCACTGAAATTTCGGAGTTTATTTAAGCAGTAATTCATGAATTGGGCAGCTCCAAACTAGAGTGGTTTGGAACTCCCCAGAGGTAGATGAAAAGCTTTAAAAGGGTGAATATGGAAGCAGAGCAAATAAATTAATTGGTTAAAATTTGAACAATGGCCTCATTTGGACTATGTAGGTGGGAAGTTCAAAGTGATATAACTAATAATGTCCAGTTGGCTGGTGGTGGGCTGAGCTTAAGTTTAATTTTTAAAAAATTAGTCATATATAGGAAATGAGTCTGAGTTGGGTTTCAGGGGTTTGTTTATGTAGGAACAAAGGGCATTGGAGCCACCTCAGTCTAATGGCCTCCCCATTTAATTATTTTAACATCGTTAGTATTCTAGAACCAACCTTTATATTTTAAAACATATATAGAGCACTCTCTCTCTCTCTCACACATACACACATATACACGTGTGTACATATGTATACATATTTATTTTTGTGTATTGATCTTTTATCCTGTGACCTTGCTGAACTTACTTATTCTAGGTTTGTTTGTTTGAAAAATTTCTCAGAACTTTCTATGTAGACTATTATGTCATCTCCCAGTATTGAAAGTTTTTCTTTCCATCCTATGTGCCTTTTACTTTCTTTTCATTCCTCATTGTGCTGGCTGGATTTTCCAGTACTGTGCTGAATGATAGTGGTGAGAGTGGACATCCTTTTCTTGTTCTAGAGCTTAGGTGCAAGCACTTGTCCTTTCACTGTTAAGTATAATAGCTATGGATATTTTGTAGTTGTTCTTTATTTCTAAACTTCTAGTCCTCAGTGGTCCCCTATCCATGAATCATTTTTTTTTGCTCAATTAAACTGTTAAATTTAATTTATCTAAGGTTTTTCTTTTAATAGTTATATCTGAAGTATTTTTGTCTGTTTGTTTTTTAGACTGTGTATAGTTGGGTCATATTTTTGATTTAATTCACCCTGTCAATTTCTGTTTCTGCTTTTCATTTGGTATATTTAGACCATTTACATGCACAATAGTTATTGATCTATTATTCGATCAATATAATATAATGTTGAGGTTATCTACCATTTCATTTTTCATTTTCTGATTATTCTGATTGTTTATCTTCATGTTTTCTTTTTATTCACTTCCTGTGGGTGACTTGAATATTTTTAGAATTCCATTTTGACTTATCTTTAGTGTTTTCTGATATATCTCCTTGCATTTATTTTAGTGATTGCTTAGGTAAATTATATGTACATATCTTATCACAGTCCATTTGGGTTGGCATTGTAGCAGCCTGAGTGAGTTAGAACACTTACCTATTCTTATGCCCCTTTACCCTCCCCCATTCTTAATACAATCATCTTAAATATTTCCTCTACATGTGTTGGGAGCTATACAGACATTATTACAAGTTTTGCTCCAGCGGTCAAACATACATTTGGAAATTCAAGAGGAGTGAAGTCTGTGGTAAAAAAATATTTACCCGTATTTTTGCTTTTTCTGTCATTCTTTCTTCCTGATGTTCCTGTGTCCTTCTTTTATGAATTCTTTTCTGTTTAATGAACTTCCTTCAGACATTCTTTTACAGTAGGTCTGCTGGTGACAGATTATCTTGGTTTTACTTCATCAGAGAATGTCTTGATTTCCCCTTATCCCCTGAATGATATTTTTCACTGGATGTAGAATTCTGAGCTGACAGCTCTTTTCTTTCAGCACTTGAAAAATGTTCCTCTTCCTTCTTGCCCCCGTGGTTTCTGAAGAAAAATCTTCTGTTCTTTGAGATGTTTTTACCCTGTGGTTAAGTTATTCTTTCCCTCTGACTACTTTCAAAAATTTTTCCTTGTCTTTAGTTTCCAGAAATTTGACTATGATGTATTTTAGTATAAATTTCTTTGGTTTTATTCTGTTTACGGTTTGCTCAGCCTCTTGAATACGTAAATTTATATATTTTCCAAATTTGTAAATTTTCTGACATTATATTTTGAATACTTTTTCAGCCCCCACTCCTGTTCTCCTTTCCTTTGGGGACTTCGGTGACACAAATGTTAGACCCTTAGTTATAGTTCCACATGCCCCTAAGTTTATACATAAAAGACATCAGGTATATATATACGTTAAATATAAATATATATATTTAATGTCTCTTCTTTCTGTTGTTCTTTCTTTTATTGGGTATATTCTATTTTATTTTCAAGTTTACAGATTCTTTCCTCTGTTTTCTTCATTCTGCTGTTGAATTCATCCATTGAGTTTTTCTTTCTGCTTTTGCATTTTTTAATTCTAAAATTCCTATTTTGTTCTTATGTTTTTTATTTCTTTGTTATAATTTTCGTTTCTTTTTTTGGGGGGAGGGGGGACAGTCTTGCTCTGTAGCCCAGGCTGGATTGCAGTGGTGAGATCTTGGCTCAATGCAACCTCTGCCTCCTGGATTCAAGCAATCCTCCTGCCTCAGCCTCCCAAGTAGCTGGGATTACAGGCATGCACCACCATGCCTGGCTAATTTTTCTGCATTTTTAGTAGAGACGGGGTTTCACCATATTGGCCAGGCTGGTCTTGAACTCCTGACCTTGTGATCCGTCCACCTTGGCCTCCCAAAGTGCCGGGATTACAGGGGTGAGCCACCACACCCAGCCTCTTTGCTATAATTTTCTATTCTTTTCCAGACATCTTCATCATTGCTCCTTGAAACATTTTTGAGGTGCCTGCTCTGAAATCCTTGTCGGAAATTTCCAACATCTGTGTCATCTTGATGTTGTCATCTGTTGATTGTCTTTTCTCATTCAAATTGAGATCTTCTTGGATCCTCAGATATTTAATTGAATCCTGGACACTAGCTATTATGCTGCAAGACTTTGGATAGTGATGAAATCTTGTGTTTTAGCAGGTCTCCTCTGATGACATCTTAGCCATGGGTGGAAAGGGTGTCTCTTTACTCCTGGGAGAGCATTGAAGTTGAGGCTCTTGACAAGGTGTCCAGAGACACTGTGGGAGGTGGGAAGGAACTCATTACTGCTCAGCAAAGATGAGATTCCAGCCTCCACACTTAGTCTTCTTGGCTTGGGAAAACTTGGGCAGGTTTGAGGGAGTCCCTTTACTCTCTGGCAAGACTGGAAGTGCAGGCTTTCCACTCAGCCTTTGCTGGTGGGATAAAAGTGGGGCTGCAGGTTTTTTCCTGTGGTGTTCTGCTGGAGTAAAATGGTTATTATCTAAAACTTTTCTGTCTTGTGAGGCTATACAATTCCTGGTCCTTTGGCTAAAGTAAACAGCTTTCTCTTGTGGAGGGTAGGGGAGTGCTATTTTTGCCTATATCTGTTGGCATTTCTGGGTCATTAGCTTCTCTAATACCTAGTCTGGAATATATGAGGCCAGAAGAAAATTCACAGAACTCACCATTATATCATTTGTTGGATTCTGAGGTCCCTAATTGGTCTGCTTTTTTTTCTATTTACTTTTCACTCTTCTAATTTTTTAAAAAATAAAGTCCAGATTTTTAACTATACTCAACAGGAGGAATAGTTTAATATATACAGCTACTTCCCCTTGGTGGAGCCTCTATCATTTTGTTTTTAATGTGTGTGTTTTTTTTTAAAATAGTTTACTGCTCAGCTTTGCTTTTACCCTAACTGAATTTCTTTACTTTTGAGTGAGGAAATTCAGCCCATTCACAATGACTTCAAATCCTGCTACAAAACAATGAATTTCTTCCATTTTGTTTACTACCTTTGTGCTTTGCAGTGATTACCTTTTCTTTTTTAGTTTGCTGATTTAATCAAGTAAAATTTTATCTTTCTTCCCTGTGCCCCAAAGCCTTTAACTTGGATGATCTATTATGCTTCCTGATTGCACTTTGAGTGGCCTCCTAGGTGGCCCACAGCTACTAAGCATAGAGCTCCATTGATCCTCTGTCCATATTTTGAGGTTCTGGGAGGGTATTCAGTGGGAACACAAAAGCTGTGGCTTCTCAATCTGTTCTTTGGAGCAAGTTTACATGCTTATACTTCTCTAAAAGAGCATCAGAAAACTAAGTTGTAGAGGTAGGACCCAGAGGTAGGGATCACACTGACTTTAGAGCTATCTGAATGCAGCTGTCTTCTCTGGGCAAGATGACAATCCCAAGGAAGTTACAGCCCTAAAGCCTCACATTGTCATCATCTGATTCTGTTCCACATTAAATGAATCCACTGGCCACAGCCCAAAGGGGGCCTGGAGAGTCCACTTTGGGTAGGGAAAATAATTTCAAAGAAGTTCCTCTAGTCTTCAGCTGGTTCTTCTTAAAAGGTGACATGAGGGCATGACCTAGAATCTCAAAGCATCTCAACTGTCTGTATTTTGGGCAAAGGCCCTCCTTATCCATCATACTATTTTGGTGAATGAAGATGAAGTGCCTTGGCCTGGAGCCACCTGGACTGACAGGATTTTGGGTTAATTGTCTCCACCTGGGACTTGTCCATCCTTACTATTAGCTTCTAAAGTCCCCTTATGTTTTAGCCCTAGTTGGTGCAGAAAAGCAAAGAGTTGTGGAAATCATTTATTTATTTATTTCTGAAGCAGAAACATATCCTGAAAGGCCTCACAAGTTCAGATATTCATTCAAATTAGGTCAGGACATGGGAAGATGAACCTTATGTGTGTCCCATCGAACTCTGAACACTTGCTTAGCCTTTCTATGCCTCAATATTCCCCTCAAGAATTTATTTTATTTTAGAGATAGGTTCTTGCTATGTTGCCCAGGCTGATCTCAAAATCCTGGGCTCAAGCTATCCTTCTGCCTCAGTTCCTAGGTACCTGGAACTATAGGTGGCATTCTTATTTTTAGGAGTCACAGTATAAAGAAATAAATTAGATAAATGTAAAGTATATCAGGCGATGATAAGTGTTAAGAGAAAAGCAAGTCAGGAAAGGAGATATGGAGGAGGTTGGAGGAGGCTGAAGCTTTAAATAGGTTGCTCAGAGAACTCCTCACTGAGAAAAGGGCATTGAGCAAGGATCTGAAGGAGGTGGGGGAGGAAGCCCCGTGGATGGCTGGGGCATTCCTGGGGTGTCAGAGGTTCAGGAAGGAGACCATTGGCTGAAGCAAAGTGTGCAAGGAGCAGAGTGGTAGAAAATGAGTGAGGGAGGTGGTGGGATGGGTACCTGGGGTGGAGTAGGGAGGGCAGACTGAGATGGAGACCTTAATGAAAGCTGTAAGTACATTGACTTTGTGCATCTAATGAGAAACCACTGAGACTTTTGTGTAACAGGTGATGTGACCCATTTTTTGTATTAAGTTTAGTCTGGGGTTCTGTAGAGTGTAGAGTTTACGGGGCCAAGTGTGGAATCAAAGACACCAGGGAGGAGGTTACTGCAGAAATCCTGGGAGAGGTGACAGGATTGGACCAGGGTACAAGCGACAATGAGTGGTCAGGTTTGGGAAGCGTTTGGAAATAGAAAATGGAAGCCTCTGCTGATGGACTTTGTGGCGTGTGAAACAGAAAAGTCAAACATAACTCTGGGTGTTTGGCCAAGCAAGTAGAAACTCACAGAGGAAACTGATGAAATTCAGGCCACAGATACACTTTCATTAAAAAAATCAAATTTCTGAATTTCTTGAACAATTGGAAGACCTGACATCAATGGGCCCAAATTATTGCATAACAGCAATTTGCTAGAGGTGAGTCCATGCTTTCTTTCAGAAGAGCACAAATGCCTTTCAATTTGCCACAATCTCCCCCCACCCCATCCCCTCCGCTGTGCTCATGTTGCTGCCAGGTCCCGGCAGTCATTTTATTTTATAGCTGTTGTGTTCCAGATGCTATACTAGACGTTTCCATATGTTATACTTAAGAACATATGAAGAGAAAGAGAAGAGTTCTTTCTTCTGACTCTCTCTGACTCTCACTGTGTTCCTAGAGCCACCCCAGCAGAGGTGGCTGTAAGTGATGAAGAGAGTCAGAAAACCATGTGTCCAAGGTTCTGCTCTTTCCCATTATACAGAAGTTCCTATCCTCCTCCATCCACTCCCTTACAGTCTGGGAGCCCCAGGTGTGACTCATGCATTTTCTGGGCCACTGTGTAGTATCTGCTCTTCCCTGTCTCTCCTGATGCCTGTGATCTGTCCCACCATGTGAAACAGCTGGAATCAATGTCGCTCATGCCTCCTGCTTACCATGTCTCCTCCCATTCAGTTGGCACATGGCTTTATTGCAAATCTTTGTTCTAAGATTTAGGTGGATTCCAGGGACTAGACGATAATCCTAGTGAAAGATATCATGTTGTCTTCTGAATCACCCTGAGCCTATTTATTTTCCCCATCTTTTCCTTAGGACAAGGCTCATCCCAGGAGGATCCATGATGCTTTATGAAGACAGTCCCAACAGCCCATCTCTGTCATCCTCCAGACGTGCCAAGGCTGAATCATGGAGCAAACACAGCACAGGCTCAAGCTGAGACCCTGCCATGTGACCTCCTAGTTCTATGAAATACCCTTCAACAATGCAGAATTGACAAACCCTCCCAGAACCTGATATAGATACACATATTTATTATATAAGTGTCTCAGTAAAGAAACAATTTTCTGTAGTGCTTAGTAGCAGACTTCTGACTCCATAAGATGTTTCTAAGTAAAGGTTTCTTGGTCAAGGAATTTGGAAAATGCTCATAGTGTATATGATTCTAGGAGACTTTGGAAACACATTAGTGCATTCGGAAGCCCTGCAGTAGTCTGCCGCATGACTTATTCCAGCTTATCCCTACATTATGGAATGCTTTTGTCACTGAATACCTTCAGAACGCATTTTGGGAAAACTTTTATATATTCGTGGCAACCCTGGAGAAAAAACTTAGAGGTAAAGTTCCCTCTCCGAGAGGCCATAATAAATGTGAAAGTGTGGAAAAGAGCCCTCATCCTCCACCTCCAAGGCTGGTGTTCTTGCCAGGATACCATCCTATCAGTTCTTTCTAAAACTCTCCTGTCCCCAGTGCAAATACTCTCATCATGACAATGCCTCACTTCAGCAGGCCTTCTCATGGAGCTGCAGGAGTTCTTTGCAAAGTCCCCCAGCCCTGGTCTAGGAATTGGGAGTTGCCTCACAGATGCTTTATTGTTATTACTGGTTACATGTGTGATATGTAGCATACATATCAACTACACCTTTAACCAATAACTTTTACTTATTTTTTATTTGGAGAATGATATATGCTCATTAAAGAAAAATTGGGGAAAAAGTTGGTAAATAATGAAGAAGAAAAATTCACTTCAACCTAGAAATAGCCCAGTGAACATGCTGGTGTCAAGGGTGTACATACACATATACATGTTTGCATGTTTTGGGAACAATTTGAAACAATATGCATGTTTGTTACAGTTTTGGAACTGTAACAAAAATGCACAGTTATAGTTATTTATCATGACCTTCCTGTTTTTCTTGCCATGATAGGTTGTGAAGATGTTTACATATCATTAAACACTCTTTGGGATCATACTTTTTTTTTTTTTTTTTGAGATGGAGTCTCGCTCTGTCACCCAGGCTGGAGTGCAGTGGCGCGATCTCAGCTCGCTGCAAACTCCGCCTCCCGGATTCACGCCATTCGCCTGCCTCAGCCTCCTGAGTAGCTGGGACTACAGGTGCCCACCACCACGCCCGGCTAATTTTTTGTATTTTTAGTAGAGATGGGGTTTTGCTGTGTTAGCCAGGATGGTCTTGATCTCCTGACCTCGTAATCCTCCCGCCTCGGCCTCCTAAGGTGCTGGGATTACAGGCGTGAGCCACCGCGCCCAGCCGGGATCATACTTTTAATGGCTGCACAATGCTGCCTTGTATGAACGTGTGATGTTTCACTCAGCCATTGGTGGTAGAGTCAATGCCACAGGTTCTCCATACCATTTCCTCTCTCTGAGCACTTGGTAAGCCTTCATTTCCAAATCTCCCCTGCAGTTTTGAGTTCTGGACAATGGTTGTGGACAGAAGTTATGGATGCCACTTCTGTGCCTGGAGTATCTGTCCCCTCATCAGCAACTGTTGGTGACAGAACCACAGATTGGGAGCAGCCTGGATCTAAAGAATCACTGCTTGGGAGAACTCTGCTTAGACATGTCCAGACTACATCAGACATTAAGTGAGAAATGAACCTTTGTGTGCTGAGTACCGAAATTTCGACGTTTACTTGTTACTGCTGGATTGCTTAGCATACACTAACATGTCATCACTCTAGTTACATCTTTGGGTTTGTTTTCAATTTATATTTTAAAAATAGAGCTTCAGTACACATATTAAAGCATAATCTTTGTTTATATCTCTGACTACTTTCCTCAAAAACATCCTGCTTTTGGGAAAATGTGTACCAATGCATGCACCCCCCTCTCTGCCACACACAAAGTACTGTATGAGAATAACCATCAGATCTTGGCCTCATCACAATTGTTCATTGTTCTGAAAAAAACTTTTGCTAATTTTATAGGAAGCAAATAGCATCTCGTTATGTTAATTTGCATGTTTTTGATCTCTAATAGGGTTGAAAACATTCTTTCCTAAGGTCTTTCCAGGAAAGAGTGTGAGTGTGATAAGAAAGCTGAAGCTGCGGCCATAAGCATATCCCCACCTCTCTGGCTTCCATGAGTCTTCTGGCTCCATAAGGCTTCTTTAATTGAGCCCTACCCATGAAGAAAGGTGCCCCTTGCATCTGTCTTACAATTAATTGCCTTTTTAATAGCCTGGAAGAGTATGGCTGTGTTTATACAGAAATGAAGATACTGATTCTTTCCATTTCATGTGTCTTTAAAACAAAGAGCAGCCTCCTGGCTGTCCAGGGAGAAGTGGGTAGCAAATCTGAAAAGGTTGCATGGACTCTTAACTGATGATACAAGGAACTCACGGTCTAGGACACACACATATATCACAACAGACTCCATCCTGAAAAAAGGCCAACCAAGGGGTTGCAGTAGTACAGAGAATGGGGGACCACTTCTGCCTGGGGGGCTGGAACATTCAAGGTGGATTTTGAAGATGACATTCAAAATGACACTGTAGTTTGATCTCTGGTCCTGAGTCCCAGGCTGAGCCTTGTCTTCCATGGACAGATCTCATGGCAGCCCCTCTAATGGGATATACAAGCCAGGTTTTCCTGTGCTGAAAGGTGATCAAATCAGACAAATTGTAAATCCACAGCCCTTGTTTTGTCAGCATGTATATTTTTATAGAAAGGAGCACATCTCTGACGAGCTGGCCAGATAATCATCTCTGCTTTTCCTTACTTCTTCAGAGCTGTGAAAGAACGCCCTCGGCAGGGACCTGGTTTTAATCACCTTTGATTAACACAGAAGCTTTTGAAAGCAAAGGTGCTTTCTGTAAACCATAGCAGGATCCAGAGGCATTAACATTTCAGACCTTTCCTCAGTATATGAAATGTCTAAAGCAGATTCAAAGTATCAAGCCCATGGAGACAAAATCACTGCGTGGGGAGTTACTTTAATGCCTGTGACTCATTTCTCACAGAAAGTTTTTGGCTTTTTATTATCATTATTTTTTCAATCTTGAAAAATTGCAGGCCATACAAAGCCAGAGCCTTCTGGGTCCAGGGAATGTTTCACTTGCCTTTTATTTAGTGCAAAAGGAAGGCTTTTAGGAGAGATTGAGAGAAGCCAGGGGAAGCCTTGGGAATGGACCCAGAAATGATTAAGGGGCTGGAAATATCAAGCCTAGAAGAAAAATCAAGAAGGTTTGTGGGACTTCACTGGAGACCGTGGGTAAAGTTACTTTGTGCCCTTAAGAAAACTCAGAGTTAAAACATAGTGTTCCCTTCCCCAGGGATTCTACTATGGGCTGCATGGTTTGGCTGGGGACATAGGAGGCCTGAGGCATGCAGGCAACAGGTAAGGTCTTTAAAACTGGGACCAATATCCATCCTTTGGCCTGGTTTAAGAGTGAGTCTGCTTTAAAGTCTCTATTGCTGAGCTGATACTGGGCTTCTGGGGGTGAGACTCAAGAATAAAGAAAAGAAAAGAACAACAGGGCAAATGCTTGTGATATTTGTTTTCTGAAGCCCTAACTTGG
Organism: Homo sapiens; assembly: GCF_000001405.40. Classification (NCBI taxonomy): domain Eukaryota; kingdom Metazoa; phylum Chordata; class Mammalia; order Primates; family Hominidae; genus Homo; species Homo sapiens. The sequence goes on along the minus strand of NC_000010.11, from coordinate 44,791,815 downwards.
AGCATAAACCTCCAGCTGCAATGAATCTGAGTGAATATTGAGAGAAATAGGCTTATGGGCTCGCCTGGATAGGAAAGTCATGGTGAGTCTGTTCTCTCCAGTGTTTCTCAAAGTCAGTCAGGACCAGGCACATGTCCATGGATGAGCTTCCAACTTCCTCTTCTCTCATTTCAGAGGAAGGGGCTTCCCACTGGAAAATGCAGCCATGGCTAAGGGTTCATCTTTGGCTTGGTTTCCCAGACCTCCCCAAACCCTGATGCTCCTCAGGTGTGGGTTTCTGTCTGGGGATGCTGGCTTTTTAATTTCCCTGTAGATTGATCAGTTTTGCTGGGTCCAGGGGATTCTGAAGCATCCAACCCACTCAGGATTGCTCAGGAAAGCCAATTCACGACTGTTGGCTTCCCACAGAACAGAGCACCTCCCTTTAAACTAAAATGTAGCCGGGGCTACTCCATGGTGAGGAGTAGGAGAGCAAGATCAAAGACAGGAGTCCACAAGCACCACAGAGGACTTGGGGGCCTCTGTGCTTCATCCAGTGTGTGGCCTTGCCAGGATCACATCACATTTGGAAAGAGAGCAAGGGGGAAGGAGGAGGGCCACCCAGGACCCCTCTCTCTGGACAAGGTTCTGAAGGCTGAGATTGGTCTAGAAGTCTCCCTCTGTGACATCACGCTCATAGACAATAATTCCTATTTAGTCATATTTCTTGTAAGAAATGAGAACAGACAGCAAAGGTAGGTGCTATGTAATAAATTTGATTGTGGGAAATGAAAAATGGAGAGGGGTAGATGGATCGTTTGGGAGGAATTGCTGGGTGGGGGTTCTGGTTGCAGTTTAGAGAGAGATGTGAGAGTGCTCACAGGCTAATGCATTGGAAAGATTCAGTTGAGAGGAAGAGGTTTAGATAAGGAGGGAGAAAGGATATTCATTAAGGTATTGTTTCTGAGAAGATGTAGAGGACGGGTTTTGAAGCTGAATGGGAGGCCTGAGATGGACACAGAGGTTGGAAAGTCTGTCAGGAAGTTAACGAAGTTCCCTCCCAGTGGTTTCCCTGTTCTCTACAGAGCAGAAGAAGAGGCCAGCCTTCTGGAGCAAGGGCAGAGGAGCCCAGAGGACTGAGGCACATGGTTTGCATAGTTACAGAGGAAAGGAAAGCCACCATCCTGCCATGGGAAGGGACCTGTGAGCTCCATCTTCTCAGCCAGGTGGCCTGTCCATATCACCGTGGCTCTGGCACCATGAGCAAAAGATGAAGTGGCAATAGCTCTGGGGTCTTTTATTCACATTATAGAAAAGTGTTTAGCGTGCTGCAGAACCCAGAAATCCATGTGTGTGTGGTGCACCATGATATTTCACCACACAGGGAAATAGAGGACCTGCGTGCTGCAGTGCAACCTCTCTCCCTGTCTTGTGTTTTCTGGCTACCAGCCACATAACTTCTGACCCATTGAGACCCTCTCTAGACACACCCTGTGTCCGCCAAGCTCAGTGCCCCTGAGTCCTTCTAGGTTTGAGCATGGCTTTCACCCTCATACTTGCCCTGGGCTTCCTTCCCAGTCACCCAAGCCAGAGATCAGATCCCAGCACTGCTTTGCCCTGGGTCGTCATGCAGGGAATTGGTTCAGCCCATCAAACACTGGCTAGGTGGTTTTTAAAACTAAAAATTTTGATTAGGAGGCATTTTGAGGATCTATTAAAGGGTTGGGAGCTGGGAAATGACTGGAGATCAGGGAGAATGTAGGTGGGGAAGTGAGCATCAGGGCCAGCATCAGCCTTTCCGGTGGGGAGCGTGGTGTTTTGGGTTGCACTGTGTCTCCAGAAGAGATACGGTGGAATCCTCACCCCCAACACCTCAGAATGTGACCTTATTCAGAAATAATGTGTTTACATTGTTAAGTTAAGATGCACGTTCTGCACATGTATCCCAGAACTTAAAGTATAATTAAAAAAAAAAAAAAGAAAAAAAAAAAAGATGAGGTCGTTGGGTGGGTCCTAATCCAATATAACTGGTGTCCTCATGAAAAGGAGAAATATGGACACAGAGACAGACAGTTGTAGAGGGAAGACGATGTGAAGCTGCAGGGAGGAGACAGCCTCTGCAAGTCATGGAGACAGGCTTCAGGAAAACAGCCCTGGCAACGTCTTGATCTTGGACTTCCATCCTCCACAACTGTGTAACACAAATTTCTGTGTGTAAGCCACTCAGCCTGGTGTTCGTTACACAGCCCTAGCACACTGATACAGAGAGGGGAGGATGGGGGAGCGGGTAATTAGAGATATAGTAAGTAATAATTGGTAAATTAAAGGTAGGCTTCCTCCTCTGTCACTTCTCGGGGAATATATGGGCAGAGTTTAATCAAATCAGCAGGATTCAATAGTCTTCTTCGTCTTGGACACCATCTGTAGGAGTCCCTTTTCCAGCCTTCTTAGAAATAACCCTTTCTGTGTCCCCAGACATGAGAGTTAAAGCTGGCAGTGCTGTGCTGAGGGTGGGTTGGGAAGAACCGAACCACACTGGGGAGGCCGGACCCAGGGGGCCAAGATGCCATGACCTCCAGCCAGACAGGGCTGAGGAGGCCTGCTGTGAGGACAGAGAGTGCATCCCAGGTTCTGTGGGATAGGACCTGGGCAGGGAAGCAGATTCCATGGGTCTGGAAAGTTCTGACGTGATTCAACACTCCAGTGAATTGCCTTGTTTGTGAGAAACCAGAGCAGCCCAGTTCTGACGTTTAAACTCCCTTCTGGTGAGACAGGAGGGAAGTGCAACGTCACGATGACCACACAACAAGGGACAGATGATGCATGGAGGTGCAACAATGTCAGGCTCTGGTGTGGATCGTTTCATGTAACCCTTGTCCATAATCCCTCAAGATAAGATGTTTTCATGTTAAGTTAAAATAGGATCAGGTGACCAAGCAATTGCTCAAGGTCTGTCAGATAATTATGCATTGGAGAGGTGATTGGAAGGCAGGTCCCTCTGATTCTCACACTTGTAATTAGCATTCGTGCAGGACAGTGCGGGGCCCAGTCATGGTGGGGTGGGGGTGGGAAACACCAGGGAGCATGACCGAGAGAAAGAGGTCTTGGCAGCTGGGATCTGCACCTGATGCCAGGAAGAGGCAGTGAGCGCTCTCTCTGCAACAGATATCAACATAATGATTCATGGGGGATGCATCCACAGAGCTTCCAAGGTTGTGTGTGTGTGTGTGTGTGTGTGTGTGTGTGTGCATGTGTCTGTGTGTATGTGTGTGTATGAGTGCATGTCTGTGTGTGTATGTGTGTGTGCATGTGTGCCTGTGTGTGTGTCTGTGTATGTGTGCATGTGTGTCTGTGTATGTGTGCATGTGTGTGTGTGTGTGTGTGTGGCGTGAGGTAGGAAGGTACAGGTGAGGCCCTCCATAAGAACACTTTCTAAGGCTGGATGACCACAGATTGGGCGTCTGGTAGAAAAGCACAGTGCCAGATGGAGCAGGCTTGGGATTCAATGCTGAGGCCTTGGGCAAATATGGAGCATCCGAGACTCCCTTCCAAGCCAGGCTGACCACGAGGTGGGTGTGATGTGAACCATGACCAGACAAAACAGTGCCTATAATATTGGGCCCCTGATAAATCTGAGACTGTGACCATGTTAAGGATGTCAAAAAGTCCTTCCTATTTTTTCTAAAGCATCATTCTGTACAATAATTTCAAGGAAGCTATTTCAGCAGGCTGTGTCTGGAGGTTACTAGGGCAATTTTGATGAATGACAGACAGAAAGCAGAACTCCTCACCTCCTGGAATGCATCTCCTTCTTTGTGGAGAGAGGTTAGGCTGGAAAGGCTGGGTGACAATTCAGCTGCAGCTAGGTCGGGTGGAACATCTGTCAAGGGCTCAGTACTGCCCTATGGGAATACTTGCCCCCGGGCCTGGAAGGACACACTCCCAGACCTTCAAGGACCTGGGGAATGTCTGAGTCCACTGAGTCACCCTCTGCCTGTGCTCTGGGCATGGAGGAAGGTAGGACTGTGGCTGGAGCCAGAGACAGCACCCATGTTCATTATCACACTGTACAAAGGACCTAAGTTACAGTCCGTGTCGAATCACCCTGACACTGCATACTTCGAGGCCTTTTGCAAAGTATTGGATAACCAGTAATTACAGCAAAGCACTGGCTTTTGTCTCAACAGCTCTTTCACCATGAAAAGAACCAGGTACCCAAGGATGTTTTTTACCCTGGATAATTTAACAGTTCTAGAAGTCTCCTAATGTAACTAGTTTATTTTTCTTGAAGTACGATGAACCTGGTCAGCCCTACTTGTAATGTCTCTCTAGCCTCTACGGGTTCTTATCCACTGGCCCAAAGGCTGGTTCTGCCATTGGGCTGGCCTCACAATAGGCTGGCTGGAAGCCTATGTCTCAGGTAGCTCCCCACCCTTCCCTGGCTTCCTGAGTGCCCAATGGTCACTTGCTCACTCACTAATTCAATCACAAATATTCTTGGGGTGGATTCACTGTGCTACAACAATCAGTTAAGTATTTTTCACCTGAAAACCCCAAAACAGAAAGTGCATTAATTTTTTTATCAAGAAAACTGACTGTCAGCTTTGCCCTTATGAAACTTCTCACCTGGGGGGTCACTAACCTCTGAGGATGGGGATGGTGAGAAGGTTGTCCCAGGGATTTTGTAAGAATAATAAGCAAGAATTAAGTAAGATAATTCATGGGGAACTTGTAAAGAGTAAACCACTGTACAAATTGAGATATTCCACCTACTATTGTATTTATTTATTTTTCATAATAAAAAATAATATCATGGAGGGAAAACATGTCCGTTAAGAGTCCCATAAATTGGAGATGGGAGAATCACAGCTGTTTTGAATGGGCAAAGTTGAAATCATAAATGGACTCTCAACAAGATAGAGCAGGCTTGTGAAGATGTAGAATGTCTTGGCTTTCTGCTGGACTCACGTCTGCTTGAAGAAGTGAGATAATTATTCTCTGTTGATTAGAATGGAAAAAGAAATGCCATTTATGTGTAAAAAACCACATTTGTAAGAGAAAATATGAGAGGGAGTCCTTGAGATAAGCAAATGATTCATGCTGGCCTTGAATTGCGTTTTGCCTGCTCCATAGCAACTTTCAGCTGAGAGAATGGGGCCCAGCAGCAGAAGAACTACGTTTACAGACTTCGCAATTTTCCCGCAGTCCTGGTTCCTTCCAGGAACATTCCTTCTAATGCTCCCAGAAAACAAATTGGGCTGGTTTCACCATGACAACTACAAATCTAATCCAACATGAAGAGTTAGAGGCAGGCAATTTGTTGTGTACAATTCAAGAGTTACCAAAAAATTCTTCGGATCTGGGGGCCTTCCACCCCTCTTAGGTAAGTTATACACGTCCTTTTGATTCTAAGGAAAACTGCTCGTAAAATATTTGGGAGCTCTTGGGACATCAAACAGCTCTTAGAGGAGTGCATTTTAATGGTTTACTTGTAAAAGAATCAGTAAAAGAAGTAGAAACATATGGTTCAAATTCCTCTGAATTCTGCAAGGTATTGTTGTAGATGTCTTTTTTTTCTTTTTTCCTGAGGGTCTCCACGCTTCTTTGAGCGCTTATCCTAAAAATACTCCAAATAACCACTACATGTACTGGCACAGCAAGTGAGACATCACATGGTAACATGGGTCTTGCTGAGGTTGCAGACCTGGGTCCTAGCAGACACTGGGTTCATTGAGAAGTGTGGGGAGAAGGAAAGAAGCAAGAATGTTTGGGAATCCTGAGTAATTAGGGTGCAGAGGCAGCTCGTCCAAGTCTCAACAGCTTACAAACTCCAAGCAGGTAGCTTTAAAGCTTAATTGGATCCTGAGAATTGAAAATGGAGATTGGGTGGTACAAGCAGCTTGAAATTGTAGCACTCTTGTTAACTCTGGGGCTTTCAAATTCAACTAAAATGACACCCTAACCAAACAAAACAGGACTGTGGACAGCCTCTGCCACCAGCCTCACCCCTACCCCTCCCCACTCCAGTCTAGCTTCCTAGGCTGTGGATTAGCACATGAGCTGGGGAGAGACTTCGCTAAAGGCAAATGAGTAGAAAGATGGGTACTGAATACAAGTCTTGGGCCCCCCTGCATTATATTACATCCCAGTGCACAGGCAGGCAGGAGGCTGTGGAACGAGGGTGATGATAGACTTGGGTCAAGGGCACGTGACCTTGGGCTAAGGATACTGTCTCATCATTGTGAGACTTCTCAACTGCGAGGCAGGGGCAAGAATGATCACATCACTGAGTTGTGAGGATGGCATCTTCAGACTATTCTACAGTTATGTGCTGCATGATGATATTTCTGTTAACGACAGAGTAGGTACGACAGTGTATGGTATTTTTGCTGTGCCTTTTCTATGTTTAGATGTGTTAATACACAAATTCTCATCCTTGTGTTACAGTTGCCCACATCATTCAGTACAGTCACAGGCTGTATAGGTTGTAGCCTAAGAGCAATAGGTGGTCCCATGTAGCCTAGGTGTGTAGTAGGCTACACCATGTAGGTTTGTGTGAGTACACTCTATGATCACACAATGACAAAACCACCTAAAGATGCACATCTCATAATGTATGTTTGTTGTTAAGCCACATATGCCCATAGTTGTTATTGTAACAGTTGATTTTTCCAGTCTTAGACATTAACTCAGCAAATATGATTGGGCGCTTGCTTTGTGGCTTTCACTGAAGACGCAGTGGGGAGTCAACACAGACATGGCTTCCCTGGCAACTCTGTCCAATGGGAGAGACCACCACCACTGAAGTCACCACACAAGCAGATATAAGACAGCAGCTATGGCCAGGACCCCAGTTTGGGTCAAGAGGAGCCTCCCTGAGAAAGTAAATGATGAGTGGGGTTTAACTAGAAAAAGCTTCCCATGCAGAGGGAATGGTGTGCAAAAAGCTTCCCTGTGTCTGAGGGCCAGAGTAACTGTAACTGAGGCTGTCAGCACAGTGACTTAGGAATTTCCCTCCTGCTTTCTCCTAATATGCATTTGCAGCCTGCACCCTGTGCTAATGGAATTGGTCAGGATAATTAGTTATCTGTGGCCATAAAGCTGGGAATTCTGGGAGCAGGCTGGACATTGCTGTCACCTCTTTGAATAGCATCACTAGAATTCTTAACAAAACAAAAACAAAAAAGAAAACAAAATCAACTTTCCATATTCCCTCTACTATTTTGTCTAAAACATTGGTGAAAGAAGGGAGGTCATATACTTGTTCAGAAAAAATGATCTAGGGAGGTGGGAATAGGTGGGCAGGAGCTAGACAGAGAGGGATGGGTAGGTTGGGAGCATGAATATAGGCTGGTGGGGACTGGCCAAGGATGAGAATTGGAAGGTGGCTACAGCTCAGCTCCTCCAGGACAGGAGGGAAGGTCCAGGCAAGACATGAATATCATTTAGCAAAATAGTTGCCATATTCCAGGTCGAGAAGGAGATGAAGCCTAGGTGGTCCAGGTGACCGGGACAGAAAGAGAGAGCGCGCAGAAGATTTAGAGGCCTGGGACTCACTGAGAATTGAGGAGCAAGCGGGTTGGGGTGATCCTAGTAAAGTCACTGGGAACTAAGGGAGCTACAGGAGGAGACGCTCAGGCTCCTCTTCTGACCAGGATGTGGGTTGGTCCCATATTGGATCCCTGGGTTGAACAGGACTCAGAGATGAAATAGGTGCTGAAGAGTGAGCCAGAGAGGGGAAGAGAATGATGCCCAGCTTATGGCATGGATCACTGGGTGACAATGATGCATTTACTAAGATGGGATATACAAGAGGAGGACCAGGCTTGAGGGAGCCATGGGAAAACTGGGTTTGAGATGCTCATGGGATATTAAATATATTGTTGAATTTAGACCATGCTTGTCACATAGCAGATGTTCAATAAATACTTGTCAAATGAATAAATTGGCCCATAAGAAATTTGGAAGACAGAATGAATAGCAAGTGAATAATAGCAATAGTAGCAAGTGAATAGCTATGGTTGGATCAAGGAGAGAATACAGGAGAGAAACAAAAGAGGTTTCCCGCCCTGCCATCTCCACCAGCACTAATGGTGCCCTTTCAGGCAGATGACTCAACAGGGTTCATGCTAACATGTCCCACAGGTCCCTCTGGGGTCCCTTACTCTTTTCTAGAGCTCCTCTGGGGTCACAGCATGGCTCTTAGTGCTAAGTGTTGCTGTTCCTCTGTAGACACAAGTTCCTGAGGCCTCCATCAATATCTCTTTTCCCTGTTGAACTTCTATTTGGTCATCACATTCTTGGTGCTGTCTTCCTGGTGCTTTCCAAGTTTTCCATGGAATTGCACTAATGGCAAAAAAAGGAAGCTCATGTAGGGTTTCAGGAGCAGAGCAGGTTGGACAAACACTAAATTTCTTTGAAGCTCCATCTTATTTTTATAAATCATGTGAGTATGTTTTACTTTGAATTTTTTGACCTCTGAAGATGAACATTCCTGACACATGTGTATTCTATAGCATCAAACATGGCATCATTCTTCCAGCCCAGCCTGCAGTTTGAGAAGAAAGTCCGAAAGCATTTATCCTGTGAAATCTCCTGCACTCCCACTGCAGAACAGCTCAACCATCTCACTATTTTCATGTTCTACAACATTTCAGATCAGGAGGAGTCCAGGTGGACTTACATTTATGAGGCTGTTCAGTTTAGACAAGGCCAAAAGGAAAGATCTGTGTGGCCACAAATATCATTTCTTAGAGGGATCTCAGTGGTTTCCTGATATAAGGACTAGAAGAAGCATGCCACATGTACTACTACTCTGATCCTCCGTGTGCAAAGCAGATTTCTGTCATTAACATGGAGCCCTTCCCTTTGGGACTTAGAGCCCAGGATTTCTTTTTAAATTGATATATAACTGATATATATTATAATTATACATATTTTGGAAGTGCATGTGATATTTTGATACAAGCATACAATGTGCAATGATCAAATCAGGGTAATTGAGATATTCACCACCTCAAAAATTTATATTTTCTTTGTGTTGAAAACATTACAATTCTTCTAGATACTTTGAAATATACAATAAAATATTGTTTATAATTTCCCTACTGTGTTATCAAATACTAGAACTTATTTCTTCTTTCTACTGTTTTTTGGCACCTATTAACCAAGTTTTCTTTATTAACTGCCCCTTATCCCCTGCTTTCCTTTCCAGCTTCTGGTAACCAGCAATCTACTCTCTACCTTTACTAGATCCACTTTTTTAGTTCCCACATAGAAGTACAAATATGCAATATTTGTCTTTCCATGCCTGGCTTATTTCACTTAATATAGTGACCTCCAGTTTTATCCAGAATGCTGCAAATTGCAGAATTTCACTCTTTTTTATGGCTGAATAATATTCCACTGTGTATATATGCTATGTTTTCTTGGTCCATTCATCTATTGATGGACACTCAGGTTGATTCCATATCTTGGCCATTGTGAATAGTGTTGCAATAAACATGGAAGTACAGACATCTCTTTGATGTATTGTTTTTCTTTATTTTGGATATATACCTGGCAGTGGGATTGCTACCTCATATGGTAGTTATATTTTTAGTTTTTTGAGGAACCTCCATATGGTTTTCCATAGTGACTGTACTAATTTACACTCCCACCAAAAGTGTATAAACGTATCCCTTTCTCTGCATGCCCATCAGCATTTGTTATTTTTTGTCTTTTTGATAATAGCCATTCTAAATCGCTATTATGAGATCTCATTTTGGTTTTGATTTGCATTTCCATGGTGCTTAGTGATACTGAGCATTTTTCATATACCTGTTGCTTATTTGTATGTCTTCTTTTGAGAAGTGTCTATTCAGGTTTTTGCCCATTTTTAAAGTCAGATTATTATTAATTATTATTATTATATTGCTATTGAGTTGTTTGAGTTCCTTATATATTCTGGTTATTGATCTCTTGTTGGATGGATAATTTGCCAATATTTTCTCTCATTCCATAGGTTGTCTCTTTACTTTGTTAATGGTTTTCTTTGTTGTGCAGAAGCTTTTTAGCTAAAGTAAAGTAATCCCATTTGTCTGTTTTTGCTTTTGTTGCCTCTGCTTTTTAGGTCTTATGCCCAAAATCTTTGCCCAGATCTATGTCCTGCAGCCTTTGTTTTTTGTTTTCTTCTATTAGTTTCATAGCCTCAGGTCTTACATTTAAGTCTTTAATCCAATTTGAGTTAATTTTTGTATATGGTGAGAGATGGGGATCTAGTTTCATTTTTTTTGGCATATAGATATCAAGTTTTCCCATCACTATTTATTGAAGAGACTGTCCTTGCCCCAGTGTATGTCCTTGATGACTTTGTCAAAAATGAGTTGGCTGTAAAATCATAGATTTATTTCTGGGTTCTCTATCCCATTCCATTGGTCTATGCATATGTTTTTATGCCAGTACCATGGTGTTTTGATTTCTACAGCTTTGCAGTGTAATTGAAATCAGGTTGTGTGATGCTGTCAGCTTTGTTCTTTTGCTCAGGATTGCTTAAGCTATTCTAAATCTTTTGTGGTTATGTACAAATTTTCAGATTTTTTTTCTATTTCTGTGAAGAATGTCATTGGCATTTTGATAAAGATTGTGTTGAATCTGTACATTGCTTTGGGTAGTTTGGTCATTCTAACAATGTTTATTATTCCAATCCATGAGTATGAGATATCTTTCCATTTGTCTGTGTCCTCTTTAATTTCTTTTATCAGTGTTTTATAGTTTTCCTCATAGAGATATTTCACTTCTTTGATTAAATTGATTTCTAGGCATTTTTTGTAGCTATTGTAAATGAGATTGCTTTCTTTGTTTTTCAGATCAATTGCTATTGGCATATAGAAATGCTACTGATTTTTGTATATTGATCTTGTATCCTGCAACTTTACTAAATTTATTTGTCAGTTGTAAGAGTTTTTTGGTGCAGTCTTTAGTTTTTTCTGAATATAAGATCACGTTGTCTGTGAATGAGGCTAATTTCAACACAGTATCCCTAGAATTTGTGTGGGGATCGCAACCTACTTGTCATGCTCTTGATGGTCAGTCCCTCTCCACTTTACAGAGAGGGCTACTGAGGTCTAGGGAGGTGGAATTTACAAAGACTTCTTGTAGCAGAGCCTGGACTGGAGCCTGGTCTCCTAATGTCCAATTTAATTCACTCTGCATTCCATTGAGCAACTTCTGGCAAGAATCAGTCTTCCCTCCCTGTGGATCCCCTCTTAAGTGTCTTTAACAGAAGTTCTTTGTTTAAAATTCTAATTGGAGTGATTAAAACCTCTCACTCAGCTTTGAAGACATGAAACAACCATAAATTGCCTAATGAATGGAGAGAATTAGATTCCATTCACTTGGGAAAGGAGTTTGCCTGGTTTACGTCTCTGCTCCACCACTTACAAGCTGAATGACCTTGGGTAAGTTACCTAGCCTCTCTGAACTCAGTGTTCATCATCTGTAAAATGGAAACAATAGCCACCTTGGAGAAATAGCATGCTAAATTAAATGAAATAATATGTTAAACACATGGAATATAGGCAGCCTTTGACTAAGAAAAAGTTCTGGGTTGTTTCATTCATTTTTCAAGAGACAGTGTTTTCCTAGGTCACTGGGGCTTTGGTCTAAAATGCTTACAGATGATACATCATGTGGTGGCATATTCCTGGGCACTTGCAAACTACAATAAAGGGTCTGGACATGCTGGATATACCAGTATAAGACAAAAGCAGGTGGGCTGTTGCTTTTGTTGTCGTAAGTTGAAACAGGTCAGCAAGGGGAAAATGATATGAGACAAATGCACAAAGAATGTGGGGAACACAGAGAAAGTAAACTTAGAAATCATCATGGGATGTGACACTACCAAAGAGAGAGTCGGGCAGTCATAATGGGCCCCGATTGCTGACCTCCTCCTACGGGAGGTGCAGCCTCTGTGCTATGCAGAACCCTACTGGTCTCCACGCTCAGCTAAGGTGATGAGCCACACAGACAGAGGAACCTCCTCCCGGTCCTTTGAATGTCCAGATTGAGGGACAGAGCAAGGAGGACAGGAAAGTAGCCCAGGGACAAGAAGAAGAGGGCTGGCAGCCATGTGGCCAAGAGCCAAGCCACGCTAAGATGGCAGATGTGGGCAATGTTTCCAGGTCAGGAGCCACTGCCAGGATGCCAGGCCTCCTCGAGGGCATGAGCGAGGCCTCTTGCGAGCAGGAACACCTCTTTGGAAGCATGCTATTTTATTCTGTCCACATTTTCTTTTCTGGTTTTCAAGAAGTTCTCAGTGAAAAATGCTGGTCAAATTTGTGGCACAAGCCAAACAAAGGTAAGAGTCTGCTGTGAAAAGCTAAAGGGACATCACTGTGCAGTGGAGGGTGAGCGGCCGGGGCTGCGTCAGGAGACAGATGAAGATGCAGGAGAAGAAAGATTCAGGGAGCAGAGAGGCAACTCCTGGTAAGTCCCCAGCAAGCTGATTCCGTGTGCTAGAATGGGCACTCCTAGCACCACTAGGAGCATGGGGTTCAGATTTTATAGAGGGGCGGTTTCCTTACAATTTCTCTTCTGTTTTTGCTTCTCACACTCCTCTGGCTGCTTTTTGTCTTTCAATTTACATGAAATTTTATTTTTTTATTTATAAAATGATAGTTGGGATCATGACTGACATTTGGGGAAAAAACAGGTATAACTCACACCTTACTTTTAAATTCCAGATGGATTAAAATGACTGTTTTTTTAAAAAAAATCTGTATTAGAATAAAATATGTACAGGGTAAAATGTAGACTATTATCTGAGCAGAAATTGCAAATGAAAAGATTGATAAACAAGACTGCACAAAAAAGTAAAATGTCTGCAGAGTACATAGAATACAGTATCCATGAAGTTTAGACACAAAGGATCAACCAAGAGAAAGATAACACAGCAGTCAAGGAGGAGTTATCGCTTTTGATCTACAGAGCTCTTACTTGAAAGCCAGTTAAAAAAACAGAATCTGCTTAATGATAGTAGAAAAAAAATGGGCAAAGGATATGTATAAATGGACAATGGAGATATAAATATATTTAGCCAATTTTATAATAAAATATAATAAATATAAACAAAAATCATGAGTATTTTCTCCTACTTGTCAGGTCAGTAAAGATGATGGAGACTGGCAGCACCAGTAGGGGTGGGAGGAGGGGAAATGCCAGCATCAGAGCAGAGGAGTCAGGGCACAGACACACGCCTTTCCAGCTGGGTTGAACTTCAGCTCCACTGCTTGCTGGCTGCCACTTGCCTTCTCTGTGCCTTAGCATCATCAGCTAATAATGCCTCAAAGGATTGCTGGGAAGATTAAAAGCGTCAACATGCAAAGTGCTTAGAATAGTGCCTGGCATGTGGTAAGTGCTACACAAGCATTCACTCATCTTATTATAATTATTACTGTTGTTATTCTCAACATGTTACCTATGGGAACATAAACTTAAAAAAATCTGGCAATATGTATAAAATATGCATGCACTTCAGCTTATTGATTTTTTCTATTATTTTATCCAAAAGTGTTAACCAGAGAGTACATGAGGAATTGTGTGCAAAGATATTTATCACTGTGTTTTCATAGTAGCAAAACATTGGCAGACAAGTTGAAATTTTAACATTAAGAGCTTCTTTGCATGAATGTTATGTAATGTCAGTATGATGAACTATTATGCATCAATTAAAATTAAAAAGAATGATATACCTAAGCAAATTAACACAGAAACAGAAAACCAAATAGCACCTGTTCCCACTTATAAGTAGGAGCCAAACATCAAGTACACATAAACACAAAGATGGGAACAACAAAACCTGGGGACTCCAAAAGGTGGGAGGGATGGGAGCAAGGGTTGAAAAACTACCTTCCAGGTACTACGTTCCCCATTTGGGCTGCAGGATTATTAGAGACCAAAACCTCAGCATCACACAATATACCCATGTAACAAACCTGAACATGTGTCCCCTGCATCTAAAATAAGATAAAATACAGAATAAAAAAGTAGAAAAGAGAATGATATATGCTCAAATGTGCATCCATATCTGTGTCTGTAGCTCTACCCACATGCACATTTACATTTATTTCCAATCCATCTGATTCTGGAATTAAACTCTGAAAATGCAACACAAATGTTAATTTCTACTTTGGTACTACAATGGTGTTTTAATTTTTATATTTCTTACTTATTATCTGAATTTTCAACAATGAATTTATTCCAAATGACAATAGCTTTTTTTCTAATTGCAATAAATATTCTGAAATCTCAAAAAATCAAAATACTCAAAATAAGTGGAATCACCCACAATTTCAGTAGACACATCGGTGGGATTTTATTTTTCCAGTTTGCTTTCATTGTACTTACACATATGAAGGAGACATTCTTATAAATGAAGATGTCTAAGAAATGAAGATTCTTACAAATTCTATAAAAGGAGATATTCTTATAAACCACACATATACCCATAGTGTAAGTTAGGGCTGCAGGATTTGCAGTTTTTCTATTGTCCTGTTTTTCATTGGTCAAAATATCACAGACATCATTGCCTTTGAATAAAGATGGATGTAACTTATTTTAATGAACTGGTTAGTCTGGATTTTATGGAAATGTAATGCATTATTCATACATATTGGTTCAAGCTTCTGGGCCACTAGAAGTAGAATTAATGTGTTAAAAGAAATAGAAATTTAAGGCCGGGCGCAGTGGCTCACACCTGTAATCCTAGCACTTCGTGAGGCCAAGGTGGGTGGATCGCCTTAGGTCAGGACCAGCCTGGACCAGTTCGAGACCAGCCTGGCCAACATAGTGAAACCTCGTCTCTACTGAAAATACAAAAATTAGCTGGGCATGGTGGCGCACCCCTGCAATCCCAGCTGAGGCAGGAGAATCTCTTGAACCCAGCGGCGGTGGGGAGGTTGCAGTGAGCCGAGATCCCACCACTTCACTCTATGCTGAGCTTAAGAGCGAAACTCCGTCTTGAAAAAAAAAAAAAAAGAAATAGAGATTTTAAGTCTCTGGATGGCTATTTCAGATTATTTTCCAGAAAGATAATACTTATCCATACTCCTGCTAGCAGGATTCAAGGACTATCTAAATGTACATTCGTTTTTAATTTAACTGTTGAAACTGTTGTCTCTTCAGTCTTAGTTGGCACTCAGAAGGAACTTTTGCTCCAAAGCCCATGAAAGAGCAGTAGAGATTCTATTGAAAAGTAAACACCTTATTAATTCAAATTATAAGCATTTGAAGCCTTCATAGCTGTAAACAATTCATTTACAAATGTCAAAAACAGAAAGTAAAGATTCTAGGTATCATAGCTTGAGAGCGTATAAGAAACAGATTTTATGGGCACCATCCAATTCCAGTGGAGAGTATCACTTTATCTGTAATCTCTTTATTCCTGGCTTCTTCTGTCCGTTGAAAATGAGCTGCACTTAGAATTATTTTTGGCACTATTTTTCCTTTCATTATTCACAGTAGAATGCATGCCTCAAGTATTTACTTTTGGCTACATCCTTACTTTGTAAAACCTTTCTCTTATGTTTAGGTGCATACACACACACGTTGATGTTATAATCACAACCAAACCTAGTGTTGTGTCTTTCACTCATACAAAAGCACATTGAGATAGTCAAACTTAGTGCATGCTAAAGGGATACACATGTAAGTTGTGCATATATCTGTGCAAATGGTATGCATGTGTGTGTGCATGTGTTGCGTGTGTGCCTATGTTTATTCTTGGGGTGAAGGACAGGGAAGGTTACGGCTGATAAAGATATCTGGGGTGTTCATCTGATCCCGCTGGTACTGCATCCCATAGTAAGGCTTAGATTTGCAGTGTGGCCATCATAGGGCCTGGGAGCTGGCCTGCCCTTCCTCCGACTGATGCTCTAAAGCATCCCTGTGGGATAGGCTGACAAGGGGTATTCTTCCAAAGCTGGAGGTTGGGGGAGTCAGAGGCTTGCACCCAAGGCCCTCAGCTGGAGGTGGGAGAGATGCAGATGGTCTCATCTTCGGTTCCTAGACAGTGTTCTTTCCCTTCCAAGTTGCTGCCTTGGCCTCTGGTGGTCCCCACTCCTCTTCCTCCCAAGGCAGTAACTGAATCCTGCAGGTATGGGCCAGGACAGGGGGGTCTGGCCCCTCCCTTCCAAGCCACTGCTTCATTTGGACACACTCCCTGCATTCGACCTGCCGCTCTGTGATTGGTGCCCTTAGGTCTGTGTCACCATGTCTGGAGCTCAGCCTTCTGGTCACTCTTCCCCTGCGCCTCTGGTCCACAAGGAGCTTATGGGCCATCCTCTCACAGGATGCTCTGGCAGATAGGCTGTCCTCCCTGGGGCGGAGCTCCTCGCTCAGGACCTGGTCTTCTTTGTGTCCCTGCAGCAACTCTCCCACCACGCTCACAGCTGTGGCTGACTAATGAGATCTGGGTGTAGAAGGAATTGCCCAAAGGCCCAGAGACATGAGCCTCAGACAGCCTTGTAGGTCCTGCTGTAACTGGCTCTGTAGGGACGGTTCTGGGGGAAGATTCAACCACAGAGTAACCCTTTCTGTGGATGAGCTTGGTTAAGTAGTATCCATTCAGGTCCATTCCAGCCTTGCCTGTGAGCAAACTGGTTCCTGGCTTTCATCTCAGCAGCCAGCTGGGCACCATAAACAAGAAACCACTGACTAAGAAGCAAAGGTTGGCATGTTTTCAGTGGGCCTTGAACTTCCACCCAGAAACCTTATCTCTGGCAAAACAAATTCTCAGATCAGTTCCACATTCTATGGTTGGAAATAGCATTGTGGGAAAGAGTTGACCAGAAAACAATGCAGGAACACCTTATTTCTTTGCAATGGGCATGGCAAAGTACCTCTCAGACTGCTTCAGAGAAGGTTTTTAATGCAGATCTCTTAGCACCTCTGACCCTGGAATGAACTTGCCCTCTAGCACCATCCCCTGCTCGATTTGCTCCTGCCTTCAAACTCCCGCCAGGTGCTCAGGAGTTCTGCTCAAACCCCATGCTGCCTGGCCTGACCTCTCAGTGCACACCACAGGCTGCTCCAGGACCTTAGACCAGCTGGTTTCTTCTAAAGTTACCCAGAGCGCCCCCAGGAGCCACCTCAGGACACCCCCACTTCCCACACAAACATGGACACCTTAGAGTTTTTCTCCAGACAGAACACCTGCCACCCTGAGATTGGGTGGCTTTCGGGAAGTACACTCACTGCAGGAGGGTTTGAAGAGTTAACAATAATGTTCAGAATTCACTGTCCATTGGTGATCAACCCACCAGGGTTGTGTCATTTCTTCATTGTTTTTTAAAACAGACTCAGGTCCTACATATAAGCCTCTTCCACTGTCTTAGGGATTAAAGCACAGCTTCTGGGAAACCCCGAAGAGCATTTCTGTGAAGCCTGGTGCTGTGCAAACAAGGCCAGCAACTCTTCCGCTATCCCACACAACCCAGGGTCTTTCGCTTAAGCTGTATCATGGCCCAATGCAGTAATGAAATCCTGAACTGGGAAATCTGGTTTAGTCGAACACACCAATAACGGTATTTTTGGACAATGAGGAAATTTGAATTTGAGTACTAGTCCATACAAAGGAATCATCATTAATTCTATTGGGTGGAAAATGTAGATTTTGTTCTGTAGGAAAATGTTCTTTGTTTGTAGATATTTACACTAAAGTCTTTAGGGTATGAAATATCAAGTTACTCAGAGGAATTAATTTTAAAAAAATATTCGAATCATGTTTGAAACATCTATTTAGGGGCAAATAGGCCTGGACTGCTTTGTCTCTAGAGAGAAACAAACATAAGCTACTAGTGGGCCCTTGTTTGCCCAGAACTAATGGAAGTAACAAATTTCTCTCAACATCGAGGGAGACGGCCCGAGGGCCTGGGGAAGGCGCCTCAGAAGGAAGCAAGTCTCAGAAGGCATAGGTACACCGCTGAAGTTGCTAAAGCTCAGAGCCCTGCAGCAGGGCAGGAGGGGAGAGGTAGCGCCCTAGGCTCCCCGCTCACGGCTGTTAGGTTCTCACCCTCGTCCCTGCACCCTCCGCGCTGGGAGGCTCTGAGCTGAGCCACTGCAGCAAGGCTGACGTCCCACGCTCCAGCTCCGGACCTGCGTCCCAGCGGCACCTTCCAGCAGCGGCTGTTTGCAGGAGAATCCAGAGGAACCCTCCGCAGACAGATGGATCTGGACTGTGTTGTCCTGTAAGATACACTGCATGAACCTGGAGCACTCAGAGGACATCTTCGGCTCAGGTGTAATGAAACCAAGAGACCATAGTTATTTGTCTTCAACATGTAATTATCTCACTTTTCATTCTCACCATCACCTCCGCATGGCACTCACACTGGGCAAGGCGACAGACAGAATAATGGCCCCACCAAGACTTGCACACCCTAATCCTTGGAACCTGTATGTAAACAGGTCATTTTAAGTGGGAGAGGGGACTTTGCAGAGTTAAGTTAAAGCCCTTGAGGTGAGGAAATTATCCTGGACTCCCTGGGTGGGCCCCATGTAGCCACATGAGTCCTTAAAATCAAAGAATCTTTGCCAGCTGTTGTCAGAGAAAGCGATATGCAGCCAGGAGTAGGGTCAGGGGTGCAACCCTACTGCCCTGGAGGGTGCAGGAAGGGACCAGGAGGTATGGCCACCTTTAGATGCTGGAAAGGCAGGGAAATGCACCTACCCCTAGAGCCCCCAGAAGTAATAAATCCCTACTAACACCTTAATTCTAGCCCACGGAGACCCTTGTCAGGCTTTGCGTTTACAGAACCCTGTGTTAGTTCTGCACTAAATTTGTGTGATTTTTTTTACAGCAGTCCATCTAATCCAGGTGAGATGGAACCAGGTATCATTCTCTAGGCTCAGCCTGGTCTCTTCTGTGCTAGTTTTTACATAAAAGCTGACTCTCTACTGCGGAAGCATGCTCCTTCTGTTCATTTCCTTTCTGCATTCCCAAACTCGCGGCATGCATTTGTCTTTCAGCTTGTCCCTAACCCGGGCAGGTGGATGACTTTTTGAAAGGCCCTCCCTCCAATGAAGAGGGACTCACTCTCTCACTTTTCTTAGCCAATTAGGCAGCATCAATGTATAGAGGATATATTATTGTAAAAAGATTTCCTTATCTTCCTTTCTCCAGGAGTTGAAATCTCCTTTTATTTTGAGAGAACAGAGCCAGGTGGGAAATACGATTTCGGAATTATCTATCCCAAACAGCTCGTTTACCCAGCATTGCTCAGGAGAGATATTAACTAATATTGAAAAACTCAGCCTACTCCTCACCCTGGGCTCTGTTTCCTCTGCCTCTGGCCTTCTCTGGCTTGTCAGTTACCTGGGACTCTCCTGACCCGGTTTTTTTTTTTTTTTCTTTTAAGATGGAGTCTCGCTCTGTTGCCCAGGCTAGAGTGCAGTGGCGTGATCTTGGCTCACTGCAACCTCCGCCTCCCGGGTTCATGTGATTCTCCTGCCTCAGCCTCCCAAATAGCTGGGATTACAGGCAGGTTCCAGCATGCCCAGTTAATTTTTGTATTTTTAGTGGAGAATGGGGTTTCACCATGTTGGCCAGGCTGGTCTCAAACTCCTGACCTCAAGTGATCCGCCTGCCTCGGCCTCCCAAAGCACTAGGATTACTGGTGTGAGCCACTGCGCTCAGCCTCCTGACCTGGTTTTAACGTGCCCAGAGCCTCTCTGAATTTCAGATGCACCACCTCACTTGCAATTTAGGCACACCATTCTAGACACACCCTTGTTTGCCAGAACTCGTGGAAAGGTCAAAAACAAAGACACTGTTTATAATAAGTGGACAGAAAAACGGAAATTTCAGGTATAGAGATTCCTTGCACTGCCTCTCCAGAAAGAAAAGCTGCATTTAATAAATGGAAATAAATTAGCCTTCCAGAGGACACAGGTCTTGAGAAGCTTTCTCATGACCAGATGTGATCTGTGCTTTCTAATGCCGTTCTCATTCTAATCTCCCACTCATTGGAGTGACTACAGAATGCCTTGTTTGCTTTATAAAGTCAGCCAGTCCCCAACAAGGGAGACTGGCAATTGTTTATCCTGCTGTGGCTCTTTCATTCTGCAAGTCTCTTAATTTCCCTGAAAGAGCACAATTAAAGTAATTTAACACAGTGCTGACACACAGCAAGTACTCAATAAATGTTAGCTATTATTGTAGTGATTACCATCAAGCTATTATTATAATTAGCTTAATTATAGAACTTGTCAAAAACACAGGTTAGCTATAGAATGTTCTTATCAAATTTATGTAGAGGAAATCCAAATTTCCTTGTACATTCAGCCACATTACAAGAGATACATTAACATAAGGAAATTCCCCTGAAACATTTGAATTGTAAGTGAATTTTGAGGACAAATGCTACAATTGCCTTCTTTATCTCTGTCAGGAGGTTTGCACATCATTTCCCACCCTTACCATGTGCTCTAGAACTCTTTCAGCCTGCACACACTGTTTCATTTAACTATATCACGTATCTTCTCTTGTAAATGTAGTTCTCAGAAAGAGAGATCTAGGCCTCTTTAACCTCCTTTCACTTCACAACCCACTAAAAATTGAACCACTGAAACTACTTTATTAGTATGTTTGAGGACTACACTGACATTGGAAACATTCCTCTTAAGTCTTTCCTAATATTGCATAACAATTTATCACTCCATTCTCTCATTTATTCAATTCTATTTTCAATGTATTTTTACAACAATTTTTTAGAATTTTGAAATAATTTTAGACTTCCAGAAGAGTTGCAAAAATAGTACTATGTGATGTTGGTGTATCCTCTTCACCCATCTTCTTATTATGTTAACATCTTATATAACCATGGAACATTTGTAGAAACTAAAAGATTAACTGGAGCAATACTATTAACTAAAGTTCAGAGCTTATTTGGATTTTACCACGTTTTGACTCTTCTCTTTTTGCTTGTCCAGGATCCTGGGTTGTGTTCTCTCACTGGGAATTGCGCCTAATCTCAGGGATGGTCTTGTCTGCTCTGGGGACGGTGGGGGCAACCCTGGCCAATGATTGGTCATGGTGGAGGATC
This sequence comes from Homo sapiens, assembly GCF_000001405.40. Taxonomy (NCBI): domain Eukaryota; kingdom Metazoa; phylum Chordata; class Mammalia; order Primates; family Hominidae; genus Homo; species Homo sapiens. Next base: position 44,770,756 of record NC_000010.11, on the reverse strand, counting down.
AAAGGCATGGCTGCCTTGCGTACATTTAGGTGACTCTGAAGGGCCATCTTGGCTCTGAACTGCCCACGGGAACAGTGGAAACATCAGTTGCTGCTCTATTGAGTTCAACCTCTCCATCCCTTATTTCTCCTTTATTGACTTCACTCCAGGTGTATCTCCTGAAAGCTGTCCCCAACGAACATTCTGCATGCAGATCTCATCTCAGCATCAGTTTCCTGGGGATTCACCGTAAGATTGTTGGTACTGTGAGTGGTCCTAGAAATGAGACCTTAAAAAGGGATTTGGAAGCTGGGTCACTCACTGGTTGGTTGGCAACAAGAATCCCATCTGGTGGTAGGTGTGGTGCTGATAGCGGGGCACACAGTGGTAGAGCAATTTTGAAAGCTCTCACCTGTGGTGAACTGGGATGGGATACTTGTGCAAGGCAGTGCACCGCTAGTGCAACTTCCCTGGCATTTAAGAAACATGATGAAATGATAACTGTTAATCCTAAGAAGTTGGGCGGCTGTTTCTGAGCACAATTGATTCATTTAATAAAGGCTGGCATTTCCAGTTCTCTGAGCCTGTTGATCCCTTTCACCTATTTGCCATGCCAGTTCTGGCATTTATACTTCATTTAGTGTGGCCCATTGCTTTTTCCAAGTTTCCAAGCTCCATCCTAGCAGCTTATAAACACTTCTTCTTGGATCTGTACCATGAAGTTAAATCATGTATCAGAGAATGGTACTTTCGTTCCAATAAACTCTCTCTTATCCAACTTCAGGTCCAGTTCTCTTGATCCAGCACATTCAGGATCCAGTCTCTCTGTCCACGCTCTGGCTCCTGCCAGTGCCTGTGAGCCAGGTTTGGAGATCCTTTGGCACCTACTACCCTTCACAGGGCCAGCAATCCCCAGTGGGCTGTGATGAGATTTCATCCTAGTCTTTAGACTGGAGTGCAAAGGGGAGGTCCAGACAGTCTGAGGGGATAACTATTGTCTGTTAAAGCATCTATCACATGGAATCCCCAGCACAATCTTAAGCAAGGAGCCACCACCATGTTCTAACAAGGGAGAATGGACTGTGGGCCAACAGGTTCAGGAAAATCATGCAGGTCAAGGTTCTCACCGGCACTTACCAAGACACCCCACTTCCAAGTCTCAGGTTCCTCATCCTGCCCTGTCAGGGCTGAGATTGTAAAGCAGGAGGCCCAGCAGGGGTGATGATTAACTTTTCTGAAAGTCTGCTCTTACAATTAAGTCCTAAATAGGAACCTCTACTCTGTCTGCCCCTCTTAATTTGATAAGGCACACATACTAGCTTCCACATTTTGCTTTGAATTGGTGAACAATAGCCCTGAACCTGTTATTATCTTTATTAAATAAGCCAATATCTAGAAATAGCCAACCCTAATAGGAAAAGCCAGATATTTAAGAAAAAAATACTTCCTAAATTAAAAAATTGCACTGAAGAACATAAATTAGAGTTAAATAAATGAAAAATCATTTTCATGCATGAGAAAACTCAATACTATAAATATATCAATACCTTCCTGAGGGATCTATAATTGCAATTCATTGATCATTACAATGTTTTTTATGGAATGTGAAATTCTCATTCTGAAATTCATTTTCCTGAGACAATTTGAAAAAGGAAAAGAAACACCCATTGTCCTTGCTACCTATCAACATTTATTACAAAGGCAAGCAATTTAAAACAATAGGTAAGAATAGATAAATATATAAAAAATAGAAAGTGCAAGCATATTTATATATAAGTGTGTGGTTAGTAAATGATGGCAATACTGTTTAAAATCCGTGGGGAAAAAGTGGACTACCAAGTCTAATAGTGTAGGAATTTTTAGCTGTATATTTGGGAAATAAATTAAATCTCTACTTCAAATATCATTCATAAAAACAAATTCCAGATGGGTTACACAGTTAAACAACTACAATTTTTAAAAACCTAAAATAATATTAGAAGGCAGAATGTTTATGACTCAGAAGTAGGAAAGGCCAAAAATAAGAAGTGCATTTTAAACTCATTAAGATTGACAAATATGACATCAAAATTTAAAACTCTGTAAGATCAAAAACATTTCTAAAAAGTTAAAAATAGTAATAGACTTATTACCTTAAAATGTTTAATATATGCAAGAAACACATATTTATAACATATGTAATAGATAAAAGATCAATATTTTAAGTATATAAAGACTTCCTTTATTCAATCAAAGACAAACAAGAAATAGAAAAATGGGCAAAGCATTTGAGAAGGCTGTTTACAGTACAGTACAGATAATACAAATTGCTGGTTAACCTAAGACTGTTTCTCAATACATAAGACATGTTTAAACAGAAGATAATTTTTCATTTTGTGAACCCCATTTAAAAGATCAATTACATGATTTATAAACCACAAGAATGACAACATTTTCAAAGTTTGATTAAATTAGTGATAGCAGGGTGGTTTAGTGGGAAGGTACATTGATATACATAGGGTACATAAGGGCTTTGCAATAACTGTAATAACTAAAAATTAGCATACACTTTGCCTTAGAAATTATACTTCTTGCTAGTTTTATTAGGAAAATAACCACTCAGCTTCATGAAAAGGCTGATACAGGGATGTGCAAGGATATTAATTATAATATTATTTTTAATAATAAACATAAAATTAAAAAGTAAATAACCTAAACTCAATTTGTGTAAAAATGGCAGATGCTAAAAGAATGTGGGTGATACACATGCAGTGGCATTAAAAGATCTTCAAGACACATAATTCAGAGACAAAAAAGTTACAATATGATTTATGCAATGTAGTAAACTTATGCAAAACAAAAATAGGCTTTCACATCACACAAGCACAGGGCAGTGTATTTCTATAGATTAGTGATGTCCAACAGAACCTTCTAAGATGATGCAAACGTCCTATAATCTATGCTGTCCAATATGGGAGCCACTAGCCTTGTGTGGCTTTGGGTACTTGAAATGTGTCAGGTGTGAGTAAGGAGTTGAATTTCAAACTTTATTTAATTTTAAATCATTTAAATAGCTGCATGTGGCTAGTGGTTCCCACAATGAAGAGCACAGCTGAAGATGTGCATATACCCATATTAAGTCACTGATGGATGGAGGACTGTGTCGAGGTATTGAAATGTGTCACGTGAGTGTATTCCTGTACTACTTGTATCAGTGGAAAAGGAATGTTTACAAAGCAAAATACAATAAACAGCTTCCAAAAGATGTATCAGGTCTGTTGCAAAAAAAAGCCATTATTACTGGAATCACCTTTCCTTTGTAATGGGATGCCCCTGGAAATATGGGCGAGTGGCCAGCTGGCCAACCCCTACCTTACAAAGGCATGGCTAAAGAAGGCTAGTACTGCCAACCCGAGCTGGGCGCTTATTCTGGCCAGCAAAGTAGAGAAGGTGGAGGCATCTGTAGACTCCGGGCTGAACTGGAAAGACCTACGTGAGGAGCCAAATGAAAGAGCAGAAATAGGGCCGAAAACAGGAGGGTAAGTAGGTCACAGAGTCAGAATTCTGAAATAGCTGGGCCTGTATGTGTGAGTCAGTATGGGGTGGGGGGGTTGGGGAACAACACATGTGGGCATCATTGGCACCCTCTTATCTCCAAAGCCACAGGTATCTTAGTCCGAGGGTGGGTCATGCTAGCTGAAGCACTCAGTCACAGTGACAGTCCATTATTGCATTTATTTGAATGAGTGGCATCCGTTCACCCACGCTTCGTATCAGGAGACCATGTTCCCTATGGATGGCCTATCTGTATGCATGCGGTAGAGACGGGCTGAGCATAGAATTAGGACTGAGAAGAGAGTTTCCCCTTCAGAGCCTCTATTGTGCCCTGCAGACCAGTGGGAGGAATCAGGCAGTTGGATTTAATGATAGAGAAATGCCTCAGCGCTTCCTGAGTACTGCGTAGTAAAAGAAGGATTGCATTGGGCTGTTTTATAGAGACTTGCCATCCAGCTCTAAGTAGGAGCAGACATGTGTTTGTTTATTTATTTCTGCCTTCTTAAGGATAATAAAAAGATCATATTTAATGGGCCAAAGCCCATAGATAACAACATCCTGAATTCATCATCTTTCTAAAGCACAGGATCTGGCCTTTGGGAATAAACTTAAAAGCTGAATATTCTTCACCAGAAAATTTTGTACAAAGTGCTAGGTGCTGGATATGTGAGTAGATGACAAAAATGGTAATGAGGAAAGTGCTGTGACTAGGAATGAACAAATGCTGCAGGTGGTAAGTGAAAGTGTCCACACTGGTTCTTTGCCCAGTGCACTGACTTCTCGCCGCATGCTCAGCCTGCATAACTCACTGGACCGTGTTCGGGGATGCTGCAAGGGTAGGTGAGGCTGTCACGAACAGAAACCTGGGCAAAGAGGAATAGAAGCCAGGGAGCCCCCGAGCCCAGACAGAGTCCAAATGGGCTGTGGAGAAACCAGGCCTGGTCTGGTAGGCAGTAGGAGTGAGGGGGAGGCACAGGCCATCTCCTGGAGCCAGACTCCATACAGGGACACAGCCTCAGGAGTGCAGAGCAGTGAGCTGGAGACGAAGATAAAACCGGGGGTTGGGTGGGGCAGGTAGGGGTGGGCGGGAGGGGTTGGTGAGCAGCGAAGCCTGCCTGGGGAATAAGAAAAAAAAGAATTGACCTTTTAAGGAAATTGATTATTGAAATGTTGAAAGCCTCTATAGACACAGTCTAGGAACCCATGTGCATGATCAAGTCGAACACACCCCAAATGTATAGGAACTAGTGAAGCTTTTAGGGACTTTGGTAAACTTCATCGACTCCTCCACAAGTTGCAGCTACCAAAGCTCCAACTGTGCCCTCAGTGTTTGCTCAGAATGCTGTTGGGCTGTTGGACTGTCCTGGAGAGAGAGAGAGAGAGAGAGAGAGAGAGAGAGAGATAGACAGAGAGAGAGAGAGAGAGAGAGAGAGGAAGAGAAGAGAAGAGAGAGGAGAGAGACAGAGAGAGAGAGAGAGAGGGAGAGGAAGAGAAGAGAGGAGAGAGAGAGAGGAGAGAGAGAGAGAGGAGAGAGAGAGGAGAGAGAGAGAGGAAGAGAAGAGAGAGAGAGGAAGAGAAGAGAAGAGAGGAGAGAGGAGAGAGAGAGAGAGAGAGGAAGAGAAGAGAAAAGAAGAGAGGAGAGAGAGAGAGAGGGAGAGGGAGAGAAGAGAGAGAGAGGAAGAGAAGAGAGGAGAGAGGAGAGAGAGAGAGAGGAGAGAGAGGAGAGAGAGAGAGGAGAGAGAGAGAGCAGAGGAAGAGAAGAGAGAGAGGAAGAGAAGAGGAGAGAGGAGAGAGAGAGAGAGAGGAGAGAAAGAGAGAGAGAAGAGAGAGAGAGAGAGAGAGAGAGAGAACACGTGAGAGAGTCACCAAGAGAGGGCATTTACACATTTATTTATTAACTACAGAGCTGTTTGGCAGAGCCACAAAAATAAATGGTGCCCAGATATACCCATTAAGAATAAGGCTGGAATCTTACTAAGAAGTGAGATTCTCTGCCCTTCTCAGCCTGGGTTTTGTCTTAAAGAGACGCAGACTCATGGAAATGGTAGGAACTCTTAAAGCATAGTCGTGCAGAGTCTAGGAATGGATTGTTAAGTGGAAGGACAGAGTGAGTGAGAAAAGGAAAAACATGCAGAATATTAAAGATTTCCTTGTTATGTTAAAATGGAAAGATTTGAGGCTCAACTACACCATTCATTTGTCCTCTGAGCTCAACAGGTGAGGACCAAGAATGTATCTGGCCATATGGGGCAACCGTCCTAACAGGGACACAAATGGGCAAATGACATCCCTCACTTGTGAACTTCAGCTCCACAGTGACAGAAGGGAAGCTCAAAGAGCCCTCCCTGTCCAACTCAGTGGGTTGTGGTAAAGCCAAATCAGGCAGTTATTGGAGCCACAAAGCCAATACATAGGTGAATTTTTAACATTATCTCCTAGAACTGGGACAGACCAGCTCAGCCAGCTGCAACCAGGTCTTCCGAATGCTGCCTCTGAGCTTTGGTAATTCAGTATAAGTAAGGAAATCACATGTGAACCAAACACTGGGAATTTCTGAATCTTGACTACACATAAGGCCGTGAGAATGCTTCACAACATTTTATACCAGTTCCGCATACTGAAGAGGTCCATATGGACTCAAATTATCGTGACCCTTGTTCACCTACTATTTCTCAAGTGGAGTTTTTGAAAAGTGTGGATCTGACCCTTTGTGTAAAAATGTGCCCAGCAGCTCAGATTGCTCAACAAAAATACAAGGGCACTTGGGGCTCAACCATTCTCCAAACAACCACTTTCTCAACTTTAGAGTGTGCTATGGCTGCGTCTGCTTCCAATTATCCTGGGAAGCTACAACTGTGCCCTCACCCTTTGCTCAGAATGCTGTTGGGCTGTTGGACTGTCCTGGAGAGAGAGAGAGAGAGAGAGAGAGAGAGAGAGAGAGAGAGAGAGAGAGAGAGAGAGAGAGCAAGCGCACGCAAGAGTCACCAAGAGAGCGCATTTACATTTATGAGGCCATCAACATTTTCACCAGTGTGGCTTAGGAATAATGGGGACAAGGGTAACAATATTCCTTCAACAAGGATTTAATGAGCACTTTGATGTTTTGGAAACTATTCAAGGCATTAGGTAAAGGATGGTGGAAGAAGATAAAATGTCTGTCCCTGTGAAACTTACATTCTAGGAAGGCATATATATATATGTATCTCTATAACTATTATCTCTCTCTCTCTCTACTCCTTTGCCTATAATACCTCACTCATACCTATGTCTACATCTATGTATATATGTGTGTATACATATTTATGTATACATATGTCTACTCTTTTTACATCTGCTCTACCATATATAAGTACATATACATAGGCATATATACACCTACACATATACACATATGTGTATGTATATATGTATCTGTGTGTCCACACTTTACATACAGCAATAATTCTTATGAACAAAAATAAAGAAGGTTTAGGAATTAGTGCATGAGTGTGAGGTTGGTGGCAGGTTCTTTATTTTAAATAAGCAATCAGTGAATGGCACTTTGGAGAAGATGATACTTGAACAAAGGCCTGAATGGAGTGAGCCACGTACAGATTTGGGAAAAAGAAGTCTTCCAGATACAGGGAATGGTGGGGTAAAAGCGCAGAGATAAGGTTTCTCAAGGTGAATGAGCTCAGGCAAGCGTGTGGCAGTGGGGCCAGGCCAGGAGCCAGGGCTCTGTGCCAACTGCAGCATCCTGCTGCTGGGGTCTTCTTCCTCTGCCTCCACCCCAGGCAGATAGTGAGCTGCCCCAACCTCTCCCTTCTTCACCTGTAAGAGGTGTGCTCTCAGGTCCCAGGCAACATGCTGGGCCTCATCCCTGGTCCTTTCCCCTTCCTCCTTTCTTTCCCCATTGCCCTCTTCATGTAAGCTGAGCATTTCATTAATTCATTTTAAAACATCTTGTGGAGGTATGATAAGCACACAGAAAAGGGCACAGAGATGCACATTTGCATGGATTTTTACAAACTACACACACCCAGATGGAGACACTGTACATGATGCCCCATAAGCCCCCGCAATTTCTTGCAGTCTCCATCTCCTGAGAGTAACTAGCAACTTAACTAGGCCAGTTTTTGTAATTTATATAAATGGAATGATAAAGCACATGTCTTTTCTATCTGGCTTCTGTCACTGAGCTTTACATGCTATTGGTGAGCTGATCTGTGTCGTTCCATACAGTTGCACGTCACTCACTCTCATTGCCGTATGTACCCTGTTGTGGGAATAGATCACCATTTATTAATTTATTACTAATGGACATTTGTATAGTTTTCAGCCTTAGGGTATTATAAATAACACTGCTGTGAATGTTTTAGAATATGAGATTTGGTGAGCATATGTATGCACTTTTGTTGAGCATATGCCTAGGAGTAGAATTGCTCAGTCCTAGATGGGGTGGATGTTAAGATGGAGGAGATACAGCCAAAGGGTTTTCCAATGTTGATCCATTTAAAAATAATACTTATTGTTATGATAGAAATATATATTTATTGTTTGGAATTTGGAAAACAGAGTAAAGTAAAATAAAATAAAACCACATGCCATATTAGTCTTTATAATTGCAGAATTGGGATCATACTATGTATATATATATGATATATCTATATCTTTCTATTCTCATTTTACATTGTAGCATTTCCAATATTATTGAATGTTTTTCAAAAGCAAAAGTGTTAATGACATCATTTGGGTGTGTCAAAATAAATGTAATTATTTCAATTGTTTTGTTTTTATTATTATGAACATTATCACATAAATTTAATACACATGTGTGAATGTGTCCTCAGAATACATTTTGGAAAACAGAATTTCCAAGTCAAAGGGCTTTAAAACATTTAAAGCTCTTGTTTTATAATGCCTAGTTTCTCTCTGAAAATTGAAAAAGAAGTAATTTACAGTTCTACAGTACTTGGCTTATTCATTTCACTGACAACCTAAGGATATAATATGCTATTAATTAGCATTGACATAATAGCTATTAAGAGTAAATATTTGCATGCTAATTGGCCATTTGCACCTTTGGTAAATTCCTGGTTCAGATCTTTTGATCATTGTCTTGGACATTCAACTTTTTCTTAATGACTTGCTAGTAATTTTGTTTTCAAATGATTGACTTTATTGAGTTCCTTATTTTTAACCTACATTTTGCAGGTGCTAATGTTCTGTGAAGGAAGGCTTGTAGTCTAGGGGCAGAAAAGGCTTGAGAGTCACAATTTACCTTCCTTAAAAGGAAAGTGCATGTATGTTTTGGATACATATCCCTACCACTTATTTCTACTTCCAATGATATATTAGTCACCAATGCTTTGTAACTGGCATGGCAGTCAGAAGTGTGACTTCCTCCCAGTGTTCTTAAGTCCAGATAAATGGAAGATCTAGATGAGACTTAAGGTACTTCCTCATCCATAACCTCACTGCACAGATGAGGAAACTGAGGCACAGAGGATATCAGAGACTTGCAAAGGGTTATGCACCATAAATTGGTGTCAGGGAATTACAATTCAGGTTTCCTTCTATCTGTTCCCTCACTGGCTGTTGAGAGAAATCACCTCTTTCTATGCATTTCTTTTGTGTGTGTGCACATAGATGAACACACATTATGTTTCTTGTTTTCTGTGGCAATCCTGATCAGTTTACGGAGTGCTCTGGAAGCTAGGTGTTCAGCAGACCCTAAACACCCACACCTGGGAGCCCCTGCTGAATGCCTGGCCCTTCCCTCCTTGTGGTCAAGAACTGAGGCTCCCTGCCCCAGTGTGCTTCCCAAGTGGCTGGGTCAAACTCCAGGGCAGACATACTCATCCCTGTCCATCTTCTCTAGCTCTCTTCTGCAACTCTGGTGCCTGAGGCTGGTCTCTTTCGTGATTCCTTTCTGGTGCAAACTCTTGTGTCGAGGTAGAGCCTAAATGAGCTCCTGGAGCACTTCCAGAGCCCTGTGGGAAAGCCGGAGCAGACCAGTGCCAAATGGGCCCGTGTGCAACTTGGATGGGATCCAGAGATCTAAAGATGTCTGAATTCCTCTAAGCGCATCCTTTAGTAGACATTTCCCAAAGCAAGGCTGGCCCCTAAGGATGACAATGCATTAGAACTCAGTTTCTTGGCAGTGTTCTCTGTAAATCTATAAGGAAGTTTACTTCAAAAGCAAAAATCTGGGATATATCTCTGATCATAAAATTGGACTTGCAGAGAATTTCATAGTGGCATGAGACATTGAGGTATAGGGTTCATTAATGGTACTGAGCTACGCTTCATGGTTTGGCTGTGGGATGGATTCACCACCCTGCCCAGCTTAGAATCATCTGGCCTCAAGGTGTGAATTAGGGACTGTCAGGTAATTCAAGAAGGAATCTTGCAGAAATTTCTGAATTGTAATACATACATCGTTTTTAACTGAACTAGTATCAAATGGTTAATATATTAAAACTTTCCAGACTGCAAAAAATACACACATAAAGCTTCTATTATGCACAAATATAAAAACATTCCATGGTTAGAATGCATAATATATGATTCACATTTGTTTTACATGTCTTGCTTTGAGAAACTTAAAAGTATAAGTAAACCAGAGAACACTGGCTAATGTCTAGATTAAAACAATCTGTATGTCACTATTTGCTTTTCCATTTATAATTCAGGTAAAACAGAGGGTTTCTTAACAATAAGTTTCTTGGTTTTAGATTCTGTATCTATTTATAACACAATTTCAAAGCTATTTAAGAAATTGTTCAAACTTCACATCTTCTATTTAATCAAGAGGACAAAGTTAAGCCAATCCTTCCAAATGGAAAATAACATTAATCAAAGGAAAAGTATAATTTGCGCCAACTGCCACTGAAATTGAGTGATTAAAAGGAAAATACTCTCATGTATTCTCTCTTCTTCCCTACAGTGAAACTAGCCTGTGTTTTGTTTTTAGACTTTACCAAGGGAGATAACAGAAGAAAATAAACCTCAGCCAGAGGAGCTCTTCCTTCCAGCTGCCTGCGTCGTCAGTATTGATCACTGCTGAAAGAGCTGACTTGCATGGCACTCCCATGCTTGCTGGAGCCCTTGGCTTCTAGGGCTTCTCTATGGAAGCTGGGAAAGGATGTTGGGCTGAGCACTTTGTCTTGTCCCTCCATACCACTTATTGCCCACTTATAGCAACAGAATTCTAGACACCAGTTTCATTAAAATGAGCATGCCGATGTCTCCGAATTGGTCAAAATATCAGAATGTGCTTTGGGTCTATGCACACCAGCAATTAGAATGAGAATTTTGTGTCTGCTGCTGTTCAAACTCTCTGTAGCAAATGCTATCTGCAATTATGCACAGTTCAGCATTCAAAGTTGACTGTGGGATGTTATCCTGTCTCCTTGTATCTTCTGTTCTAGCTGTTAACATTGTGTGTTCATTATTAAAGAAAGAGTTATTGAAATATCAGAGGACAACTGACATTTGCATGCTGCAGAATGAACATGGGATGAGCATGGGAATGAGGAACAAAATATGCCCTGTTGACTTGCTGTGTGTCAAGACTGGCCGTGTGGTGAAGTGCACGTCACTGAAGCCCTTTCAGCCTTGCTGTCTATGTCTGTGCAATTGAAATCACAGCACTGATTTCAGCCTAACATGAAGGACTGATGGAGACTGTGAGTGAGGACGCACTCTGAAATAGACAAATGGAACAGAATAGAGAATTCAGAAATAGACTCACACAAATATGCCCAGCTGACTTCTGATAAAGGTGGAAGAGCAACTCATTGGAGGAAAAAAGTAAATACTGTCAATTGTGCAGAGCAACAGGGGATCCAGAGGAGGCATCTGAACCGCAGCTCCATACTGAGAGGACTGAAGACACCCTTGGTGGCCAGCGCCACTGGAGGATACTCCAAGAAAGTAAGTAGCCAGAAACATAAAAAGAAACGAGATCCTGAAAACAGGAAGTCAAACCCAGAGAGGCTGTAAGTAAATCTGAGGATGACAGCTCTGCAGCTTATCAAGAGAACAACCTTTGAGATTGTAGCAGCGAATCAGAAGACTCCAAGAAGGAAATCTCGGGGGGAAAAACAGCATTTCATGCCATTGCTGTTATATTGAGGTTTTGGAGGAACTCGAGGATGTATTGAAGGCACAGTATTTTTTTTTGACAATAGCAACAAGAAAGGCAATTAAAACTCCAAGAAAGTGCTGAAAACAGTGGCCCAAATAAAAGCAACACCTTATTTTAAGCAATTGATGCAGAATGAGAAAACAATATATTTTATCTGAACACTATGAACATTTGTCATCCAGGGATTATATCATGCACCCATACAGAGATATAATTCTGGCAGACTACTTTACCATGAAATGTACAATATTTTCAGTCATAACAATGTTAATATTATTACTTAACTTTTAAAATTTTGAATCCAACCATAGAGAAAGTATGGAAGACATAATTATGATTGCAAAACAGACTAAGATTGTTAAAACCACAACAAAAAGTAAAACTGACAGAAGGCAAAAGGTAGAAATGAGAGAGAGAAATATTTTCATCTTTCATGAGGGAAACCTAATGAAAATACAAGGAGTGGAGGTAGCCATATGTCCTTTAAATTAACGAATAAAACCATAGAACAAGGAAGAGATCATCTGTAGGTGAGTGGTTCCAAGCCCATACTCTGGTGCCAGCCAGCGTGGGTTCAAATCCCAGCCCTGGCACCTACTTGCTTCATTGCCTTGAGCAACTTAATTAAGCTCTCTGTTGCTTTTCCTCCTCATCTATAAAGGATAATTAGCAATAGCATCTACCTCGAGGTTGTTACGAAGATGAAATGAGTTAACATTTGTAAAGTTCTCAGATAGGGCTTGCAATCGTGAGCACTACGTAAGTGGCTGATAAATAAGCTGTGACATTTTGGAAAAGGCTTGCGCCGGGAGAGTCAGGAGTGCTGTGTTCAGGGAGCTGAGTCCTCACACACCTCGTAGGCACTGGCCTGGAGCTGGGGAACGAGGCATGGAAATATTTTCATGTTCTTAGATTTATGAAGAGATACACTAAGCACAGAAAAAGCTAAAGACGACAGCCTTAAGAAAAAGGACTGGGCAGGGGGACGGGATGGGGTGTGAGACTGTCTCTTTTTTGTTTAAAACATACACACACACACACACGTACACACACATATACATATGCACACACACATACACACATATATACACATGCACACACACGTATACACATGCACACACACCCACACACACATACACACACATGCACATACACATTGACAAGCACCAGGCAAAGGCCAGGACCAAGGCCTGGCAGATTTAACCCCTAAGGACAAGGAATTGTTTTCAGGTAAAGACTGCTCATTACTCGCATGAACAGCAGAAGGAAGAGCAGCCAAAGGTGTCAGTTCCTTGTGCCTAACCCAGGAGACACTGAGACAGAAGTGATCAGATGACAGCAGCCTGAATGACCAGATTCCTTGGCTGAGGAGCCAGGCCCAGACTACAGCTGAGGGCTTCCAGGCTGCAGCTGTGCCCTGAGGGGGTGGGGGCTAAGGCCTCCCACTTCATCAGAACTAGGGAGAGGACAAGAAACAGTCTCATGGCAGCCTCCAGGGAAGACAGGAAGGTGAGAGGGGGATGAGGGGAGATGGGGAGGGGAGATGTGGAGGTGAGAGGAGAGACAGGAGGAGAAGGAGGTGAGAGGGGGATGGGGGAGATGGAGGTGAGAGGGGGATGGGGGAGATGGAGGTGAGAGGGGGTTGGGAGAGATGGGGGGTGAGAGGAGAAACGGGAAAGATGGAGCTTAGGGGAGATGGGAGAGATGGAGTTGAGGGGATGGGAGAGATGGGAGGTGAGAGGGGATGGGGAAATGGGAGTGAGAGGGGGATGGGAGAGATGGAGGTGACGGGGGGTGGGGGAGATGGGGGTGAAAGGAGGATGGGGGACATGGGGGTGAGAGGAGAAATGGGGGAGATGGAGGTGAGAGGGGGATGGGAGAGATGGGAGTTGAGGGGGGACGGGAGAGATGAGGGTGAGAGGAGAAACGGGAAAGATGGAGGTTAGAGGGGATGGGAGAGATGGGAGGTGAGAGGGAATGGGGGGAGATGAGGAGGTGAGAAGGGGATGGGAGAGATGGGGATGGAGGGGATAGGGAGATGGGAGGTGAGTGGGATTGGGGAGATGGGGAGGTGAGAGGGGGATGGGAGAAATGGGGAGGTGAGAAGGGGATGGGAGAGATGGCGAAGTGAGAAGAGACACAGGGGAGATAGGGAGATGACAAGGTGTTCTGCCAAGACTTAGTTCAGCAGTTCAAACCTTACCTGTGTGTGTGGCTTATGTGGATGTATGCAAGGGTGCCATGGTTGTAATACACACACACATACACACACATATATATATACACACACACACACCCCACACATACACATGCATGCACATATACAAAAAACATGATTATGATTGAAAATATTGTTGAACTCATGGTCAAGTAGTCTTCCAAACACATGTATGTGTGTGTGTGTGTATGGCACATGGCAGTGTCATAGAGTGTGTACAGGGGGTGCCTACACAGGGAGCCAAGTCACTCAGGTGAGCAAGGGTGCAGCCAGGCGACCCTTCGTAGGCAGGTACTTACAGGGCAAGCCAGTGCTTGAGACAGAGAAGGATTGACTTCCTCCTATCTTGACCACTTAGACAACTGTCTTCAGAGCTGAAATTTACACTGTAAGTTCAGGAAAAGTCCAGAGCTCTAGGATGTTTTGAAAATGAATAATGGGAATGACTAATCTAAACTGAAAATGAATAATGGAAATCACTAAATTAATCTGGCTCATTACAAAATTGCATTTTCCCCCTCTAAAGGGTCCCTGGGAGTGACTGCAGTGGGCGCAGTGGGTGAGTCAGCGGGGACCATTGGATGACTTATTCTTCCACACCCGCAAGACAAAGCTGTTTCCCACAGAACAAAAATTGGCGGGAGCTGACTCCGTTCAGGAGGGAGAAATGAGATATCAAAAGAAAACTCTCTGAATTCCAATTTTCCATTCCTAAAAATAGGATTAAAAATTGTACCCTGCTCATGTCACAGGGTTGCTCTGGAGAGCAAATGAGAGTCAAACTAATTCAGGGCTCCCCTGCCCTGCACCACCTGTCCACAGCCCACGCACCATTGCCAGAGGTGTCTCGGGAGACGGGGGCCGAGGGGGAGATGGGAGGTGAGAGGAGAGATTGGGGGCAGTGGGGAGGTGAGGGGGGATGGGAGGAGACGGGAGGTGAGGGAGGATGGGAAGAGTTGGGGAGATAGAGGAGAAGGGAAGGTGAGGGAGAGACGGCCTCGTAGCAGTTCTTCACAAAACTTCAATAACTGTGGGGTCCTGAGAAAATGGGATCCGCTATTAAAATGATATGGGAAGCAATGAAAAGGAGCCTAATCCAAGAGTATGAATGCTTTTCTTACTCTGGAGTCACTCTTTTCAATACGGAGAATATGTTCAGCTTCATGAGCTTCGTAAAGACCCATGTGGGAGTTAAGCTGCTGAGTCCAGTTAGGGGAAAAACCTTACATAAGTATCTTAGCCTTCCTAAGTCTTCATTTCCTCAAATGCAAAATGCGGTAGATGATACATTCTTTGTTGGCTTGTGAGGATTAAATGAAATAATGAACTTTAATGCTTGGCAGGTGCTTAGCACATGTCAGGCAACAATAAATGGAGCTATTAGAAGTACCAGTATTACAGGAAGAGAATTATTATTAGAAAATCGTTCCTAGAAGATAATTAGATTATTATTATTAGAAGTGCCAGTATTCCATATAATGACCCCCAATAAAGATGGTAATAGGGTCAGGTGCAGTGGCTCACACCTGTAGTCCCAGTACTGTCAGAGGCCAAGGCAGGCATATCACCTGAGGTCAGGAATTTGAGATCAGCCTGGCCAACGTGGTGAAACCCTGTTTCTACTAAAACTACAAAAATTAGCCAGGCTTGGTGGTGGCGTGCACCTATAATCCCAGCTACTCAGGAGGGCTGAGGTGGGAGAATTGCTTGAACCCAGGAGGTGGAGGTTGCAGTGAGCCAAGATTGGGCCACTGCCCTCCGGCCTGGGCAATAGAGCGAGACTCTGTTTCAAAGAAATAAAAAGAAAAAGATGGTATATGTGCCAAATTTTCTTTATCCAGTGTATCATTGATGGGCATTTGGGTTGGTTCCAAGTCTTCACTATTGTAAATAGTGCTGCAATAAACATACATGTGCATGTGTCTTCATAGCAGAATGATTTATAATTCTTTGGGTATATACCCAGTAATAGGATTGCTGGGTCAAATAGTATTTCTGGTTCTAGATCCTTGAGGAATCGCACACTGTCTTCCACAATGGTTGAACTAATTTACACTCCCACCAACAGTGTAAAAGGGTTCCTATTTCTCCACATCCTCTCCAGCATCTGTTGTTTCCTGACTTTTTAATGATTGCCATAGTAATTGGTGTGAGATTGTATCTCATTGTGGTTTTGATTTGCATATCTCTAATGACCAGTGATGATGAGCTTTTTTTCATATGTTTATTGGCTGCATAAATGTCTTCTTTTGAGAAGTGTCTGTTCATATCCTTTGCCCACTTTTTGATGGGGTTGTTTGTTTTTTTCTTGTAAATTTGGTACATATACACCATGGAATACTATGCAGCCATAAAAAAGAATGAATTCATGTCTTTTGCAGGGACGTAGATGAAGCTGAAAACTATTATTCTCAGCAAACTAACACAGGAACAGAAAAGCAAACACCGCATGTTCTCACTCATAAGTGGGAGTTGAACAATAAGAACACATGGACACAGGGAGGGGAACATCACAGACTGGGACCTGTCAGGGGGTGGGGGGCAAGGGGAGGGAGAGCATTAAGACAGATACCTAATGCATGCAGGGCTTAAAACCTAGATGACGGGTTGATGGGTGCAGCAAACCACAATGGCATATGTATACCTATGTAACAAATCTGCACGTTCTGCACATGAATCCCAGAACTTAATGTATAATAATAATTTTAAAAAAGATGGTAAAAGGTACATGAATCACCATGGACTGCACTGGGCAAGCCATTTTAGTGCTGCAAATACGCAGATACATTCCTCTCACATATGTACAGTGTTTTCTCCTCTACAGAGTGTGTCTTCACTCGAGCTCCACCAGTCCCCTGTGTCCAGGTGAGGCAGGCATTGTTGTTCTGGTTTCATTGACCCAGACCTGCACTTGGCCATATGGCCAGCAAAGGTGGGGCTGGTTCCTTCTCCTCAGCCTATGCTCATTCTGTAGAACACAAATGCCTGTTGTCCTCTGATATTTCACTAAAGTCTTCTCCATCTAAATCTTACTCTTCTTAGTCCTATGATCAAAGCACTTTGCTTCAGAGTTTTTCTTTTCATCATAGAATGTCAAATCTGGATGATGGCTTAAAAGCCAACTCTCCAAACCCCCTAACATACGCTGGAAACTGAGGTTCCTTCCTACACAGGGAGCTACTCAAAGTCACAAAGGTGGTAAATATTGATAGTAGAATCCTGACCGTCTGTGTTTTAAGGAAATGCCCTTTAAAATATACCCCATGGCTTCTCAGACCCATTGACTCATTTCTGTGTCTGTGTGTGTGTGAGCATGTTTTGCATACTATAATTGTAAATGCTATGGCTTCTGACATGTCATACCAATTTATCTGACCTTCCCAGCACCGTAGACCAGGGTGTCCTTACTGTGCATATCCAGTGCATCCAGCCTCCCTGGGAAAGTGGGTAGCCGACATGCTGTAATCTACTCACACACACAGGCAAGCTCTTGTGATAAAATGCACTCTAACCAGAGTCACTGAGCTATGTAGACTTCCACAATCATTAAAAAGGTGCAGCAGGAATTTTCTGTAGGCTCCTGCCAAATTGGCAGAGGACTAAAGGAGCTTGTCTAGCACAGATGCCCCAAACCCTAGATGTTGCTCCTCCAGGGAGCTGGAGACTATATTGGTGAAGTGAGAAATTTACCCCAATCATGTAAAGCAAATAGTGGCATCATCAACCCATCAACAGAAGTCAGCAGGCTCATGAGGAATGAAATATTGTTCAATTCACCAATCTAAACAACCTTGGCCATGGCTGGGCAGATTGTATAAACAACTATTAAAACCTCTCTCCTCCATGAAATATTCACCTATTGTCTGCTGCCAAAACCAATAAACTGCTTTCTTGGCTGAGTCACCCAAATATTTCCTTTGACAGCAGCAGCTTTCAACTCCAACTGCAAGGCCAAGTTGCATGACAAATATACCACGAGGCCTATATTTGGATAAGTATGTTTTCTACCAACCCATTAAAAACATACCCTGCTGTTATGGATGAAATGTCAATAGTCCTTGGAAAGCACAATGAAAAGAACATCGAAAGGAACCATGGATCATGTTTCCATGGCTCTGAAACCTGTAGGTAGATTTTGTTAAAAAAAAACTTCAATAGTGTTACAAAGCCATGAAAAAAGCCTTTCTTGTCCCTCCATGACTGCCCCTTCTGTGTCTACATAGGCATATATCATCTCATCTTTGAATTGTGTGCTGGAGACAGTGGCAAAGCCCACAGGACCTGACTCACAGATGTTTTTGAGGCCTGATGCCCTGTCTTGTAATGAGGGCCCTACATTGAAAATGGTCTGGAATTTATAGACTGCGAATTACCCAAGGTTCAGATGACATTGTTCAGATTCTCCTCAGAAGGGTTCGACACAGGTTGACAGAGTTCTAAAGGCATCATCTGTGGGTATGGCACATCTGCATTTCAGCACAATTAGACCCCCATGTACCTGAACCATGTAGAAAATGTCAAGCACAAATTCTCACAGTTATCATGACTAGGGCTGTCTCATCAGAATACAGAGGTAATGCTGAAATTATAAAGTTTAACATGTTAACCATAACCATTTTCTTTCAACTTCAGACAGGTAAATGAGACCAAGTTGTGCTGCATCATCTTTCTTGCATAAACCATACCTATAATAATGTGCAATTATTTAAAGCAGAACTCTTGCAAAGCAATGTAGGTACAGAATTTTGCTGAAGTTTTTGAAATAAACTTTTTTCAATACTTTGCTGTTGTTTCTCTCATTCCCAATTTGAGAAGAATTTCCTTAAAACTTGGCTGTATAGAGTTCTTCCAAAATATCCAGCTTAATTTCATTATATTCAACAGCTCTCTTTTCATACTGGTATATCAATTTAATAATACTTGATTATCACATAATAACATATAATTGAGGCAAACTCTTCTGGAAGGTGCAGAAATTTGTACACATGCTAATGAATGGTTTTCTAGTCCCAAGTTTTCTGCATTGCCGTATACGTTGTTCAATATATTTGAAGAGAGAATGGGAAACATTAATCAATTCAGCAGGTTGACTCAAGCATGAGTAAGGTAGCTTCCACTATGGTAGTGTTCATGAAAGAAAGAAAGAGAGAGAGAGAGAAAGAAAGAAAGAAAGAAAGAAAGAAAGAAAGAAAGAAAGAAAGAAAGAAAGAAAGAAAAAGAAACTGGGTGGACTGCTTTTCACTCTTTGCTTAAAAAAATTAATAGCATTTATTTTTTAGAGTAGTTTTAGCTTCACAGCAAAGTTGACTGGCAAGTACAGAGAGTTCCCACACACATTACCCCCGGCAACCCTCCAGCCTCCCTCACCATCAGCATTCTCTTCCAGAGGGCTCACTCATGACAATTGGTGAACCAACATCAATGCACCATTGTCACCCAGAGTCCATTAGACTTCACTGGTGTACATTCTATGGGTTTTAACAACACAGAATGTGATTTATCTACCACTATAGTATGAATATACCAGGATAGTTTTATTTCCCTAAATCCCATATGCTCTACCTAGTCATCCTTTTGTCTGCCCAGCCCTGGCAGTACCTGATCTTTTTAGTGCCTCTATGGTTTTGCCTTTTCCAGAATGTCAGATAGTTGGAATCATAGTGTATGAAGCCTTTTCAGATTGTCTACTTTCACTTCATAATATGCCTTTACACTTCTTCCATGTCTTTTGTGGCTGGATAGCTCATTTCTTTTTAGTCCTCAATAATAGCCCATCATATAAACGTACCACAGCATATTTATCTATTCACCTAGGACATCTTGGTTGATTTATACCTTTTTTAAATTAAAATTTTATTTTAAGATAATTGTAAATTCACACTCAGTTGTTAGAAATAACAGAGAGATCCCATGTACCCCC
The DNA here is from genome assembly GCF_000001405.40 of Homo sapiens. NCBI lineage: Eukaryota > Metazoa > Chordata > Mammalia > Primates > Hominidae > Homo > Homo sapiens. The sequence continues at coordinate 44,750,974 of NC_000010.11, read as the reverse complement.
ACAGTTTCCCCCAGTGGTGACCACTTGCAAAATTATAGTATAATGTCACAATCAGGTTATTGACATTGATACGACCCACTGATTTTATTCAAATGTCTCCAGTTTTCCTTGTGCTCATTTGTGGATGTACTTAGTTGTATCTAATTTTATTACATTTGTAATCACATGTATCCACTGTCACAGAAACTCCTGGACATCTCTGGCACCACGAAGATCACCTTGTGGCCCTTTTATAACCACACCCACCTGTGTCCCCTTTCCCTCCCCCCATTCATAATACCTGGGAACCACTCATTTGTTTTCCATTTCTATAATGTCATTTCAAAATATTATATACACAGGATCATACAATATGTGAGCTTTTGTTAATAATACCTTTATTGAGATATAATTCACTACAAAATTTAACCATTTAAAGTGTGTGATTCAGAGGTTTTTTGTGTATTCACATGAAACCAGGTTATTGACTTGTTTCTAAAATACTGTAAAATGTGAGACCTATATTTTTATATTACTTTTTTATCTATATGCAATGTGATTCTTGAAATATTTGGATATTAACAAATTACCACTATCTATTAATAATTACAAAATATTTAGATACCCCATATCCATTAGCTGTCACCCCTCCCTCCAGCCCTTGGCAGTGACCAATGAATGGCAGTAATGTGATAACTTGTGGGAGGGAGAAATTAGAAATATTCTGGTACTTGCACTGCATATGAAGCTCTATAGTGTGATCTGAAGGTAAACTTAGATTAGATATAGATGAATATTGGAAAACCTATGGCAATTACTATAAAATAAAAAATAGAATTATAATTCACACACTGAGAGGATATAAAATGGAATTATATAAAATGGCCAATTAAAACCAGAGAAAGCAGAAAAATTGGGGGAAAGAAAGCACAAATACAGTTATTAGAAAACAATTAAAAATTTGTTAATAATCCAAATATTTCAAGAATTGCATTGCATATAGAGAAAAAGTACTATAAAAATATAGGTCTCACATTTCACAGTATTTATAAAGAAGTAGACACATAAAAGAGAATCAAATGAAGAGACCTCTGCTGTGAAGCAAAAACGTGAAGCAGATAAGTCAGCTTAACTCCACCTATTGCCATAAAATATCATGGAAAGGCAACACATTAGCCCATTTACTATTATGACATTTTGGAGGGAACTAAATACGGGCCTAGGAAACAAGGTGAGTAGTAAGACCACACCGACCATCTTGGATGGGAAGGAGAGCAGGCAGGGGCCTCCAGTTTTGTTTAAAGGTGCCTGGACATTCCATTCTGTGGACTCTGCTCAGTCAGTCTAAGTAGTAAATCATGTGCTTACATGTCCATGTTGCCACACTTGTTCCGTTAGCTGCTGTGGAACCCTGCCCTGTGCCACCCTGCCTTGAGGTCTCCTGTGGAGCCACTTCCTTTCAGGCAGCCTCTTTCCTTTCCAGATCCCCGTTCTCTCTTGTGGCTTCCTTGGCCTCACATCCACAGTGAACAGTAGCCCAGCCTCAGCCTCGGTTCCTAGGACCTCAGCCTGGATTAAAGGCTGGCCCCACTTGGACAGTTTTGTGGAATGTCCTCTCAGCGCATTTACAATCAGAAGAGCTGTGGCTCCTGCATTTCCGACTATTGCACTTCTCTCAGATGGTCAAGGACGCGGTCCATGACCATAGCCGGAGGAGTCTGTCCCGAGAGGCATTCCAGTGAATGCTTAGGGGAAGAGCAGTCATTCACTGAGTGGAAACTGTTCATCTTAGCTCTTCCTAAGAGCCTTCAGCTGCTGGGGGCCATGTGTCCTTAAATAGCTGGCCAGAGGTTGCTACTCAGTTTTCACACCTGGATAATATGTTATTTAAAGATACAATACAGAAAAGTGAAGAAATGATTAATACACAAGTCAAGATAGTGCTTATGCCTTGTTGGGAAAAGGGATACCACTGGCACACTGGGGGCTTCTAAGGTACTCATAATGTTCTATTTCTTAACCTAAGTGGTGGCTTCATGGGTTTTGTAGTCGTGTTCTTAAAACATATATCTCCTGAGTGAGTGAACATAATTTAATAAAAAAAAAAAACTATATCTGGGAAGACAACCCAGATACTAGCTACTGGGCAAAACCAAGTTTTTCAGCTACCAAAGTAACCCCACTCTCCATTCTTAAGTAAAACTCACTCACCCTGGGCTCCCACACACCATTTATGTCTATTTCAACATCTCAAGGTATTCAGGGCTACTCTACCTCCTCTCTCACAACTGGCCCTGAGTTCCAGCCTCTGTTCTCCTTTTCTCACATCATGTTCATAGAGGCAGGAGGCAAAGGAATTCTAGGCAGACATGGGTGGGTCCCCAGTGAAACCCCATCTTCAAGCAAAAGTAGCCTGAAACCCATAGCCCAAAGTGAGAACTTCTATTTTTGTTTGCCTGCTCTCTCCTGATTGGTTCTTTCTGAATAATGTCTTTTTACCAGTCAAATGTTGCCTTTTCCAAAACTACCTACAGCCCACCCTGCCCCCATCCTGTGCCTATAAAGACCCCAGACTCAGTAGATAGAGAGGAGAGATGGCCTCACTTTGGGGAAGAGAGATGGCTTTACTTCAGGGAAAAGACAGTCGGACTTCAGGGAGAAGAGACCTGACTTTGGGGAAGACAATCTGCCCTTCCCATCCCCTTTCCAGCTCCCCTCTTTGCTGAAAGCCATTTCCATCATTTAATAAAATTATCTACCTTCACCATCCTTCAGGTGTCTGCATGACCTCATTCTTCTTGGATGCTGGACAAGAGCTCAGGACCCACTGAGGGCGGGTACACAAAAGGCTGTCACATCGGCCCTTTGCTCTCACTGGCAGAGGGAAGCCCCCTGGTGCAATGAGGCAACGGGCCAACTAAGCTGTTAACACACAGCCATCTGCAGATGGAGGAGCTAAGAGAGCACTGCAACACTCTCTCTGGGGCTTTGGGGTCACAGGCACCCCCACCTGGGTGCGGCCGTGGGCCCTGCATGGAGCTTGTTTCCACTGGTGCCTGGAGCAGCTGGCTGGATCTTGCACTCACTCGCTTTACATGCTTCCTCCTGCAAGTGGTTAAGTGCGGTGGGCTGAGTAAATGGGGCACCCTGTTGCGAATCCAATGAAGGGGCTGAGAAAAATCCTGCACCAATAAAATACTTTTATTTCCCCAGTGCCACCACATCCAGGCTGTATGTGAAGTGACTTTACCAAAGGAGGGGCGATAGTAAAGATTACAGCAGACAAAAGCACATTGAGCAATGGAAACTTGAACACTAGACTTCCCTGTTATTAGCAGTCCTGCAGACATTTTTCTCTGAGAAGTTTTGAGTGGTCTCCTAGGCTCTGCTGCCCACTATACTGATACTCTAAATACTGTGCTTGGTCTCCAAGACCTCCTTATCTGTGTCCCTTGTTGGTTGCTTTTGGCTCCAAAGAGCCTTGTTCATTACATGGACCAATCTGTCTAAACTCTCTGCCTGCAACCATATTCAGATGCAGCCATCCAGGGATTTAATGTGCTTCCCCACCGTAGGCAATCACTGCTTGTTTCTTTGTCAAATGCTTACCTCTCAAAACACATCCACTAAAGTGTATTCCTCAGTAACACAATCTGTCCCTGGGAAAAATTCTGCTGTTGGATATTAAAGGATACTTTTCTTCCCATATATATTTATGGTTGAGAAATGCAGTATTTATTTTGAGAATGGAGGGTTTGCGCAGTAGCAGTCTGAAGCTTTCTTAATTGGTTGTACAGCTCTGATTTAAAGAAGAGATCAGTTCATGATTCTTTGTGCACTGGGTGGGTTGTAATCAGAAAGAGAATTGATGCATAAGAAGAGGGGGACCTGGAACCAGACTGGAATTCAGATACTCCCTGGGGCCTCTTTAGCTCAGTGCTTTGTTAATGTTTTAAGGAAGTAAATAGTTAACACCAGAATCATAATTTGTGTATATAATATGTATTTTATTACAGTTTTGGGAACATATTCATGCTTAAATTAACTCTTTGGTAAATAGTAGATGGTTCATCTCAAAACATGCTTCTGTCTCCTTTTTCTTATGTGCTTTGTGGTTCTGTTCCTTAAATTGATATATTCTTGTTTCGTAAAATGCAGAAAAAAGTAAGGGATATAAAAATTTGTGATAATATTATCCAGGAAACTATATTGACTTCATACATTTTGTTGGTGCTATTTTTTATGCTTTTTTTTTTTTTTTCTTTTGAGACAGGGTCTCCTTCTGTCACCCAGGCTGGAATGCAGTGGCATGATCTTGGTTCACTGCAACCCCCGTCTCTCAGGTTCAAGCGATTTTCCTGCCTCAGCCTCCCGAGTAGCTGGGATTACAGGTGTATGACACCACGCCTGGCTAATTTTTGTATTTGTAGTAGAGATGGGGTTTCACTATGTTGGTCAGGCTGGTCTCGAACTACTGACCTCAGGTGATGTGCCTGCCTCCGCCTCCCAAAGTGCTGGGAATCACAGGCATAAGCCACCACACCCAGCCTATTTTTTATGTTAGTTTATGCCTTACTATATTTTTAAACTTAAGTTTTTATTGAGAATATGATCTTTAAGGGCTGTTTAACATTTCATTATGTTTCATAAAGTATTCTATTATAGATTTCATTACTTATTCCACTACTGTTTAAAATTTCTAAACCAAAATAAAATTCTAAGGACTCCCAGCCATCTAAATGGACTTCCTTCTCAGCCAGGGCTCTTTTAAATTTAACCTGCGAGACTGTTTCAGACCATGACGGGAAGTGGGAGTCAGACATGCCTCATTACACCTCCCTGGCATTAACATCAACACAGACTTCAAGTCTGATAAGAAACATGTAACAACCAATTCTCTTTGAAGCCTGCTACCTGGAGGCTTCATCTGCAAATAAGAACTTTGGTTTCTACAACCTCTTATCTTAACCCAAACACTCCTTTCTATTGATCCCAGGGCTTTAGATAAACTCAACCAACTGTCAACCAGAAAATTTTAAAATCTACCCATAAGCTGGAAGCACCCACCCCACAGCCCCCTTGATCTTTGAGTTTTCCTGCCTTTCTGGATCAAACCAATGTATTTCTTAAATATATTTGTATTTGATTGAAGTCTCATGTCTCTCTAAAGTGTATAAAACCAAGCTGCACCCCAACCACCTTGGGCACATGTTCTCAGGACCTCCTGAGAACTGTGTCACAGGCCTTGGTCACTCATCTGTCTCAGAATAAATCTCTTCTCACAGAGTTTGACTCTTTTCATTGACAATTTTTTTTTTTTAGACGGAGTCTCGCTCCGTCATCCAGGCTGGAGTGCAGTGGCATGATCTCGGCTCACTGCAAGCTCCGCCTCCCGGGTTCACGCCATTCTCCTGCCTCAGCCTCCCAAGTAGCTGGGACTACGGGCGCCCGCCACCACACCTAAGTTTTTGTATTTTTAGTGGAGACGGGGTTTCACTGTGTTAGCCAGGATGGTCTCGATCTCCTGACCTCGTGATCCGCCCGCCTCGGCCTCCCAAAGTGCTGGGATTACAGGCGTGAGCCACCGCGCCTAGCCTTGTTGACAAATTTAAATGGATAATTTCTGTTTGTTTTTGTTTGTTTTGTTTTGTTTTTTGAGACAGAGTCTCACTTGCAGTTGCCCAGGCTGGAGTGCAGTGGTTGGATCTCTGCTCAATGCAACCTCCACCTCCCAGGTTCAAGCGATTCGCCTGTCTCAGCCTCCCGAGTAGCTGGGATTACAGGCACCTGCCACCACGCCCGACTAATTTTTGTATTTTTAGTAGAAACTTAGTTTCACCATGTTGGCCAGTGCTGGGATTACAGGTGTGAGCCCCCACGCCTCTTTTTTTTTGGAGACGGAGTCTCGCTTTGTCGCCCAGGGTGGAGTGCAATGGCGTGATCTCTGCTCACTGCCACTTCCGCCTCCTGGGTTCAAGCCATTCTCCTGCCTCAGCCTCTGGAATAGCTAGGACTACAGGTGCACCCGCTGCTGCCCCCGGCTATTTTTTTTTGTATTATTTGGGATTTCACCATGTTGCCCAGGCTGGTCTCCAACTCCTGAGCTCAGGCAATCCGCCCGCCTCAGCCTCCCAAAGTGTTAGGGTTACAGGCATGTGTCACTGCGCCCGGCCGATACTTTTACACTATAATCAATTATATGATAAAAATATCCTTACAAATACGTATCTATGTCTGTAATAATAATCTTTCTTAAGACAAATTACTAAAAACAAAGCTACTGTATTAAAAAGTGAATGGTTTTAAAACTCATAATATAGATGATAATTTTTATTGTGAAAAAGTTATATTAATTAACACTTCCAGGCTAACTTTTAATGTATAATTCTGGGTAATTTGATTTGAGAAAATAGAATCAGGTTGCAGTTTTAATTTCCACTGCTTGGTTTACTAAGTTTTCCTGTGTGTGTGATAATAACTATTATTCATGTTCCTTACTTACTTGTTTAATGAGATTTCTCATTTCATTAAATTGTCTAATCCCTTTCTATGTTTAGAGTAACACTTTATGAGAATGGAACAAGAAACATAATGGACGCCTACCTGAGGGTGGAGGGCGGAAGGAGGGTGAGGATCGAAAAACTACCTATTGGGAACTGTGCTCATTACCAGCATGACCAAATAATCTGTACACCAAACCCACGTGACACATAATTTACCCATATGACAAACTGCGCAGGTACCCCCGAACCTAAAATAAAAGTTGGAAAAAAAGAATAACACTTTATGTATCATTTTGTTTTGCTATATCATTTGCATTTCAATCTTGCAGATTTTCAGTTTTTATTGGTCAAATCCCATCTATATTTCTCATGTTGTAATTTTTTATTTCATATTTAGAAAGTTTTTTCCATTCTGAAATAAGATCAGTTCAATATATTCATCTATTATTTTAATACTTTAATTTTAATACTTAAGCCAGTGGTATTAGACAGCAACTTTTATTGAAGCAGCAGTGCACAGCAGCAGCAGAGGCACTGCTCCTTGTGGAGCAGGGCTACCCCATGGGCAGTGTGCCCAGAGCAGCAGCTCAGAGGCAGTCCTTCAGTCATATTTATACCCACTTTTGTTACATACATAAGGGGTGGACTATGCAGAAATTTCTAGAAAATGGTGGTAACTTCTGGGTTTTCTGGTTTTTGCCATGGAAAGGGGTGGTAACTTCTGAATGTTGCTGTGGCAATGGTAAACTGACACAGCACACTGGTGGGTGTGTCTTACAGAAAGCTGCATCCAACCCCTCCCTGTCTTAGCTAGTCCTCAATTTGGTTCAGTGTCTGAGCCCCACCTCCGGAATTGAGCCCCATCTCCTACCTCAATAACTTTAATCCAGTCAATCTGACTGTAAGGCTTTCTGTCTTTACCACTATGTGATACACCAATGACCCACTCTATTTGTTATTACAATCTAGTACTTTAACTCCAAATTATTGTCATTAATTACTATTTGCATATTGGGTAGTCACTTTTACGTTCATGATTTTGAAAGTATGATTACTACTAATCAGGTTTATAAAGCTGATTTTATTCAAATTTAAGTTATTTAAATTTCAGTTATTTAAATTTTTTTTGGTTTAACTGACTTCAAATTGGCTTCGTTTCATTATTTTGACTCTTAACTCATCTTTCAATGAATTTTAGAAAGAATCCATGAGTTGTATGCTTTGTTAATTATATATATTTGAAAATACCTTTTGGTCTGTAATATATGAGTAAACAGCTTGACTGTGTATTGCATTCCTGAGTCAAATTATTTTCTCCTCTAAGCTCAGTACTTAAAACTTTATTGTTTACTTCAATTTGCTGTTGTAGAGTAGTCATCTGAGGATTCTGTGGATTTTATTATTACTATTGTTTCTTTTATATTAACTTATTTTAATTTCTGGATATAAGTGGGATTTTAAATTTAATCTTATATGCAAAATTTTGCTTTTTATCAATTCAATTGTGTCTAAGAGATAGTTCTATTTTTCAGCAAAAATAACAGTGATTTTGTTTCTGATTTTATTTTTGTATTACAATTATATTCTTTTATTCTTTATTGTTCATTTGTTTTGTTCCTGGAGAATTCTTATCATTCTTATATTAGACCTGTTTTCTATGCTCCATTTTAGTCATCAGTTCATTGTTGTTCTTCATTCTTTATTTTATTTTTGCATTTTAAGAAAATCTTCTAAAGTTTCTCAACTTATTTACTTAAAATAGTCATTTTCTTAAGTGAAAATTCTCTTTTGCTCCTTTAAGTGTTACAAGTTGTTAGAGATTCTGTTTTCCAACAAGTATTTCATTACCTTCTTGAAGAGGGGCAGGACTGCTCTAATTTATGAGGTAAGTTATCGGTGGACTACAGATCCTTCTTCTCGGTCTAACCTCAACCTCCTTGTATTTAAAGTTAGCTCCTCCCAGATTCTGGCCACAAGCTGTCAGTTTCAGTGTTTGATGGTAGTGTTAGGAGTTTCCACTTTCCTTCCCCACCTGCGTCCTGACAGGTATATGAAGCTGAAAACCCTGCAACTCATGTGGTATTGTAAATCACAGCAACTGCCACGTTGCTCTTTTTAAAGTGAAATTCACACAACATAAAATTAATCATTTTAAAGTAAATATCTCACTGACATTTAATACATTTGCATGTTGTGAAACCACCACCTCTATCTAGTTCCAAAACATTTTCATCACTCCAAAATGAAACCCCAGACCCATGAGGCAGTTACTCCATATTCCCTCCTCTTCCCAGCTGTTGGAAACCACCAACCTGCTTTGTGTCAGTGAGGAATTACCTAGGCTGGATATGTCATCTAATATAAATGGAATCATAAAAGATGTGACCTTTTTGTCTGGCCTCTTTTGTTTAGCTTTTGAAGTTGATCCATGTCATAGCATATATCAGAACTTCATTCCTTTTTATAGCAGAATAATACTCATATTTATATCTATGTATCATATTACAGGATTTTAAAAAATCCATTCATTTGTTGATGGACATTTGGGATGTTTTCATTGTTTCTACTTGTGACTATCGTGTATAGTGCTAGTATGAACATTCACGTACAATTATTTGTTTGAGTACATGTTTTCAATTCTTTTTGAGCACATACCCAAAAGTGGAATTGCTGGGTCTTATAGTAATTCCAGGTTTAATACTTAGAGGTATTGCCAAGTGCTTTTCATAGTAACTGAATGTTTTACATTCTCACCACCAGTGTACAAGAGTTCCATTTTCTTCACATCCTCATCAATATTTTTCTTCACTTTTAAAATGATAGCCATTCTAGTGGGTATGAAATGGTGTCATGTTATACTTTCAGTATGCATTTCCCTGATGACTAATGATGGTGAACATCTTTGTGTTACTTTTTGGCCACTTGTTTTTCTTCTTTGAAGATATGTCTACTCAAGTCCTTTAGCCACTTTTTAACCGAGTCTTTTGTTCTTTTGTTGTTTAGTTGGGGATTTTTTATGCATCCATGTTCATAAGATGAACATTACATTATGTTCTATGCAATTTTCTTCTTTCTTGTAATGTCTGCTTGGTTTTCATATTAGCACAATGTTGACCTCATAAAATGAATTAGAAAGTGTTCCCTCTGCTGCCATATTGTGGAAGAGATTTCAGAGAGCTGGTATAATTTATTCCCTAAATGCTTGCTAGAATTTAACCCATCTGTGTCTTGTGCTTTCCTTTTTGGAAGATTATTAATTATTGCTTCAATTGCTTTAATGTATATACACTTATTCAGAGTGTCTATTTCTTTTTTATATGAGTTTTGCAGATTGTGCCTTTCAGGGAATTGGTCCATTTCATCTAAGTTATCAAACTTTGAGACATAGAGTTTTTCATAGTATTCTTTTATTAGCTTTTTAATATCTAGAGGAATCTGTAGTGATGGTCCCTCTTTCATTTCAGATATTAGAAATTTGTGTCTTTTCTCTTCTTTTCTTAGTTGGCCTGGAAAGATATTTATCAAATTTATTGATCTTTTCAAATAACCAACCTTTGCTTTCATTGATTTTCTTTGTTAATTTCATATTCTCAATTTCATTGATTTCTGCTTTAAATTTACTTTTCTTATGCTTACTTTGGATTTTATTTTCTTTAAGTTTTCTAAAGTGAAATCTTAGATTTATGAATTGAAATCTTTTCTAATGCATGCATTCAATGTTATACATTTCCATCTAAGCACTGCTTTTGCTGTGTTTCACACATTTTGATAAGTTCTATTTTCATTTTCATTTAGTTCAAAATATTTTAAAATTTCTCCTGAGATTTTTTCTTTGATTAAACTGTTATTTAGAAGTATGTTGATTAATCTCCAAGTATTTTGAGATTTTCCAGCTATCTCTCTAATATTTAGTTCTAAGTATTCTTCATATATTCTGGATACTAAACTCTTATCAGAAGTATGATTTGCAAATATCTTCTTTCCATTCTATAGATTGTCTTTTCACTTTTTTGACAATGTCATTAAATCTTTTCAATTTTGACAGAGTCTGATTTATTTTTTCTTCTGTTGTTTGTGCTTTTGGTGTCCTATCAAGGAATTTATTGTCAAATCTAATGTGATAAACATTTAACCTTGTTGTTTCTTCTAAGAGTTTTATGGTTCTAGCTCTTACATTTAGGTCCTTAATGCATTTGGAATTAATTTTTGTGTATAATGTGAGGTAAAGGTTCAACTTCATTCTTTTTCATGTAAATATCCAGTTGTCCTAGCACCACTAGTTGAAAAGACTGTTTTTCTCTCCCCTCAATGGTCTTGGTACTGTTGTTGAAAATCAATTGACCACAGATGTATAAATTTATTTTTGAACTCTTAAATCTATTGGTCTACATGTATAGCCTTATGCCTTTACCACACTGCTTAGATTACTGTAGTTTTGTGGTAAGTTTTATAGTAAAAACATGTGAGTTGTTCAACTTTGATCTTCTTTTTCAATGTTTTGACTACTAGGGGCTTCTTATAATTTTATATGAATTTGAGGATTGAATTTTCCATTTCTACCCCGCCAAAAAAGGCCATTGAAATTTTAACGGGAATTGCACTGAATCTGTAGATCACTTTGGGTAGTGTTGCTATCTTAAAGATACTATCTTCCAGTTCATGAACGTGGTGGGTGGTCTTTCCATTTAAGTCTTCTTTAAGTTCTTTCAGTAATGTTTTGTAGATTTCAGGTTATAAGTTTCAGGGCTCTTTTGTTAAATTTATTCATAAAAATTTCATTATTTTTGATATATAACAAATGGTATTGTTTTCTTAATTTGTTTTTTGGATAGTCCATTGCTGGTGTGGACAGAAATCAACACAACTGATTTTTGTGTGTGTTGATCTTGCAACCTGCAATTTTGCTAAATTTGTTTCTTAGCTTTAGTAAATTTTTGTGGATTCTTTGAGATTTTCTATATATAGAAACATGCCATCTTCAAGTAGAGAAAGTGTTACTTCTTTTCCAATATAGATGCTTTTTATTTCTTTTTCTTGCTTAAGCATGCTGGGTAGAGCTTTCTGTACAAAGCTGAGAAGCAGCTGTGAAAGCAGGCATCCTTGTTGTATTCTTGGTCTTAGCAGGGAAACTTTCAGTCTTTTACCATTGAGTATGTTGTTACCTGTGGGTTTTTCGTAAATGCTCTTTATCTTGTCAAGGAAGTTCCCTTGTATTCCTAGTTTTATGCATGTTCTCATCATAAAAAGTTTTGGATTTTGTGAAATGCTTTTTCTATGTCAGTTGAGACTATCGTGTTTTCTTGTTTGTTTTTATCTATTAGTGTACTGTAGTACATTGATTTTTTAATGTTAATCAACCTTGTGTTCCTGGGATAATTCCCATTTGGTCATGGTGTATAATCCTTTCATGCTCTTGTATTTAGTTTGCTAGTATTTGGTTGAGGATTTCTGCATCTATATTCATAAGGTATTTTGGTCTATAGTTTGCTTTTCTTGTGGTATCTTTGCTTAGCTTTGTGGGTAATTTTTGCCTTACAGAATGAATTAGGGTTATTCCCTCCTCTTCAACTTTTTTGAATAGTTTGAGAAAAACTGGTGTTAATTCTCCTTTAAGTGGTTGGTAGAACTCACCGTTAAGTCATCTGGTTCTAGACTTTTCTTTTTCTTTTCTTTTTTTTTTTTTTTTTTGAGACAGAGTCTCGCTCTGTCGCCCAGGCTGGAGTGCAGTGGCACGGTCTTGGCTCAATGCAAGCTCCAAGTCCCGGGTTCATGCCATTCTCCTGCCTCAGCCTCCCGAGTAGCTGGGACTACAGGCGCCTGCCACCATGACTGGCTAATTTTTTGTATTTTTAGTAGAGACGGGGTTTCACTGTGTTAGCCAGGATGGTCTTGATCTCCTGACCTCATGATCCGCCCACCTCGGCCTCCCAAAGTGCTGGGATTACAGGCGTGAGCCACCGCACCCAGCCTAGACTTTTCTTTATTAGGAGATTTTTGATTATTATTTCTTCTCAAGTTTCTTTTGGTAATTGTATGTTTCTAGCAATTTGCCTTCTATCTAGGGTACCTAATTTGATGTCCATTTGTTTTGGTCTTCTCTTATAATTCCTTTTTATTTCTGTAAAGTCAGTAGCAGTGTCACCACTTTCTTTTCTGATTTTAGTGATTTGCATTTTCTTTCTTTTTCTCTTGGTCAGTCAGTCTAAGCAAAATTTGATCGGTTTCACTGATTACACTTGCTCTTAATTATAATACTTGTTTCCTCATCTCCATAAAATTTGGTTATTTGTAATGAGAAGACTGTTAACCTGTTGGATATAATTATTATTTGAAATTACCCTTTGGTATCAGGTTGATTAATTTTTTCAAGATTCATGCATAAACAGGAAGCATTTCTCTTTGCCCCCTAAAATACTACAGAGATATTTGCTATCAGACATATTCTGACAATGCTATCTTTTTTATGAGGTCATATGGCTAAGTATTTTTTTTGTATATAATCTGCAATGACAAAAAATAAGGAAAAAACAAACAAACAAACAATCAAACAAATAAAAACACCCATTTTCTTTGTCTTCTTATGATATTCATGCCCAGATATGTTAAGGGATCACTCTTCAGTTCAGTCACCATGTCACATATGGTGATAGAGTCAGACAGGCCTGTGCTCCTGCTCAAACTCTACCACACAGCAACTATTTTATTTATCCAGTTAATTACAGCATATATTTGTGGTATCATGGTTAAATGCCTCACTCTTTGGAAAGGAATGCTTGGGTTCAAATCTTGACCTTCTCATGGCTAGATGTGTATTTTTGGGTCAGTTAAGAATCTCTTTCAGCATCAATTCCCTCACATGTAAAATATGAGACTTAAAATTTCCTTACTTCAGAAGAATGAAACTAGACCCCTATGTCTTGCCATATACAAAAATCACATCAAAATAGATTAAGGACTTAAACCTAAGACCTCCAACTATGGAACTACTGCAAGAAAACATTAAGAAAAATCTCCAGAACATTGGTCTGGGCAAAAATTTCTTGAGCACAGGCAACCAAAGCAAAAATGGGCAAATGGGATAACATCAAGTTAAAAAGCTTCTGCACGGCATAGAAAACAATCAGCAAAGTAAAGAGACAACCCACAGAATGAGAGAAAATATTTGCAAATTACCCATCTGATAAGGGATTAATAACCAGAATATATAAGGAGCTCAAACAACTCTATAGGAAAAAATCTAATAATCCAATCAAAAAATGGGCAAAATATTTGAATAGACATTTCCCAGAAGAAGACATACAAATGGAAAACAGGCTTATGAAAAGGTGCTCAATATAATTGATCATGAAAGAAACGCAAATCAAAACTACAATGAGATAACATCTCACCCCAGTTAAAATGGCTTATCAAAAAGACAGCAATAACAAATGCTGGTGAGTATTTGGAGAAAAGGGAACCCTTGTATATTGTTGGTGGGAATGTAAATTAGTACAATCACTGTGGAGAACAGTTTGGAGGGATCCAGCAGTCCCACTACTGGGAATATATCCAAAAGAAAGGAAATGAGTATACAGAAGAGATATCTGGACTCCCATGTTTGTTGAAGCTCTGTTCACAATAGCTAAGATTTGGAAGCAATCTCAGTATCCATCAACAGATAAGTGGATAAAGAAAAGATGGTGCATATACACAGTGGACTACTATTCAATCATAAAAATAATGAGAGCTTGTCATTTGCAACAACTTGGATGGAACTGGAGATCATTATGTTAAGTGAAATAAGCCAGGCACAGAAACATCACATGTTCTCACTTATTTGTGGGATCTAAAAATCAAAATAGGCCAGGCATGGTGGCTCACGCCTATAATCCCAGCACTTTGGGAGGCCGAGGCGGGCAGATCACCTGAGGTCAGGAGTTCAAGACCAGTCTTGCTAACATGGTGAAACCCCATCTCTATTAAAAATACAAAAATTAGCCAGGGTGGTGGGAGGCGCTTGTAATTTCAGCTACTCAGGGGGCTGACGCAGGAGAATCACTTGAACCCGGGAGGTGGAAGTTGCAGTGAGCCGCGATCACACCACTGTACTCCAGCCGGGGCTACAGAGAGAGACTCCATCTCAAACAAAAACAAAAAAATCAAAATCAAAGTAATTGAACAAATGGAGATAAAGAGTTACAAGGATGGTTACCAGAGGCTGGGAGGGTAGTGAGGGGCTGTGGTGGGGGAAGGTGGAGATGGTTAATAGGTACAAAAAATAGAAAGAATGAATAAGACCTACTATCTGATAGCACAACAGGGTGAATATAGTCAATAATAACTTAATTGTACAATTTAAAATAAGTAAAAGAGTGTAATTGGATTGTTTGTAACATGAAGGATAAATGTATGAGGGGATGGATACCTCATTCTCCATCATGTGATTATTATACACTGCATGCCTGTATCAAAACATCCCATGTACCCTGTAAATATATACACTTACTATGTACCCACAGAAATTCAATATTTTAAAAAATTGCTTACTTCACAGAGCTTCATGTTCCTTAAATGAGATCATCTACATAAAGTCCCTGACACATAGAAGGGATCAAAAAATATCTTTTGTCATTATTATTTTTATCAACCATTAACAGCCTCGACATACTTACACATAAGTTGGGAATAATAATAGTACCTGCCTCATAGCACTGGGAAGGGTTTTGGTTATCTATTGCTGAGTAGCAAGCCCACCCCAGCTTAGTGTTATAAAATGTACAGCAGTTTTAGTGCTCCCAAGAGATGTGGGTCAGGAATTCAGAAAAGGCACAGCAGACAGGGCCTCAGCTAGGGACACTTAAATGGCTGGGGCTGGAAAATTCTGAAGGTATCTTTGCTCACAGGACTGGCACCTACACTTGGTTTACTCAGAGGGTGGGCTCAGATTCAGCTGTCCACTACAGTTGGGGTCCCCAGCCCCCAGGCCACGAACCAGTACCAATCTGTTAGGAGCCGGGCTGCGCAGCAGGAGGTGAGCGTCAGGTAAACAAGCGTTACCACCTGAGCTCTGCCTCCTGTCAGATCAGTGGCGGCATCAGATTCTCATAGGAGCAGGAACCCAAAGGGAACTGCACATGCAAGTGAACTAGGTTGTGCACTCCTTATGAGAATCTAACTAATGCCTGATGATCTGCGGTGGAGCAGTTTCATCCTGAAACCATCCCTCTCATCCATGAAAAAATTGTTCACAAAACCGGTCCCTGGTACCAAAATGTTGGGAACTGCTGCACTAGAGTGTCTACATGTGGTGTCCCCATGTGGCTTGGACTTCCCATTGAATGGGAGTTGGATTCTAAGAGGGGGCACCCCAACAGGGAATATTTAAGGAGACCAAGACCAAAGTTATAAATCTTCAGGGCCAGCCTCAGAAGACACGAGCATCCATGCTGCCACAATCAATTGGTTGCAAGTCTGTCACTAAGGCCAATTCAGATTGAAAAGAAAGGACATTGATCCCAGCCTTGATGGGTTAATGGCGATAGCACACTGATAACGTGCATGTAAGATGGGGGAATATATTGTGACCATCTTCAGAAATTACAATATGTCAGAAACAATGTGTGTAGTTCACTTGACACAGTGCAGATTCACAGTAAGAATTCAATACAAGCTGTTGTTATTGCTTTCATTATTGTATTAACCTGAATTACAGACAAATCCCTACTTTTGATGGACTCATAGTCTAGTGGATGAAAAAATAATATAAGACAAGGCATATAATATGTTATGGTGGTATCCCATAATGGTTACGATGGGTTCTCAGAAACCTGTGAGTGTAAGGAGAGTCTCACACTCAAGGACTACAGCTTCACCCAAAGCAGTCAGAGAAGACTGCATATGCAAGGCTTTCGTGGGCCAGAAAGGAAGTCCCAGAGCAATTCTGGTTCCTGTTGTCCAACCTCAGGCAGGTCTTTCTCACCATGTTAAAGCCCCAAAGCCTGCCTGGACATTGCTGGAGCAATGTTCACAAAGTTGTCTGATTGACCCATATGCAATGAGATTTATAAACTGGGAATTCCTGCTTCTCTGGCCAATGACAGAACCTATTTTAAGGCCAAAGAGATAACTCAAAATATTTGTCCTTATTTATCCAAAGACAAAACAGGAGGGTGAAAAAGCTCACTCTAACTGGTAAAGCCACCCTTGCAAGCAAGGAGTGTCCACCTGGTGGTCAGGGAAGATTACTGGCAGGAGGATGCTGGGTGCAAAGCTTAGAAAGATTGTGGCAAAAAGAAGAACAAAGACTCTGACAACTCTCTCCCTGTCTTATTCGTTCTTTGTGTTACAATTAAATGGATGTTTAACAGATCATCCTTCCATGATTTTCTATACCCACCGAAATAACAAGCTCTTAGGAAACCAGACATTATGTCTTTGTAATTTCACTGTGTCAGACTCATTCTGGGCTCTCAAATACTTAACAAGTAAAGAAAGATCCTTTATCTTCCTGTCCAAAGACAAACCACAGCTTATCTTTTATACTTTAATATTTAACAAGAACTTGCCATACTAGTTTCCCAATCCCCACATCACAGTTTTTGGGAAAAATAGCCAATACACAAAATGTCATGTTTAATCAGTGTGTCGGTGCGTGTGTGTGTGTGTGTGTGCATGTTTATGTGTATGTATTACAGAAGAAAGTCAGTGGAGAGATTGATGGAAACAGCCTCATCTAGATTTCCTTAATGGAATAGATGTCTGGCAGCATTTTTCATAAAGCTAAGGTCTCCAGGAGTGAATTGGAAAGAAGGCACCCATCTTGACGTGCTCTTTTCTTGTCCTTGGAGATAGTAATTGTTCTTTTCTCTTTCCCCCTACAAGCATTCTCAGTGGGAGTCTCAGATGACTAAGGTGATGAAAAAATAGTTACACATGTTTTTCTTTTGCCCCTAAAGAAATATCCTGGGCTAGTTCCATATTCTTTCAAATGAGTTTGGCTGGAGAAGGAGAGGGAAGGATTTTCATGCATAGCGCTTGAGTTGTATGTTAAATTGTCTGCAGGAGGTTAGAACTGGGAGTACTAGTATCATCTTTAAAGTAGTCTTCAAGGATTCCATCACAGCTGCTCAGTAGTTTTGATGTGACATTCTTGAATATCTTCTTTTCAAAAACCTTACATTAAAGTGTGCCAATGCATAGAATTCATTATACATGCTGGAATTCATTAAATATATAAATTGCCTTCTGGATCATTGCATTTTTATACCACCTACATGCACATTAATGCCTAATTTGAAGTCAATCTGTTTTGGAAAATGCCTTCTTCATGGTAAATTTTAATTGTCATTAGTTGTTGATGAGGGATTAGAAAGGAAATGTGGTCCATGGTGCCAAGGCAGATGTGCCTGTAAGTGTGGACCACTTTTGGAATCAAGGCAGAAATGCCAAAATACAATTTCACCATATTCCATTTTCTGAGGAATCACCACATAATGGTGTGGGATATTTACGTTTCATGTCTATATTTTATGAGGCATTGACAGAATGAGAGGTGGCCAGAAGAAAGAACAAATTTTCCTTGCAGAGGCAGCTGTAAAACAGTCATGTACAGCGATTGCCCAGTGTATATAATTTTCCAGACTCTTCCAAAAGTCTGTTCTGCAGGATATCTTACTCTACCTAACTAAATATAATTTCAAATATTGGTAACATTTAGTGGCTAATCAAAAAGAAAGTTATCCTTAATTTGAAAATATTATTTTGGCAAAATACCTCTCCTGTATTTAATCTAAATTTGTTGATAGGATTATTTTCTTTACCTTTGTTATGGCACGGATTCTACTTTGTGAAATCTTTATTTAAATAATTATTATTTTATTATAACTGTCCTTTAATTAGTTATGTTTTATACCTTTCTTATGGCCTTGAGATTGTTGTTCTTTGTGTTATAATTAACTGGATGTTTAACATATCATCCTTCCATGATTTTCTATACTCACCAAAATAACAAGCTCTTAAGAAACCAGACATTGTATCTTTGTAATTTCTCCTTGTTAGGCTTATTCTGAGCTCTCAATAAATACTTAAGAAGTAAAGAAAGATCCTCTATTTTCCTGTCCAAAGACAAACTACAGCTTGTCTTTTATAATTTAATATTTAACAAGAACTTGCCTTACCAATTTCCCAATCCCCAAATCACATCACACAGCTTTTCGGAAAACTATGCGATCTATGTGATTAAAAATCAAATTCATATTGTAGATCAAAAATATCTCTCTTTAAAAAAGTAGGTTGAGGTCTTGACTTCCCGAACAGTGGAGTGAGAATCTAGGTGAACTCATCTTCCCTCTAAAATAATAAGAATTAAGTCAACACAACTAAAATCAACCATTTCAGACTCAGGGAGTTAACCAAAATCATTGATGAGGCTCAAAGTTGTATTTCCAATAGAGACTACTATGTCTTGGTAAGACAGTGAAGTCACAGCTGAACCTAGGTAGACAGTGAAGCCTGTGACAGTTAACTTGGGTTATTCTCATCTGGACTCGCTACTCTTCTCAGAGGCACAGGAACCAAAATCTGGCAGCTTTGCTGACAACAAAAAATATTTGACAGCATCTGGAGGATTACTAAATGTATTATCCACAGAAAACAGTCAAGATTTTGTCTAAAGTTGCAGTTTCCTGGGAAGTCTGCATTTTCAGAACGGGGCGTTAAATGGTTTAACTCAGAACTGAGCTCAGGGAAATTGGTGGGGGACCTACCCCCAGGACATTACCTAAATAAGAACAAACTGCTGTCAACATCTCAGCTATCTAAAGTTGTGATCTCATTTGAGGTAAACTAGAGCCAGGATGAGAATTTAAAAGGAAATTCTGGACAATAAGACAGCCCTAGGGAACTCTGAAAAGCTCTAACATGTTCCTGGGGACATAAAATACTGTGCATTTATGTAAGGCTATGTGCATGACCAGGAAAAGACCAGGGAAAGAAGGTAACATGCCCGCTGGGTGACCTTGAAGCCTCACTGAAGTAAAAGTGAAAGCTAAGGCTGTCTTGTAAATTGCCTGAACTTTTAAGGCATGCCTTCTCACAAATAGCTTTGGCAATGGGTGAAAGACATACAAGCAAAGCATTTTATAAAAAAACTCTTTGGAGCGATCATTGGGCTGACCACTAAATTATACAGTGCTGATCCAGGTGTGAGTTCTAGGAAGCCAGGCTGAAAACTAAAATCAAGAATTTATGTTTTTTTTTAAAAAAAGTAGGTACAAATTCAGAGGCTACGCACTCCTGGGTATGCAGATTTAGGCCAGGAATGTCACAAAATAAATACTCAACAAGAAAAAAGAACCACAGCAATAAAAAACCAGTAACAAATCAGCCACAGCAACAAATGTTGAGGAACAGAGTAGAAGAATGTGGCACCAGAATTGTCATCATATATTAACTAATGCTCAATTTTCAACAAAATTTTTTTATAAGACATACAAAGAAAGAGGTGTGTCACATACACAGTAAAAAAGAAAAAGTAGCCATCAGAAAATATTTTTAGTAGATGTAGACTTCAAATTAGTGATTAGAAATATTTTTTAAAATTAAAGAAAATCATATTTAAATAATTAAACAAAAATAGAACGATAAAGTCTCACCTAATACAAATACCAATAAAGATATAGAAATCATAATTAAAAAGTGGTAGAAATCCTAGAATTGAAAGTTACTATAACTGAAATGATAAATTCACTAGACAGTCTCAACAACAGATTTGAGCTAACAAAAGGAAAAAAACAATCAATAAACCTGAAGATAGGTCAGTAGGGATTATCCAGTTTGGATAGCAAAAAAAAGAAAAGAAAAGAAAAGAATGAAGAAAAGTGAACACAGCCTGCAGGACATCATCAAGAGTAACAATAAAAACACAACGAGAGCCTTAGAAGATGAGAAAGATAAAGGGGAAGAAAGAATATTTGAAAAAATTGTTACCAAAAATGTCCAGATTTAATGAACAATATTAATCTATACATTCAAGAATCTTGAACATTCATGAACTCCAGTAGACAAATCATAGTCAAACTGACAAAAGTTAAAGACAAAAAGAAAATTTCAAAAGCAGCAAGAGAAAGCAACTTATGAACAAGTAAACATCAATAAAAGTAACAGATGATTCTCATGAAAAACATGGAGGCTAGAAATTTGAGGGTGATGTGTACAAAATGTTGAAAGGAAATGACTATCAAGCAAGAATGTACATCCATCTAAATTCTTCTTCAGCAATGAAGGAAAATTTAGAACATTTCCAGATAAAGAAAAACTGAAATTGCCACTATCAGAGCTACCCTATAAGAAATCTAAAATGAATACTTCAGGTTGAAATGAAAGAAAACTGAACATTAACTTGAATCTAAATGAAGAAATAAAAAACATTGGTAATGTTATTTACATATATGTGACCAAAAACAATATAAATATTTTTCTGTATATAACTCTTCTTCACCTATCAGTTTAAAAAGATAACTGCCCAGAACAATTATTTAAAAAAAAAAACCTGTGTTGGTGGGCTTATAAACATAAAAAGAAATAATCTCTGAGATAATAATAAAAAAGAGAGGAAGGGAACAGTTTCTTGAAGCAGTTTTTGTATACTATTACAACTAATTTGGTATTAATTAAAATGAGATTTATATAAATTAAGATGCCAATTATAATCCCTAGGGCAATATCTAAGAATATACTAACAAATAGCTAACTAACAAACAAACCATGAGAGTTCAAAGACTACAGTGAACATTTTTATTTAACTAAATAAGATCATAATCAAGGAACAGGAAAACAACGAAACAAACAAGCAAAAAACCCCATAACATATAGAAAACAAATAGCAAAGCAGCAGATCTAAATTCTACTTTATTAGTAATCATGTGAAATGTAAATAATTTTAACACCTAAATCGAAAGGCAGAGATGGACAGAATAGATAAATAATGCTATATGCTCTTTTCAGGAGGCACAATTCAGAGTAAAAAAACACAAACAGGCCAACAATAAAAGGATAGAAAAAAACATACAATGTAAGGAGTAACCAAAACAGAAATGAAGTGCCTATATTAATACCATACAAAATAAAATTTATGGCAAAATTGATACTAGAGACAGAAGGATATTTTATAATAATAAGAGGGTCATTCCATGGAAGTTGCAGTGATTAGAAACATATGTGTACCTAATAACAGAGCCCTAAATTAAATTGAATGGAGACATGGGCAATTCATCAATAACAGCTGGGGATGCCAATAGCCCATTTTTAATAGTGGGTAGGAGAATCAGGTAGAAGATAAAAGAGGAAATAGAAGACTTAGCACTATGAACTAAATGACCTAACAGATATCTATAGAACACACCCTGCAACGACAGCAAAAATATATATTTTTCTCAAGTGCGTATGAAACATTCTCCAAAACAAACCATATGGTAGGCCACAAAACAAGTTTCAATACATTTGCAAAGACTGAAAGCATACAAAGTATCTTCTTTGGCCAAAATGGAATAAAATTAGAAATTAAAAAAGAAAAAAAATTTCCACTAACATGTGGAAATTAAACAAGCACTCCCTTAAATAACTAATAGGTCAAAGAAGAAATCACAAGGGAAACTAGAATATGCTTTAAATAAAAATAAAAACAAGACATGGGATACAGTTATAGCAATACTTAAAGAAGAATCTATAACTATAAACATCTACTTTAAATGTAAAGAGTGGTCACAAATTAATAATCTAATTTTCCACCTAAGGAAGTTAGAAACAGAACAACAAACTAAACCCAAAGCAAAGGTTTAAGAAAATAATAAAGATATAATGAAAATAAATAAAATAGAGAAAAGAAAATTGATGTAGAAATAAATAATGATAAAAGGAATTGACAAACTTCTAGAAAGGCTTATCAAGAAAAAAGACTTAAATTATTATGAAGGAGAATGAAAGATGGTCATCACTATTGACCTTACAGAAATAAAAAAGATAATAGGGAATATGACCAAATGTATGCTAAATTAGATAATTTAAATATGGAAGCAACTGAAACTAACTCAAGAAGAAACAGAAACTCTGAATAGACCTAAATAATAAGAAAAGAGATTAAATTGACTAGGCGGGGTGGCTCACGCCTGTAATCCCAGCACTTTGGGAGGCCGAAGCAGGCAGATCACGAGGTCAGGAGATCGAGACCATCCTGGCTAACACTGTGAAAACCTGTCTCTACTAAAAATACAAAAAATTAGCTGGGCGTGGTGGCAGGCACCTGTAGTCCCAGCTACTTGGGAGGCTGAGGCAGAATGGCATGAACCCATGAGGCAGAGCTTGCAGTGAGCCAAGATCGCGCCACTGCACTCCAGCCTGGGCGACAGTGAGACTCTGTCTCAAAAAAAAAAAAAAAAAGAAAAGGCATTAAATTAGTAATTTAAAAACTTTCAACAAAGGAAAGTTTGAACTCAGATGCCTTCACAGGTGAGTGTTACCAAAAATTTAAAGAAGAATTAAGCAATATTTAAGTTCTTCCAAGGAAGAGAAGATGAGTAACATTTTAAAATTCATTCTATAATACTAAAACTAGACAAAGACATTATGAGCAAACTACAGACCAATATCCTTATGAATTTAGAATCAAAAATCTTCAGGAAAATATCAGCAAAGCAAATTTACCACCATATAGAAAGGATTATACACCATGACTACCTGGAATTTATATCAGGAATGCAAGGTTGGGTCAACCAACTCAATACACTATATTAATAGAATAAACTATAAAACCACATGATCATCTCAACAGATGTAGAAATAGCATGTGAAAAAAATCTGACACATCTTTATGATAAAAAGAAAGCTCAACAAACTAAGAATTGAAGAGAATCTCCTCAATGTGATAAAGGACATCTATGAAAAACCCACTGTTAATATCATACTTAATGTGAAAGATTGGTTGCTTTTTTCTTCTTATGAGGAACAAGACAAGGATGTCCACTCTCATAACACTATTAATCATTGTATTGAAGATTCAGTCCAGGGAAATTAGGCAAGAGAAAAAGTCAAAGACATTCAGATTGGAAAGGAAGAAGTAAAACTATTTCTATTTCCAGAGGACAGATGACATGATCTTATAGGTAGAAGATTCCATGGAATTAAAAACAATAATAACCATGAACAAAATAAAGGGAAACTTAGAACAAAAAAAAGAGGTTCAGCAATGTGGCAGAATAAATGATTCATATACAAAAATCAATTGCATTTCTATGCACTAACAATAAATAATTCAAAATGATATTAAAGAGCAATCCCATTTAAATAGCAAGAAAAACAATAAGTATTTAAGAATAAATGTAATAAAAGTTCAAGACTCACACTGAAAACTATGAGATATAATTAAAAGAAATTAAAGTTCTAAATAAATAGAAAAACATCCCAAGTTTATGGATTAGAAGACTTAATGTTGTTAAGATTGCACACTCCCTACATTGATCTACAGATTCAAGATTATCCCTGTCAAAATCCCAGAGTTTCTTTTTTTGTTATAGAAATTGATAAGCTGGTTCCAAAAACCTTATAGAAATGCAAAGGACCCAGAATATCCAAAGCAATCTTGGAGAAGAACAAAGAAGAAGGACTCACTTGTCCCATTTTAAAAACAATACACTTTAAAGCTATAATAATATACTGTAAAGCTATAATAATGATGTGTTTTTTTGGTATAAAGATTCACATATAGTTTGTTGTAATAGAAATGAGAGTCCAGAAATTAGCCCTTGCTTTTATGGTCAATTGATATGCTATAAGGACGTTAAGACAACTTAATGGGGGAAAGAATATCCTTTTCAACGAGTGGTGCTGGACAACTGTATATCCACATGTAAAATTGAATTTTTACCCTTACCTCATACCATACATATAAATCAACCCAAAGTGGATCATATAACTATATGCAAGAGCTGAAACTATAAAACTTGATAAAAACAGGAGTACATCTTCACGGCCTTGGGTTAGACAATAGTTTATGTGACTCTACAAGCACAAGAGGCAAATGAGAAAATAGATAAATTGGAATTCATCAAAACTACAAAACACTTTTGTTCATCAAAGGATGTGATTAAAACAGTGAAAATATAACTCACACAATGAGATAGTATGGTTGGAAATCAGATATCTGATAAGGGACTTGTATCCATAATATCTAAAGAACTCTTACAATTGAACAATAAAAATACAATCAATTAATTTAAAAAGTAATCGTGGTTTGAATAAATATTTCTCCAAAGAAAATATGCAAATGTCAATAAACACATGAAAAGTTGCTTAATATAATTAGCATTAATGTGCATTAAAGAAATGCAAATCAAAACCGCAAGGAGATACCACATTACACTCACTATGATGGCTAAAAATAATACAATAAAAAGACAGACAATACGCTGTGTTGATAAGGACATGGAGAAATAGGACTCTTTATACATTGAGTTATCATAAGACTTGGCATTTCTACTCCTAGGTGTATGCTAAAGAGCAATGAAAACATATGTCTGCAAAAAAACTTGTACATGATTATTCATAATAGCTAATGAGTGAGAATAACCTAAATGTTTATCAACTGATAAACGCATACATAAAGTGTGTTATATACATTAAATGGAATGTTATTCAGCCATACAAGGGAATGAAGTGTCGACAGATGCTACAACATGAACGAACCTTGAAAACACGCTAAATGCAAAAAGCTGGTCACAAAAGACTAACAATATATGTTTCCATTAACATAAGGCACCCATAATCCATAGAAACAGAAGGTAGATTATTGATTGCCTGAGTGTGGGGTGGTGAGTGAAGGGAGGGATCAGGAATGAGGAAGTACTACTAATATGCACAGGGTTTATTTTTGGAGAACTGAAAATATTCTAAAATTAGACTGTGGTGATAGTTGCACAACTCTATGAATACAGTTAGAAAGCACTAAAGTCCACACTTTAATTGGGTGGATTTCATCTGTAAAATATATCTCAATAAGGCTGCACAAAATAAAAGAGACTTCATGGGAATAAAACCTTGAAAACAAGCAGACTGATTCTATAAAGTACAAGTCATATCCTTACTGTTGTTGATTTTCAGAAGTAATAATGACTTGTCCCTTGAGTTGAGATTTTATTTTGGGGCTGAGTTCTATTTGCTCTCCTGTTAACTGCTGTCTCCTTTTAATTTTTCAGGCTTGTTAGAAATCTGAAAGTCACAGGGAGGTGCAGTCCAAGCAGTGGCAAGTGAGAGAAATAGAGTTTACGTTTCCAATTTAAATTAACAGCACACATATAGAATTAATATGACTTGTGATCTTCGGGAGCAAATGAGATTATTTATACATTTGACAGTTTTGGAAAAACTCAAATTAGAATCCACATGGCCTCAAATAACTTCACACAGGAAACAGCAGAAATGAGTCAACTTTGCTAATCTGAGTTCTGAGCAGATCCTATCTAGAAAGACTGTGACTAGAAAGAAGCATAACAGCCAATCAGACAGCTAACACCCCAAATGCTTTGTCCTGGTTGGTTCTTGCTGGATAACAATCTAACTCTGATTTAGAGGCATACACACTAACCAAATACCTAGACTTACAGATTTCGTGGGTGAAGAATTTAGAGTATTGTGGAAATGGCTTTTCTCTGCTCCACAGTGCCCAGGGCTTCAGCTGGGTAGATTCAAAAGGCTGGAGGTGACTTCAATAACCAAAGGCTGTAATCATCTGGAAGCCTCTTTATAGACATGTCTGGTTCCTGGGCTGGGAAGACTTGAAAGCTGAACTTCGCACTGGGACTGTTGGTTGGAGGACCTCATGCGGCATCTCCACGTGGCTTGGGCATCCTTCCAGCATGGAGTTTCAGGGCTGCAAGACTGAATGTTTCAGCAGTGCCCTAGCTTCAGAAGGTATAATATAACGTGTTTCCTCTAGTTTCTATTGTTTGAAGAAGTCACAAACTCAGTGAAATTCAAGGAGATAGAACAAAGGTCATCTCATCTTTGTGGAGAGGATAAAGAATTTGTAGCCATGTTTTAAAACTGCTACACTTTTCAAGGGAGACAGTCATTCAAACAAAAAGACTAAGTGGCTAGGCGTATGCTTGCTCATTTGGGACAGAAATGATTGGACCTCACTAAGACCTATATGAAATACCACTCATATTTATATTGTATAAATGTGGAGGTCTAAATTCCTCCACGTTTATATTGTATTTGTGTTCCAGGTTCTCTGTTAAGAAATATTCACCTCCATACATTAATAAACTGGCAAGTTTGTGAAAAGTCAGTCTCCTGGGAGTTTGGTTGTGTGCATTGGTTCCCTGACTCAGAACCCTGGGGACCCTGATGCAAATGCACAGTAATTGAGGCCCCATGCCTGGAATCACTGTGGCCACGTCCAGGGTGCCTCAAATCAATTCCTGCTTGTTTTTATAAAAAATATTATTATAAAAGTTAAAGCTGAACTATCCTAATTTTTAATACCTTATGAGTCACACAAATAGCCCAGAGAACTCCCATCACCCTGCTGATACTTACTCCTTCCCATCCTCCCCACGGCCCCAGGGCTTTCTGTGAGAACACTTCCAGCCCAAGAGCTGAGTTTGGCAGCCATTGAGTCATAAGCCGTTTTCCAAGAAGGACACCGTGACTGTGATTTCTGGCCCAGAGAGCTCAGTTTGAAATAGATGAGGTGTCTGGGGAAAGCTTCAGGGAAAAGAGAAATGAGTAAAAGGGCTCTGGGCTGCACCTCCTGACACACTTCCCTTGACCTACCGGCCTGCAGAAGAGGTGAAGGTTTTGCTCCAGTGGCTCCACATTGGTCCCAGCATCGTCCAGTTGGAATACCTTTTGATATATGTTGACTACTCTCACATTGCAATACCAAGTTTATTTCCATAGCATGTCTCTCCTTTGAATTTTGCTGTCTCAAGTGGTGGAGAAACATTATTTAAATTGTACAAAAACAACTCCATTCCTTGAGTTGCAGGCCAAGGTCTTCACAAGCCAAAAAAAAAAAAAAAAAAAAAAAAAATGAAAGCTCTTCCTAAGATGTAAAATGAAATGTGAAATGATAGGAAAATCTGCGATGTTTCATTGTATGGTATTTCAAGGGAAGTCCAACATTTTCAAGCAACAAAACGCTAATGCTTATGACCTGTGGTAGAAAAAGAGAAGTAAGAGAAAAGTCTGTGCAAACCACAAATCAAGGGTATTAGACCTTGTCGTCCACAACAGTGCTTATTCTGGGAAAGTTTATTTTCCTCCATGATCATCAATTATTAAAATTTACTCTGCCCTCACAAGGCCACAGATAGGGGAGGGAAAGAGAATCCTTTTAGGTAATTGTCACTAATAAAGATTGCAAGGTGGTTGAGGTGACTGGGGAAGAGGGGCAGCTGAAGTGAAGCTAAAATAGAAAATCCCAAGGAAAAGGGGAAGGTCCAAGAAGAAGAGCGTCAGGCAGAGGATAAGTCAGAATGCTGAGCAAGGAAGAGACCAAAGGCTCCAGTGCTTGTAAGATAAGAGTGCAGGTTCCATAAAACCTTGAGAAATTGGTGTCACCTTTCTTTGGCTGTCTCTTCATCCATAAGACAATGATTAGACCCTACCTGACGGGGCTGTCATGAAGATTGGGTTAGGTCATGTGTGCCATGTGTTACATCTATACATACGTGATGCTTGGCAGCATGCAAGATGCAAAATAAAACACACAATAAGTTGCACTTATCATTGTCGCTATTATTGTCACCATTGCCATTACATATTTCATTTCTGAAAATAAAATGTGTTACTCCAAGAGGCACATTGATAACGTAGAGAATAAATGTTGCAAAAAGAGGCCATGTCACTGGTGGGGGAGGGGAGGAAATGAAGAGACTGCGTCAGGCACACCTTGCTTTTAAAAAACGTTGCTGGCCAGGTGCGGTGGCTCATGCCTGTAATCCCAGCACTTTGGGAGGCCAAGGCCAGCAGATCACTTGAGGTCAGGAGTTCAAGACCAGCCTGGCCAACATGGTGAAACCCTGTCTCTACTATAAACACACAAAAAATTAGCTGGGTGTGGTGGTATGTGCCTGTGGTCCCAGCTACTTGGCAGGCTGAGGTGGGAGAATCACTTGAACCTGGGAGGTGGAGGTTGCAGTGAGCCGAGATCATGCCACTGCACTCCAGCCTGGGTGACAGAGTGAGACTCTGTCTCAAAAACAAAACAAAACAAACAAACACACACAAAAAACATTGCCTTGCAACAGAAGCAACAGCAAAGAATTTAGGTAAAATCAATGGATGAAACTCTCAGATCAGTATCTGTGGTAGGCAGAATAATTCCTGAAAAGGATGCCACACCCACATCCCTGAAACCTGTGTATATGTTATGTTATATGGCAAGAGGGACTCTGAAGATATGATGAAGATAATGGATCTCATGATGAGGAGATAACTTGGGATTATCTGGTTGGGCCCAATCTAATTACACGATTAATAGTGGAAGAGGGAGGCAGAAGAATGGTTCAGAAAGATGGAATGTGAGAAAGACTCAACCTGCCAGCGTTGTTGGCTTTGGAGATGGAGGAAAGAGACCAAAAGTCCGGGAATGCAGTGGTCTCCAGAAGTGCGAATGCCTGTTAGTTTATAACCAGCAAGAAAATAGAGACCTTAGTCTCATGACCACAGGAGCTGAACTCTCCCAACAGCCTGGAGAAACGGAAAAGAAATTCTACCTCCAGAAAGGAATGCAGCTTGCTGATACCTTGGTTCTAGTTTGGTGAGTCCTGTGCTGGACTCTCATCTGTACAGAACTGTAATATAATTAATGTATATTTTAATAATGCACATTAATTTAGTTTAATACTAGTAAATTTTTGGTGATTTCTTATGACAGCAACAGAAAACTAATACCTTATCCAAAAATAGAAGATGTTCCCTGAGGAAGCAGGGAGTTCTGAGGAAGAGAATTAACATTTGGATATCTCCTATGATCCATACACTATTTTATTTTATTTTTTAAAACTCTAAATAACTCAGTGAGCCATGCATTATTGTTCCCATTTATGAATGTAAAGACAGGTTCAGAGTGGAAAACTAGGAAATAACACAACACTAAAACCGGGTGTTCCTGACTCCAAAGTTCATGGTGTGACCAGTTTATCGCTCTATTTCTCCCATGCTTGAAATATTTAGGGGGCTTAATAATTTAACTCAGAACCTTTGAGGTTCGCTAAACCTGGAAGAGCTCCAGGTGGGGAGGGATAGGTGACTGCATTTTTCCAATTGTATCTCTTGGCCTGATTGGATCATTGGAGTCCTTACTTATTCTTACAGCTGGCCCATATTACCTTTTTACCTGTAAGCAAGCCCACACCTGGGATTTTCTAAAAATAGCTGAGGAAGACTGGTTCATTAAAATGTCTTTCCAAAACACTAAAAGACAACCCAGGGGATAAATACAAACCACAGGAGAAATGCGGGTATTTCTCCTGGAAAGCCAAACATTTGGTTTCTACTAGATACAGTTCATGCCCCTACCGCTGCTGTCCCAAGAGAGGCCTGCTCTCTCCCCTCAGTGACAGGCCTTGTGTCTTGGTTTATGTCCTAATACATGGTCTAATTCACATAATAAAACTCGGGAGCAGCTGAAGAGGGATCTTAACTTTTTCCTTGAAAATAATAGAAGACAGATCCCATCTCTCACCTCTTGATTATCTGTCCTAAGACTTTTTTTTTTTTTTCTTTCCTGGCTGGGCACACTGTCTCATGCCTGTAATGCTAGCACTTTGAGAGGCTGAAGCAAGAGGATCATCCCAGGCCAGGAGTTTCAGACTAACAGTTTCAGACCAGCTTGAGAAACATAGTAAGAGCCTGTTTCTACAAAAAATTAAATAATCAGCCAGGTGTGGTGGTGTGTGCCTATAGTCCCAGCTACTTGGGTGGCTGAGGCAAGAGAATCCCTTGAGCCCAGGAGGTCGAGGCTGCAGTGAGCCATGATCATGCCACTGCACTCCAGCCTGGGCAACAGAGTCACTCTGTTTCTAAACAACAAAAGAAATACATTTTTTTCCTAAATGAATGATTTCAGGTGTCATTTCATCCTTTGATTTAGATCCTGCTATTATATAAAATGCTGATCTTGTTTCATACACATCCACCCAAAATATTTATACAAAGTTTCCCAAAGTATGATATTTGTGTCCCTAGAAAGCCTCAAGATGATTTAAAATGGTATACAAATCCATACTTTTATTTTAATAATTATGTCATTATTTAAAATGTATAGTTATTTTAATATGCGTGATAAAATTGTAACTAGTGCCTAAAATGATAATTTAACTGACTTGAATAACTTTTAAAAGGAGTTTAATTTAAATAAAAACGACTTTTGCATTCATCCATGAAGAAGTGACTCTTATGAAGGTAATGACAGTAAAATAACAACAACAATAACAACTAGAAAACTGGGCAAAATAGATGAAACATCTGCTTTCAAACACTGGGCAATAGACAGGACCAGACTATGACATGTGAGTAAATGGAAGCAAAGGAGGTAATCCCATGGTCACCCTGCTATTCTACCTGGGAGTAAGTTCTGGACCACGACACAGGGAGCAGAAACTCAAACAGAGCCTGGGATCTCTCTGAGTTCACATGTCATAGATCAGAGTTCAAGAAGGATGAGGCAGTTAGAATTGGTGGGACAAAGTACCATAAAGTAAGGACTTAATTACACAGTGGAAAAGCTCCAAAAAGCTGAATTGAGTCTTTGGCTGAATACTAATCTTTTTTTTTTTTTTTGAGACAGGGTGTCACTGTCACCCAGGCTGGAGTGCAGTGACACAATCTCAGCTCACTGTAACCTCTGCCTCCCAGGCTCAAGTGATCCGTCCACCTCAGCCTCCCAAGCAGCTCAGACTACAGGCATGTGCAACTACCCTTGGCTAATTTCTAAATTTTTATAGAGATTGGATCTTCATATATTGCCCAGGTTGGTATCAAACTCCTGGGTTCAAGCAATCCTCCTGCCTCAGCCTACCAAAGTGCTGGGATTACAGGCATAAGCCAGTGTGCCCAGCCTGAATACCAATTTTAATATGCATATGGCAAAACTTTACAAGACCAGACAAAGAACACTGCTAGGAAAATAACATAGACAGTGGACCTGTAAGATGAACAATTCCTAAATTTTGCACAGTTTGAAATCATTCAATATTTCACTATCCAGTGTGAAAGAGACTGGTTGGATACAGGGGGCATTTAGTGATGATCCCAGAAACATCATCCCATAGTAGTGGGAATAAAGTAGCCCAAGACCTGCCCTAGAAAAGGTTAAAAATAAGACTCGAAAGGATTAAGCTACACTGTAAGTAGTTTACTGCCTTACAGAAAAAAGTAACACTCATTAGAGGAATACAACAAGATCCAGAGAACTAAAAAACAAAACCTACTATGTCTGATACTCAATAAAAAATTGCCAGATATATATAGAAACAGAAAATGTGGCCCATAACTAGAAGAAAAATCTATCTATCTGCCTACCTATCTATCTATCTACCTATCTATCTGTATCTATCTGTCTTATCTATCTTTCATGAGAAATGGTGACAGACATTGCAGAATATAATATCAGTAGATTTGAAAACAAACAACGTAAAACTACATACTGAATCATACAGAGGTTATAAATACTGATAAATTACTGATAAATAAAAGAGATTCCATGAGCTGTGGTATCAAGCAGTCTAACGTATAGTAGGAATCATAAAAGGGGAAGAGGTAGAGGGAGGAACAGAAAGATATTTGAAAATATAAATATAAAAATATAAATAAAATATAAATTTTGCAAATTTATGAAAACCATTTCATAAATTTGCAAAATTATGAAAACCATTTATCAGAGATCTAATAAAATCTATGAACCCTAAACAGGACATACATAAAGAAAATAACACCAAAGCACATCATAATCAAATTGCACATAACTAAGTATAAAGAGAAATTCCTAAGAGCAGCTAGCAAGAAAAAAGACATTATATGCACAAGACCAACATACAAATAGCATATTTCTAGTCAGAAGTTATATAAGCCAAAATACAATGAAGCAACATTTTTAGTGTACTGAAAGTAAAATAGAACTGTTAATCTAGAATACTATACCCAGTATATATATATTTCAAGTGTAAATGTGAAATATAAACATTTCCAGATAAAAAATTGCTGGGAGGAATTATTGCCAATAGACCTGCACTTCAAGAAATGTTAAAGAAAGTTAATTAGGCAAAGGAAAATGATATCAGATAAAAACTTGGATCTATACAAAGAAATAAAGAGCATTAGGAATAATAACTATGTAGGTAAATATAAAAGACTTTATTCTTATTGTTAAAGCTTCTTTTGAAAATTTACTGTTTAAAGCAAAAAATAAGAAGATGAGAATGTATGGTGGGGTTTATAATATATGTGAAAGTGAATGATATAAAAGCAATAGCACAAAGGATAGGAGAAGTGGAAGTATACCGTTATAAGATTGTTACATTATATGTGAAAAAATATGTATGATATTATTTGAAGGAAAGCTTCAGTAAGTTAAAGATGTATATTGCAAAACCTAGAGCAGCTATTAAGAAAATTAAAAGATGGTATAGTTAATTAGGCAATGATAGAAATACAACTGAATCTTGAAAACTATTCAATTAATCCAGAAGAAAGCAAAAAAAAAAAAAAAAAGAAAAAAAAGAACAAAGAAGAAAACAAATAGAAACAAAATAGCAGATTCAATCTAGTAATGTCTATAATAATAATTGTTATTACCATTATTATTTTAATGTAATGCCATTAGATGTAACCGGTCTGAAAACTCAGTAACAGGCAGAGATTATCAAATCAATTTACATAAAAATATTAAATTGGTGATACACAGGTGAGAAGATAAGGCAAAACTCATAAAGATAATATAATAACTAAGAATCTGACAAACACTGTTTAAGTAAAATATAATAACTATAGCACTAATTTAATTAAAAATGCACACACAGTGTTGGAGATTGAGGTTGAGAGTGTATGAGGGTTCAGTTCTCAAATAATATAGGGATAAAAATCATTACATTCAATTCAAATCTCATTTTATAAATGGCTATTTTCTGTAATGTCCTCCTCAAAAGGCTAGGAGTGGATCTAAGTAACCTATGTATTGTTGATAAACCTTCTGATTTAATTATTTGTAAATTATATATGGTTTCTTTTGAATATATTGATAATGTTAGCCAATACTACAAAATGGAGAAATAATGTCTATAATTTTACTATTTGCTATGTTTAAGACTTTTAATAGAAACATAAGTAATATTCCTGCATATTCTGTCTTATTAGATGTTTCAGATATGGAAACTGAGGTTCAGGTTGATTGAATGCCTGATTCCTGTTTTTATAGTGCTCACACGGCATAAATGAAGTCATATATCTTTACTTCTAGATTGCAAATGCTGTCAAATTTCCTTCCCCACCCCCAGTTCTGCTAGGCAAGGATTCATAATGAGTGTCCAGGCTCTCCTTAGCTTTCCTTCTTTTAGTGGTGTAAATATTTTAGATTTTTCTTTCCAGTTTTAGTATTTCCAGGCCAGCAGGTCCTCATCTCTTCAGCACCTCATTAAGCCACACTCTTGTTCCCCTGGCATTCTGCTTCCCCAAATCCAGCGTAGCAGCATGAAGACCTATGGAATCACCCCCGTGCCTTCCTTCCTGTGTCCCTGTTTGTAGGGGGGTGTGAATCAGATGGTCTGGATTCAGAGCTGGTCTGGCCAGGTACTAACTACAAAACTTGAGGAAGTTACAGAACTACTCCAAGTCTGAACTTGTTCAGCAATAAAGGACATTACAATAGTGGAGGTCTCCCACAGCGGGAATTCATTGCTGTCGTGTAAAGCTCTTAGCAGAGTATCTAGAATAAGACACACACCCTAAAAGTAGCTATTGTTTTTGTTACTGTTATTCTCACTAATGGATAAATAAGAAGAACCTTTAGTGTGAGTTCTTCCAGATTTTCTTTCTGTTACCAGTAAACTCTAGAGAGTCAGGAGTTTGCTGTGCATGTGGGGCCCAGAGACACTTAACCCGGGGCATACTGTAGCCAGCAGCCAAAGGTGGCTACCCAGCCATTGAAATGAGGCTCATCTAAATAGAGGTGCACTGTGAGTATAAAATACTGTACAGAAAAGGAATGTAAACTACTTATTCATAATTTGATATTACATGATGAAATAATACTGTTTTACATATGGGGTTAAATAGAATATATAATTAAAGTTAATTCACTGTTATTTTTAGTTTTTTATTGCAGCTACTAGAAAGTTTAGAATTACATATGTGTCTCCCTGTTGTTTTTATGGGACAGTCCTCATCTAGTGTCCACTTCTTAAGTAATCAGCTCTACCGCGGGGTCAACTCTGTGCTACACACTGCGGGTAAGGACCTCTCAATCTGTTTAGAATCTCAAGGAAAAGTTCTAGGAAGACACAAGATTTCTATGAGTATTTAGGGACACAACTTATATTCAATTACACAGGGGTGAGCATATAGAATTCAGTAAAAGTTTGCTAGTTTTGTTACTGTTACTATCTCTGTATTAAGTGGGAGGCTGTAGGATTCTCTGTGCCTCAGGAGGGAGAATCATCTCACTTGCACACACCGCTGACATGTTCCTAGACTCAGTGGCGTGCTCTGCACTCAGGGAAAACGGCTCCTGGAACTGCTGGTTCCAGAGGCAGCCTGGCCAGCAGCAGAACTGTGGAGCATCAGCTTGGGTCCGTGGAAGCTAGCAGTGACACCCTGTGTGAACCCAGTAACTCAGTACTGGTAGGCAGGGTTACAGATGAGAGTTTTGTGGCTTGCTGACCTGAGTGGTGCGGAGGATGGAAGTTTGTGGAAGGACCTTGGAGATGCCTGTCTTTTCACCACATTCTCTGAGAACTGACTGGCTTCTCTCTCTCATGTCTCACCCCCCACCGAGGTTTCTAGGGACCAAAGGGTCTCCCTGTGAGGTGCAGACCACTCGTGATTTATTTGAGGTTCTCCTGCCAAGTACTCTCAATGTTTAACAGTTTTCCACCAGAGCATCTCATCTTCCTTCCCCCTGTCTGTTTCTTCACTTCTCGGTATTCGATGCTAAATAGATTCGGATGAACAATTTGGCTGGCTTGGCTCCTTCCTGGCCACTGCCTGTATTAGCTCCCCAACATAAAACCTGAGCTGACAGCAATGGAATTTATGAAAACCAGTAAGAAGTGAGGTATGCAGCACAGCACTCACATGGAGCTGACCCTGAAGGGCTGAGTCCTCTTTTTCCAGCCAAATTGCACAAATAATAGGGCTAGGACCCTTGCAATTGCAAACAGCAAATATGTGAAGGTAATTCAAAGAAAAGTAGTTTATGTGTCTTTGAAAAACTAGGATTGGAAGTGGGCTGTGGGGGCCATCTTCCTCTGCACCCCAGTATAGCTCCAGAGTTCCCAGGGACCCTGGGACTGACTGGTCCCGCAGTTGGGTGTGATCCTTCACATCCCACCCTAGGATCTAGCTGGAGCCTGGGCTCCAAAGATAACACATCCGGAGATTTCCTTGTATGGATTTCCTTCTGAGGTTTTAGTTGTGGAGGGGAAGAGAATCAATGTAAGCTTGGTAACCCTTTCCAGATCTCCATAGGAGGCCTCCATACTCCTGCTGTGCTTCGCACAATCGCCTTCCCAGAGTAGGGATGTGGGGATGGTCTCCAGCCACAGGACAGGACTTTTGGGGTTTGTGTTTCACTGGTGGAATGTGGTACCCTCAGGGCTCAAAGGAACTGATCACAAGAGGCCAACCTGTTTTCTCAATCTGACTCACTTGCCTCCGAGTTCTATGTTCATAAGCTCCACGGAGCCCCTCTGCACATGATTGGAAATATGCTCTTTTCAGACTTGAAATCCAAAGGAAACAGAAATATGCCAAACTGCCATGTGGTTTCTGTTAAGTATATATACATATATATATATATGCCTGTACATATATATATGCACATATATTGAATCTATACATACACACCTACACACATGTGTATATACCTACACACATGCATACACCTATTTATATATACACACATGCAATTATGCACATGCATAGATTATACACATACTGTTCATGCCTACACATGCACACATGTACACACATACATGCATATATACACATACATGCAAATGTATGTACCCATGCACACACTCACTACCTATTTCAGGCTCTCTATGGACTCACTGACAATGGCTGAAGCATACTGAAACCTGAACACAAAGTTCACCAGCTCCAGTTCCTCCTGGTGTGACTGCTTGGCTTTGAGATTTGGGCAATGAAGATCCAACAGCTTCAGAGCCAGCCTGTGGTAGAGACGTTTGTTGTGTTGCATGAGAGAGACTGTGCCGAGAAAGAATGAAGCCTCCTGAGCAGAGGGCAATGCCCTGGCCAGCCTGGGGCCTGGAGGTTTGAGTGAAGCAGGCCAAGTCCCGGCCCCTCATGGCGAGTGCTGTGCTGACCCTGAAATAAACTGTTGTGCTTCATTATTAGACACATTTTTATTTGAAACCTCCAACTATTGCCATTCAAATGCTGTCCCTGAAAGGAAACAGATCCCAGGAGAGGGTCACGGGGGGAGCCCCAAGAAAGTGCTCCCTGCTTCCTTCCTGCCCCAGCAGTGATGCACGTTCACCTGTCAAAATGATGAGCTCCACAGTCAGAGACTTTGTATAACACATTGAGGAATAATCACAATAAAAAGTAGGTTTAAGAAAAGGAAAAAAATCAGATGCCTTCCAAACAAGTGAAATTTGTTTAAAACTGGAAATGATATTTGGAGGTAACCTGGAGTTTGTGCAGTCTGCCAATCTTTGCCTTCTGGAACAGAATGACTGCCAGCAGCCAAGACCACGGGCACCCACGGTGCGTGCAATTTATCATCCTCTGAGTTCCTGGCACCGAGGAAAGTATTCATGTATGTAAGCTTCACTTCTCCCCTGAGCCTTCCCCCTATTTGCCCAGCCAATTATCTCCAGAGAAATTAGGCAAAAGCAACTCTGAAAGTAATGCAAAAATATTGCTAAAATAATTGAGTGAGATTGCAGTGATCATATCCAGTTCTTTAAAGACACTAACATAGCCTTAAATACATTCATTGAGGGTTTTGCAGAAATATGAATTTATGGGCTAGAATCCAGCAACCGAGGTTAATGTACAACGTTTCAGAATCTGGTTCAGTTTGTAATGAAGTAGAGGAGACACCAGCCTGGCAGTCTTGGAATATAATATTTACACTTTCCAGAGAACAGTCAGCACCTGAAACTGGACTTTTATGTGGGGGCTGATCCTCCTTGTGGCCATGGATCCCTCTTCTGAAGGCCTTAGAGAAGACAAAGCAGAAGTGTTAGTGTGAAGAGTGGAGGCGAGTGTTGTGTTGATGCATGCATTAAGCAGCTCAAGTGGCATCATTCACATCCATCAGCTTAGAGCAGCCCAGTCTACAACATATGACAGGGTATGCAATCACCCCATAAATGTGTGCATAAGCATTATCAGATTACTTTATTTCCATTAAACAAACTCACCTTAACCTTCAGGTGGAAGAGAGTCAATCTTCATTCTCATTGGCAGAGATGCTTAGTGCTCCCTGCAATAGCGTTTTCATTCTTCTCATAACTGGGGCCATGTGACCAGAGGGGCCACCAAACCACAAGCAACAGTGCTGTGCACCATTTCTGGGCTGAGATAGTATGAAGTCTTGGCTCTGCCCTCCAACAATCTCTTTCCTGTCCCAGCAAGCTTCAAAACCATGCTTTCCAGACAGTGGTGGCCATAGAAGCAGGCCAACACAGATCCACATCCAATTTTCTGGGAGCAACAAAGATATCTTTGTTGAGTGGAGCCTGGTTCATTTAGGAATTAGTTACATTACATACCCCAGTGTATTACCTGCCTAATTGTGTCCTCTGGGCTCACAAGGTGGGAAAGACTTACAACATGACAGAGAAATGAGACAAGGGCCCTTTCCATGTCACTCTGTCATGGTGGCCACAGATTCATTCATGGTCTAGTGTTTGCAATCCTTTGTTAATCCCACACAGTACTTAGGGGTCAGAAGTTCTACCTGCTCAGGGGAGTAAGGGACAAAAGGATTGTGGTCACTACCCACTTCAGCCTAGGACTATGAGTGGTGGGCACAGGTGAGGTGATGCCAACTGATATGGTTTGGATCTGTGTTCTGCCCAAACTCCATCTTCAGTACTAATCCCCAGTGTTGGAGGTAGGGCCTGGTGGGAGGTGACTGGATCAAGGAGGTGCATTTCTTACGAATGGTTTAGCACCATTCCTCTCAATACTGTCTTCGCCATAGTAAGTTCTCATGAGACTTGGTTATTTAAAATTGTGTGGCATTTCCTCTCTCTCTCTCTCTCTTCCGCTCCTGCCATGTGAAACACCTGGCCCTTCTTTACCTTCTGCCATGATTGGAAATTTCTTAAGCCTCCTCAGAAGCAGAAGCCATTATAATTCCTATACAGCCTACAGAACCGTGAGCCAATTAAACCTCTTTATAATTACCCAGTCTCAGGTATTTCTTTATAGCAATGCCAATATGGACTAATACACCAATACAGATGCAGTTCACTCCCAGGCACAAGCCCAGGGAGACATGGGGTGGATTACAGGGCAGTGATGCTGCCACCTTTAGGGTCTGGGGTGCTGTGGCCAGTCCGCTCCCAGCACAGAATGAGCAGCAGCAGAACATCCTCAAGAGGGGAACAGGTTTTTCTCCTTTTGCCCACATGGCCCCAACTCCTTGCTTTTGAAGGATGGATAAAAGGACCTGAAGGAAAATGGAGCAAAATAACAGCCCTCCTCCAAATTGATGTATAAACTTAATGTAATTCTTACTAGAATCCCAGCAATATTTTTTGCAGAGACAGACAAGCTTCTTCTACCTTTTATATGGAAAGTCAGAGGACCTAGAAGAGCTACAACAATCTTGAAAAGACTGAAGTGCAAAAATAATTCAGTAATTAAGATAGCATAGTATTGGCAGATGAATAGACACATAGATCGATGGGATAGAGAATCCATAAATAATCACACTAAAAAGGCCAACTGATTTTTAAAAGAGGTGCAAAAGCAGTTCAATGGAGAAAACGTAGGCTTTTCCATCACTGGTGTTGGTGCAATTGGACATCCGTTAGCAAAATAAAAAAAAGAATCTCAACCTAAACCTCACAACTTTTGTATAAGTTAACTCAAATGAATCACGGATACAGAAGGTAAACTTATCAATATTTCAGAAAAAGAAACTTAGGAGAAAATCTTCTGGACCTAAAGCTAGGTTAAGAGTTTTTAAACTTGACACTAAAAGTACAACCTATACAGGGAAAAATTGATAAACTATATATAATAAAAATTTTTTAAACTTGTTCAATGAAAGACCCCATGAAGAAAATGAAAAAAAAAATAAACAAAAAGCAAGCTACAAGTTGGGAGAAAATATTTGCAAACCACACATCTGACATACAATGTTTTAGAATACATAAAGAAATCTCAAAATTCAACAGTAAAAAAAATCTAATTAGAAAATGGAAAAAAGGGAGAACATACATTTTACTGAAGAGGATACATAGAGAGTAAATAAATACATGAAATTATGTTCAACATTATTAATCATCAGGGAAATGCAGATTAAAACTACAATGAGATACCACCACACCCCTATCAGAATGGCTGAAATCAGAAATAGTGATAACACCAAATGCTGGTGAGGATGTAGAGAACCCGGATCACGCACTCGTTATTGGTGGGAATGTAAAATGATCTAGTCATTCTGGAAAAGTTTGACAGTTTCTTAACACTAATCATGTAACTATCATATGGCTTAGCAATTACATTCTTGATTTTTTATCCCAAAGAAATGAAATCTTATGCTTCCACACAGGCATGCATATGAGTGTTTATAGCAGTTTTACTTGTAGTAGCCAAAATGAGACAACCCAGATGTCCTATGTGCAGTGAGTGGTTAAACAAACTTGGGTACCTCCACGTGGTGGACTACAGCTTAGCAATAGAAAGGAATGAACTCTTCACACATGCCACAACTTGGATGATCTCAAGGGAATTAAGTTGAGTGATAAAGGTAAATCTCACATGGTTACATATTGTATGATTCCATTTACATGATGGTCTCAAAATAAAAAAAAAAATTATGGCGATGGAGAACAATTTCACTAAATTGTGATCTAATTTGCCAGGGATTGAGGCTGGGGGAGAAGGGTGAATGTGACTTTAAAGAGATGATGCACTCTTTATATTGTGGCAGTGAAATGGTCCTATGTATGGTGGTGGTGGGTACACAAATGTGCAGATGTGGCAGAATGGCAGAGAACACATGAACACCTAGAAATGAATGTGTGCAAAACGGTGAAATTCAAATAACATCTGTGGCCTCTATCACAGTCAGTTTCCTGGTTTCTATGTTGTTTTGTAGTTGGGCAAGATGTTAACACTGAACAAAACTGGGTGAGGGACACACAAAACTTTCCCACACATTTTTTGCAACTTCCTGTGATTCTATAATTACTTTAAAATTAAAAAGTTTTTAAAAATCCAGTAGATGTAGACCATGACCATGAACTTAGACTCCTTGTTTTTTGTTGTTATTGTTGTTTGTTTGCTTGTTTTTGATTTTTTTTTTTTTTTTTTTTTTTTTTGATGAGGAGTCTCGCTCTGCTGCCCAGGCTGGAATGCAGTGGCACAATCTTGGCTCACTGCAACCTCCGCCTCCCGGGTTCAAGTGATTCTCCTGCCTCAGCCTCCTGAGTAGCTGGGACTACAGGTGCCCGCCAGCAGGTCTGGCTAATTTTTTTGTATTTTTAGTAGAGATGAGGTTTCACTCTGTTAGCCAGGATGGTCTCAATCTCCTGACCTTGTGATCCGCCTGCCTTGGCCTCCCAAAGTGCTGAGATTACAGAACGCAGTAGGCTGCCTGCCAGCAGGGGCTGCCTTACCTTTGAGTCTCCCCCATCCTCTGGGGAAGACTGTGAATGAACGAAGGAGTGCAGCTCTTGGCGACAACTCAGCCCAGTAGAGGCTCTTGGCTCTGAGGCTTGATGTGGAGTACAGAATTAGTTCATGCTTTATCTTTGTTCATTTGTTAAACAATGATCCATCTAGTACCCACTGTGGTCCAGGCCTATGCTAGTATTTGAGGCACTAAAATCTGAACCCTGTCTGCAAGGAGGTCCTCTATTGCTCCTTCATAGAGCGTGACAAGTGAAAGTAGAAGTGAGCCAGTAGAGGTGAGTGTAGGACTCTCACACAAGGCCAAACAACCCAGTTCACAGGCTCAGAAGCTGAGGTTGAAAACAAATAAAAATTCATTCAAGAGCAGGTAGTGTTTCAGGTGGAGAAGAGATCACATGCAAGACCAAGGGGTCCCTGGGTCTGCACTTTTGCATGTAATCTCTTCTACAACTGGCCTCCCCAGAGTCCCCTGGCACCATGGTTTCCGTGGAGGGGACCCAGAAGCCTTGGGCATGAGGTGGGCTATACCCCAGGCAGAGAAGAGTCAGATCTCAGATGTGGCAGGATGGGGGCTGAGGATAGAGCGAATTCAAAGAAAAAAAATGGGAAGCAGAGCCTGGAACCATTCCAGTACCAGAAGGAGACAAGGAGAGTGGCTTTGGCCATGAGCTGGGCTGGCCAGAGGAGTGGGCCTGCAGCTGGCAAGCAGACTCCCACGGATGTTGCTGCACCCACTCCTGGCCTGGTGAGAACTTTGCAGTCGACTACAGGCTTTGCACATCTCACAAATTAGTGGTACTGA
Source organism: Homo sapiens (assembly GCF_000001405.40). Classification (NCBI taxonomy): domain Eukaryota; kingdom Metazoa; phylum Chordata; class Mammalia; order Primates; family Hominidae; genus Homo; species Homo sapiens. The sequence continues at coordinate 44,708,596 of NC_000010.11, read as the reverse complement.
TTAATTAGCAGCACTGCAGTGTGGTGCTTGAGGCCTCTGGTTCTGAAATTACATGGCTTGACTTCCAGTCCTGCTTTTGCTAGGACAAAAATTGATGACCTTGAGCAAGTTACTTAATGACTCAGATTCTCATTTTTTTATTCATACAATAAACATAATATTAATACCTACTATGTCATAATATTATCATGAAGATTACATAAGATCATGTAAGTAAAGGGCTTATCAGATCATCAAGCACATAGTAAGCACTTGTTACCTACAATTAGTACTACAATTATCACTATGCTGTTATTATTGTTTTTTTTTCCTTGGCTCACTAACCCTAGAAATGTCTTCCACTGTGTTTCTACAGCACGTCTCTCTGGAGAGGTGAGCTTTCCCCAAGTCAGGGCACGAACCCCTCCAATCCCCCAAAATAAGTCAGGGCCCCAGCCAGGCTTCAATGCAGACACCTCATAGAGGACTTTGCAGGCTCCCCCAGTGCAGGACTCAGGCGGCCAGTTATATCTTTGTAGTGTAACCCATTCTTTTCCTTCAGCCTTTTTATGGGCTTGGGCACAAGTCAAGTCCTTCATCTCTCTTTCCTCGTGCAGCCCCTTCCTCACTCTCTGGAAGTGAGATGCCATAAAGAGACATCCCCAGGGCATACTGAATCATGAGAGCATTCCTCAGCACAAGAGAACATCCTTTGATTTTTTCCAGGACCACATTTTTTTTCTCCAGTTTGCTTTGTCTTCTGGTTGAAAGATTTTTTAAAAAAATCTTGTGAAAATCTCTATGTATCTTTTTGAAGAGGTAAAACAGAACCAGCTGAACCTAATCAATTCGCAGAGGTGCCATAAATGCTCACCAGGCTATAAAAGGGCGACCTCTCTGATACAGCAAAGGAGAAGTGAGAGCTACGATGAGAACATGGCAGCCCCTCGACGCCAGGATAAACACCTCTCAAGCTCACTTTATGCTTATGCCTGTCAGCTCTAGTGGCTGAGCTGACGATTAGAGAGAGAACTTTAAATGAGGTTCTCAGACAGCCCGAACCTTGGTCTAGGTGTCCCCTGGGCACTGGAGTTGCCTGGTATAGGTGAAGGAGAAAAATAGCCACCCTATCAGAGCCCAGGCCTTAGAGTGGGGACACAAAGGTTGATGCCACCCTTCTCTGCTTGAACTGTTGTCCTAACTACTCATCTAGTCCTATCTTCACAGATTCCAGCGAATCGGGAGAAGTCGCCCGTCCCTGGTTGTGCCCTAAAGCTTTCCTCCTTAGGGTCTAACGGAGGCTTTCTCTGATTACCTCTAGATACAAACATTAAAAGATTGTTTTAAATGGGCACAGCAGATAAGTGGGACAGGTGCCACCTCTGTCTCCTCTCATGCATAAGGTTATTGCCATTAATTGGTCATTGCATTAGTTTTTCCTTCCAGGCCCTGAGTAGGTCTTTGTCATCTCCCAGCCACTGAGTGAAGTTGGCAAACAAGGTGAAACAACTCTATCATGGCAGGCCTTCTCTGGCCATCCCAATTTGTTAGTCCTAGAATCACTGCTGATGTGGCATCAGATGGGCTTTTATTCACTGGTTTCCAAGGAGAATCTCCCAGAGAGTCTGAGGGGGTTGAGAAGAATCTGCACAAATGGTGACTAAGTGTTGAATCACTCCATGCTGGTCAGGTCTAATGTGAGCCACAGCCATGGCACTGTGATTTGTTCCATGGCCAAGAGGGATTAATCTGAGGCAATAAAGGGATCAGGACTCATGTTTTCCATTTATTCTTGGAAACAGGGGACAGAGCTTAAGTTGTGTTTGTGTGGGTGGGTGTGGTACATAAATTTCATTTTCCAGCATAGGTATAGGTCAGTCTTGCTTTAAGAAACCTGGTCCATCAACAGAATTTCCACAGGACCCACCACCCTAGATGTCCTGATGAGGTCCTATTGAAACCTATCTCTCCCAGTCCACTGACACATCATCTGAACCACTGATGGGGGTTGCCAGCCTTCTACATTTTCCCTCCTCAACATTGCTGGGAGTATCTTGGAGATGTTTCTGATAAGCTCATGACCAAGTTCCCTCCCTCTGGGTGAGACCGCTGCTTCTCCGGTACCTCATTTCTCAGCTGCCACTAGTTGAGTACCAAAAAGCTCCTGCCTCGAGGAGAAAACTCTGGCTCTTTGGAGCTTAGCGTTCCCTGAGACTTTGACATGATGCTCCCACTTCTCCTTGGGTCACCATAGTCCTCCTGCTCTATCTGGTATAATAATTTCCTCCCAGGGATGTTAAGACTATGCCAAGAATCACCAAGCTGTGGAGGCCTGGACTACAGAGGTGCATTTCTCTGTGCGTGCAGGGGTATGGCAGGCACCGGGCTGTGACACTCTGGCAACAGACCTGTGTTTTATGTAGCATCGCTTCTCCCCTGTGTTCAAAAAGGAGCTCCTGACCTGTCCCTGGGTCAACTTTGGAAAAGTTCTCTTCCAGGATTCTTTCCCCTTACAGAAAACATTAAGTCATCCCAACTTATGCAAGACATGTTGCACCTTCATAACCGACATGGGTTCTATTATAGTTCAAGGATCCTTTTTTGCTCCCATGGAAATAAACTTCTGTTGGTCCCATCAGTTTAGTTTGCTGAGCAGTAGGAGATACGTGAATCTGAAAGTCAGGCTACAATGCCCAAATGTGAAAATTATAATGTAGAATAAAATACAAAAGTTTTGCCTTAAAATGTGTGTATCAAGAATGGTGGGTAGCAAATTATGGTAACTGAGAGTGGTGCTGAAGCCCTAAGTTTTGGTCTCATTCTCACCTAAGTAAGAACCTGATCAAAAGAGGGGAACGTTTAAACAAAATTATGGGATGCCATTGTTTTGAACTGAGCTTGTACACTAAGCCCCAACAGACCAGAGAAAGTCAAAACAAAGTTTCATGCTAAATGCCACATAATCAAATGGAAACTTTAAGAAAGCAGATAGGTCCTAAAACAGACCAGGTTTTGTATTTTTCGTGTACACAGGAGATTCCAGCACAAGGAGGCCCCCTCTACTGTAACCAAAAAAAGAAGAAAAGAAAAAAGCCTGAATTCCTCGTTCCCACCTTACAAAACATACTCCTCTTCAATTTCCTAGTAGGATTTAGGACCAAATAAGTACATTTACAATGGAGACAGAGTGATTTCAATGCCTAAAGTTTTGGTCAACCTCTTAAAATTGGGAGGTTGATCAAAAGTAGGAAACTATTAAATTAAGTTTAGTCTGAAGCTGCCTCTTTACATTTTTCAGTTTGGCTTAAGTGTTTCTCTGTACATAGTGCACTGTATATGAATGAATGGTGTGTGGTAAGAGGAGCTCTGCCAACCTTCTCCTCATTGAAATTTAACTGGTGAAAATTATAAAAACAAAATAATTAATGTGGTGAAACCCCATCTCTACTAAAAATAAAAAAATTATATGGGCATGGTGGTAGGCGCCTGTAATTGCAGCTACTTGGGAGGCTGAGGCAGGAGAATCGCTTGAACCTGGGAGACAGAGGTTGCAGTGAGGAAAGATTGCACCATTGCTCTCCAGCCTGGGTGACAAGAGCAAAACTCTATCTCAAAAAACAAAACAAATCAAAACAAAAAACAATTTCATCTCTAAAAATTGTCTCAATGGCATGCAGCAAATGGAAAAACATTTACTTGAGAAAATCTAATACATCTTGATAAAAATAGCAAGAGACTGACATTTGAGCCATGAACTGCTCCCATGTCCAGCCCGCACTCAGCTTCTTGTGAAAAAAGCTCTACCCTAGGGACTTTACTCCAGATGTGTTTAGCCAAGAAGGCATAGGATCCCTCTTCTTCCAGTTTCCAGTCTATGGCTTTGACTTCATGCAGAGAGAGGCAGAATACCAGCTTTCCTCATACCCCTCTTCTTGCAGGAGGTCTACTTTGGGTGGATGTGGCTAAAAGGACTAGCATTCACTTCTTTCACCCAGTTCCCATTCATATAAAAGAAGCTCTACCCTAGGTATGGCAAGTCAAAATGTTGGGACTACTTTTGTCCATGACCTTTCAATGGATGAAGATTCCACAGCAGTAGGGGCAATCCTAGAAGACCATGGGCTACCATCTCTGACCAGTGACCACTCGCAGAGCAGGATATTCCTTTGGGAAAAATGGACTATTGTTCTTGCCCGTATGTCCCACCGGTGACACAGGGATTCCATAGAGCAGAAGAGGCAAGCCTCAAGCATGGATAGCTACACAGTTGTTCCTGAGAGGACTGATTTTGTTTGGAAAAGAGTGCAGAGAATTTTATGCCTAAGGGTGTTGTCAAAAACAATGGAGATCTTTGTGGAGAGCCACTAAGAGGGGACTGGTAGTTCCATGAGACTTGTAACAAGTGAAAAAGCAGAACAGCCAAGAGTCTAACAGAGAGAACCCGGAAAAGAAAGAGTGTAGAAAGATCCTCCTGGGATCGAGGTCAAATCTAGGTGTTGGCAAGGCTATTCCTGTAGATTAGTCTGCATTCAGTTGGAAAAAATTAGAGTAGGGAATGGGACAGAAACAGTACCCAAGTCACACACAAATTCATCAAAAAGGGGCGGATGCTTCCCTGGCACATGACACGTAAGCACATACTCTGACCAAAAACTGACTTAAGAAAAAGCTCTTCTGTTCCAGAGGAGACTCCTATAAAGCCAACCTTAAACAGAAAATCACATTTACCTTTTGAAGTCTGGAAGACTCTGTGCATTCCAAGGCCATGTCCTCTCAGGATTAATTGAGGAGGAATATTTTAAACTATTAGTTCCTACTTGACCTTGGGAAAAAATTGTAACTTTCCTGAACCGTGAAAGCAATTTCCAAGCTAAATATACATCCACGGCAATGGGTAAAAATTTAATGACTAATGGGGGCTTGAGCACAACCTTTGACCAATAAGCAGCTTAATGTGGACCCAGGGGTGACCACTAGGCTAAATGAAAAAACTAGGGAAAAATTTATGAGGATAGACAACAGAGGCTGCATAATGTAAGGCTAGAGGAAGAATAAACTTCACAGGTTTAATTTAGACAAATCACTAAAAATCAACAAATGACTAGTGGGAGAGGGAACAAGCCTGGGTGTGGGTGTGACAGGAATGTAATCAGTTGGAATTTCTACAATGTATTGTCTAAAATGTCCAGTTGGAAACAAAAAATTTACAAGATATGCAAAGAAACAGGAATGTGTGACTCATAGTAAAAAAAAAAAAAATAGTCAGTAGAGGGAACTAAATAAAATAAAGTAAAAATTGTTTTGAGGGAACACAAGTGTTGGGCTTAGTATACAAAGACGTAAACTAGCTATTATAATATATTCAAAGCACCAAAATAAATTGTTTAGAAAAAAATAAAGAAAATTATGGTGACGATATCTCATCACACAGAGAATATCAACAAAGAAATAGAAGTTATGAAAAAAGAATCAAATGGGCTTTCTGAAATTGAAAAATAAAATAATTGAAATGAGAAATTTACGAGAGGAACTCATCAGTACATTTTAAACTGGTACAATCAGGAATAAGTGAATTTGAAGATAGAGCAATAAAGATTATGCAATCTGAAGAACACAAAGGAAAAAGGATAAAGAAAAACAGAGTCTCAAATAAATCTGACACCATTAGGCACAGCAATATATGTGTAATGAAATTACCATAAGGAAAGGAGAAATAGAATTATAGAAATTAAAAACATAATGGCTGAAAACTTTTCAAGTTTGGTGGAAAACATTAATCAGCACATCTAAGAAGTTCAACAAACAAAAAGTTGGATACACGCAGATATATTTGCCCAGACATATCATAGTTGAAATCTGAAAGCCATATATGAAGAGAAAACCTCAAAGGCATCAAGAGAAAAATGACTCATCATGCACAAAGGTACCCCAGTAAGATTAACAGCTGACTTCTTATCAGAAATAACAAAGAGCAGAAAACAGTGGGGTGATATATTCAAAGTGTCTAAAGGAAAAACAACATAAACAACAAAAATTCCCTCTGTCTTATACCCAGCAAAACCAAAAGCTATCTTTCAAAAATGATGTCCAAATAGACATTCTACAATAAACCAAAAGTGAGATAATTCATTGCTAGCAGGCTTTTCTTAAGCGTAATTCTTCAGACTGAATATAAGTGACACCAGACAGTAAATAAATTTCACATTTTAAAAAATGAATGCTGATAAAGGTAAATATAAAGACAATATAAGGATATATTTCCTTTTTAAAAACTGATTTTAAAAGTAATTGCATCAAATAATATGTATAAATTTATATAGTTCTTCCTATAATATATTGATGGTAACAGCCCAAAGAAGACAGTGGGAGCAAAACTGTATGGAGAAAGGAAACGATACTAGATGGTAACTCAAATCCACAGAAATAATTTAAGAGAGCCAAAAATGCAATTAAAATTTAATAAAACAAACTTTCTAAATGTATACTTTATCTCCTTGTTTTCTTTCAGCTTATTTAAAAGACATAAGATTACATAAAGTAACAATTATGGCAGTGTATTTTTGTGTTTGTTACCTGTATAGATGTTAGATGTGCAGTAATCATAACCAAAAATAGTAGCGGAGGGGGATGTGGCTACATATGAATACAACTTTTATATATTACTGGAATTAAGCTAATACATATTTGAAGCAGACTCTGATAAGTTAAGATGTATATTGTAGGCCCTAGAGCAACTATTAAGAAAATAACTGAAAGATATAATAAAATCTCATTATTGGAATTAGTTATAATAGATACTACAAAAAGAAGGTGGTAAATGAAAAACAGGGGTCTTTAAAAATCATGTGGCATATGCTACACTTGATGGTAGTCAAAAGGTCAAGAAGCAATTCATGTGACATATAGAAAATGAAAAGCTAAATGGCAGAGGTAAATCCAACCATATCACTAATACAATATTAAATATGAATGGATTAAACAATCCAACAAAAAGGAAGAGATTTTGACACTGGATTAAAAAAATTAAACCAAGACACAAGTATATGCTGTCTACAGAGAGGCACTTAGATTCAATAATACAAACAAGTTAAAGTAAAAGGATAGAAGAGTATGTAGAATGCAAATAGCAAACATGAAAGAGCCAGAGTGGTTATAATAATATCAGAGAGGATAGACCTTAAAATTAAAAAGTTACTAGAGATACAGCATGGCAGGGATACTGACAAAAGTTCAATCCCTCAGGAAGATACATATAATATAAATATATACACACCCAACAAAAGATCTACAAAATACATGAAGCAAAACTCGGCAGAATTTATGGAAAAATAAAAAATTCAACCATAATAATTTGAAACTTTAATATCCCACTTTGAATAATGAATAGAACAACTAGTGATGATAAACAAGGGTACAGAAGACTTGAACAACTATAAAACAACTAGGTCCTGCAGACATGTATAAAACCCTCTACCTGATGAGAGCAGAATACACTTTCTTCTCAAGCTCTCATGGACCATTCTCCTGCATGTGGAGCCATAAAATCAGCCTCGATAAGTTAAAAAAATTGAGATCATGCAAAGCATTCTCTCAGACTGTAGTGAAATAAAATTAGAAATCAACAAGAGAAGGAAATTTGGGAAATTTTATAACATGTAGGATTAAACAGCACACTCTCAAAATAACCAGTTTGTCAAATAAGTCACAAAGGAAGTTAGAAAAGCCCTGAGCTGGTAAGTTGGTAAATCCTTGTCCAATGAGAGGAATCCTTTAAAGGCTCAATGGAGGAATGGGAAACAGGTCTTACCCCAGGAAAGCAAATGCATCAGAATAGAACAGAAAGGGGTCTCCCTGGGGCTCATACTGGGCAACTGCACATGTTCCTGGTTTGTGCAAAGAGCTGTCTTCAGAAAAATGGTGGAAAGAGAGGAACAGGAACAGGACTTCAGGAGAAGTTTGCACACAGCAAAACCATCCCTGTGGAAGTGGTAGGCAGGTAACCCGGCTCCTACCATACTTCCTCCTGCCTCCTCCCCTGGGGCTGGCTCTGTAAAGAGTCTCTTCTAAGCCACCAACCTGAGCTCATGTATGACTTCTCCTGCCTTTAATTTCATACAAATGTACAACTTTGTTGGCTTTTCTCAAGTCAAGTTACATCTTCTGTTATCAATGGGAAACAATGTGCCTTTTCTGTAGCTAACTGATGCAAATCTAGCTCAGAATGGGGGTGGGAGATGGGGAGACAGGTGCTGGGCACAGTTAAGGGCAGCCCAGCTATCTAGAACCTTTCTCTGGACTTCCTTCAGGGTTTTGCAGCCTTGGCACTATTGGCATCTAGGCAAGATAATTATTTGTTGCAGGAGGTCTTGCCTGTGCATTGCAGGATAGTTAGCATCATCCATGGTCTTTACCCACTACTTTCTAGCAGCACCCAAATTCCCCATTGTGACAACCAAAAAGGTCTCCAGACATGAACACATGTTTCCTTGGGGGCAAGATTGCCCCCAGGTGAAGAGCACTGGCGGCTTTACTGTCAGACTAACCTGGGTTCAATTCCCTCAGCACCCCTCAGCAGCAGCATGTTCCTGAGTCTGTTTCCCCCTCTGTAGAGTAATAATGTTACTGTTGACCTCCTTGTGTTGTCTGGTGATGAAATGAGTAAGTATATGTGAAGCACCCCATTCATGAAGGCACTTGGGGTGCCTCCCGTTACCTCACCCCCCACTCTGCATCACAGCCACCTCTATTCCCCTGATCTATTCCCCCAGACCTGCCTACTCCAGCCTTTCCTAGGCAGCCTGGACATTGGGCTGGGAATCTTGGGGTCATGAAATGTACGAGCTGGAAGGAGTTACGCAGGGTTCATCTAGGTAACTCCTTTATTGTTCAGGTGGAGACAGGAATCCGAGGAGGGAGCAACCATTCCACCTACAGGACAGTGCAGGGCAGACAAAGTTTGTCAACAGCTTCCTGCTGTCTGGATGGGAGTCTCTTTGACTCAGTCCTCTCCTTTTTTATACCGAGCATCCCACTGTATTCTCCCAGGAGCCCTGAGCTGTAAGGAAACAGAGTAGGGATGAATGTCGCTATTTTATAGGGGAGGAAACCGTGGCCCAGAGAACTCAGGCCATCTCTCTAAATCACACAACCGGTTAGTGACAGAACCAGGACAAAACTCAACTCTACTGGCCCCTAACTCTATTCCCTTTCCTGTATACCTGCAGAAAGAAGAAGTGTCAATTTTAAGCCTGAGGCAGGGCATGTACGAGAGAGACATTGGATCAGACAGCCTTATCATAAAATAATAATTCTGCAACACTTGCTCATTAGAATCATCAAGGTAGATGAAAACAAAAAAAAGAACACCTACAGTAGTTTATCCATATACTAGAATGTTCCATGCTGGGAATCTAGATGTGCAGCAGAGACAGGTACTTCTGGTGAAGACACCTCTGCCTGCATATGCAGGTAGCCCTTGAACATCACACAGAGAGAGTGTTCACCCCAGGGCTCTCATGGAGGGAAGCCTGCCAGTACCTGCACGCCCGCCTCCTCTGGATCTCTCTTTCCTGGCAGAAGTGATAGGCAGTAACAGTGACTGGGCCCCAGAGCTCCCCTCTCACACAGTTACTGGGTATAAGAACTAGTGAAAGCTCAGGAAAATAATTTTCTTTCTACCCCAAACAATCTTTGTAAGAAAATGAATTGCCATATGCAATTGATGTTTTTAAATATCTTTTTATTGTTTGGGTTGAATTTTTTTTCCTTTTGAATGCAGGGTCTTAAGTAATGAAAGAGTGAAAGTTAATTTTCCTCTTCTTCCCATGGGATGTTCAGTGAGGCTTTGAATTCAGGTCCTGGACTCCTTTTCCCCAATCCAAGTTAGCAGTTTTTGCACTTGGAAGATGTGGGAACATGGGGCCACATTCCCCCAAGAAATAGACGAGCTGCTTCCAAGGCTGGATGCCTCCCCAAACATCCAACTTCTCGCTGGTTCTGCAGGCAAGCTCCATGTGCTCCCACCCTGCGGTTTCAGTCCGTTACATTTTCTGTTCGATCTGTGTAAGCATTTGGATCAGTGGCTGCTTACCCAAAAGAATGTGTCTGAATGGTCTCAAAAGTGGAAAAAATGAAAGATTTTGTGCTTCAAGGATAAAAGATAGATGTGGCAAACCATGGGAGGGAGTTGGACTCCAAAAGATGAAGGACAAAGGGACTGCCAGTTCAAAATATCAGGGCCAGGAACTTAGATGTCTGGACACTGAGCCCTGCAGTGTTGTTAAGAGAGCAGCCACTGAGGCTGGCCTGGCAGGTGACCAGTGAAGGGGATCTACACCGGAGAACCAGACATGAGCATCTCTATGGCAGAGGAATGAATGGTTGACCAGAAAGTAGAGGTCCATCCCCAAACAATGCCAGGGAGGATAGAGTGATCTTACCAACAAAATGACCAAGACTAAGGGATCTCCCAGATTCAACTGGACATAGGCAATTATACAAAAATTATGGTTTCTTATGGCTAAGTGTCAGACAGCAATTCCTATGGTTCATCACATAAAACCACAAAACCATTCCCAGCATTTTGCCAATACTTTTATTTTATTTAATTATTTTTAGACAGAGTCTCACTCTGTTGCCCAGGCTGGAGTGCAGTGGTGTGATCTCTGCTCACTGCAACCTCCGCCTCCCAGGCTCAAGCGATTCTCCTGCCTCAGCCTCCCGAGTAGCTGGGATGCCCGGCCACCATGCCTGGCTAACTTTTTTGTGTTTTTAGTAGAGACAGGGTTTCACCATGTTGGCCAGGCTGGTTTCGAACTCCTGACCTCAAGTGATCCACCCACCTTGGCCTCCCAAAGTGCTAGGATTACAGGTGTGAGCCACTACACCCGGCTGTTTTACCAAGACTTTTGACCCATGTTATTTCATTTGATCTCAAACATAGCTGGCTTCCTTGCAGTCAGGGAGTGCCTGTCATCTTAATGGGGGAGAAGCTGGATCCTGAGAACGATCAGGTAAGTACCTAGAGTTCTCATTTTTATTCTCATTTTACAAGTGAGAATTCTGACACTCAGGCAAAGTGACTTATCCAAAATCAAACAGCTCGTAAATGCTGAGGTTTGAAACCAAATCCAGTTGCTTTCCAAACCTGCTAAACAAATGCAGAAAATAACCATCTCCTACTTAAGGCTTCAGTTCAGCATTCATCAAAAGGCTGTGGGCTTGAGTCCAAACAAGCCCACTGATTTGCTCTGTGAGTTTGGGTCCAGCATATCCCTTCCATTAGAAAGGGCAGGCAAAGTGCTTACTTGTTTACAACGTGTCCACAGCAGGGAACATGGGAAGTGGTCAGAGAGCAAGCTTTGGTGGTGTGGAATCTTAGCTCTGTCACTTATTAACCATGCACTTTTCAGCACATTTTTCAAAATTTCAGAGATTCTGTTTCCTCAGCTGTAAAGGGCTCTAATAATACAATCTTATTAGTCTGCTATAAATATTATAAACAATGCTTTACAGCAGTTGGGACCCAGTACACACTCATTAAATAGCCTTATAGAAAGTAGTTGTTTTGTAACTTGAAGCCAGGAGCAGGGATAGTTTTCTAATTTTATTTTTTCCAGAAAGAGTTGGTAGCTCTTGGTTGTCAGTCGGACCATTGTAGAGCTCAGTCATTACATGTAGTCAAAGAAGAGGATCTGCGATGCATCCAGGGCCTGGGTCTCTGTGAAGCCACAGAAGGGGATTCTAAGTGAACCTGGGGACTGTTAACATTGACACCCGCTGAGGGATGTCCTCTGTGGTGAGCAAGCCTATTTAGAATGACGAAACCCGCAAAGCTTTGTTCGGCCCACAGTGCTTCATTAGGAAGAAAACATGACGACTTCATTTGAATGGAGGCTAATGGCTAACAGATGGTCTGGCAAGGCAAAGACCACAAAACACTGTCTCCAAAAATGTAGTTAGGTTTTGTAAACCCTGAATTCTGTTTTCACTTTACTCTCCAGTTTCTGTGAGTGTGAGCTGGGACCGAGGAAGATGGCTGAAAGGAAACAGAGCATGACCAGGGAATGTGTTTATGCTTCTGCAAAACTAAGTTATTTCCACTAGCTGCCCCCAGCAAGATAAAAATGAGATGTATGAGAAGAGAAAGAGGGCCAGGACACGGCCTTTGAAACTAATCTAAGAGGTATCTCTGTGGGGTGGGCTCTTGAAATCACTTCTGCTACAAGGTGATGACCCAATGAGAAAGAAAGGGAACACTTACTAAGCTAGTGTCTAAATACTCACTGTGCTAGATTTCACACACACAAACACACACACACAAACAAAACAAACAAAAATTTTATAATGTCAACCTCCTTCCAATCACACACACACACAATTTTGTCATGTCAACCTCTCTCCAATCTCTCACACACACACACATATCCCCAATTTTGTAATGTCAACCTCCTTCCCATTAGGGTAAATTCAGGCAATAGAGGGTTTTTGTTTGTTTGTTTTCCATTTTATTTGTTTTTTTGTTTTCAGCTTTTTTTTTTTTTTTGCAGGCACCAAAATACTGTTGAGCTCTGGGGCCAATCCTACTGGTTTGGAGGTAAACAGGGTTTAGAGCCTAGGAAATAAACAAAAATGACAGAAGACAGTGCACTCTGAGACTCCTAAATCTTCATAAAATTAATTATGGCTCAATTGCTTGAAAACTCATAAGTAAATGCAATTTTGTTTCTGGATTGATTGATGTAGCGACAAAACAGAGATAGCATAATGGGAACTGAATGTAGCAGCATAACAGTTTGTATTTATGGCATTGGCAGAAATTGTGGGGAGGGATTTGACTTCCACAGGCTGTGGAATTGAGGTTTTAAATTAAGTAGAATAAAGCTGACATATTTTATTTCATTAAAATTGACAAAAATACATATCTTGACTATTGTGAGTAATGTGGCAATAAACAATAAATGGGGTTAGAGATTATTAGTCCTATGTTATTAAGAAACTGAAGATTAAAAGAGTAAAAGAAAATAGAGTAAGTGGGAGAATCAGTATTTGAATCCAATTATTTTTCATTAGAAAATTTATGACTCACCAGAGCCACCAAACTACCTACTTTATTGGTTGGGAAAATTGCCGCATTGGAAGAGACATGACCACATGTGTGTAGTTTGTCCACATTATAGAAGATACCAAAACTGATTTGGTCTACCTCCTAAGCTGCTTTCCTTTGAATGCATTTTAAAAATTAACAAATATCTTAAAAAAATAACTCTGACATGTACCCATTGTAAAAATAAAACTAAAATAAACTTAAAAGCACAAAAATAAATGTTAAAAAATGCATCATGCAAAATCCCACACAGAGACAGTATTGTTATCAAAGTTTGATGAATTTCATTAATGTCCTTTTCTTATACAAACTAGATACTGATAAGCTATCAATCTAAATTAGCTGTATAGATAGGATTTTATAACACTGATATAAAAGTTAAAGCCAGAGCAATTAGTCAAGATAAATAAATAAATGAAAAAGGAGAAGTCAAAATGTCCCTGTTTGCAGATAACATAATCTTACATATTGAAAAGCCTAAAGACTACCGAAAAACTCTAAGGACTCATAAACGAATTCAGTAAAGTTGCAGGACACAACATTAACGTACAAAAATCAGTATCATTTCCATACCCAAATAACAATTTCTTTCATGAAAAAGAAATCAAGAGGGTAATCCCACTTACAATAGTTACCCCAAAATGGCTATTATCAAAAACACAAAAAATAACAAATGCTGGTGAGAATACAGAGAAAGGGGACCCCTATACACTACTGGTGGGAGCCTAAACTCATACAGCCCCTACCACAGAAAACAGTATGGAAGTCCTTCAAAAAACTACAAATAGAACTACCACATGATCCAGCAATCCCACTACTGAGAATTTATCTGAAGGAGGGAAATCGTTATATCTGAGAGGCATCTGCACCCCCAAGTTTATTGCCTCATTATTCACAATAGTCAAGATATGGAATCAACCTAGGTGTCCAACAACAGATGAATTGATAAAGAAAATGAGATGTATATACACTATGGAATACTATTCAGCCATTAAAAATAAAATCCTGACATTTGAGGCAACATGGATGGAATGGGAGGACATTATGTTGGGTAAAAAAAAACCAGGAACAAAAAAATTAAACTTCGCATGTTCTCACTCAGATGTGGCAGTTAAAAAAAGTAGATTTCATAGAAGCAAAAAGTAGAACAGAGCATACTAGAGGCTGGGAAGGAGAGGGAGACAGGGAGAGATTTATTAAATGATACAAAAATACAGTTATGTAAGAGGAATACGTTCTAGTGTTTTATACCACTGTAGGATGACTAGACTTATCAATAGTACACTATAAAGCTTCAAATAGCTAGAAAGAGGATAGTGATGTTCCTAGCACAAAGAAATGATAAAGGTTTGAGATGATACGTATGTTAATTACCCTGATCTAACAACTGTACATTATTATGTATTAAAACATCATTATGTACCCCATGAACATGTGCAATTATTGTCAATTAAAAGATAAAATAAAAATTTAAAAATACTTTAAATATATTAATTATGAAAATATAGATTAATCTGAGATTTAATGCAATTTTGTTAAAAAGCCCAAACAGAATTTATTACAGATTTGATAAGCTCCTTCTGAAATTTATAGACAAGAGCATATAGTGAAGAGAATAAAGTAAAAAATGTACTTTACCAAAAATAAAGACTTCTTTTTTTTAATTATACTTTAAATTTTAGGGTACATGTGCACAACGTGCAGGTTAGTGACATATGTATACATGTGCCATGTTGGTGTGCTGCACCCATTAACTCGTCATTTAACATTAGGTATATCTCCTAATGCTATCCCTCCCCCCTGCTCCCACCCCACAACAGGCCCCAGTGTGTGATGTTCCCGTTTCTGTGTCTATGTGTTCTCATTGTTCAATTCCCACCTATGAGTGAGAACATGCGGTGTTTGGTTTTCTGTCCTTGCAATAGTTTGCTGAGAATGATGGTTTCCAGCTTCATCCATGTCCCTACAAAGGACATGAACCCATCATTTTTTATGGCTGCATAGTATTCCATAGTGTATATGTGCCACATTTTCTTAATCCAGTCTATCATTGTTGGACATTTGGGTTGGTTCCAAGTCTTTGCTATTGGGAATAGTGCCGCAATAAACATACGTGTGCATGTGTCTTTATAGCAGCATGATTTATAATCCTTTGGGTATATACCCAGTAATGGGATTGCTGGGTCAGCCCCATGGTATTTCTAGTTCTAGATCCCTGAGGAATCGCCACACTGACTTCCACAATGGTTGAACTAGTTTACAGTCCCACCAACAGTGTAAAAGTGTTCCTATTTCTCCACATCCTCTCCAGCACTTTTTGTTTCCTGACTTTTCAATGATCGCCATTCTAACTGGGGTGAGATGGTATCTCATTGTGGTTTTGATTTGCATTTCTCTGATGGCCAGTGATGATGAGAATTTTTTCATATGTCTGTTGGCTGCATAAATGTCTTCTTTTGAGAAGTATCTGTTCGTATCCTTTGCCCACTTTTTGATAGGGTTGTTTGTTTTTTTCTTGTAAATTTGTTTGAGTTCATTGTAGATTCTGGATATTAGCCCTTTGTCAGATGAGTAGATTGCAAAAATTTTCTCCTATTCTGTAGGTTGCCTGTTCACTCTGATGGTAGTTTCTTTTGCTGTGCATAAGCTCTTTAGTTTAATTAGATCCCATTTGTCAATTTTGGCTTTTGTTGCCATTGCTTTTGGTGCTTTAGACATGAAGTCCTTGCCCATGCCTATGTCCTGAATGCTAATGCCTAGGTTTTCTTCTAGGGTTTTTATGGTTTTAGGTCTAACATTTAAGTCTTTAATCCATTTTGAATTAATTTTTGTATAAGGTGTAAGGAAGGGATCCAGTTTCAGCTTTCTACATATGGCTAGCCAGTTTTCCCAGCACCATTTATGAAATAGGGAATCATTTCCCCATTTCTTGTTGTTGTCAGGTTTGTCAAAGATCAGATGGTTGTAGATATGTGGCATTATTTCTGAGGCCTCTGTTCTGTTCCATTGGTCTATATCTCTGTTTTGGTACCAGTATCATGCTGTTTTGGTTACTGTAGCCTTGTAGTATAGTTTGAAGTCAGGTAGCATGATGCCTCCAGCTTTGTTCTTTTGGCTTAGGATTGACTTGGCAATGTGGGCTCTTTTTTGGTTCCATGTGAAATTTAAAGTAGTTTTTTCCAGTTCCGTGACGAAAGTCATTGGTAGCTTGATGGGGATGGCATTAAATCTATAAATGACCTAAGGCAGTATGGCCATTTTCACGATATTTATTCTTCCTACCCATGAGCATGGAATGTTCTTCCATTTGTTTGTATCCTCTTTTATTTCATTGAGCAGTGGTTTGTATTTCTCCTTGAAGAGGTCCTTCACGTCCCTTGTAAGTTGGATTCCTAGGTATTTTATTTTCTTTGAAGCAATTGTAAATGGGAGTTCACTCATGATTTGGCTCTCTGTTTGTCTGTTATTGGTGTATAAGAATGCTTGTGATTTTTGTACATTGATTTTGTATCCTGAGACTTTGCTGAAGTTGCCTATCAGCTTAAGGAGATTTTGGGCTGAGACAATGGGGTTTTCTAGATATACAATCATATCATCTGCAAACAGGGACAATTTGACTTCCTCTTTTCCTAATTGAATACCCTTTATTTCCTTCTCCTGCCTGATTGCCCTGGCCAGAACTTCCAACACTGTGTTGAATAGGAGTGGTGAGAGAGGGCATCCCTGTCTTGTGCCAGTTTTCAAAGGGAATGCTTCCAGTTTTTGCCCATTCAGTATGATATTGGCTGTGGGTTTGTAAGACTTCTAAAGAATTTAGCAAAATAGAGACCATGCCAATTTGGTCCAGAATTTTATACACAAACACAGAATGACTTATCCGTAAGGAAGAAATAAAACTAGAACCCACGTCATGCTGTATGCAGTAGTCACTTCCAAGTGGATTAAAACTTAAATAATTTGTTTAAAAGTAGTTT
Organism: Homo sapiens; assembly: GCF_000001405.40. Taxonomy (NCBI): domain Eukaryota; kingdom Metazoa; phylum Chordata; class Mammalia; order Primates; family Hominidae; genus Homo; species Homo sapiens. The sequence continues at coordinate 44,691,538 of NC_000010.11, read as the reverse complement.
CAATTTGGAAGAAAATATGGGTGACTATATTTAACACCTGAGGTAGAGGGGGAAGGATTTCTTTTAGAAAACCACGAAGTTACAAGCCATCAAGGGAAATTTAGTAAATTTGCCTATGTTGTAATTGAAAACAGGTGAGACTTCTTGCTATGGCAAAGAGAATGGCAAATGTTTTGCCCCCAAAACCAAGTTTACAACTGAACAAAATTGTCAGAAACAAACATTTCAGGCCTCTGGAGGGTGACCAAAGCAAAAAACAAATGGAAAGATATTTTTAAATGAAGATGTGCTGGAACTTCTGCTAAAAGTGGTGGGAGGGTTGGATGCAATGGCTCACACCTGTAATCCCAGCACTTTAGGAGGCCGAGGCGGTGGATTGCTTGAGGTCAAGAGTTCGAGATCAGCCTGACCAACATGGTGAAACCCCGTCTCTACTAAAAATACACAAATTAGCCAGACCTGGTGGTGGGTGCCTGTAATCCCAGCTACTCAGGAGGCTGAGGCAGGATAATCACTTGAACCTGGGAGGTGGAGGTTGCAGTGAGCTGAGATCGTGACACTGCACTCCAGCCTGGGCAACAGAGCAAGACTCTGTCTGGAAAAAAACAAAACAAACAAACCAAAAAACCGAGTGGGAGTCTGAGGCTGCTTGCCAGGGTCTGCTCCCATTCCCTCTACCCCTAGCTCAGTTGCAGCAGTTTTACCAGGGTAGGGTTGGCCATGGAAACCAGCAATTTCGCTGCCAGAGGCAGCTCACTAAATTTGGAGTAGAGGGTGAAAACTCATGGCTGATGGTGTTTTCGGTAAAATTAGAAAACTAACTAGGAAAAAAGTGGGGGAAAACTTGTAACTCTGCTAGCCTAAGGTTGTTACTCTTGGTTGCAATGAGTGTCAAACCAGCCTGAAATTTAAGGGGAATACCTTAAAAATTAGAGAGTCATAGAAGGGTTAGATAAGCTCTATACACATCCTTGAAAGACTAGAAAACTATGCATGCACATGGGAGACCCTAGAGGGTCCAGGAGGATGTAAAAACTGGGGCAAAAGCCTGAGAACTGCCTGAGCTTTGAATGTGCTGCCCTTCCCACCCACAGACCCATGTACAGAGGTTGGAAGCGTTACACTCTACATGTCTCTAGGCATTTGAGCACAGTCTCTTCTTAATCATTGCTGATCCTTAAGTTATTCAGGCAACCCATAGGAAGCCATCATTGGTCACACATTGTCAAGGAGTCGGATCTATAGGTAAGTCCAGGCAAGTAATTAATAATAAACAAAAAAAAAAAAAAACGGAAAACTCTCAGACCAAAAACTTTCAGAATCCAGAATTGCTACAATATATTATGTAAAAGCTCCAATTTTCAACAACAACAAAATTATAAGATGTGAAAAAACAAGAAAGTGTGTCCCATGCTGAGGAAAAATTAAAAAAAAAACAAAAGCAGTCATTAGCAACTGACTCCAAGTGGTCCCCCATATTGCTTTGGGCAGGCAGACTTTCAGCTGCTATATGATAAAAGACAAAATAAATTTATGTTTACATAATTAATGGAAAATATGATAATAATAACTGTATAAATTTGACATCTCCATAAAGAAAGACAAATTATAAAAAAGAAGCAAGTGGAAATTCTAATAACTGACATGAAAATTCACAAACTCTTTAAACAGGGTATCTCTGTAAAAGTATAAATTATGGAAAAAGAAAAAAGAAGCAAATGGAAATTCTAGTAGCTGACATGAGAAACTCACTAAATGGTTTCAAAAGAATATTTGAAGTGAACTTCATGATTGGTAAATAGAAATTATCTGATGTAAAAAGTGAAGAGAAAAATACAGAAGAAACATGGACAGAGATTCAGAAACTGTGGGACAGTGTCAAACACTCCCTCCAGGTACGCCCAGGACCCTCCTCAGCACTCCTGAAAGGAGGCCCTCTCCCTGCCTATGGTAGTGGCATCCACCAGGGGTGGCTAATGCCTTCCAGACCAATCCTACTGCAATTCCTCCATCCTTTTGTGGGTGTAGCAGGCGGTTTCTCATGAATCACAAACTGCAGTGTTGAACTTTATATAAAGGAACATTCTGTGGGAATCCTTTTCAAGGGTATTTACCTACTTCTATTCCCTTTTCTTTGCCCTAGGTTAGGCAAGATGAGGTGTACTAAAGCATTGTGTGTTTTTTATTGGGTATTTGCCATTGATCTGTCCTTTCCCGGTGCTTTAAGAAAAGAGGGTGGAAAGAAAAGGCCACTTTACCATAAAGCCATCTATGAGCAGGTCTGAAATGGCAATGATTGGGAAAGGACTCCCATGAGGGAAAATAAACTGCTTTTTCTCTTCCTTTCTTAAGATAAATGCAGCTTTTCTGTTTTACTATAGGGCTTACTTTTCTAAGCTCTTAGATCACCAGCAGAGAATAAAATATTCAGAGAATTAAAATATTTAAAAATATACAAGTTTTGTTACTCAACATAAAATGGATAATATTTATTTTTTAGGTAGAACATATTGGATTATTGTGCAAGTAGCATTATAACAGAGCTTAAGGTTTTTTCTAAAATAGGGAATATTTTTTCTATCATGTCATGTAAGAAAGCACCAAACTAACTTTATTACAAAGTTTGTTATGGTAAAATTCTTTAGTCCCCAGATGGGAGTTTCACTTGAATGTAAAGAATAGCATTGTTTATTTTAAAAACCCACCATTTCACACCTATAAGAATGACAAAAATATTTCAAAGCCTGACAATGCCAAGTATTGGCAAATAAGTGTAGAAGGGAACAGTCACACCCTAATATAGAACTATAAACGATTATAACAATTTGGAAAACAATATGGCAATATCTAATAAATGAGAAAGCTAACTCATGGCTGTCAGCTTACCAATTCCTCTGCTGTTTACATAACTTGGAAAAACATCTGTATACATATTTAATTGAAACAAAAAAGACTGGCACATCAACAAGATAAATTATAATTAAATTTTGGTGGACTCTTAAATACAATGGTTCCCAGCAATGAAAACAAATGATTTAGATCTATGATTATCAACAACCATAAATCTCATAATCATTCTAGGGAGTAATAAAAGCAGGTTGCAAAAATGTATGTATAGAATGATTCTGTTTAAAAATATACGAAACAAGATTATACATTCTGGAGACAAATACACATATGCGGTAAAATGTAAAAGAATAAAATGAAGGATAAATGCTATATTCAGAGCAGCAGTCACCTCTGGGAGAAGACAAGGATGTTTTCACAAAAGGACTCAATAATAATAGCAGTTTTATTTTTTAACCTGAATGATTAATATATAAATGTTTATTTTTGTTAATCTTTACATGTTTTGCAAGCCTGAAACACTTTATAAAATTTTTATAAAAGAAAACTCTTATTCAGTCCAATCACTAGGCCAATTTGAAACAATGTTACTAAAAATATTAATAAAGCTACAGTTTATGTATAACATTGAAAGTACCGAGAACCCCAAAGTCTTAATGAACATCAAAAAATAAATAATTTCTAACATAGGGGTGTTAACATAGGGCCAAACACAGGACTATCTTTTTACTTTGTTATTTCATAGCATAGGGGCTTCAGCTGATAAACAGAAATTCCCGTCATTCTCTTTCAGGACATCACTTCCCAGAACTTCTGTGAGAGACTGTAGGGATATTGGTGTTTTTATTTAAACATTCACTGTTACACTACGAAATATTTTCTATATCCTGTAACAATATCATTTGTCATTTTATTAACCAGTGGTACTATTGAAGTCTTGAAAACAATGTGCTAAAAAATAGTAAATTTGGAATAGAATCTAACTGTAATTTATTAAGGAGATTAAGAATTGCAGTGATACTATTAAGATGGTATGCCTCAAATATTAGAGATAATGAGAAAATAAACACTAGCATAAATGTATCATTCAGTTTACTAAATAGAATAGCACAGAATCATTAAGTTACAATATATACCTTAAGTCATGTGGCTATCCCTCCCTGGCACCCCGTGACACACACACACGTTGATGACATTTGGGGCATAAAAGATGTGGCAACCCCAGACCTTCATTCCAATAAAGCAAAAAGTGGACGAAGAAGCGTGGGGGCTGAGCCCTTTGGATGAGGTATGCATTCATTCATCATGCTGTCTACCAATTTCTACTGCTTATCAGGGAATCTTGAACTTCAGCTTCAATGAGAATTTCCTGTAGAGCTTGTTAAAACACAGATTGTGGGATCCCACCCCAGATTTTTGTTTCAATAGGCCAGGGACAGAGCTTGAGAACTGGTATTTCTAACACGTTCCCAGGTGCTGCTCGTCCTTGTGAGCAATTGCTCATAGCAGTCTTTTACACTCATCTACCTTTCCTGCCTTTCATCTTCCTTTCCTACACTATCTTTCTTGACATTCAGTTTGTGGCTCCTTGTCCAGATCATACAGTAAATAAGAGAGAGTTGATAAATAATTTACCTTTTTAACGTATTAGCATAGTGGATCCTATAGTAATGGTATTTCAACTCATCAGTGTTTCAATGTACTTTCCTGAGTGGTAAGAAAAAGCAAATTTATCCCCTATATTTCTAAGCAATCAGCCTGCACAAACTCCTGGGATGAGCTCTCACATAGTGAATGCTAGTTGTGTGCATTGAAAAGTGGGATGGATTAAGAACACTGGGTTTTATGATAGGAAATAATACTCAATGTGCTCTGAGGTATTTTGGGGTATGTTTGGGAATTTGTACAAGTAACTCAAGTTCTTTTTCTCATTGTAATTGGGGATAAGAATATTACTCATAGACACCGTTGAAGAAATTAAAGGAGATTGTGTGTGCCCATCTTGGATCAATACATATTAGTGTCCATTTCTCATCTCTTCTATCCTTATCTGGTCAGAGTGGGGGGAATTCGGGGAAATATCATAGAGGATGTTGCCTTAGAGGACAGGAAGGATTTGGGATGTGCTAATGTATTTATTTCCAAAGTGTAGCTAGCATGGCTGAGAAAATGAATTTTTAGTTAAATTTGAATGTAAATAACTCCATGGGGCCAGTAGCTATGGTATTGAGGACTGCAGGTATAGAATTTAAGTAAGTCAGATAGGTCTAGATTCAAATCCTGGCTTCTCTAGCTCTAGGATCTTATGCAAATTACTTCCTGAGTGCAACCTACCCCCTCCCCCATATGGTTGCCATGATGAAGAAATAAGGTTATTAATGAAAAAATGGAAGTACTGAGTACATACCAACTGTTATTCTAGCACTAAATGCAAATGTGAATATTGATAAACTTTCTTCTTGAAACTGTTCCATGAAAGAAAGTTGATGAATTATGTGGAAATATTCCCCAATAAACTCTATAAATTATAGGCAGCTGGTTGTGTGTGAAGATTTGAGAGAGCCATCTCAGAACTTTGTCCTCTGGATATTTAACACAGTTGGAATGTCTCTAAGCAACTGGATCCTGCATTTTGTGATGGTTTTGAAAAAATACCTGTTTCATGTAGATTTATGACAAGGGTTAATGCATGCAATAAAACTGGTTTTGCATTAAGCTCATTTAAGCACATGCGCATTCAATCATAACTGCTGAGCCAGGGCCCTGCTAGGAAACTCACAAATTTATTATGTAGTATGAACCCACGTTCTCTACTGTTTGATTCCAGGAACATGAGATTGCATTTGACATTGAAATGGATGGAACAACTGTCCTGACAGCAAGAAGCTCCTTTAGGGTTTTGCCTCAGATCACTGGAATCATGTTGAGAGAGGTAATTGTTAGTCTGTATGTCTCAGTTTCCTTATCTATCTGACTAAGAGGACAAAATACACCACAGTGCTGTCTGCTTTTTCAGGACTATGGAGGCCATTCAACAAATCATGAGTTATATGGAGACTTAATGAAAATAAAGTGCATAATAGGAAAAGAAGGTGCAATAGATTTTATTCAGCTCTCCCGTGTGGCCACGTGGATGGATTCTTCCCAAGGGAGCATAATAGTAGAGCATTTTAGTTGCAAATGTGGAATGAATGTAGCTTCTAGTTGAATATTTTCTCTGGCTTTGTCTATGTGAAGCACAGATGTTTTAAAAATCATCTCTATATTAAGGCTGAGATAACCCAACTAGGTTTGAAAATAATCACATTTTTCAAATTGTGTTGTTTCCCATGCTCTAGACTCCAGGAGGAAAATTGGCTTCAGGAGATGGTTTTTAACATGTTTCCCCAGGGTCCTAAATTCAGCAGCCTCCGGGAGCACGAGAGAAGCACAGCCCATTTTCTGACATGGACGATGAAGGTACAGGCCCGCTGTTTGTGCAAGTCTTTCCTGTGGATTCGTGCCTCCTCTTGCACAGGGCAAATGAGGAGTTTTGGCCATGGACAGCTTTAGGAAAAGGCATTTTAAAACAAAACCCCCAACTCTGGTTCACCTGGTTCCATGTGGGCATGCTGGACTTGGGAGAAAATAAGTTGTCTATCCATGCATCTGGCAGCGTCTTGGTCTCCTGAGGAAGTCAGCTGGTATTGACATAAGGCATAACAGGGCTGAGCTCAGTTTTAGATTTTCTGGTACCAGCTGACTTCTGTGGTGCTACAGCCACTTCCTAAGTACCTTCCTTGGTATCATGGTCTAAAGTCTCTCCTATTAAATATGCATGGCCTCCTATGCCCTTGACAAAGGAGCACAGATTGGTTAAGGTGATTGGCCTGGGAAATATCTGCACTTTGGAAGAGAAACTTATTTTATTAACCACAGGAATGTAACCTGGTACACTTTATACTAAGACCATAATAGTCCTAAAACAGTGTATAAGAATAACTGAGTTAAAACACCTTTATCTGGAGACAGAGTAGTCCAGTCTGAAGCGTGGCAAGCCTGCACACTTGTTTACGGTCTGCCCTCCACTTTGGGTAATCGGGGAGTGGGGACCTGGCATGGACATCCCATCGTGCAGCTTCATTTGCATGAGTTTTCTGAGACTGCCCATGTAAACATAAATATGTGATTCCTCAAGCACTTGCACATACACATACACATGCTTGCCCCTCTCCAAAAATAAGCAATAATCCAGCACCATCTAGATCCATATAAAAATACATATATAATTTCCCCACCCCAAAAAGCAAAAAGGTTTACAGAAATGCAGCATCTGATCTGTTCTGCCAGATAGGGCCCTGAGCCTTTCTGTCAAAACAGCTGCTTTCAGGTTAAGGATAATTCTAGTTTTGTTCCAAACCAAGGACTTTCTCAAATAATGGAGTAAACTCCCACACGGTCATTTAGGAAGCAGGGAGTGACTTCAATATCTTAATGGCATTTCTAGTCTATATTCACTTAAGATTCAAAAAATCTCGTAGTCAGTTTCTCACTCTCACACACCCTCATGTACATGATTGAATTAATGTGTGAAGTAGAAGCAAATGTTGGCTCAAGGTCATCTAGCCATGGCCAGAAACAGTTATTTTGTCTTCAAATCCAGTGGGTTTTTTCCCCTACTTTGCAACATGCCTCAAATATTGCCCCTGATTACTCACATGAGTTCTTCAGAAATGGAGATTCATGATCTCATAATGTCAAAGCTGGAAGGTTCTGACATCATCTCCTCCCAGATTTCCCTCGTTTTTTAAAGGGGTCTAAAGTCCCAAGAGTTCATGTGGCTTGGACAAGTTCACAGAGAAAGTGAACAACAGAAAAATGACCATAATGCCTCCCCAGGACCCCAGAGTTCTCGTTTCTGACTTATTTCAGGCATCCCCACTCATATTCATCTTAACTTTTATTTTGTGGAAAAATATAATTAAGTCAAAGCTGCCAAAACCCTATTCCTTTAGGGAAACGTTTGTTTCTCCAAAGTGATAAGAATATCAGTTTGCAACAGGCATTTGACATTCAGACATCTTGAAGATCCACTGAGATTATTAAAGAGAATGTTAAATTTTGTGCTTTTCTCTAGTAATTTTAAAAAAAATCTTACAGGAAATTAAATATTGCTGGCCAGTTTAGGGTTCCAAGACCAGACAGACTCTGTTAATAATAGGAATGTGAGTAAAGAACAGTAAATATCAAAGTTCTTCCTGAATTTGAAGTCATAACAAGTAATGTTAATGATACTTGCTAAAATCATGCGACCTTTTTTCTTTCATTTGTTTGATTCGTGTGTTCTTCCTTCCTTCTTTGTATGCAAAGTCAGATGTGCTCCAGGGCTGAAGCAAGCGAGCCGGGGCTAGAAGTCTGCTCTCCTTGGTACAGCTGGCCTTCCAGTAGTTCTGTGCTTTAAAAGTCTCTGGCATGGGTATAAAAAAGATAACCATGCTTGGAATCTACCTCGTAGGAGCGATCTGGAATGGATATCTTCAAAAGCTCACCCCAGTGAATTTCACATGCAGTCAGTGTGGACAGTCACCAGACCAGAGGTGCACATTTGCCCTCTTCACTGGGGAAACGCCCATTTCAGTGCAGAGGAAGCCCTTCTCCCCGCCATCTCTGTTCCAGCACTGTCTGCTCCAAAATGCAAAACTGGACTTAGGCACATGCAGTAAGTCACTGGAAACCCCTTCTGACTTCTCCCCTTTGCTGAGAAGGCTGAGGCCTGTGGTGCATACCAAGGACAGAGATGTGAATCGCAGGTGGTTACTGCAAGGGAACTGCAACCGAGCAGAGGGCGTGGCTCATGGGACAGAGAGAGATAGTTAAGGTGACTTTTCGAATCTGCACTTCCAAATCCAGGGCCTGCTGAATCAAGTGTCTGCGCTGTTCTAGAATCCAAGCTGTGTGGTGTTGCCCTCTCTGGTCCTACCACCGGAAGGTGCTCAAGTGTCAGCTGGATCTGGGCCCAGCAGTTGACTCTGCGGCCTTAGTAAATTACAGCAGTGCTAGCATCTGCATTTGGGCCTCCGCCAAGAATTAAGTTTCAGTACAGTGCCAGTAAATAGAAAAACACTCAATGAATGTCAGCTAATTTTAATTGTGCATCTTGCATTTAAATAACCTTATTCTCCTGTAGCTCAGAAGAATATAGGACACACTGATTCATCTTTCTTCTCTATAATTTGGCCTTCTCTGCTTTAAGGCATGTAGGATCCATAAGGGGTCCTCTTTCAAGAGGGTCAAGCCCTCTTGGATGGGAACATCTGTCAGGTCTCTGGGCACGTGGATCTGGAAACACATTGTTTGAAGTCCAGAGGCTTGGACCTCTGAGTGCTGGAATTGCAAGCAGAGTATATTTTCTTCTTTTTTATCAGAGAGATAGGGACATTTTATAGTCTGGAAGGAACCTTGATGGTGACAGAGTTGACCCTGGAACAACAGGGGGTTGAATTGAGCGAGTACACTGATGTATGTGGATTTCCTTCTGCCTCTGCCACCCCAATACAGCAAAACCAACTCCTTCTTCTCCTCCTCCTCTTCCTTCTCCTCCTCCTCAGTGTGAACCTTTATGATGATCCCTTGCATTCACTTAATGAATGGTAAACATATTTTCTCTTCCTTATAATTTTCTTAGTAACATTTTCCTTTTGCTAGTTTACTGTAAGACTACAGTATTAATACTTATGACATATAAAATACATGTTAATAGACTGTTTATCTTATCAGTAAGACTTCCAATCAACAAGAGGCTATCAGTAGTTAAGTTTTGAGGGAGTCAAAATTATAAATAGATTTTTGACTGTGGTGAGGAGAGTCGACACCCTTAAGCCCCATATTATTCAAAGTCACCTGTATTTCAGTATCCTGCCCAAATAGGAATCCCTCTGCCAAATGACCAAACAGCCTTTCCTTGAAAATGTAGAAAGTCAGAGACTCCTCACTTCACAAAATAAACTCATTCTGCTGTTGGGAAATTTACCTGTTTTTTTGTTTTGTTTTGTTTTGTTTTTTTAAAAAAGTTCTTCATTTTGAGCAAAATCTGCCCACCATAGAATCTCTCCTTTGATCCTAGTTCTTTCTACTTACTGTCAAAGATGATGCCCATCATGGAATGGCAGATAAGTCTCAGTTTCTGTTGATCTGGCAATGGTCATCTGGAGTATGGTGATGAAGGCAAGGAGGCCACTTTGGGGCTCAATGGGAGGAGGACTGGGGTCCACAGGCCATGACTGGCCACAAGGACTCCCTGAGAGGAACCGTGGGGCCCACCGGCCACCTCTGGCCACAGGGGCAAGGAGGGTGCAGCACACACCACTGACTCATTGGCTGACCACAGAGTCTAACCCTCAGCTATCTCCTCTCATGTTTTGTGAGTATTTTATTTTCAAAATTAGACACCATCTTCTTCACGCCCCCTTTCTGTGCATTCTTCAGTTTATTTTTTATTTTGGGGGTATTTTTAGCAATGTCAATCTCAGCCTAGGTCTGACTAGTGCAGGTAAACAGGAGCTGTATTATCTTCCTTTTCTTAGGACAGTCCCGACCCATACTGTTCGACACTTGTCTCTGTTTTGGGGGCATCCCTCTACCCTGTGGAATTTTATCATCTTACTTTTATTTCTCTATCCGGGCCTCAGACTCCATCTTGCATTCGGTTCTGTCATCTGTTGCATTCTCCCCACTTCCTGCTTTGACACATCTGTGAATATGTTCAGCCTGGTGTCAATGTCTCATCCAAAACGCTGAGAAGTTGCCGGGTTTATCTTCTGGGCTTTCCATCAGCACACTTTCCTCACAATATGCCTTTTACACCACTCTTACACTCTTAACTACCTCCAACTTAAGACTCCAGCCAATGTCTTTGTAAATTATAACCCTCCTGTGGTCTTTGCATTTTGATAAAAGACTCCGGAGGTCCTCACACTTATTTTAGGCAGCAGCACAAGAAATGAAAGGTAGTGAGACTAGTGAAGGGACTGAGTTGGGTGGATCACTCAGCTGGTTAGGAGCAGCCAGGAGCACTTACATGCAGAGTTCCAAGTCCCAACAGGCCACTGCAACATGTCTTGTGAGCAGTGAGTGGACATTTCAGGGTTGTGAGGTGAATCCTGGTGGTCTCATTGGTCTCCAACTGCTCCTCTATTTCTTATCAGCTAGATGCTCCTCAGTGAGCTGGTCCTTCCAAGTCATCATTGACTGACTCTCAGTGTCCAAGCTCCGTGTATGTGTGTGCATGGGGCAGGGTTGGCAGGGATATCTTAGAACTCTCTTCAACGTCACTTCATTTGCCAGAGTCCTGCCCTGAATGGACTTCTGTTCTTTGGCATGATGATGTTGTGATGGGTTCACCCACACCCTATCTGTGATTGCCCAGTAATTGAGCATGGCTCCATGCTCATCTACTAGCCCCTGGAACTTAGTACTAGGTATTGCAGGATTCCCACCCCTCCTTGAGGAACATCCTTTATGGGCTACTGTGCTAGTGACTGATAGTCATCACCTTTGTGAACCCAAAGCAACCAATCCTAATAGACGACACTATAATTTAATAGTAGTTGCAGCTGTAAGAAGAAAGGAATCCCTAGATTAGCAGTCAGGGAAGACTATTTTTAAATTATTTCTAACTCAGCAAAATACTGGTCTTTGGAAAGTCTCATTCCAGAGAGTCAAGTCTGTAACTGGTTTTATTGAAGATAATAGTATGATGTAAACAGATAACGGTGCTTTAAAAATTAAGAGGCCTAGGGTCTAATCTCAGCCTGAAATTTTGCAGAAATCTAGTGCCCAGCCCCAAGCTCAAAGCTATAGGGAGGGGGGTCCAAGCCATGTGGAACGGGTGACTTACAAAGATTAGAGACTAAAGCAAGCAGCACGCCAGAAAAAGGAGACAAGCCAAGACCAGGGAACTGAGACACTGGTAATGTTCCAAGAAAAACCACTCCATCCTGGACAGGTCATATCCATGGGAAAGTGGGAGCGAAAAAATGAGGGTTACATCCAGGCCAAGCAAAGATGGAGAAATATATAAACTGCTCAGCCTGCATCTAGGACAATATCATGACCGTGGTGGCCATGATGTTCCTCTTGTCCATGACTTATGAAGTCCCCTCCACATGAATGGGACAGCCCTTTGATGTTACAGAGTGGGGCTTGACACTCATCGTGTGGCTCTGGAAAAGCCACTTAACCTCTCCAAGCCACAGTCAACTCATTTGGAAAACGCGGAGGATGGACCAAAAATTGTATTCCCCCTGCAGCCCTAAAATGCCTCTAATTCTATGAAAGGACCATTCAAGCACATTAGCATGCCAAAAACATCTATTCATACAGAACTTAACTAAAATATAATACTAAGTCACAATGGAGTTTATTCTGGATGCAAAGTCTAGTTGCTTTTTGGATCACCTAGTCTCAACAGAGCATTTAAGTAATCCAGGCAATTCACATTGTGAAGTTTAGCTAAGAATCTATACCATGAGGCCATTCGGTTCAACTCATAATGAAGTCATTGCTTATTTTGGGTATACTTTCCTGGGCCAGGATGAAGGGAACACATACTGAAGTTGACAGCAGGGTAGGTATGTGAAGGGACCATGGTGGATTTTTCCCAGAAATCAGAATAATCCATCTTGGAACACTCCTCTGAAAGAAGTTTAGGATGTTGAGAGTAAAAGCTGATTTTGGCCAAAGCATATATTCAGGATCCTTCTGTTGCCAAATGTGCAACTTTCCTGAGACCTGGGCAGGAGTGGAGACTCCCTGTTCCATGGCTGCTCTTTCTCTTCTTGTAACCCATCTGCTTTCTAATGAAAGGCAGAGACTATTGGAAGGACAGACAATGCCTGACCTGATGCAGTGGGATTGGTGTGACAGACTCATGCAATGTGGAATTAAGGACATGTCAGAATTCAAAAAGCTCTTAGGGAACAGCGCACTGAGTTCCCTTTGATTAGCAAAATGGAATTAAAAAACCCAGGAAATGATAACAAAGTCAATGGGCCATACTCCTAAGGGGAACACCCACTGGCCTGCGAGGTTTCTTCGGACATTGGGGTGCTGTTGCTTGGACATGGAGTGGAGTCAGAGCAATATCCCTTAAGTTAGCCAGATCAAAAACAGTATTTTCCCAAAAGCTTTTATATCTACGTGATATTAGTTATTCTTCTAAACTTTTCTTTCTGATCTGTGTAATTTTTCTGATAAAAAATACATTTTTCATGTAACAAAACTGCACTTGTGCCCCTAAATCTATAAAAAATTAAAAATTAAAAAATAAATTAAAAATGTATCTTCAGTAAAAATTATTTGGGAAAAAAGTAAAAAGCATTAGAAGAAAATATAATCAGCAATAATCCTACCATTCAGAGAGAAAATTTGGCATATGGTATTATGAATATTCTTTGAGGAGATTTGGAAATTATGTACTCTTGTGCTTAACTAGAATTGAGCATGCCATGTTTCTTGACATAGTCTATTTTTCTTTTGTGTAACTCACTAATGATTTACATTTTTCTTATGTAGATCCTGCCCTTGCCTCTCTGTATTCATCTCAAGTTCCTTCTGCCTTCTTTTTTATCTCTTCCCTTTCCTAAAGTGGACCTTTAATATAGGATTTTTCTCATTGATCATTTCTGATGCATAAGAAACTTCAGGAAGTTTGTATATTTGTTTTGTATTTAACCACCAGGCTGAATTTATTATTAACGCAAATACATCAGTTAATTACAGGTTTTCAGCATATGTGAATGATGCATTCATCTTTTTCTTTCCAATGATTACAACCTTTATGCTTCTTGTCATATGTAATGACAAGAATTTTTCAGTCATCATTATCTTGTCTTTAATTGAAATATCTCTAGAATTGTACCATTGTATTAAACAATTGGTTTGAATATAGCTTTTAATCAAGTATTTGCTACCAATTTGAAGGATGCATCCATTTATTTAGTTTCTCTGAATTTTTAAAAACAGCTTTAAATCAGTAATGAATATTAAATTTTATCAGTTTTTTTGCATCTATTGAAATAATTTTGTGACTTTTTTCTTTCTCTTTAATTTAATGCTGTGATGTCCTATATATATTTCCCCCTCTATATTAAGCCATCCTTACAATGTTGGGATAAATGCTTTTATTAGTCAGGGTAAGCTACTTTCTTTGATGAAAACTCCAAATTCTCAGTGGCTAAACACAAAAAAGGCTTATTTCCTGCTCTTGTGTCACTTCAGTGTTTCTGGTGAGGGTGAGAATTTTCTGGTTTTAAATATAAAGATAGAGAGCTCATACTTTAGGCAAAGAACAAGAAGGGTCTCTGGCAATGTTTCTGTAACTTCCCTTGACTCTAGACACTTCCTTGTGTTGCCTTCATCTCAGGCTGATTCTTTCATTGCACCAAGATGGCTTCTGGGCTCATTTATAGGTATAGTCTTCCTCATTCACGTCCAGGTACATCTCTTCCCACAATCATTTAACAAGTCCTGATACCTCCATTCAGGTGAACTTGTGTCACATACTCAGCCCAGAAGTAATCTTTATGGAATAAAGAATGAGACTAGCGGTGGGTCCATGCCATCCAAACCAACTGGCTGCCCCAGGAGAGACAACTGCATCTTCTACTCCAAAACCCCTCATATTTAGTAAAAGTTTCATGTGTTATTCCTCTCTGAGTTCTGGATACATTTCTCAAATTAATTCTATCTTAGGCTACTAAGTTCTCTCTGAATGTGGAAATGAAAGGATTGTTGTATACTTCTCATTTAATTTAATTTAATTTAACCAATTTAAATTTTACATGGATTTAGTATTCCTTCAGGAATACTAAATCTAGTTCTATAGGTTCAGTACCTTTTCAGTTCTTGTTAAGAATACGACTGAGAAGTGTATTTCTTTTTCCCTAATTGGAGAGGCAGTGTTTCTAACTCTTCAGGGAGGGATGCACTTTTTCATCTAAGGCCGCTTTCATAGGTTCAATGATTTTTGTTTGTATCAGGGTCTTACATTTTCCCATACAACCCTGCACAAATTTAAAACAAAATTTATCTTCTTTATTTTAATATCTGATCTCATCTAATCTTTCTCATAACTTTCTTCCCTGAGGATTTTGGAGAGTCCAAGTAACCATGAAATACATATTGGGTTCATATCCCCCAAACTACTCATTGAAAAAGAGGCTTTGCTTTCTGGATTTCTCCCCTTTGTTCTGGAGGATTTCTACCCTCACAGAGTAGGTTTTCTGCCCTTTTCCTTCTAGCCAACCCCTCTGAGATGGGATATATTAGAAGCCTATCCATGATGTCTTCTTTTAGAGGAGGGAAATTGTTTACTGTCTGATTTTTTCAAGCCAGACCCGTCTGTCCTACTTCTAGCAGAAATTTCCATGCATAAATGGCATCCATTTCATTGTCAGTGGTAGAGTCTTTCTATTTTTATGTTCTGCTAATCCTTTCTACCGAAATCTGGAAGTGGTGGGTTTCAGTAACACAGTTTACATTGTCATCTTCTCTACAAATCCAAATTTATATAACAAACTGTAAAGCCTTGTATAAATGCAGTAAATTACCATTTTATTCATCAACGGATTTTGCCTTTTGTCTAAAAAGATGACATTTGCTCATACTATCAGAAAGATTATTTTTTCCAGTAGTGCATTTGTTGAGTATTCTGTTGTCTGGTTTCTTTTATGACAAATGATATCATATATTTAGTGAGCAGCAGATGACACAGGCTAGGACTATGGGGTAGAATGTGGTGTCTTGCTATCTGGTGGATATAACTCACACCTTTGTAGCACTGTGCCCCTCAAATTGTCCCTGAAGCTGTCACGCCTTTAAGGAGTGTGGCATAATAGTCAGGAGTGTGATATTTAGAGTAAATAGCCTTCATCCAAACACTAGCTGTCTTGGCCAGTTCTGGCAGCTATAACAGAATATCATAGACTGTGTGGCTTAAACAACAGTCATTTATTTCTCACAGCTCTGGAGGCTGGGAAGTCCAAGATCAAGGTGCAGACAGATTTGGTATCTAGTGAGGTCATGCTTATCACTGTGCCCTTCATGATGGAAGAGGTGAGAAAGCTGTCTTCATAAGGGTCCCCTTTATATGGACACTAATCCCATTCATGAGGGTTTCACGACCATGACCTCATCACCTCCCAAAGGCACTATCCCCAAATGCCATCACTTTGGGGATTAGGTTTCAATATACACATTTTGAAGGAACACAAATATTTAGTCTGTAACACTAGCTGTCACTCTTGCTTGCTGTTTGACTTCTGTTAAAGTGTTTAACTTTTTTAAACTTCAGTTTCCCTATCTATAAACCACAGATGATAAGAATATCTTCCTTCATTTGCAACAAACCGCATAGGACTTGGCAGATGGTTCGCAATCCAGTGATGGTAATTATTATTATTATTATAGTTACAATGGTAGTAATAGCACTAATATAAGTAGTGAAATGATATGGAAACACCTCTTGTACTGCCAAAATCAAATTTACTGCCAAGTAAACTGAATATAATTGCATTCCTCTGCAAACATTTCAGGGATAAGCAACAACTTCCTGAACATAGGTCTTTTTGAGAATTAGGAATATGGAGCTTCCCAAAGAAAGCTTTCTCCCCCAACTCCCTCGATGGGAAGCCATTAGCCAGGGATTGGAGTGGCTGTTAGGGTGCAGTTGACCCTCAACATGCACTGAAATAACAGGACCCATTTATGGCTGACAGTTGGCTCTTGCCCAAGTGGCCCGTGAAGTATACTGGCCAGCCATTCATTTTACAGTTCTTTTAAAAGAAGGTTCCAAATATTGCTGGGTATCTTAAAGTCTAAGTTGTTACATGTGTAAAGGACCACCCATTGTGTGCTTAGGATTTTTTTTTTTTTACAAGTAGGAGCACATTCCTGAAGCTGCACTTGGTATGTCTTGCCAGCCCCGTGTTTCCAGGCTGTTAATAGAAACTATTTCTTGGACACTGGATTCCATACTTGCTTGCTTAAGTTGGAAAATTTTCATTTTCCTGTAAATGAAAGAACTCAAGTAAAAAGTCAGATATTGGGTTTGTGCTTTTTAAGCCAGCCTCAAAAAGAGGAAAAGATTTCAGCATGGCGGTTAATGTAGATAACAACAGCAGTACACTTGCTTGTAGAACACCATCATGCAGTCAATTCTAGCAAGAATGTGGTTGTACTTAGCACCAACTACTGAGATCAGCCCTAAGACTATGATGGTTAAAGGCAGTCTTCCTATGCTCAGCAAGCTCACAGCCTAATTTCCTAGGGGAAGGTTATATTAACTACTAATCATTACTATCTCAGTCCTATAGAGTGGTCTGAACAAAGTGCTGTTGAACAGAGGGAAGCAATTGGTTTTCGATAACAACATTTGGGAGATTTCCTAGAGATGATGAGAGTATTTATGCCTGGGATTTGATGGGTAAGGTGAACATTGCCAGGAAAAGAATAGCAAAACTCATGAAAAGCATCTTTTAAAGAAAATCAGTGTGTTATAACAGTAATGCTAAAATGATGTTAACAAAATAATATCATTGCCCAGTATAAATGCCCTACCCATGTACCCATGTAATGATTCAGAATAGACATATATTACAAGAGTAACTTAATTCTCCTATATAAATTCATTCAAAAAGTCATAACAGTATAGCATCCAAGGAATGAAAATTAAAATATTTCCAAAGTATCTCTGGGAGGGTTGGAGCAGATCACTGGCAGGAAGGAGCAGGTGTTCTACATGACCTCTCAAGGGGCACCTGAAAGGCAGTCCCCAGCCAAGAAGGAAGGCCACACCCCCTTCTAGAGCTGACCCGCAGCCAAGCCAAGGCATAAACCGGGCAGCCTGATCTGATTGTTCTCTGAAATACTCATAAAGCCCTTGGTCACAGAGTGTCCCAGGGCCCATAAATGAGGTGGAGCAGGTGCATACACAGCAGGGGAGGGGACCTGGGGTCAAGACCGGCTCTTCCTCTCTCACTCATACTGACTCTTGCCAAGACAGTGAATTTTTCTATTTAATCTTCTCTTAACTTCTGTATAACAACCATGAATGCTGTTACTTCTATGTAAAGTGGCTGGCCCTTTGAGCTGGACATTCCATCTAGATTTTTGAAGGCCATTTCTCCTATTCAGTTTCAATTATTTAAATCCTTGTATGGGTGACCCCTGGGATGTAAGCACTGAAGACATTTCTAAAAACAATGTCTGCAGTGTTTCAAGAGATAGCACTTTATTTACACTGTCATGCTATGCTTCATTTGAAAAGCATCCATTGTGCTAACAGAAGTTGACAGGGTCTTTCCTTCTTCATGACCCACATCAGCAAGATGTGCATTAACTCTAACTTGCTCAACACACTTTTTTTTCATTTTTCAAAAAATGTAAACTGAAAATTTATAATTGTATGTATTTTTGGAGTATGAAGTAATTATTATTTATGAATACAATATGGAATAATTAAACCAAGCTACTTAACATATAACCTCATATACTTAATACTTTTTTGTGGTAAGACTATTTGAAATGTGCTCTCTTAACAATTTTGAAATGTACAATATTCTATTATTAACTCTATTTGGCACACTGTGCAACAGATTTCCAAAAAAACCCATATTCCCCTGTCTGAGACTTTGTACCCATTGACCATCATCTCGCCATTCCCTGAGCCCCAGCCTCTGTGATCACCATTCTACTCTCTGCTTCTATGAGTTCTATTGTTTTAGATTTCACTATAAGTGAGAATATGTGCTATTTGTCTCATCATTTCTAGCTTGTTTCATTTAGAATAATGTTCTCCAATTCCATCCATATTGTAGCAAGTGACAGAATTTCCTCCTCTCTTGAGGCTGAGTAGTATTTCAGTGTATATATATATACCACATTTCATTATCCATTCACTTGCTGATGGACACTTAGAACGATTCTATAACTTGCTACTGTGAATAGTGCTGCAGTGAACATGGGAACAAAGATATCTTTTTGACAAACTGATTTCAGATATTTTGGGGAAATTCTCAGAAGTGGGATAGCTGGATCTTATGGTAGTTCTATTTTTAATTTTTGAGGAACTTCCAGACCATTCTCCATAATGGCTGTACCAATTTACGTTCTCACCAACAGTGTACAAAAGTTCCCGTTTCTCCACATCCTTGCCAATACTTGTTTTCTTTTGTCTTTTTAATAATAGTCATTCTGACGAGTATTAAATAATATATCAATGTGGTTTTAATTTGTATTTCTATAGTGATTGATTTTTTCATATATTATAAATCATATATAGCAAGTTTTCATATATCTGTTAGCCATTTGTATGTCTTCTTTTGAGAAATGTCTATTCAGGTCCCTTGCCCATTTTTAAATTGGGTACCCTCTTTGTTTTCTTACTATTGAGTTGTTTGAATTTCTTACATATTTTGGATATTAACCCCTTATCAGATGTATGGCTTGCAAATATTTTCTTCCAATCCATAGATTGTCTTTGTATGTTGTTAATTTTTTTTTTTTGCTATGCAAAGCTGTTTAGTTTGACATATTCCCATTTTCTATTTTTGATTTTGTTGCCTGTGCTTTTGGAGTCAAAACCAAAAACTCATTGCTCACACCAATTGTCATGTAGGTTTTTTCCTATGCTTTCCTTTAGTATTTTTACTGTTTCTGGTCTTACGTTTAAGTCCTTAATCAATTTGAATTGATTTTTATATATGGTATGAGATAAGAATCTAATTTCATTCATTTTTCACCATTAAGTAGATGTTAGCTGTGAGCTTCTCATATATTGCCTTTTTTTATGTTGAAGTACATCCCTTCTATTCTTAATCTGTGAAGAGCTTTTATCATGAAAGAATGTTGAATTTGTGAAATGTATTTTATATCCCTAATGAGGTGATCATATTCTTTTTTTCTTTCATTCTGTTAATGTGATGTATCACATTTGTTGATTTTCTTAGTTGAACCATCCTTGCATCCAGAGTTAAATAGCACTTGATCACAGTGGATGATCCTTTTAATGTGTTGTTTAATTTGGCTTACTTGTATTTTATTCAGAATGTTTGCATCTATGTTCATCTAAGATATTGGCCTATAATTTTGTTTTCTTGTAATGCCCTTGTCTGGCTTTGCTATCAAGATAATGCTGACCTTGTAAAAAGAGGTTGGAAGTATTCCTTTGTCTTCAATTTTTTGAGAGAGTTTGATAAAGATTAGTATTAGTATTTATTTAAACATTTGGTAGAAATTACCAGTGAAACCATTGGGTCCTGGCCTTTACTTTGATGAGAGACCTTTTGTTGCTGATTCAATCTCCTTACTTATTATTTGTTTGTTCAGGTTTTCTGTTTCTTCATGATTTGATCTCGGTTGCATGTGTCTAGGAAGTTATACATTTTTTCTAGGTTATCCAATTTGTTGGTGTATAATTGTTCATAGTATTCTCTTGATATCCTTTGTATTTCTGTGGTATTGGCTTATAATGTTTCCTCTTTCATTTCTGATTTTGTATATTTGAGGACTCTCTCTTTTTTTCTTAGTGACCAGTTTTTTTTTGTTTTGAAGTATATTGTTTAATTT
The DNA here is from genome assembly GCF_000001405.40 of Homo sapiens. Lineage (NCBI taxonomy): Eukaryota > Metazoa > Chordata > Mammalia > Primates > Hominidae > Homo > Homo sapiens. The sequence continues at coordinate 44,671,087 of NC_000010.11, read as the reverse complement.
CCATGTACATGTGAAATTTTCCAAAATTTCTTCTGTTAAGTTCTAATTTTGTAGCAATTGTGGTTCGAAAAGATACTTGACAAAATTTTAGTCTTTTGAAATTTGCCAAGGCTTGTTTTGTGCCCTAAGATGTGACCTTTTCTGAAGAATATTCTGTGCATGCTTGAGAAAAATGTGTATTCTGTTGCTATTGAATATAATGTTTTGTATATATCTGTTAGGCTCCTTTGGTCTAAAGTGTTGTTCAAATCCATTGTTTCTTTATTAGTTTTCTCCCTGGATAATCTCTTGACATTGTGAAAAGTGAAGTATTGAAGATCCCTATTATTACTCTATTGCAGTCTATCTCTTCCTTCAGATCCTTTAATATTTGTTCTATATATTTAGATGATCCAATGTTTGGTACATATATAATTGTTATATCCTTTTGATAAATTGACCCTTTTATCATTATATGATGTCCTTCTTTGTCTCTTTGTACAGTTTTTGACTTAAAATCTATTTTTTCTGACATAAATATAGCTAATGCTGCTGTCTTTTGGTTTCTATTTGGATGAAATCTCATTCTCCATCCCTTCACTTTCTATATAAATGCATCACCAAAAGCGAGGTAAGCCTCTCTCTCTCTCTCTCTCCCTCTCTTTGGTAGAGACAGGGTCTTGCTTTGTTGCCTAGGCTAGGCTGGTCTCAAACTCCTGACTTTGAGGGATCCTTTCACCTCAGCCCACCAAAGTGCTAGGATTATAGGCATGAGCCACCATGCCTGGCCAAAAATGAGGTGAGCATCTTACAGACAAAATATTGTTGGGTCTTTTAAAACAACCCATTCAATCATTCTGTGTCTTTTCATTGGAGAATTTAATCCATTTACATTCGAGGTAGTTTTTAATGGGTAAGGACTATTGCCATTTTGCCAGTTATTTTCTGTTTTTTTTTGTTGTTGTTGTTGTTTGTTTTTGTTTTTTTAATAAATACTTTGTTTCTTTCCTCCTCTCTTGCTGTCTTCTGTTGCAGTTTGAAGGGTTTCTGTAGTGATATATTTTGGATCCTTTCTAATTTTGTTTTGTGCTTCTACTAAAGATTTTTGCTATGTGGTTACATGTGGTTTACATAGAACATCTTATAGTATCCTATTTAAAGCTGATTGCAACTTAACTTTAATTGCATGCAACTTTGCACTTTTACTCTCCCCACACCTTTTATGTTTTTGATGGCAGAATTTGCATCATTTTTTAATGTGTTTCCCTTGAAAATTTATTTTAGCTACAGTTATTATTTATATCTTTGTCTTCTATGTCTTGTACTAGAAATAAAACTGCTTACACATCATCATTATAGTCCTAGAGCATTCTGAATATAGCTCTGTTTTACTTATGCCACTGAGTTTTGTGCTTTCATATGTTTCATGTTTGTTATTAATTAGTGGATTTTTATTTCACTTTTAATAACTCCCTTTAATAATTCCCGTACGGCAGGTCTGGTGATGATAAATTCCCTTAGTTTTTGTTTGTCCAGAAAAGTTTTCATTTTTCTCTCATTTCTAAACAGCAGCTTTGTTAGATAAAGTGTTTTTGATTGGCAGTTTTTTCCTCTAACACTTTGAATATATGATTCCACTCTCTCCAGACCTACAGAGTCTCTGCCAAGAAATTGGATAGTTGTATTGGTATTCCTTTCTATGTGATGTATTTCTTATCTCTTGCTAATCTCAAAATTTCATTTTTGATTTTTGAAAGTTTTATTATTATGTGTTTTGGTGAACTTCTTTTGAGGTTGAATTTGATTGGGAAGCTCTGCATTTTCTATACCTGGATGTGGGCAACTACTTCAGGATTAGCGAATTTTTTAGCCATTATTTCCTTAAATATTTATTCTAAACCCCTGTTTCTTTTCTTTCTAAACTACTATTATGTGAATGTTTGGTTTCCTGATGGTGTCCCAAAATTCCTGTGGGCTTTCTTGATTCTTTTTTATTATTTTGTCTCTTTGTTCCTATGACTGGATAATTTCAAATAGTGTTTTTCAACTAATTCTTCTGCTTGGTTGAGCCTGCTGTTGATGCTTTTATCGAATTTTTCAGTTCAGGCACTGGATTCTTCATCTCTAGGATTTCCACTTGGTTTGTTTTTATTGTTTCTACTTCTTATTTTGTTTGTGGTTTTTCAAAATTCATTGAATTTTCTATACATATGTTCTTGCAGTTCACTGAACTTCTTTAAAAGAATTTATTCTGAATTCTTTGTCAGTCATTTCATAGATCTTCGTTTCTTCAGGGTCAATTATTGGAGCTTTATTAGTTTCTTTTGGAGGTATCATGATTACCTGATTCTTTATGATACTTGTGTCCTTGCATTGTTGTCTATGCATGTGAAGAGAAAGTCCTCTTTTCTAGCCTTTACAGATGTTCATTGTCAGGAATAGACCTTCACTATTTAGTGTAACCTGTGATTCTGGAAGGGCCAGCTGGTGACAATCCCTGACAGGCAGAGCATGTGGGTTTTCTAATTGCTTGGTACTCTGCCTTTTGTCTGTTGTCAAGTGGGGCTGCTGGCTGGGTTTCACTCTCTGTCAAGGCCTCTGGCTGTGTTGTGCTACTGCAAAGAGCTGCTGGCTGTGTACTGCAATGTCTTCTGGTCAGGCTACTTATAAGATGTATTTCCTGGCCATGCAGTTCTGCTATTTGGGATCTGCAGTTTGCAGGGCCTCAGGCTAGGCTTAAAGATTAGGCATAGCCAATGTTTGGGATGGGCAAACCAGAGGATATGCTCCTTAGAAATGGGCCATTTTGGATTGCCTCCTTGTCAAGGTGGAGTTTTGAGGTGGGCTTTTCTCTGAGTTGAGGGGCTATTTGACTTCCTGGGTCAAGCAAGTCTTGTTCCTACATTTCCCTAAAATGCATGGTTGTGGGAGTTTTCCTGCCTGGGTAGAGTTTATCAGATGGGCTTTTTGTGAGTGGAGCCACTGCTTAACTTTCTGTGTCAAGCAGGTCTAGCCTCTATGTTTTGACATTGATGGAGGTGGGCTTCTCCCTTCCTCGGAAGGGTCATTGGGGTGGGCTGTGAAGCTGGACATGGAAATTAGCCATTTAGGGACTCAGGCTAGGTTGAACTTCCCCACCGTGCTTTGAAGACAACCAACTTAGCTCCACAGGTGGGCTATGAAGTTGACTGATATCCCCAATGTGGCATCATGGCTGTCAGTGATGGCAGCAGAAGCCTGTCTGGAGCAGCCACTGAGAGGACTCAAGCTGCAGTGGGGGAGGCACAGCCGGGGATGAGTGTTCTGTGGAGCTGGTAGGGATGGGAACAGATGATCCCAGCTGGAGCCCCACACCCTACCAAGTTGGCAGGGTGGGAATCCATGCTCCCAGGTGCAGCTGCAGCTGCCCAGCTATGGCTCCAGACCTGGGCATCCCTGTGCTTTTGGAGGCCTGAGAAGCCCCATGGTCCCACAGGCTTGGAAATGCCTGCTCCCACTCCTTGGCCTCTCCCTACTCCTCGCATCTGCTCAGGTATGGAGCAAAGCTGTGGCCTAGCCCAGGCACTGTTGTGACCTGGCCAGGTGTGCATGCACTCATGGTGGCACTAACACATCAGCCTTCTGCTGCCTCTACTCCCTCTGGACTTTGGGCACTGACAAGCATGGGAGGGAGACCAGGGGCTGAGGGCATCTTTTAGTGGGCCCATGAGTGCCCAACAGCACAGACAGCCTGGGCACCACAGATGACTTGTTGATGGAAGGCAGACAGGTTCCTAGGTGGGAAGAGTCAGGTCCCTGGTGAAACCCCACCTTCAAGCCAGGAATGGCTTGAAGCCTGGGGGCCAGGCTGCCAGTTCTGGGTGGAACCTTCAACCTGGATTGAGAACTTCTTTGATGCCTTTTCGCCAACTGGATGGTGCTTTTCCCAGGCCCACCCATGGCTGCCCATGGACCAATCAGCATGCACTTCCTCCATTCTGAGCACATAAAACCCCAGACTCAGCCAGACTCATACACCTGTGGGGACAACCTGCCTGCAAAAGGGCTACCCACTTCGGGTCTCCTGAGAGCTGTTCTGTTGCTCAATAAAGTTCGTCTCCTCTTTCCTCACCTTCCAGTTGTCAGTGTAACCTCATTCTTCCTGGACACAGGACAAGAACTTGGGACTCGACAAGTGGTGGGAGTGAAAGAAGCTGTAGCATGTTCCTGGCCAGCTCACCAAGCTGCAGGCAGTGGCATGCTCCCAGACTGCAGGAGTGAAGAGTGGAGACCCTTCTGGGGGCTCAGAGCTTAGGATTCCCTGAGCCAGAGCTACTGTAACACTATAGCCCTCTTGCCCTCTGCTGGTGCCAGGCAGCCACCCCATGTGACAGGAAGTAGCAGTGGGGCCAGGCCAGCCCAGGAGCCACAGGCCAGAGCAGGGTGGTGGGACTGAAAGAGCTGTAACACAAACAGGGTGAAACACACCTTCCCTGAAACACACCCTCCCTCTCCCCCTCTCTCTCCCCCTCCCTCTCCCTCTCCCACCACTCCCCCTCCCCACCCCCCACTCACCATGCTGTGGATGACAAGAAGGAGAGAAGAGCCATGGCCCTTCTGGGGACCCAGACCTTAGGGCTCCCTGAGCCAGGACTGTGACATGCTATAACACTCTCTTTGAGACTCTGTGGTTCCTGGCATCTCTAAGCTTTCAGACACCACTGCATTCCCTTTGTCCAGCTGTGGGTGTCCTCAGCAGAAGCCACTTGTGGTACATTAGTCCAGCCACAGTCTTACATGGAGCAGCATCTCTGCTGGCACCTGGAGCTGCCCACCCTGCCACAGCAGCCAGTGTGCCTGGCTATGTGCAGTGGCCAGATCCCACACTTGCTCGCTTACACACTCCTTGCTGCTCTGCTCCTGGCTTGCCCTTGGCAGGCATGAGATCCAAGCCAGTAGTTTGAGCTGAGTGAAGCCTGCTGGGCTGAGTGGGTGGAACGAGCCCAGTGGGCACAAGCAAAGCTCAAGCAGAGGCTCCCCTGGCCACAGAGGTTTCTGGCTGGAGAAGCAACACCCTAAGGATCCTGTGACATCAGGAACACAGAGGTATCACCAACATCACTATAACCTCTGCCTCCTTTCTTTGTTTCTGCCTGACCCTAAGTGGTCTAGCTATGCCATTACTCCCAGTGTTATTGTGAGTTGAGATTGAAGTGGGCTTCCTGGAACTGTCTCAGAATGCTAGGGAAGCTGGATGACTGCCTCTCATTCTCTTCCCCCCATGTAGAAACTTGGCCCCAGGGGAATCATCTCCATTTGACATCCATCTCCTCTCTGTGCTGATTTCAGGTGGAGGGTGGCACGATCAGAGTAAGACGGTTCTTTCTACCCTTTTAATTCAGATTTCATTCAGTTCTGTGGACCATTAAGTGTCTCAGGCTTGTCTCTAAGTTCTGAGGTTTGTAAAAGGATGTTCCCATTTGTAGGTAGTAGCTGGTTGACCTTTCTGTGGGAGACAGTGGAGCATGAGACTTTCTATTCTATAGAAAGTATCTGTCGAGCTTGCTCTAGCTCGACACACACCTGCTAAAGAGCTGTTTCTGAGGCACCCGTTCTTGCATGCTTTTGGTCCTTTACCTGCCATAGATGGAAATGTCCTCTCTCTCCCCAGGGTCATCTTTATGGCCTCAGGGCCTGGTGGTGATGCCAGGCAGGCATGTAGGTCCCCTGTGAACGTCAGGAAATGAAGCCATTACAGAGCAGGCCACCCTGTGCATTGGTCTAGTGTTAGGAAGCAGAAAGTGCAGGCTTTGAATTATTTCTAAAGCAAACTCTAGCTTCTCCTGGCTTTGAGGAGATAGTTGTGACCACACACATTTCTTAACTACAGAGAAGTCACATAGGGTGGTGAGGTTTTTCCTGTCACTTTCTGTAAAGTACCACATTAGGCAGGGACAGGGTCTAGGAAGGGATTTAAAATATGTCACATTTATGTACCAAGCCCTAGAGCTTTATATAAGTTGTCTTATTTAATCTTCACTGTATCATGAAGTAGTATGATTATGACCACTTCATAGATGAGGAAACTGGTCCAGGAACATGAGTTGATTTGACCCAGATAGTAACTGGCAGAGTGGGAGCTGGGCTGGTTTTGCTGGGCCATACTGTACTGCCTCTGTGGAACTGCCAGGCTCCCATGCACCGGTATCTCTGCAGCCATGGAAGCTCTGTGGCATTCCCAGTAGCCCCAACACATGTACTCCTAGGTGAAAAAGCACCTCGATCTCACTTACCCAAAGCTGAACTCATACTTTGTCCTCAGCTTGCATCTCCTCCTGTAATGTATATCCTGTTCAATCCAATGCATGGAAAATGAATAACCTATAGCTTTTGGAGCCACACTGCCTGGGTTTGAATCCTGGGTCTACCACTTACTGTGTGAACAAGGACAAGTTACTTATCCCTCTGTGCCTCAGCTTTCTCATCTGTAAAATAGTAATATGGTACCTACTTATAAGTTTGGTGAAGCTTAAGTGAGTTTATATGTGTAAAGTTCTTAAAATTATAGTTGGTACATAGTAAATACTATAAATATTGGTCAACTGCTTATATTATTACCATTATAAACTCCATCATTCAAATGAAGCTTTGTAAAATATTTTTGAATCCATCCTATTCCTCACTCTCCATCCCTCAGGGCATGGGCATCCTTACTCCTATGTGTTTCTTGCTTCATCTTTTTCTCTCTAGTCCATTACTGTTACCTTCACCCTGTTCCACCCAATGATTGCAGAAGCTTCCTCTTTGGTTTTGTGCAATGGACATCTTGCCTTCTCATTCATCTCCTGCACAGCTGCAGAGAGACCTTTCCACAGGCAAGTCTGAACGTGTAATCGCTTAAAATCCTGGCTTGTCTCCCCATTGTCCAGAGGATCTGTTCCTAACACATTAGTCTAGGATTTTCAACCCTTCCTATTTTGGCCTTTTCAGTGGTTCATTTCATCTCTCTTCTCTCCCAGCCTGTTCAATCTTCTCTGAAGACACTCACTACTTCATATTTCTGTGCCTTGTCTGGTCTGTTTATTCTCCTTGAGATGCTGTTCTGTTTCTCTACCTGGCAAACCCCTACTCCTTTGCCTTTATCCTTTAAAGCCATTGTGAGTTCTTTCCAGAAGCTTTGCTGCCTCTGACCCTGGCTCCTGCCCCTAGACATACCCCTAGGATGGCACTCTCGACCTCTTAGTCTTCCCTGCTTTATCCTTCCCCATTCTACAGGTTTCCTGAGTATTTCTGTATCCCCTGCACCCAACAGAGGGCCTAGCCTAGGGTAGATGCTTCATAAATATGTGTTGATTGAAAATTTACATAACATTTAGGGCTTAAATAGAGAACAACCTCCGTAAACCTTTTGTTTTCAGAAAAAGATACAAGTAAAGAGTGCACTGGGGTCAATATATTTACAGCTTTGAATTCAACAAATGTTTCAAAAATAGTTCTTAAAAGTTTTGCTTTCATAAATTCTGACTAGAATTTCCTTTATATTGGCTCTCCTTCAAGGTTATGAACAGGTGTGCATGCCTATAGGGAGATTGAATCTGTGAACTTTGGGCTCTTTTTAATAAATTTATCTCACTGTCTTTTGTGGGAGTCTATCAGAAATTCAGGATGCTGCAGAACAGGAAGTCTCCATTTTTAGATGCAAATAAGTGGGCTTAAGCCCTAAAGATTTTAACACTGCTGAAAATCCAGGCCCGGGAGGCTCTGGACTTTCTACACCTGGGAGACAGGGTGCTCTCTCACCTGCTTCTGGCAATATGGACTGCAAGCCTGTGAGTGGGTTTATTTTGGATATGCTTTCTGGTCCAAGAAAACGTCATCTTACAATAAGTGGATCAGGACAGAAGTTATCTCAGCTTTACATATGAAAATATAATTATTTCATTTAGAATCTTAGAATTTTAGGAAGCAAGACTGTTCTTTTACAGATGACAGATCTGGAGTCCAGGGGAGCAGAATAACTTGCATGAGGACCCCACAACACTCCCCCCATCCTCACCCTCCACGACACAGCCGCCTAGGACCCCCCGACCCTCCCCCCGTCCTCACCCTCCATGACACAGCCCCCTAGGACCCCACGACCCTCCCCCCATCCTCACCCTCCATGACACAGCCGCCTAGGACCCCACGACCCTCCCCCCATCCTCACCCTCCATGACACAGCCGCCTAGGACCCCACGACCCTCCCCCTGTCCTCACCCTCCATGACACAGCCGCCTAGGACCCCACGACCCTCCCCCTGTCCTCACCCTCCATGACACAGCCGCCTAGGACCCCCCGACCCTCCCCCTGTCCTCACCCTCCATGACACAGCCGCCTAGGACCCCCCGACCCTCCCCCTGTCCTCACCCTCCATGACACAGCCGCCTAGGACCCCACGACCCTCCCCCCATCCTCACCCTCCACGACACAGCCCCCTCCCAACAATCAGCCTCTTGGCACCTGAGCAGGGACTGAAGGTAGGCTCCTTCCTCTACAATAACGACTCTGTCTAGGGCTTGGAAAACCTCCTTCACTTCTTGTCCTGCCGCTCCATCTGCAGAGGCCATTCCGTTTGAAGCAGCATTGAGATGCTCTTTGAGAACCAGAGATTCAGGAATAAGCCTAGTAGCCTCAGAGGGGCCCATGCTAGGATTTGAGCTGCATCCTGGGTGAGAGCTGGGCCTTGAGTTGTGGGCTCTGGCTCCACATTTGGGTCAGGGGGTCCCAAAGAGCCTATAGCTGGACACAGTGCAGCAGGCCTGTCGGCTGATCTTTTCCAAAACACCATCTATGCACTAAGGGAGCAGCTGCTCCTGAACCATTTCCCAGGCTGAAGGAGTAAGAATGATCCAATTCAGCAAATATTCAACTCTGATCATGACGTCCTGGGTCTAGCGCTAAGTGTGGAGGAGAAAAGACATGGTATGATTCCTGCCCTTGACAAGATCAATGTCTGGTCGGGGAGACAGATGCGTAAACAGTGAACCACTACATAAAAAGGCGAGGCTTTTTTTGTGTGATGAATAAAATGTGGTAGAAGTAAAAAGTGAGAGAGACGTGAGGTCTAAGAGTGATTGGAGGCCTGGGTAAGATCAGGGAAAGAGACATAAAGATGGTCACTGAGAGAGAGAGAGAGTGGGAGGAAATGCATGGAGCATGGACTAGCATGAGGAAGGGACTGGGCACCTGAGGGCCAAGCCACGACGTACATGTGCATGATGGGGACCGGGGAGCACATGAGGGGAAGTGGGGATGGAAAAGGGACCTGGGGACAAAGGGTCTTGAACACTCAGAAATGCAAAGCTTTTCCTCCTGGTTAAACTCCATGGTGCCAAAAAAGGTTTTCCCAGTTGCCTGTGACCTCAGTCCTCAATCCTAAGGAAAAGTGGGTACAATGTTTGTTCCCTGGAATCAATTAACACACAGCAGTAGCTGCTTTGCTTTTGTTGCCGGGCAAATGATACCTGGCAATAGTGCTGTTTGTTTTAACATAGATGGTGGTGTTTTAACCGGGGGATTAATCGTGAAAACCCAAGAAGCTGATGGACAAGGCCAGCCCTGGATGTGCCTTCATAGGCCCCGGGGGAGAGTCTCACAACTCCTTTCTTTGTTTGTCTTCTTCTGCCTGACTCCAGTGTGTCCCTCAGTTTAGTAAGTTGTACCCAAGAGGCCTCTTTCACTTCCCACTGCCCAAAAGGGCATATATTTGGCAGATTTCGGTTGATACCAGATTTGTCCTGTACTTCTAGGAAAGAATGAGGTGTCATGAGGACTTTGGGGCTGTAGGCCCAGAGGAGACCCATGATGCAATGCAAAGGGCTTTGGTGGCAGATCTGCATGAGACAGTGACGCCCCTTCTCTGTGGGCTATTATGTAAATGGGCATGGCCTTCCAACCAGTGAAGAGAACTCCTTCAGAGGCTGTGGAGGCTGAGAATGGCCATGGAGCCCCCTTCATCTAAACCTTGCATGTGATAAGTGGGAAAACTGAGGCCTGGAGAGGTACATGGAGTTTTACAAAGCCAAATCTGTTTAGTTACTATAGATGTTAGGGAAAAAAGGTGTGGTGAAATCAGAGGGGATAAGGTGAGGCAAACAGGCTTGGAGAAGTACCCATCTCTCAGGACAGATTCCTATCACCAAGGCTAGGAGAGACTAATGGATAGACCAGGGAAAGAGGTAACTGGCATCCTTGGACTGCATATTTTAATCTCCGTTAGGCATGTGAATGGAAGAAAATCTCCAGGGCCTTGATAGTGCTACTTGACTTAGATGCAATGCTCTCTGCTACTCTCCCGCCTCCCTCTGGTTAATTTCAACATACCTGTTGGAGCTCTGCAGAGAAGGCTTCTGGAATGTTCCTACCTAGGTCAGCTTGTTTGTTGGTCTCATAACGCTAAGTCTCTTTCCTTCAGAGCACTTACTGTAATTGCAATTTTCACTTGATTAATTGATTAAGGTTTGTCTCCCCCATTAAATTGTAACTCCATGAAGGTGTAAACCATGTCTGCCTTGGCTCACCACTGGGCCCCCAGTGCCAAACATAGTTTCTGGCACTTGGTAGAATTAATAAGTAGAAAAATAAATAAATAAGATTGCTTGATAATGAGTCATTGGTAAGAGACTTACTTTAAAACTGAAAGTTTAAAATAACTACTGAGAAAAACAAAAGATGAAACAGACCAAAAGCAAACAAAAAGCAATAACAGTACAGATGTGAGACACCAGCTGAGGTGGAGGCCACATCTGCACGATGGCCTTTATCTATGCTGTGAAATAGTCTTCATCATCCAGCGGATAATTGTTTAGCATCCTTGATGTGTCCAGCTTTATGTCAGTTATTGGGGACAAAAGGTAGCTATATCTTTCATGGAATTTCCAGCCTAACCTTGATCTGTAGCCTCAGTGTAAAGCTACAGATGAGATAGGGATTGATCCAGATAGGACTGATACTGGATGAATTAATTCATCAATAGGACAGTCATACAAGAGACATGGGGACAATGGTGATTAAAAAAATCAGGTGATCATGAGGATCATGAAGGCTCAAGTTGGAAAAATAATAAATTAAGCCAGTTTAAAAGAGAGATTGAGAGCAAGAATGAAGGAAAGGAAGGAGGGGCGGGAGAGAGGGAGAGAGAAAGAAGACTAACTAGGAGAACATGGAAAGAACAGCAGCCTGGTGGTCTCTGAAAGCTTAAACCACAGCTGTGGAGGGAGTGCGGATGCTAGAGAGTGAGAAAGATGCAAATATCACATCTAATTTGCAACTTCAGCCACAGAGACTTTCTGGATGTTAAACAGGTTTTGCCATTGGTGTAAACACCTGAAGTGGGATGGAGCTGAGACTCCTAGAGAACTGTAGAGGTTAGGACTTTGTGAGTGCAGTGTATTGGGTCATTCATCTGAATAGCCATTGGACGCCCAGGACAGAAAAACCAAAATGCCTCAGACAGCTTCTATCCCAATATTTTGTGAGAAGATATCCCCACATGTCTCAGAATACTAGTGGGTCAGGACAAACTGCCAAATGCGGCAAGATTCTTCTGTCATTAGAGCAGCATTTGTGATAGTAGAAGGAGGGCAAAGGGACTTCTAATAACTTTTACAACTAGAAACTCCCTCAATTATAAACAGATGTTACTGGATGAGTCATAGGGTATTCTGAAGCCATCCAACAAAAGTGGGAAGGGTCCTTTGCAGGTTCTAATCCAAGGATGAGTTAAGAGGCCATAGGAACGTCACATGGCTGATGAAGGGCTCTGGGTCCTGTGCAGTCTCAGATCAATGAAAATATTCCCTTCCAAGATGAGCTTGAACCAAGGAGTACAATCAAAATCAAGGAGAAAAGGGACAAAAGGGTCAAAGGAAAGACAAGATTCAAATAGAAGAGCGGGACAGGGGAAGAAAACCAGAAAGTCGTGCAAAGTTTCAAACTGTTGGCAGAAACTGTAGATGAAAGAGCTTTTGTATTAAGGACTTAAAGAAATCATCCCAGTGCCTACCTTTCCTTGTAAGAGTAAAACTCATCTCACTTAAATAGAAGAAGTAGAAAAGAAGTGGTGTCAAATCTTACACAGAAAGTTATATTTTTAGAAAAGGAAATAAGAAACCAAATAATGTCTTCACAGATAATTAACAACTCCATAAAATAGGTAAATGATCCAACTTAATAATACAATTTTGCTAAAAATATTAAGAAAATGATAGATGATATAAAATAATAGTATAAGTCAAGATTAAGGAAAACTTAGATATTAGATAATTCAAAAAAAGATTTTAAAAGACAGCTACCAGAAGTCAGGAAATAATTAGAAATAAAACAAATGTTTTGTTTCAGAATTAAATACTAATTTTATTTCAGAAACAAATACAAAACTAGAAGAAACACAAGGATAAGGAACTATCATAGGTTATGCCTTAGGAGAAGAAGATGGGAAGAAATGAATGTATAAAAATTATGTGAGAGAAAGTGACAGATACAGAAGATAAGCAACAAAAATGTGATCTATGCTGATAGGAGTCTCCAAAGAAGAAAACCAAAGCAGTAAAATTAAAAAATGGAAAAATACCCCTGAGTATCAGTATTGTATTAGTCAAGGAGAAAAGGGGTAAGAAACTGGCCAGATAATAAAAGTCATAAACACATATACAATCAACAGTATGGGACATGAAATAAATAATATGACATATATCTTACACAAATGTAGAATGACATAAGTTACAGATTTTTAGGTTGGCTAACAAAACTAAATCAAATAATGAGTTGTATACAAAGGACACACCTAAAACAAAGAAATTCTGAGTGTTAACAACAACAACAACAAAATTAATGGGCAAAAACATATTAGCCAAATGTAAACAAAAAGAAAATAAAAGTCACAATCCTGATACCTGATGAAGTAAAATTCATATAAAAAGGATTAAAAGAAACAACAAAGGATATCTTATGTAATGGCCATGTAATTCACAATGAATACATAATGGTTACTCATATTCTTGAATCTTACAACAAAATAGCAATGTTAAAAAAGCAGAAACTTCAGTAGATGCAAAAGAAAACAGGATCACATGAATAGTAGATATTTTAACTTACTTTGCCACTTCAAAACAGATCTAATCAAAAAAACACTTAATAAACTAGAATTTATTGATCGATCACTGACTCTGAACTCTTAAAACAGACAATATTCCAATTTTTCAAGTACACATGAAAATTGACCATATGGTAGGCCACAAGAATACTTCTATACATTTCAAAGAACAGAAAAAATACAAACAAAATTTCTTGAGCAATAAAAATAGATTTATTTTAAAAATGTAATGGTTTTTATTGCCAGGAAATTAAAACCTTTAAACAAGGTTTTCAAAGTTGTACTCTCTATCAAAAGACTGGAAACAACTAGTGAACACACTATGGTACATCCACTTGTAAAAAGAAGTGAGGAATATTTACATATAATGTGAAATGAACTCCAGGAATTACTACAAAGTGGGGAAGAAACAATTTGCAGAAAAAATGCATATAGTGTGCCATTGTTTACTGAAGAAAGGGGTAGGTAGGTAAATATATATACACACACATATATATGTATATATATTTGTGTATATGTTTTTAAATGGAAATATAAGTCCCCAAAGTAAATACAAATGGCTCCTTAACCTGCTTCTGGGTTGATCAACACTCCAGCTGCAGCAACTAGAAAAAAAACAGATAAATTCTTATCAATAATATTTAAATACCTGTCAGAGAGCTATGGAAATAAGAGAAAGTATATGAGCCAAAATTCCAGATGGGAGAAAATCTCTGAGATAAGCTGACAATTTCCCTCTGACAAAAGAAATAAAAGAATATCTAAATAAATAAGGAAATGTTCTATGTTCATAGATTGGAACATACGATATTCTTAACATAGCAATACTTCCCGTTTTGGCCTATAAATGCAATCCCATTAAAAATTTCAGGAAATTACATTGTAGTTGTTGACAAACTGACTTTAAAGCTTATATTGAAAGGCAAAATACCTAGGGCAGCTAACACAATACTGAAGAAGAACAAACTTGAAAGATCCATACTATCTGAATTCAAGATTTACAATGAAGCTGTACTAATCAAGAAAGCATGGGATTAGTGGAAGAATAGATAGACACATGGATCAATGGAACAGAATAGAAAACCCAGAAATAGACTCATGCAAATGTAATCAACTGTTCTTTGGCAAAGGAGCAAAGACAATTTGATGGAGAAAAGATTTACTCAACAAAAGGCTTGGACAACTAACATCTGTAAGAAAGATGTAAACCTAGGCATGAACCTTAGCCCCATTCACAAAAATTAATTCAAAACGGATCATATATCTAAATGTAAAATACAAAATTATAAATATCCAGATGTAAATATAGGAGAAAAATCTAGGAACCTTGGTTTGGTGATGAGTTTTTAGATAAAATACCGAAAGCATGATTCATGAAAGAAAGAAAAACTTAAGTTGGACTTTATTAAATTTAAAAACCTATCCTCTGTCAAAGAGACTGTTAATAAAATGAAAAGACAAGCCACAGATCGAAAGAAAATATTTGTAAAATATTCATATCTGATAAAGAACTGAGAGTCAAAATGCAGAAGAAACTCTTGAAACTCAACAACGAGAAAGCAACATAAATAAAAACTGAGCAAAAGAACTGAAGAGACATCTCACCAAAGAAGATGCACAAATGGTAAATAAGCATATGAAAAGAGATCAACAGTATTTTTCATTAGGGAGATGCAAATCAAAACAAGATCCCATGATACAAAATGCCTGGATATAAATTGACAATGAGATTGGGGGTGAACATTAAATATAAGTTTTCAGGCAGAACTTAGACTAAATGAAGGTTAAAAGGGTAAAAGTACTTTACATAATGGCTATATGCTCTGACAAAAGGTTGAAATTAATTATGGTATGTTTTTAAACAACGATGGAATTAAGCTAGAAATTGACAACAGAAAGATAATTATAAAAACCCCAAATATATGGAAGTTAATACAATTCTAAATATTCTATGGATCCAAGAAAAAAATCCAGAAGGGACATTAGAAAATGTTTTAATCTAAATTATAATGAAGGCTACTTACCAATATTTATGGGATGAAAATAAGTACTTACATAAAAATATATAGCATTAAATGCACATAATAGAAAAGAAAAATCCTGAAATCCATTATTTAAAATTGTATTTCAAAAAGTGAAAAAGCATAAGGCAAGCCCATGGAAAGGAAAAGGAAATAAATAATAAATATAAGAGCATATATCAAAAAAAAAAACAAGCATACTGTGGAAAAACAATCAACAAACCTAAGAGCGATTTAAGATTAATAAAACTGACTAAACCTCGGAAAACTGATAAAGATAAAAAGAGAGGGAAACACAAGTTGCAGAATAAAAAGGATCATCCTTATACATATTATAGATATCTGTAAATTATGACATACATAAGTTCTGAATATGCTGATATATGAATATTCTGATATACATAAAATTGAATCTTTCTTTCCGGAAAGAAATCCCTGGCAACAGATGGCTTCACCTGTGAATACTTACATACATTGAAGGTAGAAATATAACAGTTTTGCAACAAACTCTTCCATAGAAGTGCGGTAACAGATGGGAACATGTCCTAATGCTTTTTATGAAGTCAGCATACTATTGATTCTGAAGTCTGACAAGGATATTAGGAAACAGGGAAACTACAGGCCAATCACTCTTACGAATATAGATTCAAATATTCTGAACTAAATATTAGCAAGTACAGTCCAACAACATAAACAAGATAATACTTTATGACTAGATGAACAATTCTGGGTATGCATGCATGCTTTGCCAACACAAAATCAAAAAATGCAACCAATTGCTTTAATAGAAAAAGGAGAAAAATTATATGATCACCTTGATAGTTGCAGAAAAAGTATGTATTAAATTCAATGTCCACTAATGAGTTAAAAAATTCCTAGCAAATTAGAAATAGATGGGAATTTGCTTAATCAGATAAAGAATCTACAAAATCTCTGGTTAAAATTATACTCCATTGCAAAATAATGGAAAATTTATTCTTGCAATTAGAAACAAGCGGTGCTGCTACATCACTTTTATTCAACATTGTACTGGAGGCAGTGCAATAAAGCAAGAAAAATAAATAAAGAGTTTAAGAATTGAAAAGGAATAAATCAAATTATTATTTGCAGATAATATGATCTTGTTTACCTAGAAAATTCAAGAGATTGTAGAGAAAATCTGTTAGAATTATTTGATTAATTATATTAGCATTAGTAAGTGACTTTAGTAAGATCTTTGGAGATAAAGTTAATCTATGGAAGTCAATTGTCTGTCTATACCAACAACAACAAAAATCCAAAATTAAATTTTAGATGTAATTTATAATAACATCAAAAATATGAAATACTTACAAAGATGCAAAGGATTTCTATACCAAAAGTAAGAACTTTACTGAAGAATTAAATTAGACCTAAATTAATGAAAGAATATATCACACTTATTGTCAAGAGTCAGGTTTCATAAAAAAAATTATTATTACCAAGTGGGGAGAGTAAATTGACAAACCAATTCTAAAAATCATCCAGAAATGCAAAAAGTCTAGAATAATTACAACAATCTTGAAGAAGAAAAATAAAATTGGAAAACATTCTACTGCCGAATGTAGTATACTACCAGATATCAGGAAGTACAGTAGAGCAGATCTGAGTGAAACAGTAGAATGCATAAGAGTCCAGAATCAAACTCACATATATTTATGGCAAAGGTGACACTGAAGTTCCTTGGAGGAAACAATGGTCTTTTCAAAAAATGTCCTGGGCATAGAATAACTATTGGTATTGGCAAAAATAATGGAACTAGACCATGCTCTTTCACTAAACACAAATATCAATTCCAGATGGACTTCAGATCTAAATGCGACATGTAAAAAGTAAAACTATTTGGAGGAGAACATAATAATATGTACTTGAGATCTTGGGATAGGGAGAAAAAATTTCCCCCTAAAAATAGACACAAATACCACTGTCCATAAAAGGACAAAAATGTGATAAATCAATCTTTACTAAAATTTAAGAATTTTGTTCATCCAAGGCAACCTTCAGAGTAGGATGAGATACTTACAACCCATATAGTCAACAGAGGACTTGTACCCAAAATATATTTTTAAAACTCTATAAATTAATAACAAAGACATTTTAAATTCAATTTCCAAATGAGGGCACTTAAAAGTCCACTTGACCTATATGCTGATTCTTTTCACTGAACCTCAGTTGTGCAGAATTACATCTCTCATAGTCTCTGCTCCAAAACACACTGTCATCATTGATCAATGCATGACTTTCCTTTATTCAGTTAATTTTTCATGTATTTCATAATGTAATACATCATTACACCAGATAATGTAATACATTCATACAACTACTCATTTATAACTTTGACTTTAACCTACCTATGCATAACCATAGTTTCTTCCCCCTTCCCGTCTCCCTGCTTCCTCCAACTGGTTAGCCATCATCCCAAATACCATGTTCTTTTTTTCTTAGTTTTCTTTTTCTTTGGTTTGATAGCATCAATACATATTCCAAAAGTGTGTGTTTATTTTTGATTTAATTATTTTTAATTTCATGAGAAGATTATCATGTTGTAAATAATTTTGGAGGTAACTTTTATCATTTAATATTTTGTATATATATATATATATATATATATATTTTTTTTTTTTTTTTTTTTTTTTTTTTGAGACAGAGTCTCACTCTGTCGCCCAGGCTGGAGTGCAGTGGCATGATCTTGGCTCACTGCAACCCCCACCTCTCTGGTTCAAGCAATTCCCCTGCCTCAGCCTCCCACGTAGCTGGGATTACAGGCGCATGCCACCATGACCAGCTAATTTTTTTGTATTTCTAGTAGAGACAGGGTTTCACCATGTTGGCCAGACTAGTCTCGAACTCCTGACCCCAGGCAATCCTCCTGCCTCGGCCTCCCAAAGTGCTAGGATTACAGGCGTGAGCCACCATACCCGGCCTAATATTATATTCTTAAGATTCACTCACACTGTTGTCATTGTTTATTAATTTTGACTGCTACATAATATTCTACTTTGTGAATGTGCCACATTTTGTTCATCTTGTTTCCTCTTATGGATGCTGGATTGCTTCCAGGTTTTTGCTATTATAAACAGTGTTGTTACGAACATTCTTGTATGTGTCTCCTCTGGTGTATATATAAGTATTCCTCTGGGGATGTGTCCTGTGGTTTAATTGGTGGTCACAGTGTATGTGAATAGTCAACTGTATGTTTGTTTTACATTTAACAGTTTTCTGTTTTTTGCAGTTTTTCCAAAGTATTCGACATACCATATTTCATTAATTCTTTTTTTTTTTTTTTTTTGAGACAGAGTCTCACACTGTTGCCTGGGCTGTATGATCATGGCTCACTGCAACCTCTGCTTGCCGGGTTCAAGTGATTCTCCTGCCTCAGCCTCCTGAGTAGCTGGGATTACAGGCACCCGCCAACACGCCCAGCTAATTTTTTGTATTTTTAGTATAGATGGGTTTTCACCATGTTGGCCAGGCTGGTCTCGAACTCCTGACCTCATGATTCACCCGCCTCGGCCTCTCAAAGTGCTGGGATTACAGGTGTGAACCACCGTGCCTGGCCTCATATTTCATTAATTCTAACATGCACTTTTTACCCACATTTTAAGTTCTCTGTAATAGGAATATTCTTGAAATCAATGACATCTCATGGTTTAATTGTTGGTAATTTTTCTGAGTGATACATAAAATCGTTGGTTGCCTCAAAACTGACAATGTCTTAGATTTGATAAATATCTCTTTCCACACATGCATTTCATTTACCCCCTACTTCATCAGTTTACAAAGTATTACATTCTATAATTAATGTAAGTACAACTGGCATAATCAAGTGTGGGGAAGAAGACAGCTGGCCCTTGGAAAGACATACAGAATTGGCGAGGAAGGGAGACAGTCATGAGAGGAGTCATGCTGGCAGCGCTCCCCTGCCCTGGGCGGCAGCCAGGATGCGCTGTGGAGAAGGGAGAGTGTGTCCATCTGGAAGGGGCCTAATGGACATGGTGGAGAGTTTCCATGATATCCACAATCATTATAAACTGTGAAGTGCAGCACACATTCTTATTATAATACTTAATCATGGCTTTCCTCCATGTGGAGCCATGTAAGCCATCTCTTTTACAGGCTGCACTAGGAAATCCTCAGGCAGGCAGGGTGGCCGAAGGGTCAGTATCAGGTAGCTGCCCTTGGGCAGAGAATTCTAGTTTTCCTTGGCCTGTTTCAATGAGTTTGGACCATTAACAAATCCTATCCCCAAATCACTTCTTATTCCATTCCTTCAAAAACCAGAAAGAGTAGGAAGACTGTTTAAGTATGCAAGGTATTACTGAAGTAGTCCGGAGGAGTGCTACTGGATCTTCAGCATAAGCTATTTTTATTCATTAGAAACCAGATCTTCAGAGGGGTTTTCGTGATTTGGATTAGCTTCCTGTGCTCAAATATGACTAGCTTCACAGTGCTGGGTGATTGCAGTAAAGTAAGAAGGTGAACTGAAGGGCTTTTGTTGTGGCTTCCAGTTCTTTTGTATCTATGGTTTGGGGTTGCGCATTTTGAAATTCTGAATCTGAAGATTTAAAATTGTTTGTAGTTTCCAAATCAGGAAGGCAGCATCATGCTTCAGAATGACTCAGTGTGGCCAGGCATGAGTCCGCATCCTAGCTGTATCACTTCCATGCTGAGCCTGGGGTCTTCACTTTAGGCCAGCCCCATGGTACTGTTGCAAGGACAAATCACCATCACTATGGCAAGGTATTCTGCATGCTGCCTGCACGTAGCAAGCAACTAATAAATGTCACCATCATCATATTTCCTTATTGTCTAAAGACAACAGCAGGGTGGAGGCATTGGCCTTTCATCCTCTGAAAAAGAAATCCGCTGTCAGAGTGATTAGCAGCAAAACAAGAAAGTCTGGGATGCTGCCAACACTTTCCCTGCAGTTTTCAATTTCTTTTTTTCTAGGAATAGAAGCAGAAAGAATAGGGGAAAATGTCATTTGGCAGATAATCTGCCCTCCTCCAGTTTTGTTTTATTATTATTTTCCTTCAGGCATCACATCAAAAAAATGGGGAAATTATTTTCTAAAACTTCTTAGCTCAAAAAAGTAAAACCACATTTCTCTGTTGCCTCTGGCTTCCCTGAGCATATTGCTTTGGCAATGCTCCCTGCCTCCACACCAGGCTCCAGAGCTCTCCTCCTTCCCCTGGTCCTCCCGATGTGCCAGAGACACAGCAGCAGCACCAAGGGCCAAGACAAGGAAGGCAGGCTGGGCTGATGCCTTGACACAGATTCACTGAGGCTAGAATAAAACATTGGAGTAATGGTGGCTCTTTTAAAAAACGTGTTCTGCAAATTACATCAGTGGATTTCAGAAAAGGCGTTCTGACGAATTATAAGAATCGGTTAAAATATAATCACTTTGTAATTTAAATAAACAAACTCATTATTGTATTATTTAACCCTCACAGTGACAATATAAAGAGACATTTATTATCCTCACTTAAATTGAAGACACTGAGGCTTAGAGAAGTTGAGTGATTTGTTAAAAAAAAACAAAAACAGAGCAAGCAAGGTGCAGGGCTAGAACTGAAAACAGTTGTTTTACAGTCTCTGGTTTGCCAAGATCTCAGGATTTATGTTACGAAAGGTCTCAGCTATATCACCCCAACCCCAACTCTCCACTGCTGCTTTCTTAAGATTGCAAGAAAATGCAGTAATCCTACAAGAAAGAGTGGAAGAAGGAATAATAAGGAATAAGGAAGGAAGAAGGAAGGAAGGAAGGAAGGAAGGAAGGAAGGAAGGAAGGAAGGATGGAAGGAAGGGAGGGAGGGAGGAAGGGAGGGAGGGGAGAGAATGGGAGAGGAAAGGAAGACTATATAGTCTGCTGTGTCTACCAAAGAGGTATCTGATTTCCTCCAAACCATGAGAACGATCAAGCTTTTTATCATAAGTTATCTAGAACGGACAGCGTAGATTTTACATAGCACAATGCACAGAAAACCTTTACCAAAATTCTCTTGAGAAAACTCTTTTTCTCCCTAAAGTTTTACATCCAAACACCTGCTGAGTAGCTCTCCCCCATCTTCTTGTAGAGTCCTGTCTCCACTGTGCCATTTCCTTGCTGACACACACTGGGCTCCCCAGAAGTCTGTGCTCCCCACCTGTGATCCTCCTGCCAGGCACAGCCATCTCCAGCCCCATCCACAGCTTTGGAATTGGAGTGAACAAATCCTTCAGGATCCTACCTGTAAGGCTCACCACTCCTTTTAAAAAGCAGGGAGAGACAAGAGGAGCTCCCTGAAAAAGGGAGTATAGTTGGTTTTAGACAAAAATAATAGAAGTGCAAGAAGAAACTAGAAAGGGGGGTAAGGCACCAGAAAAGACTTGGGATCAGTGGGCCAAGGCCTGGGCAAGTCGAGGCTGAAATGAGAAAAAGAGAGCTGATCATGGCCTTGGCCAGGATGAGACACAAGCACCAGGAACCAGGAGTGATGTGTGGGAGGGGGCGGGAGAAGGAGCTGCCCCAACCACCCGCGTCTGAGTCTCGTGTTGACTCTAATTAGTGGGTAGAGGTGGATCCTACTTAGTAAATAAATGCACTTGAACCTCGAAGGACATGTCCTGGGTGTGGGGCCCTGCTCAGGACCTGGAAGAGCCCTTTTCTGTGGGGAGTGTAGGAGAACCAGGGGAGTTGGGGAGCGGGAGTGGCTATACCATGGCTGTCTCTCACATTTAACTTGGCGATTCTAACATCTCAATTGTCAGTGACATGAAAAACAGAAGAAAGACTCTAGGAGGTAAGCCACTTATTTGTGGGTTCCTAACATTTTGGAAATTTGGCTGTTGTACAGACTTTTATTAAACCCTGACCTACACACACACACACACACACACACACACACACACACACACGTGTGAATAGCTTTATAAGGAATTTTTCTAAGCATCAAAAGGCATTTAGGCCTGGCACCTCCCGCCCCTGGGTATCCTGGCTGTGAGAGGAGGAGAAGGGGAGGTGATTGGAGTTTCTCTAGTTCACTGAAGGTAACCACTCAATGCTGTGGGCTTCCTGTGCTGAGCAGTGAGCTCTCTGTCCCCTGAGTCACTTTGATCACAGGCTCTTGGAGAGTTTAATACAAGGAGAATCCTGGTGGCTGCTCTGCTCTCCGTGGCTTCTTGGGAATTCAATAGATTTACTGCTTCTTGGTTTGATGAATTAAGCATGGTGAAGTTTGGTATTATGGCATATCCACTCCATTTGCCACATTTGACAACAGCACACTGTAAAACTCACTACAGGCTTGTTGAGTGATGGTCAGAATGCATCACACAGGAGTGAATGAATGAATGCATGAATGGAAGGGTTCCAGTATGGTTTTTGCACTGAGATTGGTTTTGGCCGCAGGCTTCACAGATCCTCAAGAGTAGCACAATCACTCAGAGCCCTTGCAAGTTGAGGCTGGCCCACGGGCCTCTGATAGAGGCGCCAGGGAGCCTCCTGTCTCCTTCTGTTTGAGGCTGGCAGCAGGGCTTCCTAGGGGAGGAGACTAAGCCACACCAGACAGATGCACCCTGACTGCAGCTTACTGGGCATGGCTACGGAAGGAGCACGTTTTCATGCAAAGGGAAGTATGTAGGCCACACTGGGACCCTGCCAAGCATTCAAGGGTTTAGCAACAAGGACTCTCAGAACATCTGCAGCTTCTCTGCCTTTGTGATCTCTTACTGAGCCTTTCTGTGTCTGTCTACGGCAGAATTGCTCAGTCTGACACTTGGGTTTGTTAAGAAGTAACATAAACTAAGTTAATTTTTAAGTAATTAATAATGAATACTGTTAGAAAAATCCACCCCCGTTAAGTAAAAGCCCCAGCTGCTAATAGGTATAATATGTTACTAATTGAAACATGGTATAATATGTTACCACCCGTGGCGTAATATGTTACTAATTAAAAAGTGATAGAAAAATAAAATCTTTTGACAAAAATGTAAATCTGCCAAGTTTGACCCAGGAAACGCTGACTTTGTTGAAATAGACACAAGCTGAAAATCGAAAGCACAATGGCCCTGATAGGAGCACCCATGAGCAGGAGAGTGGTCAAGCCCCAGATTCTCCTTGCTCCCTCTGCTAAGTCCAAATTTATTAGTCTTGGTTCCCCAAAGATATATGTCCTTGTGGAAAGTGAGGCAGGAATAACAGCCTAAGAGAGGCATTGGCAGGGGCTTTGAGGCCTGGGCATGGGAGATGGGCAAGTGGAATGGGCAACACAGTGCAGGGGCGAGAGCCTGGGCAAGGCAGGGATGGGCAGGGAGGTCTGTGGGTGGGGGCATGGGCAGGTTGGGACAAGGGCAAGAGCCTGGGTGAGGGGGATGGGTGGGGGATGGGCAGGGTAGGGCAGGGGAGAGAACTGGGTGTGGAGGGGCACTGGGGAAGAGGGGAGGCAGTGGAACGGGTGGGGAGGTAGGGGAAAGAGCCTGGGTGCTGGGAGTATGGGGAGATGGGGTGGGGATGGGGAGGGTGGGACGGGCGAGAGCCTGGGCGAAGAGGGTGGGTGGAGAATGGACAAGGTGAGGCAGGGACGAGAGCCTGGGGGCAAGGAGAGGAGAGGTGGGGGTGGGCAGGATGGGGTGGGAGGCCGGTGGGCGTGGTTTGCTGGGAGCCTGGTGGGAGCCAGAGGTGCTAGTGGAGGGAGGGAGTGGTGGCCTAGAACGGATCCAGGGAACTGTACATGGCAGAGCAGGGTGCCTTGAGAAAGGACCTTCCCGTCAGGGGACACACAGGCAGTTGGACACAGGATGATTTTAACGTTAACCACCATTAAACAAACAAGGTAACTTTTTAGGAAAATATGATTCTTCCGTCAAGTTTTATCCCTAAAGAGGCTTTTGGCTTCGAACCCCTGCACTTGGGAGTTTGTGAATTTGTGCGGTGTAACAGGGTATTTTACTTCATCTTCCTTTATGTATTCCTGGTCATTAATGAATGTAAATATCTGTTCATATGAGCTTTTTACCAGAAGAGCCTTCTGCTCTGTGAAGAGCATATTCATGATTTTTTTTCTCCTTTAAGAAAAATACGGTGATACGGACTTTTCTTATAGATTTAAAGGCGTTCCTACACATTACGTATCTATGTTGATACTGTCGGTTGTGCATATGACAAATATTGTTTCCCTGTTTAAAACTACCTCACAAGGTGTCCTTTGATGATCAAAAACTTCTAATTTTAAAATTTAGTCAAATTTCAGTCATTTTTTGTATAATAGTATGTTTTGGTTCTTGTTTAAACTTTGATGTCCACAAATTTCTCAACTATATTTTCTACTAAAATTTTGTTTCCTTTTTAGACATTTAAAGTATTAATCTGAAATATATTTTTATGTACAGAAGTGACGTGAGATCAGGATGCAATTTTACTTTCGTTTATTTGGATAACTATTTTTCAGCCCCCTTTCTCTCCTTCGTTGGCCTGGTTTGCTCACTACGTGTCTCCCATACCAAAGTTCCAATATGCACAGATCTCCTTGTGAGTTTTTAATTTTTTTCTTCTTGATAATATATTTTGGGGCCAATTCCACACTGCCTCAGTTATTATGGGATTGATACTGATGAGGACAGGATTCCTTTCACTATTTTTTGAAATACGCTGGTTATTCTTGGAACTTTATTTTTTCACCTAAATTTCAGGATCAGTTTGTCAAGTTTAAAAAAAAAAAATCCTGTTGGGACTTGGATTGGAGTCATAGTGAATCTATAGATTAACTTTTAAACAGGTGATAGTCAAGGAGTTGTTTCATTGTTATGATCACCATGTGTATCTCTAGTTACTTAGGCCATCTCTAATGTCTCTGCCATCTAGAATCTTCTTGTGGAAGATTACACTTCTTGTTAGAATTATTATTAGGTCCTGCTACTCTTATTTCTACCACTTTAAATGGCATTTAAATTTTTTTTATTGACGTGGATTTATTATTTGATTTGGTGAGTATCCCAATTTGAAATTATATTAACTTAGTTGATAAAGCAAGGAATTTCTTACAAATAAGACAAGGATTCACAACTTTCTATTCATGTTGAATTTCCATTGATACACATATTTGCCTTTACTTCAAATTCCAACATTTACAGGCAATGATAAACATGAAGGTTTTTTGTTTGTTTGTTTTTTATTACTTTTTAAATTTTACTTTAAGTTCCAGGATACATGTGCAGAATGTGCAGGTTTGTTACATAGGTATACATGTGCCATGGTGGTTTGCTGTACCTATCAACCCATCGTCTAGGTTTTAAGCCCCGCATGCATTAGGTATTTGTCCTAATACTCTCCCTCCCCTTTCCCCCACCCCACGACAGGCCCTGGGTGTGTGATATTCTCCTCCCTTTGTCCATGTGTTCTCATTGTTCAACTCCCACTTATGAGACAGAACATGTGGTGTTTGGTTTTCTGTTCCTGTGTTAGTTTGCTGAAGATGATTGCTTCCAGCTTCATCCAGGTCCCTGCAAAGGACATGATCTCATTCTTTTTTATGGCTGCATAGTAGTCCATGGTGTATATATACCACATTTTCTTTATCCAGTCTATCATTGGTGGGCATTTGGGTTGGTTCCATGTCTTTGCTATTGTAAATAGTGGTGCAATAAACAAATGTGTGCATGTGTCTGTATAGTAAAATGATTTATATTCCTTTGGGTATATACCCAGTAATGGGATTGCTGTGTCAAATGGTATTTCTGTTTCTAGATCCTTGAGGAATCACCACACTGTCTTCCACAATGGTTGAATTAATTTACATTCCCGCCAATAGTGTAAAAGGGCTCCTGTTTCTCCACAGCTCACCAGCATCTATTGTTTCTTGACTTCTTAATTATCACCATTCTGACTGGCATGAGATGGTGTCTCATTGTGGTTTTGATTTGCATTTCTCTAATGATTAGTAATGATGAGCTTTTTTTCATATGTTTGTTGACCACATAAATGTCTTCTTTTGAGAAATTTCTGTTCATATCCTTTACCCACTTTATGCTGGGGTTGTTTGTTTTTTTCTTGTAAATTTGCTTAAGTTCCTTGTACATTCTGGATATTAGACCTTTGTCAGATGGGTAGATTGCAAAAATTTTCTCCCATTCTGTAGGTTGCCTGTTCACTCTGATGCTAATTTATTTTGCTGTGCAGAAGCTCTTTAGTTTAATTAGATCCCATTTGTCAATTTTGGCTTTTGTTGCAATTGCTTTTCACGTTTTATTCATGAAGTCTTTGCCCATGCCTATGTCCTGAATGGCATGGCCTAGGTTTTCTTCTAGGATTTTTATCGTTTTGGGTTTTACATTTAAGTCTTTAATCCATCTTGAGTTAATTTTTGTATAAGGTGCAAGGAAGGGGTCCAGTTTCAGTTTTCTGCATATGGCTAGGCAGTTTTCCCAGCACCATTTATTAAATAGGGAGTCCTTTTCCCATTGCTTGATTTTGACAGGTTTGTCAAAGATCAGATGATTGTAGAGGTGTGGTGTTACTTCTGAGGTCTCTGTTCTGTTCCATTGGTCTATATATCTGTTTTGATAACAGTACCATGCTGTTTTGGTTACTGTAGCCTTGTAGTATAGTTTGAAGTCAGGTAGTGTGAGGCCTCCAGCTTTGTTCTTTTTGCTTAGGATTGTCTTGGCTATACAGGCTCTTTTTTGGTTCCATATGAAATTTAAAGTAGTTTTTTCTAATTCTATGAAAAATGTCAATGGTAGTTTGATGGGAATAGCATTGAATCTATAAATTACTTTGGGCAGTATGGCCATTTTCATGATATTGACTCTTCCTATCCATAAGCATGAAGTATTTTCCCATTTGTTTGTGTCTTCTCTTATTTCCTAGAGCAGTGGTTTGCAGTTCTCTTTGAAGAGGTCCTTCACATCCCTTGTAAGCTGTATTCCTAGGCATTTTATTCTGTTTGTAGCAATTGTGAATGGGAGTTCATTCATGATTTGGCTCTCTGCTTGTCTATTGTTGGAGTATAGGAATGCTTGTGCTTTTTGTACATTGATTTTGTATCCTGAGACTTTGCTGAAGTTGCTTATCAGCTTAAGGAGGTTTTGGGCTGAGACGGTGGTGTTTTCTAAATGTAGAATCATGTCGTCTGCAAACAGACACAATTTGATTTCCTCTCTGCCTATCTGAATGCCCTTTATTTCTTTCTCTTGCCTGATTGCCTTGGCCAAAACTTCCAATATTATGTTGAATAGGAGTGGTGAGAGAGGGCATCCTTGTCTTGTGCTGGTTTTCAAAGGGAATGCTTCCAGCTTTTGCCCATTCAGTATGATATTGGCTATGGGTTTGTCATAAATAGCTCTTATTATTTTGATATATGTTCCATCAATACCTAGTTTATTGAGAGTTTTTAACATGAAGGGATGTTGAATTTTATCAAAGGCCTTTTCTGCATCTATTGGGATAATCATGTGGTTTTTGTCATCGGTTCTGTTTATGAGATGGATTATGTTTATTGATTTGCATACACTGAACCAGCCTTCCATCCCAGGGATAAAGTTGACTTGATCATGGTGGATAAGCTTTTTGATGTGCTGCTGGATT
Organism: Homo sapiens; assembly: GCF_000001405.40. Classification (NCBI taxonomy): domain Eukaryota; kingdom Metazoa; phylum Chordata; class Mammalia; order Primates; family Hominidae; genus Homo; species Homo sapiens. The sequence continues at coordinate 44,643,393 of NC_000010.11, read as the reverse complement.
CGGTTTGCCAGTATTTTATTGAGGATTTTCGCATTGATGTTCATTATGGATATTGGCCTGAAGTTTTCTTTTCACTGTGTCTCTGCCAGGTTTTGGTATCAGGATGAAGCTGGCCTCATAAAATGAGTTAGGAAGGAGTCCCTCCTTTTCAATTGTTTGGAATAGTTTCAGAACGAATGGTACCAGCTCCTTTTTGAAACTCCGGTAGAATTCGGCTGTGAATCTGTCTGGTCCTGGGCTTTTCTTGGTTGGTAGGCTATTAATTACTGCCTCAATTTTAGAACTTCTTATTGGTCTATTCAGGGATTTGACTTCTGCCTGGTTTAGTCTTGGGAGGGTGTATGTGTCCAGGAATTTATCCATTTCTTCTAGATTTTCTAGTTTATTTGCATAGGGGTGTTTATAGTATTCTCTGATGATAGTTTGTATTTCTGTGGGGTCAGTGATGATATCCCCTTTTTCATTTATTATTGTGTCTATTAAATGGCATTTAAATTTTTTTTTATTATTTTTTGGTAGTTGATAGACATTTGCAATTTAAACACAAATAATAAAATAAATGGATAAATGAATTTTGTCCATCATTTCTAATTCATTTATATGATCTTTTGATTTGTCTATGTAAAAGATTTCATCATTTGGAAATAAGGGCTGGTTAATTTCCTCTTTCCTAATATTTTTCACTTAATTATTATTAATTATAATATTACTAAAAACAATTAATATATTGATTAATTATTGTGCTATTGAGAAAATCCATGCCAAGTGGAAGTAAGAATAATGAGAAGACTAATAATTTTCCCTCATTTGATATGATAAAAATATATTAGAGTATTTTTATAGGTACCTTTTATCAGATTTAAAAAATTTCCTTCTACTCCTAGTTTACTAAAGTTTATAATCATGAAAGTATGTCGGATAGTATTTTAGGGTTTCCTCAATCTATTGAGATGGTTTTATGATTTTTAATGTATTAATATGGTGAAATATGTGCTTTACACACAAGTGGTGTGTCATTTGGTTATCTCATTTGGTTGTCTTTTTATAAGGTGTGATTCATTTTGCTAATATTTTATTTAATGTTCTTGAATCTGTATTAATGAGCAAGCAGTATGTTAACTGTCCTCTTTCCAACTGCCAGTGTTTGGATTTGGTATAAAGGTCATGCTAACCTTAAAAAGTGAGCTGACAAAGACTCCTCCCATCCATGTCTTGGATCATTGGTAAAAGATTGAGACAATTTGTACCTGAAAAGCTTGGTAGGACTTATGGCCAAAATTATCTCAGTATATATTTTTTTCTTCAGAAGATTTATAACTTGCTTCAATTTTGCTATGCTTTATTTCTTCTAGTGGCAGTTTTAATGTTATATTTTTATGACTTTTGAAATGTTTTTTAAATTTTTGCTATCTGCTTGTTGATAGCTCTGTCATATTATTCAATTCAGATTATTTATGTTCTCTTTATATTTAAAATATTATTTGTTTTATTTTTATTTTTCTTGATAAATCTTGCTGACTGTTAAATAAAACCTAAACCAGGCTCTGTGGCTTATGCCTATAATCCCAACATTTTGAGAAGTCAAGGCAGGAGGATTGCTTGAGGCCATGAGTTTGAGACCAGCCTGGGCAACATAATGAGACCCCCATGTCTACAAAAAGTGAAAAAAATAAAACTAACTGGGCATGATGGCGTGGGCCTGTTGTCCTAGCTACTTGAGAAGCTGAGGTGGGAGGATCCCTTGAGCCCAAGAGTTCAAGGTTGCAAAAAGTTATGATTGTGCCACTGCACTCCAGCCTTGGCAACATCATGAGACCCTGTCTCAAAAAAATGAAAATAAAACAGATTTTTCCATCTTTTGCTTCTTTAATGGTCTGGCACATCTCTAAATGTTGATATGTAGTGTACTTATTATATAATTCTAGGAATTTTGTTTCTATTATAGTTTATTATTTAAACCATAAGTTTTTAGTTTTTTAAAATTTCAAAATATGCAGGGTTTCTAAGTTTAGATATTTTATTTTAGCTTCAATTTAGTTATGTCGAACAAACATGAAGTCTGTAATGCATATGCTGTGGATTTTATTGCTGTTTGCTTTATCAGATAGTGCCTGATCAAATTTCTAATATTCCTTGTGTGCTTGAAAATAATGTACATTCTCTAAATATTGAATGTAAGCTCAATTAAGTTGTTTTTATTTTCAATATTCTTGCTTATTTTTTGTCTGCTTTACATATTTATAATTAAGAGAAGCATTTTGAAGTTAATAATATATGGATGATTTTTCAAATCTCCCTAGAATTCTATCAATATTTGCCTTCCACGTTTCGAGACCATTACACTAGGTGTAGACATATTTAAAATTCTTATGTCATCTTGACACGAACACTTCATCACTGCATAGTGACTCTCTTGATGCCTAATAATTTTTATTACTTTAAGTCCATTTTTCAGCATAAGCTTTCTTTCAGTTAGAATTTTCCTGAAATATCTTTTTACATTCTTTGTGTAGAAAATGTCTAATCCAGAAAGCAAAAACTTTCCTAGGCACTTCTGAGGAAGGAATTTTAATACAGAGAACTGGCTACAAATATGATAGAGGACATAGAGTAGCAAAAGGAGAAAAGCACGTTAATCCCGATGTTAAAACTGCATGAGATTATTTCAGTCATGAAGCTGGAGAAGCAAATGCACATGGAGCTTCCCGAGCCCACAGTGGCTGTGCACTGGTACCACTGCTGTGGGAACCACGTGAGCAGGAAGCAGGTGCCTGAACTCCCTGGCTGCCCCCTGCACCCACTGCCGAGGGACGTTGCTTGTGTGATTTCCTTTTTGTATGGTTTTATTGCATCCCTATGTGTGCCATGAAGTTATATTTTGTATTTACATTTTTTAAACGTTATAAAAGTTGTATGATGCTATATATAATCTCCTGGGCTTATTTTTACATTTAACTGGATATAGCTGAGCTTTATTCATATTGTATGTAGCATGGCTGTCTAGTTTGTTTACATTTTTTATGTAAACATACCAGAGTTGATTCCTGCACTCTCCTGTTGATAAGCATTTGTGTTGTTTTTATAATTTCTGTAAATAGTACTGCTATGAATTTTCTTGTGTGAAAGTTTTGCTTAAAGATAAACAAAGAGTGAAATTGTGTGTAAGAAGTTATATGAATATTTAACTCTGTAAGTTAATGAGGGACTGTTTTTCAAAGTGGGTTCATGCACTTACATGGCCATCAATGCAGAAGAGATTCTGGAGAACAATACCCTATCCAGACTTTCTAATAATTTAGCATGGAATAAAGTTAAAATAATACTTCATTGTATGCATGATTTTTTGTCTTGATCATTAATAATGTTGAACATCTACTGGTATATATTGAACATATAGAAGATTTCAAAAACACAGATAATTGACCTAAAAGACTTATTACACCCCCAAATTGGAGAATTTATATTCCTTTCAATAATGTAAGAATAACTTTAAAAAATGACAATGTGCCAGACCACTAAATTGATTCCTGGCCAGGCATGGTGGCTCATGTCTGTAATCTTAGCACTTTGGGAGGCCAAGGCAGGAGGATCCTGTGAAGCCAGAAGTACTCAAGGGGCTAAGATAGGAGGATCACTTGAGCCCAGGGGTTCAACTCTGCAGTGAGCTATAGTCATGCCACAGCACCACTTCAGGATAGATGACAGAGTGAGACTCTTTATCTAAAATAAAATTTAAAAACAAGAAAGAAATTCTCAATACATTTTTAAAGGATTGTTACCACTTAGAGTACATGTTCTAATTACAATAAAATGAGTTTAGATGTCAATGACAGAAAGATAACCAAAAACTTCATGTATTTGTAAAACATAAACATATCTTTAAAAATGGGAGTAAAAGAAGAACTCATATAGGATATCAGAAAATATTAGTGCACAGAAAGCATAATAGAGAGGAAATTTTTATCTTTAAATATTATATTAGGAAAAAGCCTGAAAAATAAGTGAGCTAAGAATTGAGCACAAAAAAAGACACTGAAGAGGGGAATAACATTTCCAGTGACAGCCAGATAGCTCATGGATGAACTACACTGAGGTTAACTTAAAAAGATGAAAACATGCATTTGCAATCATCATTAAGATAATCAAACCTTTACCTAGCTGTCCAAAGAAGCAAAAGCAATCCTCTCTAGATGATGGTAGTAATCTCTAGAGCTTTGAATTGTCTCTAGAATATTCAAAGACAAATATTAAGTCTAAAATGCTGATGCTTACAAACAGACAAGAGCAGATAAAAAAGAAAATAAATTAGAAAATAGAAAGCCAGAGGAGATGGAAATTTCATGGTTATTATATACAAAACTTAAGATAAATGTGACTACTATGATCAAGGAATTAAGTAACAACCTGGAGAATTGAAAACTACAAATAGTTACTTTTGATATTCTAGAATGAAAAATAAAATATCAGAAATTAAAACTCAAGGAATGGATTTAACAGTATTTTAGAAATAGCTAAGCAGACAATTAGTTAAATGGAAGATAAGTCAGAGGGAAATATACACATTAAAGCCTGGTAGATCTCGAAAGGTGTAATCCAAAGAAAAGCGCAAATGAAATATAGGATTAAGGTATGAATTACCACACAGCAATTGAGGACCAGAAAGAAGAAAGAACATGGTATAATAACCCTATTTGAAAAATACTGACCAAGAATATTCTAAAACAATTAAAGGCATTAAGTTACAGATTTGAGAATGACAAAGGGCACAAATAAGGATTAAACATAAACAGAACAATCACTAGGCACATCATAGTAACACTACTGAAACATTATAATTAACTGAAAATTTTAAAATAAGCCAGAAGTGGGAAAACATTTTACCTACAGAGCAGCAACAGTAAGCCTGACAAAGATTTCTCAACAAAGACTAAAGAAGCCAGAAGACAATGAAATGATATATTTGAGGATAAAGAAAATAACTGTCTGCCTAGAATTTTTAAATCATCAGCCATAACCTTTAAAAATGAAGATAAAATTAAGACATTTTCAGAAAACAAAACTAAAGAGAAGTAGTCACCAGCAGATTTGCACTTAAAAATATGGACTAAAGGGAGTTACTCAGAAAGAAGTGAAATGATCCTAGATAAGGATATAGCAATGCAGGAGAAAAAGAAGAATAAAGGAATTATAATATTTATAAATTAATGTTGAATATATAAATTCATGTCATATAGAAATTAAACTATATTTAAAGAATACAATACACAACAGTAATACTGGAGACCAGGAAAGTAAACGCAGTTAAAGGGGTTAAAGGGCTTTAAGATTCCTCCTCTGCAATTTTCTGGTAAATAGTATAAAAGTACTAAGTTATTTTAGACTCTAGAAATTTATATTTTAATCTCTAGAAAAAATACATTAAAGCCATTAGAAAAATACAGAACTGACAAGCTAATGTAGGGGGAAAATGAAATAATAAAAGAATGCTTGCTTAATCTATAAGAAGAGAGAAGGAGAGAGGGAAATAGAATAAAGGGAGTAGACAGGTAACAGAACAGAGGGAGTAGAAAACAAGTATTAAAACAATAGGCTTTACTACACATATTTCAGGAATTAAGTGTAAATTGACTGAAAACTACAATTTAAGTCCAAGATTGTCAGGCTAGGAAAAAATAATATCCAATGGCACAGTGCTCAAAAACAGTTTAAATATAATGAAACAAAAAATTGGAAAATAAAGAATAGACATATAAAAACACTAACCAAAAGAGAGCCAGTGTATCAGATAATGTAGACTTTAAGGCAAGAAGCACTACTGCAGATAATATACTTAAAGGTGATTTTAAAACATTTAAAAAAGTAAAAAAATATAAAAATTCAAGACATTTATGGATCTAATAGCATAGCCTCAAAATATATAAACCAAAAGTTAACTGGACTAAAAGAAGCAATAGACCAATCAAGCAATATAGTGGGAGGTTTTAAAATACACTTGACTTAAACAACATGGGTTTGAACTGCACAGATCTGCTTACATGCAAATTTTTTTCAGTAAATATATTGGAACATTTTTTGGAGATTTGTGACTATTCGAAAAAATTCACAGATGAACTACATAGCCTAAAACTATAAAAATATTAAGAAGAAGTTAAGTATGTCATAATAAAATATATGTATATATATGTAGATATCAGTTTACCATTTATTATTATAAAATATACACAAATCTAGTATAAAAGTTAAAATTTATCAAAACATACACACACACAAACACAGATTATACACAAAACTGTTTGCAGTCAAGGGAATATAAACAAGTGTAAAGAGGCAGTCAGTATTAAATAATAACTGCAGAAATTAATTGTAGTACATATTGCACTACTATAATAATTTTGTACACATCTTCTGTTGCTATTGCACTGAGCAGTGTTGCAAGTACCTGCTTAAATGCCCAGTGACATTAAATCACTTCCATATGAGCAGTTTGTCTTTCCAGTAAATCAGGTATCACAGTAAATAGTGATTTATTGCAGTTCTTGTGTACTTTTCATCGTGTTTAGTGCAACGTCATAAACCTTGAATAATACCATGAGACCTATGCAAAGTGCCACTGGTGATACTGGAAGTGCTCCCAGAAAGCAGGGAAAAGTCATGACATCACAAGAAAAGGTTGAATTGCTTGTTATGTACCATAGGTTGAAGTCTGCGGCTGTGGTTGCCCACCATTTCAAGATAAATGAATTGAGCATAAGGATCACTGTAAAAAAAAGAAAAGGAGGTTTGTGAAGCCATCACTGCAGCTACACCAGCACATGCAAAAATGTTGCACTTTTTTGTGTAATAACTTTTTATCTAGTATTGAAAATCAGCTTTAATGTGAGTGCAGGATTGCTATAAGAAAGCCATACCTGTAGACTCTCATATGATTTAAGAAAAAGTGAAGAGATCATATGACAACTTAAAGCAAAAGGCAGGTGAACAATCTAATTCTGGAGAATTTAATGCCAGAAAAAGGAGGGTTAAATAATTATGGAAAAAAAAGTTTGGCTTAAAAAATGTCAAGATAGCAAAAGAAGTAGCTTTTGCTAAGAGGAAACAGACAAGTTCCTAGACATTATTAAGAAAATCATTGAGGAGAAAGGATATCTGCCTAAACAGAATTTGAATACCAGTGAAAGTGCTCCATTCTTGGGAAAAAAATGCCACAAAAAAAACCCATTTATTGGTGAGGATGAGAAGCGAGCACCAGGATTTGAGGCAGGAAGGGATGGGCTAACTCTACTGTTTTGTTCAAATGCAATCAGGCCTATGGTTAGGACTGCCCTTATCCATAAAGTTGCTAACCCTTGAGTCTTGAAGGGAAAAGAAACACCAGCTGCCAGTCTTTTGATTGTATACAGGAAGGCCTGGGCAATGAGAACCCTTTTTCTGAATTTATTACATTGATGCTTTGTCCCTGAAGACAGGAAGTACCTGGCCAGTAAGGGACTCCTCTTAAAGTTATTTTGATATTGAGCAATGCCCCAACCACCCAGGACCCCATGATTTTGACACTGAAGGCATCAAAGTGGACTACTTGTCCCCAAACCTAATGTCTCTAATTCAGTCTCTAGATCAGGGAGTAAAAAGGACCTCTAACTCTCATTACACATGGTACTCTATGGAAAGGATGGTCAAAGCTATGGGAGAGAACCTAGAGAGAGAGAACATCAAGAAAGTATGGAAAGATGACACCATTGAAGATGTCATTGTTGTTATAGAAAAATCTGTGAAAGCCATCAAGCCTGAAATAATAAATTCTTGCCGGAGAAAACTGTGTCCAGATGTTACACATGACTTCACAGGATTTACGAGAGAGCCAATCAAGGAAATCATGAAAGAGATTGTGGATATGGCAAAAAGGGTTGGGGGGGATGGGGTGAAAGATTTCAAGATTTCTTGGAGAAAGTCAAGAGCTAATACACACCACACCAGAGGAATTAACAGAAGACAACTTGGTGCCAGATGATGAAGAAGACCACAAAACAGAAGCAATTCTAGGAAACAAGCTGATCTTAGACAATCCAGCAGGAGCATTCCAATGAGTCAAGACTGCTTTTGACTTCTTTTATGACACAGACCTTTCTATGATACAGGCAGTGAAACTAAAGTAAACCATGGTGCTGTATAAAAACATTTTTTAAAAAAATGAAAAAGCAAAAAAGACAGAAATTATTATGTATTTCCATAAAGTGACATGGAGTTTCCCAGCCTCTCCTGCCTCATCTCCTCACCTCTTCCCCTCTGCCACCCCTGAGACACCAAGATCAACCCTTCCTTGTCCTCCTCCTCTTCAGCCTACTCAACTGTAAAGATGAGGAGAACGAAGACCTTTTTGAGGATCCAATTTCACTTTACGAGTAGTGAATATTTCCTCTTCCTTATAATTTTCTTAATAGCATTTCCTTTTCTCTAGCTTGCTTTCTTGTAAGACTACAATATGTAATACAAATAACATAAAAAATGTGTGTTAATCGACTGTTTATATTATCAATAAGGCTTCCAGTCAACAGTAAGTTATTAGTAGTTAAACTTTGGGAAGAGTTAGAAGTTATAGGTGGATTTTTGACTATGTGGGAGTTGGCTATACGTCTTTGAGAAACTTGCAGAAAAAAATAACTCAGTTAAAGACAAATAATGCATAAACAAATGATTGTCAAACATGACCTGATTAAGGTATGTAGAACACTACACCCAGCACATACAGAATGCAAATTATTTTCAAGTGTACGTGACACTTCCTAAAAAAATGATTATATGCTGAATTATAAGGTGAGATTTCACAAATTTCAATGTTGAAATTATACAGACCAGAGTGAGATTAAGCAACATAACAACAAAAAGAAAATTCTTAAATGTTTGAAATTTAAGCAGTACATTTTTAGGTAATTCATATGTCAAGGAAAGATTAATGAGAAAAATTAGAAAATGTTAAATTTAATAATGAATGAACACTATTACAAAACATTGTATCCAATTAAAGCAATATAAAAGCATTTATTTAAAAGGTAGGGTTAAAAGTCAAACATTAACAATCTAAGAAAAAATATTATGAAGTTAGAAAGAACTCCAAAATAAACCTAATTAAAGTAAAAGGAAAGAAATAAAATAAATAATAGCAGAAATACACTAATTAGAAAACAAATACAGAGAGAATTAACCAAGCCAAAATTTGGTATTAGGAAAATAAAATTGATAACCATCTGAAAATTCTTAAAAAGAAAAAGAGGTAAGGCACAAATTTCTAATATCAAGAGTAAAAAATTGGATATCATTAGTTCATAAGTTCATAAAAATAGGAGACTATTGTAAAAATGTTATTCCAGTAAATTTGAAAATTTAGATAAAGTAGACAAGTTACTAAAGAACTACAAAAATGGCTGGGAGTGGTGGCTCATGCCTGTAATCCCAGCAATTTGGGAGGCCGAGGTGGGTGGATCATGAGGTCAGGAGATCGAGACCATCCTGGCTAACACAATGGAACCCCATCTCTACTAAAAATACAAAAAATTAGCCAGATGTGGTGGCGGGCACCTGTAGTCCCAGCTACTCAGGAGACTGAGGCAGGAGAATGGTGTGAACTGGGGAGGTGGAGCTTGTAGTGAGCTGAGATCGTGCCGCTGCACTCCAGCCTGGGAAACAGAGTGAGACTTTGTCTCAAAAAAAAAAAAAAAAGCACACAAAAAAACAGATCAACAAATTAACAAGAAGAAATAGGAAATATGATTGATTGAACATTTGTAAAGACATTGAACCTACAGGAAAACTCTAGACTCAAATGGGTTCAAAACAGAATTTCCCCAAGCATTAAAAGAGAGAAAAACATTTATCTTATATAAGCATACATACATTCCCACCTGCAATATATGAACATTCCAGCAGTTGCTCTGTGTCTTTGACAGCACTTGGTATTGCCAGTCTTTTTAAATTTTAGGTATTCATGTATGTAGAGGTATCTCATTTTATAATTTTTTTTGCATTTCTGTAATGTTCAATGATAGTGAGCATCTCATATGTTTGTTTGCCATCTGTTATCTCTTCTATACAAATATTTTCCTCATTTTTAATTGGGCTGTTTGTCTTACTGAGTTCTGAATTGTTTGGATAATCTGGTTACAAGCCCTTTATCGTATGAGTGCTTTGAAAATATTTTCTCCTTGTCTGTGGCTTATCTTTTCTTTTTCCTTTCTTTTTCTTTTTGTTTGACAGGGTCTCACTAAATCACCCAGGCTGGACTGCAGTGGTGTGATTTCGGCTCACTGCAGCCTCCACCTCCTAGGCTCATGTGATTCTTCAGCCTCAACCTCTCAAGTAGCTGGAACTACAGGCACGTGCCACCAAGGTCCAGCTAATTTTTGTTTTTTTTTGTTTTTTTTGTAGAGATGGGGTTTTACCATGTTGGGCAGGCTGGTTTCGAACTCCTGAGCTCAAAGCGATCCACTGACCTTGGCCTCCCAAAGTGCTGGGATTTCAAGTGTAAGCCACCTCCCAGCCCTTTTCATTTTCTTAATACTATTTTGTTTTTGGTTTTGGTTTTGGTTTTGGTTTTGGTTTCTGAGACGGAGTTTCACTCTTGTTGCCCAGGCTGGAGTGCAATGGCGCAATCTCGGCTCACCGCGCCTCCCGGGTTCAAGTGATTCTCCAGCCTCAGCCTCCCTGGTAGCTGGGATTATAGGCTTGCACCACCACGCCTGGTTAATTTTGTATTTTTAGTAGAGTTAGGCTGATCTCGAACTCCTGACCTCGGTGATCCACACACCTCAGCCTCCCAAAGTGCTGGGATTACAGGCGTGAGCCACCACACCCACCCAGTAATATTTTTTTAAAGAGCCAAGTTGACTCATGCTACCCAATTTCAGGTCTTACTATAAGTTACAGTAATCTAGACAAGGTAAAATTAGATAAATGAATAGACGAATGATATAGAATAGACAGTCGATTGATTTTCAACAAAAAATTTAAGGTAATTAATTGAGAAATGATAGTATTTTCAATAAATGGTGCCAGAAAAGATGACCAACTTCATGAAACAAAACAAAGCAAAACTAAAACCTTAATTCTTGCCTCGTGCCACATACAGAAATGAACTTGGAATGAATTATAGACCTAAAACCTAAAACTGCAAAATTCTGGAATAAAATTTAGGAGAAAAATCTTTGTGATCTTGGTTTAGGCAAAAATGTCTTAGAACACAAAAGCACAACACAAGAAAAATCTAATAAATTAGGTTTCATTAAAATAAAAAATTTCCTAATGACTTTTAACCTTCAAAACATCATATTTCACAGATGAAATTCTAACATGAAGACATTTAGATCACAAAGCTGGGAAGTAGTAAAGCAAGTGAACCAATATAGGTGTTGGCATTCAAATGCAGGCTTTTCCTTCTCCACGAATGCAGAAGTTAATCTAATATGAACTATGTGCAAAGATAAATAACTTGTATTAGCTATGCCACAACTCTGTCAAAGATAATTGAAAACTGGATTTGTGTTTATACATATAGGATCCTTATCTCTTGTTTATACATACAGGATCCATATATCTATATAGCCAGATATATGTGCAACTGTTTAATCCCATGGGCATTTGGCATGACCAGTACAAAGGCACTTCGTAAAGGACTTTTCCCAACTAATATCCAAATTGATTTGATAAGAAATGGCAATTTCCAACTAATCTGTGACTTCCAAAGCGTATAAAACCTGACATTAGCAAGGCCTTGATATTGCAGACTTTGGCAGGGGGCTTTGGTAATCACACTGAAAAGAACTCAGCACCCATAATTCACCCCCAACTCCCTTTTCATCTGCTCTGAGATCATGATACGCAGGATCACCTATGTTACAGGTACCTAATTCCCCATAAGTTCTTGGCCCTGCTGTATGTTTCGCCTGATTCTGAGAGCAGTATTCAGTGATATTCTACCAACAGAAATCACCACGATGTGGACTGGAAACCATTCCAAAACTCAAAAGGCAGCCTTGTATTGAATTGTCCACTGAAAACTGAATTGATGGGGTCTACAGCCAGCGTGGAAGCTCTCAGGGAGTTGAGAGCAAGAGTACAAATCCACAGTAGAAATCATCCATCCTTGGCAAGTAGATTGGATTTCTTCTATGCATTCTTTCTATTTTTTTTTTTACAAATTAATTTTTTGAAGCAGAACACTCAATGCACACTTACAGTCAAATAGTTGACATTTGATGAAAAAAACAAACTTACCTGTTTTCAGTGCAAATATACATCACACAACATCCTTTTCTACTATTCCAGGCCAAAATTCCTGTTCAAATTCTATGATCAAAAAAGAAAATATCATGTACAGTCTACTAAAAATAATTTTATTAATTTAGTTTTTATACTATGGTAACATCAATTATAATGGTTATTTTAATTCAAAATTTTATATGGTACTGGATCTAGTGCAATAAGTGTCTCCTCTATTGCAAAAATTAAATCAAATCCACCAAACAAGAGCACTTGTTTAGAGGAGGGAAGCAGGGTCACCTGCAGTGGACAGGGTCCCAGAGTCTCAAGATACTGTTAGACAAGGAGAGCTCATTGCCTTCTAAGCAATCACATTGCTGTATCCCACTGCCAATCCTGCACCCCCTTCCTTCTTGCTCCACACCTTTCAGGCTCCACATGGTGCATGAGATGGCAGACAGATTCCTGAATGTGGAGTGTGAAGCTATTCCTGAGGTCTGGAAACCACTTAGCTGACAACTTTGTGTCTCACTTCTTTGCCCCCACCCTACCTGTAGCTTAAACTTCCACTACACTAAACTTCCAGAGAATCCCAGTCATGCCTTATTCTTTTGTATCATCAGCCTTTTGAATATACTTTCATCCTGAAGGAATCTACCTTAGGAACTGCCTATTCATCTTTCTAGAGATAACCATCACTTTCTCTAAAACAAATTCCCAAATTCTCTCCACCATACCCTGATCCAGGACCTAATCAAGTTTCCTTCCTTTGGGCAACTCAAACTGTATTTTCTTACTTTTCTTGTGGTACTGCATGACCCTGTAATATGAGTTGGGACTATAATCTGTTAATCTGTGCCTTTCCAACTCCTTGGAAACTAATGGGCAAAGGTGAATGCTTTTTGAAAGAATGAATACTCGAATCAACCAATCAATTGATTAAGCTTGGCACCAAGGTTTACATGCTTCTTTTTGTTTATGCCCCAATCCTAGTACCCTAAGTAGATTTATGTTTCTTGTAATTTGCATGGTTTTTTTCTAAGTCATACTTTCATGCCTTATAATAAAATGTAGCTACATACTGAGATAATTTAAGAATAAAAACAGAAATCAGAAAACTTTGTAAAGAAAGAGATAATTTTAATAGCCCAAACTGTGATAGAGCATTCTCTGTCCAGGCACTGTCCTAAGTACTTTACCTGTATTATTTCATTAAATCCATATAAGAACCCTATGTTACGGTGTGGGTGTTATTATTACTATCTCAACTTTACAGATGAGGAACCTGAGTCAAAGAGAAATTAAGTAACCTTCTGGGAAGTGGTGACATCAAAATTATGTGCACATAATCTTGTTTCCAGGTTGTTCCCTTCACCAAGAGGGTTGTCTGCTACTGTCAGAGATATCAGAAGCCTTAGGTAATATAGTTCATGTGCTTCAAAATTGCATTTAGTTCATTTTTTCTTATTCTCCAAGGAATAAACTCTAAACATAATAGAGGGATCAGGGCTGGCTTCATGGGCATACAACGTGCGCAGCTGTCTCAGGCACCAAACTCAGAAATCCTAATGCTCTGTTGTTGCCATCTTGAAATTCTTAATAATTTTTGAACCCGAGGTCTTGCATTTTTATTTTGCTCTGGACCCTGAAAATTATGCAAGTGTTCTTGAAAAAGATATAAAATATCCAAGGAAGCATTTCTCAGATATATGGGTATTTATTTTTGGAATTGTGGGTAATAATGACTATGCATTTTGTTCCAGAGAATGAAAAAGCAAGTTCTTTCATGTAGAAATCATTCTAGAAGTCAAAAATCAAAGCATTGGATAAGATCATCAGGATAAGTCCTTTGTGAATGCAAGGATCCCAAGGGACTATTTTCCTAAAAATATGTATTCTGAAAGATGTCTAAATTAATAATCAGCATTTTTTTTTCTTCTCTGGCTATGCTGATGGGAGGGTCAGCTACTCAAGTCAAGGAAAAGCTCCCGAGGCTTTCTGTTGCAAGAAGGAACATTATGAAAGTGCTGAGTCATGCAGATTAATCAGAAAGTGGTGTTCCGGGGGTTGCTGAGGAGTAAGGAGCTGGAAAATAAAGACAGAACTAGGGTTGGGTGGATGAGGCTTTCTAAAGGGGTGGTTGGCAACAAAATATCTGGGGCTTCCTGAAGATGCTGTAATGAAAATAAGCTACATCTGATGACTAGCTGACTACAGAGACAGCAGGAGAGCTGGGTAACTCGGAAATCTCCGGCCAAACTAACAAGGAAATATGATGTTACCTTGGAAAGCAATGGAAGTTATTCTATTGTAGACAACGCTGAGCATGTCTTGTCTCATTTGTTTGATTGTAGGACCCCTAAAGGCAGGTTCTGTTTTGTCTCTGCCGCTCCTTATGCCTGGCACAGTGCACCTAACAGAGTATAATGGAAACATCTCTTGTTGTAGTTCATAAAGTGTGGCAATGGCTCTGTTCATTAGCCATGAGTGCCTGAGATTAGTAACATCCATCAATGAGATCCAAGAAATGCCATGTGGACAGGATGGTGCAGACCCCACAGACAAATCCAAACCCACTGTGTTGGTGACTCTTCCCTCTTGAGGAAATCCTATATATTTTTTGGATCAAGGGTTTTTTATTACTGACTGTGAAATAGAGTCATGCAGCTCATAATGACGTTTAGCTCGATGATAGACTGCATATAGGACAGTAGTCCTATAAGATTATAATGGAACTGAAAAATTCCTGTTCTATCTATTCCTGTATCTCTCCTCTGTCTGGGTATGTTTAGATACACAAATACTTACCACGTGTTACAACTGCCTGCAGTATTCCGTACAGTCACAGGCTGTACAAGTTGTAGCCTAGGAGCAATAGGCTATGCCCTACAGCTGACATGTGTAGTAGCTTCTATCCTCTAGGACTGTGTAAGTGCACTCTGTGATGTGCACACAACAAAGAAATCATCTAAGGACACATTTCTCGGAATGGATCCCTGTTGTTGAGTAGCACATGACTGTACTTCAGATAGTTGTAGGCTAACAGAGATACTTGGGAAGATAAAACATGAGAAAAGAAAAATATTTCCAAAAGAATTATTGAGTCACCACACCATCATTTCCTTCAGGCACTGTTTTAACAAATCCAGATTAGAGATTTGGCCCTACTACTATGGATTTATCATGGCTTGATGCTATCTGTAGCAATATTTTAGAACCTCAGATGCACATAAGCTAATTACAATTTTTATTTCTTGGCAAGTATGACAATTACTGAGACATTGTCTCTTGGCTCTGAACCCACCCTCTTTTTTTTTTTTCTCACCCTGTCTTATGGTGCGGATAAACCCACCCGTCTATCTTTGCAAGGCTGGGGCAGGGACTTAGAAACTGCATTGTTCCTTGGCCGGCAGCTTCCTGTTGGGCTCTGCCAATAGATGGAGCTTCAGGAAGGCTGTAGAGCTGGAAAAGAGGATGCTCTTCCTCCTGCCTGCTGCTTCTTTTCCTATCAGGGTCATCCCAGTCTCATTTCTAGGAGAGCAGTGATAATAAATTCCCAATTAAATATTCAATGGATGTATGGAACACTCTACCCAATGATTATGGAATCAACATTTTTTCTTAAGCATACATGGAAAAATATACATATATATATACATGTATGTACATATATTTAAGTTGACCAAGTGTCAGGTTTTAAAGCAAGTTCTAGCAAATTCCAGAGTTTGTAACTTCAGAAAAAAATCATCTGATGCAGGACAATCAGAAGCAACTTCATACATTTTGTAAGAAAAATAATATCTGCACCCCCCAAAAAAACTTTTAACTGCTTCATGGGTCAAAGAAGATATGGAAATTTTTTAAAGACTGAAAATTAGTAAAAATAAAATAACATATCTAAACATACTATCCAGTGAAGCATTACCTCAAAAGAGATATAAATTATATTGTTTATATTAAAACCAAAAAGCCTTATGTTATTGAGCTTTTAATTAATTAATTTATTTATTTATTAATTTATTTATTTTTGGGACAGAGTTTCTCTCTTGTTGCCCAGGCTGGAGTGCAATGGCATGATCTGGGCTCACTGCAACCTCGCTTACCTAGTTCAAGCGATTCTCCTGCCTCAGCCTCCTGAGTAGCTGGAATTACAGGCATGCACCACCATGCCTGGCTAATTTTTTGTATTTTTAGTAGAGATGGGGTTTCTCCATGTTGGTCAGGCTGATCTCGAACTCCCAACCTCAGGTGATCTGCCTGCCTCGGCCTCCCAAAATGCTGGGATTACAGGCGTGAGCCACCCTTCCTGGCCAAGTTTTTAAAAATTAGCATCAGATCAGTAGAATAAAGCCAAAGACAGCAGAAGAAAATAAATAACAAAAAAGCAAATGTTAATGACAGAAAAAGCAAATATACAATAGGTATCATTAATTAAATCAAAATTGTGTTTTTTAACAAACTAATGAAATAAGCAAGCCTTTGATGAAACTGATTAATATGAGAAAAATAAGAGAGTAAGAAAACAAATGAAAAATAAAATGAGGAGACACTTGAGATGGAAAATATTATAATATTATGTACCATTTTATTACCTTTTTAAGCTTAGTTTGCCATTGATGAAGTTTCCCAATTGCTCAATCTACTTTATTTGAGGAATTTAAGAAGTATTTCTTCTTTATGTACTCTTTGTAAACATTTTGTATAAGACTGGAATTGAAAGTAAAACATGGGCGTAGTGTTGTTTGTTTCTTTAGGAAGATTTTCCAATTACTCTATCTACTTTATTCATTTAATATATATTTTTTGAATACCTCAAGGCACTGTTCTATACTTCAGAGATTCCTGGTGAGCAAGTCAGAAAGGTCCCTGTTCTTATGGATTGTATATATCAATAAAGGGGAGACAGAGGTAAGATCCTTTCGGAAAGTGGGAGGCCAGGAAGAAAATAAAAAAGAGTAATGTCATTGTGGATTATGGGGGCTACCTCAAACTGAGTAGTCAGAAGACTGTCTCTCAGGTGGAGATGTCTGTGCTAGGTTATTATGGGCAAAAGAGATCCATCTAGGAAAATATCTAGGGAGAATATTATAAGCCAGTTCTGGCCAGTAGAACTTCTGTGATGAAGGAATCTTCTATGTTTGTGTTGTCTGATGTGGTCACTACTAACTACATGTGGCTGTCAAACACTTGAAATGTGGCTCGTGTGACTGAGAAACTAAGTTGTTAATTTTTGTTTAATTTTAATTAATTTAAATTTAGTCATATGAGTATGTCAATAAATATAAAACCTTAATTAAAAACACATTTGTAGAGAAATATATTTGCTAAACTACTCATAAAAAGAGAAAGATTTAAAGTATATCTTTATTTAAAAATCTTCCTAGAGAAGCAAGACCGGGCCCAAGTGTTTCACTTTCAATTCCAATATTACACAAAATGTTCAAAAAGAGTAGATAAAGAGGAAATATTTCTCAAATTCCTTTTGACAACAAAACAAGAACCACATAAGGAGAGATTGTATAGACTGATTCCACTCATGAGCATAGAAACAATATTCTTAAAGTGTTAGCAAACCTAATTGAATAATTATTATAAATGAAATAATGACTCACATGGATTAATCCCTGGAAAGCAAGTTCAATCAATATTTACTGAATGCTGCCGTAAGTAATATTGTCCTAGGTGCCCGGAAATGTTGCAGTGAACAAAATGAACACCCTTGCCTACATGGAGCTAAGGCAGACCATGAACCAATAAATACAATCCATAGTCCAGCCCTGCAGGGTAAATGCTCTGGAGAATAATGAAACAGGGGAGACAGGGAAGGGTTGGCCTGAGATGACCCTGCAAGGGAAGGATTGGCCGGAGACGACCCCACTGAGAGAGCAGCATCTGATCAAACATCTTAAGAGTGTGAGGAACAGAGCTTGCGTTGATAGAAGAGGAAAGAGCCTTCTGGGCAGAGGAGTTGGTGTGTTTGAGCAGTAGCAGTAAGGCAGTGCATTTGGAGCTGAGTAAGTGGATATGAGACCTCCAGGAAAAGATCTTGAGGTGACAAAGAACAGGTCACATAGGGCCTTGCAGGCCAATGCAAAGAGTGAGTGTATCAGTTGGGAAGCCACTGCAGAGTTGAAATTTTAAAAAGACATCATGCAACTTGATTTAAAAAGGATCACCCTCCTGCTGTGTTGAGAATAGTCTGGACAGAAGCAGAGAGAAAAATGAGGAGCACAATTATCCAAGGAGGAGGAGACAGAGGATTGTGAGGAAGGATTCAATGGCACAACAGCTGTGATGAGATCATCTTCCGGATACATTCAGGTGGAATTGACAAGAGTTGCCAATGGAACTGTTGTGGAATTAAGGAAAGGCCAGGGAGAGCTCCAAGGCTTATGCCCCGGGCAACTAATATGATGGAGTTGACATTTCAGGAGATGCTGAGACTGTGGAGGAACAAGTGTGGGGAGAAGGGCAAGCTCAGTTTTGGACGTGCTGGGTTTGAAGTGCTTGTCACATATCCGGGGAAGGATGTGAAAAAGATGGCTGGACAGAGGGGTCTGGAAGCGGGGGCAGAGGTCTGGTAAACATTTGTGAGAGCTCAGTTTACGGATGACAACTAAAACTAGAACATGGGTCTAACATTTATCCCCAAACCTGACCAAGGTTGAACCAAAATAGGAAACCACGGACCAGTCTCGCTTATGGATGTAGATACAAAAATCCTAAATAAAACAAAATCAAACAGAATCTAATAGCATATTTTTTAAAATCATGGTAGCAAATAATGATATAGTCTACATATGTGATGGATTCACTGTTGGAAAAGCATTTATATAACCCATCATACTATCAAAGCTAAGAAAAAAAAAAGTCAGTAAATATCTCCACTATGCAGAAAGGCATTTGACAAAATTTGAAACTCATTTATTACAAAAACTAAATTCTAAAATTCTAGTAAATATTCTAAAAGATGTATGCACAAAGGTCTTTGTTGTAGCATCTTGTTTTTAAAAAGACACAAATATCCATCAGTAGTTTGTTGATTGAATGAACTATATTTCACACAGATTCTGCAGTTGAAAAAATATAATACCCCTATATACTGCTACAGAGCAAATGTCAGGGTAGATAGTTGAGAGAAAAAGAAAATTTAAAAAATTACGTGTAGTATGCTACTATTTCCCAAAGAAATAGGAGTATATAAATAAATGCATATATTTTCCCATATTAAAATTAGAAGAAATTTTTTTTTTTTTGAGATGGGGTCTTGCTCTGTCACCCAGGCTAGAGTGCAATGGTGTGATCTCGGCTAACTGTAACCTCCACCTTCCAGGTTCAATCGATTATCCTGCCTCAGCCTCCTGAGTAGCTGGAACTACAGGTGCGGACCACCATGGCTGGCTAATTTTTGTACTTTTAGTAGAGACAGGGTTTCACCATGTTGGCCAGGCTGGTCTTGAACTCCTGACCTCAAGTGATCCACCCACCTTGGCCTCCCAAAGTGCTGGGATTACAGGCTTGAGCCACCATGCCCGGCCAATAATTTTTAAAACATAAAAAAAGTACAATTTACTGTGAGGGAGAGAAGAAACAAGGTGCAGGAGACAAGGTTAAAATCTACCTGCCTGGAAGTCTCTGGTTTTCACCATGACACGTGTATACCTATGTAACAAACCTGCACGTTCCACACAAGCATCCCAGATCTTAAAGTAAAATTGTAAAAAAAAAGAAAGTCTCTGGTTTTATAAATTTGCCTTTGACACCATGTAAATGTTTTGCATAATTACAAAACAAAATTATATTTGGAAAAAAAAAAGCCCTGAAAAGTGAAAGCAAAATAAAACAACTGTACTTAGCTATGTATTGCACTGGTGGCCTACCTGTGCATAGAGAAACTATTTCAAAAACTTTAAAACACAGTCATTTAACTTTAGTGGGATAAACTCTAAGGACAAAAAGATGCAAACAAAAATCTTAAACAGATTTTAGGAAACATTGTTTGTGGTAGTGTTGCTGTCTGTTATCTGAAGACTTGTGTCCACCATACATGGTGAGATAAAGCAAATGAATAATTATCTTAGTTCATTGGTATTCAGGATTTCTGTCTTGAGTACAAGAATATATTGATGTAATATTGATGAATTTTAGTGAAAGTCTATAGCCCTCAATTTGAATTGGTAGAATTTACCAGTTAACCCATCTGGGCCTGGTGCTTTCTGTTGCGGAATATTATTAATTATTGAATCTATTTCTTTAATAGATATAGGTCCATTCAGATTGTCTATTCCTTCTTGTATTAATTTTGGCAGATAGTGTCTTTCAGGGAACTGGTACATTTTATCTAGATTATCCCATTCGTGAGCACAGATTTGTTCATAGTATTCCTTGATTCTACTTTTAATGACTATGGGATCTGAGGTAAATTCCTACGTTTTACTTATGATATTAATAATTTGTGATCTATTTTTTTTAGTTAACCTGACAAGGGGTTTATCAACTTTATTGATATTTTCAAATAACCAGCTTTTGATTTTGTTGCTTTTCTCTATTGATTTTCTGTTTTCAATTTAATGGATTTCTGCTCTGATTTTTATTATTTATTTTCTTCTGCTTACTCTCAATTTAATTTGTTCTTGTTTTACTAGTTTTCCAAGGTGGAAGCTTATTTTATTTATTTTAGCTCTTCCTTCTTTTCTAATGTATTCATTGAGTACTGTAAATTTCTAAGCACTGCTTTTACTGCATTTCATTTTTTTAAGTTTTATCTTCATTTTCATTTACTTAAAAATATTTTAAAATTTCTGTTGACATTTCTTCTTTGATCCATGTGTTATTTAAAGGCATGTTGTTTAATCTGCCATTATTTGGGGGGATTTTCCAGCTATCTTTACTGACTTCTAGTTTAATTCCATTGTGGTCTGAGAGTGGACATTGTATAATTTCCATTCTTTTAAATTTGTTAAGGTATGTTTTATGGCCCAGAGTATGATCTATTCTTGTGAATGAATGTTCCTTGTGAGCTTGAGAAGAATGTGTATTCTGCTGTTGTTGGATGAAGTGGTCTATAGATATCCATTACATCCAGTTAATTGATAGTGTTGTTGAGTTCAACTCTGTCTTCACTGACAATTTGCCTGCTCGATCTGTCCATTTCCAATACAGGGGTGTTGAACTCTCCAACTGTAATAGTAGATTAATCTGTTTCTCCTTGCAGTTCTATCAGTTTTTTGCCTCACATATTTTGATTGTCTGTTGTTAGGCACATACATTTTAAGGATTGTTATGTCTTCCTGAAGATTTGACCTCTTTCTTATTATCTAATACCCCTCTTTATTTCTGACACTTTCCTTGCTGTGAAGTATGCTCTATTTAAAATAATTACAGCAACTCCAGCTTGATTAGTGTTACTACAGTAATCTCTTTCCATCCATTTGCTTTTAATCTATATATGTATCTTTATATTTAAAGTGTGTTCCTGTACACAGCTTATAGCTGGGTTTGTTTTTTGATTCACTCTAACAATCTCTCTTTTCTTTGATGCCTTTAGACCACTGACATTCAAAGCAACTATTGATGTGGTTGGTTTAATATCTACCATATTTTGGCTGGGCATGGTGGCTTACACCTGTAATCCCAGCAGTTTGAGAGACTGAGGTGGATAGATCACTTGAGGTCAGGAGTTTGAGACCAGCCTGGCCAACATGGCAAAACCCTGTGTCTACCAAAAATACAAAAATTAGCCAGGTGTAGTGGGGGTGCCTGTAATCCCAGCACTCAGGAGGCTGAGGCAGGAGAATCGCTTCAACCCGGAAGGTGGAGTTTGCAGTGAGCTGAAATGGCGCCACTGCACTCCAGCCTGGGTGACAGAGTGAGACTCTGACATAATAATAATAATAATAATAATAATAATAATAATAATATCTGCCATATTTTTCTATTTGTTGCCCTTGTTCTTCCTGTTTCTTCTTTTACTCCTTTTTTTTTTTTTTTGCCTTTGTGGCTTTAATTGGGCATTTTATATGATTCCATTTTCTTACCTCTCTTAGCATATCAGTTGCAATATATTTTTTTTTTACTCTTTTTAGTGGTTGACCTAGAGTTTACAATATATGTTTACAACTAAGCAAGACCACTTTCAAACAGCACTATACTGCTTCATGGGTAGTGCATGTACCTTATAATAATAAAATAATTCTAAATCCTCCTTCCTGTTCATTGTATCATTTCTGTCATTTATTTTGCTTATATATTGTCACACATGTATATTATATGTATCTATATATTCAAGTACAATTTTGCTATTATCATTTTGAATAAACTGCTATCTGATGGATCAATTGAGAATAAGAAAAATAACATTTTAATTTTATTTTCACTTATTCTTTCTTCACTACTCTTCTTTAAGTATATCTGAGTTTCCAACCTATATTATTGTCCTTTTCTCTAAGGAACTTCTTTTAACATTTCTTGCAAGGCAGGCCTACTGGAGACAAATTTCCTAAATTTATATTTCACCGAGAAAGTCTTTATTTCTCATCCACTTTTGAAGGATGATTTCACAGAGTACGTAATTCTAGGTTGGTGTGGTTTTTTCTTTCAACATTAAATATTTAACTCACTCTCTTCTTGCTTGCATGGTTTCTGAGGAGGACCAATTAAAGTTTCAAGAGAGCATTGAGTCTATTTCATAGCAAATCTAATGTGAATGAGTCCAACCATTAGGTTCATGGGAAAAATCTTACTGCCTTCCCTCTACTAGGCACGGAAAGGTTGCTCGGCTTTCATTTATGTCTCCTTTACTCCAGTAGTCACGGAATCTAAGCAGTAGCCTTGTTGATTTGTTGATTCAGCAGACATTTGCTGATGTGCTACTGTGTGCCGTTGCTGGGAGAGGGGTGGGGAAGCACAGAGTTGAATGAGGCCCAGGTCCATCTGCAAAGAAACTCAGCAGAGTGTGGGGGAGGCAAGGAAGAGCCACAAGGGAAAAAGCAGTGCCAAGTTAGGTAATCACTCACTGATTCATTCATTCATTTAACTAACCTTCATCAAGACCTTTCATGTGTCAATATCATGCTGGACTCTGGGGACAACATGATAAATATAAGATTGCTCATCCCTCAAAGACTCTCAGTTAATTGAGACATACACTTAAGAAGAAAGTTGCAACACAATGTGGTAAATCCAGTGATAAAATCATCCAAAGAATATTATAGAAATAGAACAATATGTAATCTAATGAGGAAGGGAAAAAGCTGAGAGTAGAGATTTGAGGAAGGCTCTGAGTTGAACATTAGGCAATTCATACAAATTAAACAGGTAAAGAAGACAGGAACAGCATTCTAGACAGAAGGGACAATATGGAAAAGACACTGAGACAAATGAATAAAAACAGCAAAAACAACCTCATTTGATCAAATCCTGGGACGCCATCCAAAGAGCTGATGCTGAAGAGTGACATAATCTGATTTGAATTACCCAATTAATATTATGGAGGCCATGTGTAGAATAGTTTGAAAGAGATCAGAAGGAAGGTTGAGAAGAATAAGTTAGAGATAAAATGGAGAGCTCATTTCTGGATATGTGGCACTTGAGGGGCCTAAGAAACAACACTTGGTAGGTGAGCAAGAAGGCAAGCATTGAGTCAGGCCTGAGTATGAGCACAGCCACCATGGAGATTCTAAATTGGATTGCTGCTGGGCAGTGGGAGAGCGCTGTAGGGAAAACTCTTGCTGAGGTGGGTTACATTTAGGACTCGCCTAGAACCCAAGATTGGGAGTCTAAGAGGGATGAAAAGACGTGGTACCTGGGATGATACATGGTCACCTTGGCCCTGAATGCCTTCCTTGTAGTTGGCAAGTCTAGCAGAAGGCAGTTCTAACATGTTACAGTTCAGATTTTCACTTTCTCCCAGCAGAGCATGGTTAAGCAACAGCACCACATATCTGAGCTAGATGTAAATCAAATGCAAGGTGGTTGACAGGAGATTTTGGTCCAAATAATAGGTCAGACCCTTTCAGGCTCCATAAAAAGAGTCATAAAGATCAGTATCTACAAAAACCTGAATTCCATTTTCCACGAAAGGAAATGTGAGATCCCCTGGGGCCCCTGTCAGCTTCATTTTATTGGTGGACAGATGGGGAGGGAAGGGGATCATATCTCATTCCTTCAATAGATTATAGAATCCAAGAATCATTGAATCACGTGGCTAAAGGATATGTTGGAGGTCGATTTACCTAACCTCCGTTCAGAAACTAGAAATAAATCTTCACTAGCAACATTACAAGAAGGAATTCCTTCAGTGTCCCTAGTAGAAGTTAGGACCAGCTAATGTTCTGGGACCATTTTGGAGACATAGAGGAAATGAAAAGGCCCTCAGAGAGGCAATGAAAAATACTGCATTTAATGATATCAGTGAGAAAAAAATGATCTTGGCAATAAGGCTGCTCCATTGTAAGCTGGGTTACATATAGGTTTGGACAAAAAAAGGCTGGATTAAGAAGTACTTAGTCTAAAACAGGAAACAAGAATGGGAGGGTGGTTATCATCATACTCCATCCTTTCTCCCTGTATTTGCGACAGTAAGCATGGCAAATAGTGTATCTTATATTAAAAAGAACCCAGTGAACACTTGAACATTTAGTTCTCTACAAATCATCATGAAACACAATTTGTGTCTAATAAAGCTAAGACTCAGAAAATGTAAGTGATATGACCAGGTTCACGTGGTTAGTAGGCTGAAGGGTCTGGAAGCAAAACCCAATGTTCCTTGTGGCGTAATTTCTTCCAGATTCTAAGCACCATTTTCATTGTGAAATGTTTTTTAAAATTATTTTTAGTTTGGTAAAATATATGTAACATAAAATTTGCCATTTTAATGTACAATTCAGTGGCATTAATGACTTTCACAGTGATGTGCAACTATTACCACTACCTATTTTCAAAATTTTTCATTAGCTCAAAACAGAAACTCTGTAACCATTAAGCAACGACTCCCCATATTGCCCCTTCACCCATCCCCTGATAACCTCTAACCTACTTTTTCCACTATGCATTTTCTTATTCTAGATATTTCACATAAGGGAACTGCTATTGTTTGCATACTTGACCCTCCAAACTTCATGTTAAAATTTTACCCCCCAGTGTTGGAGGTGGGGCCTAATGGGAGGTGTTTGGGTCATGGCTGAAGATCCCTCATGAATGGCTTGGTGCTGCGCTTGATATAAGTAAGTTCTTGCTGCAATGGTTCCTGTGACAGCTGTGAGAGCTGATTATTAGAAAGAGCCTAGAACCTCCTCCGATCCTCCGTGTGATCTTTATATGCCAGCTCCTCTTTCCCTTCTACCAAGAATGGAAGCTTTCTGAGGCCCTCACCAGATGCAGATGCTGGTGCCATGCTTCTTGCAGAACTCTGCAGAACTCTGAGCCAAATACATCTCTTCTTTATAAATTACCCAGCAGCCGCAAGTATTCCCTTATGGCAACACAGATGGACTGACAGAAACCATAAACTATTTGTTCTTTCATGTCAGGCTTATTTCAGTTAGCGTCGTGTTTCAAAGTTCATCCATAGTTTAACAAGTATAAGAACTTTCTTCAGTTTTTATGGCTAAATAATATTCCACTGAATGTATATACCATTTTATGCTCATCTGATGGACGCTTAGGTTGCTTCACCTTTTAGATATTGTGTATAATGCTGCAATGAACAATGGCATATAAGCATTTGAGTCCCTGTTTTTAATTATTTTGGGTATATATGCAGCAGTGAAATTGCTCAGTCACGAGGAAATTATGTGTTTAGCTTTTTGAGGAACCAGACAACTCTTTCCCATGGTGGCTGCACCATTTTACAGTCCAGGCAGCAATGTATGGGGGTTCCAGTTTCTCCACATCTATTTGTTATTTTCTGTTTCTCTAAATAGTCATAATAGCAGGTGTGATGTAGCACCTCATTATGTTTTTGTTCTGCATTTCCCCAATAACTAATGATATTGAGAATCTTTTAAAAACTGCTTATTAGCCATGTGTGCATCATCTTTGGATAAATACCTCTTCAAGTCATTTGTCCATGTTTTAATCTATTTGTTTGTTTGTTGTCGAGTTGTGGGAGCTCTTTAGATATTCTGTGCATTCATCCCTTATCAGATATATGACTGCAAATATTTTCTCTCATTCTGTGGGATGCCTTTTTACTCTGTTGATAGTGTACTTTGATGCACAAAGGTTTTTAATTTTGAGGAAGCCCAATTTAACTATTTTTTATTGACTGTACTTTTGGAGTCATATTCAAGAAATAATTGCCAAATCCAATGTCATGAGGCCTCCTCCTTTGTTTTCTTCCAAGAGTGTTATAGTTTTAGCTCTTACATTTGGATATTTGATCCATTTTAATCATTTGGTATAAGGTAAGAATTCAACTTTATCTTTACATGTGTGTATATTTGCTTCTCCCAGCACCACCATTTGTTGAAAATAATGGCTTTTCCCCAATGCATAGCCTTGGTACCTTTGTTGGAAATAATTTGATCACATATGCAAGGATGTTTTAAAGGTCTGTCTATTCCATCTGATTGGTCAGCATGTTAGCCTTTATGAAAGTCAAACACTGTTTTGATTACCATAATTTTGTAGTACTTTTGAAATCAGGAAGTGTAAAACCTCTGACTTGTTCTTCTTTTTCAAGATTGTTTGGTGCTCTTTGTCCCTTGAAATTCCATATGAATTTCATGATGGATTTTTCTGTTTAAGCAAAAAAAACATCATTGGGATTTTGATAGGGGTTGCACAGAATCTCTATATCATCTTGGGTCATATTGATATCTTACTAATATTAAATTTTCCAATTCATGAACATGGGATTTCTATTAATTTGTGTCTTTAATTTCTTTCAGCATATTTTATAGTTTTCAGTGTACAAGTCTTTTACCTTCTTGGTTAAATATATTCCTAAGGGTTTTAGTCTTTTCGATGCTATTGCAAATGGAATTGTTTGCTGAATTTCTTTTGAAGATCATTCATTGTTAGTGTATTAAAATACAACTTTTTTTTTTTTTGGTGTGCTGATTTTGAATCCTGCAACTTTACTTAATTCAATTAATTCTATTTTGAGAAAAAATGTAGTCTTCTACATATAAGATAATGTCAACTGCAACAGAGATAATTTTACTTATTTCTGTCCAATTTGTATGCCTTTTATATCTTTTAAAACATTTTTATTTATTTATTTATTTAATTTATCTCACTCTGTCACCCAGGCTGGAGTGCAGTGGTGCGATCTCGGCTCACTGCAACCTCCGTCTCCCAGGTTCAAGAGATTCTCCTGCCTCAGCCTCCTGAGTAGCTGGAATTACAGGCATGCACCACCATGCCCAGCTAATTTTTGTATATTTAGTAGAGATGGGGTTTCACCATGTTGGCCAGGCTGATCTCAAACTCCTGACCTCAAGCAATCCACCTGCCTTGGCATCCCAAAATGCTGGGATTATAGGTGTGAGCCACCGCACCTGGGCATTATGCCTTTTATATCTTTTTCATGACTAATTGCTCTGGCTAAGACTTTCAGAACTATGGTGAAAGTGAGCATCCTTGTCGTGTTCTAGAGGAAAAGCTTTCAGTCTTTCACAATTTAGTATGATGTTGACTGTGTATTTTTCATCTGTGCCTCTTATTATGTTGAGATAATTTTCTTCTATTCAAAATTTATTGTATTTTTATTATGAAAGGATGTTAAATTATGTTAAATCCTTTTTTTCCCACATCGATTGAGAAGTTTGTGTGGCGTTTTTCCCTTGATTCTTTTAATGAAGGTGTTATAGTGACTGATTTTCATGTGTTGAGCAATCTTGGCATTGTAGAAATAAATCCTATTTGGCCATGGTGTACCATTCTTTTAATATGTTGTTGGATTTGGTTTGCTAGTATTTTCTTGAGGGTTTTTGCATCTTTATTTACTTATTTATTTTACTTTTCTTTTTTTTTTTTTTGAGACGGAGTCTTGCTCTGTCGCCCAGGCTGGAATGCAGTGGCGCGATCTCGGCTCACTGCAAGCTCCGCCTTCCGGGTTCACGCCATTCTCCTGCCTCAGCCTCCCCGCGTAGCTGGGACTACAGGCGCCCGCCACAACGCCCAGCTAATTTTTTGTATTTTCAGTAGAGACGGGGTTTCATTGTGTTAGCCAGGATGGTCTCGATTTCCTGACTTGGTGATCCGCCCTCCTCGGCTTCCCAAAGTGCTGGGATTACAGGTGTGAGCCACCGCGCCCGGCCTTGCATCTGTATTTACAAAGGGTATTGATCTTTACTCTTTTATGGTGTTTTGTAATCAGGGCAAAGCTTTGTAATCAGGGTAAAGCTGGCTTTATATATTAAGAAATGTTTCTTTCCTCTTCTAGTTTTTTAAGTACTATGAGAAGGATTGATTTTAATTCTTTTTTAAATAGTTGTAGAATTCACTAATTGAGCCATCTGGTCTTGGACTTCTTTTTTTGAAAAAAAAATTTTTTTTTTGAGACCCAGTCTTGCACTGTCGTCCAGGCTGGAGTGCAGTGGCACAGTCTCGGCTCACTGCAGCCTCTGCCTCCCAGGTTCAAGTGATTCTTATGCCTCAGCCTCCTGAGTAGCTGGGATTACAGGCATTCGCCACCACACTGGCTAATTTTTGTATTTTTAGTAGAGATGGAGTTCCGCCATGTTGGCTAGGCTGGTCTCAAACTCCTAACCTCAAGTGATCTGCCCACCTCAGCCTCCCAAAGTGCTGGGATTACAGGCGTGAGCCACCGCGCCTGACCTTTTTGAAGGTTTTTGGTAACTAATTCAATGTATCTAATTGTGTTATATATGTCTTCAGATGCCTCTTTTTTTCTGGAGTTCAATTAATTTTATGCTTCTGAGAATTTATTTAGATTACCTAATTTTTGTGTACAAATATTCATAGTATTCTTATATATTCCTTTTAATTTATGTAAGTTCAGCACTGTTATTTGTGCCTCCTCTCTATTTTTTGTTGTCAGTCTTGGTAAAATTTGTCAATATTGTTGATATTTTTCCAAGAACCAACTATTGTTTTCATTGATTCTCTGTATTTTTTTCTATTCTTTATTTTATTTATCTCCACTCTAATCTTTATTATTACATTTCTTCTCCTAGACTTCAATTAATTTTCTCTTCTTTTTCTTATTCCTCAAAGTATAAGTTAGGTTGTCAAATTGAAATCTGTTTAAATGTAAGAATTTATGGTTTTAGGTTTTCCTCTGAGCACTGCGTTTATTGCATCCCATAAGTTTTGGTATGTTGTTATTTTCATTTTCATTCATCTCTAAGTATTTTCTAATTTACCTTGTTATATCTTCATTGACCCATTGGTTGTTTAATAGAGTGTTGCTTAATTTCTTCATATTTGTGACTTTCTAAGTTTTCCTTCTGTTATTAATTCCTGGCTTCATTCCACTGTGGCTAGAGAAAATACTTTGTATTATATCAATGTTTTAACACATCTTAATCCTTGTTTTGTGACCTACCATATGATCTATCCTGGAGAATAGTCTATGTGTACTTGAGACATATGCATATTTTTCTGTTGTTGAGTAAGGTGTTCTCTATGTCTGTTAGGACTAGTTGGTTTATAATATCTTTCAGGTCTTCCATATTATAATTGATCTTCTGTCCAGATGTTCTATACATTATTGAAAGTGGGGTATTGAAATTTCCAACTAATATTATAGAACTATTTTTCCTTTTAATTCTGTCAGTATTACCTCTCTCTCTCTCCACACACACACACACATACACACACACACTCACCCCACAGCCCTTTGAAAGCCCTTATATATACATAAGCGCTCTTGTTTGGTGTATATATGCCTATAATTTTTTATCCCCTTTGTTAGCCGATTGTTTTATCTCCTTTGTCTCTTATAAATCTAGAGTGTCTGTATTACAGGCTTCCAGCTCTCTTTTGGTTATTATTTGTGTGGGATATACTTTCCCAGTTTTCATTTTAACCTATTTGTGTTTTTAGTTCTAAACTGAGTATTTTGTAGATAGCATATAATTGTATCATTTTTTACAAAATTCATTCTGCTAATATCCACCTTTCGATTAGAGGGTTTAATGCATTTACATTTACTAATAAGGAAGGATATCTGCTATTTGTTGTTTCCTGTATGTCTTATACATTGGTTCCATTATTCCATTATTGCCTCATTTTAGGGTTAGTTACATTTTTAATTTTTCAATTTTAGTAAACCAATTTGATCTTCCTCTCCTTTACTTTTGTGTATATTCTTGAGATATTTTATTTTTTGTTACTATGGGGATCACATTTAACATCCTTAATTTGCAACAATATACTTTGAATTGATACCAACTTAACTTTAATTTCATACAAAAACTCTGTTCACGTACATCTCCGTCTTCTCCTTTTATGTTATTGTTGCCACAAATTACATCTTTATACACTGTGTAGCCATAACATAGATTCATATTTTACACATTTGTATTTAAATCATGTAACAAACACAAAGTGGAATTATCAGTCAAAAAATAATAATACTGGCATTTATATTTACCCATTAAGTTACCTTTACTGGATATCTTCATTTATATATTTATTTTTTAGAGATCTGAAGTGATTTTACTTTTACTTCCTTCACTTTAAGCCAATCGTGACATTTCACAGTGATTTCTGGGTTGGGCGCAGAAATTCTTGATTGTCAGGGTGATTTTATTTTAGCTCTTTAAATGTGTCATCCCAGTGCTTCTGGACTGTATGGTTTCTGATAAAAAATGATCTTTTAATCTTATCAATGAGCCCTGTACGGTCATTGATATGTATGAGTCACTTCCCTTTTATGGCTTTCAAAATTCCTTTTGTTTTTTGTTTTTTTGACTATTTGATTATAATGTGTCTCACTGTGGATAACTTTGAGTTTATCCTACTTGGCGTTCATTGAGTGTCTTGAATTTGTAAATTCATGTATTTTGTCAAATTTGGGACGTTTTCAGCCATAAAATAATTCAACCTTTTTGGCCCCTTTCTCTTCTAGAACACTAATAATGCATGTGTTGTTTCCCTTGATGGTGCACAGTTCACTTATGCTCTGTTCATTTTTCTTCATTCTTTCTTATTTTCTCTTCTCAGATTTAATCATTTTGATTGTCCTATCTTTGTTATTTCTTCTGCCAGCTCAAATCTGTTCTTGGACTCCTCTAGTGTACATTTTATAGATAGTGCTTTTCAGCTGCAGACTTGCTGTTTGGTTTTTTAAAATAATTTCTATCTATTGATATTCTCATTCTGTTTATATGTTGGTTTTCATGTTTTCTTTAATTCTTTTTCTATGTTTTCCCCTAGCTCTGTCAGTGTATTTAAAGCATTGCTTTAAAGTGTACATCAAGTAAGTCCAATGTCTGAGCTTTTTCAAGGATAGTTTATGTTGATTTATTTTATTTCTTTAAATTGGCCATACCTTCTTGTTTCCTTGACTTGTGATTTTTTTTTGTTGACAAGTGGATATTTTAATATTACAATGTGTTCTCACTGGAAATCAGATTCTTCCCTTTCTCCAGGGCTGTCTATCTTTTTGTTGTTGTTGTTAAAGGTTGTAGTATTCCATTTGTTTAGTGACTTTACAAAACTACTTTTGCAAAGATTTTATTTCTTGTGTGTGGTCACTGAAGTCTGTATTTCTTAGCTTGCGTTCACCTTGCACATTTTCAGAGATTTCCTTGAATGTTAGGAGCTACAACAAGCTAAAATTTCCCACCCTTTTCAAAGACTGTCTCTGTGTCAGGCAACTTCTTCTACACTTGGCTAGCTTACTCCATGCCTAGGGATCACACTGGGGTAAAACTTTAGGGTTGCCATAGGTCTTTTGTGACCCTTCACCTTTTCCTGTGCATGCAAATGGCTTTTGAAACCCCCCTATATACGCAGCTACTTTTTAATGTCTTAATTTCCCAAAGAAACTCTCCCCAGCTTTTTTCTTAGGGCTTAGGTAGTCTATTTTATGTTTCAACCATAATTTTTTTGCCCCAAGCACATGATGAGTATTAATTTAGCTTGCACTGTTTTTGAGCGATGCCCACCACTTTTCTGGCCTGAGTTCTGAGTTAGGCAAAACAGAGACAAGCACCTTGCACTGGTATTTTAGGTATCTCCAGTCATGGTAGAACAGACATACACAATAATTTGTTAATAAGATATGTTCTTTCTTTGGAATCAGAGACCAGGATCTCACACTGGAAATACATGCTGCTGCCACTTCATCACCACTGCCATACTGGGAAGGAGATGGAGTTTCCTATCACACAGCTTTCCTAACATTTTTAAGTTGCTTTTTTTCCTTAGATCAGCATTCTATTGGTTGCTGTAAGCCTTTGATTTTTTTCCAGAGTTCCAACAAGTAACAGCGAAGATACGAAATCAACCTAGTTGTCCAACGACAGATGTATGGATAAAGAATATATGGTATACATACATCATAGAATACTATTCAGCCAAAACAAAGAATGAAATCCTGTCATTCATGTAAACATGGATAAGACCGGAGGACATTATGTTATGTGAAATAAGCCAGGAACAGAAAGTTAAACAGCACATGTACTCACTCATATGTGGATGCTTTAAAAAGTTGATCTCATAGAAGTAAAAAGTAGAGCAGAGGATGCCAGAGGCTGGGAAGGGTGGTGAAAAAGGAGGCAGAAGCAGAGGTTGTTAAAGAATACAAAATTACAGCTACACAGAAGGAATAAGTTCCGGTGTGCTATAGCACTGTAGGATGACTCTAGTTATCAATAATATATAGTTTTAAATAGCTAGGAGGATAGTGAATGTTCCCAACACAAATAAATGATAAATGTTTCAGTTGATGGATATGCTAATTGCCCTGATTGATCACTACACATTATATGTATCAATATATCACTATGTACCCCATGAATATGTACAATTATTGCCCAATTAAAAAGAGAAAAGAAAAAAAAAACAAAAAAGTTGGTTATGGAAGCTTCTGCTTGTTTTTTTGTTTTTGTTTTTGTTTTCGAGACAGAGTTTCACTCTTTTTGCTCAGGCTGGAGTTCAATGGCGCAATCTCAGCTCACCACAACCTCTGCCTCCTGGGTTCAAGGGATTCTCCTGCCTCAGCCTCCCAAGTAGCTGGGATTACAGGTATGTGCCACCATGCCCAGCTAATTTTGTATTTTTAATAGAGACGGGGTTTCTCCATGTTGGTTAGGCTGGTCTTGAATTCCCGACCTCAGGTATCCGCCCGCCTTGGCCTCCCAGAGTGCTGGGATTACCGGCATGAGCCAATGTGCCCAACCCGCTTCTGCTTGTTTTTAATGTTCCCATGGGGACATGAAGGCTCAGCAATGCCTACTCTGCCATTTTGCTGATGTCATCTCTTGAGAAGGTAGTTTGGAATCATATACTTTATTTGTATGAGGGTCTGTGCACATGGTGAAAACCTCACTTTTAAATTAAGGGAATTAGTTTGTAGTATTCTGTTTAATTCTGCTGTACTTGAGATTTTCACTAAAATTTAATACTGTCTGATATTACATCCCACCACATGATAATTAACTGCCATGTCAAGATTTTATTTTTTGCTTAGACATAGAATTTGAGAAACCAACATGATTTTTGAAGCTCTAATACAGTGCCTGCCTTGTTCTCAGCACTCTTACCATATTATCTGCTGCATTCTCACCAACTTTCTAGGAAGACATAACATGACAATAAATTTGACAGTGCCTTCTCAAGTGCAAGTCAGTTTTCAGATATGTCATTTCATCACAAATCATTCGCATTTTAAAAATTCCTTGGTTAATTACTTAGTGTTTATTATATTTTTTCTCAATATTATGTGGCACCATTGACAAGGATTTTATTGGGCTAATTTTTCTCAAAGAAGAATAATACGTAGCCACATATACCAAAACCACAGATAACCCAGCTATAATTTTGAGTCCCTATTGCCAAGATAAGGTTCAATGTCAAGTCAAAGAACAACAATCCAAAATATTTTTTAAAAATAATTGGAGCAATCCTACTGTTTTTTACAAAGAATCATAATAAAATCTACTTAGAATCTTCTCATTTTCGCTAGTCTCAAAATCATCCCCTTAGAAGGCAACTGTATCCTCAAATTCAAGCCCTCTAAAAATTGACTCTCTTAAATCCAGCCTAAATGATTCTTGAATCAATCCCAACTCCCTGCCTCCCAGTTTATATTATTTTTTATCCCTGTTGAAGAATCTCCTCCAGTATAACTTTTACCACCCTCCCCCTCCATTCTGCCTAGCTTTAGTTCCTAAGGGTTAAGTGAGCAGCCATGAAGTCTTCCTTAGAAGGCCAAGGAAGAGCTCTAGAATGGGCAGGCTGTGACTGTGTGCTCTCTAACAATATCCAGACCCTTCCACACATGCTTGGTCCTGCTCTTGAGCCAGCTCTAGCCTGTACATCTTCACAAAAACTCTAGGTCAGTCTCCCTGGTGATGGGCCTGGAATATGGTCATCCATGTCCTCAAAGCTCAATGATCAAACTATAGCTGCAGGAGCTCTCTGCTCTTGCTTTTGCCATTATTTCTGACAACAGTGTAGAAATTCCTTATTCCAATATAGCACATATTCTGTATCCAATTTCATGTAAGCCCCACATAAAGTCTCATCTTTGGCAAAAGGGAGAAGAAATTCCTGAACTTTTCTCCCTTGATGGCACCTGCACTGCGGGAGCCATCTCTAACTATGCATGCTGTCAACTCATTGAGCTTTGGCATCAGGAAACTAAGTTCACTTCCAGATCATCTTAATTGAGCTTCTGTGGAAGTGTTGAGGGAGGATTTCTGAGCAGGTAAATAAAATTACACAATGAAAATGAACCCACCATGGTGAGATTGCACCTTTCCCATCTACTCTTGGGGATTCTTATCATAAAAGTTTCAAGTTTTCCTAGAGGAATAATAATAGAAACATTTCATTATTCCAAGAATTATATCATTTTTTAAAATGTCAAATGCATTGTTTCTTTTCTGACCTTTTGAACCCATAATCCAGGATAATTTCCTATCCCTTTTCTCTATTGCCTCCTTTGAACCCAGTAATGAGAACTGTAACCTCAGTAATTATTTCTCTATACAGTCTTATTACATGCTTAGGACTCAGAATAGACATAGAGGATACGCGTCTGTAATGTGTGTCCAAGAATCCATGTCCTGGCTCCGTTAGCCTGACTTAGAATGTAGGGTGCTGTTTTGTGATGTGGGTGTATGGTATTCACTGAGGAACGACTGGGAAGGTGAGATCTCAAAGGACTGAGTTATAATCTACCTCTACATTGAGTTATTTCTTCATGCCTATTTCTGTCATTGTCTTATTTGCAAAAAGGTGAAAAATGCTATTAGCCATACCTATCTCAGGGCAGTGATGATTAAAGGAGAGGACATACAGGAAGATACTTCAGAAAAGTTTACTCTTCAATTTTTTAATACTCTCTAGAAATGTATGTATTATTTATACCAAGAATGTATTCAAAGCTCTGCTGTTCTAGTTAGACATTTTCCGAGGTATTATCTCTCTTCCAGAATGGTGGTGTGAGAAGCTCTGTAAATATGCCTTCCAGTGAAATAGTTACAACTGTTGAGAGCTTTTTAAAAAGCAACCATCTAAAGTCTTTTGAAATTGTTCTTAGAGCATACAGCAAATGAAGAAACACTTATTGAAGCAGATTTACTAAATCTCAGCTAGAACAGTGAGAGTCTGTGACATTTGAGCCAACACTCGCTCCTTCCCCTTAGCTCAGTCCTCTATGGGAAGCTGTGGCCAAGAAGATGGGGCTCCCTTTACCCCAGCTTCCAATCAAAGGCTACAGTAGGCTACTGTATCTCCCTGGAAAGAGCAAGTTGCCAGCATTTTTTATTACCCCACCCCCATTTGTGTTGTAGAGAATAAATTCCATGTGTGTGTGACTGAGAGGGTGATAGCTCCCTTCCTCCACCAAGACTGCACTCACAAGATAGAGGCCCTATCCCAGGCAGAGGAGATGAACACTGGAGTCCCATACTACACTCATCCAGCAGGCTCAAAGGCAACACTTTCACACTGGGAGAGGCAAAACTGAGAAGACCAGAAACCAGTACCCAGCGCCCTGCCTCTGAAGCAGGGTGTCATTCAGAGAGAAGGGTGACATTGTGCTTGTTCCCAGCTCCAGGGCATTGATTCAAAAATGGTTTTCCAGGGGATGGTAGACCATAAGAACAGAGATCTCTGAAGCTTTCTTCAAAGGAAATGAAATTATTTTGGAGCTGAGTGTGGAGAAGCTAAGGCAATTGAGTAGAGGGTGATGGCTCCATACAGCAACAAGCTAAACCATACACCAACTAGTTCATCAAACTGGGAAACAGGCAGACAAGAGAAGGCCCCCAGGAGTCAAAAGAAACCTCAAAAACTAC
This sequence comes from Homo sapiens, assembly GCF_000001405.40. Taxonomy (NCBI): domain Eukaryota; kingdom Metazoa; phylum Chordata; class Mammalia; order Primates; family Hominidae; genus Homo; species Homo sapiens. Next base: position 44,606,698 of record NC_000010.11, on the reverse strand, counting down.
CCCTGTAAAGGGGCCCAAAATAATTAAATCAGACTATGAAGCGATTTATACCCCAGACATTGTTGAGAACAATAGAGAAATTAACCTGCAATTAGTGAAGGCTAACTGCTGAGTGTGATACTAACAGAGGCAGACAACTTAGCACACAGGAGCCAACAGGAGCCCTACTAAAATCTATTATCCCACAGGGTCTGTGTGTATCCCCAGACTTCACTCTCTAAGAAACATCATAGGTTTCACACTGTGAGGAACATAGACTTTACTGAAACAACCAAGTCACTAAACAGATAAGCAATAACAACGGTCCTGGGAGAGGGATAGGTGAGTATCCAGAGGGCTTCAATGGCAAATCAAACACGTATTTAAATAAGAAATAATGTTTTACTCAACACACAAATTCCTCTACAAAATAGAGGAGGCAGGAACACTTCCCAACTTATTTTATGAGACTATTATTATCCTTTTACAAAAGCTGGACAAAGATATCACAAGAAAAGAATGTTGCATACCAATTCCCTCATGAACACAGCACAAAACTTCTTGAAAAATATTAGCAAGCCAAATTGAGGACATACAAAAGACCATTATACACCATGGCCATGAAGGATGTATCCCAAATGGCAAGACTGATCGAACATCCAAACATTAAGTAATGTTATAAACTGTATTAATAGAATGGAAGGAAAAACCACACCTGATTATCTCAATAGTCGCAGAAAACACATTTGACATTATGCAACACTGATTTATGACCAAAACCCTCAACAAACTTGGAAAAGAAGAAAACTTTCTCAACCTGATAAAGGGCATCTGTGCAAAACCTAAAGAGGACATTATACTTAATGGTGAAAGACTGAAAGCTTTCACTCTGATACTAGGAACAAAGACAGGTTGGCAACTCTCACCTCTTCTATTCAACAATGTACTGGAGTTTCTATACAGGGGAATTACGCAGGGAAAAGAAACAGAAGGCATTCGTATTGGAAAGGAAGAACTAATAATGTTCTTCTACATACAAGATGATGTATGTATGTAGAAAAATCCTAAGAAATTCACAAACACACACATACACATACAGAAACATGTAGAACTGTACTTTTACAAGGAAAGCATGGTTGAAAGATACAATATCAATTTACAAAAATTAGCTGTATTCCTCCAATACATAAGTAAATATAAAATTAAGAATACAATTTGTAATGTTGACTTGCATTATTTCTTGGCTCATCTCTAGGTTCACTAAATAAGTGCAGTCAAAATTCAAAAACAAAAGAATATAATTTGTTTCACAATAAAATAAAAAAGAATAAAATACTTAAAAATCTGCTTACCAAAAGAATATTATATTATATTTTTACATTTAAAAATTGCAACTTATTTTTAAGGAAAATTATAGAAGAACCAAATAAATAGAAAAATATCCCATGTTTATAGATAGGAAGAGTCAATATTGTTAAGATGGCAATTCTTCACAAATTGATCTACAGGAAATTCATATCAAAATTCCAGCAGGCTTTGGCAGAAACTTACAATTAGATCTTGAAATGTATATAACAATGTGAAAACCTAGAATACCCGAAATAATTTTGAAAGATAATGAAGTTGAAGTGATAGTAATCACTTCTTGATTTGCAAACTTACTGGTACAGTTATCAAGACAGTGTGATACTGGCATAAGGCTAGGAATATAGATCAATAGACAAAAATTAAAAGTGTATCAATAAATCCCTGTATTATTAAAATGTACACTTGAAATTGATGAATTATATGATATGTAAAATATATCTCAATTAGATTAACTAAAAAGAAAATAGAGGTTGACCTATTCTCACTAAAACTGCAGTCTTGCCCTGACACAGCACAATTTATGATTAGAGTGAAGTGATCATTTGTTCATATTGTCTGTCTAACTGAGGAAAAAATGAACATTCTGAGGAAAATGATCAATTTTATTCTCTAACATTATTTTATATACAACTTCTGGCATAAATTTTTTTAAAAGGAGACAGATGAATAGGAGAAAAATATGACTGATAATCATAATAAAAATCAAGAACAATGAAATAGCTATTATAAATATAAAAAGAAAATAAAATTGAACAAAATGGATGAAAGATGGGAAGTCTAAAAGAACATTTTAATATATAAGATAATCAAATTGTCATTATAAAAATTCAAGACATAATATCTAAACTTAAGAATTCATTGAGTCCATGTCAGAGCAGGCTGGGCAGAGCAGAAGACAGAAATAATGAAGTAAAAAACACGTAAATAGAAAACATCCACACTGAAATAGAAAGAAGAAAAAAGATTGAAAATAGAGAACAGAATATAAGAGACATTAGGAAAGCTTTCAGGTGGTCTAATATGTATTTAATTTAAGTTCAGAAGGTGTGGAGAGAGAACAGGCAAAAACAAGACACGAACTAAAATTTTCAAAATCTGGTATAAGATATCAGACTACAGATTTAAGACATTTAAGACAAAGCGTAAGCAGTTTCAAAAAGGAAAAGGAAAAAAGAAAGCCAACAACTAGGTAAATCAAGCTTTCCCAGATACAGGGCGAAAAAATAGTCAAGCTTTGGATAACCACAGATACAGGGTGAAACAAAAAATTTTAAGCAGCCAGGAGAAAGGTTACATTTATTACTTGCAAAGGGCCAATATTAAGATTGGCAAATCCTAATATTTTCAAGTGAATGCATTTGCCACAAGACAGGGGAAAACCATCTTTAAAAGAATGCGGGGTGTGTATGGGGGGAGGTGACTACTAAGTAAGACAGGTATACTCAGTGAAAACAAGCTCCACAAATGAAAGGTAAATAAAGATATTTCCATGTGAACAAAACCTGGCAGAATTTGTTACCATGAAATCTGTAATAAGTGAAATATTAAAGAAAATATTTCAGTCTGGAGGAAAATGGTCTCAGATGGAAGTGCTAAAAAGGATAAAGGTTGCCAGAAATAGTAAAATGGGGGAAAACACAAAAGAATACTGACTAAAATAATGACAATAACAGTGTCCTGTGGGGTCCATCACATTTGTGAAGTAAAATACATGACAACAATAGCACAAAGAGTGGAGGAAATATATATATATAACAGTTATAAAGTTGTGCGTTATTTTCAACACAATAAAATTACCAATTTAAGGTAGATTACAATATTTCAAGGATGTGTATTAAAATATTCATAATAATCACTAAAAGAGCAAAGCAACAAATATAAAACTAGAAATCTGGTAAAGGAGATGAAATAAAATATGAAAAAACTTGATTCATCCAATAGAAGTCTGGAAAGTAGAGTCAAATAAAAAAGTATGGATACAATAATTAGAAAGCAAATGCCAAAACGAAAGCCCTACACCCAATTATATCAGTGATGATGTTAAATGTAAATGATCTATGCACTTCAATTAAAAGGCAGAAATTTTCAGACTGGATTTAAAAAAAAAAAAAACAAGTATACGCCCTTTAAAAGAGGCATTTTTTAAATATGAGAGACAGATAGGTTAAAATTAAACGGCCCAAGGAAAATTATTGCATATATCAATCAGAGGACTTGCATAAGAATGTTTGCAGCAGCTTTAAATACATAAAGTAGTCTAAATCTGGAAATGACTCAGAACATATCACTGCTACATGCAATACGTGAATAAATCTCACAGGCACCATATTGAGAAAATGGAACTAGGCAAAGCAATGTACATCTTCTATAATTTTATTTATATGATGGTTAACAAGAGTTAAAACTAATCAATGGTGATTGAAATTAGAATAGGTGTTATCTCTGAAGGAAGGAGTATATGGTCTGGGGAATGCACAATGAAAATGCACAATGAAAAGTTAGAGGATAAATGTTCTAAGAGGTCTGGGAAGTGGATATATATATATATATTCACATATATATGTGGATATATATGTGGATATATATGTGGATATATATATTCACATATATATGTGGATATATATGTGGATATATATATCCACATATATATGTGGATATATATGTGGATATATATATACTTATATATATATGAATTTATTGAGCTGTACTTTTAGGATCATTTCCCTTTACTCATTGAAATGTATGTATGTTAGACCTCACTTAAGGAGAAGGAACAAAAACAAGCAAATGCATGAATGCGACCAAAGTGCTTACATGGATTCCTAAATTTCCATTGCTAGAAACTTAGGTTGTAGTCAATTTTTCACTACAACAAAAATATTTTTAGAAGGAAAATGACACCACATTTATTAATCTTAAAAAATAAGAATAAATGATTGTCCATATAATAATGATAAAGATAGCAAAGTAATGATAAAGATAGTCTACTTAATAGGGGCTGCCTCCATCCAGTTATGCAACTCCACTTCCACCTGCTCCCTGTCAATTTTTTTTCCAAAGAGAGCTTTAAATTTCCAAATCCAAATACATAGGAATGAGAAGGCCAAAACAAATTTGTTGCCAATTTCTGAGAATAAAAGGAGGAAGTCACTTCCCATCTGCCCACATTTCTAATGTCCATCCCTTCCTTCTAGGATACAGTCTGAGGGCATCCCTGTTTAACGCACAGAGGAGAAAACCCAGCCAGGTAACTGAGTGTATGACTTGGTCCAATGAAGGTAAGCCTGACGAGGCAGAACCAGTCCACTGTCACAGAGTCACAGATGGCCAGCCCGGAAGGAAAGAGCCGCTGGTTACGAGGTGTGCAGAGACAAGCTAGTATCCCAACACATCCGTCCTGTGGTGCGTGTGCACATCTGGCACCAATTCCCTCACTTCCCTGTCCAGAGAGGCCTGTGTGCGTGCGTGTGTGTGTTTGTGTGTAAGAGCCCTCTAAGCAGGTGAGAACTTCCAGTAAGCAAGGCATACAGGACAGATGTCGGCCAACTCGGACAAGTTAAAGAGGAGGCGGCTAATAAATGTGCTTTCCCAGGGCCACCTCTGGAAGGAAGAGGTCAAGTCACATCAAGATGTTCCTCTTTGCTTTTCACAAGCAAGTCATGTCAATGTTTTAAAAGAGGTTTGGGAGATGAACTTCTGACCCAAATTTGTGCAGACAGGTGAACCTGTCTTCAATTAGTGCTCAATTGCTTCTTCCTGAGATTCTCCAATTTTGCCTCTTCCTCACGGTCCTTTTAAAGAACCTAATATCAGGCCGGGCGCGGTGGCTCACGCCTGTAATCCCAGCACTTTGGGAGGCTGAGGCGGGCGGATCACGAGGGCAGGAGATCGTAGACCATCCTGGCTAACATGGTGAAACCCCGTCTCTACTAAAAAATACAAAAAATTAGCCAGGCGTGGTGGTGGGCGCCTGTAGTCCCAGCTACTCGGGAGGCTGAGGCAGGAGAATGGCATGAACCCGGGAGGCGGAGCTTGCAGTGAACCGAGATCGCGCCATTGCACCTCCGGCCTGGGTGGAGACTCCGTCACAAAAAAATAAAAAACCTAATATCAATGTGTCATCTCTGATTTGTGCCAGCTTAGGCCTCACGCCGTATGTACCACGTGCTTTTGGCAGTCTCTGCAGTGCCTGGTATTGCCCTTACCTCCCTTGCTTCATCCTTCCCTCTGCCCCACCCTTTTTCCCTCCTCTCCCTGCAGGTGCCCTAACTCTTTGCCAGCCCACATGTCATTATCCAGTGTCTCAGGTACCTTCTGCCTTCTTATGGCTTTCTCAGGGCTTTCTTCCATTTCTCGTGGTTCTCCAGGGTCTTTGGGCTCCATGGAGGAGGAGGACGCTCGGTCTCCCTTGTCCAGGCAATCCTGCACAAGAGCCTGTGAGCCAACATACTTCCTGAAGGTACATCCTTCAGTGTGTATTGCCCTCTAGAATTTTCCAGACAGGCGTAGCTGTGCTATGGGACAGAGTTTGAGCATTTCTGTTCAGTTAAAACACCATCTAATCTCATCACAATATCACCCGACTCCTAACAGGAAAGACGTCTGTTAGTGGGAGGCCACCTTTGATTGAGTGTGAAAGGAATAAGCAAGGACAGGCTGGCATGGAGTAAAAGCTACACTGTCCCAGGCTGTGCGCCATCCTTCGGCACTCACCGTGAGCTCTAGGCCCTTGCCTTTGACGTTTCACACCCCTGTGGATCGGGGCCCTTACTATACTGTGAGAATAATATGCCATGATCATTATATGAATAATAAGCGGCATTTCTAATGCCAGAAAACACAGAACTGAGTAGTGACCTGGCCATGCTACATTCATGCAATGGTGAACATTTCCAGTCTGTTGGCCTCATTTTCGACCTCTACAAAAATGTAAATATTAGAAGGATCTTAGAAGTTTATGAATTCTCCTTCAATATGTATCTTTCTATGAATCAGAGTCCTAGGAAGGAACCATAAGCATTTTTTTAAATTTTACTTTAAGTTCAGAGATACATGTGCAGAATGTGCAGGTGTGTTACATAGGTATACATGTGCCATGGTGGTTTGCTGCATCTATCAACCCGTCATCTAGATTTTAAGCCCCGAATGCATTAGATATTGTCCCAATGCTCTCCCTCCCCTCGCCCCACACCCCTTGACAGGCCCCCGTGTGTGTTGTTCCCCTACCTGTGTCCATGTGTTCTCATTGTTCAATTCCCATTTATGAGTGAGAACATGCAGTATTTGGTTATCTGCTCCTGTGTTAGTTTGCTGAGGATGATGGCTTCCAGCTTCATTCGTGTCCTGGAAAAGGACATGTTCTCATTCTTTTTACGACTGCATAGTATTGCATGATATATATGTACCAGATTTTCTTTATCCAGTCTATTATTGATGAGCATTTGGGTTGATTCCATGTCATTGCTATTGTAAATAGTGCTGTAGTAAACATAGGTGCACCTGTGTCTTTACAGTAGACTGATTTATATTCCTTTGGGTATATACCCAGTAATGGGATTGCTGGATCAAATGATATTTCTGGTTCTAGATCCTTGAGGAATCACCACGCCGTCTTCCACAATGTTTGAACTAATTTATATTCCTACCAACATCGTAAGTGTTCCAATTTCTCCAAAGCCTCACCAGCATCTATTTTTTCCTAACTTTTTAATAATCGTCACTCTGACTAGCGTGAAATGGTATCTCATTGTGGTTTTGATTTGCATTTCTCTAATGATCAGTGATGATGAGCTTTTTTCATATGTTTTTTAGTCACATAAATGTCTTCTTTTGAGAAGTATCTCTTCATATATTTTGCCCACTTTTTGATGGGGTTGTTTTTTTCTTGTACATTTGTTTAAGTTCCTTGCAGATTCTGGATATTAGACCTTTGTCAGATGGGTAGATTGCAAACATTTTCTCCCACTCCGTAGGTTGCCTGTTCACTCTGATGGTAGTTTCTTTTGCTGTGCAGAAGCTCTTTAGTTTAATTAGATCCCATTTGTCAATTTTGGCTTCTGTTGCAATTGCCTTTGGTGTTTTACTCATGAAGTATATGCCCATGCCTATGTCCTGAATGGTATAGCCTAGGTTTTCTTCTAGGACTTTTATAGTTTTGGGTTTTACATTTAAGTCTTTAATCCATCTTGAATTAATTTCTATGTAAGGTATAAGGAAGGGGTCCAGTTTCAGTTTTCTGCATATGGCTAGGAAGCTTTCCCAGCACCATTTATTAAATAGGGAATCTTTCCCCATTGCTTGCTTTTGTCAGGTTTGTCAAAGATAAGATTGTTGTAGATGTGTGGTGTTATATCTGAGGTCTCCCTTCCATTCCATTGGTCTATATATCTGTTTTGGTACCAGTACCATGCTGTTTTGGTTACTACAGCCTTGTAGAATTGTTTGAAGTCAGGTAGTGTGATGCCTCCAGCTTTGTTCTTTTTGCTTAGGATTGTCTTGGCTATACGGGCTCTTTTTTGGTTCCATATGAAATTTAAAGTAGTTTCTTCTAATTTTGTGAAAATGTCAATGGTAGTTTGGTGGGAATAGCACTGAATCTATAAATTACTTTGGGCAGTATGACCGTTTTCACGATATTGATTCTTCCTATCCATGAGCATGAAATGTTTTTCCATTTGTTTGTGTCCTCTCTTATTTCCTTGAACAGTGGTTTATAGTGCTCCTTGAAGAGGTCCTTCATATCCCTTGTAAGCTGTATTCCTAGGTATTTTATTGTCTTTGTAGCAATTGTGAATAGGAGTTCATTCATGATTTGGCTCTCTGCTTGTCTGTGGGAATGCTTGTGATTTTTGCACATTAATTTTGTATCCTGAGACTTTGCTGAAGTTGCTTATCAGCTTAAGGAATTTTAGGGCTGAGAAAATGGGGTTTTCTAAATATAGAATCTTGTCATCTGCAAACAGAGACATTTTTACTTTCTCTCTTCATATTTGAATATGCTTTATTTCTTTCTTTTGCCTGATTGCCCTGGCCAAGACTTCCAATACTATGTTAAATAGAAGTGGTGAGAGAGGGCATCCTTGTCTTGTGCCGGTTTTCAAAGGGAATGCTTCCAGCATTTGCCCATTCAGTGTGATACTGGCTATAGGTTTGTCATACATAGCTCTTATTATTTTGAGATATGTTCCATCAATACCTAGTTTATTAAGAGTTTTTCGCATGAAGGGATTTTGAATTCTACTGAAGGCCTTTTCTGCATCTATTGAGATAATCATGTGGTTTTTGTCATTGGTTCTCTTTATATGATAGGTTAAATTTATTAATTTGTGTATTTTGAACCAGCTTTGAATCCCAGGGATGAAGCTGACTTGATTGTGGTGGATAAGCTATTTGATATACTGCTGGATTTGGTTTGCCAGTATTTTATTGAGGATTTTCATATTGAAGTTCAGCAGGGATATTGACCTAAAGTTTTCCTTTCAGTGGTTTCTCTGCCAGGTTTTGGTATCAGGATGATGCTGGCTTCATAAAATAAGTTAGGGAGGAGTCCACCCTTTTCAGTTGTTTAAAATAGTTTCATAAGGAATGATACCAGCTCCTCTTTGTACCTCTGGTAGAATTTGGCTGTGAATCCATCTGCTCCTGGGTTTTTATTGGTTGGTAGGCTATTAATTATTGCCTGAATTTTAGAACTTGCTATTGGTCTATTCAGGGATTCGATTTCTTCCTGGTTTAGTCTCGGGAGGGTGTATGTGTCCAGGAATTTATCCATTTCTTCTAGATTTTCTATTTTATTTGTGTAGAGGTGTTTATAGTATTCTCTGATGGTAGTTTGTATTTCTGTGGGATCAGTGGTGATATCCCTTTTATCATTTTTTATTGTGTCTATTTGATTCTTCTCTTTTTTCTTCTTTATTATTCTAGCTAGTAGTCTATGTATTTTGTTAATTTTTTCAAAAAACGAGCTCCTGATTTCATTAATATTTTGAAGGGATTTTCATGTCTCTATCTCTTTCAGTCCTGCTCTGACCTTAGTTATTTCTTGTCTTCTGCTAGCTTTTGAATTTGTTTGCTCTTCCTCCTCTAGTTCTTTTCATTGTGATGTTAGGGTGTCGATTTGAGATTTTTCCAGCTTTCTGATGTGGGCATTTAGTGCTATAAATTTCCCCCTTCACACTGCTTTAGCTGTGTCCCCAAGATGCTGGTACATTGTCTCTTTGTTCTCATTGGTTTCAAAGAACTTCTTGATTTCTGCCTTGATTTTGTCATTTACCCAGGAGTCATTCAGGAGCAGTTTGTTTAATTTCCCTGTAGTTGTGCAGTTTTGAGTGAGTTTCTTTATCCTGAGTTCTAATTTAATTGCAGTGTCATTGGAGAGACTGTTTATTATTATTTCAGTTCTTTTGTGTTTGCTGAGGAGTGTTTTACTTCCAACTATGTGGCCAGTTTTAGAATAAGTGCCATGTGGCACTGAGAAGAATGTATACTCTATTTATCTGAGGTGGACAGTTCTGCAGATATCTATTAGGTCCACTTGATCCAGAGCTGAGTTCAAGTATTGAATATCCTTATTAATTTTCTGTCTCATTGATCTGTCTAATATTGACAGTGGGGTGTTAAAATCTCCCATTATTATTGTGTGGGAGTCTGCCTCTTTGTAGGTCTCTAAGAACTTGTTTTATGAATCTTGGTGCTCCTGCATTGGGTGCATATATATTTAGCATAGTTAGCTCTTCTTGTTGCATTGATCTCTTTACCATTATGTAATGCCCTTCTTTGTCTTTTTTCGATCTTTGTTGGTTTAAAGTCTGTTTTGTTAGAGAGTAGAATTGCAAGCCCTGCTTTTTTTTTTGCTTTCCATTCGCTTGGTAAATATTCTTTCATCCCTTTATTTTGAGCTTATGTGTGTCTTTGCACATGAGATGGATCTCCTGAATACAGCACACTGATGGGTCTTGACTCTTTATCCAATTTACCAGTCTGTGTCTTTTAATTGGGGCATTTAGCCCATTTACTTTTAAGGTTAATATTGTTATGTGTGAATTTGATCCTATCATTATGATGCTACTGGTTATTTTGCACACGAGTTGATGCAGTTTCTTCATAGTGTCACTGATCTTTATATTTTGATGTGTTTTTGCAATGTCCAGTATGTTTTTTCTTTCCATATTTAGTGCTTCCTTCAGGATCTCTTGTAAGGCAGGCCTGGTGGTGACAAAATCCCTTAGCATTTGCTTATCTGTAAAGTATTTTATTCCTTCTTTGCTTATGAAGCTTAGTTTGGCTGGATATGAAATTCTGGGTTGAAAATTCTTTTCTTTAAGAATGTTGAATATTGGCCCTCCGCTCTCTTCTGGCTCATAGGGTTTCTGCAGAGAGATCCACTCGTAGGGTTTCTGCAGAGAGATCTGCAGAGATAGTCTGATGGGCTTCTCTTTGTAGGTGACCTTACCTTTTTCTCTGGCTGTCCTTAACATTTTTTCTTTCATTTCAACCTTGGGGAATCTGATGATTATGTGTTTTGGGGTTGATCTTCTTGTGGAGTATCTTAGCGGTGTTCCGAATTTGAATGTTGAATTTGAATTTGAATGTCAGCTTGTGTTGCTAGGTTGGGGAAGTTCTCCTCGATAATATCCTGAAGTGTGTTTTCCAACTTGGTTCCACTCTCCCCATCACTTTCAGGTACACCAGTCAATTATAGGTTTGTTCTTTTCACATAGACCCATATTTCCTGGTAGCTTGTTCATTCCTTTTTATTTTTTTCTCTAATCTTGTCTGCGTGTCTTATGTCAGCAAGGTGGTCTTCAATCTCTTATATCCTTTCTTCCACTTGATCAATTCAGCTATTGATACTTGTGTATGCTTCAGGAAGTTCTTATGCCGTGTTTTTCAGCCCCATCAGGTCATTTATGTTCCTCTCTAAACTGGTTATTCTAGTTAGCACTTTCTGTAACCCTTTATCGAGGTTCTTAGCTTCCTTGCATTGGGTTAGAACATGCTCCTTTAGCTAGGAGGAGTCTTTTATTACCCACCTTCTGAAGCCTACTTCTGTCAATTTGTCAATCTTGTTCTCCATCCAGTTTTGTGTCCTTGCTGGAGAGGAGTTGCAATCATTTGGAGGAGAAGAGGCATTCCGGCTTTTGGAATTTTCAGCATTTTTGCGTTGGTTTTTCCTCATCTTCATGGATTTATCTACCTTTGATCTTTGAGGCTGATGACCTTTGGATGGGGCTTTTGTGTGGGGGTCTTTTTTGTTGATGTTGATGTTGTTGCTTTCTGTTTGTTATTTTGTCTTCTAACAGTCAGGCCCCTCTTCTACAGGTCAGCTACAGTTTGCTAGAGGTCCACAGTAGACCCCGTTTGCCTGGGTATCACCAGTGGAGGCTGCAGAACAGCAAAGATTGCTCCTTGCCCCTTCCTCTGGAAGCTTCATCTCAGCAGGGCACTGACATGATGCCAGCTGGAACTCTCCTATATGAGGTGTCTGGAGACCCCTGTTGGGAGGTCTCACCCAATCAGGAGGCACGGGGTCAGGGACCCACCCAAGGAAGCAGTCTGACTGTTCCTTAGAGGAGCTGGCATGCTGTGCTGAAGGAATCTCTCTCATCCAGATTACCTAGACTCTCCAGAGCCAGCAGGCAGGAAAGATTAAGTCTGCAGAACCTGAGACCATGCTGCCCCTCACCTCAGGTTCTCTGTCCCAGGGAGATGAGAGTTTTATCTGTAAGCCCCTGAGTAGCTGCTGGATTTCCTGAAGAGATGCCCTTCCCAGTGAGGAGGAATCTAGAGAAGCAGTCTGGCCACAGCCACTTTGCCATGCTTTGGTGAATTCTGCCCAGTCCAAACCTCCCAGCCTCCTTAGCACTGTCAGGGGAAAATCGCCTACTAAAGCCACAGTAATGGTTGTCACCCCTCCCCCCACCAAGCTCAGACATCCCAGGTCAGCTCCAGACTGCTGTGCTGGCAGTGAGAATTTCAAGGCAGTGGTTCTTAGCTTGCTGGGCTCTGTGGAAGTGGGACCCGCTGAGTGAGACCACTTGACTTCCTGGATTCAGCCCCCTTTCCAGGGGAGTGGAGAATTATCCTGTCTCATTGGAGTTCCAGGTGCTGCTGGATTACGAAAAACCTCCTGCAGCTTGGTGCCTGCCCAAACAGCTGCCCAGTTTTGTCCTTGAAACCCGGGTCCCTGGTGGTGTAGGCTCATGAGGGAAACTCCTGATCCAAGGATTGCAAAAATCCATGGGAAAAGCATAGTACCCTGGGCAGGTGGCACAGTCCCTCACCGCTTCCCTTGGCTAGGGGAGGGAGATCCTCCGGCTCCGTGCACTTTTGGGTGAAGCAACGTCCCACTCTGCTTCTGCTCACTGTCTGTGGGTTGTACCCACCACCTAACCAGTCCCAATGAGATGAACTGAGTACCTCAGTTGGAAATGCAGAAATCGCCTGCCTTCTGCATTGGTCTTGCTGGGAGCTACAGAACGGAGCTGTTTCTATTCAGCCATCTTGACCCCTCCTGCCAAGCATCGTTTATTTAAAACATTTTTTATAGTTTTATGGTGCTGACACACAGGATATGCCTGAAATTTTGTAAAATAAATAACAATGTTCAAGCAAATAACACATTTATAAACCTGCCCCAAAGATGCAATAAATAACAGTCCTGGAAAGAAGTAACTATTCTCAGAGTTCCCAGGGCCCAGAAGGGTACACAACCAACCAGCCCAGGGACACCAAGGCTCTGTCTCTATCCCACAAACAAAACCTGCGATGCTGCATTGAGGTCACTGCCCAGCACCACCTGCCCGGCCTCCAGGTTCAAGCCCCAGGAAAGTCAGAATAGAAGAAAATAGAAGTGAGCAGTAAGCAGTAAGAACTTACTTTTATAGATAGTTTAATTTCTATGAAAATGTTCATTATATTTTTGGATAACTAAATATATATGAGTAAGTCAAAGGAAAGATAAGGAGACCTCCCTTCCTGCTTCTTTCCCTCCCTCTCTTTCGTCCTTCCTCACTCCCTCCCTTCCTCTCTCTTTCTCCCTCTCCTGAACTGTGCCAAGGTAGCATCTCCTTTAGCACATCTTCTGGTAAGATCTGATATAGTTCTCTTTACTGGGATGTAGGTGAGGTGATGTTAAAATTGGGACTCAGGGGCAATGGGACCCCATAGCTCTCTGCTCTCCCTTGTCACCCTCTAACAGCCCCTGGAGGAGCTGACCCAGCCTCTAGCATAGCCTTCTCTATGAAGTGACCATGAAACCCATCTTCCAACCTGCCCCTCGAGTCCCTCCAATGCCACATTACAGAGGCCCGTACGACTTGGATGACATTTTACCAAACTCAGCATGCCCAGATTGACTATCTTTTCCTTCCAACTCTCCAATATCTGTGGGATCTGGCTCTATCATTTTCCCTTAGAAAGGTTTCACATGTCTGGTCCTTATTCTTTATCCACACCATTGTCTCCTAGAATCGCATAATGGGGAAGGGATCTCAAGGGCTACTTGGCCTCATCCCCACCATCACATCCCCTAGGTGTTCCTGCAGGAGTATGGAAGGCACGGTCTGCTGCTGGGACCCCAGGGTCATACATGTTAGCTGGAGTCACCTCCCGCCTTCATGATCTTCATGCCTTCTGCCTTCTGGGACCCATAAAACAAAACAAATCACTCCTGCACAGGACAGCCCAAATAAATTTAAAGCATGGCTGTGTCATCTCTGGGCCATTTCTCGGCACTATTCAATTCTGCATATGACATTTATCCCTCCACTCCCAGGTCAGCCCCCTCTGCACACACACTCAACATGAAGACCCTGATTCTAGTGTGGTCTTTGGGTATAAAGCCCTAGGAGGTCATCTCCTTCCTAAACATTCCAGGCTCCCTGGCCAGAGGTCTGAAGCTGGTCTCAGGGAAGCAGGTGGGTGTGCAGCAATACTGCCCTCTCTGTGGCTCTCAAAGGCATCTAGAGCAACTTGAATCACTACTGACTAGGTCCAGGCTGTTTATTTTATAATGTTAAATCATTATGTGCAGGCCAGTAATATTGTCTGAGAATTACTTGAGAATTCTACAATATAGCTGGGCTTTAATTTTTAAAGTAGAGTAACTCACAAAATTAGTATATGATCCCACACTACATGTGGTTAATTTGTCAGCTTGGCTATGTTGTGGTACCCAAGTATGGGATTAAACATCAGTCTGGATGTTGCTGTGAAGATTTTTTTTAGAGGAGAAATGACCTCACTCCCTTGCTGAATACTTCCTTCCATTGTACTCTTATCAATATGATAACTTTTTCCTGTTACTTCCAAATCCCACGTGATCAAGGTCTTTTCATTTTCTGCTCTTTCTGGAAAATTCTACTAGATATTTGCAAGTTGGCTCCTTCCCTTTCTACAGTTCTTAGCTTCAAGTTCACTTCCTTAGGTCTTCCCTTGACCACTGTCTCTAAAGTGACCATCACACCACCTACCCGAATTATAATTCTTTGCTTAGACTTCTCCTCATTTTCTGATAGATTGATTGCTGTGGTTCCCACACTCATTTTGCTTGTACTTTCATCTACAGAACTCCATTAGGGTGGATGGAGAGGAAGAGACTAAGGATTCACACATCACGAAGACATTTGTGGAAGACGGAGTGTGTTTCCATTATCCTTTCAGAGTTTGCAAACGAGGCGGTGCCCAGCATAGACAGGTTCTCTGCCCACCCATCCTGAATCCACAAGGCCACAGATGCAGAAAGGATATTTAATAAAGTTCAACACTGAGTCCTGACAAACACTGCAAGAAAGCTCAAACGGAAAGGAAGTTCCTTACTGTGATTGAGAATATATCATACTTCTGGTATGCTACTGAAAGCTTCTGAGGTTGGGGATAAGACAAGGGCTCTGTCTGTCACCATTTCTCTTGAACCTTACAATGGAATTTGGCACTATGGGAGTTGCAAATCAACACAGTGGCCACTCAAGGAGAAGCAAGGGGTGGCTGGAAGGAGAGGTGCCCCTGGAGTTCTGTAAAATCTGCTTCTTGATGTGCCTTTGAGTGTTCTCTTTGTGTAAATTCTTTGAACTGCACTCTTATGATTTGTGCATATTTCCCTATGAAAATTATACCTCAATAAAATATTGACTTAAATAACAGAAGCAATCTGGATGTCCATCACTGGGGGAATGGATAAATCAAAATATATTTCTATTGTGATAATTTGTCCAACAGTTTGAAAAGAATAAGAGTGATCTCTATATCTTAACTTGGAAAAAACCTCCAAGACATAATAGTACGTGAGAAAGGAGAGTTGTCTTATATTCTCATTTGTGGATATGTGTGAATATTAAACATTTTTTAAAAGACTTAGGAGATAGGCTGTAGAAGACAAAATGAAAATTCTGTTTTTGCTTTATTATATTATTTGATTAGTTTGTAACAAAAATATATTCCTGCTCCACTTGTGTAAATGAATATTTTCTAGATGGATGCAGACGAGACCATGGCTGATGGCGTAGGGTGGGGTGCCTGGGGGACAGAACACTGCCTTTGTTGGGGGTCCTGCAGGAGTTGGGGGTAGCGACCTGGAGGCATCAGGGCTCCACCTCCCGTGCCATCTTTCAGTAGCTGGGAGACTTCGGCAGGCGGCTGAGCCTCTGACTTGGTGTCCTCGAGTCGGAAAGGGAAGGTGGAAGGCAGCGATGGTCACAACCCGTCCAGTCCTGCTGGGTTGTTTCTCTCCCACATGGGACTCTGTGTAAAATATGTGTGGGAGAATCAGACCTTTCAGCTGAACCTTGACTTTCAGTCAACTTTTCATTCTGTCCTAAAATTGGAGAGAAAATGATCTTGAGGGGCATGGTTTTAAGAGGTGTTGACTGATGACTCTGTGTGGGATGAAGAGCTGGTTCCTGCACACCAATTTCTGGGGCTAGGGTGCCCCCACCCCCAGATTCTCAGTCTCCTGGCAGCATTTCAACACACCATTGCTGTTTGTCCTTTGGTGCCTGAATGGGGAGACAAAGTCTGAGATTGTTACTTTAACAGGGAGGAACTACAAACAAATAGCAAGGCATAAATCTAGGTTTGAAAATAAACAGTCTGCACAGACAGCTCCTCCGGCTGCCTCCCTGTGAGTGGAGTGACAGGTCACCCAGCTGCCTAGAGCCAACAGAACCCCTACCTGTCAGTCTCACTGATTGCTCAAGGCACATCACTCGCATCTCCCTGGAGCCTGGGCCTGCTCAGCTGAGGTGAGAGCTCTTCTTGCAATCTAGCTGGTGTTAACCTCATCTTTTTCCTCCCACCTCCTTTGGCAGACAGCTCCACCCCTATTCCCAGCTGTCCTGGGACTGCCTCAACACCGGCCCTCTTCTCTGGGCTGTGCGGGGCCCTGCACGCATCACCACACTCTTAGCTGCAGCTGGGATCAATGTCATTTTGGGGAACAGAAGCCCCAATCACACATCAGCGGGGGCCATGAAGGGGCAGATTCCTCCTGCAAGCCACACATACTGCTGCTGTGTTCAGGCCAAGCCTCCTGGAAATTGTCAAAAAGGGCCGTTGCCTCTTTCAGATGGGCCCTCCTTAATCCTTCATTGGGAGTTTAATTGGCACCACCTTGGGGGCGCTGTGTGTTTACAAAATGATATACAAACCCAGACATTCATCAGCGCTGTCAGTGTCTTTGGAGTGATAAATAGTGGCAAGGCTCGATCAAAATGCTTCTGGAGCTAATCCCAAATTAACTTTTCTTTGCCTTGCCAAGAAGAAATACGAGAGCAATGAAGGTTTTATGATAGCCCATAATCTCACGATTAAACAAGTGACTGAAAAAATGGGACAATGTATTATTTTTAATTGAAAGGCAGGAACCAAAATAAACACGAGCATCCCCGAGTCCTTCTGGTGACAAGCCCCAGTATGCCTAAGCTTTAATACCAACCCCAGCCCACCTCCGAGGCAAGTGCGCAGTGCTGGGGGTGCGGCCGTGGATGGAGCGCGCAGCACCACGCCAGGCTGGCTGGCATCTGCTGGTGTGCTGTCTGATCAGTTATAAATGGGCTGTCTCCAGAACTGTTTTCACACGTCCACTTGACTCCAACAGTTGCCCAAATTAAACCATTGGAATTCTATGGGTAATTGAGTTTAAGGTTTAACCTTACCTACAAGTAAATAACCCAATTCCACCAGGAGAACCACCACATGGTCTGGAAAAAATCTGAAAAGGAACGAAAGGCCTCGATAGCAGAATTGCCAACAAGGGGGAGAGAAGGGCAGGGGCGGCAGGGCTGTCATTTGCCCTCCGGAGAGTAATATAAACTACAGCTTAGCTTCCCCTCCAGACCACCCAGTTTTATCTCTTTAGAAAAACATTAGCACATTTGAAATGTCTGAGTAGCTCGGGAAGCCACTCAGGAGTTATTGAGAAGAGGCTGCCTGTCTTCATTTTCCATTAGCAGAAGGACACAGCAGGATAGTTGGGGTACACCGAAGCAATTGCCAAAAAATTCCAGATAAATATTTTTAAATTGCATCGTAAGGGCAAAATACTCTTTTCTTCTTTCTCCTGTTTAAATTAAATTCAACTAATGCATTTGGTTATAGACGCTTACAACCTGCCTATTCTGGATGGCTTCAAAGTTGAGTCAGTAAGAACTTTAGAATCGATTGTCCTCACTATGGAATATGTCTTGCCTTTTGCTCTCCTTTCCATATTTGAGATTTTGAAAACTCTTTTTCTTTGAGAAAGAGAAGTCTAGTTGGTGGGCCTCATTTTAGCAACCAGGATGGAGATTTGAGAAGAATGCAGTTCCCAGGCCTCTTTGTACTGCTGGACTTCCCTCCAGACAGGTCCGGGTGCTCTTTCATTCCCCACAGTCAGTGAGCCAGAGAAACGACCCAGCACCACCCGGATCCTTTGGCTTGTGGAAGTTCTCCATGATGTGTAGACTCCAGGACACTTACCAGCCTGGATCCAGTTCCTGGTATCACTTTCCACATTCAAACATTTCCACATATTTTGTAAGAAGATGATGAACTTTATTTCCCCTCCTTCACTCTTATTTTTCTGAGTGTTCTTGCAGCAGGTGATTTGTTACCTGCGTATCTCCAGCTGTCAGCCAGGGCCGTCTCTGCTAAGCAAATCTCAGCAGCAGCGCCAGAAAAATGTCTGTCCAGGGATTTGCAGAGATCACAGAGCAGACCGAAGCTGCTCAGGAAGTCCAGCAGCTCTGCCACTAGTGCTTCCGTGGAGCAGCCCCCACTGATGCCTCTGCAGTGTCCGCCCTCTGGCCCTGACAGCAGCCTGTGAGATGGTTCTATGGGTGAGAGGTTCTGATGCTCCAGCAGGCTGTCTTGGGGGCTGTTCTGCACATGTGCTTCTCACCCAGAACCCTATCCTGAGGAGGGCCCAGGGAGGGCGGGGAGGCAGCAGTGGTCCCAGTACCAGGACTCTCTCGTCTCACAGAGTTGAAGCACAACAAGCCCTCACTGTAGAGCCGATTCTAGAATGCATGGGCAAGTGGAGTGGGGCACTGAGTGTAAGGAAGGGTCTGTGTAAAACAGCCCCTCCCCAGCCTTGCCATAGCAGGGGGCTGACCATGAGTCTGAAGAGCCAAGGGACACCTCTCAAGCTGCCTCAGCCCAGTGTGCCAGTCCTGAGAGGGGAGCAGCCCACAGGGATGGCACAGCTGGGTGGACACATGGGGATGGTCACTGTCCCTACCTCATCCCTATTCCCTGGAAGTGACCCTGCTTTCCAGGCCCTGTCCTATCCCTGGTCACTCCAAGAGCTGACCAAGCGTCAACTGGACAAAACAGAGGAGAGTTTTTCTTTGCAAGTTCACAGTAGGATAGGGAAAGAGATTCGGGTCTTTATCCTCTTAGCCCAGCCTGGTCTGGTCAGGGAGGGTCAGCGGGGGACCGGGCTGTGTGAACTAGTCTGTGACTGGGGACCCAGCTGTCCCCAGGTCCCCATAATGTTTAGGGTCTGCCGGCCAGGACACAGAGACAGCCCTGCACTTGCCAATGAGCTGTGGCCTCTTGGGCAGCTGCTTAATCTCCAGGATCCCCAGCTGGGCATAATTATTCCTTCCTGGAAATAATAGTGTGGGTGGCAACCGAGAGTAGTGCTCCTCAACCTTTTTGGCACCAGGGACTGGTTTTGTGGACAACAATTTTTCCATGGATGGGGGTGCATGGGAGGGGGCACAGGCTTAGGGTTTTGGGATAAAACTGTTCTACCTCAGATTATTGGGCATTAGATTCTCATAAGGAGCGCACGATCTAGATCCCTTGCACGCACAGGTCACAACAGAGTTCGCTCTCCTATGAGGATCTGATGCTGCCACTGATCTGTCAGGAGGCAGAGCTTAGGCTGTAATGCTCCCTCGCCCACAGCTCACCTCCTGCTGTGCAGCCCAGTTCCTAACAGGCCACGGACTGGTACCGGTGCCCTGATCAAGAGCATGTATCTGAGCAGTGTCAGGTAAACATCAAAACATGTTAGAAACTAAGGAGAAGGTTGGGAAAAGGCACCCAGAGGAAGGAATAATCACGGTGTCTACAGGTGTGTGCTGCTGAGTCTCCATGGAGCTTTTAAGCAGGGGTTCTCAGACATTAGTGTGCATTAACATCACCTAGAGGGCTCTTCAAAGGGCACATGGGTGGGCCCACTCCAAGAGCTCCTGACTTGAGGGTGGGACCTGAGAATGTGCATTCTAATAAGTTCTCCAGCACTACTGAGGCTGCTGGTCTAGAGGCCTCACTTTGAGAACAGCAGCCCTTGTCTGCCTGCCTGGGGAAAGAAGTGAGATAGCTCCTGGGCCTCAGAGGAGCTGGATTCAGGACGAAGGGCTGCTCCTAGTCAGGACCTATAGCCACCACCCTCCCTCCCTTGCCACACGCCTTGCCCGGCTGTGGACAAGCCTAGGAACTGGTCTCAGCAGCCCTTTTGCTTGCTTCAGTTGCCCATCCACTGCTCCTCAGAACTGGTCCAGTGCCTCCCCAGCAACACTTACTTCTCCCCCATCCTCCCTTCACCTGCAGAGACTCCTACCTCCTGCTTGCCTAGAAAACCCAGTCTCCAATTCACTCTCCAGAAAAGTAACTGCACAGGACGCTCGGAGACACGTGCAAGATCGTTGCTTACAACACTGCAGAAGAAAACAGCTGGAAACATGCTATCTGTCTACCCACAGGTAAATGATTGAATAGGCTCTGAATCACACATCTGCAGAATATAAAATTAAAAAAAGAAAAACAGAGCACAGAAATATGTACTTTTATAGTCTGTGTTAATTTATAGATAAAACA
This sequence comes from Homo sapiens, assembly GCF_000001405.40. Lineage (NCBI taxonomy): Eukaryota > Metazoa > Chordata > Mammalia > Primates > Hominidae > Homo > Homo sapiens. Next base: position 44,586,049 of record NC_000010.11, on the reverse strand, counting down.
TAAGAGATATATAGCCGATTAAAAGAGTTGACCATCTCCAGGCAGAAGTCTAGGATGGTGACAGGGTCAAGAGGAACTTTTATTTCTTCTGTGTTATTGTCTAACTTGAATAAGTTTTACATATGTGTGTGTATTTGTGTGTGTGTCTTTATATGTATAATATGTGTGCATATATAAACATACACATGTATGTGCTAGTGTAAATGAACCTACTGAGATGCCAGACATATAAAGTAGAGCACATGCAATTATGTACAATGTATAATGCTTGATAATAAATGACTCTGTTACTGGCTTATGTATTTACTATGCTTTACATTTTATTGTTATTTTAGAGTGTGCTTCTTCTATTTTAAAGTTAACTATAAAACAGCCTCAGGCAGGTCCTTCAGGAGGGATTCTAGAAGAAGGCATTGTTACCATAGGAGATGACAGCTCCATGAGTGTTATTTCCCCTGAAGACCTTCCAGTGGGACAAGATGTGGAGGAGGAAGACAGTGATATTGATGATCCTGACCATGTGTAGGCCTAAGTTAATGTGTGTGTTCATTTCTTAGTTTTTAACCAAAAAAAAGTTTAAAGAGTAAAAAAAAAAAAAAAATAGAAAAAAATTTATAGAATAAGGATATAGAGAAAGAAAATATTTTTGTACAGCTATATAATGTGTTTGTGTTTTAAGCTAAGTGTTATTACAACAAAGTAAAAAAGTTAAAAAAATTAAAAGTTTAAAAATTTATAAAGTAAAAAAGTTACAATAACTAAAGTTAATTTACTATTGAACAAAGGAATTTTAAAAATAAATTTAGTGTAGCCTACAGTAGTGTACAGTAATGTCCTAGGCCTTCACATTCATTCACCACTCACCCAGTGACTTACCCAGAGCAACTTCCAGTCCTGCAAGCTGCATTCATGGTGAGTGCTCCATAGGGGTGTGCCATTTTTTAAATCTTTGATGCCATATTTTTACTGTACCTTTTCTATGTTTAGATATATTTAGATACACACATACTCACCACTGTGTTATAACTGCCTGCAGTACTGAGTACAATCACATGCTGTACAGGTTTGTAGCCTAGGCGCAATAATAGGCTGTAGCATAGAGCCTCGGGGTGTAGCAGATGCACCATCTAGGTTTATGTGTCACTGTGTGGGGTTCATACAATGATGAAATCACCTAAGTATGCATTTCTCAGAAGTATCCCTGCTGTTAAGTCACACATGAATCTATACGTCTCTCTTTCTCTCTGTGTATATATATATTTATACACACACACACATATGTGTATATATATTTATACACACACACGTATATATACATATATACATATATAGAGATAGATGTATATGTGGGAAAAGAGGAGAGGGGGCTGAGGGACATGGATTTCTGCCCTTGACCTCTCCCTGCCTCTATATTTGGCATCCACCCTAACCCCCAAAAACTGCTCTTGCTGAGGTTGGCAGGGCCTCTGTATTCCCAAAGAGGCCATGCTCAGCTCTCACCACATGGACCATCTGAGTTGGACCTCCTCCTCTTCTTGCAGCTCTCTAGATTATAGATATGGATGCTTTATAATGATTGACTTTCCAAAAACTTTTACTATGGATGCTTTCAAGGGAATTGCATGAAAATTAAGAATTGATTTGGAAAGAAGTCATTGTTGAAGTATTTAGAGAGCCTTGATGCTTCCGCATTTGTCCAAACACTCTTTCACATCTCTGGAGAAATGGGTTTCTAGTTTTCATCATTTAGATCCTGTGCATACCTCATCAGACTTATCACTAGAGATTTAGGGTGCTTTTATATGATAAATGACATCTCCATTTCTTTTTTTTAAAATTTTATTATTATTATACTTTAAGTTTTAGGGTACATGTGCACAACGTGCAGGTTTGTTACATATGTATACATGTGCCATGTTGGTACACTGCACCCATTAGCTGGTCATTTAGCATTAGGTATATCTCCTAATGCTATCCCTCCCCCCTCTCCCCACCCCACAACAGGCCCCGGTGTGTGATGTTCCCCTTCCTGTGTCCATGTGTTCTCATTGTTCAGTTCCTACCTGTGAGTGAGAACATGCGGTGTTTGGTTTTTTGTCCTTGTGATAGTTTGCTGAGAATGATGGTTTCCAGTTTCATCCATGTCCCTACAAAGGACATGAACTCATCATTTTTTATGGCTGCATAGCATTCCATGGCATATATGTGCCACATTTTCTTAATCCAGTCTATCATTGTTGGACATTTGGGTTGGTTCCAAGTCTTTGCTATTGTGAATAGTGCCGCAATAAACATACGTGTGCATGTGTCTTTACAGCAGCATGATTTGTAATCCTTTGGGTGTATACCCAGTAATGGGATGACTGGGTCAAATGGTATTTCTAGTTCTAGATCCCTGAGGAATCGCCACACTGACTTCCACAATGGTTGAACTAGTTTACAGTCCCACCAACAGTGTAAAAGTACTGTATTCCTTCATTGCTGCTTGTAATTACTGCTTGAAAAGCTATCTTTTTAAACAATTTGGGTCATTTTATTAAACTTTTTTATTCTCGGAGATTTGATAGTCTTGAGCATCATTAAGATAAAAATTAAAGTGTTCTTCCCCCAAATTGTCTTTTAATTTATAATTCATATCTTGTTTAGTTGACTTCCAGACAATGTAAAATCATAATGGTGGTAGGTAGCTAACCCTAGTCTCTTTGCTGATTTTTGTTTTAGAAGCTATATGATGATTTGGTTGTAAAAGTATAAATAAATGGCAAAAAGGATACTTTTTTTTTTTTTTGAGATGGAGTCTTACTCTGTCACCATGCTGGAGTGCAGTGGTGCGCTCTTGGCTTACTGCAACCTCCTCCTCCCAGGTTCAAGCAATTCTCCTGCCTCAGCCTCCCGAGTAGCTAGGACTACAGGCACACACCACCACTCCCAGCTAATTTTTGTATTTTCAGTAGAGATGAGGTTTCACCATGTTGGCCAGGATGGTCTCGATCCCTTGACCTTGTGATCCCCCCCGCCCCTCGGCCTCTCAAAGTACTGGGATTACAGGCATAAGCCACCGCACCTGGCCCAAAAGGATACATTTTTTTCTTACCTTTCTAGGGTTTCTTTTCCTAGAATGAAAGAATGAATGTTGATTTTTATCAAATTACTTCAGTGTCTTTTCTGCTTTACTTACGTTCTATTTTTTACATTTCTTAATATTAACCTTTTATTCCCTGGGATACATCATTTTGGGTCCTGGTGAATGATAATTTCATGTACTGTAGGATTCAAGTTGTTACCTTGCTTTTTGCTGAGATGTGTTTTCATCTATAGTCAACATTTGAAAGTCATGAGATGTGTCTGAAGACCATCATAAATCCCCAGATTTCCCAAAAAGCATAGCAAAAAGACACATATAAGCCTTCCTCATCTATTAGTTATCAGTAATGTTAGTAGGACTTCTTCACTTTCTCATGAATCATACATGAGTCTTCTAGTGTTTGCTCCTTGGGAGTGTGTCCTTATAATGCAGACGTGGTCATGGTCATTTTTGAATTCCCCTGTAAGCAGGCCCTGTGAGGAGGATTTGGCTACAGGCAGGCATTTGAGGCAGGATCCCAGGAAGCAGGAGCCAGAGTAGAGGAGGGAGCAAGAAAAGCAGGAAAGCCAGGGAAGGGTGAATTCACAGCTAGCTTTCTCTGCAGATAACCAGGGCTCGATTCGGCCAGGTCCTGGCTGAGAAGCCTGTGGAACATACCCCAGCATGGTCCTTCAGAGACGGAGGAGAGGGTGTGGATGCTGACCTCCGGGTGCTCACTGCTTGAATGCAGCAGCTTTTCTGTTCCGCGTTCCCTAAGGCTGAGTGAGTGAGTGCCCAGAGCCGGGACAGCAGAGCAGGCCCCAGGGCAAAGTCTCACTGTTAGATGGGAACCAGCAGCTGGCATGGGCCATTCCCACAGCTGCAGCTGAACGCAGGAGATGTGGTGTGGTGTCAAAGCAGCTGCTACAACCAGCATTCCTGAGGTAGCTTTTAAAAACTTCAATCTCCCATCTTACAAGAGATCTTGGCCCCAGTGAAAGTACACATTAAACATTCCCCCAACTAGCTCCTGCTGAATTATCTACAGACTGTATGGCGAAGCTGTTCAGGTCAATGATGAACATGAATAGAAACTTTAACAGAGAAAGGAACCAGTTTATTGGAGTGACTCCATTCCTGACACTTTGCTGCTTTGCATGCCACCATGGTGTCTTTAAAACAGCCCTCCTTTCCTCCAGAGACCTGGGTCAGGGTCTAGCCTTTGTCCCCAAGAGCACATCTGGAGCAAGCCATTCCTTAGTGCTGAGGCCCTGGTGCTGCCCACCCCAGACCCCTGCAGTGCTGAGCCTCACCTCAGATGCACCCACCTTTCACCTCACCTCTGACTCCACCCTGTCCTCTGGGATGGGGTGAAAAATCCAAAAAATATTAGGAAAGAGAATGATGCTTTTGTAACTTACATTACTTGGTAATGAAATAAGCTGAAAATTTAATAGTTGAGACTTTTGAGTCATGCCAGGATGTCCCAGAGCTGCAGGGAGACACTCCTCCTTCACTGAAGCCCCTTGAAGTCTGGGAAATGTAAAAGATGCTGCCCAGGCATCACCTCTGGGTACCAGTCAGCCCTGCTTTGACCCAGTGTGTCATCATAGAATCATTACATGATCACACGTTATGGCCTTTTGCACATGAGCAGAAGAAAGGTACAGGCTCTGGCTCCTCAGTCTTTAGATCCCACTTGCTAGAGCAATGTTTGACACACACGGAGTATCATTCAATGAGCTCCTGAAACAGATTAGCCCATCCAAAGACCTGCAGGGCTCCATCCCTCAGCTCTGGGTCTTTGTTTAAATATCAGCTTCTCAGGAAGACTTTCACTGACCATCCTTCTAGAATAGCAAACCCCACTCTAAACCATCCCTGTTTTCTCAGCTTCATTTTTTTCCATAGCACTCACCACCATCTGACACCCTCCATGTTTTACCCACTTGGGGTGTGTTGGCCCTTCCTAGAATGTGACCTCCATGTAGCTAGAGTTTTTGCTAGTTTGGGTCACTGCTGAAACCTCAATACCTAAAACAGAGCCTGGAACATAGAAGCATTCAATAATTTTTGCAGCCTAAAGAGTAAATAAAAGAATGAGTAAAAGAATTATTGTCACCAGTGCTTTAGACTGTGGCCACACTATTCTCAGCTGATACTCTGAGACACAGACATTGAAAATGCCAGCAAACCTTTGAGAGGCAAAGCTAGCATGTTTCACATAAATTAAATATACTTAAGACTAAATAAAATATTAGATAATGTTATACTATTTGTTTGACTGATCAAAGAAAAAACTACCCCCAAAGAAGTGTAGCCCTGGAGGTCAGATCTGGGAAAGCCAGTGTGCCTCTGGTAGGGTATTTAAATACTCATCACAAGAAATGTCCCCTAAAGTTTTTATGGTTTTAGGTCTTACATTTAAGTCTTTAATCCATCTTGAGTTAATTTTTAATAAGGTGTACAGAAGGGGTCCAGTTTCAGTTTTTTGCATATGGCTAGCCAGTTTTCCCAACACCATTTATTAAATAGGGATCTTTTCCCCATTGTTTGCTTTTGTCAGGTTTGCCAAAGATCAGATGATTGTAGATGTGTAGTGTTATTTCTGAGGCCTCTGTTCTGTTACATTGGTCTATATATCTGTTTTGGTACCAGTACCATGCAGTTATGGTTACTGTAGCCTTGTAGTATACTTTGAAGTCAGGTAGCATGATGTTTCCAGCTTTGTTCTTTTTGTTTAGGATTGCCTTGGCTATATGGGCTCTTCTTTGGTTCCGTATGAAATTTAAAGTAGCTTTTTCTAATTCTGTTAAGAATGTCAATGGTAGCTTGATGGGGATAGCACTGAATGTAGAAATTACTTTGGGCAGTATGGGCATTTTCACAATATTGATTCTTCCTATCCATGAGCATGGAATGTTTTTCCATTTGTTTGTGTCCTCTCTTACTTCCCTGAGCAGTGGTTTGTAGTTCTCCTTGAAGAGGTCCTTCATATCCCTTGTAAGCTGTATTCCTAGGTATTCTATTCCCTTTGCAGCAATTGTGAATGGGAGTTCACTCATGATTTGGATAGGCAATACCATTCAGGACATAGGCATGGGCAAAGACTTCATGACTAAAACACCAAAAGCAATGGCAACAAAAGCCAAAATTGACAAATGGTATCTAATTAAACTAAAGAGCTTCTGCACAGCAAAAGAAACTATCATCAGAGTGAACAGGCAACCTACAGAATGAGAGAAAATTTTTGCAATCTATTCATCTGACAAAGGGCTAATATCCAGAATCTACAAGGAACTTAAACAAGTTTACAAGAAAAAAAAAACAACCCCATCAAAAAGTGAGTGAAAGATATGAACAGACACTTCTCAAAAGAAGACATTTATGTGGCCAACAAATGTACAAAAAAAAGCTCATCATTACTGGTCATTAGAGAAATGCAAATCAAAACCAAAATGAGATAACATTTCACATGGGTTAGAATGGTGATCATTAAAAAATCAGGAAACAACAGATGCTGGAGAGGATGTGGAGAAATAGGAACGCTTTTACACTGTTGGTGGGAGTATAAATTTGGTCAACCATTGTGGAAGACAGTGTGGCAATTACTCAAGGATTTAGAACCAGAAATACCATTTGACCCAGCAACCCCATTACTGGTATATACCCAAAGGATTATAAATCATTCTACTATAAAGACACATGCACATGTATGTTTATTGCAGCACTATTCACCATAGCAAAGACTTTAAACCAACCCAAATGTCCATCAGTCATAGACTGGATAAAGAAAATATAGCACATATACATTATGGAATACTATGCAGCCATAAAAAAGGATGAGTTCATGTCCTTTGCAGAGACATGGATGAAGCTGGAAACCATCATTCTCAGCAAACTAACACCAGAACAGAAAACCAAATACTGCATGTCCTCACTCATAAGTTACAGTTGAACAATGAGAACACATGGACACAGGGAGGGGAACATCACACATCGGGGCCTGTCTGTGGGTGGGGGGCTGGGGGAGGGATAGCATTAGGAGAAATACCCAATGTAGATGATGGGTTGATGGGTGCAGCAAACCACCATGGCATGTGTATACCTATGTAACAAACCTGCACGTTCTGCACATGTATCCCAGAACTTAAAGTATAATAATAATAATAATAAAGAAATGTCCCCTGAGAAGAGGGATCCTTCCTCCCCCAGCACACAGAAAAGAGGGACATGAACTGACACCTTGCAGCCAAACCAAGGGATGGCCCATTTGGGGAGCTGGCTCCAGGAAACTGGCAGGGTAGCCCGGGTACGTGGGGGCCTGGCAAAGATTGGTTTGCAAGGCCCCTGTCTATATGAATAAAGGTGCTCAGAGAGTCCTAGGACTTGTCAACCTTTTCCACAATTCTTTTCCTAAAAATATCACAGTGGAATCTGCTTGTCAATGCCACACTCACAGCAGCTGCCCTGTTTCCTGGAAATAGAGGGGCTTCTCTTATCCTGGCTGAACCCAGGTTCAGCCAGGATGCCACAAAGCAAAGCCACAGTTATGCCACAAAGGGAAGCATTAGCCCCTTTTCCTTTTACACAAAGGAAAGCAATGCTCAGGGCACTGCACACTGGCACATCCTGATGAAGACTCTCTGCTTGACCAAGCTTTAGTCATGCTCCCAAACCTTCTCCTGGACCCATCTGTGCATTTCCTTACAAAATTCAGTGTCAGCAAGAACACTGCTCAGCCCATTTAGCCAGAACCTGCCACTCAATATCTGATCAGGTTCCTCATCCTCAACCATCCACCAGGTTACATCTGATCACCCTGGTCTGCCTTCAGCAAGAATCCTGTGAGATCAGTTTATCCAGACTGTCCCTGACCCCTGACTTCTTCCAGGGAATTTTCCACCCACTGACCTTCACCCTGCTCCTTGGCTGTCAGTCCCCACCTGCTGGTGCTGTACTGGGAGTTGAGGTCAATTTCTTTTCGCCACTGCAAAATCCCATTGTCCGGATACCTGTTGCGAGGATCCTGAGTGCAGTCGGCCTTACCATGCTTTAACAAGTATCGCTGAATACTTTTTCCTGTAATGGTTCTTCCAGTTATGCCACAAAGGAAAGCATTAGCCCCTAAATCAAATGAGCACATTAACAATCACTGTCTGAATGAAATCTGTTTCCAAGTTGAATTTGCTGAACAGGGATGAGTGCAGAAACAGTCCACACTTAGTTCGAAACTGTTGGGATGCCTGTGGGTCTCCAGAGGACAGGCAGGGATGAGTAGGCAGACGTGCTTTCTCCATACTTTTTTTTGTCACTCCCCTGCTTAAAAAAATTGTGTTTCTATCTGCTTTAAAGGGAAATTTTAGAAAGAGAGTTTTAGAATTTAACATTTAGGCCAAACCTCACAATTTTATAATACTCTAGCCTTTTCTTATTAAAAGTGACCATCTTTTGCGACTTTCTGAGCTCTCCTTTGTTTAGAAAAGCATCCCATTTCACATTGATCATCTCCTTTCACAATCCTGGAAAGAACCTGGGCAAGGATTTGTATTATAATTACATGAAATAGTAGCCCCTCTTATGGGAAAAGGGACTAAGTCTCAGGGTGGTCAAGCGACTGGCCTGGGGTCACCCAGCAGGAAACCCTGCTCCTTTGCCCCTGAGTGACCTTGTGAATACAGCTGACCCCAGGCCCAGTGTCTGCGTTCAGCTCTGTTTCTCCTTCTCAAAATGTCCTCAGATCTCTTTTGGCTTCTCTGTGTACTTGTAACCACCTCATCTCTTGTTTTTCTCCTTGCTCATAGGCCTTTAACTGATTCTGAAAGTAGGTCAGGGCTCACAAATTCATGCGGATCAGAAAAAGGGTGGGACCATCACGTTGTCTCTCCCAGAGGAGTCAGCGGATGAGGGTGCGAGCCACAGAGCTGCCTGTCCCTGGGCCTGGGGCCCTCAGCACTGTTTCACTCCATGGTCTCTGGGTTGTGGAGGGAAGCTCAGGACCGCCCAGCCACCTGTCTTCCTGTGGCACACATGTGTTGGACGCTTCTCAGGGTCACCACCAGAAAGGACATAACAGAAGCTTCCTCAGTGCTCCTCAAGCTGAGGCAGACATCCTCCCCACTCCAGGAATCTAAGCCAGGCACTCACTCAGTGTTTCTAGAAGTTTCCATGGTGACTGGAAATTCTGCAGTTACCATGAACACCCTGCCCAGCAATCCCCACAAAAGGCTTCCAGGATGCAAAGTGTCCTCATCATGGATCCAATAACTGGGCAGATGTCTTACTTCTCTCTTTTACTTCTGCAGCCGCTCACACACGAGCCACCTGCTGTACCCTGACTGTGGGCCTCACTTCCAGGCACTTACCAGGAATAAGGGTTGGAATCAACAGCCTTGTAACAGGCCCTTGTAACCATCTAACTAATACAATGTGAAGTGTCCTGGTGTAAAATCAACACAGACCTGCTGTATGCGCCAGGAAGGAAGACCTTGCTTAGCTGGGGTGTTAGAGAAGGGTTTATAGGGAGGTGACACAGGCTGGAACGTTAAGAAAGAAAAGTAGAGATTGATTGGGCAAGTAAAAAGGGACGTCCCTGTCGGGTAGAGGGACGTCAGCACAGGGACCCAGGGTGGGCCTGGTGGAGGAAGGACAGAGCTTGATGCTGTGAGCCTCTCAGGGCCAGGGAGCACTTGGGAAATGCAGACGCAAGGGGTCAGAGGACCTGAGCAGGGCGAGGTGTGGCCCATGTGAGCGTGGTGACACCTCCATCCCCTCTGGCTGTCTTCATTGCGCCTGTGCTGCCCTGGGCGCCACGGGGCCGACCATGTGTCCATAGTGAAATGAGGACATCATAGGGACAGGAGCTGCTCTCTTTGCGGCACCCATCCTGGGCAGGCCAGGCCCAGGCTGCTTTGCTTCTTACTGTCTGGGACGTCCTTTGAACCGCGTGTTGTCCAGTCTCTCCCATCTGTATGTGTTTCCTCCCTTGATGTCTCCATGAGCGGTTGGCTCAGGTGTGATGGCCTCACAGCAGGAAGCATAGGCCGGGTGGGCACCCTGCCATCTGGAGACCTCGTACTCTAGTGACAAGCTGCTTGGGGCCTCCTGGGCCTGCCCTGGGGCGAAGCTGCCGTCCCTTTCTGGAAGGCTTGTGTCCCTGCCACTTCTGACTGCCATGTCAGAAGTTGGGTGCATGGCCAGGGCTGTTTGCTAATGACTGCCCAGGGCATAGAGGGTAGAACAAAGCCAGTCTACAATGACGAGGGGGCTCCAGCTCCTCTCCTTGGGTGCCTCCCAGGGCCTGTTGAGGCAACTCCCTGCTCAGCCACCCTGCTTGGGAGATGGCTGGGGTTAGGCTCCTCCACAGCAAAGCTGAGAGCCCTGTGGTCTTGCAGGCAGAAGGTGGGACACTACCTGTGGGCATCAAGCACAGTCCAGGGTAGGGGTGGCCCTTTACATGTCGGGTGCTCTGTTTACACAGGACTTCTAGGGGAGCCATTTCGGGCTCTAGGGCCTCTTTGCAGATTTCTGGGCAGAGAACCAGCACTATGGGCATCACCATCCAAGCTGGCCCTCCACATTGTCACTGAGGCATGCATACCCTGACACCCTCCCAGACCCAGGAGGGTCCCCAGATGGCCACAGCCTTGGCCACCATCCCTAATGCAGCACACCTGAGACAGCCATGGACGATGCTCCTGCATCCCCTGCCAGCCTGCTGTGGTCAGACGCAGGGAGGCAGCAAGGGACAGCTGCCAGCACCAGGCTCGGACATCCGACACGGCAGTCCTTGCTCCCCATTCCTGTCTGCCCCTGTGACTTGAGCAAGTCACCTAAACTCCATCTGACTATCAGTTTCCTACATCAATATCAACCTCACTGGCAGCTGGGGAGAGGAAAGGAGCTATGTGTATAAAAAGTGCGCTTGCCAGGCCTGACACAGAACATGCAGGCAGCAGGCAGTGTCTGTTATTAACACGATAGTCCCTGTCGCTGTCTGGGAGCTGGCATGACCCTCCTGCAGGGAAAATGGATTTCTAGATGCCATGAACCAGGCCAGTTCTGTCTCCTTCCTCAGCTGTTCTGCACGTGCAGAGGCCTCTTGGTGTGTGCACTGGTGCCCTACCCAGATGCACCTTCAGGAAGGAGGTGCCCACTCCCCAGATCCAGGAGTGCTGGCCTCCAGGCTCACAGCTCCAGCTCTAGGAGCTGCATTCAGATGAAAGCAACTTCTGGCTCCCAGGTCACACTCTCTCCCTGGGCGGGGCATGCCACATCCTCTACTTGGTTGAAGGAGCAGGGTATAAAGCCTCAGCTCCCAGGTTTCAGTTGGGGAAAACTCACAAGGTGTGTAATGGCCACACCTCCCCCATGGGCTCAGCAAAGCCTCTGTTTCAGCTGCATCACAGGTAGCATCTCTGCCCAACCCTGCTCCTCTCACTCCCACAGTTACTCCCCAAACCCTCCTGCACGCATACCTCCATCTCAGGGTCTGTGAGAGGGTCCCTGGCCCAACATAGGTGTCTTTAAATGAAAGTTTGTCTAGAACCTTAAGAAAGAACAGAATTCTTGGTCTAGAGGAAAAAGAACTAAAGGACAGGGGAGAGAAAGGGGTGCTTCTTTGCTCTTCACTCTCAAAATGTTGAAGGCCATGCTCAAGAGCTTGCTGTCTCCCCTCCAGTCCTGGGCTTGGAAGAGACACCCTGGCTCCCTCATGCCTGTCTATCAAACCAGAAAGTTCTGCATGCAAAGCACCTGGCCCAGAAAGATACCATAGCTGCCACCCTTCTGCCTCTCCCAAGTCTGGAAAGTGACATCTCTAAACAGCTGAATGAAGGAGAATTCCCAGATGCTGTGGTGTTTCCCAAGTCCAGACACCCAAGAGAGCCTGGGTCCCTGGAAAGCATGCTGTCCTGGAGTCAGTGATAAACCCAGATTGACCTTCCCTTTGGAAGATGGGCATCTGCTGACCCTGGAGCTGCCTGGAAAGAGCTGCCACCTTACCCAACCCAGCAGTAACCTAGGAATTGCTTCTATGCATGGCACAGCTCATGAAGGCCTCTGGCACAATTTTTCTGGATGTCCGTGGTGAGGCTGCCCTGAAGGCTGGTGATAAGTGAGGGTCAGACAGTGCAGCAAGGGAGCAAGAAGGGGAGGTGTGGTCATGAGTGCTGGGGTGCTCTGAGAGGGATTGGGGGCGGGATGCTCATCCAGGCAGTGGAGAAGGCTGCAATAAGAGTTCAAACTCCCCTGCTTGCCAATAGACAGCACCAGAGACTTTTACAAAGAGAAGCTGCCTGCATACATCTCCTGTTTGGAAAGATCATCTGGACTACAAATCTGCAGAAGTGACACCTTGTGGAGGGAAGTGCGGGCCAGCCACAGGTGCACTTACAAGTCTGGTGCCGTGGTTCAGTGGTGTCAAGGGAACACTGATATTTCCTGCTCATTCAGAGAGTCACACATGCCATTCATCCTTAACAGAGCCTGACCTTGACATGGACACCTTTTCTCCACCTTGGGAGTTGCTCAGTGGAGATATGGGCTATGTGAAAATTCTATATCTGCTGACCTTCTCTGAAAACAACTGGAGGTGTCTTTTGGTGAAATAACTGGAATCTCCAAATAGATCATCAGACCTGGAGGATATTCCTTTCCTAAGCAGCCAGGTCGTTTCTTGGAGACTGGAGGCAATGCTACTTAAGAGGCCACACTTTCTGCCACCCTTCCCTGAAGAAGAGACTTACCATTATGATGTGTCTCCTCTTTGAATCAGAGCAAGTTCCCTTAGGATTCTTTTGCTTGTGAGTTACAGAATTCAAAGTCAAAATGGCTTAACCACAAAGGGAAAGTATTGTCTCTTGTAATGTAAAAGGGTGGACTGCAGGCATAGCTGGATCCAGGTACTCAAAAACATCATCATGAATCTATCCCTCAACAGTTCTTTCACTCCCTATGATGTCAGAATTATCAACAGCTTTAGACTTACGTCTCACTGATTTAGAAGCAATAGACAATGGTAGACTCTCTTTTTAAAGAATTCTTACAAAAGTGCCATTGTGACAGGCTGTTTTTGCATTGCTATAAATATCTGAGGCTGGGTAATTGATAAAGACAAGAGGCTTAATTTGGCTCATGGTTCTGCAGGTTGTTCAGGACGTGTGGTGCTTGCATCTGCTTCTGATGAGGGCCTTAAGAAACTTTCAATCATAGTGGAAGGCAAAAAGGGAGTAGACATGTCACATGATGAGAGAAAGGGAGAAAGAGAGAGAAGGGGGGGAAGGGCCACACTCTTTTAAACAACCAGATCTCATGTGAACTAACTGAGCGAGAACTCATTCATCACCAAGAGGATGATGCTAAACCATTCATGAGACATTCATCCACTATGATCCAAGCACCTCCCACCAGGCCCGACTGTTAGTCCAAACTGCACCATTTCATAAGCCCCCTGCCAATTCGCAAATCTTGGTCAAAGTGAAACATTCCACAGGGGGTTGAGCTGTGAGAAACAGCCTGCCCAACCACCTGAACACAAGGCACGGGAACATCCTTCTCATACCCTGCCCAGCAACGGCCCAACCAAGGGAACATCCTTATATCCTGCCGGGCAAAGGCCCACCTGAAGGAACATTCCTATCATATCCTGCTGGGCAAAGGTTCAAGGAACATCCTATCACATCCCACCAGAAAAAGGGCCAAACCGCCTGATCATAGGTACATCTTATCAATATCCTGCTGGACAGCAAGTCATATGGCCCAGACCCCGCCCACCCATACCTTTAAGTACCCCAGCCTGTAAGTGGTGATGAGCTCTGGCATTAAGCTGGTCTCCCATGTCTGCAGGTTTTTGCAATATACCTGTGTTGCTGTAGAGCCACCTTCTCTCTCTCTCTCTCTCTCTCTCTCTCGTGTGTGTCTGTGTGTGTCTTTCTTTAACTGTCACCTTCCCTTCTAAACCTAACACCCACCTCCAACATTGGAAATCACATTTCAACATGAGATTCAGAGGGGACAAACATCCAAACCACATCAGCTATGACTAAGTCTCATCAAACGAATGTAGTCATGCCCATCTCTGAGAAAGTCAGTGTGGCCAGAGGGATGGGCTGTACTGATTACGATCCCTCCAGCTGGAGCTCCGGTAAAAGGGGAGGGACATGCGGCAAGATGCCCATGTGGACAGGGATTAGGAAAAAAAAATTTCCTCAGTGGAAAACCAAGATGCTGCGACTGAAAGAGGGGAGATTGGCTTTAGGCAGCTGAAACAATTGGTCACCATATGGATGCTGGCAATTCATGTCCTGCCACAGACTGAGACCTGGACCTGGAGCCCTGCCCTTCAACATCCTGCCCTTTCAGAGTCAAAACTTCATCTTTTCCTTCCTTAGCACTTTGCTTCCAGCTCTTACTGGCATTTACAGACTTTGGCCTTATTTGAGAAAACGCAATACACAGGACCATGAATTACACTGGAGCTGGAACCATGTCCCCCTTGCTTCTGCTTCCCCAATGCCCAGGGTGTTGCAGCCTCTCCCATGGATTTGCCGAATTCAATATGTTTAACGTATAGCATTTTCAGGTGCCAATGTGGCTTGTTTTGGTGAATAGAGGGACAAATAAAGCATTCTTTCCTCTGTCCACACCCTCTCCTGCCTTGATCCATTCAGGCACCATGGGTGGGGAAGGCCTGTTAGTCAACCAGCCCTCAAGAAGCAGTTAGATCCTAACAGCTACTCACTCTTGAGATGACAGAAATGTGTGGAGAAGCTACTGACGTGAAGCTACCGGCTCATGTCCATGCCGGCTCCATGGTTTCTGAAGAGGCACGAGCCTCTTTTCAAGGCCACAGACATGAAATGCAAAGTTCACAGATGCTTCACCTCCCACCTGAGGACCTTCCTCTTGTCCAGACCATTAGCACAGAGCCCAACGATGAGCAGAGGCGTTAATGAACCCTGTGCAGGCAGCTTTCTGTCTATAGTTCTTGCTCCCAGTTGGGAACTTCTCACCACACTGACAAAATTTATTATGTACCATGGAACTTCAGGGTCACTTGGGAACAGAATAGATATTAAATTCACTCCTGCGAGGGTTTATGGCACCAGCAGCCAGAAAGGCTGCCTGCGGAGCTTCCTCTGGAGTCAGGACATGATCTGTTTGAAGGAGTCAAACTATCCCATTGGTGATGAGTGAGCTCTCGCTCAGTTGGTTCACAGGAGATCTGGTTGTTTAAAAGAGGTTGGGACCTCCCCCTTCTCTGTCTCTTGCTCCCTGTCATCTTGTGACATGTCTGTTCCCCTTTTGCCTTCTGCCGTGACTGTAAGCTTCCTGAGGCCCTCCTCAGAAGCAGATCCTGGCACCACACTCCTTGTACAGCCTGCAGACCATGAGCTAAATAAACTCCTTTCTTTATAAATTACCCAGTCTCAGGAAGTCCCAAGAGCCCAGAGACCCTTCCTTAGCCAGAATAGCTTCTTCATGGAGAACCCAAGGAGCAATGTGCAGGCTCACTTCTTCCAACTGGGATGCCAGACAGAGAGGCCCTGGACCACCAAGTCTTTTTTTCCTGCAAGATTCCTCATCTTCACAGAATGTACCGGATGTGTCTTGGTACCTGGATCTCATGCACAGCTTCATCACTGGTTTCTAGGAATTACAAGACACTCCAGGAGCCCATGCCAAATGGTTTTCCCTGGATAGCAGAGTTCCTCTGTAAATGTGTGACCCTGCTGGCCACCTCACATGCTAAAGGAAGAAGACCAGGTGGTGGAATGCGAGGGGATGGACATTTATCACTCTGTCAGGCACTGTGCTAGGCATGCTGCATGCATTCCTGCCTATGGCTGGTTTGTCCTGAAGGGAATGGAGACTCGGCACTGCAAATTCACCCTGTCCTGTCTTCTTCAGTCTTCTGCGAAGGATCTGGCCCCAGGCTTTCTACTGAAATCCTGGCAGCCTCAAGAGCCTTAGCCCAGCCTGGGAGTGAAGGGCGGGCTGACTTCCAACATCAAGCTCCGCTGCAGAGTCGGGGACAATCAGGGCCTTGAAGCAGGGCCACCTCTGCTGCTGCAGCTCCACATTGCTATTCCGTAGTCTTAGTTCTGGATTCCAGCTCAGCCGCTCCCACAGTGCTCTCAGGGTGGCTCCTCATCAAGTGAGCAGGGACCAGGCATTTCCTGATCATTTGTCCCCAGTGCTGTGTTTTTCACAGGGGAGGAATGTCTGCTCAGAATTCTTGATTGCCTAGGATTCCTGCAAATATGACTTGGCCAAGTCAGTATTCTCAGCATATGCCATTTAAGGGAGGACATTTCCTGTTTTCATTGGCCTAATTCAGGCATTCTTCATTTCTGCGTGGGCAATTGCAAATTTCTTAATAATTTCTCTGTTTTAAATCTTATCTTGCTTCAGTCTGTCCTTCCCACATTGTTCTAGAATTGTAAATGTGTTAACAATAACTGGCAGGTCAGACACAGCAATGAGCGCTTTAGACCTGTGACGTCATTCAGTCCTCAAAAAGATCCTACCAGGAAGACCCTCCAATTCTCCCCAGTTTACAGATAGGAAACACATTTAGGGATGCTTTGGTAATATGCCAGGTCATATTGAGTAAGTGGAAAGGCTGGTATTGAATGCAGACCTGACTCACTCCAGACCATCACCACTCGTTTTTAAAACACCAGTCTAACCTTGTTACTGCTCTGCTTAGAAGATGGGGTAGATTGCCTCTCTCTGCTTCTCCCCACTAAATTCAACTGTGAACCCTAGAAATAAAACAAGAGGCAACCAAAGGAGGACTATGAAAGGTGGGAAGAGAACAGTACACTAATTAGGGACCCTGGGACTAGAAAAACAACACAGCTGGACACAGCTTGTTAAGCTTCAATCCAACAGAAAAAGGAACCAAGGCTCCATGTATCCTGACCCCTGACCTTGTAACAGAAGACGTAATTGTTTACATATAAAATCCCAGATTCTACAAATAAAATTAAAAACTAGAACTAAGAAGTAAGTCCAACAAGGTTGAATAAGACAAAAATCAATACAAAAGTATCCATTGGATTTGTATATACTAAAAATGAACTTGTGGAAACAGAAATTTAAATTTTAATACCATTTACAATTGCCCCAAAGAAAATGAAATAGGTGTAAATCTAACAAAATATGTGTGGTATCTGAATGCTAAAAATTACAAAGTGCTGATTGAAAGAAATCGAAGAAGACAAAAAGAGACACATGATGTCCATGTGTTGGACAACTAAACCAAACAACGATGTTAATCCTTCTCAAATTAATTTAGTCCGATTTGTAACAAAATTCCTGCAAAGTCTTTTTTGGTAAATGTCGAAAAGCTTATCCTAAAATTTAAATGGGCAGGCACAGCATATAGAAGCTAAGAAGAATAAAATAGATGTAATCATTCTGCTTGATGCTAAGGTTTACCATAGAGCTACAGTAATTCCAGAAGTGGACTATTAGTTGATAAATGGCACATAAATCAATGGGACAAAACAGAGAATGCAGAAAAAAATCCCAACTGATTTGTTAACAAATATTTCCTACTTATTTTTTATAAAGATACAAAAACAGTTCAATATAGAAAAATAAGACTTTTAAACAAATGGTTCTGAAGAAGTTAGACATTCTGTAAGAAAAATTAAATAAATAAACTTCCACATAGACCTCACACCTTATATTAAATTTTACTCAAAATGGATCACAGACATACATGTAAAATATTTAAGTGTAAAACTTTCAGAAAACAACATTGGAGAATATCTTCTGGACCTAGGGCTAGACGAAAAGTTTTTAAACTTGACACCAAAAGCAAAATCAGTAATAGGAAAGTTTGATAAACTGAACCTCAGCAAATTAAAACCTTTTGCTGTTCAAAAGACTCTGTTAAAAGTATAGAAAGACAAACTAAAACTGAAAGAAAACATTTGCAAACCACACGTCTGACAAAGTACCTATAATATAGAAAGAATTCTCAAAACTCAACATTAAAAACAATCTAATTAGGAAATAGACAAAAAACATAAACATATATTTCATGCAAGAGAATATATAGACAGCAGATAAGCACATGAAAAGGTGTTCAACGTCATTAGCCATTAAAGAAATGCAAATAAAAGTCAAAATGAGAAACACTACATACCTATCATAATGGCTTAAATAAAAAATAGTGATATTACCTAATGCTCATAAGGATGTGGTGAAGCTGCTTCACTCATACATTGCTAGTGGGAATGTAATATGATACAGCCACTCTGAAAAGGAGCATAAAAGTTTCTTACAAAACTAAACATGTGCCTATCATACCCCTTTAGCAGTTGCACTCTTGAACATTTTTCCCTGAGAAATGAAAAGCTAACTGCATATGAATATCTGCACATAATGCTTATAGCAGTATTGTTCATAGAAGCCCTAAACTGGAAACAGACCAGAAGCTCTTCAATGAGTGAGTTGTTACACAAACTGTAGCATTCTCATACGGGGTATATTATCAGAGTTCTCCAAGCTCCAGAGAAACAGCACCAATAGAAAAGAGTGAGAGAGAGAAAGTCACAGAGTAAGGAGAGCTGATGATATAGTTCCACTTTGAAGGCTGATAGGCTCAAGACCCAGTAGATATTTCAGTCTGTAGCTGAAGGCAGGAAAAAAGCCCATGTTTTTGTTCAAGGCCGTCAGGTGGCAAGTATTCTCTTTTTGGGGAGGGTCAGCCTTTTTGTTCTATTCATGTCCTCAATTGATTGGACGAGGCCCACCCACATTAGGGAGGACCACCTGCTTTCCTCAATCCACCAATTTAAATGTTAATTTCATCCAGAAATGCCCTCACAGAAACACCCAGAATAATGTTTGACCAAATGTCTGAGTAACCTGTGGCCCAGTCAAGCTGACACAAATTAACCATCACACCATAGAAGACTGCCCTGAAATGAAGGTAAAGAACTATTACACAGAATAGCTTGGGTGAGTCTGAAGGGAATTATGCTGAGTGAGACAAAAACCAATCACAGAAGAGAACATACTATATGATTCCATTTACATATAATTGTTAAAATGACAACATTGTAGAGTTGCAGAACAGATCGGTGATTGCCAGGCAGATCAGTTGGTGGCAGGGACAGGAGGGTTTGAGTATGGTTATAAAAGTATAATTTGAGAGAACCTTGGGCTCATAGAACTAATCTCTAAACTGTCATGGTGGATATGAGAATCCACATAGGTGGATAAAATTGTATAGAAATAAATACAACACACACACACACACACACACACACACACACAAGTAAAGCTGAGAAATGTGAATATATGGATGCACTGTATCAATGTCGGTATCCTAATTTTGATGTTGTACTATGATTTTGCAAGATGCTACCATTGGGGAGCATGGGTGAAGAGCATACAGTTTATTTCTCTCTGCAATATTTCCCCAGTGTTGGAGATGGAGGCTGGTGGGAGGTGATTTCATGGGGTGGATCCTTCCTGAATGGGTTAGCAAATTCCCCCCGTGCTGTCCTCATTATAGTAAGTGATCTTACTATAATCACGAGATCTGGTTGTTTAAAAGTGTGTGGCACCCTCCCACTCCCCTCTCTCTCTTTCTTCCTCCTTCTCTGGGCATGTAAGAAGCCTGTTTCTCCTTGCCTTCCACCATGATTTTAAGTTTCCTGAGGCCTCCCCAGAAGCAGAAGCCACTACGCTTCCTGTACGGCCTATAGGACCATGAGCTAATTAAACCTCTTTTCTTTATAAATTATTCAGTCTCAGGAATTTATTTCTAACAATGTGAGAATGAACTAACACATAAACCAGGAATCAGCCACACTTCACTCAGAGTATTCAGGATTTGGCCCTGACCTGGGATTCAGTCACCTCCCATAGCAATGACCATGCAAAGCCAGGGCTCCAACATCCAGGAGCGAAGGAGCACGGATGCCAGGTAAGCAATCAAAGGTCTCTGCTGTAAGCCACTTCTATTTCTTCTATTTCTTCTTCCCAGGCCTGTCTCCTCTTAGAGTAAATGCATCAAGGGGCCTACTATTTCCATCCAAATAGATAAACATCCCAGACTTAAGATATCCATAAATGGAGCTCATCTTTGCCCCAAAGTTTCTCTTCCACCCATTTTTTCTCTAAATTAATTGATGGCACCGCTTTCCCTTCAGTCACCTCCTCTAGGAATCTTTCCTGTCTTATGCCTCTCACCTAGGTTCTAACCACCCTTTCCCTGTGCCAGACATGCTTTTTTTTTTATTTCTAACTCTCTCCCTCCCTCCTCAACCATGGACTTCCATCTCTGTATCTCCCACTTACCTTGTGGATCTCAGCTCATGCATCTTTTCTCCCCACCACACCTGGCCTGGATATTCCTCCACATGCCACCAACGCACCCGTGCATCACAGTGATGGCACTGTCACAGTGCATCTCACTGTTCTGTTTCCCCTCTAGAAGGTAGGTTCCAGAGCCAAGAGTCTCAACCTTGGCTACACATAGAAATCACTTGGGGGATTTTAAAAATATTGACGTCTTGGCCTGCCACCAGATTTTTTTCTGACTAAATGGTATCAGGGGCAGCCTGGGCTTTGGAATATTTAAAAGCTCCCAGATGATTCCCACGTATAGCCAAGTTTGAGAACCATTGTTTTAAGCTACCAAGTCTATATGTCCACCATTGTATTCCCAGTTCCAAAACAGAGCTGCACACATAGTAAATCCATCAATACTTACCACCTGAATGGGGCAAGCAGAGAAATTTATCACTATCTTTCTGAAAAACCTTAAGTCATGGGGTCTGTGAAACTCACCAGATGCATAGGCAACTCACCTCTGAGGAGAGGGGAAGCTCACCACCCCTGCAGAGGCAGCTAGACCCCTCTCAGATCAGCACCACGCTCCCTTCTGCAATGTGCTTCAGCCCAAACAATTAGCATCCATGGGGTAAAGGGCCCCAGAGAGCTGGCTGGGCTCGCATTGCTTTCTCTCATACCCTGAAGCATTGTAGGCCAAGCCTCCAAAACTTGGGTTGGGCAGTTAAACTTTTCCCTTCAGGTCATGAGACATGATGTCAGATTCAGTGATTTGCAAAAGAAACTGACATCTGCAGAGGCCAGTAAATACGTTTGTAGCATGGCTGCTGTGCCCTGCCTGAATGAGGCTGCAGAACAAAAGTCCTGTGGACAAAGACAATCAAGCGACTGGAGAAGCATGGAGAGTTGCTCCTTGCCCAGGCCTGATTCACTCCAGGTTGATGTTCTTGACCCAACTCATGAAGAAAAATATTTCAAAATGTAAATAGGAAAGTCAAGTTTTTTCCTTCCATAGAAATGAGCTGAAATGTATTTTCTATATCGGAAGAGTTTACATCCTTTGACATAGAGCCCAGAATAACAGATTTTTAGGACTCAAAAATGTCCCCTAGCCCCATGACCATGACTTCATTCTACATCTGAAGGTACTTATGCATGTGTAAAGAGAAGTTAAATGTCCAAGGTTTTGGGTCAAATGCATAGCTCCTGACAGAAGTAGAAATAGAACTCATAATGTTTGGAATAGCTTTAAAAAAGCAGTTTCAAGCTCTCAGCACTTTTCAATGAATAAGTAATCACCATTTGTTAAGCCATGCATTCAAAGGCATTTATTGAACACATACTACAAACTAAACATAGCACAAGGCACCAGGGATTCAAAAGAGCAAAGCAGAATCCTGTTATGAAGGAAGAATAGGGAAAAATAAACAGGTAATAAAATAAGGCAGTAATGTGTAGTAGTGGCAAGCTATGGTGCAACTAAGGCACAGTGGGGAAAGCTCTATCCCAGGGGTGGAGGGTGGGGAGAGGGAGCCAGAAACCTGGACTAAAATGACATGAGCAGTATGTGTAAACTGAGGAAACTGAGAGAATTTGCACAGATAGCTCTTTCAAGAAGCAAAGCTATAAATATTAAAAAGCGTAAAGTTTTTTATAACTTTAAAGTGGAGAAAACATTTCTATAAATCTAACTATATAAAACTTTGCAAAAATAGGAAACAACATCATACGAAGATAAAAGATAAGCTAAAAAATATATGTACATATAACAAAGGGTTAATGTTCTTAATGTTTAAGGAGCCACTAAAAACAGAAGAAAAGGATTCATGGGCTGCAGATATGAATAGCACAATTCACAGATAAAATAAATTCAAATGGCTCTTCAATCTCCCTTATAATGAGAGAAATGAAAATTAAAAGTGTACTGAGATGAGCAAAAATTCCAGAGTTTGACAGCATATTCCCTTGGTGGGGTTTTGAAGAATGAAAGCCTCTCACGCATTCCTTGTGTTATTGGCTGAACGTTTGTGTCTCTGCCTCCCACATTTATATGTTGAAGCCCTAACCCTCAATGTGATGGTACTAGGAGGTGGGGCCTTTGGGAGGTAATTAGATTTAGATGAAGTCATGGGGGCGAAGCCCACATGATGAAATTAGTGCCCTTATAAGAGGAGACACTGAAGAGCTTACTTTCTCCTCCCCTCTCTGCCGTGGGAAGACACAGCAAGAAGGTGGCCATCTACATGCCAGAAAGAAAGCCTTCACCAGGAAACAAGTCTGCTTGATCTGGGACTTCCCAGCCTACAGAAGGGTGAGAAATAAATGTCTGCTGTTTAAGCGACCCAGACTATGGGTGAACAGCCTAAGCAGGCTAAGATACATAGTGAGAATGTAAAACAACATAATCCTATGGAGAGGAACTTGAAAATCTCTAGCAAAACTGCGTATGCATTTACCGGTTGACTCTGCAATTCCACTTTTAGACATCTACTCCAATAACATGCCAGCAGAAACGCAAAAATTGTTGTTCACAGAGATCTTCATTTTATTACTGTATGTAATTTAAAAAACTAGAAACAACCCAAATGTCTATTACTATGGAAATAGTTTAACAAACTATTATACATCCACATGGTAAAATACTATACAGCTACTCAAAATGAGAAATCTGTCTCTATACTATTCTGTGAATGATCTTCTGTATTTATTAAGTGAAAAAAATCGAGAAAAGTATATATGGTATGTTACCACCAAATTTAATTCTTAAGACAACATGAGGCCACTGAAGGACTTTCACCATGGGAGTTACCACATAACCAAACCCAGGTCTTCTGGCTCCTATGCATTTTATATGCAACTCAGCCAAGCAGTTCCAGCCACACATTAGAATCACTTATGGAATTTATTTGCAAAAAACTCCTATGCCCAGGTCCTACTTCCGGAAAATCTCTTTTAATTGGTCTGGAGTGGAGCCCAGGCTTCACGTTTGTTTTGTTCTTGTTTGGTTTGGTTTTGATGCTGGCCAGGTGGTTTTTAACAGGCAGCCTTGCATGGAAATCCTGGTTTCACTTGGGCTTCCACTGTTTTCTCTGACCGCCTCCCTGAGCTGAGCCTCCAGCAGCCTGCTAGCTACTCTGTGTTTTCTGGGACGTGTCTTGATTGTCTTTTTTATCCATGCTTTCTGTGTTCTAGCGGGAAAGGGATGAGGGTGGCCACAATCCCAACTACCTGCCCAGGGAGCCATTGTAAGCAGAAGGCAGGCCCCGCCTCTTTAGGTGTGCATTGTTCTCAGGTGCAGTCCACTCTGCCCGTAACCTGGATGAGTGGTGCTGGCAGATAACAGAGATGATGCTGACATCTCAACAGCAGAATAAGGTGGTCGGGCAGCTCCCATTTTTGCTGCTGGAGAAGTACCTTGCTTTCACCAAAAACATCCCCATCTCCTTTTCCTAAAGAGGATTTTCTTGAATGCCTCTTTTAAGGCTTTCTCTTTGAAGATAAAATACCAGCCAGTTTTACTTATGGCAGGGAGAGTCTGAATTTTCATAATCTTCATCACTAGAAGAGTCCTGGGATAGGAAGTGACTGGGGAATATCAGATCTGCAGAAAAACACAAAATATGAAATTCTAACGGTATGTGATGTTATGGATGGAAACCTAAAATTTCAATACCTTGACACGAAGTCCATTTCTCGCTCACATGAAGTTCAAAATGTGTGTCCATGCTGGGCAGTCTGCTGACATCTCCAAGTGGCCATTAAGGACCTGAGCTTTTTTGATCTTGTGCCTGCTTTGTCTCCCCTACTCAATACCTGGTGTCCAGCCTGCAGCAGTCAGCAGGGGAAGGGAGGCTTGTGTGTCAACCCAGAAGAGACACTTGGACTGCACTGGCCGCAGCTGCCTCTTGGCTACTCAGGACTGCAAGTGGGCTGGAAATGCGGTTGAGCTGTGTATCCAGGAGGAAAAGAGAGTTGGTTTCTGGATCTGCAGAAACTGAGAGAAGGCTGTGGATTTGGTAATGAGGATGACACTGATGATTCTGGTGGGCACGACTTCTAGGGCCTGGTGGGCTGAAGCTGATGGCAGGGAGGTGAACAGGGCAGGGGATGATGAGTGTGGTCTATGCAGAGAGACTTGAAAGTATGGGGCAGGCGGATCCTCTCTACATTTAGGAGGGAAGGCTCTGACTGAGCCGGCCTCAGTGAAAGGAGACTCAGTGCGGTGGGAGGCATAGACCAAAGGAAGCGAGGGGAGCCCTTCCAGCTCCTCCAGCTAGAGGGAAGTTGGCTGTGGGGTGGCAACTAGTGTCTTCTTCAGTGAGGGGATTAGGGGAATCTAAGGCTCATTCTGGGTTTGCCCTCAACACGTCAACTTCAATTTCTGCTATGAAGATGATAACGAGCACTAGGCAGGGTTTCCAAATGCTTTCTGCTTGAGACTTTACTTTGGGAAATGCACTGGCCGCAGGCTCGGAGAGCATTGCCAGGTGGTGGGAACTCCCAGTGGAAGGAGGTGGGTGAGAAGGAAGGTCAGCCCTCCAGGACAATGTCACTGTCCCTCAGGTAGACAGATGCAGAGCCAGACAGTATCAGGCCAGCACTGGAATTAAGGTAGGACCCCTGAATCCACAGGAAGAGCAAAGTCTGAGGCTACACTCTGGATTTTGTACCAAATAGGAACTCCTGCTCTTGAAGACACCATCTCATGAATCTGGGCTCCATCTGCCTTGTGCACCACTATGAGGGGTTAAGAGTTCTCAGAGTTGGAAGTGACCCTGAAGACCTTCTAACTACCCTTTGCTCTCTGCACCTGCCAGTTCAGTGTCTGCAGCTCGTCACTACCCATCCAAGTCCTGTTCAATCCCTCCAAGGAGGCAGAATTCATTGCCTTCCCAAAGAATACCAGAAAGACAGCTACAGGCATTAGGAAGCTGAGCCAATGTTCACCTTGTTCTGGGCATTTGCCTTTGGTATGTCATAATTAAGTCACAGAGTCCTGCAAAATATCAAAATTATTTTAGAAGCACCCATATCAAGAATTAAACCAAAATATTAACTGAATTGATTCTTACGTGCAATATTCAGTGATATTATAGTCAATCATTCAGTGATATTATAGATTCGTTGGACCGTTTACCAAATGTGCTAAGTACCTACCATGTGACAGTCTCTAGACTATGCCTGTTGGTGCAGAGATAAACAAGGAAAGTCCCTTCCCTCAAGGCACTGGCACATCCCAGGGAACATCGACATATACCCAACTAATTATAAAAATAATAGAGAACAAGGAGAGAAGGATGTTAACATGGGCAAGGCCCAGAGGCATAAGGTGTGATGAGGAGCAGTGAGTACATCTATGTGGTTGGAATGTATGGTGTGTGCTGGAAAGCCTGGGAGTTATATTTGGTCTATTGGAACTGGAAGCTGTATATCAGCTCTATATCAAAACTGGGAATTATATTTGGTCTGCATTATTTTCCTGCAGAAGAAGGGATTCTGGCCCTCAGAGAGGGTGAATACCTTGCCCAACATGAGACAGTACTCAAACCCAGCTCGCCCAAAAGTAAAACCCAGCTCGGTAGCTCCCACCACATTCTTCCACCTCTCCATGTTACCTGTACTACCTGGATGTGGCCTGTCCACATCCAAGCTCCTCGAGGAAGGATGCTGGTGTTAGGAATCTTTGTGTGACATCCATGACAGGGCAAAAGGTATTCCTCATAATTACTGGGAAGAAATGTGTGCTCCCTGCACTGCGTGCATGATTTAATCATGTCAGCACCCCTAAGAGTGGGTGTAGAATAAGGCACAGGGGTGGAGGGAGGGCCTCTGGGTGTGTAAGACCTGTGTGCACCCTCAAGGCACATCTGGCTCGAGGCTGGCACTCTGGACTTGGGTTGCAGATGAAGCCGCAGGAGTGTGAAGAAGAGTGGCCCAGGAGGAGAAGGGGGGCCAGGGACCAGGGGACTGATGCCAGTGTTCATTTTCTGTTTCTTCGCCCTCACAGAGGAAGATGCTAGTTTTCAGAGCAGAGCCGACTTCCCTCCAGCTGGAAAGAAGCACCCACCTCGCTTCCTCTGGTCTGTGCCCCCACCACACCGAGTCTCCTCACACTAAGGCTGGCTCAGGTCAGAGCCTCCCCTCCTCACTGCAGAGAGGATCCTCCCGCCCCTACACTTGCAAGTATCTCTGAATAGACCACACTCATCATCCCCTGCCCTGTTCACCACCCTGCCATCAGCTTCACCTCACCAGTCCGTAGAAGTCGTGCCCACCAGAATCACCAGTGACATCCTCATTACCAAATTCACAGCCTTCTCTCAGTTTCTGCAGATCCTCAAACCCAGTCTGTCTTCCTCCTGAGCACACAGCTCAACTGCGTTTCCAGCCCCCTTGCAGTCCTGAGTGGTTAAGAGGCAGCTCTGGCCAGTGCAGTCAAAGCACCTCTTCTGGGCTGACACATAAGCCTCCTGTGCCCGTGTCCTTCTCCTGCTGGCTGCTGCAGGCTGAGGCGATATCCCTGGATACCAGGTGTTGAGTACGGGAAGGAAGTTGGGCACAAAATCAAAGGATCCTGGGTCCTTGATGGTCACTTGGAGACGTAAGCTGGATGTCCAGCATGGACACACATTTTGGACTTCATGGAAACAATAAATGGACTTTGTGTCAAGGTTTGAAATTTTAGATTTTCATCTGTTACATCACATACTGTTAGAATTTCTAATTTTGTGGGCTTGTATAGCATCTGGTATTCTTGACCCAAATTACTGTGGTTCCAGTTCTCAGCCAGAGTCAGTCTCCCCTAACTCCACCCTCCCCAGCCTGGACAGAATCACTCCCCAGTGGCCAAAGGCCCCCCATTCCTGTTGAGTTCCAACAGGAATAAACTCTTAGAGAGGAACCATGAATCATGCACCTCTGAATTGGTGCATTCTTGTTCTTTGAAGAATGCACTTTGAAGAAGCACTGCTGGGCTGGGGGTGGATAATGGAGTACTGAGTTATGGGTCAGACATGATAGAGTTTTTCCCAGAGTCCAGGACTAGGTCCCACTTGAACTGAGCCTACTGGGGAGGAGGCCAGAGCTGGTCACACACATGCCCAGGGGGAGTCCAGGAGATATCACATTTCTGGGTGTCATCCACTCTCTAGGGAGGCTTGGCCAGACTCTTGGTTCTGTGCACACCATACTCAGCCTTTCCCCAAACACAGCACAGTCATCGCCACCCCCAAAGCATGGCGCAGCACCCCACGTCCAGTCTAAATGCTCTGTTCTGAGTGGCCCAAGCCCTGATGTGTCGCACACAAGGGCTAGGCACATAGGGCTAGCCAGCAGTTAGGGTTTGCCCCAGAGTACACGGGTGCAGTCAGCATAGGAAGTGGTGGAGCAAAGAAAGACCCCACCAGGAGGAAAGGCCAGGGCAGAGCAGGAGGCACTCAAGGCAACTGTCCAGAGTGGCCTCAGCAGAGACTCATCTGGGGGTGGCATCAGTTGCCAGTGCTGGATGCTTGCTGTGGGCCAAGCTCTGGGCTAGAGGCATGCATTTAAACCGGGCCACATTTGCCTTTTGGGAGCTTCCTAGATAAAACATCCTCCACAAGAAGGTCCAGCCTGGACCCTGTTCACAACCCACAGCGGGGCGCAGGTTACCTGAAGACCAGGACCCAGAGTGGGTCCAGAGAACATGGGCCCAGCTCCCTCATTTCCCAAGTGAGGAGCTGAGCAGAGGTTGTGCAAGGAAGGCTGGAGCAGGGCCAGACCCAGGGCCCACCATTCCACACCAGCAACACACAATAATCTGGGACAGTCCACACTGAGAGGAAACTGGGGTTACAGACCAGGGAGGATATCAAAAGAGCTCCTACAGCCTCTGCCAAGCTGTGCGGGCATCTGGAAAGAATTGCAGTCTCAGCTGGAAATGGTGTTTAGAGCAACATTTCCCGTAACATGTCTCTTTCTAAATAGCACATCATGGCAGTTCCGAGTCTGATTTCAAGGTCTGAAATTTTTTGAAATTCACACTGACTTCGGAAGAAGGAAAAAATATTGTGGGAGGGAGCAAACTGTGCAGGGAAGCGCAAGCTGTCTCCAGACTGTCCAAACAGCAAGTGCAGGGGACACATCCAGTCTTCCCGGGAAAGGCAGCAGGGGTAGGTCAGGGTTTGTGAAGGGGCGTATGTGCAAGCCCAGCCCTCCCCAAAGGGCCCACATGTATACATAAACACCATGCATTGGGTCTTTGTGCCTTTGGGTAAGGGGAGGTGGCTCATATTCCCTTTTCCCATCCTGGGCAAGGCAGAGGGAGTAGCAGCTCTGTAGTCAGAGAAGCCTCCAGCCTTGAGGCTTAGATGTCACCAAAAGAAAACCCTATGGAAGTTCAGAAGACAGTGTCAAGTGGGTTTTTACTTTTTCTAATGAGCCACCTGGCGTTGGTACAGCACAGAGGCTCACTTCTCTGTTTTCCCCTCCTTGTTTGTCTCCTGAGGTCTCCTATGTCCTTAAGAGGGAAACCCCGCTGAGTTTCTCTCTCCTCCTTCAGAATCCAGTGCCACCTCATCCTCCCCTGTGATTGACACCTTCAGGAAGATCATCTGTGGGAGAGAAGGAACCCAGTCCCTGTCCACTAGCGACTCTCCTTTTGAGATTTGTGGAGATAGTTTAAAGCTCCCAAGGCTTGCCAGGTGTGCTGGCTCACGACTGTAATCCCAGCACTTTGGGAGGCCGAGGCAGATCACCTGAGGTCAGGAGTTTGAGACTAGCCTGGTCAACATGGTGAAACCCTGCCTCTACTAAAAATACTAAATTAGCCAGGCATGGTGGTGGGTGCCTGTAATCCCAGCTACTCAGGAGGCTGAGGCAGGAGAATCACTTGAACCCGAAAGGCAGAAGTTGCAGTGAGGTGAGATCACATCATTGCACTCTAGCCTGGACAAAAAGAGCAAAACTCCATCTCAAAAAAAAAAAAAAAAAAAAAAAAAAAAAGCTCCCAGGGTTTCTGTCTCTAACCTCAATTTACCAAGGACCAGCCACAGATGTGGGGAGAATCATGCTGTGTTTCACTCTCCCCTAGTGGAAATCTCAGCACCCGCAAAGGGAAGGACTCTTTCCTCACTCCACCTTAGAGAGTGAGAAGGGGCAGAGTGTGAATAGGAGTGGTAGCCCCCAACCTCACAGCACACATCTTTCTTTCTCCTCTGTGTGCCTCCGCATCGGGGTGCGCACTTCAGGCTTCTTCAGTATGCTTCTTCAGATGTTGAGATTTCCACCCTTCCACCCACATGCCCATACATATGTGCATGCGTGCATACACACACAGAGACACACAGACACACACACAGACACACACATGGTGGGCACTCATCGCTCCTCCCATGTTGCTTCCAGGAGTCATGTATTCATCTCGGACATATGTCTGGGTCCCAGGCTTTGACCGTAAGATCTGCTGGAGAAAATACATCAATTTTGTGCCAATATGGGGGTGGATACTGCCTGAGGTTCTGTGTCCCAGGACCTCACTCCCCGATTTCTATGTCTCGTCTCTTGGGAGGGCATGCAAACACCTCTTCCACCCTGGTTGGGGCACCTCTACATTCTCCAGGCACCGTGCTGCCATCAGTGGCCCACCGTGGGCTTGGCCCTCTCTCCGCCAGTCCTCTCAAAGGTAAGATGTGGTTGTATGAGTTGCCCTCACACCTCTGGCTGTGGTCTCCAGTTGCACCCAACACCCTGTTCAGGATTCTGGTGGGGCTACCGTAGAAAATTATGGTTTTTACGGTGGCCCACTAAGCTATGTCTAGCTGGTACTCCTAAATTTTGTAGTCACATTCAGATCAGGCTCCCAATGCTGCCATTGAACCCCAAGGTCAAGGTGGTGACTTAAATCAGAAAAGTAGTTGCAACCATCCTACACTTTATGCTGTTTCTTTTTTCTGATTCTCAGTAGCCTTGGCTTTCTTCTCTTCTAATAAATTAACTGAAATAAAAAGAGAAATCTAGGCACCCCCAGGGAACTCCAGCCACCCAGAATTTGCTAGTGGGAACTGGCTGAAAGCATTTTCCACCAACACTGTGTGATTCTTGTCTCCCTCTTATCCCATTATTTCCTCTCCACTGATTTAGGTAAAGATGTCTTTAATATCTTCATAAAACTGATTTTTTTCATTCTCATTTTCTTATTCCCTCTTAGACTCAGGTCAAAAAGTTAGCCATGTTTTTCTTATCACATCACATTCTACCCCATCAAAGACCTAAAGGAAAGCCCTCGGTTAGTCAAGTCCTCTGTGGTCTCTTGCCCCACATGACCCTATAGGGCCTCCGCGTGGTTCATATCCTGTGTTTCTGTCCAGGGCCCCGTTCTTGCACATTTCCCTAGTGTGTCCCACCCGTGGTTGAGCCCTTCTTCCCTGGCACCTGTTCTCAGTTTCTCTCCCTGGGACCAGCACCTGTTCCTGTGCTTTTCATGGACTGCCCGTCTTAGGCCCGTGTGTGGTGTGTGGTAGGGTGGTGGCACAAGATATCATGTCAGCTGGGACTCTCTCATCAACCTCCTCTGTTATATTTTTAAAATAAATCTTCCTTTCTTCTAAAGGAACAACCCAACTTTATTACAGTGCACAGTTGTGTGAGGCCCCTACACTAAATCTCACCTGTCATGGAAACTCCCATGGCCCATTGTGACTCCACCTCTCTGCCCGAACTATGCATTCTCAAAGCAATGCCCTCCACAGGAGAGAGATCCTGGCCTTCTCCACCACAGTTCCCTCCTGCTGAAAGCAGCTGCTTTTGCTGGTGCCATTGAGCAATGCTGGGAAGTTCCTCACCTCCACTGAGCTCCAGGGTACACTGAGGAACTGCAGGTTAACATCCCAGATGACAATCCCCAAAATGTTCTGATTCAGTGCCTGCAAAGTCATTGGCAATTAACAGAGAGAAAATAGCACTGTTGGACAGTCAGAAATCCACAAAGCCCCTAAAATGATGTTAAATTGCCCTTTTCCTATCAGATCACAGAGAGTTCTTCCTCAGTGGGTGTGAAATTTATTTTTTCTTTGGTCTCCATTTCTATTTCCCTTCCATTGCAACCCCCAGGATATTTTTACTTATCTGTCTCTGGAAAAGCTTGGACAATCTACCTCTTCCAATTTTCTCCTTGGTGAAACTAGAGGGTAAAATCTTACTATCCCAGATCCTTTAGAGTAAGCACTGTGTAAAGTGAAGGAATCTTTCTCATGACAATATCAAAAGCTTCCTCTGTCCTACCCTGGATATTATTTGCTATTTCTGTGTCTTTTCCCTGCTTTCCTCCCAGTGAAGTATTAATGAGGAGAGAAAAATCTCACCCTACTCTTAAGTATAGGTTTGAATCCAAGCTCCACCACCTCCTAGGTCTGAGAATTACATAAAATAGAGAATGAGAACATTCCGGATTTTGCCACTCAGTGCAAATTAGGTCCCATTGACATGGATGCCACACATTCTGAGAGCTCTGAGGCACCACCTGCTCCTGCAGGACGTTCGGCCCTTTGAGGCTTCCCCTCAGGTGTGCATGGAGCGGACTCAGTGCTGGGGTATTGTGGAACTGCCCATCTCTACCCAGCAGGCCCCACCTTCAGTCTCTGTGAAGTGCCTGACCCTGACCTCTCTCAGCACCCTGGGAAGACCCTGCCTCCCTCTCCTCTATTCCTAGTATTCTCTACAGGAATTCAACAAACGTTTCTGGAGCTTCTGACAACATTGTGCTCAGGATGTGTATAATAGGAGAGGCCTGAGGCACAAGGAGTGCCTCTGACTCTGTCTGTGTCCCCTCTCAGTGCCCACGGCCTAGCCCCCCGCTGTAATCCTGTCCAGCACTCGCTGTCTCCCATCCTCGCCGGCCTGCCTTCCCATGGCAGAACCATGCGTGCACATTTTAAAGTGCTGTCTGCAGAGGCAGTGTCAAAATTCAAGTTTGCCCTCCAAGGCCCATTCCTTTTTCCCTTTGGTTCCTTCAGCATGGAGTGAACATCAGGCCACTGTGCCCTCCCTGAGGTCGCCTGAGGCTTAGTCCTTGAACCACGAGAGAATTCAAAGCTTGTCCTGTGGCAAAAACTGAAATATATTTACAGGTTCAAAATGGCATTTTCCACCCAAATACTATCAGTGCTATGCTCACTAAAAGAAAATAGAATAAACAACAGTAACAAAAGATGGTAGGTAAAACAAAAAGCATAAGCAGCCTCATATATAAGGAGGTAAAAAATGCTTGGCAAATACAGTCAATTCTTACATGAAAGGGCAGGGAGCTTATTACCTGTGTTTAAAAATAATAAAAGACAGTGTATATGTGGAAAAATGCAAATTTCCACCCATCAGAGGAAACCTCTGGAACTACCCAAGAGGCACAACCTTGAGTGTCCTCTACTCCATCAGAATGTCACTGGAACATGGCAGGAACAAGAGAAAAGAAGAAGTTTAAACAACTAGCAATAAATTGTGGTGTTTTAGTTCCATGTGTTAGAAGTGCAGCTCCCTGGACCCTCCATGCACAGGCTGAGCCTGCTAGCCCTCCAGTGGGCGAGGTCGGTGTGGAAAAGGAAAGCTAAGAGCAGCGTCAAAAAAATGATCACTAATTTACTTATTTTACATCTTCTTCAATAACGACAAAAATAAGTCTCTTGGCAGAAAAGTAGTGAACAGGGAGAATGAACTCACAACATAAGGAGGTAATGAGCCATGCCCACTCACCAGGCCATCTGTAGGGCTGTGTGCAGAGCAGGGAGGACGGGATACTGAGTGCCAAAATGGTGTTGCGTAGGCTCCATTTCAACATTTGAAAAATAAAGAGCTTCGCTGAAAAACGAAAATAACAACAGATTGTTTTAATTGAGACAAACCTTTTACCCATTTTTCCTCTGCAATTGTAATGTTTTGTGTGCTTAAATGCTCATGTTTGTTATTCTTCCTATACTTGAAAAATGACGTCTGGAGAACAATCATGTTCTCAATACTTAATGTAGAATTAATATCGAATTAACTTGAATCATGTTTTCACCAGCTTCATTTTATCTTCAGTAACAATAATCTTTTCCCCTTTGTTGTCTGGTTAATTGAGGATGGGTAAAAATTATGTGTGTGTCTCACGGGGAACATCAGAACACAGGGGCTGTGAAGAGAACAGGGGCAAAGTCCTCAGAGGAATGGAAAATATTGAGAGGATGCCCTCTGAAAAGAAAGTAATTGATGGAGTGACCATGATTTTAGTGATATTAACCACCTGCACAAGAGATTGTGCTGGAGGAAGGTTACCAAATGCCATGATGAGAATAGATACTAGCATCCACAGTATCTCTCTAAGGAAAGTAAAATGCTTATAAAATAATGAATGTGTACTTAACAAGTCATGGTTTAAAAATGCTTTTAGAGTTCTTAGCTTATTCAATCCTCACAACATTCTGAGAGGTAAGCAATATTATTTCCTTTTCAAACAGAAGGCAAAGAATAAGAGGACAATTGTTTCTCCACCAGGCAAACTGGAGCTTTCATACAGATTTTGCCCTTTATTTGTTTAACCACTCTACATCCTTCCAAATGACAGTTTCAATAACGACCTCACTGGACTGTTGTGAAATAAGTAAAGCAATTAAAACAATGCCCAGAACCTAATGAACACACACACGTGGCTATTATTATAATAGATATGGAGAAAACTGAAGTCCAGAAGGTTAATTTAACTGGGTCTAGACTACACTGAAAATAAGTTGCCAGTGCAACTAGTGTATGTATTAAGGCTGAAGTCTGAGACTTTCTCAGTATTTCAGTTATGACTTTCAAAAGAGTGGCTATGAAGACATAGCAATATTACATATGCTTTGGTTATCCTTCCCAAATATAGTAAAAGTATGAAAAGATGCAGGTGTAGATGCAAGGTTATTCACTCTGGTACTATTTGTAGCAGAAAAAGAGTGCAATGACAACTCATGACTGCCATGTGATTGTTAGGATAAACTTTGATTCAGTTACACAATGGAGTAATCTGAAACAATACAAAGAAATGAGGAATAACTCAACATATTGTTATTGTGTGGTCTCCAGGATACAGTTTGAAGTGAACCAAGAGAAATGGGTGCAATGGTGTGGATATGGTTGTTTGTCCCCACCAAATGTCATGTAGAAGACTGATCCCCAGTGTGGTGGTATTGGGAGATGGGGCCTGGAGGGAAGTGGAGGCAAGGGGGCAGAGCCCTCTGAATGACTTGGTGCCTGTCTTGAAGTAGTGAGTAAGTTTTAGCTCTTGTGAGACAGGATTTGTTCTCAGGGGAATTGATCAGTTCCTTTGAGAGCCAAGACGCCCCTCGGGTTTGGTCTCTTTTCACATATGCCCACTTCCCTTTTGACCTTCTCTGACGTATTTTGACACAAACAAAAGCCCTCACCAAGCAAATGTCGGTCCCACACTTTTTGTACAACCTGCAGAACCATAAGCTAAATTATTCTCTTTACTTTATAAATTACCCAGCCTCAGGTATTCCTTTATAGCAATACAAAACAGACAAAAACAATGGGCAAGAAGGTATGTATATTATGCCTCTTCTTAACAAATAACAAGATAAATACACCCACAGATTCTTCTCAACTTGCTATGAAGCTACATTCTCATAAACTCATTGTAAGTTGAAATGCATTTAGTACCCTAGTAAACCTATTGTAAAGTAAAAAAAAAAAAAATCCTAAGTCAAATCATCATAAGTCCAGGTGCTTACTGATTTATGATGGTAATACATCCTGATAAACCCATCATAAAGTCAAAAAAATCGTAAATTGAATCACTGTAAGTCAGGGAAGTGACTTCCACTTTGGGGAAGATGGAGGAGATGTACTTTCCTATATTGTGTATGCTAATACAAATAAAAGCACTCAACATTATATACAAAGCAAACATTCAATGACTCCAAAGGGCAGAGAAAAGGAAGACTAGTAGGAACCTTAGAAACCAAGGATTGTTAGCTCTTTGGATTTTCTTTTTGCCTCATATTTTCCAAACATAGAAGTGAAGAAGTCAACTACTTATAAATACCAATATTAATAGACAAAAAGAACCCAAACAGAAGCCTGTTCTCCTGAGTCTGAGGACCATGAAGGAGCAGCCTAGCAAGACAAAAGAACACCCCAGAGAAAACTGTGGTTCCACTCACACTCACACCAGCAAAGTCCAAGTAAGGCACCTAGTGTTCCAACCTCTCCAGTTTGTAAGGAGGCATCCAACACCCCTACTGGTGTGGTATCAGAGAATGCCCAGTGGGAAACCAAGACTTTCATACCTACCAGAAAATAAAGAATCCTCTCTCCTCCTGCTTGGTGTCAGTGAGACCATATGGGGAGCCTGGACTTCCACCACCACCTCTTGGTAATGAGGCAT
Organism: Homo sapiens; assembly: GCF_000001405.40. NCBI lineage: Eukaryota > Metazoa > Chordata > Mammalia > Primates > Hominidae > Homo > Homo sapiens. The sequence goes on along the minus strand of NC_000010.11, from coordinate 44,550,272 downwards.
CCTTCCCCTCCCTAATGGGGCAGCATCAGAGGAGGCCTAGTGGGAAGTCTGGCCTTTCACCACTATTTTGTGATAATGAGGCTGTACCATCTGTGGTATCAGTGGAGTCTTAGAGGGGGGATATAACTCCTATTCCTGCCCAGCAATAAAGAGAAGGTTTCCTCCCACCTTGAGTGCCAATGGATGCAGGTGGAGACCTGGGCTTCGAACTCCACTGACCATAATGACACAGTGTCAGAAAAAGGCAGCTGACATAGGAGGCTTCAATAAGCTGCAGAGTTGCAAATCATAATCCAAAAAATGAAACGTTCTTAATAAAAAATTACTCATTATATCAAAAATCAGATTTAAAACTGAATGAAAAATCAATTGATGCCAAAATAAAGACAGTAGAACTATCTGGAAAAGATTTTAAAGCAGTCATCATAAAAATGCTTTAATGAACAATTATGAACAAGTTTGGAACAAACGAAATAAGAGTAAGTCTCTGCAAAGAAATAGAAGATATAAAGAAAATCAAATGGAAATGTACAAACTGAAAAATATAATTACACCAATTTTTAAAAAGTCCTCAATGAATGCACTGAACAGCAGACATGAGGGTCAAGGTGTCACCTGTAGAGGGTTGTGACTGCAAGTTGTCCAGGTTCTTGGCGTTTTGAACAAAGAATTGGACAAAACACTCAACAAAGCAAAGAAAGAATGAAGCAACAAAAGAATGAATGCAGGGATTTATTGAAAACAAAAGTACACTCCACAATGTGGGAGCAGACCCAAGGAGTGGCTCAAGGACCCCGATACATAATCTTCTTGAGTCCAAATACCCTCTAGAAGTTTTCCACTGGCCACTTCATGCTCACCTCATGTAAATGAAGTGGTGGCCGGCAATCAGTCTGATTGGTTGCAGAAAGCAGCCAACCAGAAGCTGAAGTGAAGTTACAAAGGTCACACTCCTGTCCATTTGTTGTGGACAGCCAATTTCCCATCTTGCCAGGCAGAAAAGGTCAAAGGGAGAAGCCTCTGGACCTTTGTTACTTAGGCGTGGAAAGTTAGGGTGTTCCTTTCAATTTAGTTCTAAGAAGTAGGCGTGAAACAGCCTTAGGTTCCCTACCTCCTGACCCTATTCTCCTGCCTCAAAGGGTGAACAGATAAAAGAATAGAAACTGTTCAGTCTGAACAACTGAAATAAGATAAACTGAAAAAAACTTATAGAGCAGAGACGTGTGGGAGTATAGCAAAAGGTCTAACATTTGTGTCATTGGAGCCCTGGAAGGAGAGGAGAAAGGGAGGAAGACAGAAAAATACCCAAAGTAATAATGGCTGAAAACATGCCAAATTTGAAGAAAAATACATAAATCTACTGATTCAAGAAGCAGAGCTAACCTAAACAGGACAACCCCATGGAAATCTATACCAAGACTCATCATGGTTAAACTTTTGTAAACTAAAGGCAAATAAAATATTTTGAAAGAAACAAGAGTGAAATTATACAATACCTATAGGGAACAACAATTTAGATGACAGAAGATTTCTCATCAGAAGCCATAGAGGTCAGAAGGAAGTGGCATACATTTTTTAAATAATGAAAGAAAAGAACTATCAACCCAGAATCCTATACCCAATGAAAATATCATTCAGGAATGAGAGGAAATAGAGATATTCTTAAGCAAAAAACAAACAAACAAAGAAACTCTCCAAATTTGTCACCAGCAGACCCAACCTAAAAGAATGACTAAAGGAAGTTCTCACAACAGAAAGGAAACAAGGGACCTCAGTATACCAGGGAGAATTAACACATAAGAAAAAAAATGTAGATAAATACAATTGTTTTCCTTCTACTCATGAGTTCTGTAAATTATGATTGATGGTTGAAACAAAAAGTATGATACTATCTGATGTGGTTCTATGCAGAGAAATACTTAATATAGTTATAAATGGGAGAGGATAAAGAGACATACAGGAAGATAAAATTTCTATATTTCACTTGAATTGATAAAATATGAAACCAGTAGGCTGTAACATATGTTAAATGTAATACCTAGAGCAACCAGTAAAACAGCTATACAAAGGTATACACTCATAGACAGGATAGAGATATCAAAATGGAATTCTAAAAAGTATTCAAGAAATCTACAGGAGGGCAAAAAAAGAAGCAAAATAGAGAAAAGAAACAGAAAACAAAAAAATGGTAGATTTAAACCCTAACATATCAATAACTATATTAAATGTAAATGGTCTAAACACATCAGTTAAGATAGAGACTGGGAAAGTGTATTAAAATATACCACCTAACTGGATTCTGTCTATAAGAAACTCACTTCACATGAAGTGATATAGACAGATTTAAAGTACAGAGTCCATGACTAACGATGTTTTAACGTACGATTTTTCTATCTTATAATGGGGGGGTATTAAATTTATTTTCAACTTGCAATGCTTTTGACTTATGAATGCTTATTGGGACACAGCCCCATCATAAGTCAAGAAACATCTGTAAAATAATTTTTAAAAACATGCTAATATTAACCAAGAGAAAACAGAAATGACTATATTGCTATCAGGTAGACTTCAGAGCAAAGAAAATTACTACACACAGAAATGGATGTTGTGTAGTGATAAAAAAGGTCAATCCACCAGAAGATGTAACATTCCTAAGGTGTATGCAACAAACAACAGAGCTGCAAAATATATGCAGCAAAAGCTGATAGAACTCAAAGGATAAATACACGAATCTACAATTATACTTGGAATCTTCCACACCCTTCTCTCAACAATTGATAAGACCCTGCTAAACAAAAAAATCAGCTATAATATAAAAAAAACTTAGCAACACCATTAACCAACAGATCTATATGACATATATGGAACATGCCACCCAACAACAACAGAATATGCATTGTTTTCCAGGGCTTACGTAGGACATATACATATACCAAGGTAGGCCACACCTGGGCAATAAAACATGTCTGAATACATTTTTTTTTTTAGTTTTTATTACTGGTGTTGAAATCTGGTCTTATTATGTTGCCCAGGCTGGTCTTGAACTCCTGGCCTTAGGCATTCCTCCTGGTTTGGCCTCCCAAAGTGCTGGGATTACAGGCAACCAGCCATGAATACATTTTTTGAAACTGAACTTATTCAGAGATTGTTCTCTGAATAAGTTCTCCCAGTGAAATCAAATTAGAAGTCATTTTTTTTAATTACAAGGAAATTTCCAAATAGTTGGAAACAAAATAACACACTTTTAAATAATACATAAATCAAAGAGGAAGTCTCAAGAGAAATTTAAAATGTATATATTTAACTGAACGAAAATGCAAATTGACATATCAAAATTTGTGAGGCACAGATGAAGTAATGTTGCAACAGAAATTTATAGCAGTAAAGGCAGCATTTAAAAAGATAAAAAGTCTCAAGTCAATAATCTAAGCTTACACATCAAAGACCTAGAAATACAAGACCAATATAAACCAAAAGCCAGTGGAAGGGAAAAAATATACTAAAGATAAGAGTGGAAATTATGAAAATAGAAAACAGAAAAGTAGTAGAGAATATAATGAATTAAGGAGCTGGTTCTTTTAAAAGATCAATAAAATTGACAAACCTCTAATAAGACTGGCAAAGAAAAAAGAGAGAAGACAAATTACCAGTATCAGTAATGAATCAGGAATATCACTGCAAACTCTGCATACAAACAAAAGATAATACGAAAGTGTTATGAAAAACACTATGTGTATAAATTAGAAAACTTAGATGAAATGAACCAATTCCTTAAAAAGAACAAACTATTACAGTTCATCAAATATAAAATAAATTGAGACCTAAAACTAAAGAAAATAAAATTAAATTCAAAAGTAAAACTCTACTCCCCCACCCCCACCAAATCTCCAAACCAGGATGGTTTTATTGGATAATTGCACAAAACATTTAAAGAATTGACACCAATTTGGTATAGTTTGTTCCAAGAAAATAGAGGATTAGAGACCCTTCCCAACTTGGTTATTGAAGACAGCATAAGTTGAATACCAAAACCAGGCAGATAGCACTAACAGAAAAGAAACAGACCCATTATCTCTCATGAATACATATACCAACAAAATCATTCACAGAATATTAACAAAGAAAATCTAGCAATATATGCAAAGAGTTATACACCATGGCCAACCCAGAGTTTATTCCAGGGATGCCAGTTTAGTTTAATATTAGAATATCAATCAATTAATCCACTATATTAACAAGCTGAAGTAGAAAAATTACATGATCAAATCAATTAATGTAGAAAGATTATTTGAAAATATATAACACCTGCTCATATAAAAATTATCCAAAACTAGGAATACAGGAGAACTTTCTCAACTTGATAAAGAGAATCTACAAAAAAAATACAGCTCACACCATACTTAATGGTGAAAGACTAATTACTACCTCCATAACTGTGGGGACAAGGCAAGAATGTTCCATCTCACTGCTCTTATTCAATATGGTGCTCAAAGTTCTGGCAGTGAAATATGGCAAGAGAAGAAAGTAAAAGAAATATAGATTGGAAATAAGTAAAATGCATTACTATTTTCAGACAGCATGATATTTTACAGGGAAAATCCCCAAAAATCTACCATAAAACTTTTAGAAGTAATAAATGAGTTCAGCCAGGTCACAGGATACAAGATAAACATGCAAAAATCCATTATATTTCTATATAATAACAATTAACATGTGAAAACCAAAACTTAAAATGTATTACCATACACAATTGCTCAAAAAAATAAATACTTAGGTATAAATTCAACAAAATATATAGAGTTTTTAGGCTGAAAACTACAAATCTCTGATGAAATAAAGAATATCTAAGTAAATGGAGAGCTATATTAAGTTCTTAGATTGGAAGATTCTACTAGAAAAAAAAAGTCAGTTTCCCTTAAATTAGCATACAGATTTAACACCATTCCTATTGAAACCCCAACAAGAATTTTAGATATAAGAAAAGTTATTCTATTAATTATTTGGAAAGGCAGAGGAACTACAATACCTGAAATAATTCTGAAAATGAAGAATAAAGCAAGAGGAATGTGCCTACCTGTCTACTTTTAAGATTTATACAGCTCACATAATCAAGATCCTATGGCATTTGCAGAGAAACAGACATTTAGGTCAACGGAATAGAACAGGTAGCCAATAAATATATCCCCACAAATATACTCAACTGATGTTTGACAAATGTGCAAAAGCAATTCAATGGTGGAAAGATAATCTTTTCAATAAATGCTCCTGGGGCAAAAAAAAAAAAAAAAAAAAAAAAAAAAAACCTCAACATACACCTCAGACCTTACACACAAAATAACTCAAAATGGATTGTAGACTTAAATATAAAATTGACTACAGCTATAAAACTAAAAAAAATAAAAAGACAAAACAGAGTACAGGAGAAATTCTTCAGGATCTAATACTAAGCACAAGTTGGCACCAACAATACAATCTATAAAAGAGAAAAAAAAATTGAACTTTATTAAAATTAAAAACATTTGCTTTGTGAAAGACTTTGTTTAGAGTATGAAAAGACAAGCTGTAAACTGGATAAACATATTTGCAAACCACATGCCAATAAAGGACTAATATCTGAACTCTGAAAATTCAACAGTAAAAAAACAAACAATCTGATTAGAAAATTAGCAGAAGACATGAACATTTACTAAAAAACATGAACAGATAGATGGAAAATAAGCAAATGAAAAGATAATCATCACTAACCATATTAGGTAGATCACTCAGGTAGAAAACTAACGAAGAAACTCTGGACTTAAACTCCACACTTGACCAACTGGACCTAATAGACATGTACAGAACACTCTACCCAACAACCACAGAATATACACACATTCTTCTCATCTGCGTATGGAACATATTCTAAGATTGGCCACATGCTCAGTCATAAAGCACATCTCAGTAAATTCAGAAAAACTGAAATCATGATCATATCAATTAATGTAGAAAGATTATTTGAAAATATATAACACCAAATACCAAAACCAGACAGATAGTGCTAATGGAAAGAAACAGACCCACATCTCTCATGAATACAGATACCAACAAAATCATTAACAGCATATTAACAAAGAAAATATAGCAATATATGCAAAGAATTATACACCATGGCCAACTCAGAGTTTATCAAACCCAGAGTTTATTCAAGGGATACCAGGAATGCACACTCTCATACCACAGTGCAATGAAAATAGAAATTAGTATCAAGATTTCTCAAAACTATATAAGTATATGGAAATTAAATAACTTGCTCCTGAATAAGTCCTGAGTGAACACTGAAATTAAAGTGAAATCAAAAAAACTACCTGAAGTTAATGAAAGTAAGGATACAACTTACCAAAATCTCTGGGATGCAGCCAAAGCAGTTTTAGGAGAAAAGTTTATAGCCCTAAATGCCTCCATCAGGAAGTTACAAAGATGTCAAATTAACAATCTAACAAGGCACCCAAAGAAGCTAGGAAAAAAAAAGAATAAATCAACCCTAAAGCGAGCAGAAGAACAGAAATAACTAAAATTAGGGAATAACTGAATGAAACTGAGATTTAAAAAATTCATACAAAAGATCAATGAAACTGAGAATTGGTGTCTTGAAAAAATAAACAAGATCGATACACCACTAGCTAAATTAACAAAAAACAAAGGAGAACATCCAAATAAGTACAATCAGAAACAACAAAGATGACATTACAACTGATCCTACAGAAATACAAAAGGTCCTCAGAGAATACTATGAAGAACTGTATGCACACAACTTAGAAAATCTAGAGAAAATGAATAAATTCTTGGAAACACACAATCTCCCAAGACTGAATCAGGAAGAGTTTGAAACCCTAAATAGACCAATATTGAGCTCTGAAATTAAAACCTTTCAACCAAACAAAGCCCTGGACAGGTAGATTCACAGCTGAATTTGACTAGATGTACAAAGAACTGGTAGCAATCCTACTGAAACTATTCCCAAAACAATGAGGAGGAGGGACTTTACCCTAAGTTATTCTATGATGCCAGTATCATCCTAATACCAAAATCTAGCAGATACACAACGAAGAAAGAAAACCTTAAGCCAATACCCCTCTTAAACATATATGCAAAAATTCTCAACAAAATACTAGCAAACTTAATCCAGTAGCACATCAAAAGTTAATTCACCATGATTAAGTGGGCTTTATTCCTGAGATGAAAAGTTGGTTCAACTTATGTAAGTCAACAAATGTGATACACCACACAAATGTAATTAGAACAAAAACCATATTATCTCAATAGATTCAGGAAAAGCTTTTGATAAAATCCAACATCCCTTCATGATAAAAAAAAAAAACTCTCTCAAAAGAAGACATTTATGCAGCCAAAAAACACATGAAAAAATGCTCATCATCACCGGCCATCAGAGAAATGCAAATCAAAACCACAATGAGATACCATCTCACACCAGTTAGAATGACGATCATTAAAAAGTCAGGAAACAACAGGTGCTGGAGAGGATGTGGAGAAATAGGAACACTTTTACACTGTTAGTGGGACTGTAAACTAGTTCAACCATTGTGGAAGTCAGTGTGGATCTAGAACTAGAAATACCATTTGACCCAGCCATCCCATTACTAGATATATACCCAAAGGATTATAAATCATGCTGCTGTAAAGACACATGCACACGTATGTTTATTGTGGCACTATTCACAATAGCAAAGACTTGGAACCAAGCCAAATGTCCAACAATGATAGACTGGATTAAGAAAATGTGGCACATATACACCATGGAATACTATGCAGCCATAAAAAATGATGAGTTCATGTCCTTTGCAGGGACATGGATGAAATTGGAAATCATCATTCTCAGCAAACTATCGCAAGGACAAAAAACCAAACACCGCATGTTCTCACTCATAGGTGGGAATTGAACAATGAGAACACATGGACACAGGAAGGGGAACATCACACACCGGGGACTGTTGTGGGGTGGGGGGAGGGGGGAAGGATAGCATTAGGAGATATACCTAATGCTAAATGACGAGTTAATGGGTGCAGCACACCAACATGGCACATGTATACATATGTAACAAACCTGCATGTTGTGCACATGTACCCTAAAACTTAAAGTATAATAATAATAAAAATAAATAAATAAATAAATAAAATAAAATTCACCTAAAAAAAACAAACAAAAAACAAAACGAAACAAAAAAACCCCTCAACATATTACGCATTGAAAGAACGTACCTCAAAATAATAACAGCCATCTATGACAAACACAGAGCCAACTTCACACTGAATGAGTGAAAGCTGGAACCATTCTCCTTGAGACCTGAAACAAGGTAAGGATGCTCACTCTAACCACTCCTATTCAACATAGTATTAGAAGTCCTAACCAGAGCAATAAAGCAAGAGAAAGAAATAAAAGGCATCCTAATGGAAAAAAAAAAAAAAGAAGTCAAAACATCTCTCTTCACTGATGATATAATTCTATACTTGGAAAAACCCTGAGTATTCTGCCAAAAGGCTGCTAGAACTGATCAATGGTTTTAGCAAGGATTCACAATTAAAAAATGTAAAAAATCAGTAACATGTCTATACACCAATATCATCCAGGCTGGGAGTCAAATTAAGAACACATTTCCATTTACAATAGCCACAAAGAAAATGAAATTTCTAGGAATACAGCTAATCAAGGAAGTAAAAGATTTCTACAAGGAGAACTAAAAAAACACTGCTGAAAGAAACCAGAGATGACACAAATAAATGGGAAAATATCCCATGCTTATGGACTGGAAGAATCAGTATCATTAAAATGACCTTCCTGCCCAAAGCAATTTACAGATTCAATGTTATTCCTATCAAACTATCAATGTCATTCTTCACGAAACTAGATAAAAACTATTCTAAAATTCATATGGAAAAAAAAGAGCCTGAATAGCTAAAAGTATCTTAAGCAAAAAAGAACAAAGCCAGAGGCATCACACTACCCAACTTCAAATTATACTATAAGGCTATAGTAGCCCAAATGGCATGGTACTGGTACAAAACCATACACATAGACCAATGGAACAGAATAGAAAACTTACAAATAAAGCTGCACACCTACAACCATCTGATCTTCAACAAGGCTAACAAAAGCAAGTGATGGGGCTAGGACTTCGTATTAAATAAATAGTTAAATAGTGATGGGATAACTGGCTATGTGTATGAAAAAGAATGATACTATATCCTTACTCTTCACTATATACAAAAATTAACTCAAGACGGATTAAAGATTTAAATATAAGACCTCAAACTATAAAACACGTAGAAGAAAACCTAGGAAATATCCTTCTTGACATTGGCCTTGACAAAGAATTTATGGCCAAGTCCCCAAAAGCGATTGCAACAAAAACAAATAATGACAAGTGGGACCTAATTAAACTAAACAGCTTCTGCACAGCAAAAGAGTAAACAAACAATGCACAGAATGGGGAGAAAATATTTACAAACTATGAACCCAAAAAAGGTCTAATATCCAGAATCTATAAGGAACTTAAATCAACAAGCAAAAAGCAAATAACACCATTAGAAAATAGGTAAAAGACATGAACAGACACATCTCAAAAGAAGACATATAAGTGGCCAAAAAACATATGAAAAAAACACTGATCATCACTAATCATCAGAGAAGTGCAGATCAAAACCACAAAGAGATACCAGTCAGAATGGCCATTATTAAAATGTCAAAAAAAAAAAAACAAAAAAAACAGATGTGGTCGGCCGGATGCGTGGCTCACGCCTGTAATCCCAGCACTTTGGGAGCTGAAGCAGGCTGATCATGAGGTCAGGAGGTCCAGACCATCCTGGCTAACAGGGTGAAACCCCGTCTCTACTAAAAACACAAAAAATTAGCCGGGCGTGGTGACAGGGGCCTGTAGTCTCAGCTACTGGGGAGGCTGAGGCAGTAGAATAGCTTGAACCTGGGAGGCAGAGGTTGCAGTGAGCCAAGATCATACCACTGCACTCCAGCCTGGGTGACAGAGTGAGACTTCATCTCAAAAACAAAATAAAAAAAACAACAGATGCTAGTGAGGCTGCAGAGAAAAGGGAATACTTCTGCATGTTTGGTAGGAATGTAAATTAGTTCAGTCACTGCAAAAAAGCATTTCAAAGATTTCTCAAAGAAGTTAAAGCAGAGCTACCATTTGATCCAGCAATCCATTACTGGATATATACCCAAAGTAATATAGATTATTATACCAAAAAGACACATGAACTTGTATGCTAATTGCAGCATTATTAATAATAGCAAAGTCATGGAATCAATCTAGGTGCCCATGAATGGTGGATTGAATAAAGAAAATATGGTACTTATACACCAGAAAACACTACACAGCCATCAAAAAGAATGAAATCATGTCCTTTACACCAACATGGATGGAGCTGGAGGCCATAATCCTAAATGAATTAACACAGGAATAAAAAACCAAATACTGCACGTTCTCACCTATAACTGGGAGCTAAACATTGAGCATACATGGATATAAATGTGGGAATAATAGACACTGTGGGCAACTAAGGGAGGAGGAAGAAGGGGGTTGTGTGTCGAAAAACTATTAGGTACAATGCTGACTACCTGGGTCCAATATATCCATGTAAGTATCCTATACGTGAAACCCCTATATCTAAAATAAAAGCTGAAAAAATTTTAAAAGATATGCAAATGAAAACCACAGGGTTATTATGCCACGCCTATCAGAATGGCTAAAATGAAAAATAATGCCAAAACAAAATGATAGTGAAGATGCAGAGAAATCCGATTATTATACATTGCTTGTGCGGGTATTAAATGGTAAAACTCTGCTGGAAAGCAGTTTGACAGTTTTATTATGAAATTAAACATGCAAGTATGATACAACCCAGAAACTGCACCCTTGGGCATTTATCCCAGGAAAATGGAAATGTATATGCATGCAAAACTTGTACATGGATTTTCATAGCACCTTTGTTCATAATAGGAAAAAAACTGGAAATAGCCCAGGTGCCCTTCAATGGGTGAATGGTTAACAATCTGTGGTATATCCATACCATGGAATACTACTCAGCAACAAAAAGAAATCTACTAGTGATACATGCAAAAGCTTGGATTTATCTTAAGAGAATTATGCCAAATGGAAAACGTAAATCCCAAAATGTTTCTGTATGATTCCATTGATATAATATTCTTGAAACCACAAAATTTTAGCTGTGGGGAACAGGTTAATAGTTCCCAGGGACCAAGGAGGAATAGGAGCAGGAGGAACACATAAAAGGGTCATGTGAGGCATCCTTGTGGTGATGGAACCCTTCTGTATCCTGACTCTATCCATGTCAGTATTCTAGTTGTGATATTGTAGTGTATTGCACAGTATTTTACATGCTGTGTGGTATTGTATATTACAGTTCCATATTGTACATATTGCACTGCATTGTATACTAGTTGTGATTTGCAAGATGTCACCTTCTGAAGAGCCTAAATAAAGGGTACACATTATTCCTCTTATTATTTCTTATCACTACAGGTGAGTCTACAATTTTCTTAAAAGTTTTATATTCACAGTAGCCAGATGTGGAAACAATTCAAATATCCACTGATGGAAGAATGGATAAACAAAAAGTACATGTGTGTGTGTATACAGTGGGATAGGAATATTATTCAGTCTTAAAAAGGAATACAATTCTGTCACATGCTACAAAGTGGATGAACCTTAAAGACATTATCCAAAGTGATATAAGCTATATACAAAAAGACAAATATTCTACAATGCTACTTACATGAGGTACCTAGAGTAGTCAAACTCTTAGAGACAGAAAGTAGAACAAAGTTCAGAGGGTGGGGAAGAGGAAATGGGGAGTCATTTAATGGGTACAGAGTTTCAGTACAGGATGATGAAAAAGTTCTGGGGATTGATAGTGGTGATGGTTGCAAAACAGTGTGAAGGAATTAATGTCAATAAATAGTACATTTAAAATAGTAAAATTGTAAATTTTATGACATATATATGTTTAATTTTGAGTCTTCCCCTTTTTAATGTGATTACATTTAAATGTAACCCATCCTATCCCATCCTCATCCCACAAGTGCCTCCATGAATAATCAAGCAGTACCCCATTGGTACCAGATGAACAAAGCAGACCAGAATAGGAGTGCAAGGGCTCTAAAAGCCAAATTGTAGCCACAACTTCAGGGTGATGAAACTAAACAGGAAACCTGACTGCTAAAACAGAAGATTTAAATGGGATTCAGAATTTCCCATCATAAAACCAAAAATGTCCAGTGTACAATAGAGAATCACTCATCTTACTAAGAACCAGGAAAACTCATCTTGAATGAGAAAAGGTAATCAAATAATATCAATACTGAGACAAACCACAGTTAAATGTAACCGCATTAAAAAGGGGAAAGCCCAAAACTAAACAACAGAAATAAAGAATTACATTTTAGTGAGGAAGAGAACATGATGGAGGGAACAGGGGTAGAGGCTACACTTTCTATTTGTTTTCTTTTGGTAGATTTTATTTTTTTGAAGCACGTTTGCATAATTACAATATGATTAAATTTAAAATAATAAATCTCTAAAAAAAACCTAATTTCAAGAAATACACCTGACTATATTGACTCATGGCATAAACGTACAGAAATAAAATACTATAAAATTAAAGAAATGTAAAGTTTTCAATAATCATATCATTGGAGATAATTTTGGTGGTGGTGTTCTGAGGTGAATCTTTATGTGTTTCAACATAAAACAAATGAGCAATTTTGCTGGAGTTACTGAGAACTGGGAATTTTAGCCTGGGGAAATGAAGATACAAATGTAAGATAAATGGGGTTAAGAAAAAACTATAGTCTGCAGTCTTTTGGTCCCAGACAACACATCATAGACTCCCCTCTAAATTGAATTAAAAATCTTGCAAATACTTTAACATGCAATCAAAATATATCTCTATAAGTTGGAAACAGGACAGCAGAATTGCTAGTCACCTCTGGACTTGTGGAATGAACTAGTTATGCATCCTGAGTCTTTGATTTACCATATATCCCAGACTTGGCAATGGAGAGGTGTGCCACCTGGGACTGTCAGCAGGTTCAGACAGAGAAAGCCCTAAGAAAAGTCTGCTTTCAGGTCAAAATACAGAGAAAAGGGTGGCCCAGCAGAGTTAGATTGGAGAGCTCCACTCTCACTCCATAACCAGTGGCAACTGGTGTGCTTGTGCCACCTGCATCGGCAATGCCAGAGAAGACCAGATGGGGAGTTTCCTTTTCCTTTCCTCAATCAGCAGCAGCTTCAGATGGACCCACATCACCACCTGCTACTCACAGCAGAAGCACAGACACAGACTGGATGGTGAGCCCCATTTCTGTTTGCCACCCAGTAGCAGCAGTTTGCTCTTTCTGCTGGAGATGGTGGCAGGTGAAGACTGTGTGGGGAGTGCCATCTTTCACATACCCACCTGCTAGTGGCATAAGCAGAGACAGAGCAAGGAGCTCTCTCTTCTGTCCCCTATGCAATGACAGCAGGAGGCCTGCTTGCCACCTCTACTAGTTCCACCAGAGGAACCAGCAAGCCCAGAATCTCCTATTCAGCAGTAGAAAGTGACCCAGACTTGGTCTCCCAACCCTCTACCTGCAGAAGATGGCAACCTATTCCTAGTGTCTCCTGGCCCTTTGCCCTTTGGCAGAGGGTTACTTAGGCCCAGGGTCTTCTGACTACCATCTCCAGTGACAGAATGCATCATGAATGGGCACTTTCAAGCAGGAAGCCAGTAGCATAAGGAGAACCAGAGAGTAGGCCCAGGGAAACGATACTTATCCTGTAGGACTGGACTTCCCCAACTCCTGTCTAGCAGCACTGGAGGCCCAGGCAAGCACTTTCTATGCCTACAAGCAACACCATAGTGGTCAAGTGAGATTTCTTCCAGCACTGGGCAGCCCAGAGGGGAGACTGCAGGAAGTGCTCACTGCCTTGGTTACCCGGTGACTCCTATACTCAACAGAGCAATACCAGATCCAGGGAAGTGCCCTCTGCTCCCCATCCCACAGGTGCCTCCATGAAGAATCAAGCAGTAGCCCCATTGGTACCAGATGAACAAAGCAGACCAGAATAGAAGTGCAAGGGCTCTAAAAGCCAAATTGTAGCCACAACTTCAGCGTGCTAAAACTAAACAGGAAACCTGACTGCTAAAATAGAAGATTTAAATGGGATTGAGAATTTCCCATCATAAAACCAAAAATGTCCAGTGTACAATAGAGAATCACTCATCTTACTAAGAATCAGGAAAACTCACCTTGAATGAGAAAAGATAATCAAATAATATCAATACCGAGATGAACCAGATGGTGAAATTATCTAAAAGATTTTAAAGCATATCATCATAAAATGCATCAATGATCAATCGCAAATTCTTTTGAAAGAAATGCAATGCAAAAAATAGAAAACCTCAGCAAACAAATGTAAGTTATTTTAAAAGAATCAAATAGAAATTATATAACTGAAAAATATAATAGCCAAAACAAAAGTGTTGATAGATGGGCTCAATAGTAAAGTGGAAATGACAGAGGTTGGAATCAGCAAATCTGAGGACATATTGATAGAATCTGCTCAATATGAAAAAGAGAGAGAAAAAAATAGGCTGGAAAAAATAACAAGCCTCAGGAACTTGGAGGATAGTAACAAAAGGGTTAGCTTTAGTTTATTGGGATTAAAAAAGCATTCGACAAAATAATAGATAAAGCTTCTTAATTTGGCAAAACATATAAACTTATAAATTTACAAATCTTAGCAAACCCTCAATAGGATAATAAATGCAAATAAATCTATGCCAAGACACATCACAACATTACAAGTAAATTTCTGAAAACCAAAGATAAAGGAAAAAAACCTTAAAGGTAACCAGACAGAAATGGCGAATTACTCATATGGGAGCATCAATTCCATTGACAGTGAATTTCTCATTTAAAACCATTTATAGAAAAAGGAATTGGCACAGCATGTTAAAGTGCTGAAATAATAGGATTGACCAGTTTAAATTCTTTTTGTGGCAAAAGTCTTCTTTAAGAATGAAGAAGAAATATAGCCATTATCAATCCAAGGAAAATCAAGAGAATTAGTTCCCTTCTGGACTACCCTTAAAGAATGTCTATGGGGAGTTCTTTAGACAGCTGAAGAAGCTTTAGATAACAGAAAAAGCTTTGGAACTTCAGAAAAGAAAGAACAATAGAATGGTTAAAATGATCTTAAATATAGTAGACATTGTTTTCCTCATAAACTTTTAAAATCATAATTAAAGGTTGAAGCAAAAAAAATGACAGCAATCATCTTTTGTGGTGCTCAGATTATGGAGAAGAACTATGTAAGACACTTACATTTAAGAAGTGAGTAATTTACAATGAGATACCATCTCACACCAGTTAGAATGGCAATCATTAAAAAGTCAGGAAACAACAGGTGCTGGAGAGGATGTGGAGAAATAGGAACACTTTTACACTGTTGGTGGGACTGTAAACTAGTTCAACCATTGTGGAAGTCAGTGTGGCGATTCCTCAGGGATCTAGAACTAGAAATACCATTTGACCCAGCCATCCCATTACTGGGTATATACCCAAAGCATTTTAAATCACGCTGCTATAAAGACACATGCACACGTATGATTATTGCGGCATTATTCACAATAGCAAAGACTTGGAACCAACCCAAATGTCCAACAATGATAGACTGGATTAAGAAAATGTGGCACATATACACCATGGAATACTATGCAGCCATAAAAAATGATGAGTTCATGTCCTTTGTAGGGACATGGATGAAATTGGAAACCATCATTCTCAGTAAACTATCGCAAGAACAAAAAACCAAACACCGCATATTCTCACTCATAGGTGGGAATTGAACAATGAGATCACATGGACACAGGAAGGGGAATATCACACTCTGGGGACTGTGGTGGGGTGGGGGGAGGGGGGAGGGATAGCATTGGGAGATATACCTAATGCTAGATGACGAGTTAGTGGGTGCAGTGCACCAGCATGGCACAAGTATACATATGTAACTAACCGGCACAATGTGCACATGTACCCTAAAACTTAAAGTATAATAATAAAAAAAAAAAAAGAAGTGAGTAATTTAAAGGGACCTGGATGGAAGTAAGTTATCTACACTTTATTCAAAGTGGTGACACATCAATAATAGTAGCATGTGGTGTAATATTAAACGATATTGTATACTTAAAGTAGGCAATAAGAAAAGTACACAAAGACATAAAATGGTGTGAATAAATTTATAAAATTCTAAAACATGGTGAAGTAATCCACAAGAAGATAAAAAGAGATAAAGAAGGGGTGAACAATAGAACAATCAGAAAACGAATGATAAAATGACGGAATCAAGTCTAAACCAACTGATGATTACTTTAAATGTTATTGGTCAAAACACTCCAGTCAAAATACAGATATTGACATAGTGGATTAGAAAACATGAACCAATTATGTGCTGTCTACAAGAAACTCACATTAAACATAACATAGGTAGATTGAAACTGAAGAGATAGAAAAGATATACCATGTAAATACTAATTTTAGAAAGCAGGCATGGGTACATCTTATCAGGTAGAGTAGATTCATAGCAAAAAAAGAAATTTGGGACAAGGAGAGCCATTACGTAATGACATTTTTGTCAATCCACAAAGAAGACATAGTGAACCTGATTGTGTATTCACCAAATAGCAGCACTTCAAAGCATATTAAGCAAAAACTCATAAAACTTACAGAATAGGCAAATCAACAGTTAAAATTAGGGACTTCAACACCAACCTATCCACAATTAATAGGACAGCTAGATAGAAATTCAGAAAATATGTAGACAATCTAAACAACATAATCTGCCAACAGGATTTCATTGACCAATAAGAACATTTCACCCAACAGTGCAGAATATACATTATTTTCAAGGACCTATGGAACATTCACCAAGATCCACCATATCCTTTGCCATTAAAGAAAAACTGAAAAGGCTGCCATTAAAGAAAACTGAAAAGTGGCTCACGCCTGTAATCCCAGCACTTTGGGAGGCCGAGGCGGGCAGATCACCTGAGGTCGGGAGTTCAAGACCAGCCTGACCAACATGGAGAAACCCCGTCTCTACTAAAAATACAAAATTAGCCAGTTGTGGTGGTGCATGCCTGTAATCCCAGCTACTCAGGAGGCTGAGATAGGAGAATCACTTGAACCCAGGAGGTGGAGGTTGTGGTGAGCTGAGATCACGCCATTGCACTCCAGCCTGGGTGACAAGAGCAAAACTCCATCCCAAAAGAGAAAAAAGAAAAAGAAAAGAAAAAAAGAAAACTGAAAAAAAAGTAAATAATTAAAATTATACAGATTATCTCTCTCTACTTCAAACTTGATAATTTCAATTGTCGTCTATTCAAGCTCATTGTTTCTTTCTTCTGCCTGCCAGATATTATTTTGAATTCCACTAGTGAATTTTTTTATTCCAGTTAATGAAATTTCCAGAATTTCTATTTGATTCCTTTACATTATCTTTAATAATACTGTCACTTTGTTCATGTCTTATCTTTCTAGTTTACTTAAGCTTTTGGCTCATGCTTTACGTTAGCCTTAAATATATTTAAGATAGTCGACTTAACGCCTTTTAGTAAATACAGTATCTTAGCTTCCTCAGGGGTGATTTCTATCAATTCATTTACTTTTTCTCTGAATGGCCCATACTCAGGTCTTATTCTGAGCATGTGTCTAGTCCTAGGCATTCATATTGCACTTTCTTTCCCCCCCAGTATATGTTATTGCCCTTCCACTTATTTCCACAAGAGACTTCTTTCTCTGCCTCCTTTGTTCTAAGTTTTTATGTTTGCCTCCTGCCCCATATACTGTCTCTTGCCATAGGTGAGCATGGATAGCATATTCTTTCAATCTTTCTACAGACACTGCCACTGCCAGGGAGGGTGCTCCAGTCTAAAGGGAGGACATAGGAAAAGACAGCTTTTATCTTCATTCCTCAGGGAACCACCAGATGGGTCAAAAGGCACAATCACCATATACTAAAAACAAAGCCCCAGATAGCTCCCTGGCACCAGCAAGCCATATCGGAAACATGCAGGGAATCAAATACAAATTCTGAGAATTTTAATAACAAAAATGAAAAATTTACTGAAGAGTTTATATATTTGTGCAGTCAGAAGAAAGAATCTGTGAACTTGAAGATAGGGAAATTGCAATGATTAAATCTGAAGAACAAAAAGAAAAAAGAATAAGGAAAAGTGAACAGAACCTAAAGGAACTGTGGGACACCATCAAGTTGACCAACATGCAAAGTATAGAAATTGAAGAAGAAGAGAGAGATAAACAGAGAGAAAAAAATTTTCACAAAAACAGTAGTCAAAATTTTCCTAATTTGATGAAAGAAATTAATCGATACATCCAAGAAGATCAATGAACTCCACATTGAATAAACTTAAAAAGAGCCACATTAATATAAATCATAATGAAACTGTCAAAAGACAAAAGCAACAATAATCCTGAAAGCACCAGGAGAGAAGTGATTTGTCATGTACAAGGGATCTGATATGATTTGGATGTCTGTCCCCTCCTAACCTCATTTCGAATCATGATTGCCACTGTCGGAGGTGGGACCTACTGGGAGGTGTTTGTGTCCTGGGGGAAGATCTCTCATGAATGGCTTGGTGCCATCCCCACATCAATGAGCTCATGTGAGTTATGGTTGTTAGAGTGGTTGGGACCTCCACCCTCCTTCTTACTACCTTTGTTGCTATGTGAAATGCCAACTCCCCTTTCCTTCTGCCACGAGTAAAAGCTTTCTGAGGCCCTCACCAGAAGCAGATGCCTGAGCTATGACTTTTATGTCGTCTGCAGAACCATGAACCAAAATAAACCGCTTAAAAAAAAATACCTAGCCTCAGGTATTCCTGTATAGCAATACAGAGCAGATTAATACAGGATCCTCAGTGAGAGTTTAATTTATCATCAGAAACCATGGAGGCCAGAATGCAGTGGAATAAAACACTTAAAGTGCTGAAATTTAAAAAAAATTAATGCAGAATGATATATATATAGCCAAACTATTTGTTTTATTTTCTGCATAATTAAAAATGAATAAATAAAAAGAATTGTAAATATACGTTAATGGACAAACAATATCTAAAGATATAATTTATGACAATAACAAACGGGATTGGAAAAGAGCTGTAGAGGAGCAGGCTTTTTTAATGCTATTGAAAGTAAATTGGTATCCATTAAACTAGATTGCTGTAAATGTAGGATGTTAATTGAAATCTCCATGATAACTACTAGGAAAATACCCCAAAAAAAGTATACACAAAAGGAAATGAGAAGAGAATGAAAATGGTACACTGCAAAAAATCAAACACAAAAAAGGCAGTAATGGAGAATCCAAGAAAAAATGTATAAACATACAGAAAACAATCAGCAAATGGCAGAAATAAGTCCTTTCTTATCAGTAATTACTTAAATATAAATGGATTAAACTTCCAATCAAAGGACATAGACAGGCAGAGTGGATAAAGAAAACAGAGCCCAACTAGTCTTCAAGAGACTCGCTTTAGATTTAAGCACACTAATAAGGTGAACAAGAAAAGATGAAAAGGGATATTTTATGCAAATAGTAACCAAAAGAGAGCAGGAGTGGCTACACTTAAATCATGGGGGTCATGGGGGCAGATGCCTCATGAATGGTTTAACTCATTTTAGAAAGTGTTGTTTAATTTTTATATATTTGTGAACTTTCCAGTTTTACGTCCGTTATTTATTTCTAGCTTTATTCCACTTTGGTTCAAGAAGATACCTTGTGTTGTTTCAATCTTTTGAAGCTCATTAAGACTAGTTTTGTAGCCTAAAACATAGTCTATTTTGAAGAATGATTTATGTGTGCTTGAAAATAATGTGTATTTTCCAGTTGTTGGGTTGAAGTTTCTTTATTTATGTTAGGTTTAGTCTATATGTTCTGTCCAGAATTGGAAACTTTGGTGACAAGTGAGTTCTTGCTCCGTTAGTTCACATGAGATCTGGCTGTTTAAAACAGTCTGGAACATCTCCCTTCTCTCTCTTGCCTCCTCTCTCACCATGTGACATGTCTGCTCCCGCTTTGACTTCTGCCATGAGTAAAAGCTCCCTGAGGCCTCCCCAGAAGTCAAGCAGCTGCCAGGACCACGCTTCCTACACAGCCTGCAGAACCATGAGCCAGTTAAACCTCATTTCTTTAAAAATTAACCAGTCTCAGGTATTCATTTACAGCAACACAAAAATGGTCTAATACAACAGAATTAAAGGTAGAAAGAGATACTTCTACAATAATGATTGGAGGTTTTACTACATGGCTTCCGATATTGTGTCAGCAAATTTGAAAACCTAGATGAAACTGATAAATTCCTAGAAATAAGTTGTCAGACCTGTTTCCAGGGAAAATATGAAATCTGAACAGACCTATACAAGAGATTGACTCACTAATCAAAAGCTTCCTAAAAAATAAAATTCCAGGATGAAATGGCTTTATTGGTGAATTCTACCAAATATTTTAAAGAAATACACCAATCTTTCTCAAACTCTTATACAAAATGTAACAGGAAAGAACACATCTCGACTCTTTCTATGAGGCCACTATAATCTTGATACCAAAGCCAGACAAAGACATCACAACAAAAGAAAACTACAGGCCAATACTTCTTATGAATACAGAATCAAAAATCCTCAAAAAAATTCTAGCCAACCAAATCCAACAGCATATTATAACAATTATACACCATGACTAAGTTGAACTTATCCCAGATATGGAAGGATAGTTTGACATAAGAAAGTCAATCAATGTAATATACCACGTTAATAGAACAAACAACAACAAAAAGGATCATCTCAATTGATGCAGAAAACAACCTTTTATAATAAACAACACCCTTTCATAATAAAAACACAGAGCACTAGGAATAGAAAAATCATCTCAACATGATAAAGGTGATTTTTGAAAAACGCACAGCTAGCATTATATGTAATGATAAAAGTCTGAAAGTTTTCCTCCTAGGAGCAGAAACAAGAAAAGGATGTCTTTTTTTTTGCACTGCTATTCAACATTGTACTGGAAGTTCTAGTCAGAGCAATTAGTCAAGAAAAAGAAATCAAAGGCTTCCATATTTGATAAAAAGAAGTAAAATTACTGCTATTCACAAATGACATGATTTACATGTAGAAAATGCCAAAGAAACCACGCACACACACAGCAACTAGAACTAAAATTAATTCAGCAAAGTTGCAGGGTACAAAATAAATAAATGAACATTAGTTGTGTTTCTGTACATCAGCAATGAACAATCTGAAAATAAAATTAAGAAAACAATTCCATTTACAATAGCATCCAAAACAGTATAATATCTAGAAATAAATTTAACCAAAGAGATGAAAGATTTATATATACCAAAAACTAGAAAAAAAATAGAAAATATTTCTGTAGGAAATAAAAGAAGGCCTAAATAAAATGGACTTTATTATTGGTTTGAATGTAGTAATGTTGCTTTCAATTGCTTTGTATTGAAAATTTAAAGCTTTGATATTACATGGTACGTTGCTGTATTACAGCTTAAGACCTTAAATGTATTGTCATTGACAGTAATTGATTTCAGAATTGTTGTTGGAAACAATCATTTATAATTTGAGGATTGCATATACATCACTTCCCTGTGGAGAAATATTTGCATACTGAAAAATCATGTGTAAATAAAAGCGCCATTCGGAATTAATGATAAAAAAATGTAAAGCCATCTTATGTTTGTGGATTTAAAATTTTAATATTTTGGCTGGGCACGGTGGCTCATGACTGTAATCCCAGCACTTTGGGAAGCCAAAGGGGGGTGAATCACCTGAGGTCAGGAGTTTGCGACCAGCCTGACCAACATGGCAAAACCCTGTCTCTACTAAAAATACAAAGATTAGCTGGGTGTAGTGGCACACGCCTGTAATCCCAGCTACTTGGGAGGCTGAGGCAGGAGAATCCCTTGAACCTGGGAGGTGGAGGTTGCAGTGAGCCGAGATTGCGCCATTGCACTACACCCTGGGTGACAAGAGCGAAACTCCATCTCAAGAAAAAAAAAAAAGAAAATTTATTATTTTTAATATGGTAATATTTCCCACAGTGATCTATTGATTCAATGCAATGCCTATCAAAATTACAATGACTTTCTGCAGAAATAGAGAAGCTGATATTCGAATTCATATGGAATTTCAAATGCTGTCATATAGTCAAAGTAGTCTTGAAAAAGGAGAACAAATTTGGAGGACTCACGCTTCCAATTTCAAACTTCCTACAAAGCTACAATAATCAAATCAATGTAATAAGTTATAAGGATAGACATAGACTAATGGAATAGAATTAAGAATCTAGAAATAAACCCATACCTCTATGGCTAATTGATTTTCTACAAAGTTCCCAAGATGATTAAATGGTGGAAAGAATCATTTCTTTAATAAATGATGCTAAAACAACTGGATATTCACATGTCAAAAAAAGTGAATTTGAACTCCTACATCACACCGTATACAAAACTTGTTTAACAAGGGATCAATTACCTAAATAGGAGAGCAAACCTCACAAAACGCTTAGAAGAAAACATAGGGGTAAAACTTCATAACCAGGGATTTGGCAATATAATTTTAGACATGACACCAAAATCACAAGCAACAAAAGAAAAAAAATAGATAAACTGACTTCAAAAAAAAAAAGGAAAAAAATTTCACCTAAGGACATTATTTTAAAAGTGAATAGACAGTCCATAGAATGGGTGCAAATATTTGTTAATCGTATATCTAATAAGGATCTAATACTCAGAATATACAAAGAACTCTTACTACTCAACAACAAAAAGACAATGCTGTTTAAAAATGGGCAAAAGACTTAACAGCAATCCCTCCAAAAAAGATACAAATGGCCAGCAAGTTCATGAAAATACGTTTGACATAGTTACTAACTAGGCAAATGCTAACCAAAACCAGAATGAGGTAGCACTTTACACTCAGGACGATGGCTATAAAAAGAAGAATGGTAAATAGCAAGTGTTGGCAAGAATGTAAAGGAATTATAACTCTTTTACGTTACTTGTGGGATTGTAAAATGGTTAAGCCACTGTAGAAAACAGTCAGCAATTCCTCAAAAAGTTAAACATGGATTACCATGTGATCTAGTTATTCCACTCCAAGGTATGTGCTCAAAAGAATTGAAACTGGTTCTTAAATAAATACATGTACCTGTATGTTAATTGCAGAACTATTTACAATAGGCCAAAAGTGAATGCTGCCCAACTGCACATCAACAGATGAATGAACTAATTAGTACACCCATGTATTGGAATACTATCAAGCCACAAAAATGAATGAAGTACTGATGCATCCTACCATGTGGGTGAATCTCAAAAATATTGTGCAAGTAAGAAGTCAGACACAAAGTATCACATACTTTATATCTTTTATATGACATGATTAAATTAGGTAAATCCCAAAACACAAAACACAGATAGGTTGTTACCAGGGATGGAGGTGGAACTGTTAATAGGGAAGAGATTTCCTTGTGGGATGATAGAAATGTTTTGGAACAACACAGAGGTGGTGGTTGCACAATATTGACCCTAAATTATTCCCTTAAAATTCTTAATTTTATGTTATATGAATTTCACTTCAATGAAGAAAAAAATAACTCAGAAAAAAACCCCAATCTAATTAGAAAAGGGTAAAAAATGTGAATAAATATTTTAACAAAGAAGAGATAAATGGCAAACTAACACAATGAAAAGATGTTCAACATAATTAGCCATTAGGAAAATGCAAATTAAAACAAAAATGATATATTGTTACACGCCTATCAGAATGGCTGAAACAAAAAATAACAATTTTAAAAAAATCCTTATGAAGATGAGAAGAAAATATATCACCTACACATTCCAGGTGGGAATGTAAAATGGTACAGCCACTCTGAAAAAACTTGGCAGACTCTCACAAAACTAAACACATTCACCATACTACTCAGCAATTGCACTTCTGAGCATTTGTTCTAGAGAAATGAAAACTTTTGTCCACACAAAAACCTGTACACATATTGGAACACTGGAAATATCCCAAATGTCTTTCAATGGGGAGATGCCTGAACAAGCCGTGATATATACATACCATGGAATACTCATCAGCAATAAAATGGAAACAACTATTGATATACCTTCCAACACTTTAGATGGATCCCAGGAGAACTATTCTGAAAGACAAAGCCAAGCTCAAATGGTTACATACTCCATGATTTTCTTTACATAACATTCTTGAAAAAAATTATAGAAATAGAAAATATCAAAATAGCCTATTGGTTGCCAAGAGTTAGGGGTAGCGGGTGGGGAGAGAGGAGAGATGCGTGTGGCTATAAAGTGGTAGCCAGCACAGGAGAGCCTTGTGGTGGTGGAAAGATTCTGTATCTTGGTTGTTGTGGTGGTTACACAAATCTACATATGAGATAAAATGGCAAAAGCTATACACGCACAAACAAGTGTTTATAAAACTGATGAGATGTGAATGTTTTCTGGATTGTACCAATATTAATATCCCAGTTAGTACAGTGTACTAACTGGGATATCATGCAAAACATTGCCACTGGTTGAGGCCGGGGGAAGGCTGCAGGGGACCTTGCTATGCATCTTTTTAAACAAAGTGTGAATCTATTATTTCAAAATAAAATCTTTTTTAGAATCTTGTATTAATAGTTCTGTGTCTTAATGGAAGCATCTGTGAATTATGATATGTTTTATTCTTACATACGCACATACACCCATGTGCACTGACAAGTTCTGTCCACTAGAAAGGCCTCTTAACAATGATCACGCCAAGAGCAAGGAGCACCCTAGCACCCAGGCTACAGCCTCACCATCTCACAGGAAAGGAAACTGGACCCAGGCAATAAGCAAATCCTGGTTTGGGGCAGGAAGAGCCCAGAACACAATTCAGCTCTCAAAGACTACTTGGGTTGTGTCAAAAGAATTCAGAAATTATCAACCATGATCAAGTGGACTTCATCCCTGGGATGCAAGGCTGGTTCAGCATACTCAAATCAATAAACGTAATCCAGCATATAAACAGAATCAAAGACAAAAAATACCTGATTATTCAATAGATGCAGAAAAGGCCTTTGACAAAATTCAACAGCCCTTCATGCTGAAAACTCTCAAGAAACTAAGTTATTGATGGAACATATCTCAAAATAATAAGAGCTATTTATGACGAAACCACAGCAAATATCATACTGAATGGGCAAAAACTGGAAGCATTCCCTTTGAAAACTGGCACAAGACAGGGGTGCCCTCTCTCACCACTCCTATTCAACATAGTGTTGGAAGTTCTGGCCAGGGCAATCAGGCAGGAGAAAGAAATAAAGGGTATTCAATTAGGAAAAGAGGAAGTCAAATTGTCCCTGTTTGCAGATGACATGATTGTGTATTTAGAAAACCCCATCATCTCAGTCCAAAATCTCCTTAAGCTGATAAGCAACTTCAGCAAAGTCTCAGGATACAAAATCAATGTGCAAAAATCACAAGCATTGTTATCACCAATAACAGACTAACAGAGAGCCAAATCATGAGTGAACTCCCATTCAGAATTGCTTAAAAGAGAATAAAATACCTAGGAATCCAACTTACAGGGATGTTAAGGACCTCTTCAAGGAGAACTACAAACCACTGCTCAGTGAAATAAAAGAAGACACAAACAAATAGAGGAACATTCCATGCTCATGGATAGGAAGAATCAATATTGTGAAAATGGCCATACTGCCCTAGGTCATTTATAGATTCAATGCCAACCCCATCCCGCTACCAATGACTTTCTTCACAGAATTGGAAAAAACTACTTTAAAGTTCATATGGAACTGAAAAAGAACCCGCATTGCCAAGACAATCCTAAGCCAAAAGAACAAAGCTGGAGACATCACGCTACTTGACTTCAGACTATACTACAAGCCTACAGTAATCAAAACAGCATGGTACTGGTACCAAAACAGAGATATAGACCAATGGAACAGAACAGAGCCCTCAGAAATAATACCACACATCTAATCTGATCTTTGACAAACCTGACAAAAACAAGAAATGAGGAAACGATTCCCTATTTAATAAATGGTGTTGGGAAAACTGGCTAGCCATATGTAGAAAGCTGAAACTGGATCTCTTCCTTACACCTTATACAAAAATTAATTCAAGATGGATTAAAGACTTACATGTTAGACCTAAAACCACAAAAACCATAGAAGAAAACCTAGGCGGTACCATTCATGACATAGGCATGGGCAAGGACTTCATGTCTAAAACACCAAAAGCAATGGCAACAAAAGCCAAAATTGACAAATGGGATCTAAATAAACTAAAGAGCTTCTGCACAGCAAAAGAAACTACCATCAGAGTGAACAGGCAACCTACAGAATGGGAGAAAATTTTTGCAATCTACTCATCTGACAAAGGGCTAATAGCCAGAATTTACAAAGAACTCAAATTTACAAGAAAAACCAAACAACCCCATCAAAAAGTGGGCGAAGGATATGAACAGACACTTCTCAAAAGAAGACATTTATGCAGCCAAAAAACACATGAAAAAATGCTCATCATCACTGGCCATCAGAGAAATGCAAATCAAAACCACAATGAGATACCATCTCACACCAGTTAGAATGGTGATCATTAAAAAGTCAGGAAACAACAGGTGCTGGAGAGGATGTGGAGAAATAGGAACACTTCTACACTGTTGGTGGGACTGTAAACTAGTTCAACCATTGTGGAAGACAGTGTGCCGATTCCTCAGGGATCTAGAACTAGAAATACCATTTGACCCAGCCATCCCATTACTGGGTATATACCCAAAGCATTTTAAATCACGCTGCTATAAAGACACATGCACACGTATGTTTATTGTGGCACTATTCACAATAGCAAAGACTTGGAACCAACCCAAATGTCCAACAATGATAGACTGGATTAAGAAAATGTGGCACATATACACCATGGAATACTATGCAGCCATAAAAAATGATGAGTTCATGTCCTTTGTAGGGACATGGATGAAGCTGGAAACCATCATTCTCAGCAAACTATTGCAAGGACAGAAAACCAAACACCACATGTTCTCACTCATAGGTGGGAATTGAAAAATGAGAACACTTGGACACAGGAAGGGGAACATCACACACTGGGGCCTGTCTCGGGGTGGGGGCAGGGGGAAGGGATAGCATTAGGAGATATATCTAATGTAAATGACGAGTTAATGGGTGCAGCACATCAACATGGCACATGTATACATATGTAACAAACCTGCACATTGTGCACATGTACTCTAGAACTTAGAGTATAAAAAAAAATTTTTTTTAAGAAATAAATTAATTTAAAAAAAAAGAAGTCAGCCCTTTGCTGGGCTATAGGGGGCACCACCATGGAAGATTTGGAAGGCACTTTCAAAGATTAATTAATATTTTCTTCTCATGTTCAAGGTCTTAAACACTTCCTCATTACAATCTGGCTCTTTTTAGCACATTTATGTACTAATATTAAAACCAAGCAAAACAAAATAAATTTTCCAATGCAAGAAAAAAAAAGAATTCACAAATTAACTTGAAGAAGATCTGAATGGCCAAAGAAGAAACAATTTGAGGTTCAATAATAACAATAACTGCAATGAATTGAAACACATCAAATAGGACAAAAATCCACAATGTCTCTCAGTACCCATATCTTGGCTTTTAAATACCATTCTTCAATAAAAGAAGTCAGAGCTTCTTTCACAAAATGATAGGTCCTAGGGCTGGGGCCAGTTAAATGCAAGTTGAGACTGGAGTATTTTTACAGTGCCACAAAGTAGGAATGAGCTCAAATAACAAGAGGATGCAGGCATGTCAACAAGGCACAGGAGCCGACCTGAAAGAATATCCAGGGGCCCAGTCTGAAGCAATGTGAGCAACAAAACAAATAACAGAGTATTGAATTATCACCCAAAATACAAAATAAATATCCCTGGATCCTGAAGGATATAGGTAAATGATTGAATAAATAAATATATGGAGAAAAGAAACCAACCTTCTTTACAGATGAATTGTAAATAATTCATGCAGATGGTCCTCCTCCAAAAGAAGCAGCTTAATCCCCCCCTACTATACTCTGGAGTGTGGGCTGCATTTAGCTTCCAATGAATGGAATATTGAGTGAGAGATAACTTTACAATGGAGACATCAGGAAAACATGGCCAAGTGATCAAGGTTAACATCACTGGTTAACAGCATATATCCTTCAAGACGATATGACAAGGAGAGCACTTTGCCTATGCAATATTTTTTCCAAAAACCCACAAATCAATGTAATAATAAGAAAAACATCAGACAAACCCATATTGAGGGCTATCCTGCAAAATACCTGAGTAGTACTTCTTAAAACTGCCAAGGTCATGAAAAACAGAGAAAGAATGAGAAATCGTCACAGCCCAGAGGACAATAAGGATACATGACAACTTTATTCATTTGCTAGGGCTGCCATAAAAAAGTACGAGAAACTGGGTGGCTTAAACAACAGAAGTTTATTTCCTCACAGGTCTGAAGGCTGGAAGCCCAAGGTCAAGATGACAGCAGGGTTGGTTTCTTCTGAGGACTCTCTCCTTGGCTTGTAAACAGCCACCTTCTCCCTATGTCTTCACAGGGTCTTCCCTCTGTGTGTGTCTGTGTCCTAATCTCCTCTTCTTATAAGGATGCCAATCATATTGAATTAGGACCTACTGTAATGGACTCATTTTAACCTAATCACCTTTTTAAACATCCTATCTCCAAATACATTCTGAGGCACTGCAGGCTAGGACTTTGACATGAATTTTAGGGGGACCTCATTCAGCCCATAACAACTACTAAAAGTCACACGATGGTAGTGTGCTGGATTAGATTCGGGAACAGAAAAAGATCATTAGTGGGAAGAATAATGAAATCTGAATAAAGTCTGGAGTTCAAGCAACAGTCCTGTACTAATGTTGGTTTCCTGCACTAGTTTTGACAAATGGACCATGGTTATGTAAGATACTGAACACAGGAGAAGCCATGTGTACTCTCTGAAACTCTCATACTATCTTGGCAACTTTTCTATAAATCAAAATTATTCCAAAATGAGAAGTTGATTTAAGAATTTTGCAAACTCTGTTTTTCTGCATAAATTTGTGTTACTCCCCAGTTAAGCACTGGTATTGGGAATTTGAAACACTTTGCTGGCTCAAAACAAGTTGATAACTACAGGAGAGGCTGGGGAAAGGATGGCAAGAATTTTATGTGAGGCTTCCCAGAGTGAGTCATGGATCCATACTGACATGGAAAAAGAGCACATTCTAAAATCTCACAGTCCTTTACTTTTGCTCATCAGCCCTCAAAAGGACTGTGAGTGTTGCACTAAATAAAGATTGACCTGACCAACATGGAGAAACCCATCTCTACTAAAAATACAAAATTAGCTAGGCGTTGTGGCTCATGCTTATAATCCCAACTACTCGAGAGGCTGAAGTGGGAGAATTGCTTGAACCCAGGAGGCGGAGGCTGCGGTGAGCTGAGATTGTGCCATTGCACTCCAGCCTGGGAAACAAGAGTGAAACTCCGTCTCAAAAAAAGAAAAAAAATCGTTGAGGTCAAAATAGCTGTACTTTCTACTGTCCTCCTTCTCCTTCAACTGCATTTCTTCCTTTAAAAAGAAAAAATAGCACAGTGCTTACCAATAGGGTGTAGAATCAGACTGACTGTACTCAAGTCTTAGCCATGGGAGCCTAGGCAAGTTGTTTAGTCTCTCAAAGTCTCAGTTTCCTCATTCATAAAATGGGAATAGCATCACTAATTTTAAAGGTTTGTTGATGGAATTAAATAAGGGAATTTATGCAAAGTATTGGGCTTAAGCTGGCACTGAACTTAAAATAACTTATTATTTCAAAATAATTATTTTAAATGTTTGATGGTTTCCTTTGATTCTTACATTTGTAATTGACCTTCATCATACATTTACTAGTACCAACAAGTGCTATGACAGTTTCTTGGAACTTAATTTTTACCAGGTCTCTTTTCATACACAGTATCTTATTTATTCTACAACAACCAACCACAAAAGGTAGACCTTATCAGTCCCAAAACACAAAAGAGGGAACGGAGACTCAGAGATTAGGCAACTTGTCCAAGGTTGCAGACTTGGTGTGCCTGAGACAGGCTGTTTGCTCACTCTTCCTCTTCCTGGGCACATATTCTCCAGCTGTCCTTGCAGATAATTTGGGGCCATGTAACTGGGCTCTGGACATTGAGATGTGGGCAGAAGTGATGTATACTACCTCCCCGGCTGGCTGTAAAACCCACTGCATAATCTTGCAACCTACCTTTTTCCTTTCTGTGCCAACTCTGGAGGCCATGAGTTGAAGATGACAGCACCATAAAAAGGAATATTCTTGATCTCTGAGCCATCGTTTGAAGATAAGCTGCCTAGGAGAGCTGCCTGACCCAAATCTAGCTGTGACATAAACAAAACACAAGTGTTTATATGTATTTGTTTGGATTTCAAGGCTGGGCCTCCCAACTCTGTCATCTCCTCCGTGGGTTCCCTCCCAATGGACAAGCTCACTGGCTCCTCCAGGGAAACACCCTCCCTTCTACTCATTTGCTCATGCCTCCCACTTTGTGTGGTCTGCTCTTTCTTGACAGAGAAGACCCAACCAGTTGCATGCCTGCTTGCCAAAACCTTGCTTATCTTTGAGTAGGGTCTTATCTATGCTCATATGTTTTCATATTTTTCAAGTATTAATACACATTGCCATTTAATTTTAACACCCACATGACAGATATTTATAATAGAAGTATCCATGCTGAGAGGGAAAATTACAACATAAGAAAATGAAAATAGTATCTTTTCCATTTCAGTTATACTCTTTCTCAATAACTCCAGTGAGCCATGCTCCTGACATTCATGCCCTTATGAAGTTCTCATCCACATTGTCCCCTCACTGGATGTGAGAATGCTTTGACCAACATAATACAACAGAAGTGAGGTTGTGCCAATTCTGGGGATGGCAATGATTTGTCTGAGAGCTTCTGCTTCCTTGCCCGTGGAACACTCCTTTTGGGGACTGAGCCACCAGGCCTGAGGCAGCCCAGGCAGCCATAAGGAGAATGGAGAGCCCCAGTGGAGAGTTCTTGATGAGCTCAGATGACTTCTGCTGTCCTAGGCCCCAGCTACTTGGAACAAAAGAGCCACCAGATTCACTCACAGAATGGCAAGAGATCATCAAATGGTATTTTAAGCTACTAAGTTGATTTGCTACCCAGCAATAGATAATGGAAACACCCTCCTACAAGGTGCTCCTGTCAAGTTCCAGTGCTTACAGCTGGCACTAATGTCTTTTTCTGCGTCACACCGTTGCACATTACTGTAATCACTGGTGCATTTACCATTACTGCCATATTATAGTTATTTCTTATCTACCTTACCTCTGTCACAAAACACGAACTGCCAAAAGCAGGACTTCTAGGTACCAGATGCATTATAAATATGTGTAAGAATTCAGGCTTCTAAGTCAGGCTGCCTGGGTCGAATTTGGGCTTTACCATTTATTAGCTATATAGTCTTGTCATTTAACTTCTCTATACTTCTGTTTCCTGATCTGTAAAATGGGTCATTTCAAGAACGAAATGAGTTACTATTTGTAAAGCACTTAGATCAGTGACTAGCATGTAAGAAACACTCAGTAAATATGAGTGTTATCATTTCCCGTATCATTCAGCTCAGCATCTGATACATCATAAGGACCCAGTGGGTTCTGAATGCAGAAATAGACGATGGCTGTGAAGGTGGGTGCAGTGGACTCAGGATGCCTTTGGTGCTCCTCCTATTGTGTGGGGCTGTTTGTTACCTCCATTGAATCCAGGCTGGCCTGTGACTGCTATGTCGAATGGAGGATGGTGTAAGTGACACAGTTACCAGTTCTGGGTGACTGAAGCCACTGCATTACATGTCCAACTACACTGTTGGAGACGGAGACGAACCTGGGCAGACCCACCCTTCCATCTGCCTCCTCCAAGGTACCAGGCATGTGAAGAAAGGCATCTGGAACCCCTGAGACTATCCAGCCACCAGCCAAGGACCAAGTGAACCTAGTCTACATGGTGTAAAGTGGACTTGCCATCTAAGCTCTGAGCAAATTCCTGACGTGCAACATCGCAAGATGTAATAAAGTGGTTGTTACCTCAAGCCCAAGTTTCTAGGAAGTTTGTTATGGAACAGCAGCTCTCTCCTTCCTCATTGCCCCCAAGAGCCTGCTGCGGGGATCCACAGAGCCTGGACCAGTGCAGAGGAGGTGTGGTTGTGCTCGTGTCTTCCTCTAGAGGGCACCACCTGGGACTGATGATGATGATCTCCATGATCTGCATGCAGCTCAGGGCCTGCTGATGAGAAGCCATACCTCAAATGGCATCAGAGCCTATGAGCCGTCCATCCGTAAGTTGCTACAGGAAAAAAAAAAAAAAAACAACCCTATGCAAGCAAACCTCGAGGGCACTCTGCCCACAGCCATGATGCCCTACAGGACCTTCTGCCAGTGGTCCTCAGGGCAGCCTATGTTTGTAGCCCAGCCTGCCCTCTCTGGCTTCCTCAGAGCTGGTCACCCCAGGAACCATGTTGCCTGGGCTGTGGACTTTGAAGGAGTGGCTGCCGGAGGCCAGCTGTGTTCTCACTCAGTCGTTCCACTGCCTGAAGGACTCACTTGGTCACTCCACTGCCTTGGGAAGGGAGTATGAAGGGGATGGGGACATGGGGTAACAGGGTAATAGGGTGCCCAGAGCACTTAAGAACAGATGGGGACGGGGGAGACAGAATCAATCACAGTACCCAGTGAGCTGCCGCTGACGGCTGATTCTCCGGGTTCACTCAAACAGGCTTTCAAATCTTATTTTATGGGATTCTGTGGTTTGAAATACTCCATAAATCTCCAGGAACCTTTCAGAGTCCTGCTCTGTGTTTCATTCACACGTCCTGACAGTTCCTGCTCAAGTGAGGAGTTGGGTTCAGATGGTGGCCTCAGCCTGGCTGGTCCCCTGTGCTCTGAGGCATAAATCCATCAGTAGCCGGGCAGGACTGTGTCCCTTCCCCGAGCTCTGAGATTTGTGCACAGGGTTAAGGCCTAATATGATCAAAAGTCTGGGAATGTTTAATGACACCAACACTTTCCAAAAGCATGAGAAGAGGGGCATGTTCCAGATTTCCCCCTTGCATCTTTAAGATAAACATTGATTGCAACGATAACGGTAAAGAAGTGGACATTTTCTTGGCTCTCATTCAAAGTCTGGTATTCATAGGAGCAGGCCTAGGACAAAAGGTCTAGCTGGAGATATTGTTAGAGGATGCAAGTTCTTGGAGTTGGCATCAAGCTGAGGCCCAGAGTGCAGGTCGGGTGGGGAGACACGGCCTTGGGAGAGATAAACAGACTGAGCCCCTACCATGTGCTGCCACCCTCCTGGGGGACACATGCCTACCCACGGGCTCATCGTACCCTGCCAGCTGCATCCTTCAGAAATCCCTGAGCCAGAGGACGTCTGTTTTCTGTCACCGGCACATGGTCAGAAGGTGAGCAGCTGCCCCCACCTCAATCTGTTTGTGATGGATTTCGGAAGACAGGCTCTGTGGATCAGAGAAAGCTGCAAACAGACAGGCTGGAGGTGTTAGGTGCCTTCAGACCCCCACACATCTGTGTGGAAGCTTTCCTGGGACTCATGGGACATTTATTTTCTTCTTGCTTCTCCTGATGACCCAGAAAGACTACAGTGAGTCCCTGGTGAGCTTTAAATAAAACCTGCTCTGACCCCTCACCTTCTCTTTGTGTTTCCTCCCAACCTCTGCCCTGGGCTGGAAATCCTAAACACAGCAATACAAGGGCTCATCTGCTCCAGTGTGGAATGACCGATGCTTCTTTTCATATGATCTTTAAATAACATAGAATGTGCTTAGAGATTCAGTCTTTATTTTTAGTGAAATGAAACTGTTTCTAAAGGTAGAATGTCAGATGCTGTAGCAGTCCATCTGAAGATGTGTTGAAACTTCAAATCACTTGAATAGGCAGCTTGCTATTCTAAGTACAGATTGGCCCTGCTCTCTTCCCTCACATACTCACCCATACTATCTATTTCCTTATTTCCTAGAAGCCAGGTTCCTCCAGTGAGGCCACATCATGACTTCCCCCATGAAGACATCGAATTCACGGCTGCCTTCACCTTTGTCCTGTCAATGTCTGATCTTTCCTTTCAATTACAGCACGAGGCTGGGGTTCCAGTTCATGGCCTGGGCCACCTTGTATAAGGGTGCTGTTCCTCAGTTTCCCCATTTGTAAAATGAGTCCAATAACAGTAACTGTCTTCAAGATTCATTGACATGGTGAAATGAGAAAATGCTCTAAACAGGGCCAATAGCACTTGCCACTGGGGATGCATGTGACTGATGCCGGCTATTCCTGACCCAAGGTGGAATATGCCAGATAGACATTTCATCCTCTGGAGTCACAGTCCTGGACCCAGATGATCATCCAGTGTTACCTCCATCCTGCAGTAACATGGTTTCCCAAACTGTGTTCCATGGAATCCCACTGAGCCCGGAAATGCTCCCCCTTCATCATGTAATATGACAGGTGGACATGCATGCCTGAGCAGGTGTTATGTCATCAACGTGCAAGGCAGTGCATTTCATCCCCTTCCTGAGAAAGTCTACAGTAAACATCACTGCTGAACTTGGTTTAAACTAATATTTCTAAACTTTAATGTCCTATCGAACATGTTCTGTGAAACAACTAGTATGATCATAGAGAACACTAGTTGTGTTAAAAGCAAAGATTGAGAAATATCACTTCATGGCCTTTGCTTCATGTGCCTAGGCAGCTTACCCTCCAATACTTGCAGTGCCGGGGGCCTACCACTTATCTAAGCTGATGATGCCGCCCACAGGCAGTGATGTCCTTGGAATGCTCTTCGTGTTCAGCAGTTTCTCTGTAGCCTCCACTCAGTGATCCTAATTCCACACAATCAGTCCTCACCGCAGACGTCTCCTCTCTCTTCCACATTCATGCAGCTACCAGGATCCCACATTCCCTAGCCAAGTTAAAACAAAATTATATAAGTAAACTCCCACCACCACTTTCATGGATCTCTAGTTTCGGGGGTTGGTTTGTTGGTTGGTTGGTTCCATCTGTCAGTTTGTCACTCAGAACTCATTTGACATGATGTTTAGTCCCTTGACCAATCCTGGCCACTCTCTTAGATAACATTCCAGTGGATCCGTATCCTCCTCAAGTGCATGATTTGAGCTATCGCCTCCTCTGTCCTGAATCCCATCACTTTGTTAATGCAATTTTGAGGTGATGGGTGGAGTTGTAACAGCAATGTCACAGCTGTTATATATCAAACCGAGCTCTCTACAACCATCTAATACTCCAAGTTATGGGGACCGACCAAGCCGAATTTCCCCCTTTCTATTCTTCCATGAATGAGCACAGTGAAAATCCATGGCCTTAGGGAAAAATCACTGTTAAGTTCTACCTTGCTCTCCAAGGTAGAGTGTAACTGACTAGTCAAAAAAGAAAAAAAGAGTACAAAAAAGAATTTCATAAATATGCTCTCATTTGTGTAAAAAAATTAATTTTAAATTAAATTAACTTAAAAATTAAAAATGTTTAACTAAAAAAATTTTTTTAAACTAGAAAAATTAAAATTGTGTATGTATATATATTTTATGCATATACATACATGCATTTATATATTTGTATTTGTATTTGCATATGCATAAAAATAGAAGGATACACAAGAAACTGATAGTAGTTTTCTCTTATCCATGAGAGATATGTTTCAAGAGCAAATCCTGTATATACTATGTTTTCTTTCTATATATATACAGAGCTAAGGTAAAATTTCATTTATCTTAGAATGAAATTTACTAACTTACTTAGACAAGTAAATAATCTCTTACTTAATCTCAGTAAGAGATTAACAATCAATAATAACTAATAATAAAATAGAACAATTATAACAAAGTAATGTACTAAAGGTTATGTGAATGTGTTTTCTCTCTCTTTCTCTCTTTATCTAATTGTACTGTACCTGCCCTTTTTCTTGTGCTGTTGTGCGATGTAGAGGAAGTTGGGGTACGTGATGTAGGCATTGAGATGCAGCGTTAGCCTGCCATTGACCTTCTGACAAGTTATTGGATGGAGAATTATCTGCCTCAGATGATCCTGGATCTTTGCACCGTGAGCATGTTTGTGGCTGGGTGCCAGGAGCAGACAATGTCAGGGACCACCAGCAGGGAGCGTCTACAACATGGAGATGCTGGATAAAAGGATGATTCAGATCCTGAGTGGGACAGAGCAAGACAGCGAGAAATTTCATCACACTACTCAGAATGGTGTGCAATTTAGAACTTATGAATTGCTTATTTCTGGAATGTTCCATTTAATATGTTTGGCCTCAGTTGACCCCGATAACTGAAACTGTGGAAAGTGAAACTGCGGATAAGGGAGGACTACTGTAATTGCTGCCTCAGGCAAGTAAGATTAGGGAATCTGGGATTAGATGATATTGTGTCACTTTAATACTGTTGGACTATGGCTATGTGCACAGATTTCTTTTTTGGTAAAAAGGGAATGTCACCCCATCAGTCCTGCCTGTCAGCTTTGCTCCCTTCCCATGCACAGTTGATGAGCTTGCCTTCTCAACCTTCCTGCAACCCTTTTTCTTTTACAGCACATGTTCAGTGAAGGCCTCTGGAGCATACACTGCAGATAAGTGAGTGTGATTCCTCCATGCCCACCCTTGCTAGGGCTGCAGCCTAACCTCATGGACTCTAGTCCACTGAGCAGATAACTTGATTTTCTGATTTCCATTTCTCTCAGGATCCTTTCAGTTCAGGAAATCTTGAAGAATGACTCCAGCTAGGGGCCATTTGGGTACAAAATATCCCCTTACTTGCCAAAACACAAAGGTAAAATCTGTGTTTAGAAAGAAGAAGCATTTGTGGAGAGATCCCAGCAGCATGGTATAACTCAGGGGTAACTGAGAGGGGTATACCAGATGGCTGACAAGCCCTAGGCAGAGTGAACATACCACTCAGTGCTCATCTAGTGGCAGAGGGCCAATTTCCCACCCTTCAAATCTCCTACACTGCCCCAAATTCTATAATATATTAATCTTCCTATTCTCAGCAAGTGGCATTGAGCCCAGTGGCCACAGGTTTATGAGCACTGAGGGAATTAGTGAGTGTTGTCTAACATGGATCATTCCATATTCTTTCTGTCTTGGAGATGGTCCACAACTGGCTCCCAAATCCAGCCCCATTAGGCTCGTCCATTCCACAGCTTCGATGTAATAATCTCCAAGGAACTCCCCTGAGACTGGTTTGCTATGCATTCACTCCTAATTACCCTCAGCATCACAGGACACATTATACAGGGTAACATAAAGTCCTGCGCTGGAAACACTCATCACATAGACAAAATTTATACCAAAATATTGCTCCAACACTGGTGTTATTTGAAAGTAGGAGACTTGGTAGAATTTAGTGAGAGTGAGGCTATATATAACTTGTTTGGATGGAGTTAACCTCTGAGCGGACTTCCTTGGGGACCTGTTGCATTTATCACACACCAAAGCTATTAATGCCATGGCAGATTGTTGTAATGTAGCATACACATGCTGTCATCATCTTGCAATAACACAAAACCAAGATGTTAACTTGCACTAGTGTGGACCCTTCATTTTGACAGTTCCAGCTCAGTGCCCACTGAATTTGCGGTGCAAATCCACATATTATTTTTAGATTTGATTCACATTTGCAACTACATAAGGCCAAATATCCATGAGAAAACTGAAAAGCTCCATTAAAAATCTTGCTTTATCTAAATATCCAGATGTTTGACTTTGTCTAGCAAGAGCATGTCAAATTTTTACTACTTTTTTCTTAGTATCTAAACTCTTTTTGGAAGCCTATAGATCTATGTAAGACCTCTGGCCATTCAAAGCTCAGACTTGAAGTTTAAACTTAAAAATGACCAATAGACAACTCCAAGGCTTGTGGGACTACCTTTCTTTTCTGGGCCTCTTGGAGCAGTTTTCATGAGCCCAGAGATGAGCTGGATATGGCTATCTGGAGGAGCAGAGCTAAGCAGCCTCAGGGATGTGAGATTCGGGTTCATTGTGAGATCTCAGGAACACGTGTGAGCTATTCCTAAATGCTGTGTGACAAAGTCTTGTTCTCAGATGATTTTTAATACTAACTCTGTGCCCTACAAAGAGAAGGTCATGCAGGAAAACTCCAGGCTGGCATAGCTGGCCATTTGGTCAGGTTCTCTTCCTCTAACACCACATGATGATGAGGAAGTGCTGCCTCCAAATTCTATTTCTATGATGCAACCTCCCTACCCAGGAGACCAACCATTTCTCCAAAGTGAGCCTTCACTCCACATCTATCCATCTCCTACCACTTCCCCACATTATGCTCTCATCTCATAGTTGCCTACACCACCTTACCTGGAATCCTTTCTTCACTATGGACCTTACTTGCTCCATCTGTAAAATGGGGAAGCATTTTCATAGGTTTTCTAAAAACTCAAAGTGACTGCTTGATATGGTTTGGCTATGTCACCACCCAAATCTCATCTTGAATTGTAGCTCCCATAATGCCCACATGTTATGGGAGGGACCTGGTGGATGATAATTGAATCATGGTGGTGGTTTCCCCCATACTGTTCTTGCTGTGGTGAATAAGTCTCATGAGATCTGATGGTTTTATAAGGCATTTTCCCTTTTGCTTGGTTCTCATTCTGTCTCTTGTCTGCTGGAATGTAAGACATGCCTTTCACTTTCCACCATGATTTTGAGGCCTCCCCAGCCACGTGTAACTATGAGTCCCATTAAACCTCTTTTTCTTTATAAATTTCCCAGTCTTAGGTATGTCTTCATTAGCAGTGTAAAAATGAACTAATACACTGCTTACGTAAGAGGCTCAGACTTGCACATGGTTAAGTCCTACATAAACACCCATTGGTGTTCTTTATGGGCCAATTCAAATCAAAATCTTAGAAGTCAGGCTAAGTTTCTAGCTAGGTAACCTTGAGCAAATTAGAAGCCTACCACATAGGATGGTTAAGTGAGTTAGTCATGTAAGCGCCTTAGACAATGTCTAGCACCTAGGAAACGCTTGCTAAATGTTAGTCATTCGGATTATTATCCAATAAAGTCCTCTCCAAGGAAACCTTCCTCTGTCTCCTTTGCCATGGATCCCTCATGAGCAATGTTAGTCTGGCAGGCTGACTACTCCTTCTGGGATGACATCATTTGGCACCTAGCTGCATCTTGTTTTCTGGATTTTTTTTTTTTCACTTTGAGGAAAACCCATCCCTTACCTTTCCAGTAGGTGCCCAGATGTATTTGAGAACCTGATTGACAGCTGATGGACTGTTGCTATATGCTGCCCACTCTTGGTGCCCAGCATGGGGGCTATGGGGATTTCCTGTAGGTGCTGAGGGAAGGCAGACCCAGGCAGCTTCAGTGCAGAGTGAAAGACTGGGCATGGGGAAGGCTTAGCATGTGGTGCCAGGACCCCCACTCGCTGGGGCTGTGCCCAGGCAAACCTCATTTCCACAGCAGTGTGGCATCTATGTAGTGACTGTTGCAAGGAACTGTCCTCCCTGCCCCAGCAGGATCGATGGGTAAGAAGATGTCCTCAAAAATGCCGCTAAACTGTGAGCCTTCTCAATCTGTGATTCTTTGGACTTTTTTCCCATTTTTTGAGTTACAAGTGATTTACTGGTTGATATAGACATCATTTTCTAAGTTGCCAGGGAAACAGTCTCATTTGCTTTTAATTTGTTATTCTTTTTTCTGATTTATTTACTTTTAATTGCCATAAAATTGTACATATTTGTTGTGTACAACATAATATTTAAAAATATGTATACATTGTGGAATGGCTGAATTGAATGAATTAACATAAGCTTTACTTATTATGGTGATAACACCACTTTCTTAGGAATTTTCAAGAATACAATATATTATTAACTATAGTCACAGTGTTGCACAACCCTGTGATCAACAGATCAACAGATCTCTAGAACTTATTCTTCCTGTCGAACCGAAATCCTCCTTCCCCACCCCAGGCCCTGGAGGCCACCATTCTACTGTCTACTTCTTTGAGCTTTTACTCATGTTTAAAATTGAAATACAATTACATATTCATATTCCATAAGTCCATCCTGGCCATCATCAGTAGCCCACCAGGACACTGTGAACTAAGGCCTGCAGCGAAGTGGAAGAAACAGCTCACTTAGAAGAAGCTGAGCCATCCACAGGAGCAGAAAGTACGGGTAAAGAGGTTGGGTTGAGGCGATTCTGTGTTTTGACATGACAAGTTCCTCCATCTCTGAGCTATAAGGAGAAAGGGGGACCTCCACGCTGGCCTGCTGAGACCTCTGCACATGCACCTCTCCTTGCCTAGGGAGTCCTGGCTGTCTCCGTCCTTGAGGAACCTGCTTCGACCAGATGCCGAGCTTCCTGTACAGACACCAGAACACCCATCACTTTCTAATCACTGTTTTTTTCCTGATGAATCCCATGTCTGCTGTCTTTGCCATGCTGAATATTAAAAAGAGGAAGAAGAAAATGCTAGAACTCTTGGAGCTCTTATCTTGTGGAGCTTCAGCCCAGCAAAAATGCCAATGGGCAACTAGGAAACTAGCCCCCGGGGGTTGTCATGTGGACTTCTCTCAACCTGATCATGCCCAGGGCCCCCATCATCCCCATGATCCCTAAGGGCAGCTGAGGCAGGGGAGACCAGCCCCCACTATGCACCCCTCCCCACCAGGTCACCCAGAGCCCAGCCCCCTCTATGCACTCCTTCCCACCAGGTCACCTAGACCTTCCTCTCTCCCCAGTAATTCCTGCTTCCCTCAGTCCCTAAATCCCACCCAGGGCAGCATTTCTCTCTCATTCCCAGCACTACAACCCGGGCAGCTCACGCTGCCTCCTCTCTAACTGGGACCACAGCCTTGGATTTGGTGTCCGAGGTCCCAGGCCCCTTAGTCATGCTGCCACCAGGATCTCCATCCTGTGACCACTTTTCACAGAGGCAGAGGTGGCTGGGCTCCTCCCTAATTGAGGCCAAACCCCTGACAAGGCCAGAGAGCCCCAGGCTCCCTCTGGGTGGCGCCGTCTCTATCTGCCCCAGAGGCAGCCTGAGTGCCCACTGCACAGGTCACTGCTGCTATGTGCCCAGCTGTGGGCCTCCTCCCTTCATCCGCACATCACCTTTCCATCCTCTGAGGCCTGTCCCATGCCACCTTCTCCAGGAAGCCTTCCATCTCCCCAGCTTGTATGCTCCCTCTATTAGCCTCTCAGAGCTCAGTTTGTGGATCATCAGATCCCTTTCTCAACTGTGCAGTAATTATTTCTGACCCCATCTTATCTCCTCAGAGATACAGCATGCTTTTTGAGGTTGAGGACTGAGGCTTTCTATCCTGACTCCTCACCTCATCCCTTCAGTGAGAGGTAACCCTGCATCAGCTGCCTTCTCCCCAGCAGACACAGGCTCGTCTCTCATTAAAGGGATGTTTCAAAAGGGATGTGGTGGAATGTGAGATGTCAGCTGTCTCACCAGGCTTGGAATGCTGAGGATGGTACTTACAGGAAAAAAAAAAAAAAAGAAAAGAACCACGTTTCCACAGGATGCCACTTCTCACCAGGTAGCT
This sequence comes from Homo sapiens, assembly GCF_000001405.40. Taxonomy (NCBI): domain Eukaryota; kingdom Metazoa; phylum Chordata; class Mammalia; order Primates; family Hominidae; genus Homo; species Homo sapiens. The sequence goes on along the minus strand of NC_000010.11, from coordinate 44,508,424 downwards.
AACTCGTCTGGGGTGTCCTGCCCATGTCCTTGCTAATGCGAGAGCCCCCAGCTCCACAATGTCATGAGATCTTGAGCTTCCACTTGGTCCCAGGCACCAGCAAGGGGTGGTAGGCATCTCATCCAGCCATGGTTTCCCATGTGTCTGGGCCAAGAATGTCCCTATTCTTGGTTACATGAGCCCAGAGCTAGTGACAGTTACCTGATGCTGTGTAATAGAGAACTCGGCTGCAGACAAACACTTCCTTTGGCCTCCTGTGGCCTCCAGGGCCGGCCCTGCCTTCCTCCCTACCAGATGACACCTTCCACTGCCCCTTGCTTACACTCAAATCAGACAGAGAAATCTCCAGCCTGGTTTCTCCGTTCCTGGCTGGTCAGCTTTAATCTCACAGGAGGTTCATGTGGTGGGAAATGACCCTTCCAGAGGAGAGAAAGCAGTCAGTCAGGGAAGAAGCGAGAGAGCAGGCCCAAGGGACAGGCCCAGGAGAGGCTGAAGGAGGTGCAGGCATCGGCAGCCAGGAGCACTGCCTGGGCACGCATGGGGAGAGGGACGGAGTCCCAGACTCCTTGAAGAAAATGTCAGGAAACCACAGACTGCACATCCTCTCCTTCCTCAATCCCCTGTCCCTGTTGTTCTCTGGGAAGAACACTTAGCTCTTGTCTTTCAATTTCCTCTGATTCTCCTCATTGCCTCTTTGACTTCTTCTCGACAGTGGCTCTGGTCTTGCCTCCTCCAGCCTGCCCTGAGTTTGCCTTCACTGTGTCAGGGCTCCTCCTCAGGCACAACATCCATCATGCTCCTCTGCGGTTGTCAGCTCCCAGATCCCTCGCCCATTGGACTGTGAGCTCATTCATTACAATTGTTCATCTCTGCATCCTCAATGTCCAGCTCTGCCTGGCTCAAGTTAGCCTTTGCAGAAGGCTCACAAGCAAACAGAATGCGTCTCTCTAGCTCCCTTCCCCACTTCACTGATGCCCTAGCCCATGCCCATGTCATCTCCTGCCCATGGGACTCCCTTGGTCTTTAATCTCCCCCAACTCTTCTCCCTGCCTTCACCCCAGCTAATGTAGCCTTACCCCTCTCCTGAGGGAGGTTTCAAAAGAAGCAGCATTCAAATCCCAGGTCTACCATTTGCCAGCTGGGTGACATTTATAGTATTTCAAGTTTCTTGGCTCCAGTGTCCCATCTCACTAATAGATGCTATGTGAAGATTATGAAAGTGAGATAATGTATTCGAAGACATCAGTAAAGGGCTGGATGCTGAATCCTCTGCTCCATAACATGGAGAGTTAAACAAAGCCATCAGGCCCTCGCTCCTGCTTCATGAGGAAGAAGAACAGAGCAGTCCTGAGCTGTATGCACCTGCCTTCTCCTCTGCTAGATGCCAGGTGTCCGAAGGACAGAGATGAGATGCTACGGATTTTCCTACCCCAGACGCCGAGCTCAGTCATGGCTTCCAGGAGCCACTGGGTAGGTGTTTGTGGAGTGAACAAACAAATCAATGGCAGAGTGTGTCCTTCAAGCCTCAGACATAGCATGTATCACATATCATAAAGCTTCACTACCTTATGCAGGATTTTCCCATCTGGCCTTTCCCTTCACATGCTCCCCTGGGATGTCCCCTCTTGCCCCACTCTGGGCACAGATACAAAAGCCTCACTGACATCAGAGATCCTAGCTCTTCCAGCCCCCAGCCCTCTGCCAACACAGTGGAAGCTTAAAGGTAGTGAAGACTTGTGGAAATGCTTTCACATGCACCCCCAATTAAGCAGCTGCTATCAGGAAGGGAAGCTCCCCAAAGAGATTAACTGTGACCTGCAAACTGTCCTGTAGGGGGTAACCTGTAACCATGCGAGGGTGGGAAGGGAAGACCAGAAGCAGAGGTATTAGGACTCACAGCAAAAGACAACTCAGGGGGAAGATAAAAGAAGGACAATTTAGAGGGCAAAGGACAGAAACCTGGAGGGTTGGGACAGCTCCCATCTGCGTCCTGAAGCTTGAGGGCAGAAAAAAGGTGGGAGCAAGCGGGTTGTGCAGAAAATAAGCCTGTGCCGAGAAACCACGTCCACCAGCACATTTGGATGCTGCCCAAGTGATGTGGGAAGACGGCCTCAACAGGCTTGGGCATCCCAAGCCCAGGTCCAGTGTCAGTGCCCAGTCTGGCTGCCTCTCCACTGAACTGACGTCAGAGTCTGCTGCCTCCGTGGCTCCAATCTCCTTCTTGGAGCCTGGCCCTTCACCAGAAGGCTCCTCTTGCCCCCCTCAGTTTACCACAAGAACGTGGCCACTCTACCTGTGTGAGCTATCATAGCTGCCCCGTGGCTCAACCTCTAAGTATGACTTCTTGTCCTGATGGGCTTCACCCCTGGCCTCTCTCCCCATGTCTCAAGGAAATACTTCTCCACTTGCACCCCTCACTCTTAAGCTAGTTGTGAATTCGAGGTCAGAAATCACTGTGTCATCCCCACCCAGTTTAACTGAGCCTCTGTGCCACAGTAGACATTGTCTTAAGCATGTTACAAGCCCTTTGAGGTGGATCCCATCAGTCTCCTCATCTCACAGATCAGGCCATGAGCACAGCAGGGAAGTGAAAGGCCCAGGCTCCCCACAGGGGGTTGACTCCAGAACTTGCACTCATCACTGCACTGTACTACCCAGATCCAAGCCCCGGGAACCTCCCCCAAGTCCTGGTCCCTTACCTATCACTTTGTCTAGGACTTTAGTTTACCATACCCAGAGGAGCACTAATGCCACCCCATAAATAACATCAATCTCCAAAGGGACAGGAGACAGGACCAGGCCTAACTCCTACCCCCTGACTCTATCAAGGGCAGTGTGGCCAACCCAAGACTCAGGGTTTGGACTTCAGGGTCACAATAGTGTAGGTGGGTAATGTAACCATGCTCTATGCCTAGGTGTTTTAGAAAGAAGTGGGACTCAGGTGTATCAGTTTTCTTTATTGCAAAGCCAGACCTGACTCCTAATATCCAGTAGAAGGCTGACCTTGGTGGTAAGTCACCTAAAACTGGGCATCCTAGGGAAGTAACATGGAAGGTGATCATGGAGGCCAGAGGTCCGCATTTTGATAAATGCAGGGGGTGAATTTCCCCCAAGTCTGGCCCCATTCCTATGTGGCAATTTTTCTCTCTCAACCTTGCAGGGCTGGAGGGTAGGGGGTGCCACCTGGACTGCTCCTTGTTCATAGGAAAGTAACAAGGTGTGGTGAAGCCATGTGGGACTGAGCTCAGTGTTGATGGAGGTGAGAAGCATGACTTACAATCTTCTCTTTTTTGTGGAATAATGTATTTAAATGTATTTTATTGTGTCCTTTTTTCAAAGACTTATTGTCCCCTTCATCTTCTTAATTGCCACTACCTCTGTGCTCTCCTACAATTTCTACCTCCCCTCTGTCTTTTTTTTTTTAATAGAGGCTTTTACTGAGATAACTGTAGATTCACATGCAGTCAAAGAAGTAATACAGAGAGGTCTCATGTACCATTGATCCAGTTTCCCCCAATGGTAACATTTTGCAAAACTGTAGAACAATATCACAACCATGATACTGACATTGATACACCCCTAATTTTGCTGAGATTTCACCAGTTTTTCCTTGTACTCGTGTATGTATGCATTTGGTTCTACACAATTTTATTACACTTGTAGGTTTGTTTATCCTCTGCTATAGTCAAGATACAGAACGGTTCCATCACCATGAGAAACTTGGTGTGGCACTTTTATAAGCACATTTACATCTTTTCCCATTCCATCTCTACCCCCAGGCAACCACCAATCGGTTTTCCATGCCTACAATTTTATCCCTCTATTCTTTCATCTCTATAATTTTATCACTGCAAGAATGTCATACAAATGGAATCATATGGTATGCAAGCTTCTGAGATTGGCTTTTCTCATCCAGCACAATTTTCTTAAGATCATGCAAGTCTTTGCATATATGGATAGTTCTTTCCTTTTATGGCTGAGTAGTATTTTATGGTATGGATGTACCACAGTTTGTTTAATCATTCACCCCCTGAGAAATCTGGGTTCTTTCTAGTTTTTTACTATTATAAATAAAGCTGCTATGTACATTCATATACAACTTTTTGCATGCACATAAATTTCCACTGCTGTGGGATAAATGTCCAAGAGTGTAATTGCTGAGTTGTACAGTAATTTTATGTTGAGTTTTATTGGAAACTGCCAATCTGTTTCCCAGAGTGGTCGAACCATTTTACATTCCCACAAGTAATGTAAGAGTGATGTAGTTCCTCCAAATATTCACCAGCATTTGGTGTTATCACTATCACTGTATTTTTTATTTTAGACATTCTTATAGGTGTGGCATGAGATCTCATCAAGGTTTTAATTTGTATTTACTTGAAGGCTAATGATATTGAACATCTTTTGATGTGATTATTTGTATACCCTCTTCAGTGAAACGTGTTTACATATTTTGCCCACTTTCTAATTCGATCGTGAATTTTTTTTTTTTTTACTATTGAGTTTGGAGAGTTCTTTATATATTCTGGATATTAGTTCTTTGTCAGATACGTGGTTTGCAAACATTTTCTCCAATCTGTAGCTTGTCTTTTTATCCTCACAAAGCAAAAAATTTCATGTTAGAAAAAAGTTTAATTGTATAAATTTTAAAAAGATTTTTCCTTTTATGAGTTTTGCACTTGGTGCCAAGTCTAAGAACTGAAGATTTTCTCCTGTGTTTAATTTTATTTCAAAAAGTTGGATAATTTTGCATTTCACAATTAAAAAAACATGCGATTGATTTTGAGTTTTTTTTATATAAACAGTGAGGTTTAGGTAAATGTTCACATGTAACTGCAGATTTATCTATTTATCTTTTCAGCTCTATCCATTGTTGCTTCATGTATTTTGAAGGTGTGTTGTTTGGTGTGTGCATGTTTAGGTTTGTTACATCTTTCTGGTAGATGTCTCTTTTATCACTATGAATTACTGGAAGTTTTCTTGTTTTTAAAGTAAATTTTATCAGATATTAATATAGCCACTTTTACTTTTTATTAATATTTGCATGGAATATTTTTTCATCATTCACTTTATCTGCATATGTCATTTGAAATTTAAGCAAGTTGCTTCAAAACAACATTTTCTTAGGTAATATTTTTAATTTATTCTACTAATCTCTGTCTTTTGATTGGTGTTTTTAGATGGTTTGTACTCATGATAATTATTGTTAAGTTAGCAATGAAGTGTTCTATTATTTTAGCAATTATTTTCTGTTTGCTTCTTTTGGTCCTATGTTTTACATCCTTGCCTTCCTGTTCCTGCAAGTCAATTCAATATTTTTCAGGATTCAATTTTTATTTATTTGTAATGATTTGGAGCATATCTCTTTATATAATTTTCTGAGTTATTGCTTGAGTACTATAATGTACATATGTGACTTATCAAAGTCTACTGATATCAACATGTTACCACTTCAAGGGAAATGTGGATACCTCACTTCCATTTAGGTTGCTTTACCTTGCCTACTTTAAAATATCATTGTCTTGAGTATCAGAGGATGTTATAATTTTCCTTTTAATAATCAAATATGATTTATAAAACTCATGTAAAATAGGATAACCTCTTGTATTTCTGCTCTTTTCATTTTGCCTTCTTTCTTCCTGATGCTACAAGATTCTCTTATCATTCACTTGTTTGAAGAATTTCTTATGTCAATTTTAAGGGTAGTGCTGCTAATGTCAAATTCTCTTAGTTTTACCTGAAAACTCATTCCCAAGGATAGTTTAGCTGGACATAGAATTGCCAGCTGAAAGGTTTTTGTTTGTTTGCTTGTTTTCTGAATACAAATATACTGTGCCCTTTTCAAATAAAAACACTCCACATACGAGGAATAGAAGTGAACTTCCTGATCAAGGAAATCTAGGAAAAACCTTTAGGTAACATCATGTCTAATGACAAAAGACTGAATGCTTTTACCCTAAGATTAGGAATAAGGTAAGAATGTCCACTGATGCCACTCTTATTCAACATACTTCAGGAAGTTCTGGACAATAGAATAAGTCAAAGAAAAAAAGTAAGAGAAATAGGTTGCAAAAGAATAAATAAAACTTTTCCTATTTTCAGATGGCATGATTGTTTACATGGAAAATCCCAAAAAAATTTACTGAAAAAACCTCTAGAACTAATAAATGAGTTCATCAGGGTTTCAGGATACAAGATTAATATAGAAAAATCAATTATATTTTTATGTACCAGCAATAAAAATATCCAAAAATCATATTAAGAATACAATCAATTTATAATAGCACCAAAAGATAAAATACTTCCAGATAAATTTAACCAAGGTATGGAAGACTTGTACAACTACAAACTACAAAACATTGCTGAAAGAAACTATAGACCTAAATAAATGAAAAGGCATTCTATGATCTTGGATTGGAAGACTTAATATTGGTAAATGGTGTATATTCAATGTTATTCTTATCAAAGCCTCAGATTTTTTTAATTTTTTTGCATAAATAAGCACACTTATTCTCAAATTCATCTGGAAATCCAAGGGATCCATAACAGCCAAAACAATCCCGAGGAACAGCAATGTTGGAAAACTCACTTTTCTGTTTTCCTATTTCAAAACTTACTACAATGGCATAGTAATCAAAACATGTGGGCCGGGCGCGGTGGCTCACGCCTGTAATCCCAGCACTTTGGGAGGCCGAGGCGGGTGGATCATGAGGTCAGGAGATCGAGACCATCCTGGCTAACAAGGTGAAACCCCATCTCTACTAAAAATACAAAAAATTAGCCGGGCGCGGTGGCGGGCGCCTGTAGTCCCAGCTACTCGGGAGGCTGAGGCAGGAGAATGGCGTGAACCCGGGAAGCGGAGCTTGCAGTGAGCCGAGATTGCGCCACTGCAGTCCGCAGTCCGGCCTGGGCGACAGAGCGAGACTCCGTCTCAAAAAAAAAAAAAAAAAAAAACATGTGGTACTGGCATAAGGCTAAATGTATGAGTCAATAGAATAGAACTGAGAGTGCAGAAACAAATTCTCACATTTACTGCCAATTGATGTTTGACAAGGGTAGCAAAACCACTCAATGGGGAAAGAATCATCTTTTCAACAAAAATGCTTGGACAACTGTATGTTCACATGCAAAATAATAACGTTGGCTGCTCACTTCACACCCTATAAAAAAATTAACTCAAAATGGATAAAAGTCCTAAATGTAAGAGCAAATCTATAAAAATCTTATAAAAAAAACAAGTGTAAATAATTATGACTTCGGATCAGGCAATGATTTCTTAAATATGACACCAAAAAACAAGCAGAGTAAAAATGAATAAACTGTACTTCATCAAAATAAAAATTTTGTGTTTCAGAGGATACTACCAAGAAAATGAAAAGAAAATCCTTATAATGGAGAAAATATTTGTTAATCATATATCTGACAAAGAATTTGTATACAGAATATTTAGAAAGCACTTCCAATTCAAAAATAAAAAGACAATTCAATTAAAAAATAGTCAAAGGATTTGAATAGACATTTCTCCAAAGCAAATGTACAGATGGTCAATAAACACATAAAAGATGTTCAGCATCATTAGTGATTAGAGAATTGCAAATCAAAACCAAAATGAGATATTGCTTCACACCAACTAGGAAAACTATAGTAATAAAAGAGATAGACAATAAAAAGCACCGAAGAGGATATGAAGAAACTGGAAGCTTTATCCATCACTGATGGGAATGTAAATTGTGTAGTCACTTAAGAAAAAACAGTTTGGCAGTTCCTCAGAAAGCTAAACATAGAGTTACATATAAGCCAGAAATTCAACTCCCAAATTTATACCCCAAAGAATTGAAAATATATGTTTACATAGGAATTTTTACAGGAATGGTCATAGCTGCATTATTCATAATAGCCAAAAAGTAGACAAAAACAAATATTCATCAAGCAATGAATAAATAAAATGTGATACTTCCAGACAATGAAATATGATTCAGCCACAACAAGAAATAAAATATCAACAAGCTACAACAGAAATGAACGTTGAAACATTACACTAAGTGATAGGTACAAATAAAGATACAAACCATATATAAATCCATTTATACAAATGTCCTTTATATGTAAATACATAGAGACAAAAAAGTAGATTAGTGATTGCCAGAAAGTGGGAGGATGGGGAAATGGGGGAGGCGTGGTGGGGGGCGGACTGCTAAAGAGTAGGAGGTTTCTTTTGGTGGTATTGAAAATGTTCTGGAATTAAATAGTGGTGATGGTATACAACCTTGTGAGTATATCAACCACTGAATTGTATACTTTTAAAGGTTAAATTTTATGGCAGGTAAATGATATCTCAATTTAAAATTTTAAAAAAAGAAATAAGCATTTTAATTATTTAAAATGCTACTTTATTCTGACCTCTATTATTTCAAATGAGAAATACACTGTCATTACAACTACCTCTGGGAAATGTGTTATTTCTCTCTGACTGCTTTGAAGATTTTTTGTTTTTGTTTTAATTTTTTGAAGTTTAGTTAGAATGTGTATTGGCATGGATTTATTTGGTTTATATTCTTTTGTATTTGCTCAGTGCTATAGACAATGCTTGTCCCCTGAAAATGTATATATTGAAACCTAACTCCCAATGTGATTTTTGGAGGTGGGGCTTTGGGAGCTGTCTTAGTCCATCTGTGCTGCTATGACAGACTACCTGAGACTGGGTAATTTATAAGAAACAGAAGTTTATCTCTCACAGTTCTAGGGACTGGGAAGATCAAGGTCAAAATGCCAGCCTCTGGTTTCTGGTGAAAGCCTGCTTGCTGTTATCTTCTGGTGTGGGGAGGAATATTGTGTCCACATGTGGAAGAAGGTTGAAGGGCAAAAAGGGATGAACTCGCTTCATCAAGCTCTTTTATTATGACATTAATCCATTTGTGAAGTGGAGCTCTCATAGCCTAAACGTCTCCCAAAGGCCTCATCTAAAGTCACTTTTGCATTGGGGATTAAATCTTCAACACATGAATATTGGGGGATATATTCAGACCATATCAGGATGTGATTAGGTCATGAATACAGAGCCCTTGTGAATGGGATTAGGGTCCTTACAAGAAGAGGCCAGAGAACTCCCTTGTTCTTTCCACCATATGAGGCACAGGGAGAGGAGAGACATCTGTGAACCAGGAAGCAGGACTTCACTGGACACCAAATCTTCCAGCACTTTGATTTTGGACTTCCCAGCCTCTAGAACTATGAGAAATAAATTTCTTTTGTTCATAAGCCACCTAGTCTATGGTATTCTCTTATAGAAGCCCAAATAGACTAAGACACTCAGCTTCTTAAATCTGTGGGATTTTGTCTTCCACCAATGTTAGGAAGTTTTTTTTCTTATTTCTTTGAGTACTCTTTCAGCCCCATTCTCTTTGTACTCTTCTCCTGGACTCTGATAATAAAAATGTTGAACCATTTGTTATTATCCTACAGGTCCCTCAGTCTCTGATTTTTGTCTTATTTGTTATTTTAATTTTTTTTTATTATTCAGACCAGGTAAGTTTTATTGATCTGTTGTCATGTTCACTGATTCTATCCTCTGTTATTTCCACTCTACCATTGAATCCATCCAGATAGCTTTTTATTTTGGTTATTGTATTTTTGTTTCTAAAATTTCCATTTGGTTCTTTTTGTAGTCTCTATTTCTTTGCTGAAATTTTCTCTTTTCTAATTTGTTTTAAGAGAACTTGTAGTTGATTGTTGGTACATTTTTATAGTGCCCTCTTTACAATTTTTATCAGAAAATTCCAACATAAGATTCATATTGACATTGGTATACTTTGGTTGTCTTCTCTCATTATGATGGTTAATTTTATGTGTCAACATGGCTCGGCCATAATGCTCAGGTATGTGGTCAAACATTATTCCGGATATTTCTATGAGAGTGGGTTTGGACGAGATTAACATATAAATTGACAGACTTTAAACTAAAGCAGATTGATTTCCATAATGTGGGTGGGCCTCGATCAATCAGTTGAAGGCCTGAATAGAACAAATGACTCACTTCCCCGAGCAAAAGAGAGTTCTGCAGAAGATGGTCTTTGGGCCTGAACTGCAACATTGGCTCTTCCCTGGGCTTCCATCTTGCAAGCCTACCCTGCACATTTTGAACTTGCCAACCTCCATAATCATGTAAGCCAATTCCTTAAAATAAATTTCCTTCTCTCTCTCTCTCTATATATATACACATATACATGATATATATGATAGATACATATGTATATATTTATATATGTAAAAATGCATATTATTATATTATATATTATATATATGTAATATCCCCCAGAGTTCATAGGAACTCTACTTCAATCTGAGTAGGAAAGGGCCTAGCTGGGTGCCTTCTGTTGCTGGGTGTGGTGGGAAACACTGCATCTGGGTCTTTTTCTTCTGTCAAGTGGAGGACCTAAACACCCCCAGCACTACCACACACACACACACACACACACACACACAAACACACACACACACACTCACACATCCTATTGGTTCTTTTTCTCAGGAGAATCCTGACTAATATACTCATTCACATAGTTTTCTTGGTTCTTCAATGATGGTTGATGTTAGGAGACTCAGGTCCTATTTACCTATTATTTTAGCAGGAGGTCACCTGGTTTAGTTTCACCAGCCAGGTATTGGCCAATTTTGTGGGATGTGGTTCCAATGACAGTCTAGTTTTCAGAGCTTTTGCTATGTCAGTTGGACTGTTAGTCTGGTGGCTCTTAGGTCCCTGGTTGTACTGCTTGCAAGACAGAGTCTTTCCTAGAAGGACTTTTGTTATGGTGGCATCCTCCCTGTCTGTTGAGAAATGGACTGTGCTCTTGGCTGAGTGCTTGTTTTGACATGACCTACAGCCTCTTGCCAGACATCACCCCTCACCCCCCAGGGTTCTCCAATGTCTCTCAGTAAGAGATTTTCAGCCCCACAGGGACAAAGATACTCTCAAGACTAAGTGGGCAGGGCTGCTTGTTTTCTCTGGGTACATCTTTCCTCCCTGGCATTTTCCTGGTGGATAGAAGAACTCTATATCCAAGGAACATCCAAAGAGGCTTCTATGGTTAGACACTTCCCCTGTGCTACTGGACAGGGAAGGAAAGTCTCTGGCTCATCGAAACCATCAGGTTTCCTGGACCAGGCTGCTTGCTGTAGCTGGGCCTCTCTTACCAGGTTTCTTTGCCTACCTATGGCTTTCCCATTAAAGGAAGGAAATCTGGGGTCCATGCAGAAGAGGTTTTCCTGGCCAGGCACTTGTTGTGGCAGGATTTCCCCTGCATCTGAGGAAATTAGAGTGCTTCCCAGGCCTGCCTGTTTGCTGTGGAGGGATCCCTCTACCAGTGACCCCTACCTGCCCTGGTATCTCTAGCGGGAGAAGAGTGTCAGCCCCACAGGGCCAAAGAAGCTTCCCAGGCATGCCACTGATTGTGGGTATATCCCTCTTGCCAATGCCACCTGGTCCACAAGGCCTCTCAGTGAAGGAGGGAAGTCTCAGGCCCCAGAGTCTCAGGAGGAGGAGAGCTCTTCCCCTTTTTGCTTATTGTTAGTGGGGTCCTCAATTGATTACCGAGCAGGTCATCTTTTCATAGGAACTCTATTTCAATCTATGTAGGAAAGAGCCCAGCTGGGTGCCTTCTGTTGCTGGGTGGGGTGAGAAACACTGGGCCTGGGTCTTTTCTTCTGTCAAGTGGAGGATTTAAGACATCCTTTCTACAGTGCTCTTCCTCCAGTCCCGACATCTGAATTCAGCTCACCGTCTTCTCACTACCTTTCAAAAATCCACTTTGTTGCCTGCTGTGTTATTTCCAAAGTCTAGAGTTACAGTTCATGAGTGGGGCAGGGAGAGACGAATCCATATCAAAATACAAGTACTCTCCTCAGTCTGGTCCATTTCCTCCTTTTCATCTATGACTCTTTGCTCTCTTTAGAGGTATAATTCACTTACTGTAAAATACACCTATTTAAGGTCTTCTATTCAGTGTTTTTTCACATAGTCACTAGATTGTGCAACTACCACCACTATTAAATTCAAAACAATTTTTCATCAGTGAAAAAAGAAACATCCATTAGTAGTCACTAATCCTCACTCTTCATTCCTTTCTCCCCCTAGACCCTGGCAATCACATTAATCTACTTTCTGTCTCTACAGACTTGCCTATTCTGGGCATTTTACATACATTTAATTATATAATAAATGATTTTTTCCACTTTGCATAATTTTTCAAGGTTTATTTGTGTCATAGCATGTATCAGTACTTCATTCCTTTTTATGGCTGAATAATACTCCATTGACTAGATTTACCACTTTTGTTTATCCATTCATCTCTTGATAGATATTTAAGTTATTCAAACTTATTTTTTTCTAATTTTTCTTATAATTCCTTCTTTGACACATTCATTTAGGAATATGTTAGTTAATTTTAAGATATTTGAGAATTTCTTTTTTTCTGTTGTTTGTTCTAATTTCATTCCAATAAGGTTGAAAAAAATATTTTGTATAATTTCAAGACTTTTAAACTTATTAAGATTTATTTTGTGGCCTAAAATATGGTCTATTCTGGAGGATAATTTATGTCCTCTTAAGACAAACATTCTGTTGTTTTTGGGTGGAATGTTCTACAGAGGTCTGTTAAGTTTAGTTGGTTTATAATATTATTCAAGTTTTCTATTTTCTTGTTAAACTTCTACCTAGTTGTTCTGTCAATTATTTGTACTGAAGTAGTGAAGTCTTTAACAATTATTGTTGAATTATCTATTTTTACCTTTACTTTTGTCAGATTTTTCTTCATGTATTTTGGGTCTCTGTTGTTAAGTACATATATGTTCATAATCATTATATTTTCCTGATGGATTAACCCTGATATCATTATAAAATGTCCCTCTTTTTCTCTAGTAACCATTTTTATCTTAAAGCTCTCTTTTGTTTGCTTCCTTTTTGCTATATTTTTCCCTTTTTAACATGTGTATCTTTGAATATAAAGCATGTGTCTCATAGAGAGTATACGGTTGGATCATTTTAAAGTCCATTCTTATGCCTTTTAATCGGGGTAATTAATTAAAATTAATGCTATTACTAATAAAGTTGGATTTATATTCATCATTTTACTTTTTGTTTCATCTATGTCTTATGTCTTTTGTTTCTCAATCTCTTGATTTCCTGCCTTTTTGTATTAAATAGATATTTTCTACTGTGTCTTTTATTCTCTTATTTCTTTTACTGCACTTTTGTGAGATATTTTCTTTTTTTTCTTTTTTGAGATGGAGTCTCGCTCTGTCACCCAGGCTGGAGTGCAGTGGCGCGATCTCGGCTCACTGCAACCTCCGCCCCTCCAGGTTTAAGCAATTCTCTGCCTCAGCCTCCAGAGTAGCTGGGATTACAGGCACGTGCCACCTCGCCTGGCTAATTTTTTTGTATTTTTAGTAGAGACAGGGTTTCACCATCATATATTTTTTTAGTCATTGTCCTGGGGACTACAAGTAGCATCTTAACTTAGTTAAAATATGCTAAGTTAATTTCAAGTGTCCTAATATTTTACTCCACAATAATTTTTTTCTCTCTTGTTCCTTTGTATTATTAGCTTCATAAAAATTATTACTATATCTTTATATAACTCTATAAGCATAATTTTGTAATTACCTTTCATGCAGTCTTTTAAAACAGGTAAAGAAAAAATATTTGGAAACAAAAACATATTTATATTATGTTTTATAATATCTGAGTAGTTACATCTTGACTAGTGTTCTTTGTTCCTGTATGCAGATTTGAATTACTGTCCAGTCTTCTTTTATTTTAGCCTGAAGCACTCTGGATAGTATTTATCTTGGGTAGGTCTGCTAGCAACAGATTATCTCCATTTTTGTCTTTGTAGAATTGTCTTTATTTTCCCTCATTCTTGAAGGAGATTTAGCTAGGTACAGAATTCTTGGCTGAGAGGCTTTTTCCTTTAGTACTCCAAAGATGTCATCCTGCCGTTTAATGGCCTCTGTGGTTTCTGATGAGAAGTCAACTGTTAACCTTTTTCATATTCCTTGTACTTGATTAATTGCCTTTCTTTTGCTGCCTTCAAGATTTTTTCTGTCTTTGATTTTCATCAATTTGACTATGATATGTCCATGTGTGGATCCTTTGGAGTTTACTCCACTTGGAGTTCACTGAGCTTCGTGAAGGTACAGATTAATGTTTTTCATCAAACTTTTCAGACATTATTTTATCACATATTTTTTCTACCTCTTTCTTTTCTCATTCCCTCTGAAGCAGTATGGCAGCATTATATGTATGTTGGTATGGTTGCTGAGGTTCTCTTCACTTTTCCTCATTATTTTTTCTTTCTGCTCCTCAGAGTGGATTTATCATTAAGTTAACTGATTATTTTGCCAGCTCAAATCTGTTGTTGAATTTCTCTAATGACTTCTTGTCAACTCCAAAATTTTGGAGGCCAAAGCAGGAGGATCACTTGAGGCCAGGAGTTAGAGACCAGACTGGGCAACGTAACAAGACCTTGTCTCCACCAAATAAATAAACAATTTAAAATTAAAAATTAGTCAGGCATAGTAGCACATGCCTGCAGTCCCAGCTACTCAGGAGGCTGAGGTGGAAGGATTGTTTGATCCCAGGAGTTTGAGGCTGCAGTGAGCCATCATCACACTGCTGCACTCCAGCCTAGGCAACCAAGTGAAAGCTGGGGGAAAAAAAGAAAGAGAAGGATGAAGGAAGGAAGGAGAGAGAGAAAGAAAGAAAAGAAAGAAGGAAAGAAAGAAAAAGAAAGAAAGGAAGAAAGGAAGGAAGGAGAAAGAAAGAGAAGGAAGAGAGAGGAAGGAAAGAAGGAAGGGAGGGAGGGAGGGAGGGAAGGAGTTCATTGAAAAACTAGATGTGGATTTTATTTTTTGCATTAAAATAAACTCATGCTAATTTGTTAGAACATGCCTAGTCTAGTGTGAGGCACTAAGAAAAATTAGCCTTCAGTTTGAAAAGAGCTCCTGCCAAGTCAACATGAATTCTGCTAAAATTGAAGCAGGAAAAAAAAACATCAAGTTGATGGTGAAGCTTGAGTAGAAGAAGAGTGGAATCATTGATGCTTTACTTATGGGGACAATGACCTAAAGAAATGAGCAATTTACAAATGGATAACTCATTTTAAGAAGCGGTGAGATAATGTGGAAAATGAAGCCTGTAACAGCAAACCATGAACACCAATTTGTAAGGAAAAAGTCATTTTGCTCATGCCCTAATTGAAGACAACCAATGATTAACAGCACAAACAGTAGCCAATGCTATAGACCTTTCTATTGGTTCAGCTTATATACAATTCTGACTGGAAAATTAAAGTTCAGATAACTTTCCCCTTGTGGGTGCCAAAATTGTTTCACCCATATCAGCTGCAGACAAGGGCAAAACTTTTCAGTGGAAATTTTAAACCCGTGAAATATGGCTTTTTCAGTACAATCCTGAAGACAAAGCACAATCAAAGCAATGCCTGTCCAGAGGCGGAAGTGACCCAGTTAAAGCAAAAGTGGACTAGTCAAGAACAAAGGTCATGGCAACAGTGTGGGGAGATGCTCAAGGCATTTTGCTTGTTGACTTTCAGGAGGGCCAAAGAACGATAACATCTGATGATTAAGAGTGTGTTTTGAAAATGTTAGCCAAAGCTGCAGTAGAAAAATGCCCAAGAAAGCTTCAGCAGAGAGGTCTTTTACACCACAGTGGTGGTCCTCTTCATTTCTCTTATCAAACAAGGGCAATTTTGTGCAAGTTTCAAGGGAAAATCATTAGACATCCACATTCAGTCCTGATTTGGCTCTTTCCGACTTCTTTTCATTTACTAATCTCAAAAAAAATCTGTAAAGGGCACCCATTTTTCTTCAGTTAACAACGTAAAAAATATTACATTGACATGGTTAAATTCCTAGGACCCTCAGTGCTTTAGGGCTAGTATCATCACTTATAAGAGTGTCTTAAACTTCATGGAGCTTCTCTTGAGAAATAAAGTTGATATTTTTGGTTTTATATTTCAATTCCATTTTTCCACAAATTTTTGGAAGGTCTCTCAGGTGTGTATGTGTTTGTGTTTGTATATATTAATTTCTCTCTCCCTCTTTTTTATTATACTTTAAGCTCTAGGTTACATGTGCACAATGTGCAGGTTTGATATATAGGTATACATGTGCCATATTGGTTTGCTGCACTCATCAACTCACCATTTACATTAGGTATTTCTCCTGATGCTATCCTTACCCCAGCACTCCACCCCAAGACAGGCCCCAGGGTGTGATGTTCCCTGCCCTGTAACCAAGTGATCTCATTGTTCAATTCCCACCTATGAGTGAGAACATGCAGTGTTTGGTTTTCTGTCCTTCTTATAGTTTGCTGAGAATGATGGTTTCCAGCTTTATCCATGTCCCTGCGAAGGACATAAACTCATCCTTTTTTATGGCTGCATAGTATTCCATGGTGTATATGTGCCACGTTTTCTTAATCCAGTCTATCATTGGTGGACATTTGGGTTGGTTCCAACTCTTTGCTCTTGTGAATAGTGCTGCAATAAACATATGTGTGCATGTGTCTTTATAGTAGCATGATTTATAATCCTTTGGGTATATGCCCAGTAATGGGATTGCTGGGTCAAATGGTACTTCTAGTTCTAGATCCTTGAGGAATTACCACGCTGTCTTCCACAGTGGTTGAACTAATTTACACTAGCACCAACAGCGTAAAAGCATTCCTATTTCTCCACATCCTCTCCAGCATCTGTTGTTTCCTGACTTTTTAATGATTGCCATTCTAACTGGCATGAGACGGTATCTTGCTGTAGTTTTTATTTGCATTTCTCTGATGACCAGTGATGATGAGCATTTTTTCAAGTGTGTGTTGGTGGCATAGTATTCTTTTGAGAAGTGTCTGTTCATATACATCGCCCACTTATTAATGGGGTTGTTTGTTTTTTTCTTGTAAATTTGTTTGAGTTCTTTGTAGATTCTGGATATTAGCCCTTTGTTAGAGGGGTAGATTGCAAAAATTTTCCACCATTCTGTAGGTTGCCTGTGCACTCTGATGGTAGTTTCTTTTGCTGTGCAGCTCTTTAGTTTAATTAGATCCCATTTGTCTATTTTGGCTTTTGTTGCCATTGCTTTTGGTGTTTTAGTCATGAAGTCCTTCCCCATGCCTATGTCCTGAAAGGTATTGTCTAGGTTTTCTTCCAGGGTTTTTATGGTTTTAGGTCTAACATTTAAGTCTTTAATCCATCTTGAATTAATTTTTGTATAAATTGTAAGGAAGGGATCCAGTTTCAGCTTTCTACATATGACTAGCTAGTTTTCCCAGCACCATTTATTAAATTGGGTATCCTTTCCCCATTGCTTGTTTTTGTCAGGTTTGTTAAAGATCAGATGGTTGTGGATGTGTGGTATTATTTCTGAGGACTCTGTTCTCTTCTATTGATCTATATATCTGTTTTGGTACCCGTACCATGCTGTTTTGGTTACTGTAGCCTTATAGTAAAGTTTGAAGTCAGGTAGTGTGATGCCTCCAGCTTTGTTCTTTTTGCTTAAGATTGTCTTGGCAATGAGGGATCTTTTTCGGTTCCATATGAACTTTAAAGCAGTTTTTTCCAATTCTGTGAAGAAAGTCATTGGTAGCTTGATGGGGATGGCATTGAATCTGTAAATTACCTTGGGCAGTGTGGCCATTTTCACAATATTGATTCTTCCTATCCATGAGCATGGCATATTCTTCCATTTGTTTGTGTCCTCTTTTGTTTCCTTGAGCAGTGATTTGTAGTTCACTTTGAAGAGGTCCTTCACATCCCTTGTAAGTTTGATTCTTAGGTATTTTATTCTCTTTGTAGCAATTGTGAATGGGAGTTCACTCATGATTTGGCTCTCTGTTTGTCTGTTAATTGTGTATAGGAATGCTTGTGATTTCTGCACATTGATTTTGTGTCCTGAGACTTTGCTGAAGTTGCTTATCAGCTTAAGGAGATTTTGGGCTGAGATGATGGGGTTTCCTAATATACAATCATGTCTTCTGCAAACAGGGACAATTTGACCTCCTCATTTCCTAATTGAATACCCTTTCTTTCTTTCTCTTGCCTGACTTCCCTGGCCAGAACTTCCAACACTATATTGAATAGGAATGGTTAGAGAGGGCATCCCTGTCTTGTGCCAGTTTTCAAAGGGAATGCTTCCAGTTTTGGCCCCCTCAGTATGATATTGGCTGTGGGTTTGTCATAAATAGCTCTCATTCTTTTGAGATACGTTCCATCAATAATGAGTTTATTGAGAGTTTTTAGCATGAAGGGCTATTGAATTTTGTCAAAGGCCTTTTCTGCATCTATTGAAATAACCATGTGGTTTTTGTCATTGGTTCTGTTTACGCGATGGATTATGTTTATTGATTTGCATATGTTGAACCAGCCTTGCATCCCAGGGATGAAGCCGACTTGATCATGGTGGATAAGCTTTTTCATGTGCTGCTGGATTTGGTTTGCGAGTATTTTATTGAGGATTTTCACATCGATGTTCATCAAGGATATTGGTCTAAAATTCTCTTTTTTGTTGTTGTGTCTCTGCCAGACTTTGGTATCAGGATGATGTTGGCCTCATAAAATGAGTTAGGGAGGATTCTCTCTTTTTCTATTGATTGGAATAGTTTCAGAAGGAATTGTACCAGCTCCTCTTTGTACCTCTGGTAGAATTTGGCTGTGAATCCATCTGGTCCTGGACTTTTTTTGGTTGGTAAGCTATTAATTATTGTCTCAATTTCAGAGTCTGTTATTGGTCTATTCAGAGATTCAACTTCTTCCTGGTTTAGTCTTGGGAGGGTGTATGTGTCCAGGAATTTATCCCTTTCTTCTAGATTTTCTAGTTTATTTGCTTAGAGGTGTTTATAGTATTCTCTGATGGTAGTCTGTATTCCTGTGGGATTGGTGGTGATATCCCCTTTATCACTTTTTATTGCATCAGTTTGATTCTTCTTTCTTTTCTTCTTTATTAGTTTTTCTAGTGGTCTATTTGTGGATCTTTTCAAAAAAACAGCTCCTAGATTCATTGATTTTTTAAAGGGTTTTTTGTGTCTCTGTCCCTTTCAGTTCTGCTCTGATCTTAGTTATTTCTTGCCTTCTGCTAGCCTTTGAATTTGTTTGCTCTTGCTACTCTGGCTGTTTTAATTGTGATGTTAGGGTGTCGATTTTAGATCTTTCCTGCTTTCTCTTGTGGGCATTTAGTGCTATAAATTTCCCTCTACACACTGCTTTAAATGTGTCCCAGAGATTCTGGGATGTTGTGTCTTCGTTCTCATTGCTTTCAAGGAACATCTTTATTTCTACCTTCATTTCATTATTTACCCAGTAGTCATTCAGGAGCAAGTTGTTCAGTTTTCATGTAGTTATGTGGTTTTGAGTGAGTATCTTAATCCTGAGTTCTAATTTGATTGCACTGTGGTCTGACAGACAGTCTGTTGTGATTTCTGTTCTTTTACATTTGCTGAGGAGTGTTTTATTTCCAATTATGTGGTAAATTTTAGAATAAATGTGATGTGGGGCTGAGAAGAATGTGTATTCTGTTGATTTGGGTTGGAGAGTTCCGTAGATGTCTATTAGATCTGCTTGTTGCAGAGCTGAGTTCAGGTCATGGATATCCTTGTTAAACTTCTGTCTCATTGATCTGTCTAATATTGACAGTGGGATGTTAAAGTCTCCCATTATTATTGACTGGGAATATAAATCTCTTTGTAGGTCTCTATGGACTTGCTTTATGAATCTGTGTGCTCCTGTATTGGGTGCGTATATATTCAGGATAGTTAGCTCTTCTTGTTGAATTGATCCCTTTACCATTATGTAATGGCCTTCTTTGTCTCTTTTGATCTTTGTTGGTTGAAAGTCTGTTTTAGGGAGGACACAGAGCTGCGCCGCCCGCACCACAGACCTTCGCCTCGCCCCGCCGGTTCCTCACCCTCGGGGAGCAACATGGATAATCTCAGTGATACCTTGAAGAAGCTGAAGATAACAGCTGTTGACAAGACCGAGGATAGTTTAGAAGGATGCTTGGATTGTCTGCTTCAAGCCCTGGCTCAAAATAAATGATTCAGTGTAGGGGGAGGAGCTAAGATGGCCGAATAGGAACAGCTCCGGTCTACAGCTCCCAGCGTGAGCCACGCAGAAGACGGGTGATTTCTGCATTTCCATCTGAGCTTTGAAGAGAGCAATGCTTCTCCCAGCACGCAGCTGGAGATCTGAGAACGGGCAGACTGCCTCCTCAAGTGGATCCCTGACCCCTGACCCCCGAGCAGCCTAACTGGGAGGCACCACCCAGCAGGGGCACACTGACACCTCACACGGCAGGGTATTCCAACAGACCTGCAGCTGAGGGTCCTGTCTGTTAGAAGGAAAACTAACAAACAGAAAGGACATCCACACCGAAAACCCATCTGTACATCACCATCATCAAAGACCAAAAGTAGACAAAACCACAAAGATGGGGAAAAAACAGAACAGAAAAACTGGAAACTCTAAAACGCAGAGCACCTCTCCTCCTCCAAAGGAACGCAGTTCCTCACCAGCAACGGAACAAAGCTGGATGGAGAATGATGTTGACGAGCTGAGAGAAGAAGGCTTCAGACGATCAAATTACTCTGAGCTACAGGAGGACATTCAAACCAAAGGCAAAGAAGTTGAAAACTTTGAGAAAAATTTAGAAGAATGTATAACTAGAATAACCAATACAGAGAAGTGCTTAAAGGAGCTGATGGAGCTGAAAACCAAGGCTCGAGAACTACGTGAAGAATGCAGAAGCCTCAGGAGCCGATGTGATCAACTGGAAGAAAGGGTATCAGTGATGGAAGATGAAATGAATGAAATGAAGTGAGAAGGGAAGTTTGGAGAAAAAAGAATAAAAAGAAATGAGCAAAGCCTCCAAGAAATATGGGACTATGTGAAAAGACCAAATCTACGTCTGATTGGTGTACCTGAAAGTGAGGCAGAGAATGGAACCAAGTTGGAAAACACTCTGCAGGATATTATCCAGGAGAACTTCCCCAATCTAGCAAGGCAGGCCAACGTTCAGATTCAGGAAATACAGAGAATGCCACAAAGATACTCCTCAAGAAGAGCAACTCCAAGACACATAATTGTCAGATTCACCAAAGTTGAAATGAAGGAAAAAATGTTAAGGGCAGCCAGAGAGAAAGGTCGGGTTACCTACAAAGGGAAGCCCATCAGACTAACAGCAGATCTCTTGGCAGAAACCCTACAAGCCAGAAGAGAGTGGGGGCCAATATTCAACATTCTTAAAGAAAAGAATTTTCAACACAGAATTTCATATCCAGCCAAACTAAGCTTCATAAGTGAAGGAGAAATAAAATACTTTACAGACAAGCAAATGCTGAGAGATTTTGTCACCACCAGGCCTGCCCTAAAAGAGCCCTGAAGGAAGCGCTAAACATGGAAAGGAACAACCGGTACCAGCCGCTGCCAAATCATGCCAAAATGTAAAGACCATCGAGACTAGGAAGAAACTGCATCAACTAACGAGCAAAATAACCAGCTAACATCATAATGACAGGATCAAATTCACACATAACAATATTAACTTTAAATGTAAATGGACTAAATTCTCCAATTAAAAGACACAGACTGGCAAGTTGGATAACGAGTCAAGATCCATCAGTGTGCTGTATTCAGGAAACCCATCTCACGTGCAGAGACACACATAGGTTCAAAATAAAAGGATGGAGGAAGATCTACCAAGCAAATGGAAAACAAAAAAAGGCAGGGGTTGCAATCCTAGTCTCTGATAAAACAGACTTTAAACCAACAAAGATCAAAAGAGACAAAGAAGGCCATTACATAATGGTAAAGGGATCAATTCAACAAGAGGAGCTAACTATCCTAAATATATATGCACCCAATACAGGAGCACCCAGGTTCATAAAGCAAGTCCTGAGTGACCTACAAAGAGACTTAGACTCCCACACATTAATAATGGGAGACTTTAACACCCCACTGTCAACATTAGACAGATCAACGAGACAGAAAGTCAACAAGGATACCCAGGAATTGAACTCAGCTCTGCACCAAGCATACCTAATAGACATCTACAGAACTCTCCACCCCAAATCAACAGAATATACATTTTTTTCAGCACCACACCACACCTATTCCAAAATTGACCACATAGTTGGAAGTAAAGCTCTCCTCAGCAAATGTAAAAGAACAGAAATTATAACAAACTATCTCTCAGACCACAGTGCAATCAAACTAGAACTCAGGATTAAGAATCTCACTCAAAGCCGCTCAACTACATGGAAACTGAACAACCTGCTGCTGAATGACTACTGGGTACATAATGAAATGAAGGCAGAAATAAAGATGTTCTTTGAAACCAACGAGAACAAAGACACAACATACCAGAATCTCTGGGACGCATACAAAGCAGTGTGTAGAGGGAAATTTATAGCACTAAATGCCCACAAAAGAAAGCAGGAAAGATCCAAAATTGACACCCTAACATCACAAATAAAAGAACTAGAAAAGCAAGAGCAAACACATTCAAAAGCTAGCAGAAGGCAAGAAATAACTAAAATCAGAGCAGAACTGAAGGAAATAGAGACACAAAAAACCCTTCAAAAAATCAATGAATCCAGGAGCTGGTTTTTTGAAAGGATCAACAAAATTGATAGACCGCTAGCAAGACTAATAAAGAAAAAAAGAGAGAAGAATCAAGTAGACACAATAAATAATGATAAAGGGGATATCACCACTGATCCCACAGAAATACAAACTACCATCAGAGAATACTACAAACACCTCTACGCAAATAAACTAGAAAATCTAGAAGAAATGGATACATTCCTCATCACATACACTCTCCCAAGACTAAACCAGGAAGAAGTTGAATCTCTGAATAGACCAATAACAGGAGATGAAATTGTGGCAATAATCAATAGTTTACCAACCAAAAAGAGTCCAGGACCAGATGGATTCACAGCCAAATTCTACCAGAGGTACAAGGAGGAACCGATACCATTCCTTCTGAAACTATTCCAATCAATAGAAAAAGAGGGAATCCTCCCTAACTCATTTTATGAGGCCAGCATCATTCTGATACCAAAGCCGGGCAGAGACACAACCAAAAAAGAGAATTTTAGACCAATATCCTTGATGAACATTGATGCAAAAATCCTCAATAAAATACTGGCAAACCGAATCCTGCAGCACATCAAAAAGCTTATCCACCATGATCAAGTGGGCTTCATCCCTGGGATGCAAGGCTGGTTCAATATATGCAAATCAATAAATGTAATCCAGCATATAAACAGAACCAAAGACAAAAACCACATGATTATCTCAATAGATGCAGAAAAAGCCTTTGACAAAATTCAACAACCCTTCATGCTAAAAACTCTCAATAAATTAGGTATTGATGGGAGGTATTTCAAAATAATAAGAGCTATCTATGACAAACCCACAGCCAATATCATACTGAATGGGCAAAAACTGGAAGCATTCCCTTTGAAAACTGGCACAAGACAGGGATGCCCTCTCTCACCACTCCTATTCAACATAGTGTTGGAAGTTCTGGCCAGGGCAATTAGGCAGGAGAAGGAAATAAAGGGTATTCAATTAGGAAAAGAGGAAGTCAAATTGTCCCTGTTTGCAGACGACATGATTGTATATCTAGAAAACCCCATCATCTCAGCCCAAAATCTCCTTAAGCAGATAAGCAACTTCAGCACAGTCTCAGGATACAAAATCAATGTACAAAAATCACAAGCATTCTTATACACCAACAACAGACAAACAGAGAGCCAAATCATGAGTGAACTCCCATTCACAATTGCTTCAAAGAGAATAAAATACCTAGGAATCCAACTTACAAGGGATGTGAAGGACCTCTTCAAGGAGAACTACAAACCACTGCTCAAGGAAATAAAAGAGGATACAAACAAATGGAAGAACATTCCATGCTCATGGGTAGGAAGAATCAATATTGTGAAAATGGCCACACTGCCCAAGGTAATTTACAGATTCAATGCCATCCCCATCAAGCTACCAATGACTTTCTTCACAGAATTGGAAAAAACTACTTTAAAGTTCATATGGAACCAAAAAAGAGCCCGCATCGCCAAGTCAATCCTAAGCCAAAAGAACAAAGCTGGAGGCATCACACTACCTGACTTCAAACTATACTACAAGGTTACAGTAACCAAAACAGCATAGTACTGGTACCAAAACAGAGATATAGATCAATGGAACAGAACAGAGCCCTCAGAAATAACACCGCATACCTACAACTATCTGAACTTTGACAAACCTGAGAAAAACAAGCAATGGGGAAAGGATTCCCTATTTAATAAATGGTGCTGGGAAAACTGGCTAGCCATATGTAGAAAGCTGAAACTGGATCCCTTCCTTACACCTTATACAAAAATCAATTCAAGATGGATTAAAGATTTAAACGTTAGACCTAAAACCATAAAAACCCTAGAAGAAAACCTAGGCATTACCATTCAGGACATAAGCATGGGCAAGGACTTCATGTCCAAAACACCAAAAGCAATGGCAACAAAAGCCAAAATTGACAAATGGGATCTCATAAAACTAAAGAGCTTCTGCACAGCAAAAGAAACTACCATCAGAGTGAACAGGCAACCTACAACATGGGAGAAAATTTTCGCAACCTACTCATCTGACAAAGGGCTAATATCCAGAATCTACAATGAACTCAAACAAATTTACAAGAAAAAGACAAACAACCCCATCAAAAAGTGGGCGAAGGACATGAACAGTCACTTCTCAAAAGAAGACATTTATGCAGCCAAAAAACACATGAAAAAATGCCCATCATCACTGGCCATCAGAGAAATGCAAATCAAAACCACTATGAGATATCATCTCACACCAATTAGAATGGCAATCATTAAAAAGTCAGGAAACAACAGGTGCTGGAGAGGATGTGGAGAAATAGGAACATTTTTACACTGTTGGTGGGACTGTAAACTAGTTCAACCATTGTGGAAGTCAGTGTGGCGATTCCTCAGGGATCTAGAACTAGAAATACCATTTGACCCAGCCATCCCATTACTGGGTATATACCCAAATGACTATAAATCATGCTGCTATAAAGACACATGCACTCGTATGTTTATTGCGGCATTATTCACAATAGCAAAGACTTGGAACCAACCCAAATGTCCAACAATGATAGACTGGATTAAGAAAATGTGGCACATATACACCATGGAATACTATGCAGCCATAAAAAATGATGAGTTCATGTCCTTTGTAGGGACATGGATGAAATTGGAAACCATCATTCTCAGTAAACTATCGCAAGAACAGAAAACCAAACACCGCATATTCTCACTCATAGGTGGGAATTGAACAATGAGATCACATGGACACAGGAAGGGGAATATCACACTCTGGGGACTGTGGTGGGGTGGGGGGAGGGGGGAGGGATAGCATTGGGAGATATACCTAATGCTAGATGACGAGTTAGTGGGTGCAGCGCACCAGCATGGCACATGTATACATATGTAACTAACCTGCACAATGTGCACATGTACCCTAAAACTTAAAGTATAAAAAAAAAATGATTCAGTGTAGTTGTAGTGCTAGATATATTATATGGAATTATCAGCAGTTTACCAGTTGGTTCTTTATTAGTACTCCTGATGTCTTAAACAAAAATGAATAATTGTTTAAAAAAAAAAAAAAGAAAGTCTGTTTATCAGAGACTAGGATTGCAACCCCCACTTTTTTTTTTTTTTTTTGCTTTCAATTTGCTTAGTAGATCTTCCTCCATCTCTTTATTTTGAGCCTATGTGAGTCTTTGCACGTGAAATGGGTCTCCTGAATACGGCACACTGCTGGATCTTGACTCTTTATCCAATTAGCCCATCTGTGTCTTTTAATCGGGACATTTACCCCATTTACATTTAAGGTTAATATTGTTATGTGTGAATTTTATCCTGTCATTATGATGTTTGCTGGTTATTTTGCCTGTTAATTGATGCAGTTTCTTCATAGCATCGATAGCCTTTACAATTTGGCTTGTTTTTGCAGTGGCTGGTACTGATTGTTTCTTTCCATGTTGAGTGCTTCCTTCAGGAGCTCTTGTAAGGCAGGCCTGGTGGTGACAAAATCTCTGAGCATTTGGTTCTCTGTAAAGGATTTTATTTCTCCTTCACTTACGAGGCTTAGTTTGGCTGGATATGAAATTCTGTGTTGAAAATTCTTTTCTTTAAGAATGTTGAATATTGGCCCCCATTCTCTTCTGGCTTGTAGGGTTTCTGCTGAGAGATCTGCTTTTAGTCTGATGGGCTTCCCTTTGTGGGTAACTTCACCTTTCTCTTTGGCTGCCCTTAACACCTTTTCCTTCATTTCAAACTTGGTGAATCTGACAATTATGTGTTTTGGGGTTGCTCTTCTTGAGGAGCATCTTTGTGGCGTTCTCTGTATTTCCTGAATTTGAATGTTGGCCTGCCTTGCTAGGTTGGGGAAGTTCTCCTGGATAATATCCTGAAGAGTGTTTTCCAACTTGTTTCCATTCTCCCCATCACTTTCCAGTACACCAATCAAACGTAGATTTGGTCTTTTCACATAGTCCCATATTTGTTGGAGCCTTCTTTCATTTCTTTTTACTCTTTTGTCTCTAAATTTCTCTTCTCACTTTATCTCATTAATTTGATCTTCAGTCACTGATACCCTTTCTTCCACTTGATCGAATTGGCTATTGAAGCCTGTGCGTGCATCACGAAGTTCTTGTTCCATGGATTTTAGCTCCGTCAGGTCATTTAAGGTCTTCTCTACGTTGTTTATTCTAGTTAGCCATTCACCTAATCTTTTTTCAAGGTTTTTAGCTTCTTTGCAATGGGTTCTAACATCCTCCTTTAGCTCGGAGAAGTTTGTTATTACCGACCTTCTGAAGCCTACTTCTGTCAACTCATCAAAGTCATTTCCCATCTAGCTTTGTTCCATTGCTGGTGAGGAGCTGTGATCCTTTGGAGGAGAAGAGGTGCTCTGATTTTTACAATTTTCAGCTTTTCAGCTCTGGTTTCTCCCCATCTTTGTGGTTTTATCTACTTTTGGTCTTTGATGATGGTGACCTACAGATGGGGTTTTGGTGTGGATGTCCTTTTTGTTGATGTTGATGCTATTCCTTTCTGTTTGTTAGTTTTCCTTCTAACAGTCAGGTCCCTCAGCTGCAAGTCTGTTGGCATTTGCTGGAGTTCCACTCCAGACCTGTTTGCCTGGGTATCACCAGCAGAAGCTGCAGAACAGCAAATATTGCAGAACAGCAAATATTGCTGCCTGATCCTTCCTCTGGATGTTTCGTCCCAGAGGGGCAGCTGCCTATACAAAGTGTCAGTCAACCCCTACTGGGAGGTGTCTTCCAGTTAGGCTACACAGCGGTCAGAGACCCACTTGAGGAGGCAGTCTGTCCATTCTCAGAGCTCAAATGCCATGCTGACAGAATCACTGCTCTCTTCAGAGCTGTCAGACAGGGAGGTTTAAGTCTGCAGAAGTTGTCTGCTGCCTTTTATTCAGCTATGCCCTGCCCGCAGAGGTGGAGTCCAGAGGCAGTAGGGCTTGTTGAGCTGCGGTGGGCTCCACCCAGTTCAAGCTTCCTGGGCCACTTTTTTTACCTACTCAAGCCTCAGCAATGGCAGACACCCCTCCCCCAGCTAGGCTGCCATCTCACAGCTCAATCTCATACTGCTGCTCTAGCAGTGAGCAAGGATTTGTGGGTATGGGAGCTGCTGAGCCAGGCACGGGAGAGAATCACCTTGTCTGCCGGTTGCAAGACCTTGGGAAAAGCACAGTATTTGGGCAGGAGTGTCCCGTTTTTCCAGATAATCTGTCACAGCTTCCTTTGGCTAGGAAAGGGAAATTCCCCGAACCCTTGTGCTTCCCGGGTGAGGCAACACCCTGCCCTCCTGCTTCGGCTTGCCCTTCATGGGCTGCACCCACTGTCCAACCGGTCCCAATGAGATGAACCAGGTACCTTAGTTGGAAATGTAGAAATCACCTGTCTTCTACATTGATCATGCTGGGAGCTGCAGACCAGAGCTGTTCCTATTTGGCCATCTTGGAACGCCTTAAATCTCTGTCTTTATTGATATTCTCTATTTGGTAAGACATCCATGTCATACTTTCTTTTGATGTTTTGGACATGGTATGTGAATGTAAATATTTATATTATATAAATATATATTTACAACATAGAAATATTTGCATTTATATTATAAATGTTTATCTTTGTACATGTATAAAATAACTGATTTAAAGTCTTTGTATAGTAAACCCAGAATCTGCCTTCTCAAGGACATTTTCTGTTGCTTGCTTTTGTTCCTATACATGTGTCATACTTTCTTATTTCTTTGTATGCCTCATAATTTTTTTGTTGAAAGTTGGACATGTGAGTTGATATTCTATATTGCAACAACTGTGATATCAGATTCCTTCCCCAAGATTTATTTTTTGTTGCTGGCTTATTGTTATTGTTTTTCCTCATTGCTAATTACTGGTTTAGTGACTTTTCTGGACTAAATTTGTAGATTCTATATTACTTGTGGTGTGTGGCTATGAAGTTTTTGCTACTTTTTTAAGTTCTTTTTTTCTATTTTTAAGCCTGGATTCCTGGGGTCATACCTGGGTCAGCATAATTTATTGGTCAGCCAATGATTGGTGGGGAAATTTCCTGAAATGCCTTGCCTGCATGTCTTCAACCATTTGCCAAGGAGATCTGTGTGAGAAGTTAAGTCTTCAAACTTCAGGCATTTTTCAGTGTAGCATTAGCTTTCATTTCCTCCTTGTGCAGGGCCTTGTGGTCAGCCAAAGGTAAGACACTGGTGACTTCTCTTTTCCAGATCCTTCCTATGCATGTGCACAGCCTTGGGGAAGTGTACAGCTTATTAGATCTCCAGGACTATGCCAGAATTGCTCAGTTTCCTATGGTAGTCTAGTTGTCCAGGATTTCCTTTTCAATTCCCAGCTGGACTCTTGTTTGCCCTAAATAAAATTACAGCCTTAGGCAGCTGAGATGTTGCCAGCAACTTGCTGTTGGTTCAGTACCATCCTGGGAATAGGTTTCCTCCCTTCCCCACTGCCCACCCCCACCGCCCCCGCTGCTTCCCCAGCTGAGCTGAGCTCTGAATTCAATCAAAGAGCCACCACACTCTGAGAACAGAGATTTACCGGGGAGCTGCAAGTTCGTTTGGACAAAATATTGACTGCCCTATGGGGAATGCTTCTCTCAAGGACTGTTCCTCCCCCACCTATCTGTTGGCAGTTCTGTCTTAGGACGTGCTTTGGATCCTGTCTTAGGACAACTTTTCTTCTCACTGAACCTTGTCTCTGGATTCACTTATCTACTCCCATTTGTGGATCATATATGTGCTGATAACTTTGAAATGTAAGTCTCCCTCTCGGTGCTCCCGGAATTCAAACTCTCAACTGGAAAGCTCCACTTAAATATTCCTTTGGCAACAAAACCAATGTGTTCTGAAGCTGAACTCATTCTCTTCCCCGCCCTGCTCCTCCAAACAACCTGCCTCTTGTCTCTTATAAAAAGGACAGGGGGCCCCTCTACAAGGTGGCCCCAGCAGGGTCTCCCTGCACATTGTCCTCCCACAGCATTGCACCCCACATCCACACAGTCCAGGGTCCAAGCAACTCTGCCCTCTAAACTCTCTCCCATGCTTCTTTCCCTCCGTATCCTCCTGCTGCCTCAGCCTAGGCCACTCACCTCAACTTCCCTGGTCAAGATTGAGACCCCTGCACACACTCCTGTGATGCCCTGTGATTAACTCACTCAGAGCCCTTCCCACGCTGAATTCTACTTGCCCTTTGCTGACCCATCTCTCACCCCAGAAGATAATCTCCAAGAAAGGGCCAGGTCTTTGTCCTCATCCCCATGGCTACAGTTTGGTAGGCACTCAAAAAGTATATGCTGAATAAGTACATATTTGTAGCAGCAACTTGAAATTCTAATGATGCTCAGGTGAAACTCTATGTTTGGGTTATCCAGGGGGAAAAAATGGATAAGCACTAATAAAAACAATGAGTGATGCTGAAAATGCTTCGACACTAATCAAACGCACACTCCCAGAGGAGTCTCACTATGTGTGTGTGGAGGAAGGAGATATGAGAACACCATGAGAAGCTTGGCAATCATTCTTCATTCTGCAGAGTAACTGTGACTCAGCTGTAGTTTAAGGAAGATGTGACTAGACAGCTCAGGACCACCATATTTCTGGACTCTAAATCCTTGTTACTTGGCTGGAAACCCTAGAGTGAGTTGACTACAATTTTCTTGAGATTAGAAATGTGTTTCTTCCAGTTACTGACAGGTCAAAGTTTTTCTTTGCAAGATTTAAGCAAACTCTGCCTTAACTGTAGCCAGAAAGACAGATAACCTTTACCACCAGGAATTTATTTTTAAATTTAAAATGAAGTCATTGGAAAGTAAAAAATTTAAAATGCAAACATCTTTAGAAGGCATCTACCTGCAAATCTGGAAATTGCAGACAGACTCCCCCACAGCTTGTGTCCTGGGCTGGCTTTCTGTTGAGGCCTGGGAGTGATACATATATGTATCCCACTGTATTGAGTTGAGAAATGACCCCCACACACACCAAAAAATTCATATCCAGCTTAAGAGATGGAACTTCATCCTTACCTTTGAAGATTCTGGGTATACCTCTTCTAGGTATATCTCCCTTCTATAACCAGAAGACCAATTTTAAAGGAAGAAATCTGAATAGAAATGCTGGCTGTAGGCAGGTGCCACTGTGAGGTCACTCTCTCCTCAGAATCCAAAAGGACCAGCCAGTTCTCTCTGCACACAGTCACCATCCACAGTGCAGGCAAATGATGTAAATTTGTCCACTGGGTCGCTCCCATGTAGTACCTTAAATCCAGAGAGAGTGACACAAATGTTTAGGGACACTTGAGAAAATATTCAAGACAGCCAAAGGCCCAGGAATGGCTTCCAAAAACAATGGAAATCGTGGCTTATCTCAGCTGCTTTTCCTGTTGTCTAACCTCCCTTGGTTCCAAGCCTTGCTCACCAGCCTTCCCCTGAGTTGTGGGAGTATCTCTGTACACACTCAGCAAATCCTTTTGCTGCTTAAATTTGCAGTTACAGCTCTGCTCCTGTGCTCTCTCATAGTGGACAGTCCATTGCCACATGGCAGCTCCTGGTTGACTCATCCTGAGCTCCAGCTCCCAGCTGCAGCCCTGGACCAGGCTCAGAGTGAGCACTAGGAAATATCTATTGACTAAATCAAGCCTTGGGACAAAAAGAAGAAAAATCTTGGGACTTAGGCCTAGGGGATTTGGAAGAAAGCTTCCTGGTTCCAGGAACTCTGCCTGTCAGGAGAGACGCCATTGTGTCTATTCTTTGGATTATCTGGCATGAAGCAAGGAACACAAGTCACTCATCCTTCTCCTCAGTAATGCTGAACAGCTGCTCTGAAGTGAGCACCAGATGAAGTGCCCATAACCCCCTTCTCTAAATTAAATGTAATAAAGATGACTTTCTCTTTCATAAAGCATGGTTAGGAAACATGCCAAGGGATCCTTGTCTTCTTCCTGCTCTCTGGCAACTCTCTGGCATTGGAGACAAGGCAAAGCAAGGGCAAATGTTTTCCGGGGACACCAACCCCAGTCCAGGCAGCTGCCACCCACTCCCCTCTGAGCTGTGAGGTCAGTGGCTGTGGGGCGTGAAGCTCTCTGCTCCTCTGCAGAGGCAAGCTGGTCTCGCCCTGCATGTTACTCCTTCCACAGGCATTCACAGAGGGCTGAGGCCGGGAATCTGGAGTCTAATGCATGAGGCAGACATAAGAACACATTAATCCAGCAGATGGCCAAGGCTTCTGTCTGACACTTGCACTGAGTGCTGGGGAAAAAGGGGGGCACAGTGGAGGTGTTAGAGGGGGTCAGGGAACGTGCACACCGGAGGTGTCCCTGGGACTGGAGCCGATGTCAGATTGGGGCTGCCATTAGGAAATACTGGGTAGACGGTGCAGACTGAACAACCACATGAGTCAATGCGTGATGGCCTGGAGGTGCAAGAAGGAGTTTGAAGGGAAGACAGAATTGCAAGGTATCTTGCAGTGAGCCTTCTAGGGTGTGCCAGAAGTGGGCCTTCCTTCCCAGTGGGATCTGGAGGACCAATTCTGGGAGAGCCGAGAACACAGAGCCATGACCCTTCCTGGTGATTTCCCACAAGCCTGGACACGGGCTCTTTCTTCCTTTATGGGTCCTGGCTGGACAATTTAATTCTCAGCGAGGGACTCGCCAGGCATTGTGGACTTCCAGCTGGTCACATGGCTCTGTCCATTCATTCATCCAACATTCATCGAGCACCTATGGCATACTGTGCCAAGCATGGGTTGTCCAAAAGTAACTGATGCACTTCCTTTACATGAATGTGATTAAACACTATGTAACAACTAAAAGAGATGCAGAACGAACATTTAATGATTTGGAGAAGGAATATATTCTATAGGAAAAAGACATGTTACAACTATGTTAGACACAGAATAGTGTTATTTTCTATAAGAGAAAAACTTTCCGCTATACAGATATAGAGACCGGAAGGATATATGGATAATATAGATACACACACTCATACATACATACATATATGCATATATTCTTTGTGAGTGGTGAAATTACAGGCAACACAGTTTCTTTTGTATTGCTCTTTTTTTCCAGATTTTCTATGATGTACATGTATCACTTTTCAATCTGGAAAATAATTGAAAATTTAAAAATACAACAAAAATACAGCCCTTATGGCCCCAGAACTCATTCACGGGACAGTGCAGGACTCAGTTACATAGAAGTGGGTTGATGGCAGATGCAGGGAGACTTTCAATTGTATTAAAAATCTATTATTTTGGCACCCGGTCAAAATAATAATAATTTGTTTAGTTTTAGCCCCAGGAACTGGCCGATTTTGTGGGCTGTGCTTCCAAAGGCAGTTGAATTTTCAAGGCTTTTGCCCTGGCATTGTGGCCTGCTGATTCACCCAGTGCCCCTGGGGCTCCCCTTGGGCCTTCTAGTGCCACCTGAGGAGGTAGGAGGAGTTTTTCCAGGTGGAGCACCACTGTCTCCTGATGCATAGGGGGTCTTTCAGGCCCAAGACGGCCAGGGGTTTCTATGGCCAAATGCTTGTTGCTATGGGGTCCCTTTAACAGTGACTCCCAGCTGCCCTGGTGTCTCCGCTGGGGAAAGAGTCTCAGCCCTATGGGGACGAATGGGCTTCCCAGGCCATGCCACTTATTGTGGGGGATCTGTCTTGTCCATGCTACCTGGCCCAGCAGGCCTCTCAGTGGAGCAGAAAGACCTCAGGCCCACTGGCGTCAGGGAGGAGACCTCTTCCCTCACTGTTTGTTGACAGTTGGGTCCCAGTTGATCACGGAGCAGGCCACACTGTCATAGGAACTCTCCTCCAATGCAGTGAAAAGAGCCCACACGGGTGCCTTCTGTTGCTGGGTGGGGGATGGCAAACACCTGGTTTGGGTCTCCTTCCTCTGCTGGGTAGAGGACCTAATCTACTCTGCCACTATTTCTTCCTCCAGTCCTGGGGTCTCCAGCAGTTCTTCTTCTGGCCACTTGTTGGAACGGCACTTGGCTGCCAGTCATGTCATTTCCTGGGCCTGTTGCTGTGCTAGTGCAGACAGCAGGGAGAAACAGGTCTACACCAACTTCTCTGGACCTGAAGCATTCTCCTCGGTCTTCTTCATTTCCTCCATTTTCTCTCTATACTCCTTTTACAAATTTTCCATTCAACTGCAATTTATTTTCTATAAGATTCAGCCATTTGACCAGGCATGGTGGCTCATGCCTGTAATCCCAGCACTTTGGGAGGCTGAGGCATGTGGATCACCTGAGGTCAGGAGTTTGAGATCATCCTGGTCAACATGGTGAAACCCCATCTCTACTAAAAATACAAAAATTAGCCAGGGATGATGGCTCATGCCTGTAATCCCAGCTACTAAGGAGGCAGAGGCAGGAGAATCGCTTGAACCCAGGAGGCGGAGGTTGCAGTGAGCTGAGATCGCGCCATTGTACTCCAGCCTGGGTAACAGGAGCAAAATTCCATCTCAAAAAAAAGAGATTCAGCCATTTAAGGTGTACAGTCAGTGGTTTTTTAACACAGTCACCAGGCTATGCAACTAACACCACTATTTAATTCTGGAACATTTTCATCACCCCTTTAAAAGATTCCCTGTATCCATTAGCAGTCCCTGGTCCTCATTCCTCTTCCCCCAATCCCTGGCAGTTAATAATCTTTCTGTCTCTATGGATTTGCCTTTTCTGGAGATTACACAGGAGTGGAATCATACAACATGTGGTCGTTTATGACTGACTTCTGTCACTTTGCATATTGTCCTCAAGGTCTCTTCCATGCTGTACCACATATCAGTACTTCATTCTTTTTATGGCCAAGCCATATTCCATGGAATGAATATGCCACTTTTTGTGTATCCCTTCATCACTTGATGAAGTATTGATGTCATTTCCACTTTTTGGCTCTTATGAATAACACTGCTCTGAGCACTCATGCAAGTGTTTATGGGATATATATTTTAATTTCTCTTGAATATTTGCCTAGTAGGGAAATTGCTGGCTCATATGGAATGAAGTCCTGATACATGCTACAACATGGATGAGCTTTATAAACATTATATTAAATGAAAGGAGCCAACCACAAAGGCCCACGTAGTATTTGAAGTGTCCACACCAGGCAAATCCATAGAGAGAGAAAGTGACTGCCTAGGGAGTGGAGCCAAATGGGCACAGATGGTTCCACAAATCTGTGAATATAAAGAGCCCACCGAATTTTATACTTTAAATAGGTTACTTGTATGATATGTGAATTATGTCTCAATAAGTATGTTATTTAAAAAGAACAGGTGGGAGGGAGACAGACCTGTGGGGAGAGAAAGCTGGCCCTGGTCACTTCCCTTCCCCCAGGGTGAGTTGTTTCTGTTCAGAGAGCCACAGAGCTCAGGCCTCTCTGCCTGTCTGACCAGTCTGCCGTAAATCACAGGTCCTGGAATGGCTCTGTAAACTCATGCCCTGCTGGCCTCAGGGCTGCTGCCCTTCCAGAGATGAGCTGTGATTCCTGCTGTATTGATCCTCAGATGCCTTCTGGGTATTGAGTTGCTCGGATTCTACCCACCCTGTAAGTCTCTGTGTGAGTCAGCGGCTCCATTCCCCAGCCCAGGAGTCCTAGTGACCCCAATCTTCCTGCTGTAAACGTCAGAGATGATAAACTGGGGGTGAATCTCATGGAGGAAATGGTGGAAACCCTACCTCCAAAAGGGAGGAAAGCTGGACCGGACAGCCTCCGGGGAGCTCACCTGGCCTGCTCTCCACACAGGTGCGCCAGAGTGGGGAGAAGGACAGTAAGAATGGAGACTTGTTTTGGGGGCTTGTTTTTCTGAAGCCCTCCTCCCGGGGGCTGGCACCCACTGCAGACAGACACAGCAGAGGGAAGTGAGGGATTTTATTATGAGTTAAAGACTCAGAATAGAGGAGATGTCCGCCTCCTTTAATAGATACTTGTCATGTTGAACTGATGCAAGGCCCACACCAGGGGCTGGGGGAGAGTGGGGTTTCAGGAATCACTGATTCTACAGGTTTGGGGGCGGGCCCATGACACCACAGCCCCTTTAGGTGGAGCATATGAGCAATGCACTCTCTCTTTATATATCAGCTTAAACGAAGCCATTCATAAAAGAACTTGGCTGCAGTAGATCAAAATACATGGTAATGGTTCTCAATTCAAATAGAAGTGGTTTGAAGCCACATGACCCTTTGAATTCATCTGGCCAGCCCCCCTTGCCAATCTCATGAGGGTGGGATGAGAGGCAGAGGAGGAAATGTCCTGGGAGACATTTTGGAAAATTCAAAGTGCTGGAGAAATATGGACATCGTGCCTTCTACTTTTGGGAATTTCTTATTCAGGGGCCCACCTGAGGATACATGGGAGAGGGCCAAGGACAGCTGCTGGCCCTGCATCCTACAGAGAGAAGCAGACCAGCCCTGCAGGCTATGCCCACTTCCCTTGGCCCTGACTCTGTACAAGCCCCACATTCAGAATGCTGCTTTCCCAGGAGTTTCTCTCGTTAGGCAGAATGCAGCAGCTCTCCCAATTCCCTTAGGCCTCTCTCTCATTTGGTGAGGTTGGGAGGGCAAAGGGAAGCATCAAAGGATGCAGAGAGAGGCCGGGCATGGTGGCTCATGCCTGTAATCCCAGCATTTTGGGAGGCCAAGGTGGGCAGATCACAAGGTCAGGAGTTCGAAACCAGCCTGGCCAACATAGTGAAACCTTGTCTCTACTAAAAATACAAAAATTAGCTGGGTGTGGTGGCACACTCCTGTGGTCCCAGCTACTCGGGAGGCTGAGGCCGGAGAATCCCTTGAGCCCAGGAGGCGGAGGTTGCAGTGAGCCCAGACCACGCCATTGCATTCCATCCTGGGCAACAGAGTGAGACTCCGTCTCAAAAAAAAAAAAAAAAAAAAAAAAAAGATGCAGTCAGAGAAGCTGAGCCTCAGAAGAGTTTGGGTCCACACTGCAAACTGTAGATTCCACATGATCTGGCATCACAGGGAAGGTCACTGTTGGTGGCTTGTCGTAGAGGCCCAGCCTCTCCCAGCCCCAGTGCTGAAGTCATTACCCAAGCTGCCTTGAGGCTCTAGACACTTTCTGCCCTAACTCTCTGCTCAGGCTGCAAATCCCAGCCCCCTCAGCTCTCCACGACATTGCCCAAGGTCTGGGTGCTACTCCATGAGTCAGGCTCTCAGTGATCCAGAGGGCCCGACCTACCCCCTGAGGGAGCCTTGGCATCCCAAGGCTGATGAAGACTGATCACATCCCCTGAGTGCTACAGTGGCCCAGCTGCTCAGTAAATGAGAAATCGCTGGGAGGAAGGAAAAGTTCAAGCAACCATAATGTGCTCCAAGATACGTGGGGATGCTCTTCCTTTCCACAAAGAAGACACTACCATCACTTTTTTGGAAACATGCATCTCTTTTAACTTCCCACTTTTGATAGAAACATAAAGATAGATAACAATTTCCCTACTAAAGGGGGAAAACATGCAAGTATGATGATAAATGAACAGCAATCCTCTGCCCCTTAGCTGAGGACATGGGGGGTGCAGTGGAGGTGAAGGTACCCACATGAGGCTGCTTCTCACGTCTGCATCATCATCTCCACACTGAAGGGTGTGCCTGGTTTTGTAAGATGTTCTCATTTTTCAAGGAAACCTGGAAATGTGAACTTTTATATACCACCTCCCAGTTTTCATATTGTTTTCTCCTGAAACTCCATGGAGACCAATTGCACGAAATGCACTGGTGGCCAAGTTTGGCTTCCAAGTTTGGATGTCTGCCTTAGGTTTTATGTTACATAGACTGTAAATCTCTCCCTGGGAAGGTCACACTGCTTCTCAGACAGTAGGCTGACATATCCCCCTGCAAACATGGCCCAAGACCTCTCTGTCTCTCTCTTCTCCCTACCCTGAGGAGCAGCCACATAAATATACACTGGTTGTTTTTTTTTATGATGCAATGATAATGGGTTAACTCATCGCACTCCTCTGCATTTTTGGTTTTATGATAAGGAAATCAAAACTCCTATCCCTAAAGACTCAAGAATGGTGTAATAAATTTTGTTCAAATGACCTGCCCCATTATGTTGGCAACATAGCTTTCTTAACAAACATCGGTACAATTTAATGGGAAGTTTAGACTCAGTTCCTGAGAATCCCAAGTTCAGGGGCTTACATCTTAATATAAACAGGCTGTAAGTTTTTGACTAAGACAGGTAAAGTAATGACGAACACATCATGATGAAATGAAAACTAATCAGAGAAGAATAATTTTCTGAATTTTCTGGAGAAGCTGGCTAATCCTAGAGGAAATGACATCATTCCCCAGCCAGGCAGCCTCTGTCCACATGGAGCCCCACAGATGCACCGGGATCCTGGGTTCTGCGTTCACCACCTGCTCCAAGCACGGCTGGAGCCCCTGATCCATGAGGAAGCCCCGGCCAGCACGCTCAGTTTTCTGCCCACATCCTCCTGTCTGATAGCTGCTTTTCTTCTGGCTCACCAATGAGCTCCATTCTTCGGGCTCTCCTTGGTACTCCTGCACAACCATATCTTTTCCTCACATCATCACAGAATTCATTTTTAAAAAGAGGTATTGAGGAAATTAGGATTGGCAAAAATGAAACTGAACACATTCAGTGCCTCTTCCTTCAGTCCGTCCTCCACACAGCAGCCAGAGTGATCCAGTTAAAATCCAAAGACTCAGCCGAGCTGCTGCTCAGATCCTGCAGTGGCTACCTATTTTTCTGATGAAAGCCAAGGTCCTTCAAATGACCTTCGCGAGTCTACGATGTGCCCCACCCACCTTTCCCCAACTCTTGTCTGTGGCCTCTTCTGCTCTCTCCCTCTCCCTAGTGCTCTGTCAGCCATGCTGGACCTCATGCATGCCAGGCCTGCCCTTTGCCCCTGCTGACCCTGCACCTGGACCCTCTTCCCCAGACAGCAACATGGCTGGCTTCCTCACTTGGTTCAGGTCTTCACTCAAATGCCACCCGGCTGAGGTCTTCTCTGGTCACACTGCCTAAAACGTTAGTTCAGCTCCACCACACCTCCTCCTTCCACGCCTCTTCTCCTCCACCCCTGCAATCTGGTGTGCCATGTGTTTTACACATTACCTTGTTTGTTGACTGCTTCCCTGCCAGCCTGTAATGTCCCTGAGAGCAACAATTTTGGTCTTTGTGCCTGACAAACAGTAGACTCTTAATAAATGTTATGTTTTTATTTCTTTTTTCAAAACTAGCAGATACTGAGTAGAAAAGTTCCCAGGCCTGGCCAGGTGACCCTAAAGGAGCTGGTGGTGGAGAGAGAGCTGTTCCCCTGTCCTTTGCTCCATGGGCCTAAGCAGGTCACTTGCCAGCTCTGAGCCTTGGCCCCCTGTGAAATGGGCACAATGATAACTACCTGTCTTACCTCACAGGGCATTTGGGAAATACCATTGAAAGAACAGATTCTAAAGGGCCTTGCAAAAGCAAACCTCTATGGCTGGGTTTCTCATACCCGGCACTGTGAGCATTCAGGGCCAGCCCCTACTTGGCTGTGAGGAGCTGTGGGGGCCTGTGCTGTGCATCCTAGAATGTTAGCAGCAGCCGGGCTCCAGTACACTGGGCACCAGTGTCAACCCCCTGAGCTGTGACAACCCACAGTGCCTCCAGACACTCCCAGATGTCCCTGGGGCAGGGCCACAGTTGCCCCCAATTGAGGACCGCTGCTCTCTGACAGTCTGTTGGTAGCAGTAGAAACTATCATATTCACCAATTTAATCCTTTAACTAATTGGTCTGGTTTTCACTGAAACTCAAAATTCACGTTGACAGCATTTTTGATTACTTAGGTCTTATTCTCATGATAACGGATTAGAAATTCTCCTGCTCCAGGCAGCTCCCAGATGGTTCAGGCTCTTGCCTAAGTTTTGCTTACCTCCACCAGGAGGTAATTCCAGAGCCTCTCGTGGGATCCCCAGAGAGCCGAGCAATCTGCAGAGTTCCAAAGGCGTACCCGTCAGTAAGTGGTTGGGCAGGAAACACTTCCACTCCCTAGGAGCCACCATAGCCCGTGCCCACCAGGAAGCGCTCCAAGGCGTCTGCAGGAGACAGCTGTACACTTAGCTAGTGACCCGGTGAACATAGCCAACCTAATCTAAGCGGGAGCTTTGGAAAGAAAACATACCATAGGCCACCTTGCTTCGGGCGCACCTCCCTGGGGGCTCTCATCAAGTGTATATCAGGCTCAGGGTGATGACTGGGTCCCACATTTAACTCACTGCCCTCATGCACAAAGACATTTTACACGTTTGTTTAAATTTTCCTACAACTGCTTAGTCTTCCACGCAAACCCCGTCAGCTGGGGATTGGAGTTAGGGAGCAAAGGAAGGCAACCGTGGTTCCCAGTGAGCACATAACTATTTGTTTTTGGCTTGAATGGTCCCTTTTAGTGAACAGTCAATTCCAAGTTCAGCTGTCCATTAGGTTGTCACTGCCTCTCTCTTTCTCCAGATAGGGGTCTGGGTGTGAGCCCTGGGCACTGCAGAAGCAGCAGCCAATCCATGGTCA
This sequence comes from Homo sapiens, assembly GCF_000001405.40. Taxonomy (NCBI): domain Eukaryota; kingdom Metazoa; phylum Chordata; class Mammalia; order Primates; family Hominidae; genus Homo; species Homo sapiens. The sequence goes on along the minus strand of NC_000010.11, from coordinate 44,468,225 downwards.
GTATGCAGCCTGCCTGTTGGTCTGTAAGCTCTGCCTGGGCTGTGGTCAGGACACAGAGGCGATGGTGATCCTGGCTGCTCTCATTGCAGGGAGGTACCACCCACCCCTGCTGATGCTGGCCCGACCTCGCTTCTGGCTCCTGCAGCTATCTCTTCCAGACACGAGATTGCTGCTGATCCACATTGCACTTCAAATGCACTTATGTGGCAAGTGGGAGCTCCTGGACCCCATGCATGCTTGGCCTAGGGCCAAGAAGATGGCTCAGACTTGACTGTTAGACACCTCTCAGTACTCCCAGCCTGTATTGAGGCTGACACTGAGCCAAGGCAGAGCTTCTCTCATGAACCTGGAGCCTCGTTCACTTGGGTATTCATTCAACAAATGTGCATCAAGGGATCATCATGCCAGGCACTACTGTAGGCACTGGAGATCCAGTAGCACACAAAACAAAGTTCCCTGCCCCATGGGAGCAAAAAGACAGCAAGCCAACAATACGATCAACCGCATACCAGACAGTGATAGGTGCTGTCAAGGAAAGGATATCCCTGAAGGGCAATGGAGATTGTTGGGATAGGAGGGTGCTGTTTTAAATACACTGTCAGGGAAGCCTTCTCAATAAAGTAATATTTGAAAAGATTTGCATGGAGACTTAGAATTGAAAAATGGTGAGCAATGAGAATATCTGGTAGAAGAATCTTTCAGACAAAGGGAACAGCTCGTGCAAAAGTCCTGAGACAAGAATGTCTGATCTGTTTGCAAAACAACATGAAGGCCAGGTGACCAGAGTTACAGAAGGCTTCAGAAGCATCCAGGTAGATGTCAGTGGCTGCCTTCCCTTGGTGCAAATAGCCTCCTTGCCTGCTTCTGACTATGCTCTAACTTAGGGCCAGCCCCTCCGTGTTGTGGGCTGTGGACCCAGGTGTGGCTTCCTTGCCCTCCCTCTACATCCTATTCCCTCCTCACCAGCTCGTGGCCCAGGCCCAGGGTAGGCAGGGCAGGGCCTCTTGTTCCTCATTCAGTCTGGTTGGAGAACTCCTTCACTTTATGTCCCCAGTCCTCTCTCTTTCTGCAGTATGACTTGCAATAAAATTCTATGATCAGAACCTTGGAAAGCCTAAGTCTTTATGTCTAAACCTGGTAGGTTGAGAATTTAAAAATCCTCTCTTTCTTCTTTTATAAAGACTTTTTCTCTGCTAGCCAACAAGTAACCTTTTTGAGAACCAGAAAATGTTTCTCACTCGCAGAGGATGCAGCCATGCACCAGGACGCACCACAGGCGGGACTGCCGCTCCTTCCCTGTGACCTCAACAAAAATCCCACGGCCTGCCCCCAGGTGAAGGCCTAGCTGGCTGTCAAGACTACTTGCACCCCTAAATACTTGAGAAAGTTAACTTTGAGACTAACATTGTTCAATGACCTATGTGTTCTAGAGATACCAGTGCTAAACTTCCCTGGGATAACACAGTTCATGGCATGGCCCTGGAGGGAGAAGACACCTGGAGAATGAAATTTAAGTGGGGAATGAAAATATTATTCCCATTATCAACCAACATTTCCAGAAGAGCCTACAGGATCCATTTGATCCTCAGAATAACTTTCTCCCTTCCCTCATGACCAGGCCCAGTGCAGACATGTGTAGTCTGGTCCCAGCAGTCAGTGCTGGATAGGATAACAGACATTGTGGAGAACAGATATGTGTGGTGAGCACTTGACCTAGGCCTGGGCAGAGGAAGGCAGCATGAGGCGAGGATCAAGGCATAATTAGTTAACATCTTATAAAGCTGATATCAGCGTGTATTATGAATCATGAAGGGTTGCAGATGTGAGATTTTACCCTATTTACATAGTAACTAGTTAGCCTGTCACAGTTTCCTGGATGATGGCAAAAGATATGAGACTCCTGAGTCAGAGACAAAAGACTTTATTCCTTACAGTACAGCAAGAAACATGACATTAGAATCCATTCCCTTTGCCCCCCAAAAATTCCATTGAGAGGATACAGAGGGGACCCGGTGGACACTGCACATCCAGTGAGTTTGCATCACAGCTGAGAAGCAGAGTTTAAGGAATATGAGTATTTTATAATATGTAGGAAGCAAACCTGCCTAACCTTTTCTCCAGAGGGACACTTTATTTTTATTTCACTGGACAGCAAGCACACTTGCCCTTTGCTCTGTAGGGGGTATACTATCTTCCAGACTGCTCTCTCTATAAACATCCTTGAAAGGGCAGTCTGGGACAAAAGCAGCTAATACCTCAGTCAGGAGAAACAGGAAAGGCACTTGGGGAATTGTCTCCCAACGTGGTAGGTCAGAACTCAGTCGGAGATACTGGTGGAAGTTCAGGAACTGGCCACTGTCACCCCAGAGCTCTTGTTCTTGGTGGGAAAGGATGAACATTACAAAGCTGAAGACTGTACTTGTGTCAACAGAAGAACTTATGGCCTTTCTGTCTCTGGTATTGACTCAAAAATAAACAAAAGTGGACCCAAATACAAAACACAGGCAGGAACGAGGAGTCAGGCCCCTCGAGCATGCCTCCCCACTGGGCACTTCTGTAGGAAGTCTTGAGCCCCCAGCTGGCGGGGCTAGCAAGCTGCACAATCCATCACTGCCAGGCAGCTCTTGGCAGCGGCCAGCACTGCGGGGCCTCTGGAGCCGTATCTCCAGTCAGGGACCAGTAATTAGGTGTTTAGATTCAAATCAACATTTAAAACAGCCTTGGGGAAGTTTTCGGTATGCTAGGAGACCAAGTAAGCTACCGTCAATAAAATCACGTGAATTGAAACTCCACATAGGGAAGTTTGTAAATTCTCCTGAAGATAGAATTATTTTGACAAGAAAATTTAGTTTGCTTTTCTGACTACTTCCTCTGCTTATAGAAGAATATTACATATTCACTAATTCATTTACTTTAATTAAATGAAGTTGATTAGAAAAAAATATTGTTGAGCATTTGCTGGGTTGGTCTTGATTGAGTACTAAGGATACACAGATTGGTAAGTGGCCCTCCACTTCCTCCGGAAGCTCACAGACCTCCCAGCAATGAAACCTCACGAAGCAGCAATCACGGAGGCCAGCAGATATCACCAGAGTACTGGGTGGGAGTCGGCACCTGGCTCACAGACACAGGGGCACTGACCACAGCACTCAGTGTGGGAAGGAAGAATCTCTTCATACTTGCTCATCGTCCTTTACTGTCTCCTCCTTCTTGACTTTTAATTGTGCTGTGTTCTGCAAATATACAGTTGAGCTGTAGAAATTTTTAGGATGCAGTGGTCAGAAATGTGAAAATCCAGAATACTTGGCAGAGTGCTGAAGAAAGGTTGGGCAAGATGTTCAGATAAACCTACTGTAATACATGATGGGGGAAAAAAGACATCAAATGCATAAATGAATTAACATGTAAAAGTAAATTCTTGCAACACATGAAAAAGGTGAACTTCACACCCATTGGTATGGCTATTAGCAAAAAAATATATAAATAAATAACAAGTAATCGTGAGGATGTGGAGAAATTGGAACTCTTGTGCCCTGCTGGTGGGAATGTAGAATGTGGCAACTGCTGTGGAAAACAGTATGGCAGTTCCTCAAAAAACTAGAAACAGAATTACCATATAATCCCACAATTCCACTTCCGGGTATATACCCAAAAGAATTAAAAATAAGCAAGGACTTGAACAGATATTTGCACACACATGTTCAGAGCAGCAGTATTTAAAAAGCCAAAGGAAGAAGCAACCCAAGTGTTCATCAACAAATGATATATAAATAAAATGTGGTATAAACATACAATAGAATATTATTTACCTTTAAAAAGGAGTGAAATTCTGACACATGCTGCAACATGCATGAACCTTGAAGACATTATGCTAAGTTAAATCAGTCATTTATGAAAGGATGCATACTGCATGATTCCACTTACATGAGGTACCTAATCAAATTCACAGATGCAGGAAGGAGAATGGTGGTTGCCAGGGTCTGAGGGGAGGGAGAGAGTGAAAGTTATTATTTAATGGAGACAGAGTTTCTGCTGGGATGATGAAAGTTCTGGAAATGAATGGTGGTGATGGTTACATAACAGTGTGAATGTACTTAACACGACCAAACTGCACACCTAAAAACAGTTAAAGAGTAAACATTATGGGTATTGCACCACAATAAAAAAAGGAAAGGTAGAATATGCAATGAATCATGAGTTGAAAAATGGATGGCATTTTTCACTTTTTAGCCAGATGTCTTGGTGTTCTATAGACACAGCCAAAATGAAATGATGAAGGATTGGGGAATTGAAGCCAGGACTCTGGAGTCTCAAGTGACGACCATAATTACTGCATTTCATTTCCTGTATGTAAGGCAAACTGAGTTCAGGACCAAAAGCAATATTCCAATGGGCTGTGATTAATTGCCCCTCCCGTGTTTAAATGGACCTCCTCGTGGCTTTTGCTATTGTTCTGCACAAGTAATTAGGGAAGTTTTCACTGCAGAGGTCATTCCTGTGTATGTCCAAAACAAAGGCCAATTTCTGCTTAGCATTTATGAGACTTCAGATGTGGAGTACTCTAATCCACAGTTACATAATGAACATGTGGGTTTAACTGGGAAAGGAAGAGTCAGCCCTGTGGCTTGCTCCAGGCATTGCACAGCCTCTCATTCACCCGCACCAGCTTGCTTCATGTTCTCAGTGCTTCTATGGCGAATGTATTATCGCCTCTACAGATCGCCTTTACAGATGAATCTCAGAGGTTAAGCAATTTTTCCCCGAGTCACACAAACAGTAAAGAAAAGAGTGAAAAGCCCCACTTTTCTCTGATTCAAATCCTTTTATGCTGTTCTGAACTCTGCATTGTGACAGCAATAAGAGCCTTGGCTTTCCCTGAATCTGTTATTCATCCATCTATTCACTTATCCAACAAACGCTTGTTCTTCACTTCCTTATTCCAGACATAGTGATAGAGGGGCACGTAGGAGGGGCATGATCCAGCCACTTGAGATAATGTAGGGATGAGAAGTCAATAGACAGAAAATAAAATGCAGACATTTCTATCGCAGAAAAATAAACAAAAAATTTCCCATAGTACACTTGGAACATAAGTTAGAAATGAGAGTGAGGCAGTCACAGAGCTGAGGGTTTTTGGGATTTTATTCTGAGATAAGCAAAGAATGGGGAGCCACTAACACCCTTAAATGAGAAAATGACTGGGGAAAATTTGCAATTTAGAAAGATCAACCTGATAGCTCCATGGGGGATGCAGGGGGTGGGAGGCAAATATGGAGGCAAGGAGACCATATTCCTTTCCTGGGGCTTCCCTAACAAATGACCACAAACAGGGTGGCTGCAAAACATAGAAATTCATTTTCTCACAGTAGCAGAGGCCAGAGTTCCAAAATCAAGGCATCGCAGGTCCACGTTCCTCAGAAAGCTCTAGGAAAAATCTATCCCAAGCCTTTATCTTAGCTTCTGATGTTGCTGGCAATCCCTGGCATTCCCTGGCATTCCCTGGCAGTCCCTGTCAGTCCCTGGCTTACAGACGCATTGCTCAGTGCCCTGTCATCATGTGGCGTTCTCCTGGTGTCTGAGCCTGGGTTTGTGTCTCTTTCCTTCTGCATGTAACGACACTAGTCATATTGAATTTCAGTCATATCAAATTTCATATTGAATGTCTGTTCCAGCATGACATCATCCTAACCTGATCACATTGCAAAGACCTTATTTCTAATAAGGTCACACTCACAGGTACCAGGGGTTAGGACATGAACAGATCTTTTTGGGAGACACAACTCAGCTAACAACAGAGACCAATTAGAGGACATTTGCAATTGGCCAGCTGAGAAAATGAGGTGCTGACCAGCAGCACAGACGTGGCGAAAAGGAGGTGATGAGGAGGAAGAACCAGCCAAGCCCAGCAAGAGGAGGTGAGGTGTGTGCGGTGGAGCTCCAGTTCCCCGCTTAGGGCTGGGGGCTGTAAAGGAGAGGATTTGTGTGGGAAAGAATGGATGAGGGGTGGCGGGATGTGATAACTTTGTCAAGTCTTTCTTTCATACTTGGAGAAAAAGTGTTGATAGGGATGATGTTGATTCTCCACTGTTTTAAATGACAGAACTCTATGTCTACAAAAGAAAATAGCAATTTTGGATTTTGATGCTCAAAATCGTTCAAGTCTTATTCACAGCTCTGTTCCAGCCTCATCACTCGCACTTCTCCTTTCCCTGCATTGTGCAGACAAACACACACACACACACACGTGAACACGGCAAGCATTCACTCTATTTGTTTGTTTCTGCACTGCATGTCTCAGGGACCACGTGATGCCTGAGGATGAGAAATGTTTTATCCCTGTCTGGGCCCACCTGGTGCAGAGTACACAGCAAACGAAGATGGATAGTGAGACAAAGCATGGTGCTGCCCCTGCCCAAGGTGTGCCCTTTCCTGTTGCTCTCCTATGTGCCTCCATTCCTCTGCCTACGTGGCACCCTTGAGGAAAGAGAATGAACTCCTCCTATCCCTCAACTTACACAGTGTGTTGAGGAGATGGCATGCTGCCTTTAACCATCCATGTCCGTTCCACCGTTCTGGAGTAACCACAGAAGGCAAGGTCAATGTTCTATTCATCTTCACACCTCCAAGGCCTCATACAACCTATTGCAGTGTAGGTGCTTAGGAAATCCTTTGCCTAAAAAACCAAACTCGGCCAGGAGCAGTAGCTCATGCTTGTAATACCAGCACTTTGAGAGGCTGAGGCGGGGGGATCACTTGAGGTCAGGGGTTCAAGACCAGCCTGGTCAACATGGTGAAACCCCATCTCTACTAATAATAAAAGATTAGCCAGGCGTGGTGGCATGTGCCTGTAATCCCAGCTACTTGGGAGGCTGAGGCAGGAGGATGGCTGGAACTTGGGAGGCAGAGGTAGCAGTGAGCCGAGATAGTGCCACTGCACTCCAGACTGGGTGACAGACTTCGTCTTAAAAAAAAAAAAAAAAGCAAACTGTACTGGTTCTTTAAGGGAAGTCACTGGAGTCTACTGCAGGGATCACATGCACAGGCTGTGATGTCAGACAGACCTGCATCTGAATCCTGGCTCTGATACTCCGTAGCTCTCTTAACTCAGGGGAGTTTTAGACTCCGTAGGCCTCCTATCCTTGCTTGAAAATGGGGATCACAGCAGTAGGGGTCCTGTGATGCTTCAGTGAGCTCATGCTAGGAAAGCATCCAGCACATTGCCTGACACACAGGCTCAGAACAAACCTAATTACCATGGTTGGTCCTCAGTGCCCAACAGCCTTCCTTATAGCCTGCTCCTCTCCTGAGAACAGACCAAGAGGACCTGTGAGTCCCTGTAGCCTCAGCTCCTCCCACCATTCTCTTGACCCCAGGTAATCATAAAATTATGAAGTAATTGAGGGAAACATGCATGGTTCTCCCTTGTTCTTTATGGCTTGGGTATTGAGCAATCAAGAGATATTGGAATGTCATCTAGAACTACTATTTCTAGAGAAAACCTCCAGGATGGGCATGGAACCAAAAATGTTCCTAGAGAGCGGTTAGGAGTTGAACAATGTGCTTTCCAGTTTGCAGATGAGAGGGAGCTTGACTGTGAAGGAGCCAAAGCTTTGCTCTCATATTCCAGTCCTGGCAGCAAATCTTGCAGGCTGTGAGACTGGGGCCAGCTACTTAACCTCTCTGAACACCATTGTCTCATGAGGCTGTTGTGAGAATTGGAAATAATAAATAAATGTGTCAAATAACCCAGTGGGTGACACATAGTAACTATTCAAAAACAGTACCTCCATGCTCTTCTGTCATTACTAGGATGGTTGCAGGGATAGAGAGAGACATCAGAAGTGTTCAGTGACCAGTGTTCAGTGCCCAGTCAACCCCCTATAACCTTAGCCTCCCTCTAAGCTGACCCTAAGGGTGAGCCTGATAGCTTCGGAGAGAGCTCTGTGACTTGCCTCTGTTTGGAAAGCAGTGCTCCCTTAGAAATCAGAGGCAACTCTCCTGGATCCCCACAGAGCAGAACCCCACTCCTTGGTCCTACTGGTTCGTCAGGTGTCCCAGGCTCTGTCCAGGGACAGCAAGCTGAGGCTACGAACTCCAGAGTCATCTTGGACTGGGGACTGGGGAGAGAGCATGAGGCTGGGACCAAGCTCAAAAAGGACTTGGGAGGACAACTAATGGGTGGGTGGGGTGAAGAGGTTTGGAGCAAAGGAGAGTTTGGAGAAGGAGAAAGCAAGTCAGCCCAGCCAACAGAGTGATGACTGCAGCCTTTGTTTAGGCATCTTTGGGAGTGTTTGCAGATCTACAGGGTACAATAAACTGCCTAGTGGAAACACAGTCTTAAAGCACTGAGAGGTTTTATTTTTAATTCTTGCTTAAATGAGAACTGTTATCTGTCTCGGGAGATCTTTTCACCTTGAGGTCATGAATTGGAGCCTGGGGACTTGGCCTCCACTCCTGCTCTGGCATTTTGTAGTTGAATGACCTCAGTGAGACCCTTCACCTCGCTGGTCCCAGCTCTGTTCCTGTGAAAAGAAAGGATTGGAGAACTTGGTCTCTTAGGTTTCTGCTAACTGACGTTTTGTAACACTTAGTTTCAGATTTTCAACCTCCCTTTCCTCCCCTTTCTAATTTTTTTAAGAAGTGCAGAACTAGAACTTAGAAAAAAAACCATGCTCGAACTTTCTACATCATTTCCTAGGCACTTAGATCTGCATCCCAGGAAGCATATTAAAAATACTTATCCCCAGGACTCTCCTTTGGGATGGGACTCAGGAACATCTGTAAATTTAACAAGATCCATAGGTGATTTTTTTTATGATCACACAATAATTAGCCTAAGCTGTCTTAAAGCAGCTGCTGAAAATTGAAACTGACTCAATCATTAAAAGGCACATCTTTAAACTGTGGTAAAGGCCAAGGTCTCTGCTAGGGAACTGAAGCCAAGAATCTGAGAAAAGTGCGATGATGAATGCCAGCCTTTACCAGCTGGGCCTGGGATGTCTGTGAACCATTGAGGCCAAGATGAGAGCAGGGCCACGGGGGCGGCGGGGTTGTGGGCTGTCATGTGACTACGTCATTGGACCACCTCTCCTTTCATGCTGAACTGACATGCTTGTCCACACTGTAGAGCACATGGTCTTTGTTTCAGGATATGGGGCATGGGAGTTGGGTTGCTTTGCAGGAGCAGGAGAGAATGTGCAGCCGCCTCCATCCAGCAGTCCTCTGGGAGGCAGTTGGCTGGGACCTGGGTGTTCACTGTGGCCATAGGCTGGAGCATCAGCAGCAGCCCACAGACCCGCAACCATGGCCACCCAAAACTAGAGCTCTGCAGTGGCTGATTTCCAGGAAGTCACAGTCTGGCTAGATGGCAGAAGCCCAGACCTTGGTGGCCTCCCTTTCAGGATGCTAGTGGCCTCTATGACTCACCAGAGGAAGAAAGCACAGCCTCTGCCATCTGGCCCTGGCTGCAGGAGACAGCAGGGCAGAATGGGTGGTCCCTCTCAGCAGGTTTGGTGGATCTGCTCTGCCTCCTGTCCTCTGACATCTGGGGTCACCCACCTCATCCTCCACCAGGACACGGCCTTTCCCTGACATCTTCCCTCTGCTGGTTCAACGTACTTTGGGGTGCCCTCAACAAGAGGCAATGCACAGACATTGCCTGTTGAAAACACAATTTTGCTTGCTTGTGCTTCATAGTAGGGAAAATGTCCACTAAAAGCAAAGGTAATGGAAAATAATTAGCATTTTAAAGATCAGTAGCACTAAGTAATGTTGAAATCAGCCTCTACCAGTTCCTAAACCCATGTTTTTGAAGAACTTCTACGGGCCAGTCATTCTTTCTCTCCTCCTCTCCCATCTCTCCCAGCTAGGGCTTTGCATGCACAGACCTCCTGCCTTCATTTTATTCCCGCTCCCTTCCCTTCACTTGCATAATCTCGATTGACTTTTTCAAAAATAAACCTTGAATTTTAGAATAGGTTTGGATTCATAGAAAATTGTGAAGATAGTAGTACAAGAGGTCCACACATACCCGACACTCAGTTTTTCCTAGTGTTCATATGTTACATGGGTAGGGGTCATCTGTCACAACCAAGAAGCCACTATTGATTATTATTAGCTAAAATCCATACTTTATGGATGCTTCCTCAGGTCTTACCACATATCCTTTTTCTGTACTGGAATCCCATCCTGGACACCGCATAACATTTAGTCGTTGTGTATCCTTCAGCTCCTCTATGGCTGTGACAAGTTCTCAGACTTTGTCAGGATGACCTTGTTTAAATGACTTTGACAGTTTGGGGAGTTTTGGGGAAGACTTTTCAGCTATTTTGTAGAAGGTCCATCAGGTGGACTTTGCCTGGTATTTTCCCCATGATTAGATTGGAGTTGCAGGATTTGAGGGAAAAACCACTGAGGTAAAGGCACATGCCACTGACATAACTTAACTTTGTCTGCCTTGCTCACCTGGCTGAGGGGGTCTGTCTGGTTTCTCTACTGTAAAGTTACTCTTTTTCCCATTTCCCATCCAGTACTCTTTGGAGGTAAGTCACCGTATGCAGCCAACACTTAGGGGAGGGGGAGTTATATTCTACCTCCTTGAGACAGGGGTATCTACATAAATTATTTTAAATTCTTCTGCATGAGAGGTTTGTTTGCTCTCCCTTATTTTTAGTTATATATTCAATCATATGTTGATACCAATATGATCTCATGCATATTTATTATATACATGAGGTCATAATCTAGTACTACTTTATTAATTTTGTTGCTGAAATTATTCCACCTGTGGCCACTAGGAGCTCTTTCAGTTGGCTACTGTGTCACTTTGATACACCCCGTTGTTGAGTGTTTGTGCGCTTGTGTGTGTGCTATATACTTACATTCTGGCACTATGAGACATGCCAGGCTCTTCTTCTATATGCCCTGCCCAGCCCTAGAATCCACAGTATCTGCCAGGATGTCTTGTTCCTTTCTTTAGAGACTGGTATTAGAAGTCAGAATCTGGGTGATGTGTGTGTTCCATACTTCTGGGATTCCATTGCTTCCAAGCCCTGCTAACCAACAGAGCAAGGAGAGATATTTGAGTGTCCTAACCCATGACTATACTCATATCTATAAATATTCCCCTAGGGACTCATTGCTATCTATATTAAGCTAAATAGGAGTTAATACTAAAATATCCAACTCTAATCCAGGACCACATGATCACTCTAAGCTTCCTCAACCTCCTCCTCCAACAGTGAGAAAATTGGCTTCCATCATCCTGCATCCATCAATTATTTGATTCCATTATCCCTGCGTTGTGGTTTCAAAATCATTAACCAATACCCCTGTAGAAAGCAGCCTTACTCTGGTTCAACACACACAAATCAATAAATGTAATTCATCACATAAAGAGAATTAAAGACAAAAACCACGATTATCTCAATAGATGCAGAAGAGAACTTCAATAAAATTCAAATTACCTTCATGTTAAAAACTCTCAATAAACTAGGTATTGAAGGAACATACCTCAAAATAATAAGAGCCTTTATGACAAACCCACAGCCAATATCATACTGAATGGGCAAAAGCAAGAAGCATTCTCCCTTGAAAACTGGCATGAGACATGGATGCTCTCTGTCACCACTCCAAATCAACATAGTGTTGGCAGTTCCAACCAGGACAATCCGGCAAGCGAAAGAAACAAAGGGTATTCAAATAGGAAGAGAGGAAGTCAAATTGTCTTTGTTTGCAGATGACATGATCCTGCATCTAGAAAACCTCATTGACTCAGCCCAAAATCTTCTTAGGCTGATAAGCAACTTCAGCAAAGTCTCAGGATACAAAATCAATGGGCAAAAATATCAAGCATTCCTATATACCAATAACAGACAAGCAGAGAGCCAAATTATGTGAATGGGAATTCACAATTGCCACAAAGAAAACAAAATATCTAGGAATACAGCTAACAAGGGAAGTGAAGAACCTCTTCAAGGAGAACTACAAACCACTGTTTAAGGAAATCAGAGAGGCACAAGCAGATGGAAAAACATTCCATGCTCATGGTTAGGAAGAATCAATATCATGAAAATGGCCATACTGCCCAAAACAATTTATAGATCCAATGCTATTACTATTAAACTACCATTGACATTCTTCATAGAATTAAAAGAAAACTATTTTAAAATTCACATGGAACCAAAAAAGAGCCAAGACAATCCTAAGCAAAAAGAACAAAACTGGAGGCATCACTCTACCAGATTTCAAACTATACTACAAGGCTATCGTAACTAAAAGAGCATGGTACTGGCACAAAAACAGGCACATAGACCAATGGAACAGAATGGGGAACTCAGAAATAAAACTGAATATCTTCAACCATCTGATCTTTGACAAATCTGACAAAAAAGAGCAATAGGGAAAGGATTCCCTATTTAATAAATGGTTCTGTGAAAACTGGCTAGCCATATGAAGAAAATTGAAACTGGATCCCTTCTTTACACCTTAAACAAAAATCAACTCAAGATGGATAAAAGACTTAAATGTAAAACCCAAAACTATAAAAACCCTAGAAGAAAATCTAGGCAATACCAGTCAGGACAGAGGCATGTGCAAATATTTTATAATGAAATCGCCAAAGCAATTGGAACAAAAGTAAAAGTTGACAAATGGGATCTAATTAAACTAAAGAGCTTCTGCACAGCAAAAGAAACTATCATCAGAGTGAGTAGACAACCTACAGAATGGGAGAAAATTTTCGCAATCTCTCCATCAGACAGAGGTCTAATATATTCAGAATCTACAAGGAACTTAAGCAAATTTACAAGAAAACAAAAACAAACACATTAAAAAGTGGGCAAAGGATGTGAACAGACACCTCTCAAAAAAAGACATACATGTGGTCAAATATGAAAAAAGCTCAAAATTACTGGTCATTAGAGAAATGCAAATTAAAACCACAATGAGATACCATCTCACGCCAGTCAGAATGGTGATTATTAAAAAGTCAAGAAACAACAGATCACTTTGGGAGGCCGAGGCAGGCAGATCACGAGGTCAGGAGGTCAAGACCATCCTGGCCAACATGGTGAAACCCCATCTCTACTAAAAATACAAAAAATTAGCTGGGCGTGGTGGCGGGTGCCTGTAGTCCCAGTTACTCGGGAGGGGAGGCTGGGGCAGGAGAATGGCGTGAACCCAGGAGGCAGAACTTGCAGTGAGCCGAGATCACGCCACTGCACTCCAGCCTGGGTGACAGAGTGAGACTCTGTCTCAAAAAAAAAGAAACAACAGGTGCTGGCAAGGTTGCAAAGAAATAGGAATACTTTTACACTGTTGATGGGAATGTAAATTAGTTCAACCATTGTGGAAGACAGTGTGGCAATCCCTCAAAAATTTAGAACCAGAAATATCATTTGACCCAGCAATCTCATTACTGGATATATACCAAAGAAATATAAATCATTCTAATATAAAGACACATGCACATGTATGTTCACTGCAGCACCATTCACAATAGCAAAGACATGGAATCAATCCAAATGCTCACAATGATAGACTGGATAAAGAAAATGTGGGGAGTCACTGGCAAGATGGCTGAATAGGAAGAGTTCTGGTCTGCAGCTCCCAGTGAAATTGACACAGAAAGCAGGTGATTTCTGCATCTCCAACTGAGGTATGCAGTTCATCTAATTGGGACTGGTTGGAGAGTGGGTACAGCCCATGGAGTGTGAGCCAAAGCAGGATGGGGTGTCGCCTCACCCGGGAAGCACAAGGGGTTGGAGGATTTCCCTCCCCTAGCCAAGGGAAGCCGTGAGAGAATGTACCAGGAAGAATGGTGCACTATGGCCCAGATACTGCGCTTTTCCCACAGTCCTCACAACCAGCAGACCAGGAAATTCCCTGTGGTGCCTATGCCACCAGGGCCCTGGGTTTTGAGCACAAACTGGGCAGCCATTTGGGCAGACACTGAGCAAGCTGCAAGAGTTTCTTTTTTTTTTTATTCGTACCCCAGTGGCACCTGGAACACCAGTGAGACAGAACCGTTCACTCCCCTGGAAAGGGGGCTGAAGCCAAGGAGCCAAGTGGTCTGGCTCACTGGGTCCCAACCCCATGGAGCCCAGAAAGCTAAGATCCAATGAAATTCTCATTGCCAGCACAGCAGTCTGACATTGATCTGGGATGCTTGAACTTGGTGGGGGAAGGGCCATCCACTTTGCCGAGGCTTGAGTAGGCAGTTTTACCCTCACAGTGTAAACAACACTGCCAGGAAGTTTGAGCTAGGCAGACCACACCACAATTCAGCAAGGCCGCTGCAGCCAGACTCTAGATTTCTCCTCTCTGGGCAGAACATCTCTGAAAAAAAGGCAGCTGCCCCAGTCAGGGACTTATGGATAAAACCCCCATCTCCCTAGGACAGAGCACCTGGGGGAAGGGGTGGCTGTGGGCACAGCTTCAGCAGACTTAAACGTCCCTGCCTGACAGCTCTGAAGAGAGCAGCAGGTCTCCCAGCACAGCATTCAAGCTCTGATAAGGGACAGACTGCCTCCTCAAGTGGGTCCCTTACCCGCATGTATGCTAACTGGGAGACATCTCCCAATAGCGGCCGACAGACACCACATACAGGAGAGTTCTTGCTGGCAGAGCTTCCAGGGGAAGGAACAGGCAGCAATATTTGCTGTTCTGCAGCATCTGCTGGTGATACCCAGGCAAACAGGGTCTGGAGTGGACCTCCAGCAAACTCCAGCAGACCTGTAGCAGAGGGGCCTGACAGTTAGAAGGAAAACTAACAAACAGAAAGGAATAGTATCAACATCAACAAAAAGGATGTCCACTCAGAGACCCCATCTGAAGATCACCAACATCAAACACCAGAGGTATATAAATCCATGAAGATGGGGAGAAACCAGCACAAAAAGACTGAAAATTCCAAAAACCAGAACGCCTCTTCTTCTCCAAAGGATCACAACTCCTCACCAGCAAGAGAACAAAACTGGATGGAGAATGAGTTTGACGAATTGACAGAAGTGGGCTTCAGAAGGTGGGTAATAACAAACTCTTCTGAGCTAAACAAACATGTTCTAACCCAATGCAAGGAAGCTAAGAACCTTGAAAAAAGGTTAGAGCAATTGCTAATTAGAATAACCAATTTAGAGAAGAGCATAAATGACCTGGTGGAGCTGAAAAACACAGCACAAGAACTTCGTGAAGTATACACAAGTATCAAGAGCCAAATCAATCAAGCGGAAGAAAGAATATCAGAGATTGAAGATCAACACAATGAAATGAAGCAAGAAGACAACATTAGAGAAAAAAGAGTGAAAAGAAACTAACAAAACCTTTAAAAAATATGGGACCATGTGAAAAGACCAAATCTACGTTTGATTGGTGTACCTGAAAGTGATGGCGAGAGTGGAACCAAGTTGGAAAAAACTCTTTAGGATATTATCCAGGAGAACGTCTCCAAACTAGCAAGACAGGCCAACATTCAAATTCAGGAAATACAGAGAACACCAGAAAGATACTCCTTGAGAAGAGCAACCCCCAAGACACATAATCATTAGATTAACCAAGGTTGAAATGAAGGAAAAAATGATAAGGGCTGGCAGAGAGAAAGGTCAGGTTACCCACAAAGGGAAACCCATCAGACTAACAGCAGATCTCTCTGCAGAAACCCTACAAGCCAGAAGAAAGTGGGGGCCAATATTTAACATTTGCTGAATAATTTTCAACCTAAAATTTCATATCCAGCCAAACTCAGTTTCATAAATGAAGGAGAAATAAAATCCTTTACAGACAAGCAAATGCTGAGAGATTTTGTCACCACCAGGCCTGCCTTATGAGAGCTCCTGAAGGAAGCACTAAACATGGAAAGGAACAACCAGCACCAGCCCCTGCAAAAACTAACCAAATTGTAAAGACCATTGACACTATGAAGAAACTGCATCAACTAATGGGCAAAATAACCAGCTAGCATCATAATGACAGGATCAAATTCACACATAAAAATATCAAACTTAAATGTAAACAGGCTAAATGCCCCAGTTGAAAGACACAGACTGGCAAATTGGATAAAGAGTCAAGACCCAGCAGTGTGCTGTATTCAGGAGACCCATCTCACATGTAAAGACACACACAGGCTCAAAATAAAGGGATGGAGGAAGATCTACCAAGCAAATGGAAAGCAAAAAAAAGCAGGGGTTGCAATCCTGGTCTCTGATAAAACAGACTTTCAACCAACAAAGATCAAAAGAGACAAAGAAGGGCATTACATAATGGTAAAGGGATCAATGCAACAAGAAGCGCTAACTATCCTAAATATATATGCACCCAATACAGGAAAACCCAGATACATAAAGCGAGTTCTTAGAGAGCTAAAAAGAGAATTAGACTCCCACACAGTAATAGTGGTAGGCTTTAACACCCCCCTATCAATATCAGACAGATCAACAAGACAGAAAATTAACAAGGATATCCAGGACTTGAGCTCAGCTCTGGACCAAGTGGACCTAATAGACATCTACAGAACTCTACACCCCAAATCAACAGAATATACATTTTTCTCAGCACCACATTGCACTTATTCTAAAATTGACCACCTAATTGGAAGTGAAACACTCCTCAGCAAATGCAAAAGAAATCATAACAAATGTCCCCTCAGACCACAGTGCAATAAATTAGAACTCAGGATTAAGAAACTCACTCCAAACTGCACAATTACATGGAAACTGAACAACATGCTCCTGAATGACTACTGGGTAAATAATGAAATTAAAGCAGAAATAAAGATGTTCTTTGAAACCAATGAGAACAAAGACACAATGTACCAGAATCTCTGGGACACATTCAGAGCAGTGTGTAGAGGGAAATTTATAGCAGTAATTCCCACAAGAGAAAGCAGGAAAGATCTAAAATTGACATCCTAAATCACAATTAAAAGAACTGGAGAAGCAAGAGCAAACAAATTCAAAAGCTAGCAAAAGACAAGAAATAACTAAGATCAGAGCAGAACTGAAGGAGATAGAGATAAGAAAAACCCTTCAAAAAATCAGTGAATCCAGGAGATGGGTTTTTTAAAAAGATCAACAAAATACATAGGCCACTAGCCAGACTAACAAAGAAGAAAAAAGAAGAATCAAATTGAGGCAATTAAAAAAAAATAAAGGGGATATCACCACTGATCCCACAGAAATACAAACTACCATCAGAGAATACTATAAACACCTCTACACAAATAAACTAGAAAATTTAGAAGATATAGATAAATTCCTGGACACATACAACCTCCTAAGACTAAACCAGGAAGAAGCCAAATCCCTAAATAGACCAATAACAAGTTCTGAAATTGAGGCAGTAATTAATAGCCTACCAACCAAAAAAGTCCAGGACCAGATGGATTCACAGCCAAATTCTACCAGAGGTACAAAGAGGAGATGGTACCATTCCTTCTGAAACTATTCCAAACAATAGAAAGAGAGGAAATCCTCCCTAACTCATTTTATGAGGCTAGCATCATCCTGATACCAAAACCTGGCAAAGACACAACGACAACAAAATTTCAGGCCAATATCCCTAACGAACATGTATGTGAAAATCCTAAATGAAATACTGGCAAACTGAATCCAGCAACACATCAAAAACTTATCCATCGCAATCAAATCGGCTTCATCCCTGGGATGCAAGGCTGGGTCAACATACACAAACCAATCAATGTAATTTATCACGTAAACAGAACCAATGACAAAAGCCACAAGATTATCTCAGTAGATGAAGTAAAGGCCTTTGAAAAAATTCAACAGCCCTTCATGCTAAAAACGCTCAAGAAACTAGGTATTGATGGAATGTATCTCAAAATAATAAGAGCTATTTGTGACAAACCCACAGCCAATATCATACTGAATGGGCAAAAACTGGAAGCATTCCCTTTGAAAACTGGCACAAGACAAGGATGCCCTCTCTCACCACTCCTATTCAACGTAGTATTGGAAGTTCTGGCCAGGGCAATGAGGCAAGAGAAAGAAATAAAGGGTATTCAATTAGGAAACGAGGAAGTCAAATTGTCTCTCTTTGCAGATGACATGATTGTATATTTAGAAAACCCCATCATCTCAGCCCAAAATCTCCTTAGGTTGATAAGCAACTTCAGCAAAGTTTCAGGATAGAAAATCAATGTACAAAAATCACAAGCTTTCCTATACACCAGTAACAGACAGAGTGCCAAATCATGAGTGAACTCCCATTCACAATTGCTACAAAGGGGATAGAATACCTAGGAATACAACTTATGAGAGATGTGAAGGACTCTTCAAGGAGAACTACAAACCACTGCCCAAGGAAATAAGAGAGGACACAAACAAATGGAAAAACATTCCATGCTCATGGATAGAAAGAATCAATATTGTGAAAATGGCCATACTGCCGAAAGTAATTTATAGATTCAATGCTATCCCCATCAAGTTACCATTGACTTTCTTCATCGAATTGGAAAAAACTACTTTAAATTTCATATGGAACCAAAAGACAGCCTGCATAGCCAAGACAATCGTAAGCAAAAAGAACAAAGCTGGAGGCATCACGCTACCTGACTTCAATCTATGCTATAAGGCTACAGTAACCAAAACAGCATGGTACTGGTACCAAAACAGATATATAGACCAATAGAAGAGAACAGAGGCCTCAAAAATAACACCACCCATCTACAACCATCTGATCTTTGACAAACCTGACAAAAACAAGCAATGGGGAAAGGATTCCCTATTTAATAAATGGTGTTGGGAAAATTGGCTAGCCATAGGCAGAAAGCTGTAACCGGACCCCTTCCTTACACCTTATACAAAAATTAACTCAAGATGGATTAAAGACTTAAGCATAAGACCTAAAACCATAAAAACTCCAGAAGAAAACCTAGACAATATCATTCAGGACATAGACATGCACAAAAACTTCATGACTAAAACACCCAAACCAATGGCAACAAAAGCCAAAATTGACAAATGGGATCTAATTAAACTAAAGAGCTTCTGCACAGCAAAAGAAACTATCATCAGAGTGAACAGGCAACCTACAGAATGGGAGAAAAGTTTTGCAATCTATTCATCTGACAAAGGGCTAATACCCAGAATCTACAAAGTACTTAAAAAATTTACAAGAAAAAAACAATCCCATCAAAAAGTGGGCAAAGGATATGAAAAGACACTTCTCAAAAGAAGATATTTATGTGGCCAACAAACATACTAAAAAAAGCTCATCATTACTGGTTATTAGAGAAATGCAGATCAAAACCATAATGAGATACCATCTCACGCCAGTTAGAATGGTGATCATTAAAAAATCAGGAAACAACAGATGCCAGAGAGGATGTGGAGAAATAGGAAAGTTTTACTCTGTTGGTGGGAGTGTAAATTAGTTCAACCATTGTGGAAGACAGTGCAGTGATTCCTCAAGGATCTAGAACTAGAAATTCCATTTGACTCAGCAATCCCATTACTGGGTATATACCCAAAGGATTATAAATCTTTCTACTATAAAGATACATGCACTTGTATGTTTATTGCAGCACTATTTAGAATAGCAAAGACTTGAAGCCAACACAAATGCCCATCAATGATTGATTAGATAAAGAAAATGTGGCACATATACACCATGGAATACTATGCAGCCATAAAAAAGGATGAGTTCTTCTCCTTTGCAAGGGCATAGATGAAGCTGGAAACCATCATTCTCACCAAACTAACACAAGAACAGAAAACCTAACACTGCATGTTCTCACTCATAAGTGGGAGTTGAACAATGAGAACACACAGACACATGGAGGGAAACATCACACACCAGGGCCTGTTGGGGGGTGGGGGGCTAGGGGAGGGATAGCATTAGGAGAAATACCTAATGTAGATGATGGGTTGATGGGTGCAGCAAACCACCATGGCATGTGTATACCTATCTAACAAAACTGCATGTTCTGCACATGTACCCCGGAACTTAAACTATAATAAAATAAAAATTAAAAAATAAAGAAAATGTGGTACATATGCACTATGGAATACTATGCAGCCATAAACAGGAATGAGATCATGTCCTTTTCAGAGACATGGATGAAGTGGGAAGCCATTATCCTCAGCAAAGTAATGCAGGAACAGAATACCAAGCACCATGTGTTCTCACTTATAAGTGGGAGCTGAACAATGAGAACACATGGACACAGAGAGGGAACAACACTCACTGGGGCCTGTTGGGGAAGCTGGGGGACATGGAGAACATTAGGGAAAAAAGCTAATGCATGCTGGCCTTAATAACTCGATGATGGGTTGATAGGTACAGCAAAGCACCTTGGCACACTTTTTCCTCTGTAACAAACCTGCACATCCTGAACATGCACCCTGGAACTTTAAAAAAAAACAAAAATAAAAAAAGAAAGCAGCCTTACCAACTAGCACACAGTGCTTTTGTATAGTTCCTTTTGCCTTTAGTTTTATAGTCTCTGCTCATTTCCAATGATCCTTAGGTTAGTACCTTTTTTCCCCTTCTCCTGCAGTGAAGTTATTGAAATACAATTTTATTAGCTAATTTTTTGTCATAGTGTGCAGTCCATTCTGGCACCCACTGTCCATGCAGCTGATTTTTTAAACGTTTTTGTTACATTAAAGTTTACTTTTTATTATTTATAGTTCTATGGGTTTTGACAAATGCATGGCGCCATATATCTACCATTATAATATTATAAGAAATAGTTTCACCACCCTAATAATTCACCTGTGTTTCATCTATTCATCCTTCCTGCCTACTCAAACTTTCTGTCAACCACTGATCCATTTATGCCTCTATCACTTTGCCTTTTCCAAAATGTCATGTAAATGGAATCCAAAACTTCAAACAATGATAGAAAGCAATTGTGCCCTAGCAGGGATTATAACTGGAGCCTTACCCATACCTGACTTAGATGATTTTGATGATGAGATTTGGGAGTTTTGAGTTGATGAGATTTAAAATGAAATTCTGGACTTGGGTTAAAACTGTGATGGATTGAGCCTATGGGAATGTTGGCATGGGGCAAATGTATTTGCCTGTGGGATAGATGTGCTTTGAGGCCAGAAGGTGGAATGTTATAGGCAGAATATGTCTCCCATAGATCCCAAAATCTGTAAGTATCTTATCTTACATGGAATAAGGGATTTTGTAGATGCCTTATCCATAAACTGACCTGATTCATGAAAGTAATGTGATATGATTTAAGAAAAACTCAATTGGCCATTTCTGACTTTGAAGACACAAGAATTTGGGCAGCCATATAGCTGGAAAAGAAAAGACAAAAAGGAAGGAAAAGAAAAAAGAAAGAAAGAGAGAGAAAACCTTGTCATCACCTTGATTTTACCCCAGTGAGACTCATTTTGGATTTCTGACCTTCAGAACTATATATAAAATAACAATTTGATTTGTGTTAAGTCACTAAATTTGTGGTAATGCAGAAATAGGAAATTAATACAAGGACCACAGTCCATTTGAGTTAATTCTTGTGTAAAGTGTGTCTCTAGTTTCATTCTTTGCATACAGCTATCCAATTATTCTAGCATCATTTGTGGAAAAGACTACTCTTTCTCCATTGAATTGCCATTGTGCTGTTGTCAAAGATCAGTTGATTATATTTCTTTGGGTTTATTTCTGGGCTCTCTACTATGTTATATTGTTTTATGCATCTATTAGTTTGCCGATACTCCATTATCGTGATTGCTATAGCTTTATAGTAAGGCTTGAAATCATATAGTGTGGTCTTCCAACTTTATTATTCTACTGCAATACTGCAGTGGCTAGTCTAAGTCCTTTGTCTTTATATATAACTTTTAGGACTAGTTTGTTAATATATAAAAACAGATTGCTGGAATTTTGAATAGGATTACATTCAAAACTAACCATGAATTTAGATTACATTCTTGAAACTAAAAATCAAGTTGGGAAGAATTAACATTTTAACAATATTGAGTCTTTTAACATAGGAGTCCCCAACCCCCAGCCACAGACCAGTACCAATTCAGTCCATGGCCTGTTAGGAATCAGGCTGCACGGCAGGAGGTGGGTGGTGGGTGAGCTAGCATTTCTCCCTGAGCTCTGCCTCCTGTCAGATCCCAGCAGCATAGTTCTGAAGGTCAGAAATCCAAAATGAGTCTCACTGGGGTAAAATCAAGGTGATGACAAGGTTTTCTTTCTCTTTCTTTCTTTTTTCTTTTCCTTCCTTTTTGTCTTTTCTTTTCCAGCTATATGGCTGCCCAAATTCTTGGTCTTCAAAGTCAGAAAGAATGGCCAATTGAGTTTTTCTTAAATCATATCACATTACTTTCATGAATCAGGTCAGTTTATGGATAAGGCATCTACAAAATCCCTTATTCCATGTAAGATAAGATACAGATTTCATAGGAGCACAAACCCTATTGTGAACGATGCATGCAAGAGATCTGGCTTGCATGTTCCTTATGAGAATCTAACTCATGCCTGATGATCTGAGGTGGAATAGTTACACCCTGAAACCATCCCCTAGCACCCCACCATCTGTGAAAAATTTGTCCTCCACAAAACCGGTTCCTGGTGCCAAAAGTACCACTGTTTTACTACATGAACATAAGATATTTCTCCATGTATTTAGAGATCCTTTAATTCAGAGTTTTGTAGTTTTTCACATATAAATCCTGTACTTTTTTTTAGATTTATAAATAAATACTTTATTTTCTTCAGTTTTGGTGTTGTTGTCAATAGTATTTTTGTTTTATTTAAAATTCCAATTATTCATTGCTTGTATATAAAAAACAAATTAATTTCTGTATATTGACCTTACATCCTGCCATCTTCCTATACTTGCTTATTAATTCCAGGATTTTTTTGTACATTCTTTAGTGTTTTTACCTAGATATATGAATAAATACAGTGTTATTTCTATCCTTCAAATTGGCACATCATTTACTTATTTTTCTTGTCTTATTGCACTTGCTATGACTTCTAGTATGATGTTAAATGGGAATTTTAAGAGAATACATCTTTGCCTTGTTTCCAGTCTCAGAAAAAAGCATCAGTCTCTCACTATTAAGTATGGGATTAACTGTAGGCATTTCATATATACCCTTTATTAGGACAAGGAAGTTTTCCGGTATTGCTAGTTTGCTGGGAGTTTTTATCATAAATGAGTGTTGAATTTTGTTGTTGCATGCATTTCTGCATTAATTGATATGATTACATGTTTTTCTTCTTTAATATGTTAATATGGTGAATTCCAATGATTAGTTTGTTAATTTGAACCAGCCTTCCATTGCTGGATTTAATGCCACTTAGTTGCAATGAGTTATCCTTTTCAGATATTGCTTAACAAACTTTCTAATATTTTGTTAAAGATTTTTGCAGCCTTGTTCTTAAGACATATTGGTCTGTAGTTTTGTAACATTTTTCTATGGTTTTAGTATTAGGGTAATGCTGGCCTCAAAAGAGTTGATTAGGAAATGCTCCCTCTGCTTCTAAAAAAATTGTGAAGAATTGATATTATTTCTTCTTTAGTTATTTGGTAGAATTTATGAGTGCAACCACTGGTGTTTGTTATCTGGGCCTGGTTCTTTCTTTCCTTCTTTTTTTTTTCTCTTAGAATATTTTTAATCATTAATTTATTTATTAAATTAGAGCCATTTGGGTTATCTATTTCTCTTTGAATGAGTTCTGGAAGTTTGTGTCTTTCAGGAAATTGTCCATTTCATTGTAGTTATTAAATTTGTGGATAAAGTGTCATTTATGGTATTCTGTTATTATCTATTTAAGATCAGTAGTGATAACCTCCCTTTAATTTCTTATACTGGGCAATTTGATATTCTCTATTTCTTGGTGAGCTTGGCTAGAGGTTGATCAATTTTCTTGATCTTTTGATTTTGCTGATTCTGTTTATTGTTTTCCTCCTTTCAATTTCACTGATATTTGCTCCAATTTTCATTATTTTCTTTTCTTTGCTTTTTTAAGGTATAATTTGCTCTTCTTCCTCTAGCTTCCCAAGATAGAAGATTAGGTCATTGATTTTATATATTTCTTCTTTTCAAATATATGTATTTAATGCTATAAATTTTCTTCTCAGAGCCACTTTTCTTTTCTTCATCCCCAAAACTTTGAAAAGTTGCATTTTAATTTTTACTTACTCCAAAATATCAATTGTTCTTTATTTTTGAGACTTCTTAGTTCTCCCTTGGATTATTTAATTTCCAAATGTTTGGGAATTTTCTGCCTATCCTTCTGTGAATGATTGATTTCTAGCTTAATTCTTTTGTGGTATAAGAACATACTTTGTATGATTTTTATTCTTTAAAATTTTTAAAGTGTGTTTTCTGATCTGGACTGTCTATATTGAATATTGTATATGAATGAGCTTGAGATGAATGTATAATTGCTGTTGTTGGCTGGAATATTCCAAAAATGTCGATTAGATCAAGTTGATTCTTAATGCTGCTCAGGTCATCTCTATCCTTACAGATCTTCTGCTTCCTTGATTTATCAATTACTGACAAGCATTTGAGGTCTCCAACTATAATATTGGGTTTGCCTATTTCTCCTTCCAATTCAATTTAAGGCAAAATTATCGTTTTTGCCTCATTTATTTTGATGCACTGTTGTTAGGTACATGCTGTTTTAGGACTGTTATATCTCCTTGGAGAATTGACCTCTTTATCCTTATAAAATTCCCTCATTATACCCAATAATCTTCCTTTTTCTGCTGTTTTCTCTGGAATTAAAGCCAGAACTAATACAGCTACTTAAGCTTTCTTTTGATAAATATTTACATACCTTTTCTTTATCCCTTCACTTTCAACTGGTCTGAGTCTTTATATTTGAAGTGGGTTTCCTATATACAGCAGTAATTGGTAGATAAAGCCTCACTCTGTTGCCCAGGCTAGAGTGTAGTGGCGCGATGATAGCTCATCGTAACCTCAGTAATCTGTCCTTTAACTGGTGTGTTTAGACCATTTGTGTTTAAGCTGATAATTTATATAGTTCATTTAATACCTGCCTTATTTGTAACCTTTTATTCTTTGCACCTGTCTTCTCTTTTTTTCCTTTTCTCTGCCTTCCCTGTTTTCACATTTGCATTTTACGTGATTCTATTTTAAGTCCTCTCTTAGCATATCATTAATACTTTTTTCAATTTTTTGTGATTGCCTCAGAGTTTATAATACACATTTTTATTTTTATTTTTTATTTATTTATTTATTTATTTATTTTTTATTATTATTATACTTTAAGTTTTAGGGTACCTGTGCACAATGTGCAGGTTAGTTACATATGTATACATGTGCCATGCTGGTGTGCTGCACCCATTAACTCATCATTTAGCATTAGGTATATCTCCTAAAGCTATCCCTCCCCCCTCCCCCCACCCCACAACAGTCCCCAGAGTGTGATGTTCCCCTTCCTGTGTCCATGTGTTCTCATTGTTCAATTCCCACCTATGAGTGAGAATATGCAGTGTTTGGTTTTTTGTCCTTGCAATAGTTTACTGAGAATGATGATTTCCAATTTCATCCATGTCCCTACAAAGGACATGAACTCATCATTTTTTATGGCTGCATAGTATTCCATGGTGTATATGTGCCACATTTTCTTAATCCAGTCTATCATTGTTGGACATTTGGGTTGGTTCCAAGTCTTTGCTATTGTGAATAGTGCCACAATAAACATACGTGTGCATGTGTCTTTATAGCAGCGTGATTTATAATGCTTTGGGTATATACCCAGTAATGGGATGGCTGGATCAAATGGTATTTCTAGTTCTAGATCCCTGAGGAATCGCCACACTGACTTCCACAAGGGTTGAACGAGTTTACAGTCCCACCAACAGTGTAATAGTGTTCCTATTTCTCCACATCCTCTCCAGCACCTGTTGTTTCCTGACTTTTTAATGATTGCCATTCTAACTGGTGTGAGATGGTATCTCATTGTGGTTTTGATTTGCATTTCTCTGATGGCCAGTGATGGTTAGCATTTTTTCATGTGTTTTTTGGCTGCATAAATGTCTTCTTTTGAGAAGTGCCTGTTCATGTCCTTTGCCCACTTTTTGATGGGGTTGTTTGTTTTTTTCTTGTAAATTTGTTTGAGTTCATTGTAGATTCTGGATATTAGCCCTTTGTCAGAAACCACATGATTATCTCAATAGATGCAGAAAAGGCCTTTGACAAAATTCAACAATGCTTTATGCTAAAAACTCTCAATAAATTAGGTATTGATGGGACATATCTCAAAATAATAAGAGCTATCTATGACAAACCCACAGCCAATATCATACTGTATGGGCAAAAACTGGAAGCATTCCCTTTGAAAACGGGCACAAGACAGGGATGCCCTCTCTCACCACTCCTATTCAACATAGTGTTGGAAGTTCTGGCCAGAGAAGTCAGGCAAGAGAAAGAAAGAAAGGGTATTCAATTAGGAAATGAGGAGGTCAAATTGTCCCTGTTTGCGGATGACATGATTGTATATCTAGAACACCCCATTGTCTCAGCCCAAAATCTCCTTAAGCTGATAAGCAACTTCAGCAAAGTCTCAGGATACAAAATCAATGTACAAAAATCACAGGCATTCTTATACACCAATAACAGACAAACAGAGAGCCAAATCGTGAGTGAACTCCCATTCACAATTGTTTCAAAGAGAATAAAATACCTAGGAATCCAACTTACAAGGGACATGAAGGACCTCTTCAAGGAGAACTACAAACCACTGCTCAATGAAATAAAAGAGGATACAAAAAAATAGAAGAACATTCCATGCTTATGGGTAGGAAAAATCAATATTGTGAAAATGGCCATACTCCCCAAGGTAATTTATAGATTCAATGCCATCCCCATCAAGCTAGCAATGACTTTCTTCACAGAATTGGAAAAAACTACTTTAAAGTTCATATGGAGCCAAAAAAGAGCCCGCATTGCCAAGTCAATCCTAAGCCAAAAGAACAAAGTTGGAGGCATCACGCTACCTGACTTCAAACTATACTACAAGGCTACAGTAACCAAAACAGCATGGTACTGGTACCAAAACAGAGATATAGATCAATGGAACAGAACAGAGCCCTCAGAAATAACGCCGCATATCTACAACTATCTGATCTTTGACAAACCTGACAAAAACAAGCAATGGGGAAAGGATTCCCTATTTAATAAATGATGCTGGGAAAACTGGCTAGCCATATGTAGAAAGCTGAAACTGGATCCCTTCCTTACACCTTATACAAAAATTAATTCAAGATGGATTAAAGACTTAAGCGTTACACCTAAAACCATAAAAACCCTAGAAGAAAACCTAGGCATTACCATTCAGGACATAGGCATGGGCAAGGACTACAATACACATTTTTAATAATCTAAGTCCACATTCACATACTACTTTATGTGTAGTGCAGGTAGTTCAGAACAGGATATTCTTGATTCCTTCCTCCCATCTCTAAAAGGCAGCCACATGCCGGGCACTGCCCGCAGTGCAATGTTCATACAATAGTATGTGAATGCCTGGGGCAAGTTTGACCAGGACATTCATTACACCCCCTTTACAGAAGATGAAATTGAGGCTTAGAGGAGTTCAGTTCCCTTCATGGGTCACATCACTAATAAGGCCCAAGGCTGACAGACTCCAGGGCACAGAAAGGCTAGTGGGAGCCCATCCACTGCCCAGCACAGTGCTGAAACAGCAAAGGCTCACAAGGAAGGCGATCCACACCTGCAGGATGGCAAATGTCTCAGTGAGGAACTGGGATGGGATGGTTTGCAAAAGGAAGAGTGTGGCCTGGCTGGGATTTGACAAGCCAAAAAGGGGCTAATCTTTATTCATTTTTATTTTTTAAACTTAAATTAACAAAAGTGTGTGTCCTGTTTTCTGTGCCTCTGATATCCACAGGCACCATCATGTGAGCTCTCCTTTGCTGAGAACCAGTTCTTGTCTGACACTGTGGTGAGTGAGTCCTTGTGCCCTCCCTGGGACTTCCATCCATGGCCACACAGCAGGGGATAAAATCGAGGCTCAGAGAAGTAGAGGTCTTGCCCAAGGCCACAGCTACTTGGAAAGTCAAGACCTGCACCTGGCCTGCCTACCTCCCAAATCAAGTTCCCCTGGCTCCCCTCATGCCTCAGGCCTGAAACAATTGCTACCATAGCCCTTCCTCTAACGGGATGAGCAGGGAGCCCCAGCTGGGGCTTCCTGCAGGGCCTGGGGCTTCCCGGGCCCCCTGCATCTGGGCCATCTGGTCAGCGGACCCAAGGTCACAGCAACAAGCTCACAGATCCGAGTAATGACCCACACTTGAGCCTAGTGAGTCCCATTCTGAGGGCTAACGAGGTGCAGAGGCCTCAAGAATTCCTCTGCCAGAAACATCAGATGGAAGCTGGTACAGTTGGCCCAAACACCAGCCAGGGGACAGTTTATCAGACCACCCAAGAGGCAGGAATCCAAGCCTGCTGGAAAGGTCTTTCTGAGGGCTGGACCCAGCACCATGGACCAGCCTGGGGTGCTCCGGAAACTCCTGGAGATGGCAGGCTGGCCATACCCCTCGCGGCAGGGCTCAGGTGTTGGGGGTGTCTGGGGAGCAGCGGTCAAAGGGTGGGTGGCTGGTGTGATTATGACCTGCATTTGCACCCTGATAACTCCTAGGAGGGCCTGCTTGGACACATCACTTGGATTGACTGTCCCGAGTGGTCCCTTCTGAAACGGGGGCCAGAGGGCAGGGCTGGGAGGAGCACTCATGTGCCTTGGCCAGGGAGTCTGTGCAGACACCCTCCACTTGTCCCTACAATCCTGGGCACTGTGTTGCAGTGAGTCACTGGGTTGCTTGCTAATAAGGAGAGAGAGGGAGCACGGCACTCTGGGTCTGGCTGCAGAATTGAGCTTGCACATCAAATGTGGGGTCCTAGGAGGCTTTAAAAGAAGGAGCCAAGAGATTTCAAATCCACATCATTTTCCTGTGAGTGGCTTCCCCAGGAGGATGCTTCAGGGGTTCTTGACACCTCTCCTCCACTGCCTCACACTCTCCCTGAGTGGGAGGAGTCCCACCTGACATTCACCCAGCACCTATTCTGTGCCTGGAGCTGTGCACAGTGACTTCCCCACCCCTGTGGGCTCGGCACTGTGGCTCACCTCTGTTTCATGGATGGAAAAGACAAGATCAGAGAGGACATCAAGGGGCAGCCAGTGGGGCCCAGGTCTCTCATAGGCCAACCCCAGCTCTTCACCTGCACACCCCACCCTAGACAGACACCTTCCCTAAAGCCCACCCTCCCCCAGAGCCTACAGTCTCAGAGAGCCAGTGCTGGGCCCTGGGAACTTCTGGGCACCCCGATTATGTGTGTGTGTGTGTGTGTGTGTGTGTGTGTGTGTGTGTGTGTCACATGCATTGAGGGTTGAAGGAAGTTGACTAAGGAAAGAAAACAACTAGTCACAAATAAAAGAGGAATTTCCCAACTGAAGAAACATGTCCCTGAAGTGAGTGTGCTTTCAGTTCATCATGTCAATGCAGCACTTTTCTTCTGCTTCATTTGCAGAAAAGAAACTGCAACTTGGAAGGAGAAAAGGCAAAATGTATTTTTGTGCATTCAGCAGAAATAGCCAGGCCAAGCAGCCGGACACTTTTAGGTGACACAGATGAACCCTGCAGGGCGCTGACGTCAGGCCCCCTCAACCGAAGACTCATTCCAGGGAAGGTTGGGCCAGACCCACAAGCACCCTAAGGGCTGCACCAAAGTGAACCTGAAAATGCAAAGTACTAATTCCTGAATGTTGTAAGACATTGTTCTCTCAAAATATAAAAACAAGAAGTAAAACTTCTTGTCTGAAAATAATGCTGACAAAGCAACAAGTTCTCCCAATCTGAATGCCTCATCCTCTCACCAAAGTGACATGTGAGTGATTCTGTGGGGAAAAAAAAAAGGCATTGGAATATTGCAGAGCATGAAAGGCCACACAGCAGGGGAGCAGCTCCTAGAACATATTATATTTCAGGGGCATCTGCTTCCTGTGTTTTTGATTACATTAAAGTATTTCATTTTCTTCCCCAAGACATCCCAAATGCCTTGTGTGCCAAAACTCCTCAAGGGGCTATGCGTGTTTGGTAATGAGTTAAGTCCATGACAATCCCAGAAAGAATCATGGACTGGGGCAGAGCCCTGGGGCGCAGGGGTACCAGGCCAGGTTCTGGCCCCAGAGCTCACAGGACTTCACGGGGCATCAGAGCAAGTTCTCCAGGGAAGGCTGCCCTGTGGCCACTCCCATTCTTGGTGCCGGGACATGCTGGCCTGGTTTCCTGCTCATCACTTTACTTCAGCACTTACCAAAAGGTCTCATAAATGGTGGCTTACATCTAAAACTAGTGTGTAAGCCAGCAGTTAAAATTTTCTTTTCATATGAAGACAATGTAAGGATGCAGGAAAAACAGTTTATGGGTTCTCTCTATCTCTCGGCAGAATGTCATTTTTATCTTATATATATATTACCTGCAACCATGTATAAGCATTCTTTTATTAATTCCATGTTAACAGAGAGATTTTCCTTCTGGCTACAGTATTCCCAGCCTTGATGCAGAAGGCCAGCGGTGGGCCATGTCATGAAGCTGGGAGGAACCCCCAGGGCCCATCAGCTCCTCCAGTACCAGCCAGGCCCTGGGTTTAGGTGATAAATAAGTCACATGAGGTCCCTGCCCGGAAGTTTATATTTCCAGAAGGAGAAACAGACAATAAATAAGTGAATAAATTGACCATTTCAGGTCCTGATAAATAATATGAATGGAAGGAAGCTTGCTGTGTTCAGGGAGCAGGAGAGGACATGGCCAGGGACACCAGGTCCGGAGGTGTGGGAAGGCCTCTCTGAGGGAACGTACTTGAGCGATGTGAGGGAGACACCCTGAGAAGAGCCTGGAAGGCTGTCCAGGAAGGAGTGGAGTCAATGCAAAGGTCCTGGAGTGAGAAAAAACAGCTTCATGTTATAGGAATCTCACAGTCAGTGTAGCTGGAACAGGGCAAGTGAAGGCATGGCAGGAGGTGGTCAGGGCCTTACAGGCCACGGTGTTGGGATTGGATTTTCTTCTGGAAGGGACAGGAAACTACAGGTGGTTTGGAGTAGAAGCACATGGAGATCATAACCCCAAGCACTATGGGAAGTAGGGTAGGCAGCAGTAGGAGCTCCTGGGTGGGAAGGCCAAACAGGAAGATGGCAGTGCCCTCCGTGAGATGCGGACCCTGTCTAGGTAGAACAGGGCTGTGGGGATGGGGCAGTTCTGGGGTAGGAACCAACATTTTGGTATTAGACATGCCACTTCTGCAGATGTTCCTTTAGAGAGGAGCAGAGAAGTGGGATGGTGGTTGCAGGAGGGATGCGGAGTCAAGATGACCCTGAGAAGACCTGCACGGGGGCCATCCAGGAAGGAGTAGGGTCAGGAACAAGGTCCTGAGGCAGGAAACAAGCTTCATATTCCTATTTTTAAAGACCAAGCTTTCACTGCAAGCTGATGTGCTGTTGGAAAGATGCAGTGGCAAGGGAAAACCTGCTGATGCTGGTGATAGAAGTGATTGTTGCAGGAGCAGTCAGAGGTCTACACTCGAACCTTAAGGAGCAGGACTCTACTTTATGCCACTTTATTTCTCCAGCATGAACAGAGTGCTGAGGAAGCAAGAGCCAGCACATGAGACCCAGCCTAAGGGTCCCTGGAGAGCTTCCTGGGAGAGGTAAAATCATGCTGAGAAGGGCAGGCCCAGCAGCAGCTTGCCAGTGTCAGGAGGGAAAAGATGCTCCAGGCAAAGACAGCTCATGTTCAAAGGCCAATGCACATGAGAAAGAGCTGGGCATGGTTGGCCACAGGTGCACAAGGATGCTGGGAGCTGAGGTGGAGGGGAGGGGAGGACCAAGTGAGGCTTGCAGGCTGTACCAGCAGGTCGGATTTTATCACTAGACAGATCACCCTAGCAGCAGCAGGGATTACCTCTGACTTGAGAGGCAGGGGACAGGGGTAAGGCAAACACTGGTGGGAGGGATGGCCTTGGAGAGGCAGCGCCAGGTATCCACAGGTGAGGGTGGGCCAGGAGACAAGAGGGCACCAAGAGCAGATTAACTGCACTCAGAGGCAGCTTCAACCAGCTGGATAAGTAGGGAAGATACAGCAAAGGATGGGCCTGGGGTTTGGGTGACAGTGGTGGATGAGGCTACTCATTGAGAAAGGGCACTTCATGGGAAGGATGATGGGGCTGAGGGTGCCAAGGCAGCAGTCAGATCCCTGAGCACACTAGCCCGGAGGCCACAGATGCAGGGGAAGAACAAGTGGCTAGGACAGGGATGGAGCCTTCCATCCCAGGGCCTCTGCAGGGAATTGGCAGTCTGCTGCCTCTTCTCTGGTATATAAAGGCAGGTGAGATATGTGGATTCCCGTTTCTCCCTCAAGAACCATGAAAATCCTATGAATGTTATTTGAGAGACATTGCATTTTCTTCCTAGAAAGTGGGGACCCCAGCTATGCCTTGGAAAGATCTCTCTCACTGCTAAGGGAAGGTGCCCTGGAGGAGGGAGCCTGGGGACGAGGGGTACACAGGCAGGTGGTCATTAAAATAATGCAGGAAGGAAGCCATGAGGCTAAACCAGGCAGAGGGCAGGAGGGCAGCAAGGAGGGAAAGAGCTCTCGCTGTGGCAGAGGATGCATGATCAGGATTTGGTGAAAAGTGAGGCAAGGGGAAGAGGGAAGAGCCAGATTCTAACGTTTAGGTTCTGGCGGCCAAGGCATGATAGTGCCATTGAAATGTGAGTTCAATATCCCTGCAGCTACCGGAACCAGGGTGCAGAGCAAAGCAGAAGCCAAGTGAAGTTGATGAGCAAGCAGATCTGGACAGAAGCTGGTGTGTCCAGTCTAGTCCCAGCTTGTCAAGGACATGCATCACCACTGCTTCTCTCAGTCCACAGAGGTTCTCACCTCGGATCCATCTATGCTTTGGGGACACTGGACAGTGACCCGAGTGGAAAAAGAAACATCTCTTTTGACTCCTCGAGCTGATTCCCCACTTGGGGGTAGGAAGGTGAAATACCTGAGACTTTGCAACAAGCGAGGCTGAGGCCACAGGAGGCTGAGGCTGAAAGCCCCGGCCTTCAGGGCTACTTTAGAGGAGTGAAGAGCAAATGTGTCTGTTGGTCCCAAAGAGCAGAGGTCCCTGGGGGCCCTGCCAGTGATGTGGGCAGAGAACAGGTGGCGTGGAGCTCCTGTCTCTGCCTCTGTCTTAGTTGGCTCAAAGTCCCAAAGAACTGGAGACCCTGGTCAGGAAAACTGCATTATCAGGGTACCCACTTCCCCTTCTCCTGCACCTCCCCAGCCTAAGACTCTACAGAAGAAAGGACAGATGATCAGAACCCTGGAAAAATGGCAGATAGGAGGCAGGACTAACTTGCAGCTCCCACTCGGTTGGACAGAGCAGTGTATGGAGACTCACATCGTGAACTTTTGCTCCAAGAACTACCATAGCAACATACCCGGAAAGCGGAGAGAATCCACAGACCCTCTGAAGGAAGTGGATTGCTGCTGCAGGTGCCCAGAGACAGCCAAAAAACCCTGAAGACAAAGGACATAATCTCTTCAGAGCTCTAGGGCCCTGCCCACCACCTGATCCTCCCTATACTATGGCAGCTAATGCACTCTTGAAATTGTCACCTCCTGGCTGGAAGCCAACCAACACAAAAATGGTGCAATAAACAAAACTACAACCAAGGACCCTTGCAGAGTCCTCTTCACTCCCCTGCTACGTCCACTGAAGCAAGTGCTGGTATCCACAACTGAGAGACCTGGAGACAGTTCAGTTCACATTATAGGACTCAGTGCAGACCCTCCCCAATACCAGACCAGAGACTGGTAGCTCCATTAGGTGGCTAGATCCTAAGGAGAAACCAAAATCACTCCAGTTAAGCTCTCAGGAAGCCCTATCCCTAGGGTAAAGGGGAGAGCACCACATCCAAGGAGCACCCCATGGGACAAAAAAAAAATATGAACAGCAGCCCTTGAGCCCCAGATCTTCCTTCTGAAATAGCCTACCCAAATAAGAAAGAGTCAGAAGAACAATTCTGGTAATATGACAAAACAAGGTTCTTTAACATGCCCAAAAGATCACACTAGCTCACCAGCAACAGAGCCAAACCAAGGAGAAATCTCTGAATTGCCAGAAAAAGAATTCAGAAAGTCAATTATTAAGCTATTCAAGGAGGCACCAGAGAAATGTGAAGTCCAACTTTAATGAAATTTAAACAAAAACAAAAACAAACAAAACTTATACAAGCTACAAAGGGAAAAATCTTAAGTGAAATAGAAAGCATAAATAAAAAACAATCACAACTTCTACAAATGAAGGACACACTTAGAGAAATGCAAAATACATTGGAAAGTCTCAGCAATAAAATTAAGCAAGCACAAGACAGAACTTCACAGTTCAAAGGCAAGGCTTTTGAAATAACTCAATCCAACAAAGACAAAGGAAAAGAATCTTAAAAGATGAACAAAGGCTCCAAGAAGTTTGGGATTATGTTAAACCTAAGAATAATTAGTGTTCCCTAGGAAGAAGAGAAATATAAAAGTTTGGAAAACATATTTGAGGGAATAATAGAGGAAAACTTACCCTTGCTTAGCTAGATATCTAGACATCCAAATACAAGAAGCTCAAAGAACACCTGGGAAATTTATCACAAAAAGATAACCATCCAGGCAAATAGTCATCAGGTTATCTAAAGTCAAGATGAAAGAAAGAATCTTAAGAGCTGTGAGGCAAAAGCACCAGGTAACCTATAAAGGAAAACCTATGAGATTAACAGTAGATTTCTCAGCAGAAATCCTCCAGTGAGAAGGGATTGGGGCCTTATCTTTGACTCCTTAAACAAAATAATTATCAGCCAAGAATTTTGTATCCAGCAAAACTAAGCTTCAGAAATAAGGGAAAGGTGCAGTCTTTTTCGGACAAACAAATACTGAGAGAATTCCCAGTACCAAACCAGCACTACAAGAACTGCTAAAAGAAGCTCTAAATCTTGAAACAAATCCTGGAAATAAGCCAAAATAGAACCTACTTAGCCATAAATCTCACAGGATCTATAAAACAAAACACAATGAAAAAGACAACAAACAACGTGTTCAGGCAACAAATAGCATGATGAATAGAATAGTACTTCACATCTCAATACTAACAGTTGAATGTAAATGGCTTAAATGCTCCACTTAAAAGACACAGAATGGTAGAATGTATTATAATTCACCAACCAAGTATCTGCTGTCTTCAAGAGACTCACCTAACACATGAAGACTCACATAAACTTAAGGTAAAGGGGTGGAAAAACATATTCTATGCAAATGAACACCAAAAGTGAGCAGGAGTAGCTATTCTTATGTCACACAAAGCAGATTTTGAAGCAACAACAGTTTAGAAAGACAAAGATGACATTATATGATGATAACAGGATTTGTTCAACAGGAAAATATCACAAGCCTAAATATATATGCACCTAACACTGGAGCTCCCAAATTTATAAAACAATTACTACCAGACCTAAGAAATGAGATAGACAGCAACACAAGAATAGTGGGGGACTTTAGTATTCCACTGACAGCACTAGACAGGCCACCAAGACAGAAAGTCAACAAAGAAACAATGGATTTAAACTATACCTTAGAACAAATGAACTTAACAGATATTTACAGAACATTCTAACAACTGCAGAATATACATTCTATTTATCAGCACATGGAATATTCTCCAAGATAGACCATATGATAGTCCACAAAACAAGCCTC
Source organism: Homo sapiens (assembly GCF_000001405.40). Lineage (NCBI taxonomy): Eukaryota > Metazoa > Chordata > Mammalia > Primates > Hominidae > Homo > Homo sapiens. The sequence continues at coordinate 44,432,455 of NC_000010.11, read as the reverse complement.
AATAAATTCTTAAAAATTGAAATTGTATCAAGTACTCTCTCAGACCACAGTGGAATAAAACTGGAAATCAACTCCAAAATGAACCTTCAAAACCATGCAAATACATGGAATAAAGATGGAAATTAAATAATTCTTTGAACTGAATGATAGTAGTGACACAACCTACCAAAACCTCTTGGATATGGCAAAGGTGCTGCTAAGAGGAAAGTTCATAGACTTAAATGCTTACATCAAAAAGTCTGAAAGAGCACAAATAAACAATCTAAGGTCACACTACAAGGAACTAGAGAAAAAAGAACAAACCAAACTAAGCAGAAGAAAACAAATAACAAAAATCAGAGCAGAACCAAATGAAATTGAAACAAAATAAATACAAAAGATAAATGAAACAAAAAGCTGGTTCTTTGAAAAGATAAATAAAGTTGATAGATGATTAGTGAGGTTAACCAAGAAAAGAAGAGAGAAGATCCAAATAACCTCAATTAGAAATGGGGCTAATCACAGGGTCAGGAGTTCCAGACCAGCCTGGCCAACACAGTGAAAACTCGTCTCTACTAAAAATACAAAAAATAGCTAGGCGTGGTCATGGGCACCTGTAATCCCAGCTACTCAGGAGGCTGAGGCAGGAGAATCACTTGAACCTGAGAGGTGGAGGTTGCAGTGAGCCAAGATCATGCCACTGCACTCCAGCCTGGGAGACAGGGTGAGGCTCCATCTCAAAAAAAATAAAAAAGAAAAAAGAAATAAAACAGGAGATATTACAACTGATACCACAGAAATACAAAAGATCACTCAAGATTACAAACACCTTTGTGCGCATAAACTAGAAAACCTAGAGGAGATTGAAAAATTTTTGAAAATATACAACCCTCCTAGATTAAACCAGAAAGAAACATAAGCTCTGAACAGGCCAATAACAAGCAGCTAGATTGAAATGGTAATTTTAAAAATTGCCAACAAAAAAAGTCCAGGACTAGATGGATTCACAGCTCATCTCTATCAGACATTCAAAGGAGAATTGGTATCAATTCCATTGATGCTATTCCACAAGATAGAGAAAGAAGGAATCCTCCCTAAATCATTCTATGAAGCCAATATAACCCTAATACCAAAACCAAGAAAGGACACAACAACAACAACAACAAAAACAACAACAAACTACAGACCAATATCCCTGATGAACACAGACGCAAAAATCTTTAACAAAATACTAGCCAACTGAATCCAGCAGCATATCAAAAAGATAATCTACCATGATCAAGTGTGCTGCATACCAAGGATACAGTAATGGTTTAACATACACAAGTCAATAAATGTGATACACCACATAAACAGAATTAAAAGCAAAAATTACATGATCATTCCAATAGATGCAGAAAAAGCATTTGACAAAATCCAGCATGACTTCATGATTAAAACTCTCAGCAAAATCAGCATAGAAGTGACATACCTGCCGAGACCAGCTCGGTCAGGGAGACCCTAACCCAGCGGCACTAGAGGAATTAAAGACACACACACAGAAATATAGAGGTGTGAAGTGGGAAATCAGGGGTCTCACATCCTTCAGAGCTGAGAGCCCCGACAGAGATTTACCCACATATTTATTAACAGCAAACCAGTCATTAGCATTGTTTCCATAGATATTAAATTAACTAAAAGTATCCCTTATGGGAAATGAAGGGATGGGCCGAATTAAAGGAATAGGTTGGGCTAGTTAACTGCAGCAGGAGCATGTCCTTAAGGCACAGATTTCTCATGCTATTGTTTGTGGCTTAAGAATGCCTTTAAGCTGTTTTCCACCCTGGGCAGGCCAGGTGTTCCTTGCCCTCATTCTGGTAAACCCACTACCTTCCAGCGTGGACATTAGGGCCATTATGAACATGTTACAGTGCTGCAGAGATTTTGTTTATGGCCAGTTTTGGGGCCAGTTTATGGTCAGATTTTGGGGGGCTTGCTCCCAGCATATATCTTAAGGTAATAAAAGCCAACTATGAGAAGCCCACAGCAAACATTATACCAAATGGGGAAAAGTTGAAAGCATTCCCCCTGAGAACTGGAAAAAGACAAGGATGCCCACTTTCACCACTTCTATTCAACATAGTACTGTAAGTCCTAGCCAGAGCAATCAAACAAGAGAAAGAAAACAAGGGCATCCAAATCCATAAAGAGGAAATCAAACTGTCGCTGTTTGCTGATGATATGATTGAATACCTAGAAAACCCTAAAGACTCATCCAAAAAGCTCCAAGAACTGATAAATGAATTCAGCAAAGTTCCAGGATACAAAATTAAGTCGATAAATTAGTAGCTCCGCTATACGCCAACAGCAACCAAGCTGAGAATCAAATCAAGAAGTCAACCCCTTTTACAATACCTGTGATAAAAATAAAATAATTAGGAATATACCTAATCAAGGAGGTAAAAAAACTCTACAAGGAGAAAACTACAAAACACTGCTGAAATGCACAAATGAATGGAAACACATCCCATACTCATGGATAGATAGACTTAATATTGTGAAAAGACCATACTGCCAAAAGCAATCTACAAATTCAATGTGATTCTCATCAAAATACCACCATCATTCTTCACAGAACTAGAAAGAAAATTCTAAATTTCATATGGAGCCAAAAAAGAGCCCACATAGCCAAAACAAGACAAAGCCAAAAGAACAAATCTGGAGGCATCACATTACCTGACTTCAAACTAAGCTATACTATAAGGCCATAGTCACCAAAACAGCATGGTACTGGTATAAAAATAGGCACATAGACCAATGGAGCAGAATAGAGAACCCAGAAATAAAGCCAATACTTGTAGCCAACTAATCTTTGACAAAGTAAACAAAAACATAAAGTGTGGAAACCACACCCTATTCAACAAATGGTGCTGGGATAATTGGCAAGCCACGTGTAGAAGAATGAAACTGGATCCTCATCTCTCGCTTTATATAAAAATCAACTCACAATGGATCAAAGACTTAAATCTAAGTCCTGAAAACATAAAAATTCTAGAAAATAACATCAGAAAAACACTTCTAGACATTGGCTTAGGCAGAGACTTTATGACCAAGAACCCAAAAGCAAATGCAACAAAACAAAGATAAATTGATGGGACTTAATTAAACTAAAAATCTTCTGCACAGCAAAAGAAACAATCAGCAGAGTAAACAGACAACCCATATTGGGAAAAATATCTTCACAATCTATACATCTGACAAAGGACTAATACCCAGAATCTTCAAGGATCTCAAACAAATCAGCAAGAAAAAAACAAACAACCCCATCAAAAAGTGGGCTAAGTACATGAATAGACAATTCTCAAAAGAAGATACACAAATGGCCAACAAACATATGAAACAATGCTCAACTTCATTAATGATCAGGGAAATGCAAATCAAAACCACAATGCGATACCACCTTACTCCTGCAAGAATGACCATAATCAAAACATCAAAAAATAATAGATGTTGGTGTATATGTGGTGAAAAGGGAGCACTTTTACACCGCTGATATGAATGTAAACTAGTACAACCACTATGTAAAAAAGTGTGGAGATTCCTTAAAGTACTACCATTTGATACAGCAGTCCCACTACTGGGTATCTACCCAGAGGAAAAGAAGTCATTATATGAAAAAGATACTTGCACATGCATGTTCATAACAGTACAATTTGCAATTGCAAAAATATGGAACCAACCCATCAATCAAAGAGTGGATAAAGAAATTGTCTTATTTATATAATGGACTACTACTCAGCCATAAAAAGGAATGAAATAATGATATTCATAGCAACCCAGATGGAATTGGAGACCATTATTCTAAGTAAAGTAACTCAGGAATGGAAAACCAAACATCGTATGTTCTCACTCACAAGTGGGAGCTAAGCTATGAGGGTGCAAAGGCATAAGAATTACACAATGGACTTTGGGGACTAGGGGAACGGGTGGAGGGGTGGTTAGGGATAAAAGACTACACATTGGGGACAGTGTACACTGCTTGGGTGATGGGTGCACAAAAGTCTCAGAAATCACCACTAAAGAACTTTTCCATGTAACCAAACACCACCCGTGCCCCAAAACCCTATTGAAATTAATTGCCCTCCCACCCTTCCCTTCCTCCTAGAGGGTGAAGATGCAGACAAGAGCTGGGGGACCTCTCCTGGCAGAGGTTCAGCCTCTAATGGGAGGCCCTTTCCAACCCAGGAGGGGCACAGAACAGTAACTGGAACTGTGGTCAAGTGGATGTGGTCACACCTCTTTCTGCTTGCTTCCTGGTGGATGACCTCACCCTGGCAATTTCCTTGCCTGGAACCTCAGTTTCCCCATATTTTAAGAAAGGGTTGACAATATGCAGCTGGTCTCCAGGCTGTAAAGATTCAGCTAGACACATTCAGGGCCCCAGTGAGATGTGATTGTCCTCTCTTTCAAGAGGCTGAGAGACTCACTGGGAGCCCTGTGGGCTGGGGCCACTCCTGCCCTCCAGTACCTGCTCCATCTTTCACCAGCAATCTCAGAGCAAATGCTTAAGGAAAAGTCAGGAGGCTGTTGGCATTGAGGGAGACCAGGAGGAGCCTCTGACTGCCCTCACAGAGGGATGAGGGTGCAGCTGCAAAGCCAGCTGTGAACCCAAGTCCTGCAACCCCAGAAAAAGGGAGGGAAGGAGGTCCAGGAGCTCAACAGAGAGGGTGACTGAGGAGGCACCCAGGCCCTACATGTGGCCCCAGGTCACCTGAGAGTGGTAACTGGTCCTTCAGCCCTGTGTGTCTTTCCTCCCACTCTTGTCTCATCCAAAGATTCCCTGGGACTTCCCTGGAACAGGCCTGTGAGGGGACCCAGGCTTGACCACCAACCGCTTCAGGGACCCCTGGGCCTCCTCACCTCGCACAGTCTTGCAGGGAGCAGCAGGAGGTCCAGGACCTGGAGTTTGAGGATGGGCAACACCAGGCCAGGTGAGAAACCATTTCCATCAGTCCTCTCTCCTGGGACCCTTACCCCTTCAGCGGCTTCCAGGACTGGGATTTCTCAGAGCATGTGCAGCTCCAAAACTGCCCTGCAGGAAATGGCTCCAGCCACATCCCAGACTGAAGCTACCTTCAAAGACCCCCAAGCTCCAAGTGGCACACCTTGAACGTGAGGCCTGCATGGAGAAAGGCTTCCTGCATCTTGGCTTAAACAGCAGCTCCCAGCAAGGGTTGGCTTCCTCAGAGCAGGACCAGCCTCTCTGCCAGCACGTAGAGCCCAAGACAGGTCCCGAGGGCCAGACATAGCTCTGAGGGTCAGGACAGCCAGGTAGGACAGGGCCAGGAAAACTGATCTCTCTCTGAGGTACCCCCCACCAGACGTCCCCAGGACACTGTGAGATGCCAGGTCAGCCTCCATCTGCAGTCGTCATGATGTCCATACTGCATCCAGTAGAGTGCACAGTATGTATAAGACAAGGGGTGCTCAACCACTGGGTGCTCAGGGCTGATCTAAGAACATAGTGGCCTTTTCCCACTAGCAGAACTGATGTTAGCTCAGCCCCTCCCACACCCCACATGAGGAGCTGGGTGGCCCGAGGTCCCCAGCCCTCCACACACCCAACTCAGCACGGCAGGCTTCCTATCTGCTCACAGTCCTGTGACCTATTTCCAAACTTTGGTCACAACCTAAGATGTGAGTGACCAAGTTGAAGACAGGAATGGGGCCTCTGGGCTCTTTGGAGCTCCTTGGCCCACATCCCACACAGCCTTCCCTGAGTGCCAAAGCCCACTATGGCCCATGTTCCAGTGGGTTGTGAAAAGAGGGAGGGAGGGAGATAGGAGCCTAGAATCTGCCAAGATCAGAAACTTACAGCTGACAGGCCAGAGACCAGAAGGCACTCGTGGGAAAGGGCCAAATACACAAAGCCAGCAAAAAGGCATTCCCTCATTATGGTCCCTGAAGTCCAGGTAGCCCCAGTGTTCCCAAAACCTGCTGCAAAGGCCAGCCAGGCACCGCACTCCCGCTTCCAACAGCCTGTGCCCTTAACTGTCTGCTCAGGTATTCCCGTGTCCACAGTCCTGCCCGAGACACCTGACTAGGTGGCATGGTGGAGCTAATGTGTCCTGCTTTGGGCATTGCAGAAGGGCCTGGAGAGAGGCAGATGGCACCCCAGAGGTACCCAGGTCTCCTGGGCCTTCTTCACTGCAAGAACCGACATAAGCAGACACTTGGCAGCCACAGGCTCTCCCTGGGATCCTCTCATCTTTACTGAAGAAAAATGGAGATGAAATGAGATGTGAGCCCAGTTCTGCTTCTCCTCCCCAGGAGCCAGGACAGGATGGCTTTCCCATAGGCTCCCGGTGCAGTCCTGCCTGTGCGCTCCCCACAAACACCACACCACCAGACCAGCCACAGCAGGAGCCACTCCACTGTCAGCACTCCCAACCCCAGAGCTGACACTGAACTCCTGTCCCATCCCCACAGCTGGGTCTCTCTGTGAGGTGGACAAGGCCAACCTGGGGGCAGGGGGCTCTAAGAGAAGTTGACAGGGGGATTCTGCACCTTCTAGTAGGACATCCAAATGAGACATGGAGGAGAATGGTTGTTATGAGGAGCCAACAGGGGCAGGATGGAATTGATATCCAAGAAGGGAAGCCCACGTCCATCTACACTGCCCAGGTGCTAGAGACTGTGCCGGGCTGTGCCACAGGTGCCATGTACTGCAGCGACTGTGAACAGCTGTAAGGTGGGCATTGCCCCGACCACATTCACAGAGGAGAAAACTGACAAAGGGAGCTCGAACGCCCACCCAGGGTCATGCATCTGGTGAGGGCTGAGCCATGGCTGTCCCCCAGGGACCCTCAACCACAAAGCCATGCTCTTCCCTCCCCAACTTGCTCTCCTGGGGGGGATCCAGTGGAGGGGCCGGGTGATGACCTAAACCCAGCCTATCTCTGTTTCTCATTCATTCAGCTCTGTAAGGGCCCACCCAGTGGACACCGTTTCAGGAGCCCCCAAAAGCCATGGGGAGCTCAGCTTCTCCCCTGGGTGTCACTTGCAAGCCGTGAAAGGAGAGTGTGGATCCAAAATCAGGTTCTGATTTGGTGGTGTCCACAGCATCCTTTGTGTCAAGTCCCAGCATCTGGGGTAGGGGAGAAATAACAGACTTCTGCCTGTGGGTTGTTGTTGGACAAAAGCCACATTTGTCACTGGGCTTACGGCCAAAGTAATAATCATTTTTTTAAGATTGACCCTGACGGAGGGAAGCCACCGCGGGCCACCAAGGCAGTGGTGGATGCGCTGAGGAGTTCCTCCTTGGGCCCATCCATCAGCACCAGAGCCAGACGGACGCTCGTCCCGATGGGGACATGCCATGCGGGGCTGACGCCTAGTCTTGTTTTCTTAATAAGCAGTGAGGTCGCAATAATAAGTCTCGGATAAACATTGGGGTCAGATGTCCTAGGGGTCATTACTGTTAAAATATGAAAGGAAAACTGGGGAGTGCAACCAACATATGGACCTCTTCTTTAGCACTACAGAAGCTGGGCTCTACTTCATGGTGACTTTGATGGCATAGAGGACTTTGAGGTCTAAATGAGTTCCCAAAGCATAATCTTTCTCACTGTCCTATATGCAATATGCATGTTGAGGGTTGTTGTGTCCTGGTCATTATGGGGCACATGTGGGAGAGAGCAGGGCAGGGTCAGGGGTGGGAGAAAAATTTAGAGATATAGGGAGGTTCACTTGTCACCCCAGCTCCTCATCAGAAGGCAGAAGCCAAAGCCAAGGTACAAAAAGTGGAGGTAAAGAGCACCAAGGAATGAGAGGAAAGTCCAGCAGCAAAGTGCTGGGATGTAAGAAGGCTCAGGGAGCTAAGGCAGCCAGATGGATGGGGACATGGGGAGCAGACCCACTGCCCATTCCTGGGCACCTCCTAGGTGGTGGGTGGGAGCTTTGTGGAGTGGGCCAGCTGCTCAGTCCTACCAGGAAGCCTGCGTGGTGGACCCTCCTGTGGCCTCCCTCCACCCTTCAGTGCCAGGCTTTGCTGCTTTTCCAGGCCTTTGTTCACTGTCCCTTAGCCCCAAACGCCCTTCCCCCATCCTTCGTTAAACAAATCTCAGACATCTCACCCTCCCTCCCGAAGCCTCAGAAGCAAGCTCGGCCCCCTGCCCAGGTGCCCTGACCTTTGCACTTCTCTGCTGTATGAGTTGTCTGTCTCTTGGGCTTCTGCCCCTTCCGCTGGTGGCTCCTCATGGGTAGGCATCAGCTCATGTTAATTTACACATTGGACCTGCAGTGAGGCCTCCATCTCCTCACTAAGATGTGACTCTTCTCCTCACTGTCCCAACCCTTAACCAGTGAAGGGCCCAGCAAGGTCTGGTGTTAGACTGAGCTCCGCACATTCATGCTGATGGAATGAATGAATGAATGAATGAATGAGGAAGGAGCAGTGGCTGGAGAGCTGGCCCCAGCCCTGAGGGGGAAGGAGGCTGGGCTTTGACTTACATAACTTGCTCCCCTGAATGCCTGTGCCACATCTCCGAAGTGTGATTATAAACTTACAAGTAAAAATGAAAATGGACTTCCAGGCCAGGTGTAAACTCCTTCTTTTATTTTTATTTATTTATTTATTTATTTATTTTTTGAGACAGGGTCTCACTGTGTCACTTAGGCTGGAGTGCAGTGGTATGATCTCGGCTCACTGCAACCTCCGCCTCCTGGGTTCAAGTGATTCTCATGCCTCAGCCTCCCAAGTAGCTGAGATTACAGGTGTGTGCTACCATGCCCAGCTAATTTTTTTTGTAGTTTTAGTAGAGACAGGGTTTCACCATGTTGGCCAGGCTGGTCTAGAACTCCTGACCTCAAATGATCTGCCCACCTCAGCCTCCCAAAGTGCTGGGATTACAGGCGTGAGCCACCACGTCCAGCCTAAACTCCTTCTTTAACTGGTTGAATAAACACCTCGGACTTGAGAGCAGGCTAAGTGTTTCCCACAAAAAGTGTAGAGAAGTCAGTGGGGTGCACAGAGTAGGCATCCAGTGTGCCCTTGGATCTGACTCACAGGCTGGCTTTGTCATAACTAAAGGGATCTCCTCGTTGCCCTTGTTACCACAGTTAGGGTACCCTAACTCTAACCCTAGTTTTATGATCGTTTTCTAACACAAATCCTTCTGTAGTAACTCTCACTGCAACTCACAGACATGAAGATACAAGACAGGCTGGAAGGTTGTTCTTTAGGAAGGGAAAACATCCCTTTACTTAAACTTGATAATGACTGGTTTTGAAACTGGGGCAAGAACTACTTAACTCGAGAACATGAAATTTCAACAACTGTTTGGAGACACATGGTTGGGATTTGCTGTGGGGGTGAACGGCACAGATGCTCTTGACTGAAGTCTTGGCCAGGGCCCAGATCTCCCCCCACCACTCCCATCCCATACACACGAGTCTTTGCAGAATCAGAGAGGGTGGGAAGGCCCTAAAAACTGGGACTCTGAAAGCCAAGTGCGTTTATGCCTCATTCTCCAGGGAAATATCCAATAGCTGCCTCTAAACTGTATCCATCTCTCACTGCCTTTGGCCACCTCCCATGTTTGCTGGTTGATTTTGTTCACTGGGTTCCACCTTTCTTGGCTGGGCTGAGTCCGTGGTGACTTGCACAGATGCAGATACTTGTGTGCCTGTGAGCAAGGAGCGATGAGTGGGGCAGGATCCTCATCCCGCTGCTCTGTCCAGGGAATTCTCAACAGAAAGAGGAGGGGCCGGGAGCCTCGGGGCTTGGGTGATTTGGTCTGGAAGGGAAGGGCCCATTTAACCATGAGTGCAGAGAGCTGGCGGGGAAACCCTGAAGCAGAAGATCACAGGGAGCTGTCAAGATCTCTGTCAAAGCTGGAAGATGAAGGCATTCCATGTGTTCAGGGAGAAAAAGCTGCATAATTCAGCCCCAAAGGAGAAGGTTCAGAGAGAGATGCATGAACAAATGACATGCAAAGAGAGGAGATAGGCCTGAGGCACAGAAGTCACCTGGGTCGGGATAGAAGACTGGCTCTGGGAAGACACCCTGGCCCTAGATGTGAGGCCAGCCTAGCTGGACCTGTAGGGTCCTGAGCTTGCCCATGGGTGGGTAGCAGCTGGTGGACACAGCAGCTCTGACACAGCCCTGTTCACCGCATCTGAAAACATTTGAGTCTCTTCTTCTAACTAAAGCCAGCTTGGCTGAGGCAGAACCCTTCCTTTCCTGACTATCCTGCTGGGTCAGCCATTCCAGACACTGGTCCTTTCCTCTGTCCAAAATCAATGAACAACTTCTCACCAATAATCACACCTCTATGTTGCTTTATCTCTCATACCAAACCAATTTAGTCATATAGGCAAGATGTGTACACATAAAACACATTAATGATTTTTTAAAAAACAGTTTTACTGTAGACAACAATGGTCCTACCAAGGCAAACACTCAGGTAAACCAATCCATGGAAAGTCAATGTAGAGTTCACATGCCTTTCACTCTGGAAAGTCTAATGACTGAGGCCCCCAAAATGTGGGCACTGTTTACATGTGGCAGGTGGGTGGAGGAGAGGCCCTCAGCCCCTCCCTGTTCTGGTCCTCCTCTCCTGTGACTGGGGCTGATGGGATGCTCATGAACTGAGCAAGAGAAGCTCAACAGTCCTGACACCCAGGCCATGACAGTCCAAGTCAGCTGCCTCTGACAGAGGCCTTGAGCCCTGTGTTTTCCAATTGCCTGACCTGTACAATTACACTGTCAAATTCAGTTTTATGTGCAAAAACAACAATCATGTTTTGCTTTTGCTTTTACAGTTTTCCACCTGTAACCTAGACACGGTAAACATTCAGAGGGGAGTAGAGCCTGGCCAGGGTGGGGAGCCAGCCGGAAGAACATGCTGATGGTTTTGCCCCTGGAAGGAGGTGACAGGCAGGTGTGCATGGCTAGAGAGCCCCCGAGGACCAGAACAGAGGGAAGAGAAATGCAGCATCAAAAACACAGAGCTTGGAAATACTCCTGTCTCCTCCAAACACATCTCTCCCCACTGCCTGGAGGGGCATCGTTTGAACACTGATTTGTGCGTTTAGGTCACTGGATCCCTGAACCCCTACCTACCTGCCATGCAGAATGCCCGGCCACTGCTATTATCTGGTTTTGTCATATGGTAGCGCTTTGTACTCTCAGTCACCTCCCTTGGAGTCTGTGATTAATAATCCCTTCCTTTAAAGTTGAGGTGCCCAGGCTGTTTGTCAGTGTGTGTTCACCCCAGCCCAGTCAGCAGCCCTCTGCAGTGCTGAGCTATAGTTCCATGGTTTTCTGGGTGCTGGGGCAGACCAGACCATGCCGAGTGCAAGCCCTGGTCCTGTCTTTAATTAGTAGCTGCGTGGTCTCAGGAAACTTGGCCTCTCTGGGCCTCAGATTCTTCATCTGTAATACAGGCGTAATAGCACTGCCTAAATTCAAAGTTGCCCTGAGGATCAGGTAAGGTATGAGAGGTAGGAGTCACGAGAATTAAATAAGAAGGCATGCCAAAGGTGAACCCCACAGCTAAGTGTTCACCATGCAGCAATTCTCAGGAGCTGGTAGTCGTATGAATTGTCACAAAGTGCCTCATGGTGCACATGCTGATGGGAAACGATTGCTTTAATAGTCTGAGAAGACCTGCTAGAGAAACTGGGTTTCCAGAAGAGTTTTGATGAATAAAAGCAATGGGAACAATCATACTGAAAGGAAGTGTTGTGTATCATGGGCCTGCCTTCCAAATGCAGGGCACTGTGTGCAACACAGCAGCCAATGCAAGTTTTATTAACTTCCTCCGTGATAACTACTTCAGACAATATTCCAAAATGGAATACAATCACCACCTCTCCAGTAGTTCTCAGAATATCTGCTGGGATAAAGACATCTCCTGCAAAGCTACATGAAGAAGTTTCCTCAGGAGAAACTGCTGTATAATACAACAGCAAGTGTTAAGTGTGTAGACTTGACCTCAACTTTAATCTGCAAAGTTTATTCACTTCCCTGAAATCATCTGTACTTTTCCTAAGCTGAGTGTTAAAGCCTGTCATGCATGAGCTTCTGTGTAAACCCCTGGGTGTTCCTGCAACCCCCAATGCACCCCACTCTGCTCCATTGCACAGGCAAGTTAGACACAGGCAGGACTTCCTGCTCTGCTGTCTTAGTGAAGCCTAATTCTTCTGGCTCTTCAGGCATATGAGCTTGTGTTGCTTCTTTGCCTTTTGGCTAAGATTAACTGTAGACATATAGGCTTGTGAGCTCCTCCCTGCCAGCCTTCAGGAAGCCTCCAGCCAAGCCCTCTATTTCCTCCCTTCACCACATATGAAGGCTGGGAGTGGCAGGGGCATCTCCAGTGCATGTCTTCCGCAGGTGCCCCCCTCTAAGCCTTCCTCTCCTCCTCCACAGAGAACATGCTTCCCTGGCTTACTGCCTTGGTGCACCTGCCCATGCCTGGAGCTCCAGAACAAATTTGCCCAGATGCATTTTTCCCAGCTATGGAAAAAATGGCCTCCACACCCATGGAGAATTCCTACCACAGCAACCCAACAGTCTGCAGCTCAGGCTTAGAGATATAAACAGACGATCCTTCTCATATCTCCATGAGGACATAACTTCCATGAGACCAGCAGCCCAAATACAGGTCATGGAGGCTGGAACAGTTCCCAGAGGCACATCCTTGGGGGAGCCAGCCAGAGGTCCAGGCTGGAAGTCCAGTATCACAATCAGTGATCCTGGGCTCACCAATGGAGGGCAGAATTGCACCAGCGTCAAAAAACAGGAGGCGGGCAGGAGACCATCTACTGGTCTGGCCTGAGAACTCCCCCGGGAGGAACACAGTATTTAGGCAAGAAGAGAACAAACCTCTCTCCCTTCTGTGCTATGTGCCACGCTCTTCAGTGGGGCAAGGAACTGATACCTGCCCAAGGTGCTACCAAGAATGACTCTGCATGCCAGCAATACCTTTGTGAGTCCCAACTTGTTCCTCCTCCCAGAATCCCCGAGGGCTCTGACACCTCCACCATCACGTGGCTCACTGTGGGGATAATTTGCAAGTGGGATGGGAGGAGGAGAAAACGCTGAAGTGCTCCCCTTTGAACCCCCATAATTATCTCACTTAATACTCACAGAAGCCCACGAGGGAGGCATCGTGGAGAGGAGACCAGGGCTCCGAGAGGTTCAATAGCTTTCCAGAAAGCAACAGAGCCAGGACTTCCCCTCGGAACAGGCTGGTTTCAGAGTACCGGCTCTGTGCAACACCATTATTAAGCTACAGCACAAAGATGCAACTCTGAGCTCCTGCCTTCCAGGCTGTGGGAAAAAAGGACAATAGAGAGAACTAGCTTGTTGCATTCCTCCAACCAAGAGGAAGCAGTCCACACAAGGTTTGCTGGGAAAGAAGAAAGATCTTCAAGGGCTTGCGTTCATACTCAGCATTTAGGCCTCTGGGACGTCATGGGAAAGCATGGTAACGTCTGCTCTTTAAAGTAGAATCAAGAAAAGAGGCTCAAGATGAGACTCACCCTAGCATGCAAACTGTTTGATGGGACGCAGCCAATAGGAGCCGATACTTCCTGAGCACCTGTATCTATTGCCACAGCAACCCAAGAAGGCAGGCAAGGGTATCGTCCCCATGGTGGACATGAGCACCCTGTCACCTGCCCAGGGCCGTGTAGTTGGTTCTTGGTGGAGCTGGGATCCAGGCTGGTTCTTCACCTCTGTCCTGCCCTGTCTCTGTATCTCACCTGAGGGTCACTGAAACACCAGGTGTACTGCCTGGGAAGGCAGGACACCACCCCACCCTTTGTGTGTGTGTGTGCATGCACGCGCACACACACACACCCATTCACAGATGCTTGCCATGACAACTTAAGCCTGCAATATGGCCAAAGTATTTGATTAATAAGTACTCTCCTTCCTTCCTTCCTTCCTTCCCTCCTTTCTTCTTTTTGCCTCCATCCCTCCTTTCTCCTTTCCTCTTCTCCTCAAACACTGTCCCCGCCCTTAACCAGTAAAGGGCCCAGAAAGGTCTGGTGGTAGACTGAGCTCCACCTTAAGGTGTCTGCTTCTGGGGAAGAGGAGCCTGCACAGAACCCCTCCCGCTCGCAGGGTATAAAAGTCCAGGAGGGGAAACCAGCTGAGTGCTCAGAGCCAGTGGAGAAAGGACCCAATATCCAACTGGGAAACCAAACCGAGTCAGCTCAGAAGCACAGTGGCATTTATCCTGGGCCTAAAGGAGACATAAGGAGAGGTAGTATGTTGAGAAATGGAAGCAGAAGAGGCTAAATGCCCATTACCCTGCATTGGATATAGAGATGGGATAAAGCCATGGGGTTTGGGGTCTAGAAGGGACCTTATGGAACACTCTGTCCACCCATCCTTCCCCCCAACCTTCAGAGTGGACTTCTTTAAAAGTAAATAAAGGTAAGTACCAAATTCCAGTCCCTCCACTGTCCCCTTCCCTCAGCCCCTACAGGCCTGTGTGACCTGGTTCCGGGCCCTTTCTCCAACCTCACCTCAATCCATGTTCCCTTGTCCACATCACCGCAGCCACACTGGCCTTCTTCCTTTTCTCATACGAACCAAGCATGTTCCTACCTCAGGGCCTTTGCACAAGATGCCCCCGTCTCTGGAGCACTTTCCTGGCAGGTGGCTCTGTGACTGTCTCCTTCCCATGATCCAGGATTTACTGAGTCCCAGCAACCCTGGTTCAAGGACCTCTTCCCCAACACATGTGCAGGTGACCTCAAGCTTGAGGTAGTTGGCATCTTTGATGATTTTCAAAATATCTGTCCCTCTCTGGAGTTGCCTTCACTTTCTTTGAAAGGTCTTCATCTCCTCACTAAGATGTGACTCTGGGAGAGCAGGAGGCAGCTTAGACTTGACGATGGCCCCAGCACCAGACAGTGCCACATGGTTACCCGCCCCCCATAAATATCTGCTGTTAAATGCTCCATTCCACTTCTCTTTCCTCCTCAGTCTCAACGTGCCTTCTTTAAAACGAGGAATTGTGTGGGATGAACTATGTCCTTCCCAAATCCATGTACTGAAGTCCTAACCCCCAGCCCTCAGCATTTGGCCTTATTTGGAAGGAGGATCTTTGTAAATTAATCAGTTAACATGAGGCCATACTGGAGCAGGGTGGGCCACTAAGCCAGTATGCCAATACGGCTAGAGTCCTTATGAAAAGGGGAAATTGGGGTACAGAGGCAAACACTCACAGAGAGAAGACCCTGTGAAAAGACACAGGGAGGAAACAGCCGTCTACAAGCCAAGGGAGGAGACCTGGAGCAGATCCCTGCTCACAGCTCTCAGAAGGAACCAACCCTGCCAACACTTCATTTTCAAACTTCCCACCTCCAGAAGTGGGCAATGATAATTTTCTGTTGTTTAAGCTATCCAGTTTGTGATGGTTTGTTAACAAAGCTTTAGCAAACTCACAGGAGGAGTGTGTGAGATGATCCCCAAGCTACCCTCCTGTGCTCCCCACTTTCTGCTCTCCCTGGTCCTAGAAGGAGGGCACTTTCCATCCCTCTCTTGGGGACAGCATTAGGCAAACAGCCTGGGGGCCCTTCCTGAGCTGGCCTATTTAACATTCTTCAGCAGCTGGACATATTCACTTCCCTCAGGTGAGATTAGAGTCCTAATCTCCCCAAACTGTACCTTAAATAATATTTATTCTACCACCTCCTATAAACAACTTTGCTGAGGGAGTTTACAACATAGCTTAAAAAGGGAAGCTTTCACTTCCTTTCTCAAGCCACGATTACCAGAACCTTGCCAGGGAGCCAGGAGCCCGGCTGCAGCCCTAGGGCTCGCACAGCCCTCCAGGGCCAGCCCTGACATCCCAATGGCTGGCTCAGTTTCTGCCTCAGCCCCATCCTTTCCATAATGATTCTTTCAGCCGGCACTCCTCTGGTTGGAGTACAGAAACCCTGGTTAAAACACAACTCAATCTTCACTCCTATTTTCCAAAGGCTTTTCCAAAATGGGAAAGCTACAGTGCTCAGGAGACTGGCTGAACAATTTGAGGTTTCTGGCAAGCACGGACATGTGCAGATGTGTTTTTCAAAACAAGAGCAGAGCCTTGCAAACTCATTTACATAAGTCTTCTCTCCCGGAAAAAGAGGAAAGTAGTAGTTCTGGCACAAATATCTGAGAAAATCTTGCTTTCTATGTGTTTAGACCTGAGGAAAGGGCTTCCTGTGTCAGCTCAGAAAATGTAGAGGGTTAGAACAATGTATCCCTCTTACAACCAGAAAAAAAAGCTAGACAAATTGCACAATCACGACTTTTCTTGAACCCCTCAGAGTACTGAGGTCACAGGTCAACCAACTAACCCAAAATCCAGGGAGACACAGCTTCATGCCAAAAGAAGCAGGATTTGAGTATTTGTTTACCTAGGCAGACACCATTAGGTGCCATATAAACTGGTAAGAAGATTCAGCTAAAATTTTTAAATGAACTAATTGTCAACATAAAATATATAAAGAAGTAAATCTCTAAATAGGAAGGTTTTATTTGGGAATAATAAACAAGAAGTGGGATTGCAATTCAGGACATACACACAGACCAGGGTGGCCTCTGGAATGTCTGGAGAACAAAGGAAAAGGTTAGGGTGTTACTAGGGAAAGAGGAGATTACACAAGTTGTTTTGAAAAAAAAGTTGAAGATGGCTTAAAGAAATAAATGTGAAATCTAAGACTATAAAAACCCTGGAAGAAAACCTAGGAAATACCATTCTGGACATAGACCCTGGCAAAGATTTCATGAAGACTCCAAAAGCAATTGCAACAAAAACAAAAATTGACAAGTGGGACCTAATTAAACTAAAGAGCTTCTGCACAGCAAAATAAACTATCAACAGAGTAAACAGACAACCTAAAGAATGGGAGAAAATATTTGCAAACTATGCATCTGACAAAGGTCTAATAGCCAGAATCTAAAAGGAACTTAAACAAATCAACAAACAAAAAACAACCTCATTAAACAGTGGGCAAAAGACATGAACAGGCACTTTTCAAAAGAAGATTAGATATACATGTGGCCAACAAGCATATGAAAAAAATGCTCAACATCACTAATCATTAGAGAAATGCAAGTCAAAACCACAATAAGATGCCATCTCACACAAGTCAGAATGGCTGTTATTAAAGAGCCAAAAAATAACAAATGCTGGCAAGGTTACAGAGAAAAGGGAATGCTTGCACACTGCTGGTGGGAATGTAAATTAGTTCAGTCACTGTGGAAATCAGTTTGGAGATATCTCTAAGAACTTAAAACAGAACTACCACTTTATTTACCGTGTCTACTGCAAGAATGAAGACCATCCGCAGCAATCAGACTGTTGATATTCCGGAAAATGTCATTACTCTGAAGGGATGCAAAGTTATTGTGAAGGGCCCCAGAGGAACTCTGTGGAGGGACTTCAATCACATCAGTATAGAACTCAGTCTTCTTGTAAAGAAAAAAAAGAGGCTCCGGCTTAACAACACTTGTGGTGAGGTAACAGAAAGGAACCGGCTATGGTTCAGACTATTTGTAGTCATGTACAGAACATGATCAAGGGTGTTACACTGGGCTTCCATTACAAGATGAGATCTGTGTATGCTCACTTCCCCATCAACATCGTTACCCGGGAGAATGGGTCTTTTGTTGAAATCCGAAATTTCTTGGGTGAAAAATACATCCGCAGGGTTAGGATGAGACCAGGTGTTGCTTGTTCAGTATGTCAAACCCAGAAACATGAATTAATCCTTGAAGGAAATGACATTGAGCTTGTTTCAAATTCAGCGGCTTTGATTCAGCAAGCAACAACAGTTAAAAACAAGCATATCAGGAAATTTTTGGATGGTATCTATGTCTCTGAAAAAGAAACTGCTCAGCATATCAGGAAATTTTTGGATGGTATCTATGTCTCTGAAAAAGAAACTGCTCAGCATGCTGATGAATAAGATCTAAGAGTTGCCCAGCTCAGCTACAGAAACAAGATGCCGGATGACTCCTAAGACCTACTTGTGATATTTAAACGATGCAATAAAAGACTTACTGATTTGGAAAAAAAACAGCAACAGAACTACCATTTGACCCATTTTGACATATGCATGTGTGTCTTTATGGTAGAACAACTTATAGTCCTTTGGAATATAAGGAATCCTCTGGGTGTGTTACTGAGTATATACCCAAAAGAATATAAGTCATTGTACCATAAAGACACACATGCATATGTTCGTCACAGCACTACTCACAATAGCAAAGACATGGAATCAACTTAGGTGTCCATCAATGGTGAACTGGATAAAGAAAATGTGGTACATATACACCATGAAATACTACATAGCCTTAAAAAAAGAATGAGGATCATGTTTTTTGCAGCAACATAGATGCAACTAAAGACCAATATCCTGAGAGAATTAATGCAGGAATAGAAAATCAAACACCACATGTTCTCATGTAGGAGTTAAACATTGAGTACACATGGACATAAAGAAGGGAACAGTACACACTGGGGCCTACCTGACGGTGGAAGTTGGAAAGAGAATGAGGATCTAAAACTATCAGTCAGGTACTATTCTCACTACCTGGGTAATGAAATAATTTGTACACCAAACCCCAGCATCACACAATTTACCCATGTAATAAGCCTGCACATGAATCCCCTGAACCTAAAAGTTGGAAGGAAAAACCAAATGGTTTCTTGCAGACACCAAAAAGAAGACAGCTCATGGCTTTTTACAAGAGCCAGAGAGTTCTGATTGGTGTCAATGGTTGTTAGATAGGACTTGTGGTCTTGGAGTTCAGGTTAGGCCCTTGCAGTTTGGGGTTGGGCTTATGAGACAGTGTGTCAGGCAGGAGTTTTTGTATCTGCTGCTCTCTGTCCTTGTGTGACTCACGTAGTAAGCTGTGGTTTGGAATAACTTTGTGATAGCTCCTGTTATCAGTTAAATTATGGGTGAGAGTCCTCCCTTCATGGCCTTCCCCAGCTCTGTTGTAAAGGATAAGTAGTATTTGTAAAGGATAAGTTGTATTTTTTTTTTCAGACAGATAAGTAATATTTTGAGAGAGATGGAAGCAGAAGCTCATTATCCTGCAGTAGATATAGACATGGGACAGGGTCATGGGATTTGGGGTTGAGTACGGACCTTATAAACCATGCTGCCCACTCGCCCTCTCCCAAACTTTCAGACTAGCCTCCTTTAAAAGTAAATAAGATCAAGGAAGTGCCAAATTCCAGTTCCTCCACTGGCTCCCTTAGCATGACACCAGTTCCTTCCTTTGGCCCCCATGGCCCTGCACAACCTGGTTTCTGGCCCTTTCTCCAAACTCACCTCAGCCCATCTCCCCTCATCCACTTCACTGCACCCACAATTTAGGCCAGGATTTGACACAAGTTATTCTATTTTGAATCTTACAACTTTTGGATGGCTAGCATGAGAAGGAGGATACCTGAAGGGGATGGAGATTTGGGGGCATTAGCACCACTTGCAGGATTTTCCTCCATGAAGCCCAAAATCCACTCCCAGGGAAGATCACTGAGAATGCTGAGACAGCTCCCTCCCCATCCTGCTTAGAGAAGGGAACAGCAGCCTTAATCTTCAGAGAAAGAGCAATGCACCCTGCCGTGGGGAAACCCACTGCAGCTAGGGGAAGGCGATATTAAAGGAAATCTGCATACCTGGGGAAGGCAGAAAAACGCACGCAAGATCCCTCATCAGAGCTAGAGCAGGTACAGGGCACTTAGGAAAGCATCAGTTGCACTGAGCCTGCCTGAGTCCAGGCCTACTCAGAACATTTGAGGCACCCTTCTCCCTTCCCCCAACACCATGCTAACAGACATCAGGCACACATGGCAGTGGTGCCTAGCCAGGAGAACTGCAACAACAGATTATTCACAGGGAGCAACACAAAGAGTAGACCCAAAACCACCCCGCCAGACTCCTAAGCCAGGCAGAATACAGGCAGTGGGGAAAACCCTCTGGAAAAGTAGTTCACACCCTAAACACAAGGTATAACCAGAGGAATCGGAACTCTCTGGCTCTGAGGGTAACTAGAGCACAACAAACTTCAAATTCAGCCAAACTGGTGACAGCATTAACACAACCGTCCATGCTGAAGGTCTAGCAGAAGGAAAGGCATGCTCATGTTCAGTGTAAAAAAATTACTTCCGTACACACCACCCTCCATAAGATGTTCAACTTCCAACAAAGCAACAATAACAAAAACAGGAGGCATGTGAAACACAAGAAGAGCTCAGAGCTCAGTCTAGGAGACAAGGCAGGCATCCGAACCAGAATCCGACATGGCGCCAAGGTTGGAACTGTCAGACAGGAGATGGGAAATGACTGTGATTAATACCTGAGAGGTTCTAATGTGAAAGGTTCAACATGCGGTAGCAGATGGGTAATTTCTGAAGAGAAGCAGAAATCCTACAATCAAATAGAAACAGAAAAGACAAAAAATACAGTAACATAGATGAAGAATGTCTCAACATGCTCTTCAGTGGATATGACACAGCTGAGGAAAGAATCAGTGAATCTGAAGATACAGCAATAGAAATTAGCTAAATGGAAATGTGATGAGAAACATAAAACGAATTTTAAAAACAGTACATCAAGTTGCTTCCAAGATGGCCGAATAAAAACAGCTCTAGTCTACAGCTACTAGCGAGATTGACGCAGAAGATGGGTGATTTCTGCATTTCCACCTGAGGTACCTGGTTCATCTCATTGGGACTGGTTGGACAGTGGGTGCAGCCCATGGAGGGCCAGCCAAAGCAGGGCGGGGTGTTGCCTCACCTGGGAAGCACAAGGGGTTGGGGGATTTCCCTTTCCTAGCCAGAAGAAGCCATGAGTGGCTGTACCTGGAGAAGCAGTACACTCCTGCCCAAACACTGCACTTTCCCCACAGTCTTCACAACCAGCAGACCAGGAGATTCCCTCCTGTGCCTGGCTTGGTGGGTCCCATGCCCACGGAGCCTTCCTCGCTGCTAGTGTAGCAGTCTGATATCTACCTGGGATGCTGGAGCATGGAGGGAGGGGCGTCGGCAATTACTGAGGCTTGAGGAGGCAGTTCTATGCTCACAGTGTAAACAAAGCAGCCGGGAAGCTCTTAACTAGGTAGAGCCCACTGCAGCTCAGCAAGGCCTACTGCCTCTCTAGATTACACCTCTGAGGGCAGGGCATATCTGAACAAAAGGCAGCAGACAGCTTCTCCAGACTTACACATCCCCGCCTGACAGCTCTGAAGAGAGTAGTGGTTCCCCCAGCATAGCATTCAAGCTCCAATAATGGACAGACTGCCTCTTCAACTGGGTCCCTGACTCCTGTGTAGCCTGACTGGGAGACTCCTCCCAGTAGGGGCCAACAGACACTTCATACAGGCGGGTGCCCCTCTGGGACAAAGCTTCCAGAGGAAGGAACAGGCAGCAATCTTTGCTGTTCTGCAGCCTCCACTGGTGATAATAAGCCAAATAGGGTCTGGAGTGAAACCCCAGCAAGTGCCAGCAGACCTGGAGCAGAGGGGCCTGACTGTTAGAAGGAAAACTAACTAGTATCAACAGCAACAAAAAGGATGTCCACTCAGAGACCTCATCCAAAGGTCACCACCATCAAAGACCAAAGGTAGATAAATCCGTGAAGATGGGGAGAAACCAGCGCAAAACGGCTGAAAATTCCAAAAACCATAACGCCTCTTCTCCTCCAAAGGATCACAGCTCCTTGCCAGCAAGGGACAAAACTTGATGGAGAATGAGTTTGACAAGTTGACAGAAGTAGGCTTCAGAAGGTCGGTAAAAACAAACTTCTCTGAGCTAAAGGGGCATATTCTAACCCATTACAAGGAAGCTAAAAACATTGAAAAAAAGGTTAGATGAATGGCTAACTAGAATAAGCAGTGTAGAGAAGAGCTTAAATGACCTGATGGAGCTGAAAACCACAGCGCGAGAACTTTGTGAAGGATACACAAGCTTCAATAGCCGATTCAATCAAGCAGAAGAAAGGATATCAGTAATTGAAGATCAAATTAATGAAATAAAGCTAGAAGACAAGATTAGAGAAAAAAGAGTGAAAAGAAACTAACAAAGCCTCCAAGAAATAAGGAACTATGTGAAAAGACCAAATCAACATTTGATTGGTGTGCCTGAAAGTGACAGGGAGAATGAAAACAAGTTGGAAAACTATCTTTAGGATATTATCCAGGAGAACTTACCCAACCTAGAAGGCAGGCCAACATTCAAATTAAGGAAATACAGAGAACATCACAAAGATACTCCTCAAGAAGAGCAACCCCAAGACACATAATCATCAGATTAACCAAGGTTGAAATGAAGGAAAAAATGTGAAGGGCAGCCAGAGAGAAAGGTTGGGTTACCCATAAAGAGAAACCCATCAGACTCACAGCTGATCTCTCAGCAGAAACTCTACAAGCCAGAAGAGAGTGGGGGCCAAAATTCCACATTCTTAAAGGAAAGAATTTTCAATGCAGAATTTCATATCCAGCCAAACTAAGCTTCATAAGTGAAGGAGAAATAAAATCCTTTACAGACGAGCAAATGCTGAGAGATTTTGTCACTACCAGGCCTGCCTTACAAGAGCTCCTGAAGGAAGCACTAAACATGGAAAGAACAACTGATACCAGCCACTGCAAAAACATGCTAAATTGTAGAGACCATCCCAGCTATGAAGAAACTGAATCAATTAACAAGCAAAATAGCCAGCTAGCATGATAATGACAGGATCAGATTCACACAGAACAATATTAACCTTAAATGTAAATGGACTAAATGCCCCAATTAAAAGACACAGACTGGCAAATTGAATAAACAGTCAAGACCCAGCAGTGTGCTGTATTCAGGAGACCCTTCTCACATGTAAAGACACACATAGGCTCAAAATAAAGGGATGGAGGAAGATCTACCAAGCAAATAGAAAGCAAAAAAAAAAAGCAGGGTTGCAATTCTGGTCTCTGATAAAACAGACTTTAAACCAACACAGACCAAAAGAGACAAAGAAGGCCATTACATAATGGTAAAGGGACCAATGCAACAAGAAGAGCTAACTATCCTAAATATATATGCATCCAATACAGGCGCACCCAGACTCATAAAGCAAGTTCTTAGAGACCTAAAAAGAGACTCAGACTCCCACACAAGAATAATGGGAGACTTTAACACCCCACTGTCAATATTAGACAGATCAATGAGACAGAAACTTAGCAAGGATATCCAAGACTTGAACTCAGCTCTGAACCAAGCAGACCTAATAGACATCTACAGAACTCTATACCCCAAATCAACAGAATATACATTCTTCTCAGCACCATATCACACTTATTCTAAAATTGACCACATAATTGGAAGTAAAGCACTCCTCAGCAAATTTAAAAGAACAGAAATCACAACAAACTGTCTCTCATACCACAGAGCAATCAAATTACAACTCAGGATTAAGAAACTCAATCAAAACCGCACAACTACATGGAAACTGAACAACCTGCTACTGAATGACTACTGGGTAAATAACAAAATGAAGGAAGAAATAAAGTTGTTCTTTGAAACCAATGAGAACAAAGACACAACATACCAGAATCTCTGGGACACATTTAAAGCAGTGTGTAGAGGGAAATTTATAGCACTAAATGCCTACAAGAGAAAGCAGGAAAGATCTAAAATTGGCACCCTAACATCACAATTAAAGAACGAGAGAAATGAGCAAACAAATTCAAAAGCTAGCAGAAGACAAGAAATAACTAAGATCAGAGCAGAAGTAAAGGAGATAGAGACACAAAACAACCCTTCAAAAAATCAATGAATCCAGGAGCTGGTTTTTTGAAAGGATCAACAAAATAGATAGACCACTAGAAAGACTAATAAAGAAGAAAAGAGAGAAGAATCAAATAGACAAAATAAAAAATGATAAAGGGGTATCACCACTGATCCCACAGAAATACAAACTACCATCAGAGAATACTATAAACACCTCTGTGCAAATAAACTAGAAAATCTAGAAGAAATGGATGAATTCCTGGACACATACACCCTCCCAAGACTAAACCAGGAAGAAGTTGAATCTCTGAATAGACCAATAACAGGCTCTGAAATTGAGGCAATAATTAATAGCCTACCAACCAAAAAAAGTCCAGGACCAGACGGATTCACAGCCAAATTCTACCAGACATACAAAGAGGAGCTGGTACCATTCTTTCTGAAACTATTCCAATCAATAGAAAAAGAAAGAATCCTCCCTAACTCATTTTATGAGGCCAGCATCATCCTGATACAAAAACCTGGCAGAGACACAACAGAAAAAGACAATTTTAGGCCAATGTCCCTGATGAACATTGATGCGAAAATCCTCAATTAAATACTGGCAAACTGAATCCAGCAGCACATCAAAAACTTATCCATCATGATCAAGTCGGCTTCATCCCTGGGATGCAAGGGTGGTTCAAACACACGAATCAATAAATGTAATCCATCACATAAACAGATCCAATGACAAAAACCACATGATTATCTCAATAGATGCAGAAAAGGCCTTCAACAAAATTCAACAGGCTTTCATGATAAAAACTCACAATAAACTAGGTATTGATGGAATGTATCTCAAAATAATAAGAGCCATTTATGACAAACCCACAGCCAATATCATACTGAATGGGCAAAAACTGGAAGCATTCCCTTTGAAAAACTGGCACAAGACAGGGATGCCCTCTCTCACCACTCCTATTCCACATAGTGTTGGAAGTTCTGGCCAGGGCAATCAGGCAAGAGAAAGCAATAAAGCATATTCAAATAGGAAGAGAGGAAGTCAAATTGTCTCTGTTTGCAGATGACATGATTGTATATTTAGAAAATGCCATTGTCTCAGCCCCAAATCTCCTTAAGCTGATAAGCAACTTCAGCAAAGTCTCAGGATACAAAATTAACGTGCAAAAATCACAAGCATTCCTATACACAAATAACAGACAAACAGAGTGCCAAATCATGAGTGAACTCCCATTCACAATTGCTACAAGGAGAATAAAATACCTAGGAATACAACTTAAAAAAGATGTGAAGGACCTCTTCAAGGAGAACTACAAACCACTGCTCAAAGAAATAAGAGAGGACACAAACAAATGGAAAAACATTTCATGCTCGTGGACAGGCAGATGCAATATTGTGAAAATGGCCTTACTGCCCAAAGTGATTTATAGATTCAATGCTATCCCCATCAAGCTACCAATGACTTTCTTCACAGAGTTGGAAAAACTACTTTAAACTTCATTTGGAATCAAAAAAGAGCCCTCATAGCCAAGACAATCCTGGGCAAGAAGAACAAAGCTGGAGGCATCATGCTACCTGACTTCAATCTATACTACAAGGCTACAGTAACAAAAACAGCATGGTACTGGTACCAAAACAGATACATAGACCAATGGAACAGAATGGAGGCCTCAGAAATAACACCACACATCTACCACCATTTGACCTTTGACAAACCTGATGCACACAAGCAATGGGGAAAAGATTCCCTATTTAATAAATGGTGTTGGGAAAACTGGCTAGCCATATGCAGAAAACTGAAACTGGACCCCTTCTTTACACCTTATACAAAAATTAACTCAAGATGGATCAAAGACTTAGACATAAGACCTAAAATCATAAAAATCCTAGAAGAAAACCTGGGCAATACCATTCTGGATGTAGGCATGGGCAAAGGCTTCATGTCTAAAACACAAAAAGCAATGGCAACAAAAGCCAAAATTGACAAATGGGATCTAATTCAAGTAAAGAACATCTGCACAGCAAAGGAAACTATCATCGGAGTGAATAGGCAACCTACAGAATGGCAGAAAATTTTTGCAATCTATCCATCTGACAAAGGGCTAATATCCAGAATCTGCAAAGAACTTAAACAAATTTACAAGAAAAAAGCAAACAACCCCAACAAAAAAATGAGCAAAGGATATGAACAGACACTTCTCAAAAGAAGACATTTATGTAACCAACATACATATGAAAAAATGCTCAACATCACTGATCATTAGAGAAATGCAAATCAAAACCACAATGAGATACCATCTCATGCCAGTTAGAATGGCAATCATTAAAAAGTGAGGAAACAACAGATGCTGGAGAGGTTGTGGAAAAACAGGAACGCTTTTACACTGTTGGTGGGAGTATAAATTAGTTCAACCATTGTGGAAGACAGTGTGGGGATTCCTCAAGGATCTAGAACCAGGAATACCATTTGACCCAGCGTTCCCATTACTGGGCATATACTCAAAAGATTATAAATCATTCTCTGATAAAGACACATGAACATGTATGTTTTTTTTTTTTTTTTTTGAGACGGAGTCTCGCTCTGTCGCCCAGGCTGGAGTGCAGTGGCGGGATCTCGGCTCACTGCAAGCTCCGCCTCCCGGGTTCACGCCATTCTCCTGCCTCAGCCTCCCAAGTAGCTGGGACTACAGGCGCCCGCCACTACGCCCGGCTAATTTTTTTGTATTTTTAGTAGAGACGGGGTTTCACCGTTTTAGCCGGGATGGTCTCGATCTCTTGACCTCGTGATCCGCCCGCCTCGGCCTCCCAAAGTGCTGGGATTACAGGCGTGAGCCACCGCGCCCAGCCCATGTATGTTTATTGTGGCACTATTCACAATAGCAAAGACTTGGAACCTACCCAAATGTCCATCAATGATAGACTGGATTAAGAAAATGTGGCACATATACACCATGGAATACTATGCATCCATAAAAAAGGATGAGTTTACCTGCTTTGCAGGGACATGGATGAAGTTGGAAACCATCATTCTCAGCAAACTATCACAAGATCAGAAAACCAAACACTGCATGTTCTCACTCATAAGTGGGAGTTGAACAATGAGAACACATGGACACAGGGAGGGGAACATCACACACTGGAGCCTGTTAGGGGGTGGGAGGATATGGGAGGGATAATATTAGGAGAAATACCTAATGTAAGTGACGGGTTGATGGGTGCAGCAAACCACCATGGCACATGTATACCTATGTAACAAAACTGCACATTCTGCACCTGTAACCCAGAACTTATAGTATAATAACAATAAAAAAAAGTACATCCAAGAGCTGTGGATAATATCAAATATTCTAAGACACATGTAGTTAAAATCCTAGGAAAAGAGAAAAACAGTGGAATAGAAGAAATAGTTGCAGAAATAGCATCTAAGAATTTTCCGAAATTAATGACAGACACCAGACCACAAATCCAAGAAACTCACAAGACACAAGTAGGATAAACATGGAAACAACATAAAAGAAACAAACAAAATACACTTCAACATATATTCAAATCTCTGAAAACTAAAAGCAAAGAGAAAAATCTTGAAGGCAGAGAAAAATGACACATTGCCTAAGGAGAAACAAGGGTAAGAATTACAACAGACTTCTTGTCCGAAACAATAACAATGGAGTGATATATTTAAAGTGTTGAAAGAAAAAAACCATTGGCCCAGAATTCTATAGCCAGTGAAAATATCCTCCAAAAATTAAAAAAAAAAAAGACATTCACAGGCAAATGAAAACAGACATAATTCATCCCAGCTGACTCCCTCCACAAAAAATCTTTAAAGGGACTTATTCAGGAAGAGGGAATATGGCATTGGTTAGAAAACTGTATCTACACAAAGAAATGAAGAGTGTTGGAAATGGAAAAAGTGAAGGTAAAATTCTCTTTTTTTCTTATTTTAAATTGCTCTAAAAGATAGCCAAAAATTTAAAACAGTAATGGTAACAATAGATTGTATATTCATAACTTATGTAAAAGTAAAATAAGTGACAACAGTGGCACAAAAGATAGGAGCAACAATTGGGAAGAAAGCTGTTCGCACTAGATGTGAAGTGATTTAACAGTACCTGAAGGTAAACTCAGATTATTTCAAAATGTATATTTCAAACCCTAGGGCAATCTCTAAATATATATATATATATATATATATATATATATATTACACACACACATATATACACACACATATATACACACACACACATATGTGTGTCTGTGTGTGTGTGTAACAAGTAAATAGAACAGATGAAATAGACTAGGCAAAGATTTATTTCAACTTAATCTAAGCAGGCAAGGTAGGGATGAGCACTGCAAGGAATGGGAAGAACCACTGGGTTAAATTCCAGTGTATTGTGTGGAATCAGTGTCCACAACTACCTAATTTGTCCATAGCTTGTGCAAAAATCAGCTCTTCCTTTTGTTACTAGAAAAGTCCACCCATAGAATGAATTCTCCGAATAATTTCCTTGATCTTTCAGTTCTATCACTAATCCTCCAAGTCAATAGTGGTCAAGCAGTTTCATCAAAAACACTAGGCAAATTTGGTAAAAGTTTGTTGACCAAAGCAAAACCTAAATGATGTGGGATATTTATTAATGACAAACTACCATATGCCTTATATTGTATATTACACTGATGGCTTTTATCTTTTTAATCCATCTTCTACTTCTAAACAATAAAAAATTACCAAGCAGAGAAACAGACATGTACAAAATTATCTTCTTACTGATGCAACATTCACTTCTTTAAACTGATTAATTCATTGATCACTCATGACAATGAAGAAAAAGAGGGAGGGAGAAAATAAAGTGATTTCTCCATCAGGGTTGTCAGAATTATTGAAATAGAAACTCAAAGTACTCTTATCAAATTTGGAATAGCAATTTCCTTTAGAAAAAAATGGGTATTTATTCATCAGGAGACTTTATCAACAGGAGAAATCATGAACATATGGCCAAGGCATTGACTCCCTTATAATGAGAATTTGGAATTCTGGTTGCCATGTAAGCCATGTCCAAATTTAAATAACTTCACCAAAAGAAGGAAATTTCTCAAGAGAAACCAAACTGAAAGCACTAAAATACAACCATGCAACTGTAAATTTTCGCATGGAAACCACTTCTCCAGATGGCTGGGGCTCTTGAGTACAGTGTCATTGCTCCAGAGGCTAATTTACTGTCTATATGAACTTGAAAATGGTTCTTCTTCAGTGAAAGTTAAAGTTTCCATCCTCAACATTGGCCATTAATTATGTTTTCCAAGGAATTTCTGGTCTTTTTTAATAAAAAATCAATATCAGAAGAAGTACACACTAAATGTTTTAAATGCTTGCTTTAAAGAAATAATGTTTTATTTTTATTAAATAAAGCTTTTTTTAATCTAAAAATGTATGAAGAGATACAATGAAAATGAAAGCTAACCAAAGGGCCACAGTGTCCAAACTGGGTACTTCTAACAAAGGAGGTATTCCATGTGGCTGCACAAGTGCCTATGGCCCAGCTGCTGGCAATGGTGATGGGAATTCAGAGGCTGATCATAATTGTCTTATCTTTGCTGCAGAGTAGAGGCTTCCACTCCCTCATTCAGCCCTGCACACTGTTGAGAAAAGCCCCCACAAACATGCCCTGAGCACTCCCTGCCTGCCACACACTGGGCTAGGTGCTAGAGCCCCGACCTTGAAAATGAAACTACTCTTGTTTCAAAGAGATACCATCCCGGAGAAGAGGACAGATTGATTTAGAGGTGACAAAGGATGGCATTTCAAGTAAATGTCAACAAGCCTCCTGCCCAGTTACTTCTCAAATGAACCAAAATAACTCAATATAGACAAAAGGAAAAATAATCACCTACATGGAACTAGGAAAGTCTTACCTCATTCCAAGTTCTCTGAAGACTAACCCTCAGATACACCCCAGTTGAAATTGAGCTCAGAGACACAAGGTCAGCACAGTCAGCCACCCCAGTGGGGCTGTGTTGCGGGGCTGACAGAAAGGCACTCTGAATGTCCAGTATCCCCCAGCATGGAGTAGGGAGGCCCAGAAGCTCGACCTGATTTGGGCCAGGAGAGTAAATCCCCTATTGTAGTTTCTTCCACGGGCGTGGACAGCAAGACTGAAGCAGAAACTTTTTATCCAACAGGGGATGGGCTGAGGTCAGGAGACATCTAACTTCATTGTAATAGGCAACAGGTGACTCTATTGGGAAAAATACACTGAAGTCAAATCACAGAAAGTTCAGAGCCACGGGCAATTTTCTAATCTGACTTCTCACCAAGGTGCCAAATGTTATACAACATCGTATCTAATTTCACCATGTGAAGCTTAAAATCAACATTTTGGTGTAAAAACGACATTCTTGCTTCTTAATTACTGGTGATGTTTTTTAGGAGGCAGAACACAGACTCTAGTTCAAAAGACAGAAACATTAAAAACCAAGGAAGCTTTCAAGTAGAAACACCAAAGCTAGG
This sequence comes from Homo sapiens, assembly GCF_000001405.40. Lineage (NCBI taxonomy): Eukaryota > Metazoa > Chordata > Mammalia > Primates > Hominidae > Homo > Homo sapiens. The sequence continues at coordinate 44,402,197 of NC_000010.11, read as the reverse complement.
TCTTACAGTGTATATCTTATGCAATAAATATGAGTGTATAAGCCTAACCCAAAGGAGAAGGGACATCAGTCAGGACCAAAACAAAATAACCTAATTCCAGGTTACTTGTATTCTACAAAATATGAAATTAAAATAAAGGAACTTAGAAAGACTGAAAGCAGAATGAAGAGCAAAAATATTCCAATTCAATGTAAACAAATAGAAAGCTGAGTATCAATATTATACACAGTTACATTCATGACCAAAAAATATTGAAATTGTGTTCAATATAAAAAATATTGTATTTGACATAAATGTTCAACATAAAATATAAAATATTTTATAATATTTATTGCTTGATTGATTTAAAGATATAGCTGTCAAGAACCTTTATTTACTATATAGCATCATAGCATTAATAAATGTAGCAAAAACTGGAACAAATAAAAGGATAAATTTGACAAAGCACAAAATCATTGGAAGACTTCAGTGTAGCTCTCTCACTCAATCCTGTATGTCAAGAAATTAAGGAAGAGTGAAACAGAGAATCCAAATAATTCCATTAATAGATTGATCATATATATAACACACACATATATTCATATAAACATGTATGACATTTTATATATGTCCCCATGCCTTGTGTACAGAAAATGTGTATCCTTTTCTATTGTTCACAAAGAAAACCTCAAACTCAAAAGAAAAAGAAAAATAACAAAAACCACCTTCTTTAACATCAATAAAGGAAAACTAAAAATGCAAAACAAAATTTACTAATTGCAATAATAACACAGAACAATTCTGAACTTTTAAAAGCTCTTCCCTAAACAATACTTCAGTGAGAGAAAAACTGAAAGTCCCTCATGGAATTTCCTTAAAATCAATATTCCTTTTCATAATCTTTGGAATACTATTAAAGCTGTGTTCATAGAAAAATATATAGCCATTAATATTTTCAGTAAAAATATGAACCAATAAAAACAAATGAACTAGGTATTTTACATAATAATTCTTTTGATTAAGGTCACTAAAAAGAATATTAAAAATAGAATCACAGTGACAACAGAAAAGCCTCATACAATTGACCATGACATGAAAGGTATGTCTTTGGTGGCGGAGGAGAATGGAATAGAATGAAACAAAATGGAGTGCAACAAAATATTAATTCGCCCAGTCAAGGAAAACAAAAACAAGTAAAAGAAAAAGAAAGCAAGGAGAGAGAAAGGGGGAGGGAAGGAGGCAGGGGGCAAAGAAACAGAGTATGAGAAAGTACAAATAACCAGAGTACGAAAAAGAAGAAAACAGAATTACTTAAACATATCAATGACTCTGAAAACCTGAATGAAAAGCCGTTTTCTAGGAACATGCAAATGATCGAAATGGACTCAAGAAGAGATAGGAATGCCTAAATGGCAAATCAAACAGTTGTAAAAGAACTACAGCCCTCAAAAGCACTGGCTTCAGTGTTTTCAGGATGGGGTTTTTCAAATGCTGAATTCTGTTTAAACTGACCAAGAGCAAGAATGTTGGGGGAGGGGAGAGTCTGTAGATTCTTCTTTGGAAAGCTAATAGAATTCTGACATCAAAACCAAAAAAAGTTGCACAGAAAAAGGAAACTCCAGATAGCTCTCACAAACGCTGAGCATTGATCCTAAGTTAAATATTATCATAAATAAGAATAAAGAAATAAGAAGTGTGAAATGCACCTGTGTCAGTCAGCTTTGTGAATATCTTGCTTGGTCACTGGACCAAGCTACATTTCTGAAGCTGAGTGTGGGACTTCTCTGAAGGGAATGGATGGTCCTACTCAATATTGCGAAGCAGGAAGGAGCATTCAGGATGGGGCAGAGAGTTTGGGGGCTTGAACACCAAAACGTGGACAAACTTGGAACTTTTGTAGAGCTTGGATTTGGGAGGGAGATAGCAGATGGCTGGGGCAGAGACCACAGGGCAGGTCTGGGCCTTAGAGGTTGCAGACTCTTTAGTGAATTATTCTGCACCTCTATCATCTGGAACTCTCATAGAAGTGGAGGCAGAGAGAGCTGATGCCTGCTCCCAGGGGTGTAATGCAGAATGAGGACTGTGTTCACACTCGGGGACAGGAGTTCAGGGACAGTGCAGGTGGCCACCAGGGGTTCTGGGGGAGAATGGCGCAGGATCACTGGCTCACCAGGAGCCTGGTTGAGCATACAAGGACTTGAGATTGAACCTGGATGGCTGGGAGGCACTTTGGGAAAAAAAAAGGATAAAAAATGAAAACATAAAAACAGTATCAAAGAGAACTGTGCCGTGTTCTACTCTTTACCAAGACACTTTCCAACTTTCAGGCTGTTTTTTTATCAAGGTTCCAACAGTGACCACCCCCAGGGGCATGCCTCAGGCAGGCTGGGGGTTAGGGAGCCCACCCTTCCCCACTGGGCTCCCACACCGCATTGTCACTGGTCACTAAACAAGCCACTTGCCAGACCCCAGCCACTTACCTGAACCAAGCCTGTCCTTTTGCTAGGCTTTCTAACCTGAAGTGCTTTATTGGGGCCTGTGGGTCCAGCCCAGCTAGGGAACACCCCAGTGCCCTGCAGAAAGTGGTTTGTGTGAATGATGCAGAAAACCAAGAAGGTTACAAGGCAGAGCGTGATTGATTCCCTGGGGCTTTATTGTAATAACTTTAATCTTCTGGAACTCATCTGGTATGAATTTAGGAGCTGGGCGGCATTTCACTGAAATTCCCCATTAATGCAGCTCTCACTGCTCTGCCGGCCTTGGTGGTTGTGGAGTTTGCCACATGTATGATTTTGCCCTGGGCTCCTTATTAATGAGCCTTGAAAAGAGGGTGTGGAATACGTGAGCCCTTCAGCTGTGCTTTCCTTGAGGAGAAAACAAACAGAAATACCCACCTTGAAGTGCGTCTGGGCTCTGCCTTCCTGGAAAGAAAGCCAATCAACTTGGGCTTCCCAGGCCTCATTGCGGGTGGAGAAGCGTCTGACACTTGCATTGTCTCCGGCTCTTGGTGTTTACAGGTCAGGAGAGGGAGAGGATTGCTGAGGTCTTTGTAACAAACTCAGGTCCTTCTGCCACTGCGCCCACCAGGATTGATTTTTTAAAAGGGTGTGGGGTTTGGGGACCAGCTTCCCCTATTTTCACAGCTCTCCTGGCCAAATCTAACCAGGATGTCCTGGGTCACATCCCATTCCAGCCCCTACTTACTGTGCACAGCTCCCCTAACGCTCTCCTCACTTTCATCCCTCGGTCCATTGAATGAGCACTTCCAGGTGTGGCCTCTAAGGGTCCTCTGTGCTTTGCATCCCTGGACGTTGGGGCACCAACATGGAGCAAGCAGAGGCCCTGGGGGCACGAGGCCTCGCTCACCCTCTGAGCTTCAAGTTCAGAGCCTTGTTTGCAAAACTGCCTGCCTGCAGATGAAAAATTAGCTGCATTCAGGGAGTGGAATGAGGAGCCATCGGTTCACCTTATTGTCTCATGCTAGAGGGGCTTTTAAAATAAATGTAAAGCAAGCGGGGCTTGCCCTTGTCATCTTCATAATCCTGTGTACTGACCAGCCGAGACGGTAAGCATCCTGACACCTCAGTGTGCCAAGTGCATGCCACTTCACAGTTTACAAGGCACCTTCACATACACTTAATCTTTGCATCAAAAGGCTCCACTCAGCCTTATTTGCAAGTGAGGATGCTGGCTCGCAGGCCAGGTCCAGTGCCGTTAATTGACTTTCCCCAGCACTTTCCCCAGAACACAGCAGGAGGAGCTGCCACCTGACAAAGGCAGGCAGTGTGGCTCTCACAGGCTCTGACCAGACAGCCCAGATTCATCCCGGCCACTCACTGGGTGAGCTGGGTGAGTTACTTACATTGCTTAAGCCAATTTCTTTCTTAATTTAACAAATGGTGATAAAATCGCCTGTTTCGTAGTATCCTTGTGTCAATTACCATAGATAACATATACCCGTTTCCCAGGAGGGTGCAGACCATAATAGATGCTCTGGAAACCTAAGTTCAATGCCAGCTTCTTTCCCATGTGGTGTTCACATGCTGAAAGTATTGCGCCAACCTTTAAAGACAGGGTTGAGAAAGGGAATGGTCAACCATGGGCTTCGTAGCACATCTGCCTGCAAGCCTGTGGTGCTCGGACTAGGTGGCTGATGTTGCCTGTGCTGTCTGTGTCTGGAGCTGCCTGCTGTGGGCTCAGGACCGAGGGGCTCCTGTGGACCTGGAGTTCTGGAACTTACAAGGTAGCCATATGAACCCCTGACACCACTCTTTACCCACACTGGGCTTGCCAGGCTGATGACTCAGAAGAAGGGCATGATTGCCTATGCCCAGATGTCCCAAGTATCCTACTAGGTTTTGAAAAAAGCCGGTAATAAGGACAAGGGACCAGTGCTTGTCTGGAGCCCCGTGGCAGCCCCTGGCTAGCTGTGAGAGCCTAGGTCAGACTTCAAACTTTGCTGACCCCTAACAACAGCCCTCCCCCATTCCCTGCCCCAGGCCTCATCTGCATTCATTCTAGCAGCTGGATGGGAGAGGGGGAGTGGGGGAAGCTAAGTTGCAGGGACCCTCCACCAGGACCAGGCAGCAGTGGCCACATGACCCAGCTCTACTGAAGCCCTGGCTGAGCCCAGTGCACAATCCCTCCTCAGAGGCTGGGGCCAGGCTGCAGGGCTCTCCTCCTCCATTTCAAGTATATAAGAATAGACAGAGAGGTGGGAGAGAGGGAGATTTAGTCTTGTCTCCCTTCCCCTCCCCTCCCCTCCCCTCTCCTCCTCTCCCTTCCCCTCCCCTCTCCTGTCCTCCCCTCTTTCCCTTCCCTTCCTGTACCATCCCATCCCCGCCCATTCCTCCACCTTGGCCTAAGTTAATTCTGTTGGATTTTAGTCACCTGTGACTGTAAAACCGTTTGACTGATACAAAAGCCCTCGCAAAAGGTTTGTAGACACTCTGTTCCAACAAGCCGGTGGAATTTTTATATTCCTGCTATTTCCATCATAAAAAGCTCTTTAAAATACATTTCATCTTAAACCTGGCCCATGAAACTCCACCGAATTCCCAGAGACTTCACAGAGGTCCCATCACCCTCCCATCCAAGCTGGCTGCCCACACACAGGGGCCTCCTGTGTGCAGGGACTCCTCAAAGTCCACGTCCTATGCCCTCCCTGGCCGGGCTCCTCTTCTAACACAAAACCCTCCTGAGCAGGGGTTTGGCAGAGCAAGGGGTAGACTGTGGATGCTGTGATTCCCCACCACAGACCACCAGGTCTGAAGGACGAGCTTCCCCCCAGTGCTGGGAGAGCTCCTGGCTGACGGCCACCAGCCTTCTCCATGGAGCCTGAAGATGGCCCCTCAGGCACCTCCTACACACAAAACTGCTCTCCTGGCTGCCCCCAGCACGAGCCCCATGGCCTTACCCTCATTCTTTGTTTCCTAAACCCTCTTGCTCCACCCACCACATCTCTACTTCTTAATCTTTGCCTCCTTCAACATTTAGCTCAGATCCCCTCCTTCGTGAAACCTTTCAAATTGCCCCAGGGGCAACCCACTCAGCTCTGCCGCCCTCTCCCTGGCTCTTGTCCTGGGACTCTTGCAAATTCTAGTTGTAGCCCAAGACTCCAGTCCCAGCTGAGAAGCAGTCAGTCATGCTGAGAGGCCTCCTCCTTCCTGCCCTGAGATGGCTTGTGCAGCATGACAGGGAAAGCTGGGATTTGTAGCTGACCGTGAGTTCAGATCCCGTCTTTTCCACTCACTGGTAACAAACTCCCTGAGCCTCGCTTTCCTTGTCTCCAACAACATATAGGCACTGGGATGCCAATCAGGTCACTCGGGAGAAGCAAACTCAGGAAAAGTGAGTATGGGGAGGGGCAGGGAAGCTGTTGAGTGTTCCAGGACAGGAGTGGCCCGACGTTTCAGGTTCTTTCCCCAAACTGATCCCGGGAAGCAGGGGCTTACTGGACAGGAGTGCAGAGCTGAACGGTGGCTGCCAGCTGGCCTGGCTCACCACTGAGCCTCTCTCCCCAGGCTGACCTGCTGGAGGTAGAAATGTGGCCTCTGAAGGCCCCCAAATCCACAACCAAAAAGGCCAAATGAGTTCTGCCTAGAGGCCTGGGTGTGGGGTGGAGATGCCCAGTGCACCTCTCCCCTCCGTGGTTAGGATCTGAGCTAAACTTGGCATCTGCCAAGCAGCTCCCTCAGTCCTGCCGAGGACACTGGGAGCCAGGCCAGGCTAGGCAGCAAAGGCTCTTCCCAGGGGCACCCAGTGGCACCCCACTTCTCTTGGCATGGACAGTGTCCCTCTGAGCCCAAAGTGGGGAGTGGGCCACTGTAAGGCCTGACTGCTGGCTCTCCATCCAGTTTCTTCCTTTTTTTTACATACAAACTAAACACATCCACCATCTGGCAACCTAGGGAGATGGAGGTCAAATTTTGCACACGTGAAGCATTTCCGCCTGAATAAACAAGTTCCTTTTTGTTTTTTTTGTCCTCTGTCATTCCTGGAATCAGTCCAGCTGTTCACCACCTAGGTACCTCCTGGCCCCAGATGTCCTCTGGGGCAGGCACCAGCACACACCTGCGCTATGGGGACAGGGGGAAGGGAAGAGGAGGGCCTCATTTCTATGGCCTGGGAGGGAGGGAGAAACAGGTGGCAAGCACATCCTGGCCTGGCCCTGCCCTCAGCTGCTCCTGCTGGGCTCCTGGAGGCAAAGGCTTGTCCAACAATGAGGATGGACACAGACACATATGTGCACCCTCTGCCTCCTACCACAGGGCTGCTCCTGGAAAACGTATTCCCTCTCTGGACCTCTGCGCAGTCCTCTCCTCTTCCTTCCCTAAGCCCCCCTCTGCCTCCCCCAACTCCCTTCCCTTCTTCAACACTCACTGAGGGCTGGCCCCTGGGTAAAGAGACCAACTTATCTTTGCTTTCATCTTCCATGGTTCCTGGGCCTGCAGACAGACTGGTTCCCACAGAAACCATGATTGCCCAGATTCCAGGGGGTGGTGATTACAGAAAACAAACTCCCATTTAAGGACCTGTTCAGGGGGCCGAGCTGAAAGCAGCAATGGCATGGGGACTTCAAACCTGTTTCCCTTGACACTCAGGAGTGCCCCAGGCCTGGCTGTGTGCAGACACCTGCCTGAAACCCCCCTTGTGTTAAGACTAAGGTGGCTTCAGAAACCCAGGGAGCCTGTAGGAGGGAGGCAGTGACTGTTGGGAGGAGATTGTCTTGTGTCTTGCTAAGGTCGCATCTAAAAGGGATCCTGCAGAAGCACCCAACAAGCTACTCTTTGCAAAACCTGACCATACTCCCAGCCCTCTCAGCTCTGCACCCACCTTTAGAGACCACAGAAGCCAGGGTGTGAACCCCCCCAGGTGCTCTGGTGCCCCACCACCACCTGAGTAACCTCCTTCAGGTCTGTAGTCCCAGAGTCCTCACTGGCGAAATGGGGATGGGAACCCGGTAGTTCCATGGGAAAGAAAAATGCACAGGACACTTCCTTCATAAACCAACTAGAGCTCTCCATGAGAAGAAGCAAAGATGAAAAAATTTTAAATGCTGCAATTCCCTGCACTTCTGCAGGACAGAAAAATGTCATCCTCAGAGCTTCTGGTGCCTCCACAAAAAAAAAGCAGACCCTCACCCCCACCTCCAGGTTCTCTAACCACCCAAAGGCTCTTTGAATTATTCCATTCTAAGAACTGGTGTCTGCACATGACCTTACCCATGAGCATTTCGGGTCTTCAAGGGCAAGGCTGAAGGAGCCCCTCTTCAGGAGGACTGAGAGCCATGCCTAGTGCCCCCCAGGAAGGTGCTGGCTGGCATGTAAAAGTGGGAGCAGGTGCTGTGGCACACCTGGGTGACCAGCCCATTGCATGCTGCAGCCTCCAGCCAGCCTGGGCCTCTGAGGCTGTGCAGACCCCATGACTGGCTGTGGGCACACACCAAAGGGATCCAAGCCTTATTCTGGTCTTTGTGGTCAGCTGTTCTGTAAGTTTATTAAACTCCTCCAAGCTCTCAGGCAGAGCCTAGCTGTGATGCAACAGATCCCTACACCATACCAGTGAATGAACCCTGAAGTAGGCCAGAAGGTCAGGGGAGAGTCTGCACTTCTGCACCCAAAGCAACCAAAAACCAAACACTTCTGCAGCCAGACCAGGGAGCATGAGGGGAACATGCAGGGCCATAGCATGAGCCCTGGTCAGAGCCTCAGCTGCACTGCTGGTTCCTGTGGTGTTGGGAAGTTACCTCCCTCTCTGATCTGAAAATGGGATAAGCACGCTTGCTCTTCAATGCCGCTGCTAAGTTCATATGAGCTGCTGTTGTGGCCTGCCTATGCGATCTTTTGGGTCTATCTAACATCTGGGTACGCTGAGGTTGTTATAGGGGCTGGCACAACTGTGGCCATCTCTAAAGGCAGCTTCATGTTTGGTCCCTGGGGAAGGAATGCCTGTCTTTGCAAGTTTAAGCTTTGATTTTAAATTTCTATTCAGACTTCAAGATCTCTTCTGGGTCTAATTAGCTCTACCAAGGTGCATGAAGCAGCCACACTATTAAAACTCTGCTCTCTCCACGTGGTGGTATACCAAAAAAGGATGAGCCTCCCAGAGCTCTAGGGTAAAATACAGCTGACAAATGCACCAACCAGAGGCGCTGTTGGCCAGGGCACAAAGCTGATAATGGCCTGGGTGTGCAGGGGCCTCACCCCTGCAGCCAGGACAGTACAATGTGCTTTTCTTGGCATACTCTGGGAAGGGGTGCCTCACTCCTCCTGAGTTATAAGCACTCAGGGTTTGCACTTCCTGCTCGAAACCTCAGCTCCAGTCAACTGGTAGACAGAATTATACCCATGCTGACCTGATGAAGAAGCCGCAGAAGTAAATATTGCCTTGGGTCAGGGCCCCTCCTGGAATTCCAGAACTCTGTTGAAAGCTGCCGAGGCAGGGGTAATAGATCACCACCACCCGCCTCCGTTTACAACCGGGTAATGTCTTTTATGACTGCCTCTCTCTATTCTGAATATTTATTTTATTGCCCCTGTAGGCAGATTTTTCCATTTGGTAAAAATCATCAGATGGTTTCAGTCATGTTAACAACTGCTCATTAAATGCAGAGAAGTAAACAGAGAAATAAAGGTTTGTTTTTTCCCTATTTTTTTTCTTTCTTTGTAATTTATGGAGGATACTCATGGGATGGGCACTGTGGGATGAAGTGTGCTCAGATGCTGCTCTCCTCATCTCCTGCCTGGGTGGGCTTTCCCTAGGAAACCCTCCCTGCCCATAAGAGAAGGCCATTCCTTCAGCAGAGAAAGGTGAAGGTTTTGATCTATTTCAAGGCTAAAATTTGCTGAGTGATCTCCAGGTTTTGAGCTTTTGGTACTTGCTTCTTTTTTCCTGTGGTCCAGGAAGCAGGAGGCATGTCTTTCTGTTCCTTATGGAAAATATCGCTCAGGACTAAAGCAGTTGGAGAGGACTGGTGTGGAGGGGGTGAAGGGGAAAGCCAGATGGATGGGTGGATAGATAATTGGCTGGACAGATGGATGGAGCTATGACTGGCTGGCTGGATGGATGGATGGTGTAGGATGGATGGAGTGATGGATGAGTGGATGGATGAGCAGATGGATAATTGGCTGGATAGATGGAGGGGTGCACGGATGAATGGAGGCATGGATGAAAGAATGGATGGATGGATGGGTAGATGGTGTTGGATGGATATATAGATGGATAACTGGGTGTTTCGGTGGGTGAATGATGAATGGATTAATGTATGGGTAGGTGGGTGGATGAATGGATGAATGGATGGACGGATGGGTACATGTGTTGGATGGACGTATGGATGGATGACTGGGTGTTTCAGTGGGTGAATAGATGAATGGATTAATATATGGGTAGGTGAGTAGATGAATGGATGGATACCTCAGAGGTATCCCCACCTGAGTCCATCTCCCACTTACATCCCCTAGGCCAGGCTGCTGGTGAAGCCCGCATTTGCACTCAGCCTTGAAAGCCTCTCTCAGTAGCCTCTGTGTACAGCCCAGTTCAGATCATCCATGCAGTAAGACTACAGACACCCCGCCACAGGGATGTAGGGTGGAGAAAGAAGTAAAAACTCCTCTTCCAAACAAGGAGGGCCAGTGGAGCTGGAATCCTGGCTTTTCTAATTGGAAGGGACCATCTGTGCAGGCAGCAGACCCAGCTCCTCCTTTACAACCCACAGCAGCTCTTGAGCTCTTTCCTCTCCTGCAGAATCCCACCAGCCCAGGATATTGCTCACGTGGCCCTCTTCCCTGAGATATTTCTCCCCTCCTTCTCCACCCACAGCTCACCCACCTGAAATAGATGGAAAGAGTGTCAGTAGCTGGGCATCATACACATCTGCCGGGACCAGAGGAAGAGCAGGGCTGGTGATATTGGGGATAAGAGACCTGCCTACCCTTGCTTCAGGCATGGCCAGGACTATTTCTGGAAGGGTAGGGTTGGGGCAGGTGCTGTGTTACACTGCTCAACCCAGAAAGAAGAACAAGAAAAGATCATTCCTATATTGCTTTCATGCACCACTTTCTAGCATCTCTGTGTTAATAAAACTCAAGAAATCCTCTCAATGAAAAAAAAAAGTGACTCCATAACTTCCCTTCCCAACCTCAACCACATGTTCTGAAGGTTCAGGCAGAAGACCACAAGGCGGGGGGCTGTGGCAATGTGACAAGCATAGACTCTGCAAATGAAAATACAGGATGCTCCGTTAAACCTGAATTTCAAACAAACACTGATAATTCTTTTTAATAAGTATGCCCCATGCCCCATGCAATGTTTGGGACACACTGATACTTAAAAACAAAAAGAAACAAACAAACAAAAAACAAATACACAAAATCCCTTGCTTTTTTGTGAAATTCAAACATAACTGGGCATGCTGTGTTTTATGTGGCAAACCAGCTCTTTCTCCTTCACCAGGAACAGCCCTACTTCAGAGTGGATTTAAACTCCATCCCTGACAAATAATAGTTTTGTGATCTCTGTCCCTTATTTCAGGGAATGGCCTTGCCATTGAACCCACCTCATCAGCTAGATGCAAGGAGAAAGGTGACAGAAGGCACGCAGCACAGGGTGACTCCAGTGTCAATGCTGTTCACACTCTCAGTGTGCACACTCTGGGGTTTCTGATAGGTAGGAACTGATGTATACTCCAGTATGAGAACCTTCAGTGGATCCCCAGCTGCTGAGTCCAGTCTGCCCAGAGGCAAGGGGAATAGGAGAGAGGGGTGGGGCTAGGAAAGGGAGGCAGAAGGAATCCAGGCCTGACTGTGGTGACTGAGCACAGGAAGGGTTCACTACTTGGTTCCTGGGAACTGGTGTGGGGACTGGGAGCACAGATCTGAACCCCTGGGGCCTTGGGTCTGATTTGCCCTATGAGCCCTGGTAGTCCGACAGTCCCGGGGAATGTCCCAGGAAATACCAACTGTGCTATTGTGAAATATATATTTGGTCTTTGTCCCAGCTTCCTGGCATGCAGCTCCTAAAATCTTTGGTTTACTTGACTGATGGCTGGCAACCCTTGGGTAGCTTCAGGATGGAGGCTAGTCATCAGAAAGACCAAGCAGGATTAGAAGGCGGGAACTTATAGCCCCACCCCATCAGCCTCTGAGGAAGGAAACAGGGCTGAAGGCTAAGTTACCAATGACCAGTAATGTAATCAATCATGCCTATGTAATGAGCTTCTATACAAACACAACAAAGCAGGGTTCAGAGGGCTTCACGACAGTGGAGGTTCCTGGAGGATGGTGCCTGGAGAGGGCATGGAGGCTTCATGTCCCCTTCCCCCATACCTCGCCCTATGCATCTCTTCCCCTGTAGCCTTCATAATATCCTTTTTTTTTTTTTTTTGAGACAGAGTTTTGCTCTTGTCACCTAGACTGAAGTGCAGTGGTGTGATCTTGGCTCACTGCAACCTCCGCCTCCCGGGTTCAAGAGATTCTCCTGCCTCAGCCTCCCAAGTAGCTAGGATTACAGGTGCCCGCCACCAAGCCCAGTTGATTTTTGTATATTTAGTAGAGATGGGGTTTCACCATGTTGGCCAGGCTGGTCTTGAACTCCTGACCTCAGGTGATCCACCCACATCAGCCTCCCAAAGTGCTGGGATTACAGCCGTGAGCCACCACGCCCAGCCCATAATACCCTTTTTAATAAACCAGTAAACATAAGTGCTTCCCTGAGTTCCATGAGCTGTGGTAGCAAATTAATGAAACCCAAGGATGGGGTCATAGAAACCCTAATTTATGGTCATTTGGTCAGAAGCACTGGGAAAACAACCCAGGGCTTGCAACTGGTATCTGAAGTAGGGGCAGCCTTGTGGGACTGGGGCCTCAACATGTGGGGCCTGAGCCTACCTCCAGGTAGATCATCTCAGAGTTGAATTGAATTAGAAGACAGCCAGCTGGTGTCTGCAGCTGAAGGACTACTGGCTTTGTATGTGGGGAATCCCCGCCCCCCCCCCCACACACACACACACATCTGAAGTCACAAAAGTATTTTGTGTTGTGAGAGTAAGGAGAAACTGAGTTTGTTATTCTTACATTCTCAGATCCCCCTGCCTCAGCACTGTCCAGCAAGGAAGTCTTTGGGCAGAGCCTGCTCAGACAGAAGTCCTGGCCTGCTAGACGTGCACATACCCTGACGGTAAGCCTTGCTTGCCCACACATGTGCCCAGAACCAGTGGGGATCAGCTCTGCCTCCCAGGGGTCCTTCCCTCTAGGGCAGCCTGGGGCTGTTTGCAACTGGCTCTTGAGGCCAGTGGGGATCTAGACAGGAAAAACATGGCCAGCTGGTCAAATGCCAAGTCCTGGCCCTGGGTACGGGATTCCAAAAGGCTCCCTGGATGACTGCCATGGGAGTGACTTATGTCCCCAAGAGTGCTTTCAGGACCTGGCTGATGTTCCAGGATCCAGAGACGTTGGCCCCAGAGAGATGTACCCTTGCTCCTGCCTGGCTCTGTCATGTTGGCCGAGGCCCTCAACTCTGAGCCTTGGGCTCAGAGCCCATGGAGACTTGGGTTCCATGTCTTCAAAGCTGAGACAGTGGGGCTTATACTGCAAGCTCGGTCTTTGAAAGTACCAAATTGACAAATTCAAAGAAGGCAAACTAAAGTCCTATGTAAGTCCACTGTTCAGTATCTTCCTAAGGGCCTTCTCTGGGCCAAGTGGTTTCACACTGACCAAATCCACCATGTCAGCTAATGTACCTGCTGCACAGATGACATCAGCAAGGCGGTGAGGATTTGTCTTCCTCACCGGGCTTCCTGGTTCCTGGAATAGGCCATCTGCTCCTGAACCCCAGGGCCAGGTGCCAAAGGAGTGAGGGCAGATGTGGGTGGTTGGGAGGGGTCCCTCCAGGACTGCACGGGAGCTGGGAGAGGAGCACTCCTGGAGGGGTGGCAGGGCCAAGGGTATCCAGGGATCCCATAGGGCCCCACAGTCTTCCTATGACCTGAGCGCTCCTGGACCAGCGTTCTCCAGCCTCACCTGGCAGGCAAGTGAGGAAGACATCGTGCCTCCCTTGTGTGATTTTATGTTTCAGCACTTTGGAGCCAAATACTTATTTCAAGAGGGGGATTGCGGTGGGAGGGTGTCAAGTAATACAAAAAATATTCTTCATGTAGAAAAGGTTTTCAAATTTCAGATCTATTTGTATTGCTGTCAAAATTTTTGCTATGTCTCCAGCCACCTAGACTAGCACTTGCTATGTTAGCTTCAATTGACTTACTTTTTAAAACTTGAACCATATATTAAAAAAAAAACCTGAGCAATATCTGAAATATCTGCCTTTACTGTGCTAGTTATATTTTTTCTTATTACTTTAAAAAAATAAATACATAAATCTATATTTTATAGATTTCAGAGTACCACCTGAAGTCACCTTGTCAATTACACACTGTACAACATGGATTTAGTGTAAACCTTCAATCCCTACTGGGAACCCTCTTGCAGGCCCAGCCGTTGGGCCCTGGAGGAGTGAACGGCCCAGGCCAGGCAGAGGGGGGTAGGCAGATGCTGCCTAGGGGTCTAGAGACCATAGCACACATGCCAGCTCAGGAGATGCCCTGCCTTTAACTCAGCAGCCAGACCCCTGCCTCCCACCTTGAACTGTGCTTAACAAGGCATCCCTGAGGAGCCGCTGTGCCCTGCATTACCTGGTAGAGCGGCACAGAGTCTGAAGACTTCAGGAGAAGGTGGGGCTCTATGGGGAGTAAGAGTCCCCAGGCAGAGAAAGAAAGGTGGAGCCTTTTGAGCATAAGCATAAGCAAAGGACACAGGGAAAGGGGTGGGGAACTTCGCTGACCCGAATTTGAGAGGTACCCCTGTGGCCGAGTGAGCTGGAGACATGTCAAAATGGCCTGGTCTGATGGCCGCCTGCCTGTGCAGGCGGTGCGGAGGCCCCCAGAGTGTACAGGGTTTTATTTTATTTTATTTACATATTTACATATTTATTTATTTATTTACATATTTGTTTATTTATTTATTTTTGAGACGGAGTCTCGCTTTGTCACCCAGGCTGGAGTGCAGTGGCGCCATCTCGGCTCACTGCAAGCTCCGCCTCCCGGGTTCACGCCATTTTCCTGCCTCAGCCTCCCGAGTAGCTGGGACTACAGGCGCCCGCCACCACGGCCGGCTAATTTTTTTGTATTTTTAGTAGAGACGGGGTTTCACCGTGTTAGCCAGGATGGTCTCGAACTCCTGACCTCGTGATCCGCCCGCCTCGGCCTTCCAAAGTGCTGGGATTACAGGCATGAGCCACCGTGCCCGGCCAGGGTTTTAAATTTCAATCGCCAATTGTAAAATTGTGAGGCTTGTACCTAAAATATGGATCCTTGGCCACCCTATTTAAAATCCTAACTCCCACCCCACTTTCCTCTGCTCCATCTTCCCCTAGCATTTAATGGCCTTCTAAGTATTTTATGCGTAATTACTTATGCTTAGCGCCATGTGCTTCTAAACGTTTAGTGCCTTTTCTAAACTACTTCAAACATGTAGCCCAGGTCTAGCACATAGTGGGTGCTCAGTAAGTATTTAACGAACGACTAGCGGAAGGGATGGCCCCATGGGTGCCACAGTAGCTTCTGTTCTGGGGCCTCAGGGCGCCTGCGGGAGGGGCAGCGGCCAGGCCTGAATCCCTGGTTCGCCCTCGACTCAGCCCACGCGGGCCTTTCAGGCTTCTGGGACAGATCCTAGGTCCAGCTGCCCACCTGATTTTGTGGCAAAGAAAAAAAGAAGAAGAAGAAGCGAGAGGCGATGGCGTTTGCTTTGGCCAGATTTAAGGGCAAGCGAGGCTGCGCGCGGCTCCCGCAGGGTCGGATCTCCGAGCTCCAGGGCGCCCCTCCACCCGGGTGTAGATTTCCCGCGGACCCCTTCGCCCTCCCGGGTTTCATCAGCTGCGCAGGAATGGAGCTGGCCAGAGCTCTGGGAGCGGGGAGGGAGGCGCCGCCACCAGAGGGCGCCGGAGCCCCAGCGCTGCGGCCGGTGAGCGGCCAGGCTCCCCGGCCCAGCCCAGCAAAGGCCTGGGGACGCCCGACGGCTGCCTTCTTCACTGGACCTCACTGCCTTCAGTTCTTTAAGAGCAGGGCCAAGTCAGTGGGGTTCCCGGCTCCAAGCCCAGTGCCCAGGGTGGGTGGGTGGGTGGGTGGGTGGGTGGATGGATGGATGGATGGATGGATGGAGTGCCGGCCCACAGCCATCTAACGGCCAAAGTGGTTTTGGAAAAAAAATGCACAGAAGACACCTACTCCCACCAGCGGAGTTCCGGAGCCCTCGCAGCCTCCTGTTGACCGCTCCCGCCTAATGCAGCCGCTGACCGCCCACTCCCCGACGGCCAGGACTCCCCAGGGACAGGGACGTGTCCCCAGGGCAGGCCCCTGGATGGACGCGGCGACTGACCCCACTTCGCTGGACGCTGTGCTGGGAAGGACACAGAGAGGTGGCTGGGGCAGCCTGCGGTCACAAAGCGAGGCCCAAAGGGGCGCTCTCCTCACCCCCACGTCTCCTGGGTGCCGACCTGCACCCTCCCTTCGCCACCGGACTGGGGCCATCTGGGATGTCTCGGGGGTATCCGGAGGGCTAAGCACCGCCGAGGGACGGCTCCGTGGGAAGAGTTTTCTGGACCCAGAAGGCAGACGCCAGTAGTACTGTCCTAGGAGTCGGAGGTCGGGGTGGGGGAGTTCTCAGCTCTTTGGGTCGCACGGAGCTTTTCTTGGGTAAGGCAGTAAGTACTTAGGTTTAAAGGACTTACTTACAGCTACCATTTATTGAGTACTGTCTGCTTGTCAGACACGATGCAGAGAATTTCGCGGCGTGGGGCGGGTCTCATTGAATCTCCCGTCCCACTCCGCGGGGTGGGCCTGTGATTAGCTCATTTCACCATTGAGAGGTCGGAAGTACAAAGGCTACATTCGCTTTTACTGAGAGCCGCCGGCGCCTTCTGCTTTGTTTGTACAGGCGAGGAAACTGAGGCTCGGCTGGTGGCGCCGTGGGCTTGGAGTCCGAGCCACGCTGACTGCAAAGACGGGTCTCATTCCCGCAGATCGAGCTCTGCCGGCGGCTGCGCCGCAAGCCGGGCAGGTGGCGAGCTTGAGCCCCCACGCACAGAAAGCAGGACCCCCTCGGCTGCCTTGGGCCGCCACCGCCAGCAGGCCCTCCGCCCGGGACTAACTTGTTTGCTTTTCATTGGTTCTCATTCAGTTCCCGCCATCGAAAGGCCCCGTCCCGCAGCTTTCCACGCGCGCCCCACTTTACGCCTAAGGTCCTCAGTCTCTCCAGTGGGGCCCTGTCACAGGGACAATAAGCGGCCCTCCAGCCGGCGTCGCTCAGGCTGCGGACCTCACTGCAGACCGGGCCAGCGGTGCGGGGCCCAGCGGAGCCTGAGAAGGTCAAAGGCCGGAGCGCACTGCGCCTCGGGAGCACAGAGGGAGCGGAGGAGGGGCGAAGGGGATGGGTGGGGGGTGCCGCCGAGGGAGTCGCGCGTCAGAGACCCCGGCCACGGCCAGCACTCGGCTCCGGGCCCGCCCCTCACCGCGCGCCCCGCCCCGCCCCGCCTGGCTCTCCCCTCTAAAGCGCCCGGCGCGCGCCTCCCACCGCCGCACTTTCACTCTCCGTCAGCCGCATTGCCCGCTCGGCGTCCGGCCCCCGACCCGCGCTCGTCCGCCCGCCCGCCCGCCCGCCCGCGCCATGAACGCCAAGGTCGTGGTCGTGCTGGTCCTCGTGCTGACCGCGCTCTGCCTCAGCGACGGTAAGTGCGCTCGGCGGGGAGGCCCTGGCGAGGCTCTGGGCTTCGGCTCCCGCCCGGCGCAGAGCCGCGGCTCCTCTGCCTGCGCCCGCAGTTTGCGCCGCCCGACACAGTGGGGGTGGAGGCAGCTCGCTTAGCTGGGCGCTCTGGTGCGGTGTCGCGTTCAAAGCCCTACTTTTGCGCCGAGGGTTTGTGACCTGCAGAGAGCGACCGCCTGACCTCAAGCTGGCTGCAGAGCGAGGTCAGCCGGGACAACTGGGCAGGAACGCCCCAAGAGAGCGTTCGGGACTGGCGCGGGAAGGCGCGAGGGTGGGGAGCCGCGGACCCCAGACCCCTGCCTGCCCACCCTCCACCCACTGCCTTCCCGCTGCGGGCTCGGTTTCCACAGGCGAATGGGCTCCGAGGTCCTGCTGCGCACAGTGCTGGAGGTCGGGCGGTGCATGGCGAGAGCGCGCTTTGCAAAGTTCGCCTCATGCCGCGACTTGAGGCTGTGAGGTCCGATGCAGCCGCGCAGCCTCCGCTCCCTGCGAAGCCGATCCTCTCCCCACACCCTCGCGGGGCTCTTGGCCAGGCGCGGGCGGGCTGCGCGGCGCAGCTGTCGGGCTTGTGCCACCCGCCAGGCCGCGCTTCTGCACAGCTCCGCGGTCCGCAGCGACGCGGACCTGGGCGCGCGTCCAGCCGCTGTCTTCCTGTCTCTTCTCGGGTTCACCTGAGAGAGGCCCAGGGACCCTCCGAGCCTCACACGCCCCCTCCCCAGCTCCCCAAACACACCTGCAGACAGGCTCTTTTGTCACCAGCTGGCCAAGCGCTTTGCCCCAGAATGAGAGCTGCAGCAAAGTTCAATCTCCAAGGCCCTGGGCCACTGGGAACCGTGGTGTCCCGTTTCACTGGGAGAGGGCTTTTTTCTTTTCTTTCGCTGAAGAGAAACTCGCTGCGCTGTCACAGGACACCGATGCAAACCAAAATAAACTGTTGCCTCTGAACACACAAAACAAAACCCTGTGGCTCAGGCCGCTGAGCTTCCTTGGCTGTGAAGTTTCCTGCAAAGAGTTGAAGGACACTCTGAGTGCTCTTGCAGCCGCGGGCTGTGCAGGCCCAGCGCGCCTCGAGCCCTTGGCTGGGTTGGTGCAGACGTGGCCCCGGCGTCCTAGCTGGCTTGGACTGTGCGCTGGTGTGAGCAGGACCAGCGCAGCTGAGTCGGGCTGGAGAAGCTGGGCAGCCTGGGGTCGTGGCGGACTGCCTAAGTGTTAAGGACACAGACTGAAGGCAATTGGGAATGTTCGTCGTTGATGAAAAGTCCCTGAGGCTGTGTCTGCACACTGACCCCCCCCCCCCCCCGCAAGTCATGGGGCATGTTTCTAGTTTTTATTGCTGGATATTCTTCTGTTCCTGTAAGGTCTCTGGTTTGGGCAGTTATTGACTGATTGGTGGGATGAGCGCGGAGGTGTCACAGTGCGCCGCTCTGGGAAATGGTGCTGCCCCCTCCCCGGAGGGCTGGAGAGAGGATTGGAATGAGGAACCTCGGTCTTTGAGTTATGGGTGCAACTGACCTGGGGGAAGCACAGAGACGTGGGGTTCATCCCAGACTCCTCCTGGCCTGGGAAGGGTGACATGGCCCTCAGAGTTGCCCCATTGGCAGCCAAGTAACCAGGGCAGGAGCCTGGGCTCCAGGCAGATCTGCTCCTTACACACATCGCCAGAATGTTTTGTTTTGTTTTGTTTTCCCCTCACCTCACAGTGCCTATGTGCCCCCTATCCCCACACTTAGTCCTCAAGCTGCACTACAGAGAGAGCTTGGCCAGGGGTCCTGCCCCTCCCCCATTGGCTGACTTCCGTCAGGCAGCTGGGCCCTTGGGTTTCCCGGGCTTAAACTCAGGGTGGGCCCCCTTCCCAAGCCTGCTTGGAGGGGCCAGCTGGGCTCCTGTCTCTGCATTAGACTGGAGGGCTTTCTGAAAACTCCTGGAGCCAAGCTCACCCGGTCCCAAATCCGGGGTACCATCAGAGCCAGTCAGGACTCTTGCCGGTACACGGATTTACATCCAGAACGGTTGGGAAAGTTAGTCTTACTGACAAAAAGCTGGAGGAAGGAGCACATGAGGTACACACGAGACCATGTTCTTTTGGTAAGCACACCTGGGGGCTCTGTCACTTTAAAAAGACCTGTTGAAATTCGCTGCTTGACAGGCGGGCCTTAGGTCCTGGGAGTAGAAGCAAGAATTGCTTTTGAAGGAAATGGATAATCCCAGGGGGTGGAGGGGGAGAGGAGAGAGAGCCTGTGTGTTGAGCTCTGAATAGGCTCTGATTTCTGGCCTCATCACCACTGCTTGGTTGGGGGGCCAGAGGAGCTTCTCTCCTCTGGGCGCTGGAGAGTCACAGCCCCACCCATCCCAGCGGGGGCGGCTGCAGCACTTGCCCTTGGCTGCATATCTTCAAGCTCACTGTTGCCGGGAGGGGGCTTGTGCCTCACTACCGGCCTCCTATTCTCCTGCTCCACCCCCAACCCACCCCCTGCCTCAGCTTGGAAGGGCCCAAAAGAAATCCAGGGAAACCTGGAGGCACAACACTCAGGAGCGTTTAGCTCCTCAGTTACCCAGGCTGCAGGCCCCGGCCCTGGGGGTGGCTTTCCCAGGTGATCTGGTTACAGTGCAGTGCTGACTTCCCCTGCAGGGTCCCAGTGCAGCTGCTGGAAGCTGGCCCCAGAGGTGCCTTTCTGGAGTTAGATCAGGTGTAACTGTGAAGGCTGCCTTAGGTCTCTCCAGTGCCATGAGTCACCAGCACCCTGATGCTTGGCTTTTTCCTGGTTTTCAGGGAGTTGCATTTGGTCCTGGGGACAAGGAAGTGGGGGGACAAGTGGTCCACTTTTCCTGCAACTTGGTGGCTGAATACACAATGCAATTCCTAGTCCACATCATCCCTCAATTGATTGCAGTCTGTAGAAAAAATAAAATAAAATGAGCCCCTTACTCAAGATTTCCTCCTACTTCCCCAGCATTCTTTCCCAAAGGTGCAGAATTTCAGAACCACAGAGGTCTCTCAGAACTTTGTAAACAGGCAAACTTAAAAAAAAAGAAAAAAGAAAAAAAATCTCTGGACCAAATATTCTTAGACATATATTTAATCTCTGATGAAAGGATCCACAAGTTCAAATAATTTGGGGTATTAAGTGGGGCTTGGATAAAATCTTCAAGGAAAAAAGAAAAACAAAAAGCACACACAAATCCCAGCCCTCCAGGGCTTGCAATCCTATATTTAAAGGGTGAGCAGTGGGTTCTGCAGGAGCCCCTTGCTAATTTACACTAATGAGTGTCAATTATGGCATTTTGTAAATTGGTGATTTTGCAAAGATCTTAATACAATTCCTGAGGCTACAGCATCCCTGCCTAGGCAATGAAAACCACATTTAACTCCAGCTCCACTAATCTCTAAGCCTTGGGGAAAGTGCTGGGCAGAAGGTGGGTCCTTGGCCTGCTCTCAGGGGACTCACAGGTAGGAAGCCAGCCAGGATTCTTTTGTGCCTTCCAGAGCTTTAGGTGAATGTGAGGAGGGGTCTCTGGGGTGGGGGAGGGCAGCATTCCTGAGTACTACTGTGCTTCCTGGCTAGAGGCCTGTGCCAGAGGAGAGAGGCCAGGGAGCCTGGAGCCTCTTGTCCCCCTTTCTTTTCCCTGAGTAGGGAGATCTTTCTCAGTTGTCCCTTGAGGAATTTTTTTTACAAAGAGTAACTGGAAATTTCAGTACCTTGGACTGAAACCGTTATCTACTATAATTACTACCTTTATCTTGAGACACTGAGCAGGTGGCTTCTAATTTAAACTCCCGCCTCATCTAGGCTCCGGCTCTCCCCAGGCCTGTTGGGCTCCTTGCCCTGTAGAAGCTGAGCCTGAGCTCAGCCAGCACTCACTGTGTTGCCTGAGGAGATGGCCTTTCCCAACATACACCAGTAACCTGGAACTTACCCCAGTGATGCCGTCTCTTGATCCTTAATCGCTGCACCAACTGCTGCAGCCCAGACACACATTACCAAAATCTGGCAGGGTAGTAAAGTGCCTTGTTGTCCTTACCTCTTCTAGGGAAGCCCGTCAGCCTGAGCTACAGATGCCCATGCCGATTCTTCGAAAGCCATGTTGCCAGAGCCAACGTCAAGCATCTCAAAATTCTCAACACTCCAAACTGTGCCCTTCAGATTGTGTAAGTCTTGAAATTGAACATCATCTAACGAACATAGTTGCATCTAACGAACATAGTAACATCTAACCCGAGTCTTATTAAAGGTGTAGAGGTGACAAGCCAAGTGTCCAACCTTGAACTTGGCATAATTAGTGGCAGCTATTCTTATCATGAGGACCTTTAGTATGCCACCAGGCATTAATTTTAAAAGCCGCTCTTGGCCTGGGCACCCTGCTGTGCTCGTAGTAGTTCTCTCTTCTTTCCAAACCTGTGTTCTTCAGCACAGCACAGCTGGATGCTGGAGAAACTATGGGCTTCACCAAGGTTTTGGCTGAAGCCTAGTAAATTAGCCAGCCCTTAGCTAATAACAGTGATAACTGGCCTGCCAGTTTCGGGGATCTGATGCCCTACATTAACTCACAAGACCCAAATGCAGTTTAAGTCCTCTTTAACCATTGGGTGAAACTTCAACATTTTCAGCTCACTTGCCTGTATTTTCTCAAGTACAACATATGAGGTTTTGGTGTTATTTGGTGTGGATGGCAGCCACTAACATTTGATTTTATTCATTTGGGAAACAAAGACCAAAATCACACATCCACAAGACAGGAAGATCTCAGCTGGGTACAGAAGACCGGGAGAAATGCGGGAAGAAAGCCATGTGCTTGAAAGCCCTCTCATGCTCAAGAGGTCCTGTGTCTGAACACGGGGAAGCGAGGGCTCAGGGAGTCTCCTGGAGAGGATTTGATTGCTCAGAAGTTCTAGTGCTAAAAATGGGGTGGGGAGACAGCAGTTGGAACCAAAGCTACAACTTTCCCAAGACTTTTCCACCCAACACCAAATGTTTTTACTTTTGATTTTAGAAAACTGTTTTTAGTTTTGAGTTAACCCTTTACTGCCTTGAATGTGTTTGTTATTTACAGTATGTTTTAGGGCCCTAGAAAATGAATGTTTTTTCTGTACTTTGCCTACAACATGATACTTTATCTCTTGTGAAGAGTATTTTAAAGATGCTCAATTTAGCTACCTTGGACCTGCTTTACAGCACTGATCATGCTGGTTTACTGGCCTGGAAATGCACCTTGAAGTTGAAGATGCCAAATACAATTCTCAGGTCTGAGCAGACACTAAATTAACAAAGAATAGGCCCCAGATTTGGACCCCAATGTGGGTTGCTCCGAGCCACACCCATCTCTGCACCCCTCTTCACCTAATGGACAGGCTGCTTGAAGACTCCCTGGGTGCCCCTGAACCACTGTTCTGGGGCTTAGCTGTCCTCAAGACCCTTAAGTACTTGGGCTGCATGAGATTACCTGGCACCAAAGGGCTTTCTGGCAAGAGATTCAGAGAGATGAAATCAGGCCTTCCCCAGGAGTTTGCATGTAGGGAAGCTTTTAAGAGTGTGAACTTTTAAAAAACAAATGAGACCAAGAAACATTCAGTGAACTTGTAAAATCTTTCTAGAAACTATTTTCTGGTAAGCCACCTGCACTGCCCCTCCCCTCCCTGGCTGGTCACCCTCCCGGTCAGACCGCGGTGACTTCTGGCAGGCCTCCTTCCTCCAGGCTTCCTCATGCCCATCCTTAAGTCGGCCCTATATCTATCAAGATGACCCATCCAAATAAACCTCTGCTCTGTTGCTCTCCATTCTCCCCTCCCCAGGTACCTAGAGCATCCTGTCGTCCCCTTCCTCAGTTTCCTCTGTATGCTTTGATGACCCCCCTGGCGTATTTGCTCCTGATTTTCCCTTCCCGTTTATTTACTCTCCAAGCTCCTACTTATCCTTCAAAGGCAGCTCAAATGCTCCCTTACATGAATTCCCCTGCACTGCCCCGGAAAGACTTCTGTTCACATTTCCATGTCTCTGCAATGGAACTTCCTGCACTGCCAGCGCTGAGCTTTCCCCAGCACACCGCGAGCACCTCTGGAGCCTGAGCGTACCAAGTGGAGCACGGGGTGCCAGCGAGGGCCCTAGATGGGTGTTGGGGGAGCGGATGCACACGTTGCAGCCGCGCCTTCCTCCTGTGCAGCCGCACACTGTTGCCATTCTGTTTTCACAGAGCCCGGCTGAAGAACAACAACAGACAAGTGTGCATTGACCCGAAGCTAAAGTGGATTCAGGAGTACCTGGAGAAAGCTTTAAACAAGTAAGCACAACAGCCAAAAAGGACTTTCCGCTAGACCCACTCGAGGAAAACTAAAACCTTGTGAGAGATGAAAGGGCAAAGACGTGGGGGAGGGGGCCTTAACCATGAGGACCAGGTGTGTGTGTGGGGTGGGCACATTGATCTGGGATCGGGCCTGAGGTTTGCCAGCATTTAGACCCTGCATTTATAGCATACGGTATGATATTGCAGCTTATATTCATCCATGCCCTGTACCTGTGCACGTTGGAACTTTTATTACTGGGGTTTTTCTAAGAAAGAAATTGTATTATCAACAGCATTTTCAAGCAGTTAGTTCCTTCATGATCATCACAATCATCATCATTCTCATTCTCATTTTTTAAATCAACGAGTACTTCAAGATCTGAATTTGGCTTGTTTGGAGCATCTCCTCTGCTCCCCTGGGGAGTCTGGGCACAGTCAGGTGGTGGCTTAACAGGGAGCTGGAAAAAGTGTCCTTTCTTCAGACACTGAGGCTCCCGCAGCAGCGCCCCTCCCAAGAGGAAGGCCTCTGTGGCACTCAGATACCGACTGGGGCTGGGCGCCGCCACTGCCTTCACCTCCTCTTTCAACCTCAGTGATTGGCTCTGTGGGCTCCATGTAGAAGCCACTATTACTGGGACTGTGCTCAGAGACCCCTCTCCCAGCTATTCCTACTCTCTCCCCGACTCCGAGAGCATGCTTAATCTTGCTTCTGCTTCTCATTTCTGTAGCCTGATCAGCGCCGCACCAGCCGGGAAGAGGGTGATTGCTGGGGCTCGTGCCCTGCATCCCTCTCCTCCCAGGGCCTGCCCCACAGCTCGGGCCCTCTGTGAGATCCGTCTTTGGCCTCCTCCAGAATGGAGCTGGCCCTCTCCTGGGGATGTGTAATGGTCCCCCTGCTTACCCGCAAAAGACAAGTCTTTACAGAATCAAATGCAATTTTAAATCTGAGAGCTCGCTTTGAGTGACTGGGTTTTGTGATTGCCTCTGAAGCCTATGTATGCCATGGAGGCACTAACAAACTCTGAGGTTTCCGAAATCAGAAGCGAAAAAATCAGTGAATAAACCATCATCTTGCCACTACCCCCTCCTGAAGCCACAGCAGGGTTTCAGGTTCCAATCAGAACTGTTGGCAAGGTGACATTTCCATGCATAAATGCGATCCACAGAAGGTCCTGGTGGTATTTGTAACTTTTTGCAAGGCATTTTTTTATATATATTTTTGTGCACATTTTTTTTTACGTTTCTTTAGAAAACAAATGTATTTCAAAATATATTTATAGTCGAACAATTCATATATTTGAAGTGGAGCCATATGAATGTCAGTAGTTTATACTTCTCTATTATCTCAAACTACTGGCAATTTGTAAAGAAATATATATGATATATAAATGTGATTGCAGCTTTTCAATGTTAGCCACAGTGTATTTTTTCACTTGTACTAAAATTGTATCAAATGTGACATTATATGCACTAGCAATAAAATGCTAATTGTTTCATGGTATAAACGTCCTACTGTATGTGGGAATTTATTTACCTGAAATAAAATTCATTAGTTGTTAGTGATGGAGCTTATAGACGTTTCTGGTTTATATAGTTAAGCCTGCCTGCAGTCAGGTGTCTGAGACCCCTTCTCACAGCCCATGTGTGACAGTGTATGGGCTTTTCTCACGAGCAGATTAGATCTGCAGCTCAAGTTTTTGGATCTTTTTTTTTTTTTTTTAACCCGATTGAAATAGCAGTGCTGGTTTTCTGAAGAATAATATTTGACTCACTAATTCGTCTTCCCTCCCTCCTCCTCCTTGGTTCTCCTAACTTCCCCATGTAATCCCCAGAGACTCAACCCTAGTAATATCAACCTTTTACATTTTCCCATGTAAAAATCCCATGACTCCAGGCCATGGTTAATATGAAGCTTTCACAGGGACAGGTGGCCTCACCCCATAAATCATTAAATACCATTCAGCTTGAATCATTTTAATGTGACAGTCACGAGCCAGTTGCTCTAATAAAATTCTGCTAACCAGCTCTCTCCCTTGCTCTCCAGAACAATCGCATTCATTCCCAGGAGTGTTCACAGGCGTCTAGAAAGGGGAAGGTGGGACCACTGCCTTTTTTCTCCTCTTCTGAATGGCAGTCTGAACCTGGGGCCTGCAGCCTCCAAAACGTTATTCAATTTGAAATGCAGACATTTCTTAGAGAAAGCTAAGAGTTCAGCCCTGCATTGAGAAGAAGAAAAAGTCCCATGAGAACAGGGCAGGGTGGGGTGACAAGGACCACGATGGCCAGCCTGGCCCTGGGTGTACCCTGAGATGTGGATTCCTTGTCCCCAGTGGGAATCAGGTTCAGGTTGGCAGATTGGCAGTCGCTGTAACCCATTCACAAAGGTGTTCTAGGAGCCCATTGAACATTTGTTTGAATGGAAGGAAATGTCCAATTTATTTTAATGAATTACTGATAAACAGTGCTTTGACCAGGGGCCTCCAGGCCTGAGACTGAAGGCACAGTTTAACCAGTACACGGGCCAGTGTTAAATCTTATGCAGACTGAGACGAACTTTTGTTTATTTCCACATTATTAATGGTTCTACTAATTTTATCTAAGGGGGCGCAGAGAAGAAAAAGTGGGGAAAAAAGAAAAGATAGGAAAAAAGAAGCGACAGAAGAAGAGAAAGGCTGCCCAGAAAAGGAAAAACTAGTTATCTGCCACCTCGAGATGGACCACAGTTCACTTGCTCTCGGCGCTTTGTAAATTTGCTCGATCCTCCTCCAGGACAGACCCCCATGCAGACTGGGCAGGGGCTCAGACTTCCGTGGGGGAGCAGTGCTTTGCTGCCCTGCCAGCCACACCGGCTTCTGTATTTATGTGCTTTTTAAGGCCCTTGTTGGTCTGCTAAGTTATGAAGAAAGTAGTTGTGCAGAGACTGGGGCGGGGGTCTGTGACGCGGAGCCTGTGTGCTCAGGACTCTGTCCAGAATAGCCTGGGAGCTCCAGGAATGCCCAGGTTGCTGAGCCCCCCAGCCCGCCCTCCACTTCCTCTCTTAGAAGGCCTGCGCTCACTGGGGAGCTCACCAGCTCCACACACTTGCAGTCTGCATTCCTGTGGAGACCAGGCTGTGGCCACCTGGCCAGTGTGCAGGGCAACCTGCTAGCAGAGGTGGCCTCGCCAGGAAGGGGGTGTGCCACCCCTCTGTGGCCCTCAGGAAAGGTGAAAACTGACTGACCCTTAGGAATGGGCCCTGGCTTTTTCCAAATACCCATTGCCTTTCCCTCCAGCACTCTGCCACCTGGGAAGGGGCTTCTTCAGCCCCTCCTTCCTGGGTTGTGGGAGTGGCTTTATCCCCAAGCCCGGGTGGGTTTCTGCAAACTGTGTGGGGTGAGCCCGAGGGAATGCTGCATTCTCAGAGAGCAGATGTGGAAACACTTCTCAGGGAGCTCCTCTTTGGGCAATTCTCTTTAGAGTCTTTAAACGGGTCCCCCACGTGGAGGACAGATGTGCTATGGAACTTTGCAAGGGTCCTGAATCCCTGGGGATCCCAGCCTGTCCCCTCCCGCCTCCTGCGTGATGGCGTGTGCTCCAGCTGCAGGGCACAGCTGCCTCTGTCCTCATTCATGGGAAATACCTTATCTGCCTAAAGCAAATACCACTTAAGCTCTAGGAACTTTCCTGCACCCTCCTTCCCTGCCCATGTAGATGTATGTGTGAGATTTTTTGGCAAGTTTCTCTAATCTGGACCGGGAGGATGGAAGAGCAAGGACCCCATTTCAGTAGTGCTCGGAAAAAGGATGCGTTGAATTTCTCAGCCCTTCTCCACCTCACATAAACACCCGCCCACCCTGCACCCGGATCCTGGGTCATAATTTTAATAAATGCAGAAAGAGAAAGTGGTTGGAGGATGGAGCACATGGAATTCAGGAGAAAACCCACAAAGACCCCTGCATGTCAGACACACCCTGTCCCGGAGCGTGGTGTCCCCTTGAGCTTTAATGAGCTCCCTGTGATCACAGCCATGCCTTCTCCTCGTTGGGGAGGTGTCCTAGGATGCTTCAGCCAAAGACCTTTGTTTCCCGCTGCTATCTCTTTTACCTGGACAACTCTCCTGGCCCACGTTCCTCTTGCCAGCACTGGGGGTCACAGGCCTGAGCCCTGGGTACAGGGGTGCCCTAGTCTTCTGCCCTCCCCACCTCTTAAGGCACAGAGCTGTTGGGTGGGCTGCCTGGGGCTGCCATCCTTCCCGTGGAAGCCAGTAGCCACTCTAGTCCATGGGACTCTTGACAAAAGCGCCCCGAGAGGGCAAACCTGTGCCCCCATACTCGCCTGCATTCTTCGGACTCCACATGCAGCAGGGCTTTGTGCCTGGGGAGGGGTGGCCAGTCTGTCCTGGTCAGTATGAAAAGCTGTTGGCCCCCTAGGGACAGAGGGCCCAGCTAAGGCTGCCTGAGGATACAAACTGCTTGCTATCCCACTCCTGGGGAGCAGGGTCTGCAGGGACTGAGAGTGGGTCCCACCTTGAGAACGCATGCAAGGTCCGTCCTGTCTTGATGTCTTGATGTGACTGTATGTGCCCTGGGGGCTCACTGTGGTTTACAAGTGGCTTGTGAAGCTCCTGGGAGCAGGTGGTACACCCAGTGCTGAAGACAGGGTCGCCGTGGAAGAGTGAAGAGCCTGACCGGGATTCCTGGTGGGTTGAAACTAGGAAGTGCTCACACCAGTCAGAGCCAAATGAGGGGTGCGCTATGGTCACTGCTCTGTCCAGCATGCGTTCCTCCTGGGAGGTCCTGGCCACCTGTGCACCCACCCCTGTGCCACCTCCAGCAGTCCCACCTGGGGCCACCTACGGTGGCATGGCCCCTGGCTGAGAGGCCCCGAGGGCGAAGGGTTACTGGAAGCCACGAAAGTGCCTCTTGGGACAGCCGAGGCCAGGATGCAGGGCAGCAGCATCCTGAGCCTCAGCCCCACGCCGGTGCCGGGTAAGCAGTGTGCCCTGTCCCCGTCGTATGACCACTCTGATGGGCCTCTCTGTGCCTTCGTGCGTCTGCCACGCCCAGTGCTTGCCACGTGTCTGTCCTCTGCTTTCTGCCATCCATGGGTCCCTCCGCTTCAGCCTGGCTGCGTCTCGCACTCCCCTCCCGTCTGTTGTCGCAGGGCCTCTGAAGGGAGATGCATGGCCAAGGTGGCAACTTGGAAGTAGGGATTGGCCCCAGGGCCTCCGCGCAGGCCGCTGTCCTTCTGGAGCTGGCTGGGTGTGGGGGGAACCTGCCTTAATGGTGTTTCCCTCTGTTCTTGTCAACAGGAGGTTCAAGATGTGAGAGGGTCAGACGCCTGAGGAACCCTTACAGTAGGAGCCCAGCTCTGAAACCAGTGTTAGGGAAGGGCCTGCCACAGCCTCCCCTGCCAGGGCAGGGCCCCAGGCATTGCCAAGGGCTTTGTTTTGCACACTTTGCCATATTTTCACCATTTGATTATGTAGCAAAATACATGACATTTATTTTTCATTTAGTTTGATTATTCAGTGTCACTGGCGACACGTAGCAGCTTAGACTAAGGCCATTATTGTACTTGCCTTATTAGAGTGTCTTTCCACGGAGCCACTCCTCTGACTCAGGGCTCCTGGGTTTTGTATTCTCTGAGCTGTGCAGGTGGGGAGACTGGGCTGAGGGAGCCTGGCCCCATGGTCAGCCCTAGGGTGGAGAGCCACCAAGAGGGACGCCTGGGGGTGCCAGGACCAGTCAACCTGGGCAAAGCCTAGTGAAGGCTTCTCTCTGTGGGATGGGATGGTGGAGGGCCACATGGGAGGCTCACCCCCTTCTCCATCCACATGGGAGCCGGGTCTGCCTCTTCTGGGAGGGCAGCAGGGCTACCCTGAGCTGAGGCAGCAGTGTGAGGCCAGGGCAGAGTGAGACCCAGCCCTCATCCCGAGCACCTCCACATCCTCCACGTTCTGCTCATCATTCTCTGTCTCATCCATCATCATGTGTGTCCACGACTGTCTCCATGGCCCTGCAAAAGGACTCTCAGGACCAAAGCTTTCATGTAAACTGTGCACCAAGCAGGAAATGAAAATGTCTTGTGTTACCTGAAAACACTGTGCACATCTGTGTCTTGTTTGGAATATTGTCCATTGTCCAATCCTATGTTTTTGTTCAAAGCCAGCGTCCTCCTCTGTGACCAATGTCTTGATGCATGCACTGTTCCCCCTGTGCAGCCGCTGAGCGAGGAGATGCTCCTTGGGCCCTTTGAGTGCAGTCCTGATCAGAGCCGTGGTCCTTTGGGGTGAACTACCTTGGTTCCCCCACTGATCACAAAAACATGGTGGGTCCATGGGCAGAGCCCAAGGGAATTCGGTGTGCACCAGGGTTGACCCCAGAGGATTGCTGCCCCATCAGTGCTCCCTCACATGTCAGTACCTTCAAACTAGGGCCAAGCCCAGCACTGCTTGAGGAAAACAAGCATTCACAACTTGTTTTTGGTTTTTAAAACCCAGTCCACAAAATAACCAATCCTGGACATGAAGATTCTTTCCCAATTCACATCTAACCTCATCTTCTTCACCATTTGGCAATGCCATCATCTCCTGCCTTCCTCCTGGGCCCTCTCTGCTCTGCGTGTCACCTGTGCTTCGGGCCCTTCCCACAGGACATTTCTCTAAGAGAACAATGTGCTATGTGAAGAGTAAGTCAACCTGCCTGACATTTGGAGTGTTCCCCTTCCACTGAGGGCAGTCGATAGAGCTGTATTAAGCCACTTAAAATGTTCACTTTTGACAAAGGCAAGCACTTGTGGGTTTTTGTTTTGTTTTTCATTCAGTCTTACGAATACTTTTGCCCTTTGATTAAAGACTCCAGTTAAAAAAAATTTTAATGAAGAAAGTGGAAAACAAGGAAGTCAAAGCAAGGAAACTATGTAACATGTAGGAAGTAGGAAGTAAATTATAGTGATGTAATCTTGAATTGTAACTGTTCTTGAATTTAATAATCTGTAGGGTAATTAGTAACATGTGTTAAGTATTTTCATAAGTATTTCAAATTGGAGCTTCATGGCAGAAGGCAAACCCATCAACAAAAATTGTCCCTTAAACAAAAATTAAAATCCTCAATCCAGCTATGTTATATTGAAAAAATAGAGCCTGAGGGATCTTTACTAGTTATAAAGATACAGAACTCTTTCAAAACCTTTTGAAATTAACCTCTCACTATACCAGTATAATTGAGTTTTCAGTGGGGCAGTCATTATCCAGGTAATCCAAGATATTTTAAAATCTGTCACGTAGAACTTGGATGTACCTGCCCCCAATCCATGAACCAAGACCATTGAATTCTTGGTTGAGGAAACAAACATGACCCTAAATCTTGACTACAGTCAGGAAAGGAATCATTTCTATTTCTCCTCCATGGGAGAAAATAGATAAGAGTAGAAACTGCAGGGAAAATTATTTGCATAACAATTCCTCTACTAACAATCAGCTCCTTCCTGGAGACTGCCCAGCTAAAGCAATATGCATTTAAATACAGTCTTCCATTTGCAAGGGAAAAGTCTCTTGTAATCCGAATCTCTTTTTGCTTTCGAACTGCTAGTCAAGTGCGTCCACGAGCTGTTTACTAGGGATCCCTCATCTGTCCCTCCGGGACCTGGTGCTGCCTCTACCTGACACTCCCTTGGGCTCCCTGTAACCTCTTCAGAGGCCCTCGCTGCCAGCTCTGTATCAGGACCCAGAGGAAGGGGCCAGAGGCTCGTTGACTGGCTGTGTGTTGGGATTGAGTCTGTGCCACGTGTTTGTGCTGTGGTGTGTCCCCCTCTGTCCAGGCACTGAGATACCAGCGAGGAGGCTCCAGAGGGCACTCTGCTTGTTATTAGAGATTACCTCCTGAGAAAAAAGGTTCCGCTTGGAGCAGAGGGGCTGAATAGCAGAAGGTTGCACCTCCCCCAACCTTAGATGTTCTAAGTCTTTCCATTGGATCTCATTGGACCCTTCCATGGTGTGATCGTCTGACTGGTGTTATCACCGTGGGCTCCCTGACTGGGAGTTGATCGCCTTTCCCAGGTGCTACACCCTTTTCCAGCTGGATGAGAATTTGAGTGCTCTGATCCCTCTACAGAGCTTCCCTGACTCATTCTGAAGGAGCCCCATTCCTGGGAAATATTCCCTAGAAACTTCCAAATCCCCTAAGCAGACCACTGATAAAACCATGTAGAAAATTTGTTATTTTGCAACCTCGCTGGACTCTCAGTCTCTGAGCAGTGAATGATTCAGTGTTAAATGTGATGAATACTGTATTTTGTATTGTTTCAATTGCATCTCCCAGATAATGTGAAAATGGTCCAGGAGAAGGCCAATTCCTATACGCAGCGTGCTTTAAAAAATAAATAAGAAACAACTCTTTGAGAAACAACAATTTCTACTTTGAAGTCATACCAATGAAAAAATGTATATGCACTTATAATTTTCCTAATAAAGTTCTGTACTCAAATGTAGCCACCAACAGTTTGAAATTAGTGTTACTACTTGGAATTTTCTGGACGTGCTTTTTTTCCCCACAAACCCAAAACTGAGGGTTGTGTAATCCTGGCTACAGTGGTTCATGGAAAACAGGGCATTGTAATCATGCTAATCACAGCTGAGAATTCTGGAGGCATACTTGCCTCTTCTGGACAGCTGATCCTTAGCAGGGAAAGGTGCTCCCTTTTCTCTGAGTGTCTTTGATTTTGCTAGAATTGCTTCTGAAAGGCCAGCCTGTCCTCCACTCCACAAGGGATGGTTTTGTGCAAGGGTCTCAGGTATTTCTTGACAGCTGTGAGGAGGGAAGCTTCCACTCTGCCCTTCTCAGTCCTGGGAGAATGCAACAGAGGTCTGGCCCTGATGGTAATTGCTGAGGACCAGCACTCTGTGTGTTTCCTGCACTGCACAGAGACCTTGCTGGAAGCCAGACACGATTCTCTCACCTAGCAATGGCTAGCCAGCACTGTCCTGGACATGGGGCATAGGAGATGAGCCCAGCAGACAGGTTCTGGTCCTCACAGAGGTCAGCCCTTAACACTCTCTAGCACATTCTCTGTCATCCACAGTCAACTTTGTTAGAAAGGAGAGTCAGCACAAAAGTTCCGAATGTCTGAGTCAGATTGTCCGGTCCTCCAAGCCCTCTTCCCCATTGGTCCAGATGTGATCACATCATCCCATGCCAAATCTTCCCATGACTTAATGGGATGGCCGTCATGTGGGTGCTAAGCTGCAGATGGACTGGGGAAGGAAGAAGGGTTAGAGCAGGCCGGGAAGGGCAGCGTGGTGTCAGGGGACCTGTGCAGGTGTGAAGATCAGTAGACTGGGGCTTGCGTCCCATTCACTCTCTGCTCCCTCTGTGATTTGAGATGCATCCCTTGATCTCTCTGAGTTCCAGTCTCCCAGCTGCAACACTGAAGCTTATTACTGCCAACGGTCAAGAGGATTAGACTGGGAGAGTGTGTGGAAGAAGCTAGCTTTTGAGGGACAGGACAAAGCCCGCCCCTCCACCCTGAAAGTTCCCCATTTTGCTCCCTCTCTCCACCTCCTGTTTCCTGAGGTCCACAGAGCTAGAATAAGACCCACATCTGCCTCTGCTGAGCCCCTTAACAAAGCTCAGAGACCAAGGGAGCAGGAAGTGACCTGGAAGCTGAGCCTGCCCCTCAGCTAAAGGATGGGGAGAAGTCACTGGGTCGCATCCCCTGTATCTCCGGCACACCACACTGCTATCCTAGCACTGGGAATCGACAATGGGCCAACCCTTCAAAATGACCTGGCATCAGAAAGAAAACCTGAGCCCTGGCATGCTTGCATTCTCCCCTCATTTACTTGGCCAACAACAGCTGTGATGCCTCTCCTGCACCGCAGGAGTGTGGGGAGCAAGACACACTCACTCTAATTCCATGAAGCCTGCAGTCTGGCGGCTGCCGTGTGAGAAGTGGGTATTTTCATAGATTGTGGTGCATTCAGGCATCAGGGAAGCGTAAAACAGAAAAGACCCCTAACTTAGGCATCAGTAAGGATTTGCTTAAAAAGCGCTGGTGAAGGTGAGACCTGAGAAAAGTGGATTCTTTGGGGAGGTGGTCTACTGAGCCCATGAGGGCTGGCATGGAGAGCCCAGGTGGTATCCTCCTGTGAATTGGAAAGGGGGCTTATTCTAGAAGCCGGAGGTGTAGCTCACACAGGGAGTCTGGCATGGGGGGCACAGGGCACTGGGTTTCAGCTTCCTTATTCCCATCACTTGTGGGAGGCACAAACACAGCTGAGAAAGCTGGACCCCCACGGTGATGGGGTCCCCTCAGCACGGCTGATTGCATGGAGTGGACACTGGATGCATATTGCAGGCCGATCTGATTTTCTGTCACAGGAGTACAAGGCTGTGATTCAACAGCATCGGGCTTTGCTCCCTTTCTCTGTGCCTGCAGCTGAGGACTCGGCACTCTGGAGTGTGGGCTGCCGGGAGACAGAAGCAGAGGGAGCCCCCACTGCTTGAAACAGATTCAGAGAGAGAAGTGGGGATGCAAGACCAGGGAAGCAACCTGTGGCTGCCCATGGAGGGCCTGGAGAACCTCAGAGGGCATTGGTCACTGGTGAAGTCTGGCCACACTCCCCGCCTTGGGTTCTGTGTGTTCCAAGTAAATCCTCTTGGAGGTAAAATGAGGATTTCTGCTATTTACACTCAAACAATCATCACCAGGGTCAACTTGCAAGCTCCAAAGAAAGACCATTTAGATCAGCGTTCCCCAACCTTTTTGACACCAGGGATCGGTTTCTTGGAAGACAATTTTTCCACGGGCAGTGCAGGGTGGGGTGGGTGTGGTTTCAGGATGAAACTTCCACCTCAGAGGATCAGGCGTGAGTTAGATTCTCATAAGCAGCACGCAACCTAGGTCCCTCGCACGCGCAGTTCACAATAGCGTTCTCCTAGGAGAATCGAATGCTGTTGCTGATTATCATGACAGCAGGTGAGCTCAGGTGGTAATGCTCCCTCACCCACCATTCATGTCCTGCTGTGCAGTCCAGTTCCTAACAGGCCATGGACCCCTACTGGTCTGCAGCCTGGGGGTTGGGGACCCCTGATTTAGACCACACAGATTCCTTAGCTGTGCCTGCTACCCATTAGGATTGATCAAAGACCCTGAGGCATTCCCCGAGCCTCTCTCCACATAAGGCACACAGGACCCGTGTAGCACCCACCCTGCCTGCCCAGCATCAGCTGTGAAGAGACGGGTGAACATCCGTCAGCCTGGGAGAGCTCTGGCCCAGCCACCAGGTGTGTGCAGAGAAGGCTTGGGCCTACTGCACAGCCTGTGTATCCGCTGAGCAGAGCAAACTGGAGATAGCTAAGTCCTCAGCTGTCCTCAGGTAGAGTCTGCTCCTAGACATCCCCCACTAGGAGGAAGCTCCACAATGCCTTTTCAGGGTTTCCTGCCAGTGCCTCATCATGGATGTTTCACAGACTTAATGAGTAAGCTGACTCTTCAGGCTGCAAGGCAGCACCAGGCCCTGGGCAGCAGCCTCTGGTCAAGTCACAGCCCAACCCTGGGGTTCCCGTCTTAGCTGCTGTCAGATTTCAAGGCCATTGCCCTGCTACAAGTAAGAGCATAAGGAATTGTGTCCACCCCTTGGCCCAAGAAACTAAAAAGAAACAAAGCTGAATGAAGCCATAGATGAAGGCTCTGAACTCCCCAATCCTCCTATTCTTGCTGTGAATGGAGGGGCCTGGGGTGGCAAGTGGGGCTTGTGGACTTGGCAGCTGAGTGGAAAGAGCCCCAGGCTTAGAATAAAGGACCCAGCTGTCAATGGCTGTTTAACCTTCTCCAGCTAAGTCTAACTTAGTCCACCCTGCACCTGCACCTCCAAAGCTGATCGGAGCTTAGAAAAAATTCTTCCCTGCTGTCCACTCTCAAAATTCATACTCAGCCACCTGATCCTACTCAGCCCTTCTGTTTGCCCTTCCTACTCCTGGGGGCTTGTTCCATGCTTTCTTCTCTTTCGTTAAGCTTTCTTCCTCCTCTCCTTTGTCAACTTGCAGCTCATGATCTGGCTTCCTCTGTCACAGAATCAAAGGGAGCATTATGGAGGGGGGTTTCCCAAACACCACATGTTCTCACTTATAAGTGGGACCTAGATGATAAGAAGACATGGACACATAGAGGGGAACAACACACACTGGGGCCTGTTGGAAGGTGGAGAGTAGGAGGAGGGAGAGGATCAGAAAAAATGACTAATGGGTACTGGGCTTCATATCTGTGGATGAAATAATCTGCACAGCAAACCCCCATGACATGAGTTCACCTATACAACAAATCTGCACATGTACTCCTGAACTTAAAAGTTAAAAAAAAAAAGAAGAAGGGGGTTTTCACAAGCTTCACCTCTCGTCCACCCACTCATCCAATATGTATGCACTGTAGCTGCTTTCACCCACCTCCCTGCCACCCAGCACCTGGGACATGGAGATCAGCATTCCTCACCTGCACAAGGATGCCTCTTCTGACTTCCCCTTTCTGCTACACCATAATTTTTTCACTGCTTACATTAACCTGCCAACATGTTATAATATCTCCTATCAAAAACAAAGCAAAGCAACATTGAAAACGATCTCTAACCTATATCCCACTGCATCTTCTGGAGTATCTCTGCTTCTTATCACACACAAGCCCTCAAAAGGGTTGTCTGTGTTCCCCATGCCCACTGTCTCTCCGCCTCTCCCTTCGTTGAGCCCACTTCCATGAGCATTCCTTTGGCTCATGTGCTGGAGCTGCTCGGGCGCTAGGCTGCCAGTCAGCCCCATGCTGGGAAATCCAAAGGCCAGTTATCAATGCTAAGCTTCCTTGGTCCCTTGGCATCACCTGACATTGTTGATCGCCCTCCTTGAAGCACATTTTCTGGTTGGCCTTTAGGAGGCCAATCTGGCCTGTTTCTTTGCTTCACACCCTCTCATTCCACTTCACTGCTTCCTCTTTCTCCTCTAGACAGCTTACCATGAGAGCGTCCAGGGTTCAGTGCTCCTAGCTTGTCTTATTTTCTTATTTTTTTGTTGTTTTTGTTTTTCTTTTCTTTTTTCTTTCTTTTTTTTTTTTTTTTTTTTTTTTGAGACAGAGTCTCATTCTGTCACCCTGGCTGGAGTGCAGTGGCATGATCTTGGCTCACTGCAACCTCTGCCTCCCGGGTTCAAGCGATTCTCCTGCCTCAGTCTCCTGAGTAGCTGGGATTACAGGCATGCACCACCATGCCTGGCTAATTTTTGTATTTTTAGTAGAGATGGGGTTTCACCATGTTGGCCAGCCTGGTCTCGAGCTCCTGACCTCAGGTAATCCGCCCGCCTCAGCCTCCCAAAGTGCTGGGATTACAGGCGGGAGCCACTGCACCCGGCCCCTAGCTCTTCTTGAGCACCAGTTGTACTCACTTGTTCTTTTGGCCTTGAACACCATGGAAACATGAAGGAATTCCAGAGTGCTGTCTCCAGCCCAAACCTGTACACCCAGCTCCTCCTCTGAAATGCACCATATGCAGAATGAAACTCTGAATTTCCACCTGCTTATCCCCATTTCTGCAAATGGCAACTCCATCCTTTCAGTGGCTCAGGCCAAAGCCCTTATATTTATCTTTGATTGATTTTATTCTCACACAACCCCAAGCTAAACCATTAACAAACCCAATTAGTTATCATGAAAATATTTCCAGAATCCAATCACTTCTCACTGTTACTGTCTTGGTCCAAGTCACAGGGGTCTCCTGCCTAAATCACTGTGCTAGCCCCTGACTGTCCACCCTCAGGCTCTTTCAGAAGCAGCTGAAGTGGCCTGTGATGATGGCTGGCTGCAGCCCACCTCCTCAAGCCTTCCTGTGGCTTCCCATCCCATGTGGTGTAACAGCCTACAAAGGTTTGCCCCACCAGCCTGGCATGTCTCTGAACTCAGCCCTCTCTGCTCCAGCCACACTGGCCTCCTCTTACTTCAACAGGTCAGGCCCACCCCTGGCAGAGGACTTTTGCAGTAGTTGGTCTCTTGGCCCGCATATCATCCCATGGTTCACCCCTCCCTTCCTGCAGCCTCTGCTCACCATGGCCTTATCAGAAAAGCCTTTGCAGAGGCCCCCTCCTCCCACGCTGCTGCGCCCCGGCCTCCTCTTGCTGCTGCTCCTCTCCATTGCATTGCCTGACCACATCTGTTTGTTTCTTGCCTGCTTTCCTGCGCTGCACAGCAAGGGGGGACTTGGTCTGTTGTGTTTGCCTATCAGTTGCTGTGGCTGGCACATAGAAGGTACGACAGTAATTTTGGAATGATGGCACAATAGCTAAATGGGATGTTAACATGTTGGACGCTTTCTCCACTCATCTCTGCAATGAAGGCAGCAACTCACCTCCAGGGTTGTGCATTCATTTGCACACCCAAGGTCACACTGGTACCCAAATCCATCTCACTCCAATGTTTGTACATCAGTGGTTACCCGCACTGCTCCTTCTGCAGACTCCCCTGTGTCTGGCCCTTCCCCCTGGAATCCCAGCACATGAGAAACACTATAGTGTTTATTCCCTGTGAGCCTAAATTAAAGAACCATCCCTTCCCTAGAGGCACCCCCTTCCAAGGCTTCCCTGCTTCCAGTGGGGCCTGAACATGCTGCCTGTGCAAACCACAGGCCAGCATTGGGACAGGCACAGCTGGTCTGGGCTTTGCAGCTGGTGGCCCCAGGGGACAACCACAGTGGCTGCAGGTCCCATTCCTGAGCCTTGGAACAGATTTCTGCTGCTGGTGCTTCAGGACAGGCCTGACATGGGGCAGTGGGTGGCTGGCCAGACCTCAGGACATAGCCAGGGCCCTAGAGGGCAGAGACACCACCAAGTGGAGTTTTCCACGAAATCAGTACTGGAAGCCGAGGCTGAGTCTTTCCAAAAATGGACACAGCTGGGAAGTGACAAAGTGAGGATTCGGACATGAGTCTGTATGGCTCCAAACCTAAGCCTGTAACCATAGGACCCCCCTGCCTCCCCTCTAGGTTCTCTATACCTTCCCCACTGCCCTACCAGGTGGAGGCCTTAGGCTACCCTGGCTGCTGCTGGCTTGGCCTAAAGGCTGATGCTCCCAGCCAGACCTGAGCAAGATGGCCAACCTCCGGGGAGGAGCTGAGGCAAGGGCCAAGAGCTCAGGACTGTGGCTGGCAGCGGTGGCTGTGCTCAGCTTTCCCAGGCAGTGGCCAAACTCAATGCTGCAGCCAGAGAAGCTGATGGGGAGGAGGAGCGACCAGGCTTGGTCAGTCTGGAAGGTCCCAGATGCAGCC
This sequence comes from Homo sapiens, assembly GCF_000001405.40. NCBI lineage: Eukaryota > Metazoa > Chordata > Mammalia > Primates > Hominidae > Homo > Homo sapiens. The sequence goes on along the minus strand of NC_000010.11, from coordinate 44,363,359 downwards.
ACGGGCTACCCTTGTCCTTTCCCCTTCCCAGGCACTTCCCCAAACGTGGGACCCTCAGCCTGGGTCACATGGGCTTGTAGGCCGTGAGGAAACAACCATTCTGGGCATTCCTGAGCCTTGGGGGAGGCGGCTTTCCTTCCGCCCACTATGGGAACCCTCCAGGGCCCTGTCGGTGCCTTCGCTGGGGAAGGAGGCCTGCCAGGGACCAGCTCGTTCCAGTTCCTCCTCTGAGAGAGCACCTGCCCTTCAGGCTGTGTGGGCCTCCCCCTGCTCAGGAGGCCAAGGGAAACTGGAGCCTAATGCATTCACTGCGTGTTTCCTTTGTTCAGGACAGAGCTCCTGCTGGGGACAGACCAACACCTAGGTCATGTGCCTTCCAGGGCAGCCTGTGCCTGCCAGGCCCACACAGGACTTTCAGGTACCATCTCTTCCAGTTGTCCTGATAATCCCATGAGCTACCAGCCCTCTCCATGTGATGGACACAGACAAGGAGCTTCAGAGTAGCCGTGAGCCCCACGTCTCAGAGCTGAGATATGGCAGGCAGGAGCCCCTCCTTGGGCTGTTTGGGGCCAATGCACTAAATAACCTTCTCTTGTGGTTTGCAGTCTCCGGCCTTGTTCTCCGGCCTTGGTCAGTCTGGAAGGCCCCAGATGCGGCCACATCTGGGGCCTTCCAGATGTGCCAGCACAGGGGCTGCCAGGCTCAGGTCCATGGTTTGCCTTGGATGGCACAGGGATATTTCTGGGGTTTAAGTGAGAATCCATGTATGGGAAATGCTGGACAAAGTCAGGCTGTGAAATTAACATAAACTAGTAGAAGCAGCAATTTTAAAAAACAAAATAGAAAAGAAAGAAGAATGTGTTTTCAAATAGAAAAGAAGGAAGAGAATAAAATGAGAAATTTTGGCAAGTGTCACATCTACTGTGGGGAAGAATAAGTCTTGAGTGTGTGTGTGGGGGTTGGTGAACACCTGATGATGATGATGATGATGATCATGATGTAAAATACAACGTTTATCATAGGTTGTGGTCAAAAAAGTGTACTGCTCTAGTGTACACAAACCCAGCGATGAGTGTGGCTCATCTTGAACCCCAACACAGAACCTTCTCAGGGAGCCTGGTCCAGTGGGGCAAGGCTCATGGAGCCCCCTGCTGACTTCTCAGGAAGCCACAGGGGCAGAAACCAAAGCATGGCTTCCTGGAAATGTGGGGACTCAAACTCCAAAATTCCCAAGAGGGGACTTGAGGGGGTCATTGCCCTGGACAATCAGTGGTCTCCAAGATGCTATTCAGATCCCTTTCAAAGTCCTGGAGGAACAAAGTGACCATACTGTCCCAGTATTTGCCTGTTGTTCCAGGAAAATGAAGGACAGAGCCCTCTTCTCTGTCAGAATGTCCTGGTTTCAATGATAAACTGTATGGCCAGTCTGTCAAAGAGTGAGGGAGTTTGTGGGATCTGCTGCGCTCATGGCTGGAAATACAAAGCCTCCTGTTCCTCCAGCCCTCTTCCATCACCCTCCCCTTCTCCTCCAGGAAAGCCTGGAGAAGCCCCAGGTTCTTGCTGTACTTCCTCCCTGGATGTCTCTTCTCTTCACCCAAACTTGGAGCTGCTTTCTGGAGCATCTGAATCCCTGGCCTGGCCTGGGGCTCCTCATACTCCCTGTAAACCAGGTACAGGCAGGGAAACCAGCCCAGGAAGAGAGAAGTTAGAGTTCCACAGGGTTTGAGGTGGAATGCCAGTCATGTAGTCAATGCGATCAGTGTTCACCCATCACAAACCACAGTGGAGATCTGAGAAGGGAAGTCTCAGAGGCTCTACAAGCCCTGGTCTCCTTGTCTGTGGTTCCTCATCCATTTCACCCTGAGCAGGGAGAAGGGACAGCCCTGGACTGCCTGGAGGTGAGCAGAGCTGGAGCCTGAGTGCAAGTAAGAATACCAACCTAGTGTTCATTCCACCCTTCTACATGCCAGGCACTTAGCACATTCTGAATAATGCTCCCTGCTCCCTGCAGGGGAGATGATATTTCTGTTTTGCAGATGAGAAAATGGGCAAGGTTAGCACTTTCCTAAGCCATGTATGGAAAAGTAGCTGAAGCTTGAGTCTCCACATTTTTTATTGAGCTGTCTGCATCACCAGGCAGTTCCTCCTTCCTGTGTGTCTGAGCCGCAGCCATGGAGGGATAAATGAAGGTATCAGGGGGTAGGGAGGGATTGTGATGATGAGAGGGGGTCACCTTGAGCCAAAAGGGCATCAGACACTTCTTTGACTTCTGCTGGGCTGTGAGCTGCCCCCGAGTGGAGGGTGACATGACTTGGACTCTCAAGGGGTCCAGCACACGCAGGGCCACGCAATGTGGCAATGTTGGCTGACACTTGGCCTGGGCCCTGAGCAGCCCTGAACTCAGAAGAGAGGAGCTAGAAATGCATTCTGGAATTGGAAAAAGGAATGGTTAGACTCTGCCTTGACCAGTTAGCATGAACACAGGAGCCAGGAGACTGGTAAAAAATAAGGGGGATAATAACAATAAAAATTATGCCAGCTAAGTCTTCCCAAGTGCCAATTTTGTGCCACGCTCAGGGCTGGCTGCTCTGGAGGCAAGAGAAAGAGAATGACTTGCACAGGGCCACCTACAGTTGCCTATCATATCTGGGTCCCTCCCCAGCATCTCTACCTGTGTTGGCTTGAGCAAGTATTGGGGCCTTGAGGCTGGATATGCTGCCTGGCCAGGGTATGCAGTGTTAAGGTAAGATTCCCCTCCCCGGCTTTGTCCCTGGAATCCTTCAAACATGCATGTTCTTCCCTCAATTTTTGGGGTACTTCTATGTCCGTTGTCATCACTCATCTCTTAGTGAGTGACAGGTGCTCTTGGTGACATCTCTTTGGCTGCCTGTGTTAAAGACATTCCTTAGCTGCAGGTCAGGCAGGGATTCAAGATTGCAGTTGCCTTACTTTTCCCCAGTGTGCGCTGTGGGAGTCAGGGCTCTTTGAAATGCCCAAGGGTGGGACATTACTAGGAAGTTGGGGTTCAGGAATCATCCTAAATGCATGTGCTCTAGGGTCTGGCCTCGGTCTTGGGTACACCAGGGGCCACCTAATTCCTAGCTCAGCCTCCTCCAGAATGTGCCCCACATCCAGGGCTTTAAGTTCCATCCATTCCTCAATTTATCAGCCAGAGTCATCACCTCTTCCCAATTTCATGGAAATTTCCAGCTCCTAAAATTCTACCCTAAACCATCATGAGCTCATTGCAAGACATTTTAATTACTTGTTGAACAGACTATTTAAACAAACAACCTGAGGATATGTAAATTGCCACCCATTGCAGCTCTCTGACCTACAGCTTCAAATGGGATGGGGCAGCCTCAGTGTCTACTTAAAGACGCCTGTCTCTGTAAGAGACAAGGGCACGTCCACATTGTAATTCAGCTGCCAAGGACAGAGTTTGAAATTATTTTTGCTTTTTCACCTGTGAATAGAAAATCTTTCCTCTCGATTCTACCCTTTCTTACTTGTGCTGATGGTTCACAAACCACAGATTTCCACATACATGTTTGGATGTCCATGTTCTTGGGAGTTCAGATTCCCAGCTTTGTCTTTTACTCCCAATGGTTCCACAGCAAATTCACCCCACCAGCTGTCCTGCCAGGGGGTCCAGCACCAGCTCATGCCAGTGTGACAAAGACGGATCCCTTCTCAGAAAAGCCAGATGGTCTCCCACCCAAAAAAAAAAAAAAAAAAAAAAAAGGTTTCCAAGTAAAATAAGACAAACAGCCAGGGCCAAGAGCTGTCCACCAGGATCCCCCATGCCCACCTCTCAACCTGGCTCCCCACTAGAGGTTGTTTACAAGGATAAATTGAAATGTCCAGTGCAGCTTGGAAGTAAGATTTTCATCTCCATCTCCTTTCAACCCACACCATGAGCTGTTTTACAGGAATCGAATCAAAGCACAGCACACGTTTTAGGTTCCCAGCACTGATATGTCCTTCCTCGTCATTTTCATTCACATATTCACACCACTCAACATGAAGGTGAAACAAAATAAGACAGGAAAAAAGTATCTTTGGCAAGTTTGGGCTTGGAATCTAGGCAGGAAGTAAAGAAGCTAGGAGAGACCCCATGCCAAGCCCACAATCTAGTCTGAACACTCATGTAAACCAGAGGGAGCTGCCCGCTCTGGAGATAGCTCCAGCCTCAGATGGTGATGCTCTGGGCACGCCCCAAAGTCCAGGCACCTTTGCACTTCCCAGTGTCCTGAAACAGAAATGAGGAGGCTGCCCGACTCACAGTGCATGGCAGCGGGGGTCATCCGTGGTATTAAAAAATATGCAGAGACTAGGGAAAGTCTGGGGAGCGGGGGACAAATAAAGTTGAAATGAGTAAAAAATAGAATTTATAAAATCATATGAAACATTTAATTTTAAACGATGTGAGGAGAGCCTTTATCACTGTCTTGAACTATTTAGGATTGTGGATCCAACCAATTTCTTTCCTCTAAGGAAACTGAAAAGTGCTTTAAAGGCAGCAATGTGTTAGATTCTGGAGCAAAAAGATCATCTCCCTCAGCTTTTAGGTTCCCCACCCATGCCTGATACAGTAGAAGCTTACTGCAGGAGCTAAGTAAAAATGCTCTGCATGGATCTTTCCAGTCTAAAGGAGTGCAAATACAGTTTGAAACCCTTTAAGAACGCCCAGCAGCAGCCCTCTCCAGCTTCCCTTCCCCTCGGTCACACAGGCTCACTCCTGCCTCCCCGCTGTCTTCAAATGATCCTCCCCTGCCCAGGACCTCTTTTCAGCCTGGCAGCCCCATGACACCACTGAGGCTGCAGCAGGGCCCTTCCCTATAATGAGTGAGATGCCTCCTGGGTCATCTTTTCTGCACCACGCCACTGCCTTCCCAGCCTGAGCTCTCTGTATCATCTGATTTCCTTGCTCCTGTGCCCATGGTTCATCCTCCCCACTGGATATGAGCTCCACCAGGCCCACACCTTCCTCCCTGCCATCCCTGCCATGCCTGCTGCTGGGCCCTGTCAGGGCAGCTGGCTGTTCCACATCTCGCCTCTCTGAAAGTCTTTTCCCATAATGCAGCCAAGTTCAAGTTTGTTTACCTTCTCCCCGGTTAAAGCCTGATTTACTATCCCAAGAAGGAAGGCAGCAAAACTGTCACACATTAGATATTTACAAAGCAGTGCCCCGTTTTTCTCGGTGTTGCCCATATGCCCTGAGGATTTTGCATTGGCCACATTATCATAATTTGAATATGTCAAGCTAATATTTCTCTTAAGACTTTCTTATAGTTACATTTCCAAGGGAAATATGTTAGCATAAAATATGTTCATTTTATTTAACAAACAAATAATATGCCTTAGCCAGTTTAATACGAACACTGAAACTCCCGGGGATGACAGACAGAAGCATTCAGAAAAATGGAATCTACTATTTTTTCTATCCAAGTGCAAAACCCCAGACAAAGGACTTGCTCATAAGCATCTTGTTTAGTACTTTTTCTCCACGAATATTTGGAAAGGAGACTATCACCGTAACCTACTTTCAGTGAAGTGGATGAAAGAAAAGAGAAGTAGACAAATCTGAAAAAAAAAATCTAGTAAAAGAAATACAGCAAAGGAAAGAGATGAGAAAAGCGAGTCTAGGAAAACAGGGGCCTCCTGGGGGAAGGTCTGGGCCTGGGCTCTCAGCCCAGGCTGCCCATTTGGCTCGTGAAATCCACACTGGGTGACCAGTGGAATCAGAGCCCCGGGTGGGACCGGGGGCAGTGGTTTTTAAAGCTCTGTGGGCGATCTCGGTGCCCAGCCATGGTGGGAAGTCACTGCTCTAGACCAGTGGCTCTTAAACTCGAGGAAGCCTTGGAGTTAGCTGAGACACAGGGTTCTTGATTGCCCCCAGAGGTTCTGGCTCGGCAGGTTGGGGTGGAACCTAGGCATATGCATTTCTGACAGGTCCAGGGCCACAGGGTGAGAGGGAGCCTGTGCTCCGGACCGCGGGCATGCGGCCTTGTTGTGCTGGGCTGGTCAGTGTGCCGGTGGTGACTGTGTACTGTCCAGGGCCACAGGGCCAGAGAAACATGAGACTTCAAGATTGAAAGAGATGCCCAACTCCGGGGTGTTAATCCTGCCTCTTGTTCACCCACTCAATGAGCACCCCTCCCTCCCAGGGGAGTCCGGGACATTTCTTCCAGGTTTGATTACTGTGAGATCATCCATTAGACTGGTCTGAGCTTGCCTGGCAGATCTTCCTCACTGAACTCAGTGCCCCTGGGAGTAGAGGTTCCATTGTCCAGCTGACGAGAGGACTGGGGAGTTACAGTCTGGGTTTCTTATTCAAACATCTCCCCAAGACGTCTTGCAAAAAGGCATGGGTACTCTTCCCTGGTTCCTGGCCTCCGCCGGCTCACACTCAGGCATGTTTCCCTCCCCAAGGGGAAGTCCCTGCGGCTGCTCCCTTTCTAACCAGCCCCCACAAATACAAAGAGGACTGCTGGGGTGAGGGGTGGCACCAGAGGGCATGTAAAACTCGGTATCGTTTCTGTCACTGGAGATCCTAAAAAAGCCCCTCCTTGTTCCTGAGCCCAGTGACTTCCCAGGGCCTTTTCGGCTGCCTGGAATCTACAGCAGCCACCTGTAAATCAGAGGAAACCCATGCTGCTGTGCCTGGGATCCTTGAAGCGTTTTCTCTCTCTCTAGGGGGTGCTGAGCCAGCCCTTTCTGGATGCTGGGCCTGAGAGTCCCAGGAGAGCCCTGCTTTGCTTGCCCTCGCCCAGGGTTTGGCAGGAAGCGCTCATCCTGAGCTCTGGCTCTGAGGCTGCTCCTGGTCTTCTTTCTCTCTGATTTCTTCCCACTCCCTTTGCTCTGCCTCGATGCCCAGAGGGAAGGCATGCAGGGCCCATTCCACAGGTGCATCCTCCCGTCCCCGACTTCCCACCTGTCCTGGGATGGTGAGAGACAGAGAAAGAGGTAGAGAGAGACAGAAAGAGACAGAAACATGCACATGCACATGTGCACGCACACACACACGTGTACACACACACACAGGTCCCCACCCAGTGCTGAAGCAGGTAAGCCTACACGCCTCCTAGCCACAGAAGCGCTCGGAGTGGGGCATCTTCTGGAGTCCACGTGCTACGTCCAGATACTGAAAATCTTACATCTTGGGTCCTCACTTCTCAGCTGAGCTTCCAACTCATTTTTTATTCAGTTACCTACTTGGATGTCAAAGGCATTTCAACCTTTGCAGAGACCAAGAGAAAGCTTGATTCTCACATCCCCCTTATCACTTAAGCACATTCAACTCCCAGCTTCCTTGTCTTGCGGTATCACCAGCCAAAAACCTGGAGCTGCCATGATTCCACCCCACCCCTAGCGTGCACACACACACACACACACACACATACACACCCCTTCCCATCATCAAAGCCATTGTGGCTTTCAATCAAACTCAAACTCCAATAGCTTCCTAGAGCTCTCTGGGCCTCCATGTGTGATCACACCTGCCCTCTCCTGCCACCTCCCCTGGCTGCACAGGGAGCTTTCTATGCACTTTGTGTGTGTGTGTGTGTGTGTGTGTGTACACATGTGTGTATGGAGCCAGCAGGGAGCCAGTTAGTGGAGGTGAGCGTTTCCAGAAGCAGCATGTGGGGACCCAGCCCTGCAGCCTGGGTGGGGATGCTGGCTTATCTTCCTCTCCGCTTCTCAGCCCATCTCTGGGGACCCAGCCTCTGTGCTGCCACCTCCCTGCCCCTCTTTCACGTTTCCATTACTCTCATTGGATTCATGGTATTCTCTGTGTATGCAACAAAGACTGTGTTCTACTCTCTCAATTCCTTGCCATACTAGAGGGCAGCCAACTGCAGGGGCTTCCGTGGGGAGAACAATCCAGATGGGCAAGTGACCTTTGGACTCAGTCCCTAGGAGTGTGTTTAGAGACATCACTACCCACAGAGGTTACTTTATGAGGTAAAATTCTGAGGGATGTGAGGAATACCTTCTGGCCCCTCTGAATCTAAACCCTACTGTCTCAGCCCAGACCTCTGTCCTGGGACCACTCACGGGCACTGCTGTCTGCACCACCAGAAAATATGGAGACAACAGGAAGAGCTGAGGTCAGGATGTTTCTTCCCTGGAGCCCTGCAGCCAGGTTACTCCCGGTTTCTGCTGATGGAGGCTGGTTGCTCTGTCCAGGGGAGCCATCTACCTAGAGCACCCTGCCTTTGCATTGGATGACCACTTCCCCACCCTGTGACCTGCTTGCACCTTTGCAAGTAGTGCCTTTACTAAACTCCTCTGAAATGACCCTATTTTGAGTGTGCCATCTGTTTTCTGCTGGGACGCTGATTAACATACAGACTGTTACACTTTCAGATGATATTTTCCCATGATGTTTGCATTTCTTGAAACAAGCCTGCACTACTTTTATAGTACATGTAAACAGTAAAAATAAAACAAGAAGAGGCAGCATTCAGCACTCTGCAAGGGGAGCTGCTTCCTAACTCGGCTCACTCTGGTCCCAGGTTTCAACTCCAAAGGGGACACAAGCTGACCCAGTTCCAGCACTGTGTGTAAAAATTCCCCAAGGGGATTTTAGCTTAATGAGTTACAACAATGCCCAAAGGACTTGTTGAGAATGAATCAATTCACACTCTGGAATAGGAACTTTACAACTTTAGTCTGAATTAAGTTTAGGTGTTACAAGCCTAGTTTTTGGAGTTAGGAAGACCTGAGCTATAGTCCAGACTTAGCCTGTGTGAGTGTGACCTCAGACAAGTCACTTAATTTCTCTGAGCTCCAACCTTGTCATCTCAAAATATTTCTAAATTTAGGGGAGAACTAATTGAGAAAATATATGAAAAATGGTTAACATAATAAGCACTTAATACATACTCAAAGCGTGAAGATGATTCTCATTATCGTTATTCTAAATACTACTCCATGTGTAGAGCACAGCATGGGAGGTGAAGATACGTCAGCTTCCAGCTTCTTTCTAACAGGGCGAGCATGGCAAGAAGGTGCTCTCTTCTCAATCTGGCCTGGGCTCCTCTCATCATTTTCAGAGCCTATTCTGCCTGCCCTCTGCGATATGACCCTGAAGCCTAGGGTGGCAAAGCCTTTTATCAATGTCTTTATCACTGATGAGGGAAATCTTCAGTCTTGCCACATGCAACCCCCACAGTTCCCATATGCCCAGAGGCTGGATCACCTGATGCCAAGGAAGGACATGTCCTCTGATAAGGTCCCCAGAATGCTGACTGCCCACTGAGGTGGCTGGCTTGGGACAAGTGTCTTGCGGCAGGTCATCTGAGGGCTCCATGACTGGCTCGGTGGGGTCACAAGGCCATTTTAAACATTTGCTGTTCAGGAAGAGGCTTTTTCCAAGTGAGGATTCAAGGGGAGCCCTGCCATGGGCAGCCATGGGGACACAGGGATAATCCTCTAAGATGGCACCCCTGTCCTTGCTGCCTACCCATCTCCATCAAGCCACTCTGTGCCCACGGTGAAAGGGCCCCACTTCCCGTGTGAGTCAATACAACACATTCCACGCCAGCAATATGGAGCCATCGGGTGTGGAGGTAGAAAGGGTTGGCCTGAAGCTGTGCGTGCCCTCAACCTGCAAGGGGAAGTTGCTTTCTCCTCCAACCCAGATGGGCCTGGAGCAAACACTCACAAGAGGTTTTAGGGGTGGCACTTGAGGGACAATTGGTGTTTCATTGACTATGCCACACTCGCTGCTTTCTACCCCTAGCTGTCTCTCTCTGTTCATGGGTAGCCGTTTCCGGGAGTATTGAGGAGCTTGTGTGTGTGATATCCAGGCCCCTCAGGGCCTAGTTCATGGTCATCACTGATACAGCGACCAGACCCCTGCTGGATGGTGCAGGTCATACAACAGGGTCCTCTGTGGAGACAGACCCTCTAGCAGCTCCTGCCAGCCAGTTTGGGCTTTAAATCATAAATTTGGTGCTGCCTTTCCTCTGGAGGGAAATTTTCCAATGGCTTTTCCATGCCACTGGAATCAAATCCAGACTCTTTTCCAGGGCCTGCAGGTCCAGCGAGGTGTGCCTCTGGCTACCTTCCAGGGTTCCTCGAGCCCCTCTCCAAACTACCCAGGCTTCCGTGCCATCAAGCCTGGGCCCCCTCAGGACCTTGGCCTGGAGCGACCCCATCTGCTTATGGCTGTCTCCTCTTCACTCTTCAGGTCTCAATTCCACAAATCCCTGCTCCCCTGGTCAGGTCGGGCAGACCGCCCTCTGCACCCCAGCCCTGCCTCTGTCCCCGTTGAGCTGCCCCACAGCAGTGTCACCATTGACAGTCCCTTGTTTCCTTGCCCACTGCCTATGTCCTCTTCAGCATGTGAACTTCAGGAGAGCATAGGGCCAACGGAGATCCTTGCCTTTCTCCATCTGTGTCACCAGGGCCCTAGAAGGAGCAGGAGAACAGTTCGATATTTCACACCTGAATGGTATTTAATCAGTATGTGAGGGCTGGACAGATGCATGAATTCCCAGGTGGCTTTCCAGTTTAGAGACACGGGGCTCCTGCCTTTAAGACAGAGGGTCAGAGGCATTCCACCAACCAAGCCCCTCTGTGCACTGCAGGGGTAAGGGTGGACACACCAGCATCTTCCTCCTAAAAAGTGCGCACTCCCAGGACCCCCTGATAGAGGAAGACTGGGAGATGCAAGGGAGTGTGCAGAGGAAGCCAGCAGCAGGTGTGAGGAACCCCAGGACTTCTCAATGAGCCTGGGGCCAAGGGTAAGAGGCCGGGCCTGACACAAGTTCAGTGGGATCCTGAGCCTTGGAGCCGGCAGCTTGCCCAAGCCACAGCTGGCCAGGCTCAGCTGAGCCTCCCAGGAGGAGGAGGGCTGTATAAACAGGAAGTCTACCGCCCCGACACTGATGGGCCTTTGATAACTGCTAAACCCTCCTCAGTCTTTCTCCCAAACAGTTCCTCCCTTGGTTTGAAGTCACAGTTCTGGGGGCAGGAAAACAGATTCCACACCTTCCTGACTCAATCACCAGGCACCAGAAAGAGGGAGAGGATGGAAGCAAGAGGTGACAGAGAGAACCAGAGAGACGGATGAGGGAGGAGGGAAGGAAAAAACAGAAACACGAGGGAGACAAAGAGTGAGGAGGGGAAGAAAATAAGAAGAGAAGCAAAGAGAGTGTGGCACCAGGAGAGAGGTGAAGAGTGAGCTGAATGACCCTGTAGTTTCTCTAATGCAAAGTTTCTCTAATGCAAAGCAGCTAGCCCAAAAGGAGCTGATGAATGCCAGAGCTACTCTGGGGGGATCAACCCATGACCGACCTCTTCTGTTCACTCCCTGCTTTTAAAGCACGGAAGTCAGAGACATCATCCTTCAGAAGCGGGTCTCACCAGGAACCCCATGCTCTCACCTGGGCTCTCAGGGCCTGGGATGTGGCCCTTGTTCCCTTGGGGATCAGTACCTGGTGGTCCTGGCACCCACAGAGGCCTCCTTGTTGCTCTCTAGCGTGGTGACCCCTAAAAACAGAGGAACTTGGGTAGAGAGTTGCTGCCACTTTGGGACTGGTCATGCTGAAGTTCAAGTGAATCCTGGTGACTGTGCTCTTCAAATGAAAAAGATAGCGTGAAAGAGGGGAAAGGGCTGGGCGCAGTGGCTCAGTCCTGTAATCCCAGCACTTTGGGAGGCCTAGGCTGGCAGATCACCTGAAGTCCGGAGTTCGAGACAAGCTTGACCAACATGCAGAAACCCTGTTTCTACTAAAATACAAAAAAAATTAGCCGGGCATGGTGGTGCATGCCTGTAATCCCAGCTACTCAGGAGGTTAAGGCAGAAGAAACGCTTGAATCCGGGAGGTGGAGGTTGCAGTGAGCCGAGATGGCGCCACTGCACTCCAGCCTGGGCGAGAGAGGGAGACTTTGTCTCCAAAGAAAGAAAGAGAGAGAGAGAAAGAAAGAAAGGAAAGAAACACCTTTTGGATACTTTGTCTAGAAAAGAAAGAAAGAAAGAAAGAAGGAAAGAAAGAGAAAGAAAGAAAAAGAAAGAAAGAAAGAAAGAAAGAAAGAAAGAGAAAGAGAGAGAAAGAGAGAAAGAGAAAGAAAAAGAGAAAGAAAGAGAGAGAGAGAAAGAAAGGAAAGAAACACCTTTTGGAGGTGAGACCACACCGCTAGTAGCTACCTGCTCCTAGTGACCCACAGGGAATCCTTCACCAACTTGATCCTTAGTTTCTTCATTTGTAAAATAGGGAGAATGAGAGTGTCTACCTTTCAGGGTTACTGTTAAAGTTCAGAAGGAATAAGCAAGGGCAAGTTATCTGCAACCAAAGTGTGCCATGCCCACAGGGAAATCAGATAGCAAAGTTGCCTGTAGGTCACACATGTCTATCTTTTGGGGTGCATGCAAGCAGGCAGGTGGCTAGGTCACATGCTGAAAAGGCCTTAGATAAAGTGTGTGCTCCCTACAAAAAAGGGGGATCTGGCAGACTTTCCATCTGTTCCAAGTGCCCAGCACAAAGCAAAGGTATATCTCCTAGGTTTTCAAGACTAATTTGCCTAACTGGGCACATACTACACCCAGGCTTGGTGTTGTGTGAAGAGGCTGCTTGCTTTACAGATCTGCCTTCTTTACTCCTCCCATAGTCCTGTATGACGGGTATTTGCTATGCTTTGAATGTATCCCCAACAATTCATGTGTTGGAAACTTGAACCCCAATGCAACAGTGTTGGGAGTGAGGCCTAGCAAGAGGTGATTAGTTTATGAGAACCCTGCCCTCAATGTCATTGTCATGGGAATGAATTAGTTATCAAGAGAGTGGGCTTGTTATTAAAGCACGTTCAGCCCCCTCTTGCTCTCTTGCTCTGTGTATACTTGCTTGCTGTTTCACCCTCTACCTTGGGATGGTACAGCACAAAGGCCCTTCCCAGATGCTGGCACCATGCTCTTGGATATCCCAGCCTCCGGAATCATGAGCCAAATAAACTTCTATTGTTTATAAATTACCCGGTCTGTGGTATTCTGTTATAGCAGCAGAAAACAGACTACAACAGTATTATTCCCATTTTCCAGAGAGAGGACCTGAGGCTCCATTAGGTTGAGTTAAAGCCAAACGTCATTAAATCATTAGGAGACAGAGCCTACTAGCGGCTGCTAGTTCCCACGTATTCACCCATAACTACTGCACAAAGATGCCTCAGAATAAGAAGAGGACATGTTCTTGACTTTGAGGACATTGAGGAGCAGGAAGAAAATAGATACAAAAATGAGCAAGATGTTGTGTACATGATGCTGTAGGAGTGGGACAGGAGTGCAGTGTCGAACCTGTTCAACTGTCCATGCTATATAGTAGTCCCACAAGGTGAAGGACATATTATACTTGAGAGAGAGAGGTGGGAGGAATATGACAAGCCATGCTGAGATCATGTGCTTATCCCTGGATGGTTGGGGCAGTTGAACCTTGAGTGCCAATGTCCTGAAGGCCACAGGGGGAATGGAGAAGGAGCAATTACTCAAAGGAAAAGTGAGAGTTCCATTACCAGAAGAAAAGGGTGAATGATGGCTAGGCTGAACCAACCAACGTATTCTCCCCGTTTTCAGCTGACTAATTCAGGCCTCGTCCCCTGGTGCCTTTCTTGTATACCCGGCTCTCTTAGCATCTGCCAGTTCCATAACACTTAGCTAATGCCTTGTGCATATTGTCTGTTATCACTAGACTATGAATTCCCTGAGGGCAAGAATTAGGATTTTCATCTTTGAATCTCCAGGACCATAGTTCAATAAACGTTTAATATGGCAAGATGAACTTTGTCTTATGAAAAATGACAATTTTCAGAGCAGGGCAATGGCAGGATCTGATTTGTGCTCTGGAAAGATTTATCTGATCACAATATGGGGGCTAAATTAGTGGGGAAAGCAAATTGAGACAGGAAGACAAATATGGAGACTATAGGAGCCACCATCATAAGAGATGAGGAACCATGACAATGGTAGGGTGGAAATATGTAAATATCAGTATCTTCCTATGTTGGCCCAGCCAACATAGGAACATTAATTAACATTAATTGATTATTAAGGAGGAATGTCTTTGCTAAGCACGATACTGTATGGACATGGTAACAACTCAGTGTCACAGCAGAGCTTACAATAAAAAGCAGCCACCTCAGCCCCACTGTCCACACACAGGCTCACTTCTGCAGGCAGCCTCTTTCTATCATTTGTCTCTACTTCTTCTGCTGTTTATTTCACCCTTTATTTTCTCTTTTTGTTGTTTGATGGTTCATCTATATGTGCTGGGCTTCCTCATTCAGGTGGCCGCTTCTCCCTGCCCGCACTGTGAGTCCTGCACTCAGATTCCCAAATAAATCCTGGGGCCTGATGTAGGCACTGAGGATGCAGGATGCAGCAATGAACGAATGGGCCAGGCATCATGAAGTCTACATCCAAGCGGTGCATGCAGAAAGGAAACAGTGACTACGTAGGATCATGCCAGGACGTGATGCATGTATCGAATGAAGGGTAAGTAGTGAATGTCAGCTTGGTCTTCCATGGTGTGCTGGAGGGCCTTTCTGGGTTTGAGAACAGCACAGCCTCTTGTCCCCTAGACCTGTCTTCTTGATGGGGAAAGTTCTGAGACTGGACAAGGTGAGCAGAGAGGACGGCCTGGTGGAGTGTGAGGAGGGGAGAGCATTCACCACAGCCCCTGGGCCAGCCTCACCCACCCTTCCTAGAGGACAGCACAATGAGGGGACAGAGGCCAGCAGCTGGCCATGGCAGGCTGAGTCCAAGGCTGATTGATTCTGGGTGCCTCGTCTTCTCTGATAAGTGGTAGCTTGGGACCAGAATTAAATTTATTTGAAACACGTAAAGGAAAATGATGCTTTCCCACTGCAATCTGGACAGGCAGATTCACACCTGATACCTATACCTGCTTCTCTATGAAGGCAGCAGCAAGTATTGCCAAACAGAGGTAAGGAGCATGATACATGCTCTCCCTCCCTTTCCACAGACCCCGGTGAGGAAAGCTGGTCACGTCTACTGTCAGGCAAATAGCCCAGAAGCTTTTGAGTGAGCTGAGGGCTGACACTCACCCAACAGTAACACAGACACCCTCAGGCAAGGCGTCCAGGGCAGGGTGATGGCCGTCTCATCAGTCAGGCTCCCCGGGAGGACCACAGAACACCTTCTCCACTCTGAGGCCACACAGCCTATGTCCAGGTTCAGTGCCTTTCCCTCCCTCACAGAGGCCTTTCTCCAGGGCATGGAGCTCTCAGGGAGTGCAGGTGAGGGCCCAGACCCCAGCAGCACACCTGGGGCAATGGTATCTTAAGCTGCATTTCTGTGGCTGACTCTAAGTTTGACAGAATGGTTTCAAGGTATTCAGAATAGGGGAGTTACAAGGAGACCCAGTGAATGAGGCCGTGATGTTTGTCAAATACTCCCTGGCACACAACGCAGAAAGCAAATGTAGAAACTGCTCCAAAGTGATGCCTCCCAGGGGTTGAGGCTTTTCTGGGCTCTCTGTGGTGCTCAGTGCTGATGCTGCTTCCCAAAAGCTCTGAGCGCTTCAGTGCCCCCCGCAGGCCTCTGGGTACCTGGGACACTGAAGGCCTCTGGTACTTGATTATGCCCAGGGTCCTGGTGTCATAAAGAGCTCCCTGAGCATGGTTGCTTCTCTGATTTCCCAGCACCCATTCCCCCTCCCTAACAGCACGACTCTGTTTTGCAGAATCTTCTTTCCCTCTCCCTGCTCCCATCCAGCAGGTCTTTGACTTCCAAGCTGGGCCAAGGGATGAGCTGCTGGGAGATACGACCCTCAGTCCAGAGAGTCAAGGTGAGACAGTACCTGGATGGCGTTCCTTCTGGTGCTGGTTTCTGAGAGGGAAGGCAGGGGACTCCCAGCCCCCCAGGCAACCCTGGTCCTCATCCTGCCTTTTTTCTGGTTCTCAGTCTGGTTCTCCACTGTTCTTCCCATCTAAGAATCTAACACACACCCCTCAGTAAAAGTACTATTGCCTGAGAGGGCAGTAGGTGGTGGGAGGAGACTGGCACTTCTAGCTGGTATCTGAACCCTGTGTGACTTGGACTATGGATGCCAACAGGATAGTCTAAATCAACCGATTTATAGGCTCTGATGCCTACATCCATTTAAATGTACACGGATGTTTTGTTTTTAAAACTTTGGTAGCTGTCAAGTAGGCAAACATATGCAAAACATGGCGGGATGGGTCGTTTAAGCTCCTGAGGCTGAGGACCTGCTCTGTCTTCTGCTGCCATCAAGTCTAGGGTGCTGGGGGACACAGGATAGTGAGGTGTCGCCTCAGGGAGCTTCATGCTGACCTGGGAGGGGGAATAAAAGGGTCTAGCCCCACACCGATGATACTCCCCTGCTCTCTTCTCCTCCCTACACTTCCCCTCTTGCCGACCTCAAATATTCCAATTGTTTCATGTCAATCACTCCCAATTCTCCACCTTGTTCCCACTTTCACTTCTAAAATCCAGTCTCACATTTTCTATTGCCACCACCATGAAATCCCAAGGATGCCTCAAACTTATTAAATCTAACCTTTGAGCATCAAGCGATGTACAGGGATAGAGGGGAATAGGGCAAAAAGCAAGAAATGGGAGGACAATGGTTTTGGAGGAGCAGCATTTTGGTCCGCAGCGTCCCCAACTCCACACACATCACTTGGCACTGGGCATGCAGTGGGCACTTCATAGCTGCTCCCTGAGTGAATGCCTTCATGAAGGGCTCCAGCATCCCCTCAGCGGTGAAACCTGCGGAGTCCCACCACGCCTTCCTTCCTACTCCGCTCAGGCCACCCTAGCTCAGGCCCTCACCGCCTTGTCTCTGAGCTACAGGATCTTAATTGGTCTCCCCTCTTCAGCTTCCCCACTCCAATCCATTTTGCTGATTAAGTCTTTCTCAAGCCAAGTTGTCCTAGTATTTGTCACGTAAACATGTGTACCGACTGTGTGCCTGGCCCTGGGCTGAGGGCCTCACACACAGCAGCATGCCTGCTCTTCAAAGTCACCGTGTGAGGCCAGGACTCACTGTCCCCTCGCTACAGGGGAGAAAGCTGAGTGGAGAGGCAGCACAGCTCCCTAGCCATGCAGGTGGAGCATTCACTGGCCCCATACCTGGGCACCTGGTCATAGCACTGTTCTGTTGGGCTCTACATTGTATATATTTTTAATTTTCTGCATATTGCCATGTTTTGACATCTAAAAAATCCTTTCTAGCTGAGGAGAAACTGCAGCTCCTGGGCCAGTTATTAGAAAGAGGAAAGGGCCCAGTGGTGAGCATGCCTTTGAGGTGCAAACTGACCCATCAGAGCTCTCCCTCCTTTACCTGGGCCTTGCACCCCAGGAGGCAATACCCGCTGCCCTAACCATCCCAGGGACAGTTCTGTGGTCTGGATGTTCCTATCCCCCCAAAATGTGTATGTCAAAACCCTAACTCCCCGAGGTGATGGTATTAGGAGGTGGGGCATCTGGAAGGTGATCAGGTCATGGGGGCTCTGGGATTAGTGCCCTTATAAAAGAGGCCTGAGGGAGATCATTTGCCCCTCTCACTGTGTGAGGACACAGCAAGAAGGCACCCTCTGTGACCCAGGAAGAGGCCCTCATCAGACACCACATCTGCCAGCACCTTGATCTTGGACTTCCCAACCTCTAGAACTGTGAGAAATAAATGGCTGTTGCTTATCAGTCCCCCAGCCCATGGCATTTTTTACAGTAGCCTGCATGAACTGAGACAGCCAGGCACCAGACAACTAGGCACCATCTACGTCCAAAGCCCATCACAGTGACTCTGACACTCCTCGCCCTGCTCTGCCTTGCCTTTCCCACAGAAACCCCAGTAGAGGTCTTAGCCCAGCCTTCCCCTGTCCCTGCCTTCTGCTCCTGACTGCCCTGGTGTCCTTCCCACATTTGCCCAGCACAGCACCCTCCTGGCTCTAGGACCCATGAGTGTAATGGACTCTTCCCAAGCCTCTCCTGTGTCTCCTTCTGTGGCTGCACCCGACGACCATCATGTAAAAAAATAAGAGCTTCTCATTCAAACATTTTTAATTGCTCCCCAAAGTGTACAGAGAAATAATAATAGGTCCTTCAATCTGACATTCCAGAACTTTCTGTCTCTTCCCAGCCTCTTTCCAGGTGGATCTCTCCATTAGCGTCCGACTTGGCAACTTGGGGCTCTTCCCTCATGCTGGCTTTTCTCCTCCCCTTGCTTAAAGGAGGGTCATTTCTCCCCATGTTCAACTCCCACCTCTTGTGGAGGGCTAAGGTCATGCAATACCTGGAACCTCCTTGTGAAAATATGTCTGCATAACCTTACCGTGGGCCCTGTAGTAGCGCTCCTGTGCTGACCATGGCCTCCTGAGGTGTGTCGTGATGGCACCATCGCCTCTCCCAGGCTCTGGAGCAGGGAGAAATGGCCTCTCATGCCCTCACCTGCAGGGGGCCTCCCAGCCACCCCTGCATTCTCGGCAGCATTCAATGAGTGACCAGAAGGGAAGTTCTTCCTCAGAGCCCTCATGAATCTTCCTTAAAGAGAGGCCATCTGCCTCAACA
Source organism: Homo sapiens (assembly GCF_000001405.40). Taxonomy (NCBI): domain Eukaryota; kingdom Metazoa; phylum Chordata; class Mammalia; order Primates; family Hominidae; genus Homo; species Homo sapiens. The sequence goes on along the minus strand of NC_000010.11, from coordinate 44,344,803 downwards.
TCTCTAGGAAGGAGATCTCCATCTCGCCAGCCTGTGGCCAAGGAGATCAGAATGTCCAAACCTCTTCATAAGAACCCCAGGGCAGAAATAATGGATCACTCTTTCATGACACACAGTAACCCTCTTCCCAGCTGAGCAATTTGGTGTTTTAAAACACCAAATTCATTACTCCAGGTCATTAAAAATAATCATGAGTTAAAAATAAATATTCAGTATACGAATTAAGAGTTAGCAGGCAAGTTTCTTCTATTTCTTTTTAAGCCCCTGAAATCCCAAGTTCTCTCTTTCCCCAGTTTATTGAAATTCGAAAGCACGCCTGTGTTCTGCCAGGTTCCAAGTGACCCTACGTTAAAAAGACACCCTTGAGGCAGAGCAGGTGGTTGGTACGGACCTGACTGTAAAAACACATTGATTAATTTTTAAAAGTGCAGGGTATGTGGGGTTTTTTTGTTTGTTTGTCTGTTTTTTAACCACTGAGAATCCCTTCTTTCTGTTCTCCCAGCCAAAATAGTCTCAAGATTTTTCCCCAAAAGAGTTTCCAGGGGCAACTTAACAAGTGCAGAAAATTCAGAGGAATCTGTGCTAGCCTGATGTTTCCAAGCCCTACCCTGGAAGAAAGTACACAAGTTAAATGCAGGGAAAGTTATGCTGGGAAGCTGTGCTAGTAACTGGGAAAAAAGAGTAGGTTCTTTTGGGCAGCATGGTTCCCAGATCCGGATCCACAGGTGCTTGGCGCCCTCCTCAGCCCTGTCTGCCCTCCAGGAAGTGAAAGAGCACTTAACTGCCCTGTGGGGCTGCCCTATCCCCAGACACTGGGGGATTCTACCCTTTCAGAGCTGTAGTCCTTGGAACCAGGGGTTGGAAGGGCTTATGCCCTGAGTAGTAGAGAGAACTGCCTATGCATTCGAAGAACTGCAGCTGATTTTCAGGCCCCAGGAAACTTCCTGGTGATCTAGTTGCTTTGTAAGCTTTCAAATGCTTACCTGTCTTCCTCTGCAGTAGGGCTTGGGAGGCACATTCAAGCCCAAAGATTTCCTCTTTGGACTTTCATTTTGTAAAATTTTGTCCATTTCTCTAGGTTGGTCAAGTAAATTTTGGATCTTAGTTCTGTCACCCAGGATCTCCTCCCAGCTTTGTGTGCTCAAAAGCCTCCAGCTACTCAGGAGGCTGAGGCAGGAGAATTGCCTGAACCCGGGAGGCGGAGGTTGCAGTGAGCCAAGATCATGCCTCTGCACTCCAGCCTGGGCGATAGAGCAAGACTCTGTCTCAAAAAAAAAGAAAAAGAAAAAGAAAAAAAAGGAGGCTCAAGTTGGCGAATGTCCCAAGTGCCTTTTCAGCAGCCAGGCTTCCTCCCCCCATCAGCAGGAGATGAGAGACCTGGCAGACAGGTTGTGCCTCGGACTCACTGCTTTCTGTCCCTTCATTCCCTTAAGACCTGTCTGAATTTCACCATTGCCATGGCTTTCTTCTGTGCCGTTCAGATTTTTCAGCTTTCTTATAGAATTGAGTTTGGACTGAGAACACGGGGCTCTGAGATCTCCCCAGGAGAGAGGTGGAATCAGGATCCCCCTTCATTTACCCACCTGATCATCATCCCTTCCTGTCTTAGCTGGACCAAGACTGGCTTATGCCCCATGTGGAAACCAAGCCTGCCTTTGCCTGCTGTGTCCCGCCTTTCAGTCCGTGGATGTTTCTACATGTTAGAGGTGTGCCAAGGTTCTCATTTCCCAAATATTCGTTCCCAGAGAAGGACGCAGGTGAACCACGAGTTCTTCTGCATTCAGGATGTGGCGAGAAAGCCAGGTTTTCCTGCCCTATCCTCCCTCCCCTCAACAAAAGTGAGCCTTCCTCTTTTATACCAGTCTGGGCAGTGCAGAGTAGGAAACAAACAGCTCTGTTTCTCCCTCTCCTTCCTCAACAAATGTGTTTCCCTGCAAAGCAACTTCACTATTTGTGTGTGGGTTCTCAGTGCCCTCCATGGCAGCTGGCTGCAGGCCATCCCAGGGCTAACCCATAACATTCACAAGACAGCCCCATGGACAGAGAGAATCACTCATGAACTCCAGCAATTATGACGTTTCTTTCTTTTATTCTAATAGAGTAACTCTCAATGTATCTCCAGCTAAGTTATTTATCAAATAAAAAGTTCATATTCCATACCTAATTAGATTTCTTTGTAAGCTTCGACTGATCCATCCTATAGATCTGGTTTGTTGAGAATGCAATGACATATGAGAAGATGAAATGAAAGCAAGTTCATTGGGGGAGTTAATGCTTTAAAGTTGAGACTTCTTGGGACTGGTTCAGAGAAGGCTTCATTTCTGGGAAAGAAAAACAAAGAAAGATGAGATGGGAAGAAGCGAGAGGTCATATAATTTGGTTTAATGAGGACTGTTTGGGGAGCTGTGGCTTTTAGCCATGCCTGTAAAATTCTCCTTTGACTACATATGAGGGCTACATGAGAATTTTTCTGCTAAAGATTTAGTATTCCAGTTATGTATTACTGTGTATTGAACCATCCCAACATGTAGTGCCATAAACCCACCCCCATTTCATTGTGCTTGTGAATTCAGTGGGTCATGAGTCTGAACAGGATGAAAGGGGGTGGCCTCCCCTCCTCAGTCTCTAAGGCCTCAGCTGGAAAGACTTGAGTGGTCAGGCGTGATGCTGAGGGCTGGGGCTGAGCAGGGCCTTCTGCAGGTGCTGTCACTCAATGCCTGGGCTTGACAGCTGGGAGGCTGGGTCCTGTTGGAGTGCTGACCACAGTTCCTCCTCCTCACCTTTTTGCCTGGTTAGGCGGCTCATAGCATGGTCGCTGGATTCTAAAAGAGAGGGCCTGTGATGGAATATTTTATGTGTCACCTTGGGTAGGCCATAGCAGATATTTGGTCAAACACCAGCCTAGCTGTCACTGTGATGGCATTTTTAGATGATATGAGCATTTAAATCAGTATACTCAGAGTAAAGTCAATCATGCTTTATCATGTGGGGGGCCTCGCCCAGTCAGTTGAAGGTCATATAGCAAAAAGACTGAGGTACCCTGAGGAAGAGGGAATTCTGCCTCCCGACTGTGTTTGGGTTCAAGTTGCAGCACCAGCTGTTTCCTAGATCTGCAGCCTGACAGCCTGTTTTGCAGATGTTGTACTTGCTGGTATCCACAATTGTGGGAGTGGATTCCTTAAGGTAGATCTCTCTGTACACACACACACACACACACACACACACACACACACACACACACCCTATTAGTTCAGTTTAAGAAACAGTAATCGATAGGGGCCCAGGAGAGAGTCTCAAGAGAGATTATTAGAGGAGATGAAGGCTGAAGTGTCCAGGTCACGTCCCTAGGCTCTTTGGTGGAGCCCAGATTCGGGGGGAGGGGACATAGCCTACCTCTCCAGGGGAGGAATGTCAAGGAATGTGGAACCATTGTTTTCAGCCTCCACACCATGAAACTGCAGTGGCCCTTTGACAGCCAGGACCATACAGAGGGCAAGGGTTCCCAGTAATTGTCTAGGGAGCTGGGTGAAGAGCAGAGAGGAAGAGCACACCTGTGCTAAGAGCCCCAGCACCATTGCACAGCCTCTGAACACATCCTCTTAGGAGGAGCCCATTTGCACCTACATCTCCTTAGGACCAAGTCATCAAGGTGAACTACTGCCTCTGAGCTTTGGGAGAAACCTGTGGCACAGGCCATGGGATCTGAATATCTGGATGACACAGTAGGCAACTTGGAAGAGGGTGTAGAGGCAAAACCTAACATTTTGTGGATTAGGTTGTTGGGCGGCTGAACACATGGGCGACAAGGTCCTCCCTCTACTCCCAGTGCACCAGGTAGTACAATAAATTCTTTCATGGTCTCATTTAACCTTTGAAATAAGCATGTAGAGTAGTGTCTCAGGAATCTATTGTAGAACAAATCACTCTAACAGTCATTTCATCATGTACCCTCGTGGTCCTGGGGTAGAATAGGCTCGTCTGGGCTCTCCCTCAGCTGTGGTCAGAGGGCAATGAGGGCAGAAGTTCTCTCCAGGCTCACCCACTCACTGTGGATGTGCCATCTGCTGGGACCTCAGCTGGGACTGTCAGCTGGAAAGGCTGTGTGGGGTCTCCAGGTGGCTGCTTGGCTCCAAGCAAGAACATCCCAAGAGGGTCTAGCAGAAGCTGTGTAGCCTCTTATGACTTCACCTCAGAAACACAGAGTGTCACTTCCACGGCATTCCATTTTTTACCAGTGAGTCTCAAAGGCCAGCCCTCATTTGGGGGAAGGAGTATCAAAGAATTTGCAGATGTGTCTTAAAACCATCACAGGCAGCATGAATTTCTCTCACTATATAGATGAGGAAACCAAAACCTGGGAGCCTGAGTTGACCGTGATGGTGCACACAGCTAGCAAGCAGCAGAAGTGAGACATGAAAACAGCTCAGCCAGGGTCCGAAGCCTGTGCATACAACCACCCTGCCACCCTGCGTCTCTGTAGCCAATATTTTAGCAGGGCATATACTACATAGATACATAGGAACAGAATTTGAGATTGAAAGGCACGAGAAAGAACTAATAAACTATTCCAAGAGCAGGCAAGGAATGGGCTTGTACCACTAACAGAGGTCAGAAAAGGCTTCCCATGGCAGGTGGACTTGGCAGAGTGGGTAAGATAAGGATGCGCAGAGAAGCTGGAGGGGGACAGGAAAATGTGGCAGGGTGGACGGGGAGCAGGTATTTTAGGCAGAGACACTGCACATGTGGAGGCAGGAACATACCTGGTAACCCTAATAACAGCCCAGTGTGCATACAGTGATTCACAAAAGAAGAAAATGAAGGAGATGTGGACTGGCACCTGGTATAAAAGTGCTTAAATGCCAGGTCGAGGCCTTTTGCTTTCATTTAAAGCTATGCTTCTCCAAGTGGTCCCTGGACCGGCAGCATCAGCATCACCTGGGAACTTGCAAGAAATGCACATTCTTAGCCCCACCCTAGACCTATGTTTTAACAAGTGCTCTAGGGGATTCTGATACAGCCTTTAGTTTGAGACCGTCTGCTCCTAGGTATGGGGGGCAGGAGAGGTGGGGACCCAGCAGTTTTGAGCGAGAGAGTGCAATAATCTGAGTTGCTCTTCAGCAGATCACCCTGGCTGGGGTGTGCTGGGCAGACTGAAGTAAGAGAGCAAACCTTTGCCCCAAGGAAGGGTAATGCAGGGCTGAACTAGCACAGGAAGAGAGGAGGAAGGCAGGAAGGAAGGGCCCAGCACTGGGGCCCTGCAGCCTTGGGACTTGGTGATGGTGAGGAGAGCAAGTTCTCCCTCACAGCGTCCCATGTGGACCTCACAGGTACAGCCAGCTACTTAGAATTTCTCTAAATATTTGAACCACATGGCCCAGGAATCTAGGTATAAACTCAGGACGCAGGGGTTGGGTTACAGGCTCAGTTTCCTATTACACAATCAAGCAACTCTCTGCATTTTGCCTCCGGGAAAGCATTGCTTGGTCAAGCATTTTCTTTCAGCCCTTCATGCTTCATTGCAAGGCCTTTTGGCTAGACTCAAGGACCACTGAATTTTCTAAACCACCTTTGCAAAATGGGTTTAAAAATATGATCTACCACATATGGTTGAAAATTAAATGAGATAATTCTTCACACTCAATACTTATTAACCACTTTTATTATCACCCTCATGATCATTATCATTATTACTCACTCATTCATTCATCCAAGCTATATTTGCTGTGCACCCACTATGTGCAATGCTCTGGAAACATAGTGGTGAATTATCATGGCCACTCCTCTGGGTCTCTCTCTCCTTCATTGCCAGTTTACCTGTGAGATGGACAAGAACATGGGTCTTAGAACCTCATAAATTGGGTTTGAGCTCTAAATTTTTTAAAACATTAACTTTATAATCTTAGAAAATTACATCTCTAGGGCTCTTAATTCACTTGCAAATGGGATTGAAAGACTTGTCTTGTGTCACACAATTGTGTGAGGATGAAATGAGAAAAGAGATGTGGAGGCATTTGGAGGATGGTACAGGCTGTGCACCCTCAGGAAGTGCCAGGATTCCTGCTTCTCACTTCCCCTCCCTCAATCCCATGTCCTCCCCTTGGCCCGTTCACTCCCAAAGTTTCCCACTCTCTCTGGTCTCTAGGCCCAATTCCACACTGTAGTGTTGCACATTTCCCTGTCTCTGCTTCTGTGCTGCTCCCAGATGCTCTTCCAATTCAGTGAAAGCCAATTAAGTAAGCGATCAATTTGCCAAACGACTAATTCAGTGAACACACCAAATATACAGATTTGTCAACAACTTGCTTCTTTTGACTCTCTAGAGTATGTGGCAGTTCTTACTGAATGTGATGATGGTCACGGATATTTAAGGAGTATTTCATTTGTGCTGCTGTGGGGATCATGGAGGTACCAGAGCATAGAGGACTTTTCTGATGGAGGAAAATTCAGCAACAGAGGCCTGTCTGGAGGCTGACTCAGAGCGGGAGGGACAGAGGGAGCAGGAAACCATGGAGGCCACAGAGCCTCGAGCCCCCAGCTCCTATAGGCCTCTTAGGCTCTGCCAGTTCATCCAATATAAATCACTGGAGACTTTAATAAATACATTTTTTAAAGATCTATTCACTGATCAGTGTGTGGTCCACGGGTCTTGAGGGACTTGTGGAGGCTCAGACAAGCCCTTCCAAGTGGATTTTCAGCCACTTATGAGCACACGTGGCTGAGCCCTGATCTTAACGGCACAGGGATTAGCTTTGTCTCTGATGGTCGCCTGCCCTTCAACTTGAATCTATAACTCAGTGCACTTACCAAGGTCCCAGCAGAGGCCACAGAGGTGAAGGAAGAGGGGTCATTCTCTAGAATCCCGGATGTGGAATTTGGGGCCACCTGGAAGGGTCTGGCCCTTGAATGTTTTAGGTAACATCTTGCTGTATTTTCTCTGTCTGAACCTTCCCCTCAAAGCTACCACTTTCCCCACCTGTTTCAACAATTTTTTCTTTTCCCAGCCAAGATTGAGGGTCAGAAGATTTTCCGCATTCACAAATGTCCTCTGCATTTCTCAGCTTCCGGGCTGGGCTCTGAGCGTCATGGCTCAGAGCGCCTTCATTCCCCTTTCCTTCTCTGCTTTGCATCTGTGATTGTGTTAGTTGTCCCGGGCCTGTACCTGTGAGATATATCAGCTACAGTTCCACTGAGCATGCATGTGCTCACTACTGTAGCTTCTCACCACCAGGAGTAAAGTGGGGGTTCCCAGAGTGGAGGCAGTCGGGAGGTCTAGCTGGGCACACCTTAGTGAGGCTGAAACTGTCACACCTTCCCCTCTTGCTCCTGTATGAGGAGGAACAGAAAGCCATGTCTAACAGAAAGCTTAACTGCTGGGGTCCAGTGATCACATCCTGCACCATGAGCTCTGAGGGAGGACACCCCCTACCAAGGTGGGAGGACAGTGAAGGTCACACCTTAGGGTTTTAATTTGCCTCTGGGGAAAAAGAGCCATAGGCCAGAGGAACTTGCCTAAGACACACGCCAGGAAGGACAAAGGTGAAAGGGGCCATTCTGTGCAGCTGGTCCTCTCCAAGGCAGGGTCCTGAGTACACTGGGCCCCCAATTCACCCAGCAGAGTCATTGGCTAAATTCAAACCTGGCCACATCTCACACCTCACCAAACATTCCAGCAGCCCGTCGTCCTCCAGGACAATTTCCAAGCTCCCCGCTCTGGCACATACAGTCTTTAGTATCAGGGTCCTGTCTATGTCTCCAGCCTAACCGCCTATGTTGGTATTTTACTAAGCCACACCCTATCTCTATGTTTTTGCTCATGCTGAGCCCCCGAGTGAATGTCTGCCCATACCCTCTTGTTTCAGGGGTAGCTCTTACCAAGCGTTTTAGTCTGCTTGGGCTGCCATAGCTAAGTATCACATACTGGGGGCTTACACCACAGGATTTATTTTCTCATAGTTCTGAAGGTGGGAGGTCCAAGATCAGGGTGTCAGCAGGGTTTCCCCTGAGCAGATGCTGTCTTCTCCCTGTGTCTTCACGTGGTCTTCCCTCTGTGGATGCCTATGTCCTAATCTTATAAGAACACCAGTGATATTAAATTAGTTCTCACCTTAATGATCTTATTTTAACACAATTACCTCTTTAAAGACCCTGTCTTCAAATACAGTCCTATGCTGAGGTATTGGGGGTTAGGGCTTTAACACTGGAATTTTTTCAGGGGACATAATTCAGCCTGTAATAGGAAGTCCAGGGTAGGGGGACTAATTGATCTGCTTTGAAGGGTCCTAACTACAAGGGGCAGCTGACCTCAGCACTGTCCCTGCAGCCCCGGGCTGGGTCCAGACCCCCGTCTGGGCCTCCCTCTGTGTCTCCACCATACCCTTCAACTCACTGGTTCCTCTGAGATTCTCTGCTGATGCAGTAAGAACTCTGGAGTGTAGGGGCCACTTCCCACTCACCTTTCTACCCCAACACCTAGCATATATTAGGTGCTCATATGTGCAAAGAAACTAACACATGTTCCCTGGGTGGTTTCTGGTCCTTCTTGTCTTCATGCCCCTTGCTGGAATGCCTCTCACCCTTCCCACTTTAACTCAAAGGTTTTTTATATCAGACCCATGATAAAGGCCCAGATGTAATGCAGAAAACCATTCCAGATTCTTCCACCGAGGTTTGACTGGACTGGTGTCTCTTCCTCTGTGCACAGAGCTCTCCCCATCCATTGTCCTCTGCCTTGGGTTTGGTTATATGATGTAGGTTTTGCTATGAACACCTCTCATCCTTTCCAAAGATGGGAGAGCAGGAACCACCTCCAACCCATCACTAGGATGACCACACCCGCTGGGTTTTAGCCACGGCAGCTCACAAAGCCCTTCTTGGAATGCTCTCGTCCTCTCAAGAACAAAGGTGGAAATCAAGGCGGAGGAGGAAGTGAAGCCCAGATAAGACTCACAGCCTGGGTGGGTCACACAGCATCATAGGTCTGTGGGTGGAGCTTCAGGTTGCAAATCTGCCCCAGGCTGCCGGACTTGCCCCAGGACGTGGAGCCTGCTGATGTCTGCCCCAACCTGTCTTACTCCTGTCCTACATTTTGCATCATTGAAACCCCTCACTAGCCTGGGGCTTGCTAGGGATGGGAGTCTCCAACTTCTCTGTGCTGATATAGTGGCTGGGGCACAGTCCCCATGAGACACGTCTCCAGAATTTCCTAACTGATTGTGATCACCAGCTCTGTGCCCATCTGTGATGTGAAGGCGGTTGCACTCATTTTAGGAACATGAGAACTGAAGGCTCTCTGTCTGTAACTGGAGACTGCCCCGGACAGGTCTAAATTTAAGTTCTGTGCATGCATCATTTTAATAATAGCTAACATTTATCCTGTGCCAGGCAAGAGGGCTCTCCATGTATTCCAATAAATATCTCACAACCCAATGAGGCCTGCTCTCTTGTTGCATTATAGACAGGGAAACTGAGGCATGGGAGATTAGATTATGTCCTCGGACCAGCCCTCTCACTAACACCAGTAATACGCTTGATGTTTCTGCTCCATTCTAGACCAGAACTTAAATGGAAAACCCCAAGCGAAGAGTTTGCAAATGCACACGCCTACATTATGGAGCTTCCTAAGCTAGCCTGGTGCAGGTGAACTGCATATCTGCTGGGAACTCACGCAGATGCAATGCTGACCATGCAGCTCCATGGCCACTCTGGCCTCTCTGTAGCCTGTTTCTCTAACTGTTTCACTGCAGCTGTGGGGACCATGGGGTTTAGCAAGGAATTAACCTAATTGTATCCTGTGAGTCATGGACATCGCTCAGCTAATAATAACAACAGCTAACCCCTGTACAAGCACAAGACCTCACAAATCACAGAGCTCCTTTACCCAGGAGAGCCCAGTTGATCCTTCTTGTTGCCTGTCCAGGGAAGTGGGTAGTTGTGATGTTTCTTGTTTTCTAGGTAATCCAAGGGCAAGACAAAGGGACAGAAGGTGGTGGTTTCTTGGCTGTGTGCCTGGAAACCTGAGGAGCCTCAGCATGAGGTGGATCCCATGGAATCTGAGCACTGAGCTGTCTTTATTTGGGGTTTCAGAGAGAACACAGATGGGACAGATGCTGCCCCCGCATTATGGGTTATTGCAAAAGGGACAGAACAGGATTCTTGCAAAAGTCTCCACAAAGACAGAGCGAGGAAAATGACAACACGCAGCACAGAAAGGAGGCAGCACCTGCAAGTGATTGGGGCCTTCAGGGATCATCTTACGCTGGGGTTTGAAAGTAATTATCCCCAGTTTATTATTCAGAACAGCAGCGTTTATAGCTGAGCAAGTCAGAAGAGAGCAAATCCAAGCCCCAATGGATGGGTCACCCCTTCTGATCTTTGGCCTTCTCAACCGCACCGATGTCCAGGGTCTGAGCTGTAAATTACGGTGGTGGCGACCTCTGGATTGGGCAGCTGCACCTGGGAGAAAGACATCCATGCTAAAAGGCAGGATGCAATCTTCAGGGCTGCGAGACCCCAAAAGAAGAGTTCAGTGTCTGAATTTTTAGGGCATGGAAGAAACAGAGGAGACTCCGTGGGTTAGGTAAAAGCCCTTTGCTCTGTCACCCAGATGCAGGGGCAGGGCTGGGCATGGAATCAGGAGGCCTTCCTTCCACTCTGGTGCTGCAAAGGACTGGGCTGGACACTCCTGGGTATGGGGTCAACTTAGCCTTGAGCTTCTGAGCTTGGCCTCTGCAGTGCAACTTGTCCTTCATCTTTCTCTCCAGCTCAGCCCTGTGACCACCTGCATAGCCAGAGTGGAAGGAGGCGTTACTTTCCCTTTCTGAAAAATGTCAGGCTTCACTGGTTTGTTTTCTTTTCTCCCCTTTCTCTTTCTCTGTTTCTTCATTTAGAACAGATCTGCATCAGGCAATTAACTGGTACTCAACAAATTGTTGATACATGTACTGCAATAGTCTCCTCTTATCCCAGGGGCACGCGTTCAAAGACCCCAGTGGATGCTTGAAACTGCAGATAGTGTGGAACTGGATGGACACTGTGTTTAAGCTCCCTGGGCTTCTTTCATAAGAACACCAACCCCTTTCTCCAGGGCTCCACCCGCATGGCGTGCTCACTCCTCATGGGCCCCTTTTGCCCTTTGCCACGCGAGGCCTCCTAGACAGCATTGTCTGTGAGGAACACGTCCTCGCCAGGCACCAAACATGCTGGCATCTTCATCTTGGGCTTCTCAACCTCCAGAACTGTGAGAAATAAATGTCCGTTGCCTATAAATTACCCGGTTTAAGATATCTGTGATAACAGCCTTGAATTGACTGAGACAGCGTCGCTTGGCTCTGTGGTGTCGTAGTGCCACTCAGATTCTCACTCTTCAGGGACACCAGCATGTGCCTCCAGGGCTGTCTGGTTTCCTGCTTTCTGAACAAAAGTTTATTTTTCTGAGTGGTATCACCTCTGGACAGAGAAGATAGGGGGTAGCCATCATCTTTCAGGGACCCTCAGCAGAAATAGAGTTACTATGATTCTTTACATACATAAAGTGCTTGCAGAGCACTTTCCACCCATTATCACACCCACTTCTCCAACACTTCTTTAGGTCCGGGATTATGGAATGTCAGAAGCAGCGAATTAATTCCCCAGGGACAGTTGGAAAGTGGGACTAATACAGGATCTGTGCCACCACTTTTTGTCCAGAACCATATATTTTTGCATCCTTCCTCTTCAAATTTATTTCAAGAGTAATTTTCCTCCATGGTTGATATTAGCATTGGGCTGTGTCATTTTCCCACCAATTACCCCCTCCCCATTTACCTTTTCTTCAATGATCTAGTTACTTTTTGCCTTAATTACTTACCTGTTCCTCCTGGACCTAGTTATAGTTTCTCCCTAACTTTTGGAAAATATGAAGTAAAAGAACAGACATTAGTAGAGGACTGATCAATGCTCAAAGCCAGGTGCACCTGGGACGGGGAGAAGCTCAGTGGAGTCATCATGCATCCCTCAGTAGCCACTGCTTTCTGGGTGGACGTTTTGGGGGGTCCCTGGCTGGCTGTGTATGATGGATCTGCATAGCTTGTGAGCACACTTTCAGTTGCACTCCCAGATAGTGGTTGGCTGTTACCATCCTGGCTCCTAGGTGCTCCCGAGATTTCTGCAAAACTCTAAGCAGGCACATCAGCCTGAGAACGTGACCGCCAAAGACTGCCCTGGTCCCCTCTCTGCCTGAATAGTCCCTTTGGCTTTTCCCTCGGTAGCATCCCGGAAGGTCACTTCACCCCATCCCCCAGTGCCTAGGGCTACTGTGGGTGCAACAATAAGATTGAGAAGGAGCACAGGCTTCTGAATCCAAACCTCTCGGGATCTTGGGACCAGCTTCCCCATGTGCCTGCTGACACATTGGGTAAACCAATTCCTGTAAAACTGGAATAATCATAATACTTACATTGAAAAAGAGTTGTGAGAATTAAAAAACATATATCTACAAAGAACTGTGTTGTGCACAAAGTTATCACTAATGTTAATGATATAAGACTCAAGAAATGTTTTCCCCTCCAAATGTTCAAACCTTGGATCATTGGGGATGCCTGCCATGATCCCTGAGAAAAGAACAGTAATGAAAGAATTCCAAGCAGCTGTTTGCTTTGAGGAAATGTATTGAAGAGAAAATAAGACATTGTTCCCATTTTTATGAACAGTTTTGTGAATAACATGGGCAATCCCTCCAAACCAGTCCCTTCTACATCCTCTAAAACTAACCAGATTTTATTATTTAAATATGTATGGATATTTACCGTATTTGCTGGAATGTTCATTTGAGAAAACAAATATGTGAGATCCAAGGCTGTGTGTTTATAAAGCATTTCCCACATAATTTTAAAAGAATTCAACACAGTTTATAGCCACATTTTAATTCCAATTAACGATACAGTGAGGCTGGATTTTTACATGGCATGAGCATTTAAAAAATACATGTGGTTCTCATATGATTAATACAGGTGTGCAATCACAGCTAACATTTTCTTGAAAGACAGCAAACTAGGTCTACTTTACCTGCTGCCTTTCATAAGCTGTGTGACTTCAGGTAAGGCTTACTGTTCTGAAGTTCAATTTCATCACTGTAAAACTAAGAGCCCCTGAAAGAGTGCTGTCATGCCAGTTATTTCTCTAAAATATTATGTTAAGAATGAAATTCACTAGTTCAAATTATTGCAAAAATTTCAAATTGCTGTATTCACTCTCTTCTCTTGAGAAATGCTGTTCTTCATTTCTGCAATATATACACACATATGTGTGTGTATGCAGGTGGAGCATTCCAAAACTAAAATTTTTAAATCCGAAATGTTTCAAAATCTGAAACTTTTTGAGTGCTTACATGACACTCAAAGGAAATGCTCATTAGAGCATTTCAAATTTCAGACTTTCTGATTTGAGATGTTTGACCACTATAGTACAACTATTCCAAAATCTGAAAAAATCTGAAATCTGAAACACTTCTGGTTCCAAGTATTTCAAATAAGGGATACTCAACTTATATCAATATCTGTATCTATCTATATCTATATGCCATGGTTTGAATATGTCCCTAAAATTTCATGTGTTGAAAACTTAATTGCCATTGCAACAGTATTAAGAGGTGGGGTCTTTAAAAGGTGATTAGGACCTGATGGCTCTGCCCTCATGAATGAATTAATGCTATTATCATAAGAGTGGGCTAGTTGTGGCAGGAGTGGGCTTTTGATAAAAGGATGAGTTTGGCCCAGATTTTTTCCCTTGTGTGTGCTCTCTAGTCATGTGACCCCTTCCACCATGGGATGACACAACATGAAGGCCCTCATCAGATGTGGCCCCTTGATCTTGGACTTCCTAGCCTTCAGAACTATGAACCAGATAAACTTTTATTATTTATGAATTAACTACTTTGTAGTATTCTGTTATAGCAGTAGAAAATGGACCAAGAAAATATATATGAATATACAAATATAATTGGAAAGACATTGATCAAGAGCATAATTCCAGGGTACTCTGGTGTACATATCTATGGGTTTTCCATCAAAAGATATGATTCTCAATTACTGGTAATGTGACATTAAGCAAATGACTTAGCCTCTCTGAGCCTGTAATCCAAGTGCTTTATCTTCATCTTTCTCTGTATCTGTGTCCTAGTTTACACTTCCTTATTTTCCAAGGCCAGAGCACAAAGATTGTTCATTTCCTCCTTTGCACACCTGGATAAGGCCAGCACAACTTGTTTTCTGTGGAGAATTTTACTTTCCTTTTTTGTCAAATGCTTTTGCATTTTTGCATCAATTGATAGGATCATGTGGCTTTTCTTATTTAGCCTGCTGATATATATGGTGGATTACACTGATTGACTTTCAAATGTTGAACTAGCCTTGCACAATTAAAATAAATCCCACTTAGTCATGGCTTATAATTCTTTTTATACATTACAGAATTCACTTTGTGAATATTTTGTTTATGATTTTTGCATCAAAGTTCATGAGATGTATTGGTCTGTAGATTTTTATTATTATTATTATTTTGGTACTGTCTTTGGTTTTGTATCAATACAATACCAGCTTTACAAAATGAATTAGGATGTGCTCCCTCCTCTGAACTAATTGTGAAAAAATGATGTTAATTTGTCTTTAAATGTAGGGTAGAATTCTCCTGGGAATCTGGCTGGTTCTGGACATTTCTGGGAGCTTTTTTTTTTTTCAAGACAGAGTCTCGCTTTGTCCTCCAGGATGGAGTGCAGTGATGTGATCTTGGCTCACTGCAAACCTCTGCCTGCTGGGTTCAAGCAATTATCCTGCCTCAGCCTCCCAAGCAGCTGGGATTACAGGTGCCCACCACCACATCTGGCTAATTTTTGTATTTTTAGTAAAGACGGAGTTTCACCATGCTGGCCAGGCTGGTCTCGAACTCCTGATCTTGTGATCTGCCCGCCTTGGCCTCCCAAAGTGCCCAGATTACAAGTGTGAGCCACAGCGCCCAGCCTCTGGGAGCTTTTAAATTACAAATTCCACTCCTTTTATGGTTATAGGACAATTGAGGTTGTCTATTTCATCCTTACTGAATTTTTCTAGTTGATGATCTTTGAGGAATAGGTTTAGTTTTCCAAGTTAAAGAACTCATAAGTATTAAGTTGTTCATAGCATTTTCTTATTATCTTTTTTAATGACTGCAGAATCTGTATTTATATCCCCTATTTCATTCCTGATATTATTTGTGTGTTTTTTCTCTCTCTGTTTTTTAAATTTTTTATTTTGTCAGCCTTTGTATTAGTCCATTTTCATACTGCTATGAAGAAATACCTGAGACTGGGTAATTTATTAAAAAACAAAAAGAAGAAAAGAGGTTTAATGGACTCACAGTTCCACAGGGCTGGGAGGCCTCACAATCATGGCAGAAGGTAAAGGAGAAACAAAGGTACATCTTACATGGCAGCAGGCAAGAGAGCATGTGCAGGGGAGCTACACTTTATACAACCATCAGAGCTCGTGAGACTTATTCACTAAGCACAGGAAAAACCCACCCCCATGATTCAATTGCCTCCCACCAGGTCTCTGCCATGACACGTGGGGACTATGGGAGCTACAGTTTAAGATACGATTTGGGTGGGGACACAGCCAAACCATATCAGCCTTGCTAGAGGTCTAATTGTATTAATATTTTTTTTTTGAAGAACCAGCTTTTTGCTTCATTGATTTTTTTCTATTCCTTTTCTATTTACAATTTTGTGAATTTCTGCTGTTTATTATTTTCTTCTTTCTGCTTGCTTTGGGTTTACTTTGTTCTTTTTTTCTCCCAGTTTCTTGACGTAGGATCTTAAAGTATTAATTTGAGATTACTCTGATTTTCTAAACTAATAAATTAGGGCTATAAATCCCCCCTCAGCACTACATTAACTGCATTTCATGTATTTTGATGTGTTGTATTTTCATTTGTTTTTTATTTCTTTTAAGACTTCTTCATCATCTTATGGGTTATTTACAATTTTGTTGTTTAATTTGCAAATGGTTGGAGATTTTTCTGTTGTTCTGTTATTGATATCTAGTTTAGTTACATTATGGTCAAAGAACATATTCAGTATGATTCTTATTATTTTGAATATATTGAGGCTTGTTTTATGACTCAGAATATGCTCTATCTTGGTGAATGCTTCATGGATGCTTGAAAAGAATGTGTATTCTGTTGGCATTGACTAGAGTGCTCTATAAATGCCAGGCAGTTCCTGTTTGTTGGTGTTCTTCAGTTCTTCTAATTACTGAGAGTGGGGGGTGTTGAAGTGTGTAACTATAATTGTGGATTTATCTATTTCTTCTTTCAGTTCCATCAGTTTTTTATTCATGTTTTTTAAGGCTTTGTTTTTTGGTGGATACATATTTAGGATTATCATGGCTTCCTAGAGGATCAATCTTTTTATCATTATGGGATCTCATTTTTATCTCTAGTTACTTTTTTCTTTCTTTTCAGGTCTACTTTACCTGATATTAATGTATCTACTTCTACTTTATAAAAATTATGTATAATGGTATATCTTCTTCCATCCTTTCACTTTCAACCTACCTAGATCACTCACTGGCTATGAAATCTGTGTGTCATTTCATTTTATGTGTCTTGCAAACAGAATACTTTTTACCATGTTTTAAAATTCACTTTGTCAATTTCTTTTAATTGGTGTACTTAGATCATTTACATTTAAGGTGTACTTAGATCATTGGTATACTTAGATCATTTACATTATTGGCACATCAGGACTTACATCTGCCATTTTGTTGTTTTTTGTTGGTTTCTTCTTTCTTATTCCTGTATTTCTCTTCTTACTTTTCTGTGAGTTACTTGAACAATTTTTTAGGATCTCATCTTGGCTTATTTGTAGTAACTTCCTTCTTTGGAATTGAGAGAAGCTCCGATCTAAATGTTATTATGTTTTACTGTGGGAAAGGCTCATTACAGGAACTGCATGTGACTCTTACAAAAAACACAGCACCCAGGACCCAGGCTTCTTTGGGGTAGAGAACCCATAACCAAGTACAGGACCCTCTCCACCCTTCACATGAGGAAGCTTTGACAAAACTCAGCACCCAACAGCAGTGGAGCAGTAGATAGCAATGTCACCAGGACCAACCATCTGGCTGTGAGAAAGCACATCTCAAATTTATCACTGGAAGGAATCCTGAGAGGGAAGATAGAACTTCCCATGGTTTGCAG
Source organism: Homo sapiens (assembly GCF_000001405.40). Lineage (NCBI taxonomy): Eukaryota > Metazoa > Chordata > Mammalia > Primates > Hominidae > Homo > Homo sapiens. The sequence continues at coordinate 44,327,595 of NC_000010.11, read as the reverse complement.
GATGGGTGCTCAAAATTTAGCCCTATAAACCTGGAGTGGGCTTCCTTTGTACCTCATGCTGGGGAAAACATACATCAACGGAAATGTCAACGGTATCTCTTCCTTACCCAGAATTATCCATCTAACTGCAGCCCTCCTCACAGTGACCTATTGAATCCAGATTATCTGCCTTACTTGGCAGAGAAGAATGGAGACAACCTTCACCATCCTCTATGTCCCAAGTGAGATGCAAGTATGTGGCCAAAAGTCCTGTAGCAAGCATTTCCCCCAAGACGTTTAGAGCTTTCAGACACTCAACCTCATTGGTCCTTGAGGTAAAGATCAAAGTCTTTATCTGTCTGTTATAAGTGGAAAGATTAAGGAATGGATGCTTGCCCAAGGTCACATGCTAAGCCAATAGCTGAATTAGTAAACTCCCTCCTTAGATCTATGAGTTAATTGGACATGCTAGCTAATATCTGCAATGCTACATATTTCTGATGCTTAGTTTATAATCTAACTGGACTTCTGCCTTCTCAGAAAGAAGTGTACAGTCTGGTTCAGGGAGACCTGGTTCAGTCAGGGCTCAGTTAGCATAATACATAATGATGAGGGTGACATGTAATAATAATAGCTCACCTCATCTTGAGGTTTTTAGGACTCTCACTGGATTTGATCATTCATTAATTCCTACATTCATTAAGTAATCTCTGTCAAAAGCCACTAGAGCCCAGCAGTGCTCAGAGTCAGGTGCTGCAGAGGGGAAGGTGTCAGGTTGGTGAGAGAGGCAGCCAAGTAAACAAACAATTACAGATGCAGGGACAAGTCCTATGGGAAAGGGAGCTACAAGGAGCCAGGAGACAGGAAAAAGTGGGCTGAAGGAAACTTTTCAGAAGTGGCTGCCCTTTATTTAGAAATTTGGCAGGCAGCCAAGGGGACAAAAACTATTCTAAGCAGATAATGTTCTAGATAGAAGGGAGGGACAGCAAGAGCAAAGACATTGACTTAGCACTAACTAATGGTACATCCATGAAAGACAAGGAACTCAGTGTGGCTGGAGACCTGGAAGGCAAGCGTAGGTTTATGGGAAATTAGATCAAGGAGAGAATCTGGGGCCAGATTGAGGGAGGCCTTCAACATCTGCCACCTCCACAGCAGTGCACCATGTTGGGAAGAGCATGGGGATTGGAATCAGATGATCTAGTTTTAACAGGGATGCTGCCTTGTTTATGGGATTCCTTGCTTTCCCCCCTCCCAGCCACCCAAGGTGGCTAAGGCATTAGGCAAAGAATGGATTTACGAAGCCGTAAAAATACCAACTCAATATCTTCTAATGGTTGGTATATGTGTCTGGATTTAACATCAGCTGAGTGGAGCTTGAAGCCACTTTGCTCTGGTTATAGGATCTAGTGAAGCTTAAGAAACTGGCTGGAGACCAGGCCTGTGGAATAATTGTTTGCCAACATCTGCTTTCAAGGTACGTGGAGCTGCTGCTTTCAGCAGTCAGACTTTCCACTGCTCTCTTACAAGCATCTTGGGAGTGTGTTCTCCAGGGGCACTGCTCAGTGTCAGAAAAGTAGACACACAGATCCCAGGACAGGTTAATTGTGTCCATTCACAGCACCGCATTCACATACTCTTCCTAAACCCTTCCCTGCAAGAGAAGCTCCGGGGATCGTCGTCAGTCAAGATTGATGTCTTTTCTCTTCTCCTTCTCCTTTTTTTTTTCCTTTTTATTTCCTCCAGAGAAGATGATTTATTGAGTACAGTAGCCAAAGTTGGAAAACATCTAATACCTTGTCTATTAAACCAGAACCAATGGACCTACCACTCCGTTTAGAAAGCTGTCTACACCTAGGCCTAGTAACAGCTGTGTTGACAGTCCTGGGATGAATGAGGAAAATGTTACAGAGATTGAAAATGTGTGACTAAGTGACTTAATTCTTTGATGCTTTACTCTCAAAGGAAGACTGCTTGGAAAACTTGGATGTTTCTAGAGCTAAACTGCCTAGGGTGTCATGGTTTTTCCCGTTTATCTAAGTACAGCTGTTTGATGAACACACTTCACACCTAAAAATACACACACTGTACCAACACACACACACACCACAAAACACGTGCATGCAATTTCATATTTCCAGAGAGCCACTGTGAGTGCTACCATTACTTGCCTCCTGCTGGAGAAGAGGAGTGAGGTAGGTCAGCATTATAACAGCTCAGATCACATAGCTTGGCATATGATATGCCAAGTGCTCTGACAACTAATTCTCTCAGTAACCCTTCCAGGAAGGCGTGGTCCTTTCACTCACAGGTGAGAAAACAAAGGCTCAGTGGAGCTCAGGTACCAGCTCAAAGTCCCACAGTGACTCACTGTATGTTTGTCTGGCTCTCATGCCTGTGTGTTCTCTGTGACTATGGCAAACCAGACTGTCCTCCAAAGACAACGGTGTCAAGGAAAAATATAGTCTTATTTCCGCAGACAGGTATAGTCACCTCCTCTGAGTTCATTCATTTATTTAATGAATTTACATATGCTGGTCTACTACATGCCAAGCACTTCTCATTTAGAGAAGGTTATCACAGCCTAAACCAAACATACTGGAAAGCTACTGCAGCTGCAGGTTTTGTTTCATTTATGTCTCACATATTGAGAAGCAGAGAGTACTCTACAAGCCAGGTAATCAAAAGAATAGGAAATGAGTGATATCTGCAGGTGTCACTTCAATGATTTCAACGGGGACATCACTCTTGGCTCTTCAGCAGGTTTCTTAGGTTCTCATGGCTATTCTAACAAATCACCACAAACTTGGTGGCTTGAAATGACAGAAGTTTATGCTCTCACACTTCTGGAGGTCAGAAGGCAGAAATGAAGGTGTCAGGTGAGCTGCACTCCCTCCAGTGCCTCTAGGGGAGGATCCTTCCTTGCCTCACCCAGCTGCTGGTGGCTGTGGCAAACCTCAGCCTCCTCAGCCTTGTGGGAACAGAATTCCCATCTCCATCTCACATAGCCTCTTCCCCCTGTATCTGTCTCTCAGTTCTCTCTTTTCCTTTGCCTTTCCTTTCCTTTCCCTTTCACTTCCCCTTTCTTTCTTTCTTTCTTTCTTTCTTTCTTTCTTTCTTTCTTTCTTTCTTTCTTTCTTTCTTTCTTTTTCTCTTTCTTTCCTTCCTTCCTTCCTTCTTTCTTTCTTTCTTTCCTTCTTTTTCTTTCTTTCTTTTCTTTCCTTCCTTCTTTCCTTCTTTCTTTCTTTCTTTCTTTCTTTCTTTCCTTCTTTTTCTTTCTTTCCTTCTTTTTCTTTCTTTCTTTCTTGGCTTCTTTCTTTCTTTCTTTCTTTCTTTCTTTCTTTCTTTCTTTCTTTCTTTTCTTTCTTTCCTTCTTTTTCTTCCTTTCTTTCTTCTTTCTTTTCTTATGGGGTCTCAATCTGTTGCCCAAGTTGGAGTACAGTGGTAGGATCACAGCTCACTGCAGCCTCCACCTCCAGGGCTCAAGCAATCCTCCTGCCTCAACCTTCTGAGTGGCTGGGACCACAGGCCTGTGCCATCACGCCCTGCTAATTTTATATTTTTTATGGAGGTAGAGTCTCCCTATGTTGCCCAAGCTGGTCTCAAACTCCTGAGCTCAAGCAGTGTTCCCGCTTTGGCTTCCCAAAGTGCTGGGAGGTGTGAGCCACTGTATCTGGCCTTTTCTTGTAAGGACACAAGTCATTGAATTTGCTAGGATTAGGATACCTAATACAGTATGACCTCGTTTTAACTTAACTGATTACACTGGAAAGACCCTATTTCCAAGTACATTCTGAAGTTCCAAGTGGACATGAGTTTTGGGGGGATTACTCAACCCATACAGTAGGAAAGCAACAGGAAACACCTACCTTAGCCTCTCACCAACCTCTTTCCTTCCACCACCACTGTCATCCACCTTGTGCCTTACTACCCACTGTTCTCACCCTCTACCTCCTATCCCAACAAAAATCTCTGCTAGAAAGTCCCTAGAATCACTCTCTTGCCCCATGAATCAAAGCCCTCAGGTAAGTCCTCTTTCTTCAGACTGAATACCCAAGACAATTGATCCAGTGCTCTGAGACCGTTCCTCAGCTGGGCGAGAAAGTAAGCAGGTGGGCAAGCCTGAGCAGCCAGACCTTCCTGGGACTGATGTTCAGCTACACCACCAAGTAACCCGATATTGGGAAAGTCATTTAAGTTCTTCAAACCAGAGGTTCCTCATCCATGGAATGGGTTATGTGTAAGTTATAGGGTTATTGAGAGGATTAAGTTAGGCAATAATTTAATGTTATTAAATGGTAGCTATTAGTAGTAGTAAACTGGAAGAAGTACAAGAATTTGGGGCTACACCAGGGAAAGGTATGACCTGGATGAAAAGAAGTGGTTGCTGCAGAAAATTGTAGGGTCTTCTACCAACTGGACCTAGGAGACCCAGTTTGCCTGGAACAACAGCTTGAGAAATAGACCTGAAGAACTCTGAATGCTTAGCAGCACCTTCCCTGTTCATGAGTACAACTTCTCCGGCACTTGGCATGGCTTTGCTTCCAACTATCTATGAACTCTTCTCTCACTACCCGCCTCCTTTCCTGGAGTAAGTAAAACAGTAAGTAAGAACAGTAAAATTAAATGACTAGCTTAAGGACAAGGAAAGCAGATAAGAGTCATTATAAAGTTATAACAGTAAAAACAATCTGGTTGATTCAGTAAAAGATAAGTAGGTAAGATAACAAGACTGTTAGGGTTTGAATGTTTGTCCCCTCCAAAACTCATGTTGAAACTTCATCCCCGATGTGGCAGTATTGAAAGGTGGGACCTTCAAGAGGTGACAGGGTCATGAGGGTGCCCCCATAATTGGATTAATCCTTTCATGGATTAGTGGATTAATGGATTAATAGGTTATCAGGGGAATGGAGCTATGGTGGCTTTCTAAAAAGAGGAAGAGAGCCCTAAGCTAGTGGGCTCAGTCCTGGAATGTATTAGAGCAAGAGTGAACCCTAATGTAAACTGTGGACTCTGGTGATAATGGCATGTAATGTAGGCTCATCAGTGGTAACAGATGCACCACTGTGGTGGGGGATGTTGATAATGGGGGCCGGGGGGCTGTGCCTGTGTGAAGCAGAGGATATATGAGGAAATCTCTGTACCTTTCTCTCAATTTTGCTGTGAACCTAAAACTGCTCTCAGAAAATGAAGTCTAAAAAATTCCCTGTTATGTGTATGTAAATGCTTTATTATGTATTAACTAATATGAATGATGCACCTCATGACTCATAAAGGCACCAGGGTTTGAAGGAGGCAGGATTCTTCCTTGAATATCTGCCTTGGGGTATGATGGAAATTAGTCTAGTAACTGAAAGCAGTCTTAATAAAGTGGATTTAAACCATGGCAAAGGTGCCACGATGGTGAGGGCAGAGGCAAACTGAGGTCTGGGCACATGATGGGCTATGCTAGAAGGTGGGCAGGCAGCCCTGTGACCCCTGCTCTTGATTCAGCAAGAGTGGCCCTGCTTTTCTCTGCTTGGAAGCCCCCCAGTGCTTCTGTTGGATAAGGCTCAGGGGCTGAGTTTCTAGGATAATCTATATCCACTCATGACAAAGTTTAGCCTCTGAATCTGAACAATTTATTCTCCATCATCTGAGTGAAACTGAAAGCTAGCATGACCACAGAACCTCTTATTGAAAATGTATTTGATTTTAGGGTTACCAGCATCAAGGTAACCTGTTCAGGGCCTAGGACTCCATATCTCACTTGTGGTGACAGAAGGGAAGCATGCCATCCACAAGAGAAGGTCCACCCAGGGACAACTGTGTGATCCTAATGGTAACAACATCCACACTCCTATGGTGGTAGAGTTTAAGTAGACTCTAACATTGTATAAACGGGAGCCCTGCTCACCCACATGATGAACTCACCTGCCATACATATGGCATCCAGTCATCACATTGAAATCTGATTTCTTCCCTTCCCTCAGGCAACCAGAATCAAATCCCCTTAGGAAAGGGAGCAGAAATTTCAGCCTTTACACAGGGTAGAGTTTAGTGACACTGACAAATACTTTATTTTTAATGACATCGATGGAATAACATTCCAGAATATTTTCATCTCCCCCCACCCAACAAAAAGTAACTATATGCATTAACAGTCACTTTCCATTACCACCCCAAATACCACCACCCCTTGCAACCAGTGATCTATTTTCTGTCTCTACGGATTTCTCTATTCTGGACGTCTTATGTAAAATGAACCATATATATATATATATATATATATATATATATATATATATATGCCCTTTTGTGTCTGGCTTTGTCACTTCTTTCACATGTTTTTAAGATTCATCTGTGCTATAGCACACATCAGTACTTCATTCCTTTTTATTGCCAAGTAATATTCAATTGTATGGATATATAACATTTTGTTTATCCATTTATCAGTTGATGGAACACTTAGGTTGTTTCCATTTTTGGGTATTATGAACAATTCTGCTATAAACATTCATGTACAAGTTTTTATGTGGACATATTTTTAAGTTATCTTGATTACACATCCAGTGGAATTGCTGGATCATATGGTAATCCTACTTTAACTTAATGAGAAACTGCCAAATTGTTTTCCAAAATAGCTACACCATTTTACATTCCCACCAACAGTGCATGAGGATTTCAGTTTCTCCACATCCTTGCCAACACTTGTTCTTATCTCTCCTTCTTATTATAGTTGTCCTTGTAGGCATAAAGTGGTTTTGATTTGCACTTACCTAATGAAGTTGAAGATCTTCTCGCGTGCTTATTGGCCATTTGTTTATCTTTGGAGTGACGGCTATTTAAATCCTTCATCTATTTTTTAAATCAGGTTATTTGTCTGGATACTAGACTCTTATCAAATATATTATATACAAATGTTTTCTCCCATGTGAGTTGTCTTTTCATTTTCTTGATAATATCTTGTGATACACGTTTTTAATTTTGATGAAGTTCAACTTGTCTGATTGTGTGTGTGTGTGTGTGTTTGGTGTCATATCTTAAAATGCAAGGTCATGAAGATATACCCTATTTTTTTCTATGAGAATTTTATAGTCTTAGTTATTTCATTTAAGTCTTTGATCCATTTTGAGCTAATTTTTTATATGGTGTATGAGACAGAGGTCCAACTTCATTCTTTTGCATGTGGATATCCAGTTGTCTCAGCACCATTTGTTGAGAAGATTTTGTGGTTCTCATTTAATGATCTTGACACTCTCATAAAAAATCAATTGGTCATAAATGTGAGGGTTTATCTATAGATTCTCAGTTCTAGCCCATTGATCTCTTTGACTGTCCTTACCCAAGTATCACACTGTTGCAATTGTCATAGCTTTGTAGTAAGTTTTAAATTAAGAAGTGTGAGTCCTCCACATTTTGTTCTTTTGCAAGACTGTTTTAACTATTTAGGATCTCCTTGCAATTCTATGTAAATATGAGAACCAGTGTGTCTATTTCTGCAAAAGAGGAGGTTGGGAATTTGATAGGAGCTGCATTTGAGCTGTAGATTAATGTAGGAAGTATTGCCGTTTTAACAATGTTAACTTATTTTATCCATGAATGTGGGATGTGCTTCCACCTATTTAGTTTTTTATTTTTTATTTTTGAGAAGGAGTCTTGCTCTGGCACCAAGGCTAGAGTGCAATGTCGTGATCTCAGCTCACTGCAACCTTCACCTCCCGGGTTCAAGCGATTCTCCTGCCTTAGCCTCCCAAGTAACTGGGATTACAGGCACGTGTCACCACACCCAGCTGGTATTTTTAGTAGAGACGGGGTTTCACCGTGTTGATGAGGCTGGTCTCAAACTCCTGACCTCAGGTGGTCTACCTGCCTTGGCCTCCCAAAGTGCTGGAATTACTGGTATGAACCAACATGCCCGGCCCTTACTTAGGTTTTATTAAATGTATTTCAATGATATCTTGCAGTTTTTGGTGTAAAAGTCCGCTACTTCTTTTGTTAAATTTATTCCTAAGTATGCTATTCTTTTTGATGATGATGTAAATGGAATTGTTTAGTTTCACTTTCAGGTTGTTCATTGTTAGTATACAGAAATAACACAATAGACCTCTTTATCTGTGGGGGATACTTTCCAAGACCCCCAGTGCACCCCTGAAACCACAGATAGTACTGAAGCCTATGTTTTTTCCTTTCCATACATACCTATAATTTTGATTTATAAATTAGGCATAGTAAGAGATTAGCATAATTAACATAATAAAATAGAACAATTATAACAATATACAGTAATAAAAGTTATGTGAATGTAGTCTCTCTGTCTCTCAAAATATCTTGTTGGATTGTACTCACTTATTTTCTGCCTGCAGTTGACCTTGGATAACTGAAACCACAGAAAGCAAAACTGTGGATAAGGAAGGGCTACTATCATAAATGTGAGTAGATTGATTTTGTATCCAGAAACATTTCTGAACTCATTTGTAATAGTTTTAATGCTTTCTTACTGGACTCCTTTGGAGTTTTTAAATACAAGATCATGGCATCTGCAATTGTAGTTCGAATTCTCCCTTCCGATTTGGCTCCCTTTTGTTTCTTTTTCTTGTCTAATTGCCACCCTGCTAGAATCTCCCGTACAATGTCAAATAGAAGTGACAAGTACAGACATCCTGGTATTGTTCCTGATCTTAGAGGGAAAGCATCCATTATTTCACCAGTAAGATGGTACCATGGGTTTTCTGTAAGTGACATTTATTAAGTTGCATGATTGACTTTTTATGTGATTCTCACTACCAGTCAGTTTCATTTGCCAGCTCTCACATACCTCAAGAGCTGTTTGAAGCTATATTGGCATCTTCAAAGTTGCAGAGGCCAATTTCTCCCCATGATCTCTGTATAATATATTTAAACCTAAATAGTGATATCTTAGCATGTAATAGACTAACAGACAAGTATGTTCTCTTTGTTACATCCTGGTATATCTGAAATAGTTTAGGCTAGATATCAGAAAACCTACCACTTTCTTTGTTTGACAAAAGCATTTTGCCTGCCTTCTCTTTAATTTCCCCCTCTATAACATGGGGGGAAATTACATCTACTTTTACTTTCTAACTAAATAGGTGAATATCAAATAAGAAAAATGGATGTGAAAATTGGCAACTCGTAGAGTGCTATGCATATCAGAGAATGGATCATGTTGATGAAGATGCATCGGGTAGAAAATACAGAGATCCATTTTGCTTTCTGCAGCCAAATGGGCGCAGTTGTACTCCAGATCTCTGACTTTCACATTCTGGGTGCAAAAAAAGTGAATGGGATCAATTTCTCCATGAACTGAAACAGGACTTTGGGCAAGAAAATGGATGCCTAGAATGGGCAATGTGCTCTGGGACAGAAGATTGTATAATACAATATAAGACAATAATACAATAGCAGGAGAAGATGGAGGAGAGGGACCCACAGGTCTACATCCCTTCTCAAGTGCAAGGAGAAAAGCAATATTCCTCACAGCCTCAAGAAGCCTGTGGCCCCGCGAGCAGGGCTAGGCACAGCAACTTCCACTGCTGCATGCAGTTAAGCCACATATTGAAAATGGAAACACTTTTTCTTTGCCACAGAGCAACACAGGGTGCCTGGCTCAGGGCATAAAGAAAGAGGTGAGGAAAGTCAACAGCTAGTCCCTCCCAGCCAGGGTCACCCGTTGCTGCTCAGCCTGGCAAGGCTGAAGTTCACCAGAGGCTTTATTAAACACAGTCTTTACTAGAATAAAACTCTTTCTTCAGAGTGATTATCCATGATGACACCCAAATGTAACATTTTCTACTCAGTGATTTGATGATGACATGATAAACTCGAGTTATAACTAGAAAACTATTTTAAAGAGAAAATCTGGAAGTTGCTGGGGCACATCACTGCAATTACGATGCTCACAGCTGCCTCGTTTAAAAAAAAAAATGGAGCCCGAGGGCTTCCAAAGATGATAACCAAAAGTAAAGTAACCATAGGTCTTGGCACAAAACAGCCAAAAGCTTCAGAAAATAGAGAAACAGCTCGCTTTTCCTTGCGGCCACACCAGGCTGCACCAGGACTGGGCCAGCAGTGTGCCTTGTGTCAGAATTAGGGATGAGGGCACCGGTGGGATGTATGATGGGTCTTGGATGATATTCTCACCCTGGGCCTAGTCAAATACAGCCCGAAGGAAAACACTGCTGTGTGTCTGTGAGTGTGCAGCGGAGCAGCTCCCCAAATGTATTCTGTTGACCTCTGCAACTGACTTGGTGGAGCAATCTCGCTATAGAGTAGATGTCGTTGTTTAGCAAAATACCTTGAAATGTTAAACATGAGGCTTCTGAGGTGATGTTTGGAAAGAGAAAAGCGAAGCTATAACTAAAACACATTGAGAAATAAAAAGAAACGTGGGTTTGGGGAGGCCAAAGATGAGCATAGAGGTGTTTGAGAGCAGGGGAGGAGGGGAGAGCTACTCGGCCCACTTAGAAATGTGTTCAGTTTGAAATTCCCAGAGGCATAGCGTAGCTGACTCCTTTGAAACGGTAGCCCGTAGAGATTCAAGTTTACTTCCTGACTGCATGCTGCAGGCATTTCACCGCCTCCCAGCCTCCCAAACCTTTGAGCAGCTAGACCTCTACTTCCTTTCGAGGTGGCGATCAAAAGGTGGGGGACTGTCGAGGAAGGGGAGGTCTCTACCTCCACCTTGTAAGGGCCATGGTTCCGAGAAGCAGGGTCCAAAGACCAGGTTAGAGGTCCTGAAGGGGACCGTGCTCACCAGCAGCAAAGTGAGTTGTGCTGGCACACAGGGACCAGGGCTGGTGGGAGGGGCTGAGGGTGGTGGGAGGGGCTGAGGGTGGTGGGAGGGGCTGAGGGTGGTGGGAGGGCCCAGGGCTGGTGGGAGGGGCAGAGGATCCTGGGAGGAGCCAGGGGTAGTGGGAGGAGCTAGGGTTGGTGGGAGGGTCTGGGGCTGGTGGGAGGGGACAAGGATGGTGGGCAGAGCCACGGGTGGTGGGAGGGGCTGAGGCTGGTGGAGGAGACGGGGCTGGTAGGAAGGGCCGAGGATGGTGGGAAGGGCCAGGGGTGGTGGGAAGGGCCGAGGATGGTGGGAGGATTCATGGCTAGTGGGAGGGACCAAGGCTTGTGGGAGGAGTCAGGGGTGGTGGGAAAGACCCAGTGTCTAGGGACTGGCCAAGAGTGGTTGCTTTTGTTTGTTTTTCCTAAAGAGTAGTTTAGACCAGTCATGTTTCAACACTGGAGGAAAGTGATGGGGAGGAAGTGGATGGGACGGGGAAGACCTACACAAGTGTCTTCCATTCCTTGGTGTCATTATAGCAATGAAGAGGAAAAAAGTGATTCAAAGTAAGAGTGGGAAGCTGGGAAAATTAGTAGTGCTGGTTGTTCGTAGCTGAAGGACTCCTGGCAGTGTTTGATATTGCTGTAACTTCCAAGGCAGCAAAAATTGAATGGGAACCCTACTCTGCCACCTGTGAGCTAGGTGCTATCTCTTTACCTGAGAAATGGAGATAAGAATAATGATCTTGCTGGTAATCACACCACTCTTTCACTCCTAAGAGGAAGAAGTTGCCTTCCTGCTTCAGCATGGCCACTAGACATGAAGAGATCCGAGGGTCTGACCAGTGAGGCTCCTGCCTGAGGGAGCCCCAGGGGTCTCTGCAGTTCTTTCTTCCTAAACTGCTGCCCTCCCCAAAGGCCACCAGTGCCTCTGTCAGCCCACAGCTGCCAGAGAGCCCCTTCTCGGCTAGGTACGTGCAGACCAGGATGTCCAGAAGGCATCCGTGCTGGACTACAGCACCAACGGAGGGCAACATGTTTGGAAACATAGGAAGCTGATGGTGGAGTAGATACAGGAGCCCCATGCTTGTAAGAAAAAGAACAGAGAAGAAAGATTATATCCTGAAAAGAGTGAAAGGTGGTTCTGGGTTATAACCTGGACTCTCACCATTCCCTGATTTTAGGGTGCCAGGATTGAGCAAAACCATCCTTGCACTAGAATGTAGGAATTGCACTCTCTTTTTTTTCTTTTTTCTTTTCTTTCTTTTTTTTTTTTTGAGATGGAGTCTCGCTGTGTCTCCAGGCTAGAGTGCAGTGGAGCGATCTCGGCTCACTGCAACCTCCACCTCCCGGATTCAAGCAATTCTCCTGCCTCAGCCTCCCAAGTAGCTGGGACTATAGGCACTCTCTAAATCAGAGTGCAAAAGGACCACATGTCTGGGCTGGGCAAGTCCTCATGGCAAAACCCATTAGTGTTTGGAACCCCTACACTTTCTAGAACCCAACTCTCCTATCTCTTCTTCCCTCCTTCCACTCCAGGCATCCTGAGGCTGGCTCGGGTTTCCTAAGGGGTCACAAGCTGAAACGCAGCTCCCTGGGGTGCCCTTCCTGCCTGCAAGCCTCAGAGTGGCCCTTCGAGACTCGTCTCCAAAGTCGCCTCCTCTGTGTAGCTTCTGGGTCTCCTCCCAACTTTTGGAAATTTCCTCTTCTGGCTCCCACAAGCCTTATTTCATGCTATTCACTCCTCCTGCTTTATTTTTTTTTCTGTTCTGCCTCCAGACTATGAGCTCTTTGAGGGTAGTCACTGGCTGGAGGCATCTGGGCATGGAAACATTTTGTTGAATGAGTGACTCTTGGTTCTTGCTGTTCATTGGCTGTTAGCGTTGCCTGTATCCTGTGCCAGGCACTTTGCTGAGTACTTTATGTGCATGTTCTCATTTCAGCCTCATAACAAATCTATACATGTCCTAGTATTACTCCCCACTTAAAACCAAGAAACTTGAGTCCTAGAGAAATTAAGTGATTGGCCTCAAGTCAAACAGCAAGTGGCTGGGACATGACTCTGACCAGATTAATCTATCTTTCCCCCAGAGTTGTTTTAATGTTGGGAAAAAATCTGAAATGGTTTTAAGCAGACTATGAGATCGTGAGGCTATTTGTCTGAGTTTATTCACTGGGTGACTTTGAACCTGAGCCTCCGTTTCTTCTATCTATAAAATGGGGATAGTAATTCTGCACCATGAAGCTTTTATATGGAATAAATAAGCTAAAGTAAGTAGATCCTTAAATCCCTGCTTAGGGCTGCAACTAGGGTACAGCCAGGCAGACACCACCCTCCCAGGGCCCAGCATTTAAGAGGCACACATTCTCAGGAGCTGACCTTGCACCCCTACTACCCTAAGCAGGAGCACTTCCTTAAGTGACATCCCTTTCTTGGTCCTGGAGCTGCTCCTGGCATTGGTAGGTGAGGAAATTCATTCTTTACCCTGTCTTCCTTACTTCTCCCTAATCAAGCTGAGTTGTCTTTCTGTATGAGTAGTTATTTCCACAAATCACCTTTCTTTCCTTGTAGTGACACACACACCAGCATTATTATTGTTTCAATCAGGAAGCCACCCTCCCATGCCAGAACTATCTGCATGCAGTTTCCACACAGTAGGCAGCTTTTACTGGGGCTCTAGTCATCTAGTTTTCCACAGTAACCCAAAGGGTGCCCTAGTGTAAATGCAGCCTCAAGCAGAGTCTCTCCAGGAGAGACATGTGCCCTCCCACTTCTGGAACATTTGTCATTTTCTCCAGACACAGCACTGGGATTGTTGCCAAGGCTTTGGCAGGACTCTGTGCAGGGTCTTAGACATTATACTTGTGCCCTCAGCCCTGTGCTAAGCACCCTCACCCCCCACCAAGGCCTTGACTGTTTTCTAATTGTTGGATGGCAAGTAACTCGGCAGCCACTTCTGAACTGTCAGTCAGCCCCAGACTGCTATAAAATTGCTTAATGATATTTGGGTTCTTTGGGAGTTGTTGAAGTGTGGAGCTGTAATGAAGCAGCCACTGGCTGCCTAGTGAAGGAGAGGGTCAAGAAGTGGGTCAACCATGGAGGCCAAGGACTTGGCTCCCAGACTGGGGGAGGTGGCTCAGAGCTCCGCCTCCAGGTTCAAGGGATTCTCCTGCCTCAACCTCCTGAGTAGCTGGGATTACAGGGATGCACCATCATGCCCAGCTACTTTTTGTATTTTTAGTAGAGACAGGATTTCACCATGTTGGTCAGGCTGGTCTCGAACTCCTGACCTCAGGTAATCCGCCTGCCTTGGCCTCCCAAAGTGCTGGGATTGCAGGCATGAGCCACCGCGCCCGGACTGGATCCCATATTGGACACTGGGCTGCAGAGTTCTAGATTCCGTATGTCTCCTCAGGTAGAATCTCCACACTGCAGCCTCTGGCCAGAGGATGTAAAAGATCCAGACAGACCTGGCTTTCTGGCTGCTGCATAACAGCATGTTCATTTGAACGAGTGGCTTGAGCATGCCAGACCTGGGTCTTTCTCATCTGTAAATAGAGTAGTACATCTATCTCAGAGATATGTTATAAGAACTCAGCAAATTGCTGAAGCCCAAGTCACAGATGCATAATGAGTGAGTGTCAATTACTATTCTCATTAGTAGCAGTAGTACTCTTACAAAAGTCAGTTACAAATCTCAGAGACCATAGGTCTATATTGTAAGTGATGACTTGCGGATGTTGTAGAAGAGTTGGGAGTGATGTTTGGGATCATCCCATCCCAGCCATTCACTAAACTAGGAAGCTGAGGCCAGAAAGCAGGACAGAGCAGACTCCCCATACCCAACCTCCTGCTCCCCAGCACTCCTCCACCTCAAGGACACATCTAGGCCTCAGCCATCACTGCAGTATAGTTTCCAGTGCAATGAAAATGCTACATCTTCTCTCTCCTTAAAAATATATAGTAGTAAATAATATGTCTTATATATTTAAAATACTCATTATCTCCTATAGGATCCTTGTCCTACATACCATACACATCACACACATATTCAGGCACAGCCTGAGGAGGTGGGTGTTCAGCTGTATTAAAAACAAAAGTTGTAAGAAAGAATAATAGTGTGAAATCAGTGCAGGACTATTTATGATTAATATCAGGAAGCCCTTGTTAAGAATGCCATGTATTCTTAGACTAAAATACCCTCTGCAGGGACATGGGGAAACCCCATGACTTGAGACACTTCTGCTGGGACAAGGCATGGCTAAGCACAAGAGAGGAACAAAGCACCCGCCGCCTCAGGGGACCATCAGAGACAAAGCTTGAGTCCCAGGCTCCTTTCTGAGTCAGGAGTGCATAGAGTGGTTGTTTGAGAACTGAGTGTGCCTCTGTGTGCAGTCGTGGGACCTCAGTGTCCAGCCTGCCCAGCAGAACAACAGGCTTAGAGACCAGGAGAGGCAATGACAGGTGTTCTGTCAAAACCGCCCAGCAGGGCAGCAAGACGCTAGTGCAATTACTGGGCTGCACATCAGGGAAATGTGGTGGACTTAGTGTCTCTGGATTTCTGTAAGGCATGTGACAAGGTGACACGAGGAAGCTTTTTGATCAATTTAAAGACAATAGGTTAAGATCTTCATGGGCTCCTCATAAAAGCCTTGGTAGTTTGTCAAGCAATCTTTCACAAAGGGGAAAGGGGCTGTGCAGCCTCTTTACCGGAATATGAAGCTGGATTTCGGTATTTTAACAGCACTAGGACATACGAAGGCTGCCTGTCAAACTCACTAATTAGATGGATCTGGAAGCCATTACAGATATATTGGATATTTAAAAACATCACCATCCCAAATGATTAACATAAATGAGAATTATGGACGTGGTAAGCCAGGATGAACTTTAGTGCAGAAACTGAAGATACACCCTTAGACTGAACAGCAATAATAGCAGCTGTCTGGCACTCGTTAGGAATTAAATGTTCGCTGGATGGATTCAGGGATGGGATTACTTAGTAGAACATATGAAAATGAATAAAAATTGAACCTAAACTCAGAGCGCATGAGAAGTGTGAAGATTCTGGCACATCGACTGCTGTGACCTCTGCCTGTGTGTCTGAAGGCCAGCGGTTAGAGTCCCGCAGGCGACGTCCCGTCCTGTGCAGTGGGCAGACCCTACCTGCAGGCTCAGGTGTACTCCTGGGCACCACAGTGGAGAAGGGACTCTGTAGATGGTTTGTGTCCTAACGTGAGTCATCTGAATGGTGACGCTACATCATACCACAATGATTGGAGGGCCCGGGGAGGTTTGGGCAGAGCAGAAGAACTGGGGTTAGGTGGTGCTAATGCTGTGTTGAAATGCTTTAAGTGCTGTCATGAGAAGCTAAGCCCTTTGCAGGCGAGACCTGGAGGGCAGAGGTAGGACAAATGGAGTGAGCGACAAAGGGCTCAACATAAGGAAGCTGTTTCTAATGGTCAGCGTTGACAGCAATGCAGTGGACTGCTTGTGAGCTCCCCATCACGCAAGTGTGCAGGCAGAGAGGCTGAACCGCTGCTTTCTGCGATGGCAGAAGGCGATATCACGTGGGCGTGCGGTCAGCAGGGCGCGTGCTCCCCCTCCTGTGGTGGAGCCTGGAGGCAGCCGCCCGCCGGCCGTGGCCGGTCCAGCAGAGGGCGCGCTCCGAGCCGCGCGGGCAGCGGGTGATGCAGGCAGGGGAAGCGCGGGCCAGGCAGGAAGCATACAGCGCAGGCCGCGCAAGGGCAGAGACGTCCTCACCTGGCCACCGCAGCCGCGCAGACCCCGCAGGTAGCCGCGGCGGAGCTGAGCGAAGGACATGGCGGTGCCCACGGGTGCCGGGGCCGCGCCGGAGTGCACTGGACCAGCCGGCCCCGCGCACCCTCCCCTTCTCCATGCAGTCCCCCAGGGGCGTGCAGCATCACCGCCCCGGGTTCTCACCTTCCCCTCCGCCTCTGGGGCTTTCCCTTGCACCTTTCTGGCGGGCCGCTCCTGGCCTGCCTGCCTCTCCCACGCTGGGCCTGCGCACACCCGCTCATCCTCGACCTAGGATGGAGAGATGGGCACACAGGCAGGGGCCCGAGGGCCTTTCTCGCCCTGCCCTGGGGAATCCGCCCTCAGGAATGGGCCGCGCGGGGCTCCGTGTGCATCTGTTGGTGTGTGATGAAGGGAAGCCCAACCTGCCCTGGTTACGAAAAACATATATTTTAGTGCCAAATCTCTCTGGTTTCCTGAGTGGCTTTTCACCTTCACACGTCATAGAGCGAACACTGCTCTACAGGGTTTTGTGGAGGGAGGGATGGCGCTGTTAGACTCAAATGCCTACTTCCCCTGGGGTTAGCAAATTCAGTAATCTTGGGCGATCTCCCCACAGTAGAAAAAGGTTAAAAAGTGGAAAAAAGAAAAAGACCACCACACTTGACCTTCCAGGGCCAAATCTCCGGTCTCTCAGTCACACCAGGCAGCCAACCTTTCACAGAGATACCGGGACATTGCTTGGGCACACTTCAGCTTTATGAAACAAGGACATTCCCCTCTATCCTCCTGCTAAAGTCCGCCCCGCCCCTCAGCCCCCTCACTTCTGCCACCGCCATATCCCCGCTAGACAGCTTCCGCTGACAAGCCAGCCTAGGGCCACCCTGCTTCGGAAGCGTGTGGGCCCTCCAGGCTTCCATCTGCGGACTGCACATCACAGGGAGGGAGTGTTCCGCACCAGGCAGGGTGAGTCCACAGTGGCTGCACCTGGGGCCAGAGGCCGAATGGGAGGGTGGAGTGCTTACGGTGCGCACCTTCTCCTGGTCAGGGGGCGGGGAGCCGGCTGATGCTGCCCCCGCGTCCCCAGCCACCTTTTGGCTTTCTGAGATGGTTAATTTTAGGTGTCAACGTGACTGCGGTGAGGATGCCCAGATGGCTGGTAAAACATTATTTGTGAGTGTGTCTGTAAGGGCGTTTCTGGAAGAGATGAGCATTTGAATCAGTGGACTGAGTAAGAAGGTCCACCCTCACCAATGTAGGTGGCACTGGTCAACCTGTTGGGGGCCCAGAGAGAACAATGGGGCAGAGGAAAGGTGAATTGTCTCTCTCTTCTGGAGCTAGGACATCCACCTTCTCCTGCCCTCAGACATCAGAGCTCCTGGTTCTGAGGCCTTTGGATTCTGGGACTTACACCAGTCCCCTTCCTCCCTGGATTTTAGGCCTTTGGACTGGCCTGGACCTGCTTCCAGCTTGTAGATGGCGTGGCCTGGAATTTCTCAGCATCCATAATTGAGTGAGCCAATTCTCACAACAGCTCTCCTCATCCAACTATATCTGTATATCCTATCGTTTCTGTTTCTGTGGAGAAATCTGGCTTGCTCTCTCTCCCTCTCTCTCTCTCTCCCTCCCCCCGCCACCTCCTTCCCTCCCTCCCCCTCTTTAATATAAAACCACGTGGATTACTCTTCCAAAGTCACTCTGATTATTTGGGCCATATGATCTTTTCAGTGGATAAACTGTCTGTTTATGATTGAAAGAGGCCACAATTCACAGGACTTTGCTTGTTACAAACTCACTTTATTTCATTTTTCTAGGCAGCCAGCAGCCCCAGATGAGCAGCAACACAACTCTTATTTGTACCTGGCTGAGCAGCACGGCCGCATATGCTTTGCCATTCCACTTCCCAATGGCAGAGCCATGTAAACTGGAGCCTGGACCAGGGGAGGGGAGATGCAGTCAGTGAGAGGGATCCAGGACAGGCCTCCAAAGCCAGCTGCCTGCCAGCAGGGTGGGGACACCCATGAAAATCCAAACTGCCCGCACGGCTTCCATCATAACAAGCTATCCCTGATTGTAACACTTGATTCTTGGAGGGAAAAAGAGCAAACAAATCACCCAGCTGCAAAACTATACTTTTAAACAAATTGTCAAGTAGACAGTTTGGAAGATTTCTGCCAACCATTCACTGGAAAAATGAGAAGAAAGCTGATGGGCCCCAGATTTTTTTTTTAATAGCAGAGTGTTCTTGTATGTGTTTGTGTTATGAAAATTTAGCCAAGCTAGGTAGGTTCACAGAGAAGGCTGCCACTCTGCTTCCCTGTCCCAGGTTGACACCTTTACTGTCTTTTCCTGTTTCTAGGCTTTATCTAATTACCATATTGCCAGCTGGTTGACTGAAACTATTATTAACATTGAAGTGATAGCAACCAAATATCAGCCAGGATGCTAAGCTTAACCCTGCCAGTTGCTTAGAGATCCAAAATGTTGGCGTGGGAATTAGCTTGTGATAATGAAAAACACAAAGTTGATATGTAACCAAAGCATCAATTGTTAATGAGCTCTGAGATGTCCCATGCTCCCATGGAAAGGATTGGCATATTCCCTTTTTCTGCAGTGGCCAAGTGCAAGCCAGAAGGTTGCTCGCCGTGCAAGGACTTAGGTCCAGGAGAGCTACTCACCTTGAGGACGCACTGCCCACTGGATGAACTATGCATGTTGTTCTGGTTCAGAGGCAGATAAGGGGACAATGGGAAAGGCTGAAAGGACAGCAGAGATAGAAACAGAAGATTCTGTTAACAACCATCCATGAGGGTTCAGGGGCTAATGGTCTTTGTGACCACTACCTAGGGTGGCAATATCTAGCAATCAGTGCTTTCTTTTTAATATTGTTTTTGCAGTTGCAAGAAATAGACACTGGGTGCTTTTTGACTAAACTATTTCAAAAGGTGTAGAAATCTCGGTGCCTTGCTGGGCCTGGAGGGACTGCCCCTCCCAGGCTGGCCAGTCCCTAGAGATGGTAAATGACTTCAGCAAGCACAGCTTTCCAATGCAAACCAACCACTCCAGAGCCCTCCCAACCACCTCCTCCGTTGGGCTCTCACCCTCTGGGCCACGGCCACCTGCCCTAATCACCCCAGGGCCAGGCACCAGGCAACTCATGACACCCCTGTGTCCAGAGCCCACTAAAATTATTCAAAGTAGTCCATTCTAAGTCTACTTGTACTGCCTTGCTGGTTCCTTCTCACAAAAACCACATTAAAGGCTCTTGCTACAGTTCCCCCCACACTTCTAACCAACACTGGAGTTTCCCCATGTGGTCCCCCATGGCACAGCGTGGCCCCCATGGCAAGGCATGTACCTCCTCTCCAGATCTGTGCATGACAGACTATCTGTTCAACAGCAGTCCCCTCCTTATCTGTTGGCCTTGCCACACCTAAATGAATAAAACCTATGTTTTAAAGCAACCATGTACCCTGGGAGTCAGGAATGACAAGCATGTTATTTATTATTTCTGTAGGGATTTCTCTTTAAAACGTTCTTTATGAAAAGACAGCAACTGTCTCTATGCTGGAAATACAGAAAATTGATCTTGTGTCATTTTTTAAATTAAAGTAATAGACATTCATAGCAACAAATCAAATACAATATTACAAAGGGTTTATAATACGAAAGAGCAGCCTCTCACCAGATGCCACCCCAGCCCAGAACCACAATACAGAGATTTTTTAGTATTCCTCTTAGTAATTGTCCTGAGGCCTATCCCACAGTTCTAAATAAAATGCTTTATCTCTGTTGACCTATTTATCCACATCGCGTCAAGCATATAGAAGATTTGCTTGCCTGACAACCAAACCTTTCCCGCCTCTGTTCTTTGAAATGTTTGAGAATTAGATTATTTCTAGCATCTCTCTTGATAATATTGTAACTTCAAATAATACACTCATCCTTTTCTTTCTATTTCCATTTACTTTTGAGTTAGCTTGGATGTTGGTCCCCTCCAAATCTCATGTTGAGATGTGAACCCCCAGTGTTGGAGGTGGGCCTCTGGTAGGTGTTTGGGTCATGAGATGGATCCCTCATGAATGGTTTGGTGCCCTCCTGTGGGCACTCTTCTAGTTCTCACTCAGTTAGTTACTATGAGACCTGATTGTTAAAAATGGCTTAGCACCTCCTCCCCTCCCTTGCTTCCTTTCTCGCCATGTGACACACCTGCTCCACCTTCACTTTCTGCCATGATTGTAAGCTTCCTGAGGCCCTCATCAGAAGCAGGTGCTAGCACCACACTTCCTGTACAGCCTGTAGAACGATGAGCCAAATAAGCCTCATTTCTTCATAAATTACCCAGCCTTAGGTATTCCTTCATAGCAACACAAACGGACTACGACAACTTTTGACAGACTCTCAACACTCCACTTTGTAAAAGAGGTTATTAGTTTCTTAGCATTGTCTTCTACTTTTCTTCTCCCTTGCCCCACTCTCCAATTCTTCTCAGCATCCCAACTTCTGTGGGCTGGCCTTTTACTAGTGCCAAACATTGTGACTCAGCTCATACCCTGCTGCTCAAGTTTCAAGTCCAGCATCAGTGTGTGCTATTGCCAGGCTAGAAGATCTTCATAAGGGAACTAAGGTCAATTTCACTAGTGACTTTCTCTGCTCTCTTGGGCAAGTCACCCAATTCCTTGAAACCATGGCTGCCTCATTCAACTTCCTTCATAGCTTTAAAATGAGTGGGAACAAAAGAGCGGCTGTAAAGTAATGCAACTTGTAAGTTCCACACTGCTATCCACACGGAAGGCAGGGGAACTTTCTGACCTGTCCTCTGAGAAGCATGGTGAGTCCTTGAGTGTGATCTCTTATCCCCGGCATTGGATGGCACCATCACTATGGGACTGATTGATGTCCTCCAGGCCCAGTGGTTGGGGAAGGAACATTTTATATGGATTCCTTTCACATCAAATCCCATCACACAACTCTCATAAATGCTCCTGCTTTTTGATGTGTGCATTTGAATCCAAGTTAATTATATTTTGTGATATTTAAAGGGGCAAAGGGAGCGATTTCATCCATTTTCAGCCTCCCTGGAGTAAATTGTTCTAATTTACTAATAATCAAATTTAATCCTTTCTTTTCCTTAATATTCTTGGTGGTTGCATTTCAGTCCCTTTACTGGCTTTACAGTAAAATCTTGACTACCCTAGAAATTTTTTTTATACATGCCTCGATTTATACTGATAAACCCTAGAAAAGATCATGCTTGGCCTGGATCTCTTCCTATATAGAATACTTTTCTAACTTTTTTTTCTTGTGGGAATAGCTATCTCTTTTTTTTGTATTTATTTTTTGTTATTTTTAAAAATTAAATTAATTTTTACATATATAATTTACCATCTTTACCATTTTAAGTGTACATTCAATGGTAATAAATGCATTTATATTCTTTTTATTTTCTTTCATGTCTCCTTCCCTCTTCCCCTTCCTGCCTCTGGTAACCACTAAGGTACCCTACCTTCATGAGATTTACTTTTTAGCTCCTACATATGAGTGGGAACATGTGATATTTGTCTTTCTGTGCTTGGTTTATATCACTTAAATGGCCTCTAGTTCCATCCATATCACCCCAAATGACAGAATTTCATTTATTTTTATGGCTAAATAATATTCCATTGGGTACGTAGACCATATTTTAAGAATTCATTCATCCTTGGGCACTTAGGTTTGTTCCAAATCTTGGTGATTGTGAATAGTGCTGCAATAAACTTACAAGTGAAGATATCTCTTTGATAGATTCCCTTTCTTTTGAGTATATACCCAGCAGTGGAATTGCTGGATTATATGGTAGTTCTATTTTTAGTTTTTTTGAGGAATTTCCATACTGTTCTTCTTTCTGGCTGTACTAATTTACATTTCCACCAACAGCACATGAGGGTTCCCCTTTCTCCATATTCTCTCCAGCATCTGTTATTGCTTACCTTTTTGACATGAGCCATTTTAACTGGGGTGAGATAATATCTGATTGTGGTTCTGACTTGAATTTCTCCAATCATTAGTGACATTAGTATTTTTTATATATCTGTCGATGATTTGCGTGTTTTGAGAAATGTCTGATCTGATTTTTGATCAGATTGTTTTTGTTTTTGTTTTGTTTTGTTTGACTTTCTCTACTCTCCTGAGAAGAGTTTGCTATTGAGTTGTTTGAGCTCCTTATATATTCTGGTTATTAATCCCTTGCCAAATGGATGGCTTGCAATTATATTCTCCTATTCTGTGGGTTGTCCCTTCACTTTTTTTATTGTTTCCTTTACTGTGTAGAAACTTTTTAGCTTGATGTAATCCCATTTGTTTATTTTTGCTTTTGTGCCTGTGCTTTGGAGGTCTTATACAAAAAATCTTTGCCCTAGATCAATGTTCTAGAGCATTTTCCCTGTCATCTTTAAGTAGTTTCATAGTCTCTGGTCTTAGATTTAAGTCTTTAATTCATATTGATTTGATTTGATTTGATTGCGTTTCATTCTTCTGCACATAGTTATCCAGTTTTCTCAGCACCATTTATTGAAAAGACTGTTCTTTCTTCATTGTATAATCTTAGTGTCTTTGTCAAAGATGAGTTTGTTGTAAATGTGTAGATTTATTTCTGGGTTCTATTGGTCTGTGTATCTATTTTTATGCCAGTACCATGCTGTTTTGGTTACTAGAGCTTTGTACTAGATTTTGAAGTCAGCTAATGTGATGCCTCAGCCTTGTTCTGGCTTAGGATTGCTGTGTTAGTCTGTTCTTATGCTGCTGTAAAGAGCTTCCCTGAGACTGGGTAATCTACAAATGAAAGAGGTTTAATTGATTCACAGATCCGCATGGGTGGGGAGGCCTCAGGAAACTTACAATCATGGCAAAAGGAGAAGCAGGCATGTCTTACATGGTGGCAGGCAAAAGAGAGAGAGAGAGGAGAGAGAGAGAGGGAGGAACTGTCAAACACAAAACCATCAGATCCTATGAGAACTCGCTCACTATCATGAGAACAGCATGGGGGAAATGGCCCCCATGATCCAGTCACCTCCTACGAGGTCCCACCCTCCCACACGTGGGGATTATGGGGATTACAATATGAGATGAGATTTGGATGGGGACACAGAGCGAAACCATATCAATTGCTTTAGCTATTCAGGGTCTTTTGGGTTCTATATACATTTTAGGATTTTTTTTTGTTTCTGTGAAGAATATCATTGATGTTTTGACAGGGATTACACTGAATCTGTAAATTGGTTTGGGTAGTATGGTCATTTAAATAATGTTATTTCTTCCAATCCATGAGCATTAAATATCTTTCTATCGTGCATGTGTGTCCTCTTCTATTTCCTTCATCAGAGTTTTATGGTTTTCCTTGTAGAGATTTTTCACTTCCTTTGTTAGATTGATTCCTCCTTGGTTAGATTGATTCTTAGGTATTTTATATTTTTTGTAGCTATTGTAAACAGGATTCCTTTCTTGATTTCTTTTTCAGATTGTTCACTGCTGGCATATATAAATGTTACCAAGTTTGTATTAATATATTGATTTTGTATCTTGCAATGTTGTTGAATTCATTTATCAGTTTTAACAGTTTTTTGGTTGAATTTTTAGGTTTTTCTAAGTACAAGATTATGCCTTCTGTGAACAAGACTAATTTGACTCCATCTTTTCCAATTTTGATGCCTTTTATTTCTTTCTCTTGCCTAATTGCTCTGACCAAGACCTGCAGTATTATGTTGAATAATAGTGGTGAAAATAGCCATCCTTGTCTTATTTCAGTTCTTACAGGAAAGGCCTTCAAATTTTCCCCCTTCAGTATTATGTTAGCTGTGGCTTTGTCATATATGGCCTTTATTAGTTTGAGGTATGTTCCTTGATTACCCATTTTTATAAGGGTTTTTATCATAAAGGGACATTGAATTTTATCAAATGCTTTTTCAGCATCTGTTGGAATAATCATATGGTTTTTGTTCTTGATTCTGTGAATGTGATGTATTATGTTTGTTTGTTTGCATATGTTGCATGTGTATGTTTATTTGCATTGCCCCATCTTTGCATCACTGGGATGAGTCCCATTTGGTCATGATGAATGATCTTTTTAATGTGTTGTTGAATTTGGCTAGCTAAGATTTTGTTGAGGATTTTTGCATCTATATTCATTAGTAATATAGGCCTGAAGTTTGTTGTTGTTGTTGTTGTGTCCGTGTCTAGTGTTGTTATCAGAGTAATGCTGGCCTCTTAGAATGAGCTTGGAAGTACTCCCTCCTCACCATTTGTTTTGAAGAGTTTGAGTAAGATCGGTATTTATTCTTTAATGTCTGGTAGAATTCGGCAGTGATTCAATCTGTTCCTGGGGCTTTTCTTTGATGGGATATCTCTCTTTTTGGCTCTAATCTTCCTAACAGGGGAAATTTTAACCTAGGAACATGATGCTTTCTATTGCTACTTTGTTCAAAGCCTAACAGTTTAATGTCAGCGGTAGTAATGATGACAACAGCAGCTGACCTGACTGAGCACCCCCACATGTGACAAGACACCATGCTAAGGGATTTACATCTCTTAGCTCCTCGAACCCTGACAACTGCCTTGTTTTCTCATTTCACACATGATGAAACGAGACTCAGGAGATTCAACAACTTGAGGTTAACAATGTGCCTAAGGTCACATCATAATTCTGGTGGGATGCAGCTTCCTATCTCCTGTAAGTGGGCCATTTTAAGGCCCACCCGGGCAGAGCCCCTCGACTGGCATAACTTAATAATACTCGATTTCAGATAACTTATTAAAATCATTTCACCACAGTAGAGCAAATAACTGTGGTCAATGGTGATGGCAGTGGAAACCTTTCCAGCAACCATGAGCTACTCTTTGCAAATGATCACTCTGGCGGATAATCCCATTAGTTCTCTTCTACCACCTCTTCAGAAATACTCTCACCTCCCAGCACAGAGGCACCTGGGCTGTGGCTTTTCCAGAAATGAAGAGATGGGGATGGGGGCAGGGAAAATAACACTTGATTATCTAAAATATCTCTATTTCTTAATTTTTAATTTATTTGGTGACAGTAATACAGAAAGCTGGAATAATGCCAAGCAGCCATGTGTCATACAACGAATAACTTGTCCTGCTGTGTGCTGTATTAAAAGGACTTTTTGAATGACTACATTATGGACACATTGAGTGCTCTGATCCAGAAGAGTCCATGGTGCCTTCAGACAAGAGCCCTGGGCACCTCTGTAGCAACGTGTCCCCTACTTCTCACTGTCCCCAAAGGTTTTCCTGAAATCCTGCCTTAGATATCAAGGAGGCCATTGTCATGGCCTCCTTCAGCACAGACCTTATTATTTCCTTATTGGAGCTGTCAAAAAATCTTGGGATGGTTCTTTTCTCAAGAATCATCCTTTGACACTTGCTAGTCTGTCCTAGAGCCTAGGAACATTCCCAGCTTTCTGCTCCTTTCTCTCCTTTTGCTGTCTAGGCCTTGCATACCCTGTGCTGGCTCCTGGCTCCTGGCCCTGCCTGGTGTGCTGAGCTGGCACCATCATCCCCTGGAGTCGGCTCAGGGCCAACAAATTTCTGACACAAGGAGATTAATTAGGTCCAGGGAAGCGAGAAGCAGGTGCTGTGAGTCATGTGGCGATCAGCTGTGCTTTCTCTATGATAGAATGCAAATGATCCCACACACTCAAATTCCCAGCATCATCATGACCATCATGACTGATCAGACCATGGCCACAGGGATTTTAACTCCAGTGATGACGGGCAGTGAGGTCAGCTACATCTCAAATCAAGAAAGACAGACAAGTCGGTAAACCAGCTTCTGTGAATCAGAACCATTGACCACATCTAATTCCAGGGAGCAGAGCCAAGGCTGCAGCCTGAGGGCATGTCTGTCACTAAGGCTGGTGAGATGCTGAGTCATTTAGTTTCCAGCAATTAGGCATCTTCTGCTCAAGCAAAAAGTAGCCAGATGACTATCTGGTGAGGTAAGCTGTAGTAATAATATGAACAATCATAATTGATTTGCATTGTGATGCCTACATCTAAAAGTACCTCCATTTATTTCTTTATGTTGTTGTGCATGTATTCATTCATTCAATGGACATCTTTTTGAGCTCAAAAGATGAGGAAACTACTGTGCTGGGCCTTAATGGCCCTTGCCATCAAGAAACTCAGGGTCTCTTGGGGAATGATACAAACACAAGACTCACAGCATCCAGTTAAAATGCCATGCTTTCTGTTATACCAGGCACCATGGAAACACCGTGGGAAGGCTGGAGAACTCTGCTTCTGGACGTGTTCATTCAGGCCCATCCTTGTCTCCACCTCACTTACTCTCTTCACTTCTGGCAGGGCTGAATGCCCTCATTTTACCCAACACCAGGAATCTCCAAGGAACCCCAGAAAGTTGCAGGACCCTGGACTCCTTTCTTGTAGCTAGGGGTCAGGTCAGGCACATGCACATCAGCTGCCGGGGAGGAAGTGGGGTGCAGGGATGCAGACCGGGCTGCAAAATAGCCTCTCAACATCCCAGCCTCTCTGCAGGAGAGATGCTGCCCGTGGCCACTCCAGAGTTGGTGGACCTCATTCATGTCTCCAGGAGAGATAAACGACTTTAACAAAACCCAGCAATATTAGCAAAGCCTGTGGCCAGAACATTTCAGTGAGTAATTTTAATGCCCAGGTGTGTAGCATGGCACAGAAAAACATCTTTGAGGATGGATTAACAACACATTTTGCCATCCCCTGAGAGATTTTACCCTGAACGCACACATCTCTAAGAGATGGTGTGGTCCCTATCATTAGATTGTTATGAAGAATGCTTTAGGAAGTCTCTCCCAGGTGCCAAGGCTCCTCTGGGAAAAGGTTCAAAGGGTGGTGGGCCAGTCCTCTGGGCACATGCATTCCTGGTGCAGACCACCAGAATTGTGCCAGTAGTAGCTAAGGGTGTTAGCAAGTCCTGGTGCATGCCACGGTGCAGGCCCAGGCAGCCAGCCTGTGCTCTTCATTCTGGGACAGTGCTGTCCTGGACTGTCCTTTATGACCACCCCCAGCCTTGGTTCTGCAGTGGGGCATGGTTGTGTGCTGGTGGCAACAAGGACACGCCCTGACCCTCTGCTCCCTCTCTTGTTCTCCTTTTGTTTTAACATTTTCCTCAGATTATAGAATTACCACATGCCAACTATTATGAGCTGAATTGGGCCTTCCCACCCACAAATCCATGTGTTAAAGCCCTAACCCCTAGCACCTCAGAATGTGACTGTATTTGGAGATAGGATCTTTAAAGAAGTAAATAAGTTAAATGAGATCATTAGGGTGGGCTCTCATCAAATTTGACTGATGTCCTTCTAAGAAGATGGGGACACAGACACACACAGGGGGAAGACCACGTGAAGACACAGGGCATCTGCAAGCCAAGGAGAGAGAGAGGCCTCAGGACTCTGCCAGCACCTTGAGCTCAGTCTTCCAGCCTCCACAACTGTGAGAGAATAAATTTTCATTGTTTCAGCCCCCAGTCTGTGGTATTTTGTTATGGTAGCCCTAGCAAACTAATACACCTTCCACAGAAAATTGAGGAGATATACACAAATTTAGATTGTGAAAATAATGACTATTTTTCTAAATCTCTCTACCCAGAGAAAATTTCAGTTACTATTTCAGTCATTTTTCTTACAGTTTAAAAATCCATATTATATAGAGAGACAAATTGACAGTGGTGGTAGTTAGAGATTACATTCTGTATCCAACTTGCCTTCTGAATTGACATTGCATGAATGAGTACCGCCTTATGTCAATAGGTTCGGGCCATAATTTAATCATTGGTAATATTGGGGGTCATGCTTTATTCTAGACAGACAGACCCACACACCCTACTTTTTAATTATATTATCCATACTGTTCTTTTTCCAGATTTCCTTATTTAGTAGTCAATATGGATAGATTTCTATGTTCATAAACATGGATTTGTGTCATATGTAAATTTTTGGATAATATTTTATAGAACAGGGTTATGAGTTTTCTTTAAACCTATATTGATGGTCATTTAAAATTTTTCATTTCTTTTTTTTTTTTTGTTAAAAATGAAAGCACTGTGAGGACTGCCTGATCGCATAGCTATGCACCCTGGAACTCTTTCTTTAGAACCAGTTCTGAGGCTGCAGTGCCTACGGTGGAGTTGAGGGAGTGTTTGCTTCCAATTCCTGCCTGTTGTCCTGGAGGTTGGCTGCGACTCTATCCCCAACAGCAGTTTATGGGCAAGGGTGTCCATAATCTTTTTGCACATTTAACATTCTCAATCTAGGCTGGTTTGGGGCTATAAATTATACCTCACTGGGGCTTTTACAAATTTATTGGTCATTTGCATTTCGTTTTATTTGAATTGCCTGTTTGTATTCTCTTTCTGCTTCTAAAAGTTGGTGTGTTTGCCTTTTCCTAACAGTTTTATAAGATCTTTTTAGGTAATAGCAATTTTAATTCTTTTATATGTATTTGGCAATTCCCTTCCTGCTCGCTATTCCCCCCAGTTTTCCTTATCTCTTAATTTTGTACATGGCAGGTTTTTATTTTATTTCAGAGCACATTTTAAGTTTTTATGTATTAACATCTATTAGTCTTTTCCTTATATTACTTCAGATTTTGGTTGCCTGCTTAGAAAGCACTTTCACACCCAGATATTCATACAATTTTCACTAAATGTTTTCTTTTACTGCCCTTATGATTTTTTTTAAATATTAAAAATATTTAGCCCATCTGGAATTCATTTTGGTGTGAGGTATGAGGTAGGACTGTAACACTATTTTCCCCTAAGATGGTTAGTAGGTTGTCACAACGCATTCCCCACTAATCTGTCCTTTTCCTGGAGATTTAAAGAGACACCTTTACATGTGTATGTGCTCTTGTGGGCCCCGCACAGCGGAAGGCATCCTGGCATTGTGAGAGTGCAAAACCTGCCGGGGAAGCCCCTCGGTGTCTCTCTTCTGTTATCAGCATTTGTATTGCTAGTTCAGTCATTTTTCCAGATGACTTTTAGAATGCATGCTGTTGCGATGTTAATTGACACTTTGCTATATTTATGGATTACTTTGCAGAGAATTAGAATAGTCTTGTTATCTAAATACAGCAAACATTTTATTTCTTCCTTTCCAGTATTTGCATAATTAACATATCTCTCTTTCCTCCTTGGAGTTGCTAGAATATGGCTGTACGGCAATGCTGAGACATCACGCTGAGCGAGAGTGGACATCCTCATTTTATTCCTACCCTTACCGTGGATCTCTCCTGTGCTTCACCACTCAGTATAATGCTGGCTGAGCTCTTCTGACAAATACCTTCCAAGATGTGAGGAAAACACACGTAGGTGCAGTTGTTGAATTGTATGATCTGCCACTGAAGTAATTAGTGTGATAATTACTTGGATTTTCTCCTTTAACAAATTATTGTTATAAATTATATTAATATATGTCATGCTAATAAATTATTTCCATATTCCTAGGAATAAAGCTGGGTAGTTTGTGGTATATTATTCTTTGAATTTATTCCTGGATTTAACGTAAAAATATTTTATAGGGAAGTGTTATATCTATACTCTTAAGTGCAATTGTTCTATAGATGCTTTTCATTGTTATCTTTGTTGAGTTTGGGCTTAAATGTGATGCTAGTCTTATATAATCAGTTTCAAACAATTTCTAAACTTTCTATGCTTTGGGAACTTTAAAATAGCATCATACTGAATTATTTCCCTCAAAGTCTGATAAAAATCATCTATGACCTGGATTACTTATAAGGGATCCAAAGGAAGGTGGGAAGGAAGTAATTTGCATTTGAAAAAAGCTTTCCCTCCTTGGGATTGGAGTCCTTTGATCAAAAAAAGTAGTTTTACAGTTCTGTGTGGTTAAAATTCATAATCATTTTGTCATTATTTACTACTTGTACTAAGAGAAAAAGGCTTGTAGAATTTCTACCTTATTTAGAATAGACTTTGTTAGGCCTAATTCATTATCAATATTTATAAATACTGAGTTAATACATTACTTTGTCTCTTTGTGGCTTACAATGTTTTCTATGTAGGTACTATGCCAAGTTTGTTAATTACATTATTCACGCTTTGTATGTCCTTTTTTATCTTGTTAATCCACAAAATTCTGTACAATGTGTTAGAGCTTCTCAGTACCAAACAATTTTATCAAATTTTTATGTTTTATATTTTCACATTATTTCCTCTACTAGTATTTGAAATGCAAATGTTCATGACTTCAATGTCTTCATTGTGGATTGTATATTTTATTAATAATATGATCATTTTTGCCTCATTGACTATTTTTAGGCTTTCTTTCTCTATTTGACATAAATATTCCCTCCCTTGCTTTGTCTATATCTGAATTTATCTGCTAGATCCTCGCCTAACTCCTAAGTGTCAAAGTATCAACCTCTATGCTTCATTTTACTTTAGATGGATCAGGTTTTGCTGTTTGAAGCACTCTAGGTACTTAGCCTTTGGATAGGGAAGTTTAGTCCACTTATTTTTGGATGTATTCTGATAACCAATACATTCAGTAATAGTCTTATTTTATCTTTTACATTTATCACATTTCCAGTATTTCTGATTTTATCTTCCTTTCTTTCAGTGGGTTGATCAGTAATATTTTCCTCTTTCGTTTGTTCAGCATTTGGCAAGTTATTTATCCAATTTCTATTGAATATATTTGGGTATATTTCCAAATATACTGGATATTGGATGTTGGATATATTTGGAAATATTTGGATATTGGATAAAGGATATATTTTCCAGTGATTACTTTTCAGTTTTACAAACCCAAATACAACACACAAAAAATCTTAAACTTACATTTTGCTATAATTATAAAAAATAAAATGGTTCCCATGAAACAGTTTTGGAAGAGAAAGATCTTTACTTCCCTCCCTCCTCCTATCTTCTCATATCAGATGGGGATACCCCAGAGCTGGAGAGGTGGCCAGGGAGAAGTTTGGATTCAGCCTTTTCTGGAGGAAATGAGTTCAGTGTGGCTTTGTCTATGTCACAGAGATCCTATTCAGGGACAGAAAATGATGAGTGAAGCACATGACAATAGAAACGACTATTATGTGGGAGGAGAGGAGGTGAACACGTTGGAATACTGTGTTTCTTTTACAACTGTTTTGTTCTTCTTTTAATTGACCCAGGTTTGAACTGTGCTGTTTATGACAGCTTTTGTTTTCATAAGTATGTGGAATGAGCATTTGAAAACGTGTTTGTGGTGTTGATGGTAGGAGCTGGGTGTAGGAATGTGTACTTTGTGGTGTGCCTGTGGCTTGTGTCTCTGTATGTGGTGTGTGTATGCAGTGTGTGTGGATGTGTGGTATGTTTGTGGTATATGTGTCTATGTGCACAGTTTGTGTGTTTGTGTGATTTGGATGCTGTTTTCTGTGGTATCTGGAAGTATAATGTGGAATTCGTGTAGGCAGTGTGTGTGCCTGTGATGTGTGCATGGTGTGCCCAGTGTGGTATGAGTGGCAAGTGTGTGTCTAGGTGGTATATCATGCACTTGTGTATAGCATACATGGTATCGTGTGCATGTGTGTTGTGGTGTGTGTGGCAAGCGTGTGTGTATTGTGTCGTATGTGTGGGATATTTGTGTGGATGTTGTAATATGTCTGGTGTGTGTGTGTGATGTGTGTAGTGTGTCTGGTGTGTGTGGGTGGTGTAACATGCAGTAGCATACATGGTGTGGCATGATGTGTGGCATGTGTAGGTGCATTTGTGGATGATGTGGTATGTTTAGCATGTGTGACTATGGTGCGGTGCGGTGTGGTGTGTCTTGTGTATATCATATGTGATGTGGGTGGGATGGGTGGTGTGTGTGTATGCATGTGTGGCATGTGTGACTACATGTGTGCTGTGTGCATATGAATGTGTGGTGCGTGTGTATGCATGTGGGGCCTGTGTGTATGTATGTGGGGCATGTGTGTGTAATGTGTGTGTATGCATGTGTGCCATGTGCGTTCTGGTTAGGAGTCTGTCTCTGGAAGGCGACAGAAGGACAATAAGATGCATTTTCACTCCAGGCTGGCAGGTCCTGGTGGGGACTGGGCTGAGAGGACTGAAATGACACAGCCTTGCCTTGCTCCCAGGCCCCACAGAGGCATCCTTTCAGAAATGGCAAGCGCCGCCCCTCAGGATGGGGAGTGTACTGAGGCGGAGGTATTATGACGCATTGCCCAGGAACTGATTACAGCCTTTCTGAAAATATCAGAACAAACCAAAGTACTTTTTTTCTCTCACTCAACAACAATCAACACAGAAGACTTCTGTGACCAAATGTGTGGGTTTTCTCCCCACCACAAGCAAGAAGGCAGTTCTACATCGGACAATTCCAACATCGACACCTTCTACCTGGAGGTGGCCTCACACCCCACAAGCCCAAGCCTCATGTCCCAAGCCTGCCCTCCACTTCCAATGCCAATGGCAAGGTGGTCTTACCTGTGCTTCTGACCCACTGGCGTTCCCACGAATCAATGTTCCCAGGACGCCTCCTAACACTTGAATAATTCGCTAGAGCAGCTCACAGAGCTCAGGGAAAGGCCTACTTACATTTACTATAAAGGATGTTACAGAGGAGAGAGACACAGAGATGCCTGGGGCAAGACATATGAGGAGGGCGAGAAGCTTCCATGCCCTCCTGGGGCTGTCGAACTAAAACGAAGAAGCTGAAAGTTTTGCTCCAAATGCCATTGTTTATCCATTTTTGACCACCTGATCTGTTCCATTAGCTTCAAAAGATGCCTTTTCATTTGTTTCGTTTTGCCTTCGATGGCCTTCCGCCTGCCGCAAGCAACCCTCTAGAATATGGGCCTGTGCTTGGCTTTTCTACACAAACATGAGCAGCCTTCAATTACTGGGGGACATTCATTTCCTCCTTCCAACTAGAGAGCGAGGAGTGTCCCGGGGAGAGTGGGTCCTTGAGCTCCTCTGGGCCTTGCTTGGGACTTGGTCCAGGAGGTTATGGGAAGAAACTGGTTTAGAAGCTGACCTCATGGGTTCGCTATTCTTATGTAACACTTAGGAAGAGCAGAGACCCACGCGATTCAGTCCCAGAGCAATGTTGCGGTCAAGAGAACACAGTCCAGCTACCAACAGTTATTTCAAAATAATTCAAGCTCTTTGTTTATATTTCTGAAAGAAAGAAAGAAAAAAAAAGGGTGGCCCAGCTGGAAACTCGGCTTTAAGTCCCCTTTCAGGGGGCCCTCAGGTGGGCACCTGCTTGGAAACCTCTCCACCCCTCCAAACACCCTTTTCCTCTCTGAGTGTTCATTTGTTGATCCAGATTCTGAATAAATGAAGCCGTACAGAATCCACCTGGCAAAAATGGAAACTGCCTGGAGGCCAGGGCTGAGGGAAGGCCTGGAGCAGAGCCGGTGCGCGACCTCGCAGTGAGCAGGGAGGGCAGGCTGGGGACGTTCACCACCCAGAACGCCTCTGCTCCCCGCAACCCTGAGACTCCAGGCTCCCCTGTTCCTCCCTCCGGGAGACCCTGCCCGTCCTCCCCGCGGGGCTCCTTCGCAGTTCGGGGGAAGGGACGGGTTGCGTCCTCGGGACCTTTCTCTGCAGCCACAGCAGCGCATCCCAGCACCTCCTCCAGGAGCCCCGCCACCTCCTGCCACCCGGACTTTCCCCACAGCGCAGCGTCCCCTCGTCCTCTCAGGGCTGGAACAGCGGTACCCGCAGACAGTGCAAAAGGGAAGTCCCTGTTGCCTTCCCATGCAAACTGTAGGGCGCTTACAGCTGCTGGGAGAGGAAAGGAAAGAAGAAATACAGTGAGTGTGATATGGGTACAAAGAAACCAACACGGAGCTTCCGTGGGCCTAGAAAGGAGCCCCCAGGAGAAGTACACTGGGCCTGCGTCATCGCCTGCCTTCAGCGGGCTCCATCCTTCCCCAGGCCCCCCTCCCCACCCACCTCCCACCCGCGGTCCTCCCGAGGCCCCCCTCCCCGCCCCCCCTTCTCGCTTCCCCATCCCCCTCCCACCCGCGGCCCTCCCGAAGCCCCCCTCCCCACCTCCCCACCTCCATTCTTCGCCTCCCCAACCCCGCTCCGAGTCTCCCCGCCTCCCTATCCCGCCTCCCACCCGCGGCCCTCCCGACGCCCCCTTCACCTCCCCACTCCCGAGGCCCTCCTGAGGCCCCTGGGCTCCCGCTCCTCCGAGTTGCCTGCGGCCGAGTCCTGGCGCGGCCTGGGACTGCCTGTTGGGGGGAGGGGGTGGGGGGGGGTCGTTCCCAAAGAAGGGGAAGGAGGCCTTTCGTGAGCATCTGAGGAGTACATCCTCATTTTGTCTTCTCACTCTGTCCACCCAGAGCCTGTGACCCGGATCCAACCCGCGGCGCACAGACCCCGGCTCTGGGCACCCCTGGTGAGCGCCTTCTGCGCCAGAGCTCCGTACAGCACCAGCCCGCGCTCTCCCCCAGCTTCTGTTCATTTGCTGCAGTCCTGACGGGTCAGTTGCCTGAGCATCCATGCTGCCATCCATACAAACCCAGGCACGCAGAGATGTACATCCTTTACCCAGGGTGACACCATGTGGAGCTGAATCCAAGTCCGGGAGTCTGATGACCGTGTCTGGGCTCTGACCGCGCAGCCGTCTCACAGTGAAACAAATTGCGGACTGGCCTTGTCCTGAGTGGCCTTAGGAAGCTGCAGTGGCCTGCAGTCTCCTGGCCAGTCTGTAGAATTTGGCAAAGATGAGGCACCTTATAGCCTTACATGTTCTTATTTTTCTTTCCTTTTCTCTTCTTTATTTTCTTTTTTAAGGATTTGAATTAGTATATGTAAAGTGCTTAACGCAGGAGCTGGCAGAGAAAGTGGATACTCAGTAAATAACAGCAATTGTTAATTGTAAAAAGCATGCCACTTATCTGGTAAAATCCCCCATTCTAAGCACCCTGTTAAGTAGTTGGTAATTCCTCACTTGAAAGAAATTAAAAAGAATTTTTGTCAGTTTTTTAAAATATTGTTTTATTGTGATAAAATATTCATAACATAAATTTCACTCTTTTAATACTTTTTAAGTGTACAATGCAGATTAATAAGAGAAATGCATACAAATTTATTAACGTGTACACGGGAAAAATAAGGTGATTACCCAATATCCCATGAGGTCCAGATACTTATACAGCGTTTTTTCAGAGAGGAGGGTGGAAGGCGGAATGTAGGTGATTCTGTTGAGGGGCAATAAATTATTATTAAGGAGAATGAATGGGTCAAGAAACAGAGAGTTATTCGTAAATGGTTCTCTTTGAAAATTTAATAAGCTGGAGAAATGGATTATTTTTTTGAAAGCGTCTGTTCAGGTGTGGTCACGTGTTGGTTTTCTTTTCTGCAATAGATAATGAGATAAGAGGGAGGAGAAGGAAAAGTAATTGTTCTCTTTGGTGGGTCTGCAGGGTCTTCATGTAGATAAGGGAGAGGACTCTTCCAGCTTCTGTTGATCTTGAGGGACTTTAATTGAAAATACTCATACCAGGGAGCCATATTTTGGGGCCAAGTTCCCTGCGCTCCTTCAATCCTCCTGTTTGGAACTTCCCTAGAATTTCACATTATCAACAGCTGAATCAGTGATTATGGAGAGATTTGGGTTAGAGGAAAAGAAGGCAAAGAAGGGGAAAAAACAAATTGGGATAAGCAGAAAAGAAAAATAAATAAATATGTTGTCCCATATCTTCTTGAATCAGTCTCTTAGTCCTAAGAGTAGAAGCATTTGGTCAAACAGCTGTGTCCATTCTAGGAGGTGGCACTACAGAGGGGCTGGGCTTCTACAGCTGATGCAGGCAAGCTGGTCTTTAATAAGAGGCATTTCTATGGAAACAAAGAAAAACAAAGGTTTTTCTTAATGTCTGGAATAGTCCATAATAAACTAGTTTTTCTAGAGTCTCAGAAGTATCTTCAGATTGTAGTGGTAATCTTACAGATTTTCCTGGATTATAGTTTGAATTACGTGTTCATGTGAACTTCCTGAGTAGCCCATACATCAGCAGGCACAAAGGCTGTGTACATGTGAGTTGCTGTGCTGACTCCTCCTGAAGTTTATATCAAGTTGTCTAACTTTAGTTTGCAGGGCTTCAAGAAAAGCAGTTTTAAATTCTAGTGATTCCAAGTGAGAAAAATGAGAGAAAAGTTCAAAAGCATTAGTTTGAAGACTTGCAGCCAAGAAAGAATTCAGGATTTAGTCCAAATTGTAGGAAAATAATAAAAACTCAAAAACAATGGGCAAGACTAGAATCTGATAACAGGCATACTGTACTTGTCTTCTGAAATGCAATTTTTCTCTCCCGTTTCCCCGTTTTTACCAAGGATAAATCATAATTATGCTTGACAACATATATCATGATATATCAAAATAATAACATATTCAGAAAAATATGACTAAAAAATTAAACTCCATTATTTATTTGAGATTTGACAATGCTTCCCATATGATTTTAACATACCAAATAAGCTAAATATATCTTTCTTAGATTTCTAGAGGTTACTTTTGGAAAAGATTTAATTTTAGAAACTGAAATTTGACTTTGGGTAGTATATCAAATATTAAAGGTTTAAAACACTTGATCAAATTAGGATCACAGTTCACTGTAAATAATAGTCATTCATTTAACCAAAGCAATAATTCAAAAATTTCAAACAACCTTTACTCTTTGAGAGAGAAGACTCAGTTATCTAAATAATCAAAAGACCTAATAAAGATCTTTTTTTGCAGTTTACTCAAAAGTTGAACAAAAGCCTTTTACTATCCTTATTAATACTACATTAAAATCTTGTTCAAAAGAGGAAAGCATATTCTACATTTGTGTCAGTATATTATTAATGCTAAAGCTAAGTTTAATAAAGACTTATAAATAAATCCATCCAGTCTGAATCAGTTTTGACCATGCAAGATAAGCTTTCCATAAACCTCTTATAATCTTTTATAATTTTCTGTTAAAATTATAGGGAAAACCCTATTGTTCAAACATAGGAGCCAGGACTCTGGCCTTGCATTAGTGTGCTTTTCATATTAATGCTCAATCTTTAGAAAAACTTGAAATAATTCTCGTATAATTTTAGCCAACTTGCTCACACACAAAATTCTTTTCGCAAGATTCATCTTTCACAAACCTACAACTTACTTAAACCTCCAGTTTTGTCTTATACTTTCTCTTTTTGCATTGGGATTCTATAAAAATGTGATTTTCTCTCTTCTTTATTGTTTTGACCACAAAGTCCTCAGTCATGTAAAAGAAAAAAATCACTTTCTCTTTTCAACTTTCTTTGCATCTTACTTCCTTTATATGCTCTATAATAGAGGTTTTTCCTATAGCAAGTAGTTTTAATTATACATATTAGCTATAACATTGACTCTTAGTGCTGCAGGTAGTTAGACAGGCATGAGTGGGGCAGGAAAGGGCTCCCCACCCACTAGGAACATTAGGTGCTGGTTTGGCAATTATCACATTGTCTCTCTAAAAGTGATAAATAAAATAAATAAAACAAAAGTGATAAAAAAGCACCAGAGAGAGGCCATTTCCTGATGGTCAAGTCTGTTTCACTAAAATGTTATTTAACTGAATGCAGGCGCCAGGGAGAAGCAAATTCCTGGACATCTACGTTAAGAGACAAAATGGTGAAGTATGACCTTCTGGGGCCACACCACTGGAAAAGGGAGGAAAGTCTCAGATGGGAATGCATACAACTTCCTGAACACACTGCGCATGCTCACTTCCCAAGGGTAAGGAGGGCACTGCGTATGTGGGCAGCTCCCCCTAAGGGAAGGATCATGGCAAAGAGGCCAGCCTATAAAGTCTTAGAGTCAAGGTTAAACACCACTCTTGACCTTTGGTGCCCACTTGGGTCTCTTCCAAGTGAACCTTCTTTTCTCTCCTGTTCTAACGCCTGTCTAAATAATCTTCCACTCCTGCTCTGAAACTTGCCTCAGTCTCTTTCTGCTATATGCCCCTTAGTTGAATTATTTCTTCTGAGGAGGCAAAAACTGAGATTGCTGCAGATCTGTATGGATTCACCACTGGTAACTTGGATACCTTCCACCGGTAACATTAGTAACCCTAATTTCCAGTGAAAAACCTAAAAAGTAAATTTTGAACTCTTATACCAGTACTTGTAGATGAAAACTATTTCATAACTTTTCCTTATTAACAGATCTAAATATATTTAGTTTTTCTATATCATATAAATGACTCAAGTATTTTATAATTACCTATTAATTTAACATAATATGACTTTAAGATTAAGTTTCTGAAAAAGATTTTTGAAATTATGAAAATTTTGTTTATAAACTTTTATTCCGTTTATATTTATTTAATGTATTCATTCTTAACAATTATGCTTGACTAGTTCGTTAAACAAAGTCAGGCATCATCTCGAGTTATTTCTTTGTTAATCACTTCTGTAACTCATAATGTTAGGCAGTTATCATGTGAAAAAGAGCTCTAAAGTTAAACACATGTTTATTTTGCTGATCAGAAGACACAGCTGTTTTCATTAAACCAATAATGTTAAACGAGTTATTTACTAATGTTTTCCAAGTCATGTGAACTAAAGGCATTTGAGTTAATTTCTATTTTTCTGCTAAAATATTTTATTTAAGCAGTTCCTTTTTCCTTAAGCCAATGAAATAGATATTTTATATATTTTGATAGTGAAATATCACATAAACATGACACATATAAACATACAGACATTCAGACACATGGATAAAAACAGGCTGTATAGCTTTATACAGTTTTTTATTTGCCAGTTTTTAAATAATTTTCTTCCCTCTTTAAACTATTAATCTCTTGATTACCTGTTCCATTGCTCTAGACAGTTGTTACTTAAGCAACCCTAAATTTACACCTTCAAAGGGATGACTCAGGTGAAAGTTTACATCTCCAAGGCACAGAACTTAGATCTAAACACCATTATTTGCTGAAACAAAAAGGACATGGATAAAGGCCCACTCAAAACAAGATTGTCAGGAAAAGTATCCTAAACAAAGGTACGATTTGGTGTATAAACGTTAAGCCAATGTCTTTCTTATTGTAAAAGTTTCTAACGGCTCCTGTGCAGGGAGGTGCCCTTATAAATGGAGATTTCCTTAAAGATATACATTTCTTCTATAAAGAGTGTCAAACTAGCCAGCTAAATGCCAGCAATCTAGTTAGATGGGGGTCTTTCAACTTAGTTTATTTCTTGATTAGGTTACTGACTCAGAGTGGATCCCTTTAATGAATAGGGCAAAGAAAGTATTTGCAGTTTCCCTGGCCTAATATTTGAAATGTAAAAAGCAGCACAACTGGAAGGCAGTGCATCTAGATCTTTAAAAATCAAGGACCCCACTTCTATATGGAGCTGTAGGACCCTCAAAAAAGGGAAGCACCACAGGACCAGGCTGTGCAATGTTTCCGCAGTACTCCTTGGTACAGACATTCCCCTGAGCCTGGTGGGTGACCTAGTGCCAAGCAGGCCTCTCTAGAGCAGCCTGTTCTCCACAGGAATCTTACTGTTTGATGGGGAGTGTTCCCACAGCCTCCAAGTGTTCAAATCTGCCTTTTCATCTGAACACACGAAGAAACAAGTTGCCCCCTGGAGCAGCAAATATTCACTACAACCACTGTCAGCTGCTTCCAAAACTGCAGCTTTGTCCAGTGACTTGTCAGCCATTGCACACACAAAAAGTCAAGTTCTCTCTTACAGTACAAAGTAATTCCTGGGACCCCCCCCAAAGCCAAAGAGATCAGGTAACTTATTGCAAAAGACAGAAGAGTTTTAGACCTGATAGGAACCTGCCCACAATTCTTTGTACTCCACGAGAAAAACAGAAAACTTTCCAAAGGGGGACTGCCTTTTTCTGTAGTTTTCAAGTGGCCTCACAGTCATTTGAAGTCTCCCTTAGTTTCTTCATGTGGTATCAAAAACGGCAAAAAGACAGAGAACCAGAAGTGGAAGGAAATAGAACAATAAGTCTTAGAGGAGCCAAACTGAGGAGTCTTTTTTTTTAAAAGACTAAGTTTTTACATTTTTCTCAGCAAGAATTATGCCAGCAAGATAGAAACAGACAGGCCAAACATTCTTAAACAGGAGTTTTAGTTAACTGAAAAAATTCCCACAAACAAGATCCAAAAAAGGAAAAGATAAAAAACCTTTTTGTTATTTTTACTCAAAAACATTATACCTTAAATATCAGCTTTTATTTAAGCCAACTTCTGACCGTAGAATTCTACATGAAATGTTATCAAATCTCTTATCATTAGAGTTCAGCCACAATGAACATAAAGTAGGTCTCTCATTCAGTTTGTCTGGTATGAAAGCCAGCTTTTTTCTCCAACTGTGCATGCAAATGAATTATTTTAAACATTTCAAAGGATCCCCATATTGGCTACTGCTGCTTAAAAACATCCTGGGTTGGGTGGGTCGACTTTCCTAGGTATTTATAAGATGAAGTGCCATAAATGTTATATACAAATTCAGCTAGTGTTTTAACAGGATTTGATCACAAATGAAAAACCAAGCCCAAATCTTAAACAATAGAAAACCTCTGCAATCTTAAAAAGCATACTATGTCAACTGAGATCACTGGTCCACATTGCCATTCCCATGACCTGAATTCCCAATCCTGAGACAAAGGTAGAAAAACCCAAACCTTCTGTCCTAAGGTAGAGGTGGAAAAAAGCCAGTTCTCTGCAGAGTTCTTTATTGGAACCTCCTATCCAAAGACAGACTGAAGCCCTCAGTCTTAAAGGAAAAAGAGGTTTTGAAAACTGATCCAAATAACATCTAGACTTTCAACAAAAGAGTAGAAGCTTCAAATTCAAGAGAACTCACAAGTTCAATAGAACTTACCTGAAATACCCGTTGGAACTTCTGAAGGCAGAGAGAATGCGATGGGTTCCTGCTGGTGCCAAGCAGGGCTTTCAGAGAGAAACCCTGGAGGGCTGGGGGGAGTAGCTCTGGATCCTGCCAACTACACCACATATGTCGACCTAGAAGGAAGAAGCTGAGTCCAAATTAATATAAGCAGAGAATTTGGGGGATTGGTGGGGGGTGTGGGGGGGCTAAGCTTCAGAATTGAAATTAGGATCATAAATTCAGGTTGCCCTGAATGTACACTCTGATTAACAGTACTTGCAAGTGAATTTCTAAAGGAAAAAAAGAAGTTCCTGAGGTTTTTTTACCAATAATTTACATTAAAATAATGTAAGATTTGATTAGCTATACACTGTTTATTTGTATCACAAAATGACTTTAAACCATTGTCCTCCAGCATAAGTGGGGCTTGACTGAAGTCCCACACTCGGACTCTCTGGGCCTGATGGATTTTGCATCCCTCACGTACCTCAGACTGCCCTGAGCTACTTTTCTTTTCTTAGAGCACACCATCTTTCAGGAAACTCCGCAGGTTTGGATGTTTGGAAGCTCTGCAGATCCAGCCCTTTGGGTTTTTATGGAATCTTCATTATGTAGGCATGCTTGATTAGGTCATTGGCCATTGGTGATCAACTTAACTTCAGCCCTTCTCCCATCCCTGGAGGTTGGGGGATGGAGGGGAAATTCCCAACCCTCAAATCATGCCTGGGTATTTCTGCTGACCAGCATCCCATCCTGAAGCTACCTGGGGGCTGCCAGACATCAGCCTACTCATTAGCATAAAAAGACACTCAACGTTTTGGAAGATTCCGAGGACTTAAGAAGTTGTAAGCCAGGAAAAGGGGAAAACAATAAAATGGTTGCTGAACTATTGGTTACTTTCTGACAAATATGTTCTTTGGTGCAGGTAATTTCATTGTTGTTTGAATATCAGAGTATACTTACACAAACCTAGATGATATAGACTACTACACACCTACACTATGTGTGACGGCCTATTGCTCCTAGGCTACAAACCAGTGCAGCATCCTACTGTACTGAATACTGTCAGCAATTGTAACACAGTGATATTTGTGTATCTAAACATAGAAAAGGTACAGTAAAAACACTGTATAAAAGATTGAAAATGTATACCTGTATAGGGCAATAATCCTATGGGACCACTGTTTTATACGCAGTCCATAATTGACTGAAACATCCCAGGCAGTACATGGCTGTATATTTTTCACAATGTCACAGTCCTACAACCAGATCTTGTCAGTTCAGGATACACTCATTTATTTCCTAATGATAGTGGAATTTCTTCCTGTCAATTGTTGCCAAGATGGCAGATGCAAGACACAAAGGGTGGCCTCAGGGGACAGGACTAGGGAATGATTGTGTGGGGGTGGAGATGCAGTGCAGGAGGGAGGTGTCCAAGGACTCACCTTCTCCCTGGGTGATAGGAGGGCAGAAAGTGACCAGGAGTCCACAGGCGTGCCCCAGCTGAGGCTCAGGTGAAAGGAATTCCTTGCAGACACTCAGTCTTCAGTGTTGTTTGGCTTGTTTGTTCTATGCTGTGCTTCCCTCTCAAGAACTTCAAGCCTTCAGGAATCTGGTCTTAGCAGGTTGAGGGGCACTGGAGACAGACCAGCATGTCCATTTTAGGGACACAGTAAAAGGGAAGGAGGCCCCTGGATGCCCTCCAGGATTGGCTCCAGGGGTGCTACATTCTTTCAAGGGGCACAGAAGATGATGCTGGTGGCCTGCACCTCTGTTGCTGGTGCAGCAGGGGAGCTGCAGCGTGGACACACTGCGGCATGCCTGAGATGGACTGGGAGCTGGAGTGTGCAGCCCCACCTCGTGGAGCACCTTCAGAGGGCCGGGCTTAGCCCTGCTCCTGGAAACAAACAGAGCAGCTCTCCCAGACCTGTCCTGCTGTCTCTGACTTTTCCTCTCCTGATTTCCATCATTTAAAAAAGCAATACTGAATATAAATACATGAATATACCATTTTGGGACATATTAATTTTGAACTATTCTAAATTACACATAAAGTAAAAGTTCCCTTGGCTACTACTGTCCCCCGTTCTAATTGTAGCTGTATCTTCAAAGGTTATCAGTTTGATGTCTGACCTTTTATATACATTTTTACACGTAAAAATTAGTAGTTAACATATTTAACATATTAACATAACATATTATGTTAAACATCTTAACATATTTAGCATTGTATCACACATTGTCATCAAATTCCTTTTTTCACCTATGCCATAGAGATATTTCCAGATCAGAACATAGAGAGGTACCCAATCATCTTAAATGGCTGCACTGCAGTGCAAATACACCCCAATTCCATCTGCAGCCATCTCTGTTGGTGAACTGCCAAATGTTGCAAATGTTGGTGAACATTCGGAGCACTTCCTTTTTATTCTACCTTAAATGATATTTCATGCATGTCTCTTTGAGCAGGTATGTAGTGTTTCTCTAAAATGGCCACCTAGAATTTAAAATGTCAGAATTAAGAAATGTGCACCTAAATTTAACTGATAATGCCAAATTTGTCTTCAAAAGGTCTTGCCAATTGATACTCTCACCAATTGTATCCTTGCCACTGCCAATTTCTTTTTAATTTCTATAAGTCTCATGGGCAGAACAGCAGTCTGGCCTTGCTGTTATAATTTGCATTTCCTTGGTTTGCAGGGAGATTGTGTCTTTTCATGTTTGTTGTCAATCTGGATTCCCTTTTCTGTGAATGCTCTACTCTTATCTCTTGTCCAGTTTGCAATTATTTGCTTTTTTATTGCTTTTGTCATATAAGACTTTACAATTTTGATGTCATGAGACTGATCAAATATTTCTTTAAAGCTGAGCATTCAGTGGACTCCTTTAATCTAAGCGATCTTATTTTTTTCTTCATTTTTAGAGACACTGCGTTATCACTGTCAAGGCAGCTTTGCAGAGAGCTCTACCATCAAAGCCGCCAGGAAGACAGACCTCCACAGGAACCTGGGAGGGCCAGCAGCATGGGGAGGGCCATGTGTAAAGAAAGAAGGCTTGAAGGTGGCCACACAAGGCCAGGGCTCCCCACAGGACGGCGGGAGGTGTGGCACTGATAACAGATATGGCCCAGTGGGATGACATGGCAGACTTCCCACCTGCCTATAGTCCTGAGAAGCGACATGGCTGACTTAGGGAGTTTATTTTAGTTTGCTGTTGGGTGTCAGCTCCTCTAAGACACAAGCTGGTGCTGGCAAAGTAAAAGAAAGCTGGGCTTGCTTGAAAAGTGACTTGATTATATCAACATGTCTAATGTCTCTTGTCTGCTTCTCCTTTGTCTGAGAGATGGGGGAAAGCTGGGAGCAAAGCCAGTCTGTGTCACCTGCATTTGAGCAGCATGTGAGGCCTGCAGACATTTCTCCTGCCAGCTGTCCTTTGGGTGGCAGATGCATTCCCCACATTGCAGTGTGGCATAGATGGGGAGGCAGGGCTTTGAGCTCTCCCCTGTTTTCAACATACACATACTACACCTGCAAGGGCTCACACTACA
This sequence comes from Homo sapiens, assembly GCF_000001405.40. NCBI lineage: Eukaryota > Metazoa > Chordata > Mammalia > Primates > Hominidae > Homo > Homo sapiens. Next base: position 44,282,664 of record NC_000010.11, on the reverse strand, counting down.
AGTACAGGTGAAGAAGAGGTGGGAAAGATTTAAGATGTGTGATTTACATGTGGAAATTATATGCATTTTAGAATACATCTATATCTTTACATTTCATGTTATATAGAGCATGCATAGCATGTGTATGTGTATATATATCTATATGTCACAATACATACAGTAAATTGTGGAATCCAGGCAAAGATTCATTTCTGTTTGACTCCAAAGACTCCCCTATCTCCATGGTTTTCAATAGAGTGAAATTCTTAAGAATACAGACCCAGCCACTTACTGGCTGGAAGACCTCACTTTTGTTCTTGTTTCTCAGTTTCCTCATCTGTCAAGTTGGCAAAATAGGATAGTTATCTATTGTGAGGTGTAACTTTGTAATGCATACCAAGAGTTTATGGCCAGGTGCGTAGTCAGACTATTAATTTAGTGATTGTTAGTATTTTCCTCTCTGAGGCCCTCAGAAGATGAACTCAAATGTCCTCAGCTTCCAGCTTGTCTTCCAGGACCCTTGGAGCCTCAGGATGGTTGGGGCCTGCAGGTGCTGGCAGGCCTCGGCTCCACCTCCTTCTGGCTGGGCTGTGTCCTCATGTGTCCTCAGGGCAGGGCTCTGTGTTTGGGCAGCACGCAGGCTGGGTGCTGCTCTCTACCTGAGTTTCTGGACTGAGTTTCAAAATTGACAGGGGAGGGTGGGCTCCTCTCTGGCAGAAAGACCAGAGGGTGGTGGAAGAAGGATGTGAGAGAGAAGGGAACAGAGCATAGGTGGTCCCCACATCCCAAGGCAGGAGGCTGCCAAATGGCGTGGGCTGTGCGTTGCTGGGCCCTGCCTGAAATTCCAGCCTCACCTCTTCACTGACCATTCCATCCACAGTCCTGCTGTGGGCAGAGGACCCAGAGCACCTCCCCACCCTCTACCCACCCCAGCCGCCTAGAAAGGCAAGCCTGGGTCCCCAGCACCCTTGTCCTCAGGGGCTCCTCGTGTCTGACAAACCAGGCTGTTCTGGAGACAAGTGTCGTTTCTGAGAGGTCTCTGCCGGGTGGAGAGGAAGAAGGGCCATTAGAACCATAGAGGAGTGAGCTGCAGCAGGGACAGCTCTGACTCCTGCTTTGACCATGAGGCTGAGGCCACTACTGGCAAAATCTGAGTAACCTCCTAATTGCTAAGCCCAGTGAGGCGCTTTTCTCTCTTCCTGTCTCCTGTTGGCAGCATGCCGCGCTGTTGACCGCTTCCATCTTTCCTTCCTGTCCCGTTCTCCTCCCACCTCCCTCCCCATTCCACCTGGCTTTCCCTCCTTTCCAGATGTTTAGCCCTGCTACTCCAAAGTTTCCCCTGTCTCACACAGATGCCACGTGGTCACCTTGCCGTCAGCTTGCGTGGCAGACGTGGCCCTGGCACACACTGTGAGAAGAGGTGCCATGTTTTAGATTACTTGACTTAGATCCAGAGAACCAGTCAAGGAACCTCATACCCCAGCCAAGCAGGGATCCCGGCAGTATGCCTGGGCCTCAGCTGAGGTGCTGTGTCTGCCAGCAGTGTGGGAGAGCCCTGGGGTTTCACTGTCCTCCTGACCTCGGCTCCTCGGTTGCATTTAGCTGTACCTATTGATCATGGACAGATGCTCGTGGAAGGAAATAGAGAAACAAATGCTCTCCAAGTCCAGGTAGCAGGTACAAAGCACAAACTGCAAAGCTTTAGGGTTTCTGCTGCTAGGTTCTTGGGAGGGGCAGCAAGCACACAAAAAAGAATTTTCAAGGAGTCTGCTGGCATTTGGGCTTGAGAAAATACACAGTTTTGCTGTTGCTTAACCAATGCTGTGTTGTCCAATAGAACGATCCCAGGACCTTCTCCAAGGATGTACTTTGCCAGCCCTTGGAAGCCCTGCCATTTTGCTCAACATGCTTTTGGTTATGTTTTTATGAGGCAGGCAGCATTCCACTCCTATTGGTTCCAAAATCCACAGCTCAGTATGTTTTCCAGAAATCATTTTAATAAAAGACATGTGAAAAAAGTCAAACACCTCTTTAGCGTGCGTACAATGAAATTAAAAAACGGTTACAAAAATACAAGCATTTGGTGGGTAAATCCACTATCAAGGGGCCAAAGGAAAATCCACTCCCAGTTCCTGGGTGAGATATCAGCTTCCCTGAAGGGACAGCATGAATGCTACCTTCCCCAAAGTTTCCTTATAAAAAGGAAGCAAAGGATGCCAAGAAAATGACACAGCTTGGTTTAATTAAATAAGTTGAATGCATGTTTCCCTTCTGTCATGGTAGCTAACTAGAGGTTTCTGGCCTGACTCGCTCAATCCTACCACCCTTTACCCTTCTCAGTCTCTGTTCAGTCCTGAAATCCTGAAATTCTCTAAGGAAAATCCTCCATTATATGAGAGTCCCTGTATCTTGATGGCCTCATCTGGACAAGTTCCTGAGTCTTGACATTGGATTCCTGAACTTCTGAAAAGGCCAGTGTGAAATCCTCTTACATACTGTGAGTGGGGCTATAAACTGGCACAAACTTTATGGTGGAAGATGTCATCAAATCTGTTAAAATAAAATATACTCAATCTTTCACCACGGTTTATGAATAATAATACAGAAATATGTTTGGGGTATATAAAGATGAATATACACGAAATATGTCACAGTCTTGTTTGCAAAAACCCAGCTTTTCATTGACAGGGAACTCATTCAACAAATTATGCCACAACAGAGCACTGGCATCATATGGCATAATCTATGCAATAATACGCTGCCATTGAAAAGACTAAGATGGATCAATTATACAAATTACAATGGAAAGATGCCAGTTGGATCTTAAGTGAAAAACTAAATTTCCATGCAGCATATATAGTGAACATGATCTGCATAAAACATAGTACATGCATAGTTATGCAATTGGAAAAAGTGCATCTTAAATGCAGATGGTGGTTTTGGGAGCTGGGAAAGGGCATGGCAGGATCAGAGAGGACGTTCACCTCCCCAGGTGCTGTAATGGCATGTGTCTCACTTCTGCTGCTACTCATATGATTCATACAGGCATTGCTGTTCAGCACTGCTCAGCTGTTTCCATCAGGCCTGTGATCAAGCCCAGAAGGACCATTCTATAGTCTTCACCTGCCTCATCACGTCCCTTTCCTGACGAAGTAAATAAATATGCTTCAATGGGGAGAGAGCAAAACTGAGGGGGAGGTAATGGGTTAACGAGAGAAGATAAGCCACTTGGGTGAATGATTCACATTTGTCTTTATAATATTTTGATTATTTTTGTAAGACTTATTACCACAAAGATTAAGCAATGCAAAAAATTAATAAAAAAAAAAGACAGGCATAAAAGCTGCCTGCTTTATTAATCATATGAGTGATTACCAGGGCACAGCTGTCTGAAATCTTGGTCCTTGGAGGCCAAGGGTCTATGAAACCACTCCATTGTAATTTAGCTGCAGATGGCATTGAGTATGCCCTTTTGAGACACCACAGACATGGAGGTGAGTCATGGCCAGCCTCAGGGAGCATGGATGCAGGGACAGGAGCCACGAGCAGAGCTTTTTCACAGAGGGGAACAGGAGCTGGCGGAAGCCCTGTCACAGTGGCAGCCCTGAGCATCCCCAGAGCCTGGGAGCAGCAGAGCCCTCCCTCCTCCATGGGGGAGCCTACGACCTCCTGGCAGGCCCAGGTGCAGGCCACTGTGGTGGGCGGGTGGGTTAGGGGTGTGCGGCAGAGCATGGAGAGCCCAGCCAGTGGAGATATATGGTCTCCAGGCCCCTACTTCCTGTAAAATCTTTACCCTTCTATCTTCCCCAGCAACACACAGGCTCCAGCTCTCAGCCCAGCCTGCATTGCAGGCTTCTGCTGCAGATGCCTCCCCACCAAACTTCAGGGAAACCTGAGCTCACATTCAATCCTTGCACTAGGACCCAGACCTCCCACTCCCTTTTGGCTCCACTTGCGGGTACACACACACCTGAGGGGTGAGGGTTATTTCACACTCTCTTCCTAATCATTTCATTTCCCTGTGAATTCCTCCATGGCCCTTTCCTGACAGTCTTACTTAGGCACATCACTGGATATCCTCCAGGGTAACTGCAGTTTATGTGTAGGCTGAGGCTTTGGATCCTTACATGCCCGTGTTTTCGGTTAAACGTCACATTGATTAAATCAGCATTTCTCCAGGTGAAATGTATTCTCTACAATTTTCATGAGATAGGCCCTCTGCTTAGACAAAAAGCCAACAGTAAGAGATTTTAGGCCAATTTTTGCATTTCAACACTAGCTTGAATTCCAGCCTTAACACAAACTTTAATATTTATTTATTTTTTAGTATACTTTAAGTTCTGTGATACATGTGCAGAACATGCAAGTTTGTTACATAGGTATACACATGCCACAGTGGTTTGCTGCACCCATCAACCTGTCATCTACATTAGGTATTTCTCCTAATGCAAATTGAATAAAAATACCCACCTACCCCCTGACAGGCTCCAGTGTGTGACGTTTCCCTCCCTGTGTCCATGTGTCCTCATTGTTCAACTCCCACTTATGACTGAGAACATGCGGTGTTTGGTTTTCTGTGCTTGTGATAGTTTGCTGAGAATGATGGCTTCCAGCTTCATCCATGTCCCTGCAAAGGACATGAACTCGGCCGGGCGCAGTGGTTCACGCCTGTAATCCCAGCACTTTGTGGGGCTGAGGCGGGTGGATCATGAGGTCAGGAAATCGAGACCATCCTGGCTAACACGGTGAAACCCCGTCTCTACTAAAAATACAAAACATTAGCCAGGCGTGGTGGCAGGCGCCTATAGTCCCAGCTACTGGGGAGGCTGAGGCAGGAGAATGGCGTGAACCTGGGAGGCGGAGCTTGCATTGAGCTGAGATAGCGCCACTGCACTCCAGCCTGGGCAACAGTGCGAGACTGTGTCTCAAAACAACAACAACAAAAAAAGGACATGAACTCATCCTTCTTTATGGCTGCATAGTATTCCATGGTGTATATGTGCCACATTTTACTTATCTAATCAATCATTGATGGGCATTTGTGTTGGCTTCAAGTCTTTGCTATTCTAAATAGTGCTGCAATAAACATACAAGTGCATGTATCTTTATAGTAGACTGATTTATAATGCTTTGGGTATATACCCAGTAATGGGATTGCTGGGTCAAATGGTATTTCTGGTTCTAGATCCTTGAGGAATTGCCACACTGTCTTCCACAATGGTCGAGCTAATTTACACTCCCACAAACAGTGTAAAAGTGTTACTATTTCTCCACATTCTCCCCAGCACCTGTTGTTTCCTGACTTTTTAATGATCGCCATTCTAACTGGTGTGAGATAGTATCTCATTGTGGTTTTGATCTGCATTCCTCTAATGACCAGTGATGATGAGCTTTTTTTCATATGTTTGTTGACTGCATAAATATCTTCTTTTGAGAAGTGTCTGTTCATATCCTTTGCCCACTTTTTGATGGGGTTATTTTTTCTTGTAAATATGTTTAAGTTCCTTGTAGATTTTGGATATTAGCCCTTTGTCAGATGGATAGATTGCAAAATTTTTCTCCCATTCTGTAGGTTGCCTGTTCACTCTGATTAGAGTTTCTTTTGCTGTGTAGAAGCTCTTTAGTTTAATTAGATCCCATGTCAATTTTGGCTTTTCTTGCCTTTGCTTTTAGTGTTTTCATCACAAAGTCTCTGCCCATGCCTATGTCCTGAATGATATTGTCTAGGTTTTCTTCTGGGGTTTTTATAGTTTTAGGTCTTACGTTTAAGTCTTTAATCCATCTTGAGTTAATTTTTGTATAAGGTGTATGGAAGGGGTCCTGCTTCAGTTTTCTGCATATGGCTAGCCAGTTTTCCCAACACCATTTATTAAATAGGGAATCATTTCCCCATTGCTTGTTTTTGTCAGGTTTGTCAAAGATCAGATGGTTGTAGATATGTGGAGTTATTTCTGAGGCCTCTGTTCTCTTCCATTTGTCTATATCTCTGTTTTGGTACCAGTACCATGCTGTTTTGGTTACTGTAGCCTTGTAGTATAGTTTGAAGTCAGGTGGCATGATGCCTCCAGCTTTGTTCTTTTTGCTTAGGAATGCCTTGGCAATGCAGGCTCCTTTTTGGTTCCATGTGAAATTTAATGTAGTCTCTTCTAATTCTGTGGAGAAAGTCAATGGTAGCTTGATTGGGAGAGCATTGAATCTATAAATTACTTTGGGATGTATGGCCATTTTCAAGATATTGATTCTTCCTATCCATGAGCATGGAAGTTTTTTGCATTTGTTTGTGTCCTCTCTTATTTCCTTTGGCAGTGGTTTGTAGTTCTCGTTGAAGAGGTCCTTCACATCCCTTGTAAGTTGGATTCCTAGGTATTTTATTCTCTTTGTAGCAATTGTGAATGAGAGTTCACTCATGATTTGGCTTTCTGTTTGTCTATTATTGGTGTATAGGAATGCTTCTGATTTTTGCACTTCGATTTTATATCTTGAGACTTTGCTGAAGTTGCTTAGTAGTTTAAGGAGACTTTGGGCTGAGACACTGGGGTTTTCTAAATATACAATCATGCCATCTGCAAATAGAGACAATTTGACTTCCTCTCTTCCTATTTGAATGACTTTATTTCTTTCTCTTGCCTGATTGGCCTGGCCAGAACTTCTAATACTATGTTGAATAGGAGTGGTGAGAGAGGGCATCCTTGTCTTGCACTGGTTTTCAAGGGGAATGTTTCCAGCTTTTGCCCATTCAGTATGATATTGGCTGTGGGTTTGTCATCAATAGCTCTTATATTTTGAGATACGTCCCATCAATACCTAATTTATTGAGAGTTTTTAGCATGAAGGGATGTTGAATTTTATCAAAGGCCTTTTCTTCATCTATTGAGATAATCATGTGGTTTTTGTCATTGGTTCTGTTTATGTGATGGATTATGTTTATTGACTTGTGTATGTCTCCCACTATTATTGTGTGGAAGCCTAAATCTGTTTGCAGATCTCTAAGAACTTGCTTTATGAATCTGGGTGCTCTTGTATTGGGTGCATATATATTTAGGATAGTTAGCTCTTCTTGTTGCCTTGATCCCTTTACCATTATATAATGCCCTTATTTGTCTCTTTTGATCTTTATTGGTTTAAAGTCTCCTTTATCAGAGACCAGGATTGCAACTCCTGCTTTTTTTCGCTTTCCATTTGCTTGTTAAATATTCCTTCATCCCTTTATTTTGAGCCTGTATGTGTCTTTGCACGTGAGATGGGTCTCCTGAATACAGCATGCTGATGGGTCTTGACTCTTTATCCAATTTGCCAGTCTGTATCTTTTAGGTGGGGGCATTTGACCTATTTACATTTAAGGTTAAAATTGTTATGTGTGAATTTGATCATGTCATTATGATGTTAGCTGGTTATTTTGCCCGTTAGTTGATGCAGCTTCTTCATAGTGTCGATGGTCTTTACAATTTGGTATGTTTTTGCTGTGGCTAGTACCTGTTTTTCCTTTCCATATTTAGAGCTTCCTTCAGGAGCTCTTGTAGGGCAGGCCTAGTGGTGACAAAATTTCTCAGCATTTTCTTGTCTGTAACAGGTTTTATTTCTCCTTTACTTCTGAATCTTAGTTTGGCTGGATATGAAATTCTAGGTTGAAAATTCTTTTCTTTGAGAATGCACATGTACATTAAAACTTAAAGTATAATAATAATAAAATTTAAAAGAATGTTGAATATTGGCCCCCACTCTGGCTTGTTGGGTTTCTGCAGAGAGCTTCGCTGTTAGCCTCATGGGCTTCCCTTTGTGGGTCACCTGACCTTTCTCTCTGGCTGCCCTTAACATTTTTTCTTTTTTTTTTTTTTTTTTTTTTTTTTTTTAGAAAACATAGGTAAATTACTTTATACCCTGGATGTGGGAAAAACTTTTCTTGTTACAATTCAAAATCCAAAAGCAACAAAGGAAAATATTGATAAATTTGATTAAGAAAAATTTAAAAATATTGCATTTCAAAATATCACCATAAGCAAAATTAAAAGATAAATGACAAACTAGAAAAAAAATGCAATGTAGGATACAAAACGTTAAAATAGCCCTGTTTTATACACAGCATTTAAAATTTGAGGTTAAAAAAAGCCGATAGCACTGTTTTATTTTTAAATGTTAGAGATATGAACAGACAGTTGACACAAAAAATAGATGAAAATGGCTCCTAATATCTCAACTGCACTCTTAATAAGAGAATTTTTTTTTATTATTATTATACTTTAAGTTTTAGGGTACATGTGCACAATGTGCAGGTTAGTTACATATGTATACCTGTGCCATGCTGGTGTGCTGCACCCATTAACTCGTCATTTAGCATTAGGTATATCTCCTAAAGCTATCCCTCCCCACTCCCCCCACCCCACAACAGTCCCCAGAGTGTGATGTTCCCCTTCCTCTGTCCATGTGTTCTCATTGTTCAATTCCCACCTATGAGTGAGAACATGCGGTGTTTGGTTTTTTGTTCTTGCGATAGTTTACTGAGAATGATGATTTCCAATTTCATCCATGTCCCTACAAAGGACATGAACTCATCATTTTTTATGGCTGCATAGTATTCCATGGTGTATATGTGCCACATTTTCTTAATCCAGTCTATCGTTGTTGGACATTTGGGTTGGTTCCAAGTCTTTGCTATTGTGAATAGTGCCACAATAAACATACGTGTGCATGTGTCTTTATAGCAGCGTGATTTATAATGCTTTGGGTATATACCCAGTAATGGGATGGCTGGATCAAATGGTATTTCTAGTTCTAGATCCCTGAGGAATCGCCACACTGACTTCCACAAGGGTTGAACGAGTTTACAGTCCCACCAACAGTGTAATAGTGTTCCTATTTCTCCACATCCTCTCCAGCACCTGTTGTTTCCTGACTTTTTAATGATTGCCATTCTAACTGGTGTGAGATGGTATCTCATTGTGGTTTTGATTTGCATTTCTCTGATGGCCAGTGATGGTGAGCATTTTTTCGTATGTTTTTTTGCTGCATAAATGTCTTCTTTTGAGAAGTGTCTGTTCATGTCCTTTGCCCACTTTCTGATGGGGTTGTTTGTTTTTTTCTTGTAAATTTGTTTGAGTTCATTATAGATTCTGGATATTAGCCCTTTGTCAGATGAGTAGGTTGCGAAAATTTTCTCCCATTTTGTAGGTTGCCTGTTCACTCTGATGATAGTTTCTTTTGCTGTGCAGAAGCTCTTTAGTTTAATTAGATCCCATTTGTCAATTTTGGCTTTTGTTGCCATTCCTTTTGGTGTTTTAGACATGAAGTCCTTGCCCATGCCTATGTCCTGAATGGTAATGCCTAGGTTTCCTTCTAGGGTTTTTATGGTTTTAGGTCTAACATTTAAGTCTTTAATCCATCTTGAACTAATTTTTGTATAAGGTGTAAGGAAGGGATCCAGTTTCAGCTTTCTACATATGGCTAGCCAGTTTTCCCAGCACCATTAATTAAATAGGGAATCGTTTCTCCATTTCTTGTTTTTCTCAGGTTTGCCAAAGATCAGATAGCTGTAGATATGCGGCGTTATTTCTGAGAGCTCTGTTCTGTTCCATTGATCTATATCTCTGTTTTGGTACCAGTACCATGCTGCTTTGGTTACTGTAGCCTTGTAGTATAGTTTGAAGTCAGGTAGCGTGATGCCTCCAGCTTTGTTCTTTTGGCTTAGGATTGACTGGGCGATGCGGGCTCTTTTTTGGTTCCATATGAACTTTAAAGTAGTTTTTTCCAATTCTGTGAAGAAAGTCATTGGTAGCTTGATGGGGATGGCATTGAATCTATAAATTACCTTGGGCAGTATGGCCATTTTCACAATATTGATTCTTCCTACCCATGAGCATGGAATGTTCTTCCATTTGTTTGTATCCTCTTTTATTTCATTGAGCAGTGGTTTGTAGTTCTCCTTGAAGAGGTCCTTCACATCCCTTGTAAGTTGGATTCCTAGGTATTTTATTGTCTTTGAAGTGATTGTGAATGGGAGTTCACTCATGATTTGGCTCTCTGTTTGTCTGTTATTGGTGTATAAGAATGCTTGTGATTTTTGTACATTGATTTTGTATCCTGAGAGTGCTGAAGTTGCTTATCAGCTTAAGGAGATTTTGGGCTGAGACAATGGGGTTTTCTAGATATACAATGATGTCATCTGCAAACAGGGACAATTTGACTTCCTCTTTTCCTAATTGAATACCCTTTATTTCCTTCTCCTGCCTGATTGCCCTGGCCAGAACTTCCAACACTATGTTGAATAGGAGTGGTGAGAGAGGGCATCCCTGTCTTGTGCCAGTTTTCAAAGGGAATGCTTCCAGTTTTTGCCCATTCAGTATGATATTGGCTGTGGGTTTGTCATAGATAGCTCTTATTATTTTGAGATATGTCCCATCAATACCTAATTTATTGAGAGTTTTTAGCATGAAGCGTTGTTGAATTTTGTCAAAGGCCTTTTCTGCATCTATTGAGATAATCATGTGGTTTTTGTCTTTGGTTCTGTTTATATGCTGGATTACATTTATTGATTTGCATATATTGAACCAACCTTGCATCCCAGGGATGAAGCCCATTTGATCATGGTGGATAAGCTTTTTGATGTGCTGCTGGTTTAGGTTTGCCAGTATTTTATTGAGGATTTTTGCATCAATGTTCATCAAGGATATTGGTCTAAAATTCTCTTTTTTGGTTGTGTCTCTGCCAGGCTTTGGTATCAGGATGATGCTGGCCTCATAAAATGAGTTAGGGAGGATTCCCTCTTTTTCTATTGATTGGAATAGTTTCAGAAGGAATGGTACCAGTTCCTCCTCATACCTCTGGTAGAATTCGGCTGTGAATCCATCTGGTCCTGGACTCTTTTTTGTTGGTAAGCTATTGATTATTGCCACAATTTCAGAGCCTGTTATTGGTCTATTCAGAGATTCAACTTCTTCCTAGTTTAGTCTTGGGAGGGTGTATGTGTCCAGGAATTTACCCATTTCTTCTAGATTTTCTAGTTTATTTGCGTAGCGGTGTTTGTAGTATTCTCTGATGGTAGTTTGTATTTCTGTGGGATCAGTGGTGATATCCCCTTTATCATTTTTTATTTTGTCTATTTGATTCTTCTCTCTTTTCTTCTTTATTAGTCTTGCTAGTGGTCTATCAATTTTGTTGATCCTTTCAAAAAACCAGCTCCTGGATTCATTAATTTTTTGAAGGGTTTTTTGTGTCTCTATTTCCTTCAGTTCTGCTCTGATTTTAGCTATTTCTTGCCTTCTGCTAGCTTTTGAATGTGTTTGCTCTTGCTTTTCTAGTTCTTTTAATTGTGACATTAGGGTGTCAATTTTGGATCTTTCCTGCTTTCTCTTGTGGGCATTTAGTGCTATAAGTTTCCCTCTACACACTGCTTTGAATGTGTCCCAGAGATTCTGGTATGTTTTGTCTTTGTTCTCGTTGGTTTCAAAGAACATCTTTATTTCTGCCTTCATTTCATTATGTACCCAGTAGTCATTCAGGAGCAGGTTGTTCAGTTTCCATGTAGTTGAGCAGTTTTGAATGAGTTTCTTAATCCTGAGTTCTAGTTTGATTGCACTGTGGTCTGAGAGACAGTTTGTTATAGGGTCTGTTCTTTTACATTTGCTGAGGAGTGCTTTACTTCCAACTATGTGGTCAATTTTGGAATAGGTGTGGTGTGGTGCTGAAAAAAATGTATATTCTGTTGATTTGGGGTGGAGAGTTCTGTAGATGTCTATTAGGTCTGCTTGGTGCAGAGCTGAGTTCAATTCCTGGGCATCCTTGTTAAATTTCTGTCTCATTGATCTGTCTAGTGTTGACAGTGGGGTGTTAAAGTCTCCTATTATTATTGTGTGGGAGTCTAAGTCTCTTTGTAGGTCACTAAGGACTTGCTTTATGAATCTGGGTGTTCCTGTATTGGGTGCATATATATTTAGGATAGTTAGCTCTTCTTGTTGAATTGATCCCTTTACCATTATGTAATGGCCTTCTCTGTCTCTTTTGATCTTTGTTGGTTGAAAGTCTGTTTTATCCGAGACTAGGATTGCAACCCCTGCCCTTTTTTGTTTTCCATTTGCTTGGTAGATCTTCCTCCACCCTTTTATTTTGAGTCTATGTGTGTCTCTGCACGTGAGATGGGTTTCCTGAATACAGCACACTGATGGGTCTTGACTCTTTATCGAGTTTTCCAGTCTGTGTCTTTTAATTGGGGCATTTAGCCCATTTACATTTAAGATTAATATTGTCATGTGTGAATATGATCCTGTCATTATGATGTTAGCTGGTTATTTTGCTCGTTAGTTGATGCAGTTTCTTCCTGGCCTCGATGGTCTTTACAATTTGGCATGATTTTGCAGTGGCTGGTACCAGTTGTTCCTTTCCATGTTTAGTGTTTCCTTCAGGAGCTCTTTTAGGGCAGGCCTGATGGTGACAAAATCTCTCAGCATTTGCTTCTCTATAAAGTATTTTATTTCTCCTTCACTTATGAAGCTTAGTTTGGCTGTATATGAAATTCTGGGTTGAAAATTCTTTTCTTTAAGAATGTTGAATATTGGCCCCCACTCTCTTCTGGCTTGTAGAGTTTCTGCCGAGAGATCTGCTGTTAGTCTGATGGGCTTCCCTTTGTGGGTAACCCGACCTTTCTCTCTGGCTGCCCTTAACATTTTTTCCTTTATTTCAATTTTGGTGAATCTGAGAATTATGTGTCTTGGAGTTGCTCTTCTCGAGGAGTATCTTTGTGGCATTCTCTGTATTTCCTGAATTTGAATGTTGGCCTGTCTTGCTAGATTGGGGAAGTTCTCCTGGATAATATCCTGCAGAGTGTTTTCCAACTTGGTTCCATTCTCCCCGTCACTTTCGGGTACACCAATCAGACATATATTTGGTCTTTTCACATAGTCCCATATTTCTTGGAGGCTTTGTTCATTTCTTTTTATTCTTTTTTCTCTAAACTTCCCTTCTCACTTCATTTCATTCATTTCATCTTCCATCACTGATACCCTTTCTTCCAGTTGATCGCATCGGCTCCTGAGGCTTCTGCATTCTTCAGGTGGTTCTCAAGCCTTGGCTTTCAGCTCTATCAGCTCCTTTAAGCACTTGTCTGTATTGGTTATTCTAGTTATACATTCGTCTAAATTTTTTTCAAAGTTTTCAACTTCTTTGCCTTTGGTTTGAATTTCCTCCTGCAGCTCGGAGTAGTTTGATTATCTGAAGCCTTCTTCTCTCAACTTGTCAAAGTCATTCTCCATCCAGCTTTGTTCAGTTGCTGGTGAGGAGCTGCGTTCCTTTGGAGGAGGAGAGGCACTCTGCTTTTTAGAGTTTCCAGTTTTTCTGCTCTGTTTTTTCCCCATCTTTGTGGTTTTATCTACTTTTGGTCTTTGATGATGGTGATGTACAGATGGGTTTTTGGTGTGGATGTCCTTTCTGTTTGTTAGTTTTCCTTCTAACAGACAGGACCCTCAGCTGCAGGTCTGTTGGAGTTTGCTAGAGGTCCACTTCAGACACTGTTTGCCTGGGTATCAGCAGTGGTGGTTGTAGAACAGTGGATTTTTGTGAACCGCGAATGCTGCTGTCTGATCATTCCTCTGGAAGTCTTGTCTCAGAGGAGTACCCAGCCATGTGAGGTGTCAGTCTGCTCCTACTGGGGGTTGCCTCCCAGTTAGCCTGCTAAGGGGTCAGGGGTCAGGGACCCACTTGAGGAGGCAGTCTGCCTGTTCTCAGATCTCCAGCTGCATGCTGAGAGAACCACTGTTCTCTTCAAAGCTGTCAGACAGGGACATTTAAGTCTGCAGAGGTTACTGCTATCTTTTTGTTTGTCTGTGCCCTGCCCGCAGAGGTGGAGCCTACAGAGGCAGGCAGGCCTCCTTGAGCTGTGGTGGGCTCCACCCAGTTCGAGCTTCCCAGCTGCTTTGTTTACCTAAGCAAACCTGGGCAATGGCAGGCGCCCCTCCCCCAGCGTCGCTGCAGCCTTGCAGTTTGATCTCAGACTGCTGTGCTAGCAATCAGAGAGACTCTGTTGGCCTAGGACTCTCCGAGTCAGGTGCGGGATATAATCTCCTGGTGCACCGTTTTTTAAGCCTGCCGGAAAAGCACAGTATTAGGGTGGGAGTGACCTGATTTTCCAGGTGCCGTCTGTCACCCCTTTCTTTGACTAGGAAAGGGAACTCCCTGACCCCTTGCGCTTCCCGAGTGAGGCAATGCCTCGCCCTGCTTCGGCTCACGCATGGTGCACTGCACCCACTGTCCTGCGCCCACTGTCTGGCACTCCCTAGTGAGATGAACCCGGAACCTCAGATGGAAATGCAGAAATCACCCGTCTTCTGCGTTGCTCATGCTGGGAGCTGTAGACCGGAGCTGTTCCTATTTGGCCATTTTGGCTCCCGATTCACATTTTTTCTTTCATTTCAACCTTGGTGAATCTGACAATTATGTGTCTTGGGGTTGCTCTTCTCGAGGAGTACCTTTGTGGTTTTCTCTGTATTTCCTGAATTTGAATGGTGGCCTGTCTTGCTAGGTTGGGGAAGTTCTCCTGGATAATATCCTGAAGAGTGTTCTCCAGCTTAGTTCCATTCTCCCCATCACTTTCAGGTACACCAATCAAACGTAGTGGTCTTTTCACATAGTGCCATATTTCTTGGAGGCTTTGTTTGTTCCTTTTCATTCTTTTTTCTCTAATCTTGTCTTCATGCTTTATTTCATTAAGTTGATCTTCAATGTCTGATATCCTTTCTTTGAGTTGATTGATTTGGCTATTGATACTTGTGTGTGCTTCACAAAGTTCTCGTGCTGTGTTTTTCAGCTCCATCAAGTCATTTATATTCTTCTCTAAGCTGGTTATTCCAGTTAGCAATTCCTCTAACCTTTTATCAAGTTTCTTAGCTTCCTTGCTTTGGGTTAGAATATGCTCCTTTAGCTTGGAGGAGTTTGTTATTACCCACCTTCTGAAGCCTACTTTTGTCAATTCATCAAACTCATTCTCTGTCAAGTTTTCTTCCCTTGTTGGTGAGTTGTTATCCTTTGGAGCAGAAGAGGCATTCTGATTTTTGGAATTTTCTGCCTTTTTGTGCTGGTTTTTCCTCATCTTTGTGGATTTATCTACCTTTGTTCTTTGATGCTGGTGACCTTCGGATGGGGTTTTTGTGTGGACGTCCTTTTTGTTGATGTTGATGCTATTCCTTTTTGTTTGTCAGTTTTCCTTCTCACAGTCCGGTCCCTCTGCTGCAGGTCTACTGGAGTTTGCCAGAGGTCCCCTCCAGACCCTGTTTTCCTGGGTATCACCAGCAGAGGCTGCAGAACGGCAAAGATTACTGCCTGTTCCTTTCTCTGGAAGCTTTGTCCCAGAGGGGCACCTGCTAGATGCCAGCTGGAGCTCTCCTGTGTGAGGTATCTGTCGACCCCTGCTGGGAGATGTCTTCCAGTTAGGAGGCACAGGGTTCAGGGACACACTTGAGGAGGCAGCCTGTCCCTTAGCAGAGTTTGAGTGCTGTGCTGGGAGATCTGCTGCTGTCTTCAGAGCTGGCAGGAACATTTAAGTCTGCTGAAGCTGCATGCACAGCTGCCCTTTCCTATTTATTTTTTAGAGACAGGATCCTGTTGTCACCCAGGCTGGAATGCAGTGGCAGGAACAGAACTCACTGCAGCCTCAACCTTCTGGGCTCAAGCAATCCTCCCTTTTCAGCCTTCCGAATAGTTAGGACCAGAGATGTGCATCACCACACTCAGCTATTTTTAAATTTGTCTGGTAGAGATGGGGTCTCACTGTGTTGTCCAGGCACAACCTTTCTCTTTCCTCTTTCTAAAGGCATCCTGCAATGAGATACTATGTAGCCAGTAAAAGGAATGAAATACTTTTCCCATAGTAGCAGATGGAATGTTAATTTAAAAACAGAGTTGCACAACAGTATGCTTCCAAGGATCCTATGTCCTCCGTCTCCTCCTGGGAGTGCAACTCTGGTGTCTTGGTTTCTAGGCCCTGGGTGTTGGGTCCTGGGGTAGCATCTCCAGGAAGGCCCTGTGGTTGTCTGGGCAGCTTGTGTGATGCTGGGCTGGGGTTGGTCTTCAGAGCTGGCCTGGGTGACTGCTTCTTGATTTTCTCATTTACTGGTTCACACAGGTGCAATCAGACAGTCGTCAGCCCATGCCCTTCCCAGGCCACGTTAAGTGCAGGTGGAACAGGCCATGGTGGGAAGGGGCTTTACTCACTGTATTAGTTCCTGCAGGTGCTGTAATAGATGGCCACAAACCCAGCAGCTTTATCAGGACTTTATTATCTTACAGGCCTGGAATTTAGAAGTCTGAAGTCAAGGTGTTGGCCTGGCTGTGCTCTTGCCTGAGGCTCTAGGGAAAGGACTTCCTGGCCTCTTCCAGCTTCTGGCAACTTCTGTGGTGCTCCTGGGCTGTGGCCATGTCTCTCCAAGGCCTTCTCTGTCTTCACAGGGCCTTGTCCCCTGTGCAGGTCTGGATCAAAACTCCCTTGGCTTCCCTCTTATAGGATACATGGCATTTAGGGCCCTGGATGACCTAGGATACGTTCCTCCTCTCAAGGTCCTTAATTACATCTTTTGCTATATAAGGTAATATTCTCAGGTCTTGGGGTTTAGATGAGAATATAACTTTGGGGGGTTACTATTCAACCCACTACACCCCTTGATGTAACTGAGGACAGACGTCAGATATTGGATATTAGAGGAGTGTCAGAAACACAACCCACACAAACAATTGCCTTGAAACACACAAGTGCAGCAGTGAGTAGATCCCAGGTAAGTTTTGTTTCTCTTTGCCAGGTGCTAAGTCACCTGGACTGAATTACTCCATGCAGCTCTGACCCATGTGTGTGCCTGTTGGGCCAATTCAAGATCTGTTTGCTGGGTTTGTCCCCAGAGATTCCTCAGGCCAAAGACCCACAGTACTGTTTCAAGGAGTGTGTAGATATGAGGGTGCCAGAGTGTGAGAGTGAAAGGCCTGGGCTTGAGTTCTGGTTCAACCACTTACTAGGTAGGCCTCTGTCCTTGGACAAGACAACTTGCTGCTTGACTTTTTAATCTGTAAAGAAGACAAGAATAATCACTACCTTTTAGGATTGTTGTGAGGATTAAGTGATAAAATGCATGCACATTCTACCTTAACTCAGCACAACGCCTTCAGGTGAGGATTCATGGCATGGCCCAGGAGAGGAGGGCTGCAGACTGGTTGCCTCCTCCTGACACCTGCTGTCCATGGAGCAGTCTGGGTCAAGTCTCAGCTCCCACTCAGTTTCCAAGCTCAGTTCAGGAAGTTCCAGGGATTCAGTGGGCACCTCCTATCTTCTTCTACCCAATCTGAGAAAGTGGCAAAAATTGGGAGTCTCTGTGCCGAAGGTGAGAAACTTGCCTCCAACAGAAGACAGATGGCCCATGATGCAAGATGATGTCTTTCCTGTGTTTCTTGTGTCCCTAGTACACAGACACCATGACCTACAGAAGAAGAGGCCAGAGCAGGGTGTTGCAGAGACATCAGCTCTCCATCTGCACCCAGATCTAAGGGTCAGTGCACTGAGCAGGAGCAGCTCCCTTTGGACTCAGATTGAGGGATCACAGGTGTTCAAGATCCTGGGTGGCACTTTGGGAGGCTGAGGCGGGCAGATCACCTGAGGTCAGGAGTTTAAGACCAGCCTGGCCAACATGGCAAAACCCGTTTCTACTATAATAAAAATACAAATTAGCCAGGTGTGGTGGCACGCACCTGTAGTCTCAGCTACTTGGGAGGCTGAAGCATGAGAATCACTTGAACCTGGGAGGCAGAGGTTGCAGTGAGCCAAGATTGTGCCACTGCACTCCAGTCTGGGAGACAGAGCAAGACGCTGTCTCAAAAAGAAAGAAAAAAAAAAAGGTACTGTGTTAGCCCCAACCCAAGTGCATTCCCTGTCCCCAAGCACTTTTGTCTTGGGACACTTGGCCATCAGACTTGCTATCCTCACCATCATCATTTTGAAAATGCAACCATGTTAATAGACTCCATGGGAAATGCAGTCTAGGCAGCCTAAGAGGTAGCCCAGCTCCTTTTGACTCGCACCTCTGGCTCAGAGGCCTTCTGGGAGGGGACTCTTCCTTTCTACCACAACCTGCGTTTGCTCATGTCCCCATCCATCCTGCTTCACGCAGGCCTCCAGCCAAAGCTAAGATGAAATGAAACCAACCTGACTGGTGTCAGTACACAAAACCTTTGGGGATTTTTACTAAATCCAGCTGGGATCTGTGACTTATTTATGAACTCATATGGCTCTTTCACTTCTCTGTCTTTTGCCAAATTGCTGACACGTTCTTAAATTATCCAGTTTGTTTTTTCTCTTCTTCTCTCCTTCTTGGGAAGATAAAGTCACAGGCATGTGGTCCTCCTCTGTTTATAACAGTGATGGCTCTCTGAGCCACCGTCACCCACCCAGACCACAGCTCTTAGGAACACAAAAGGCAGAGCTTGAATAGGGGGAGTTAAAGGTGTCTTCATTTCATCTGTGTAGCCATGTAGGAGAAAATTTTGTGGGAATTAAAGAAATCCTGAGCCAGCATTTGTGCTTGTATCGGATGATCTCTCATGGACCAAGCAGAGCCAGAAAACTCCCAGTTGCTTCAAACGCTGACATGATGGCAAATATCGAAGACTGGTTAATCCAAGAGCCAAGAACTGTTTTATGGCTCAGAAGTGGAATGTAGCTTTGGTGACAGTGAGCTTTTCCTGTTAAAAGTGTCCCAAAAGATTTGCCTGTGGGTTGTCATCTGAACTCCACCCATGTCCTCCTCCCCCACCCCATCTGGAAGATGCTTACTAATGCATCCCAAATTTAGCACTCCTGCAAGGCTCAGACTGGGGCTGATTAATGCATCATAACTTTCAAATTAAAGGCAGAAATGCTCCATCTTCCTCCTGTATCTACACAATTACTCTGTAGATTGCTTGCAAGGGGACATCAAAAGGGGAAAAAAAAGCACCAACCTACGACATTGTAGTTGGGATTGTCACTTCCTAAAATAAAATGCTCATTTGCCTTACGTAAGTCCATTATCACCCTGTGCAAATTCACTCTAGATGTTAGAATGATTAGCCATTGTTCATCTCCACATTGGGTGTATTAACACGGTCCCACTACACGCACTGTCCAGACTGTGTTGGTTTAAAGGAAGTCCACAAGTTCTTGAACACGCTCTTCAATAGGCAGACCCCTTCCCTGACATGTGGGTGGCCTTAGTGACTAACTTCTGACAAACAGAGAAAAGGCAGAAGTGATGGGGTGCAACTTCAGGGAATGAGTGTATTCATTTTCTGTTGCTGCATGATGAATTACCAGGAACTTATTCTAAACTTCGCAAATGTATTATATCACAGTTCTCTAGATCACAGGTGCCGTATGGGTGGTCTTCTGCTCAGGGTCCTACAAGGCTGAAATCAAAGTGCTGGCCAGGACTGAGATCTCAGCTGAGGTCTGGGGCCCTCTGCCAAGCTTAACAGGGGCTAGGAACACTCTCAGCTCCTAGAGGCTGCTCTTGGGGTCTTGGCACCTGGAACCCTCCATAATATGACCCTTCGCTTCTTCAAGGTCAGCAGGAACTTCCTTGGCTTCAAATCCTTCTGATCCATTTTAAAGGATCCCCTGATTAGATCAGGCCCACCTAGGATAATACTTCTGATTAACCCAATGTCTACTGATCACGGATCTTGATTGTAATATTCCTTCTGCTGTATAATGTAACATAATCATGGGGGTGAGATCGCACCATTTGTGTAAGTCCAGCTCACACTCAAGGGAAGGGGATTGCACAGGGTGTGTACGCCAGGGGATGGAATGTAGGGAACCATCTCAGAAGTCATCAGGATCTCCTGCTCTGGAGAAAGCCAGCTGCCATAAAGTGAGGACACTCAAGCAGCCCTGTGGAGAAGTCTACATGGATGGAAGGAGGTCTCCTATTAGCAGTCATCCAGAACCCAAGGCCTCCAGCCAACAGCCATGAGGGAAGCCATCCTGAGAGCAGGTCCTCCAGCCCCAGTTGAGCCTGCAGATGATCCAGCCCCAGCCGACGTCCTCACTGCAACCTCTTGAGAAACCAGAGCCACAACCACCCAAGTGAGCTGCTCCCAGATTCCTGATCCTCAAAGCCTGTGTGAGATAATCAATTTTTTCTGTTTGGAGATGCTATTTTCTAAGGCAACTGGTTGCACAACAATAAATAACTAATACACAGCCTTTATTCACTAAAAGAGTAATTAATAACCATGGGAAAAAGGTGCATCGAAACATGAGAAGAGAAATCCCAGCAAAGGTGCCTTCTTCCCCTCTCTATCTTCACAGGCAGAGCTCAACTCTGGGCCTTGTCACACCCCCAGTTATGCTGTGGTCACCACTGGATCCCTTCCACCTCTGTAAGGGCGCTGAGCCATCCTCCCAAACCTCCAGTCTCAACCCAGTGCCCTGCTGCTTCATCCCAAGTTTCTCCCCAGTGTTTTCCCTGGTTCAGACTCATAACTCATTCTACTCCAAGTGCCAAGCTCTCCAGCCTGAATGCCCTTCTCTGGACTCATTGCTTTTCTTGCAGTGGCCTTGTCCCTGCTTGTGCCTTCAAGCTGGGCTGTGAGCTGGGGCTGGCTTGAAGGCCACTCTCAGCCTCCAAGGGGGTGCAGCTGGGGCTTCTCGGCCCTGGGCTTAAGGCCATGGCTACAGTCAAGCCATTTCCCAGTAGGAAGTAAAGCACTTAAATCTGGGTTGTTTTCTTCTCAAGCTGTAAACTCAGCACTAGATGACAAATCGCAGCACCCCCACATCCTGCCTGCCTGGCCTCCCACGCCTCACTCACGTGGCAATCTCCAGATAGTGATGGGGATTCCCGAGGGCATGCAGGGGCCAGATGCCCACTTGTGCCCTGTGCCTGGGTGAGTGAGGTGTGCAAGGTGGGCCTCTGTTCTGCTGCCAGCCCAGCCAATGATGGCAAGGACAGAGGGTTCAAAGCTCTGACCCCCATTGTAAACAGGGGGCAGAGGAGCCGCCCACCTGAGCAGCATCAGATCCATGCAAAGTGCCAGGTGGAGGTGAAACACAGCCAGCGACACGACTGTTGGTATTTCGGGTCAACTCACCTTGAGCTGGAGGGAGCAGTCAGCCTCCAAGAAGGCACGACGTGACACAGTCCAGACCCCTTGCCCGCCTCTGCTGGCCGTGAGTAATTGGCACTAAACACGGGATGCGTCTGGGTTTAATCTAATCTGAGCTCAATTACTTGACTCCGCTGATGGAAACCCGCCCAGGCTCCAGTGCTTCAGTGAAGAGGGCGCTGAGGTCGCCTGCTCACTGCAGCCTGGGGTCCTGTTCCTTCTGCTGGTGCAGGTGTGCAGCTCTGATACGCAGCGCCTGATGGGACTGCAGGGACAACTCCAAGAGCAGGGTTCTCTAGCTCACTAGGCTTCTGCACTCATTGTTCACCTGAACCCAGGGCACACGTGGGTGTGGGAGGGATGCAGGGGAGACCATGTCCTCAAGGTTTGGTGCCAAGATGGGGGCCCCAAGGCACACACACCTTGGTTGGTCCCTCCCTCATCACTGCTATGGAACAGGGCTTAGCCCACGCACCGGGAGAGGCTCCCATAGAAGCCCTGGGAGAGACCCAAGTCCTGGGAGAGACCCAAGTCCTGGCTCTGAGCCACCCTCTGCTCCCCACTTTCCTTCCCATCTGCGTTTGATTTTCTGAGGCCAGCCTGTATCTCACAGTGGGAGCCATTCCTCTCACTGTACACAGACGCCCTGGGCCTGGCTGGGGAGTCCCTAA
Source organism: Homo sapiens (assembly GCF_000001405.40). Lineage (NCBI taxonomy): Eukaryota > Metazoa > Chordata > Mammalia > Primates > Hominidae > Homo > Homo sapiens. The sequence goes on along the minus strand of NC_000010.11, from coordinate 44,260,909 downwards.
TCCCACCCCATGAGCCTCTTTCTGCCTTGTCAGGCCCACTTCTAGCCCATGCTGTTGAGGCATCTCTGCTCCATCCAGTCCGCCCTGCACTCAGCAGCTCTTGGTGTGGAACCCATCCAAGTGCGCCCCGGGGCTGTTTGGATGTGTGGGTTCCCGAGTCGGCCTGCCCTCAGCACCCAGCTGCACAGGCTTGGTGGTGGCGGCAGGGTGAGAGCCCTCCCCACTGGGTCTCCTCTGTATCTATGGGAATGGGCTGCGGCTGCCTACAGAGGAGCTCAGCCCATCCCCATCTCAGGGCTCAGGCTGGGTCTGCGGGGCGCAGGCAGGAGAGTATAGGCCAGGGCTTTCCAGCAGGAGGTGAGAAACTCCCACAAGGACACGCTCTGCTGCTTCTGGGCCAAATAGGCACATCTGGGGAGGAATGGGCCTGCTCGCTGGGAATTCCCCCTGAATTCCCTCCGGATGTCACACCTCTGCTCCCCCTGACCCGAGGTTGCCCCCAACACCTCCACTCTGATTTGGAGATTTAAAAGGATGTGCAGTGAAAGGATGATAAAATCCTCTATCTTATTTATTTTTCTCTCAAATTTCTAACTTGATGGCTAGTAAGTTGTCAGTGAGAGAAAGAGAAAATGTATGGTAGACATAATTTTGAATAACAAGTTGAAGCAATTGGGAGCCATCACTGTCATTTGGGACAGCCTTAAGCTCTCTCAATTAGCTGTGTAATTTGGGATAATTTACTCAACCTCTCTGTTCCTCAGTTTCCTCATCAGCAAAATGTGGAGATAACAGCGCCTACCTAATTGGGATGCTGTGAGGATTGAGAGAATACACAGAAACAGCTTAGAACACTACCTCAATTGTTCTACACACACCTGAGTTGGCAAGTGTGTGAAGTAACCTCCTCCGAGTCCTGGACTGTGGACAGTGATGCCACCTTTTGGCACAACTCCCCTAGAATTTAAGGAGACCAAGACATTGTGAAAACCAAGTGTCTCCCACCTTGCCAGGACCTATAAAGTCAAGGGCGGTGCTGGCATATTTTGTTCCTGTGACAGGGGCTGATGAGGTCACTGTGGGAATCACAGCAAGTCCAAGTCCATGAGGCTTAGGGAGAAGGCTGTGCATCACCCTCATGGGCCGGGAGCTCCAGGAACAGCTTTCCCAGATTTACGCTGAGGGAGTCCTGAATCCAGGAAGGAGGTTCCATGGCCACCTGGCACCATGTGTCAATCTCCCAGGTCTGTGAGTACTCTGGTCTCAGCCAGCTGAGGAAGCCGTGGGTCAACATGAAAATGCACACCCAGGAAGCCATCTGCCCCAAGGAGTGAGTAGCTGCTGGACTAGTCCTCTCCTACACATGGCTGATACCAGGTGATCTGTGAATCTGGCGTCACATGCTCCCTCAATCCCGGAGCCATCCTGTGAAAGAAATGGGCCAAGGTTCAAAGGCCATCTACAGAGAGGACCTCCCCCTGGGCCCCAGGAGCCCTGTGCTCTCTGGCAGGCACAACCTAGTACTCATTTCAAAGGTGTGGAAACAGTCTGGGAAGTTATGTGACTTTTCATCCCCATGAGCGGGGGATCTGTTGACAAACCTGTTTTTCCTCTCATCTGTGCTCTCTTTGTTGGTTGATGTCGAGGGGCAGGGTGACTCTTTGGTCCCCTTCCCCCATTCCAAAGATCCCCTGCAGGAAGAGGAGAGGAAACAGCATATGCTGTCTCAGTGCAGGCTGCTATTACAAAACTATCATAGACTGGGAGGCTTAAACAACAAACATTTATTTTTCACTGTTCTGGAGGTTGGAAAGTACAAGACAAAGGCACCAGCAGTTTGGTGTCTGGTGAAGACCTGCTCCCTGGTTCACAGATGGCGCCTTCTGGCTGTGTCTCCACATGGTGGAAGAGATGACCAAGTCCCCTGGGGTCCCTTTATTAAGGGCACTAATCCCATTCATGAGGATTCTTCCCTCACGACCTAATCATTTCCCAATGGCCCCACCTTCAAATACCATGGCATTAATACCTTGGGCATTAGGATTTTAACATATGAATTTGAGGGATACAAACATTGGGTACATACCACATGCTGACACCATTTGCCATGATGCAGTCACACTCAGTACCTCCCAAGTATCATCTGCATACACCTGGCTGAGGAGAAAACAATTAGAAAGGTAACACCAGGGGCCCTCCTGGTGATGGAACTGCTCTGTATCTCGACTGTGGCAGTCACATGATTGGACACATGATAAAATTGCATGGAACCAAACACACACACACAAATGAGTGCATGTGAGCCTGATGAAATTTGAATAAAGTCGATCCTTGGATCAATGTGAATTTCTGGTTATGACAGCTATTCTTATGTAAGATGTTACCACTAGGGGAAACTGGAGAATCTCTGTAATATTTCTTACCACTGCATGTGAACCTACAACTCTCTAAAAATATTTTTTAATTGAAAAAAATTAATTCTCACACTCCAAAGTGCATTTAATTTAAGCTACTTTAGTAAATAGGCAGCTGAAGCCCAGGAGGGGCTCCTCCGTCTTTGCTGCTGTCCCCTCCTGGCACCTGTGGCTGCAGGTGAGTGCCAGGAGGAGCATTTCAACAGGGGGAGCCCCGGGGAGAGGGCTGGGCTGGGACTTGCTAATGCTGGTCTTCAAGGAGAACCTAGGAGTGAGTCAGGGCTGGGAGTGAGTCTGCAGGAGGAGCCCTCTGGAGGCCCAGGGGTACCCATGTGGGAGCTGTCTCTCAGCTGGGCAGAGACCTGGCTCCAGTCCCATGGGGGCAGAAGAGGTGGACAGCACAATCTCCTTCAGTCCAGCTGGTGGCCAGTTCTCTAAACCCTCTGATAAAGAGAGGCTCGGATCTCAACATTCACTGCCTCTCAGGGTGGAGAAAGGAAGATTCAAAGTGGGAATGAGGGAATGCTATACTTACTATAAGCAACCAAAATGTATGTTGTGAAAAAGTGTTTTTTAATTGATGTGTTTTTTTCTATTACAGATTCCAAAATATTAAAATTTTGATTTTTCCTATTTTGAGGCAAGTATGTACTCCATCTTCTTAACCCTTAATTAGTGTTTTATCAGAACATCATAATTTTAATCCCAGGGTCAGGTGTGTTTGGGAGGTGCTGACCAGAGCTAACTTAGCAGCTCCTGCAGGAGAGGCCTTCATGGTGCTGCCAGCTCTACTCCAGTCCCTCTCTTGCTCTAAGTTCTCTGCCACTCAAGACTGCCCATTCCTTCCCAGGTCCCAGCTCTCCCTATAGTTTCTCTCATGTGCAGAGCCATGACTTGCAGTGGCAATCGGCTGGGCCCATGGATGCCATGTGATGCCTTAGCTTTTCTTACAGCTCAGTCTTGGGAGTGCAAGAGAGACAATAATTGACTGAAAAATCATGTGGCTCTCTGGTCTGAGGTTCAGAAATCTTTCAATTGTGCTTACGGAAGCATGGCTTCCCCTTGTGGAGGTTGTTATTGTTGTCAGTGGTGGGGTGTGTGTGTGTGTGTGTGTATGCACCCGTGTGCACACATACATTATGTTTTGTTTGAGATTTTAATACTTGAAGCAGGAATTAGCAAGATCAGACACCATTTCCTTTCACTGAGAGTTAGCCAGGCTTGATTCCTTCCCGGAGCTACATTCTTTCTCCCTTGGTCCAGGGAAAACTTCTCAGATTGGGTTCCTGGTTGATGTGAAGTGTAAACACGATGCAAAAAGGAGACTCCTGGCTTCAGTGTATTCATCAAGAATTATTGGCATAACCATTACCAATTAAAACATACAAGGTTTCCCAGATATTCTTACCTGATCATATTACAAGACAGCCATTTAAAACTGCCCTAAGGCCATCAGTCTAAGCAAAAGCAACCAATCTAAGAAGCAAAAAGTAACACATACTGGAATCCCATGCTATGTGATGACATGGAGAAGTTCGTAACATACACAAACCAAGGGTTCTTAGGGGGGATATGGCCTGTTGAGGGGCATTAGGTTGCAGTCTTGGTTGATCCAATTTAAACACCTGGGTTGATACAGAATTCTGATTTTCTAGGCCTTGATATTTGCTACAAGCGAGTATTTCTGCATAACTTGGGTCACTTTTTCCTCATGGTTACCTGACCAGTCTGTTCACTGTGAACATTGCCTACTGTGTCCACCTATCATGGAGAAGACCTGAAATTCCACTGTGAGGACTCTAGAATCACAGGTCAGGAGACAAGTAATCTTTCCAGCAAAGAAGTTTCTCAACCTTCTGGTAAACATAGTACAGGGAATTTTAAAACTTCTGTTTGGTCCTCTAAGACTTTGGTCCAGACTTTGGCTTTGAATTTAAGACTTAATAGGGGCTACCCTGGAAAATTAAAGAACCCCAGCTAGGAAGTTGTCATAAGGGATGCACTTACTTTGGGGACACTTGTATGAGATCATCAGGTATGGCATCACCAAAGAACTCTCCAGCCCACCTACAACCGTTCTCCCTCAAGGCCAACACTGGTAAGAGCAGGCACAGACAGGGAGGGTTGAATCACCAGGATCAGCACCAGACAGCATATTCTCTCTAAAATCTACCAATGTGGGAAGAGCCAGAAGGGTGGATTCAATCCAGATGCCCAGGGAAATCAGATCCCAACACCAGGTCAAGGGGAGGAACTGGGAGGCATAAGCAGGACGCGAAAGCCAAGAGAAAACCCAGTGGATCTGGAACAGCAGTGAGGAGGCTCCCAGTGAAAAAAAATTTTTTTTTTTTTTTTTTTTTTAAACGGAATCTTGCTCTGTCGCCCAGGCTGGAGTGCAGTGGCACGATCTCAGCTCACTGCAAACTCTGCCTCCCAGGTTCAAGCGATTCTCCTGTCTCAGCCTCCCGAGTAGCTGGGATTACAGGCGTGTGCCACCACGCCTGGCTAATTTTTGTATTTTTAGTAGAGACAGGGTTTCACCGTGTTAGCCAGGATGGTCTCAATCTCCTGACCTCATTATCCGCCCACCTTGGTCTCCCAAGGTGCCCAGTGAAAATTTAAAGCAGCATTGCACGTGTTGATCGTAGAATATACAGTATTTGGGCAGGTAAGGTTGACTGAAAGGTATCAGTTAAGAAGAACAAGCTTTGAAAGCTTAGTCTAGGTTTTGTGGGTTTGTTTGTTTGTTGGTCCAGTAGGACTGGGCCATTTTAGATTTGTCTGTTCTTTCATAAACACTTATATTTGCAATGAGAGAGACATTATGCTGGGCTCTGGGAAAATAATGGTAAATAAGGTATAGGACCTGATTGAAGGAAATTATAATTTAGTAGCAAAGATTAAAAATGGAAACACAATTGCAATGTGATGTTTTAAGTTTGGTATTAATGGAAAGTTCTAGGTGCAATTGAAGTATCTAGGAAAGGTAGTCTTGGAATAAAGACAGGAAAGGTTTAGCAGAGGAGACAGCTAAAGCACAAATAAATAATTAGAAGAAGATGGTCAGGTGAACTGGGGAGTGCATTCTAAGAAAATGGTCACCATGTACTCTGAGGCTTTCTCAAGCAGCCCCTCAGCTGATTCTCTGGACTCCTGGACATAGTCCACTCTGCTGTGCACATGCAGAAGGCAGGCAAAGCTCCTGCTTCCTGGGCCACTCTGGCTGTACCTCCCCACCTAATGTGAGCTGGATGCTTGTCAGGGGTCTGTCTTCATTTTCCTCATATCTATTTATAACTCTTATACTTGTTATCAAAGTTATTTAATATAAGTAAATTTATTCAAACCAATGAGATATGGGTACAAATGAGTTGTCATTCCTGTGAAAATTATTTTTTTATTTTGTAGCTAGTTTTATTTTTATTTATTTATTTTATTATTTTTCCATAAGTTATTGGGGTACAGGTGGTATTTGGTTACATGAGTAAGTTCTTTAGTGGTGATTTGTGAGATTTTGGTGCACCCACCACCTGAGCAGTATACACTGCCCCCTATTTGCAGTCTTTTGTCCCTCGCTACCCTACTTTTACGCCCAATCCCCCAAAGTCCATTGTATCATTCTTAGGCCTTTGCGTCCTCATAGCTTAGTTCCCACATATCAGTGAGAACATAAAATGTTTGGTTTTCCATTCCTGAGTTACTTCATTTAGAATAATCATCTCCAATCGTGTCCAAGTCGCTGCAAATGCTATTAATTCTTTCCTTTTTATGGCTGAGTAGTATTCAATCATATATATACACCACAGTTCCTTTATCCACTCATTGATTGATGGCATTTGGGTTGGTTCCATGATTTTGCAACTGTGAATGTGCTGCTATAAACATGCATGTGCAAGTATTCTTTGTGTATAATGACTTCTTTTCCTCTGGGTAAATACCCAGAAGAAATCCCTGTGAAAAATTAAATTGCAAGTGTGGAAAGACTTATTGAGCATAGCCACTAAAAAATAATGCTACCAAATTCAGTGTTTCCAAGTAGCTGTAACTTATTGGGGAACTAAAATGGGAAATAGCCACTAAAATTCTACAATCAGAATGCTTGGCAATTGTTTTAAAGTTCTGAGTCCGTTTTAAAAAAGCTAACAATGGAATGTATAGAGGATGCAGCTTAGACATGCATTATGCAAGAGGGACATCATGGGATGCCTACTGGGCCCACACCTCAGAGAGGCTTTTGCTTTATGTCACAAGATTAGTAACCAAATATTCATGTATATGTTTTAAAGCAAAATAAAATATTTATGATATCCAAATATTATTTTTGTGGTTCTTTGCTTAACTGATTTTTTTGATTAACAAACCAAACCAACCACAGATCCCAAATCTACTGGATTGGAGGACTCCTTGCATACCAAAGTCTGGCTTTAAGAGTGTAAGAGAGAAAACCAAGTTATTAAGTGTGAGTAAACACAGGATTGAGTCATGTGCTGGACAGCTGGAAGGATGCCAGTGCGTGTGCTGATGCTGGGAAGACAGAGTTCCATGGGAAGTTGGTGCAGAGTGACGCTCTGAGTTGTGTTAGCAGCGTCAAGATTTCAGAGCAGGGCAAGAGATGAAACTGTAAAATGAGGTCCCCAGACACTCTAGTACTCATGCACGGAACCCTGTTCACATTGTCCTGGGGACTGAGGGGGCCAGGACAATATCATCTGAGAAAGCCTCCTCATTCAACTTTTTCCACATGCAGCAGCATTTTGGAGACTGCATGTGAACTGCATGCCCAGCTATGCAGCACCATGGGCTGTGTTTCTATTTCTGGGCAGACTCTTGTGCTGACAGGGGATTATGAGCAATGTCTTCTCTCCTACATATGCATAATGTTTCACATTGTCCCAAGCATGGTCATTATATCACCTTAAAACACATTTCTTAACATTCAGGACATAGGCATGGGCAAAGACTTCATGACTAAAACACCAAAAGCAATTGCAACAAAAGCCAAAATTGACAAATGAGATTTAATTTAACTAAAAAGCTTCTGCACAGCAAAAGAAACTATCATCAGAATGAACAGGCAACCTACAGAATGGGAGAAAATTTTTGCAATCTATCCATCTGACAAAGGGGTAATATCCAGAATCTACACGGAACTTAAACAAATTTACAAGAAAAAAACAACCCCATCAAAAAGTGGGCAAAGGATATGAACAGACACTTCTCAAAAGAAGACATTTATGCAGCTAACAAACATATGGAAAAAAGCTCATCATCACTGGTCATTACAGAAATGCAAACCAAAACCACAATGAGATACCACCTCACTCCAGTTAGAATGACAATCATTAAAAAGTCTGGAAACAGATGCTGGCAAGGATATGGAGAAAAAGGAACGCTTTTAAACTATTGGTGGAAATATAAATTAGTTCAACCACTGTGGAAGACAGTGTGGTTATTCCTCAAGGATCTAGAACCAGAAATACCATTTGACCCAGCAATCCTGTTACTGGGTATATACCCAAAGGATTTTAAGTCATTCTACTATAAAGACACATGCACATGTGTGTTTATTGCAGCATTACTTGCAATAGCAAAGACTTGGAACCAACAAAAATGCCATCAACGATAGACTGGATAAAGAAAATGTGGCACATATATACCACGGAATACTATGCAGCCATAAAAAAGGATGAGCTCATGTCCTTTGCAGGGACATGGATGAAGCTGGAAGCCATCATCCTCAGCAAACTAACAAAGGAACAGAAAACCAAACACCACATGCTCTTACTCATAAGTGGAAGTTGAACAATGGAGAATACATGGACACAGGGAGGGAAACATCACACACCGGGGCCTATCAAGGGGTTGGGGGGAAGGGGAGGGAGAGCATTAGGACAAATACCTAATGCATGTGGGGCTTAAAACCTACATGACGGATTGACAGGTGCAGCAAACCACCATGGCACATGTATACCTATGTAACAAACCTGCACATTCAGCACATGTATCACAGAATTTAAAGTAATGTAAAATAATAAACAAAAAACATATTTCTTCTCCTTTTTACTCATATTCAAGTTTGAGAGGCAAGACCTATAATCACAAGCATGAGTTTAGGGTTAGGTGTGGATTCGGGACCTGCTCCTACCACTTGGCAACTTTCTCTTCTTCAAATTACTTAAGTTTGATTGCCTCTATTTTCTCACACCTACAGCAGGGACAATAATGTCCACTTAGCAGTGCTACAGAGTGGGCTGGGTTAGCTCTGTGCTGGGGCTTCCCACCAGTTATTGAGCACTCTGTACCTGAACTCTTTTAAGAACTGTGAATTTATTATCCAGGAATCGTAATACCAAAATAATAAGGTACCATCCTCATTCTTCAGATCTGGAAGCCAAGGCTCATGCTAGTAAATAACTCAATTGAGGGCACAAGTCAATAAGTCAAAAGAGCCAGGATTCAATGTAAGTGCTCTTATGAATGGGATTCTGCCTTACACACGGAAGACTAGCTCCCACACATTCATTTGACCCTGGTTGCACTTTCCTGCAGATGTTCCGCTCTCTGTGGACCCCTGCTTGCCTCCATCTTTCTCATCTCACAAGAGACAATCAGGACCACAGTCCCTTTTCCTCTGAGCAGAGAGTGGTTTCTGTAGATGACCCCAAAATGCAGGCATGGTACAGGTTTACTAAGGGAATGTAGGATCCACACAGAATGCATGGTTAAAGAACATAACTAACACACACATATGCAATCAAGCCCATTGACTTAGTAACTCTGTGATGTCCACAGCTACAGGCTGAGCTTCTCCAGTGCCAGGTTCCTAGTGGCTCCTATCTGTCATGTGGCTTTAGTTTCTTAAGAGCTATTGAACCCTAACAAATGTGAGCATAACCACACGAAGCAGCTGATTCCCCCCACATTCATCCAGCAAGTGCTACAACCCCCGCCAGTCTGAATCCCTGGCTAGGTGGTTTTCAGAGAAGTAAGTCTTAGAGTAATGAAATGGCTCTTCAGTTCTGAATGTGAGCCACTGTGGGTGCCCTGGCTCTTTTAAAATCTACCATCACTCTGTGAAATAGACCTTGTGACCACCCCCAAAGTTTTATAAATGAGAAAACAGAACCCCATGGTGAATAGGCAATTCCCTAGCCAGAGCCAGGATTCAAACTCAGGCCCAAAACATGAATCACTACACCCATCAACTCCCTCCCCTTCCCCACCTCCATGTGACTCTTAGGAGACCACTTCACTTCACTCGGTGGAATCATTGTGGCTTGCAGGACAGCTGGCATGTTCCACACCGGCGCAGAACTGCCCAGTGCTGCCCAGTGCTCTGTGATTGCCAGTTCTTGCCTCCCTCAAAAATCCCTCAGACGAGCCTCATGTCCATCAGGGATCCACTCATTATTCACCATCTTCTCCCCTGCTTGCTCTGGTCCATGCCAGCCTTCCCAACTCTGACATTAGCAGTGCCATTTCGCCTTCCTGGGAGGCTGTCCTTCCAGGTCTCCATCTTCCACATTCCTGTCTTCAAAAGTTCTTTCCTAACATTCTCCAAAAAATCCATCCTCCACACCCCACCTCCAGATACTCTACTACATTAAAATATTTCATTGTCTTAAGAGCATTTATTGTTCTCAGAAGTTATTATTTTTATTTGTTTGATGGTTTATTATCTGTCCCTTTATCCTTCTTTTTAAAAGTAAATTTTTCTAGGGCAAGATTTTTATCTGTCTTGTTTCTTCCACATCCTGGTATCTAGAATAGTTCCTGGTGTGCAATATTTGTTGACTGATTGGATGAATGAATATATAGATAAATGATGGCTTCAAGGATAAGTGCATCTTGAGCTCCAAATGATTGCTTTGTAAAGAATTTTCAATTAAATATGAGTTATTAATAAACACAGTATAAAGTCATATGGAGTTTTAAAAAATTATTTCCTAAAGTTAGGTACAGTTGTAAGTGGATTGTACCTTTACAGACATAATTACATATTCAGTCATAATATCTATCTATCTATCTCTCTCTCTATCTATCTATCTATCTATCTACCTCTATATTGTATGTACTGCTCTACAATTTGCTATCTAAAATGATACACTTTTTAAAATTTTTTTCTGGGGGTGGCTAGCAAGATGACTGAATAGGAACAACTCCAGTCTGCAGCTCCCAGTGAGATCAATGCAGAAGGCAGGTGATTTCTGCATTTCCAATTGAGGTACCCAGCTCATCTCACTGGGACTGGTTAGACAATGGGTGCAGCCCATGGAGGGCAAGCCGAAGCAGGGTGGGGCGTCGCCTCACGCAGGAAGCACAAGGGGGTCAGGGAACTCCCTCCCCTAGCCAAGGGAAGCCCTGAGGGACTTCCGTGCCAAGAGGAAAGGTGCCTTCTGGCCCAGAAACTATGCTTTTCCCACTGTCTTTGAAACCTGCAGCCCAGGAGATTCCTACACCACCAGGGCCCTAGGTTTTAAGCACAAAACTGGGCAGCCGTTTGGGCAGACAATAAGCTAGCTGTAGGAGTTTTTTTCCATACCCCAGTGGCACCTGGATCGCAATCGAGACAGAACAATTCACTTCCCTGGAAAGGGGGCTGAAGCCACGGAGCCAAGTGGTCTAGAGGATCCCACCACCACTGGGCCCAGCAAGCTAAGATCCACTGGCTTGAAATTCTCACTGCCAGCACAGCAGTCTTAAGTCGACCTGGTACACTGGAGCTTGGTGGGGAGAGGGACGTCCACCATTACTGAGGGTTGAGTAGGCGGTTTTCCCCTCACAGTGTAAACAGAGCTTCCAGGAAGTTTGAAATGGGCGGAGCCCACCATAGCTCTGAAAAGCCGCTGTAGCGAGACTCCCTCTCTAGATTCCTCCTCTCTGGGCAGGCATCTCTGAAAGAAAGGCAGCAGCCGCAGTCTGGAGCTTATAGTTAAACTCCCATCTCCCTGGGACCGAGCACCTGGGGGAAGGGGCGGCTGTGGGTGCAGCTTCAGCCGACTTAAACATTCCTGCCTGCTGGCTCTAAAGAGAGCACTGGATCTTCCAGCACAGTGCTACATGAAAACTGAACAACCTGCTCCTGAATGACTGCTGGGTAAATAACAAAATTAAGGCAGAAATAAATAAGTTCTTTGAAACCAATGAGAACAAAAACACAATGTACCAGAATCCCTGGGACACAGCTAAAGCAGTGTTTAGAGAGAAATTTATAGCACTAAATGCCCACAGGAGAAAGCAGGAAAGATCTAAGATGGACACCCTAACATCACAATTAAAAGAGCTAGAGAAGCAAGAGCAAACAAATTCAAAAGCTATCAGAAGACAAGAAATAACTAAGATCAGAGCAGAACTGAAGGAGATAGAGACATGAAAAAACCTTCAAAAAATCAATGAATCCAGGAGCTGGTTTTCTGAAAAAATTAACAACGTAGATAGACTGCTAGCCAGACTAATAAAGAAGAAAAGAGAGAAGAATCAAATAGACACAATAAAAAGTGATAAAGGGGAGATCACCAGTGATCCCACAGATATACAAACTACCATTAGAGAATAATATAAACACCTCTACACAAATAAACTAGAAAATCTAGAAGAAATGGATAAATTCCTGGAAACATACACCCTCCCAAGACTAAACCAGGAAGAAGTCGAATCCCTGAATAAACCAATAACAGGTTCTGAAATTGAGGCAGTAATTAATAGTCTAACAACAACAAAAATCCTCAGGACCAGACGGATTCACAGCCGAATTCTACCAGAGGTACAAAGAGGAGCTGGTACCATTCCTTCTGAACTATTCCAAACAATAGAAAAAGAGGGACTCCTCTCTAGCTCATTTTATGAGGTCAGCATCATCCTGATACCAAAACCTTGCATAGACACAACAAAAAAAGAAAATTTCAGGCTAATATCCCTGATGAACATCGATGTGAAAATCCTCAATAAAATACTGGCCAAGCGAATCCAGCAGCGCATCAAAAAGCTTATCCTCCACGATCAAGTTGGCTTCGTCGCTGGGATGCAAGGCTGGTTCAACATATGCAAATCAATAAACGTAATCCATCACATAAATAGAACCAATGACAAAAACCACATGATTATCTCAATAGATGCAGAAAAGGCCTTCGATAAAATTCAACACCCTTTCATGCTAAAAACTCTCAATAAACTAGTTATTGATGGAACATATCTCAAAATAATAAGAGCTATTGATGAAAAACCCACAGCCAATATCATACTGAATTGGCAAAAGCTGGAAGCATTCCCTTTGAAAACTGGCGCAAGACAAGCATGCCTTCTCTCACCACTCCTATTCACCTAGTATTGGAAGTCCTGGCCAGGGCAATCAGGCAAGAGACAGAAATAAAGGGCATTCAAATAGGGAGAGAGGAAGTCAAATTGTCTCTGTTTGCAGATGACATGATTGTACATATAGAAAACCCCATCATCTCAGCCCAAAATCTCCTTAAGCTGATAAGCAACATCAGCAAAGTCTAAGGATACAAAATCAATGTGCAAAAATCACAAGAATTCCTATACATCAATAATAGACAAACAGAAAGCCAAATCATGAGTGAACTTTCATTCACAATAGCTACAAAGAGAATAAAATACCTAGAAATCCAACTTACAAGGGATGTGAAGGACCTCTTCAAGGGGAACTACAAACCACTGCTCAAGGAAATAAGAGAGGACACAAACAAATGGAAGAACATTCCATGCTCATGGATAAAAAGAATCAATATCATGAAAATTGCCATATTGCCAAAGTAATTTATAGGTTCAGTGCTATCTCTATCAAGCTACCATTGACTTTCTTCAAGAATTAGAAAAAACTACTTTAAATTTATATGGAACCAAAAAAGAGCTCGTATAGCCAAGACAATTCTAAGCAAAAAGAACAAAGCTGGAACATTCATGCTACCTGACTTCAAACTATACTACGTGGCTACAGTAACCAAAACAGCATCGTACTGGTACCAAAACAGACATATAGACTAATGGAACAGAACAGAAGCCTCAGAAGTAATGCCACACTTCTACAACCATCTGACCTCCAATAAACCTGACAAAAACAAGCAATGGGAAAAAGATCTCCTAGTCAGTAAATAGTGCTGGGAAAACTGGCTAGCCATTTGCAGAAAACTAAAACTGGACCCCTTCCTTACATCTTATACACAAATTAACTCGAGATGGATTAAAAACTTAAATGTAAGACCTAAACCCATAAAAACTCTAGAAGAAAACCTAGGCAGTACCATTCAGGACATTGGCATGGGCAAAGACTTCATGATTAAAACACTAAAAGCAATGGCAACAAAAGCCAAAATTGACAAATGGGATTTAATTAAACTAAAGAGCATCTGCACAGCAAAAGAAACTATCATCAGGGTGAACAGGCAACCTACAGAGTGGGAGAAAAATTTTGCAATCTATCCATCTGACAAAGAGCCAATATCTAAAATCTACAAGGAACTTAAATTTACAAGAAAAAAACAACCCCATCAAAAAGTGGGCAAAGAATATGAACAGGCAATTCCCAAAAGAAGACATTTATGTGGCCAATAAACATGAAAAAAGCTCATCATCACTGGTCATTAGAGAAATGCAAATCAAAACCACAATGAGATACTATCTCACACCAGTTAGATTGGTGATCATTAAAAAATCAGGAAACAACAGATGCTGGAGAAGTTGTGGAGAAATAGGAATGCTTTTAAACTGTTGGTGTAAGTGTAAATTATTTCAACCATTGTGGAAGACAGTATGGTGATTCCTCAAGGATCTAGAACCAGAAATACCATTTGGCCCATTACTGGGTATATACCCATAAGATTATAAATCATTCTGCTATAAAGACACATGCACACGTATGTTTATTGCAGTACTATTCACAATAGCAAAGACTTGGCACCAACCCAAATGCTCATCAATGATAGATTGGATGAAGAAAATGTGGCACATACACACCATGGAATACTATGCAGCCATAAAAAAGGATGAGTTCATGTCCTTTGCAAGAACATGGATGAAGCTGGAAACCATCATTCTCAGCAAACTAACACAGGAACAGAAAACCAACACCGCATGTTCTCACTCCTAAGTGGGAGTTGAATAGAGAACACATGGACATAGGGAGGGAGCATCCCACACTGGGGCATGTTGGGAGGTGGGTGGCAAGGGGAGTGATAGCATTAGGAGAAATACCTAATATAGATGACGAGTTGATGGGGGCAGCAAACCACTGTGACATGTGTATACCTATGTAACAGACCTGCACGTTCTACACATGTATCCCAGAACTTAAACTATAATAAATTTTTTAAAATTTTTATTGGCACATAGTAGGTGTTTATATTTATAGGGTACATGAGATATTTTGTTACAGGCATGCCATATGTAATAATCACAGGAATGATACACTTTTAAATAAAACATAGGTATACAATTCATAAGAAAATTGAGGATTACATAGACTTATAAAATAGCCATGAACCCCAAATTTAGAAGCCTATAAACAAACAAAATCCCCCACAGACTAAGTACCATTGAAACAATAATGTGTCAGTGGGCCCAGCCTGCCAGTCCCAGGAAGCCCTGGTCTGGTTATTCTTCAATTAGCAACAAGACTATGAGCTATTGAAGGCCTTGTGAACAACTTGTGTTTTTCCACAATGGAACCTGCACTTTAATAGTCTAAGAATTCCTGTAATGTAGCTGATGCAATGCAAACAAAAGAAAGAAAAGCTCAAACTAAATCTCGTCAGCTGAGAATAGCAATGATGCAATGACTGCATAGCTTTTAGTTCTCAATGATGTCATTGCAAGTGTGAATTTGATGCTGTGATAACACTTATCAAGGAATGAGTAGAAGAACCTTGAGGACCTCATGCTGAGTGAAATTAACCAGCCACACAAAAAAGACAAATACTGTATAAGTCCACTTACATGAGGCATCTAAGTAGTCTAATCTATAGAGACAGAAAGCAGGGTTGCCAGGGTCTAGAGGGAGGGGGAATGGGGTGCTATCACTGAATGGGCATGGAGTTTTAGTTTCGCAAGGTGAAGAGAGTTTTGAAGACTGCACAACAATGTGAATGTACTTAATGCTACCGAACTGTACCCTTAAAAGTAACATGGCAAATTTTATCGTATATATGTTTTTCCACAGTTAAAAGTTTAAAAAAAATTAAACATTTAAGAAATGAGTGGAGAAAAAGTAAACATTCTTCCCATGTTATACTTCCCTGTCTTTCCAGTTTCCTACCTTCCCATAGTTAGGATGACCGTACAATCTGTTTGCTTACGACAGTTCTGGTTACTCCTGTTGTCCTTGTGCATTTTTCCATGGGTCGCCTTCACTCTTAAAACTGTTGTGGGTGATAATCTTTATGCTCACCTTGTCCAATACACCTTTGGCAGGCGAGGACAGCCAGAGAACTTAGGCACGGTGTGCATACTGCTAGCATCATTAGTCATTCATTAACTGTTCATTAACTCATTCACAAAGAGCCTCTGTGCACCTCCTGCCTGTGATCATACTGTGCCCTACATGGGTGTTAAGATAACTGTCCTCCCAGCTAGACTGTGGTTCCTCAAGGGCAGGGCTTACAACTAATTCATCTAGTATCCACAGATTCCAGACCAATGCTTGGCACACATCAGGTTCCCAGCAGATTTCTGCTGAATTGCAAAAGGTCCTGGTTCCAGATGTAAGACAGGCGTTAGTGTTGAACCCATAGAAAGGTCTTTCTTCTGTGCCCTCTGGGAGTAGCCCAGCAGAGTCTCTCTGTCTGGATAGACAATTCCCAATGGGAGGACACGGGCCCCATCTAGAGTTTCTCCCTCACATGTTACCCACTTCTAGAGTCTTACCCACTTGCTAGAGTCTTTCCTGATGCTTTTATTTATTTATTTATTTATTTATTTATTTACTTACTTAACCAACTGAGAAACATCTCCATTAGTCTTGAAATAGATGCTTGTGGTATGTTAATAAATGCATAGTAAAGTTTTCATGTTTTCCTATCATGTAAATTATCCATTCCTAAAGCAGAGCTTGAAAGTCTGCTGCAATGGCCGAGAAAATTGAGCTAATTATTTCAGTTTGGTGGCAGACTCATAAATCTGGTCTTGGTTTCCTTTTTCAAAGGCAATGCCATCCTCTAGGTGAGTTTCAGGCACTTCCTCAAATGCCGTGCTTGTGTCTCCAAGTGTGGGATTGAGTTACACTCTGCTTGAGTGCTGTTTGTCTGTTCTCTGATCTCTAATGACCTATGTTCATTTAGGGACTCGGGGATGGCATCTCTGTCTTCCAAGTTACTTAAGATCTCTGAATCCAGGAAAGGATAGAGCTTACCATGCTCCTGACCTCTGCCTATTCCTCTTTCTCCTCCTCCTCAGGGCACTGGATTTGGGAGCCTGAGATCCCAGAGCAGTGGGAGGAGAGGCCTGAGGAGGCGTGCTAAGTAAATGTTAATGAACCCGTAGGTTCAGACTGGAATGCCTTTTAGGGATTTCAGACTTGTTTTGATAAATTAAGCCCAACATCTGGATGGCATTTGGGTTAAGAACCATCGAGAGCTGCCCACTTACCCTGTGATCCATCTCGCCAGTGCACATCACTTTTATTAGTCTTTTCAAAACAATTTTGGCTCTGTTTACCTTTTCTAGGGTACTTTTTTCTATTTCTCTGATTTCTGTTCTCATCTTCATTATTTTATTCTTTCTACAAATGTTCCTAATTTTTAATATGGATCTTAGTTGATTAATTTAAAACTTTCTGTGGCATAATTTTTCTCTTTCCCAGTGATTGTCAGGTTCATTAGGGTCTTGCTCTTGACACAGGGCCCTGGGTATGTGTTGAGGACAATCAGATGAAGGCTTAAAGGGAAGACTATTAGCTCCTGTCTCAAGGGGATCTATTTTAGGAAGGAGACAAGACAGTACGTGTGAAATGTTAAATTAATTACCCATAGACAGACTCTAAGATTTCAGAGGTGTGTTGACTGGGGAAAGCTCTGAGAAGAAGGTAGGAGCAAAGTCAGCCCTCATAGGACAGCTAGATCTCGATGGACTCAGAGGAGCAGAAGGGAAAGCCAGCAAGGGGCATGTTTGGGAGCCCACCATGACCTGGGGAGAGACCCTCCCAAGGCAAGGGGACTGTGAGGTAAAGGTCCAGAGTCAGGCTCCCAGTGTAAGGATCCAGGGGGGGCCGAGACCCAAAAGCTTGTCTGCATGGAGTGAAGCATCGTGGAAGCATCTAAGCAGAAATGTGAGCACAATGAGGCCAGAGAAGGGTGGTTTAGAGAACGATGGTTTGGAGAACAGTGGTTTAGAGAAGGGTGGTTTAGAGAATGATGGTTTAGGGAACAGTGGTTTAGAGATCAGTGGTTTAGAGAAGGGTGGCTTAGAAAACGATGGTTTAGGGAACGGTGGTTTAGAGAACAGTGGTTTAGAGATAAGTGATTTAGAGAAGGGTGGTTTAGAGAATGGTGGTTTAGAGAAGGGTGGTTTAGAGAACAGTGGTTTAGAAAAGGGTGTTTTGGAGGATGATGGTTTAGGGAATGGTGGTTTAGAGAATGATGATTTGGCAGGGAACACTGGAAGCAGGGAGAGAGTAAGATGCAGGGGCATGTGGACAAAACCTTGAGTCAAGTGACACAGGGAGAACACGTCCATTCAGGTGACTTTCCACCTGAGCTTCTGGGTTTGGGAGGCTCAGGATACGGGCACAGTCCATTTGTGGAGCGCCTCCTATGTCAGGCCCAGACAGGTTCCTTTAGCAAGGAATATCTCCATGACTTCAGATGGGGAGGCAGACGCAAGACCTCGCTGGAGCCACAGCAAGTGGGGCCAAGCCAAGTCCACTTCCTGGGCTTCCCAGGAGCCAAAGTCTTGTGATTGTTGTACCATATCCCATCTCCTTTCAAGGCTGTCAACTGGCGGAATGGCAAGGGCAAGGGAGAGTAGTTGGGGCTGATATGTGTGGTCCCAAACATCCAGATGAAGTGGCTGGATGCCCTCCTCCCAGGCACTCTCTGTCATGGCAAGACCCTCAAGCAGATGGGAAAGCAGATGGAGGAGC
The DNA here is from genome assembly GCF_000001405.40 of Homo sapiens. NCBI lineage: Eukaryota > Metazoa > Chordata > Mammalia > Primates > Hominidae > Homo > Homo sapiens. Next base: position 44,242,405 of record NC_000010.11, on the reverse strand, counting down.
AGGGTCCAAGGGCAACCACCACTGCTCCCAGCTGTCCTTCTTCCAGGAAAAATGCCAGTCCAGAAGCGAAGCATGGGCAGTGACCTTGCCATGTGCTCCCACAGTGCTGAGTGCCTGATAACTCCCACAGGCCTCCTCTAAAGGAAATGGACTTAACCCTTCAAGTCCTGGGTAGGAGGTTCCTAGTCAGCACCTCCCCACCTGTACCAGGGCAGGTGCACGCTATCCAAGGAGAGAACAGAGCTCTCCTGCACTGAAGGGGTGGCTTCTCCAAGCTCCAATCCCTGAGGAGGATGAGGAAGACTTGCTTTGGGTGAGTCTTCAATTCCACCTGGCCAGTGTCCCTCATGTCCGCATTGCTGACCCCAAGCCCTTGGGCAGGCTGGACTAGAGGTTCCCACTTCCCAGTCTGAACCCTTCTGAGAAGACTCCACTCCTAAGGAAATGACAGATCTTTCCAGGGGCTAGAATGCCCAGGAGACTCATCTACAGGGGAGGCACCCACCTGGCTCCACCCCAGCTCTGGCCCAGGCATGTGGACCTTTGTCACAGGGATTCTCTCCTAGGGTACCAGCTCTGCTTAGGAGGCACTACCTTGTCACTGGGTCCCTTTAGCCTCCAAGACTATCTTTTAGGTGAAACCGTCATGCCTTCTCCTAGGTAGTGCCTTTGCTTTAAGATGTTGTTGAAGGTTTTCTTGATGTGGGGACCTGAGGTGTCTTTAAGTCAACACATTCCACCGTGCACATTCTATGTTCACCAAATCTTTATCACAGGCCAGTTTTGACTGTTGCAGGATTTACCTTGCCTTAGAAATAAAAACTGCTTAGTCCCTTTGGCAAACATTACTGATGATAGAACCCCAGGTCCTTGGCCAGCAAGTAACACACCTGCTGGCCCACAGGATCAGAACGTGGTCTTCGAGGCAAACTGCACAGCCTGGAAGAAGCTCCAACCTGGCAGGAGTTCCCTGGAACTTGGGCTCCTGGAGACCTTGACAGCCCAACTTTAATTGCCCCTTCATATGATCACTTTCATTCACCTCCTCTTATTCCCTTCAGAGCCCTGAGCATGTTCTAAAATGACTTTATTTGTCCATTAGCTTATTGTGTCTCTGTCTCAGCTGGAAGTTCACTTGCTCAAGATTTTCCCTCTGTCTCCCCAGTGCTGATCATGGTGTATGCCTGGCATAGAAGGGGCTTGGTAAATGCTTATGGAAGTGAATCAACACGATTCACCCCAGTGTTTCCATCTGTCACTCAGGAGCCAGGGTTTGATTTTCAACAGAGCATATACATTCTTGAGACTCGGCATGGTGCGGTGGAACGGTGGGCCCAGTCTACAGTCAGCCTCATGTGGCTCAGACACCACTCACTAGCACTGTGACCTCAACTCCGACATCTGAAAAGTGGGAATCTCTCACTCACAAGGCCATTGTGAGAATAGGATAAAGCATGTGAAGTGCCCCACCCAAAACAGATGGTGGATGAATAATCGTTACTATTATTGTACCTGATGATCTCACAGGGTTTTTTGTCTGTTGTTTGTATTGTCTTGTTCTATTTATCTGATTTTTCTAAAAGGAAAATGACCCTGGCCACTCAGGAAGTCAGGGCTGATGAGCTCAGGGATACCAGAGGGGAAGGGAGAACAAGGGCCTGAGTCTCCAAAGCCTCTAAGAGGAATGACTGCCTGCCTTCAGAGACCCTGTCTGAAGCTGTTGGAAAACCATGGTTGTATCCAGCTCCCAGGGGTTGAGTCTTAAGATCATATATAAAGCAATAAGTTTGAATCTCACAGAGCTTCTTACAATGCTTTCAGACCTACTCCAATTACAAGATTCGAAGTTTCTCACTGAGAAGCTGCTAGTCTTGACTCAGGAGAAAGGATGCAGGAACAGGGAACTGGGATCTGATAGCAGCTTAACAAGATTCACAGCCACAGTAAAGGCCGCTCCTGTCCTCAGCCTTTGGGAAGCACTCCGTCCCCTTGACTCTGCAGTTCCATATTCTCCTGGACGTCCCCCTACTTTTCTGGGGTCCCTCTCAGTCTCTTTGTGGGTGCACTTTTCTTTACTCAGCTGATCATTACAGTCATGCATCACTTAATGGTCGGGATACGTTCTGAGAAATGCATCATAGGTGATTTTGTTGTATAAATATCATAGAGTGACTTACACAATCCTAGATGGTACAGCTACTGCACACCCAGGCTATATGGCATAGCCTATAGCTCCCAGGCTGCAAACCCATACAGCACGCGAAGACACTAAACACTGCAGGCAATTGTAACACAATGGTATCTGTGTATCTAAACAGCTAAATGTAGAAAAGATACAGTAAAAACACGGTACTGTAATCTTACGTGACCACAATTGTATATTTGGTCCATCACTGACTGAAACATCTTTATGAGACTCATGACTGTTGAGTTCTGACTGCTTTCTTATTAATTTCTTTCTCCCAGAGCAATTGTCTCATGATCACAGCTCTGTCTGTTTGCCCAGCATTATGGATGTGCCCATTGCTTGACTGGTGTCTCAGTCCATCCACCTGTGCAGCCCCTCCACCTGGCAGTACCAAGCATCTCAAACTCAACAAGCCCCAGGCCCCAAGTCACTCCCATCCTCCTCCTCTGGGTTTCCTTCTCCAGGTTCCTTGGCTCAATGCACAGCTTCTCTGCCCCGATTCCCAGGCACCAAGACAGCAGCCCAGGAACCAGCGTTAGTTCTTCTATCCCCCGTACCCACACACAGCCACCAGGTCTGGTTGATTTAACCACCGTCTGCCACTATTTTCCATCCTTTCCCCATTCAGGCCCCTGTGTCCTAGGTCCTGAGGACTGAACAGCCTCCATCTCATCTTCCAGCTGCAAGTGGGGCCCCTCCTATTCATTCTCCATGCTGCAGACAGCAGGGTACCATCTTTCCAAATACAAATCAAAGGGATCACATCAACCCCTCCCTGGCACTAGAGTCCTGCAATGCACACAGCACATGACTCCATTTAGAAGTTTGGTAGAGTCCAGAAAGTGTCTCCCCTGGGGTGGGGAGGGCAGGACTGAGGGGAAGAAGGGAGCCTTCTGCAGATGTGGAAATGCCCCAAGTCTTGATCCGGTGACAGTTACCTGGGTGTATAAACAGGTAGACACACATCAAGGTGTGAACTTCACATCTGTGCACTTTACTATATGTGAATGATATGTCAGAAGATACAAATAAGACATACAACCGGCCGGGCGCGGTGGCTCACACCTGTAATCCCAGCACTTTGGGAGGCCGAGGCGGGCGGATCACGAGGTCAGGAGATCGAGACCATCCTGGCTAACACGGTGAAACCCCGTCTCTACTAAAAATACAAAAAATTAGCCGGGCGAGGTGGCGGGCGCCTGTAGTCCCAGCTACTCGGGAGGCTGAGGCAGGAGAATGGCGTGAACCCCAGGGGGCGGAGCCTGCAGTGAGCCGAGATTGCGCCACTGCACTCCAGCCTGGGCGACAGCGAGACTCCGTCTCAAAAAAAAAAAAAAAAAAAAAAAAAAAAAGACATACAACCTGTGAAAAAAGAAATAAATAAAAGAAGCCTGCCAGGTAACCCTAATCTCTTTGAGGATGAAAACCAAGAATATTAGTGCAGCCTGTGTTTAGGATGACATTCACCTGGCTTGCCTGGCAGTGTCCTGGCTTATGCCTGAGGCCCTGGTGTAATTCTCAACAAGCCCTGTCCAATGATCAATTACATGGCAGCTTCTCTCCTGCCTCCAGGCCTCACCCCTGCTCTTTCCCTCTGGCTAGAATGCTTTCTGTTCACCTTTCACCCATTCCTTGGGTTCCAGGTAAAACATCATTGACTCTGCACGTCTGCCCTTTACTTATCCCCACACCAGGAGGGTCCCTCCTTCAACTGGCCCAGGAGCACCTTGTCTGTCTCTTTCCTTCACCTTCCCAAGCCAGCTGGAGACTCAAGGGTGGTGATTGTGACCATCCCTTCAGTTTCAGTATGTATTGAAATGTGCTTATCTTATCTTTCAGGACACAAGGAGCCTAAACCACCCACCATATAGATGAGGGGACTGAATATTTAAGGGGCCCCTCCAAGGCTGCCTGCCCAGTGACTGCCAGAACCAGGACCAGAATCCACGAGAACACCGATTCAGGATTCAGACTCCCCAGGTTATTCTGATGACTACACTATTTGATGGGGCTTTGGGGAAATGATTCCAAATATAATTTCCCATTCCTTGGGTCTGGGTCTGATAATTCAGAACGTGCAAAAGATTTAATTTAATGTCATAGGCCTTATGGACTCTCCTGGAAGTTTACTTTCTCAAAAAAATTCTGAATGAATAAAAATCTTATTAGCAGAGAGTTCTGGGTACTAAGCCTTCCTTTTTTCAGTATAGGCTAGAAGTTAAAGGTATTCTCTCTGTTAATAACTGGGCATTTGTCCAATATTGATGCATCACCACTGGCCAATGAAACCTCCCCTTCCCCAACAGTGGTGTTCTGTGTAGATACAGGCCTCTAGAGCAAGCACAGATGGAGGTGGAGCTGTGGGGTCACACCATCCTGAGTGGCGCAGTTCCAGCCCTGTAACTCCTGGATGTGTGACTTGGGAGAAGTTATCAACCCTCTCTAGGAGTGAGGTTCTCATCTGAAAAATGGGGAACTACTAGTGCCTAAATTAAAGGACTGTTTTCATGATTGAATAAGATAATTCATGCAAAATTGTTGGCATGCAGTGGGCACTCAGTAGATATCAGTTCTCTTCTCTTCCTTCTTTTCTCTGCCACCTTCTTCTTCTCTTCCTCCTCTTTCTCCCTGCTTTCCCCTCCCCATGCCTCCTTCTCCTTCTTCATCTCCTTCCTGTTTTCCATCTCCTTCTCTCTTCATCCTTCTTCCTTTTCTTCCCACTTCCTCCTCTGTCTTCTTAATGATAGCCTTAATAATAGACCCACATCTTCTGATAATCAAGATTACTTTCTATCAGCCATAGAAAAGCAACAGTGCATGAACCAAGAAGTAGTGGGCTAAGAGATGTGTTGCTTTCAAGGTAAACTCATCCATTTCATTCCATCTGAGCCACCTTATGGTTCAAGATGTTCTTAATTACTTCTTCAGTTTTTTACACTCTTCCTAAGACATGAGTACCATAACTAAAGTATCTAGGTGTGTTCCATCCAGAAAAGAAAAGATTACCCACCTGCCCTGGAGCCATGTTGGGCTTCCTGTAGAGGAGCCCCAAATAGAATGCTCTGGGGTCATGAGATCACTTATTGACTCAAGCAGAGCCTGTGGAAAACCTACACACTAAAATGAATTATCTCAAAACAACAAGTAGAGGGCAAGGTTGCCGAGGTCAGGTTGTGCTAGCAAACCTGGACCTACACCACGGGGGAGAGTTCAAACGCAGTTCCTATGGCAAATATTTGCCTGATGTTTGCTGTTACCTCAGCTCTTGCTTTGTTTATCTGAAGGTCACGTCACCTTTCAAGTTCCCATCTGACTGGCAGCTGGAGGCCCTGGCGACCACACAGCTGGACAGATGTTAGGAATCTGGGCCGCAATGCATGAGCTACACTTTTGAAACAGATTCCCTAGGGCCATGGTCTGGGAGAGAAGCAGGCAAACCTCTTTTGGGACTCCATCCTTCTCTCCCCAGTCCTTGGTGAGTAGCCCTGCAACCAGGCTGCATTTACCTTCTCTCCATAAAGATTATGGTATTGACTACCATTGGACAGCAGGTCCCTAGAGTGAGTTTACTGAGAAGTGGGTGGAGTTTTCTGAGCCAGCATGAGCATCAAAACAAGATTTTGTAATATTGCTGGCTAGGATGAAGACATAGCCCTGACCCCATTCACTGTGTGCTTTAAATCCGGGTACCTATTAACAACATCAGGTCTGAGGAGAGGGCACCCACAACCTCCAGCACTATAACAAATCCTCTGAGCAGCACCACAGGTCTTGTCAAGTGAAGGTGAGGTCTTCACAATAGTTAACTCTTCACAGAGTAGTCTTTTTTTTTGAGACAGAGTCTCGCTCTGTTGCCCAGGCTGGAGTGCAGTGCATGATCTCTGCTCAGTGTAACCTCCACCTCCCAGGTTCAAGAGATTCTCCTGCCTCAGCCTCCTGAGTAGCAGGGATTACAGGTGCCCGTCACCACGCCCAGCTTATTTTTTATTTTTAGTGGAGACAGGGTTTCACCATGTTAGCCAGGCTGGTTTTGAACTCCTGGCCTCAAGTGATCCACCTGCCTCGGCCTCCCAAAAGTGCTGGGATTACAGGTGTGAGCCACCACACCCGACCTCACAGAGCAGTCTTTCTAAGGAATACAGGAAACATGATGAGAAGGAGGGAGAGGAAGCCAGGATGAGGTCTAGACTCCTAGCCAATCTTCCTCTCGGTGCCGCTGCAAGGCTGTGCCCTGGAACAAGCACTGGCTTGAGATTTACCCAGGTCTAGGCTGGAACCCCAGTCCTGCTCCTCACTAGCTAACCTACTTGCCCACTGTAAAGCTCAGTTTTCTTTTCTGTAATTTGGTGATAATGCTATACAGAGAATGCTAAGGGTTGAAATAGCCGATTTCTACGTAAATCACCCAGCACATGGCGCACAGATGATCACCCCAGCCCTATCCCCTCACAGAGCCCACTATCCTGAGCTTGCCAGATAAACAGAACCCTTGTCTAGCAGCTAGGATGTGGACAGTGAGTTACAGTTAAGGAACCAAAACAAGAACCGGGGGAAAGGCATTGGATAAAGTTTCCATTAGCAATGGATCTAAGAGCAGCCTGGGTCATACCTGGAGCTGCGATGACATAGCCAGGCTCTTCTTTGAGAGCAGGTGTCAGACATGACAAATCAGGGCCCCAAACCAAGCAAAACCAGGCCAGACCTAGGTCAGCGCTGTACCCTGACCCTGGAAGTCAGTCCGTCCAGGGGCAGGTAGGGGCTGTTGGGTGTGATGAGCTGCTCATCTCCTGGCTCTGCAACACTTGCACACGTTCTCCAAGGCTTCTTCTCAATGTAGAAACCTGTAGGCTCTGCTAACAATTTCGGTATTTGCCCGAAGATTAAGAAGTTCCCAGTAAAATAGCTAAAAGGGCATAATTGGATGGTTTATTACACAAAGGATAAATGCTTGAGGGAATGGCTACCCCATTCTCCTTGATGTCATTATTACACATTGCATGCCTATATCAATACGTCTCATGTACCCCATAAATATGTACACCTACTGTGCACCAACAAAAATTAAATAAAAATATATTTAAAATAACAATAGAAAAGAATTTCTCCAGGGTTTTGCCACCTCTGAGGATGAACAGTGCTTCAACAGGGAGTAACTCTGAGCTAAGCCTCCTGCAGCCTCAGTTACGGTTTTGAATGAATTCTGTTCTTCGTTATTTATACCTTTGTTACCAGACTCCAGGATAAGAATCTGTTCAAGGAAACTAATTACACACAACTGTAAGAAACACTTTTAGGCATTAAATCCTTTGAATTCTCTTCACAATGAGATAGATACTTGTGTTTTCCCAGTTTTACATGTTGAGAAAACAGACAAGGAAGTTAGGGAATGCACTCAGACTACCAAGCAGTAAGCTGCCAAATCAGGCTTCAATAGCAGAAGAGTGAGATTCCAGCTCCCAAATACGTAAGCATACAGAAATCATGAGAAACAGCTGAACACAGGAGGCCCATTGGTCATCTCACCATGTTTTCAAGACGGAAGAGAGGTAGCTTTGCTCCAAGCTGCCAAACCCTCACCACTTGGCTCTCAAACTACACCAGGAGCTCCCTGCTGGTACTCTGACAGCCCAGGCTTGCATAAGTTCTTGCATGTTGTTCAGCCTAATGATGCCTCAAAGGCTCTGGCCATGAAAAGGGATAGTAGAACCATTATTTTTAACCGAGATGTTCATCAAATTGACTTGAGAAAAGCAGTTTCATTTGCACACACAACACGGTGTTGGCAGTGGGTTGACGGTGGTACAGCAAAGACGTTTTTGTTTTCTTTTGTTTTTCCATATAGAACAAGCAGCCACTGCAGGGGAAAAGCCTGCCCTCCTTCCATGCAGGTTAACAGGAAGAAGAGAGGGGCGGGGCCAAGATGGCAGAGTGGAAGCAGCAGCGTTTAGAGGCTCCCGTCCAGTGACAAGAGCGAAACTCCATCTCAATAATAATAATAATAATAATAATAATAATAATAATAAATAATGAAAAAAAAAACCATAATAAGCGGGTGAGTCCTTCACCGGCAACCAGCGTATCCAGGTTCTCTCATCAAAATTGTCTAGAAGTCTGGCGTTACCCACGCAATGTGGTGTGCCGCCCACCTGAGAGCCACAGAAGGGGAACCCCCTCCCCCCACCAAGGGAGGTGGTGAGTGAGCGCACTACCCAGCAGGGGAAACTGTGCTTTTTCCATGGAACTGTGCAACCCACAGATGGGAAGTTTCCACTTTTGAACCCATGCCACTGGGGCCTAGTGTTCCAACCCCGCAATGTGCAGATTCTTATAGCCTCTCAGCTGGAATCTGCTTAAGCCTACTGAACTCCCAGGGGGAGGGGCGACCAGCACCGGCTGCGGCTGCCTGCTGTCTTAAGCCGTTTCAGCCCCTTGGGGGAGGGGCAGCAGCCAGCACTGGGACTTGCAACTGCCTAACACGCTAAGCTCCCTGGGCGGGGGAAGGGCAGCACTCATTTCTATAGCTCCAGGCTGCTCTTTTCTCCTGCTGGAGCCAGGAAGGCTGAGCGGCTTGGTCCCAAGACTTGTCCCCACAGCCCAACACACTGGCTGTGGCAGTCTGCAGCCAGCGTGCCTCTTCAGGCCTACCCCTGACCCATTCTTCCTCAGTGGGCCGGGCTTCCCTGCAGGACCTCCAATAACTCCAGCCAGAGGCTCAGGGACAGAATTCAGATGTCCCTGGGCCTGAGCCCCAAGGCGGCAGGGTGGCCACAGTCTCTGCAGACCAGCAGACTTAGCCTCTCCTCCGGGTAGTTCTGAGGAATCCGGGCAGCCTAGACGAGTGGGTTTCCCACCAGTGAAGCACACCACCATCACCACCAAGGGACAAAATGCTTCATTTAATGGGTTCTGCTCCCTGTGCCACCCAACTGGGTGAGACCCTCCAACAGGGGTTATCAGACACCCTATACAGGAGCGATCCTACTGGCATCAGGTTGGTGCCTCTTAAGGTCAGAGGTCCCTGAAAAAGGAGCAAACACCCATCTTTGCTGTTCTCCAGCCTCCTTGAATGACATCTCCAGGCACAGGAGCGAATCAGATGAATAGGGCCTGAAGTGAACCCCCAGCAAACTTCAACAGCCCTACGGAAGAGGGACCTGACTATTGAAAGAAAAACAAACAAGCAGAAAGTGACAACAATGGCATCAACAATAACAACAACAAAGGCCCCCACAAAAACCCCATCCAAGGGTAAGCAGCCTCAAAGATCAAAACTAGACAAACTCATGAAGATAAGAAAGAATCAACGAAAATATTTCTGAAAACCCAAAAGGCCAGAGTGCCTCTTCTCCTCCAAATGATTGCAACATCTCTCCATCAAGAGTGCAGAACTGTGGGGAGGATCAGATGGACGAATTGACAGAAGTAGGCTTCAGAAGATGGGTAATAAAAAACTACGGTGAGCTAAAGGAGCATGTTCTAACCCAAGGCAAAGAAGCTAAGAACTGGCTGAGTGCAGTGGCTCACGTCTGTAATCCCAGCACTGTGGGAGGCCGAGGCAGGCAGATCACCTGAGGTCAGCAGTTTGAGACCAGCCTGACCAATATGATGAAACCCCATCTCTACTGAAAATACAAAAATTAGCCAGGTGTGGTGGCATGCACCTATAACCTCAGCTGCTTGGGAAGCTGAAACAGGAGAATTGCTTGAACCCGTGAGGTGGAGGTTGTAGCGAGCTGAGATTGCACTCCAACCTAGGCAACAAGAGCAAAACTCTGACCAAAAAAAAAAAAAAGAAGAAGAAGAAGAAGAAGAAACAAAGAACCTTGACGAAAGGTTAAAGGGATTGCAAACTAGAATAACCAGTTTAAAGAGGAACGTAAATGACCTAATGGAGCTGAAAAACACAACACGAGACCTTTGTGAAGCATACATAAGTATCAACAGCCGAATCAACCAAGCAGAAGAAAGGATATCAGAGTTTGAAGACCAGCTTACTGAAATAAGACATGCAGACAAGAAGAGAGAAAAAAGAATGAAAAGGAACAAACAAAACCTCCAAGAAATATGGGTCTATGTGAAAAGACCGAACCTACGATTGATTGGAGTATGAGAAGGAGACGGGGAGAATGGAAACAAGATGGAAAACACACTTCGGGATATTATCCATGAGAACTTCCCCAACCTACTAAGACAGGCCAACATGCAAATTCAGGAAATACAGAGAACACCGTTAAGATACTCCACAACAAGATCAACCCCAAGACACATAATCATCAGATTCTCCAAGGTTGAAATGAAGGAAAACTGTTAAGGGCAGTCAGAGAGAAAGGCCAGGTCACCTACAAAGGGAAGCCCATCAGACAAATAGTAGACCTCTCAACAGAAACTCTAGAAGCCAGAAAAGATTGGGGGCCAATATTCAACATTCTTAAAGAAAATAATTTTCAACCCAGAATTTCATATCCAGCCAAACTAAGCTTCATAAGAGAAGGAGAAATAAAATCGTTTTCAGACAAGCAAATGCTGAGGGATTTCTTTTCCACCAGGTCTGTCCTGCAAGAGCTCCTAAAAGAAGCACTAAATATGGAAAGGAAAAACTGGTGCCAGCCACTGCAAAAACACATCAAAATATAAAGACCAATGACACTATGAAGAAACTGAATCACCTGGTGTGCAAAATAACCAAATAGTATCATGATGACAGGATCAAATTCACACATAATAATACTAAACTTAAATGTAAAAACAATGCCTAAATTAAAAGACACAGACTGGCAAATTGGATAAGAAATCAAGACCTATCAGTGTGCTGTATTTAGGAGACCCACTTACATGCAAAGACACACATAGGCTCAAAATAAAGGGATGGAGGAAAATTTACCAAGCAAATGGAGAGAAAAGAAAAAGCAGGGGTTGTAATCTTAGTCTCTGAAAAAACAGACTTTAAACCAACAATGATCAAAAAAGACAAAGAATGGCATTACATAATGGTAAAGGGAACAAGTCAACAGGAAGAGCTAACTATTCTAAATATATATGCACCCAATATAGGAGCACCCAGATTCATAAAACAAGTTCTTAGAGACCTACAGAGAGACTTAGACTCCCACACAATAATAGTGGGAGACTTTAACACCCCACTGTCAGTATTAGACAGATCAATGAGACAGAAAATTGACAAGGATATTCAGGACTTGAACTCAGCTCTGGATCAAGTGGACCTAGTAGAAATCTAAAGAACTCTGTACTGTAAATCAATAGAATATACATTCCTCTCAGTGCCACATGGCATTTATTCTAAAATCAACCAATAATTGAAAGTAAAACATTCCTCAGCAAATGCAAAAGAACTGAAACCATAACAGTCTCTCAGACCACAGTGCAATCAAAGTAGAACTCAGGATTAAGAAACCCACTCAAAACCACACAATTTCATGGAAATCAAACAACCTGTTCATTAATGACTCCTGGGTAAATAATGAAATTAAGGCAGAAATCAAGAAGTTCTTTGAAACCAGTGAGAACAAAGAGACAATGTACCAGAATCTCTGGGACACAGCTAAAGCAGTGTTAAGAGGGAAATTTATAACACTAAATGCCCACATCAGAAAGCTGGAAAGATCTCAAATCAACACTCTAACATCACAATTAAAAGAACTAGAGAGGTAAGAGCAAACTAATCCAAAAGCTAGCAGAAGACAAGAAATAATTAAGATCAGAGAAGTGGAGATAGAGATATGACAAACTCTTTTAAAAAATCAACAAATCCAGGAGTTGTTTTTTGAAAAAATTAACAGATAGTTGAAGAAGAGAGAGAAGAATCAAATAGACATAATAAAAATGATAAAGGGGATATCACCATTGACCCCACAGAAATAAAAACTATCATCAGAGAATACTATAAACACCTCTATGTAAATAAACCAGAAAATCTAGAAGAAATGGATAAATTCCTGGATGCATACACCTTACCAAGACTAAACCAGGAAGAAGTTGAATCCCTGAATTGACCAATAACAAACTCTGAAATTGAGGCAGTAATTAATAGCCTAGCAACCAAAAAAAGCCCAGGACCAGATGGGCTCACAGCTGAATTCTACCAAAAATATAAACAGGAGCTGGTACCATTCCTCCTGAAACTATTCCAGACAATTGAAAAGGAGGGACTCCTCCCTAACTCATTGTATGAAGCCAGCATTATCCTGATACCACAACCAGGAAGAGAGACACAAAAAAAGACTTCAGGCCAATATCCCTGGAGAACATCGATGCAAAAAAGTCCTCGATAAAATACTGGCAAACCGAATCCAGCAGCACATCAAAAATCTTATCCATCACAATCAAATCAGCTTCATCCCTGGGATGCAAGGCTGGTTCAACATACACAAGTCAATAAATGTAATCCATCACATAAAAAGAACCAAAGACAAAAACCATATGATTATCTCAATAGATGCAGAAAAGGCCTTTGATAAAATTCAACACCCCTTCATGTTAAAAACTCCCAGTAAACTAGGTATTGATGGAACACATCTCAAAGTAATAAAAACTGTTTATGACAAGCCCCCAGCCAATATCATATTGAATGAGCAAAAGCTGGATGCATTTCCTTTGAAAACCGGCACAAGACAAGGATGCCCTCTCTCACCATTTCTATTCAACCTAGTATTACAAGTTCTGGCCAGGGCCATCAGGCAAGAGAAAGAAATAAGGGGTATTCAAATAGGAAGAGAGGAAGTCAAGTTGCCTCTATTTGCAGACAACATGATGTTATATTTAGAAAACTCCACCATCGCAGCCCAAAAACTTCTTGAACTGATAAGCAACTTCAGCAAAGTCTCAGGATACAAAATTAATGTGCAAAAATCACAAGCATTCCTTTATACCAACAATAGGAAAGCAGAGAGCCAAATCACAAAAGAACTCCTACTCACAATCACTACAAAGAGAATAAAATATTTAGGAATACAGCTAACAAAGAACGTGAAGGACCTCTTCAAGGAGAACTACAAACCACTGCTCAAGGAAATAAGAAAGAAAACAAACAAATGGAAGAACATTTCATGCCCATGGATAGGAAGAAGTAATGTAGTGAAAATAGCCATACTGCCCAAAGTAATTTATTTATTTATTTATTTATTTATTTTATTATACTTTAAGTTCTGGGTTACATGTGCAGAACATGCAGTTTTGTTACATAGGTATACACATGCCATGGTGGTTTGATGCACCCATCAACCAGTCACCTACATGAGGTATTTCTCCTAATGTTATTCCTCCCCTAGCCCCCTCATCCCCCGCAGGCCCCAGTGTGTGATGTTCCCCTCCTTGAGTCCAGGTGTTCTCATTGTTCAACTCCCACTTATGAGTGAGAACATGTGGTGTTTTATTTTCTGATCTTGTGATAGTTTGCTGAGAATGATGGATTCCAGCTTCATCCATGTCCCTGCAAAGGACATGAACTCATCCTTTTTTATAGCTGCATAGTATTCCGTGGTGTGTATGTGCCACATTTTCTTTATCCAGTCTATCATTGATGGACATTTGGGTTGGTTTCAAGTCTTTGCTATTGTGAATAGTGCTGCAATAAACATATGTGTGCATGTCTCTTTATTGCAGAATGATTTATAATCCTTTGGGTACATACCCAGTAATGGGATTGCTGGGTCAAATGGTATTTCTAGTTCTAGATCCTTGAAGAATCACCACACTGTCTTCCACAATGGTTGAACAAATTTACACTCCCAACCACAGTGTAAAAGAATTCCTACTTTTCCAAAACCTCTCCAGCATCTGTTGTTTCCTGACTTGTTAATGATCGCCATTCTAACTGGCGTGAGATGGTATCTCATTGTGGTTTTGATATGCATTTCTCTAATGACCAGGATGACGAGCATTTTTTCATATGTCCATTGGCTGCATAAGTGTCTTCTTTTGAGAAATGTCTGTTCATATCCTTTGCCCATTTTTTGATGTGGTTGTTTGTTTTTTTCTTGTAAATTTGTTTAAAGTTCTTTGTAGATTCTGGATATTAGTCCTTTGTCAGATGGATAGATTGCAAAATTTTCTCCCATTCTGTAGGTTACCTGTTCACTCTGATGATAGTTTCTTTTGCGGTGTAGAAGCTCTTAAGTTTAATTAGATCCCAATTGTCAATTTTGGCTTTTGTTGCCATTGCTTTTGGTATTTTAGTCATGAAGTCTTTGCCCATGCCTATGTCCTGAATGGTATTGCCCAGGTTTTCTTCTAGGATTTTTATGGTCCTCGGTCTTACGTTTAAGTCTTTGATCCATCTTGAGTTGATTTTTGTATAAGGTGTAAAGAAGGGATCCAGTTTCAGTGTTCTGTATATGGCTAGCCAGTTTTCCCAACACCATTTACTAAATAGGGAATCTTTTCCCCATTGCTTGTGTGTCAGGTTTGTCAAACATCAGATGGTAGTAGGTGTGTGGTGTTATTTCTGAGGCCTCCATTCTGTTCCATTGGTCTATATATCTGTTTTGGTACCAGTACCATGCTGTTTTGGTTACTGTAGGCTTGTAGTAAAGTTTGAATTCAGGTAGTGTGATGTCTCCAGCTTTGTTGTTCTTGCCCAGGATTGTCTTGGCTGTGTGGTCTCTTTTTTGGTTGCATATGAAGTTTAAGCATTTTTTTCCAATTCTGTGAAGAAAGTCAATGGTAGCTTTTGGGCAAAGTAATTTATAGATTCAATGCTATGCCCATCAAACTACCATTGATATTCTTCACAGAATTAGAAAAAAATATTTTAAATTTCATATGGAATCAAAGAAGACCCCAAATAGCCAAGACCATCCTAAGCAAAAAGAACAAAGCTGGAGGTATCATGCTACTGATTTCTACAGTAATCAAAACAGCATGGTACTGGTACCTAAACAAACATATAGACCCATGAAGCACAAGAGAGACCTCAGAAATAACACCACACACCTACAACCATCTGATCTTTGACAAACTTGACAAAACAAGCAATGGGGAATGGATCTCCTAATCAGTAAATAGTGCCGGCTAGCCATTTGCAGAAAACTGAAATTGGACCATTTCCTTACACCTTATACAAAAATTATCTCAATATGGATTAAAGACTTAAATGTAAAACTCGAAACCATAAAAATCCTAGATGAAAGCCTAGGCAATACCATTCAGGACATAGGCATGGGCAAATACTTCTTGACAAAAACGTCAAAAGCAATTGCAATGAAAGCAAAAATAGACAAATGGGATCTAAATAAACTAACGAGCTTCTGCACAGCAAAATAAACTATCATCAGAGTGAACAGGCAACCTACAGAATGGGAGAAAATTTTTGCAATCTACCCATCTGATGAAGGTCTAATATACAGAATTTACAATGAACTTAAACAAATTTAAAAGAAAAAACAAACAACCCCATCAAAAAGTGGGCAAAGGATATGAACAGACAAACGCTTCTCAAAAGAAGACGTTTATGCGACCAACAAACATGAAAAAAAGCTCAACATCACTGATCATCAGAGAAATGCAAATCAAAACCGCAATGAGCTACCATCTCATGCCAGTCAGAATGGCAATTATTAAACAGTCAAGAAACAATAGATGCTGGTGAGGCTGTGGAGAAATAGGGACGCTTTTACACTGTTGGTGGAAACATAAATTAGTTCAACCATTGTGGAAGACAGTATGGTGATTCCTCAAGGATCTAGAACCAGAAATACCATTTGACCCAGCAATCCCATTTCTGGGTATATACTCAAAGGAATATAAATAATTCTATTCTAAAGATACAGGCACACGTATGTTTACTGCAGCACTATTCACAATAGCAAAGACATAGAACCAACCCAAATGCCCATTTGATTGACTGGATAAAGAAAATGATAGATTGGATAAAGAAAATATTGTACATATACACCATGGTATACTGTGCAGCCATAAAAAGGAATGAGATTATGTCCTTTGCAGGGACATGGATGAAGCTGGAAGCCAAACTAACGCAGGAACAGAAAACCAAACACCGCATGTTCTCACTCATAAGTGGGAGTTGAACATTGAGAACACATGGACACAGAGAGGGGAATGACACACACCAGGGTCTATTAGGGTGTGGGGGGTGAGGGGAGGGAACTTAGAGGACAAGTCAATAGGTGCAGCAAACCACTATGGCAAATGTATACCTATGTAACAAACCTGCACGTTCTGCACTTGTATCCCCCCCACCCGCTTTTTTTTTAGAATTAATAAAGAAAAACAAACTAAGCAAATAAAAAGTAAGAAATTATTTTTAAAAAAAGAGAGGGGAAAATGAGGAAGAAGAAAAACAACTAACTAGGTGGCAACTCCCCTTTGTGATGTTGATAAGGTAAGAATAGGTTTCTATTTACTTGATGAAGTCCAAGTTATTTTCTTCTCTCAGGAAAATGGAACAGACAGTTGCAAGGCTCAGATATGTACAGCTGCTTATAAACCCATTGTAAAGTTGAAAAAAATTATAATTTGGGGACCATCTGTATTTGAGCTGCAACTTAGAAGACCCCATTCTCAAGATTCAACTCCTGTCTTCGAAGACATGCACTTACCCATTGCCATCTGTAACCTGAGAGATTCATATGTTGTCTGCGTGCAAGTGCCTGTGTGAAATTGATTTGCCCTTTGCCCACAAAGATTTCAGCTTTTGGATGAAATGCTGTTAACTCCATATTTTCTCTAATTCTTGCTATCCTTTTAAAAGTAAAAGAATTTTTTAAGATATCATATTTACAAGTGCACAGATCACAAGTGTCCAGCTCACTGAATTTTCACAATGTGAGCACACCCATAAAACAACCAATATAAAGAAGTAAAGCATCAGTAGCACCCCAGAAGCCTTCACACTCCCACCTAACTACTCACTCCTCCTCCAAGTAGAGGGGAAGCCTACTGTATGCATTATTTTGGTGTCTGGTTTCCTTAGCTCAGCAATATGTTTGTGAGATGCAAGCACCTTGTTGCATGTAGCAATATGCCATTCTTTCTTATTCCTATCTAGTATTTCATTGTATAATTTCATCATAACTTATTTATCCACTCTGCTATTGATGTATATTTTATTTGTTTCCACTTTTTTATTATTACAAATTGTGTTGCAATAAATATCTCTTGAGGTATCTTCTAATTTGCATGTATGTGCATTTTTGTTACACCTAGAAGTGATATCATTATTCTTTTAATTTAAGCCATCTGGTAGAAGCACTGATGGCCTTTGTGGCCTTAATTTACATTTCCCTGATGATTAATAAAACCAAGCTCTTTTTTGTATATCTATTGACAGTGTAATTACCTTTCTGTGAAGTACCTCTTTAAGACTTTTGTCCATTTTTTAAAATTTTTATTCTCTTACTTATATGTAAGCATTCTTTATATATTCTGGAGTCCAGAACTTTGTGTTTTTTAATATATAATATCTTCTTACCACTGGGGCTTTGCTATCTTAATGTTATGTTTTGATAAACAGAATTTTAAATCATATTTTACAGTCCAATTTAGCTTCTTTATTTTATTGATAACAATTTTTACATTCTGTTTAGGAGATTAGATGTTTTCCAATATAATTTCATGATAAAGTCAATTTAATTGACTTTTAGAAATCATAGTGTTTCACAATGAGGTCTTTAGTTCATCTAGAATTGATGGAATACCTGTGATGTAAGGTAAAGATCATGATTCAGTTATACTCCATGTGGATATTGAATGGATTCCACTTACTTTTTGGAAAGATTATCTTTTTCCCAGAGCACTGTAATGTCAACTTTGTCATATAAGTCAAGTTCTTTTATATGTTTGTACTGTCTTGGGATTCTTTGTTCTGCTATTTAGACTATTAATCTGTCTTGCACTAATATCGCATGACCTTAATATCCATAGTCTGCAAGTCTTGATGTCTAGCAATGCTCTTCTTGTTTTTCTTCATGACGGCCTTTACTACTCTTGGCTTTCTCTGGGACTCTTTTCATATACATTTTAGAATCAGCTTGTCAGCTTATAACTAGATTTAATTTACTAATGTTTTGTCCACAGAAGAAATTGGCCTTACGCTAGATTTTTTCTTGTTTGTAATCTTGTCATATTTTTGTTAGAAGGTTTTACTAGCTTCATAAAATGAGTCAAAAAGTGTCTCTTTTATTACTTTATAAAAGACTTTGGATACAATTAGTTTATTCTCATGTGTTTGGGAGAATTCACTGGGGAATTCATGTGGGCTTGAAGTTTCCTTTATGTATAATGTAAAATATAACATTCATAAAATTTCAGATTAGATTTTAAAAATATAGTCATAGGTACTATTTAGATTTTCTATTCCTTTTGTGTTAGTTTTTGAATAGCTATATTTTTCTTAGAATGCATTCATTTTATTTGATTTTCAAATGTATCAGTTTAACGTTGTTTATAAAAACACTTTATAAACATTTAGATAACTGCAGGGTCTCTAGTGATAATTCTTATCATTAAAGATATTGGAAGAGTATTCTCTGAGTGTGTGTGTCTCTATTTTCCCCCTTTATTTAGTTGTTTTATTTTGAAATAATTAAAGACTTATAGGAATTTACAAAGATAATACAGATAATATAGATGTCGTATATCTTTTCCCCACCAGTTTCCCCTACTGGTTACACCTTATATAATTATCGTACAATCTCAAAATAAGAAAATTGATAATTCTGCAATTTATGTGTGTAATTTTATGCTATCCCATCATGTTATCTTAAATGTGACAACCACTGCTATCAAGATGCAATTCAGCTCCAGTGAAGTTTAGAAACTTTGAGAAAAACAAGCAATGGGGAAAGGATTCCCTATTTAATAAATGGTGCTGGGAAAACTGGCTAGCCATATGTAGAAAGCTGAAACTGGATCCCTTCCTTACACCTTATACAAAAATCAATTCAAGATGGATTAAAGATTTAAACGTTAGACCTAAAACCATAAAAACCCTAGAAGAAAACCTAGGCATTACCATTCAGGACATAGGCGTGGGCAAGGACTTCATGTCCAAAACACCAAAAGCAATGGCAACAAAAGCCAAAATTGACAAATGGGATCTAATTAAACTAAAGAGCTTCTGCACAGCAAAAGAAACTACCATCAGAGTGAACAGGCAACCTACAACATGGGAGAAAATTTTCGCAGCCTACTCATCTGACAAAGGGCTAATATCCAGAATCTACAATGAACTCAAACAAATTTACAAGAAAAAAACAAACAACCCCATCAAAAAGTGGGCGAGGGACATGAACAGACACTTCTCAAAAGAAGACATTTATGCAGCCAAAAAACACATGAAGAAATGCTCATCATCACTGGCCATCAGAGAAATGCAAATCAAAACCACTATGAGATATCATCTCACACCAGTTAGAATGGCAATCATTAAAAAGTCAGGAAACAACAGGTGCTGGAGAGGATGTGGAGAAATAGGAACACTTTTACACTGTTGGTGGGACTGTAAACTAGTTCAACCATTGTGGAAGTCAGTGTGGCGATTCCTCAGGGATCTAGAACTAGAAATACCATTTGACCCAGCCATCCCATTACTGGGTATATACCCAAAGGACTATAAATCATGCTGCTATAAAGACACATGCACACGTATGTTTATTGCGGCACTATTCACAATAGCAAAGACTTGGAACCAACCCAAATGTCCAACAATGATAGACTGGATTAAGAAAATGTGGCACATATACACCATGGAATACTATGCAGCCATAAAAAATGATGAGTTCATGTCCTTTGTAGGGACATGGATGAAATTGGAAACCATCATTCTCAGTAAACTATCGCAAGAACAAAAAACCAAACACCGCATATTCTCACTCATAGGTGGGAATTGAACAATGAGATCACATGGACACAGGAAGGGGAATATCACACTCTGGGGACTGTGGTGGGGTCGGGGGAGGGGGGAGGGATAGCATTGGGAGATATACCTAATGCTAGATGACACGTTAGTGGGTGCAGCGCACCAGCATGGCACATGTATACATATGTAACTAACCTGCACAATGTGCACATGTACCCTAAAACTTAGAGTATAATAAAAAAAAAAAAAAAGAAACTTTACATCTCTTAATAACCCTTTACTCTCTCCTGCTTATAATTGTATAAAATATTTTCTCTACATACATTGAGTACATCAGATATTATTATAATTTTTGCTTCAGCTATCAAACATAGTTAAGAAAATTGAAGAAGAGAAAGAAAATCCTTTGTATTTGCCTACATTTTTGCTCTTTCTGTTGTTCTTTCTTCTTTCCTAGTGTTCTAAGTTTCTGAGGAGGAATCTATTGTCATTTGAATTTTTTTAACTCTGTGAGTAATATGCCCTTTCTCTCTCACTACTTTCAAGATTTTTTTTTTTTTGTATTTAGTTTTCTGAAGTTTGCTTGTGATGTGTCCTGGCATGAATTTCTCTGGGTCAGTCCTATTTAGGATTCATTCATCTTCTTGAATCTATAGATTTTTGTACTTTGAAATATTAGGAAAACTTTCAGCTATTATTTCTTTGAATACTTTCTCAGCCCTTCTCTCTTCCTCTTATCCTTCTGTGACATGTTAGATTACATATGTTGTAACAAAATATGGTTTATTATAGTTCCACAGTTCATAAGGGTTTGTTCTAAAAAGCAAACAAACACAACACCTCTGTTTTCGCTCTGTTTTTCACAATAGGTAATATATCTTGTTCTCTCTTTAAGTTCACTGCTTCTTTTCTCTGTTCTATTTTGCTGTTGAGCTCATCCATTTTTTTAAAAAAAAGTTTAGTTATTGTATTTTTGAGTTCTGACATTTCTTTTTATTCTTTATGTCCTCTATTCTTTGCTAAGACTTTATATTTTCTACTTGTTTAAAGTATGTTTATAATTGTTCATTGAAGCATTTTTATGATGGCTGCTTTAAAATCCTCCTCAGATAATTGCAACATCTGTGCTGTTTTGGTGCTGGCATCTTCTGTTGGTTGTTTTTTCTCATTCGAGTTGCTGTTTTCCTGGTTTGGGGTATATTGAATGATTTTTCATTTAACTTAGATATTTGAGTATTATGTTGTGAGACTTCAGATCTTATTTAAACTTTGTTTTTCCACACCTCCTCTGACACTGCACCAGCAGGGGTGGGAAGGTGCTGCTTCATTACTGTTAGGTGAAATAGGAAAGTCCCAGTTCTCTCTTTGACCTTCTTTGACACGTGAGAGGGAAGAGATGCTTATTACTGCTAGGTAGAGTGGGATTCCAGTTCCCCTACTAGGGCTCTGCTGATATTACTCTAGCTGGGAGAAAGAGAAGTTCTCCTTTCTCTACAACCTTGCCAGCACTTGTTATTATTATTATTGGTCTTTTTGATAATAGCCATTCTAATTAGGGTGGAGTGATATCTCATTGTGGCTTTGATTTGCATTTTCTTGATAATTAGTGACGTTGAGCACTTTTTCATACACTTGTTGGCCATGTGTCCATCTTCTTTTGAGAAATGTCTATTCAGGTCTTTTGCCCATTTTTAAATCAGATTGTCTTTTTGCTATTGAGTTGTTTGAATTCCTTATATATTCAAGTTATTAATCTCTTATTGGATGGATAGTTTGCAAATATGTTCTCCCATTCTGTAGGTTAACTCTTCACTTTGTTGATTGTTTTCTTTGCTGTGCAGAAAGTTTTAAGCTTGATATAATCCCGTTTGCCTACTTTCGCTTTTGTTGCCTGTGCATTTGAGGTCTTACACAAAAAGTCCTTGCCCAGACTGATGTCTTGAAGCTTTTCCCCTGTATTTTCTTCCAGTACCTTCATAGTTTCAGGACTTAGATGTAAGTCTTTAATTTATGTTGATTTGATTTTTGTATATGGTGAAAGATAGGGATATTGTTTTATTCTTCTGCATATGGATATCCAGTTTTCCCATCATAATTTATTAATGAGATTGTCCTATACCCAATGTATGTTCTTGCTGGCTTTGTCAAAAATAAGTTGACTGCAAGTGTGTAGCTTTATCTCTGGGTTCTCTATGCTGTCCCATCTGTCTATGTATCTGTTTTTAGTCATTACCATGCTGTTTCAATTACTATGTTTTTGCAGTATAAATTGACATCAGGTATTGTGATGCCTCCAGCTTTGTTTTTGTTTTTTGTGTTTTGTGTGTGTGTGTGTGTGTGTTTTTCTCAGAATTGCTTTAGCTATTTGGAGTCTTCTGTGGTTCCATATGAATTTTAGAATTGTGTTTTTCTATTTCTGTGAAGAGCATTTCTGGTATTTTGATAGGAATTGCATTAAATCTATAGATCACCTTGAGTAACCTATATAGATTATAGACATATTAACAATATTAATTCTTCCAATCTATGAGCATGGGATATCTTTCCATTTTTTGTGTCTGCTTCAATTTCTTTCATTGATATTTTATTGGTTTCCTTATAGAGATCTTTCACTCCTTTGGTTAAATTTATTCCTAGGTATTTTATTTTTTGTGACTATATTAAATGGCATTGTTTTATGATTTCCTGTACAGATCACTGTCAGCAATGAAAAATGCTACTGAGTTTTGTATGTTGATTTTGTATCCTGCAGCTCTACTGAATCTTCTTTTATCAGTTATAAGAGAGTTTTTTGGTGGAGTCTTTAAGTTTTTCTGAATATAAGATTATGTCTTCTGCAGACAAGGCTAATTTGACTTCTTTCTTTCCTGTTTGGATGCCCTTGTTTCTTTCCACTGCCTGATGATTGCTCTGGCGAGGACTTCCAGAACAATGTAAAATAGCAGTAGTGAAAGTGGGCATTCTTGTCAGGTTCCAGGTCTTAGAGAAATTGCTTTCAATTTTTCCTTGTTCATCACAATATTAGCTATGAGTTTATTATATAAGGCCTTTGTCATATTGAGGTATGATCCTTCTATACTCAATTTGTTGAGAATTTTTTTTGTCATGAAGTCATACTGAATTTTATCAAATGCTTTTTCAGCATTCATTGAGATAAGTCATTTTTTTGGTCCTTCATTCTGTTGATTTGATGTATCATGCTTATTGATTTGCATATGTTGAACCATCCTTGCATCCCTGGGATGAATCCCACTTGATTGTGGTGGATGATCTTTTTAATGTGTTGTTGAATTCAGTTTGCTAATATTTTGTTGAGGATTTTTGCAGCAATGTTCACCAGGGATGTTGGTGTGTAGTTTTATCTTTTTAGTTGTGACTTTATATGTTTTTGGTATCAGGATAGTGCTGGCCTCATAGAATGACTCTGGAAGCATCCCCCCCTCTTCAATTACCTCCTCTTCAATTATTTGAAATAGTTTCAGTAGAGTTGATGTTATTTTTTAGATATTTGGTACAATTCAACAGTGAATCCATCAGGTCCTGGGCTTTTCTTCGATGAGAGACTTTGAGTGCTTTGATCTTGTTACTCATTATGGGTCTGTTCAGGTTTTCTATTTCTTTATGGTTTAGTCTTTGTAGGTTGTATGTGTCAATGAATTTACCAATTTCTTCTAGCTTTCCCAGCTTATTAGTGAATAGTTGTTCATAGCAGTCTCAAAAATCCTTAGTAGTCTCTAATAATTTATGTGATATCAGTTGTAATGTGTTCCTTTTTGTCTCTGATTTTATTTGAATCTTCCCTTTTTTTAGCCCAGCTAAAGATTTGTCATTTTTTTATCTTTTCAAAAAACAACCTTTTCATTTTATTGATCTTCTGTATTTAGCCTCAATTTTATTCATTTCTGCTCTGATCTTTATTGTTTCTTTCCTTCTACTATTTTTAGGTTTGGTTTGTTCTTGCTTTTCTAGTTTCTTCAGGTTCATTGTTAGGCTATTTGAAGTCTTCCTATTTTTTTATTTAGGCTATATGTAAACTTCCCTCTTTGTACTGCTTTTGCTATATCCCATAGGTTCTCATATATTGTATTTCCATTTCATTTGTTTTAATACTTTTTAGAATTTCCTTCTTTACTTTCTTCATTGGTCATTCAGGAGCATTTTAATTTCCATGTATTTGTATAGTTTCTAAATTTCTACTTTCTGTTGACTTCTAGTTCATTCTATTGTGGTCAGAGAAGATACATGATATAATTTTGACTCTTGAATTTGGCGACACTTGTTTTGTGGCCTATGATATGGTGTATCTTGGAGAATGTTCCATGTGCTGATGAGAAAAATGTATATTCTGCAGCAGTTGGGTAAAATATTCTCTAGATGTCTGTTAGACCGTCTAGGGATCTGCTGTGGGATACAGGCTAAAGAGCCTGGTCTCATTGACTTAAAGGGATGTGCATCTTCCAGCAAGTCCCTGGATAGTTGAGATCATTCTTTCATTGCAGCAGGAAAAATCAGAGCTGGGACCGGGTCCCCTTGGGATCTGCTGTGAGATGGAGGCTAGAGAGCCAGCATCATTGTCCCAGACAGGTATGGCTCTCCCACCAGGTCTCAGTACAGAGGAGATAGTTCTCTGACAGCATCGAGAGGGACAAGAGCTAAGGCTGGGCACCCTTGGGATTTGCTCTGGGACAGAGTTGGGCAAGCCCATCAGGGAGGCTCAGACTCCTGAGCTGTGAGATATGGGTGAGTCTTCCCCTGGGTTCTTGTGTAACCACTTCTGAGATGGGAGCTCAACTGATCAGGGGTGAATCCCAGCCACAGGGCAGCTTTTAGGTTCACTGCTGAGACTGATGTAGGCAGGCAGAGAAGCCTTTCTGCCAAGGCACTAGTGTGTGTGTGATTCCTTCTAGATCTCTTGGCAGATGGTTTAGGTTGTAGGCTCAAGACCAAACAAAGCAGTAACCAAGGCTCCCGGACGACTGGGTTATTTCTGTACTTGAACACAGGAGCAAGCTCAACAGATCAGCCATTTGGGTGTTGGTGTGCACTCTCAAATAACTCTCCAATGTCTTGGGTTTTACCAGGTGTTTCACAAGCCCCTACCTGAATCCTGAGGCTCCCAAAAAGAGACTTTTGACTGTCAATACGTAGAGAGTTCATGTTGTTGTCAGGAGTATGAACAGATTATCTTTTATGCTGCCATCTTGACGATGTCACTCCCACATGAAATTTCTTTTTCCACCCTTTGTTTTGAATATTTGGGTGTCCTTATATATAAGGTGCATTTCATCTTTTCAGCACAAAGACTTTGTTAAAAAACCAACATGGCAGTCTTTATCTTTTAAAAGGACTAATTAAAGCATCAGTATTTATTGCCATTATGGATATATTTGAGTTTATATTGATCACATGATTTATATCTGTTCTACCTAGTTTATGCTTATGCTTTTCTCTTTTCATATCTCCTTACAGATTAAAATTATTATTAATCTAATTTATTAGATTACAATTATTATTTTTAAAATTTCCTTCTATTAAATTCTTAGATATACACACGTTCACTATCCTTTTAGTGAATATTCTAGAGATTGAAACATACACATCTCTGATATATTAGAGTCTCAGATAAATTATTAATTTTATTCACTTTCAGAAATGCTAGAATTCAGATCACTTTTATTCCATTTATACTCCTCTTGCCTTTTTTGCATGATTTTCATCATTCATTTTGTTGTTTTACAGTCAACTTTCATTTATATTTGTCCATATTTCTATCCTTTACATTGTTTTTATACTTTATACGTTCTCATGTGGAATAATTTTACTTCTGACTTTGCTATTACTTTACAAGGTGTCTGCTATTGATGAATTCTTTAAGTATTTGTTTGAGTAGAAACATTTTTATTTAGCTCTTGATTTTTGGAGTATACTTCTGATAGCTATAGAATTCTATTTTTTTTAGCACTTTATATCTATTGTATCAGTTCATTTTCACACTGTTGATAAAGTCATACCTGAGAGTGGGCAATAAACAAAAGAAAGAGGTTTAATGGACTTACACGTGGCTGGGGAAGCCTCACAATCACAGAAGAAGGCAGGGAGGAGCAAGTCACATCTTACACGGATGGCAGCAGGCAAAGAGAGGAGCTTGCTCAGGGAAACTCCTGTTTCTAAAACCATCATATCTCATGAGACTTATTCACTATCATGAGAACAGCATGGGAAAGACCTGCCCCCATTATTCAATTACCTCCCACCAGGCTCCTCCCATGACACATGTGAAAGTTAAAATTCAAGATGAGATATGGGTGGGGGCACAGCCAAACCATGTCATTCTGTCCCTGGCCCCTCCTAAATCCCACATCTTCAGATTTCAAAACCAATCATGTCCTCCCAACAGTCCCCCAAAGTCTCAACTCATTTCAGCATTAACTCAATAGTCCACAGTCCAAAGTCTTATCTGAGACAAGGCAAGTCCCTTCTGCCCATGAGCCTCTGAAATCAAAAGCAAATTAGTTACTTCCTAGATACAATGGGGTACAGGCATCGGGTAAATACAGACATTCCAAATGGGAGACACTGGCCAAAACAAAGGGGCTACAGGTCCCATGCAAGTCCAAAATCTGGCAGGGCAGTCAAATCTTGAAGCTCCAAAATGATCTCCTTTGACTCCATGTCTCACATCCAGGTCACACTGATGCAAGAGGTGGGTTCCCATTGTCTTGGGCAGCGCCACCTCATGGCTTTGCAGGGTACAGCCTCCCTCTCAACTGCTTTCACAGACTGATGTTGAGTGTCTGTGGCTTTTCCAGGTGCACCATGCAAGCCATTGGTGAATCTTTTATTCTGGGGTCTGGAGAATGGTGCCTCTTTTCTCACAGCTCCCCTAGGTGGTGCTCCTGTAGCGACTCTGTGTGGGGGCTCTGACACCACATTTCCCTTCTGCACTGCCCTAGCAGAAGTTCTCCATGGGAGCCCCACCCCTTCAACAAACTTCTGCCTGGACATCCCAACATTTCCATACATCCTCTGAAATCTAGTAGGAGGTTCCTACTCCAATTCTTAACTTCTGTGCACCCAGAGGCTCAACACCATGTGGAAGCTGCCAAGACTTGGGGCTTGCACCCTCTGAAGCAACAGCCCAAGCTGTACCTTGGCCCCTTTCAGCCATGACTAGAGCAGTTGGGATGTGGGGCATCAAGTCCCTAGGCTGCACACAGCATGGGAATTCTGGGTCTGGCCCACAAAACCACTTTTTCCTCCTAGGCCTCCAGGCTTGTGATGGGAGGGGCTACCATGAAGACCTGTGACATGCCCTGGAGACATTTTCCCCATTGTCTATGTTGGTGATCAACATTCAGCTCCTCGTTACTTATGCAAATTTCTGCATCCAGCTTGAATTTCTCCTCAGAACATGGGATTTTCTTTTCTATCACATTGTCAGGCTGCAAATTTCCCAAACTTTTATGCTGTCTTTCTCTTTTAAAACTGAATGCCTTTTAACAGCACCCAGCCACACCTTGAATGCTTTGAAATTTCTTCTTTGTTGCTTAGCAATTTCTTCTGCCAGATACCCTAAATCATCTCTCTCAAGTTCAAAGTTTCACAAATCTCTAGGGCAAAATGCTGCCAGTCTCTTTGCTAAAACAGCAAGAGTCACCCTTCTCCAGTTCCCAAGAAGTTTCTCATCTCCATCTGAGACCACCTCAGCCTGGACTTTATTGTCCATATCGCTATCAGCATTTTGGCCAAAGCCATTCAACAAGTCTCTAGGAAGTTTCAAACTTTCCCACATTTTCCTGTCTTCTTCTGAGCCCTCCAAACTGTTTCAACCTCTGCCTGTTACCCCAGTTCCAAAGTCACTTCCACACTTTCCAGTATCTTTTCAGCAGCACCTCACTCTACTGGTATCAACTTCTGTATTTGTCCGTTTTCATGCTGATGATAAAGACATACCCAAGACTGGGCAATTTACAAAAGAAAGAGGTTTAATGGACTTACATTTCCACGTGGCTGGGGAAACCTCACAGTCATGGTGCAAGGCAAGGAGGAGCAAGTCACATTTAAATGGATGGCAGCAGGCAAAGAGAGAGACCCTGTGCAGAAAAACTCCCATTTTCGAAACCATAAGATCTCATAGGACTTATTCACTATTACAAGAACAGCATGGGAATGACCTGCCCCCATGATTCAATTACCTCCCACCAGTTTCCTCCCATGACATGTGGGAATGGTGGGAGTTACAATTCAAGATGAAATTTGGGTGGGACACAGCTAAACCATATCAGCTATCATTTCAAGTTTTTGGCCTTCTTTTGTTTCTATGGAGAAGTCATTTGTCATAATTTTGCTTCTTTTCAGATAGATCTTTTTTTCCATGCTGGGTGATTTTTAGATCTTTGTCTTTGGTTTCCTTCATATTTGCTATGATATGGCTAGGTGTGTTTTATTGTTGTTTACTGCACTATACGCACTTAAATCTATGGCTAGAAGTTTTTTATCTGATTTAAAAAATTTTGGCCATTATCTTTTCAAATTTTACTTCTGTTTCATTCCCTCTTTCCTCTATTTCTGTGACTCCACTTACCCACATTTTAGACCTAGTGATAAGCTAATTTTCTGAAGGAAATAAAATGGTTCTGTTAACTGGCATTTGCTACCTCTCTTCTCTTCATGCTGAGTTCAAGTTACCAACTATTTAACAAGGAGCTCAAAAAATACATGAAAATTACCAGTTAGTTCTTATTAGCTGGCATAAGCCAGCCAATGAATCACTGGTTTAACTTTTGTATTGAGTCTCATATGTCTATTATGTACCTTTTTGTATTTTTCATCTAGTTTTCTCTGTGTTATTAGAATTTTTCTATTAATCTATCTTCTAGTTCACTAATATTCTCTTCAGCCTCACCAAATCTGCTTTTATCCCATTAAGTTCTTAAAATTATTTTTTTATTTTGATATTCTAGATTTTCCACTTAAGCTTTTTTAAAATAAGAATTGCAGTTCTCTGATTACATTTTACATCTTTTAATCTGTCTTGTTTGAATATATTAATCACAATTATGTGAAAAGCTATGTGTTGTTGTTTAGCTCTAATATTTTCAACTTCTTTGGGTGTATACCAATTATATTTTTTCTATTGGTCATAACTTTTGATATCCCTAACAATTTTGGTTAAATAGAAAACATTTAATATAAAACATTAGGGATGTTCTGAGTAGTGTTATCTTCTACCAAAGATGATGAATCACCCTTTCCTCAGGTGGGCAACTACTGTAGGATGAGATACTTCTAAGGTGAAATACTTCAATGTGACTGGGGAAGACCTTTTATGAGACTCAGTTGCAGTCTTTGCTAGGGTCTACCTCTGTTTTGTCACCATTCCTTGGTAGCCTTACGTGTGTTCCAATCAAGGACCTGGGTGTTTTCAGAAGTTCTCGTCTTTGGTGGGTCCTGAACTCTAATTTTTTTTTTTTTTTTTTTTGGTTTTTCAGTCTGATAGCAATGCTAAAACTCTGCTCCATTATTCAATGATTCTTCTTTGCTTCTTACACTCTTGACTTGTACAGTTTAAGCATTGGGCAAATACCTTGAGGGGAAAACCACCAAGTATTGAGCTTATTTTATGTGGTTTCCTTCTCTCAGGGATTTTTGCCACTTAACTCCTAGCTATGTTGGCATCCCTTTAATGTCTTCAATATCTGTCTATTTTGTATTATATTTGGATTTTTAAACTTTTCCTGGCAGAAGTGCTGGTCTGCTTCAAGTTACTCTGTTATGGTCAGACACAGAAATCCCCTCTAATAGTTGTTTTATGAGAGGCAGAGTGACATACAGTAGCAACAACTCTGGAATTAGAAAGTTAGATGACCCATTTCTGGCTCTGTAATTTACTAATTTTCAGAATGTGAACCTGTTTATTTCACCTTTTAGTGACCAAATTTACAAAGTCATATGACTATTGGAACTGACATTTTAAGGATAAAAAAGAAGAAAAATAAATAAATAATTGCAAAACATGATTATTGATATGAAGGAATTGCAATTCTGCATCATTGACACCCAGGTATTATTATGGATATGGGAACTGACAGCATCTTTTGTGGAAACAGAAGAAAGAAGAAGAGATTCTAAATAAGAAGTAAGTGAAAAACTGTGTGAGTGCAGCATCCCAGAAGCTGGGAAAGGAGAATATTGCTAGAACTCAGAGGTAGCCAGCCCTGTCAAATCCTGCTATCACATGAAATAAGATGAGGGCAAAAAAATGGACCATTGGACTTAACAATATGAGAATTGTTGGAAACCTTGACAAGAGCAGTTTCAGTGGATTTTTTTTGTGAACAAAACCAGATAGCAGCGAATTGACCAGTGAAGTAGAGATAAAGAAAGGGAGACTGCCTGTTGAGACATCTTTTTCAAGACGTTTATCCTTGAAGAGAGAGCAGGGAGTAGTGCTATGCTTACAAAATCTCAGCAGAGTACCCTGGAGGCCTGCCCCATTTCATCTCAAGCTGCAGAGTTCCCTCAATCTCAATCATGATTTTGTTTTTGTCTTTCCCTTATCTTTTCCAGTGAGCGCTTCCTTTTTTTGCCCATTCATACAGCTTCTCTTTCTCTTTTCCTTGTGGCTGATGGTACAACTCATATTATCTTGGCTGAGCCTTCTCAGTTTTTAAGAGAAGTTGAGCTCTATTTTATTTCTTAAAATAATATTTCAAATTGTGGTTACTTTAGACAAATTAGGTGACATTTAAAATCTTCTGTTTATTTAAACTTTTCAAAATATTATAATAATCTGTCCTAAAAGAGTATATCCAGTCTAAAAAAATTTGCAGTTTCAAAGTCGGATTCAAAAAAGACAAGAGCAGGAGAAGCAGCATGAGGGGGGAGAAAATCCACCAGACTGAGACCCAGACACTCCTAAGTTCAAGTCCATGCTCTGTGTGTCATCTGAGGCAATGTGTTAATCTTAATTTTATGTATGTTATATAGTGACTTATATAGAAAGTTATATGTATTTATCTATGTAGACATGTTATAAATAAATTATATATTTATATATCAAATTTATAATTTTAAATATAGTAATTCCTCAGTACCCATGGAGGATTAGTTCCAGGACTTCTATGGATATCAAAAGCCCAAAAGCTGCAGATACTCAAGTCCCTGATAGAAAATGACGTAGTATTTGCACATAACCTATGCATGTCCTCCTGTGCACTTTAAATCATCTCTAGATTACTTATAATACCTCATATAATGTAAACGCTATGTAAAGAGTTGTTACACTATATGATTTAAAGAATAATAACAAGAACAAATGTCTGTACATGCTCGATCCAGGAAAAATTTGTTTTCTTGAGTATTTTTAATCCACGGTTGGTTGAATCTACAGATGCAGAACTGATAGATACAGAGAGCTGACAGTATGTCTTTGATTTATTTATTTTTAATTATATATTTATATGTGTGTGCAGACATGTATGTATAACTATATTTATATTTGTATCTTTATCTGTATCTATCTGTATCTATTCTTAGAAATCTTTTAAGATGCTTTGATGAAATAAATATTCAAATATTTGGCAAACATGCAAAAAATATTTTTTTTCTTTCCTCAGCTCTCCATTTCTTTAGTCAGCAACACGTCTTTGAAAAAAGAAACACCATTCTTTTTTATTTTTCAAATTTCTCTTGTTATTGAAAGTATCTCTTGCTATTGACAACCCATTTTTTCTATCTTCTAGGCATCATTCAGTTAAATCAAATCAAGTCAGAAAAATCTATTTTGCCATACCTTGGGTCACACAGTAGGGTCTCTTTAAAACTCATTTTTCCTTTCACTTCATAGGCTGTTTGCTGACCCCGCAGTTCTAAAATTGATTTCCTTCTCTATCACTACTGCTAAAATTGTATCAATAACTATTGAATAGAACCGGCTTTTCCTTGCCACACTCACCTAAATTGTACTTCTCTTCCTTAATTCCATCTAACCTCTGCCAAATCGCTCTGCATTTCATATTATCTTCTGAATTCCCAGCTGCTCAGTCCTATGTGTTTTAATTTAAAATACTTCACTGTCTTTCACGTCTCATCTACAGGGAAGACCACATAATTTGTGGGGCCCAGAGCAATGTGAAAATAGGGCTCCTTGTTCAAAAAGCAGGAAAATAAATGCAGTTACAAATAAAAGCTATAAAGATTATCCTTTGAAGGCATTTTATTACTCATGAAATGTAATGAGGAAAAGGTGATGCTATCTAATCACAACACAACAGAACATTGAAAAGGTCAGGGAAGCCTCCTGGTGCTGCCTGCATGCAGAGCCCCTCTTGTCTCCTAAGGCCCAGACACTGCAGCGTCACCATTGTGAACTGGGCAGCCCAGCCTGCTGCCCGCTGTGCAGGCCCAGCCTACCTCCTCTGCTCCAGCAAAGGCCCCATCAGACTTCACTTACAAATCACAAGCTCAAAATAAAATTAGAAAGAATTTCGAGTTGGTCACAGCAGAATGTTAAACCTAGTGTGGGGCCCTTCTCAGAAGGGCCCCGTATGACTGTCCTGTTGCCTGCCCTGAAGCCAGCCTGTGCCACTGCTGCAGCCTCCCAGAGGGTTGGGAGAATCTAGCCATGTTATGTCCAGCACGGGCAGGCCCTGGACTAAGGCACCTTCCTTTTTTTGTAATTTGAAAGAACTAGAGTGAAGAAGAGGTCCAGGACCCACAGCAGCAGAGACTCTTTTTAGTAACATGACCTTGAGTTTGTGACATTTGTTTCCTGCACTTCAGTTTCCTTATATGCAAAATAAATGTTCCTTCGTCTGTTAAAAAAGTAACAGGGGAGGAATGAGACACAAAGATGAATAAGACATGGCCTCTACCCACAAGGACGTCCCAATCTCTCAATGAAATTCATACCCCTACCAGTGTTCATTTCTTTCCAGATATAAGATGGGAGGCTTCACAGAGAAAATCATCTTACATCTGAATCCAGATGAATGAAAACTAGTTTGTGTAGTGCACAACGAGGAGAAGGATCATTTTCAGGCAGCTCTTGAACAAGCATAGAGGTGAAGGAGCAGCTGTAGTCAGGAAATGTGGAGCAGGTGGCAGAGGGACAAGAAAGAGGCAACAATGGATACAGTGGCCGGATACAGAGGCCTGCGGCCTCATGAGGAGTTTGGGACTGGATCTAGGGAGCTCTTGGGAAGGCCTCTAGGCAGAGAAATGCCATAGGACTTAGTCTTGTTAGAAAGACCACTTTGCCAACAATGGAAAGGATACAAAGGCTAGCACTGGGGAGACTGGGGTCCTGGGGAAATGCAGTGTGGGGATTGTGATGGTCAGTTTTACGTGTCAGCTTGACGGTTTAGGAGACACACACACATGGCTGGTAAAGCATTACTTCTGGAAATGTCTGTGAGGGTGTTTCCAGAAAATACCGATGTTTGGATTAGTGGACTGGGTAAAGAAGACCCACCCTCACCCAGTGTGGATGGACACCATCCAATCAGCTAAGTGCCCAAATAGAACAAAAAGGCAGAGTAAAGAATTCTCTCTCTCTTTTCCAGGGCAAGGATGCCATTCTTCTCCAGCCCTTGAACCTCAGAACTCCAGGTTCTCTGGCCTTGGTCTCCAGGACTTGCACCAGTGCCCCCTGGGTTCTCAGGCCTTCAGCCTCTGACTGAGAGTGACACCATCAGCTTCCCTGGTTCTGAGGCCTTTGGACTTGGACTGAGCCACGCTACTGCTACTGACATTCCAGAGTCTCCAGCTTGCATACAGCCTGTCCTCCTAATCACATGAGTCAATTCCCCTAATAAATCCCCTCTCATCTATCCATAGATCTATCTATCTCCTATTGGTTCTTTCTGTGGAGAGCCTTGACTAATACAGGGGTGAAAGAGGGTCTGAATTTAGACGCGTACCAATAGGATGTTGGAGTAGCAGTGATCACTGGAAATATGGGTCAGGAGCTCAGGAGGATGATCAGGGCTGAGCACATAGAATTTGGAGCTGTCAGAAGATGGATGTGCGGCTTACAAAGGGACAGTATGAAGGGTGGGACCAGAGAAGATGACCAAGGGTGGAACGCAGAGAAACCCCAGTGTTTAGGGAATGGACAGAATTGGAGAAACCTGCAAAGGTTACTGAGAAAGAGATAGGGGAAGGGGGAATGAGTAAAGGAAGAAGAGAGAAAGAGAGGGGAGGGAACTCTGAAGCTATTTTCTGGGCAAAAGAAGTGAGCAACAATGATCCATGAAGAACCAGTGCACTGTGGTGGATGGGGAGGCAAGATGCCGGGATGAGGAAGTGAACAGTTGGATGGGAACTCATGGAGCACTTGCCACCTGCCAGGCACTCCTCCAGCCTTGGAGTTTCACACTTCGTCACCTTGGCAACGGCCTTCCAGGGTGGGCACCATCATGCCTATTTAACATGTGAGGAGACTGGGAGGTCAGATATTCAGACGTTTGCTCAAGTTCCATGCTGGGGAAGAGCAGATTGAGAATTCTAGCTGCACACCTACGCCAAGGGACGCAGCCCCCACTCCCCATCTCATGCTGCCCATCTCCTCGAACACGGCTGCTGTGGCCAAGGGCCAGGTGCAGCGCAACCCTCTGGGACACCTTCCTCTGCCCCATCTCTGGCTCCTAGTGGCATGGAGAGGCTGGGCTAAAGCAGAGCTGAGAGAGGCCAAAGGTCCTGACTCTGGAGCCTGACCCCCAGGGTTCAAATCCCAGCCCCACCACTATTCGCCCACTGCAGGGTCTAGAAGGTGGGATTACCAGTCTCTATAAATACACTTCATATGTGCCCATGCACAATGCTAGCATATTATTTTATCAGTATATATGAATTCATTTAAATCTCCTGACACACATATGATGAAAACAAAAGCATAGAAGCATAGGGATGTCAAGGAGCCAGCTGCAGTGTAGGTGTTGGCACCTTAGCAGTCGAAGCCCTGCAGAGCCGGCGCTAGTGGTTCTGACCAGGCCTGAAGCCCCGCCCTCATCGCCATGATCCGGACTCAGAACCTGCCTGTGCCCTGCGCTGGGCTGAACAGGGCCCTGGTCACTGTTCACGTTGACCCCCAGCACCAGGTGCAGGGCCTGCCCCCCACCGAGGATCCACTACACATATTTTATGAATTAACCAAATGAGGGAAAAACAATGTGAAGGTCAAAAGCTGAACCTATTTATCCTTTCCAGACCCAACTGGCTGTTTTTCCCAAGGGAGACAGCAGGTGCAGGAGAATCTCCCCCAGCTGTGATCCGCCTTGCAGTTTGTTTTCGTCCTTGAGGAATTGCTGTCCTCTGGCCCAGGCCTGGGCAGACTGCGGGACTTTGGGCAAATGGTGGAAGCCTCTGAGTCTCAGCTTCAAACCTGTTACGTAGCCTTCTTAGTGGAGCTTGAAGCTGGGGCAGGGACGAATTCTAACTTCAGGGCGCCATCTGCACACACACGAGTTTTTCCAATATCGGCATCAGATTCCTTCTGGCCTGGGGCACTTTGTGCCCGTACACGTTTCTCCCTGCCCTCTCTTAAAGTTCCTAGGACTTTAGACCTAGGAACTGAGCTGCGGACTGGACAGGAACTCAGCAAATTTGCCAAGGCCCATTGGGGTTTCTCTGAAACACCAGCCTCCAGCAAGAGCAAAGCCCACCCCCTGTCTCCTCAGCTCCGTGGGCAGCCCCGCCGGGCTTGGGGAGCCTTGCCGGCAAAGTGGCGGAGTCCGGGCTCTGAGTGGGGGCTTCGGGGCCCTCTTCTCGCTGTTATCTCCCATGGGTTGGTTTGGGGTTGCGGCCTCACGCTTACTGCCGACCCTACGCCCAGGGCACCTCCACTGCAAGCAATCAGCAGGGACGCGTGGTTCTGCTCCAGCTGCAGATTCCTTGGGCTCATCTTCCTGCGCGGCGGCGTCTAGACTCCAGCAGGGTCGGCCATCGTCTCTCACTGTGCCATCTGGAAAGCAGGACAGCTCATTCTGCAAGCACTTACTGAAGGGTGTGAGGACAAAAAGACAGGCTTTGTGACCACAGTAACCCAGGATCCTCCACTTACTAACTGTGGCTTTGGACGAATTTTTCCACTCCTTTAAGTCATGGTTCTCTTCATTTCCAAGATGTTAAGCACAACGCGTGTAGGACTTCCTGGGAGAGAGCCAGGCACATCCATAAGAGCTGATAAGTAGTTGCTGCTATTTTGCCTGCAGAGAAATAAATAAATGGACAACAGCCTGGATTAACAAGGTGTCGGGAACCCCTTTGTCTAATCTTCACGCTTTATTTTGTTCCTCACACAGACACTGAGTCCTATAAGCTTTACACATTCCGACCAAAATATAATTTTATTAAAAAAAATCAAATTATGTGCTTCTTTTATCTCAGCATTATAGAGCAAATTTAAGCTTTCCTATTAAATACCTTTTAATATTTAAAAATCTTTGAAGTGTAAGCATTGTTTAGTCTCTTTAAGGACGGGGAAACTGAGGCACAGAGAAGTAAATATGTACATACTGGACAAGCAGAGAAGCAGCCAGGGGTGGTGAACTCCTTGTGTGGGGAGAAATAATTTGGATTTAAGTTACAAAAAACACAATGTATTGACTCATGTTTTGGACAAGCCTGGGGTTAAGGCTGCAGTCATTTTGTCTGTTTTCTTCTTATTGTGGATATTGATTTTTTTTTTTTAATAGAGAGCTCCAACTCATTAACCTAAATCTCTTTGTTGCTCAATTGATTCAGGAACAACTGGGCAAGCCTACAGAAGCCATTTCGTACACTTCCATTTCAAGGGAATGAAGAGGGAAATGTAATAACTTGGAATAAGGATGATGGCTCAGGGTAGTAGGGAGGGCAGGTTTTGAGCTCTGTATGGTGGACCCTCACTAGCCTGGCCTGAGCTATGTGAACTATTCAGTTATAGAGAGAGGGATTCAAAGAACAACCAGGAGAGCTGCTTCACTAAAAACCGTATGAGAACTGGAGACTGAGGGAAAGCCTTCCTTGGGATCCAGCATAATAGCATTGCAGGAGTGTGGTCAGAAGTTCTTTTGCCAGATGGGACGCTTGTTGGGCGTATTGGAGTGTCAGGGGGAGTGTCAGAGATTTGGCAATGGGACACAGAAAGGATTACTTACCACCCCCTGCCTTTGAGCTGTTTTACAACTCTGTAAATTGTGGGAAACTGATAATAATGCAAATGCTTCTTGCCTATAGAAACCCACAACAATTGTGTTCAGTGGAATGCAATTAATTGTTTCCCTGTGGATATGTCCTTTGCATCTAAGTTAATTGCAACATCTCTTCTCTGCCTATGCCTGTGTGATACTTTGATTCTCCTTTGAATCAATTGAAAGAAACATCTTAGTCATTATTAATAAGTAAGATACAATTATTAACAAGTGTTCTTTTTATATCTCTACAACAGACATGATTACGTGCTCTTTAAAAAAATAATATTTTAACAGTTTCGGATGTCATAGAGTGCAATGCCCAATGGACTCATCAAACAGAGAAGGGTAAAATCTGTTGCCAGAAAAGCAAGTGTGCCTCGCAGGTGGCTGCAGCCCAGACATCTCTTTTCTGGCTCACAGAGGTAAATCCCAAATGGCGAAAGAACTGTAATTTTGCTCAATATCTTCTCTAGTTTTTTTTTTTCTCCCTCTCTACTAATTTGGAGTTTTTGTTTTTTGTGTTTTTGTTGTTGTTCATTTACTCCAAACAAGTGATTCCACATTGGTGGCAGCAACGACTGGTACTTTGCCTGACTATTTTGGTGATTTCTCTAAAGTGGATTATAGAAATCTATTCTGTGTTGATAGAGAATTTGGATTAGAAATCCTTCATCTGTGTGTCATTATGTCTTTTTTGAGTTCAATTCCATTAAGAAATGCATGGTAACCAGGCAGAGTACAATTCCTTGAGATATAGTGGAAATCAAATATATTTCTACTAAATAGAGTTAATTAATTTGAAACCATCTGTATTCTTTTTTTTTTTTTTTTTTTTTTTTTGAGATGGAGTTTTGTTCTTGTTGCCCAGACTGGAGTGCAATGGCATGATCTTCGGCTCACTGCAACCTCTACCTCCTGGGTTCAAGCAATTCTCCTGCCTCAGACTGCCAAGTAGCTGGGATTACAGGCATGCGCCACCATACCCAGCTGATTTTGTATTTTTAGTAGAAACAGGATTTCTCCATGTTGGTCAAGCTGGTCTCAAACTCCTGACCTCAGGTGATCCACCAGCCTCAGCCTCCCAAAGTGTTGGGATCACAGTCATGAGCCACCGTACCCAGCCACCATCTCTATTCTTTATTCTCAGCTCCTACCCACTACCCCACCCATGTCATCACTTGTCAGGGGATGAGTATATGACTTAGGCCTGGCAAGAAATACTGCATCCCCCAGTGACTGACTCGGGATGGACATAGACCCATCTAGAGCCCATAAGGAACCATGAATCTATGCAGGACCTAAGAAAGTGGCACAGATCTGCTGCTGAATTGTATCCAAGTATCCTCACTGTGAACTTGCTGACTGGCATGTTCCCATCACATGAAACTTGAGAATGAAGGACACAGAAGAATAGGGCTAAGAGACTGGGGGAAACCTTGAGTTTTGATGACATCATCCAAGCCTCTGCCTAACCCAACTGCCTGACTGCAACCCTAACCCCAGGCTTGTCCAAAACATGAATCAATATGTTGTGTTTTCTGTAACTTAAATACAAATTATTTCTCCTCACACAAGGAGTTTGTCACCCCTGGCTCCTGCTGCTCTGCTTGCCCAGTATGTACATATTTACTTCTCTGTGCCTCAGTTTCCCCATCTGTAAAAGAGATTAAACAATGCTTACAGTTCAAAGATTTTTAAACATTGAAAGGTAATTAATAGGAAAGCTTAAATTTGCTCTATAATGCTGAGATAAAAGAAACATCACATAATTTGATTTTTTAAAATAAAATTATATTTTATTTATGTATATTGGGCTATGAGTCCAATTCACCGGGGTGGGAAGACCTACCCAATACCAGCCATCTATGAAATGGACTCTCACCACACTTAAATCTGTGGGTGACTCTATCTTGGACTTCCCAGCCTTCAGAACTGTGAAATGAACTTCTGTTATTTAGAAGCTACCCAGTTTACAATATTTTGTTATAGCAACACAACAGGAAAACACAGTGGCACTGTGGCCCTCCCAGGCAGGACACTGGCACGTGGTGCAGATCCTCATCCTTCTATTCCAAAGTCCAGGGAGCCTGTGCCACCCTTGGGCAACCCCCCTCGTTTGACCCAGCACCCTCTCAGCAACACCCAGATAACTTTTTCTCCCACGAGGGAGCCTGCCTCAAGGGGTGTAAAACCACTTTTTCAACTTCTATTTGGGGCCAGAAAACTGAAAAACTAATAACAACCACCCCCTCCCCGCCCCAGACCAAAAGCCTTAAACTTTCTAGACAAGAGGAAGGCAAAATTCCCTTTGCATCCTCTGCAGTCTCCTAGAGAGAAGACAGCAATGAGCAGCTTGGTAAATGGTCCTACCCCAGCTGTGAATTACCTAAGGCAAGGTAAGTGGGTAGATCAGGAATCCTTACAAGGGAAGCCACACCTTCCATCAGTGTCCACTCACATCCCTCCCACCTGAGAAGGAGTAATAATCAACCCCTCTCCAGACCTCATTCTTCCCAGAAAAGGCCAGACCCTGACTCTCAGGGGAGAGGTAATGAGAAAGCTGCTAATGTCCCTGAACTAACCCCCCATCTCTCAATGGACATCCAAACCTGTCCCTGTGACCCCACTGTGGCGTGCAGGGTTAATAGAACTTCCTGATGAAAAGGCTCTGCCTTTGTTTTCTGCTTCTGTAACAGAATACCACAGACTGAGTAACTTATAAGCAAGAGAAATTGATGTCACTCATGGTTGTGGAGGCTGGTAAGTCCAAGAGCATGGCACTGGCATCTGATGAGTGTCACCCTGTGGTAGAAGGAAAGTGGGCATGGGAGACAGAGAGAAAATCTGGCCGAACTGCCTTTTTTTTTTTTTTTTTTTTTTTTTTTTTTTTTTTTTTTTACGGGAACCCACTCCTGCACTAAGAAGATTAACCCATAAAGGAGAGCAGAGCCATCATGACCTTGTCACCTCTTACAGGTCCCATCTCTCAGCACTGTTGCATGGAGGATTAAGTTTCCAACACATGAATATTAGTGGCCACATTCAAACCATAGCAGGCTCCAAAGCCAGAGCCTCCTTCCCTACTGATTCTTGTACAGTTCTTGCTATTAAAAGCCTCCCTGGGGTATACTCCAAAGAGCAATAGCCTGCTACATGGAACCTGGATACACAGAGAAATGTGTGGTCCCAGCAGGCCCACCCCAGGTGCTGGTCCAGCCATGGCTTTGGGCTGCTCTGCATTTGATATGGGGTGTAAGACTGTTATTGGGTGTCTCAAGAGGCACCCCTCTTTGTGTGCAGGATCAGCAGCTGCCCTTGAGGCCCAGTTCTGCAGGGGGTAAACGACCATATGGTAAGCTTTGGCTGAGAGCACAGGCCTGCAGAGAGATTTTTAGTCAAGCATGTTCATTTCCCCAGCAGTACTCAACTAAAAAATTCCTTACTCTTGGGCTCTCCTGATTTTCCTTGCAAGCAAGAGTTAGGAAATGATGGGGCAAACCATGCTGGGAGCAGAGCGAGCCTGGGGTGGGGTGGCCACTCATGGACTTTCTGCCTTCTCA
Source organism: Homo sapiens (assembly GCF_000001405.40). NCBI lineage: Eukaryota > Metazoa > Chordata > Mammalia > Primates > Hominidae > Homo > Homo sapiens. The sequence goes on along the minus strand of NC_000010.11, from coordinate 44,201,647 downwards.
TTGACACAGGTCTCCTATTAGCCTTTAGCCCTGTATTCATTTCTTTTTTTCCTTTTTTTTTTTTTTTTTTTAAAGACAGAGTCTCGCTCTGTCACCCAGTCTGGAGTGCAGTGGTGCGATCTTGGCTCACTGCAACCTCCACCTCCCAGGTTCAAGTGATTCTCCTGCTGCAGCCTCCCAAGTAGCTGGGATTACAGGCATGCACCACCACCCCTGCCTAATTTTTTTGTACTTTTTGTAGAGACGGGGTTTCTCCATGTTGGTCAGGCTGGTCTCGAACTCCTGACCCCAGGCAATCCGCCCACCTCGGCCTCCCAAAGTGCTGAGATTACAGGCATGAGCTACTGCACCCGGCCAGCCCTGTATTCATTTCTAGGGCTGCCACAACAAAGCACCAGAAACCAGGAGGCCTGAAGAACAGAGATGTATTGCTTCACAGCCCTGGTGGCTGGACGTCCAAGGTCACTGTGTCAGCAGGGTTGTTTCCTCAGAGGCCTCTGCTGGCTTGTGGGTGGCTGTCTTCTCCCTGTGTCTCTTCACATAGCCTTGCCCCTATGTGTGTCTCTGTGTCCAGATTTCCCCTTCTTATGAAGATGAAAGTCATGTGGGATTAGGAACCTCATTTTAACTTGATTACATCTGTCTTTACTTTATCTCCAAATCAGGTCACATTCTGAGCTACTAGGGGGTTAGGATTTCAATATATAAATGTGGAGGGACACAACTTGACCCTTCATAGGCCCCCTGTGTGTAAGTCCTGTCTCATTGCCTCAGAATGTAGGTCTCTGGAGATAAGCAAAATCTGGTGCCCAGGAACAACTTTCTCTGTGACCCAAAACCAACTAGTGCACCCTTTGAAGCCACCACTTCTCAATGGTGTGAAGTCCCTGAGCCTCAGATACAGGAACATGGCATGGGGCTAGGAGTCACACCTGCTGAGGTCTCACCTGGGTCCTTCACCTACTGATGGACTGGGTCCCTCTGAACTTCCACCAGGGAGAATTAAATGTGTGTTATGAGCAGATCTGTCGCAGAATCCGATGAGGAGGGGCAGAGCACAACCTCCCTAGGCGGCAGGACTTCCTTGCTGCATGAACCCACCCCACACTGGCCCCACTAATGACTGCTTTTCTAGACCCAGGAACTAGGATAGGGTGAGGAGATTGGGGTGAGGCCAGGACGGGCCACGCTGCCTGAATATTTCCAGGTCATGGGGACCCACACGCACCTTTGCGTCTTCCTTTGGTGGCTCTGACTCCTTTAATACCTTCTCTGTGGTATTAAAGAGAGGCGCCACCTCAGCCCTTCAGAGGAAGAGAGTGGGAGGCCGTTGGATGCCCCAGATTATGTCAAATTCCATGAGCTGAGTAAAAGGCCAGGGAGAGCCTGGAACCACTCGGCTGGAGGCCAGAACCTCACTGTGGTTCATTTGCTGTGGTGTCCCTAGAGGGGGACCGTCATGGCTCCAAAAAGTGCACGAAGATCATGAGGTGAGACCCAACCCTGATGGGCAAACTGTGCCAAGGACAAGACCTGGCATGTTGTCATCAAGTATGGCTGGAGGGAGGCTCCAGGATCATCTTCCCTAAAGACAGCAATGTCATTAATGGCAACATCCATGCACATGTTGTCCTTGTTCTCAAGGTTAAATCCATGCACAGCTCCACAGGAGGGTTTCCCCTGTGCTCCACATGGACCTGGCCAGGCGTGGAGAGGAGCCTGCCTGGAGGAAGTTGTGTGTGACGAAACAGCCGTCTCATTTCTTCCCACTTGCAGTGACCTCCTTCTTTTGTCTCTATCATTCCACTTTCCCTCACTCTCCAGGTCCCATGTGGCTGCACCATGAACATTTCCACCATTAATGGGTGAGAGGTCTTTCTTTTCTGCCATGAAGAGACCCAGCCAGGTACCACGGAGAAACCCAGAGTGAAAAACTCATGGTCAAGTTCCAAGTTGTTCCCAGACAAATGAACACCCCAGCACAACAGGGCCTCTTCCTAGGCCTTGCCCCACCTGCAGAGCAATGGCCCATCCCAAATACCATCTCCTCCCTCAGTAGCACCCAGCTCTGTGTCCACCCGACACTGGCTATGTTTCCTAAGTACAAAAAAAACACACTGTTTTCAGGAAAAGGGTCCTGTCCCTGAGCTCATTTGGCACTGGGCTGTCATGGTTGGAGGATTGTGCAATCAGACCCCGGGTTCGGGGGACATTTTCATGTCACTGGTTTGAATCCCATTTCCATCCAGTGGCTGGAGTGTATTCTCAGTGCTACTATATGGAGAGACATAAGGATTTCTCACCCAAGACTGAATGTAGATTTCTCTTCTGAATATGAGAAGTCACTCAGCTCTGCTAAGATTTTCCTCTGCCCTTCCTGTCCTCTGGCATTGTACCTTTGGGAGAAACAAGAAGGCAGAAAGGAGACTGCTTTGCCCCCTCAACTCTCCTGGGTCTACAGTGCCACTAGAAGCTAGCCAAGTCACCACCCAACTCTCCTCATGCCTGTATCACTCACTGAGGACTGTGTGTATGCTCACTGGGGTGAAATAGAAGGGAAGGGAGGTCACTGATGGACACTTTCTTTGGAGCAGGGGTGGACAAGTCCCAGGACAGCTGCCCTGAGAGCCACCCACCTACATACCCACGGAGCAAGAAGGCCCACAGGCTGCTCTAGAGGTCATGCTTGAAGAGGCAGGGCACGGGCAGATGTTGTTCATTGTCATTACTAGTAAGCACAGAGGCAGGGAACAGGCCCATGACCTCAGCCTCCCCAGCGGCAGCTGTTCCTCACCAAGAGATCCAGGGCCAGAGACTGCTCACTCACTTCCAAATTCAGAACGCAGCTACCCTCAAACTTCCAGATTCTACATTTTGTGATACGGAGGCTACCCGTCTCTTTCATTTCTGGCAGGATGAGTTGGAGAATTTCTGGTCCTGTTAGGCCTGTGTGACCCAGCCCTCCCCACTCTGCCCACACACAGCTGTGCAAGGTTTCAGACAGTGAGGAGCAGAGGGAAGAACAGACTGAACCCAGCCCTAGGGTTGAGTCTTCATCTCTTACTTTGACAAGCTTCTGAGTATTTTTGTTGTACTTTTCCTATCATTTTTTTTGCCCAATGCAAGAGTTAGAACAAACTTAGATATTACAAAAACAGGTCGTCTTAGTAGGTGGAAAGCAGGAACCCTGGCTGGTGGTGGCTGTGTGAAGATAACCTCAGCCACCTTCCATGAACCCAGGCACCCTCTTGAAGCCTCAGCAGGCACTCAGTGCAATCTGAGGCCAGGCCCTTCCTCCAGAGCCCAAGCTCCTGGCCTGCCCTGAGAATGAACCACATATGGAATGGACAGACAAGATGCCTTTCTCTTAGGTTTTCTTACCAAAATAAACAAATGCATTTGGGAAGATTAAATCCCCTTAATCATGAGAGTGAGAGACCATTCTCTGCAGAGAAACTCCCTAGTCCGAGGGCTAAGGGAGTTTCTGTGACAGGATGAAAACATTTATTTGAGTGAAATTTTCTTCATAGGTGAGAATGGAGGAGGACTTTTGTTGAGACACACATCCCAGAAGACAGCACCTGGGCCAGCAATGACACCCTGCCTCCCCTAGCCCCATTGCTGCATCCTGGAGGGTCCTGAAAGGTCCCAGCCTCCCAGGGGCAGGAAGGGAAGGCACCTTGGCCACAGTTGTTGGAGCTGAGACCACATGATTTTCCTGGTGTGTCTGTCTCCAACTCTTACCTACCACTTCCTGCCTAGAAAGTTCCAGACTTGGAACCTGCGTGAATGTGGCCCTTGTCTTTTGCTTTGCCCAGGGGTGGGTTGACATGATTTTACATGTGGGAGACCCAGAAGTCACATGATAGATGTCAAGAGTCAGGAGGAAGAAGACCCTGGGAAGGGAGAGAGGGAGGCAACAGCTATGTGCACATCACAAGGCTTGGCAAGATGAGGGGCATCCTCCAGTCGGATGGCCGTAGTTCTCTGCTTTCCTTGCATTTGGAAAAAAGAGTCCAGTAAGCTTGCACCTTAAGAAAAGGCAATAGTGTCGATGCACTTGGACAGAAGATTGGTATCCTATTGCGGAGGCTGTGAATGCCCAGAAGACTAAGCCCGTCACCGAGGTCTCCTCAAAAGCACTTCTGAGCAAGCTGCATTGGTGCCTCCCTCTCCCTCCGCCTTCCGACTTCCAAATTCTATCACCTCATGTTTAATTTCACGTTGTCAAGGTTAACATTCTTCTTTTCGTTTGTATAGTTTATTAAACACTTGTATCCTGCCATCTCTGTGCCTGGTGCTATTCTAAGCACTTTAGAAAAACTAGCCCATGGCCAGGTGTGGTGGCTCATGCCTGTAATGCCACCACTTTGGGAGGCTGAGGTGGGAGGATTACTTGAGCCTCAAGAACAGCCTGGGCAATGTAGTAAAATGCTGTCTCTACACAAATAATAAAGAAAAATTAGCCAGGCATGGTGGCATGTGCCTGTTGTACCAGCCACTTGGGAGGCTAAGGTAGGAGGATTGCTGGGCGGTCAAGGCTACAGTGAGCTGATATCGCACCATTGCACTTCAGCCTGGGCAACAGAGCAAGACCCTGTCTGAAAAGAAAGGAAAACAAAACAAAACAAAACAAAACAAAACAAAAGACGTATTAGCTCATATATAGAATCTAACAAAGTTGATCTCATGGAGGCAGAGAGTAGAATGATGGTTATCAGGGGGTTGGGGAGTGGTACTGGGGGATTGGGGAGATGTTGATCAAAGGATAGAAAATGTCAGTTAGATAAAGGAATAAGTGGATGTATAGTGTTCCTACCACAAATATCATATCTAGGTGGGGTGATGCACATGTTAATTAGCTAGATTTAGTCATTCCACAATGTATGTACACTTCAAAACATCATGTTGTACTCAATAAATATATATATAATATTAGCTATCAATTTAAATAAACATTTTAATAACTTAAAAAACAAAATATCAATTCAATCACTTCTCTGACAAGAGTCCTTGCTGGAGTTGCTGTTCCTGCCCTCGTGCTCTGATGAGGAAACCTGAGGGCGCAGAGGCTGAGGCCTTGCTGAAGGTTGCATGCCTGCTGGCTCCGGTGACAGCTCACGCTCTTGTGACCTGCAGGCCAGCTCTCCTCTCCTCCTCTCTGCCTTCAGCCCCGCTCACCTGCTCTCCCTGCACTCCCTCCAGGGACTCTTCTCATCCCCAGATCTCCACTAGTTCCTTTCTTTCATCACATTGATGTCTATCTTGTGCCAGGCCTTGTGTACAAGCTGGGACCCACCACAAGCTTTTCAGACTTGGCTGGCGCCCGGTGGGCTCCCAGTGCAGAGGGAAGCATGTGAGTAACCAGGTGTCACTGCCCCTGAGGTCTACTCAGCACCTCACAGCCCATGGATACCTTGCAGAATTAGTACAAGCTGTTCCTTTCTCCAAGCACATAGCAAATCCCATCACAATGTGTACCTGTGACAACCCCAAATGTGAACTGCATTCTGTGTGAAGCCTCCACAGCTGCAGGTGGAGACCTACAGAAGGGGCATATGGGTTGGGGGCCTGTCCAAGCCTGGGGAAGGGTCAGCCACGCTTCTCACTGGAGAGCACCTCTGCAAAGTGCCAGCTTAGCCGTTCCTTTGTGATAACAATAGTGGAGCGTTCTATGCCCTTGTCCACACCTGGGTGTTTACAGAGGAAAATCACTAAAGAGCATTTGTGACTATGACCACATAAATACTGTTCGTGACAGAATCCACACTCAGTCCTTGGGCCACTGTAAGGAGCATGACTCTAGAGCTGGACTTGAACTTGGACACCAGAGTTCTATCTGCTCCAAAACCATTAAGTTATTCTGCCTTCCAGTTTGCCAGGATGGGCTGGCAAGTTGTTTCAAAAGTAAACACAGCAGAGTCTTTTATTTTTTTAAGCAATGTTAGATGTTTCCTGTTCCAAAGTGCACACCGCAGCCCCTGGGCTCCATGCCTGATTTTCTCCAGGGCAGACATCTGGAGGATGACTCAGAGACCCACAAAAAGAGATGTCTGCAGGCTGGGCCCTGCAACCCTGGGCACCCCAGTGGGATACCCCAGAAGTGAGCAGTTATTATCTCTTGTGTTGACAGTGGCATGTGCTGGAGCCATCCCTAAAGACTAGAGGGAAGGAAGGAGAGGCCCCCGGCCCCTCCTGAGAGGCCACTTAACTTCCCCAGCCACTGTGGGTCAAATGGCTTTTCTTGTTATCTGGAGGCCTGGACACTCACACTAGTGCCCTTATCCTCTTCCCTCCACTCGCTCTCTTTGTTCTAAGCCTTTCAATGCTGGGTCCCCTGCTTTGTGGACCATATAGGGATCTGGGCATTTTCACCTCCCACCTCCTCTGGTTCGCTCCTCTATCTCTCTCTGCGAGAGAGGGAAAAGAAAGCAGAGTGAGGACTCAGGCACCACACAGATAAGCCTGTCTGACACGCCTGGCTCATTTTCTGACAGAACAGCAAAAGGATGGAATGGCTTCAGCTCTGGGTTCACCTTGCCTGACTCTTCTTCCAGAAAATTGAAAGCAGCAGAGGACCCACAAGATTACTGTCATGAGCCCCCAACAGTCCTATTACAGAGGGAAAGAGCAACTGAGGCCAGGTTGGAGAAAGGACCGCTTCCCAGTGTGGGCTGAACTTGTCCCACAAAATCCATGTGTTGAAATCTTGATCCCCATTTCACAGAATGAGACTGCATTTGGAGGGAAGACCTTTAAAGAGGTGATTAAGGTAAGATGGAGTTGTTGCGGGGGCCTAATCCCATATGACTGGAGTCCTTATAAGAAGAGGATATTAGGACACAGGCACACACAGACCACGTGAAGATACAGGGAGAAGGCAGCATCTGCAAGGCAAGGAGAGAGGCCTTAGGAGAAACCAACCTTGCAACACCTTGATCTTGGGCTTCCAGCCTCCAGCATGGTGAAAAAATACATTTCTGTTGCTTAAGCCACACAGCTGGTGGCTTCTTGTTATGGCAGCCCTAGCAGACTAATACACCCCTAAATTACACAAGAGGAGGTGGCAGTGGAGAAGTCCCTGGGGCTGACCCCAGCTTTCTGCTCTGTCCCACTGCCACTGTTTCATTGTCACTGGAAGCATTTCTCTTCTCTTTTAGGGAAGCATGCAGCACATGTATACACACATGCACACACACACACACGTGCATCCTGAAGGATAAGTATGTAGTTATTCAGGTGGAGAAAAAGAATAAGAAATTATGTAAAGGAAAGGAAACAGCTCCAGCAACATGTGGGGGAGCTGCAGCCCTGTGGGTGGGCTCAGGAGAAGCCCCCCAGCTCTAGGCAACCTTAGGAAAAGCTGGAGAGGGTCAGGAGACCAGGTGAGAGGCAGGCAGGGTGGGACCCAGGCACATCCAGGTTCCAAGGGAGGATCTGAGACTTCATCCTGCAAACAATAGGTTCCATAAGGGATTTTAGATGGAATGACGTGGTCAGCTTCAGTCTCAGGCTGAAGAGGAGACCTGGACGTTGGATGGAGCCTGGAAGCAGACTGCCCAGTAGCCCCTTCAATGACGGCCTGGGTAGCAGAGCAGCAATAGTGAGCTGAGGGCCTGTGAGGCATCCTGCCCTCCCTGCCTCCTTGTGGCCCCCCAGAGCAAGTGGGACAGTCCCAGGGAGGGCAGGTGGCTCTGCAGCCGCACAGCAGGGGACCGTGCAGCCCCTAGGGGAAGGAGGTGGCACCCAGCCCTGTGGATTATTTTCTATCAGAGCTCAAAGAGGAAAGCAGTCTGCAAAGTTGAAGAGTAGTTGAGATCTCATGTGTTTGAAAGCAATCCCTGTACAAAACACCAAGAGACTTTATAGAAACATTAGGAGGCAGCAGCTTCCCTGTTGGTAAGAGTTCACTCTCAAATAAAATCCACATGTTATTTATGTTCTTTGACCCAGCTGTTAGCTCCCTATAGATATTGAGATATAAGAATAATCTGGTAGTAATATTATTCCATTTGGAGTGGATTCTTTGTTCTTAAGCTAAAAGGTGATTAAGGGAAAGATCCACCAGGAGGTATTAAGGGGCTTGAGTAGCTTGGATGAAGATGGGTGAGGTAGCACATAGAAGCCATCCACACAAGATTGCAGAAACAGTAGAGCTGCATGTCTAGCAAGTCTTTATTGCTTTTCAATAACATGATAACATTCCTATAAAAGTAATTTATAGATGGACTCAAGGCAAAGCTGGGAAGCTGAGCCTGTGGGTTTTAGAGAAGAACCCACAAGCTCCAACCGGGAATTGTATTGGGTTTGTTTTTCACGGTTGAGGCCGCTGCTCTTTGCTCTCAGATTTCAAACTGAGATGCACTGGCTGCATGCTAATGCAGGAGCAGCAGCCCAGCTATGAGCTCCATGAGTCAGGAAGGAACCTAGAGAATTTTCACATTCCCAGGTTCAAAACTGTGCAGAGGCAGGTGATTGCCAGGAACTTTGTGTTTGGTGAAGTGATGCCCTTAAGGGAGGAGGCTGGGACCCAATGCACATGGGCCTCAGGGACCCAGCAACTGGGAGCAGCCAGGCCCCGCAGGTTGGCATTTGCCTTTACTTGTGGGCATGCGTAGACGTGGGAGTGGTTTCACAAATGGCATGAAGTGAAACAGGCAAATCTCACCTATTTTCTGACAGCAGCACTGTGATTCTTAATATTGGATAGGAAACTAGAGTTTGTGGCTGATGTAAAGGAGTAAATCTAGTCTGAGAATAGGAAATAAAAAGCCTGGTTATTTGGTAACATGTACCTTAGACCTCCAGACCTTGGCAGGCTCAGGCGTGTTGAGGGGAGCACCCAGGCCTGAGAACTGTGTGTGCAAAGGTCCTGGACAGAAAAGAGTTTGGTTGGCTTTAGGTGAAGAGAGAAGACCGCTGTGGCTGAAGCCCATTGAGTGAGAGTGTCCAGACAGAAGATGGAGCCTCAGCCTTCAAGGCATTGTGGGCCATGCTAACAGCTGACGGAAAGTTATCTGCCGTGGTGTGGGCAAAGTACAGAGAGCAGGACCAATGAAATCATTCTCCAGAGGCCCCGGCAGTGCTGAGAAAGCCTCAGGCTTGGGGACAGAGCCACTGGAAAAGAAGACCCTCCCTTCTCTGGACCCAAGCTCCTTCCCACAGGTGGCACATGGCCATGCTGAGACGGACACAGTGGACCTCATTGTGGTGACTGAGTGGAAGAGTTTCTGGAACATTCCCAGGCACCTGCTCACCACCATCCAACCTCTCAGCCACCCGAACCCAAAGAGAATCCTTTCTTCACATTTTCCCATCTTTCTGCCTTTCCTTCCTCTGTTTTTCTCTTCCTGCTGTCCTCTTTCCTCATCTCTCCATCTTTTCTTCCATCCTTCTCCTCTTCATTTTTTTTATTTTTAAATATACTTTACTTTTGAGAGCAGTTTTAGTTCACAGCAAAATTGAGTGAAAGTACAGAGAGTCACCATCCTGACACGTCCACAGTGTACATTAGGACGCAGTGTACATTAGGAGTACGCAGTGTACATTAGGGCTCATCTTGGTGTCGCACAACCCTATGGGTTTGTACAAATTTATCATGACATTTATCCACTGTTAGGATATTGTACAAAGTAGTTTCACCGCCCTAACATTTCTCTGTTCTCTGCCTATTCATTCCTCCCTCCCCACTAATCCCTGGCAACCACTGATCTTTTTACTACCTCCATAATTTTGCCTTTCCAAGAGTGTCATATAGTTGGAATCATACAGTATGTAGCCTTTTCAGATTGGCTTCCTTCACTTAGCAGTATGCCTTTAAGTTTCTCTCATGTCCTTTCATGGTTTGATAGCTCCTTTCTTCTTAAGCACTGAATATTAATCCATTGTCTGGATGTACCACAGTTTATCCATTCAGCTATTGACATCTTGATTGTTTCCAAGTCTTGGCAATTATGAACAAAGCTGCTATAAATATCCATGTGCACGTTCCTGTGGACACTGATTTTCAATTCCTTTGGGCAAATACCAAGGAGTGTGATCGATTGCTGAATCATATGCTAAGAGTATATTTAGTTTGTAAGAAACTGCCAAAGTCTCTTCCAAAGTGGCTGTACCATTCAGCAATGAATGAGAGTTCCTGCCACTCCCCATCCTTGCCAGCATTTGGTGTTGCCAGTGTTTTGGATTTCAGCCATTCTAACAGGTATGTAGTGGTATCTCATTGCTGTTTTAATTCTCTTTATTTTCTAACATCTTTATTGAGGTGTGATTTACATAGCATACACTGACACATTTAAAGTGTACAATTCGATGTTCGACCTACTCATACACTCATGAAGCCATCACCACAGTCAAGACAGAAGACATGTCTCCCCACCAAATGTTTTCTTATACCTATTTGTAACCCATCCCTCTACTCTGCCCCATGCCTGGTCAATTCAACCGATCTTCTTTCTGTCACTAACGATTAGTTTTCATTTCCTGGAGTTTATATGAATGATGTGCCTACACGATGTGCCCTTTTAAGTCTGGCTTCTTTCACTCAGTGTAATTATTTTGAGATTCAGCTGCATTGTTTTATGTATCAATATTTCATTCCTTTTCATTGTAGAGTAGTGTTATTACATGGACATACCACAATTTGTTTATCCTCTGATATGTTGATGAACAGTTAGGTTGTTTTCAGATTTTGGCTATTACAAATAAAAAGCTGTATCAACTTTCATGCATAAGTCTTTGTATAGACATGTATTTTCATTTCTTTTAGGCAAATGCCTAGGAATGAAATAGCTGGATCACTTGGTAAGCATATGTTTAACTTTTTAAGAAACTGAGAACTGTCTTCCAAAGTGATTGTACCATTTCACATCCCTCCTCCCAGACAATGTATGAAAGTTCAGCTTCCCCACATCCTCACCAGCACTTGGTATGGTCACTCTTTTTATATGAACCCTTCTAATAAGTGTGTATGGTATCTCAGTATGGTTTTAATTTGCATTTTCCAAATTACTAATGATGTTGACCATCTTTTCTTCTGTTATTTGCTCTTTGCTGAAGTGTCTGTTTTCCCTATTCTTTTTTTTTAACATAGGGCCTCCATTCTTTTTTTTTTTTGGTTTGCTTTTTAATTTTTTTATTATTTATTTATTTATTATACTTTAAGTTCTAGAGTACATGTGCACAGGTGTGCAGGTTTGTTACATATGTATACATGTGCCATGTTGGTGTTCTGCACCCATTAACTCATCATTGACATTAGGTATATCTCCCAATGCTATCCCTCCACCCTCCCCCAACCCTGCGACAGGCCCCAGTGTGTGATGTTCCCCACCCTGTGTGCAAGTGTTCTCATTGTTCAATTCCCACCTATGAGTGAGAATATCCAGTGTTTGGTTTTTTGTCTCTGTGATAGTTTGCTGAGAATGGTGGTTTCCAGTTTCATCCATGTCCCTACAAAGAACATGAACTCATCCTTTTTTATGGCTGCATAGTATTCCATGGTGTATATGTGCCACATTTTCTTAATCCAGTCTATCACTGATGGACATTTGGGTTGGTTCCAAGTCTTTGCTATTGTGAATAGTGCCACAATAAACATATGTGTGCATGTGTCTTTATCGTAGCATGATTTATAATCCTTTAGGTATATACCCAGTAATGGGATGGCTGGGTCTAATGGTATTTCTAGTTCTAGATCCTTGAGGAATCGCCACACTGTCTTCCACAATGGTTGAACCAGTTTACAGTCTCACCAACAGTGTAAAAGTGTTCCTATTTCTCCACGTCCTCTCCAGCACCTGTTGTTTCCTGACTTTTTAATGATTGCCATTCTAACTGGTGTGAGATGGTATCTCATTGTGGTTTTGATTTGCATTTCTTTGATAAGGGCCTCAATTCTTTTACTGGGTTGTTTGTCTTCTTATTAACTTCTGAGGGTCCTTTATATACCGAATACAAGATATGTATTAGATAGTTGATCAACAAGTATTTTCACCTGGTAATGACTTGTCTTTTCATTCTTTTCTCAGTGTTTTTCAAAAATCAGAGTTTTTAATATTGTCAAATTTAATAAAGTCAAATTTATCTAATTTATCTCTTTTTTTGAGACAAGTTCTCACTCTGTCACCCAGGCTGGAGTTCAGTGGTGCGATCACAGCTCACTGCAGCCTCAACCTCCCATGCTCAAGTGATCCTCCCATCTCAGCCCTCTGAGTAGCTGGGAACAGAGGCACACGCCACCATGCCTTGTTAATTGATTTATTATTTGTAGATATGGGGGTCTCTCTATGTTACCCAGGCTGGTCTCCAACTCCTGGGCTCAAGCAGCCCTCCTGCCTTAGCCTCTCAAAGTGCTAGGATTACAGGTGTGAGCCACCATGCCCAGTCAGATTCATCTTTTTTTTTTTTAATGGACTTTACTTTTGATGTCATAGCAAAGAAATCTTTGTTTAACACAACATTAAAAAGATTTACTTCTGTTTACTTCTGGAATTTTTAAATTTGGGGGTTTTGCATGTAGACCTGTGAGCTATTTTGAAGTCATTTTTGTATACGTATCAAAGTTCATTATTTTTGCATATAGTGATCCACTTGTTCCAACACCATTTGTTTAAAAGACTATGCTTTCTCCAACGAATTGACTTTGCACTTTTTTCAAAAGTTGGTTGTACCATTTATGTGTCAGTCTATTTCTGGACTCTCTTCTGTTACTCCGATGTATTTTTTTAATCTTATGCCAATACCACACTGTTTTGATTACTCTAGCTTTCTGATAAATCTTAAAACTAGTTTGTATCAACCTTGTAACTTTGCTCTTGTTTTTCAGTGGTCCTTTGGTGATTCTAGATCCTCTGTATTACCACATGAATTTTTAGAACCAGCTTGTACATTTCTACCCAAAAACTCCTTCTGGAATTTGGATTGGGATTTCACTGAAACTATAGAAAAAGTGATATCATGATAATATAGACCCTTCTAATCTATAAACAAGTTTTACCTTTCCAATTATTTAGTTCTTTTTACATTTTACTGAGTAATATTTTCTAATTTTCAGTGTATAGGTTTTTTGTATCTTTTCTGATATTTATCACCAAGTATTTAATATTTTTGATGCCATTTTAAACAGTACTGTTTTAAATTTTTTGAATATTTTGTTGTTCATTGTTAATATATAGAAATACAATTGGCTTTTGTGTGTTAGCTTGTATCATACAAACGTGCTTATTTACTAGTTCTAGTAGCTTTTCGTAGATTACATCAAAGTTTAGTCATCTGTAAAGAAAAAACTGTTTTGCCTCTTCTTTTCCAAGATGGATGCATAGGCTAGAAACTTCAATGAATGTTGAATAGCAGTTATGAGACTAGGTATCTTATCTTGTCCTAATAGCAGGAAGAAAGCATTCCATTTTTCACTAATCAGTACTATACTAGCTATATAGTATTTCACTATCAGTACTATACTAAGCTACTATACTAGTTTTTTGCAGATATTCTTTATGAGGTTGAGAAATTCCTTTCTGTTACAGTCTGCTGAGAGTTTATCAGGAATGGCAGGAATGGATGTTAGCTTTTGTTCAAAAAAATACACATATTTAAATGATCATATGGTTTTTCTTTTCTAGTTTATTCATACAGTAAATTCGACTGATAGATTTTCAAATGTTAAATCAACTCTGTATTTCTGGGATAGATCTAATTTGGCCATAATGTATATCGTTTTTGTTTATCATTGAATTTGATTTGCTAAAATTTTGTTTAGAATCTCTGCATCTTGTTTCATGGAAGATATTCACCTTTAGTTTTCTTTTCTGGTCGTGTCTTTAACTAGGTTTGTATCAGGGTAATGCTGGCTTCAAAGAATGAGTTAGGAGAAATTCCATTCTCTTCAATTTTCTAGAAGTATTTGTATAGAATGAGTATCATTTCTTCTTTGGTGGAACTCACCAGGGAAGCTCTATGGAACTGGAGTTGTGTTTTTTTTTTTGTTGTTTGTTTGTTTTTGTGGGAAGGTTTTTTGTAATCATAAATTCAATGTATTCATTAGATCCCAGGTTCTTTGGATCACCCACCTGTTTCTGAGGGAGCTGTACAGTTATGCACTATGATGCTCTATGACAAAAATAGATGAAGGAACAGAGGAATGGACAATGGCTCACTGTTTGGAGACTGATGTTTATGTCTGCGCCAAAATGATGAAGAGTCCTAGGATGGGAAAAGAAACCTCCTGGCTGCAGGTGTTCTCAGAACTAGAGAAGCTGGTGCCCCATATTGCCACCCCTTTCCTTATGAACCCTGCACCCACCAGCCAACAAGGCCACGTGGCCTTAATCAAAGGGGACACTAATCTGTTGCCCAGGCCATGGAGATGAAAGGTCTCATGGGGTTGGTGATCCTATCAGGTTGTAGAGCCTCTTTGAGAGCATCAGCCTTTACACATGTCCCCTCTCTCTCTGGAGAAATAATTGGTGTCCCTTCATCCCCTGCCACTTCCCTGCTGTTCCTTCCAAGATGAAGCATGAAGCCTTGGTGATGGGTAGTACCAGTAGAGAGATGCCCCCAATAAGACAACTAGTGCTGTGTTTGCCTCTGGACCTAAGGTATGCTGCTTTCCTGACAGCCAGATGCAATGGGGTGCACAGTGTAAGTGAGGGGTGCACAGTATAAGTGTGGTGAGAGTGGACTGTTCTGCAGTCGAGGAGCTGACAAAAAGCAAATAGCTTCAGCCTGTTTGTGTCTGGGGTTTCCTTGGTCCCAGGTTCTGGTAAAGGAGGAAGGCTTCTTGGTCAAGAGCCCACCTGGACACTGGCCTGAGGTGCACAATGATCACAATTGTCATTGCCGGAAAAAAACAACTTCATAATGGGTTTCTGGAACGGTTACCGCCAGATTTTTATTAAAGAAATCAAAGCCAAAAGTTTCCCTTTAAAACATGCATGGTGAAGGGAAAATTTTAAAAACAGCTGCCTACTGAGCTATCACTTCAATATAAAGCAAATGGTGCTTCAGGCACAAAACGCCAGGTCTATTTTGCACCTCCTCCCCAGGAGAGCTGGAAGAGTCTCAACAAGGTGCTGTCCACTACTGGACAGCTCTGCTCTGCGTGTGTGCCCCAGCCACTGCCCACCCAACTGCATTGGACCAAAGGGCCTCTGGGCTCTGACATTCTCATTAAAAAACAAAAGCCACAGACCTGGAGCCAGTGTTTGAAATAGGAAACCAAAATAATCATTGGTCGAGGTTGTAGGATCTCCAGCTGGACTTGCAGATGCTTTCCTGTCTTGCAACACACACCCCTAGTTTGGCCAGAATCATCACCCCCTACATTCTCTGAAAGTGCCTCTTCCCATGGATAGAGAAAGAAGGCAATGCTTGTGTTGCAGTTTTTCTGCACTTTTTCTGTTGCCACTGGATTCTGAATGTCCCACCAGGGAGCTTCATGGGCCATTTGTTTAACATGAGCATCAGATGAACACTAACAAATATACATAGGTGAAAGTTTTGAAATCACAGAGGTTCTTATGTCAATATTCCCAAATATTCAATCTCTCTGTGCCCCCTTTCCACCCACAGATAAATACCACCACAAATGAAGGGGTGAGACCAGTAGGGATTGACAAGGGGTGGGCTTTGAGGGGGCTCCCTCTCCTGCCACGCAATGCTCTTCCCTCACTTCCACAGGAGTCAAGGAGAGTGTCTTATGCATCCTTGCATTTCCTGTCATGCCCAGCACAGCGCCTGGCACACAGCTGAGGCTGAGCACAGGTCAAATACATTAGCTGGTTTTTTTACTGTTTTATATTTTGAGACAAAAAAAAAACACAGTGAATAATCTCAGGTGAGTTGAATTCACTGCATTCATGATAGCCTATAAGCTAAAAAAATCTTACTCATTTTTTTCCAAATTATTTGCTGGGTATCCAAACTTATCCATCCAGCACCAATCTTAATACTTTTATTTTTGTCTTTGTCCTGTAAGGTCATTTCTTCTTTTATAAAATGGAAACGTCCCCTTTCCCCTGAGAAGCATAGAGAGGAACGTGGGAGACAGATGGACTGATGCATTGCTGTGCGAGTCACCCTCAGGGGGGTCGGGGAAGCCTCTGGTCCCTCTCGTTCCATCTCCACTGCCATGCCAAGGTGCGTGTCCCTTGACACTGTGCACCTGTCTCCTTTCACTTCTTTTTCTTTTCTTTATTTCTTAATTCCTACTTTTTTCCTTCCTTTCTCCCTCCTTCATTTTCTTCTTTCCTCCCTCTCTCCCTCCCTTCCTCCTTTCCTTCCTTCTTCCTTCTTTTCTCAATTCATTTGGCCCCCATCAGGTTTACTACCATCCTAATGCCTAGCTGTTCCATGCTACTCTCCTGCACAAAGCCCTTTATAGACACATACACACACACACACACAACACACATGAGTGCACACACACTCATGCCCACACCCACACATGCACACACATGCACACAGGCACACACTCAAAACATGCACACACACACACATGCACACATGCACGCATGCACACACACGCACCCATGCACACACACACACACACACGCATGCAGACACACACACGCATGTACACACACTCACGCATGCACTATCCCATGGTCTTGAAGCCCGCAGGTTGAACCCAGTACGTGCTCTCCACTCATCACCCTTTAGAAGGGAGTTGGGCAGTTGAGGGTCTCTCCATAACAGAACCTGGAAGGAAGCTCATAGAAGGTGGGCTATGGGCCTGGAGAAGACAGGATGCAGAGGACACTCAGGCTGCAAACCACCACTCCCAGGCCTCCCTGTTCTCCTGCTCCTTCCCTGCCCTTCCTGGGCTCCCTTGACCACTCCTGTCTGTGCCCAGGTTGGCCTGTCTGCATTTGTTCTCATGAGATATTTCCTCTTTCCTAAAATAGATATCTCCTCACTCACTCCTATCACATAGAAATCCCACCAGCATTCCAGACCCAGACTGCTGTCTCCTCCATGTGTTCCTCCCACCTTCCTGGGTAGGTTTCCATTTCTTTCCCTGAACGACAGGGACACTGCCCAGTGTTGTCTGATCAGATTCAAACATGGTGAAGACTCTGCTCTGGGATGTGGGAGTGGGTTCCCATGTTGGGTGGGGGGAGGGAGACACATAAGGTACATGGTGGGAACGTGCAGTGACAGGGGTGCAGGCCAGCAAGGTGACACAGCTCTGACCACTGCGCCATCCTCCTGCCCACCTACTGTGACATTGGAAGAGGATAGTTGGGACTGACCAATGAATTCACGTGATCGTGGAATGAATACAGTATATTTTTTAGTAGCCAAAATGGTTTTTATTTTATGTATAAGAATTGTGTGGATTGCTTTTCTCTACAGATGCCAAGGGCATTGGATCTGACAGCCCTGCAGCACAGAGAGGCAGGCCCAGGGCAGCTGCAAGCCAGGCAGCCTGGGCTCAGCTCCCAGTTCTCCTGTGATTAACTGCTGGTCCTGGACAGGCTCTTCATCCCTTCCATGCCTCAGTCTTTTCATCTGTAAAATCACAAGAATGTGTAGGTTTGCCATGAGGAGTAAGGCAATATGTAAATGATCGGAGTAACTGCATGGAGGAAATGCTGAGTATTGATTACAGCTCTGTCAGATCAGATCCAAAGCCACTGGCATCCAGCAGAGCCATGTTGACCTCCCATCCTAATGGCAGCGCTTTCTCCATGTTCTGTGAAACACAATCAAACACACATGAGTCACATTAAGCAACAGGACCTCCCATAAATAATTTTGTGTTGACTCTGCAAAACGCATGCTGTAGTGCCAACCAAGTTCACAAAGCTGTTGCTCAAGGAGTCTGTTTTTTTTAATTTTAAATAATAGCTCTGCATTGCCTGGAAGAATGTTATTTACATTCCCAAATTTAAGGTTTGTGAAAGAATTTGCCATAACAGAATTTGAAAACTCAGCAAGTTTTTAGTTTTGTGCTCAGTTTTTTAAGTTTTAAAGTTTCCTTCAACTTCAAACAAAGCCAGTTCTCATGTCCACATATTGCATCTAGCTCTGTGCAGAAAATAATTAATAGTTAGACCTCTGTTTAAAATCTGCCTCCACATTTATGCAAATCACATACATTCTCAGCATCTTGGTGCTTTCAACTCTTACATGGGGGAAAGGAAACTAACTCATGCATAATTTTTATGAAGACTAAAAGAGACTTAAACCATGCATGCTATACTTGTTATTGGATAAAAGGCTGCAAAAATAAGAGTAGATACCACTTTTGTTGGGCAGATATTTACTAGGTACTATGCACTTTACATATATCCAGTTTCCTCCCCAGTACATCTTGGACTTTTCAGGAGGATGAACTTTGAAGAAACTGCCAGAAATTTAGGCAGAGAGCCAGATGGAGAACCAGAGGGTGTTTAAACAGGGCCACGGGAGAAGATACAATATGAGATCAGGGATGGATATTGAGTTCTAGAGAAAGAATACTGAGATAAAAAATGAAGAAAGTCTCTTAGACTTGTCACACACAATTTTGGCAGCATTACATTGGCCAAAGGTAGACTGGCCTACATTCAGGTTGAAAAACAAGACAATTTGGCCAAACGATGTCTAGGTCAAAAACCAAACATTTAATAACTAGGTCATTTTGGATGCATCCTGGGGAGTAGTTTTGCAAACCTTGATCTACCTCTAAGAAGTTTTGCCAGTTTCTCAGAAACTTTTTTAATGGTCATAAATGTGTTTAAATTTTTACTTGCTATTCTGTTCTGTTGCTCTGTTGAAATTTAAGTAGTGAAAAGGTAGAATAAATAATGCTCATCAGTAGATTTTCTGAGACAATTTCTCAGACAAATAGTATAGTTTAATTTGTATAAGGAAGGCATCTAAGGACATAATATTCCAAGGTGAGGCTGAGGGTTGTCCTAAGGTGGGTGGGAGTGTGGGAGATTTGGTTGTTCTTTTGCTTTCCTGTATTGTTCTCATTTTTATTTTTATTTATTTATTTTATTTTATTTTTTTGAGATGGAGTTTTACTCTCATTGCCCAGGCTGGAGTGCAATGGCACGATCTTGGCTCACCACAACTCTGCTTCCTGGGTTCAAGTGATTCTCCTGCCTCAGCCTCCCAAGTAGCTGGGATTACAGGCATGTGCCACCACGCCCAGCTAATTCTGTATTTTTAGGAGAGACGGGGCTTCTCCCTGTTGGTCAGGCTGGTCTCAAACTCCCAACCTCAGGTGATCTGCTCACCTTGGCCTCCCAAAGTTCTGGGATTACAGGCGTGAGCCACTGTGCCCTGCATTTTCTCATTTTTAAAATGAACTTGGTTTCCTTTTGTAATAGAAAAAAAAGAGTAAATATAAAAAGAAAAACATCTGGAATATTCAGAGATGTTTAAAGATTTTTTAATTTTTATTTATTTATTTATTTATTTATTTATTTTTGAGACAGAGTCTCGCTCTGTCGCCCAGGCTGGAGTGCAGTGGTGTAATTCTGGCTCACTGCAATCTCCACCTGCCGGGTTCACACCATTCTCCTGCCTCAGCCTCCCCTCCCGAGTAGCTGAGACTACAGGTGCCCGCCACCATTCCCGGCTAATTTTTTGTATTTTTAATAGAGACAGGGTTTCACCATATTACCCAGGATGGTCTCGATCTCCTGACCTCGTGATTCGCCCGCCTCGGCCTCAGAAAGTGGTGGGATTACAGGCGTGAGTCACTGTGCCCGGCCAAGAATATTTTTTTTAAAGAATATGTTAAATTCATTTTAAGCCAATGTTAGATGGCTACTAGGGGAAATTTTCAGAATTCAGCATCAGGGAATTGAGTGAAAGAGAGGCAGATACTGGGTAGAGTTTGGAAAATGCAAACCTAGGTCTCTGATACACCCCTTCCTCCACTGTCTTTCAGTGAACACCGTTGTTATTGCTGAATATCCAAAGATTTGGCTTTGCACTATAGGAAGTTATGTGCATTCCTTTTCACCATTCTGATCTACAGGGACTGCCTCCATGTTCCTGCACAGAGAAGACAGGAGAGAAAGAAGCTGCATAGCTTTTGTTGTTTCTTGTTGTCGTCATCAGAATTTTTCCAGGAACGGCACGCAGCTAATAGTTTCTCCCATAAGAACATTTCACAGGGAAGGACACTCATAAGGATTTGAGGCTATACAAATCTAATCAAATGAAAAGAGATGTGAGGCCTGGTGGAGTGGCTCATACCTATAATCCCAGCACTTTGAGAGGCCAAGGCAGGTGGATCGGGAGGTCAGGTGTTCGAGATCAGCCTGGCCAACAAGGTGAAACCCTGTCTCTACTAAAAATACAAAAATATTATCTGGGTGTGGTGGCACATGCCTGTAGTACCAGCTACTTGGGAGGCTGAGGCAGGAGAATCGCTTGAACCTGGGAGGCAGAGGTTGCCGTGAGCCAAGATCGCACCACTGCATTCCAGCCTGGGCAACAGAGCCAGACTCTGTCTCAAAAAAAAGAAAAGAGATGTGAAAGAACTCATCATTGTGTATATTTGGTGCATGGCTCAGAGCCCTCATGATGAACTAATTATATGTGACACTGTATGAACAAGAACATCACTCTCAATCTGCTTCTTGCTACAGCACATTTTCTCCTACCCAGCTAAAATGTGGCAATTCGTCATTGGGTTTGTTTTGCATTACTGCAGTGTAAGAGTGACACTTAAGCTCTCCAGGCAAATGAGGGCATTCCTTCTGTTGAATGTGTTCAAGAGTGGGATCCTCTTGTGAATTCACTTATGTTTTAGTTCTATGCAATTCTTAGTTCTTCAGTGGGGCAATGCTATTATTATCGAATTACCAAAATGCAGACCAATGCTGAATAAAACATGTTTTCTAACTTGTAGCTCAGAAGGATTTGGCAATATTGGTATTTTCCTCTTTCTCAACTTTCCCAGATTTTTGGCTAAGGCATCTGCATCCTCCATGTGCTCCTTGTTAGAACAATATTGCCTCTCGTTTTAGGAGGAGTTCTCAGTGCCACAGTCAGACCTGTGATGTGCTTTCTTCTGGCACCACTGGTGCACTGTCCCAGAGCTCTTCAAGAAATGCAAGAAGGGCCGGGCTGCTTGAGATGCGAACAAAACCCCCTTTATGGGATCAGGGGAGTTGCAGCATCTGGCATTTGACAAGACACTGTTTCACGTGACGAAGTCACATGGACTTTTGGAAAAGAACCCACTGCACTGTAGGTGTCCGATGCCTGCCACAGCGTATGAGTCAGCGGGGATGAATGCTCTGAGAGAGACTTCTGAAGCACAGATGTTGGTGTGAGTTTAGAAAGAAAAAGCCTGATTCTTCCACCTCATTGGAATCCCTGTTGTGGTCTCAGCCAGATAGCATCTACACCATTTAATAGGTTTATAACAGCAGTTCTACATCAGACACGGCAAACTGGTCCATGGTCACTGAGATTCGTGAGGTCTCACTAGCTCAGTGCCGCTGGATATCCGTGCACCAAACTGGGTCATAAAGCATCGGCACTGCCACCAGAAGCTATGCAGATAGCGCCAAGACCACTGGACACCAACTAGAACATAAGAACACCGTGAGAAAATAGGGTACACCACTCAGCCGGGGCTGCCATGACAAAGTACCAGACTGGGCGGCTTAAACAACAAAAACATATGTCTCCTGCAGTTCTGGAGGCTGGGAGTCTGAGACCAAGGCACTGGCAGGTTTTGTTTCTTCTGAAGCTACCCTCCTTGGCTTTTTCTTATATCTTTTCCCTGTATCTTCCCATGGTCTTCCCCCTATACCTTCCCTATATCTTTACATTGTCTTCCCTTTGTATCCTAATCTCTTCTTCTTATAAGGACACCAGTCATATTAGATTGAGGCCCACCCTAACCATCACATTTTAACTTAGTCACCTCTGTAAAGGCCCTATTTCCAAATACAGTGACATTCTGACGTTCTGAGCATTGAGATCTCAAAATATGAATTAAGGAGAAACACAATTCATGCCACGACTATGGGTAAAGAGGAATTTGACACCATTTGCTTTTCCTTGACCACTTTCCCAGTGATGAGGAAGGGCTAGGATTAGCTTCCTATCCCAGCATGAGGCACCATATTTGAATATAATACCAAATATGGCTCAAGGGATCAAGCCATTGAAAACAATAAGGCAACTCATACAAGAAAAATCAGGCTTTTTCTTTCTCAGGCAATTCACTTTCCCTTACTTAGCAATTGCTGTATTCTTTATTTCTATCTCCATATCTTAGAGTAATTACTAGAACTTCCAGAAAGATGGTAAATCATAATAGGCACCCTTCCTTGCATCTGATTTTAAAAGCAATGCTTCAATAATTTCACCATCACAGGTGCCCACAGATGAATTTTATTAGATATTTCTTGTCATCCTCATTGATCATTTAATACGGTTTTTATGAGAACATATGTTGAAGTTTAATGAATGCCCCTTTGATAGTTTTAGAAATTAATTTGTATTATTTGCCCTTTGGCTAGTTTATTATAGATAGTCTACCAATGGACTTATTTTTAATATATCAGCAATTCATTCCTGAGGAAAACTTAGACACAGACTGTTATTCCTCAAATATGTGAACGAATGCCATTGGTTAGTCGTCAGCTTAGAATTTTGGCCTTGCTATTCATAACTGAAGTAAACCTGAAGGTTTCTTCTTTTAGTATTTTCATATTCAGATACCACAGTTATACTAACACAAAAAGAGGTTTGAGAAACTTTTTACATTTCTATACTCTTTGGAGTTTACAAAATGTGAAGATTATCTGAACCTCACAAGCTTTAAAAAAAATTATCAATTTTGCCACCAGAGACATTCTCACAATGTTCTTTCACCCTCATCTCCATAACTATGATTCTATTCAAGTTTTATGATTCTTTAGTTGATCACCGTTATTTCTCTTTTTTTTCTAGGAAATAGTTGATTTTAAACTGATTAACGTGGATATATTCTTCATATTTTCTTGTAAAATTTGAAATTTATGTCTGTGGTTAGGTACCCTTTCTCATTCTTAGTTTTTCATATTTATGCCTTCTCTCTTTTTTCTTCTTTTATACTAGTCAAGTATATTCATATAATTGGGGTTGATGTTTCCCTAACGTGCCAGCTCCTGCACGTGTCTAGTTATTAGGAAGCTCTTCGATGGCAGGGATGGTGAAAGAAACAATGGGGCCATTGCTTTCTGGCTGAGGGCTCAATGAGTTCAACTTCATGAAGCTCCATGGGGTACAGACTTTGACAAGCTCCACAAATTACTCTGATGCCATTGTTTATGAATCACACAATCCTAGATTTCAAAGTAGTATGTCACTCTAAATATGGGACATATTAGTACAAAGCCATAAATTGGTGTTAATACCCTGACTGATCTGGACAATTAAAGGCAAATTTTTTATTGTCCTCATCTGATGAAAATAAGCAGAGGAAATAGAAAACAATCCCATTCACATTGAATTTTGGAGCCATTTTTGGAAACTGTAAAAACAGTGAAAGAGAAAAGAATCACTGAGGTCGACTTTTAGGGACTTTGCTTGCGACTCAGCGAGGAGCAAAAGCAAGTATTTAAAAGAGGAGTACACGCTAATGGTAATAGTTTCGATACTGATTAGTTATCATCTGGTGCATCAGTCAGAATACCATAAAAAGGAGCGACCTAAAAATAAATGTGTTGCTCCTGTTGGGGGAGCATTCTGATCTAGGTGTCCCGGCACGCAGTTGCCCTAGCACACATCAGCAGAGCATTACCTCCTGGCATTTGTGGTCAGGCGCCTTCTGAGCCAGGCCCCCTCTTGGAAGCTGAGGGCGTGGAGATGCATAAAACACAAGCTCACAATATTTGCTTCCCTTCAACGCCCTTCATCAGCTTGCAGGGCACAGGGTTTCCCTGGCATGTGTCCCTTTTGTGATACATGTTTGCTGGGCTCAGCATCTTTAGTCCACATCCGCTGTGGTCAGCACTTGTCCTGCTCCTGTTCCCAGAAGACATCCTAGTGTCTCATGTCAGCAGTTCCCTACCATGTTCTCAGTCAAGTCAGCCTACCGTCAAGCTGAGAGAGGACCCTTCACCCATCAACTTGGCTCCCCTCCATGTTTGTCATATTTATAATAGTAACCTGAACTGGGTTCGGGTATGTAAACTTTCTAAGCTTTAGTTTTCTCATCTCTCTTTGGAAGTTTGGTGTATATTTCATGTGGCTTTATGGCACAGTAATTTTTTAGAATGCCACGCTGCTAGGGACAGATTTGGGGCTCCCTTCAGTTGCTGGAGCCCTGCCAGACAAGACTCAGGGTGCAGATGTGATGGGGCCTGGATGAGGCATTGCTCTGCTGCATGTAGACGGCAGGGTTGAGGGATTCAAGAGCATAGAGATGAACACTCAAGGTGATGGGGCTTCTGATCATGAACGTGTTTGTAAACAATGTCTAATGATGTAGCTTTGTGAATTAGTATTATCAAATGGGATTGGTGATTTAATTAATAATCATAAAAATGCAAACATGTTGGCTCTTCCCTGACATGTCCATTATAAGCAACACTGCTTGGACTCAAGGTTTGCATTCCTGTGTGTGGGCCCAGGACAGTGGGTTTGGCACAGGGAGAGGGCACTTTGAGTAGACTGACATCTATGAGTGGAAGAAGCTGCTTATCTCAATCTGTGACAGCTGTGAAGCAGTGAGTCTTTAATCAAGTTCTGGGAAAATGAGGGGTCTCTGGATCTATAAAATAAGACTGATCACACTTAACTTACAATAGTATTGAGAAAAATGATTATGAAATATGTTCTAAACTGTTGGTATATTGCTGAGAAAATGGAGGGACGTTTGTTACCTCCTTTGCAGGGAAACATCCAAAATAGAACAGGACTTCTAACCCAAAATTGATAAGAACACCAAGACAACTCTCTCTTCTATATCTGGGCTGTAAATCTTTGAACTTAAGACTCAAATGAAATTCCATCTCTCACATTTTTTAATGAAGTCAAAATAAACGCAATTACTGAACAGAAGCCAAAGATCACAGGAGGTTATAAGTGGAGTGAGGGTATGGTCAACCTTGTTTGTTTGCATTCTGGCTCTGTTTTCTTGCTGAATATTTCACTAATGGGAGGCTGTAAGGGGGCAGGGATGGTCCTTCCTTCCTTCTGATGGAAGTCTGCTGCTGATTAAATCTGAGCAGGGCTAGCTGCATGGTGACTGGTAAACGTGACACCCTAATGAGGACACAGGCAAGTAGAATGTGAGAGATTGAAAGCACAAGATATTCTAATCCCCCGAGTAAGGGATTTTTCCAAAGACCAGGCATTTGCTCTTGAAGGCATGTTCAGGAATACCCTAATAAGCACATATCTTTGCATACTCTCTCACTGCGCCCATCCGCCGAAGACCTTGAAACCCACAGTTTTTTTTCTTTTACCCAAGTAAAGACCAACATATGAATGAGTAGCTTACCCTATTGGAGGTCTATTCCTTTAGCAAAGCCTGGGCTTACAATTAATACTCTGGTTTGTGATTAAATCTGCTACTGTTTCCTTGTAATAGAGTTAAAGGTAAATGCAATATCCGTATCATTGGATTTTCACAAAATCATGATGGCTGCTAAAACCAAAGGGGCAACACAGAGAATAAGTAATTAGCCAGGACCTATTTCAGCAAATCTCAGTTTCTTGGAGAAACTGTCTTGTTAGACTACGAGCAATTTCTGCCGGTGTTAAGTCCCGTTCACTTTCATTAAAGCATATCATGTATTCAGGGTAAACGGTCTTGGTGTCTCCCCCCAGGGGTCACTGTCAATATTCAGTTGCAGCTGGGTATAACAAGTGCCCTGGATCACAGAGAAATTCAAAATAAGGCTAAAATATGAGGTGTGTGGTTTGTACCATGAGTGGACTTGTGTTTCGCTTCCACACAGATAACTCTCCTGGCTTTGATGTATTTCTGAACTCTCTCTGACACCCATAATTTCTCTTCAAGGCAGAGGATGATGTTACTCAAGAAGAAAAGCAGCCAGGCACAGTGGCTCATGCCTGTAATCCCAGCACACTGGGAGGCAGAGGTGGGATGATCGCTTGAAGCTAGGAGTTTGAGACTAGCCTTAGCAACCTAGTAAGACTCTGTCTCTACCAAATAATTTTTTTTTAATTAGCCATGTGTGGTAGTGCATGCCTATAGTCCCAGCTACCTGGAAGGCTGAGGCGGGAGGATCCCTTGAGCCCGGAGTTGGAGGCTGCAGAGAGTCATGATGGAGCCACTGCACTCAACAAAATGAGAACTTGTCTCAAATTAGAAAAAGAAAAGATGAAAAACAGAATGAGTTCAGCTCATGCTTGTCCCCAGTGGAACTGCACACACCAGGCTGTTGCCATCTTGCAGACTGTGCTTCCTTACCCCAAATGCAGATGCCAACCAGCGACTGAGTGAGAGACCCACACCTACTGTGTTTCCAATGAGACCTAGGTGGCCTTTCAATCCCAAAGGAGGGATAGCCGATGGCTTCATTTTTTCCCGTGCCTCACTTACACTGACCTTGGGGAATGTGTGTGTGGGGAGTCCTTCAGATGCGTCTACTATTTATGTTAGCTTGTGAGCTGTGGGGAAGAGAGCTGTGACCTTCCCATCCATCCTACCCAGCACGCCCAAATATATGCAATAGAGGGAATAAGATATTTTTTCCTGATCACATCGATAAATCTTTTGCTTCTCTGCTTCACCCAGAGAAGTCTCCAAGACAACTGGTAACTTAAATGGGTACTGGGCAGTCGAGTCCTATGTCTGTAGGCATGTTTGTCCCCTTCAGCCATACTGCCACTGGCAAAGCCACAGAGCAGTGGAGAGCCAAGGCCACCAGAAGCCCAGGATCGCCACAGTGGGCGGAACTGTCACTTATGGGATGTGGATCTAATTCAGGACTAATGACCTTACTGATGGGATACCCTAAGTGTTTCCATCCTTCTTTTTGGGCTTTAATCACAGAAAGAAATGATAGCACAGAAATACATAGGAAACAAGCTTCTAAAAATAGCTCTCAACTCCCCCTTTTTTTTTTTTGAAATAAAAGTCTTAGTGGCAATACACTGAGAGTTCGAGTAATGCATACTAGGCTTCTGTGTAAGGAACAATGAAGAAGTAAAAGACAATGTGAAGGAGAATGCTTGACTGGCTAATGTATGTGCCTGGTAGTGCATACATTTTGATATCAGCCCCCTTAAGCAATATGTTCACGTTAGAACTCCTGCTCCTAAATAATAACTGAACTGCTCTCTATAAGAAATGACGTAGCTACGTCACCAAATAAGAACCACAAGTGAGCTGTTGCATTTTGGAACATTCTCACCCAGGACACACAGGCAAGACATCTGGCTGCTGGGGATTGAAGTAGAGAGTTTTGGGCAGAAAGAAAACTTAGAGGGAGGTTGCTAACTAGCTGTAGTTGGCTGAACACAGCACCTAGTATTGAAAGAAACATGGTTTTGCAGTTAATCGCTAATATTTGAAACTCAGGAAGCTTTACATAAGAGTCCCAACTTTCACCACCTCTTGGAAGGACATCTGCTTTCCCTCTGGCCCAGCACTGGAGCAGGGAAGGATGATCTTTGCTAGACGTGATCCCTGCCCAGCCCCCACTTGCTGTCTCCCACCTGTGCGCATGTGAGTCTTAAATAAGCCTCACGTCTGTTGATCTTCACAGCCCACCCCTGTTACACAGCCCGGCACCTAGTCACACCCACCTCACATCTGTCCCATGAATGAAAGGGTCTGCAGCATCTAGGAGAGTGTCAGAAACTGGCAAAAATGTTCTCAGACTGAAACCTTAGCGGAGCATGAGTCCCTCCTGAATTCCAACTACGTGTGCTTGTCTTAAAGCATCTGACCCTGGAGGCCTGGCAATCCTCGGTGTCACCATGACTCTGTGCACCATGTGGCAAGATGATCTGCAAACATTTTCACATCTCCCTGTAGTCCTGAACCCCAGCAGACACCGTTTACAGCACTCCCCACAGAACAGCAACTGAGTATCCAGTCCAGTGACTCATATATAAGTATTTGCTGATGATATTTTTAAAGATGGATACCCCTGCTCTGTCCTTAACTCTTAGCTTTGAGAGAAAAACATAAAAATTTTATTCAGTTCTAAATGTTAGAAGTCATAATGAGCTGAAAGCTGGTTTGGAATTATTTAAACTCTTCCCCAGAATCTCCCTGGAGAAAGGCCAAAACCTCAAAGCCCTTAAGGTGTTTGGAAACTGTGGTCATTTGAAATGTCACTTTGTGCCTAATCCATTTTACTTAGGGAATAAAAAGCTAAGTCTGCTTAAACTCTTGAGAATTATGCCAGCTCCAAAACCAAATCAGTTCTCTCAGATAGTGATCGGAATTACTAATGAAAAGGAAGGATTTTAGCTTAAGTTAGTTTGAAATTATTAAATGTTATGCAGTAAAATTCTGGAAAATTTCCCCTTAGCTTATTTTACCTTTTGCTTGTTTATTTTAATCTTTGGCAGGGTGTGGAAGGAAGAAGAAACATGGACTCTGCTCCATGATAAATGAGTCTGCCCCAGGGCACAACACACCCCCTCCATGGTCTCATTAATCACCCACTCCACTGGGCAGACAGACTGGCAGCGCTGGAATTTGATCCCCATTTCACAGATGGGGGGCCAAGGCAGCAGGAGGTTAAGTGAATTCTGGAGACCACACAGCAAGAGCATGGGGGAGCCCAGCCTGGCCACTGCCCCAAGCCCCCGCAGTCCCCACAAGACCCCTCATGAAGAAGCAGGGGCTGGCGGGAGGCCCCTGCTGGAGAGCCCTGGACTCGGGTGGGGCTGCAGCAGGGTTCCCCACAGGCTTGGCTTCACACACCTCTCTCAGCTCCGGGCTTCCACCAAGACACTTCTCCAAGTGCCCCTTTCCCTGCCTTTAAAAGAGCTGTAATAACACAGTCGCACTTGACGTGAGATTCGTTTATTAATAGAATTTCTGTATGGAGAGTCTCTGGCACACTCTGGACATTCAGTAATGCCGATTCTTTGACCCTGTGCCTTGCCTATAGGTAGACGCCTATTATCTCCTCTTATTCATGGAATAAGAAACCGTGTGTCCCCCATGCACCCAGGAGACCTGGGGAGGATGGGCAAGACCAGTCCAGGCTGTCTAAGGCCCTGAAGGAGCCTATGGCATTTCAGCTATATCCATTTATGATACTGAGAAATTGCTGTGATTATAAACATCATCTTCCCCCAAAGCCCTCACAAATCCCTATTACTTACATGTTCTGTGTCTGTCCACATTTATGAGAAGTGTTTTCTTCCTTTCTAAAAAGACCTCCCTATAGAGCAGATGAATAGTTTAGGCATTCTTCTGCTTCCCATTATGTCACATTACCTAGCAAAGAATGTCCTATTTCACCACTGATCCAAAATTAAACATGAATTGCTTTTCAAGGTTATTCATAATAGTTAATAATTGTGAATCAATAATGTTTGGTGTTGGCTATTAAAAGACAGACAGTGAAGCAGTGAATAGTGAATAGAGAGTGACATGTAAAACCCACTTTGTTAAGATTGGGAAGCTTGCATGGCCTGTATCTGGGGACCCATGGAGGTCACCTCAGCCCCTCATCCCTCCTGCTGCAGGCCCTACACCCCGCATGCCTTTCAGCTCCTCCCAGCGCTGCCCCCTCCTCCTTGCGCTGCCTGCATTGTGGCCCCCAGCCTCCGTCTCATGCCTGGGTAGTGCTAACAATCTTCCAGCCCTGCCTCCCTGCTTACCCATTTCCTGTCCACCCACCACATTGCAGCCAGAGCATCTTCCACAATGCAAATCCTACCCAGTCCCTACTCTGCTTAAAGTCTTTTGTGACTGTCCTTGGCCTACAGGAGGGGCACACATCAGTCTCCCAGAGCAGGTCCCGCTTCCCTACCACGGCCGCTTCTCTCGCGCTCATCTCACTCTAGCACCCTGTCCAGCTGTCTCCCCATCTCACCATTGTGCATCTGGAGTGGCCACCTCACTGCTTCTGACGTCCCCTGGTGGCTGCCCTCTCCCTCTTTGGAGCCTCTCGGGTGCCCCTCGTCAGCGATTAATCCTCTAAGGACTCATCTTTGTCACACGCCTGCTGGTCTGTAGCGCTCTGTGGCTTAACTACTATGACCATAGGTGTGGATTTGTTTTTCTTTACCCTTCTTGGGACATGATATACAATGTCAACTGAGGCTTTATCATGTCTGGAAAGTTCTCAAGTGTGATGACTTTGAGATGGCATCTCCTGCATCCTCTCTCTTTTGTACTTTCAGGACTCCTGTTAGTCTGTTAAGATATTATTATTATTATTATTATTATTATTATTATTATTATTGTTTTTTGAGACAGGGTCTCACTCTTGCAGGCTGCAGTGCAGTGGCACGATCACAGCTCATTGCAGCCTCAACCTCCCCAGGCTCAGGTGATCCTCCTCCCTCTGCCTACCAAGTAACCACAGGCATACGTCATCACACAGTCTAATTTCTGTATTTTTTGGTAGAGATGGGGTCTAGCTATGTTACCTAGGGTGGTCTCGAGCTCCTAGGCTCAAACAGTCCTCCCACCTCAGCTTCCCAGAGTGCTGTGAATACAGGCAAGAGCCACTACACCCTGCCCTGTTAGGAGCTTCTTATTCTTTTCTCAATATTTCCAAAACTTTGGTTTGCATTTTCTATCTCCAGTTTCTTCAGTTTGATCACTCAAGCAATCAATTGTCTTCAGTTAAGTCCCATCTGTTGGTACATTATCTTTTTGTTTATGTCAGTTACTCAATTTTTTTCTTCTGGGAATGCAAGTTGCTTGATTTTCTCTTATTTGTTTTGTTTTTCCACACAGGCTCTATTATTCCATTTGCATTTCTAGTCGTTTTATCTCTTCCCTTTAAAGTATTAGAGCACACTTACTTTTCTTTCAGATAGATAATCTTGAGTTCCTATGTGCTATTTTCATGTGTGTCGTGTCTGCTGAGTCTTTCTCACAGTTGATAGCTTCTTGTGTAGTTTGTTATTCTTATTTTAAAGTTCATGTTCCAGTGGAGTTATTTATCTCTGGGTGCTCTGTGCATCCTGGACTGTGGAAAGTTCCACAAAGAGTGGCTTAGCCTTTGCTTTTGCAGGGCACCTGCCTAAGTCCCATTTCATGCTCTTTTCTGGGGATTTCCAAACCTTGTGGGAATATACGCTCGTGCTCCCTACCACCTCTGTACCTGACCCACACCTGACGCTTTGATAGTGCGCACACGCCACACTCCAGGCTGACAGTGGCTTCATCATTGCTTCTGTTCTGAGCTTCGCTTCGTGGAAGGATGTCCCTTTCAGAGTTCCAGCTCTGAATAGAATATCTCAGTACAGCTCCAGCCTTCTGCAGGTCCTCGACCCCACCTTCCGTCCCAGCAAGGGCATTTGGTCCCCAGCCCCAAGCCATGAGCCTCTCTGTCCAGATGATTCTGCCCCTCTGCTGGCCAAAGCATCTGACCACAAGCTTCCTTTTCTAGCTTTACGTTTCCTTTTCATTTCTAGAATATGGGGATTTTTCTTCCTTTCTACTAAGTTCAGTTGTGTCTGAAAAGACTTTATTTTGGTTTCACTTATCCAGGATTTTTCTGCTTTTATAACTGGAAAGTACCGTACAATGGATCTATCCTCTGTTGCATGAACTAGAACCTTCCCAATGGACTCTGCGGGCCTTCAATTAGGACATGTGGTTTATTCAGCATTCAGCAAGTGCCTGCAATGTAGAAGATATTTAGACTTTTAACTACTGAATAAATAAAAACCCAAGATGAGCCTCATCTCCTCTGTTTGGCAGCCAGATCTTAGGAAAGCCATAAAATCCCTCTAGGCCTCCATTTCTTCATTGTCAATTCAAATGAAAGTAACTCTTCCCCTTGCTGCCTCACACAAAGAATGAATTGTGAAAATCAATGAAATAATGTTACAGAAGAACTTTAAAAACTCCTAAAGCCCTAGTTAAGCGAAATTACTAACATTGTTATTATAATCAGGCAAAATAATATCATTCACTTCTTTTTCACCAGGATACAGAGAACGAGAGAGGACTGCGTTTCTGTGACCTCTGCCTAGGGACGTCAAATGCCTAAAGTGACATCACGACGCAGTCCAGAGAGCTCTGGGATGCTCTCTATACCCTTCGGCCAGGCACAGTGGCTCACGCCTGTAATCCCAGCACTATGGGAGGCCGAGGTGGGTGGATCACCTGAGGTCAGGAATTCGAGACCAGCCTGGCCAACATGGTGAAACCCCGTCTCTACTAAAAATACAGGTGGTGAGCGCCTGTAATCCCAGCTACTCGGGAGGCTGAGGCAGAAGAATCGCTTGAACCTGGGAGGCGGAGGTTGCAGTGAGTCGAGATCATGCCATTGCAACCTAGCCTGAGCGAAAAAAGCTAGACTCCATCTCTCCATCTTTAAAAAAAAAAAAAAAAGATAGTTATATCCTTCCTCTGCACTTCTGTATTCAAATATTTCATATAGCAAAGCTCAAACTTCTCCCTTTAAACTTGGCCCTGCCACTCATCCCGTCTCTGTCCGGTGTTGGGGGAAGGTGAATTCAATGCCGGCAGCCTCGCCGAGTGTCGCCATCTTACCCTAAGCAGCAGTTCTCTCTGGCCCTCAGTTTCTGCTTCAGTTTATCCAATGGCTTACTTTTTTCACAAATACTTATTGAATGCCAACAGCATAACAATGATCCAGGAGGTGTATCTTCTCACTTTTGGGCTTAAACATACCGGTGGTGTGGGAAAAAAATGCAGCAAATGTGTTATCAATGGAAGCATTTGCTGTAAGAGTTTTTTTTTTTCCTTAGTTTCACTTGTTCTAGATCTAATCAAACACTTTTCAATAAGTCAACAGAACTCTCCTCCTAAAACCCTGTCTGGTTTTTTCACCTTATCTTTAGCTCCTCTCCCACGCATGCTCCATGGTTTCCTGACTTGGTGCCTCTGCAGTGCTGCTGCTGCCTCCACCACGCCCAGTTCTTCAAAGCCTCCTCTGGGCACAAAGCTGAGCTCCCATCCTCTGCTCGTCCTCTGCCCTCCCCATTCAGTGGAGCTGGCGCCCTTCACTTCACTTCAGCAGGTGAGGCTGCCTGTGCCTCTCTCGGCTCTTACAGCTGTCAGACACTGCATTTATTTAGGCAGTCACCTTCTCTCCCGTTCGAAGATTTTTGTAAACTGAGCCTCTATCTTACCTTGGCATCCCCATAGAACCAAGCACAGCATCTCATCTAAAATTAGTACCTAGTAATGTGTCCAGAGGTTAGTTTAATTTGGATGAATATGTGGTAAGTTTTCAGTGCAAAGGGAACCATTGCGAAAGAATAAAACAATAAAATAAATAAAACAACAAAACCCCAGGCAACAAATGAAGCAAAATCAAATTAAAATTGTGCATTAATCAGTACTACAAAGTGATCAATGGCAATTTGTTTCTTTAATCATGAGAAACAATCATGAGAATACCTTAGAAAGTTCTTAGCCCATTACTTTGAACCCAGGGTTCTAAGAAAATTTCTCACTGGGCTCCGTACTTTCTTCCTGCAATATCATTTTCCCTATTGAGCAGATGCACAAATCAAAGCACAGAAAAAGAAATGTCATGGAGGACACACATTCCCCGGTCACAGTCAGAGCCAGAAATAAGACAGAGGCATTTGTATCTCGCCCTTTGGCCAATGGCTCACACTGCCTTGCTCAGTAGTGATTGTCATTAGCTATGAAGCACAGAAAGTGTAGTTCCTGGTTGTCTGTGAACAATGAGGCATTTCAGATCAACGTGGGAGGAGGAATAACATGGGATTGATAGCAAATCGGCATTCATTCATTCATTGGCTCTCGAATATTTGGTATGCATTACAATATGGGGGATGGGGGGAAGGGGAGGGAATCGATGTTTCTAACAGGACCCAGAGGGTCCTGATGCAGGCAGTCCTTGGACCACCCTTAGTGAAATTGAACTAGATTTGCGTAGTTCAAAAAGGAGTGAGACAGATCTGTTCACTGTTTTGCAACTGGCTTTTTTTAACTTTCAAAAATATCTTGCAGATAGTTCCATATCAGAACATATTGGTGTCTATTATTATTCTTTATACAGCTGCAGAATATCTCATATAGCCAGTCCCATGGTGATGAATATTTAGGTTGTTTCCAAATGTCTACTAGATTTGAAAGAGAGAGAGAGACACAGAGAGAGGGATCACGTTGACATTTTTGTACATACATTATCCCACATATGTGCAAGTATATCTTTAGGAAGAATTCTTAGAAATGGAATTTCTAAATCAAATAACATGTGCTATTTAAATTTTTTATAGATATTTCCAAGGTTTCCTCCATAAAGGCTGAACCTGACCATGTAGTTTTAAAATAATATATATTTACTTCCTACTATGAATAATAATGCATTGTTTTAGTTTCCTTCCTTTTCCATTCTTTTTGCTAAGTATTTTTTTAATTACCTCATTACACTGGATAGAACCTTTTGAGCAATGTTGAATAGAACTGGTGAGAGCAGACATATTTCACCATTATCATGTTAGCCACATTTCATATCAATGAAATTCCCTTGTATTTCTAGTTTGCCGAGAGTCCATTTTCTGAATCAGAAGTAAAGTTAAATTTTGGCAAGTGCTTTTACTGCATCTATTAGGATAATTATATGTTTTTCTTTTACTCTGTTAATGCGATAAATTATACTGAATGATTTTTAAATGTTAAACCAACACACAATCCTGGGAAAAACCCTGCTTGATCACGATGTTCATATTTTTATGTATTGTTGGATTCATTTTCTTCAATTTTGCTAAGAATTTAGTGTCTATGCTCTTAAGGAACATTGTAGCTTCCTTTTCTTGTAATGCCTTTGTTTGGTTTTGGTTTCAGAGTTACACTGGCCTCAGCAATTGGGAAGAGTTCTTTCATTGCTTTTCTGAACATGTTGGTGTAACATTGGTATTTTTTTCTTAAACATCTGGTAGAACTTATCAGTGACTCTATCTAGGCTCAGACATCTTGTGGGGATGATAGCAAAGTAAAATGCATTTGTTACTAAGGGTTGAAATAGAAAAAAAAAATTGAGAGGCTGCTCTAGAGAAACACACATGTGCACAAAACATGTACAAGAATGTCCATAGAGTGGTCCGCAGCTGGGGGACAGTGGAAACCCACATGCCTGTCATTGTCTGCTTAGGCTCCTTTAACAAAGCGCCATTGACTGGGTAGTTTATAAGCCATGGAAATGTAATTCTCACAGTTCTGGAGGCTGGAAGTCCATGACCATGTGCCAGCCTGATTGGGTTCTGATGAGGTGTGTCTTCTGGGTTGTAGATGACCAACTTCTTGCTGTGTCCTCACTCAGTGGAAGAAGATTTAGAGATTTCTTTGTAGGAAAATTTTTGATGATGAATTCAGTTTCTTTTATATATGTAAGTATTCAGATTTCTTACTTTGTCTCTTGTCAGTGTTGGCAACTTTTTTTTTTTTACAGAATTTCTCCATTTTATCAAGTTGTCAAATTTAATTGTTTCATATTATTCAGTAAGTCCTCTTATTGTCTTTTTGATGTTTTCAGATTTATACTGATAGGCTCTTTATTATTTCTGATAATGGTATTTTGTGTTTTCTTTTCTTTTTTTTCAAATCTTACCAGGAATTTATCAGTTTTATTAATTTCGTCAAAGGGCAAATGTTGGCTTTGTTAAGTTTCTCTATTGTCTGCCTATTTTCTACTTCGTTGATTTCTGCTTTTTGTTATTTTATTCCTTCCACCACATGGGCTTTACTTTGCTCTTCTCCTTTTTCTAGCTGGTTAAAGTAGACGTTTAGATCATTGATTTTATATTTCTTTCTTTCCAGCATAGTCAGTGAAAGCTATACATTTCTCTCTAGGCATTGCTTTTGTTACATCCCACAAGTCTTGATTCATTTTATTTCCCTTGTAATAAAAGGTAAAGCATTTTCTAATTCCCCTTATTTCTTTTTAAATTCATGAGCTATTTAGAAGTGTGCTGTTTATCAAGTATTTGAAGGTTTTCCAAAATTTTTAAAAATCTGGTTGAATCCTGTTATGGTCACATAATTTTATTATTTCAATTCTTATAAATTCCTTATCATTATGGCCTAACAAATGGTCTCTTTTGATGAGTGTTCCATCTGTGCTTTAAGAGTATGTGTGGTGCAATTGTTCGACGTATTATCCTATGAAAGTACACTAAATTAAGTGTATTCATTGTGTTTTTCAAGTTGTTCAAAATATCCTTAATGATATTTTGTCTTTTAGTTTCTATCAATTACTAAGAGTACAGCGTTAAAAACCTTAACTATGATCGTGAATTTGCCTAAAAACCTTTTAATTCGGTTTTGCTTCATGTATTTTTGAAACTCATATTAAGTACATAAACATTAATGATTGTGATATTTTCATGATGGATTGAGAATTGTATTAATATCTCTCATAGGAAGTGTGTCCAGAATGGTGGAACAAGACTCTCCCAAAATATGATCATCCTAAAAGCAACTAGAATATTGACAAACTATATCACAATTAACTTTTTCAGAACTTTGGAAATTAACCAAAAGCCTAAAACTATCCAAGGAGTATTTACTCAAGGAAAAGAATGTCTGAATCTCAGAAAAAGAACAAGCTCTGTGGTATTTTAATTTGTCCTATTCCCATCCTTCTAAATTCAGGTCCATGGTTTCTTTGAAAACCATAAGACTCGGGATCATGGTGGGTGTGAAAAACAGGAGCTTAGCAGACACGGAGGGGAAAGAAAGGCTTTGGAGCTTCCCCAAAAGCCCCACTCTCAGCTACCTGAGAGTCCCAATAGCAGAGCTTGTCTTCATTTGACCTGACTCAGGCCTGTGACCTATTCACAGGCAAGCCCTGTGAATAGAATCCTATCTCCAGGGCATTATTGAAAAAATAAATTAATTGCAATTAACACTCAAGCTGCCTGAAGTAAAAAATGATAAGGTAAACACATGTTTTTAAAATAATAAGGGAAACATGTTTTAAAAAAAATTTTAAAGAAAATCTGGCAAATGAGATTTCCATAAGTAGTTTTGAAGAGCTCTGACATATTTCTGGAAGTCTAGAAGGTCATGCACACGGACATGGCTATCAGCATGCTCAGGAAAGACCAGAAAGGGACCTAAGCTCTTACCTCTGGCTGACCTTGTGGTGCTGTGTGATCACAAAGTGAAGGCTAAGGGAGAGTCAGTAACTGCTGGAACTTTGAAGGCATTCCTCAACATACTTTGGCAAAAGGTGGGAGATTTAATTGATTCAAGGCATTTAAGGAAATCTACATCCAATATTTAGTTTCAGTTTACCACTATGTAAACTGAGTAGAGATTTCAGTCTCCACACATGGAATACATACTTTACAGAAAAATCGCTAAACAGGAAAACAACATCAACAATAGCAAAAGGCAACAACAAACTCAAAGGGAGGGGGTGCGATCTGATTTGCAGAGTTGCCATATCACATTAGTTAAAATTAGTTAAGTTCTGTGGCATTAAGTATATTTGCATTATTGTGCAACTATTACCACCGTCCACCTCTAGAACTATTTCATCTTCCCAAACTCGAACTGCATTGTTTTAAGTTAGCATATTAATTTTAATCTGACCTATTTTGAGAAAATAACTCAATGAAATATAGTAAAATAAAATACAAGAGACTTAAAATGACATCAGAGAGAAATGTTTACTTAACATAAAAGAAGGTAATAATAGAGGAACAGAGAAACAAAAAAAAACAAAAAAGACATAAAACACAAGTAGTAAAATCCTAAGTTATCAGTAATTATGTAAACATAAATGGTTTGAACATATCAATTAAAAACAGAGATTGATAAAATAGATTTAAAAAAAAACACATAAGCCAACTGTATGCCATTTAGAAGAGGCGTACTTTAGGTTCAAAAACAAGAAGATTGAAAATCAAAGTATGGAAAATGTAATGCTATGCAAACAATAAGCAAAAGAGTGCTAAAGTGGCTACACTGGTAACAGATAAAATAAGCTTTAAGACAAAAAGTGTTGCTAAAGACAAGGACATTTTATAATCATAAAAGTGTCAATCCATCAAAAAGATATAAAAATTATAAACATACATTCACCTAACAATAGAATCCCCAGATACATGAAGCAAAAATTAAAAGGACTGAAAGGAGAAATAGATAAATCAACAATAATAGTTAGAAAAATTGACACCCCACTTTCAATAATGGATACAAAAAACGGATCAACAAAGAAATAGAAGACCTCAATGACACTGTAAACCAACTAGATATAACAGACATCTACATAGTACTCCACCCAAGAACAGCAGAATATACATTCTTCTCAAAAGCACAAGAACATTCTTCAAGATAGACCATATGTTAGGCCATAAAAAGCCTGAATAATTGCTAAAGGATGACATTATACAATCACAGTGAAATAAAATTAGAAATCAATAACAGAAGGAAATTTTGCAAATTCACAATAATGTAGTAATTAAATGCCACCTTTCTAAATAACCAATGAATCAAAGAAGGAATCAATGGAAATTAGAAAATATGTTGAGATAAATGAAAGTAAAAACACAATACACCAAAACTGATGCAATGTAGCTGGAGCAAATCTTAGAAATCTCAAATCAGTTACCTGATCTTCCACCTTAAAAAAACTAGAAGAATAAACTGAATCCAAAAAAGCAGAAGAAGAAAGAAAATAATAAATGTTAGAATGAAAATAAATAAGAGAATAGAAAATCATTAGAGAAAAATCAATGAAATCAAGTTGATTCTCTGAAAAAAATCTATTCAATTGAGAAAACCTCAGTTATATTGACCAAAAGATAAAAGACTTAAATTACTGATATCGGAAATGAAAGAGAGAATATCACCGTCAGCATTACAGAAATAAAATATATATATTATAAATATTAAACTGTGACAATTCTATGCCAACAAATTAGATAATCTTGATAAAATAATAAATCCTAGCAAGATACACACTACTGAAAATAACTCAAGAAGAAATAGAGTATCCGAATAGTTCTTTAACATGTAAAGAGAAGGAATTAGTAATTAATCAGTTTTCCCCCAAGAAAAGTCTTCACTGGGGAGTTTTTATGAAATATCTAAAGAAGAATTAATAACAATCCTTCATAAACTCTTCCAAAATATCTAAGACGAGCATAGGCTTTCCAGCTCACTCTGTGAGGCCAATATTACCTTGATACCAGAATCAGACAGAGATATCAAAAGAAAAGAAAACTATAGACCAATATATCCTATGAATATAGGCACAACAATCCTTAACAAAATACCGGCTAGCCAAATCCAGCAACATATAAAAGGAATTGTACACCATAATCAAGTGGGACTTATCCATAAAATGCAAGGTCTATTTCATATGTTTAACATAAGAAATAAATATCATATCAATGTAATGCATATTACTAGAATAAAGGACAAAACCAAATAATTTATGTCAATAGACAAAGAAAAAGCATTTGACAAAATTAAAGCCCCTTTCGTGATAAAACAAAACACCAAATTGGGAAAAGAAGGGTAGTTCCTCTTTCTGATAAAGGGTGTCGAGGCAAAACCCACAGCTAAAATCATACTTAATGGTGAAAGACTAGACAATTTTATCTAAGATCAGAAGTAGGACTAAGATATTTTTTCTCACTTCTATAACATTGTACTGGAGGTTCCAGCCATGGCAATTAGGAAAAATGAAAGAAAATACATCCAGATTGGAAAGGAAGAAGTGAAAATATCTACATTTGCAGATGGCATGATCTTGTAAACATAACATATGAAGAATTCCACACAAAAACTATTAGAATTGATAGACAAATTCAGCAGTTACAGGATTTGAGATCGGAATACAAAAATCAGTTGATTTTGATAGCGAAAGAAAGTCTCACAATGAAATGAAGAAGGCGATTCAGTTGCCCTGGTGGAAAGTGTATATGAAGAAAAGGGTAATGAAGAAGGCCTGTAAGAAGAGAAGCTCACAGAAACAGAAGTGACCAGAAAAGTGGAAAAGAAACAGGTTAGTTCCTGTGATTATTTAGACATATATATTCTTCCACAATTTCTGGTTCATAACTCACATAGCCCTTGTTTTTTCCCAAGTGACTAGAACAATAAGTGTATCTCTCTATCTCTTGTTAAAGCATTTGGCCTTTTGTCCTTGTTTACTGAAGCAGCTTTGGAACAGCTTCAGAGTGATAAAGGCCAAAGACAGTCTTTTGTTATATTGTTGGGGCACTTCAGGCCTCAGAAGCAGCCTCAGAAAACAGAATCTCTCTCTGTCCTGTGTATCCCTTCATCTGGGTGCTTATTTGAATCCTTTAAAATATCTTTTATAATGAATTGTTAAATGAGTTTTGCTGTGTTTTGTGAGTTGGTCTAGCAAATTAATTGAACCTAAAGAGGGAGTAGTAGGAAACCTAACTTGAACTGGTTCCATCAAAAGTTCCAGAGGCCCAGACTTCTGACTGGCAGCTGCAGTGGGGGCAGTCTTGTGGGACTAAGCCTTCAATCTGTGGGATCTGACACTATCTCCAGGTAGATATTAGTAGATATCTCAAGTGTCAGAACTGAATTGAATAGGTCCCAGTGGGTATCCACAGCAGAACTGATTGCTTGCTTGTTGGTGGAGAGAAATCCCTTGACATTGACCACAGAAGTCTTCTGTGTTGCTTGTTGTTGTGTGAAAGCAGAGAAAAACAGTTTGCTTTTTCTACACAGTTCTGCATTACCAAATCCAAGTGTCACCTGCAGTTCTTCAGGCCAGTTCAGCCTGGTGTAAAATTGGGTCTGCATTTATAAAAACAAATAATTTCTCTTTGTGTCTGGTTCCTATCTCCAGCTGCAAATCCCCTGAACCCATTCCTAAACATCTCTGTGGGTGTCTGGGTGTCTGAAATATGGCTTTAGCACATCCCTTGGGTGCCAACATAGTGCTTGGTATTTTTACTCTTTTGAACTGTTGCAGCTTTCTCTGGTGAGGTCTTTCTTCAAGGCCCCAAAACCTTCCTTACAACTATCAATACAAATTTTGTTCCTAAGAAGATGGATGGTGTTAAATGACTCTGCCAAGATTACTGTTTTTATTGCTTCTGAATCTTCATGAACTTCCTCTGCTATGGTGAAGCTCTCATTTTTTTTCATGCTGGATACTATCACTGTGCATCTTACTGATATGCTGCAGATGGGCCAGAGGGGCAAACTGGACTGTATGCCCTCTGGACGCCCCAAGAAACTGGTGAGAGTTGGGAGTTTCATGGTGGCTTTACTTTTCCCCTCTCAGAGATTTCTGCGTGAACACATCTCTTTGACGTATCTTCTTACTCAAGCCTCCCTCTCACTGGAGAACACAATCAGGCCCATATCAGAGTTGTACTAGAGGGTAAATAAAATTACCTAACATATATTTATTAAGCCCTCACTATGTGCTAGGCACATTCATAATCTTATTTGATTTTCAAAATTATCTAATGAGGCACATACTATTATTATCTCCATCATTTGATGTGGTCATATAACTTTTCTTCTTTAACTTATTGATATGATGAATTACATTGGTTGATTTTGTTAATGTTAAACATTCTTGGGCATATCCAACTTGGTCAAGGTGTAGAATTATAAAAAGGATCCTAAAAACTTTTTACATGTTTTGGTAGTTAGTGGTTTTTGAAAATTTTGTTTATTTCTTGAAAGTTATCATATATATAAGTGTAAAATTATTTGTAGTATTACTTTACTGTCTTTCCGGCAATTGAAGGATATAGAAATATTCCCAGTTTTTTCCTGATATTGGTGATTTGTGTCTTCTCTCTTTTTATTTTTGTCAATACTGCTGGGGGTCTATTTACTTTATTAATTTCTTTAAAGAACTACCTTTTTATTTCATTGATATTCTCTATTTTTTAAATTTAAATTTCATTGAGTTCTGCTTTGATTTTTATTATTTCTTTATTTTTACTTGCTTTGGACTGATTTTTTTCTTCTTTATCTATTTTCTTGAGATGGGAACTTAGGTATGAGATTTTCTTCATTTCTAATATGAACATTTTAGTGCTATAAACTTCACTCTCAGCAATGCTTTGGCTGTATCCCACATAGTTTACTATGTTGTGTTTTCATTTTTATTTGGTTGCGTGTATTTTTATTCTCTTTGAGACTTCTTTAACCTATGTGATTATTTAGGAATGTGTTATTTAATTTTTATGTTTAGAGATTTTCCTATTGTCTTTCTGATATTTATTTCTAGTTTGATTTCATTATCATCAGACAACACACTCTCTGATTTTCTTTCTTTTAAATTTGTTGAGGTTTGTTTTGTGGGTCAGGATATGATATACCTTGGTAACTATTTCATAGGCCCTTGAAAACTTGTGTATGCTGCTACTGTTGGGTGGAGTGTTCTGTGTGTGTCAGTTGGGTCCTGTCGATTGAGTTGTTCAGCTCTTCCCTACACTGACTGATTTTCTGTCTTGCTGAGAGGGAGATATTAAAGTACTTGACTATAAATGTGAATGTGCTTATTTCCCCTTTAAGCTCTGTCAGTTTTTGTTTCATATATTTTGGGACTTTGTTGTTCAACACATGCATACTTAGGATTGTCAGGTCTCCCTGATAGATTAATCATTTCTCATTATGTGATGTCTCTGCCTTTAGTAATTTTTTTTCTCTGAAGGCTATAAGTGGTTATGTTAATATCAGATATTAATATAGCTACTTCTGTTTTTTAAAAAATTAATATTTCCATGATATATTTTTTATCCCGTTATTTTCAACCTACTCATGTCATGGAATTTTAAGTGAGTTTCTATTAAGTAGTGTAGTTGAATGACATTTTTGCTCCACTCTGGCAAACTCTGACTTTTGATTATGAATTAGACCATTTATATTTAAGATGTTATTAATATTTAATATTTAAGTGTGCCATTTTATTTTTGTTTTCTATTTGTTTCCTCAGCTACTTGTTTCCTTTTTCTTGCCTTCTGTGGGTTAGTTGAACATTTTTTAGGGTTTCCATCTTGAGTTATTTCCAGTGATTTCCAGTGTGTCTTTGCTATAATTTTTGCAGTGATTTCTCTGGGAATTACAAGATAAGTATGTGACTTATAACTGTTATATATACTGATATTATCATCTTACCACTTTGAATAACATGTGGAATCCTCACTTCCATTTAGTTTCCTTCATTCTCCCACTGTATTTTGGGTAGCAGATGGTGACTTATACTTTTTGCTTTAATTATCAAATATAATTTATAATTCTCACATGAAAAAGATAGTCTATTGTATGTGTGCACATTTCTGCCATTTCTGCTATTTTTTCTTCCTTCCTGAGGGTCCAAGATTCCTTCTTTTATCAATTTCTTTCTGTTTGAGGAACTTTTAGCTAGTCTTTATAGATAGATCTACTAATAAGTTTCTTTTAGTTTTTCTTCATCTAAGAGTGTTTTTATTTCCTTTTTATTCCTGAAGGATAGTTTTGCTAATATAGAACTTATTATGGTTGACGTTTCTTTTCTTTAAGAACTTGGAAAATATTGGGCACTTCCTTCTGAATTCTGTCATTTGAATTGGTGTTTCCCTATGTGTAATGTGTTGCTTTTCTTTGGCTACTTTCAAGAGATTTTTCTTTATGTTTAGTTTTTCAAAGTTTAATTATGATGCTTATCCTGTTTCAGGTTTGCACAGCTTCTTGGACCTGTAACATTATATCTTTCACCAAAGTTGGCAAGTTTTTTGGCCATTATTTCTCCAAGTAGCCTTTCAGGCCCACTCTCTTTCCTTCTTGCACTCCAATTATACAAATGCTGGACCTTTTATTATTGTCCCACAGGTCCCTGAGGCTCTGTTCATTTTCTATAAGCCTAGTATTTCTCTGTTATTCAGATTGGGTAAATTCTATTGTCCTGTCCTCAAATTCATTGATTCTGTACTCTGTCATCTCCACTCTACTATCGAGCCTATTCAGCACCAAGTTCTACATGTTTTATCATACTTTTTAATTATATAATTTCCATTTGGTTCTTAATAATATCTATTTTTGTTGAAATTTCATACTGTTTCATTTGTTTCAAGAGAATTTGTCATTGATGATTGAAGCATTCTTGTGTTCACTGCTTTAAAATTTTTGTCAGAGAATTCCAACATCTGGTTCATCTTGGTATCAGATGTCTTTTCTTTTCTCATTCAAGTTGTCGTTTTCTTGGCTCTTGGTGTTATGGGTGATATTTTTATTGTATTCTGGAATTGGGTCTGTCAGGAGACTCTGGGTCCTATTTAAATTTTTTTTTTTTAAGCAGGCAGTCACCTTGTTTAGATTAACACCTAGGTTCTAGCCTATTTTCATTAGCTGCAGTTCCAGTGGAAGTTTAGTTTTCAGAGCCTATGAGTGCTGTTTTGGTCTGCTTGGTTATCTGGAGCCCCCCCAGGATCTTGCTGTTCCCTATAGATACTGCCTGAGAAGGTGGGAGGGGTTTCCCCACGCCAGCCCCTGGGGGTCTTTTGGGAGGCAGAGTGTGGTAGGATCCCTCTGTTGTTGCTTCCACAGCTATTTCTGGCAGGGAGAAGATAGTCTCAGGCCTGCAGAACAGAGGGGCTTCCTGGGCCAGGCAGCTTACTATGCCAGGGTCCCTTGCTGTCTCTGGGTGCAGGAGGCTGACACTCTCAGGTTCTCAGAGATAAGAAGGTTTTCTGAACCAGAGATCTGCTGTGCCTGGGTACCTTTCTCCAGTGTAATCTGTCAAGTCCATGTCTCCGGGTGGGGAAGGGGTCTCCTCCTACAGGGATAAAGGGGCTTGTTGAGCAAGCTGCCTGGTGTAGCCAGGACTCTCTCAACAGTTTTGCCCTCCAGCAGCCTCAGGGCCTCTGGTGAAGGGAGCCTCGGGCCTGACAGGAAAGGAGAGGGCCTCCCTGGCT
This sequence comes from Homo sapiens, assembly GCF_000001405.40. Taxonomy (NCBI): domain Eukaryota; kingdom Metazoa; phylum Chordata; class Mammalia; order Primates; family Hominidae; genus Homo; species Homo sapiens. The sequence goes on along the minus strand of NC_000010.11, from coordinate 44,156,665 downwards.
GCTAATTTATTCAGGGATCCAGGTCAATCTTCCTCATCAGCAGCATCATATTTGCCTGATATTACTAGAGCAGGGGTCCCCAGTTCCCAGGCCACACAGCAGGAGGTGAGTGACCACCTCTCCTATACCCCATAAATATATAAACCTACTATGTACCCACACAAATTAAACATTTTTTTTTAAATTGCTTACTTCACAGAGCTTCATGGTACTTAAATGAGATCATCCACATAATGTCCTTGACACATAGAAGGGCTCAAAAAATATCTTTAGTCATTATTATTTCTGCATATAATCAACCATTAAAAGCCTTGATTTCCTTATGCATAAGTTAGGGATAATAGTAGTACCTGCCTCATAGCACTGTGAAAGATTTTGATTACCTATTACTATATAACAAACCCATCACAGCTTAGTAGCATAAAATATACAGCATTTTAAGTGTTCCCAGGAGATGCAGATCAGGAATTCAGAAAAGGCACAGCAGATAGGGCCTCAGCTAGGGAGACTTGAATGGCTGGGGCTAAAAAATTCTGAAGGTATCTTTGCTTACAGGACTGGCACCTACACTTTGGTTACTCAAAGGGTGGGCACAGATTCAGCTGTCCAGTAGAGCAGGGGTCCCCAGGCCATGGACCAGTACTGGTCCTCCGTGGCCTATTAGGAACCAGGTTGCACAGCAGGAGGTGAGCGGTGGGCAAGTGAGCATTACCACCTGACCTCTGCCTCCTGTCAGATCAGTGACAGCATCAGATTCTCAGGAGAGCAAACCCTATTGTGAACTGTGCATGTGAGGGATGTAAGTTGTATGCTTCTTATGAAAATCTGATGCCTGATGATCTGAAGTAGAACAGTTTCATCCCAAAACCATTTCCCACCTCCACAGTCCATGGAAAAATTGTCTTCCATGAAACTGGTCCCTGGTGCAAAGAAGGTTGGGGACCACTGTGCTGGAGGGACTTCCATTGGATCTAAGAAAGATCCTTCTGTGCGTCTGGGAACATGGCATCTGGGTGGCCTTCTAGTGTTCAGTGAGGGTTGCAGGGTGCCCTGTGCAGTGCTGCCTCCAGGCCTAGGCCCACACAGCTCGGGGCCTTCTATCCACTATCTTTCAGAGTCCTCATCAGCTTGTCTCTTCGGCCATGTCCAGGGTTTATAGTGGTGCTTAGCAAGAAGGAACAGGAAGAAAAAAGTCTTTATCATCTCTCAAAGACCAAAACTCCGCCCTCAGTTACCTTGAAGAGTGAATTTTCGTTTCTACTTTGAATTTTCCTGGTAGTTTCATTATTGTTTTTTTCTACCACCAATGCCCATTTCCCCACCCCACCCACCCCTCCTCTGGCTTTGTTTGGTCAGTTGAGAGATTCGCTGGGGTTTCTTGGCTTTTCAAAGATATGCTATTATTTAGGGATTTTTTTGGACATAGAGAAGTCTGCAGGGCTTGGGTATTCTAAATATAGAAATGCACTCGGCTACTTTTTATGTTATCACTAGTCATAACTGTCACACAAATATCTTGTGTGAGTGTTTATAAATTATGGCATGAATGTCAAACCACAACATAAAATCACTGCAACCCAAACTTGAAGGCTTTATAGACTTTTCACCATGACCTCTGGTAACAGTGGAACTCTAAATACCCAAACTCTTATGGTAGATTCTTCCTTACCTTCATGCTTTACTGTCTTATATCTCTGAAGCCTTCATCAGTACCTTGACCTACAGGCCATGTACTCTTCAAATCAAGTACAGCTTTAGGGCCGGCTAGTGATGTGTCCTCTAAAAATATTTACTCTGCAGATTTTTAAATAAAAGCTAATGTAAAAGGTTCCTTGGACCCCTGTTCTAGTGAAGTCATCTCCAAGGGAGAGTACACAAGATTCTCCACCAAGGAAAATAAAACTATGCCTTTTCTTTTTTTAAGAAAGAAATAAAAGTTCACTAATGTTTAATAAATTGACATGGCAGCCCTCTCAGCCTGTTAGGCCATCAGCTGGAGAATCCCTTCTTGCTTGGAAACGCTTTTTGTTCTTCTCAGGTCTTCAGCCGATCAGATGAGGCCCACCCACATTATGGTAGGCATGTGTCAGGTGCCATGTGTGCCATGTACAGGGCCTGCTGGGGAAAGACTGGGAGGAGCTCCACAATGCAGAGAGCATAACCACAGTGCTCTCATCTGCTCACATCCTCCAAGCAATTGTCTTGCATTGACCTTGTGTGCACTTCATTCAGGGTGTTTTGGGTGTTTTTTAAAGGATAAACTCATTACTTTCATAAAAATAAACAACAACCACATGTCAAAGCTTTTATTTAACTTATAATTTAATGAGGACCATAAGTGAGATGATAGAACTAATTCAAAGGAGAATACAAAAAACACACACATATAAACCATCAGCATAATTTGATGAAACAAATGAACAATAGATGAAGCCCTTGTCCACAGGGCAATAATCAATTACATTTTACTGTACATAATCATTTGCATTTCTATGAAATGGAGACTTTCATCCTTACCAACTTTTTATGACTCACAGAGTTGTAAAATAGTGCGATGGTAATAAAATGTTGCATAGGCAAGACACTCAATAATCTTTTCTTGCCTATTTCAAAGTCTTTCACAATATTTCCTGGCAAGTAGAATTACAAATTAAATTATCTGGTTTTTAACGAACTAATGCTTACATGAAGAAAAACCCTGTGCTTTCGAGATACCAAGCAAACAAGAAGAAAATGTCAGAGCTGAAATTTCTTTTTTTTTTTTTTTGACATTGTCACCAATGGGAAGTATTGGTATACTGAAATCACATTACCTTGTTGTACGTATCTCAGAATAATGTTTATGCTCATTACTACTTGAAAATTACAGAACTTATTAGACCTACTATTAGGTCTTGTTATTCAAGGCATCAATTAAGCACACTTATCACTATGGCACAAATTCACTTAGAAAAATATTCTGATAACTATATAAACTATAATGATTTTCACTGTAGTCCTCTGTGTTTTAACCTGTACATTTTTTTTTAACTTTAAGTTCTGGGATACAAGTGCAGAATATGTAGATTTCTCACACAGGTATACGTATGTCATGTTGGTTTGCTGCACCTCTCAACCCGTCATCTAAGTTTTAAGTTTCATGTGCATTAGGTATTCATCCTAATGCTCTCCCTCCTCTCGCCCCCCACTCCCAGACTGGCCCCAGTGTGTGTTGTTCCCCTCCCTGTGTTCATGTGTTCTTATTGTTCAACTCCCACTTGAGTGACAGCATACAGTGTTTGGTTTTCTGTTCCTGTGTTAGTTTGCTGAGGATGGTGGCTTTCAGTTTCATCCACGTCCCTGCAAAGGACATAATCTCATTCTTTTTATGGCTACATAGTATTCCATGGTGTATTTGTACCACAGTTTCTTTTTCCAGTCTATCATTGATGGACGTTTGGATTGGTTCCATGTCTTTCCTGTTGTAAATAGTGCTGCAATAAACATACATGTGCATGTGTCTTTATAGTAGAATGATTTATAATCCTTTGGGTATATACCCAGTAATGGGATTGCGGGGTCAAATGGTATTTCTGGTTCTAGATCCTTGAGAAATCACGACACTGTCTTCCACAAGGGTTGAACTAATTTACATTTTCACCAACCATGTAAAAGTGTTCCTGTTTCTCCACAGCCTCGCCAGCATCTATTGCTTTTTGACTTTTTACTAATCACCTTTCTGACTGGTGTGAGATGGTATCTCATTGTGGTTTTGATTTGAATTTCTTTAATGAACAGTGATGTTGAGGTTTTTTACATACGTTTGTTGGCTGCATAAAAGTCTTTTGAGAAGTGTCTGTTCATATCCTTTGCCCACTTTTTGATGGGGTTGTTTGATTTTTTCCTGGTAAATTTATTTAAGTTCCTTGTAGATTTTGGATATTAGGCCTTTGCCAGACAGGTAGATTGCAAAAATTTTCTCCCATTCTGCAGGTTGCCTCTTCACTCTGATGACAGTTTCCTTTGCTGTGCAGAAGCTCTTTAGTTTAATTAGATCCCATTTGTCAATTTTGGCTTTTGTTGCCATTGTTTTTGGTGTTTTCATCATGAAGCCTTTGCCGATGCTTATGTCCTGAATAGTATTGCCTAGGTTTTCTTCCAGGGTTTTTATGATTTTTGGATTTTACATTTAAGTCTTTAATCCATCTTGAGTTAATTTTGGTATGAGGTGTAAGGAAGGGGTCCAGTTTCAGTTTTCTGAATATAGCTAGCAAGTTTTCTCAGCACCACTTACTGAATAGGAGATCTTTTCTCCATTTATTGTTTTTGTCGGGTTTGTCAAAGATCAGATGGTGGTTGGGGTGGTTCCAAGATGGCTGAATAGGAAGAGCTGCAGTCTACAGCTCCCAGCATGAGCGATGCAGAAGATGGGTGATTTCTGCATTTCCAACTGAGCAAACAGCACACCAGGAGATTATATCCTTTGCCTGGCTCGGAGGATCCCACACACATGGAGCCTCGCTCATTGCTTGCACAGCAGTCTGAGATTGAACTGCAAGGCGGCAGTGAGGCTGGGGTGGGGCGCCTGCAATTGCTGAGGCTTGAGTAGGTAAACAAAGCAGCCGGGAAGCTCAAACTCGGTGGAGCCCACCACAGCTCAAGGAGGCCTGCCTGCCTCTGTAGGCTCCACCTCTGGGGGCAGGGCATAGCCAAACAAAAGGCAGCAGAAACCTCTGCAGACTTAAATGTCACTGTCTGACACCTTTGAAAAGAGTAGTGGTTCTCCCAGCACGGAGTTTGAGATCTGAGAACAGACAGGATGCCTTCTCAAGAGGGTCCCTGACCACCGAGTAGCCTTACTGGGAGGCACCCCCCAGTAGGGGCAGACTGACACCTCACACAGCTGGGTACCCCTCTGAGATGAAGCTTCCAGAGGAACAATCAGGCAGCAACATTTGCTGTTCAGCAATATTCGCTCTTCTGCAGCCTCCGCTGCTGATAACCAGGCAAACAGGGTCAGAGTGGACCTCCAGCAAACTCCAACAGACCTGCAGGTGAGGGTCTTGACTGTTAGAAGGAAAACAAACACAAAGGACATCCACACCAAAACCCCATCTGTATGTCACCATCATCAAAGACCAAAGTTAGATAAAACCACAAAGATGGGGGAAAAACAGAGCAGAATAGCTGAAAATTCTAAAACTCAGAGCGCCTCTCTTCCTCCAAAGGAACGCAGCTCCTTACCAGCAATGAAATGAAGCTGGACGGAGAATGACTTTGATGAGTTGAGAGAAGAAGGCTTCAGACTATCAAACTTCTCTGAGCTAAAGGAGGAAGTTTGAACTCATCGTAAAGAAGCTAAAACCTTGAAAAAAGAATAGACAAACGGCTAACTAGAATAACCAGTGTAGAGAAGTCCTTAAATGACCTGATGGAGCTGAAAACTGTGGCATGAGAACCACATGATGAATGCACAACCTTCAGTAGCCAATTCGATCAACTGGAAGAAAGGGCATCAGTGATTGAAGATCAAATGAATGAAATGAAGTGAGAAGAGAAGTTTAGAGAAAAAAAGAGTAAAAAGAAACGAACAAAGCCTCCAACAAATATGGGACTATGGGAAAAGACCAAATCTACATTTGATTGGTGTACATGAAAGTGATGGGGAGACTAGAACCAAGTTGGAAAACACTCTGCAGGGTATTATCCAGGAGAACTTCCCCAATCTAGCAAGGCAGGCCAACGTTCAAATTCAGGAAATACAGAGAATGCCACAAAGATACTCCTCAAGAAGAGCAACTCCAAGACACATAATTGTCAGATTCACCAAAGTTGAAATGAAGGCAAAAATGTTAAGAGCAGCCAGAGAGAAAGGTTGGGTTACCCACAAAGGGAAGCCCATCAGACTAACAGGGGATCTCTCGGCAGAAACTCTACAAGCCAGAAGAGAGTGGAGACCAATATTCAACATTCTTAAAGAAAAGAATTTTCAACCCAGAATTTCATGTCCAGCCAAACTAAACTTCCTACATGAAGGAGAAATAAAATCCTTTACAGTCAAGCAAATGCTGAGAGATTTTGTCACCATCAGGCCTTCCCTAAAAGAGCTCCTGAAGGAAGCACTAAACATGGAAAGGAAAAATCAGTACCAGCCACTGCAAAAACATGCCAAGTTGTAAAGACCATCGATGCTAGGAAGAAACTGCATCAACTAACGAGCAAAATAACCAGCTAAGATCATAATGACAGGATAAAATTCACACATAACAATATTAACCTTAAATGTAAATGGGCTAAATGCTCCAATTAAAAGACACAGACTGGCAAATTGGATAAAGAGTCAAGACCCATCAGTGTGCTGTATTCAGGAGACCCATCTCACACGCAGAGACACATACAGGCTGAAAATAAAGGGATGGAGGAAGATCTGCCAAGCAAATAGAAAACAAAAAAAAAGCAGAGGTTGCAATCCTAGTCTCTGATAAAATAGACTTTAAACCAACAAAGATCAAAAGAGACAAAGAAGGCCATTACATAATGGTAAAGGGATCAATGCAAGAAGAGCTAACTATCCTAAATATATATGCACCCAATACAGGAGCAACCGGATTCATAAAGCAAGTCCTTAGAGACCTACAAAGAGACTTAGACTCCCACACAATAATACTGGGAGACTTTAACACCCGACTGTCAACATTAGACAGATCAATGAGACAGAAAGTTAACAAGGATATCCAGGAATTGAACTCAGCTCTGCACCAAGCGGACCTATTAGATATCTACAGAACTCTCCACCCCAAGTCAACAGAATATACATTCTTTTCAGCACCACATCACACGAATTCAAAAATTGACCACATAGTTGGAAGTAAAGCACTCCTCAGCAAATGTAAAAGAACAGAAATGATAACAAACTGTCTCTCAGACCACAGTGCAAACAAACTAGAACTCAGGATTAAGAAACTCACTCAAAACCACTCAACTACATGGAAACTGAACAACCTGCTCCTGCGTGACTACTGGGTAAATAACAAAATGAAGGCAGAAATAAAGATGTTCTTTGAAGCGAATGAGAACAAAGACACAACATACCAGAATCTCTGGGACACATAAAGCAGTGTGTAGAGGGAAATTTATAGCACTAAATGCCCACAAGAGAAAGCAGGAAAGATCTAAAATTGACACCATAACATCATAATTAAAAGAACTAGAGAAGCAAGAGCAAACACATTCAAAAGCTAGTAGAAGGCAAGAGATAACTAAGATCAGAGCAGAACTGAAGGAGACAGAGACACAAAAAACCCTTCAAAAAATCAATGAATCCAGGAGCTGGTTTTTTGAAAAAATCAACAAAATTGATACACCCGCTAGCAAGACTAATAAAGAAGAAAAGAGAGAAGAATCAAATAGATGCAAAAAAAAATGATAAAGGGGATATCACCGCCAATCCCACAGCAATACAAACTACCATCAGAGAATACTGTAAACACCCCTATGCAAATAAACTAGAAAATCTACAAGAAATAGATAAATTCCTGGACATATACACCCTCCCAAGACTAAACCAGGAAGAAGTTGAATCTCTGAATAGACCAATAACAGGATCTGAAATTTAGGCAACAATTAATACCCTACCAACCAAAAAAAGTCGAGGACCAGACGGATTTGCAGCAGAATTCTACCAGAGGTACAAGGAAGAGCTGGTACCATTCCTTCTGAAACTATTCCAATAAACAGAAAAAGAGAGAATCCTCCCTAACTCATTTTATGAGGCCAGCATCATCCTGATACCAAAGCCTGGCAGAGACACAACAAAAAAAGAGAATTTTAGACCAATACCCCTGATGAACATCGATGCAAAAATCCTCAATAAAATACTGGCAAACCGAATCCAGCAGCATATCAAAAAGCTTATCCACCATGTTCAAGTGGGCTTCATCTCTGGTATGCAAGGCTGGTTCAACATACACAAATCAATAAATGTAATCCAGCATATAAACAGAACCAAAGACAAAAACCACATGATTATCTCAATAGAGGCAGAAAAAGCCCTTGACAAAATTCAACAGCCCTTCATGCTAAAAACTCTCAGTAAATTAGGTATTGATGGGATGTATCTCAAAATAATAAGAGCTATCTATGACAAACCCACAGCCAATATCATACTGAATGGGCAAAAACTGGAAGCATTCCCTTTGAAAATGGGCACAAGACAGGGATGCCCTCTCTCACCACTGCTATTCAACATAGTGTTAGAAGTTCTGTCCAGGGCAATCAGGCAGGAGAAGGAAATAAAGGGTATTCAATTAGGTAAAGGGGAAGTCAAATTGTCCCTGTTTGCAGATGACATGATTGCATATCTAGAAAACCCCATCGTCTCAGCCCAAAATCTCCTCAAGCTGATAAGCAACTTCAGCACTCTCAGGATACAAAATCAATGTACAAAAATCACAAGCATTCTTATACACAAAAAACAGACAGAGAGCCAAATCATGAGTGAACTCCCATTCACAATTGCTTCAAAGAGAATAAAATACCTAGGAATCCAACTTACAAGGGATGTGAAGGACCTCTTCAAGGAGAACTACAAACCACTGCTCAATGAAATAAAAGAGGATACAAACAAATGGAAGAACATTCCATACTCATGGGTAGGAAGAATCAATATCGTGAAAATGGCCATACTGCCTAAGGTAATTTATAGATTCAATACCATCCCCATCAAGCTACCAATGACTTTCTTCACAGAATTGGAAAAACTACTTTAAAGTTCATATGGAAGCAAAAAAGAGCCCACATCACCAAGTCAATCGTAAGCCAAAAGAACAAAGCTGGAGGCATCACGCTACCTGACTTCAAACTATATTACAAGGCTACAGTAACCCAAACAGCATGATACTGGTACCAAAACAGAGATATAGACCAATGGAACAGAACAGAGCCCTCAGAAATAATGCTGCATATCTACAACTATCTGATATTTGACAAACCTGACAAAAACAAGCAATGGGGAAACGATTCCCTATTTCATAAATGGTGCTGGGAAAACTGGCTAGCCATATGTAGAAAGCGGAAACTGGATCCCTTCCTTACACCTTATACAAAAATTAATTTAAGATGGATTAAAGACTTAAATGTTAGACCTAAAACCATAAAAACCCTAGAAGAAAACCTAGGCAATACCATTTAGGACACAGGCATGGGCAAGGACTTCATGTCTAAAACAATGGCAACAAAAGCCAAAATTGACAAATGGGATCTAATTAAACTAAAGAGCTTCTGCACAGCAAAAGAAACTACCATCAGAGTGAACAGGAAACTTACAGAATGGGAGAACATTTTTAAAATCTACTCTCTGACAAAGGGCTAATATCCAGAATCTACAAAGTACTCAAACAAATTTACAAGAAAAAACAGGTTGGGCACGATGGCTCATGCCTGTAATCCCAGCACTTTGGGAGGCTGAGGCAGGCAGATCAGAAGGTCAGGAGATCGAGACCATCCTGGCTAACATGGTGAAACCCTGTCTCTACTAAAAATACAAAAAAATTAGCTGGATGTGGTGGCGGGTGACTGTAGTCCCAGCTACTCGGGAGGCTGAGGCAGGAGAATGGCATGAACCTGGGAGGCGGAGTTTGCAGTGAGCAGAGATCACGCCACTGCACTCCAGCCTGTGCAACAGAGCTAGACTCCATCTCAAAAAAACAACAAAAAAGAAAAGAAAAGAAAAAAACAAACCACCCCATCAAAAAATGGGTGAAGGATATGAACAGACACTTCTCAAAAGAAGACATTTATGCAGCCAAAAAACACATGAAAACATGTTCATCATCACTGGCCATCAGAGAAATGCAAATCAAAACCACAATGAGATACCATCTCACACCAGTTAGAATGGCAATCATTAAAAAGTCAGGAAACAACAGGTGCTGGAGAGGATGTGGAGAAATAGGAACACTTTTATGCTGTTGGTGGGACTGTAAACTAGTTCAACCATTGTGGAAGTCAGTGTGGCGATTCCTCAGGGATCTAGAACTAGAAATACCGTTTGACCCAGCCATCCCATTACTGGGTATATACCCAAAGGATTATAAATCATGCTGCTATAAAGACGCATGCACACATATGTTTATTGCAGCACTATTCACAGTAGCAAAGATTTGGAACCAACCCAAATGTCCAACAATGATAGACTGGATTAAGAAAATGTGGCACATATACACCATGGAATACTGTGCAGCCATAAAAAAGGATGAGTTCATGTCCTTTTTAGGGGCATGGATGAAGCTGGGAACCATCATTCTCAGCAAACTATCTCAAGGACAAAAAACCAAACACCTCGTGCTCACTCATAGGTGGGAATTGAACAGTGAGAACACCTGGACACAGGAAGGGGAACATCACACACTGGGGCCTGCAGTGGGGTTGGGGGAGGTTGGAGGGATAGCATTAGGAGATATACCTAATGCTAAATGACGAGTTAATGGGTGCAGCACACCAACATGGCACATGTATACATATGTAACAAACCTGCCCATTGTGCACATGTACCCTAGAACTTAAAGTATAATAAAAAATTTAAAAATTTAAAAAAATTTAAAAAAAGAATGAGCTATGAGGAATCAAGTTTTCTCTGAAAGCCAGCAGTCTTTTTTTTTTTTTTTTTTTTTTTTGAGATGGGGTTTCCCTCTGGACCCCAGGCTGAAGGGCAGTGGTACGATCTCCGCTCACCGCAAGCTCCAACTCCCGGGTTCATGCCATTCTCCTGCCTCAGCCTCCGGAGTAACTGGGACTACAGGCGCCTGCCAGGATGCCCGACTAATTTTTTGTATTTTTTAGTACAGACAGGGTTTCACTGTGTTAGCCAGAATGGTCTCGATCTCCTGTCCTTGTGATCCGTCTGCTTCGGCCTCCCAAAGTGCTGGTATTACAGGGGTGAGCCACCACCCCTGGCCTGAATGCAAACAGTCTTTACAGAGGAGACAGACACCTGTGCAACTAAGCAGGACCTCTGATGGAGTTAAATGCCAATGTTTCATTAATCATAGAGTTCAATTTAGCTGACTTACGGATGCTCAGGTATGGCAGGAAGCTGAAAGAGAGAACTGCAATTTTCTCCGGGGTCAACAATTAAAAAGAAGTTCTCTGATGTGAAAAGGGTAAAAGTTTTAGAGAAAGAAACATTCAGAGTTAAATCTCAATTCTGCCTTTTTTCTGGTGTGTGGTTTCTAGTAAGTTACCCAACTTCTTTTAAGTAGTTTAGTCTGCAGTAAAATGGACAATAACACTTAAAAGCTTTTGTGAGGAGGGGAGATAATATTAGTAAAGTAACAGGGATATAGTAGACAATCAGTAAGTGAAATCATTCTCTGTTAGTTATTACATTAAATAATACTATCAGTCAACATCAGAATATGTTTTTGAATGTCCGCTCCTGCCAAGTGTGTGTGTGTGTGTGTGTGTGTGTGTGTGTGAAAAAGATCAGATGGTTGTAGATGTGTGGTGTTATTTCTGAGGTCTCCGTTCTGTTCCATTGGTCTATATGTTTGTTTTGGTACCAGTACCATGCTGTTTTGGTTACTGTAGCCTTGCAGTATAGTTTGAAGGCAGGTAGCATGATGCCTCCAGCTTTGTTCTTTTTGCTTAGGATTATCTTGGCAATATGGGCTCTTTTTTGGTTCCATATGAAATTTAAAGTAGTTTTTTCTAATTCTGTGAAGAATGTCAATGGTGGTTTGATGGGGATGGCATTGAATCTATATATTACTTTGGGCAGTATGGCCATTTTCATGATATTAAGGCTTCCTATCCATGGGGATGGAATGTTTCACCATAGTTTGTGTCCTCTCTTATTTCCTTGAGCAGTGGTTTGTAGTTCTCCTTGAAGAGGTCCTTCACATCCCTTGTAAGCTATATTCCCAGGTATTTTATTTTCTTTGTAGCAATTGTGAATGGAAATCCATTCATGATTTGGCTCTCTTCTTGTCTATTGTCAGTGTATAGAAATGCTTGTGATGTTTGCACATTGATTTTGTATCCTGAGACTTTGCTGAAGTTGCTCATCAGAGCTGACATTTCTCATACTCGTCAGAAGAGCTCATTATGAGCCATGTTAGGAAGACTATAAAGATATAATCATGGGTGACATAAAGTTAGCCAAAAAGTCATTTAAGATCATCAAGAGGTGGATTTGAAATATCATTAAGATACTATAGCAATAACCCTCTAGCCAAGTGTGTACTGACCTTAAGATAAAGCCATCAAAATGTGACATTTAGGAAGACTGTCTCTTTCCTTGTTTTTCTATTTTATGTATGCCTTATGATGTTTCATTGTGGGGTCTAATTTATAAATTTCCAAATATTAGGAGAGCACACTCCGAAACTTTTTATTGCTATTGATGAGGAATCAGAAAGTTTGGAGACCACGGATCTAAGTGACCTTAGCAGTCTAGCACAGAAAGTCACATATTTTAGAAGAAAAAAAGACATTCAGAGGAGAGAGTCAGACTAGTGGGTGTGGGAGTAAGGAAAGAAGTAATAACACCTGCTTTGTGGAGCAACCCGTGGTTGTCAAATTTTGTCCCAGGGAGGTGCTTCTGGATTGTTGCATACCATGAAATGCTTTCTACTGAACAGCATTTGAACCATCTCTGGGACCCCTTTATTACCACGACCTGGTGTGGTGGTTAATTCTATGTGTCAACTTGGAGGGTGTTTTTGGAAGATATTAACATTTAAATCAGTAAATTTTTAGTAAAGCAATTGCCCCTCCATAATGTACATAATGAGGGTTGGCCTCCTGCAATTGCAAACTGAATAGAACAAACAGAATGGCCTCCTCAGGCAAGAGGGAATTCTCCACAGATAGCCTTGGGACTTTATCCACAGGCTCTGAGCCAGACTGTATATGTTAGCATCATGGCTCATTACAGGCTGGCTGGCTCTGTGTGTCCTAGGGCAAGCCAGATCACTTCTCTTTGCTTCAGTTTCCTCAACTCTCAGTTGCAAATGACAACAGTATTCTATTTCATTGAATTGTTACAAAGATGAAATCAGTTCATTAGTGAAAAGAGTTATTACAGTACCCCTGGCATATAGTGTGCAGAATATATTATCTCTTATGATTATAATGGGATTTCCCCTAAAATTTTGTTTTATAAAGATTAGTCACTACGAAAAATGTGTGCAAACCACTGGAATAATCCATTTACTCAGGCTGCCGTTTTTAATTTATGCTTTCCACTAACCAATGTCGCAAGTATTTAGTGGCCAAAAAAACAAGAGGATGTTGTTCTAAACATACAGAGTAATAACTACTTCATGTTTGTGAATCAATTCAGTCAGTGAACCAAAAAGTTTCATTAGCCACCTTACTCAGAATTAGAATTCAAAATGGTGATTCTCGAGATTGTGGGTGTCCCTTTGCAAGTCATTTTAAGACCAATGGTTCTCCACTCATCAAAAGATCCCCTTCAGGTCTACATGATGAGCAGGATCCTAGCCCTGCCTACTGGCTGCTTGCAGTCTAACACAGGGCTGAGAAGACACATACCTAGTTGCTATGACAGATAGCAAATGAGTGTATACAGAGTACGTAGCCCTGTATGTTCCAAAATGATGAACTGAATTAATGAAACTATCAAGTGACTTACTGAACAAAGTGGCAAGGGCTCGCTCTCTTATACACAACCAAAAGTTTCACTTGTACTTGCAATCGGTTCAGTTTACCTCCAAACAAATATTAGTCCATTCTCTCTTAGAGGGTCACTAGATTTCTGCTTCACACCTGCCTCCTTTATCACATGGCCTATCCTGAAATAATCCAACTTGTATATATATATATATATATTTTTACTTTCAATTTTTTTTATTATTCTACTTTAAGTTTTAGGGTACATGTGCACAACGTGCAGGTTTGTTACATATGTATACATGTGCCATGTTGGTGTGCTGCACCCATTAACTTGTCATTTAGCATTAGGTATATCTCCTAATGCTATCCCTCCCCCCTCCCCCCACCCCACAACAGTCCCCGGTGTGTGATGTTCCCCTTCCTGTGTCCATGTGTTCTCATTGTTCAGTTCCCACCTATGAGTGAGAACATGCAGTGTTTGGTTTTTTGTCCTTGCCATAGTTTGCTGAGAATGATGGTTTCCAGATTCATCCATGTCCCTACAAAGGACATGAACTCATCATTTTTTATGGCTGCATAGTATTCCATGGTGTATATGTGCCACATTTTCTTTAACTAGGCTATCGTTGTTGGACATTTGGGTTGGTTCCAAGTCTTTGCTATTGTGAATAGTGCCGCAATAAACATATGTGTGCATGTGTCTTTATAGCAGAATGATTTATAATCCTTTGGATATATACCCAGTAATGGGATCACTGGGTCAAATGGTATTTCTCGTTCTAGATCCCTGAGGAATGGCCACACTGACTTCCACAATGGTTGAACTAGTTTACAGTCCCACCAACAGTGTAAAAGTGTTCCTATTTCTCCATATCCTCTCCAGCACCCGTTGTTTCCTAACTTTTTAATGATCACCATTCTAACTGGTGTGAGATGGTATCTCATTGTGGTTTTGATTTGCATTTCTCTGATGGCCAGTGATGATGAACATGTTTTCATGTGTTTTTTGGCTGCATAAATGTCTTCTTTTGAGAAGTGTCTGTTCATGTCCTATGCCCACTTTTTGATGGGGTTGTTTGTTTTTTTCTTGTAAATTTGTTTGAGTTCATTGTAGATTCTGGATATTAGCCCTTTGTCTGATGAGTAGGTTGCAAAAATTTTTTCCCATTCTGTAGGTTGCCTGTTCACCATGATGGTAGTTTCTTTTGCTGTGCAGAAGCTCTTTAATTAGATCCCATTTGTCAATTTTGGCTTTTGTTGCCATTGTTTTTGGTGTTTTAGACATGAAGTCCTTGCCCATGCCTATGTCCTGAATGGTATTGCCCAGGTTTTCTTCTAGGGTTTTTATGGTTTTAGGTCTAACATTTAAGTCTTTAATCCATCTTGAATTAATTTTTGTATAAGGTGTAAGGAAGGGATCCAGTTTCAGCTTTCTACATATGGCTAGCCAGTTTTCCCAGCACCATTTATGAAATAGGGAATCGTTTCCCCATTGCTTGTTTTTGTCAGGTTTGTCAAATATCAGATAGTTGTAGATATGTGGCGTTATTTCTGAGGGCTCTGTTCTGTTCCATTGGTCTATATCTCTGTTTTGGTACCAGTATCATGCTGTTTGGGTTACTGTAGCCTTGTAGTATAGTTTGAAGTCAGGTAGCGTGATGCCTCCAGCTTTGTTCTTTTGGCTTACGATTGACTTGGCGATGTGGGCTCTTTTTTGCTTCCATATGAACTTTAAAGTAGTTTTTCCAATTCTGTGAAGAAAGTCATTGGTAGCTTGATGGGGATGGCATTGAATCTATAAATTACCTTAGGCAGTATGGCCATTTTCACGATATTGATTCTTCCTACCCATGAGTATGGAATGTTCTTCCATTTGTTTGTATCCTCTTTTATTTCATTGAGCAGTGGTTTGTAGTTCTCCTTGAAGAGGTCCTTCACATCCCTTGTAAGTTGGATTCCTAGGTATTTTATTCTCTTTGAAGCAATTGTGAATGGGAGTTCACTCATGATTTGGCTCTCTGTCTGTTTTTTGTGTATAAGAATGCTTGTGATTTTTGTACATTGATTTTGTATCCTGAGAGTGCTGAAGTTGCTTATCAGCTTGAGGAGATTTTGGGCTGAGACGATGGGGTTTTCTAGATATGCAATCATGTCATCTGCAAACAGGGACAATTTGACTTCCCCTTTACCTAATTGAATACCCTTTATTTCCTTCTCCTGCCTGATTGCCCTGGACAGAACTTCTAACACTACGTTGAATAGCAGTGGTGAGAGAGGGCATCCCTGTCTTGTGCCCATTTTCAAAGGGAATGCTTCCAGTTTTTGCCCATTCAGTATGATATTGGCTGTGGGTTTGTCATAGATAGCTCTTATTATTTTGAGATATGTCCCATAAATACCTAATTTATTGAGAGTTTTTAGCATGAAGGTTTGTTGAATTTTGTCAAAGGCCTTTTCTGCCTCTAATGAGATAATCATGTGGTTTTTGTCTTTGGTTCTGTTTATATGCTGGATTACATTTACTGATTTGTGTATGTTGAACCAGCCTTGCATCCTAGAGATGAAGCCCACTTGATCATGGTGGATAAGCTTTTTGATATGCTGCTGGATTCGGTTTGCCAGTATTTTATTGAGGATTTTTTGCATCGATGTTCATCAGGGATATTGGTCTAAAATTCTCTTTTTTTGTTGTGTCTCTGCCAGGCTTTGGTATCAGAATGATGCTGGCCTCATAAAATGAGTTAGAGAGGATTCCCTCTTTTTCTATTGATTGGAATAGTTTCAGAAGGAATGGTACCAGCTCTTCCTTGTACCTCTGGTAGAATTTGGCTGTGAATCCATCTGGTCCTGGACTTTTTTTGGTTGGTAAGCTATTGATAATTGCCTCAATTTCAGATCCTGTTATTGGTCTATTCAGAGATTCAACTTCTTCCTGGTTTAGTCTTGTGAGGATGTATGTGTTGAGGAATTTATCCATTTCTTCTAGATTTTCTAGTTTATTTGCATAGAGGTGTTTATAGTATTCTCTGATGGTACTTTGTATTCCTGTGGGATCAGTGGTGATATCCTCTTTATCCTTTTTTATTGCATCTATTTGATTCTTCTCTTTTCTTCTTTATTAGTCTTGCTAGCGGTCTATCATTTTGTTGATCTTTTCAAAAAACCAGCTCCTGCATTCATTGATTTTTTGAAGGGTTTTTTGTGTCTCTATCTCCTTCAGTTCTGCGCTGATCTTAGTTATTTGTTGCCATCTGCTAGCTTTTGAATGTGTTTGCTCTTGCTTTTCTAGTTCCCTTAATTGTGATGTTATGGTGTCAATTTTAGATCTTTCCTGCTTTCTCTTGTGGGCATTTAGTGCTGTAAATTTCCCTCTACACACTGCTTTGAATGTGTCCCAGAGATTCTGGTATGTTGGTCTTTGTTCTCGTTGATTTCAAAGAACATCTTTATTTCTGCCTTCATTTCCTTATGTACCCAGTAGTCATTCAGGAGCAGGTTGTTCAGTTTCCATGTAGTTGAGCGGTTTTGAGTGAGTTTCTTAATCCTGAATTCTAGTTTGATTGCACTGTGGTCTGAGAGTTTGTTATAATTTCTGTTCTTTTACTTTTGCTAAGGTGTGCTTTACTTCCAACTATGTGGTCAATTTTGGAGTAGATGTGGTGTGGTGATGAAAAGAATGTATATTCTCTTCATTTGGGGTGGAGAGTTCTGTAGATGTCTATTAGGTCCGCTTGGTGCAGAGCTGAGTTCAATTCCTGGATATCCTTGTTAACTTTCCATCTCGTTGATCTGTCTAATGTTGACTGTGGGGTGTTAAATTCTCCCATTATTACTGTGTGGGAGTCTAAATCTCTTTGTAGGTCTCTAAGGACTTGCTTTATGAATCTGGTTGCTCCTGTATTGGGTGTATATATATTAAGGATAGTTAACTCTTCTTGTTGAATTGATCCCTTCATCATTATGTAATGGCCTTCTTTGTCTCTTTTGATCTTTGTTGGTTTAAAGTCTGTTTTATTAGAGACTAGGATTGCAACCCCTGCATTTTTTTGTTTTCCATTTGCTTGGTAGATCTTCCTCCATCCCTTTATTTTGAGCCTATGTGCGTCTCTGCACATGAGATGGGTTTCCTGAATACAGCACACTGATGGGTCTTGACTCTTTATCCAATTTGCCAGTCTGTGTCTTTTAATTGGAGCATTTTCTGTATTTCCTGAATCTGAATGTTGGCCTGCCTTGCTAGGTTGGGGAAGTTCTCCTGGATAATATCCTGCAGAGTGTTTTCCAACTTGGTTTCATTCTCCCCATCACTTTCAGGTACACCAATCAGACATAGATTTGGTCTTTTCACGTAGTCCCATATTTCTTGGAGGCTTTGTTCGTTTCTTTTTATTCTTTTTTCTTTAAACTTCTCTTATCACTTCATTTCTTTCATTTTGTCTTCCATCACTGATACCCTTTCTTCCAGTTGATTGCATTGGCTACTGAGGCTTCTGCATTCGTCATGTAGCTCTCGTACCTTGGTTTTCAGCTCCATCAGGTCCTTTAAGGACTTCTCTGCATTGGTTATTCTAGTTATCCATTCGTCTAATTTTTTTTCAAAGCTTTTAACTTCTTTGCCATTGGTTCGAATTTCCTCCTGTAGCTCGGAGAAGTTTGATCGTCTGAAGCCTTCATCTCTCAATTCATCAAAGTCGTCATCCGTCCAGCTTTGTTCCATTGCTTGTAAGGAGCTGCGTTCCTCTGGAGGAGGAGAGGTGCTCTGATTTTTAGAGTTTCCAGTTTTTCTGCTCTGTTTTTTTCCCATCTTTGTGGTTTTGTCTACCTTTGGTCTTTGATGATAGTGACGTACAGATGGGTTTTTGGTGTGGCTGTCCTTTCTGTTTATTAGTTTTCCTTCTAACAGACAGGACCCTCAGCTGCAGGTCTGTTGGAGTTTGCTAGAGGTCCACTCCAGACCCTTTTTGCCTGGGTATCAGCAGTGGTGGCTACAGAACAGCGGATATTGGTGAACTGCAAATGCTGCTGTCTGATCGTTCCTCTGGAAGTTTTGTCTCAGAGGAGTACCCAGCCGTGTGAGGTGTCAGTCTGCCCCTACTGTGGGGTGCCTCCCAGTTAGGCTACTCAGGGGTGAGGGACCCACTTGAGGAGGCAGTCTGCCCATTCTTAAATCTCAAGCTGTGTGCTGGGAGAACCACTACTCTCTTCAAAGCTGTCAGAGAGGGACATTTAAGTCTGCAGAGGTTACTGCTGTCTTTTTGTTTGTCTGTGCCCTGCCCCCAGAGGTGGAGCCTACAGAGGCAGGCAGGCCTCCTTGAGCTGTGGTGGGCTCCACCCAGTTGGAGCTTCCCAGCTGCTTTGTTAACTAATCAAACAACTAACTGGGCAATGGTAGGTGCCCATCCCCCAGCCTTGCTGCCGCCTTGCAGTTTGATCTCAGACTGCTGTGCTAGCAGTGAGTGAGACTCTGTGGGCATAGGACCCTCCAAGCCAAGTGCAGAATATAATCTCCTGGTGTGCCATTTTTTAAGCCCATTGGGAAAGCGCAGTATTAGGGTGGGAGTGACCAGATTTTCCAGATGCCGTCTGTCACCCCTTTCTTTGACTAGGAAAGGGAATTCCCTGACCCCTTGCACTTTCCAGGTGAGGTGATGCCTCGCCCTGCTTCTGCTCACTCACGGTGCACTGCACCCACTGTCCTGCACCTACTGTCTGGCACTCCCCAGTGAGATGAACCCAGTACCTCAGTTGGAAATGCAGAAATCACCCATCTTCTACGTCACTCACGCTGGGAGCTGTAGACCAGAGCTGTTCCTATTCGGCCATCTTGGCTCCTCCCTCCCAACCTGTATTAATAATGCCTGGTGGGTTTCCTCATCCATGAACTGCTTGTTTGCCTGTCAGTTTCATGCATCCCCTGGATTTTTTCCTTGAACGTGCCTCAGCTTTTCCACCAGATTATGATCTTCATGAGGGTAGGGATGAGAATCTTTCTAGACGTAATTCACACACAGTGGATGCTGAATCTTTGCTATTCATCCAGCTAGTTAATGGAGCTCTGTACTGGAATTTTGAATGTCTTTCAGCAAAGTATGTTTCTTACCCTGAGAACTGGGGTTTTGGGATGCAAATCCTATAAGAGAATGGGCATCTTGAAAAAATATTTTATTCACAATCCTTGGTAATCAACTCCAGTCACTGTCTCAGTGACATGTGTCATTCACATATTGGTGAAAAACCAAAAACAAGTTCTATTGAGAAGGATTTACCAAGATCACAGCAGCATTTGCACCATTTTTAATCAATTAGCCATCAATGCAGGGTAGAACATGGTTCCTGTTGTAAGAAACTCATAGGTGACATACACAGCTTTCATTTTCCCAGAGTCCTTCCCAAGATAGTTGAAATAACTGGAGACATTCAGAATAAAATGATGCAGGAGACAGTGGGTGTAGCAGGCAGTTCTCTCAGGAAGAAGATCCCACTTGTCTCCAACAACAGGCTGGGAAGGAATCCTCTTGGGCAAGTCCTGGAAACTGGAAATCATGGTCCAAGCAGCCTCGCCACTCACAATCCTGAGTAAAGGAACTTGTTCACATGCTTTCCCAAGTGCCTTCTGAGGAAGGGGGAGCTCACGAGGAAGTAGTGTCAGTTCATCTAAATCCCATTGTTGTACTAATTTGCCCAAGGACCAGAATACATGTTTTTGCCTTAAGGGAAAAGATAGTTAAGAACCTAACAAAATAAATATTCTTATTCACTCATGCACATCCACCAAAAGTTGTTTTTAAACTAGTTCAGATGACTGAATAAATACTAAGAAGTGCATTTTGGCTAATGCGGCCACCCACGGTATGCTTACCTGGCTGAAATCACATACTAAGTTACAGGAGAATGGAGGCAAGCAAGCACCATCAGATAACAAAGCTTTTAGAAAAATTCATGGGCAAGCTATGTCAAATTAAGAAAATTCTATTCATTAACAGAGCTTTGTTTCTTTTCCAAGTTGACAAAATACCAGTGGTGTTTGGTTCTAGCCCATAGAGTTTCTGTGCTCTAGAGGATTTACATAGATCAGGTAGGATGAGACACCATCCTTTTTTTTAATGGGAAATTCACTTTTCAAAAGAGAAGGTCCAAGAAGGAGGAACCAAGTCAAGGTGTTTTATTCCCTTAATGTTTGCTGTAGCTTCCTGTTCCAGAGGTTTCCCATTCCTCTAGTGTCCTTCCTTATTTTTGTCCTTACTGTTGATTTGGGCTTCCCAAAGAACACCTTTGATAGAGTGTGAACCTTGCAGTTTCTTTAGCTGTTGTTACACTAGAGCCTTGTTGGTGTGGTTGTAAGGTGTGTATGTTAGGGGATGGGGTACTTTCTGTAATTACAGGATTAAATCTCAGTCTGTTGTGTGCCTGTGTCCCTGGCCTGTGGCCTTCACAAGTGTTTTTTTTAGCTTCTACCCTACTCTTAAGAGATACAGGAAAGCTGGGAGGGGCAGTGGAGTTGGAGAAATGTCCTTTCCCCCAGTGGGAGAAGGCCCTGGTAAGTCTTTTACCCTGGAGAAAGCTTTGTTTTGGAGAACTCACCGGGCATACTTCTAAACAAGTACTCTTTTCTTGCCTCTACCACAGCCAGGAGGAGATAATTCTTGGCTCTTTACCATGAGAATCTGGTTGGATTATGAAAGATAAAGCCAGTAAAAGTGTGAAGACCACCCCTTCCCCAAGACTGTGCCCCCAGGAATTTCCCACTCATGCTAGTCCACATTGTTTCCAGCAATCCATCAAAATTACCACTGCAGTGCTCCCACAAGTGTATGGCCCCAGTAGCCTCAGGTCTGGGTGAGCAGACCTTGGCTATGACCCTCTGGATTTGCTGGTCCCTCCAGCACATTTCAGGATGGCAGTTTGCCCTATGACCTCCATTCCATGATAGATGTAAGAAAAGCTGTTGATTTTCAATTTGTACAGCTTTTTCTTGCTATAAGAATAGAGGGGATGATTTCCAAACTTTTCACTTGCTGGATGTCCCACATTCTCTTTGTACATTAACTATTTACACACACATGCACAGATGCACCTATATTAATATAGGTAAATAAAGTCTTATTAAAAGGAAAACAGGGTATTAATAAACACCAGGTACAGGAAGATGGTTAAACTAGGTGGGTTCAGGGTCAACTTATCTGTTAAACACAATAAGCACAACAATGCATAGGGTCCATGATAATGTTAAGGTCCCACACAAATGTTTTAATTTTAGTTACATTTAGAATCATAAAGAAAAAATAATATAATGATAATTATGCATATAAATATAATTTTTAATAAAGGAAGGGACTCACAAAGACAAAGTGCTTAGAGCCCAGCAAAGTCAGAATGAGATGAGTGGAAAGGATGGGGTGGAATACAGTTGTGGGCTATTGGTAAGGTCCCAGTTTTTGTGGTGGACAGTATCTCGTAGGTGTTACATTATCAAAAATATATAGCTAATTACATACATGAACACATGAATAAAAGAGGGTTATGCATTGACCAAAGATGATAGTGCAATGAGCCAAAAATTATGTTGTGCACTGGAGGTGAAGGAGTGAGGGGAAGAGAGAAAGAAAGGCTCAGACCCTGAGGCGCATCAACTGAGTGTGGGGAAAAGCTACAGATCATAATGGAAGAGAAGAAGACAGTGTTTTAATTTTGTTCCTGTTTGCTGTGGCCAGTTGCAGCCCACCATAATATGTTAAGAAGGCTGTCCCACAGGGCAGCCCACTCTGAGCTCAACCTGGAGCCAACTGAACATTGGAAACCATGCATCTCATCTGTGGCTCCCTCATTACCCCCATCTTGATTTCTGAGTTTACTCATCTATCGTCGGTCTGTTCCTCCTCCTCGTTACTTCAGCACTGTGCATGTGTGTTTCTGTTGTCTTGGTGTTTGACACTCTCCTGATCACACCTTTGCCCTGTATCTCAGCTCAGGGGCTCTTATCTTTTGGAACCTACACCTCATACAGGATTGGAGCTTTTCTTAAGAACACTCAGGTTTCAGGGTTCTGAGTTCTACTCCCAACTCAGTCCACTGAAGGAAGGACACAAATAGGCAAGGCTTAAAAATGTGCTTCAGTCTAAGTCTCAAGGATGAGATAAAGGTGTTAAATGCCATTTGATGTTAAAGTTTTATATATATGCCTGGACATTATCAGAAACACATAATTTTTAAAATTGTGCTTCAAAGACCACAACACTGCTTCAGTTGAGACATGTGATAATTCCACACAACAAAGAAACCATGGCATTAGCTGAGAGGGACCTTGGCACATCCGGATAGGCACTGCTTCATGGAAGGAAAGAGGAAGTTTAGACCAGGTTGCATGCTGGGACCAGTCTGTCCAGATTTGAATCATGGCTCTGCCACTTATTGGTGGTAAGTTGAGCCCCTGTTCACCTAAGTCTCCTTATCTACCAGATGGTGACACTAACAACCCAGGATTGTTGTAAGAGTGACCAAGATCATAGTCAGGGTGCATACAGCCATCAGAACAGTGCATTGCTTAAAGTGAGTGTGGCATACACATTGCTGTTATAATTGTTTGCGGAGCTGTCTCAGTCCTTTCAATTACAGGTCATCTGACCTGTCTCATTTCAGCTCTTTTATTCCTAGTTTCCCCTAAATGAGGGCCTTTGGAGTAGAGACTACTCCAATGTCTGTGCTTCAGGAGGAAGAAAGTGGTTGATTCTGCAGGTCTTTGCTGCTCTACCAGAGCCTGTCTACTGTTTTCTCAAATCTGATCGAACTTGTATGCGCTGCAGGGCCTAGGCAGGGCCCTTTGGAGACAAGATTTGTCCTGCCTGTGCTGCTCTCTGTGCTGTGCCTTCTGGGTGCTCAGGGGCTCACAGCAGACCCCTCAAGAGAGGTTCTACCCAGTAACCTCACAGCTTCTCCACTGGGCTGCCTGTGGTGAGTAGCAGATGTTCTGTTCCCATAGAGCAATGCCTGAGCAAGGCTTGAGGTGCCTCGGATTATGCCCAAACACTGACCAAACATGGGAGAAATCAGCCCTCAGATGTGAAATCAGCCAGACCACCCCCAATCTTTGCTACTGTCACTGCACATTTCAGTGTGTCAAAAACAGCCACCTGTACCAAGGTTTCTGAAAGGGCTGGTAAGCCTCTGCATTGGGCTACGGATAAGGCTGAGATCCATGCAGTGACATCTGGCATGAACAAGTGGCTCAGAGTGTTTTCAAAAACATCTTGTTCTTCACAAGGACCGCTTCTGCCAACCAGATCTCCTTCCTGAGATGAGAATGGACCTTCAGTCCATTCTATGTGGTTCTGACTCCTTTATCCTGGGCTCCATCCAGGTTGAGCAATGGCCATGGGATTATCTCATGTCTGAGAACTTTTAACTCCATGCTGCCCCCAAACTTTCATAATCCTCCCAAGTGGGTTGCATAGCATGGCGCAGCCCCTCTCACCTACCCGAAATGGACACTTTCCCAAGGTCAGTCACACCGCTGGCCAGTGCAGTTTCCCAATTCATGGTGTCATGACCTCCCATGTGTGCCCCAACTGCCCTCTCTATGAGTCCCCTGATACACTCTTGGTGCTTGGCAAGCATGAAATCACGAACGGAACTGGAATTCATGCAGTCAGCTCAAAGGGGATTTCCTCGATGTGAATTCTTTTCTAAGACCTCATTGATTGTTCTCCTGAGGCTGATTGTGGAAAAAAACTCTGAACTCACATGAATTTGGTGGACCAAGGACCTCCTTTAGGGGAAATTAGCAAACAAAAAAAAAAAAAAAAAGAGAGAGAGAAAGCTGAGAAGAGACAAGTCAAATGACCTGCAGTGGAAAGTACTCTGAGACAGCTCTGCAGTTGTTGGGAGATAAAGAGATTTTAAGATGAGAAAAGAGAAAATGACAGCCAGGTTACGGGGCTTCCAGGGTAGAGTCCATGGGGCAAGAGAGCTGACATTTATGCTGGATGTTTCTCAGGCCTGCAACCAGGATACTTATATTTAATCACATTATAATCAAGGTAATGCATGTACATAATTAAAAATCAAATTACTCTGCCCTCCAAAAAAGGCTTAAGATTTTATATATATATATATATATATATATGGAGAGACAGAGAGAGAGATTTCTTGTCCTTGTCTCATTCCCCAGGGAATAACCTTTGGGTCGTTTTATAGATGGTTGTCACCATTTATAAAATGAATTTGGACGTGTTCTCCCCTCTTCTATTTTATGAAAGAGATTGAGTAAAATTGGTCTTATGTATTTCTTCTTAAAATATTTATTCAAATTTTCGAGTGAAATTATCTGGGCCTAGACAATTCTTTTTCAGAAGAGTTTCAACTACAAAGTCAACTTGTTTTATACAGATTGTCTATTTAATTTTGAGTGAGTTTTGATAATTTTTGGTATTCAAGGAATTGGTCCATTTTTTTTTATTTATGTATTTTTTGAGACAGCGTCTTGCTGTGTTGCCCAGGCTGGAGTGCAATAGTGTGATCCTTGGCTCACTGGAACCTCTACCTCCCACTCTCAAGCCCCTGAGTGGCTTGGACTACAGTTGCATGCCACCACCCCCCGGGAAAATTTTTTATATTTTTTGTAGAAATGGGATTTAACCATATTGCCCAGACTGGTCTCAAACTCCTGAGCTCAAGCCGTCCGCCCACCTCAGCCTCCCAAAGCACTGGAATTACAGGCATGAGCCACCATGCCCAGCTGGAATTGGTCCATTTCTTTTAAGTTGTCAAATTTATGAACATAAAATTGTTCATAATATTCTCTCATTATTATTTGAATGTCTGCAGTGTTTGTAGCAATATGCCTTCTTTCATTCGTATGCTAATAAGTTGTGCCTCTTCTCCTTTCATCTTCATCGATCTTTTAGAAGTTTATCTTTTTAAAGAACTAGCTTTTGGTTTTATCAATTTTTCTCTATTAGTTTTATATTTTAAATTTTATTTATTTCTGGTCTTATCTTCATTATTTTCTTGCTTCTGCTTGCTTTGGGATTATTTTATACTTCTTTTCCTAGAGTCTGGAGATAAAATCTTAGATTATTTATTTGAAATTTTTCTTCTTTTCCAACATTAGCCTTTAATTCCATAAATTTCCTCTCAGCACTCTACCCACGTTCTGTAGATATAATATGCTGTATTTTCATTTTTCCTCAGTTCAAAATATTTCCTGCCTTCCCCTGAAATGTACATCCCGCTTTGTTTAGGTGGAGAATTTTATAAATGTCCATTAAATTCATTTGGTTAAAGGTTCAGTTCAGATCTTCTCTATCCTTGCCGATTCCCTTTCCATTAGTTCTATCCATTACTGAGAGAGTTGAAGTCTCAAAACTATGCTTGCAAGTTTGTTTATTAATACTTTATTTCTGACAGTTTTTGCTTTATTTTTTTAAGCTCTGTTTTTAGTTTTTATACACCTTGAATGTTATGTCTTCTTGGTAAATTGACTCTTATGGTTATGGAATATCCCTCTTTGTCCCTGGTAATTTTCTTTGCTCTGAAGCCTATTTTGATATTAATATAATCATTCCAGCATTAGATTAAAGCTTGCATGGTCTATATTTTTCCATTCTTTTACTTTTAATCTGCTTGTATCATTATCATTATAGACAGCATATAATTGGGTCATATGTTTGTTTATTCATTCTGAAAATCTATGTGTCTTAATTGGATGCTTAGACACTTTACATTTGATGTAATTATTGATATGTTTGGATTTAGGTTTACCATTTTATATTTTATTTCTGTGTATTACCTCTGCTTTCCATTTCTTTGTTCCTCTTTCCAGCTTTCTTTTGGGATAGTTGAACATTTTTAAAATATTCCATTTTTATTTATCTGTTGTATTTTGACCATACCTCTTTGTTTTGTTTCAGTTTTGTTTCTCTGTTTGTTTGTTTTTGTGGTTGCTCTAAGGATTACAGTAGACATATTTAATGTTTAAAAATCTATTTTTAATCAATGTTGTACAACTTCAAGTGGGATGTATAGACCTTACAGGAATATACAGGAATCAAATAAACAAAAGAAGTGCAAACTTATACTCTGAAAACAACAAGCATTATTGAAAAAAATTTCCAAATCTCTAAATAAATGGGAAGACATCCTATGTTTATGGATTGCAAGATTTAATATTGTTAAGTTTTGTTAAGATACTACCAAAAACAATCTACAGATTCAATGCAATCCCCATTAAAATTCCAGTTGCCTATTTTGCAGAACTTGACAAGCTTCTAATAAAATCCATATCAAAATACCTGGAATGCAGGATAGCCAAAATAGTTTTTACAAAGGAGAAAAATGTTGGAGGACTCGCACTTCCCAACTTCACAACTTATTACAAAGCTATAATAATAAAGACAGTGTGGTACTAACATACAGATAGACATAAAGATCACTAGAACAGAACTGAGAGACCAGAAATAAACTCTCACCTTTATGTACAACTGATTTTCATCAAAGATGCTAAGACAATTTATTGTGAAAAGAATCGTCTCTTCAAATGGTGTTGGGACAACTAGATATCCACATGAAAAAGAATAAAGTTGGATCCCTATCTCACACCATATTCAAAATTTAACTCAAAATGAATGAAAGACCTAAACGTAAGGCTTAATTCTATAAAATGTTAGAAGAAAGCATAGACATCAATTTTTGTCACCTTGGATTAGGAAATGATTTCTTATGTAAGATACCAAACCACAAGCAACAAACTAAAAATAAGTAAATTGAACTCTAACAAACTTAGAAACTTTCGTGCTTCAAAGGGTAATATTAAAAAGTAAAAATGCAATCCACAGAATGACAGAAAATATTTGCAAATTATGTATATAATAGGTTACTTGTACCTGGAATAAACAAAGAACTCTTACAACTCAGTAATAAAAAAAGCCCAATTAAACGTGGTCAAAGAATCTTAATATAAATTTCTTTAAAGAAGATATATAAATAGGCAATAAACTTATGACAGTATGCTCAACATCATTAGTGATCAAGGAAATGCAAATCAAAACCACAATGAGATACTACTCCACATATTAGGATGGTTGTAATTTTAGAAAGTCGGAAAACAATGTGTTGATGAAGATGCGGAAAATTTTGAGCCTTCATACATTGCTGGTGGAAATGTAATACAGTGCAGCCACTTTTCAAAACAGTCTGGCAGCTCCTCAAATCGTTAAACATGAAGAGAAATAAAAACATATGATTACACAAAAACTTGTATTATACAGACATTTTTAATGGCAACTTTATTCACAATAGCCAAAAAGTAGAAACAATCCAAATGTCCATCAATTAATGAATAGATACATAAAATGTTAGATATCCATACAGTGAAATATTACTTGACAAAAAAAAAGAAATGACATACTGATACATGCAACAACATGGATGAACTTTAAAGCATTATGCTAAGTGGAAAAGTCAATTACAAAATATCATGTATTATATAATTCTATTTATTTATATGACATGTTCAGAATCCTCAAATCTAAAAAGATGGAAAGTAGATAAGTGGCTGCTTAAAGTAGGGGAGGGGGATGATGGAGCATGGCAATAGACATGAAGTTTCCTTTTGTGGTGAGGACAATGTTCAAGTTTGATTGTGGTCCTGTGTTAGCATTCTACAGAGAAACAGAACCAATAGGAGATATAGATGATAGAGATAGATGGATAGATGATAGATAGATAGATAGATGGATAGATAGATAGATAGATAGACAGGTAGATAGAGATTGATAGCTAGATGATTGATGATTGGTGTATTGATGATTGGTTGATTGACTGATTGATTGATGCCCCAGTGTTGTCAATTTTACTGTGCTTTCTGGGCTATGTTCACAACAGAAGAAAATGCTAACTTTCAGTAAAATGTTAGTAAAATTAATGGTATATGTTTTTTCCTATATATATCTGAATATAATAAATATTTATATATATATAAAGAGAGACAGAGATATAGAGATATTTATTGTGGGAATTGGCTCATAAGATTATGGAGGCTGAGAAGTCTCAGAATCTGCAGTATAACCTGGAGACTCAGAAAAGCTGACGTTTAATTCCATACTAATTTGAAGGCTTGAGAAGCAGGGTGGGGAGCTGGGGGATGGAAGGCCACTGTTGTAAGTCCAGGAGTCTGAAGGCCCCAGAGCCAGAGCTTAGATACTTGAGGGCAGAAGAAGATGGATGTCTCAGCTCACGAAGAAAATTTGATCTTTCTCTTTCTCTCTGTTTTTGTTCTATTTAAGCCCCAACAGATTCAAATGATGACTACCTATTATGGTGACAGTGAGTCTTCTTCACTTTGTCCACCAATT
Organism: Homo sapiens; assembly: GCF_000001405.40. Classification (NCBI taxonomy): domain Eukaryota; kingdom Metazoa; phylum Chordata; class Mammalia; order Primates; family Hominidae; genus Homo; species Homo sapiens. The sequence goes on along the minus strand of NC_000010.11, from coordinate 44,127,704 downwards.
CAAAGTCTAATTTCTTCTGGAAACACCCCCACACACACCCAGAAATAAGGTTTTTACCAGCTATCTGGGCATTCCTTGGCTTAGTCAAGTTGACACACAAAATTAACCATTACAGGTGCTTAGTGCATAATTTTGTAATTGTATTAAAAACTATTGAATTATACATTTTAAATGGACGAATTGTATTATATGCAAATTATATCTGAATAAAGCTGCTATAAAAAGGTTTCTGTTGGCGAAAAAGCCCCAGTGCTGTCAATCCTACTGTGCTTTTCGGACTGTGTTCACAACAGAAGGAAATGCTAACTTTCAGTTAAATGGTGGTAAAAATAACGGTATATATTTTTTTCCCATTGGTTTCACAAATCCCTGAATTCAATTTAAGATCCTCTGCTTTAGAGCAATTGTTCTCAAACTTTAGCTTGCACTGGAAGAACTTGTTCTATAACAGATCTCTGGACCCCATACCCAGGCTTTCTGACTCAGTGGGTCTGGAATGGAGCCCAATAATTTGCAATGCCAGCAGGTTCCAGGTGATGCTGCTGCTGCAGCTGTTAAAAATCCACACCTCAAAAATCACTGCTGTAAAGGAAAGGTGGGGAAAAATTTTTAACCCTCATTTGCCATACAAAGCTCTTCAAACAGAACCATTCATTCTGAAATATTGGCTTTCTCTGGCTCTCTTCTCTCCAAGGGCTTTTCTGGATGGGTCTATTCTATTTACAGGACCATGAATACAGACTTCCAGAATGGACAAATTAGTCAATTGTGCTTTTTCTTGAAGCCAGAGAAAGTTTAGCCAGCTCTTCTAAACACAGGGGCATGCTGGTACTGTGAGGTTTTCACGCTTTCGTTAACTCAGATACGTTGATGATTGTCACAGCTCCTTTTCAGTCAAGACTTAGGTGACTTCTAGGCTTCACTCATCCTGCCTTGAGAGAGGAACAAAAGAAAAACCCACCTGCTCTACCTAGTGACTCCTGCAGAGAGCTCATCTCATCAACCACACAGACACAGCCTGCTGCTGCCTGGAGTTCCCTTTTGGCTTCATAATTCCCCAGCCGCAATCCACATGTCCAAAAGCAGGAACAATTTTGTCAAGGCAATGGCAGAGAAGTGTTACGTCATCCAACCCCATTGTGATAAAAAAAAGGAAAATCAGACATTGCTCTTTGGCCTTTTTCGATTTTCTGTCACTCCAGAGCCCTGTTGTTCTTAATCATGCCTTCCCACGCGGTTTGATTCTTCTCTCTCCACTTCCCTCCTGGACTTGTCTCTGTAGGAACATCACATTCCTCCCCTCCCATGTACTAGGCAGAGAAGCTTTTTTCTTCCTCATGAAAACTAGGCATGGGCCCAAAACCCAGGTCCTGGAAGCTCATTTCTATCCCCTCAATAGGCTTATTAAACCATTTCCCCAAAAAAGCCAAGTCCCTTCTGAATAAAGAATTCTTGTAACAATTGCTAAAAATGAGAAAACATTTCTTCCATTTATTTCTTCTGAGTCTCAGAAGAAACATGTGTTTTCAGGTTCCAGGGACATTTCACTCTGGCCTTCAGTGTTGAGTAAGAGGTAATAGCCCCAGATGGCTAAACCCACATGAGTGTGGAATTTGTGGTAAGTGTTGTTATTGCTCATAGATCTTTGGAGTTCCCTGTGGCCCCTCCTCCATCTATTAAGAAAGCATTATGCTGGTGGATGGTACGGGGTGGCAGGCCAGGCCCTCCTTCCCCATCTCCTCCAGGAGAACATCTTTGGGGCCAGTCATCCCCACCCCTTTAACTGAGTTAAACAGGGAATCTACACACCTTCAGCAACTGCCATATATGAGAGCTTGGAGGGCTGTACCCCAAATCACTCAATGGCAGTCAGTGGAGGGTTCCAGCACTCATTTCTGAGATGAATTAGGCAAATGGTCCCCAGAAAAAACATGTGCATACAGGGAAGAGCTCCAGCAGGGAACAGGCCCTGCACCTTGTTCTCTCAGAGCGTATCAGAGGCTGTGAGGATGATAGTAGAGGCAGCTCTCTGTGGAGAACAAGGGCGTTCCAGGCACAGTCAAGGAGATCCTGGCCTTGATGTGAGATGACAACTGTCACTCATTTATTTCACTGTTTGTATGCCACAGTCATCCAATAATTGTTACTATTTTCACTTTAAACAGATATCTTTTAGGCCAATTAAAATAAGAAAAATAAAAGATTTTCTTTTACCTTCATTTATTTCTTCTCCAACTCTCTTCCTTTCTTTATGTAGATTTGAGTTTCTCACCTATATAATTTTCCTTCCACCTGAGGAATTTGTTGGAGGACAGGTTTGCCAGTAATGAGTTGCTTTACTTTTTGTTTGAGAAAGTTTTTATTTCTCCTTAATTTCGAAGGATAATTTTACTGGATACAGATAAGAGGAGCTGTGCATCTCACTGTTGAAGTGGACCTTACAGATAAGCAAAGGAAGAGTGCAAATGACCCATGCGTGGTAGTATATTATGGTTGGAAAAATCAATATGAACTAATGTTTAACTTAATAAAGATGCAGATACAAAAATACAGACATATGAGGTCAAGCATGGTGGCTCACACCTATAATCCCAACACTTTGGGAGGCCAAGGCAGAAGGATCGCTTGAGGCCAGAAGTTTAAGACCAATCTGGACAACATAGCACAAACTTGTCTCTACTAAAAATAAAAAATTAACCAATCTTGGTGGAGTGCTTGCAGTCTCAGCTACTCAGGAGGCTGAGGTGGGAGGATTGCTTGATCCCAGGAGGTTGAGACTGCAGTGAGCTATGATTGCACCATTACACTTCAGCCTGAGTAACAGAGTGAGACCCTGTCTCAAAACAAGACATGAAAATATTTATAAATATATATGTGTGTATAAACATGTTATTATATACATATTTATATTTCCTTGCTGTGTCAGCTAAGAGCACTAGAAGCAAGGACATCTCAATTTCAACGAGCACAGCTCATACCCATATCTTGGTTTCTAAAACCATTCTCCAGTAAAAGGATTCATGATTTCTTAGGAAAATGGTTGATTCTAAGGCAGAAGAGCAATTACCTAAGAGGAGCCCAGAGCATCTTGTAGTGCCAGAAAGTAAGAAGGTGCTCAAACAAAACTACTGCAAGGGAGTGCAGCAAAGGGCACAAGAGCCAAACAAAAGAGCTCTGCACGGCCACAGCTGGAGCAATGAAATAGAGTCGCATTGAATTACAACCCAAAGTGCACAATAATTATACATGAGTGCATATTGATATAAATACATGACTGAATAAGTAAATAAATGGGGGAAAAGAAGCAAATCTACTGTACAGAAGAATTTCAAATAATTTCGGTAGATAGCTCTCAAAGAGGTGGAGCATAACTCCCACTCCTTAAGTGTGGGCTGTGGTAGTGTGGAAGTGTGGCAGTGACTTTCTTCCAAAAAACTACAGTACAAAAGAGAAAAATGAGTAAATTTACGTCACAGAAACCTGCGAAGTATCACCTCAACCAGGTGCTCAAGGTCAACATCAACAGTGACAAGTCATGTTGATAGCATGGATCCCTGACACAATGTCATTAAAATAGTCCTTACCCCTGTTGGGCTTCTCCCCAAAGCCCATCACCTCATCAGTCTAATCATGGGAGAAACTTCAGACAGACTCCCATAGAGGATTAGCCTACAACGTACCTGACTAGTACTCCTCAATATTGTCAAGATCATCAAAAACAAGGAAAGCCTGAGAAGCCATCACAGTCAAGGAGAGCCTAAGGAGATCCTGTGACTAAATGTAACACAGTATTCATCCGCAGTGGGATCCTGAACACATAAAGGACATTAGATAAAAACAAAGGAAATACGAACAAAGCATGGACTTTAGTTTACAATAATGAATCAATTTTGTTCACAATTTATTAATTGTTCAAACATGTCATATTAATATAGGATGTTAACAGTAGGAAAAACTGGGTAGGAAGTATATGGGAACTCTCAGTACCATCATCACAATATTTTTGTAAATATAAAATTGTGCTCATTTAAAATCTAAAATTTGAGGATGAAATTACTGAGCAGATGTGCAGTTAGCCCTGGCCTCCCTGCAGAGATTTGGCTCCTGGGGTCTGTTTTCCTCCTGGCCACTGACTGGCCTGATGTCCCCATGCACACCCACACTTAGCAGTTTCCCAGCAGGGCTCCGTCAGTTTCTCCTCTCCAGCCTGCTCCTCCTCGGGGCTATTGAACAACGTTAGTCACATCCCCAGTCTCCAGGTCCCACAGTTAGAAGGGCAGAGTCCTCCTAGTTCCTTCTTTCCTTATCTTCTTCATCCTTGTTCTCATAGATCTACCCCAGCCCAGGCCTCCCTGTTCCAGACTGCCCATCCCTTCTCTGTGCTAATTCACGTCATTCAACCTCCCCTGCATTTGAAGTCCTCAAGGTGTGGGCCTGCCTCCCTCTCCAGGCTTTTTCTCCAGTGTTCCTCCTGCTCATCTGGACCGCTGGCTCCTCTGCTGCATGGCCCATGGGGCCGTTTCCATTTCTTTGAATGCATACATTCTTCTGTCTGAAATTCCACATGACCACATCCACTGATCTTCACTGAAAGCTCCCTTTTCCACTTAATCTCCCCTACCTCCACACACTCAAAGTAGATGACCCCCTTCTGAAGCCCCAAAGGTCTGCATCTCTCTCTCTCTCCTCTAATAGCACATTTCATTTTCTTCCAGACTATGCATTGTATTGTGCATCTTATCTAAGCTGCCTTTGGGGCAGGTTCATCTCTGCACCCATATGTTCCCGAGGCCACACATTTTACATGGTGACACTCAGGAAGGAATGCACAGGTGAATGAATGAACAAATGAATCAATTGCATCCTAGAGCTAGAAGCAATCTCAGAGGTCATCAAGCCCAGCCCCAAGAACCCACATTTCATCCCAAAGGTGAGGGAGACTCTCAGAGAAAGGAAACGAGCCACTCAAGGTCACTTCCCTTATTTAGAGCAGTGTCAGCACTAGATGACAGCTGAGTTATTTCCAAAAGAATGTCAGGCTTGAAGTTGTAGAATCAGTTTGGAATCCCAAACTATGGGTCTCTGTGATTGATACATAAACAACAAATAACAGTTAATGTTGATTAAATTATTGTCAGGTGCAGGTGCTCTGCCAGGAGCTCTAGGTAAGCTATGTCATTTGATCCTCAAAACAGATTCTATAAGTTAGGGTTACTTTTGACCCCACTTTATAGATGACTCTGAGTCTTAGACTAAGCAGCTTTTCCAAGTCACACACTTGTTAAATGTATGAGAAAGGTTTGAGCCTAGGTAGTCACACATGAGATGCCATACTCTGGACCAGCACATTAAGTCACTCTATCCACCTCAATTTCACCCTCTGGAAAACAAGTGTAATAAGAGTATATGACCATCATGGGATACAACATATATGAAATAGAATGTGCTGAATTCTCTGTCATTCAATTAAGACTCTGGACACCTGAGTATCTGTCTCAGCTCTTGCACCTCAAGCAGTTTGGGAGGAAGTACAACCCTTTGCTTCTCTGTGCATCGGTTTCCACATCCATAAAGTGACGAGTTTGACCAGACTGTATTCAAAGTTCCTCTCTGCTGTGTCCCAGGCATCTTCATGCTGGGTCCTCTGGTTTGGACATGCTAATATTAAGTTGTTTGCTTTGTACTGGGTCATATGCTCACTGATATGTCATGCTATTTGCATGACATACAATGTTCACTGACATGCCAGGCTTGCTTCAAGTTTTATACATGAGACCAAAGCTTCTCATAAAATGTCTCTTCAGTGCTTATTATCATTTAAGGTAGGAGTCATTCTTGGAAATATTTTTTTCTGTTTTTTAATAAAAAATGTTATTTTGGGCTGGGTGCAGTGGCTTACGCCTATAATCCCAGCACTTTGGGAGGCTAAGGCAGGCAGATCACCTGAGGTCAGGAGTTCGAGATCAGCCTTGCCAACATGTTGAAAGCCCATCTCTACTAAAAATACAAAATTAGATGGGCATGGTGGCAGGCACCTATAACCCCAGCTACTCAGGAGGCTGAGGCAGGAGAATCACCTGAACCCGGGAGGCAGAGGTTGCAATGAGCAGAAATTGTGCCATTGCACTCCAACCTGGGCAAAAAGAGAGAAACTTTATCTCAAAAATTTAAAAAAAATGTTATTTTGCACAAAATTGCCCTTAGTTACTAACATTAGAACTAAAAAATATCTCTTTGAGATTGCTCCATGAAGTACAAATAAATATGCTTTATTAGTTTTAGTAACTAAATAGTACATATAATATTAATTTGCCTAAATTTTACTTTGTTTCTGCTACTTTTAGTTAAATATTGTTTGAAACATTTTTCTTGATTCAACATAGTTGTATAATTTAGTAGTTGCATAAAATTATATTGTACTGAAGTATCATAATTCATTAAACGTCAGTGTTGGGTATTTAGGTTATTTCCAATTCTCCGTGGAATTAAATACAAATTTGTAAAACATTGGCTTTCTGGGCTAGATTTGAGCATCTAAAATTGGCAACAATATGAAGTCTAATTTTTCAGATTCTGAAAGAAAGGACCCTATTATCATCCAGTCGTGAGGTTCCCATATATGGGTCTGTGTTAGACCCAAAAACTCAAACTTCATGGGCAATGAGTTGGTGTGTAATAATTTTTAATTTACTTCTTTATCATCCATCTATTCCATTTATCTAAATATTTATTTTAGGCATGCTGTCTTTTAAGCATTCTGCTGGGTTCCAATGATATGGGCAGAATATCTTCCCCTACATTATGGAACTTCTAATCTATTTGGGGAAACAGATAGTACTGCAGTAAAACACATATGCATGAGAGAGAGTGCATGCAGAAAGAGAGTCTAGCAATGTATGAATCAGTTAGTATGTACTTACCTTGGATAAGTTAGGTAACGTCTCCTGTACTTCAGTCTCCTCATCTGTAAATAAAAAATAATAATAGTTAATATGTATGAAATGTTTAGAAGAGTTCTTGGCACATATTATCACTCAATGCATGTTAGCTATTGTTGTTTGTATTAATTTTTCATTGCTGCACAACAAATTATCACAAAATGGCTTAAAACAGCAAGCATTTGCTATCTTCCATAGATCTGAGAGTAAGGAATCCAGAAACAGCTTAACTGGGTGGTGCCACTATCAGGGTCTTTTATGAAGCTGCAGTCAAGGTGTTGGCCCAGGGCTGCAGTCATCTGAAGGCTTGACTGGGACTAGATGGTGCACTCTATGGCTGTTGGCCGGAGGCCTCGGTTTCTTATCCTGGGGGTGTCTATGTAGGGCTGCTTGAGTGTCCTCACAACATGGCACCCACCTCCCCCTGGATCAGTGATGAGAGAGTAAGAGAGAAAAGAAGATGCAGTGGCTTGTATGACCTAGTTTTAAAAGTCACACACCATCACCTCTGCCCACATTTATTTGTTAAAAATGAGTCACTGAGTCCTGCTTTCATTTAACAAGAAGATAATTAGGGTTTACTTTTTGAAGACTGTCAAAGAGTTTGTGGACATTTGTGTTTGTAAAAGACCCAAAGATGCAGAAGGACCACTCACAGTGCCTGACTGTGAGAAAGTGTTTCCTCTCTCTACTTTTTTGTGCCCCTCCTGGTACAATAGTGCACGCCAAGAAGGCACTACAGAAAATTCATTTCTGTGATATCTTTGGTAAACCTCATGCTAGTTATACTAATCCAGATCATCTGTGTGCATCATCACCAGAAGCACATAGTAATTTTGGTTCCAGTTGTGTGTTAAATCAAAGCAAATAATAGATTGATGGCTTTAACTCTTTAAAACTCTTTTAAACCCAAGCCAGTTCAATTCCTTTTAGTACATCTCACTCAAATTTTTTTTATTTTACTCAAGAAGTATTTACATTTGAACCTAGAACAACACGGAACTGAGGGGCACCAACTCATCATGCAGTTGAAAATCCATGTTATAACTTTTGACTCCCCCAAAACTTAACTACTAAAAATCTGGCATTGACTTGAAGCCTTGCTGATGATATAGTCAATTAACACATATTTTATATGTATTATAGACTGTATTCTTCAATAAAAAAGGTAGAGAAAAGAAAAGTTCATTAAGAAAATCATAAGGAAGAAAAAATACATTTACAGTAGTGTACTGTATTTATCAATACCATAAGTTTATGTCATCTGTTTACAAGATGAATTATCTGCCTGAAGCGAAGAGCAACCACAGCTTCAGACCTCAGTCTATGGTATATATCAAGCAATTCGCCTTTTTCTTGTACTGTCAAGATTTTTTTCTGCTTCTTGGGAGCACTTCTAGCATCACTAGTGGCACTTCACGTGGGTCCCATGGTGTTATTGGTTTCCAGTATTGCACTAAACATGATGAAAAATACATGAGAACATCTAGAAATCACTTTTTTCTGCAATATGAAGTTTACTGGAGAGATGTCCTGCCCATGCTGAGATGATTAGTGTCACAGGGCATTATAAGCAGACACTGGCAACCCTTGAACTCACTGCAATAGCAACGGAAGATGGCTATGAAGTTATTATGGTGGTATAGTGTGTCCTACAGTTAATTTTATGCAGTTATGATTTAGTAATGCATCTTTACATTTGTTTACATTTCTCTGGACTAAGAATGGCACCATGTATGATCTGTAAGCATTTGTGTGCATGAGTTTTGACAAATTTTAACTTTTTATAAGATTTCCATAATTAATGGTAGTAAGTGATAAAATTGACTAGTATCTACATATATTTTGTGCATTCGTGACATACCTACCTTTTTCTTGTTTCGTCAATATTTTTAAGCTATGGAATTCAGCTGCATTTTTTAAAAAACTGTAGCAATTCTCCAAGTTTTCCAATGTATTTATTGAAAAAAAGTCCTCATGTAAGTGAACTTGCACAGTTCAAACCTGTGTCGTGCAAGGTTAAATTGCACAATGTCCTGAGAGACACAGGTAAGCCTGACAGTGAGAATCCACAGCAACAGGCTAGAGGCAACTTCCAAGTCCACTGGGCCAGGTTAGGAAGCACCTAGAACACCCTCTCCAGCTCTCCCCACAGCTGCATGGCTGACTTCACCTGGCCTTTAGTTTCCTCATAAACCTACTTCTTCAATCATGTTAGTCTTTTTGCGCAGGAGAATTCTGACCATTTTTATTATAATTTTTTCAATTTACATATTTACAAGGTTCCATATCCTTTGCATACTTTATCTTTAATCTTTATTTAAACTATCATAAACAAATATTACTAGCTCTCATTGGAAAGAAGACTGAGTCTCAGAGAAATCAAAGTAGTTGCACAAGATCACACAGCGACAGAACTAAGGTTCACGGTTAGGCTGGCTGGCCCCCTATCCCATGCTTCCACGAAGCTGCCATTTTTTGGAGCTTTATTTCAGAGCCACAAAACTACAGAATCCCACAGTCTTCTCTCAGGGATTACCCTCAGCTGTACCAGTTCCTTTTCCAAATCTTTCCCAGAAGCCCCCATGCACTACAGTAAGATGTCACCCATCACCCACACACAGAGTTGCCAGATAAAATAAAAATGTCCAGTTAAATTTGCATTTCATAAAAATCACAAATCATTTTGCTAGTATAACTGTCTAGGGCAATATTTTCACATCCTAGGACAGACTTAAGCTACAGAGTGGTTTCTTGTTTATCTGAAATGTAAATTGAACTGAGCACCCAGCAACAAACCCAGGCTTAACCCAGGCTAAGATGCATACGAGGCTCTTTCTCCTCACCAGCTGTGCAGATCCAAGCAGATTGTAACGTTTCTGATTTATTCACAAAATCACAGTGGATGTGGAGCCCAAAGTATGGAAGCCTCCAGTATTATGCCCCAACAATGAATAACTAAGTTGGATGTGCAGGAAGCTGGAGTTTCTGGTAACACTAAGAGAAATGTCCTTGGCTCCCCCATCTTGGGTAAAGGCAAGAGTAGAATGCTTCCCCTGTTCAGTTGGAGGCATTTCAAATGTGGAGACCAGGGTCTCTGTGGATTACTTGTAGCAAAGTCTTCGCCCCAAATTCACGTTCCTTTGTTACCCATATGGCCTGAAACAGCCCCACTGCCATTGGGTGTGCAATGACCTTGGATGGGAACCATGGGGTGTGCAACCCCATAGGACTCCTGATAAAGTGGACTCTGCCATAGGACCCCAGATAAAGTGAGTTTTCCCATAGGACCTCAGATAAAGAGAGCTCTTCCATATGACCCCAGATAAAGTGGGCTCTTCCATAGGACCCCAGAGAAAGTGGGCTCTTCCATAAGACTCCAGATAAAGCGGGCTCTGTGGCATTAGTTTGCTTTTGGTGTCAAACAAAGTTGGCCAGGACAGATGGAATGGCACCACCGCTATCCTACAATGTGCTTTGCCTGAATCCTGGCTGACCTTTCCATTGTCCCTTTTTTTGGTGAGCTGATAGCTGAAGAAATGGATGTGGCTCCACAGGCCTTCAGGCTGCTCCAGCCCTGTGTGACCCCTCTGCCTGCAGGTTCTATGCTAGCCCCTGCCTCTCTCCCCAGGGGTCTCTCAGATCTCCAAGGCTTCCTATACAGGATTTCCCTTCTGAGTCTGCTCTTCTTTCTTCTAGGGAACACCTACTGACATTTTGGGTATTTGCTGAAATGCTTTCTTATGGGAGGCCTGCACTAGGTTCTGCCCATTATGATTGGGTCAGCTTTGCCAACCATATGCTTTCATAGCCTCTGAGAGTATGCTTAATTAATTTTACATGACGGTGTATTTAACTTCTGGCTTTCCTGGTAGACTTTTAGTTCCTTGAGGGCAGATATCAGGTGTCTTTTGTTGTTGCTGCCTCCCTAGCACCAAGAACTATATAAAGGCCAATATGCTTACTAAGCATCAATGGAATGAAACAAATGGAAGCCTCTGTTGTTGGAGGCAGGCCACTCCAAACGCCCCTCTGCCTCCTCCCTTGCCTTCCCATCACCCTCGTGAGTCTCCCGTGTCTATGGCCCAGGGCACCGATGACCTCGTCTCTTCTCTCTTTGTCCTCTTGCACTGGAGAATAGCCTGGAGCCGCCCCTTTCTCAGCAGATGTTCAATACTCAGAGGGTTGTCACTCCCTAGTTTTGCTGTGTCCCTGGTCCTTGACCTCCTTAACGATTAGTAAAGGACATTGGATATGAAGAAAAGGGAACACATCTCACTTCAAAATCCCTGACTGTTCTTTTTTCTGTTAGTGCCACAAAGTTTCTTTGTCCCCTGAACTTTTCTCCTGATATCTGTACTCTGCCCTGTCTCTTCCAACCCATGGGCACACTTTGGCTCTCCCATAGCATTTTAAAACTTCAGCTAGAGCCCGTGACCCTAGGGTGAAGCAGCTTCTAGTGGTAATGAGATAACACCAATAGCACTTGACTTGTCAATAAGTCTGATTTGTTTGTTGTGCTTTTATTTTCTTTGTTTTTTTGCCTACAAATGAGATTATAGGGTTGTATATCAACAAATACACACTTTTAAAAAAATTTTACTCTCTTCTATTATAATAAGCTTCAAATCATTTTAATATTCATGAAGTCCTTTAGATCTGCCCTGGTCAATTTGGTGGCTATGAGCTACCTGCAGCCGTCTGAACTTAAATGCAAAGTAATTTAAATAAAAGTAAATTAAAAATCCAATTTTCCCAGGCTTACTAGCCACATTTCATATGGTCCCAGAACTGCTTCCACACTGGTGTGGGTCTGATGCATTCATTCATTGCCCTACAGATAGCCCTGAGTACTGGTTTTGGTGATCTGTTCAGTCCTCTCAGGGATAATTTCCATCAGGCAGCCCGAGCTCTTGCTTCTAATTGATTTACTCTTTCAAATTCAAAGCATGAGAGAAATGAGTCCACACAACGGTAGCTCTTTAACAATTTCCTGCAGACAAAGTTTGCTTATCCCAGAACAATCACCTTATTCTGGAAAAGAAAGGAGCTAGAAGCCGAGGACAGTGAGATCTCTTCTTCTTACAGGATGTGTGGTGATGCTAACAAGGAGTTTCCTGGAGATGTGGGCACCTCCTGTCCCTGCTGTGGTTTCGTATGCTGCCTCCACTTGACACCTCTCACCTGCACAGCAGACAGGGCTTTCCTCCTGGAAAGTGCCTCCTCGAAAAACTTTTCCTCCACTCTTTGGCTCTCAATCACGCTCCCTTGCCATAAATCAACTTCTGTCTCTCTAACAAAGAAAATTAAAAGCTATTTATTCTATGTGCTTATTAAGAGATAACTGATCTAGAATAAAGAAATTGAGAGATGAAGGAACAAATGAAATGAATGAATTTCCAGATTCCCTTCCCTGGCAGGTATTTCATCAGCAGTCAGTCTGTTCTCATATACGGGGTGACCACACACTGGGCTCCTCCCAAACCTTGATCATATATTGCACCAGAGAGAGAATCAAGCAGCATCCTGGCCAATCTTCTGACCTACGAAGGAAATACAAGAGGGCAGGGGTGCCATGCAGGTTGCAGCTTGTGTGCATCTCTGATAACAGATTTCTGGGGCTCTGGTCTATACTTGGACTTTCAGGCCAAACGGGAAACATATCCTCCAATTTTCCTATTCCCTAATGTTATTCAAAAGCAATCTGTTTAAAAGGAAGCAGGCTTGGGGACAGTCTCAGGGCTCCACTTGCATAGCATGTGAACTGTCTCCACTTGCAGGAGACAAGGCTGGCTGTTGGCCCTTCCCTACTTGCTGTCCCTACCTGTCTTTCCCAGTCTAGTGCTCAGACATATGGCGGGGGGAAGCAGAATCTCAGAGCAGCTCCTGACCCCTGTAAACATTGCACAGGTCTGGATGTGGAAAAAGACTCTTTGAAAGGAGACTGGGCAGAAACTGTTATCCCCATATGTCATGATTTTGAAGGCTGAGAATACTAGAGGGGATGTTATTGTAGGACAGGGAGGGTGATGATCATGGGTTAAAGGGCAGAGACCATGAGTTCAAGGGCAGTGACTGTAGTTCTAGACTAATGACCGTGGGCTCAAGAATAGTGATTATGAGTTCAAGGGTGGTAACCATGAGTTCAAGTATGGTGATCATGGCTTCAAAGCCAGTGACCATAGATTCAAGAGTAGTGACCATGAGTTCAAGGACAGTGACCATGGGTTCAAAGACAGTGAACATGGGTCCATGGCAATGACCATGGGTTCAAAGGTAGTGACCATAGGTTCAGGAATGGTGACCATGGATTCAAGGACAGTGATCATGGGTTCACTGGAAGAAGAGGGACACCTTCTAATATAGCTGGAGAGAAGAAAAAAAAAGATAAGCCAGACAGATTTTGAGTCTTCTCTAGATATTGGAAACCATAAATTTGTAGGGGGACCAGCCTAGGTAAATGGGTGCTCAGGAGCCTGTGGGCAATAGAGGGAAAGGAAGACATTTGTATGGGTTGAGTTATAGCATGCTCCCACATTCAAACCCACGCTGTAAGTCCTTGATTTTGTTGTTAGCTGAACTGGACTCCATGACCCTCAACTGCTGACCAGTGGGGAAAATGATAGTCTATGTTTTCAAGCATTCAAACTAATTGAAAGTTTATTCTAATCTTGTCATTTTAACAGTCCTTATGGGGGAAAGTGGAGGGCAAACCTTTTAGATAGCTTCCCCCTCCTTCATTCCCTGAGATGACTCCTGAGGATAGGAGGTGAGGTATGTGCAGAGAGGCCCCTAAGTGAAGATGGCCTTGATTTGTGATCCCAACACCCATATGCTAATGGTTCAGGCTTCTTGTTAATATTTTCTTCAAAAAAAGTTCCCATGATTTGGCTTTTGGTTTTGTCGACTAGTGGAAAAATGCTAGAGAGCTGTTCACTCTGTGATTGGAACAAAAGGATAAATTAAAATTCTGTTTGCTGGGGGGGGTAGGAGGCAGGTTACTGATCTGGTCTCTGTAAATGGTCAGGGTGCTGACAGCCTGGGGCTCCCAGGGAGATGTTAGGATGAGGGGTGCCGTCCTCTGCTGCAGCTGCTCTTATGTTCAGATTCCAGTTTGTGGCTCCCCTCTTTCTCATATCCTTGGATGTTCCTTGCTCCTTTCCATAACTGGGAAATTTGCTGAAACCTCATCAGCTTATGGCCTGACCTACCCAAGTCCATTCCATCCTCTTCTCTGGCAGATTTCTTCTCTTTGGGATTTCACTGATGAAATGAGAGGTAAAAACAAACAAAAAAAATGTATTCAGGCTTTCAGTTTTCATTATGTCTTACTAAAACTTTGAAAGTTGTAAAATATCTCCACAGATGCTCTGGCTCCAGCCCTCAAGTTTAGCCGTTTAGTGCTATAATTGCTGATTCTCAATTTCAATTTTTACTTTTGATTTAAACCATGAATGTGATATAAAGTTGTTTTAATTTTAAATGTCTATGTGGGGTTTTTTGTTTGCTTTGGAAGAGAATGAGAGATGGGAGTAGATTTTTTTTTAAAATGCTTTTCTAAATATATATAATTGTGTTGCAATGAAGGGATATGGATCAAAGTTCTCTGCCTTGGGGATTTATGGAGATGTCCTTTGTGTCCTAATCACAGTCTGTTTTATGACTATTCTTCAGGTATCTGAGAAGAATGTGTACTGATCTGTATATTTTACTGTGAAAAGCTTTCAAAATCCGCCCTTCAAGGGTTCTGCTTCTGGGGCCATGTTTGGAAATGCCACTCCCTCATGATTAGATAAAGATTCATTTATGTTGTTTTAGCACATACTGTTTTCAGGCTTTGTATTTAGAATTTTAATTAACTCTGCATTAGAGGTGGAGCCAAGATGGCCGAATAGGAAAAGCTCCAGTCTACAGCTCCCAGTTTGAGCAACGCAGAAGACGGGTGATTTGTGCATTTCCATCTGAGGTACCGGGTTCATCTCACTAGGGAGTGCCAGACAGTGGGTGCAGGACAGTGGGTGCAGCACACCGTGTGTGAGCTGAAGCAGGGCGAGGCATTGTCTCACTCGGGAAGCACAAGGGGTCAGGGAGTTCCCTTTCCTAGTCGAAGAAAGGGGTGACAGATGGCACCTGGAAAGTCGGGTCACCCCCACCCTAATACTGTACTTTTCCAATGGGCTTAAAAAATGGCACACCAGGAGATTACATCCCACACTGGGCTAGGAGGGTCCTACACCCACAGAGTCTCGCTGATTGCTAGCACAGCAGTCTGAGATCAAACTGCTAGGCGGCAGCTAGGCTGGGGGAGGGCCTCCTGCCATTGTCCAGGCTTGATTAGGTAAACAAAGCAGCCAGGAAGTTCCAACTGGGTGGAGCCCACCACAGCTCAAGGAGGCTTGCCTGCCTCTGTAGACTCCACCTCTGGGGGCAGGGCACAGACAAACAAAAAGACAGCAGTAACCTCTGCAGACTTAAATGTCCCTGTCTGACAGCTTTGAAGAGAGTAGTGGTTCTCCCAGCATGCAGCTGGAGATCTGAGAATGGGCAGACTGCCTCCTCAAGTGGGTCCTTGACCCACGAGAAGCCTAACTGGGAGGCACCCCCCAGTTGGGGCAGACTGACACCTCACATGGCCGGGTACTCCTCTGAGACAAAAGTTCCAGAGGAACAATCAGGCAGCAGCATTTGCAGTTCACCAAGATCCACTGTTCTGCAGCCACTGCTGTTCTGTAGCCATAGCTGCTGATACCCAGGCAAAAAAGGTCTGGAGTGGACCTCTATCAAACTCTAACAGACGTGCAGCTGAGGGTCCTGTCTGTCAGAAGGAAAACTGACAAACAGAAAGGACATCCACACCAAAAACCCTTCTGTACGTCACCATCATCAAAGACCAAAAGTAGATAAAACCACAAAGATAGGGAAAAAACAGAGCAGAAAAACTGGAAACTATAAAAAGCAGAGTGCCTCTCCTCCTCCAAAGGAATGCAGCTCATCACCAGCAAGGGAACAAAGCTGGACAGAGAATGACTTTCACGAGCTGAGAGAAGAAGGCTTCAGACAATCAAACTACTCTGAGCTACAGGAGGAAATTCAAACCAATGGCAAAGAAGTTAAAAACTGTGAAAAAAAATTAGATGAATGGATAACTAGAATAACCAATACAGAGAAGTCTTTAAAGGAGCTGATGGAGCTGAAAGCCAAGGCTCGAGAACTACGTGAAGAATGCAGAAGCCTCAGGAGCCAATGCAATCAACTGGAAGAAAGGATATCAGTGATAGAAGACGAAATGAATGAAATGAAGTGAGAAGGGAAGTTTAGACAAAAAAGAATAAAAAGAAACGAACAAAGCCTCCAAAAATATAGGACTATGTGAGAAGACCAAATCTACATCTGATTGGTGTACCTGAAAGTGACAGGGAGAATGGAACCAAGTTGGAAAACACTCTGCAGGTTATTATCCGGGAGAACTTCCCCAGTCTAGCAAAGCAGGCCAACATTCAGATTCAGGAAATACACAGAAAGCCACAGAGATACTCCTTGAGAAGAGCAACTCCAAGACACATAATTGTCACATTCACCAAAGTTGAAATGAAGGAAAAAATGTTAAGGGCAGCCAGAGAGAAAGGTCAGGTTACTCACAAAGGGAAGCCCATCAGACTAACAGCAGATCTGTCGTCAGAAACTCTACAAGCCAAAAGAGAGTGGGGGCCAATATTCAACATTCTTAAAGAAAAGAATTTTCAACCCAGAATTTCATATCCAGCCAAACTAAGCTTCCTAAGTGAAGAAGAAATAAAATCTTTTACAGACAAGCAAATGCTGAGAGATTTTGTCACCACCAGGCCTGCCGTACAACAGCTCCTGAAGGAAGCACTAAACATGGAAAGGAAAAACTGGAACCAGCCACTGCAAAAACATGCCAAAATGTAAAGACTGTCAAGGCCAGGAAGAAACTACATCAACTAACGAGCAAAGTAACCAACTAACATCATACTGACAGGACCAAACACACACATAACAATAATAATCTTAAATGTAAATGGGCTAAATGCTCCAATTAAAAGACACAGACTGGCAAATTGGATAAAGAGTCAAGACCCATCAGTGTGCTGTATTCAGGAAACCCATCTCATGTGCAGAGACGCACATAGGCTCAAAATAAAGGGATGGAGGAAGATCTACCAAGAAAATGGACAGCAAAAAAATGCAGTGGTTGCAATCCTAGTCTCTGATAAAACAGACTTTAAACCAACAAAGATCAAAAGAGACAAAGAAGGCTATTACATAATGGTAAAGGGATCAATTCAACAAGAAGAGGTGACTATCCTAAATATATATGCACCCAATACAGGAACAACCAGATTCATAAAGCAAGTCCTGAGTGACCTACAAAGAGACTTAGACTCCCACACAATAATAATGGGAGACTTTAACACCCCACTGTCAACATTAGACAGATCAACGAGACAGAAAGTTAACAAGGATACCCAGGAATTGAACTCAGCTCTGCACCAAGCGGACCTAATAGACATCTACAGAACTCTCCACCCCAAATCAACAGAATATACATTTTTTTCAGCACCACACCACACCTATTCCAAAATTGACCACATAGTTGGAAGTAAAGCACTCCTCAGCAAATGTAAAAGAACAGAAACGATAACAAACTGTCTCTCAGACTACAGTGCAATCAAACTAGAACTCAGGACTAAGAAACTCACTCAAAACCACTCAACTACATGGAAACTGAACAACCTGCTCCTGAATGACTACTGGGTACATAACGAAATGAAGGCAGAAATAAAGATGTTCTTTGAAACCAACGAGAACAAAGACACAACATACCAGAATCTCTGGGACACATTCAAAGCAGTGTGTAGAGGGAAATTTATAGCACTAAATGCCCACAAGAGAAAACAAGGAAGATCCAAAATTGACACCCTAATGTCACAATTAAAAGAACTAGAAAAGCAAGAGCAAACACATTCAAAAGCTAGCAGAAGGCAAGAAATAACTAAAATCAGAGCAGAACTGAAGGAAATAGAGACACAGAAAACCCTTCAAAAAATTAATGAATCCAGGAGCTGGTTTTTTTGAAAAGATCAACAAAATCGATAGACTGCTAGCAAGACTAATAAAGAGAAAAAGAGAGAAGAATCAAATAGACACAATAAAAAAAGGATAAAAAGGATATCACCACTGATTCCACAGAAATACAAACTACCATCAGAGAATACTACAAACACCTCTACGCAAATAAACTAGAAAATCTAGAAGAAATGTTCCTCGACACATACACCCTCCCAAGACTAAACCAGGAAGAAGTTGAATCTCTGAATAGACCAATAACAGGCTCTGAAATTGTGGCAATAATCAATAGCTTACCAACCAAAAAAATTCCAGGACCAGATGGATTCACAGCCGAATTCTACCAGAGGTACAAGGAGAAGATGGTACCATTCCTTCTGAAACTATTCCAATCAATAGAAAAAGAGGGAATCCTCCCTAACTTATTTTATGAGGCCAGCATCATCGTGATACCAAAGCCTGGCAGAGACACAACCAAAAAAGAGAATTTTAGACCAATATCCTTGATGAACAT
Source organism: Homo sapiens (assembly GCF_000001405.40). NCBI lineage: Eukaryota > Metazoa > Chordata > Mammalia > Primates > Hominidae > Homo > Homo sapiens. Next base: position 44,109,164 of record NC_000010.11, on the reverse strand, counting down.
TGATGCAAAAATCCTCAATAAAATACTGGCAAACCAAATCCAGCAGCGCATCAAAAAGCTTATCCACCATGATCAAGTAGGCTTCATCCCTGCGATACAAGGCTGGTTCAACATACACAAATCAATAAATGTAATCCAGCATATAAACAGAACCAAAGACAAAAACCACAAGATTATCTCAATAGATGCAGAAAAGGCCTTTGACAAAATTCAACAACCCTTCATGCCAAAAACTCTCAATAAATTAGGTATTTATGGGACATATCTCAAAATAATAAGAGCTATGTATGACAAACCCACAGCCAATATCATACTGAATGGGCAAAAACTGGAAGCATTCCCTTTGAAAACGGGCACAAGACAGGGATGCCCTCTCTCACCACTCCTATTCAACATAGTGTTGGAAGTTCTGGCCAGGGCAATCAGGCAGGAGAAGGAAATATAGGTTATTCAATTAGGAAAAGAGGAAGTCAAATTGTCCCTGTTTGCAGGTGACATGATTGTATATCCAGAAAACCCCATCATCTCAGTCCAAAATCTCCTTAAGCTGATAGTCAACTTCAGCAAAGTCTCGGGATACAAAATCAATGTGCAAAAATCACGAGCATTCTTATACACCAATAACAGACAAACAGAGAGCCAAATCATGAGTGAACTCCCATTCATAATTGCTTCAAAGAGAGTAAAATACCTAGGAATCCAACTTACAAGGGAAGTGAAGGACCTCTTCAAGGAGAACTACAAACCACTGCTTAATGAAATAAAAGACGACACAAACAAATGGAAGAATATCCCATGCTTATGGATAGGAAGAATCAATGTCATGAAAATGGCCATACTGCCCAAGGTAATTTATAGATTCAATGCCATCCTCATCAAGCTACCAATGACTTTCTTCACAGAATTGGAAAAAACTACTTTAAAGTCCATATGGAAGCAAAAAGAAAGCCTGCATCGCCAAGTCAATCCTAAGCCAAAAGAACAAAGCTGGAGACATCACGCTACCTGACTTCAAACTATACTACAAGGCTACAGTAACCAAAACAGCATGATACTGGTACCAAAACAGAGATATAGACCAATGGAACAGAACAGAGCCCTCAGAAATAATGCCACATATCTACAACCATCTGATCTTTGACAAAGCTGACAAAAACAAGCAATGGGGAAAGGATTCCCTATTTCATAAATGGTGCTGGGAAAACTGGCTAGCCATATGTAGAAAGCGGAAACTGGATCCCTTCCTTACACTTTATACAAAAATTAATTCAAGATGGATTAACGACTTACATGTTAGACCTAAAACCATAAAAACCCTAGAAGAAAACCTAGGCAATACCATTCAGGACATAGGCATGGGCAAGGACTTCATGTCTAAACACCAAAAGCAATGGCAACAAAAGCCAAAATTGACAAATGGGATCTAATTAAACTAAAGAGCTTCTGCACAGCAAAAGAAACTACCGTCAGGGTGAACAGGCAACCTACAGAATGGGAGAAAATTTTTGCAACCTACTCATCTGACAAAGGGCTAATATCCAGAATCTATAATGAACTCAAACAAATTTACAAGAAAAAAACAAACAACCCCATCAAAAAGTGGGCGAAGGATATGAACAAACACTTCTCAAAAGAAGACATTTATGCAGCCAAAAGACACATGGAAAAATGCTCATCATCACTGGCCATCAGAGAAATGCAAATCAAAACCACAATGAGATACCATCTCACACCAGTTAGAATGGCAATCATTAAAAAGTCAGGGAACAACAGGTACTGGAGAGGATGTGGAGAAATAGGAACACTTTTACACTGTTGGTGGGACTGTAAACTCATTCAACCATTGTGGAAGTCAGTGTGGCAATTCCTCAGGGATCTAGAACTAGAAATACCATTTGACCCAGTTATCCCATTACTGGGTATATACCCAAAGGACTATAAATCATGCTGCTATAAAGACACATGCACACGTATGTTTATTGTGGCACTATTCACAATAGCAAAGACTTGGAACCAACCTAAATGTCCAACAACGATAGACTGGATTAAGAAAACGTGGCACATATACAACATGGAATACTATGCAGCCATAAAAAATAATGAGTTCATGTCCTTTGTAGGGGCATGGATGAAGCTGGAAACCATCATTCTCAGCAAACTATTGCAAGGACAAAAAACCAAACACCGCATGTTCTCACTCGTAGGTGCGAATTGAACAATGAGAACACATGGACACAGGAACGGGAACATCACACTCCAGGGACTGTTGTGGGGTAGGGGGAGGGGGGAGGGATAGTATTAGGAGATATACCTAATGCTAAATGATGAGTTAATGGGTGCAGCACACCAACATGGCACAGGTATACATATGTAACAAACCTGCGCATTGTGCACATGTACCCTAAAACTTAAAGTATAATAATAATAAAATAAAATAAAGTAAAAATTAACTCTGAATTAAATCTGGCATGAGATAGGGGTCCGCATTCATTTTTCTTTCCAAATGGTTATCCAGTCAATTGGGACTTCTAAATGATCAAGCCATCTTCACCTTTCACCCAATTTCTTGCAAGAATAAATTCTGTCAACACACGTGTGTCTATTTCTGAATGATACAATGTATTTTATCTCTGTTAATAATATACTTCCTCATTACTCTTATATAACAATTTCTTAACTGGTAACATTTGTGTTTTTATTTTTTGTTAGGTTTTAAAAAAGTAGTCATGAGACACATTTGGTTGGAATTGTTTTAAATATATGGAAAAATAAGGAGAATCAACACCCTCAATAATATCTTTCCTTTGAGACATTTAATCGCAAGTCCCTAATCACTGATGCTTATACATAACACTGACCAGTGTCCCTGAAAAAATGTGTTCTACGGAAATATTAATTATAGATAGTGATAAAAGAGGAATGTGTCCTATACATACTGCTTTCACCTTACATTTTACCTAAGCCCATTTTAGATAAACTGGAACTATTTTCTCATTAATAGTCATAAATTAGAAGTAAGCCCAAAAGACCAGTGGACCTGGTATCCAATTTCAAACCAAAAGAATGAATTAAGATCAACTTCTCTAAACTCCAGATTAGCCACCTGCCAACATTTAATTGACTTAGATCTAACACTTGTGTTCTGCAGGTCAACTCATTTAGTTACCAGAATGTACATTTTTGCAACCAATTTATCTTGGAAGTTTCATTAGGAAATGGCATTGCTTAAAATTAATCATTTTCTGGATGAGTTATCGGAAGGTTTTATGGCCACGGTGAGTGACCGTAAATACTTACTCAGAATGTTTCCAACATGACTGCAGCCACACTTCACGGTTCTGAACTCTGAAGCCCCAGCCCCTATTTGTCCTGTGTTTCAAGCATATCCAAGCTGTTTTCTTAGTCCTGCTCAAATGTGGTTCTTTGTTCCACTGCTGAATAAGGACTGAATGGTCTTTTTCTCAGGAACAAATCTTTTCAGGCACTATAATTTTCTTAAGACAACCCACCATTTGTGTTTTTGAACATTTGGATCTAATATCCTTTGGGACACACATCCATTTCGCTCCAAGTTTTTCCATATTATCGCTTTAAACTGCTTCTCAAAATGTGCCCCAAATGCTATGGTGAGACATGTTTCCTGGGCCTCTGTTGTCTTTTATGATACCTTTGTGCAAATTAGACAAAAGAGACCCTCTGGATGGTCTCCACAAAAGCATGGCTTGGAGAGCTGACTATACATTTTTTTAAATTGTGGTAAAATACTGATAACATTTATCATCTTAACCATTTTTTAGTGTACAGTTCTTAGTGTTAAGTATAACCACATTGTTGTGCAACCAATCTCCACATCATTTTCATCTTGCAAAACCAAAACCCTGTATCCATTAAAGAACTCCCCACTTTGCCTCTACCCAGCCCCTGGCAACCACCATTCTACTTTTTATGAATGTGACCACTCTAGGTACCTTATTATAAGTGGACTCATACAGCATTTGTCTTTTTGTGATTGTCTTATTTAATTTAGCAAGATGTCCTCAAGGTTCATCCATAACATAGCGTATGTCAGAATTCCCTTCCTTTTTAAGAATAAATAATATTCTATTCTGTGTATATACCACATTTTGTTTTTCTGTTCATCCGACAATTGCTTCCACCCTTTCGCCATTGTGGATAATGCTTTATGGACGTTAATGTACAAATATCTCTTTAAGACCATGCTTTCAAATCTTTTGAGATCCTGCTTTGAATCTTTTAGCTGTATATTCAGAAGCAGTATTGCTGGATCCCATGATATTTCTGTTTTTAATTTTTTGATAAACCACCATACTGTTTCCACAGCAGCTGCACCATTTTACATTCCCGCCAAGAGTGCACAAACGAAGGTTCCAATTTCTCTGCATCCTCAGCAACACTTCTTATTTTCTGTATTTGTTGTTGCTGTTTGTTATTTTATAGTAGCCAGGGTGTGAGGTGACATCTCATTGTGGTTTTGTTTTGCATTTCCCTAATGATCAGTGACATTGAGCATCTTTTCATAGGCTTGTTGGCCATTTTGTATCTGCTTTTAATAATGTCTATTCAAGTTCTTTGAACATTTCTTAATCAGATTGGTTGTCTTCTTTATCATTGAGTTGTAGGAATTCTTTGTATGTTCTGGATATTAACTTCTTATTAGGTGTATGGTTTACAAACATTTTCTCTCATCCCATTAATTACTTTTTTACTCTATTGATTGTGTCCTTTGGTGAACAGAAGTTTTTAATTTTGATGTAGTCCAGTTTATCTATTTTTGCTCTCTATTTGCCTGTCTTTTCGGTGTCATACCCAAGAAGTCATTGCCAAATTCAACAACATGATGCATTTGCTATTTCTTCTAAGAGTTTTGTAGTTTTAGCATTATGTTTAGGTCTTTAATCCCTTTTGATTTAATTTTTGTATATGGCATGAGGTAAGAGTTCAACTTCATTCTTTTGCATATGAATATGCATTTTTCCAATAAACATCATTTGTTGGGAAAACTGTCCCTTCTTTCATCAAATAATCTTGGCTCCCTTTTCAAAAATTATTTAACCATATATGTGAGGGTTTATTTCTGGACTTTCTACTCTAGCCTATTGATCTACACCAGTTTGATGTACCACACCACTTTGATTACTGTAGTTTTGTGATAAGTTTTGAAATCAGGAAGTATGAGACCTCCAACTTTGTTCATTTTCAATATTGTTTTGGCTAGAAGGGGGAGACTGCATTTCTAGCAAGCGAGAAAAATGCAGGCCTTCCCTCTGGGATGCAGCCCTGCACTGGAGCACCCAGCACACTTAGCAGAGCTGGCCCCTCACCTGAGAAATCGGGGAAGAGGGCCGCCTGCACTTCCAGATATGGAGGCCCTGCCACTCAGCAAATGCTGCTTGAAGATGAAGGACTCATTCATTCTTCTAAATCTGGTCAACTCTTCCCTTTACTGATGCCAGATTATCAGAGCTCTTACCGTTCTGATTAGACATTGAAATATACAGAGTTGCTTTGACGTTGTATAGATGGGCTTTAATTTCTCTTGCTTTTGTCTGGCTCCTGTAGTTTATGTCGAGGTGGGCTGCAGAGAGCAACTGGCAGCATTTGTTAATTATTCTTGCTGTAGGAGGTTAGCAAGGAGGTGGTCTCCTTACCACGACCCAAGGAGAAACTTCTCTCTGACATTAGTGCCCTGGAACAAATACCATCCCCAAGTACTGTTTGTATTCATGAACACAACAACTGATCCTCTTTTGCCGATCTTGTAACAAATGCTCTTTATCTGTTTTGATCAGCTCTTGAAAGACTTCTAGGTAAATGTGCAACCCAGCTTTAGCAAACGTGCAGGACTTTCTGGATTATCTCTTTGAATGCCAACTTTAGTTAGCCCTATTATATTTATAAGTGGCATCCATACTCTTTAGAGTGACGAGAGGCTTACACATATACTTCATTTCTTAAAATAGCTTATTTGACAATTAAAAGAAAAAATGTATTATTAAGGGTCATTTGGTCGCATGTAACAAAACCAGATTCCAACCACTTTAAGTAAGAAATGGGGTTTTATTGGCTCATAAAACTGGGAGAAATGGATGGAGGCAGGGCCTCAAAAGATGTTATCAGGGGTGTCTCTCTCATTTCCTGTCTCTGACTCTAGCTTTTGTTTCCTCTGTGCTGGCTGAATTCTCAGTAGGCTTTTCCATCAGGTGGCAAATTGGGCCCAGCAGGATTAATTTGTAGGCCACCTTCTTAGCAATCCCAGTAAGCTTGAAGCGTCTGCTCCCCAGTGGCTCCAGCCTAAGCCCTAGTGAGGTCTCTTGCTGTCCTATCTTGGTCCATGTGTCACCCCGGGCCAGTCCTGTAGCAAGAGGAGGCAGTGTTCTGGGTAGCCGAGTCTGAGGCACATGGCTCCCACAGGTAGGGGCAGGGTCATGACACTAAAGTTCATAGGTTGGACATGAGGGCTGGGAAATTGGGATGCTATTGACAAAAATTGTAGAGAGGGATCTGAGCAGGAAAAGATTAATTACTGATTTTCTTTACAACATACTTAAAAGATTCCTCAAGAAGAGCAACCTCATTCCCCTTAATACAGGGAACTCTTCTACAGTGTTCTTAGCAGATGTTTTATCCAGTTTCTCTTTGAACACGTTCCAGAATGGAGACCTCAGCACCTCCAGTTGTCTTCTATTCCAATGTTAGAGCTGTTTGTCAGAAAATATTCCTTATCTCAACAAATCTGAGTTTTCCTGTAATTTCTAAGGAATTGTCCTAACTCACTAGCCCATCAGAACCCTATAAAATAAAATTATAATCTCATCTTCCCAAAAGGGTAATCAAACATTTGAGTTCAATTTCAACATGTCTTTTACATTTCATATTCTACTTTCCCAGTGCCTTCTGAAGATTCCTGATACAATCTCCATCCCCACCAAGGCTATTCTTTCACCTTCAATGGACTGTAATGGTCTTTTGCATTTCACCTGCCATGAAGGCTTCCTCCCTGTATTTATTATAACATTAAATTATTTCATGTCTCAAATATTGGAAATAGTTTTAAGATACTGATTATAATCTGCTTCTCACTCCCATAGTAAATCCAAAAGGAGGGTTGTTTTTACCAGTCACATTACAATTTTGGTTAATATTAAGCTTAAAACAGTAGTAGCTACCATTTATCGATTGCCAGATTCTTTATAAAATGTATCTATAGTCCCCACAATAATTCCAACATTTATTATTATCATTATTATTATTATTATTGCTATCCCATTTTATAGACAAGGAAGCTGAAACTCAGTTTAAGTAACTTAGAAAGTCAAATTAAGTCAGTGGTCAAATTGATATTTGAGCTCAAATATCTATGACTGCAAAACTAAGTTCTTTCCATCATACTCCCTGCTCCATGGTTGATGTCAATGGAGACCATCAGATCTGTTTCCTGTGAAGTGCTGCCAATTACTTCATTCATACCCTTTGCTTGTGCAATGAAGCTGGTGCTCACCATAATATGGGCTGTGCAGAAAAGGGTTAACAGAGTAGGCCTGAGACTGCATTCCTTAGGAAGCCTTGTTTGCAAGGCTGGCCCTTGACAGGCACCTGGGGTCTTGGATTTCAGGAGAATTTCCATTATTCCCTGATTAGAATGGCTCACTGTGCTTAAACTGTTTGTTCAAACAATATGGTTAATGCTGAATATGTGCTTTCCTTCCCGGTGTGTGGAATTTTGGTATGTGTTAGACAGAGGGGTACCTATATGACAAGCCCACAATCAAAACCCCAGGCACTGAGCCTCTAATGAGCTCCTCTGGTAGATGTCTGGCAGATATTGAACAAGTGTTGTCATATATCAGGGCTTGAGGAATTAAGCACATACTGTGTGACTCCTCTGGGATAACACTCCTGAAAGCATGTGCCTAGCTTCCTCCAGATTTCACCCCATATGTCTTTTGTCTTTACTGATTTTACTTGGTACCCTTTTGCTGTAATAAATTACAGCCATGAATATGACTACATGCAGAGGCCTCTGCATCCTCCTAGGAAATCACTGAAACTGGAGGTAGTCTTGGAAACTCCCAACACAGGGACTTATATTTGTTCCTGTTAAGTTTAATCCTGATACAGTCATTTCAAAATCTCTCGATCTATTTTTTAAATATTTAGCTCTACATGTATTCCTTCAAAGTTTTAATTTTATTCCTTGATAAGAATATTGAATAAGAGAGTGGAAACACAGAATTATAGTTGTTTCCTGAAGCCTCCCTCTGTGTCAAGACTAAGCTATTAATCAGAGTGTTAGGACAGGGTTACACAAGCCAGTTACATACTTTTCCACAAGTACTATTAAAAAGAACATACTTCATTATATTGTTTTCTAGTATTCCTAAGACATTATGTCACTTAAAAAATTAAGACATATAGGCCAAAACATTCTTACTTCTTTTTCCTTACGTAGTTATGTTACATACATTATTGGAAAAAATAACTAGCCACTATTCCAATGTTACTTACTCTTAATGAGCTCATCATTTCCCTCTTGTAATAATCCCATTCTTACTGTAGATGATAATTAATTATTTCGTTAGTTATGTGCTAATTTTTTTTGGATTGTATCATGACAGAATTTCCATCTTACAGTTTTTAGACTATGTTGATTTTCCCCATTTTAATTCTCAAGTCATTTTCTCACCGCATCTTCTGCATTTTTTAAAGAAGTGCATTTTATCTAAGTTATCAAATTTGTGGTCATAGAGTTGTTCATAATATTCCTGTATCACTCTTTTTATATCCTTGGGATCAGTAGTCATTTCCCCTCTTTCATTTCTCACCCTACAAATGTGTGTCTCTCACTTTGATTCTTGTTTAGCCTGGCTAGAAGTTTATCCATTTTATTGATCTTTTCAAAGAATCCACTTTTGGTTTTGTTGGGTTCCTTATTGTTTTTCTGTTTTTAATTTCATTGAAGTTCTAATTTTTATTATTTCTTTTCTTTTGGTCACTTTAGAGTTATATTGCTCTTCTTGCTTTATTTTCCTATTTCCTCTATTGATTTCAGGTCCTCCTTCTATTCTAATATATGCATATATGCATTCAATGCTATAAATTTCTCTCTAACCATTCCTTTTGATGTATTCCCCAAATTTTGATAAGTTGTATCTTTATTTTCATTTAATTAAAAATATTTCTAATTTCTCTTGAGATTTCTCTTTTGACTCACGTGTTATTTGCAAGTATGTTGCTTAATCTCCAAATATTTGGTTCTTTTCCAGCTATCTTTCCATTATTGATTTCTAGCTAATTTCATTATGGTCCAAGAGCATACTTTTTATGAATTTTATTTTTAAAAATTTGTTCAATCTGTTTCAGTACCCAGAATGGAATCTATCTTGGTAAGTATCCCATATGAGCTTGAGAAAAATGTGTATTCTGCTTTTATTAGATGAAGTACAGATGGTCCCTGACTTACGATGATTCAACTTACAATTTTTCGACTTTAAGATGGTGTAAAAGCAAAACCCATTCAGTAGAAACCATACTTCAAACACCATACAGTCATTCTATTTCTCACTTCCAGCACAGTATTTAATAAATTATATGAGATATTCAACCCTTTATTAAATAGGCTTAGTTAGATAGTTTTGCCCAACTGTAAGATAACATAAGTTTTCTGAGAACATTTAAGTTAAGCTAAGTTATCATATTTGGTAAGTTAGGTGTAGTAAATGCATTTTTGACTTTGTGTATTTTCAACTTACAATGGGTTTATTAGGATGTAACTTCATAGTAAGTCAAGGAGGATGTGTAATCTATCAAGGTGACTAGAGCCAGTTAACTGATGGTGTTGTTACATTAAACGATGTTTTTACTGATTTTCTGCCTGCTGGATCTGTCCTTTTCTTATAGAGGGATGTTGAAGTCTTCAACTATAATAGTGGATTAATCTATTTCTCCTTGCAGTTATACCAAATTTTGCCCTATGTATTTTGATGTAGTGTTGTTAGACACATATACATTAAAAATTATTAGATCTTCTTAGAGAGCTGACCCTTTATCACTATGTAATATCCCCTTCTTTTTTTTTTTTTTTTTTTTTTTTGGAGACGGAGTCTCGCTCTGTCGCCCAGGCTGGAGTGCAGTGGCACAATCTCGGTTCACTGCAAGCTCTGCCTCCCGAGTTCGAGCCATTCTCCTGCTTAGCCTCCCGATTAGCTGGGACTACAGGAGCCCGCCACCATGCCCGGCTAATTTTCTGTGTTTTTAGTAGAAACGGGGTTTCACCATGTTGGCCAGGATGGTCTCGATATCCTGACCTTATGATCCGCCCGCCTCAGCCTCCCAAAGTGCTGGGATTACAGGCATAAGCCACTGCATCCGGCCTTGTAATGTCCTTCTTTATCCCTGGTGATAGCATGGTATATCTTCTCCATCCCTTTACTTTTAATGTTTCTGTGTCTGTATTTAAAATGGGTATCTTATAGACAACATATAGTTTAGTCTTTTTTGTTTTCATTCTATCAGTTTTTGTCTTCTGATTGGTATATTTATATTATTAACATTTAAAGTGATTATTAATATAATTGGACTAATATTTATCATATTTGTTATTGTTTTCTATTTGTTGCCCTTTTTTGTTTTTCTTTTATCTCTCACTTCTGCCTTCTCTCAGTGTTAACTGAGCATTTTATATGGTTTCAGTGTACCTCCTCTCGTAACATATTAATTATACTTCTTTCCCACCCTGTTTTTCAATGGTTACTCTTGAATTTGCAGTAATCTAAGTCCACTTTCAAATAACGCTATACTTCTTCACAGGTAGCATGTACCTTATAACAGAGTAGTCCCAATTTCTTTCTGGCATGCCTTCAAACATTTATACCACTTACCGCTAAGCTAGTCACCCAATGCACTGTTGCTATTACTATGTGAATAATTATTTATTAGAACTATTAAGAATAAAAAACAAAACCTTAAAATTTTACCCTTATTTATTCCTTTTCTAATGTTTTATTTCTTTCAGTAGAACAAAATTTCTGACTTTTTTTTTCTCTGAAGAACTTGTTTTAACATTTCAGGCAATGCAAGTCTACTGGAGACAAATTCTCTCAATTTTTGTTTGCCTGAAAATGTCTTTATTTCTCCTTTACTTTTGAGGAATAATTTTGCAGTACACAGGATTTTAGGTTGATGGGTTTTTTTTTTTTCTTTCAATAATTTAAATATTCCACTTCACCTCTTCTTGCTTGCATGGGAGGAAGAAATTGGGACTACTCTGTTATAAGTTACCCACTACCTGTGAAGATGTATATATCGGACTTCTGTAGAGAAGTCCGGTATAATTCTCTTCAGAAGTCTGATATAATTCTTATCTTTGGTCCTCTATAAGTAACGTGTTTTATTCTTTTGGCTTCTTTTAAGATTTTCTCTTTATCTTTAGTTTCCTACAGTTTGAATAGGGTGTCCCTAAGTGTCTAATTTTTTTTTTTTTTTTTTTTTTTTGGTATTTATCCTGCTTGGTGTTCCCTCAGTTTCCTGGACCTGTGGCTTGGCACATGTCATTAGTTTTTGAAAATTCTCAACCATTATTACTTCAAATATTTCTTCTGGTCCTTTCTTTCACAAATTCTGGAATTCTCATTGTGCATATATTACACCTTCTGTAATTGTATTACAGTTCTTGGATATCTTGCTCCTTTTTTCATTTTATTCTTATTTCCTTTCTCTTGCATTTCAGTTTGGGAAGATTCTATTGACACATTTTCATGCTCAGTGATTCTTTCCTCCCAGGGTCCCGTCTACTGGCAAGCCCATCAAAGGCATTTTTCTTTGCAACAATGTTTTTGATTTCCAAAATTTCCAGTGGATTCTTTCTGAGAACTTCCATTTTTCTGCTTTCACTACCCATTCGTTCTTACATATCAGTCACATTTTCCATTAGAGCCCTTAGCATATTAATCAGTCTTAATTTACATATCTGTTCTGATAATTCAAAAATCTGCATCATACTTGAGACTGGCTCCGTTCCTTGCTTTGGCTCTTGACACTATGTTCTTTCTTGCCTTTTAGCATGCTTTGTAATTTTTCTTTTCTTATTTATTTATTTTTTTATTATACTTTAAGTTCTAGGGTACATGTGCACAACGTGCAGGTTTGTTACATATGTATATATGTGCCATGTTGGTTTGCTGCACCCATTAACTCATCATTTACATTAGTTATTTCTCCTAATGCTATCCCTCCTTCATCCCCCCACCGCACGACAGGCCCCAGTGTGTGATGTTCCCCACCTTGTGTCTCATTGCTCAATTCTCATCTATGAGTGAGAACATGCAGTGTTTGGTTTTCTGTCCTTGTGATAGTTTGCTCAGAATGATGGTTTCCAGCTTCATCCATGTCGCTACAAAGGACATGAACTTATCCTTTTTTATGGCTGCATAGTATTCCATGGTGTATATGTGCTACATTTTCTTAATCCAGTCTATCATTGATGGACATTTGGTTTGGTTCCAAGTCTTTGCTATTGTGAATAGTGCTGCAATAAACATACTTGTGCATGTGTCTTTATTGTAGCATGATTTATAATCCTTTGAGTATATACCCAGTAATGGGATCGCTGGGTCAAATGGTATTTCTAGTTCTAGATCCTTGAAGTATCGCCACACTGTCTTCCACATGGTTGAACTAGTTTACAGTCCCACTAACAGTGTAAAAGTGTTCCTATTTCTCCACATCCTCTCCAGCACCTGTTGTTACCTGACTTTTTAACGATCACCATTCTAACTGGTGTGAGACGGTATCTCATTGTGGTTTTGATTTGCATTTCTCTGATGGCCAGTGATGATGGGCATTTTTTCATGTGTCTGTTGGATGGACAAATGTCTTCTTTTGAAAAGTGTGTGTTCATATCCTTTGCCCACTTTTTGATGGGGTTGTTTGCTTTTTTCTTGTAAATTTGTTTAATTTATTTGTAGATTCTGGATATTAGCCCTTTGTCAGATGGGTAGATTGCGAAAATTTTCTCCCATTCTGTAGGCTGCCTGTTTACTCTGATAGCAGTTTCTTTTGCTGTGCAGAAGCTCTTTAGTTTAATTAGATCCCATTTGTCAATTTTGGCTTTTGTTGCCATTGTTTTTGGTGTTTTAGACATGAAGTCTTTGTCCATGCCTATGTCCTGAATGGTATTGCCTAGGTTTTCTTCTAGGGTTTTTATGGTTTTAGATCTAACATTTAAGTCTTTAATCTGTCTTGAATTAATTTTTGTATAAGGTATAAGGAAGGGATCCAGTTTCAGCTTTCTACATATGGCTAGCCAGTTTTCCCAGCACCATTTATGAAATAGGGAATCCTTTCCCCATTTCTTGTTTTTGTCAGCTTTGTCAAAGATCAGATGGATGCAGATGTGTGGTGTTATTTCTGAGGCCTCTGTTTTATTCCACTGGTCTGTACCTCTGTTTTGGTACCAGTACCATGCTGTTTTGGTTACTGTAGCCTTGTAGTATAGTTTGAAGTCAAGTAGTATGATGCCTCCAGCTTTGTTCTTTTTGCTTAGGATTGTCTTGGCAATGCAGGCTCTTTTTTAGTTCCATATGAACTTTAAAGTAGTTTTTCCAATTCTGTGAAGAAAGTCATTGGTAGCTTGATGGGGATGGCATTGAATCCATAAATTGCCTTGGGCAGTATGGCCGTTTTCACGATATTGATTCTTCCTATCCATGAGCATGGGATGTTCTTCCATTTGTTTGTGTCTTCTTTTATTTCATTGAGCAGTGGTTTGTAGTTCTCCTCGAAGAGGTCCTTCATGTCCCTTGTAAATTTGATTCCTAAGTGTATTATTCTCTTTGTAGCAATTGTGAATGGGAGTTCACTCATGATTTGGCTCTCGGTTTGTCTGTTATTAGTGTATAGGAATGCTTGTGATTTTTGCACATTGATTTTGTATCCTGAGACTGCTGAAGTTGCTTATCAGCTTAAGGAGATTTTGGGCTGAGACAGTGGGGTTTTCTAGATATACAATCATGTCATCTGCAAACAGGGACAATTTGACTTCCTCTTTTCCTAATTGAATACCCTTTATTTCTTTCTCTTGTCTGATTGCCCTTGCCAGAACTTCCAACATTATGCTGAATAGGAGTGGTGAGAGAGGGCATCCCTGTCTTGTGCCAGTTTTCAAAGGGAATGCTTCCAGTTTTTACCCATTCAGTATGATACTGGCTGTGGGTTTGTCATAAATAGCTCTTATTATTTTGAGATACAGTCCATCAATACCTAGTTTCTTGAGAGCTTTTAGCATGAAGCGCTGTTGAATTTTGTCAAAGGCCTTTTCTGCATCTGTTGAGATAATCGTGTGGTTTGTGTGGTTGGTTCTGTTTATGTGATGGATTACATTTATTGATTTGTGTATGTCGAACCAGCCTTGCATCCCAGGGATGAAGCCACCTTGATCTTGGATGAGCTTTTGGATGTGCTGCTGGATTCGATTTGCCAGTATTTTACTGAGGATTTTTGCATCAATGTTCATCAGGGATATTGGTCTAAAATTCTCTTTTTTTATTGTATCTCTGCCAGGCTTTGCTATCAGGATGATCCTGGCCTCATAAAATGAGTTAGGGAGGATTCCCTCTTTTTCTGTTGGTTGGAATAGTTTCAGAAGGAATGGTGCTAGCTACTCTTTGTACTTCTGGTAGAATTCAGCTGTGAGTCCGTCTGGCCCTGGGCCTTTTTTGGTTGGTAAGCTGTTAATTATTGCCTCAATTTCAGGACCTGTTATTGATCTATTCAGGGATTCAACTTCTTCCTGGTTTAGTCTTGGGAGGGTGTATGTGTCCAGGAATTTATCCATGTCTTCTAGATTTTCTAGTTTATTTGTGTAGAGGTGTTTATAGTATTCTCTGATGGTAGTTTGTATTTCTGTGGGATCGGTGGTGAGATCCCCTTTTTCATTTTTTAATGCATCTATTTGATTCTTCTCTCTTTTCTTCTTTATTAGTCTTGCTAGCAGTCTATCAATTTTATTGATCTTTTCAAAACACCAGCTCCTGAATTCATTGATTTTTTGAAGGGTTGTGTCTCTATCTCCTTCATTTCTGCTCTGATCTTAGTTATTTCTTGCCTTCTGCTAGCTTTTGAATTTGTTTGCTCTTGCTTATCTAGTTCTTTTAATTGTGATATTAGGGTGTCAATTTCACAACTTTCCTGCTTTCTCTTACGGACATTTAGTGCTATAAATTTCCCTCTACACACTGCTGTAAATGTGTCTCAGAGATTCTGGTACATTGTGTCTCTGCTTTCATTGATTTCAAAAAACATCTTTATTTCTGCCTTCATTTCGTTATTTACCCAGTAGTCATTCAGGAGCAGATTGTTCAGTTTCCATGTAGTTGTGCAGTTTTGAGTGAGTTTCTTAATCCTGAGTTCTAATTTGATTGCACTGTGGTCTGAGAGGCAGTTTGTTGTGATTTCTGTTCTTTTACATTTACTGAGGAGTGCTTTACTTCCAACTATGTGGTCAATTTTGGAATTTGTGTGATATGATGCTGGGAAGAATGTATATTCTGATAATTTGGGGTGGGGAGTTCTGCAGATATCTATTAGGTCTACTTGGTGCAGAGCTGAGTTCAAGTCCTGGATATCCTTTTTAACCTTCTGTCTCGTTGATCTGTCTAATATTGACAGTGGGGCATGAAATTCTCCCATTATTATTGTGTGGGAGTCTAAGTCTCTTTGTAGGTCACTCAGGACTTGCTTTATGAATCTGGGTGCTCCTGTATTGGGTGCATATATATTTAGGATTGTTAGCTCTTCTTGTTGAATGGATCCCTTTACCATTATGTAATGGCCTTCTTTGTCTCTTTTGATCTTTGTTGCTTTAAAGTCTGTTTGGTCAGAGACTAGGATTGCAACCCCTGCCTTTTTTTTGCTTTCCATTTGCTTGGTGGCTCTTCCTCCATCCCTTTATTTTGAGCCTATGTGTGTCTCTGCACATGAGATGGGTTTCCTGAATACAGCACACTGCTGGATCTTGACTCTTTATCCAATTTGCCAGTCTGTGTCTTTTAATTGGGGCATTCAGCCCATTTACATTTAAGGTTAATATTGTTATGTGTGAATTTGATCCTGTCATGATATTAGCTGGTTATTTTGCTCGTTAGTTGATGCAGTTTCTTCCTAGCATCGATGGTCTTTACAATTTGGCATGTTTTTGCAGTGGCTGGTACTGGTTGTTCCTTTCCATGTTTAATGCTTCCTTCAGGAGCTCTTGTAAGGCAGGCCTGGTGGTCACAAAATCTCTCAGCATTTGCTTGTCTGTAAAGGATTTTATTTCTCCTTCACTTGTGAAGCTTAGTTTGGCTGGATATGAAATTCTGCATTGAAAATGCTTTTCTTCAAGAATGTTGAATATTGGCCCCCACTCTCTTCTGGCTTCTTGGGTTTCTGCCAAGAGATCCGCTGTTAGTCTGATGGGCTTCCCTTTGTGGGTAACCCGACCTTTCTTTCTGGCTGCCCTTAGCATTTTTCCCTTCATTTCAACCTTGGTGAATCTGACAATTACGTGTTTTGGGGTTGCTCTTCTTGAGGAGTATCTTTGTGGTGTTCTCTGTATTTCCTGAATTTGAATATTGGCCTGCCTTGCTAGGTTTAGGAAGGTCTCCTGGATAATATCCTTAAGAGTGTTTTCCAACTTGGTTCCATTATCCTCATCACTTTCAGGTACACCAATCAAACGTAGATTTGGTCTTTTCACATTGTCCTGTATTTCTTGGAGGCTTTGTTCGTTTCTTTTTACTCTTTTTTCTCTAAACATCTCTTCCCACTTCATTTCATTAGTTTGATCTTCAATCACTGATACCCTTTCTTCCACTTGATCAAATCGGCTACTGAAGCTTGTGCATGTGTACGTAGTTCTCATGCCATGGTTTTCAGCTCCATCAGGTTATTTAAGGTCTTCTCTACACTGTTTATTCTAATTAGCCATTTGTCTAATCTTTTTTCAAGGTTTTGAGCTTCCTTGCAATGGGTTCAAACATCCTCCTTTAGTTCAGAGAAATTTGTTATTACCAACTTTCTGAAGCCTATTTCTGTCAACTCGTCAGAGTCATTCTCTATCCTGCTTTGTTCCATTGCTGGCGAGGAGGAGCTGTGATCCTTTGGAGAAGGGGCACTGTGGTTCTTAGAATTTTCAGTTTTCCTTCTCTGGTTTCTCCCCATCTTTGTAGTTTTATCTACCTTTGGTCTTTGATGATGGTGACCTACAGATGGGGTTTTTGTGTTGGTGTCCTTTTTGTTGATGTTGATGCTATTCCTTTCTGTTTGTTAGTTTTCCTTTTACCAGTCAAGTCCCTCGACTGCAGGTCTGTTGGGAGTTTGCTGGAGGTCCACTCAAGAACCTGTTTGCCTCGGTATCACCAGCGGAGGCTGCAGAACAGCAAATATTGCAGAACAGCAAATATTGCTGCCTGATGCTTCCTCTAGAAGCTTCATCTCAGAGGGGCATCCAGCTGTATGAGGTGTCAGTTGACCCCTACAGGAAGGTGCCTCCAAGTTAGGCTACATGGGGGTCAGGGACCCACTTGAGGAGGCAGTCTGTCCATTCTCAGAGCTCAAACATCATGCTGGGAGAATCACTGCTCTCTTCAGAGCTGTCAGACAGGGACATTTAAGTCTGCAGAAGTTTCTGCTGCCTTTTGTTCAGGTATGCCCTGGTCCTAGACCTGGAGTCTACAGAGGCAGGTGGGCCTCGTTGAGCTGCAGTGGACTCCACCCAGTTTGAGCTTTCTGGCTGCTTTGTTTACCTACTCAAGCCTCAGCAATGGCAGACACCCCTCCCCCAGCCAGGCTTGCTGCCTTGCAGTTTGATCTCGGACTAGCAGTGAGCAAGGCTCCGTGGGTGTGGGACCCACTGAGCCAGGTGCAGGATATAATCTCCTGGTGTGCCATTTGCTAAGACCATGGAAAAAGCGCAGTGTTTAGGTGGCAGTGTCCTGATTTTCCCGGTACAGTCTGTCATGGCTTCCCTTGGCTAGGAAAGGGAAACCCCCGGACCCCTTGTGCTTCCTGGGTGAGGGGATGCTCTGTTTTGCTTTGGCTCACCCTCTGTGAGCTGCACCCACTTTCAGACCAGTCACATTGAGATGAAACGCGTACCTCAGTTGGAAATGCAGAAACCACCCGTCTTCTGTTTAGATCACACAGGGAGCTGCAGACCGGAGCTGTTCCTATTCGGCCATCTAGGAACCGCCTTTCATGCTTTGTAATTTTTCACTGAGAAACATTTGTTGCATATTGAAGAATAGAAGTTCAGGTTAGTAGGCTTTTAGTGTGTGGCTTTATCTTCATCTGGTTAGGAATTATTGTGTCTGTGTTTACTCCTTGTTTTAGCTGTAGGTGTCTGAGGCTTTAATTTCTTCTGGTGTCCTTCTTTTCATTTCCTGTTATATCTGAGCTTCTTTCTTAAATGAGCATTAGTGTTGTGGCTCTTTTAATTGTAACCCCCGTGTTATTATATGGAATCCTTGTTTCCTGCTTCAGCAGCTTACGGTCCCAGCAAGCTGTGATTCTTTGCATTCGCCTGCTTCTTCAATTTGGGGAACATCATTTTGCTCTGTGAGCTCAATTATCTGATGAATCTAAAAAGATATGTTGATTTCATTTGGCCATCATTTTTCATTATGAATCTTCAGGTGACAATAGGCAAAACTTTGCTCTAAGGTCATGCCTGTAGTATTTTACTACACTTTCAAAAACATTTACTTTGTCTTAAGGTATATGCAAGGTAATTATATATATCCCCTCTATGTTATTGCCATAGACTAAAAGGTACCCTTTATGCCCCTTGCTCTACCATTTCCAGGTTGTCAGATAGCCTATGACTGTCATTGAATGGGTGGGGACTTAGGAAACAAATGACAGAAAAACAGGTTATAGGAAAAGAAATTTGGCGGAAGTGATGGATCCTGGGGGGGCTTTTTATTTAGTGCCTGTCATCCCTACTGACCTATAGAGTTACTCATCAAATCTGAGGCCCACTCCTAACTTTAGTAACTATACTTTAAGCAATGTTTTTTAAGCAATGTTTTTAGAATCAGAAACCCAGCTAGAAACCCTTGACAAATTTGGGTGGGTTCTGGTATCTAAGAGTATGCTATTGGCTGTAATTCCTACTTTTCATTAGTAAGAATCCATTTCTTGTAAAAATGATTAGATTGCTGAGATGTCCAGCCACAGCCTGGAGCAAAGCCTTGAAGACAATGCTGGCCAAACAATTTGGCACAATGAGATAGAAAGCCCAGGCTGCCCGGACATGTCTTCCTGATCCTGACTCCTTTCCCAGCCTATGGGAGGCAACCAGAGTGGGATGTAAGTTTCAGCAGATATGGAAGCTGGGCCTGTGCTCATCTCAATGAAAGAAGCTGATGACCATGAGATAATTAGCTCATAAAGCAATCAATTAACACATTTGGTTGTTGGCTGAAAGTCTGGAATCCACCCAGGGGTGAGAATTTGGCCTTTCCTTCTCTGACATTTGGCATGTCTCTGCTTCTGCCTCTTGGCCCGGGCTGTTCTCTCTGCTTGGGATGCCTGGTCTTCACTCTCTCTTACATACTTTCTCCTTCAAGACTGTGCCCAACACCCATGGGCCTGTGACACCCTTTCTGGCCACTCAAGCCTGATGTTAACCTTCCCCAGGTAAGGACAGCAACCCTCTCGACCAGGGCTGTTTCTCCTGTGTCTAAAACAATGCTCAACCTTTTTCTAATCAGCCGTGTTCTTTGGATGAACTAATGAAGTATATATCTTTGAGCTTACAATTCTGAGAGAAATATTTGCCCATCTGTCCCACTAGATGACAAACTCTTTGAGAACAAGGACTGTGTCTCTTATCTCAGTTTTTCCACAGCCTAGCCCAGAACCTGGCATGTAACAAAGGCTCAATACAAATTCGTGGAATAAATACAAAACGAATGAATGAGACAGTGCTGGGGTACTTTGCAGAAAACCTCATTTCATAGGCCAGACTTGGAGACATCTCACTGCTGCCCTGCTACTTCTACCTCTTCATCAGGACCAGGAAGCAGTGATCCTCACTGTCTTGTTTGTCAACAAAGAGCCAGTGGCCAAGACCATATTTCCAAGAGCTTAGAAAGAACAAGAAGTCATTGCTGATGGTGTGGCCTCCATCACCAAGGAGGGAATCACCAAAACAGGCAGTTTCTCTATTTAAGCTAAGCACACAGGAAGAAAGAGAGGACAAGCTTAGAGTAGTCTGTGAACCACAAGCAGCATCTTCTTTGCTCAGGTGCCATCTTGGCTGTGGTTGCGCCCCTCATAGCTGATGGGGCCCTGTGCTGTGCTGTGGGAGTGCTGTCTCCTTGCATTAGTCAGTTCTCACTCTGCTAATAAAGACATATCCAAGGCTGAGTAGTTTATACAGAAAAAGAGGTTTAATGGACTTATAGTTCCACATGGCTGGGAAGGCCTCACAAGCATGGCAGAAGACAAAGGAGAAGAAAGTCATGTCTTACATGGCAGTAGGCAAGAGAGCTTGTTCAGGGGAACTCGCATTTATAAAATCATCAGATCTCATGAGACTTATTCACTATCACAAGAACAGTATGGGGGAAACCACCCCCATGATTCAATTATCTCCACCTGGCCCCTCGCTTGACGTGTGGGGATTGTTACCATTCATGGTGAGATTTGGGTGGGGATGCAAAGCCAAACCATATCACTCCTGGGTGCCCCATGAGAAATGTGAATGTGTCTAGACCAGAGCAGCTCATCCATGGCTCCAAGCAGACATGCACACAGGGCGAGAGCCTGGGGATGCCTGTTCATGCTTGTAATGTGGCACCACATTATTCCCCAGTGTTCCAGTTTGGATGATAAATTACATGGCCACCCTAAGTACCTCCCATAGATTCTTTTTACCACCCCTGTTATGCACTGGAACATTTTAAAACAAATCCCAGATACCATATTTTATCAGAAACTGCTTCCTCTTTTAATGTCTAGTAGATAAGGACACAATAAGTAACAGTAATGTCTTCATCCTGTTTAACAAAATAATCAATAATTCCATCATATCATCAAATATCTACTCAGTGTTCAAATTTCTCCAATTGTCTCTAAATGATTTTTATCAGTTGGGATTCAAACAAGGCCACATATTGCATTTGATGAATATGTCTATTAAATCCCACCTGCCCCTTTTCTATTTTTTAGTTTACCTCTTTCTTTTGCCATTTATTTATTGAAGAAAGCAGGTCAATTTTCCTGTAAATTTTCCCACACCCTAGATTTGACATCCTTTGGTGATATTTAACACACTATTCTACTCTCTGATCTCCTGTAAATGGTAGCTAGCTCTAGACCCTTAATCAGGTACAGGTTCATGTTTTTTGAAACAATATTTCATGTGCACTTTTCCTTATTGTATCACATCAGGAAACATTGAATGTCTGATTGCCTTTCTTTTTATGATGTTAGAGCTGCTGAGTGGGTTCAGGTGTTGGTATCCTTATCCATCTATCAGATGACTCCCCACTAAAATGTCACTTAGAGATTTCTACAGCCATTGGATCATTGCCTAAACCCATTATCTTATGAAGGGTTACAAATATGTGATTTTCTGTGGATCTCATTTCTTCTACTTGCATTAGCCAGTGTCTTCTATAAAGAAGCAATTATTTGGCCATAGTTTGTATAGGAAATGCAGGATAAATCTTTAATTTTTTCTTTTAATTATACATTTTCAAAATAATGAATTGATTATATAGCAGTATTGAAACATGACCAATAAAGGTTTTGCTTTTTTTTACTATAATTAGAACTCATAAAAACGTTAAATCTATGTATTGTATTTCAATTAATTGCATCATCATTACTTTGGGTGTCAAATCATTCCATCTCAGGCCAAGAGTCCTTCAACTTAAAGGCACATAAAACTTATCTTTAACATTTTCTGTTTCAAACCTGGAATCAATCATTTCTGCAAGAAGCCCTGAATTTTGTTTTAGTGGGAAATATAATTTAAAATTCAAATTCACACATTGGGTCCCCAAAGTGCTAATTATGATGGAGTTGTCATTGCCTCTTGGTGTTTTCAGTGAATAGAGTTAGAAAACATACCTTCTTTTTAGAAAAAAAAAAATACATCATAAGTTCCTGCTGGTCTTTTTTACAAATTTAAAATCAGAAGGTTTTGATTTAAGTTTTTTGTTTACATACACATTTCAAAAGTAAAAGTGTAGGACCATAAAATGGATTCAATAGTAAGATTCTAATATATCAATTGCTTCTTAACACCTAGAAAAAAGAATGGTTATCCCGAAGACCCAGCCTACACTCCTGGACAATAGGTATGATGAACTAGTTTCCTCTACTTTAAACTCAATTACTATCTTTTGGTTCAAGTAATGTGGTTTGGTTCATTATGGTCCTAAAACATTATAGGATCATATTTTATGAAATCCCAATGATAGCCTTGTGAAATAATGAATTGATATAAAATTGGATGGGTGAAAGAACTTTTAGATTGTACAAAGTTGTACAATAAACAATATAAAGTCTGACATCTAGTTTCACAAACAGAGTGGGTAATATCTTCATGTCACAAAAAAAAAAAAACCCTTAGGATTTTTTTAGACTCTGCTAATACCAGTGAAGGAGACAGATTAAGGCCTAATCAAAGGCAAATCTACAGGAATGAAATGGACACCCGGGGCAATGGGAGCTGAGGCCATGCCATGATCAAGAAACAAAAGGCAATAATTAAAAATACATATGCAGCTAATGTCCATTCATGATAAACTCTTTTGGCAAACTAGAAATAAAAAGGAACTCTTTTAATCACATAAAGGACGTCTACAAAAAACCTACACCTAACACGAGATTTTGTGATGAAAAATAGAACACTTTTTCTCTAAGATCTGAAACAAAATAAAGCTTTCCACTCTCCCCTCTTCTATTCAATGTTATTCTACTGGAAGTTCCAGCAAGGGCAATAAGGCAAGAAAAAGAAAGGAAAAAGCAAGGATTTTTTAAAAAGCAAGTAAAACTATCATTTTTTTAAATAGAAGACAATTATGTACATAGAAAACTCTATGGAATATTTTTTTTAAAAAAAAAGAAAACTGCTGGGATTCATATGCACAGAAAAATTTAGACCTCTCCATTTTGTTGATTGTAAATCATACATTATCAACAACCACCAAAAACATAACAGGCCAAAAAAGAGCCACCTATTTTGTATTTTGACAAGTGGATATGCAAGGATATGGATTTGAAAGTTTGTTTATAGAAATAATCTGTAATAAACAATAGTAACATTATTTAAGGAATAAAATTATGAAAAAATTATTTAATGACTGTAGTGCAATTCTTAGTCACTGAGAGATATAACATTGATACATCATTTTCACATGAATTCACTCTTAACTATGTAAATGAAACAGATGTTATTATTAAATCAAATTCCCTAAAGCGTAGCACCTGTAGACAGCAATAAATTTAACCTCTAAAACAATTGATAATTTAACTTCTGATATCAATTTTCCAATTTTCCACAGATGTGTATGTAACAGAGAGGGAATGAGTGTGTGTGTGTGTGTGTGTGTGTGTAGTGAGAGCAACAGCTACAGAAAGGAGGAGGGGAAGGAGAAGCAGCTAGGGAGAGAGGGAGGGAGGGAGGGGAAGAGAGAAAAACAGAAACAGAGAGAGTGTCTCGGTAAATGCAAAGAATTTGAATACCTATTTCCGTCATTGTCACTCATAAAAACATACATGCATGCTGCTTTTGTGTTCTCAAACCTGTGCATGTACATGTATGAACATGAACCCCTTTTGAATACAGTGCTTTTCACTTTTTAAGTGTTTTAACATAAATAGCTTCATTCTGTTTGAGAGGTGAAAAATATTGATACACTTGAAATGCTTGCCCAGAATCAAATACAGACTGAGTATGGAATCTAAATTTCAATCACAGGTCCTTACCACCTTAACCTATTCTCCCTGGGCTCCGCCATCCTCAGGGAGACAGGACTCAGGGTACAGGAAAGCCATAGGCTGCCTGCTGCTGCTTCAAGCAATGCAGGATTGAAAGGCACAGATATTAACTAAAATCCTCAGGAGAAGAAAAGGCAGATTATACTTGTGGCTCGTGTTATTTGTGAGCAAGATATAGTGTTTGTTGATGGGAACATAGGAGATAGAGATTACAAAATCTAATTACAAAAAAAATAAAATGACAAAACATGTTCCCAAAGCCTTCATTCAAGACAGGAAAAAAGAAGAAAACACCTGTGAAATTCTAATCATCATATGAAAATTCCAGATCTAAATTCCAGGAGGTTTCTCCTTCACATTTGGGATCAGTTAAATTCACAAACATACCAAAAGGCATTTGCAGTTTGCAGTATGTTCTGCCAGTGACAGCAGAGGAGGAGAAGAACACAAAGGGATTAATCAGGGATAGAGGTAATTAAAGCCAGAAAGGATCAAATGGCCCACAGGTCAAAGGAATTAAAATCTGAGCACAACTTTTGCATAAAGGGGGAAAAATACAATGCACTTTGCTGGGACATTTAACTGCAAATATATCGCAGTTACCAGACAGGTTTAAGCGAAACTCCTTGGTTGGCAAACCTTCGGAGAAAGGTTTGTAAATGAAGGCAGCACAGGGAGCATGCCCTGCACTTCAGGGTTCATTGTTCATGTGTCTACTAAGTTTTTTCTTAGTCCACAAAAATGACAAACTTCCTGAAGAAAAGACTTGCATTTCTGCATTTATTTCTGTATTGTTCTACATGGCACTTTATAAACCTGACTGCATGCCTTGTGATTATCTCAATTCAGTATTCTTTGCCACATTCCAATGAGATAAGCAGCCCCTGTGCCCATTTTGTGAATGATAAGGATAAGATTGCAGAAGTCATTTTTCTCGACTGCGCAGCCTGAGAAATGTGTGGCCTGGCCTGGCACTTCAAGCCTGGGAACTGGGAATGCTGTCCCAGTCTCCAGGCCACCCTGCCTCACTTCTTGACTTGCAGACCTCTCTGAGAAGCCTGCCCTTCTCTCCATCCAGGTTCCTTGTGTGCTGTCAAGGACCTCTGCAGACTCCACCCTCTGTATAGACCAGAAAGCTTGTTGAGAAACCAATAAAGCATGTGTCTTCAGCCTGTCCCACCCAGGTCCCAGGGTCATGGCCCAAGACTGGCAGGTCAGCCAAGGAGAAAGAGCCCTGCCGACCTCTCAAGTGGCAGCACCTGGGACTGGCCCCTTGGCTTAACAGTTCTGTTTGTTGTGACTTTCAGTTTTCTCTGCCATAGTATTGGAGTAATGCTTCCCCATCTGATTTGCTCTGAAGATTGTGGGAAATACAAAGGTGAAGTAGGAGGAGACTGTAATTGTGAGGTGTTGGTGTTTCCCCTCACTCCTTACCCACCTCCCCAGCACATGTGCACACACTTGCACACACACACACACACACACACACACACGGCTACCACAGGTTACCAGAAATTCAAAGCAGTGAACACTTGTAAGCCATTTTCCAATTCAAAAAGCACTTCACGAATTTGACTTCAGTGGCTGGGAAAGACAAGCGGCTACCTCCACCTCCACCCTCTCCCATCCGCCCACATCCTCCTGGACCCTGCAGCTGGTCTCCCACCAGGAACCTGCCCCTCCTGCAGGAAGAGCCCATTCTAGAACTCTGCTCCCAGCCCCTGTCCTGCTGTGTAATTGGAGGATGATGTCCAAGGGGGAACTTTGAGTGGGGCATCAGTGGGGAGAAATACAGCAAAGCAAAGTCTCCTTCTTCTTGCCCTTGAAGGAGTGCTGACCCTGCCCCACGCATTGGGAGGCATTTTCTTGGATGCCCATGAATTGACTTACTCATTTGAGCTTTTCACAGAGGAGTGAGAGAAGATATAGAATGGTAGAAGGGTCAAGGTGGGCAGGCCAGGAAACACTGCCCAAGGACAGCTACAGTCTGTGCTGGTTCAACTGGGGCATAAAGAATGGCCACATTCACTGGCACAAGCCAGGCATCATGGCCTCCCTCCTCAGCAGGAGGGTCCCTCAGAACACCTGCTCTGCTCCCTCCCCTGCACCTAAGGCTCACAGGCTGAGGATTTATCGAAAGTCCATCACTAAGTGAGTGCCAGGCATGGGGCCAGCAGAGATGGTGGGTGCAAATTTTATTTGAGTCACAACTTGTGAAATGTTAAGCTCATACCTTCCGGAAGACGTCACCAGGTCTAAGTCAGATGGCAAGAAAGCTGGCTCACTTGATTCCACTGCTTATGCTGGGGTCCCGGAGGCCTTGAAAACAAAACTTATGGTATGTTGCATTACTTTTTTCCATGTGGGGCTTTCTGTGGTCTGGGTGCATGCTAAATCTCTTTAACAGGAAGGTTCATTTCTCAAAACATGAAAATTCCCAAACAGAATCAGACTAAGTTGTCTACTGTTAAACAAAATTATTGATCCTCTTATTTGGACTTGGGAAAGCCAGCAAGGGGGTGAACACGTGTGTAAGAAAATAGGCAAATGGAATTTTCTCTGGGTGTGTAAGCAATCCTTGAGGAGTTTACAAACTGCCCTGCACCTTCGATCAGGCTTCCTGGGCTGCAGCGCTGTACTGTGGGAGCCACCCTGGTCCCAGCCAGGCACCCTGACCACACAAACTTGCTGGCACGGGGGTAGGCAGGGGGTGTGGGCAGAGGAAACACTTTGGAGGGTATGAAGGGACAGGTACAAAGGCAAAGGATTCTGCCAGGAAAAGCTGAGCCCTAAGAGAGGCACTGTCAGGCTGCCTCCCATGATAACAGGGAGTTTAAAGAGCCCATATCCATCAGGGAAGGTTCCAGAATCTCATGAACTGGGACTTTCGCCAGTGTAGGGTCCTCCCAAATGCCCCTGTGTGAAGCCACATTCCATCTACACTTGCCTCAAGGGTCAGCACACAGGTCATGCTTTTTTTTTTTTTTTTTTGAGACGGAGTCTCGCTCTGTCGCCCAGGCCGGATTGCGGACTGCAGTGGCGCAATCTCGGCTCACTGCAAGCTCC
This sequence comes from Homo sapiens, assembly GCF_000001405.40. NCBI lineage: Eukaryota > Metazoa > Chordata > Mammalia > Primates > Hominidae > Homo > Homo sapiens. The sequence goes on along the minus strand of NC_000010.11, from coordinate 44,082,086 downwards.
GCTTCCCGGGTTCACGCCATTCTCCTGCCTCAGCCTCCCAAGTAGCTGGGACTACAGGCGCCCGCCACCGCGCCCAGCTAATTTTTTGTATTTTTAGTAGAGACGGGGTTTCACCTTGTTAGCCAGGATGGTCTCGATCTCCTGACCTCATGATCCACCCGCCTCGGCCTCCCAAAGTGCTGGGATTACAGGCGTGAGCCACCGCGCCCGGCCAGGTCATGCTTTTTTAAAGTCACCGATGCTGATTCTCACACTAGTCCCCAACTTGAACCTGTGTCCACAGTGGGCTGGACCTCCCTGTGGGAAGGTTAACAGCATCATGACGTGGCATGTCCACACTCATGGCAGGTCCACACTCCTAACGCACCACCCGTCAGCCCCACGCTCAGGCCACACCCGTTGGTGTTACCTGTGGCTCCCAGCTTCCTCTCTCACCCCACATCCAGCCTCAGCAAATCCTATTGGCTCCATCTCCAAAATATATCCAGACTCTGACCACTCATGGCCCCTGTTGTCCCCAAGCAGTCAAGCCACCCTCTCTAGTGTGTTATTGAACAAGCCTCCAAATTGCTCTTCTCATTTCTGCCCTTGCCTCTCCTCAGTCTGCTCTCAACACAGCAGCCAGAATGACCATTTATGAAAGTTATATTAAGACTCACCCTTGCTGTCAGGTTGCTGATGGCTTTCTGGCTCACCTACCAAACTCCCCTTCTCATCTCCTGCCTGACCCTTCCTTGAACTTGCCAGACATACATCTGCCTCGGGCCTTTGCACTCAGTGTTCTTCATGCCTGAAATGCTGGTTGCTTTACTACCTTCAAGTCTCTATTCAAAAGTTCCCTTCTGAATGAGGCCTGTCCTGGCCACTTTGCTGGGAATTCCCGCCCCCCATTTAACACTTTATATCTTCTTTCCCTGATTCATATCTTGTTATCAGCATTTAATAACATATCTAATAAAATATATTTTTTGCTTATGTATCTTGAATGTTTTTCTGTCTGCTCTGTAGAATGTGAGTCTCCAAGACAGGAGCTTTAACTGCTTTGTTTATTTCTATATTTGCAGTTTCTAAGCAGCTCCTGGAACAGAGCAGGTGCTCACACATTTGTGGATGAATGAATGAATGACTCTATCTACTCAATGCTCAGCAAGTCCCAATCATGGGATTTGGCCTGATTTATTCCCAGGGATCCAGCTCTTATTTCAATTTCCCTGAACCCCAAAAGTCTATGAGAATAAGACTTCCATTTTCCAGGAAGATGGAGTAGACATACTTTTCCCTATTCCTACTAAGTATAACTAAAAGCCCTAGGCATTATATATAAAACAAATATAAGAAGACTCTGAAAGGTACAGAGAAGAAGGCAGAAGAGCCAGAGACCATGGGACTTAAGGAATAACATGACAATGAGTTTCTTATTGCCTCATATATCCCAAGATTAGGTATTTGGAAAGTCAGCAACCTGGAACTGCTAATTAGTGTAGACAAAAAAAAAAAAAAAAAAAAAAATGCCAGCTCTTTCTAGCCAAAGAACCAGGAAAGGAAAAACCTAGCAAGACAGAAAACTTTTAGGAATAAAATGCCTACTCCAGCCAAACACAGAAAAACTGTGGCTCCACCTCCACTTGCACAAGTCAAGGCTGAGCAGGGAGACTAGACTTCTGCCCTTACTGTGTTGTTATGTGGCATCCCCACCTCCTTTGCCAGCTGGTATAAATAAAGGCTGAGTTGGGAACCAGGGTTTGCTTCCCTGGTGGGTAGTAACAAGTCCCCTGTCCCTTCATGTCTGTGGAGACAATGTGGGGAACCAGAACTCCATTTCTGCCCAGCAGTAACAAGAGCCCTTCCCCCAGCCTAGGTGTCAAAAAAGGTCAAGTGGAGAACCTGGTTTTCCATCCCTAATTGGTAATTACATGGCAGTGACCCCACCTCCTCACCCACTGGAGAGATGAGAGAGGAAGCCCACTAAAACACATTATTTAAATAAGATTCATAGACTTATAATACCCAAATGTCTATATTTCAATCAAAAGTCATTTATTACACCAAGAACCAAAAACAGTTCAAGGTGAATTAGAAGACAATCAACAAAACACCAACAATGAGATGATACAATTGTTAGAATTATCTTTCAAGAAGTTTAATACAATCATTATGAAAAGTGCTGCAATTACCAAATAAAAACAAACTTGAAACACAGGAAAATATAGAAGTTTCAGCAAAGAAATCCAAAAATCTCAATGAAGAGAGAGGTAAAAAGAAGAATTAAAAGGAACACAGCTGCTCGCCAGCAATGGAACAAAGCTGGATGGAGAATGACTTTAACGAGTTGAGAGAAGAAGGCTTCAGACGATCAAACTTCTCCGAGCTGAAGAAAGAATTTCGAACCCATCGCAAAGAAGCTAAAAACCTTGAAAAAAGATTAGACGAATGGCTAACTAGAACAACCAGTGTAGAGAAGTACTTAAATGACCTGATGGAGCTGAAAACCATGGCACGAGAACTACATGACGAATGCACAAGCTTCAATAGCCGACTCGATCAACTGGAAGAAAGGGTATCAGTGATTGAAGATCAAATTAATGAAATGAAGTGAGAAGAGATGTTGAGAGGAAAAAGAGTAAAAGAAATGAACAAAGCCTCCAAGAAATATGGGACTATGTGGAAAGACCAAATCTACATCTGATTGTTGTACCTGAAAGTGATGGGGAGAATGGAACCAAGTTGGAAAACACTCTTCAGGATATTATCCAGGAGAACTTCCCCAACCTAGCAAGGCAGGCCAACCTTCAAATCCAGGAAATACAGAGAATGCCACAAAGATACTCCTCGAGAAGAGCAAATCCAAGACACATAATTGTCAGATTCACCAAAGTTAAAATGAAGGAAAAAGTGTTAAGGGCAGCCAGAGACAAAAGATCGGGTTACCAACAAAGGGAAGCCCATCAGACTAACAGTTGATCTCTCAGCAGAAACTCCACAAGCCAGAAGAAAGCGGGGGCCAATATTCAACATTCTTAAAGAAAAGAATTTTCAATGCAGAATTTCATATCCAGCCAAACTAAGCTTCACAAGTGAAGGAGAAATAAAACACTTTACAGACAAGCAAATGCTGAGAGATTTTGTCACCACCAGGCCTGCCCTACAAAAGCTCCTGAAGGAAGCACTAAATATGGAAAGGAACAACCAGTACCAGCCACTGCAAAAACATGCCAAATTGTAAAGACCATCAATGCTAGGAAGAAACTGCATCAACTAATGAACAAAATAACCAGCTGATATCATAATGACAGGATCAAATTCACACATAACAATATTAACCTTAAATGTAAATGGACTAAATGCCCCAATTAAAAGACACAGACTGGCAAATTGGATAAAGAGTCAAGACCCAGCAGTGTGCTGTACTCAGGAGACCCATCTCACGTGCAGAGACACACATAGGCTCAAAATAAAAGGATGGAGGAAGATCTACCAAGCAAATAGAAAACAAAAAAAAGCAGGGGTTACAATCCTAGTCTCGGATAAAACAGACTTTAAACCAACAAAGATCAAAAGAGACAAAGAAGGCCATTACATAATGGCAAAGGGAACAATTCAACAAGAAGAGCTAACTGTCCTAAATACGTATGCACCCAATTCAGGAGCACCCAGATTCATAAAGCAAGTCCTTAGTGACCTACAAAAAGACTTAGACTCCCACACAATAATAATGGGAGATTTTAACACCCCACAGTCAACATTAGACAGATCAACGAGACAGAAAGTTAACAAGGACATCCAGGAATTGAACTCAGCTCTGCACCAAGCGGACCTATTAGACATCTGCAGAACTCTCCACTCCAAATCAACAGAATATACTTTCTCCTCAGTACCACATTGCACTCATTCCAAAATTGACCACATAGTTGGAAGTAAAGCACTCCTCAGCAAATGTGAAAGAACAGAAATTATAACAAACTGTCTCTCAGACCACAGTGCAATCACACTAGAACTCAGGATTAAGAAACTCACTCAAAACTGCTCAACTACATGGAAACAGAACAACCTGCTCCTGAATGACTACCAGCTATATAACAAAATGAAGGCAAAAATAAAGATGTTCTTTGAAACCAATGAGAACAAAGACACAACATATCAGAATCTCTGGGACACATTTAAAGCAGTGTGTAGAGGGAAAATTATAGCACTACATGCCCACAAGAGAAAGCAGGAAAGAGCTAAAACTGACACCCTAACATCACAATTAAAAGAACTAGAAAAGCAAGAGAAAACATATCCAAAAGCTAGTAGAAGGCAAGAAATAACTAAGATCAGAGCACAACTGAAGGAGACAGAGACACAAAAAACCCTTCAAAAAATCAATGAATCCAGGAGCTGGTTTTTTGAAGAGACCGACAAAATTGATAGACCACTAGCAAGACTAATAAAGAAGAAAAGAGAGAAGAATCAAATAGATGCAATAAAAATGATAAAGGGGATATCACCACTGATCCCACAGAAATACAAACTACCATCAGAGAATACTATAAACACCTCTACACAAATAAACTAGAAAATGTAGAAGAAATGGATAAATTCCTCGACACATACACCCTCCCAAGACTAAACCAGGAAGAAGTTGAATCTCTGAATAGACCAATAACAGGTTCTGAAATTGAGGCAATAATTAATAGCCTACCAACCAAAAAAAGTCCAGGACCAGATGGATTCACAGCCAAATTCTACCAGAGGTACAAGGAGGAGCTGGTACCATTCCTTCTGAAACTATTCCAATCAATAGAAAAAGAGGGAATCCTCCCTAACTCATTTTATGAGGCCAGCATCATCGCGATACCAAAGCCTGGCAGAGATACAACAAAAAAAGAGAATTTTAGACCAATACCCCTGATGAACATCGATGCAAAACTCCTCAATAAAATACTGGCAAACCGAATCCAGCAGCACATCAGAAAGCTTATCCACCATGATCAAGTGGGCTTCACCCCTGGGAAATTTTAGAACTAAACAATGCAACAACTGAAATAAAAATTCAGTGAATGGGCACAATGGCAGAATGTAGATGACAAAAGAAAATAAATCAATAAACTTAAAGATAGAGCAATAGCAATTACTCAATCTGAACAACAACGAGGAAACAGACTGAAAAAATTAGCAGAGCCTCATTTACATGTATGAATATAACAAAAGATTTAGCATGTCATCAAAGTCCTAGAAGAAGAGAGGGATCATGGAACTAAAAATGTTTTCAAAAAACAATGCTAAATTAACAAATGTGGCCAAAATAATCTATATATTTAGAGATGCAAGAAGCTAAATGAATTCCAAACGTGATAGATTCAAAGAAATTCACTCGAAGATACACCACAGTCAAACTTCTAAAAACTAAAGACAGATAAAGAATCCTGAAAGCAATAAGAGAAAGACAGCACATTGCCTACATGGGAAAAATAATTTAAATTACAGTAGATTTTTTTTTTTTTTTGAGACGGAGTCTTGCTCTATCGCCCAGCCTGGAGTGCAGTGGCACAGTCTCGGCTCACTTCAAGCTCCACCTCCCAGGCTCACGCCATTCTCCTGCCTCACCCTCCCGAGTAGCTGGCACTACAGTCACCCGCCACCACACCTGGCTAATTTTTTGTATTTTTAGTAGAGATGGGATTTCACTGTGTTAGCCAGGATGTCTCAATCTCCTGACTTCATGATCCACCACCTCGGCCTCCCAAAGTGCTGGGATTACAGGCGTGAGCCACCGCGCCTGGCCTACAGTAGATTTTTTAATCAGAAACCATGGAGGCCCAAGGGAGGGGCAAAACACTGTTCAAGTGATGTAAGAAATAAAACTGTTCACCCCAAATTATATATTCGCCCAAAATATTCCTAAGTAATAAAGGATGAATAAAGCTTCTCTCAAAGGAAAACTAAAAGAAGGGAAATAAAAATTACATTGAAAATGAAAATTAAAATGCAACATATCAAAATTTATGGTATGCAATTATGCAGTTCCAAGACTAAAATTTATAGCATTACATGCTTACATTAGAAAAAAGAAAAAGTCTCAAATCAGTGTTAAATTCTCATCTTAATAAAATCAAAATAAACCCAAAACAAGTAGAAGGAAGGAAACAAAAACAAGAGCAAGAATCAGTGGGATTGAAAACAGAAAAACAGTACAGAACTTCAATGAAAGTAAAAGTTTGTTCTTTGCAAAAGAAAATAGAATTCATTAACTTCTAGCAAAACTTAAAAAGAAAGAAGACATTCCAATATACCAGTACTGGTTTAGTATCCCTTATTCAAAATCCTTAGGACCAGAAGTGTTTTGGATTTGGGACTTTTTCAGAGTTTGAACTATTTGCATTACACTTATAGTTCAACATCCTTAATCTGAAAATGCAAAATCCAAAATGCTCCAATAAGCATTTCCTTTGAGTGTCAAGTCAGTACTCAAAAATTTTCAGATTTTGACGCATTTTGGATTTTGAGTTTTTGGATTACAGATATTCAACCATATCAAAAATGAAAAGATAGCTCTAGACTCTGCAGACATCAAACGAAAAATAAACACTATGAACATACATATGTAAATTTGACAACATAGATAAAATAGACAAATTATTCAAAAAGTACAAAGTACCACAACTCCTCCAATGTAAAATAAATGACTTGAATAATCCTGTAAACAAGTAGGAATGTTGAATTCATAACTATAAACCTCCCATAAGAGAAATATCCAGGCTTAGATGGTTTCACTGGAGAATTCTCCCAAATAGTCTGATATGGTTTGAGTCTGTGTCCCCACCCAAATCTCATGTCAAATTGTAATCTCTAATGTTGGAGGTGGGCTTTGGTGGGAGGTGATTGGATCATGTGGGCAGATTTCCCATTTGGTGCTGTTCTCATGATAGTGAGTGAGTTATTACGTTATCTGTTTATTTAAAAATGTATAGCACCTCCCTCCTCTCTCTCTTCCTCCTGCTCTGGTCATGAAAGACGTGCCTGTTTCCCCTTCACTTTCCGCCATGATTTTAAGTTCCCTGAGGCCTCCACAGCCATGCTTCCTGTACAGCCTGCAGAACCCTGAGCAAATTAAACTTCTTTTCTTTATAAATTACCCAGTTTCAGGCATTTCTTTATAGCAGTGCAAGAAGGGACTAATATGTGATCTAAGAAAAACCACACCAAATCTATACAATCTCTTCCAGAAAAAAAGAGAACATTTTCTAATATATTCCCTGAAGCCAATATTACCCTGATACCACAAAGAAAAAAAATTGCAAATAGAATTTAGCAATATGTGCAAAGAATATACACCATGACCAAGTATGGCTTGTTCCAGGAATGCAAGGCTGGTTAAATATTGAAAAATCGATCAGTGTAATCCACTATATTAATGGATGCTGAAAAAGCATTTGACAGAATTCAACACCCATTTATGACAAAAACTGTCACAAAATAGGGGTAGAGATAAACTTTTTCAACTTAATAAAGAATATCTACAAAACAGCTAACATTGTACTTAATGGTAAAAGACTGAATGTTTTCCCCCTAAGATTGTGAATGAGGCATGGATTCTACTTTCATGTGACACTGCTACTCAACAGAATACTTGAAAGGTTTAGCCAGCACATTAAGGCAAAGAAATGAAACGAAAGTCATACAGATTAAAAAAGAAATAAAACTGTTCCTATTTGTGGATGACATGATAGCCAGTGCAGATTAAAAAAAAAAGACTACCGAAATAAATTCTAGAATAAGTGAGTTCAACAAGATACAGGTTCACAGATACAAGATAAATATTTAAAAATCAATTGTATTTGTATACACTACCAATGAACATATGAAAACCAAAATTTTGAGTGCAATATCGTTGAAACATAAAAAAATACTGAAGTGTAAATCTAAGAAAATATATACAAGACTTTATGCTGAAAACTACCAAATGCTGATGAAATAAATAAAAGAAGACCTAAATAAATGGAGATGCATACTGTATTCGTGGATTAGAAGGCTCAATATGGTGAAGACAAACTCTCTGCTGAATTGATATACAGGTTTATCAAAATTTCATCAAGGTTTTTTTGTAGATATAGACAATTTAGATAGATATAAATAAGATTGTTCTCAAATTTATATAGAAATCTGTATGGAATAGCTAAAACAATTCTGAAAAAAATAAAATATGAGGAATTATCCAGATCATACAGCTAAAGTAATCACGACTATGGCATATTACTCAAGGGATATACACATAGATCAATGGAACAGAGTAAAGAACCCAAAAGTAGACCCACACAAATGTGTTCCCCTGTTTTTTGACAGAAGTGCAAAAGCAACTTCTTGGAGGAAGGATAGTCTTTTCAACAAGTGGTGCGAGAGCAATGAAATAGGCAAAAACAATAAACTTTGGCCTAAGCCTCACACCTTTTACAAAAATCATCTGAAGACACATCATATATTTAAATGTAAAACATAAGAACTTTTAGAAGATAACGTAAGAGAAAATCTTTGAGATTTGGGGCTTGGAGAAAGGTTCTTAGACATGACACCAAAAGCACAGTACATAAATGACCAATTGGAACTCATCCAAACCTGAAGTGATTTCTCTGCTAACGATCCTGTTAAAGGAGTAAAGGCAAGTTACAGACTAGAGAAAATTACGTACAAACTACACATCTAACAAAGTGCTCATATCTAGAATATAGTTCTCAAATTTTAACATTAAAAAACACTCAAATATTTCAATTAGAAAATGGGCCAAAGATGTAAAGAGACATTTTATCAAAGTGGATCTATGAATAATAAATGGGCACATGAAAAGATGTTCAACATCACTGGCCATTAAGAAAATGCAAGTTAAAGCCACCATGACATATAACTCCATACATATTAGACCAGAAAAAATAAAATAAACACATGCATATATGGCCCTATGAAGATCTTTGACAAGGTGCCAAGGCTACACAATAGGGAGATAAAGAGAGTGTCTTTAACAAATGGTGTTGGAAAAAACAGATATCCACATACCAAAGCATAAAATTGGACCATTTTGTTACAATATACGTAAAAATCATCTCCAAATGGATTAAATACTTAAACTTCAAAGTTGAAACTCCTAGAAGAAAACATAGAGGAAACGTTTCATGACATTGGTCCTGGAAATGATTTCTTGGATATGGCATATAAAGCTCAGGCAACAAGACCACGTATAGACAAGTAGGATTACATCAAATTAAAAAGCTTCTTCCTAGCAAAAGAAAAACCAAAGTGAACAGGCAACCTGTGGCATGGGAGAAAATATTTGCAATATATAAGACGGGCAGAGTCAAAATCCAAAATATATAAGGAATGCGTACAACTCAATAGTAGAACAACAAATAGCCTGATTTTAAAATAGACAAATGAATTAAATAGAAATGTCTCAAAAGAAAACATACAAATGGCTAACAGGTATATGAAAAGGTGCTCAACATTACTAATCATCAGGGAAATTAAAAATTGAAACCACAATGAGATATCACTGTTAGAATGGCTATTATCAAAAATATAAATGATAACAAGTGTTGGCAAAGATGTAGGGAAATTGGAACGCTTGTACACTACTGGTGGAAAAACAAAATGGCATGGCTGCTATGGAAAACAGCACAGAGGTTCCTCAAAAAATTACAAATAGAACTATTATATGATTCAACAATTCCACTTCTGAGTGTTCATCCAAAAGAATTGACATCAGGATCCAGAAGAAATATTTTTACTACTATGTTTATTACAGCATTATGAAGCCGAGATGTGAAAACAACCCCAAATGTCCATCAACAGATAAATGGATACAGAAAATGTGGTATACACAGATAATGGCTATTACTCAGCCCTAAAAAGAAAATCCTGCCACATTTGACAACATGGATGAAACTTGAGGACATTACGCTAAGCGAAATAAGCCAGTTGCAGAAGGACAAATGCTGCATGATTCCACTTCTATGAATTATCAGAAATATTCACATTCACAGAAGCAGAGAGTAGAATGGTGGTTGCCAGGCTAGGGGTAGGGGGAAATGGGAAGTGATTGTTTTGAGTGGGTACAGAGCTTCAGTTATACAAGATGAGTAAATTCTAGAGATCTGCTTATGACATTATGCCTTTAGTTCACAATATTATATAGTATACTTAAAATGTGTTAAGAGGGTAGAGCTCATGTTAAATATTCTTACTACAATACAATATAATAACACAAAATGCAAGTGAGAATGTGGAAAAATTGGATCACTCATACATTACTAATGGGAATGTGAATTCTTAGTCACTCTGGAAAATAGTTTGACGTTTTCTTTATAAACTAAATATCCACTTGGTGTTTGAGCCAGGACTGCACTCCTGGGCATTTGTCCCAGAAAAGTGAAAATGTTTGCATGCAAAAACCTGTACACAAACATTTGAGGCAGCTCGATTTATAAGAGAGAAAACTAATCCCAGATGCCCTCCAATGGATAAGTGTGGTTAAACAAACTGGTTCCACTGAAAATTATTCAGCAATAAAAAGAAATTGTTGATACATGCAACCTAGATGGATCATAAGGGCATTGTGAGTAGAAAAAAAAAAAGCCCATCTCAAAAGGTCACATACTATATAATTCCATTTATTTAACATTCTCATATTGACAAAATTATAGAAATAGAAATTAGATTGGTGGTTTCTAGGACTTAGGGATGGTGGGGAGGGGTGGGTGGCAGGAGGGAGATCTGGAGATCTTGGTAGTGAGGAAATAGTTCTGTATCTTGATGGGAGTAGTGGATACACAAACTACATATGTGATAAAATAAGCCATAACTACACACACACTTTGCACCAATATCCAAGTCCTGATTTTGATGCTATATTGTATCTCATAAGAAGTAATCATGGGGAAACCTACTGGAAGGGTACACAGGATCTCTCTGTACAATCTTTGCAAACTCCTATTAATCTACAATATTTTTTTAAAGTTTGTGGAAAAGCTTCTGATTTGATCTGATACATGCTGTGAAGAGTAAAAGGATTGGGCTATTTAATTATGAGCTCGAGGGGCACATTATTTGAAAATGTTTGAACACAACAAAAGTAAAAGGTAAAAATAAATAGAAGCTAGTTATATAAAAGAAAGAGACACTTCTCCTCCCGAGTTCTTTCCTGGAGCCACTGTGCAAGAACAGCCAGGCAGCATACAGCCCTCAGGACCATGATGTGCGTGCTGCCCAGGGTCAGGAGACCCCAGATCTGACCAAACCTCCCTGTGTCTGTGCAGCATCTAGGACAGCTGGCCTTGGCCCCCTCCTCTGTACACAGAGGTGATGGAGTGACAAGGCTCCACAGTGCTTTCATCCATCTCCTGGCTTCCTAGACTCACTACAGCAGCACCAAGGAGGCCCTGAGACATTGGCTATACAGAGAGGATGCCCTGTCCCCAGGACACCAGCCTTGCTGCAATAACTGCACATGGTCAGCATTGCATGGCTGGGCTGGAAAGCACAATGCGTGGTGTCTCAGAACTGGGCTTGCATAATGCATTCCCTCTGCCTGGCATCTCCATGCTGCACAGGAGTGAGAGCAACTCCCAATGCCTGCCAACGCAGGGCTTGGCATGTCTCCTCAGAGCCAGGGAGCCAGCAGACTCTGGGCAGAGCCAGGCCCTGCTTAGTGTGTCTGTGAAGACTTCTCCAGAGGCACGAGTAGCCCATCAGCAGTACATGCAGTTGATAGTGCAGATTCAGGCCAGATGGTGGGGGCTTCCAGGAAAGCGGGGATTGCGGAGGAGGACAGGGTGAAGAGTGAAATGCCCTTACCAAACAAACGAAGCAGTATCCTATGGAGTGAACATCCAGAACATCCCTCTTCTTCAAAATTTTTGTAAAATATACACAACATAGAATTTACTATTTTAACCATTTTTAAGTGAGCAATTCAGTGGCATTAAGAACACTCACATTTTTGGGTAACCATCACCACCATCCATCCCCAGAACTTTTCATCATGCCAAACTGAAACTGTACCCCTTAAATGGTAACTCTCCATCCCACTTCCCCCGGTCCTAACAACTACCATGCTGCTTTCTGTCTCTATGAATTTGGCTACTCTAAGTACTTAACATAAGTGGAATCATGCATTTGTCCTTTTGTGTCTGGCTTATTTCGCTTAGCATAATGTCTTCAAGCTTTTTCCATATTGTAGCATGTGCCAGAATTTTCTTTCTTGGCATTCCTTTTTGAGGCTGAATAATAGTCCATTGTATGCATGCACCACACTTGCTTTTCCATTCGTTCATTGATAGGCATTTGGGTTGCTTCCATCTCTTGGCTACTGTGAATAATGCTGCTACGGTCATGGGTGTACGAATATCTCTTCTCTTTCCTGTTTTCAATGTCCAGGACATTCTTATCATTTCCCTTATAAATAAAGGCCAAGTTCTGCCATGGCTGGACTGGGTTTCCCAACTTAAGCCTACTTCCAAGAGGCTACAGGGGCACTACAGAATACAAGGAATTGCTTCCTTAATCTTTCTGAGCCTCAGGATCTAACCTCTGAAAGGGAAATCATACTACAGGAGGTATAAATAGCAGGGAGAAGAGGAAGGCAACACACGAAAGCCCCTCAGCTTTCAAACCAGTGGAGGCTCATTCAATCCCCCACTGCATCCCCAACAGGGAGGAGTGCTTCTCGAGAGGCAGAGAGCATGTGCATGCAGGGGCCTCATGGGTCTGCCCGGTGGGAGTGGAGAGAACAGAGTGACTCACTTGGTGTGAAATCCAGAAGATTGTAGCAAGAGCATGGGACAAAATTCAAAGGGCAAGCACCAGCAGGCATAGTCCAGCCCGAGAACGGACGGCTGTAGGACACACCAAGATTTCACAGCAGGGTTCAAGGGTCAGACAATAGATTGTTAGAGATCCCAGAGCAAGACAGCAGAGGGGGTTCTGGAAGAGAGGAGAAGGGGCTCAGCTGCTGGGGCAGGGAACAGGCAGACCTTTCGTAGCCACCATGGTGGGGAGTGGGGTCTGGCAAGGACAACCCAGAGCCCCACTTCTGGAGAACCTCAAATATTAGAAGACGGACCGTATGGGTCCATTTGCCCCAAGCAATCCTAGGTTAGGCCTGCTGTTCTGGCAAAATCACTTTCAAAATTGCCACATCCTTGGTTTGGAAGATGAATTATAGGTCACAACAGGGTGGTTACCAATGCAGGAGCCAGCACAAGGAATTAGGCCAAAGGTACACAGAAAAGCCGCTGTCACCCAGGAAGGCAGGAACATGCTTGGACAAAGTGGAGAGTGGGGTCTGCCTGAATGGTGCCCCCTGCCTGGGACCCTGTGTCCTTCTTCCCTAAAGTTAGTCAGCCACAGAGCCTGGGGCACACTGACCTTCACCATGACTGTTATGGTGGGGTTGAGGGGGATGAAGGCAAGTATTGATAGCTGAGGGGATTGCATTCCTGCAGAGTGCTTTGTTTCTGTTCAATGAAAATTGCTGAAAATTTTTAATCTTGATACAAAAGTATAGAAGAGTGACTTGTTTGGTTTTTCTGTGGTTCTTGCTTGGCATCTAGCACTGAACTCAGTCTCAATGCTTTGGTTGAGACCTTCCCCTAAGAATCGCACAAAGCTGTGACCTTTTATAATTGTTTGCTTGTTTTTACAAGAATGGGATGGTCCAGATGAGAACATTCAGGTTTGTCCTTTTTTTCTGTGTTTTCTTTTACCATGTGGTCCCATCCTGTCGGCACTATGGCACAGCAGTCTTCCTCAGTGGGGCCTGGCCAGGATAGGCCCCACAGAGCCAGAAACTTTAGGCAATCCTGGGTTTGCCCACTGTTCAGGTGAAGGTTCAAATTTTGCATACTCTTTTCCTTCTCTTGTTGCAAAAATCCTTAACAAAGTATCAGCAAATCAAATTTAGCAATATATAGAAAGAATATACTCCATGACCAAGTGGAGTGTACTCCAGGAGTTCAAGGCTAGTTCAGTACTAAAAAATCTATCTGTGTAATCCACTGTATTAATGGAGAAAGAAATTACATGATCATATCAATGGATACAGAAAAAAACACCATTTATAATTTTTTTTAAACTCTCAGAAAATGAAGAGTAGGGGGAACTTCCGCAACTTGATAGAGTATCAACAAAAAGACCTACAGCTAACATCACACTTAATGGCAAAATGCGAAATACTTTTCTCCAAATGCTGGGAATGAAGCAAGATCTCAACATCATCTGCAACTTCTAGCCAGTGTAGTAAGGCAAGAAAGGGAATAAAAGGCATACATCTTTCCACCTCGAGAATCAGCCCCAGTGTATTTTCCTGGCACCGATGACTGCAGGGCCTAGCACCCAGGGCCTTGTTGAAGGCTTTACCTGGGGAATATCCAAACAAGGAGGCAAGGTAGCAAAGAGCCCATCAGTCCCTGCTTTGCCATGTACATACAGCAACTACCTGACTGTGTGCAAGTTACTCACCTCAGTGTGCCTCAGGAGTTTCATCTGTGAAATGGTGTAACAATAGTACCTGCATCACAGGGTCCTTGTGAGGCTTTAAGGAATTACATCCTCAAAGCACCTAGAACACTGCCTGACCACATGGCAAAAACATGCAAGTATCAGCTATTATTATAGACTGTAATCATTACTCTGGGCTTCTTTTATAGTAAGGAAGAAAATAAAACATCATCAATCTCAAGTGAAGCTGTGGAACGCTGAGGGTGGCTACTTCTACCCCAGGCTATGGCTTTTGACAGGGATCTTGTACTTTGACTCTGCATAATAACCATGACGGGCAGTTAGTTTCCAGAGGAGCAAAACTGGAAGATGATCTCTTCATTCCCCCATCTTTGTAGCCTGTACCATAATCTAGAGGAATATGCTGAGTCTTCCAACCCACTTTCTCATTATCCACTGAAGGCTTTTTTCCCACTGCTTCTCAAACACCTTTATTTTCCTCCCTAGCTCCTTCTTCTCACTCAAGCCTCTCCTCTCCCTCCTCCTCACATGCCTATCATCTTAACTTTTCCACATTAAAACCCTCTTGTAACTGACACGGACCCCTGTGAAACTCCAGGCAATTAATCGAACTCAGCAGAGCTTTTGTAAACCTCTGTAAAAAAGACCACAGGCTCATGTTGCTCTCATATTCTGTTTAAGTGGAACCTACAGAGATCCATGTTGGGCAAAGTTGTTAAGAAAACTACCTTTTATTATTTTATTTAAGGAAGAAATTAAAGATTCAGCTCATATAGACTGGAAAAAAAGAAAACCTCTTTCTACCCTTAAACCTTTCTCAATGCTTATTGCCAACTATAATTTTTTTTTAAAGGCAACCAATGCAGTAAAACTACCACAACAAAGCTGGAGCAAATATGCTAGCTGAGCAGAGGCCAGATTTATGGTCAGAAATATGGAGTGTGTCTCAGCAGGGGCAGGTCGTGAAATCGTATGAGCTAATATCAGAGGTGTGAAAACAGGCATTGTTGTTTAGTTAACTAAAGTCACACAATTAAGCGATTCTCAAAAATCAATTAGCCATATGTTATAACCAAGATGACATGTTTTTATAACTTCTCTCTGGATGTTTTATTGCCAGAGGATGCTCATGTGGGCACTAGAACAAGAAAATAAACCACCAGCCCCAGAGTAAAAGTGCAAAAATTCAGCCATGATTAATTAAGAGTCCAATCTGCACATGATGGAGTAATGAAGCCGGCTGCACGGTGTTGGAAGGATTCCTTCCCTGCACCCCCATTCTGTTGCAAAAAGCCAGAGGTCATTTTATTTCTTTCTCTTTGTTTTTCTGTTCTTTTTAATTTAGCACAGACACAGCTGTGAAAACTGGATATCCATTTGAACTCCATATTTATGCATACAGCTGATGGTTCCAAGGAAACGTCATTTAAGAGCTTTCCATGGAAAATGAAAAACGTATTTCTCAGGAGGAAACCCTGGTGGCATGCTGTTGTTCACGATAGATTTTGTCTTCCTGCCATCCACAAAGGAAGCAACAAATGAGAGGCAGAGCTGGCCTCCTTGTCCCCTGTTGCTGTTGAGCCAGGTGTGGGATAGGGACACAGGAGGACATGCAGTGGCCGTAATACAGAACAAACAGTAGGGTCCATTTTTCACATAGCCACAAATTCCACCCCTTCCTGTAACCACCCCTTGGATCTTGGCCATTCTAGTGTTTTAGTCAACAGAACAGGGCACGAGCCATGTGTACTAGATCCAAACCAGGCCCTCTGCACACCACTAACGCTCTGCCCTCGTTTCTGGAATCTGGCAGACACTGTGTGAACGAGGCTAGGTCACCTGCTGGATTATGAGAAGCTCGTGGCCCTGACTCCCCACCTCTCAGCCAGAATGAAGCCAACCTCCACGCAAGCACAGAGGGCTCCAGACCAGCAGACCCCACCTGACCTGTCAGCTGACCCCAGACCTGAGCAAGCCCAGCTTCCATCAGTTAGCCTGACCTCAACAGCAGAACTGCCCAGCAGGCCTGAAGACTGCCCAGCACTGATAAATAGTTGTTTAAGCCACTCCCTTATGGAGCAGTTTCTTACCCAGTGAAAGCTAACAGATGTAGACAGTCACTCAGAGGCAGTGGTAGCTGTGAAACTTCCAACCACACAGTGCAAGACTGTCAGCCTCTACACACCACGCTGGGCAGCATGGGTCCTGCTGCCTTGCAGTGCCCTTGGAGTGGCATTTAAAAACACCGAGGGAACTCTGTGCTGTGTAGGGTGGCAGAGTGTTGCCAGGCCCACATCCTGTTCTGTCACTAGCTGTATGACTTTACGTCTCAAATGTGAGCCTCAAATTTTTCAACATAAATTGAGCCTATTTCTTTAAAACTGTGCTTCTCAAAGTGGGGTCCCTGGGCCAGACGCTACAGCCTCACCTGGAAACTCATCAGCAATCCACCTTCTCACACCTCAACCCACACCTGCTGAATCAGAAACCTAGGACTGGGGTCTAGAAAGTTGTGTTTTAAGAAGCCCCCAGGTCATTTGGATGGGCCAGCTCAGATATGAGAGCCCTGCTTTAATGTGACTGTGAGAATAAAGTGCTATCATCTGTATAAAACATCCAGGACAAGGGAGACACTCAATTCTCTCACTCCTTTCCCTTTACTGAATAGACTTAATAGAAGGCATGAATGCATTTAGGTGTACAGATAATTAAGACAAATTAACATATGAAACATATATGTATAAATATAGGTAAAACAGATATAAGATTGGACACACACATTGCCACTTATCTAGGTGGAGGTCATTCAGCTTAACTTCTATAAAATGGACAGCAGATAAGACCTCATCATTTACTTTCTGCCTTCTTATATCTGCATCATCAACATGTCAGTGAGGTCTTCAGAGGATCTTCTGATGGGTGAAGCCACAGAGACATGTGGATGTGGTGCCCGGCTAGTGCCTGAGGTGGGGTGTGGGGAGTGTGCCGCCAAGACACACTAACTCCACGCAGCCTCAGCAGGGAGCTACCCCCACAGAGCCTGGCGTCTGGCTGTGCTCCCTGCTTTGTATCTGCCAGGAGCAGGGAGGGGAGGGGAGGGGAGGCTGGAGGGAGGCTGGATGTGGAGGAGAAGGCAAGTCAGAGTCCTCCTGACTCACCGGGAGAGGTGAGCAGGATGTTCTCCATGAGCTGGACCCCTAATTATCCTAACAATGCCCTGAATTCTGGGATGTCTCGTGAGGTGCCATGTTGGTGCCTGTGAACGCTGCAGATGTGAGCGATCTGTGTTCATGAGCTGACACACAAGTGCTGCTGCATCCACAGCACATGGGTGTCGCCTGCTGCATTTGGGTTCTTCTGTAGGAGCCTGTGAATACACAGAAGAGAGAGTGGAATGAGAGATCTCATCACTGAAGAAACCAGCACAAAGTGTGCCCGAAACCACAGAGGCACATGGAGAGGGGAGGGCTGCCTGTGCAGAGAGGAGGAGCATGAGAAACAGAGAGGGGGTCCCAGAGACTGCCCCTAACCAGGTTTCTGCCTCTGTGCATGTCCATGAATTATGGGATCCTGGGAACAAGCCAATTGCCCCGCCCAGTACAGCCCTTTGAAAGCACTGGTGTCTGCCAGGAAAAGATCCAAATGCTGAGGCCCCAGAACCAAGGAGGAGCCAAGGGCCTTTGGTCTTTGCAAGGAGTTGTTGCCTCTAACCACAGGGTCTCAAGTCTATGTTCAATGGGGCCAGTGGGATGTCTAACTACAAAAAGGCAGCTAAGCTAGACTCCAGCTGAGCTGTCAGAGGCCAATGACAGTGCTACAAGGCAAGCAAGTGGCTGCTGGGACCCACTGGGCTCAGGTTCCCTTACCGGAGTGATCATGGGCCTTCAGAGTCCTTCCCTGGACATGGCCCATTGGCTGAGAGGAGACTCGCCTTAGCTTCTGGTGGTGGCAGTCCTGGGGGCTGGTCAGGGAGGGTGGGCTAATTAAGGGACCTGAGCTCCCCTAGCTGCAAAGCATTCTGGAGCTGCAGGGATAGATGCTCCTGGGACTTCTCTGGCTACGGAACTGCAGGAGGCTCCATCTACCAATCTGGCCCACATTCAGGCTCTGGACTCCATATTCTACCCCCTCTCCTTTTGACTAAGGACTAGAGGATATGAAGAAACAAATACTTGCCCTGCACCCTGTCTGGGGTACTTCTCACCCTGCACAGTGCTGAGCCCTGATGTCCATCACTTTACTCAGTCCATAAGAACTCCAAAGTCATGTTTTATTATCCCATTTACAATGAAAGAAATGGGCACCAGGAGCCACCTCCCAGATCTCGATCTAGAATCTCTGCATCACCCAGGGGCTCCCCTGTTCCCCTCCCATCAGGCTACCCATGGCAACCACTCTTCCATCTCTCCAGCAAGGTTTGCTTGTTTCTCAACATCACTTGAGTGGAACCAAGCAGTAACTATTCTGGGGTGTCCCCCATGCTGTGTGTATGTGTGGTCACCCAGGGTGAGGCATACAGCCATCATTTATTGTGTTGTATTGCTGTGGTGTACTTTACTGTATGAACACACCATAATTTGTTTATCCATTTTACTGCTGTTGAATATTTGGGTTCTCCCCAGGTTTTGACTATTTTGAGTAAGGTTGCCATGAACATGTCTGACATGCCTTTCGAGGACAGATATTTCTTTCTGCTGGGGATACTCCCAGGGGTGAAGCTTTTGGGCTGGGCCGTGTCTACATGTTTAACTTTAGAGATAGCTTCAGCCCTCTAAAGCTGTTGTCCAGGTTACCCTCCCACTAGGAAGGGATGAGAGTTGGGGTCGCCCTGCACCCTCACCAGCACTCACTATCATCAGTCTTTTCCATTTTAATTGCTCTGGCAGGGGCGCAGTGGTATATCCTTGTGTTTTTAATTTCCATTTTTTTGAGATGGCATCTCACTATGTTACCCAGGTTGATCTTAAAGTCCTGGCCTCAAGTGATTCTCCCTCTCCTTCCTCAGCCTCCCAAGTCTCAGGGATTACAGGCATGAGCCTTAATTTGCATTTCTCTGATGAGTGATGAAGAGCCAGTTTTTGAACTCAGTTCTATTTAATTCCAGACCCAACTCTCCTCACTGCTCCACTCCGTAAGATTCCAGCAATGCTTTGGCCACCTCCCTTCAGCCTCCTTAGCACAGCTTACCCCAGGTGTCCTCACAGGCCTTTCCCTACAGTACTGCAGGGGGCGGTGAGCTCCCCCAGGCCTGGACACTGGGCATGGCAAGAAGGGGCCGGATGCTTCAGCAGCAGGCCAGACAGGCACGTGTTTTGACAACCCTGATGCAGGGGACCAACACCCTGAGTGTGGGAGAGATGTGAAGGGAACGTCATTTCAGGACACAGCTTGGGAGCCTCGTGTGTCACAACACCATGGGGGCCAGGGGAGCACGAACCAGGGGAGGCTCTGCTGGCTTTGGTGTCCTCCAGCTTCTGAAAGTTTCACCGTCTCAGTTGTGAGGATGTCCCTGGTTTCTTCAGGGGAATGACCTTGTTTCCTCCTCACTGATACAGGAACAGTGAGGTTTACCCTCAGGCCATTGTAAAAGTGAGTTAGAGACCTTTTAAAACAGGGATACAGGTGAACAGGAAGCCAGGCTGTGGGATTGTGGGAGGCACAGTCACAGGTGGGAGGGCTGGTGTCTGTGCCTCCGCAGGTGAGGGCAGCGCCAGAAGCCTCTGTCAGGGTCGGGGCAGCACCAAACCCCCTTTTAGGAACATTCTGAGGGTCAGCATGGATGGTTTTCTTTGTTTGTTTTTTTTTTTTTTTTTTTGGTATCCTTTGAAAAATGGGTGGTAAGCTTGTGGTGAGCCTGATCATTTTCTTGTGTTTTCATTTGATCAAGCTTCTTCCCACAAATATCATCAGACCCACATCAGTGTGCCCAACAGAGTACACGTAGGACACACTGAAAAGTGAGATTCAAGGGGAAACATGGTACCTGGCACATACTCGTGGGAAACAAAATTAGAAAGAACTTCTTTCAAAAGAGAGAGAGAGAATGAATTAATAAAGATAAAAGAATGCAATAGTAAGTCCAGATTTAACCAATTTAGGCTCCTTTGAGGAGATCCAAGACCTCACTTAGGTCCTGCCAGCCATCAGCCACCTGCCCCCAGTCCTATCCCAACTCTGCCATCAGCCACCTGCCGCCAGTCCTATCCCAACTCTGCCATCAGCCACCTGCCCCCAGTCCTATCCCAACTCTGCCATCAGCCATGTGCCCCCAGTCCTATCCCAACTCTCCCACCAGCTGCATGCCCCCCATCCTATCCCAACTCTGCCATCAGCCGTGTGTCCATGGTCCTATCCCAATTCTGCCATCAGCCGCATGCCCCAAGGCCTATCCCAACTCTGCACTGGCCTCAGCTCTCACATCCTTATGATGAGGTGTGTGCAGCTCTCAGTTGTCAGCCCCACTTTAATTTCACTGCTTTACAACATCCCCTAGCTCCCCATTGCCTGCAGAAGCAAATCCAGTCTTCACTGGGGCTTACAAGCCCTCTATGTTCTAGGTCCCACCCCCCTGCCCATCCCTGCCTGAGGCTCCATCCTCTCAGGCAGGGGAGCATTCTTGCTTTTCATGCCTCAATGCAACTGCATCTTTTCCAAGTTCAGCTGAGAACACCTTTCTCTCCTTTTCAGCCTGGTGAACTCCTCTGGCGAGTCCCGCCCTCATCAGCAGCCCAACACAACAGCCCTGGAGTGGCTCTTCCCACCTTCTGCTGCAATTGTTTGTTTTTGAGCCTCTCTCTAACTGTGGACTCCCTAGGAGGAATATAGAATATGACTTCTCTTTAAAATCTCTCCTCCTGCTTCCACTCAGTGTCTGACACATAAGAAGTGCTTAGTAAAAGTTGATTGAAGATGTTAAATGTTTTCCTTTTGAAATAACAAGAAGAAAAACAAAGACGAGGAATAAACTCTACACCCCCTGTCCCCTACCCTGACTTTGCTTTTTTGGGGCAGAAAGAGGCATGTTGGGCCAGCACATCTGAGGATGTGGCCTTGAGCACAGTCCAACAATTAATCTACTCATCCCTATTTGCATCTGGGTGGGACCCGGCAGGGCTTTAATTGGATGCATGCACTTTCTGGGTGGAGAATGTGGCCCTGAGATTTCCTTTTCTGCAGCAATGAGACTACCCACCCCTCAGCTTCCCATTCTCAGGACATGTGAGCCCCCACGTGCACACAGGCACAGAGGGTCATTAATCACTCCCACCACCTGATTAAAGGAATTCTCCAGACCAGGAAAAAAAGCTGTGCTATAAAAAGACTTTGAATTATAGAGTCCCTCTGCACCAATACTTCCAAATCAGGCAATTTATTGCAAACAACCAATATCTCATTCTCAGGCCATTAACTAAAATAGGAAAATATCATCTTAAATTCTAAAAATAACAAAGGACACACTGTAATAGGTTTCCAGTTCTGGACAAGTGGATGGGTGCTTAGCATGATGAAAACCTCAAGAACTTGGAATATGACTTTTCCTTTCCCAAACCCTCCACATTGGAGGCCACAATCTCAAGTAGGACCTAGCACTCTTAACCACTGGTGTTTTGTCCTTAATCTTTCCCATTTCACAGCCACAATACCACCCTGGAACCAGAGATTCCAGAGTAAAGCCCAAAACAAAATCATTTTTATTCAAATTAAATAACTGAATGGATTTGGCGTTTAAGAGGGGCCGCCGAAGGCTCCCTTGCTGTGTGTTGCTGCTGTTGCGTTGTTTTGATTTTGTGCAACTCTGGAGAGTCACAAAGGAGCAGAAGAGACTGGACCCTGTTAGGATCCCTGAAGCCCCCATTCCTGAAACTCGGTCTTCAAGACCACTGGTAGATCTTTAACACCAAAGCCAGCAGCCTTCTTGGCTCTCCGTCAGCATCAGAGTCTGTGCATGGCTTGGCCCTTGAGCTCTTGATGAGGTCAGGGCAGCAGGGACACTTGGGTCTGAAGATCAGTGTCCGGGAGCCACCAGGTCAGGAAAGCAGGGTGCAGCCTGGCCTTGAATTGATGGAAACCAACACCCTGCATCCCTGACCCTGGATACACCCGAGGATGCACTGTCTAGGGAGACTTGGACAACCCATCCTCAGATGCAGGTTGCCCTGGGGGTCTGAGGGCCTGGTCCCACCCATCCTGAACTCCCTGGGGATGTGTCTGACCCCAGCCTATTGGGAACACCCGAGCAAGTCCTTTGGCAACTGTAACCTGATTGCTTTGACATCGCCATCTCTCTAGGACTCCCAGGGACACAGCCTGTCCTTGGGGTGCCTCCAGCCCCTGCTCAGTTACCTTCCCAGAGTGCCCACCCTACTACATCCCCAAACTCAAAAGTGACCTTCCACTTCCTTCACATCTATTAACCCAACCAAGACCCTTCATCCCATGGTGGAACAGAGTTAAATCTTTAGGAATTAATTGATCAAATGTCTTTGCCCTGAGGAAGAAATGGATGCTGTTGAATACTGAACCCTCTAGGATGGGTACTTCTCCATAGTTCAGGCATGTCTTCCTTGGGGATGGATTGATTTCAGTGTGTGTACATTTGCCCTCAACAGTCCCAATATAGAATTGTGTTTCTTACTCTCTAAAAGGCTGTCACATGCATTATTCTATTTAGTGTATTGCAATCATATTCTGAGAAATAGGTGTCAGAGAGCTAACAGAGAGGAGGACTTTCCCAAAGTACACCCAGCAAAAGTGGCCAGTCGTGCCTTGGGAAGCCTGTTGTCTACCAAGCCCTTCCCCATCTGAGATCTGAAGCCTTGGATGTCAGACATTTCCGACCTCAGAGATGCCCAGCCAGGCACCACAGAGAAACCAGAATAGAAAGAAAGGCCTTCAGGGCCTGGGACCCTCCGAGGCATCCAGTCACACTCAACAGCATTGTGGTTTACTGGTACTTATAGGAGGCATTGTAGGGCCTTTGCATGCCCAGACACTCTGAATTGACCATGGACTGGCACCTGTACAAATGCTCATTTGCCACCATGCAAAGCTGGTCACAGGTTTCATCATCATAATCATCATGCCCAAGCTCTTCTGCCCATGCATGTGTACGTACACACATGCATATTCATGTGCACACACTCATGCACACACACACACGTGCACACACACAAACACATGTGCATATACATGCACATCTCTGAGATCCTCCAAGACCATTTCCAGCCACAGCCCTCACCTGAGATTTGAGCTTGACACGCTTCACCCCCAGGCTCCCAGGATTGCCTTAGCCTCTCCTTTTGGATGGTCCTTGAGTCAATCTGAGCACCTTCTCTCAGGCACAGAATTGGGAATCATTTTATGGTCCCAGATACTGTGGTGGAGGACCAGACAGCAAAAACAGAACAGATCAAACATTCTCAGGCAAATAGCCTCTTTGCTAATGCCTTCTGAAGGAAACAGCAAGCATGAGCAGTGATTCAGCACCTCTGACAGAAAAGACAGAGTGATAAATAGTCGCAGAGCAATGATAGGATTTGCATTCCTCATAATGAAATGGAGAAGGTTAGATCAAGAGGACCATTTCAACCAGCAGGGGATCTTTTCATCAATAGATTATCCACTGGCTGACCGACTGTCCACTTGTTTGTGTGTCTATTTGTCTGTCTGTCCATTCAGGGAGACTGCTTGAGTCATAACAGCCTGTCAGTTTCACACTAAGGCAAGACAGAGAAGCCACACATTTTTGGACATTTAATAGAGGACGTTTTCTGTTCTGTGTTTTCTCCTTTAAGGGAAGATGCTCTTGATAAGGCAGGGAGGGGCTGAATCAGGAACTGCCAAAGAGAGGTGGCCTCCTGATGGGTAGCAAACAAGGAGGAGGAGCTGCTGACACTTATTTGGGTTTTATAACCTTGGGCACACCTGGCCACGCTGTTTTCCTTCCCATTAAACTTCCCTTGGCTGAGCTGGCAGACAAGGTCGTCGGTGGTCCTGGGATGATAGGCTAATTTGGAGGAGGCAGCGGGCTCATTCCCACGCCGTGGGGGAGGGGACCGTGCGCCGCCTTGGATGATGAAAGCTCTAAGCAGTGTGCTCCCTGGCCCCTTTCTCGGGAGGGGTCATGCAAGCAGGCTGAGCTTTGAAAATGCAGGGGGCTGTCTGCCCTTGGAAGGTGGGTCCAGTCACCGTGGAGACAAGCCATCTGAAAGGATCCCCCAGATCCCACACCAGTGAATTTTCCCTAGGGTCCTCTGAAAGCTCAGACTACAAAAGATGGTGGTGGTCTGACTTCTGTTGCACATTCAGGACAAACATTCATCACACCGAAGGCCCGGCGAGGCTGGGTTTTGATCTCTTATTTACATAGTCCTTCTCTCTGCAGCGTTCCAAGAGATCCGTGTCCCAGCCAGCCTCGGGGACCTCCTGGGGCCGGCATCACCTCCTTGTGCCTGTTCCCGCCCCATGTGTTTGTGCAGCTTTTGCCGCCTCCGCTCACGTGACTCGGTGAACCTCGCTCTCGCTGCATAGCAAGTGCACTTGTGGTTGGAGGATTCGGGTCCCTCACAGCTGCACCCAGCGGGGAGGGAGGCTGCTCACCCAAAGAAGGCTTCCCTATTCTAAACAGTACTCTGGGGTGGGTATTTTTCCTTCTTTCTTTTCAAAAAGGAAGCATCCATCCAGAGTCATTTTGTCTCCTCAGATGGAGCAAGCCAGAGTTAAGTTGTCAAATACCAGTAGGCAGAGGTGACTGAATGGTAGGTGCTGGGTACAGCATTAAACGCTTTTCTGCAATATCTTGGTAACCCTCTACTCTGCAAACAAAGAATGGGAACCTCCTGAGGTCCCATTTGGCCAGTGAGTGGTGTCTCCAAGATTACTGCCCAGGTCTGATTCGGACTCTTCTCCTTCCCCTTCATTACCATGGACCCTCCCTTTCACAGCCACCCCCTGCTCCTGTTAGGTCCATTTTCCCAGACCTCCCATCCTGCCTGCTTCATTTTATTTGTCTGACAGAGGCCTGCGTGGGCTGCAAAGACCTCCACGTGTGGGGCCTATGAGAACAAGCGGAGCCCCAGACAGAGCTCTAGTGTCTCTCCAGCGGCCACAGGGCTTAGCTGGTGTCCCATTGTGGGAACGTCCAGACCTGCAGACAGGCTTAGTATTTCCTCCTTCAGATGGCGTCGGGCCCTAAGCCCTGGGCTCAGAACCCGCTGCAATCAAAAGCAGATGTGCTATCATGGAATCCGAGGCGCGGGGGCCAGAGATGACCTTCACAATCACATCCACCTCATCCCACAGGACCTGACTCCAGGCTATTCCATGAAACCTCCCCCACCTCTTCACCCAGCCGAGTTTTAAATATCTGGATTACAGACATTTCTGCTGTAGTCCGAAAATGAGGAAATGCTCTCATTCCCCTAGGAGTCTGATCACTTACCATCTTCAACCTGATTCTATGTCTCTTTGAACTTTAATATCCCCTGTGCACCATGGGGGTCTGTGTGTTCAGGAACATCATTAAAAGCTGAATGCGAGGGGAGTCTGAAAACATTCAGAATTTCTTTGAACCACATGAGTCTTTCTGGTAGGTTCACACTTGTTCCTGAAAAATATAATGAGACTTCTGTGCTATTTATCATCTTCATCACCAGCCAACATTCATTCAACATCTACTACCTACTCATTTCAGTAGTAATGAGTCCACTCACTAGGTGGACAGAGTGGTACAAAAATACAAATATATTTTTTAGATGCCTTGCATGGCCTCAAGGAGCACTGATGCAAAACCCCAGTCTGATGAGATTACAAAAGCAGCTATTTCCATCCTGGAAGTGTAAAATATTTCATGGAAAAAGTAGCCTTTCACATCCTAACTGAAGATGATTTTATTTATTTTTTAAGCAGCTTCATTGAGGTATAATTGATATACAAGGAACTATACATATTTAATGTGTACAATTTGATGGCTTTGGTCATATGCAAACATCTGTGCTACCATCACCACCTCAAAGTAGTAAACATATCAACACCTCCCATAGCTTCCTTATGCCTCTTTCTTCATCTGTTTTGTTTTGTTTTCTTTTGTGATGGAGTCTTCCTCTGTCACCCAGGCTGGAGTGCAGTGGTGCAATCTCGGCTTACTGCAGTCTCCGCCTCCTGGGTTCCAGCAATTCTGCTGTCTCAGCCTCCCGAGTAGCTGGGACTACAGGCGCATGCCACCACGCTTGGCTAATTTTTGTATTTTTAGTAGAAACAGGGTTTCATCATATTGGTCAGGCTGGTCTCGAACTCCTGACCTTAGGTGATCCACTCGCCTCAGCCTCCCAAAGTGACGGGATTACAGGCATTAGCCACTACTCTTGGCTGCCTCTTTCTTTTTTAAAGTTATTCAACTGTTATTTTAGATTCGGGAGTGCATATGCAGGTTCATTACATGGGAATGCTTCATGACGCTGAGGTTTGGGGTACAAAGGATCCCATCACCCAAGCAGTAAGCATGGTAGCTGAGAGGTAGTTTTACAGCCCCTGACCCCTCCACCCCGCCCCCCCCACTAGCCCCGAGGGTCTGTTTTCCCTTCTTGATGTCCACAAGTACCCAATGTTTAGCTTGCACTAAGTGAGAACATGCAGTATTTGGTTTTCTGTTCTGGAGTTAACTCACTTAGGACAATGGTTTCCAGTTGCATCCACGTTACTGCAAAGGACATGATTTCATTCTTTTTATGGTTGCATAGTGTTCCATGGGGTATATACCACATTTTCTTTTTCCAACCCACCACTGATGGGCACCTAGGTTGATTCCATGTCTTTGCTGAAGGTGACTTTAACAGATAGAAAAATCACTCAAGGAGGAGGATGCTTTCCAAACACGGAAAGGTCATGACAGCTCAGCACACAGTGGCCAAGGAGTTGAGAACATTCTACCATCACCAGGAATTAGAGGAGATGACTACAACTGGGGGAGGGCAGGGGGTGGCAGACATGAGGCAGCTGAGTGGTACCCAGACTGTGAAGAGCCTTGTGGTTCAGGGAGGAGGACCTTCATCCACCACTTTCAAACTCCCATGGTGCACCTGTCCAGGATGACAGAGCTATGGGAAGAGTGGGTCAGGCCACCTGGGCAGCAGCAGGGAGGCCACAGCTTCTTTCCTTGGCTAAATGCTCCTCTAGGTGAAGAAAGAATCCCTTCTAGGCACATCCTTCCACCTGTTCACCTTCTGTGCCTCCTTTAAGGGCTGTTTAAAGTGTAGCCTTCCCTAACCCTCCATCGCTGCCCTTCCACCATATGCAGTGCCAGGCTTCTTTCTCTCCACTCCCACCCGCAGCCTGGATGTGTTTCCACGAGAGCATTTAGTCTATCTCCTGTGACCATGGATGAACCTGCTTGTCCCCCTCACTTAAGCGAGGAAAGGTTCCTCACTCATCACACCACATAGGTCTCTTAGGACAGTGCTAGAGACACCCACCTGTTCACAGCCACAGATTGAGTGCACAAGAAGCACACAACACAAGTTTGCAGGTGGGCAGGGGCAAGCAGGTGGGTGCACCATTTCCAATGAGGTCTTAACGCCATAAATGTGAGCACCTGCTGGAGGCTCAGGGAGGCAAAGAGCTGAGACAGGGAATGGCTGTTAAGGGGGTTCCTGCCCTTCTTCCTCCAGCTTTCCAATGGAGACAGGCTCTGAAAGTACATGTGACCATGCTTCTCAAGCCAGAGAGAAACACGGTGGAATTAAGGTCTGGAATCTCAGCCTTAGGTAGCTTCAGTGGCCACGGTACAGTTGCAAACATCCAGCGAGTACTTTCTATGGACAAAACAATAGGCAGCCTGCAGTGAGAGGTGGGAGGTGAATTAATCAGGCCCAGAGGAGGTGAAGTCTCACATCCCCAGGAGAACAGAGCCCTAGGGAGCCAAGGAATGAGTGCTTGCCTCCAGCTTGGGAGAAAGAGCCATGCCCCAAACAAGGGCAGAATGGGCTGGAATATTTTGAAACTATTTTCCCCTGACATCATGACACTATTCTCTGGGAATGACTGTAAAGTGTGAGAGACTGAATCTTAAATCTAGATGGTAGATTGATAAAACATAAGTGAAAACTAACATGGCATGCCAATGAAAATATTCCCTAACTCACACTCTTAAGCCAGGCTTTCCTAACCTCTTCACATTTTTTTTTCTTTTTTGAGACAGAGTCTCACTCTGTCACCCAGGCTGGAGTGCAGTGGGTGCAATCTCAGCTCACTGCAACCTCTGCCGCCCAGGTTCAAGCAATTCTCTTACCTCAGCCTCCCAAGTAGCTGGGATTACAGGTGCCTGCCACTGCACCTGGCTAATTTTTGTATTTTTAGTAGAGATGGGATTCCACCATCTTGGTCAGGCTGGTCTTGAATGTCTGACCTCGTGATCCACCTGCCTGGGCCTCCCAAAGTGCTGGGATTACAGGCGTGAGCCACCGTGCCTGGCCACCTCTGCACTATTGATTATTGACATTTTGGCCCAAATGACTCCTTGTGTGGGAAGCCAACCTAAACATTGTAGAGTGTTTAGCAGCATCCCAGGCCTCTACCCACTAGATGCCAGTAGCACCTCTCTCCACAGATGTGACAACCAAAGCACACATTGCCAAATGCCTGGGAGGTGGGTGGAAATCACTTGATTTGGGGTTGAGAACCACTGCCTTAAACCCAGTCAGCCATCATGTCCACCTCTCCAGATGCCTCCTCTGCTCTTCTGATGCAAACTGCACCCCTCATTACCCACCCACCCCAGCTTAGAAAATACCCAAGCGCAAGAGAGGCTGCCCGCATTCCCTCTGCAGACTCATCATCTCTCAGATGTCTCCCCACCCAGTCATGACGACTAGTGGCCCTGCACTCACCCAGCTCTATGAATAGTGTCCATGTGCATCCCAATGCCACCACTCCACTCAAAGGGAGGTCCCTGCTCTCATTGCTTGCCCCCTGTGCTTCCTCCCTTGGTGCATCACCCACTTAGAGGGAGCCTATCCCCTTCTGGATGCCTCCCACACCAATCCTAGCTGCTTTACCTTAGCAAGAAATGCATTCCAGGTCTCAAATTTTCTCATCTATAAAACAGCAATGTAAAAGATCTGGTTAAACTCATATCAAAGTATTTCCTGTCTCCAAGAACTACAAGGTAGGAAGCCAAATGTGCTGTCCCCAAATCAGACCATCCCCTGCAGCAGCTTTTCTGAGCAACTGAGCTCCCTGGGAAGAAGAGTTCTGGGCAGTCCCTCCATACAGAGAGGATACTTGAACCTCAGACTGCTACTTCAGAGCACCCAAGGATCTCACATGTCTACTAGATGCTTAGACTTGTAAACCAAGCTGGTTTCCATGCTAACATATAAAAAACAATACTAGATGGAAGTCTATGTATTTTCACAGAGGTTCCTGGCAAAGCCTCAAGCTGGTTTGCATTCATCATTGGTTTTGTTCTATCAAGCCTCCTAAACAAGAGAAGCTATGCTTTTTTGACATACTTTTGACATTTCAATCGGGCATGGAGATGGAAAGCCCTCAGTGTGTTTGCCAACGGCAGAGATTTATTTCACAGATCTTAAGGGGCCATAAAGAAAGTACTCAATAACCCTTAAACATCCCGCACAGTGTGAGATGAAGTCTACGGTGTGCCTTGGAGTTGAGTCACTAGTGCTTACTCAGCTGAAACGAGTTCAGCACCGTGAGTGCCAGAAATAACAAAGCATGTGTCATCTTTTAAAGAATTCCCACTCTCCCCCATTTCTCCAGGTGAACAGCTACCAGAAGCTGTTGACCCCATTCTCCAAAGCTGAGGCTGCTGCTTCTGGGAGCCCCGATGTCTCTGAATGTGGCGACCATCAGTACTCCCATACCAAGAAGGAGCAGTGACTCAGGTCACACTGGGTAGTCCTGGCCTGATGCCCAAGGCAACGGGAGTGATAGAGAGCAATAGTCAGAGGATTGATGAGCAAACAGAGCCAAGTGGATCTCAGACAGGTTCAAGGCCGTTACTGCAAATGGAACTTACACTCTTCAAACCTCAATGACATCACCTGGGAAATGGAGATCATGCTACTGTTAATAATAATTTCTATATCACAGAGTCGTGTGATGATTGAGACACTCGAGTTTGATGTGCTTACGATGATAAATACCAGTGTATATGTGCTTAGCACGTGCATAATGTTTTTAGATGGATAGTGCCCCTAAAACTTCTGACATAGTTCACGTTCTTGTTCAGGACCAAGCCAAAGCACTTGCCAAGCAGAAAGAGCAGATCTGGGCAGCTGCCACCCTCGCCAGGCATACACAGCACCCTGGGCCTGTGGACTCATCCCAGATGGGCTTTGCAGACACACAGAGGCAGATTTGCCAGCTGGTTCTTCCATCAGAATAAATAAACCCTTTCTGCTGTACCCTTTCTCTTGTTTTGGGTCATCATTAAATGGAAACAGAATAGAAACTATCCCTGTTTCTTTGTTGTTGCAGGTTGGGAGCAGTGATGACCCAGTTCAAGATGAAATTGAATCAATCCCACTTCGCTGTCCCAGATATTGTTGGAGTTTTGTTTTCCCCTCACCCTGAGTTGGGAAAGTTGCCTGAATGATTTGTGCCTGAGCGCTCTTATCTAGAGTGGAACGTAAAGTTGTGACCATTTTCACTGGGAAAATAGGTGATTTGTCTGGAGGAGAGTATCTCAAGTTCCAGACTCGAATGCTATGTGCCCTTTTATGTTAACTTCTTCACCATGGGGGAACCCCCAGGAATAAAAAGTCTCCTATTCCTCTCCTTCAAAACACCTCCTGAAACCTCACTCTTTTCAAGGACCTTACTGACATTTACTGAATAAATAATTTTTGAAGCTTTCAGAGAAGCATAGAGATGAAAAAAGCTCTAGAGATACTGATGGTTAAAATTGGAATGCATGAAATTCAGGTATGGCAGCTTGCCAGAGAGGGGACACAAATGCTTACCCGTATGGCTGATATTAACATGAGGAAGGAAGATACCGGCTGGGCACAGTGTCTATGGGCACGTCTACAATCCTGGCAATTTGGAAGGCTGAAGCAGGAAGATAACTTAAGGCCAGGAGTTCAAGATCAGCCTCGGCACCATAGTGAGACCCCCAACTCTACAAAAAAATTTTTAAAACTTAGCCAGTCATAGTGGCACACACCTGTACTCCCAGCTATTAGAGAGGCTGAGGCAGGAGGGTCACTTGAGCCCAGGAGCTTGAGGCTGCAGTGAGCTATGATCACACCACTGTACTCCAGTCTGGGCTATAGAGCAGTACCCCATCTCTTAAAGAAAAAAAAGCAAAGAAGAAGGTTTAGTGCTTTAGGATGGCCTGTGCAGATGCAGGAAGAAACTGATGAAGATTAAGAAAGCACATAGTAAGTTGCTGGGATGACAAAGAGATGTTTCCAAACCTAAGCCCAGACCGCTCCCTCTGCATGGACTGACCACAAGCAGTGCTGAAGGGTGGGTGGACAGAGCAACCAAGGCTGTTGACCCCAGCACAGAGTCTGCTGTGGGGGCATGGGGGAGGTAATGAGTCGAAAAGCAGTCAGTTTTGCCCATTAGAGTCAGGGTTCTCCAGAGAAACAGAGCCAATAGGAGGCACACATAGATGCAGAGAGTTAGCATGGGAATTGGCTTACATGGCTGTGGAGGCTGAGAAGCCCCCAGACCTGCAGCAGTAATCCAGAGACCTTGGAGAGCCACTGGTGCTGCAGTCAGAAGGCCAGCCGGCTTGAGAGGCAGGAAGACTTCGCATTTCGTCTGAGTCCAGAGGCAGGAAAAGCCAATGCCCAGCATGAAGACTGTCAGGCAGTAGGTCTCTCTTACTGGCGGCTGGTGGGAGGGCCAGCCTTTCTGTCCTTTCCAGGCCTTTAACACATTGGGAAAGTCAATCTGCTTTACTCGGTCCATGAATGTAAATGCTAATCGTATCCAAAAACACCCTCATAGAAACCCCCAGAATAATGTTTGACCAAATATCTGGCCATTGACACATAAAATCACTGAGGCCAAAACACAAAATGAGCTGTTAGAATGACCGAGCTACACTGAAATAAGTGTGAGTAGTTTTGAGCAGATGGTAGAGATAGAGCCTCACTGCCAGCAGGCCCAGCTGGAGGAGCAGTGAGAGGGCGAGGGCCCTGGTGCCCAGCACATGAAGGTGTGTGAGCATTCACTCAGGTTAGTGTATTACTTCCATCCACATGAGAATCCCTCCACCCTGCCCACGTCCCTGACTAGAGGAATTCCACCAGGCTATCTTCTCTCCCTGTCACAGGAGCTTCTCAGGCTGTCATATGGAAACAGCCCCACCCTTCCCTTCTGCTTGTACCTGGATGGAGACATTTGGGATCTAGGGCTTCAGGAGAGTAGAGGTTGTTCTATACCTCAGAGGGACAGATGCCCTGCATAATCCCAGGTTCTAGCTAGACCTGCCTGGAACTAAAAATCAGAACAGAGAGCCTCTTACAAATGTCCCTGGCCTCAAAACATGTTTCATTTTAAAATATAACAATAATAACAGGGCCCCGGGGGAATGTTATAAGAATGTGATCCAACTGCAAATGGGATGAATATCAAGACAATTTCCAAAATCAAAGGGCGCCCTATGGGACACTGAGTGAAATGGGTGCTCTCATTCAGCTTCTCAATTTTCCTTTTTCAATATGAATTCCCTAAAATACACATTAAAATGTAGCAGGGATAAGTATTTGTCACAAAAAAATCAATTGCCAAAACCATCACGCTGGATAGGGCATAAGATCAGCAACAGTTCAGGGACTTTGAAAGCAACCTAAATTCTTAGGAAATGGACTGTGTTTGCTCTAAGGATGTCATTGAGAGCTACATCACCTAGTGTCCTCTATCAAGACCTATGAGGAATATTTCTCTTAGGTCTCAGTACCAGAAATAGCTATGCCTGTCCTGAGCCACTGGCTTGTGCTTTCTTTATGGGCACCCTGACATGCAAATGATGTTACCTCCTTTCTTCTTGTTGCTAGGAAACCCAGCCACATGTGTGGGTCACCTATAGCAAGGTTGCAGGACATTCTGGAATGCATTTTATGGCCAGTATAAACTTTTGTCTGTCCATAGTTTCCCTATTCATACTATCCCTTTGCTAGTTTACATATGGCATTATATTTTTAAGAGACACCTTAAATCCTTTCAGGAATGAAGACAAGAAATAAATCATTGAATAAAGAAATACAAATAATGGTTTTTATTTACAAAACAAACAAACAAAAGGGGACCTAAGAATGTGTAAGTTCAATAGTGTCTGCACAATATGAGTCCACGGCAGGGGATGTTTCTAACAACACAGTCAGATCCCTGTCTGGAAGTTTGCGGTCCATTCCAGATGCAACATTTTAGGAGTGATGACCACCAACATCGGACACATTGGAAGAAGAAACGATGGGAGAAGAGTCTGGGAGGTTTGAGGAAGCACTGAAGAAATGTAGTTAACCTGGAGAAGTGTAGACTTGGGAGAACATTCTAGAAGTCTTTGGATTTTTGAAGACCAATCACATGGGAAAAAAATGCATTTATTCTGTTGCAATTCAGACAACAGAATTAGAATCAGGGATTGACAGCTAAAGACTGGGGCAGGTTTGAGATTAATATAGAGAGAAGTTCCAATCAGAATGTCTGTAGAACAAAAGCACGGGCGTGAAGGGGAGATGGGGGTATGTGAAAACAGGCCTGCATCCCAGGGGCAGGCCCACAGCGCCAGGTGATGGGAGTAGACATTCACAAAATCCTCTTTCCAGCATGTCTTCATGCCAAAGGAGCAAGGTGATGCCCCCAAAATCTTGGCATTTGAGGTGTCCCTTATTCGCAGTTAACTGTCCACTACACAATGTATTGCTTTCTAAAGGAAACATTTACCCAAGAGGAAAGGCCAGTTTTACTAAGGAAAGCGCCATTGTGAGAACCAGACCTTCCCGTGACGGATGATGGATGTGCGTTTGATTGGCCGGTAGTGCCTGCTGCTATGCAGATTCGGCTTCTCCACTCCACCAGGAGAGGGAAGGAAAACACTTCCCTCCACGCCACATTGCAGATCAAGACAAAGTTCACTCCTAATTGCAGCGGGACTGACCTGGTGCAGGATGGGCTGGGGGAATTAACGGAAACAAACCGAAGGATGACTCTGGCAGCACACTGATGAAGAAACCAAGAGGAAATGAAGCCAGCAAGGGCGCCCACAAGTTTATTTCAGAGTCGACAGAGCATGGACCTAACTGAGCAGAGCTTCTGATTTATGAAGTATTTTTATTATATTACCTATTTTATATTATATTGGCGGCTCTGCTCTTTGAGACAGAAAAATAAACAGCAGCCCTGCAAGAGCCTTTGGTCTAGAGAGAAGAATATAAACACAACCTTCCTGCTCTGAATGGAGATTCCTGCCAAACGTTGTTTCGGGGTTTTCAGGCTTCTGAGATTGGCCTTTGTGTTTAGGAAGGCGAGGTTCACACGAAATATAAACGGTCCTATTCTCTAAGTTTTGAAAAGGCGAAGAGCTTAAGGTTTGTTTGATAAAACCAATAGAAATGCACCATTGCCCACTGCTATAGGAAATGTGTGTTTCCTATTTTGTCTGTGCAATGGCTAAATAGCCCTGCGTTGGCACAGCCAATTCCACAAGTGGGCAGGATTCTATCGGCCAATATGATCCTGAGCCTCCCCGCCCTTTGCCATTCTTTGAGGAGCTAGAGCCTGACAGAGGTGCTGAGGAGGCAGCTCTGCCTCCCATAATGCATGTGTGTTTTCTTTTCTCAAAGAAACAATTCTTCCACTAGAGCAGATGCCAGTTCCAACAGAGAGCTCGCCGGGGGCCTTTCTGGCTCCTGCAGGCTGAACTGAGTCATTGTTCACAGTGAGTTAGTAAGGTTTTATGCTAAACATGTGTTATCAGCTTCCAGCATGCCCCTCCCTCAGTGTGTACCTGGAAGCATTCCTGCCTGCTCTCCCGCATGGGCACCCTAGTGACGAGGAGAGGCACACAGGGACCCTATGGCAAAGATGAAGTAGCAAGGAGTTTCATCGGCATACACAGGCACATGCTCTCTACTCTTCAGACTCATCTATAAACAAAGTGCTATTTATCTTCCATGAAACAAATTAAAAGCTCAAAGTCAGAATGTCTGCAGCCTTGTATGGAGTGAGTACATTTCACACTCAACATTCGTTACAGTCTGGGACCAAGGATTTCACTGCGTTTTCCTAGTGCAGTGCTAGCCCCAAACCTGTTCCCTGTAAAAGCTTGTGAATGATGAAGGAAAGAACAAACAAGTGAATAAAGGAAGGCCTCACAGATACAACTGGATCATGATCCAGCTCTTATCAAAACCAAAGCATGTACCAAACTAACCAAGCTCCAGTTCCCATCCCCAGACATGGGTCACAGTGAGGCTTGCCCTGTATTGTATGCCAGAATCATAAATTAGGATTCCTAGCAGATGAGAATGTACAGGATCAGCACTGCCACAGGGATGAAGTGGAGAGCAGTGGGTTTCTCAGAGGCTACAGAACTGCTGATGCAGAAGCCTAGGGACATTTTCCACACCCCTCGGAGAAACGGGCTGGCTGGCCTCAATTCCCCCAAGACCATTTTAATTGTAGTGAAAAATGCGTAAAATAAAATGGACCATCTTAATTTAACCCTTTTACAGTTTACAGTTCTGTGGCGTTAAATACATTCACATTGTTGTGCAACCATCCCCACCATCCATCTCCAGAACTCCTTTCATCTTGCAAAACTGAAATTATCCCCATTAGACAACAGCTCCTGATTCCTCCTCCCGCAGCCCCTGGAAACACCATTCTTTTGTTTCTATGAATTTGACTTCCCTAAGAACCTCACAGAAGTGGAATCATGCAGCACTTGTCCTTCAGTGACTGGCTTATTTCACTGAGCATGATGTCCTCCTGATCCACCCATGTGGTGTGAATCTGCCATTGTTTTTGTGCAGGATGGAATCAGAGCCTCGTGCACATCCCAAGAGGAGCCACTGCCACCCCAGGACCTCCATCCCTCCCAGCATCCTGGTCCTCACACTGGAAGGAAGCCCAACTCACTTTTTTTGGATGGCTCAATGGGGCTTCATTACACTGTAAGCTAAACTATGCTTACAAAAATGGGATCTTGCTATATAACTATGGAAAATACAAGCTTAAGCAAATAGGCATTTCCCTGCTCATGTTAGAAGGTCAAGTTGGTTAAAAGAAAAAAGGCCATGTGGATCAGCTGGTGGCCCAATTAGAAAGCTCAGAGACAGTCCAAGCCCTTGTTTTCATTATCCCAAATGAGGAAACGCGGCAGCTGGAGCTGTGTATAGCCCCAGGGCCTGGGAACAACACTCAGGCCATCTGGATTCCCCACGAAGGAAAAGCTCCGCCTTTTAGTCTCTGAAGCTGCAGGATTGAGGAGATTCGCAGAGGAAATGTGTGTTTCTGTGGTCTTGGGCCCCTCCGTCACCCACCCAGCCACTTGGGGCCCAGATAGAAATGATGGTCAGTGGGGCAGACCAACAGCCTTCTAACTACATTCCCCAGCATGCCCTCTTTTTCCTTTCCTTCTTTGAGGGAGTCCTTAAATTTCTGCTAGCTGAAGTGGCAAAAACTCCCTCGCATACCCTTACTCTGTTGCCCTCGCTGAGCAGCTGACCAAGGGCAGCGTTGCTGATCACAGACAGATAGATGGCCGAGCGAGTGGAGGAAAGCCTGTCCAACCCCAGCCCCCTCTGGACCTCAAGCGGCCTGTCTAGCCCTGGAGTGCTGAGAGTCACAGCATTTAAACACCAGGGCAGCAAGTTCTGGTGCAACGGCCTGACCCCACGTAGTCCCTGGCTCCTCTGTGAGCCATCCCCAGGGGATAGGCAACTAGCATCTAAGACCCAGGGCCCTGCTGTCCCCCTTGGTTTAAGCTTTGAGTGAGAGGATGACAGGAACAAACACCAGGGGGAGAAATGAGGCAGGGAGGACCTGCCTGCCGGTGCCCAGGGAGCGCCCAGGAGAAGGATCATAGCCCAGGCCCCTCTCAGCCCAAGACTTTGTCTACTAAACAAGCTGGGCCTCCTTTGCTCCCCTCAATCAAACTCACAAATCAAAACATGCTGAACTAATATCCCCTAATAGCCAATAATCCATCAACAAAAGTTAAGTTGTTGCTTGAACAATCTTCCCCCTGAGGGAGTGGGTGTGTTTAAAAGTACTTCATAAATTATCTAAAAGGAAATATGAGTGTTTCTAGTTGTTGGAAGAGTCCTACCAGGACAGGAGAGCATGCCCAGTGTCCCTGTGTGCCTGTGCGTGCACTTATGGACACTTCCCCAGGCCTGTCCAGCTGGTCAGCATTTCAGGAGAAACCTGACCCTCCCCTTGGCCATTCCCATCTCCTCCTCCCCACACTGAAATTCTCACTGGGAAAATTTGCGGGATCTTTTTTCTGTGATTGTTTTCTTGATAAACCGTCCATGCATAGTGTTTGAATGTTTCATGGTTTCATTGCTTCAGAGTTCCTGGGAAAACAATGTCATAGGGGGTGCCTGAAAAATGAAGCTAGAAATAATTGCGGAATGAACAAGGAGTCGGCTCCATTCTTACTCCCTGAATTCCAGGAAAGCGGGGATGTGGCACAGCCCTGTGTGGAGCAGGTGCCTGGCAGCTGGCCCAGCACACAATGGGCCCACAAATGTGCCCAGCTCCCTGGGTGAGAGCAGAATGATGGGAGCCCACCGCCCATGCCCTGCGGAGGGTGTGCCCAGCCTCGGACAGCCAGCAAGACAGACGCGGGCTCCCCTCTGCCTTTCACCCAGAATCAGGGCTCAAACAATATCCGAGCAGGAGGGCCAAACTAAAAGCCACGTTTTTGTCAGAAGATTTGCCACATCAGCCCTAGAGCGCTTTGCTCCCCTCTGCAAAGCAGATCCTGGGCCCGGGCAGAGGATGCTGCAGGGAGAAGCCCTGGGATGGACTGGGAGGACCAGAGCCCGAGAGGCGGGATGGACTGGGAGGGCCAGAGCCCGAGAGGCAGGAGCCCTGGCCTGGGTCCCTGCCTGTGCCTGTCTCTCACCAGATGCATCACTGGCACCCGGGTCCCCCGTTTGACCCAGTGTCCTCACCTGACCAACAAGGTGAACAACTGCTCTGAGTCATGGAGAGAACATGTCAACAGTGAAATCCCTGAGGATGGGAATAGGGATGGACAAGGCTAAATCAAGGGGTCCCTGGGCTGAGCTCTTCCTGGGAGTCAGGCACATTGGAGTCATAGGAGTAGATGGCTCACCTAACACAGACCACAACATCCTTTCCTTGGCTACAGTGAAGACCCCAAAATGTGGGTCCACCTCTTCATTGACGTGTCTTTTGTTTCCTACATATTTCCTTTATTCGTATCTTTGAAGACTTACCTGGTGCATTGGGGAGGTTGGGATGCAGATTTGGATCCAAGCCATGCCAGGCACAGGAGACAGAATCAGAGAAGAAACTGCCAGGAGGTGGCATCAGCACAGTGAACAGGGGCGATTCCTACCTGTGCATTTGGAAGTGGGGGCACAGGAGCAATGCAGCCAGAAGTGTCCATGTGGGGCTGAGCCCTGCTAGGACCAAAGAGGGACAGGGTGGGGACCTCCAAATCGGGTCCTCCAAATCCCCAAAGCTGCCACTGAAACTTCTCTGCACCCCTAAACTGATGCTCAATATTTCAGTTTTCCCTGTATCTTTAGGGGTCTGACAGGAGAAAGGAAGGAATATTGGGGACCAGGTTTGCTTAATAGGTCTGTAATTCTTGCCCCTGCACCCACATTATTAGAGGGGTTACCAAGCCACAGTGTGATGAGCCCACAGGAGCAAGAACTGGGTCTGTCCTATCCACTGCTACTCTTCCAGGGCCCCATGCAGCACTTGGCACAGAACTGATGTTCAGTGAATGTTTGCTGATTGAATGAATGGGCATTATGGGCTACTCCTTAGGTCTCACAGCAGGCAGTAGACACTGATGTGGCCAATCCTGCCCAGGCCTTTCCAGGTGGAGCTGGAATCTGACAAGTAATGTCTCCACCTTCACGCATCAGGGAAACCGGGAGATTTCAGCTTTCTGTCTGGGTTTCTACTGACACCCTGCTCAGTATCCCAGCTTTAGCACTGGAGTAGGGTGAGGATGCTGCCCTGTGGGATCTGGGAACTTTGACTCTGAGGAGGCTGGGCCCAGACAGACTGATAACATTGCAGATTGGCCTGTGTTTCTGAGCCCAGGGCAACTGGGGCTGGGAACTGCCAAAAGAAGCACTCTTTTATGCACATCCACTTTGGCTCTTATTTAGTCATGCTGGCCTTGTTTTGCAGAACAAAGGATCCAGTACCTCTGTCCCTGGCTCTCAGGAGCTCAGTGTAATGATGGATAATAGTTCAAGACCCTTGATCCACAGTATGGAAAGGTATGTTCCCTGGGGGCTGGCTGCTCCTGTGTGCTTCAACTTAATATTCACCACATTCTGTGCACACAGCACATAATGTCTCTTTTATATATGTGCAGTCTGAGGTTCAGAAAATTGGTGACTTGACCTACCTGGAACCAACTGCAAGATTTAGGCCTTTTTGCCTTGCTTTGAAATTAGAAATATCACAATTCTTCAAATCTCCTTTCTGAAACAAACTCACTGGTTCCAGTCTGAACACAGCCCCCAAATGTCCCAATCAGCCAAAAAGCATCAGCACATCCATTGCCTTGGCCAGTGCCTTTTCTGTAGGAAAAGGTGTTAGACTGAGCATCAGAAGATAAACGTTTGATTTCCCAATGTGAATTTTACTGTTTCTTTGATGTTGGGATAGTCCTTTTATCTCTCTATAATTTAGTGACCTCACTTTTTTGTTTGTTTGGTTTTTGGTTTTTGTTTTGAGAGAGAGTCTCACTCTGTTGCCCAGGCTGGAGTGCAGTGGTGCAATCATAGGTTACTGAAGCCTTGAACTCCTGTGCTCAAGCGATCCTCCCATCTCAGCCTCCAGAGTTACTTCACCTTTTATGTAATGTATTCCTTCTCCTCCCCACCTCACCTAAAATATCTCCACCTAAAAAATCAGGTCCACCTAAAAAATCTGCTTTTTTTAAAAAAGCGTTATTCTCTTTGTTTTTTAGTTTAGATAGTTTGTATAGCTCTGTCTTCCAGTTCACTGATGTTTTCTTTTGTAATGTATATAGCATTGTCTTAAGTCTATCTATTGAACGTTTCACTTTAAATATAATAATTTTTTAGTTTTAGAATATCTATTTGGTTTATTTTCTAGTTTCCATGTTTCTGACCCTGTTCCCCTTCTGCTCAGCTATTCTGCTTACTTTTTAATTGAAATCTTTCAATACATTTATATTAACTGTAGTCCATGCCTGCTAATGGAAAAATTTGTCTCATCTTTGGGTCTGTTTATACTGACTTTTTTGTTATGCATCACATTTTCCTACTTCTTCTCATGCCTAGTAGTTTTCAATCATATGTAACAGTAGTTAGTTACACTGTTGAGAAAATGAATTTAGTTTTCTTCCTTCAAAAAGTATCAATTTTTGTTGTGGAAGGCAGTTTATTTACTGGTAGATAAGCATCAGTTGGCCAAGGATTGATCTTCAGCTTTGTTAAGGCACATCTAGAGTATCCTTTAGTCTAGGGCTAACATAGCCCTACCCTGAGGTATTGACCATTTAGGACTTCATTCAGTGAGCTCATTCTGATCTTGCTGGTTAGAACTCCAGCATCTCTCAGAACTGTATGACCTCTGAAGCCTCCTTTTAGCTTAGAGCCTCCAGTAGCTGCAGCTTTCAGTCTTGCTTTGTGCACATGAAGTATAGTGCTCAGCCAAAGACTCAAGGAGATCTCGAATATTTTTGTGCCCCTTTTCTTTTCTCTTTTTTCAATGGATTCCCCATAGTTTTCAGTTTTTACTTTTTTAATTAATGAAAAGTTGTATATATTATGGTATGTATCATGGTGTTTTGAAATATGTATACATTGTGGAGTGGCTACTGGTGTCCCTTTTCTAAGTAGTTCCCTCCTCTCCAGTTTTATGCCCCACACACTTTAGCCATGGTCCTGGCTCCAAATATCCAGCTGCTTCACTGATGAGTGAGGCTGCAGCTCTTTATGGAGCTCTACTTCCTCATGTCACAGTTCAGAAAGTGACTCAATGCAGAAAACAGAGAGAACACAAAGTTCACCTCATATTCTCATCTCTCAAAGATCGTAGCCAGCTATTTATCAATAATCATTGTCATCACTCTTAAAAGAACTACTGATGCTTGTTTTCTCTCTGAATCCTTTGAGCCTCCCAAGCTGCCATTCAGAATCCTTACAGTCCTATCTTTCTGAAGGCCATGGCAATGACATGGAAACAAAGCACCCAAGCAAATGCCATGGGTGCCCACCTAGTAGGTGTGCAGACGGGGCCTCTGCAGGTTCAGAGCAGATGAAAACTGCCATCTCCTCTACCACCTGGCAGTCCATGATTCAGTGACGCACAACTCCCTCTCAAGCTGGATACACTCCTAATGATCACTGTTTTCATAATGAAATTGCACCACTGGATTCCAGTGCACATGAAGCACACAAATGCACTTATCTCTGTGTTTAAGCTTCACATAGGGGCCAAATGTGAAGGAATCTCAAGGCAATTTACTTGGATTTGAAATATATTTGCTTCTGGCTTACGGAGTCTTTGAGGTTTTGCTTTTCTTGAGGAAGAACAAAAGAATGTTATTCTAATATCTCTCAGGACAATACAATCACACATCAGCTCTAGGCTCTGTTGGTTACCTTGGCAAGCTTCTGATATTTCCTTTGGCACCTCCGTGACTGAATTGAGAATGGTCAAATTGAGATCCACCTTCGAATCAATGAATAACTCAATGAAGGCATGGCAGAATTAAAATGACATCAACACAGGCAGTGTGATAAATGAAAAGAGACTTGAACTGAGCATACAAGCTTTCCTTATAAAATTCTACTTTGCATTGCTTTAATTAATAAGAAAATCGAACTGATTTTTATTTTCCCTAATGTGTG
The DNA here is from genome assembly GCF_000001405.40 of Homo sapiens. Lineage (NCBI taxonomy): Eukaryota > Metazoa > Chordata > Mammalia > Primates > Hominidae > Homo > Homo sapiens. The sequence goes on along the minus strand of NC_000010.11, from coordinate 44,039,520 downwards.
TTTATCATTTATACTTTACTTTAAATAAAACTTCTTGTTATATTCTTTAACCTCTTGTCCTTTTCTGACTTCAGAGAATTTTGTAGTTTGGGATAAGATTTTTAAAAAACTATGCCTGTCACTGTTGTCACAACTCTTTCTTTCAATTTTAACTCTGTTAGTGTTTGTAGAATAGAATTTTAAATTATTATTATTATTATTATTTTTTAATTTTATTCTTATTATACTTTCTAAGTTTTAGGGTACGTATGCACAATGTGCAGGTTAGTTACATATGTATACATGTGCCATGCTGGTGTGCTGCACCCATTAACTCGTCATTTAGCATTAGGTATATCTCCTAAAGTTATCCCTCCCCCTTCCCCCAACCCCACAACAGTCCCCAGAGTATGATGTTCCCCTTCCTGTGTCCATGTGTTCTCATTGTTCAATTCCCACCTATGAGTGAGAATATGCGGTGTTTGGTTTTTTGTTCTTGCGATAGTTTACTGAGAATGATGATTTCCAATTTCATCCATGTCCCTACAAAGGACATGAACTCATCATTTTTTATGGCTGCATAGTATTCCATGGTGTATATGTGCCATATTTTCTTAATCCAGTCTATCGTTGTTGGACATTTGGGTTGGTTCCAAGTCTTTGCTATTGTGAATAGTGCCGCAATAAACATATGTGTGCATGTGTCTTTATAGCAGCATGATTTATAGTCCTTTGGGTATATACCCAGTAATGGGATCACTGGGTCAAATGGTATTTCTCGTTCTAGATCCCTGAGGAATCGCCACACCAACTTCCACAATGGTTGAACTAGTTTACAGTCCCACCAACAGTGTAAAAGTGTTCCTATTTCTCCATATCCTCTCCAGCACCTGTTGTTTCCTGACTTTTTAATGATTGCCATTCTAACTGGTGTGAGATGGTATCTCATTGTGGTTTTCATTTGCATTTCTCTGATGGCCAGTGATGGTGAGCATTTTTTCCTGTGTTTTTTGGCTGCATAAATGTCTTCTTTTGAGAAGTGTCTGTTCATGTCCTTCGCCCACTTTCTGATGGGGTTGTTTGTTTTTTTCTTGTAAATTTGTTTGAGTTCATTGTAGATTCTGGATATTAGCCCTTTGTCAGATGAGTAGGTTGTGAAAATTTTCTCCCATTTTGTAGGTTGCCTGTTCACTCTGACGGTAGTTTCTTTTGCTGTGCAGAAGCTCTTTAGTTTAATTAGATCCCATTTGTCAATTTTGGCTTTTGTTGCCATTGCTTTTGGTGTTTTAGTCATGAAGTCCTTCCCCATGCCTATGTCCTGAATGGTAATGCCTAGGTTTTCTTCTAGGGTTTTTATGGTTTTAGGTCTAACGTTTAAGTCGTTAATCCATCTTGAATTAATTTTTGTATAAGGTGTAAGGAGGGGATCCAGTTTCAGCTTTCTACATATGGCTAGCCAGTTTTCCCAGCACCATTTATGAAATAGGGAATCCTTTCCCCACTGCTTGTTTTTCTCAGGTTTGTCAAAGTTCAGATAGTTGTAGATATGTGGCATTATTTCTGAGGGCTCTGTTCTGTTCCATTGATCTATATCTCTGTTTTGGTACCAGTACCATGCTGTTTTGGTTACTGTAGCCTTGTAGTATAGTTTGAAGTCAGGTAGCATGATGCCTCCAGCTTTGTTCTTTTGGCTTAGGATTGACTTGGCGATGTGGGCTCTTTTTTGGTTCCATATGAACTTTAAAGTAGTTTTTTCCAATTCTGTGAAGAAAGTCATTGGTAGCTTGATGGGGATGGCAGTGAATCTATAAATTACCTTGGGCAGTATGGCCATTTTCATGATATTGATTCTTCCTACCCATGAGCATGGAATGTTCTTCCATTTGTTTGTATTCTCTTTTATTTCATTGAGTAGTGGTTTGTAGTTCTCCTTGAAGAGGTCCTTCATGTCTTTTTTAATTTGTTGAATTTATTTAAAATTTTTTTCTATTTTCCTTGGAAAATTCTCATTTTTGTACTCTGTATTAAATGTATTTTCTAATTTTAGCTATTTTAGTTTTTATTATTTTATCCACTTTGGCTTTATTTTGCAATATAATGTGAATTATGAATCTAAATTAATTTTTTTCATATTGTTAAAATTACCCCCACTCATTTTTAATGTCTATCCTGCATTGTTTATAACATTATTTTACATATTACATTTGTATCTAAAGAAATTCAATGTTCTGGGTTCCTGATCTGTTCTACAGTGTATACCAAATTTCTTAAAAATTAAAAAACTAATTAACTTAATTTCTTAAAATTCTAATATCAGTTGTATTTGATCAAACATTCATATGTCATTTTAATTTCAGAATACTATCAAAATCTTCTCAAATTTATTTCTCATACCTCTTTTAGTATTTTATTAACCATAAACAATATGCCACCACATCTGACCTAGCTTATATGAATTTTGTGTTCAAATATATTTATAATAGTGTTATTTTTAATGAGATAAAATTTACCTAAATATAAAATAGCAGTGCAACAAACTGTACTGCAAGGTTAATCATTAAAGCATCATTAAAATATTCTAAAATAACATGTAACTACATGGGCAAAGTTCTCATTGTGAGCATAAGTGAAAATAACAGAATGCATCGTTCTTTATGTATAATTATCCCAATTGTAAAGTATGTGCTTATACTCATTCCCTCATTTAACAGTTATTTATGAAACTTCTACTATGGACCAAAAACTATTTAGAGTGTTGAAGTTACAACAGTTAACAAAGCATGCAGAAACCCCTGCCCTCATGGGACACCCTCATGGGATGTCTCAGTGTGGGGACAGCCAGTGGTATCTTAGAACTGGCTCAAACGGGTTCGCAAGACCAAATTGTGAAATTTTCAAGAATTTTGCAAGCTGATTGTTGAACATAGCTATTCTTGCAAATTAGCCCTGGTGGGAATGTTTACACCATTGGCAAACACTACCCATCAGGGTGCCCCCGCCCCACCCTGCTGTGAACAGCCAGTGGTAAAACATTCATCAGAACACTACTGGGAGAGTTAAACAAAAAGATAAATAAGTTATCTCTATTAAAAAGTATTTGTGAGAGTGTGTGTGTGTTTTACATATATTTTTTAATAGTAATGTGAGCTAAAGAGAAAATTAAAGCAGTGAAGAGGAATAAGGCGTGGTCAGTGTTGGAGGTAAAACAGAGTTTTGGGTAAGGGGACCAGGGAAGATCTCTCTGAGAAGGTACCTTTTAAGTCAGGCCCTAAAGGGGCTGGTGCCAGAAGCACAAGTGTGCATGGACGTGCATGAACCCTGTGGGCAGGGGCTTCAAAACAGAGAGTAGACCAAGGACCTACCCACTGGCCCACCGGAAAAACCTCCCACCCCTTAGGGAAGGGTGAGTGAGGTGTAGACAGTAGAAAGGGAACTGCCTAGTCACCCCAGGTATGCAACATTTCTTGAGCAGACAGAGGTGAAGGGACTGGAGAAAATGTGGTTTCTCCCACAACTGAGGAGAGTTGTTCAGAGGGAGGGTGTTTCCTGAAGCAGAGGGTTAAGAGTCTAGACGACTGCCCGAGTGGGATCTAGAATAAGAATGTCAGGTCTTAATTGAACGGCATGTGGATTGGAGATTACCAGAAAATGGGGTGAGACCTACAAGCCAGAGCAGAGATGCAGCAAGGTAACAGCATCCCTCAGATGCCATTTCATCCCAGGAGACCCAGGCATCAGGTTTGGAGCAGCAGAAAATACAGGCACCCTCAGCTAGTCAGTGGTGGGAGGGGAAGAGTTTCTAGTAATTCCGAGCCTGGGAAGATTTCAGTTCACATGAACAAGAGCTAAAGCTGACAAGAGGTCTGCTCAGCCTCCTTCAGTTTCTAGATGAACAATGACGCCAACAAATCCAGCGTTCTGTGTCACCTTTGTCACAGCACCACAGGAAGAGCTCATTCTGTTGTACTTTGCTCTAGCATTTTTACAAATTGAAGGTTTGTAGCAATCCCACGTCAGACAAGTCTATGGTCACCATTTTTTCAACAGCATGTGCTCACTTCCTGTCTCTGTGTCACATTTTGGTAATTCTCACCATATTTCAAGCTTTATTATTATTATTATTATATCTATTGTGGTGATCTGTGATCATTAATCTGTGATGTTACTATTGTAATTAGGGGGGTGCATGACGAACCACAGTCATATAAGATGAAAAACTTAAATCAATAAATGTATTTGTTTTGACTGCTCCATTGACCAGCCATTCCCCATCTCTTTCCCTCTCCTTGGGCATCCCTATTCCTTGAGACACAACACTACTAAATTAGGACAATTAATAACCCTACAATAGCCTCTAAGTGTTCAAATGAAGTCAGGTCTCACATCTCTCCCTTTCAATCAAAAGCTAGAAATGACTAAGCTTAGTGAAGAAGGCATGTCAAAAGCTGAGAAGGACAGCGGAGAGCTGGGCTTCTTGTACCAAACAGTTAGCCAAGGTGTGAATGCAAAGGAAAAGATTTTGAAAAAAATTAAAAGTGCTACTCCAGTGAACACATGGATGATAAGAAAGTGAAATAGCCTTAATGCTGATATGGAGAAAATTTTATTGGCCTGGACAGAAGATCAAACCAGACACAGTATTCCCTTAAGTCAAAGCCTAACCCAGAGCAAAGCCCTAACTCTCTTCAATTTTAAGAAGGCTGAGAGAGGTGAGGAACCTGCAGAAGAAAAGTTGGAAGCAAGTAGAGGTTGGTTCATGAGGTTTGAGGAAAGAAGCCATCTCTACAACAAAAAGGTGCGAGGTGAAGCAGCAAGTGCTGATGGAGAAGCTGCAGCAAGGTATCCAGAAGATCCAGCAAAGATCACTGATGAAGGTGGCTACACTAAAAAGATTTTCAGTGTAGACAAAGCAGCCTTATACTGGAAGGAGATGCCATCTAGGACTTTCATAGCTAGAGAGAAGTCAATGCCTGACTTCAAAGCATCAAAGGACAGGCTGACTCTCTAACTGGACTTTAAGTGGAAGCCATTGTCCATTCTGAAAATCCTCAGGCCCTTAAGAATTATGCTAAATTTACTCTGCCTGTGCTCTGTAAATAAAACAAAGCCTCAATGACAGCATCTCTGTTTATAGCATGGTTTACTGAATATATATATTTAAGCCCACTGTTGGACTTACTGCTCAGAAAACAAGATTTCTTTCAAAATATTACTGCTCATTGACAATGCACCTGGTCACCCTGAAGCTCTGATGGAGGTGTACAATGAGATGAATGTTTTCATGCCTGCTAACACAACATTTATTCTGCAGCCCAGGCATTAAGGAGTAGTTTTGATTTTCAAGTCTTATTATTTAAGTAACACATTTTACAAGGCTATAGCTGCCATAGGTAGTGATTCTTCTGATGGATCTAGGCAAAGTAAATTGAAAACATTTTGGAAAGGATTCACCATTCTGGAAGCCACTAAGATCATTCATGATTCATGGGAGGAGGTCAAATATCAACATTAACAGGAGTTTGGAAGAAGTTAATTACAGCCCTCATGGATGACTTTGAGGGACTCAAGACTTCAGTGAAGGAAGTAACTGCAGATGTGGTGGAAATAGCAAGAGACCTAGAATTAGAAGTGGAGCCTGAAGATGTGACTGAATTGTTGCAATCTCGTAATAGAACTTGAAGGATGAGGACTCTCTTCTTATGGATGAGCGTAGAAAGTGGTTTCATGAGATGGAATTTCCTCTGGATGAAGACCACTGTTGAAATAACAACAAAAAACTTAGGCTATTCCATAAACTTGGTTGATAAAGCAGCGTAGGGTTTGAGAGGATTGACTCCAATTTTGAAGGAAGTTCTACTATGGGTAAAATGTTATCAACAGCATCACATGCCACAGAGACATTTTTTGTGAAAGTAAGAGTCAATCAATGTAGCAAACTTTATTGTCTTATTTTTTTTATTGTCACAGCTTCCTCACCCTTCAGCAACCACCACCCTAAACAGTCAGCAGTCATCACCACTGAGGCAAGACCCTCCACTAGCAAGATTACCACTCACTGAAGGCTCAGATAATCGTTAGCATTTTTTAGCAATAAAGTACTTTTAATTAAGGCATATACATTGTTTTCTAGACATGATGCTATTGCACACTTAAGAGACTACAGTATAGTGTAAATGTAACTTTTATATGCACTGGGAAACAAAAAAATTTGCGTGTCTCACTTTACAGCAACATTTGCTTTATTGCAGTGAACTGGAACTGAACCCACAATATCTCTGAGGTATGCCTGTATCTATGTAAATGTGCAGGGAGTAATGTTGATCAAAAAAAAAAAAAAGACTTGCAAACCACAGTTAGTCATTTTCCCTTTTGGAATTTCGACAAGGAAATCCATGGCTGATCAAAGTTTTGCTGACAGAAGTCTGTGAAATACACATTAAAACATTAACAGAGCCAAATATCAAAATACATACTTTATCGGGAATGCACATAAGGTAATGCCCTTGAATATTAAACAAATAAAAAACATAACAACAACAAATCAGTGAAGTGAGATACCTGGCCAGATCTCCACTCTGGTTTCTAGGTTTTATCCCATTTTCTGATAGTGTCTGAACCACAGGCCATTGCTTAACACCTAACATTTTATTCTAGAGCCTGTCTTGACTTCTAATGAAGATAAAAGCTTTTGAATAAAATATTCAATGAAATAATTTGTAAATGGAGCTGAATTTGCAGGTTAGAGCCACCATAGGCCTTCCTGTTACCAAAGCAGGGCTGTACTTAGAGGGCAGGCCTATAGACTCTTTAATGTTCTCCAGAGGGAAGCACTGCCTGGTGGGGTTTGGAAGGACATCATCCCACACTTCTCTTCATTCCATGTGCTCAACTAATTCATACTGCTGTATTTGCCACATCAACTATTTTGTATCCCTTTCTCTGGAAGTGTTCACTTAATATTTTGTTTTAGAGTCTGGGTTTCCAGTTTTGCTCTTGCTTTTTTATAAGGTCTCTAGTTTTCTTCTGGCTTCCCAGGAAGGCCCTTGATGTCCTTGGGTGGTGGAGCCATGCAATCTTTCTACTTGGCCCTTGTGCAATGCAGTTCCCTTACTGCATCTATTTCCTAAGGGATTCAAGTCACTCCCTGAGTTCTAGATGTGGTTCAGCCTTGGAAATGTGGGAATTTCTCAAGATGCCCTGCTTTGTACTTAATTTAAGTTGCGAAATACTTTATTGGGCCCTTGGGTTCTGTGCTACACTTTGGGCTTATTTTGTTTGTTTTTCAAGTTGTTCTTCTTAAGGTTTTCATTTTCTTTTTTTTTTTTCCAATGTTTTCCTTGGTGTCTCCTAGAAGTCTCTCCTTTGACATCCAATCATTTTCTTTGAGTCTCTGGGCAATGAGATTTTCTCATGCAGGATGCCAGTAAAGACAAGGACTATGTGCAAGCCATTTCTGATATGCCAATCTTTGTGGAGGTCTACTTTATAATACTGGGAGAAGCATTTGAAAATGAAAGTGATGAATGTATAGTAACCAGCCTATAGCAGCCGCTCACTAAATATGTGCAGAATGGTAAAGTGTTTTGTGAGTTTCAAGATGCCTTTACAATTTTGGCTAATAACACCCCACTCCACCCCTACAGCATCTCCTGCCCATACCATTGTGGCATGTACCCTCTGTGCTGTAGCTATCAATGGACTTGTCAGTCTCCTCAAGCAAACAAGGTGCCTGAGCTATATAAGGCAAGAAAATAGCCTTTGTTCCTGGTCACACATCTCCTACACCTACCACAGAGCCAGGAAGGAGAAATAAAAACAGTTATGTCCTTAGCAATACTATAATAAAAGATCTGTAAAGTATAGTCTTTGAGAGGATCTGAAATATCTTAGCCACAAAACTGAGTTACTACTTCTCGGAGTAGCCCAACATTTTGTATTTTCTTCTCCCTAGCGAGATATTTATGGTGTTACTCCTCATAGAGCGTTACCATGGAGATTTATATTTAAAGATCTTATTTCCAAGGGAAAGAATTATAAACATCCCAAGGTGAAAAGATCCAGTTGTATTTTACGAATTTGTATAATGGTCCATTTCCAGAACCTTGTAGGTTGATTACCAAAGGAATCCACCAAGGGGAAAAGTACCATTCAGATTTGTTTACACAAGGTTCCACACAAATCTGTCCTACCCAGCAGCTATCAAATTATCCCAATTCTATAGAGACTTATTTTCCTAGCCACCAGAGGATCACTTGTTCTAAATCAAATCATTGTATGCATTCAGCCAAACTAACTTGGTTACTAAAGTGATATAAAACATTCTGCCTAATGTTGAAGCCCGGACATAGAGTGAGGCGGGAAATCAAGGAGAATAATTGGCTCCAAAATTTCCTTGTCTTATAAATATTTTTTCTTCTTCCATCATTTAACATTTTCTCCTTGACATTACTTGATTGAACTCATGCAGATTCTGTTCCTCCCAGGAAACAATTCACTTGGGCAGTGTGAACTCTGAGAGGTCACATTTTTTGGAGTTATCTGCTGCCAAAATGAATGGCTTCCATTTATTTTTCAGGTTGAAAAAGTTTTTTTCCTGTTCTTGAAACTCAAAAATGCACAGAGTAATTTAACTCAGACTGACCAAACAGAAAAAGCACGTTTAAGCTCTGATAGGGCCTGGAATGTCTGAGTCTGGAAGGAGAATCATTTGGAACTTTCTTTTGGAAGCCAGGCAGCCAAATGATGGATTGTCTCAAAACTTGCGCTATGCTTTTCTATTGCAGTTTCTGAAGCAAGGAACCTTAGTAGAGAAGGGCCAGAAATCTGTTAGAATGGATAACTAAGGTAAGCAGTAAAAGTCTAGAGCAGTGGTCTCCCATCCTTTCTGTTTGACTCCAATCAGCCAAATAAAAGAAAAAAAAATATGGGCAACTGTTTTCCCCATTTACATGCCACAAAGTGTCATTACTGAAGTTTTGAAGCCCTTATGGCTATGAAATTGGAAACTGGAACACCACCACCAGAATTTACAAAGGAAATTTCCAAGAAGTAGCTTCATTCTGAGCCCCTAATCCAGACCAAAAATCAAAGGGTTTAGAGAGCAGGGAGGGGAAGGGCATGCTGACCTCACATCTTTTCAGAGAGCTGCAGTCCCACCTGACGAGGGGCAGATGGTGCTGGTTCCTCATGCGGAGCCTTGAATTGCTTCCTCAAAGTAGGGAGGCTTTTGGGCGGCCTCCCTGACTCACACCTGAGACGCCTACAGTGACCTGTATGTAGGACAGATGAGACTTGGGCAGAGTAAGCCCAGTCCCAAGGACTTCAGGGGCCAGGTGGCATCATGCTTCCTGAGGAATGGATGGGGTCACCAAAAAGACAGAGCAGCAGTAGTTGGGTTCTGTCTAAAGGACTGCTTGAAGGGAGAGAGGAACCCAACAGCAAGAAGCTCCTGAGTCCTACATGCTAAGGAAGGAGTCCCAGGAAACCATCTGGAATAAAGGTGCATTTGCCTTGGTGAAGAAAAAACACATCTCCAGCTAGGACTCCCTTAAGAACTCTCAATGATACCAACAAGATAAAGAATCTACTTTTATCTCATTCCAGATCCAGAGACAACAAAGCCCCTGGCAAGGCAGGAGCTGCCCCATCCCAGTCTTCTCCTCCCTCATTCTTCCCCCTCCCTCCTCTGAAACAGCACTTAGTGGGTGGGGGAGATGGGGACCGGGGCAGGGGGCAGAACTGACCACATCCTTTCCCTGAAGCAAGCCCCAGCTTGGGAAGGCTCAGAAATCTAGACTTCTAGAGAAGAGTGAAGTTTTTGAATAATATCCCCAATCGAATGATTTCTGAACTGAGCTGTGTTTGCAGATTGGAGCCACCATAGGCCAAAGACTGTTGCCTAAAGCAGGGCTGGTTGTCAGTGGGCACTGGGTGCATATCAGCACAGCCATTCCTGCTGTGGTCCTGAGCCCCAGCCCACCCAGGACCCCCAGTGCAGATCATAGAGTCTGCAAATCCATAACCAGTGCAAAGAAATCTCTAAATACTGATGTACTGGAAGCAAGGGAATGAATGAAGATGCAGCCATCACCCCATGCTGGGGACTCCTGCTCCAGTGTTTGTGAGACACCATCTCAGACACAGGGTCCCAAAGCAGGCAACCAGGGCCACTCCACAAATGAAATCTTATCATAACCAAATGGATTTCCTTACTTGAAAGCAATACAGACCTATAGGTTATCCTGAGCACCCCTGGATACATGCACCCCATCTTTGGAGACACTAAACCCCATAATAGAGGCTGGAAATTACACTGTAACACAGCAGAACCATGTCTTTGCATGGGCGCCTCAATCACATGCATGTGATTGTGTTTATTCTGTGTACCTGGATTTGACAAGCAGAAAACCACAGAATGCCCCCCGCCACTCCCTTGGTTCAAGCCCTCACTGTCACTCCTCTTCAGGCTGAGCCTTGCAGTGCCAAGTGCCTGGCCTCCTGCCTGGTAACACCTGTCCGCGGCTCGCCATGCGTGGAGGCCGCTGTGTGAACCTGGCATTTTAGGACATCCCACCACCTACTCATGCCAAAGTAGTCATCCATTCATTTTCCTGATAACACACTGCACACCCCACCCTCACCCCATGCCATGCCCTCTTTTTCCTGTTCCCTGTGGCCTCTCTGTCTCTAGACTGTCCAAGGTCCTAGGGACATCCCCTTGCTCTAACCGTCCCAGGCACTCAAAGGCAGGATTGCCCTGAATGGAACCTTGTTTACACACATAACAGATCTTTGGGCCCAGCTACCCAGGGGCATGACCTGGTCCCTTTCCTTCTGCTTCAAACCCCCTACTCAGTTTTCAGTTCTAGAAAAAACCTCACAGCTTCATTCTGGTGAAACTGGAGGCTCCATGAAAATGCATCTCGCCCTGTCCTGCTGCAGAAGGACGTCGTCCAGACTGAGCTCACACCAGCATCTGAGCAAAAGCAACAGGTCACTCTGGCTCCTGAAAGGCAACATTTCTGGAGAAATCTTGAAGTTTTTATCTAATGATTTTGCATCATCCTGGAGGGCAAAGTCAGGGTTTTACATGAAAACTTCTGTGTCAAAATAGAAAGACACTTTTCAAAGAATTCTTTCTTCAGTTCTAACCATACCGTAGTGTTGTGTTTGTAGGGTTGTGTTACTTCAAGCAAGATTAGGATGTCCCCAGACTCTGAGTTCCTCACTGCATTGGGATGAAAAATGCCGCATGGTTACTATTTGCCTCTGCAAATTTCAACATCTGCTCAATAATACGTGGAGTCCTTATTATGTATTTTTGAAATATTTTGCTTCATTGTTTTACTAATGTAGTTCCTTCAAAATAGCTTAATCTTTTTTTCTGGGCCTCCTCACTTCTCATGTGTCAGTAATAGCACCCTAATTTTGTAATAAAACATGTTGCAAAGGCATCTTAACACAAAATGATGTTCAGAACACGAATATTTAACTCAGAGTCCAGATTCTTGAAAGAAGACGGATGATAGAATAAAAGTAAGTTACCTTAGTATATAGTAATATATTCAAATAATTCGACATAGGAGGGAGGATATTAAAATAATAATGAATATGAAAACAGCTAATTTATTGCACACTTATGAGGAGATAGACATGGTGTTGGGCACTTAAAATACACTATCTTATTTGATTCCCACAACAGCCCTAAGATGTAGATGCTGCTATTAGACCCATTACACAGGTGAGGAAACTAAGGCTCAAAGAGTCTAAGTTAATTTTCCCAAAGTCACAGAGCTAATCAACAGTGAGGCTAGGATTTAAACCCAGACATTGCTGACTTGGGCTATGTAACTCTCGTCGTAACTCACATGCTTGTCTCATTCCAACACCCCCTCACATACACACTGTGCTTTGCCTCCTCCCCCGGCTAAGTGGAGAGGCTTTACTTTTAGGTCAGGCTGCACCATCACTACTTTTACTGGAATTAATGACATTTATATGTGATGGCTTTTAAAACTAGATTTTCAAAAAAGAAAAACAAAAATATGTTCATAATATTTTTAAAAAACATGTTATTTGTTGGGTACAGAATTCATATAATATCTATTAGACCGACTCATTAATACATTTTTCTGATCTTATCCATCCTTACTACTACGCTTCTGGCTGATTCATTAGCTTTCCCCACTGTGACCATAACTTAATTATTTCTAATTGTAATTCTAAAAGTTTTGGCTTATAGATTCGGAGACTATGTTTTTAGTTACATTTAGGCTGAAAATCCTACTGAAAATACATATTTTATTAGTAAGTAATAAATTGCTTAATCTCTAAAATGCTTTCCCTTAAATACTAGTTTTATCTAATGTTAACATTGGTGCAATCACTTTCTGTTGGTTAGTAATTCCATGGTCCACCTTTCCATTTCTTTACTTTTAATTTAATTTTTCTTTGCCATTTTATTTTAGATGGATGTTTAGGGCCGGGTTTTGTTTTGTATCATTTATTTGTTATAATCAAATGTAAAAATCCTTTAATTTATAATTCAAATTTAGTGTTTACATTGCAATTACCCATATTTGCATTTATTTTTACCATATTATTTGGTGTTTTCTCTGTACCATGTTTTTTGTTCATTATTTCTTTGTTTCTTTTTTCTATCTTGTATAAAACTGGTTAGGTTCCCTTAATTCATTTTTTCCTCTAATGATTTTGAAGTTTGTACTCTATTTTCATTTTTTTAGTTACCCTCAAATTTCCAATTTATATACTTAAATAAACAAATATAAAATTAATCATTCTTTTACTTTCATGCTGAACAACACAAAGATACTGAAATATATCAGTTCTGATTCCTACCCTTCTACCTACCATGCTATTGCTTGTTAGTACCTTAGTTGTACCTATTTTTAAACCTTCCCCAAATTTTCTTTTGACCCCCAGACACTGCTGTTTTATATTTCCTAACATATTTGCCCTTTTTTTGGTCACCATTTGTTCCTGGCAACTGACTCCTACCTCAGGTTAAATTTCTATCTAACTACAACCCATCTTTTAGTAGTTACATCTTAGTGGGCTTATATGGGAGAAACTTTAGTCCTTGTTTTTTTGAAAATGAGATTATTCCTTTATTTTGGCATTAACTGTTGTGGGGAAAAATCTGTCAATATAATTGTCTTTGTAAGAAAGAGTGTCTCTTTCTCCAATGTTCTCTGGTTTTAATACATCTGGTGTAGTTCTATTTTTATTCATTCTTCTCCAGAACTCCCGTGCTTCCCTAAAATAAAAATGCGTATTTTCTTTAAATCTGAAGATCCTCAGCCTTTATCTCTTTAAATATTGCTGGTCTTCCTTTTTCTTTGTTCTCTCCTGGAATTCCTGTTTCAAGGACCCAACCTCCGTCCTCTCCATGTCTCTCAGCTGCTGCGTCTCTTTCTTTCTGTGCTGCATTCTCTTTTGCATCCTCGGAACCATCTTCCTGTTCACCAGTCCCTCAGCAGTGCTTCATCTGTGTTTTGCTCTGCCACTGAGCTTTTATTTTTCAATGACTATACTTTTCACCTAAAGAACTTTTGTGGCCTTCTTTCAAATCACTTTCTACACTGATTAATGCTTTGAGTATGGTTTTCATTTATTCTCTTATGTCTTTCATACTTCGAAATCTTTTTATTTCATTGTTCTTTTCAGATTAATGCACTCTGCAGTTTTGAAGGTGCTGATTCTGTTTATTGCATTTGTTGACTCTCCCTCATGGTGGATCATTTTCTTTGTGGTGGGTTTTTAATTCTGATTGTCAGCTCATCTTCAATGAAGTTGTTTTTTCAGTGGGAGTCCCATGACCTCTGGGCTGTGAAGTTTCCCTACAGCAATAATTTCACATTTTCTTCTGCTAAAAATACAGGACTTTAATGGTCTTGAACAGTTATTTTAATTTCTCCACTTGGAATTCCCACACCAGACTGATCGTACAAATTTGGATTGCACATCTGTGTGTGTGCAACCTGGCGTTTCAATTTTTCAAGGATGACTTTCTATCCCCTCTCCCCCAGACAGTAAATTTTCTTATAGTATTCTTGAGTTTTTGAGTTTCTATTTATAGTAAGGGACAGCTTTATGAAGCTCTAGACTTTATGCACCGACTTCAGTTCCGACTTCCCCTTACTATGGTCCAATACCCCATCCTCATTCTACAGAGGGGCGAGATCCCAGCCTCTGCCCCAAAGATCTCCCTGTCTGTCAGCCTCCTCATTCGACCCTTGGAAAGCTCACTGTTTTCTTTTTTCTCTGAGGTAAACTAAGTGTCAAAATTTTTTTATTTCTACCTTATGAAACGTAGAGTGCCTATTTTACAGGAAGCAAAACTAAGTCTCTAAGTAGTTAGGACCCTCGTCTAAGGTTGCAGAGTTAGCTCTGTGCCCTTCAGGGTCCGGCTCCAACCCATCTGGCTCTGTACATACCCTTTTCTCTCTCGCCCTTGTGTCTTGCTGTCCTATACATCTGTCCCTGATGCCCAGTGCCCAGAGCATACCAGGAATTGTGAGTGCCATGGAGCAAGGGTGGGTGGGGACCACTGCTGCACTGGACCTTGATACAGGTCAGAATATGCGTGGAGACTCTGCCTTGCTCTCCAAGGGTGGCCCCCCAGCAGCACCAGTAGACACTGGGGGCTAATTGGAAATGCAAGTTCATGGACCCCACTCAGACTTTCTGGATCAGCATCTGTAATAAAAAAAAAAATCCCCATGTGATTCCATGATTCGCATCACAGTGAAGTCGGAGAAGCACTGGCCTAGAAGTAATCTAGAATTTATATGTTGAGAACCTGAAGCCAGATGGGTGTGGGATTTAGTGACAGGCATGTCTGAAAGAGGAATTCAAGGCTCACACTTCTCTCTTCCAAGAGCCATCTCTTGTTCACATGAAAGGTTTTCCCCTTGAGGGACCCACATGCCAAATGTTAATCAACCTCCATCTGTTCCCAGGCTAAAGACTTTGGCCAGTCCCCCAAACAGCATTCCTAAGACCTCTGTCTCTGGAAAGGCAGCTTGTTCCTTGCTCTACCCAGACATCCACTGTCAGCAGAGAACTTCCTGAGGAAAGTGCTGATGAGAGAGCCCTCTGTGGCATTCGTGGGTCAAGGTTTTCTTGTGGCTCCAGGGTTGAGCAGAGAGGGACCCACATTAGTCAACTGGGGCTGCTGCTGCAAATGCCTCAGACTAGGCAGCTTAAATGACAGAAGTGTATTTTCTCAAAGTCCTGGAGGCTGGAAGTCCAAGATCAAGGTGCTGGTAGGGTTGGTTTCTCCTGAGGCTTCTCTCCTTGGCTCGCAAATGGCTGTTTTCTCCCTGTGCCCTCACATTGCCATCCCTTTGCATGTGTCTGTGTCCTCATCTCCTTTTCTTATTAGGACACCAGTCATATTGGATTTGGGCCCACCCTAATGCCTCATTTTAACATAACCACCGGGCCCTAGCTTCAAATATAGTAACCTTCTGATGCTATACTGGGGGCTAGGGCTTCAACATAGGAATTTGGGGGAAAAGGACTCAGCTTATAGCACACCCCACTTTCCATGGAGGGAGGGTTTGAAAAGTTGCTTTTCCTCTACACACAGTGTGCCACAGTGGCTGTTCTCTCTGACGCATCACCTGCTATGTTCTCGCCAAGCCTGGAAGTGGGAGAGCAGGCTGGTGAGGGAAGGAGGGAAGACAGAAAAATGCATAAAGATGTAAATATATTTTCTCTTTAGTCAAAGCCGGCATTTTTCTCTGAGAAAGTCCCTGGTCATCCCGACTTCTGCTCTGGTGTGTGTTTGCAGCTGCTGCTGCCACAAGAACAAGACCTTCTCTTTAGCTCGAGGCAAACTTCAGTCCAGTTTCCTTTTTGTTGTTTTTAAGCTAGAATGCTTATTTTGACCCCATATGCAGTCCACCAGCTGGAATTCAAATGCCCATGAAAAAATGTTTCAAAGACATATGTTTTTAAAACTGACTGTCTGTAAATCCCCTGTGAGGACCTGTTGCTGCTTTTGAAATTCCTAAATCCATTATGTTCTCAATCTTGCCTAAATGAGGAGGTAGGGGAGGTTTATTTTTGAAAGGATTTTGAAGTCTTCAAGTATACCCCCTGGCTAACTAAAAATATGAGAGAGATCTCTTTTGTAGTTCCCGAATGCTCTAAGTTCTGATGACTATCAAATGCTTTTATCAAGGATTTTGTCCTTGTTCCTCCTCATTCCCTATACAGGTTGAGCATCCCAAATAACAGACTCCAAAGTCTGAAATGCTGTAAAATCATAAACTTTTGAAGCACCAACATGACACTCAAAGAAATGTTCACTGGAGCATGTCAGATTTCAGATTTTTAGACTTGGCATGCTGAACTGGTAAGTCTCATGCAAGTATTCCAAAATCCAAAATACCCAAAATTCAAAACATTTCTGGTCCCAAGCATTTCAGATAAGAGATTCTCAACTCCTATTATTTATTAGGATTTGTTGTTAGAATTCACAGTTGCCCAGAGAGATTTAAAAGGACTGAGATTAAGCCCTGCAGCAAATTAAAACAGACACAGACAAGCTGGGCAGAGTGGGATTTACAAAATGTGTGAATGTGTAACTGTACCCTGAGAGGAAAGAAGGCTGGACTGTCCTCCAAGGTTAGGGAAACACCTTTGTTACTCAAGCCTTCAATTTGCCATCCAAGCCTATCTAAGCACTATAATCAAGACAATCATGTGAAGTCATTCCTAGGTGGCGACTGAACAGAAAACTCTCCCAGTGGGCAGAAGCCAGAGGAGGTGAAGCCCCAGCCCCACCTTGCCCCAAGATGTACCTCGCAAGGATGTGCAAAGTGGCCACACCAACCTTTCACAGATAGCACCACCTTGTCAGGGATGTTCATCCACAAAAGTAGGCACACAATCTCAGTTACCCCCACTTTGGTTCTGTCTCTAAAACAAATGTAGAATTTGATTAGACACGCACAGAAAAAGAGGCAAGTATAATCAGACCATGTCAGACTTTATACATGGTACATAAAATTTATGGGAGCCCATTGTTTTAGACTGGGCACCTGCTCTAAGCCCAACAGGCCAAACCAAACCAGAATGGAGTCCCTCATGCTAGGTGCCACATAATCAAATCAAACCTAGAAATGGAGATTCTGAAAAACTCACAGCAACCAATCAAAAGGAACCCAGCCAACCTGAGCCAGCATAATAAGGAAGTACCCTCAGCTTTAACCCCATAAGGAAAGCAGCTTTGAAACACCAAATTCATTTTTTGTAATCTATTTCTGCTTTCTTCAGCCTTTCCTGCCTATAAAGCCCATCCCTCTTCTCAAGCTAATTGGAGCACCTATTTTGTAGATGGAATGCTGCCTAATTCATGAATCACTAAGAAAAACCAATTAGATCTTTGAAACTCAATTCGTTGATATGTTGTTTTTTGACACGAGTAAACAGAGAACAAGGATGGGCTGGCATCAGGACATGCCCCAGAGATGCAAGAGGACAGCTCCCCACTCACTCCTCCCCAGTAGGCTTCCTTATTTATTCATGGGGAGGCAACAGCTGCCGTTTTTCTTCTTTAGCCTCTGCATTCAATGAGGCTGCTGACTGCTGTGCTCCCAGACAGCTCTACCATTACAATGGGACACTTGAGGAATTATCTTCTAGTCTTTTCTCTAATCCCTAACCTTTGATTCTCACAGAATCAAACCTAAATTAAGAGTCTAGGGATCCCCTTCTCCTTTGTCATTGGAGAGACTGAGGCTCCAGCCTGGTCAAGGGTCTCTGATTCAAAACTAAACGTTCTGGACACACTTGGAGGCCAGTGGAATTAGATCATGATTCTTTCCCCAACATTGATGTACTTCCATGAATTTAGAAAGGGACAGAGGGTCTCCTGGGAGGAAAGGAACTACAAAAATGAGCCCTTCTCCCCATCCACTGAGACTTGAAACTATAAAAATATGGGTGGCAAACCAGGATGCCCTACCCAAGTTTAGGTTGCCAGAAAGGAAAAGAGTTTCCTTAAAAGGAAATCACCTTACACATGAGAACCCATTCATGGTCACTGGGGGTGGCATCTTCTTATCAGCTCACATTAGATCCCATCTTGACACAACACATTTAGCAGCATGTGTGAACCCAGAGGGAAAAAAAATGTATGTCTTTTGGTTAAAAAAAAAAAAAAGGAGCAATATTCTTTCAGGGCTCCGGAAGATTGTCTTTGAGATACCCCCTTAATGATGAATCCAAGGTGTCCCTACACCCAAGGGTCAGATAGCATTGACTGAGGCCCCCCTGCACAGTGGGAATATGGGGAAGCCCAGGGGTCCTTAGGGAGAAGGCACAACAGTGTCCTTGTCGTATTTTTGTCAGAGGCAGAGTTGTGCAGCAATTTATATCACTACAGCTGCCAGGGAGGGAGGAATTTCCCATGCTACCATCTGTAAGCCAGTTTCTGAGTCTGACCTCCAGGGGCAAGCCTAAGTCTCCAGTACTCACCCCAGACAAGCTGTGAGAACACCCTGGCCTGACACCAAGTCAAGGGTGTGCTCCCTTTCGAAATTCCTGGGAACAGCTGTGGAGAGGAGTCCCAGGGCAATGTTAGAACTCTCGCTGTGCAGGAGGACTGGGGGGAGTGTGCCATTGTCAGGGAATCTAGTGTTTATGGCATACAGTATAAACATGACCGCCTTTGTCCTCTCTAGCTGATAAAGTGTGAGACTGGCTGGTTTGGTTATGTAGACATTGTTTCTACCAGGCCACACCTGTTACTGTTCTGTCCTGTGTGATATGGCCCTGGGCCTGTGGATGCCTGTGTTGAGGCAATGAACACTGAGCCTATTGTATTAAGTTCTAATATGGTTATTATGGGGAGGCCTGCAAGGCCAGGTGGTTACATGAGATTTCCCCTAAAGTGGGTAGGGCGGGTGGGCATTCCTGACATCAATAATTAGGAGAAAGAGTTTATCAGAAACGAAATAGAAACTTCCTCTTTCTACTAAGGCAAGCAGATAGGGGACCTCTCACATCTTACTCTGCTTTCTGGACATGGGTGGTTTGATCACTAAGTGTGGGATTCTGGCTGGAAAGCTCTGAGACAACCACCCTGAAGTTGAGCCACATCACTCAACTTCATGCCACTCTATTTCTCTTATGTTACCCCCAACTCCTGCAAAGGCTTGTCTAAATGGCATGGGCTTGCCTTGGTTTTGCTACTAGGAAAGGGGCATCTTTCTTCATTAATGCTGAGTTGTTCAGGACACGCAGTCCTGCCAAGGATAAGAAGTAGGGACAGTCACACAGAAACCCCAAGGCAAAGGTTTGGGTTTGGGCACAGGGGTATGATTCTCCCTCTGCAGCCAACCTTGGGGAGGAGCTCTGTTTTACCTCAAGGAAGCCTAAATCTTCTTACAGCCATGACTGGAACTGATAAGTGACAGGTAATGGAAAGAACTGAAGGCTCTGTTAGCAGATAGAGGAAGCTGGGTCCTTGAGTTTGCTGTTCAAATTGACAACAGTATGTGCCAACTTAGCCATTCCCAGAAGCTGGATGCTGCTAGTAGCTCTAGAAGATCCAGTTCATCAATCCAGCAACATGTGAAATACAGCCAGCATGTTTCCTGGACAATCCTCTGTTTAATTTCATTAGTAAAATTTTCTGGGGACCCCTGTGGAGAGAGTTGGCTTGGGAATTTGGGAAATAAATAGTGAAGATAAATATTTCAACAGAATTTCTCAGAGGCACCAAAGAAATGTAATTGAGTCCAGGAACTGAAAATTTACTTTGACTGTTATCACTGTCCACAGGAGATTTGTCACAGGGGAGCATAGCACATAGATTGATAGGGGATGCTGAATGCAAGTCAATGGATCATACAGTGTGCGCTTTTTTTTTTTTTTTTGGTCTGGCTTATTTTACTCAGTATAGTTCACTCTTGTTGCCAAGTCATAATCCATTGTATGTATATACCACAGATTGTTTATCCGTTAATCTACCAGTGGGCATTTAGATTGTTTCCAGTTTGGGCTACTACAAATAAAGCTGCTGTGAACATTGATGTATAAATCTTTGTATGGATATATGCTTTCATTTATGTTAGATAAATATACAGGAGTGGAACGGATGGATTATGTTACAGGCATATATTTAACTTTTTTAGGAGCCTAGCAAACCATTTTCCAATGTGTAGAAGAGTTCCAGTTTCTCCACATTCCTGTCAACACTTGGTATGCTGTCTTTTTCATTTTAGTCACTCAAATAGCTGTGTAGTGGTATCTTTGTGGGTTTCATTTACATTTTCCTGAAAAGCTGAGCATATTTCCATGTGCTTATTTGCATATTTATGCCTTCTGTGGTGAGATGTCTGTTCACATCTTTTGCACATTTAGTTGTTTTTCCTTATTATTGAGTTTTGAGAGCTCTTTACCTATTTAGGATATTAAGTCTTTTTTTGGATATTTTATTTGCAAATATTTTCTCCCAGATTGTGGTCTGTCTTCATTCCATCAACAATGAAGAGCAGAAGTTTTAATTTAATGAGTTCAATGTACCCATTTCATTTTTATTTTATAGATTGAGCTTTTGGTATAGTATCTTGAAAAAATCTTTGCCTTACTCAAGAGCATGAAGATTTTCTCCTCCGTTTTCTACTAGAAGATTTATAGCTTTTGATTTCACATTTAAGTCTATGATCCATTTGAGTTAAGCTTTTGTATATGATACAAGACATAAGTTAAAAGTTCATTTTATTTTGCATGGATGTGTCCATTGTTACAGTCTTTTGTTGAAAAGACTTATCCTTTCTCCACTGAAATGCTTCTGCATTTTTCTTGCAAATCAATATCCCATATAACTATGTTTACTTCTTGACTCTTTGTTTTGTTCCATTGATCTTTTTGTTTATCTTAATGCCTATACTACACTATCTTGATTACTGTAGCTTTATAATAAGTCCTTAAATCAGGTAGTGTTGGTCTTCCAACTTTGTTCTTTGTTTTTTTTTTTTTTTTTTTTTAAGCTGTTTTGGCTACTATAGGTCTTTTAAATTTTACTCTAGGTCTTTTGAATTTTAGAATTAACTTACAATTTTTCTCTTAAAAAAAGTCTGCTGACATTTTGATTGGGATCCTATTGACTCTGTTAATTCAGGGAGAATTACATCTTAATAACGTTGCATCTTCTAACTCACAAACAACATATTGCTCTCTACTTATTTAGGTTTTATTTAATTTTTCTCAACAACGTATTTTGTTATTGGTGTAGGTTGAGGTCTTTCACATGTTTTGTCAGATTTATCTCTAAGTATTTCATATTTAGTGCTATTCTAAATAATACTGTTTTTAATGTTAGTTTTTGGGGGGTTGTTACTATAGCATATTAAAATAAAATTGATTTTTGTATTTGATTTTTGTCTTGCAATCTTACTAAATTCACTTATTAGTTCTGCTAGCTTTTTTGTAGGTTCCGTCAGATTTTCTACATAGGCAATCATGTGTCTCCAGGTCCACCGGGCTTGACCCTGGGCCAGGCTGAAGTCAGCAGAAGGGCATCACTGCCTGCAGGGAGGGACTGAGAGGAAGAGCGAGCACAGAGCACAGAAGCCAGAGCCTTCCAGGGGAGACTTGGGAAACCCAAAGCTAGGGGTCATCTGAGAAGAGAGATATCTTTGGCAAAATCCAAAGTCTGGAGAAAACAAATCCAAACTGGAGAGGAAGGAGAGAAGGGCCAGGCTGTGCAGAGGCATGGCCCAGGGCAGAACAGGATGCCACGCTGAAGCTGAACACTGTTCCTGATGCCTCGACACCTTACTCCACACCTGGAAGCCTGCCTTGTGCCTTGATTCATTACAAGTTTCCTGTCCAGTCCTTTTCCTTTTAGCTTGGATGTCCCATACATCCTCTCATCCATTCACTCAATAGTCATCTGTTAACCCATGAGTCAAGCTCCAAGCTAGGCATGAGGGATATAAAAGGTAAGAATAAGCCAGTAAACATAAAAGTTGCCTTTGTGGAGCTCAGAGACTACTGAGGGAGGCAGATAAACACAACCAAAGTTATGGGACAATGGGATTAACTACATAGGAAAGTGACTTAGAAAGATCTTTGAAGCTAAGCATAGCAGTGCTAGCTCTGCCTGGGTGAGTCAGAGAGTAGTCCTTTAATTATATTCCCTACAAAATAAGTGAGTTCTTTAGGGAAAGGGGAAGTAAAGGGTGGGAGGGCCCTGCTCTATTTCTGAATTCTCTGTGGCTAACTCAGGGCCTGGCACATAGTCACAGTTCAAGTTGGTTTTGCAATGGACTGACATTGACTTTTCAGTTTTCTCTATTTTTATCCATTTCTTTACTGCTGCCAGATTATTTCCCAAAGCATAGAGCAAACAACAGGCAGTTCTCCAGGGGTAAGCTTCTCCACTGCACCAAAGCATTCTCAGAATTAGGAGTGTATTCTCTAGCCCTGTGGATCTCTCGGTTGTTTTTGCTTTTGTTTCTATTTTGGTGGCTAGCAACAGAAAACAACCATGGCTTATGAAAGCAAAAGCATTTTTAATTGAAAGGCTATGAGAGATTCAAAAAATAGAAATAGAAGGACCAGACTTCCAAAACGACAAGACTCAGGACTCAGGATAGTTCAGGGATGTGGAGGACTTGAATTGATGATGGCCTCTGCCTTTGGGGTGCAGTTACTGGGGCGAACGGAAGCCCAGGGCAATCGCACTTCCAGTTTCTCCTCTCAGACAAAAATTCCAAGGAGAGAACAGTGGATTGACCTGGCTTGGTCCCATCCTGACTTATTGGTCAGCAAAGATGGGAGCAGGTTAGGACAACTTGGTTGACAGCCCCACTAGAAAGCTACCCTATGGAGAAAGGGCCTCCAGCACAAAATTAGGGAGCTGTTACCAGAAGATGAGGTGGACACCAGGCAGGCAGAAGCAAAAACAAACAACAAAGTGAAAAAAATGCAAACAGTCAAGAATGTTTTTGACCACTCAAGCAGTAAAAAAAATCTCCAAAAGTGGGTACAAGTGACTTTTATGTCTCATCCAACATTTCTCTCTTTCATACCCCCTTTGCTCCAGTGAAACTGGCCCTTTCCAATGCAGGAAGCAGCAGGCTCACATGCCTGCAGGAGCTTTTCTGCACCACCACTCCCCACCCCTACCCCCTGAGATTCTTGCATGGCTGGCACCTTCTGGTCACTCCTGGTCAGCAGGCTCAGATGCCATCCACTGCACTTCCTGTCTCCTCCCGCAGGCCATCCTGACTGCCTGCTATGGTATGCCAGAGAGGGGCTGGGCCATTCACTTCTGCAGAGAAACTAGGGTGCTCTCCTCACCTGTGAACCCCAGTCCCCAGCCGAGGCCCTGGTACCACGTCGATGCCCAGGGAAAGCTGAGAAGGGAAGGTGGGCAGGGCCACTCCCAGGCCACAAAGCAGGTGCTCTGCATACACTTCTGCTCACTTGTGCCACATTCAGACCTGTTACCTCATTTGAAAATGACCAGCCTCTAAAACTCATTTCTGTAATATTACATTCTAGTCATCCATCAAATTCTGGCTTCCAGAGCAGCCAATATTCTCCGTGTGCCTGGGATATAAACGCATTGAGGCAGCCAGAGAATGGGATATGCCACAGACCAGGGTCAAGGATGTGGCTTCTAATGTCTGCCTTGCAGCTAATTGCTGTATGGCCAGATGCTCCCTGAGGCTCCACTTCTCCAAGAACAGGAGGAGAGGCTGTCACTCCCTGGTTTCTGTAGCAGGAGGACAGAGGTCCTAGAGCCAGCTACGCCCAGGTGTAAATCATGCCTTTCTCTCCTACTAGCTTTGGGGGCTGGATAATTAATTTAGCCCCAAACTCCACTGATATCAGAAGCTCCTGGTGAACTCTTGGAAATTACAGATATTTTGACTCTAGAAATGTTGATTTAGGAAGTCTGGAAAGAAACTCAGAAATCTGTATTCCAAAAGCTTCAGGGTGATTCTGCTGATCAGCGAGGCTGAGGAGCCACTTCCTCAGTTGCTCTGAGCCTGTTTCCTCATTAGTAAATGGAAATAAGAACAAAGTTTTCTTCAGAGGATTTTTAAGAGGGCTCATGAGATAATGTGTGCACACTTCTTGGCAGGCACAGTGGGCACGCCTGTGGGTGGTTGGTCAGTGGTGGTCGGGCCAGTAGGGATGCCTGAGACTGTCCTACAAGGCACTTCATCTGGCACTGGACAGTGATGAGCATGGCGGGTGCTTTCCTGGCCCCAGGGAGACTGTGGGCCAGAGCAGGGGAGACAGACAGCACACAGGACACTGAGGAGGCATTTCTGTTTGCCATTCTCCTTCTCTGGGCCTGCCACTAAACCCTACCTGGACAGTCACTGTGAGGGTGGCCAGAGCGCAGAGCCCCAGGACACAGCCTGGGTGCCGGGGACAGGTGGGGCTGGAGAGGCAGAGAGAGACCACATTCTGAGTGGAGAGCCAGCCGGATGCTGACGCAGGCGGAGATAAAGAGGCGCCTGGTAGGAGGTGGGGGCGGAGTGGGGAGAATTCACAGGGGGCTGGGTGTCCAAGTAATGGGGAAGCTGCAGGTTCAGTAGGTGTTGCATCTTGAGGGCAAGAGAAGTGGACACGGCTCTCCATTCCACTCTCATCCCCACCGAGCAAGTCGAGTTCTGACGAGGCGGCGAGGCCGCTTTGGGATCATTTCATTCCTGGATGGAGCATCACAGCAGAGGTGATTCAGAGGCAAAAGACTCAGGACAGGTTCCTGGCACAGCCAGGAACCCTCGGCTTCCTGGAAAAGCTGAACCACTATGTCCCTAGTCCTTAGTGAGTGCCTATGAGGAGGGAGGGTTACGACTCTAGGGTATGGGGTGAAAATTTGGTAGAGTTTAGAATAATTTAGAAGAATAAGGATTTCTTGAAGGGGGAAAAATGAGCTATGTAAGAATAAGAAGTAACAGTTTAAAAAAATCCAAACAGGATGGAGTTATAGGTTGCTCTGTTTTGAAAACAAAATTTCGGCACCTGGGCTAAAGGTCGAAGCTGATGGATCAGAAATCAGTTCAAGGCACCAAATTTTGGGTACTCAGGCAGCAAGATGAGCCAGCAAGAGCTCAACTGTCCCTGAAGGTGTAAAACCTCAGGGAAGGAGCTGGAGCCAATTGCAGGCCCTGTAAAAAGGCCATAGGTGCCTGTGCAACTCGTAATGAGCAAAGAAGACACCTGGAGTTACATCAGCCAAGTGGTAGCTTCCAGCTCAGGACCTGAGGGCTTCAGAAAGGATTTGCCCTCAATCTACACTTAGCAGACTGGTGTCTTTGAGCACATGTCAGCTCAGTGAGTTGTATGGGGCATGTAGTCAGAGCATGTATGTGCCATGATAAAAAGAGGAAGAAAAAATGGGAAGGAAGGAAGGGAGGGAGGGAGGGAAAGGAGAAGGGGAGGGGAAAAGGAAGTGTGAAGATGAAGGTGCAATCCCAAATTCTCCACCCTGGGTCCTGCACACTGCACTCCTGTGCAGATCAGATGGGCTCATGCACCTATAGCAGCCCTGTGTCAACTGCTGAGCCTGTACCATTGCAGGGGGCACAGTAGCACTGGAGGGGCCCACCCCTCTAGATGAGTATTAGTTCCAGGAGACAGGCTTTAAGTTTAGCCACATCTTCACCCTAACAGACAGCAATCCCTTGATGCTGCAAACCCATGCAAGGGTCCTCTCTGAACAGGATTTCCTTATTGGTTAATTCTATAGGAAAGTATTTTCCCCCTAAAAACTTAAAGAAAATAATTTCAAATTGGCTGCAGTATGGAGAGAAATCTAGGTGTAATCAAGCCTAGGGCTCATCAGATGAAGAGCAATGGAAGATGCAGAGATACAGAAAGGCAGGATGGGGTGTGGTGGCCCGAGAGCCTGGACCGGAACCACAGGCTCAGCCCAGCCCTTTCCCATCCTATGTCTTTATGCAAGCTATTTATCCTCACTGTGCCTCAGTTTCTTCATCCAGGAAATGGGATATTAAAAGTACCTCTTCACATGGCTGTGAAAAGCAAATGGATTAGCACACATATGAGCTAGAACAGACAGCGTGGCATGTAGTGACACTGCACGGGGTGCTTATTCTTATCAGGTTCTACAAAGCTCTGCTTCCCAGGTGTGCTTTGCCACTGCTGACCTTTAGAGGGAAATTGACTGCAGAAAAGATGCCAATCATTAATTTCTGTGATCTCCTGCCCCCAAGCTTGCAGATCAGAGCTCAGAAAGGATTTACATGCTCACCCTGAACTCAGAACATTTTTGGCAGAACTTTTCCATCCCAAGGAATTGCCAATTAATTATATCGAGCATGCCTTGCTCTGAGCTAGAAATGTCATAACAAAGATTTTCCTTCAAGAGATGGATCAGGGGGCCTGTTTGCCCTGAAAACACCAGGGAAGCTGATAAGACATTCAATGGATGTGCTGCCCTGCAGAGGAGAAGCAGAGGAGGAAAGGGGAGGAGAAACAGCAGCAAAGGGAGGAAGAATAAACAATTTTGAAAGGCACTTCAGATTCATTTTATCATCACGCAGGTCAGAAACTGTTTTTCAGGGCACATTAGCACCACCTCGCTCTCTGCACTCTCTCGCCCGGTCCTCCATGGCTGTGGCCAAGCAGAGGCTGGGCACCATGTCATACCTTGCTCTGTTCTGTCTTCACCCACATCTGATAGATCATCAAGCACTGCTGGTTCTGTCTAACCCCGCGTGGGTTCAGGATTTCATTACCAACACATGGCTCACTTAAGGAAATCTGTCTGGCAGGAAAAGTGAGGACAGCTTTGGGTTTCATCCTAAGAGAGAAGTCAAGATGAGAGGGAAAAGCATCCACCAATGAAAAATATCTAAAATTCAGGCCAACTGCAAGGAGGCATCTTTCACCCCATCCTGGGCAAGTGTGCTCTGCACTCTGCCCTGTACCCCACATGGAGATCTGACTTTTCTCATCTCTGCATCCCCGTTTGATTGCTGCCAATCAAATGCCCCTGAGCCCACACACGCCCTGCTATCCAAAGGCGTCTTCTCACAGACCCTCTCTGTGAGTCATCTGGCTCACCCTGGCCCAATGTTGACATCCCTGTGTGTGTCTCATTTTCAAAATCCAGAAGAAAGACACTGCAACTGGTCAATATGGTGCCATATGGAGCTACCCAGCTGGGCAGGGCTTTCCCAACAGGCCACTGACAGAATACCTAAAGTCAGCTGCTTTCCAGCAGGCTCAGACCCACAGTCCTGTCATTTATAGCAATATCATGTAAAAATATATATATATTTTTTGACCTTCGGTGGTCAACGCACTCATTTATACTTCTAGCTGTGTGTACATTGGGCATCAGCGGGTATGGGCATGCAGGTAATCACTCATTAGAGGGGCAAGAGGAAGGTAAAGAACAACCAGCTCCTGAACACATTAAAGCTCTGTTGGGGTCATGTTGTATTTCATGAATCCAGACCCATGGCAAAGAAGAGTTTGCCATAGCCAGTTACAAATTGTTTCTTTTACAATGTTCATTCTTATCAGCAGTTCATGGGAGGAGTGTCTCTACCGCAACCCACCAGGGCAACCCCACACGTGAAGTCAGCATTTAAACATTGGCCAGGGATGCACCAGACCACCCAGGCTCCCACAAGCTCCCAGCCCGGTGCCCACGCTGGCCAGGCCTGTGCTGGCTGGAGCTCTGGGACCTGGATTGGGGCCGCCAAGATGCTTTGAGAGGTCTGACATTACCACTTATTTAACCATGCTGTTGAGGGTACAGGGCCAGAGTGTGGTCTCCATGGCAACTGATTGCAGCATTGCACATATCTGGAGGGAGAAGCACATTTTTAGATGGATGATAGAGGAGGTGGTCTGAGAAAAATGTCCAGATTGTTTAACTCTTTTGTGGCATTGGGAAACTTATTTAAACTTTGACTTCTTTTCCACAAAAAGGAACTATAGATGTGTACATGGATTTCAGTGGAGATTGGTAAGAGCAGTCTAGAATAGTATTTACCCTCTAGAATAGAGGAGGATAATTTGGCAAGGGGTGGCTTCAGTTTCTGAAATTGGCTCCAGTTTTAGAAATGACAGAAAGCAAATGACATCATCCCGGTGGCCTGACAAATACCTTCAACTTATTCCATTATTCTACTTAGCTCTTTAATCTTAAACAAAAGATGGCTAAAACTGTGACTTTCATAGAGTTCCTCCATGGTAATACTACATATGGGTCACTCCATTTCCTTCCTGGGCTAGTAAATACCTCTGCTTTTATGGTGAGGACTTCTGCCAGCTGTAATGAGCTCCCCTGCGTTCCCCAGGGCTGAGAGCAACTGTGTTGGCCCCTAGTGACTCAGCTTCCTGTGCACCTGGTTTCAGGTCTGAGCCCTCAGGGAGCTGACCTGGGGGAAATGGCTCCTCCTTCATGAGATCAGCATGGCTCCTCATGCCATGAGGGGCAGGCACCAAGGCCTGCCCAAGTCTCCTCTGAGCTCACAGAGGGCAGCCCCTGACTGGCTAAGCCAGCCTTATGCCCCATCATGATCATCTGGGCACAGAGCCTGGCCTTCTATGACAGGGACAGAGGGCTGCTGCCAAGAGCTCAGTCCTGGGCTGCTGTCTCTCTGCAAATGGGGAGGAAAGATGTCCTCTTCCAGCCCGTGGAAGCTGGGAAACCTAGCAGATATTCGAATGAGTTCCTAGGACCTAGAGAGCTGATAATCAGGGCTCACAGCTGCTGAACTGAGCTCCCAAGTAGAGCCTCAGCCCAGGTTGGTCCAAGAGTAAAAACAAAGCAGTCCAGAAGACCTAACTAACAGGGAGCTTAAGGGAGCAAGCTAAACTCTACAACACCCTAGGAATTAATACCCAAAATATACATCATGTTAAGAAATAGCTAAAAGCAGTCATGTAGAATTTAAATCTTATCTCACACCTCTTGGAGTAAAATCAAGGTCAGATTTTACTCTGACTTTACTCTTAGATTTTACTCTTCCTCTGTCTTACAGCAGCGAGAGAACTCTGAATGCGCTTGATAGATACAGATGGATATGATTGGTCAGGAATTTGGCAGAATGTCCGTAAGATCAATTGCATGTAGTGCATTGAAAATGCTATGTTCTGGGGTGGAACTGCCTTATTTCAGAATATATGATGCTTGAGGGCTTACAATTATCTGAAAGAAAAAACCCCAGAAATAAGATGTCAACAACTTCATTTTTGTAACCCATATTGATGACTGTGAAAAACTCTTTGGCATCAATAAAACTTGAGTGATTGCCTTTTCCAATTGTCCAAAATGAGAAGCAGACCCAAGCAGGCACATTTCTGCCAAGGGAGATTTCTCTTAATTATCCCTGAACCTCACTGGCTGCAGGGCTTGGTAAACAGCCGCAGCCTCTGCTCTCTGTAACATGACCTCCTGTATAGCACACGCTCATGTGCACAGGCATCTGCACATACATGCACAAAATGCACACCTAAGAAGAGAAACCAGCAGGACCAAACTGGCTTGGAAAGATGACGACGGGACTTGCTAGGTAAGAGTGTGGGCAGAGCACAGGATAGATGACAAATCTTTGCCAAAAGTTTTATAACATGGGACCCAGTTCGCTAAGAGGTCCTCAGCCTCCGTGTTTAGATAAATGAGGGTTTAAATTACTCAAAAGTGACTTGCCTTCTAAAACCACACAGAATTCTTTTTTTTTTTTTTTTGCAATAAAACCTCAAGACTCCCAAATCTCAAAGAAGCAAAAAAGCCATGTCCCTGAGGACTAAAATAGAAAGAGAAGGAAGCGGCAGCCAAGAACATTATTTCCAGCTCACATAGGACCACCCCTCTGTTTGCATACCCGTTATGACTTGGAAAGGAGGTTAAGGGTCCAGTTTAACCCACCAACATTAATATTTTGAGGCCAAGTGGCATCTTCCTGGAGTGGGGGCCGAACAGGCCCGTGGAGAGCGTGCGTTCTTTCTGAACCACGACAAGGCTGCAGTGCCTTCAGTGCTTAAATCCAAGGAGCCAAAGATAATTTCCAAAAGACTGTGCTTTCTAAGGGCAGAAGGTGAAGGGAACAAACAATGCTCCATCTCCCTGAGGACTGGGAAGATTATTAGGTTACCATTTCAAGACAGGAACATTCAGACATGATGTAGTATTTGGACTCAAGAGTGGAAGGCTGAACCCAAAGCAAATCAGTTAAGCTTGAATGTTGGGGAAGTGATTTCTCTTCTCCCAACTTGACTATTTTCTCCCTGTGTTGATTCATTGCATCTACAAACCTTAACACTTTTACCACGTGACTGCTATTTTTCTCTCTATCTTCCCAAGTCCCCTCATTAGAAACCACTGTTGGCCAAACAAGCTAATGAGCGGGACTGTCCTGGCCAAGCCACAGGAGAGACAATTACAGACTTTGACTGCAGGCCGCACACTCACTGGTTCTCATTCTAACCTCCATTCTCTTCCTTCTTTATCCTCCCTCTGTTGGGGTGAACATTTGGCATCAAATGAACCTAGGTACGGTTCTGTGCGCTCACTAGTGCTGACAGTGTAGGCAAGAAACAACTTTCTGAGCCTGTTTTCTCAGATGGGAGATACAACCCACCAGGGTGAGAATTAAATGAGGTGGTTAATAAGGGTAATGCCGTTAACCCACCAGCCCTGAGCTCTATTACACCAGCCCTTTAAAAGCAGAGAGCTTGCCCTGGCTTCCCTGTGGCGTGGGTGGGTACAGAACTCCCAGGGGCTTGTTTCACCAAATTTCCCCACAAAGCCCTGCATAAAACGCCATTGTAGGGCCCAGCTCTGTCTGAGAGAGCCTGTCAGGACAGTTCAACAGCCTTGTTTCCAAATAAGTAGAAATATGAAACAGGCTGGTAAACTTTTGTTTAAAATCTGACCTCTTTTTTAAGATGACCATTGTTTTCCTAAATTCACTTTCCTTCCTTTGCTTCCTGTCCATAAAGAAAGTTCACACTCACAGGCTCGAAACACCTCACAGCATGGAATGCACATGATGTCACCCAGGAGGACCTCTACAGGGGAATTCCAAGTCAGAGCCATGCCACCGTGAGAAGTCACCACGAGTCTTGGGCCACGTGGGTCATGTTCAGATGCTCTGGGCTGACCTGTGAGCCCGAGAGAGAGAGAGAGAGAGAGAGAGAGAAAAGAGGCCACAGAAGGCTCTGTCGCTGATGGGCTTTCCAGATGGCGATTTAAATTATTCTGAGTTGTCTGAAATAACATTGCCCTTACTGCTTTTATGTTTTTCTTATATACTTTTTAATTCTAATAGATAAAAGGCTTTTAAATGATTTTCCATAAAGGTATAAAATTACCCCTGCAAAGAGAAAAAATACTAACGCATATAAATAAACATATTCTGTTTACAGTTTTTTGATTGAAGGAGAGGTCAGGGATGCTTTGATTCCTTTGCAACCCCTCCTCCCTTCATTTTAGAATGTGCCGTCATCTTCTCTTTCTGCTTCCTTCCACCTTTGAAATGCTCCCACATCACCTCTTTGCTGATGGTGTTCCCTGCTCTTCTCTTCCCCCAAGAAGAATTAGTTCTTCCCTGTTGATGGCTTTCTAATTGTTTTATTTACCCCAGCTACAGTATTGATTACTCCCCAATTATTTGCATAAACTCTACTTCTCGACCCACTCAGCTACTTCATGGAGACCTATAATGCTAATACCATAGGAAAGCTTCTGGTCCTGGAAATTAAAAAACAAGAAGTTGAGCCCAGAAACCACACGGCAGGGAAAATGTAGAGTGTGAGAGACAGGGCTGGTGGTGGTATGGGTTGATCTAGGCAGTGGGTGAGTGAGTCTTTCTCAAGACAGTTCATTGAGGGATTTGGAAAGAAAGCACAGGTGTCCCACTGGCTATTAGGCATGCATGTGGATTTGGGCGCCTTGGTCTGGTGGGGTAACACTCCTCACATCACACCAGCTGGGAATAAGTGGGAATTACCTTCTCAGTCTGGAGCTCTTTGTAAATGTTTGTACTATTCTTTCCATGAAGGCAAAGCTAGCGAAGAGGGACAAAACCGTGGCCCCAAGAGACACTCTTTCCTGGGAAGGAACTTGAAAGAGGGAGGTTCTCCAGGGCTGCCTGCAATGGTCTCTTCATCCATCCAACCAACTTGAGTTTAGTCAGCACCAGTTGTGGGTTAGGGACAGTGGTAAGTTCTAGGAAGGGAGGGCAGATTCTCAGACCTCTTTTCTAGAGGAAGATGAAAGAGGTCTTCTTGACAAATTTCCCAAACCCAAAGAAGAAAGTAGAGTGAAAACAAGTGAGGCAGATGGGGCGAGGACCCCCAGTCGCAAATCTGGGTTTGTCATAGTCAGGGCAAGAAGAGCAGGTCCCCCTGGCAAGTCCTGACTGGGGTTTCTCTGGGGGCAGTTCCCAGGAATACAACCAGGAAATGATTATCTCAGTGTTTAACCCTAAATGTGGGCCCCAGCACTGTGAGGAAGAAGGAGAGCCAAGTCAGGTGTGACATTTGCACATAGAGTCACTGCTGGGGGATTGTGTAAGCAGGGAGGTGCCTTAAGTGGGTGCTGGTTTTCCCCAACCCACAGAATGTGCACAGTTGGGAAAGAATTCCTCCACAGCGCTTGTGACACAGAAGCCAAAACACTTACTTTTTTCAAAATGAATGTGTTGGGAAGCTGGGAGAAAGAGAGAGGCTGGGGACAAGAGAGAGAGGAACTGATTCTACTCCATTTGGGGAGGAAAGAGTAGAGGGTTCAGAGAGGAAGAAAACATCTCGATAAACCTAGAAGGGGGATATGAGCGTGTCACCTGGAAAGGGAAGGGCAAGAGCAACCTTGGCAGAGAAAACTCCATGAAGTGTGGCCAGAGCACAGGCTTTGAGAAAGACACTGAGAAATAAGATCAGACAGGTGGAGAGGCTACACCTCAGAGGGCCGCGCAGGACGCACTAGGACGTTGTGTTTCTTTGGATAGAATGATCTCCCTTAACCTTCAAACTCCTTAAGGACCCTGATCTCCTATCCCCTAAGGGTCTTAGGTCATAGCCTAAAGGGAACCCCTGTGCACATAATTTATTTTAAATATTTTTAAATATTCCAGTTTTATCTTCTACTCTGTAAGTACGTTGATATTTGTTTTAATGTTCAAAAATAGTTCTAAGCTTCACGTAAAATGGGTGCTCCAGAGTAAGACAGGACATCTCCCAGGAGTCTTTTGGTGCCCTAGAACCCAGGGAAGTGCCCCCAGGGGGTCACGCAGCTCAGCCTGAGAAGAACGGTTACATGCAACCCGGAGTCCTCGAAGCATTTTAAGAAGCAGAGTAATTTTAGTAAATTAAGAAGCCACCTAGGTTATGAGATTTGGGGCTGATGGGCAGTGGGACAGTACAAGAGGCGTCAAAGTGGAGACTGTCAGGGCCTGGCAATGGTGGGAAGGGGGGCGGGGTGCAGGAAAATGTTCTCCGCTTGGGAGCAGTGAGAGAACCGGGAAACAGCTGTAGAAAGGGAAAGGAGAGGCGGGGGGCTGGTGCCAGTCAAAAGAGGCATTTACAATACCTACTGCCCCTGGCAAGGCAGGCACCAGCCACAGAGCAGATGCCGGCCAGGGCACCATGCTGATGTGTGTCAGCAGCTGCGTGCCCAGGCCGGAGAGCTCGCAGTGGAGATGGGGGTGGGGGGACACCCACAGAGTGGCCGCAGCACCGCAGGTTCTCCGGAGCTGTGGAATCGAAATACGAGGTGTAGGTGGCCCCTGTAATGCTAATGGTGTAATGCCGGCGAACGGGAAAAATGACTTCTTGATAAACGTGGCTCTGCCCTTCACACGTGCTTTCGTGGGAAAAAAGAGAAACACCAGGGCACTCAGGCGCAGGTTCCTGGCCGGCCGGGGCATGCGGGTCAGCGAGAAGCAGCGCTGGCTCCGACACCCGCTTCATAAACTCGGCGCATGTTCACGCTTTGCACAGTCACCCTCCGTGAATGCGGGGTCATTTACCTTACTTTTCTGTAGCGGTAAAGCTAACCCAAAAATATAAAAACAAAAGAAAATAAACAATTCCTTTCCCATTAGCTCTAAACGCTGATGGGGAAAGGAGGCGCAAAGGCCTGTCGGAGCCCTGCCCCACGACTTTAGGGTTCAGCAGCTGCCAATTTACCCCGAACAGCGGACTTCCAGAGCCCGGGGAGCGGGGACCACCCAGGCTCTGGGGCCCTGCGGGCTCCTGCCCCAGCACAGCGTTGGGAAGGGCCTGGACCTGTGTCCTTACACTCACGGTGGAGGAGCAAGGAACACAGGGTGCTATCTGACCGCAATCAGGGCCTCACGTGCTTTTGCCATGCTCATCTCCGGTCCCCTTCTTCCTGGTCCTTGAAAAAAATGTAAGCTCAGGAAGGGGAAATCCCCGCCAAACGGCAGCCCAGCCTCTGCTTAGAAACTTCGGGCCACAAGGACTTCAGTTCCTCCAGGCAGAGCCCGCAGTCTTTCGACATTCCTGCCTATGTGGTTTTCTTTCTGCATAGCTCCCCATAGTCCCTTTGGAGGGACCAAGGAGCAGTGCGGCATCTAGGCGGCTCCCGGAGTTTTCTTAGTGGCAGGATGCTGCCAATGAAGGGACCCTCCCCTGACTGTGGAGACGTGGGACCTGAGCATGTTATACTTTCTGAACATCATCTCGGAGCCCTTCGCGTTCAGGTGGCTGAACACTCTGCCCCGACCATTGGTTTCTGTGGCAGGCAGAGGGTGTATATGTGTGTATTGTGGGAAATTCTCCCTTGCAATTTCGGCCATTTCTCCTCTTGGCAAGCAGGTCAACTAGTAAGGAGGACATCTTGTTTGGATGGGTGAATGCTAACTGATTTCTGCTCATTTGCATCTGCAGATGCAAAGCCGACTCCCAGGGCATTTTCCCAATTTTTCTTCTGCCCCAGCCCATGTCCAGTCACTCTTCCTGATTAGAGAAAACCTAAATGGCAGGGCCATGTGGTCTCACCTTTAGCCAAGGCTTCTCGAATCCTTTTCTTTTCTTTCTTTTCTTTTCTTTTATTTATTTATTTTTTATTTTTGTTGTTGTTGTTGATACAGAGTCTCGCTCTGTCGCTTGGGCTGGAGTACAATGGCATGATCTCTGCTCACTGCAAGCTTTGTCTGCCGGGTTCAAGTGATTCTCCTGCCTTAGCCTCCCAGGTAGCTGGGACTACAGGCACCTGCCACCACACCTGGCTAATTTTTGTATTTTTAATAGTGACAGGGTTTCGCCATGTTGGCCAGGCTGGTCTC
Organism: Homo sapiens; assembly: GCF_000001405.40. Taxonomy (NCBI): domain Eukaryota; kingdom Metazoa; phylum Chordata; class Mammalia; order Primates; family Hominidae; genus Homo; species Homo sapiens. Next base: position 44,004,241 of record NC_000010.11, on the reverse strand, counting down.
AAACTCCTGACTTCAGGTGATCTGCCCGCCTCGGCATCCCAAAGTGCTGGGATTACAGGCATGAGCCACCATGCCTGGCCCTGATTTCTTTTATGCAGTGAAAATGAACCCTAAGCCATCCATAATGCAGAACTCCCTCTCCAACTTGGAAGCTGTTTGTAAGGCTGTCATCATCTCTCACCTCCAAGGGCTCTCTCTTCCCCTGCGTTAAGAGAGATGCTTACCTTGCCTTAGTACCCTCTTCTAATTTGGTCTAAAATTTATTGCATTCTGTATATATTCTTCCATTCTTCCATTGGAAGAGTTCCAAACAACTCTTCCATTGAGTTGTTTCTTTGTTTCACCAATGACCAACTCTTTCTTTATACTGGGGTCTTTTTCTTCATGGGGGGCATTCCAAGAGGGAAGTTTTATAAATATGTACTTCATCTACAAGCTTCCTAGGAACTCTTGCTTTATTTTTCATGGTGCCTTATTGGACACATATAAGTTTATTCATATTATTTCTTTATTGCTAATTGTACCTTTCATCAATAATATAACTTTCCTCATGTTTGTTAATCTTTCTTTCACTAAATTCTACTTTTCATGAAAGTGGTCTTTATGGAAAGGAGCTGCATGTGAGCAGCAGTGCGGAGGGTATCTGTGCCTAGCTTTACTTGGCATGATTCTATATCTTTTTAAGTGTTTTATTTTGTTAGCTGTAGTTGATTCTATTTCATAATTTAAGCTGAATGACTTAATATATATTGTTCTTAATTCCATCATCTCATTTTATGCTTTCTACTTTGGTAAGCTTTTACTGTTTCTTTTGTGCTTTTCTTAAGGACATCTCCTTTGTTTTTATTTTCTTCATTGATTTGGAAGCGTATATCCTGTATCTAATTTATTTCTGGTATCCTTCAAGATTTTCCAAAACATACATCTTTCTTTGTTTTTCTCTAATTGTCAAATTCAAGAAAATTTAATAACTTTTGACCCTCCCTTAGATGAAAAATGTTTGCATGCTTTTATTCATTTGCTTATGCCAGAATGATTATTTTTATTATTTTACTATTTAAATGTCATGTACCTTCTGGTTTTATATATATATATATATATATATTTTTTTACAAACAACTTTGACTCTTTATTTACAAAACTATTGAATATCTGGCTCTACATGTGTACCTGGTAATAATGCTAACCATCATTATTTTTGTTTTTTTTTTTTTTTTTTTTTTTTGGAGACAGAGTCTCACTCTGTCACCAGGCTGCAGTGCAGTGGCACGATCTTGGCTCACGGCAACTTCTGCCTCCCAGGTTCAAGTGATTCTCCTGCCACAGCTTCCCAAGTAGATGGGATTACAGGCATCCGCCATCACGCTAGGCTAATTTTTTTATTTTTAGTAGAGACGGGGTTTCACCATGTTAGCCAAGCTGGTCTCGAACTCCTGACCTCAAGTGATCTGCCCTCCTTGGCCTCCCAAAGTGCTGGGATTACAGGCGTGAGCCACCACGCCCAACCACTACCAGTTTTTTACATTATCATCTCCCTATTCTTAAATATTTGCGTTTGATTTATTTCTCACTCTACCGGTAAGTTTTCTGAGAAAGGCACATGTGTCTTGGATAACCAAACATGTCTTTCTTATAGGCTGAACGTAGAAATTTTGAATCTCTGTATCTTTCCCCAGAAAAATGTACAGGACTCCCTGCAGTATTCTCTATTGCTTAATGTCAGAAGAATTTTCTAAAATCTCTGGAAGATTTTTTTCTAAATATTTTCCTTGTAATTTTCCTTTTGGGCAGTTATTCTTCATCACTGAAATTAAGACATTTGGGCAGAGTATATCTGCATGCAAAGTTCTATTCACAATATGATCGATTTTATTGGAAAAGTCCAGATATCCTATTATAACCTCAAAAGCTTTCTTCCAGGTGACGATTGTTTTTTGCCACATTTCTTTTAGCTTTTGTTAGCAGAATGCCACATAGTCATAAATTGGATTTTCCATTATTGATATCTATTTTATTTCCTCTCATCATATTCTACTTATATATTCATTCTGCTTTCTTAGACAGCCTATGAAGTTTGGCCTCCAGGTAACTGATTTTTTTTTTTTAATTGCCAACTCCTTTTTTCACTCTTTATGGTACAGGTTTTAATTTTGTAACAGAGTCCTTGGCATTCTTACCTCTCTTAGCTTTTATCAAGTCTTTTTTTTAATTTCAGCCCACTTCAACCTCTTTCATATGATTATCTTTATTTCATAAACTTTGTGATTTTTTTTACTATGATAAAGATGTATTAGTCTGTACAAGTTGGTTTTGATAAGCTATTAGTTCCTTGTTGCAGTAAATTGTCAAGCTTTTCACTGTGACAGTATTTTCCCACACACATCAGAATCTGGAAGTAATATGCCTTTCTCAAATTGTTATTTAGTGCTTTTTTTCCACACCCCTCAAAACAGAAATAGATTTTTAAATATCAACTAGCCATTATGAAAGTCATAAGAGACAGATATTCATAAACATTACACAAGCTACAATTGAGGTACCTGGACAAGCAATAGCAACATTTACAAAAAAAGATGCTGGTTTTGAAAGTGGTTAGGACTAGGAGTTATGATACACTCTATTCATGTCCTTCTGAAACCAAAATGGGGGGAAACCTTATTGTCATTCTGCCAAACATCACAAAACTAAAAATGCTGCATAAAGGGTCATGAATCCAATATACGTATCACAGGATTAAAACTCCAGTTAAACATATGAGCTAATCCTTGAAGTAAATTAAAAATCCCAAACTTCTTAAACATATCAGTGCTATTTTAGAAGCATCATCAGAACAAATAGAGATTCAATTATAAATTGGCCTGGGTTACATTCTGTAATGAGAATTTTGCTTAGTCTAAAAGAGAATCTCCAACGTCTTAGAAAAGCTGTGGAATCACAGTTTTTGTTATTCCACAAAGGAAATTTGCCAGGTTTGATGATACCTGCATACCTCCCTGTGGTTCTAGGAGTTCCACATACCAAATAATTCAGTAACTGATAGGAGTATTCAAGCAAAAAGAATACCAAAAGCAGACCTTCTATCAACATACACTAGATTGATGGATTTTTAATTACATGATAAATGTAAATCATAAAGTTGAATGTACTTAACAAGGTAGAACTATTTTATGCAATACAAAAAACTGTAGGCTAGCCATGGTGGCTCATGCCTGTAATCCCAGCACTTTGGGAGGCTGAGACAGGTGGATCACTAGAGGTCAGGAGTTCAAGACCAACCTGGCCAACTTGGTGAAACCCTGTCTTTACTAAAAATACAAAAATTATCCTGGCATAATGGCGCCTGTAATCCCAGCTACTCAGGAGGCTGAGGCTGGAGAATCATTTGAACCCAGGAGGCGGAGGTTGCAGTGAGCTGAATTTGCACCATTGTACTCCAGGCTGGGAGACAGAGAGACTCCGTCTAAAAAAAAAAAAAACTGTCAACTGCAAACTGTGCATGCCTGCCATCATGTTTTACCTGGGAAAGCCAGTGAGTAGGATTTTTTGCAAATATTTACTGCCGATTTTATGATTTTTTATACTTTATTCTGAGCATAGAAGACATATGAATATTAAAGTTTTATTCTGTTATAGGTGGTGAATCATTTTCTTCATATCCTTAGATTAATCATTTTTTCTCTTTTAGTCCCAGTGTCTTATTTCATAAAGTTCTAATAAGACAAGAAAACTCTTGAGGTTCTTTGCCAACAGGTGGGAAAAAGTATCTCCTTTTTTCTCACCTGCAGGAGCTTAAGCTAAGGGACAGGTGGTGATGTGATAACTGTGGGTGAAATTCCCTTGTCTATCAGGAGCTGATTCATATGTCTCTATTGAACTGGCGTGGCCTGTCCTCTGCTGGGATGGCCCAGGGTGCTGACTGTGAAGAGGAGACAGTGCTCTGGGTGAGTGGACACACACTGTCCTTCGTCTTTGCTGAAGGTATTTTATGCACAGTGGCAGTGCCCAGAGTGGGGGATTCCCTATCGTTCCCACTGTTTCCTTTTTTGTTTGTTTGTTTGTTTTGTTTTTGAGATAGAGTCTAGCTCTGTCGCCCAGGCTGGAGCTCATTGCAAGCTCTGCCTCCCGGGTTCACGCCATTCTCCTGCCCCAGCCTCCCGAGTAGCTGGGACTACAGGTGCCCGCCACCACACCTGGCTAACTTTTTGCATTTTTTAGTAGAGACGGGGTTTTCACCGTGTTAGCCAGGATGGTCTCGATCTCCTGACCTCGTGATCCATCCACCTCGGCCTCCCAAAGTGCTGGGATTACAGGCGTGAGCCACCATACCCGACCCCAACTGTTTTCATCATCTCTTCTGTTGAGTTCAATTTCTTGATGCAGTGAATCACTGTGTGAACACTTAAACACTCAAGTAACAATGTGCATAATAGATGTGACAACAGAGAAATTCTCGATTGGGTGGCTGGGCATAGAAGTGGTAGGGTAAGGAAAGACTTGAGCATCTCAAAAGCAAATCCTCTTACTGGGAATTGGTGGCCAGGCTTTCTGGTTGACACCTGGGACCAGGTCTCCAAGGCAGAACCACGCAGATGGAGTGAAGGCAAACAGTCTCCTTCCTGCTTCCTCCCCAGTGTGGTGGTGTTCAGAGCTTTGGATATGAGCTGTATGTAAATCACTTACGGAAGTTCCACAGCTGGGCTCAGTGATCAAACCTCTTATTTCCAGCCCTACACGTTTTGCACCTTTTTCTTTATTCCCTGGGAATTCCACTGGAAAGTGGAAGATATTTATTCAGGCATAGGTAGCAAGTTTCATTCATAACCTGGAAATCTCCTTGTGTATACTTTATCTTCTTATATGGTGTGTACTTTTGTAAACTGTTTCAAATACTTTATTAAATAAAGTATGTTACATGTGAAAAAAATAATTAAAACTAAACACGTTAAGTCTCTGAAAACTAAGCCTCTAGTACTTGATAAAGCCAGAAGCAATTTTCCAGAACACTTGACCATATCTATGCCTTATAATTTTCGTGTAATACAAGCTCTGCTGAATTCCATTAAATGTTTCCATTGGGTAGATTATCAAAGGTTGCCTTTTGCTTGGCTTGTCAACAGATTACTTTACCTGAGCATATCTTCCTCGAGGCATGTTCTGAAGGAAGACAGGCAATTGCAGTCCTTGGTAACTCACATTCAAGGTCACTCAGCAAACTGGCAGGCAGGGATTGCAATGCTGAGTTCATCATTCTCATAACTATGCTGATCTACAGAGAGGTAGGGAATGTGTCTCTTTCAAAGATTGACCAAAGAACAGTAAATGGACCTCTCTGCAGAGATTGTATCAGGCAAAATGCATCAGTGGAAGGATCCTGAGCCAGCTGCTCAACAGTGAGGGCCCTACACATTCACTGGCCTCTTCAATGGTGGAGAACTCATCCCCGCGTCTCTTTCTACAGAAAACACTGAACACATCTGCCACGTGCAGTGGGTTCCCGCTCTGCAAAGGCTCTGGGCTACTGACATCAAAGGGAACCTGAAACCACAACACTGGCATTTGAAAAAGAAAATGCTGAAGCTGAAATGGCCTTTCTCTTCCAGCTTTTGCTTTGGAATTCACCAAAGCCAGACCCAAGGAATGTGATGACATTCTAAAAGCCTGTGATTAATTCATGCTGGTCCCCAAGCCTTGCCCCTCAGTGCCACATGGTGAAGCAGTTACCACCACCTGGTTTTCTTCCACAGCCAGACAGCACTTCCAAGATTTCCAGTCATCACTTGGACAGAGATAGGCTTGAGTGTGCAGATTTCTCTAGTGCTGTGTTATACAGATCTTTCTCCTCCACACCCTCACTGAGATTCCCTTGCTAAATACCCCTGCCTGCAGATAGATGATTTACACACATCATTGATTGCTTTTTTTTTCAATGACTTGTTCTATTTGGGATATTTAGCTCCCTGTTCCATGTTTTTGTACAAGTAGGAGGCTAAGGTAGCAGGAAATGGAAGTTCCCCAGAGAAGTCACAGTGATAAATGAGGCCATGCAAGGCTATTTATATACAGGAAACAATAGAAGCAAAAAAATGAGGCAACTCCTCAAACTTTTCAAGTTGTTTTAAATCAATAGTGCTGGGATTTGGAGGGTTTATTTGTTTTGTTTTGTTTTTGGTTTTGGTTTTGTTTTTGGTTGGGTTTTGGTTTTGGTTGGGTTTTGGTTTTTTGGCCAAACGCAAAGTTTTGAAAAATATAAATTATTTCCTTTGGCTTAAAAAGAATTAGTATATATGAGAAAAACTGTATTGTAATTATTCAAAGCATATGTATATGTGTGTGTATACACCGCTGTCACACACACACACAGACACACATATATTTGAATGTGAGTTTTTATGCTGCCTAGATCAGAATATTACAGGATTTTAATTAAAATCCAGAAAATAAAAATGCATCAGCCAATGCCACAGTGAGGAAATGCTCTAAAAAAGCAGAAGGCACACACCAACTGTTCTCTAGGGAGGAGGACAGTGTTGCTGGGATCACGCAGTTCTGGATGGCTCTGTGTGGCCTTGGTGGTCTGCAAGATAAGAAGTTGAGCCTGACATGATGGTTGTCTACTAATGACCTCAGCCCCTCAACCTCTGAGGCTTGGCCAGGATACTGAGAAACTGAAGGTCAAAGAGCTCAGTGGGAGAGAAGCCTTGACCTGGTTTCACTGTAACACGGCAAGATCATTTCTAGTCTGAGCCTACAGCAAACTTCAGGTTTTCCCGGAGGACACTCAGTCTGCTCCATGCCAACAGGAGTGGAGTAGCATTCTTTTTTTTTTTTTTTTTTGAGATGGAGTACAATAGCATGACCTTGGCTCACTGCCACCTCCACCTTCTGGGTTCAAGTGATTCTCCTGTCTCAGCCTCCAGAGTAGCTGGGATCACAGGTGCCCACCACCACACCCAGCTAATTTTTTGTATTTTTAGTAGAGAGAGGGTTTCACCATGTTGGCCAGGCTGGTCTCGAATGTCTAACCTCAGGTGATCCACCTGCCTCGGCCTCCCAAAGTGCTAGGATTACAGGCCTGAGCCACTGTGCCCAGCCTGGAGTAGCGTTCTTTCAGCATTCTGGCTGCAGGAAGGATCCAGGGCTCTAGGACTGAGCCTCATCCAACTGTGTACGTTTCAGGTCATTGGTGAGGAGTGCAGCGTTGTTATGAACTGCAAATACAATTGCCAAAAAATAGATATGTCACCCCAAGTTGCAACAAAAGGCATCAGGCCCAGGACTCGCTCTTCTTGATCAAGAAGTGCTGATAAATAAAGAGGCTTCATCTGAGTAACTCTGAAGAATATCCTGGAATTGGTTACCCACAGGCTTTCACCACAGTTTAGGTTCTAGATGTAACATGGCCCACGTATTTCAACAGAGTTCAATATGACTACCTGAATTAATATAGCCCAGAGCCAAATTGAGATCTTGCTAGAGCCTTTGAGTTGCCTTTTTAACTGGGTCTGTCTGCTGCAGGTCCCCAGAATTTCTTCTGCTTTCCTCTTGGATTCCTGAAAACAATAGAGATGGTCTATGTGAAGGCCCACCTGGGGCAAGCCCAGGTTCCAGGTACCATCTAAATCGCGCCAGAGAAAGGATGAGACACGGTGAACTGGTCGAGCTTCTCTCTAGTTTCTGGACATAGAGGCCAGGGAGACCGTCTGGATGTCACCGTGGAGCTGGGAAGGCCTCTGAAGGGCGATTCTTTGAGCAATGGCTGAGCCGCCTCACCTGCCTCTCATGCCTCTCCTCGCTCTGATTAGCATCCTTCCACACTGACCCACCCTCACCAAGCTTTAGCAGGGCTTCCTGGCCGCCATGTCCTCTGGACTCTTTCCAGTCCTCCTGGTGGATGCCTCCCTCTTCCTGCACCCTCTTCTGTGATGCACAGCTGCTCATTCTCCTCCTTCCTTCTCTCCCCCGTGGGCTTCTCTTCCTCCGCCTGCCTACTAAGTCTCAGCATCTCTCTGGTCTGTCCTCAAAGCTCTTTCTGTCTCCTTCACCCTTTGCTCAAATGGCACCACACACTCTCACTCCCCAGATGCTCTGAGGACTCCTGAGTCCGTATCCTCAAGATAAATGTAAACCTCTTCCTCTCGATGGGCATTCCCAGCTGTGTATTTCAAATGGATGAATTTTATGGTGTGTGCATTGTATCTTTATTTTTCTAATAGCTTCAGGAGTACAAGTGGTTTCCAGCTACAAGGATGAACTGTATAGTGGTGAAGTCTGAAATTTTAGCACACCCATCACCCAAGCAGTGTCCATTATACCCAATATGTAGTTCTTTTAATCCCTTACACCTCTTCAAACCCTCCCCACTTGTGAGTCTCCGGTGTCCAACATATCACTCTCCATGCTTTTGTGTACCCATATATCAGCTCCCACTTATAAGTGAGAACACATGGTATTTGGTTTTCCATTCCTAAGTTACTTAACTTGGAATAATGGCCTCCAATTCCATCCAAGTTACTGTAAAATACATTTTTTTATGGAAGAGTAGTAGTGAATTGTATCTTAATAAAGATATTAAAAAAGAAAAACTGCATGTCAGCCCATTGATATGCTAACCTACCACACACTCAGATTAGCCTCTCCATCCTCTGGCCAGAGTTTCAGCTCTAACTCTCCTCCCATTGCAGCACACTGCATTTCAAATACAGCAATTCATGACCACATTTAAAACAGTTAAATGTTTATACATGGTTCATACATGCTATTTCCCATCTCTGCAACACCTCTCCCCCCAATCCCTTGGTTTTCTGATGAATGCCCACTTATTCCCTACTCCCCCAATGGCAGGTGGCATTTGATCCCGCCTTCCTCTGCACATGGGTCCATTATATCACTTATCTCATGGCACTAAGAATTCAAGCCTAGGGCTTTTCCTAAATGCCAGGGAGTAGGGGTAGAGGAAAAAGAGAGAGGACTCTGGAATCAGATAGACCTGAGTTTCAATCCCAAATACATCACTGTATTATGCTAGCCAAGGGAATTAGCCTTTCTGAGTGTCAGTTTCACTGACACTCCTGTTTACAAAAACAGGATTAACAATATACAACTGATAAATTGCTTTGGGGACAATTACATGAGATGAGGTACATAAGGTGATTGATACACTCAACTTTCCATTTTTCGTCTTGTACCTTGATTATTTTTGCATGTTTGGCCATAACTGAATGTTTGATGTAGACAATCCATAAAGTTTTTATTAAGTGAATGAATAAATACTTTTTCTACTCTCATTTGTGGGACCCACCTTTTTGGGTAGTCACTCATTGAGAATTGTTCTGACTCTTTACATGGGCAGAATAGGGTCAATAATGTAGGGCCTGAAGGGTTGAAATTGCTATCACTGTTATTACTCCTCTCCTACTACCGATGATGATGATGATGATGATGATGATGATGATGATGATGATGGAGATGATGAGGAGGAGCATGATAAAGATGATGATGGTGAGGATGATGATGAGGATAATGGTGATAATGGTGATGGTGATATTGGTAATAGTGATGATGGTGAGGATGATGAGGGTGATGATGATAGTAATGATGGTGAGGATAATGATAGTGATGATGAGGATGATGGTGATGGTGATAAGGATCACGGTGAGAGTGATGATGATAAGTAGGAGGAGGAGGAGGAGGATGACAATGATGATGGCATGAATCAACACTGTCTAGGACTTTATAAAGAGCTTTCAACCAAGGCAATCATTCAAATAAAATATAGTAAAACCATTAGAACATTAGGATTTAGTAAACTGCCTTCAGCAAAATGGCAGGTTATAAAACATCAAAGAGTATTTTTAAGCATAAGCAGCAAGTATTTAGAAAATAAAATATTAAAGGACATCCCATTAGTGTGCAAAAACAATAATAAAAATGTCTAGGATAAACTAAACAAAAAATACTTGAAGGATTTTTATGAGAAACACTTTAAATTTCTAAGGAACATAGGAGACCTAATATTTTGAAGTTATACCTTGACCTTGAGTATTACAAAAAGATCAACTTTCATTCCTCATATATATTATCTTATTCTAGAACCATGAAACCTATTTGTAAAGTTCATCTGGAAACATTATTATGCATGCACAGTCAGGAAAATTCTGGGGAAAACGAAAGTAGTAATGACGTCAAGGGCCATTTGATATTGAAACATATTCTGTAACTGTGGTCATTAAAAGTTTTGCTCTACAATAGAAATAGACAAATTGACCATTAGAAGGAGAGTCCAGAATGAAATATAGGATTATAGCATATTATAATGCAGAATTTTGAATCACTGGACAAAAATTGATTGTTAAATAAATGACAAGGGAAAACTGCATCATCAAGGAAGAAGCAAAACTCAGTTCCACCTTTCCTGACAAATTTACCTAAATCCGACGAATCAAAACCTCTAATGTTTTAAAAAGGCAAATGCAAATATATTAGAAAAAACAAGTAAACGTAATCTTTTATTAGAAACGATATTTTAAGCAAGAAGCAAAAACTAAAGCCCATAAAAAAGACAGATAAATTTCACAACAAAAATATCATGATTAAAAATAAAAACCCAACAACAAGAAAAAAGATTGCCAAAATGATAGAAGGGAAAAATCCTTAATATATATAAAAGCTTTTTGCACATCTGCAAAATATAATAAAAATAGTGGAAAAAGAAAAATGGGCAGTTTACACTAATAAAACGCAAGTTTCACACAAATAATTGAAAAGAACCTCAACATACCTCATAATTAAATAATTGCAAATTAAGATGTTGTTTTTCCCTTGTTCACCTAACAAAATTTTGATGAAACACAACTGGAAGTATGCACAGAACCCCAGCTGATCTCGTTGGAAGTCAATATGTCTTAATCTCAATAAATGATAATTGCTCAGATGCTATGAGCCTGCTAATCAACAGATGCAAAGAGCATTTTGCATGTGCACAAGGTCTAAGTAAAATGATACCGACTTTGTCTTTAGTGGCCATACAAGAAATGAAAGAGATACCTCACCTGAGCTAAGATGGCCGAATAGGAACAGATCTGGTCTACAGCTCCCAGCGTGAGCAACGCACAAGACAGGTGATTTCTGCATTTCCATCTGAGGTACCGGGTTCATCTCACTAGGGAGTGCCAGACAGTGGGCGCATGACAGTGGGTGCAGCGCACCGTGCGTGAGCCGAAGGAGGGCGAGGCATTGCCTTACTCGGGAAGTGCAAGGGATCAGGGAGTTCCCTTTCCTAGTCAAAGAAAGGGGTGACAGACGGCACCTGGAAAATCGGGTCACTCCCACCCGAATACTGCGCTTTTCTGACGGGCTTAAAAAACGGCACACCAGGAGATTGTATCCCGCACCTGGCTCGGAGGGACCTATGCCCATGGAGTCTTGCTGATTGCTAGCACAGCAGTCTGAGATCAAACTGCAAGGTGGCAGCGAGGCTGGGGGAGGGGCACCCACCATTGCTCAAGCTTGCTTAGGTAAACAAAGCAGCTGGGAAGCTCGAACAGGGTGGAGCCCACTGCAGCTCAAGGAGGCCTGCCTGCCTCTGTAGGCTCCACCTCTGGGGGCAGGGCACAAACAAACAAAAAGACAGCAGTAACCTCTGCAGACTTAAATGTCCCTGTCTGACAGCTTTGAAGAGAGCAGTGGTTCTCCCAGCATGAAGCTGGAGATCTGAGAACGGGCAGACTGCCTCCTCAAGTGGGTCCCTGACCCCTGACCCCTGAGGAGCGTAACTGGGAGGCACCCCCCAGTAGGGGCAGACTGACACCTCACATGGCCGGGTACTCCTCTGAGACAAGACTTCCAGAGGAACAATCAGACAGCAGCATTCGTGGTTCAGGAAAATCCGCTGTTCTGCAGCCACCGCTGCTGATACCCAGGCAAACAGGGTCTGGAGTGGACCTCTACCAAACTCCAACAGACCTGCAGCTGAGGGTCCTGTCTGTTAGAAGGAAAACTAACAAACAGAAAGGACATCCACACCAAAAACCATCTGTACATCACCATCATCAAAGACCAAAAGTAGATAAAACCACAAAGATGGGGAAAAAGCAGAGCAGAAAAACTAGAAACTCTAAAAAGCAGAGCACCTCTCCTCCTCCAAAGGAACACAGTTCCTCACGAGCAACGAAACAAAGCTGGATGGAGAATGACTTTGACGAGTCATTCTCTTTGACGAGAGAAGAAGGCTTCAGACGATCAAACTACTCCGAGCTACAGGAGGAAATTCAAACCAAAGGCAAAGAAGTTAAAAACTTTGAAAAAAATTTAGACGAATGTATAACTAGAATAACCAATACAGAGAACTGCTTAAAGGAGCTGATGGAGCTGAAAGCCAAGGCTTGAGAACTACGGGAAGAATGCAGAAGCCTCAGGAGCTGATGCGATCAACTGGAAGAAAGGGTAGCAGTGATGGAAGACGAAATGAATGAAATGAAGTGAGAAGGGAAGTTTAGAGAAAAAAGAATAAAAAGAAACGAACAAAGCCTCCAAGAAATATGAGACTATGTGAAAAGACCAAATCTACGTCTGATTGGTGTACCTGAAAGTGACGGGGAGAATGGAACCAAGTTGGAAAACACTCTGCAAGATATTATCCAGGAGAACTTCCCCAATCTAGCAAGGCAGGCCAACATTCAGCGTCAGGAAATACAGAGAATGCCACAAAGATACTCCTCGAGAAAAGCAATCCCAAGACACATAATTGTCAGATTCACCAAAGTTGAAATGAAGGAAAAAATGTTAAGGGCAGCCAGAGAGAAAAGTCAGGTTACCCACAAAGGGAAGCCCATCAGACTAACAGGGGATCTCTTGGCAGAAACTCTACAAGCCAGAAGAGAGTGGGGGCCAATATTCAACATTCTTAAAGAAAAGAATTTTCAACCCAGAATTTCATATCCAGCCAAACTAAGCTTCCTAAGTGAAGGAGAAATAAAATCCTTTACAGACAAGCAAATGCTGAGAGATTTTGTCACCACCAGGCCTGCCCTACAAGAGCTCCTGAAAGAAGTGCTAAACATGGAAAGGAACATCCGGTACCAGCCACTGCAAAATCATGACAAATTGTAAAGACCATCGAGGCTAGGAAGAAACTGCATCAACTAACGAGCAAAATAACCAGCTAACATCATAATGACAGGATCAAATTCACACATAACAATATTAACTTTAAATGTAAATGGACTAGATGCTCCAATTAAAAGACACAGACTGGCAAATCGGATAAAGAGTCAAGACCCATCAGTGTGCTGTATTCAGGAAACACTTCTCACATGCAGAGACACACATAGGCTCAAAATAAAAGGATGGAGGAAGATCTACCAAGCAAATGGAAAACAAAAAAAGGCAGGGGTTGCAAACCTAGTCTCTTATTAAACAGACTTTAAACCAACAAAGATCAAAAAAGACAAAGAAGGCCATTACATAATGGTAAAGGGATCAATTCAACAAGAGCTAACTATCCTAAATATATGTGCAACCAATACAGGAGCAACCAGATTCATAAAGGAAGTCCTGAGTGACCTACAAAGAGACTTAGACTCCCACACAGTAATAATGGGAGACTTTAACACCCCACTGTCAACATTAGACAGATCAACGAGACAGATCGTAAACATGAATACCCAGGAATTGAACTCAGCTCTGCACCAAGCAGACCTAATAGACATCTACAGAACTTTCCACCCCAAATCAACAGAATATACATTTTTTCAGCACCACACCACACCTATTCCAAAATTGACCATATAGTTGGAAGTAAAGTTCTCCTCAGCAAATGTAAAACAACAGAAATTATAACAAACTGTATCTCAGACCACAGTGCAATCAAACTAGAACTCAGGATTAAGAAACTCACTCAAAACCGCTCAACTACATGGAAACTGAACAACCTGCTCCTGAATGACTACTGGGTACATAACGAAATGAAGACACAAATAAAGATGTTCTTTGAAACCAAAGAGAACAAAGACACAACACACCAGAATCTCTGGGACACATTCAAAGCAGTTTGTAGAGGGAAATTTATAGCACTAAATGCCCACAAGAAAAAGCAGGAAAGATCCAAAATTGACACCCTAAAATCACAATTAAAGGAACTAGAAAAGCAAGAGCAAACACATTCAAAAGCTAGCAGAAGGCAAGAAATAACTAAAATCAGAGCAGAACTGAAGGAAATAGAGATACAAAAAACCCTTCAAAAAATTAATGAATCCAGGAGCTGGTTTTTTGAAAGGATCAACAAAATTGATAGACCGCTAGCAAGACTAATAAAGAAGAAAAGAGAGAAGAATCAAATAGACAAAATAAAAAATGATAAAGGGGATATCACCACTGATCCCACAGAAATACAAACTACCATCAGAGAATACTACAAACACCGCTACGCAAATAAACTAGAAAATCTAGAAGAAATGGGTAAATTTCATAGATGATAAAATGTCTTATCAACTAATACCTAATATTCTAACTTAGGTTATGTACAATAGGTTTAAGAACCAGTTGTAGAATTTGATATATAGAAAATAATATAGACCCTGTCACTGGACAAACTTATGGTGGAATCATTTGTCCACAATTAGTTATTCTTTCTGAACCCCTGTTTGGATATATATTTTTAAAGCCCATAATTTGGGCATCCTCATAAAGTAGTGAAGTCCGAAATTAAACAATCATTGTAAGAGAGCTAGTTTCCTTTCTCGGCAAGAGAATATAACTCTAAAATTTATGCCCAAGTTAGACTATTTCTATCTTGCCTCTTTCCCCTAGAATATTTGGGTTTAATTAAAAATTTACAATGAAATTAGAAAAATAAAAATAAAAATAAAAAATCAAATAGAGATAAAATAACAGTGGTAATCAAAATAGACCCCTATTTTGATCTAAAAAAGAAAGTAAAAAAGATAATTTGGACATCATAAAATTAAACTTCTGCTCTTCACATGGCTCCTTCAATACAAAAAACTGTGCCTTATTTTTACTTGACCCCTTTGTGTTTAGGATAAAAATCTAAAACTCAGAGTCTAGCTTTTGCCTCTGTCATCATCTCATCCTTCATGCTTTCCGTTCCTATCCGAGGATCCAGCCATGCAGATCTACCTGTGGTTCCCCAAGACTCTTGAAAGTCTCCATGATTTGAGTATGTAACTCCTCTTGATGGTAGGATCCCCTGCCTTCCCCAAATTCCATGTGACCAACCCCCACTTATCTTGCAACACTCAGCTCCATTGTCATCTAATGAAAACCCTTCACATTAAGGATGGGAGGCAAAAAAGGAAAACAGTTATAATTTAGCGTGTATGCCATTATAAAGTGTTGCTTTACATTTTATTTGCTTTAACATGTGCTGGACCTCTACGAAATGATGCTCTTGTTCATTGCAGCAATGCAGAATCTGTAGAAAGAAGAGGTGCAATAACCTTCCTGCCCTGGGAATGGGTGGTAAGCCTGAAGTTTTTAAGAGGTCTGTAAGTCTAGTAAAACTTGGGGCCAGCTTCTGACCATAATAAGCCTTAACAATCCTGTTTGTGATTTGAAGGGAAAAAAAATAAAGATTTACAATCACGATGAAAATAAATTTTCTACTGTGGATACATAAATTAAAAACCATTTATATATTTCAGGCACCTTCCAGATATGTCTCCCTTCCCACCTGAGCTCCCTCACCCCAAACCAAAGTGGATACAGCCTGGAAACTATATATCTGCTCAAGTCCCTTAAACTTCAGTTGAATCCCACAAGAAACAAGAATGCTTCCTATAAAACTTGGATGGCCAAAGAGAAAGAGAAACCATCTAATTCCCCTACAGGAGAGGTCATGGGGCTTTTCCTCTGCCAGGAGACGTTGTCAGGAAAGACCCTACTTCAGGACTGTGGGCCCCGAGCTGTACATGGAAGCTCCAAGCACCTTGGGCAGCCTCCTGAGCGGATTCACTTGGGTCCTGCAGGAGGCTGAGACCAAGGAGAACTCCACCCTTCAGGACTTGCCCTGGTCCTTTACACCCAGGCTTCTAAGGATTGCCTAAGCTTCTAATGACCTGTATTAACATCTTAGTCTTCAAAATACCTAGATGAGAATTCTTGACTAAACCTCAACTGAAAAAATCTGTGCAGTCCATTTATTTCCATAATCCATAAGGGAAGAGTTTCCCAGGCAATGATACCTGTAGTCTATGTGTAGAGCTAGACAACTTATAAAGATGTGTTACTTAATTTAGGTATGTTTGAAATACATCTTGTCTTCTCATTTTAGGACACGCATTTTGTATAAATTGTCAGTGGACCAATTCCACTATGTTGAAGAAAATGATAACAAGCATGGTATTTGATGTCTTACCCACTGCATGGATTCCTTTAACCCACCGGACTCACCTTTCCTGGATCTGCAGGGTATGTGTTTAATTATACCACATGGAATGCATTGTCCCAGGCAGGAGCTGTCAGCATAGTGAGGCTTCTCCCCCAGAATGACTGCAGGGAAGGCTGCATCTGAACGCCACCTTCCCCTGCAAACTAGACTTGCTGTAGGTAAGTAGACCCAGGTTGATTTATGGCCTATGGGCCAAAAAAATATAAAAAGTCCTGCCAGGTGGATAAATTACAGAATCCATTATGCTTTCATCGTATGGACTAAAAGATGAGGAAGAAGAGGAAGAAGGTGCTTTCACCTGAAATACTAGTGTCTAGAAGATTACTTTTTGGATTATGTTAGGAGATCAAGCATTTCTCCTCCAGGCCTCTGGGGATGTGTATGAGTGAACATCTAACACGACTTAGCTATTCACCGTGATAGGAAATCACAGCTGCCATGAAACCTACTCTAGTCATTGATCCAGGAGGCTTCCTTCTCGAGATCCAGGCCAGTAAGAGTGTTGCACCCTCCTAGCCTGGGAGGCTCCCCTAAGCTGCCCACTCAGACCCTCCTGGGTGTGCAACTGCCTCCTCCTATGTGTTCAGACCCATGCTACTTTCCCCTTCCCTCCTTCCCTTCTTCCCATTGATCTTTTGGGAGCACCTCCTCTGTGTGAGTTACTGTGATTAGGTGACAGGGATGTCCCATTGATTAGGACACCAGACACCCCTTCAGGAAACAGACCCTGTTGGAGAGGATGGTCAAGGGATCAGATTGGTGATTACAGGGCGTTTGACATGTGTTGTACCAGGAATAAGAACAGGGCCTTTTGGGAGCACATGGGAGGGACATCTGACCCGGACCAGGGCACTGTCTGGCAGAAATATAACATGACCCACAAAGGCGAGCTGCATATATCATTTTGAATTGCCTTGTGACTATATTTTTTAAGTTTAAAAATATGAAATTAATTTTAATAATATATTTAACTAAATATATCTAAAATATTGTTATTCAAGATTCAATATATAGTTGATATAAAATTGAGATGAATCTGCTGCATAGTTTACTCACAGCTTAGAAATTCCCTTCTTCAATGGCACTGGCCACATCTCAGGAGCTCAGCAGCCACAGGGGCCTGGAGACTGCTGCCTTGGAGTCTGGGAGGTAGGGAGGTACTTCCTAAAGAAGCTCAGCTGAGGCTCAAAGGTGAGGGGGTTGGAAGGTAATGAGGTGGGGGAGGAAAAGATACTCCAAGGAGAAGAAAGCGCATGTGCAGAGGCTCCCATGCAAGACGGGAGCCTGGCAGACTTGGGCCATGGGTCACTGGTCATGTGGGTGGGGAGGGTGGGGAAGGGCAGGGAGAATGGCTTCTGTGAGCTAAGAGGCCAGCAGGCAAGGTCAACACCATCGCGTTTGTACAGAGTAACTTGCACCTCTTCCTGCAGCAGTGGAGCCCAGGAGTGTGTGATGGTGGGGTGACTTCATCAAACGAGTCCCTTTAGAAGGATCTGGAAAAATGTCCACAGTATATAGGGTGGGATGAGGGGCTGCAGGCAGGACTTAGGGGCAGGAAAGTCACCTAGAAAGCTGCCGCCATCGCTGGCTGGAGGTTAAGGCAGCTTGCACCCAGGCAGCAGCCAGAGGGTCAGAGACACGGGCTGAGGAGAATGTAAAGCCGCACCATGGGGTGACTGTGTAGATGCAGGGGACAGAGGAGGAGGAGAGGTCAGGGGCTTCCCAGCCAGGAAACCAGGCTTGCAGTGGTGCTGTCAGTGACCAGGAACGCAGGGGAGGGCAGGTTCTGTGGGAGAAATCCTCAGTTCTCTGAAGAAGACACTGCATTTTAGGTTGTCTTAGCTCAGGCTGCCACAGCAAAACACCACAGGCTGGGCAGCTGAAACAGCAGACATTCATTTCCCACAGCTCTGGAAGTTGGAATTCTAGATCAAGGCACAGCTGAATTGGTTTCCACGGAGGGCCGTTTTCTGGCATGTAAATGATACCTTCTCACTGTGCCTTCACAGAGAGAGACAGAGAGAACTCTCTGGTGTCCCTTCTTTTTATGTTATTTGTTTATTTATTTATTTAAGACAGAGTCTCGCTCTGTTGCCCAGGCTGGAGTGCAACGGTGCGATCTCAGCTCACTGCAACCTCTGCCTCCCGTGTTCAAGTGATTCTTTCCTGCCTCAGCCTCGAGTAGCTAGAACTGCAGGTGCCCATCACCATGCCCAGCTAATTTTGTTGTATTTTTAGTAAAGACGGGGTTTCACCATGTTGGCCAGGCTGGTCTCAAACTCCTGACCTCAGGTAATCCACCCGCCTCAGCCTCCCAAAGTGCTGGGATTACAGGCATGAGCCACCTCACCCAGTCGGTGTCCCTTATGGGGTCAGAGCCCTGCTCTCATGACCTCATTTAATTGCATTTACCTTCTTAGAGGCTCCATCTCTAAATCCAGCTGCACTGGGGTTAGGGCTTCCACATATGAATATTGTGGGGACATAATTCAGTCCAGAGCAAGGTTCCTGGAAGCCATCCAGGTGGAGGAGCTGCGAGGGAGGATTTGGGTCCCGCGCTGGAGGAGAAGGGTCCGGGGTCCAGGCTGGAGAGCCATGTGGACATCACCCTCCCATACCTGCACCATCTGCTGTTCACAGAACAAAGTCCTCAGACTGACATTCAAGGCCCTGACAATCTGGGCCATTCTTGCCCTCAATCCTTAAATCGTAAGCACAAAGACTTTTACCTTATCCCCAAAGCTAGCCGCTCCTATCCCATCTCTGCCCACCTGAAGTGGGAACTCCTGCACTCCTCACTCCTCCAGGGCAGGACACTTACCCAGACCAGAGCTGACTGCCATGGCACTTCTTCACTGTGCCATTATGGAGGGAAGGGAGCAAGGCCATTGCTGTGGTTATACAAAGCAAAACTAAGACCCAGGCTAACAGTTGGAGGGAGTGAATGCTAGCTCAGGCTACAGCAGCCACCTTGAGGAACTGCTTCTCACCCTGCAACGTGTATGCATAGCTCTGGGATCTACAAAGAGGAAGATGCTCACTCGCTCCTTAGGTAGAGGGTGGGCCTGATGCTCTGCATTTCTAAAGAGATCAGGCAGATCTGTGACCTGTGGACTCCGCTTTCGGTCGCATGATGGCATAAGTGGTACAAGGTTAGAAATAACCAGATCCATGCACGTGTGTGTCTTTCCACAATGTCAGGCTTTTATTGAAGGTATTTCAATCACAAAAGCCATGAGCTACATGGAGTTCCCAAGAAGGCAATTCTCCATCACACTTCCCATGCACTAGGGAGTCACGGGCACATAGTCCTGAGCACACAGGCTCAAGTCACCCCACAAGCCAGTCAGTATTGCACACCATACATCATAGTATACTTAATCAATATATGAATGTTATAGGCTAAACATTCTACAACAAACAAAGTAACATTTAACATCAAAGGGCAAAACAGATAGAAGAAAAAGTGAACAAACCAGTCCAGGGGTAGCTAAAGGAGCCCTTGTCTAGGCGAGGTGGTCCACTGGTTTTGCAATGCAGAGTATTTGATGCTGCAGAGCCTTTGGAAGCAGATGCCCAGCTCTTATCACAAGTGACTGCAAGATGGTGTCAGTTAGGATGGCCAATTCCAGGCTGCTGAAGGCCTAATCTTTTCTAGTCAGAGTCCTCTGGTGAGAACAGATAGAGAAGAGCATTCTTGTTTATGACCTTATCTTGTTGGATGCAGTCTTATTTTTTTTAATTCATTTATTAAACAAAATATCTTATCCTTGTTGGTAAAGTGCTCTGTGAACATAAAATGGAGCCTTTTTCTAAGATGGAGTTAGTTAAGTCAAGGGTGCTCTGTACCCACAGCTCTTCAAGACGTGTCCAGAAATGTCACAGAAGTGAATGAGCACCCTGTTATGGGAGGTATTCAGACACAGGTTGGACAACCACAGGATGGGGAGGTGCACTAAGGGACTGTGCTTGAGATTTGGAGATCTTTGATTCTGCTGTGGTTACATAGTTTAGGCCCTGAGGACAGTGCGGAAGGTCTCTATGCCTCAGCACGGAACTTTGCTGTGGGAAGCTTTCTCAGAGGGCTGAGGACACCCTACAGAAATGCTCCTCAGCCATCTGCCTGCCTTCCTTTGGGACTCTCTTGTCACATCTGTGCTGGCCGACAAAATGCACCTCAAGACTCCAACCACAGAAAGTATAGATGACCCAGGCCCCGCTGCTGCTGGGAAACCAAGGCTGCACTGGGACTGAGGCCACGCTGCCCAGGGGCGGCTCCCACTCACCAGGGCATGGCTGGGAGACCAAGGCCCAGCTCCTGGAACTGGAGAGTCCTCTTTCTGGTGTTCCTGGAATCCCCAGGGTGTCCAGCGCACTCCCTCCCAACTTTCTCTCTCTCTCTCTGGAGTCAAGCTTTCTGTCAGTCCTCCCCTCTCTTCCCTCTCACCCCCCATTTCCCTGAATAAAATCCTCCCATCTTCTGCTCTTTTTCTCAGGGGCCCCTGACTTATCTAATGACCTTGAACAATTTTCTTCAGGAGTCTGAGTGCCTTTCATAGGGAGTGCTGAAAATATACCAACTAAACTTTATTCATCTTTGCTGAAAACATTTCTCTTAGTTTCTTAAGTACTCTTATTTCTGCTCATGGTACATTTTTGTTGTTGCTGTTTTCAGAAGTTATTAATTTTTATGAAATACAAATGAATTCCCCCCAGGGTATCTTCCTGAACCCCACCAAAACCTCAAATTCCCTCCCCTCCATTGCACAGTGCCTGATATTTGTCCCTAAACCATCTACCAGCTCTTAGCAGAACATAAAGTCAGCTCATTAGCAAGGTCCTCAGCTTTCTGGAAGGCAGTTTTGCAATCCCTTTGCCCTTCCTAAGGGAATCTCCCTCCCGTGTATGTGGCTTATCAGGCATCTTTTCAGCAATTACCATGCCCTTCCCAGGGGGGCTTCTGGTGAATTAATTTTCCCCAAAGAATTACAATTACAAAGCCCATGTTCATCCTGGAATCTGATAAATATTCATCTCTCTCCATCTGATTGTTTTCATTTCTTTACTTTTACATTTGACTCTTCATGCCGTAAAAAAATATCCTTTTTTTTAAGGGGAGAAATAATTTGAAATACCATCTCAGATAATTCTGTGATAAATAATTGCCAACTCATTTATTTTTCAGTTCATTTATTGCTTTAGTATTTGTCATGCCATTTGTTATGTCCCCAGCAGAGAAGTATGAACACCTGGCTTGCTTTTTGCTTCCTAAGCTGTGAGTACGAGAAGGCAGCAAGATGTTCCAGGCCTGCGTCAGGCACCCATCAGGGTTGGGCAGGCCCTGGAGGAGTAGGTTGGCTCAGCCAGTCAGCTAGGCCTTAGCATGAAGACAGGTGTCTATCAGCAGCCTAAACAGAGGCCAGCCTCAGAGCTTGGCAGAGTGCAGGAGCAAAGCTCCACAGGACCAAGGAGCAGCCAGTAGACAGGGATCCTGGCTGGCAGGTACGGATTCCAAAGAGAACCCCTGTCAAGAAGGAGCCAAGAGACCACTCCACACCCATAATGATGGCTACCAGGAAGAAAACAGAAACTAACAGATGTTGGCAAGAATATAGAGAAATTGGAACCCTTGTGCATTGTTTGCACAAGGAATGTAAAATGGTGCAGCCACTGGAAAACAGTATGGCAGACCCTCAAAAAATTAAACACAGAATTACCATATGATCCTGAACTCCACTACTGTGTACATACCCAAAAGAATTAAAAGCAAGGACTTGAAGAGGCTTTTGCATATCCCTGTTTATAATATCATTATTCACAACAGCCAAGAAGTGGAAGCAACTCAAGTGTCCATCAATACATAAATGGATAAGCAAAATGTGGTCTATACATGCAATGGAATATTATTCAGCTTTAAAAAGGAAGAAAATGCTGACACGTGGTATACGAAGGATGAACTCTGAGAACACTGTGCTCAAGTGAAATAAGCCAGTTACAGAAGGACAAATACTGTATGATTCCACTGACATGAGGTACACAGAGTACTTCATAAAATCATAGAGACAGAAAGAACAGTGGTTGCCAGAGGTGAGTGGAGAAGAGAATGGAGACTTGTTGTTTAATGAGTACAGAGTTTCCATTTTATAAGATAAAAAGAGTTGTGGAGATAGATGGTGGTGATGGGGGCACAATATTATGAGTAAATTTAATACCACTGAATTGTATGCTTAAAAATGGTTAACCCAGTCAACATCATGCTTTGTGTATTTTACCACAATAAAAACAAAGAAGAAGCCAAGATAAGGAAGGGACAGAGAAGACTATGTCCCCTACAAGCCTGGGAAAACCCCTCCATTAAGAGAAAATAAAACCTACCCTAAGATGTAGAAAGCATTTCAGAAAGTGCTGTGTAAGTGGTGATTAAGCATAGCTGGATTCTATCTTGCGTCAGATGGTTCTGGGAAGTGAAGGCACTTTGATAATCAATGTCTCAGCTTCATCAGCCTTTTTCTGTGTTGCAAATTCACTCAAAGAAGGTAGAAGAGGAACTGCCACAGCTGGGAGCATTTTATCCCTTGGTTCCCAAACCAATGATTTCTGCATTTATTTGGACTACAGTGTTTTCCACTCAATGAAGCCTCATCAAATTTTGTGGTTATCTCTGTAATAGTTAAACTTTTATACGCAGCTACACCAAGAAAATTTGGATCCTTAAAGAGTGGAAAAATAGAGTGGAAAGTATGAACATTAACTTCATTAAACCTTAGTCAAGCAGAACTATGGGACGTCCTTTGGTGCTTGTCTGAAACAATTTTAGGATAACAGAAATTTTGTGCAGCAGTAACCGACCTGCCCAGCAGGCCTGGAACCCAGCCCTGAGGATGAGGCCTCATTTGCACTTGCTGTGTGACCTTCGGAAAGTGACTGTGGCTCTCTGGTGTTCAGTTCCCTTTATGTGATTAGACACGTGTTAGTTGGCTGGTTCATGGTGCTCCTCCTTCACAGGCTGAAGGGGACGCAGGACTGGCATCACAGCAGTTCTGTCACCAACAAGCATGGGATCCAACCAGTGCTTGGTGTACGAGAGAAACTCAATAAATGATCCAACGTGCACAATCATTATTTGCTCAAAGTCTGCAAATGGGGCTCACTCGGTGGCGTGGTTGCTCTGCCCTGCGCAGTGTGGAGGTGTCTGCTGAGGCTGGAGGTCACAATGCCTCCACTCGTGTCTGGACCCCCTTCAGCTGGGTGGCTACAGCAGGCAGGAACTGGCCTCCATCTCCTGTGAGGTGTTCAGACTTCCTACACAGCAATTGCTTCCAAGAGGGCAAGGGGGCCTCACTGGAAACAGGCAATTCTGCTTCCGGCCAATTCTGCCACATTCTGTTGATAAAGAGAAAAGGAAATGAACTCCACCCACTGATGAGAGTAGCAGCAGGCGTGTGCAGGGTAGGGAGAGAGCAAGGACAGAGGCGTCCCACCACCCACTGCCCCAGGCAACCCAAGCGTCTGTTTTCCTACATAAGTTACAATTACAATCTTACCTGTCCTGAAAGCTTGGGGAATCAGGCGTTTTGCCATGTTATTTTATTAGTTTCCTCTCGCTGATATAACAAATTATAGGCTGAGCATTCCTAATTTAAAATATTTAAATAATTTCAATAATAAATGTTTAAAATATGTTAAATAATAAAAGTTACCTTCAGGCTATGTGTACAAGATGTATATAAAATGTGAATGAATTTTGTATTTAGACTTGGATCCCATCCCCAAGATATCTCAATATGTATGTACAAATATTCCAAAAGCTGAAAAAATGCAAAATCCAAAATCTGAAAGAGTGCTGGTCCCAAGCGTTTTGGACAAGGGCTATTCAGACTCAGTGGCAACACACATTGTTTATCTTACAGTTCCTGAGGTCAGGGGTCTGAAGTCAGTTTCACTAGACTGAAATAGACGTGTAGCCCAGGGAGAAACTGTCCTTGCCTTGTCCAGCTTCCAGGGGCTGCTCCTCCACCCTCAAAGCCTGTCAAGGCCGGAGCCCTCACAGCACTGCATGGAGAGCCTTCCACCTCTCTCTCCCAACTATCAGGACCTGTGACGGCATTGGGCCCACCTGGAGAATCCAGGACCCTCTCCCCATCCCCAGGTCACCTGACACAACCTGCATTCCATCTGCTGCCTCAGTTCTCTCCTGCTAACATAATATGACACATTCACAGGTTTGGGGGATTCAGATGTGGACATTTTGACAGGCCATCATGCATCCTACCACAGTCACCATTTCAGGTTGTTTTTAATGTTTTCATTACTTTGGATAATATTTTGTAAAAAAAAAAAAATAATAATTGCCATAAAGATGTAGCCTCTTTCCTCTATTCGAATCTGCTAAGTTGGTTAAACACACACACAAAAATTTTTTTTTAATAGGCTGTAAGTGAGAGCCAAGGGACTCTTTTCTGCAGAATGTTCATAAATTTTACTCTGGGGGAGTGGAGATGGAGACCTATCAGAAGCTGTTGTGATTGGAGAGTAGGAGGGATGTTAGGAGCCTTATCATGGGGACAGGCTGGCCCTTCCACCCAATGTCTGGATGTCACACTCCCCAAAGCTAGACACTGGTGCATCAACACTTTGGTGCTGGCTACCACATTATTTAATGAGGCATCCAGGTGGGAGGGGGTTCCTGGAAAAACTCCAACCTGCCCACGCAATGGGGCGGACCCTCGGGAAGTTCACACTATTTGCGGTGGGAGAGGAGCCGGGCCCCTCTTCTTCCTGTGTGGAATCCAAGATTCCTGTGTGGAACCCGGGTGGGAAGCGCTCTAGCAGGGACTCTGGCCCTGCGAGAGTCCCTGTTTCGCCCATTTTCTTCCTTTTCACCCAGTAAAACCCTGTCTTACTCATTATTCAAGTTGTCTGCAAGCCTGAATTTTTGTGGCCATGGGACAAAGAACCCCGTCTTTAGCTGAACTAAGGAAAAGTTCTGCAACATTAAGAGGCTGAAAATGTGACAAATGGAAGACCAAAAGAAGCCATTTTCTTCATTCGGTGCAGCACATGATTTCCTGAGATTTTACTTATAATCTTCTGAGTTTAAAGGTTGTAACAGAAACTAAATTTCCACTCCTATTTCATTCCTATTACAGTAGCCGCCCCTCCCTATCCATGGGAACACATTGCAAGACCCCCAGTGGATGGTTGAGCATCGGATTTTAGGGAACTCTATATACAATATGCTTTTTCCTATACATACAGACCTATGATAAAGCTTGTTGTATGAATTAGGCACCGTAAGAGATTTAACAACAATAACAAAAAATAAAATAGAACAATTATGAAAAAATACTGTAATAAAAGTTACATAAATTTGGTCTCTCTCTCAAAATATCTTATTGTACCATACCGAGGGTAACTGGAATCCCAGAAAGTGAAACTATCAACAAGGGGGACTACTGTATAAGGGATAGAAAGAAGCTGAGAGTCAACCCTAACTTGTTAATTTAATGAGGTCATTAAAGAGAGAACTCAACTATTACGCTACACAGGAAAATGAGCAGGAAGTTACACAAGCTGTTCATGTTGCAGATGAACCTACTGCATGTCTAGCGGTGAAAACAAAGTAGAAAAACATTTTCTTTTTATAGAGGGGTAGCTAGGGTGCTCTTGCCCAGAAATCCTGACATCTCACTTGTCTTCCCAGAGCTGAGAGTTGGTGTTCTGACATAGCGTAGTTCATAATAACGTGGGGAGAATGCTGACATAGGTGGAAAAACTACTCATGAAGTCTGCTTTACAACTACAACTGGGCATTTCTATGGGAACTTGGGCTTGCCATCCAGGGAGGCTGAAGGCTCCAGAGCAAGGCTGTAGGTCCACGGGACCCCTAGGCTGAGAATCTGCCTGCAAATTCTGATCAAACCTTATCATGCTCTGGGAGGCAGAGCTCTGAGTCTTCATCTGACCTTCTGCTTGGAGAGCTTCATGGGATCAATTGGTCAACATCCCAGGCCCGGGCAAGGCAAACGACTCTTAGACTCCAATGTGTCCATCAGCCAAAGTGCCCAGGGGTTTCTTCTGTTCCCTCCTGCTGCCTTTGGCTCTATTAGCCCTAGCCTGATGTGATCTGATTTACTACTAAACTACCCCACGCACAATCTTCCATTGGAGGTGATCCCAAATTCACAGTATTCACAAGAAACGTGCTTCAGTTTGTACTAACGCTGATGTCCTACTCCAGGATATAACACTGCAGCACCAATGATAAATCAGAAAGAGAACTACAGACCTGGGGTAACAGAGTTAAGATCCTTTCCAATGCCAGATTCAAACCAGATGTTCTCAATCCACCAGCATGCTCCCTCCATCCTTACCCTTCTCCCATAGTTCCCAGGCTAGGGAATGAGGTACAGCCCCATTAACAGACACTCTCTACTGGTAGAGATGAGGTTGATTGTCTGAAATGCTGAAGTGGTGCTCTTACCATTCCTTTAATCAAATCATATGGGAATTATGTTGAAAGAGCAGTGGCTTCTGCATGGGAAGTTTCAGAATTCTCATCCCAAATTGACTCCAAGTCCATTTCCTTGTCTATGAAGTAGAGATAAAGCCTAGGCCTTGACTGCTTCCTTCACAGCGGTTGATGAGGATGAATGAGGTAATGAAAATGAACACTTCTTCAAAAATGAAAAGGGTCAGTATGGCGTTTATTGTAACAACTATGTTTTACTTACACATTAGCAGTTGTATGAAGGAGAAGGAAAATCACACTGAAGAAGAAAGAAAATAATTTGCCTCCGTGGTTTCAGGCTCCACGGTTGACCAGAAGGCCTGGAACAAAATCATCCCTCAGGAAGATTTCCTGAGCACTGGAAGCAGGTAAGGATTCTAAGGAGAAGTGTGTTCATGTTCTTGACACAAACTTCAAGGGACACATTGGCTATTCTGTAAATGGGGTTTAGCTGATAAGAATATTTTTTAAGTTGATTTAGCTTGCTAGTTCTAGCCAAGGTGGAGCAACCCCATTTCATCCCTAGACATCCCTCTTGAAAATAAAAAAAGAATTGCTGGACATAACATAAAAGTCGAACATAAAAAATTAGACAGAATTACCAGATGACCCAGCAATCCAATTTCTGGGTGTTTACCCAAAAGAATTAAAAGCAAGGACTTAAACAGATCTGTGTACCCCCACATTCATAGAAGCATTATTCACAATAGCCAAGAGGCAGATGCAACCTGAGTGTCCCATCAACAAAGAAGGAGATAAACAAAATGCAGTATATGCAATGGAATGTCATCCAGCCTTAGAAAGGAAATCCTGACACATGCTACAACATAGATGAACGCTGAGGACATTATTTCAAGTGAGATAAGCCAGTCACAAAAGGACAAATACTTCAAAAATCATAGCAACAGTTATTAGAATGGTGGTTTCCAAGGGCTGGGGGGAGGCAGAAATAGGGAGAAATGGTGTTTAATGAATCAGTTTCAGTTTTGCAAGATGAAAAGTATTCTAGAGAAGGGTGGTAGTGATGGTTGCCCCACAATGTTAATGTACTTAAGTGCTATACTAAGTATACTTAGAACCATACACCTAAAACTGGTTAAATCATACATTTTGTGTTATGTATATTTTACTACAGTAAAAACAGTCAAACCTAGGAAGACTCTGAGAGGTGGAAAGAGCAAGGTGACTTCTTAGAGACCTTGGGACTTGAGGTTGGCACTACGGTGAGGTGCCTGGATTTTCTTTATGTTTCCATGTAATTCAGCCAAAGCACTGGAGAAACTTGCAACCTGGAACCACCAACCACTGTAGACAGACATGTCCCAAGAAAAGCCTGCTTCCTGCAGCTGCAGGACTGGGGAAATAGCAGTCTAACACAACAGAAGGTATTTTTGACAATAACTATTCTTCTCCAGCCAAACATCCATGGAAAACATTCTGCCAATGATCAGCAGGGCGGACTAGGGAGCTGAACCCCTCTCTAAAACCTGAAAGTCCAAATCCTTCCTTGCCTCTTCCTGGCTTCTGGTGGTTTTCTGGCCACCTTTGGCATTCCTTGGCTTGCAGCTGCATAACTCAGATCTCTGCCTTTCTCACCCCATGGCACTTCTCCTGTGCGGGTCTATCTTCACATGCCGTCTTCTTCTAAGGATGCCAGTCATATGGTATTCAGGCTGCCCTATTCCACTGTAACTCCATCTTAACTAATGACATCTGAAATGGCACTACTTTCAAGGGTCACATTTTGAAGTACTGGTGGTTAGGACTTCAGACACACAATTCAAGCCATAGCATGTACCAATATCGGTTTCCTGTCTGTGATATTGTACTGTAGTGGTATAAAATATCACTACTGGGGGAAGCGGATAAAAGGCATGGCACTCTGTGCACCATTTTTGCAACTTCCTGTGCATCTATAATTACATCAAAATCAAAAGAGTTTTAAAAATTATTATGTTACATAAACGGAGATCAAATGGGGATCTTACTCCATTTTCCATCTTTATTGACACATTTTTGGGCTTTACATTTCCAACTGTTTTCCATAAGGCAATCAATTTTATCCTCTGTTTTTCCTGTGGTTTGCCCTAAGTGTTTGCTGAATATATTGCATAATTTTAAATAAGCTGGTCAGCAGCTTTGAGACTTTGGTGATATTTCTCTTCTCATTGCAATCTCTCCTAAGAATTTCAGAAATAAATCACCAATCCCCCTATGAAATGACAATTTCTCAACCCTGCAGATAGCAGAAGGCACTGTAATTCTAAAAAATCTTCACTCCTCTTGAGTCTCAAGTTACTGTGGTCTTGAGACTCAAGACCTTGCATTGTACCAATGCTTGGAACAATGGTAATATTTCTTTATCTTCTTTAGGGAAGGCCTGGGTTTTGCGGTTCCTGTAAGTTCCTAGAAATGACCTGATGGGAACTAGGAACAGAGCCATGAAGAGTAGAGCCCACTGAAAAAGGACCACTGGGGCCCTGCGCCTGCTCCATCCTCCTGTTCACTGAGGTGCATGGGGCAGAGGGGCTCATCCTGGGATAAGCTGTAGCCCAAGGCCTGGGGCCATCACCCATGTCAGGGCTTAAGCCTTAGGATGAGTATGAAGAATGGGATTCCAGTTTTCAGGCCAATCTAGAAGTCACACAGTGGCAGAGACAATAAGGAGACCCTACTAGCTGTGCTAAAAATCTGACCCCTGTGGGTAGGGGGAGAGGGAGTTGGGGGCACTGTATTAGTTTCCCATTGCTGTGTTACAAGGCACCATGAACTCAGCAACTTAAAACACCATGTCTTTACTGTCTTATAGTTTCTGTAGATCAGAAGCCTGGGCAGGGTCCTTGGCTGAGGGTCTCACCAGGCTAAAATCAAGATGTCAGTGGGGATACAGTCCCCTCTGGAGCTGGGTCCCCTTCCAAGTTCCTGTGGTTCTTGGCCAAATTTAGTTCCTTGCAATGGAATGAGCAAGTCCCAGCTTTCTTGCCAGGCGATGGCCAGAGGCTCCTCTCAGCACCTAGAGGCCACACCTGCTCCCTGCCACACCAAGAGGCCACACACCTCCCTCCCTGGTTCCACCCAGGCAGGGCCCCTCGGGACACGACGCTTACTTCCCCAAGACCAGCAGGGGCGTCCCTCTCCTGTTTGGAATCTCTCTCTTTAGGAAGATCCTGGCTATTTTAAAGGCTCAGGGGATTTCCCTTTTGATCATCTCAAAGGCAACTCATTAAGGAGCTTCATTACATCTGCAAATTACATCTGCAAGGTTCTTCACCTTTGCACCCTCATCACTAGCAGGAAGGCCATCAGATTTGCAGCTTGGCCTCCAGCCATGGGGAAGGGATTACACTGGGGCGTGTATACCACGGGGTGGGAATTGTAAGGCCTCTCAGAATTCTGCCTATGACTGGTGTGGGACCCTTGGAGGGCCTGCAGTGCCCAGGCAGGCTGGGCTGGAGTCCAGGACAGGGTGCTACAGGCCTGTCCAGCAGAAGGCAAAGCAGAAACACAAGGCAGAGCCAATGCCACATTCAACCAACACAGAACAGGGCTGGGACAAGCTACAACTCAGCCACCCTGAGCACCTGGGGCCACCGGCAGGCAGCATTGACGGACACCAAGGGCTATTCGGGAGCCCATGAGCCCTAAAGGTAGCAGAGCCTCAGCAGATTCTGAGCTTTGAGAATATCTGAGCCATGCTAGGATTTCACACGTAAGTCACCAAGCCTCCTGAGAAAGGAAGGCCAGCAATTTCTCAGCACTGCAGTTGAAAGAAGATGCCATCACGCTCAGAAACTGCCACTTCCCTTTACTCTCAAACTAGCGTGGCCTGGACTTGGAGAAAGCGTGGCATTTTTTGACCCTGGTTGGGAAAGACAGCTGCTGCCATCCTTCATACCCTCAGGATGGGCTCGGGCACAGTCAGTGAGACCTGCAGCTGGCAGAGTAGGACAGGCACCTGGCAGACTCAGATCCCCCAGGAAATTATCAAGATAGGCAGGGGAATGCCAGCGAGGTCAGAAACAGGCTTCCCTGGAAAGAAATGTTGCATTCTCACAGATCTGGGGAGGCACATTCTTCACAGGGCATATGGAGAAAGGTAGGCTGGGTCTGGGTGTTCCATGGGTCTGGTGAGCTGGGGAGATGCCATGGCAGAGGCCAGGTGGATGGGGCAGTGGTCACACTGGGTTAGAAATCAGCACAACCAGCCAGGTGCAGTGGCTCACGTCTGTAGTTCCAGCACTTTGGGAGGCCGAGGCAGGTGGATCATGAGGTCAGGAGTTCGAGACCAGCCTGACCGACATGGTGAAACCCCATCTCTACTAAAAATACAAAAAAAAATTAGCTGGGCATGGTGGCACTCACTTGTAATCCCAGCTACTCAGGAGGCTGAGACAGGAGAATTGCTTGAACCCAGGAGGTGGATGTTGCAGTGGGCCGAGATCGCGCCATAACACTCCAGCCTGGCAACAGAGCGAGACTCCTTTCAAAAAAAAAAAAAAAAAAAAAGGAAAAGAAAAAGAAATCATCACAGTTGTGAGAACTTTGGGAGAATATGCTCTCCTCAGATCTTAATTTCTTATTTATAAAACAAAGACAACAATACCTGTATTAAAATTTAAAAATGCTTGAAAACATGGCCAGGAAGCCATAACCCATCATACAGTGTCAGGTTATGGATGCTGCTATCATAACCCTGGACAAATGGGCAGCTTCGATGAACAGAGATGCTTTTGCCTTCCCTGCAGACAGCTTACACTCCTGGGCCTTTGGCTACATATGCGACTGAACTCAAAAAGGCCAACATTTGTTTTTTTCCATATCCTGTACAAAACATCAAAGGCTGCCAGGTGCAATTTTCTGTCTCCAGGAATTAAGATGAGGAAGACAAAGGAAGACCCTGAGTCAATGACATCCACGTTCAAGCACGATTCCCCTCAGGTCTGTGACAGGGGCTGCCCTGGGACCCTGGCCCTCCATCTGCTTCCCCTCGGTGTCCCACTTTGGAATTGCTGGGCTGAGCCAGGGGCCAAGAGGGAAAAGCAGGGACAGGATCCTCTGCTCCAGTGCCTCTCACCCCCGTCCCCACTCCCCTGGGCCCTCCAGGAGGAAATGGCAGCCCAGATGGTACCTGCTGAGTGGAGGCAGCTCATGCAAGATGGGGCCGCACAGCAGCGGCATCCAAAATGTGAAGGTGGAAGGCTGGGAACATCGGGAAGAATCACAGGAACTGTTGAAAGAGAAGTGAGCCGTGTGCGTGCAGTATCACTGGGCTAAGTGAGCACTCACTGAGTGGGCACCAAATCCACCAAAGCCATAGGTGGGGCCGCTGGAGGAAGCCAAGGGGAATTCTGTCACCACCTGATATGGCTTGGATGTTTGCTCCCTCCAAATCTCATGTTGAAATGTGACCCCCAGTGTTGCAGGTGGGCCTGGGGGAGGTGTGTGGGTGATGGGAGCCGGCCCCACATGAATGTCTTGGTGCCATCCTCATCCTCAGAGTATCAAAGTCTCACTCTATTAGTTTTCATGAGATCTGATTGTTAAAAAGAGCCTGGTGCTTCCTCCCCTATCTTGCTTCCCGTCTCCTCATGTGGTGCCTTCCTCCATGAATGGAAGTTCCCTGAGGCCCTCACCAGAGGCAGATACTGGTGCCCCACTTCTTGTACAGCCTGCAGAACTGTGAGCCAATAAACCCCTTTGCTTTATAAATTACCCAGCCTCAAGCATTTCTATATAGTGACGCAAATGGACTAAGACGCACCTGTCCTAGTTTTCCAGGGCTGCGTAGCAAAGCACCATAGGCCAGGTTTGCATTGTTCCTGCACTTCTAGGGGTGGGAGTCTGGGATCAGGTTGCTGGCAGGTTCGGTTTCTTCTCATGCCCCTCTCCTTGGCTTGTAGATGCTGTCTTCTCCCTGTGTCCTCACATGGTCTTCCCCCTATGCACGTTTGTGTTCTCATTTCTTCTTAGAAGGACATCAGTTGTATTGGATTAGGGCCTATCCTGATGACCTCAGTTAACTTTAATCACCTCTTTAAAGATTCTATCTCCAAACACAGTCATATTCTGCAGTAGTGGGGGTTAGGGCTTCAACATACAAGTTTTGGGAGAACACAACTCAGCCATAATGCCACCCCAGCCCCAAGAGCCCCGAAACTGGAAGTACAGGTCATTCAGTGGTCATCTCATGTCTGCCCACACCCCCTCTCTAGACATCCAAGGCCCTTTCTAAAGTGACCAAAAGCTACTAAGAAGCAGAAAGTCTCTGATCACTTGGAGAGCAATGTACTGATGGATTTGTAACCATGGTAACATGCACATCAGAGAACTTTATGAAACAATGGAGAGAAGGAAGCCTGGGGTCATTTGCTGTGATGCTGCACTGACCTGGACATCCTTGTAGATCCAGGCTTTGAGGCGGGCAGGAGGAGATGGAGCTGCCGTTTAACCCACCTGGTGGAGCAAGGCAGTGAGCAGGGCCTGTTGCCTGTGACCACAGAGTCCTGCTTTGTCCTCAGGCCCTGGGAGCAGAGCCAAGCAATGGATACTGATGACATTTGGACATCATTCTTAAATTCAACACAGCAGCTCACACTGGGAATTTCTAGCTCAGAAAGGATCCACGTAGGGGGATGATTTGCCCCCTTCCCCCAATTGGGCACCCCATAGTCAGCAGGGAAATTCACCAGGGTGGGGCAGAGAGTGTGCAGGGTGGGCAGCAGCACTGGAGGCAGCATAGTGGTCGTGCCAGAGTTATGGGAGAAAACACGTGTCAGTTGGACCTAACTGCATCATAGAGACTTCATCGTTAGGGTCCACAAACCAGGCCAGCAGCCACAGTCTGTCCTCCTGTGGGAGAGCCTGGGGCCAGATCCCAAAGACCAGAGACACAAAGATATCTGTGTCCAAGGGATCCAAGGGGAAGGAGCCATCCTGGAGCTCCAGGAGGGTGCAGCACAGGCAGCCTGAAGCACCACACTGCACAGGGACACACTCCTGGCCCTGGGGCACAGCCATCGTCAGACCATTTGGACAGATGAAGGCATCTGAGGAGCCACAACTGTCAGGATCCTGTCTCCGAGCACCTGCCTGACAAGTAGTCCCACCATGAGGGGAACCAAAAACCCAAAACAACCACAACCAAAAGGCCTCTTCCAGCCATGGGAAGCCAGCCAGCCCTTGCTCTTTTCAGACCCGCTCAGCCAGGGTCTGCAAGGCCATCTCAGCTAGCTTGGGTACATCAAGGCCCCCAACCAACCTGTGTTCTGTGAGTGCCTGCTCTATGCCTAAACTTGCCAAGAGAGAAGAACCAGAGCTGATCCCTGGCCCTGCCTGACAGCGATCTGGGCAGCTTACAGGGGGGCATCTGTGAGGTCCAGTGCCAAGCAGGACTGCAGTAGCTGTAGAATAATACATTTCTTGCAGGGGTTTGGCCTCAAGCAGGGATTTGGTTCCTCAGCCTGTGGGGCTGCTGCTGCTGTTTCTGCATCTGAGGCTGTGGCCCAGAGCCTGTAAGACAGGGCAAGCATTCAAGGAGGATGACAGATGTCAAGTGTAGGAAGAAAGACCAAGTGGCCCCCGCGGCTGCACAGGACCCGCAAGGACCAACTGAAACTGCTTTGATCTCTAGTAGGAGAGGCCAGAGCGGGGGCCACAGCAGGACCCGAAAGTGGCCACCAGCAGTTGCCCCACGCTGACCAGGTGAGCCAGGGGGTCAGGCACACGGCCTGCACGGACCTATGAGTGGTCAGGCTGCTCCCATGCTGCAGCCTTCTGCGTCACAACATGTGTTTCAGGCTGCCTTGGAACTATTCAGAGAAGACAATTCTGAGGAATAACGGCCAGCTCAGCTAAGATGACCTGACATAAACCACCCAACAGGTATCCAGGACGCAACCTAACAGGTGATGATTTCTCCTAGGAAGAGAGAGTCTGAGAGCTTCAGAAACACAACTGTGGGGAATTCAGCTTCTCTTTTAAAATGAGGTCCAGAGATCAGGAAGGCTCCAGGGAGTTGGAAACATCTCAGCTGGTTTTGGGAATCAGGTGAGAACAGGTCATGGGGCCTAAGAGGACAGAGGTTCCGACAGAGAGGATATGGGAGCCAAGGGAGGGCAGCGATCATAGGAGAGGAGACTGTGACAGGCAGTGCACAGGCCTTGCGGAGAGTCACGGGCAGCGGGCAGAGCAGGCGCGGCGGCAGCAGCGTCCGCTGCAGAGCTCAGAGGGGACGGGGTGCAGAGATGAGCCTCGGCTTCCTTCCTCAGAGCAAATAACCAAACGTAAAAAACGTTTTACAGGCCATGCAGTTTCCTATTCCCTTGTATGAAATTAAAGTCCTTGGATTGGAATCACAGTATCCTTTTTTTAGGTTATGTTTCAGATGCTCCGTTTTAGGTCTTGAACTCCCCATGACACTCTATTTTTCCCTGCTTTTTACTACACAAAGTCAATATTAAAACATAAATGAGGTTTGGACCTCCCTTTATTACTCATCAACTATAGCTGGCTTAAAACTTGAGGGGATTAGCTTTTTCCTACAGCCCAAATGAAATCGAACCTCCCTTTCTTTGTCTTCTCTCCCTCTCTACCTCTTTCCCTCCCCACCTCTTCTTTCCATCAGCCCTTCCTTAATTTGTCTTTTCTTTTTTTAATTGATTCTTACATCAAAAACCAAAAAGAATTATGACACTAATGAAGGACATGTAACAAAAGAGAAGCAGTAGGCACATCACCACTGAACTACGACAAAAAAATTGTCTGACCCATGCCGCCCCTCAATCCTGTCCACAGGCATTCTTAGTTATTCCTGGTGGTCCCAGCAAGGAGTAGAATTTAGTAGTTTGCTTTATTCACTTGATAATATCATGTTTTCCACTTTGCCAAATCAGCTTCCCTATTATCATTTGCCACAAGCCTGTGGCTTTCACGGGGTGGACTAAAGCACATGGTGGGGAAGCCTTGGCTGATGCCTCAATGTTGGTAGCTTTAGGGGAAGGTGCTTTAGACTGACTGTGATCCACAGAGAACTGCCCTCTGGTCCCCATGAACAGTGATGGGCAAGTCTGAAGAGAATTTCTTGGCCATTCAGATACCAATGTCTTCATGCACCTGAAATGACTTGAAGAGAATGATCTGAAGAGATGCAGGTAAGGAGGAGTGGTGGCTGAGGGGCTACTGGGCATTTCCCTATTTGCAACTCATCTCTTCTACCAGAAGCATGTGAATCCCTACCTCCCTTCCTAACCCCTTCCCAGAGCAACTCAGCAGGACTTGCAAGGTGGAGAAGAGGTGTTTGAGTTCCTCCTAGAGAAGACCTTGGAAGAGATTCACGCACAAAAGAAAGAAAGCAAAATAATACTTTATGCTATTAAATTTTGCATTCCAAAACCCCAGTTTTGTAATATACAGCTTTATATGCCAAACTTGACCAAAAAAAAGACATGAGACATAAAGAAGAAAGTAAAATGGCTGACATAAATCCAAACCTATGGATATTAACATTAAATATTAATGGATTAAGCAACACAAAAGACAGAGATTATCAGATCAGACAGGATAAGAAAAACAAGATCCAACTATATGTTTGCTACAGGAGACACACTTTAGATTCAAAGATATAAATGGGCTGAAAGTAAAAGAATGGAAAAGAAATAATCATGCAAACAATTGTAAGAACACTGGAGTGGCCATACTGACATCAGACAAAATAAACTTTCAAACAAAAATAGTTATCAGAGATAAGCAGGGACACTTTATAATAACAATAGAATCAACTCGTGAAGAAGATATAACAATTATAAACATATGTTTCTAACAGAGCCCCCAAAATACATGGGGCAGAACTGATATAAATAATGAGAAAAATAGACCAATACAAATACTTGGCAACATCAACGCCACACTTGGAATCATGGAGAGAACAACTAGACAGGAGATCAAAAGGGAAATAGACAATTTGAACAATAATCTAAAATGCAAAACCTTCATGAGCAGAAAGATCTCCCCATAAGTCCTTAGAAGAAAAATAGCCTTTCGAGGTTTACGTAGAGCAAGGGTAAGAGGGAAATGGGGGTTACAGACCCACCGTGAGTACTGCTGAGCCGGGCACTAGCTGGGGAGTTTATAGTCATTTATCAGAAGCTTCTGGGTCTTACATTTCTCATACATAAAATGAGGTAAAAATGCACCATTCACGGGGTCTTTGTGGGGATTTTGAGAATGAAATACATAAAGGAAATTTATTCCTAGGCTGTGGGATGCTGTCCAATGGAAGATGTGCCAATCCTGAACCTGTCTGCCCTCAGAGCCAGTCCAAGCCCTTTCCCTCTCTGCATTATGGGGATGGGCTTCAGGGAAGGAAGGATTGAGCCTGTTAGACTGTCATTCCTGGCTCATGTGCCAATTGGTTTCTGGTGGGATTCACCCCAGAGAGAGGTGCTAAAAAGAGGGGTAAGAAGGGGGAAGCCAGGGTATTTCTCCATCACCATTTTCCCCACACCTAAGCACTATCTCCAGCAGACTTCCCTGAGGGTCCAGCTCCTGCCAGGGAAGCCAAGACGCCAGCTTCCAAAGGGTGAACCTCGTACCTGGGCCCCATAGCACTACTTACCTCCTTAGTTCCTTCAACCCAGGGAGGGTTGCGGCTCCCTCCAATGTCACTGTGCTCTGGCCTCAAAGTCTTCCTATAACCTGGGCAATGAGAGTCCTCTGTTATAAATACTTAGAGTGACCTCTCTTCTTGGTTGAACCTTGGATGATTAATAGGATTTTTCTCCTAAACTATGAAAAGTTTGTAGGCAGAGATCCTGTCTTCAAGCCAACCAACAGTGATTGGGTTTCTGTAAACTGTTAGACCTTGAGCCAAGCCACAGAGAAGAAGCAGCAAGACAGGGCCTGCTCTACGGAACACAGAACCTTAGCCCTCTATGACCTGCATGGAGCCTCGTGTAGAATAAGCACTAGTGTGCACCTGTTGCTGAAAGCCTATTTCAATTGAGTTAGCATGTGTAGCGTGTGAGCTGTGCACCAGCTTCTCGGCCTGGTTTGCAGACACATTGTATTTGACCTGTGGTGATACCCCATGAGAAACCAAAGCAGCTCACACCATGTAGCGCAGTGCTGTAAGCTTTGCCACCCTGCTACTGGCTGAAACCCTACCAGGGGCACAGCTGGCCAGCGGTCTCCCCATCAATGTCCTGCAACAACCTCCCCAAAACCAAAGTAGAATGAAGATTGGAGAATGGAGTGTCAGGAACACTTATTCATGATCACTCTTGCATTCTGAAGGTGCAACATGAATGTCTCCGAGGGGTGGTGTGGGTGCTCCTCAGCCCCCAGATGAACAAGGTGTCTACTTGGATTTTAACTATAAAGCTGCCCTGTTACACTTTGTAACCTCAGGCACAGAGCCGTGGACATGCATCATAGGGCACTGAATCTGTCCCACATGACTAACAACTTGGGACATCTGAGAACATTTCTGTATTGTTTACACTAAAAGAACATGTATTTTTATTTCATAACACAGAACTGACATTTGACATGTTAAGTCAATGTAAGTCACTGGTGAAGTTCCTGAATTACTGCGGAAGAGTAATTAGTCCCTAGGGGCCTGTCGCTTCAACAATTTGCCATTTATCTTCTTTCAGATGACAATGTGGTTTTTTCTTTTATTTAAATCTTAAAACCCATAAATACCTCTCCACCACCACTGCTTCCTTCCCTGCAGACATACCCAAATCTTGTCCACCTCTGGGTTCAGCCAAGAGTTTGTGGTAACAACCACAAATGAAGCCTCGGCTCTGATGACACTGCTGCTCCTGAAATCCTCTCAGGGCCAATCTTCTCTGAATCAACAACTTGACTTTATTAACTGATAAGATTGACTCTGCTTCACATTCTAGCTTATTCTTGTGTTGTTCGGATCATCCACATGCTTTAACTTAGAGAGAGGGAGAAGTGACATTTTTACCAGATTGGAGTGCACTGCAGAGGCCAGTCTCTGGGGTCACATGCACAGCGGTACGACTTTCCTATTTATGTAAAAAGGAAACTGACTTTTCCCGGTCCTGGCTGTAAAGGCTCGGGACACGGTAGACGGGACGGGAGGTGCCTCGGTGATTTGCGGAACAGGAGGAGCTTTCCCTTCCAAGCTAAACAATAAGTTCCACTTTTTTAATGGCTCTTGGGTTAGAATTACTGACAAATAAGACAGAAATGTAAAAGCCTCAAGTATGTGATTACCTTAAGTCTGGGGGACACTTAAATAGAATAAAGTAACCATTTACTTTATTTCAAGATTTGGGTTTCTTGGTTGTGGGGGATGTGTAAAACATAGTCATTGATTTTAACTTTCCCATCCAATAAATTTACCAATTCAGACAAATTGAAGACAAGGACAGTTTAAATCAACTTAATTCTATAGGAAAGAGTATTTTGAGTATTTCAAATATTTCCAAGTACACACAGTAACTCAAACCAGGCTGGTGAAATGTTTCCTTCCTTAGAACAAAGGGAGGTTTGGTGGTGATTTGGGGATAGCTTTGAGTTCAGAGCCCGGAAGAGTTACTCAGATTCTGAGGCGGTTTCTGACAGAAGGAAAGGTGATAGCCTAACGCTGAGGAGGGCAGTTTCATTAATTGGGACATGTGGGGATGTTGTTGGAGATGGACAGAGGGACATTCAGAAAGACAGAAGCAGAAGCGTGGGTTTCTGAGGAGGGCAGAGTTTCTAAGGTGGTGAACAGAAGAGTGGGTAGACTTGAGCCAACAAAGGAAGCCAGGATCAGGCCATTTTCTCACGGTCACCCTGATGATATTGGGAGCACCTTCAAGATAGGACCCTGCAGGGAAAATGTGTCATGAACGCTATGCAACCTGTGGTCATTTCTAGAGCTCGATTTAATTTTTTTCCCTTGGAAGTTATTGGGGCACTCAGGGTACGCAACCCTGAGTGCACAGGCAGAGGAAGTGAAGCTTGGCCTCACGCCCAAGCACAGAGGACTCGGGTCCCAGGGCTCCAGTGTGGAACTCTGCACGTGGTTGCGGGGTGGGTCACAGGTTTGGAGGCGTTAGGGATGGAAATATGCTCAGGGCAGAGCTGAGAAGACAAGAGGTGGCCAAAAGGGAGTGATGGGTAAATGCACAAAGGTGTCCAGGAGGGCCCTGGTGCAGGCTGGCTTCCAGGACACAGCTCTCAGGGTAGAAGGAGCCTTTCTCAGACACAGTGGAGACCAAATCTTTTAAAGTGGCTGGAAGTAGGTGTCCCTGTGACCACCGACCACTGAGGGACTGGACCAAACAGGACAGAGACTGTGGCCCCAAAACACTAGCCCCAGGCTCAGCTGCTGGAAGCTCCAGGAGCTGCCAGGATGCAGGGCCTGCATCAGGACTCCAGGCATGGACCGAAGCTGCTCCTGGATCAGCAGGGAGCTTGGCCAGGCAGGGAAGGTCACGGGCTCATAAGTCTCATGTTCTCTGCCTTCTAGGATGGTTCTCCTCTATGAAGGCAGCCTCGGCTACATTCTGTGTTTTGTTTGCTTACTAAGAGCATCAACACAAAGAGAGAATGACAATGTCCTTCCCCATCCTACTCCAAAGAACTCCCAGAATGAGGACCCAGATGTGCCTGAGTCGCACCCACACCCTCTGATTTATAACTTGCCATAAAAACCACCTGGGGGATTGTCAACCATGCTGCCAGGCAAGGCTGGGTGCTGAGAAGTGGGGGCCACTCCAACATCAGTATCACAGTCAGACACCCTGTTTTCCACTTCAAATTCCAAACATGTGTCTGTGAGTGTGGGGTAGCGGCATGGGCAACAATCTTTCATTTCATTTGTTAGTTGGGGTATTGAGATTAAAAAGCTACTAAACTCAAAATGTGGGCCAGGCAGTCAACATGTAATACCTGGACACTTTGGGCCTCTGTGGACTTGAAGCATCATCAAGACACATCACTTCTGTGGCCAACCTCTGGTCAACAGTTAGCCTTATCTTCATAAATTGCCTCCCCCACAACACAATATTTCTGTGCATTCATAGCTCTGTTTGTCCTCCGTAAATCAACCACAGGCCTGTTTAATTATCCCTCGGCAATTTTAAACAACATTTTTAATGAGGCAGAGAATACATGAGGGCTTGCAAACAGGGCTTAAGGGTCTGCCGTGGGTCACTCTGTGTGTATTTTTCAAAGCCAGCCATTCCCAAGATAAGTCACATCTCACCCGGATCTCGAGGCTTGGCTGATGGGCTTTTGCACTGCATGACCAGGGAGACTCAACCATCAGGAGGCTGCTTTCTGTCAATGGCCTTGAAGTGTGTTCATTATTATAAACACACATGATGAATTAGTGTTGTGGTTATGTAAGGAATTTGGTCATCTTGGCTCTGGCTGTGAAAGCGGCAGAGCTATGGAGAAAGTGAACGAAGGGCCATGCCTTCCACTGAAGCCCAGGCAGCTGGTGTTTGAGCTTCATTAACTTGGAGATCCATAAATCTCTCCCCCTGGTTTCCAGGTCAAAGGGATTGCTGGGTGGAAGAGCTCCAAACCCTCTCAGTTGTGGGAAACATCCCTGTGACTTTGCGGGAAGGTAGGCCTGGCCCCGATGTCCCATAGCCAGCAGGTCACTCTTAAGGGAGTGGTCCAGAGGGTCCCACCCTCTGATGGTCCTGGGCTGGGGTATAACACTCAGCGGAGCTGCAGGAGAGGGGACAGAGTACTTGTTGCCCGGCTGCATTTGTGCAGTACTGGTGCTGGGGCCCCCACACAAACCCAAGCACCAGCCCTGGCACCCAGCTGAGTGGCCAGCCCACAATCCCAGAGATGGCAAGGGCGGGCAGAAGGGGAAGAGTGAAGGAGAAGCAGCAATTGGGCACCAGGCTCCAAAGGCGCTGAAAGACAGGGCAGCCACTAGAAAGTCATGGGGAGCAGATTCCTGAGGGCCTGTCTGCAAATACTTATTTTTCTTTCTTTGAACATTCTTAGGACCACAGAAATGGGAGCAATTTCAAGAGGACAGACAGACTCTGCCCCCTGCCCTGCCAACACCCGCAGCCACGATTGCCTTTCCTCCTCCTCCCCATTCTCCTTTTCCGTCTCGCCGCAAGCCCAGATTTCGTGCTGAGCCCTGCACATGAAGTGTCTCCCTTAAATGTCATAAAGACCCCATTCTACAGATGAAGACACCAACGCATTGAGGGCATGAACAACAAGCCCAGAGGTACCCTGTCCCTCCACAGAGCTGGATCCAGACCCAGTCTAGACCTATTCCAGAGCCCAGCCTCACTGTGTCTGGGGCACGATGGTCCCTGGCCTGGAGTGAAGAACACGAGATCCGAACCTTCAGAGTACGCCTCTCTGCCTCAGCCAAGCTCTCTGTTCTGGAACCTCTGCAGGTTATTTCTAATTGAGAAGGTGCAGCAAAGCAGTTAGGGACCTGGACTCTCAAATCCAGTACAGTCACATGTT
This sequence comes from Homo sapiens, assembly GCF_000001405.40. NCBI lineage: Eukaryota > Metazoa > Chordata > Mammalia > Primates > Hominidae > Homo > Homo sapiens. The sequence goes on along the minus strand of NC_000010.11, from coordinate 43,961,855 downwards.
CTCAGCCACACGACCTGGGGAAGGCACCCAGCCACTCGCAGGCTGGAAGGAGGTTACAGAGGTCACCGAGGCACAGCCCTCACAGGAGATGTGGGTGGCATGGGCACTCAGGAAGTTAGCTGTTATCAGTCATTATTCCTTGACACCCACTCTGCCTGTTTGTTCCCTCAAACTTCTTGCAAGAGAACTATGAAGAGGTTGGGATTCTTGCTGATTTATGGTCATTACTGATGATGTCACGACTGTCCACTCAGGGCCCAAGGACACCAGGACAAGTTAGCAGCCTGCACAGGAATCCAGGAAGTTGTTATTTTAATCTTTAATGCTAGTTTTTTTTGCCAAGCTAAACAACCCCTATCGGCCCCGTAGTATGTTAACATTTTGGGAAAAATTTATGAACTGCTCCAATCCATTTTTGGTAAAGCCCATTACCTCTGAATATAGAATCAAGGTTCCAATTAAAGCTCTCCATTAGAGAATTAAAGTTATTTGCCAAACCAGAAGAGAAAAAAGATCATTCTTCATAATTTTCAAGTTCATCTGCCTGAAACCAGCAGTCTCCTTCCAGTCCTCAGGCAAGTGATCAACTCATTCAATGTTTCAGAGCATGGACCACAAAACAGAGAAACTTCTGGGAATCTGGACAAAACAGTGCCTCCCCCCAAGGGATCTCAGACAGTCGCTAGGGCTTGCACACACACATATGCGCACATACACACACTCACATGGTTGCTCTAGGATCCTAACATCTGTAGTCAAGGAGGTCCAATGTTTTTAGGAGTAAAAATAAATCCCAATTTCTTCCACTTTGGAAGCTCGTAGACGGCAGGCTTTGTAGGAGAAGTTATTTCAACTGGGTTTAAAAGTTTTGGTACGGTTTTGCCGGATAGAAATAGATGGGCAAATACACAGAGGTTGAGAAGTCCAAGTCAGTGATGCTGAGGGCCCAGGACCATCTGTGTTTGGAGACAGCAGGTGGGAGTGCAGAGATGATGCTAGAAAACTTCCCGAATACATGTTATGATGCTAGGCGTTTATTCTGATAGGTGTATTTTACTTCTGACAGATCTCTGCAAAATCTCCAGCTCCTGCCTTTCTGGGCTTTCAGAATCCAGGACCATATGGGACCCATGGACAGTGCAGGCAGGGCAGGAGGCCTCTCCGGGTGCTGAGCTGCCCCGCCATGGGCCACAAGCTGTGCTTCTCAGCACCAATGGTTGTGTCACTCTCATTGGTGGTGCTGGCTTTAGGAGGATGTTGGGGACTCTTTTTGACTCTCCTTGTCTAGATGCCCACATTCTTTGTTAAGGAGCCATCTCCTTTGCTGGGGTCCCCTCTGCCCTCTCTGTTCTAGGATGGTGGGACTATCTGATAAACTAAGTTTTCCAGGGCAGCCCAGGAGGGAAGGCAGCACATGGCTGCACGGAACCTTCTCTGGAGACACAGAATGAAGACCTACAGCCATGCAACCTCCCTTTACTCAGGTCTTTCCAATAGAGAAACTATTCAAGGAAGCCCCCAGGCCTGTGCACGAGGACAAAGAGCAACAAAGAAATAACAAATGGAGTTCAGTTCTAGGACGCCTGATGTCTGCTTAAGAATAAAGGGGCATTTCATTTTGAGATGGGAAGTGGGGACCCTGGGGCCCTGTCCATTGAAATGACCCTTGGCTTCTAGAAGTAGGGGACAGCCCTTACCCAGCTCAGGCATCACAAAATCCTCAGCCAAGCAGCTGGGGGCCTTTAGGGGTATCGTTGGTGTTGTCCTGCTGCCAGCTCCCCGGCCAGATGGAGCCCAGAGCACCGTGCCAGGTTCTTGAGGGCAGACCCTGCAGGCTGCTGAGTGAGCCGAGGAGGGTCAGAAGATTCCTCCACTGACGGCTTTTGGCTGGTCAGTGAGTGCCCATGACCTTGGAGGAGGAGCCCAAGGCTCTGTCAGGCTCTGTCCCCTGTAAATTATTACATGGCCACCTTGTGGCTCAGAGGGCCCTACCTACTATATGAAAATGATATATCTTGAATGATTTATTTATGTCTTTAACAATCATCTATTGAGCACACGTGGCCATGTGGTTCCTCCCCTTGAGCTCACAATCTAATAAAAATAAATATAAGTTATTTCAGTGCAGTCTAGTGCATGCAGTACCAGCATGTCCACATGACAGGGGCTGTTACAAAGGAGTACGGGATTCCCTTCAGGCAAGCAGGGACGTGTAGAGAGAGGCTGGATAAGCCTCCTCAGGGAGGCGATGCTCTAGGCTTCTGGCTAGGAGTGTGCCAGGCAGATGTCTGTGCAGCCTCATTCCAGCAGCAGAAACACCTACTCCATTGTCCAGATTTGGAACACTGGAGAGGGAAAGGGGATGCGGTTACCAATGATAATCAAACAATAGGCATAAACCAGTGCTGTCCCCAGCCATGTGGGACACGTGTTCACCCTGTGTCTAAACAGAGTGTGCACAGGCATTGGAGGCATGAACAACATCTATTGAATTTGGGCTGCTAGTAACAAAAACCATTGCTAAGTGTGTGTAACTCGAGTCCAAGTCAGCCTCCAGGTGAGGTGCCATTCAGCATCTTAATGCCTCCACCAGGGACCCAGCTGCCTTCTCCTCATGTGTTTCACTGTCCTCACCCTCAGCTTCATCCCAGGGCTGTGGCCCCAGTGGTCTGTCTCAGGGCAGCCAACAGCAACACGCTACAAGCTCTCTTATCCACACCAGTGAGACAGAAAGGAAGTCATCTTCGCTTCAGCCTGACTCTCCACCCCAGGTCAATTACGCAGGGGATGCTGCGTGCAGAGAAGGAGGACAAGCCGCCTTCCTCCCAAGAGCTGGGCAGGGGGTAATGGGACATGAGGAGAGAGCAGGAGAGCAGTACAGGGTGGGCAGTCAGCAGTGCCCACAGCCAGGACAATTCCAGATTCCTGGAGCTGCAGGCAGGGACAGAGGTCATAGGGGAAGGTGAAGAACATCAGAGTACAGGGAGGAGGGAGCAGATTCTGAACAGTCCTGTCCACTTTTAATGGAAAGTCAGGTTGAATTTAAGCTTTGTGCTTTTAGAGAACTCACTCTTGAGATAACATGGAGGGTGGACTAGCAAAGGGTACATTATAGGCGTGGAATCAACAGTAATGCTACGGCAAAATTCAGGTGAAGGGTGATGTGGCTGACTGCTCCCTTTTCTGGATCCCAGATCTGGATGTGTAAACATTTTCTGGGCATCTGCTTCTTTGCACTGTGGGGAGGTTGAAGTCAGGGTCTACCCTTCCCCACCTCTCTGTCCCTGCAGTAAGCAGGTGACTGTGCACACAGTGGGTACTTAGTAAATATTTGATGCTTAAGTGAATGATGGAATGGGTGCCTCTGATGAGGGCCCTGTTCACCCAGCCAGTCTGGTAGGCAGGCTTTCCTGCTCTGCCAGTCTCAAGGCTGCCACTCTTGGTGGCCATGTTGAATGGCATGAAGCCAGGGACTTAGAGAGCTTCCCTGCTCCCTAGTGTACTGAGATAGCAGCCAGGCAGGGCGTGTTTCTGGTCACAGGCTTAGGAGAAAGGCCAGGATCCTACCGGGTTCACGGCCCCGGTATAGTCTGACCCCATCAGTGAGAGGACACAGCCCAAGCACAGCTGCTGCTCCTCTCCATTCAGGATGGGAGGTCCAAGGCAGCACTAAACAATGCCAGGACCCAGGAGGCAGGCGCAGTGAGCAGGGTCCTGTCTTGCACAGTGCAGCGGCATCTAGAAGGCTGATACCCATCTCTCTTGCTCCCTGGATGATCCCAATCCCTGAGGACTTTAATGAAGAGCATCACATTCCTTCGTGTGGTATCAAGGCCCCCTGTGGCCTCACCTCTGATTACCACAGGGCTCATCCTACCATTCCTTGCTCCCCATGGTCTAAATCCAGGAAGCCCATTCACTGGCCCACCCCAGGCCTCCCTCCATGATGTGCCGAGCTCCTAGAATCCTCCCGCACCTGGTTTTGTGGTCACGTCCTCAAGCAAAAGCCCTCCCATCTGGGTTAGCTGGCTGCCCCCAGAAGTCTCCATGCACAATGCTGAATGCAAATATCAGAGCCTAGGGGGCTGCAGGCTCCACAGAAACAGCTTCCTTGCCATGCTTGGTCTGTGCTTAGCCAACGTTAATAACAATGAGCAGGTGAGAGGATGGCCCTGTGAGATAGGAGGGTCCTCTGCACTAAGCTCACTGTCCAGGGATTCCCCTCAGCCCCCATCTGATGCCCTCCAGTCTTAAAGGACCAAGCATGGATTAAAGATTCACCAATGGTAACTGCACCCCAATAACACAGACTCTTCATGTTACAAAGCACAGATCATTGGAGTAGAGCCATGAGGCCTGGCTTTACTACTACTGAGTCATGTGACTGTTGACAAGTCTTTGTCACCGCTCTGATCCTTTGTCTCCTCTTCTGTATAAGGGATCATTGTACATTGCTCATAGGGTTGCACCAGCACATACATAGAAAGACTTGGCTTTTACAAGATGTGCCACATCACACAGCAGTGAAGCCTCCTCTTTTTCTAAAACCCAGGCAAAGACACAGGTCAAGCTTGCCTTGTTAGCACAGTTGAAATCAGGGTAATCTCAGCCCTCCCAATCTATCAAAAAATGGTCCCTAACTGGATGTAGATCATGTTAAGTTTTAGGGTACATCAGTGGATATTGTTCTTGGAAGGATTCTGGAGTAAGACACTTCTCCTTTAGGGGTCTGGGTGAGAGTACTCCCTATTTTGAGGGGCCCTGGACTTAGGTACCTTTCCTGGGGGGCTTCAGTGGGCCACTCTTCCTTTGGAGACTGTGGAGTGCAACATTCTTCAGTTGGATAGATGTAACCTGTTGGTGCAGATCTCTGGCAGATGAAACACCACCCCATGGAAACTGCTCTACAAAGACCACTGTTTAGATTGAATTGTGTCCCCCAAAAAGATAGGTTGAAGTCCTACTCCTGGTACATGTGAATGTGACCTTATTTGGAAATAGGATCTCTGCCAATGTAATCAAGTTAAAATGAGGTCATTAGGGTATGCCCTAATCCAACAACTGGCATCCTCACAGGAAGAGGTGAAGAGATACAGTCGCAGACAGACAGGAACGGGACACCCTGTAGCTGCAGGGATTGGTATGATGCTGCCACAAGCCAAGGAGCCCCTGGGCTACCAGAAGCTGGAAGAGGAAAGGAATGATTTTTCCCTGGAGGCTTTGGAGACAGCGTGCCCCTGTCAACATCTTGGTTTTGGATTTCAGGCCTCCAGAACTGTGATAGAATACATTTCTGTTGTTTAAGCCACCCAGATTGTGGGACATTGTTACGCAGCCCTAGCAAACACACAACCACCTGCAAGCAAATAGAACTTTCTGTCCATTGCGTGCAGGAGCTCCCTGCTCTGTCTGACAGTGTGAGCAGCCCACTGAAACTCCCCGTGCTGTGGGGCAGCACTCTGTCCACTGTCCCCTCAGTCCCCGAGCTCTGACAGCTCCTTCTCTGCCATGCCCTCCTCCTCCATGCCCTGCTCAGGTACAGTGCCTCCCTAGAGAGCTGCTCCAGCTAAATTAAAGCACACACCCCTGTGATGGCTGAAAGCACAGTGGGGAGTCTGGTCCTGTTGTTTTTAACTACTGTTTCTTCTCTTATCTCCAGTTAGTCTCAACAAATATTTTACTGAGCACCTGCTATGTGACCATCACTGCCCTGGGCCCGTGGGACTCAGCATGAACAGGGAAGACACGTGGAGCTGATGCTCTGGTGACTGAGCTAAGGACAGGGAGGTGGAAGAAGGGGCAGGTCAGGAACAGAAAACACACCAAACACAAACAACTAAGATTGTCTCTGGTTGTGAAGAGTGCTATAAAAAATAGCATCTCAGGTGGTAGAGAGTGGCACACGTTAGGAGCACTCTCTCCGAGGGTGTAACCTTTGATGGGAATGGCAGGGCCTCCTGGGGGGTCCTCTGCAGGCACAGAACAGCTTCATCAGTGGCCCTGAAGAAGAACAAGCACATTTTCCTCAAGGAAAAGGAAGAAGGCCCAGGGGCTGGAGTCAAGCACCTGAATGGAGAACTTGAGGACATGCATTTGAAGGCATAGGTATTTGTGTTTTTTCCTATTACCTTTTATTATTTCTTTAATTATAAAAACTGGAAATACAAACTTAAAACTGTGGGAAAACATTAAAAATCAGTTTCAGTAATCTCCCCAGGGACAACAACTAGAACCATTTTAAGGGTATTGCCTTCTAGATGAGTGGTTGCCAAAGTGCGGTTCCTGAACCAGCAGCAATCAGTACTATTTAGCAAGTTCTTAGAAACGCAGATTCCTGGCCCCACCTCAGACCTACTGAATCAGAAACCCTGGGGTCAGAGCTCTGCAATCTGTGTATTAAAGACAGCTCCACACCCCCAGGTGATTCTGATGCCTGCTGGAGTTTGAGAAGCACTGATTGTTTCTACTAGGTCTCCATTACCTGCAGCTGGGTTGCACATTGGCCGAGTAGGTTGGGAGAGTCCAGGGCTTAAAACATACCTTCCAACTGAGGTTGCATGTTCACTGACCAACAGACCAGCTGTAGCAAGGGACATATGCAAGACCACAGGAGACGGTCACAGCAAGCTGGTACAGCACAGAAAACAGACGGGACCCTGCAGAAAGGACACCAGGCACAGATAGGAGCCAGAGCCATAGGCAGTTGGACAGCTGGCAGTGAGCATTAGGAAGGCTTGTCATTGAGGGGCCTAGTCCAGCTGGGGGTTGCTGTGTATGCAAATCTCTCACAAGGACACAGCAAAGGTGAAATACCACTCCAGGGCATAGATGCTCTGAGCAGCAGTCTTCCATGGCAATCTTCAGAGGCAGAGAAAATGCAACAGCTCCATTATAAGAATCAGGACACTCTAAGCCTTGGGTGGGACTAGCTGCAAGGCCAGTGCTGGTCTCTTTGTGTTACGTGAAAATTCTGGCCTTCTTCCTGCCTTACCTCAGGACTGGCTATCAGTCCCTGTAAGCAACCCTGGTAAGGTGTTCCCTTTCTATGCTAAAATAGTGACACTCTCACAAGTCTCTTGACTCCCTGGCTCAATCATCACTGCTGATGCTGGGAGCAGCCTGCAAGGTCCCTTGTGTAGCGCCCGTCAGCTCCCCATGAGCCCCCTTTCTGGAAGGCCATCAACACCAAAATAAGCAGGACTCCACAGGGGCTCTCAATAGTCTTCATGGAATGGCATGACTCAAAGCACCAGCACTTGGTTTGTTGAAGAATTCTCTAGGCTTTCAGTCAGAATGGTTTTACTGTAATTGTCCCACAGTTCTGATAATCTTCCAGTCAGCCTTGAATCAGAAAAGTAGAAAGCATGAAAGACAGTAACTACAGACACACAGGCTGCCAAAAAAATAAAGCAGAAATGGCTGACTGGCCAAAGGCAAGCAAAGAAAATGAAAAGCTAGAAAATCCAAGCTAAAAAGTTCTAGGACCATATTATGTGGGAGAATAAACTTTCATAACATTCAGTTGTAGAACTGTGTTGTGATGGTTTTTGAAAGATTAGAGGAGAGCAGATTTTGCTCCATCTTCAAAAGGATCATAGGGCGGTGCAGATGGGGACATGAAAAGTGGTGTTGGGAGGAGTTCAGTAAACCCTCTCCCCAGCAAAACAAACTTTTAACTGGAGAACATTTCACAAAACAATGATTTAAAGTCTCTGGGAATTGTCCTAAGGGCATATGGTAGATAGGGAACATTCGTTCAAGAAATTCTACTAAATCTTAGTAATAACAGTGAAAGTCTGTGACATCTGAGTTACAACCAGCTCCCATGCCCACCCTCGGCTCAGGAAAGAAGCTCTCCTCTAGGTGGGTGTGGCCAAGAAGGTGGGGCTTCTTCTCCCTCAAGATCCAAGTCTAGAGCTACAGTTTCAGCCAGGATGGGAGGTTGTCAGCCAATCTCACAGCCCTCCCCAGCTCTGTGCTGCACGAGCTTTATTCTAGGCAGGCGTGCCTAAGAGGACCAGGGCTCCCTTCCTGTACTCAGGCCCCACTCATAAGGCTAAGAACATGGGACTGATCACCCCTGCCCCAGCTCACTTGCAGGGTGGCAGCTCAATGCCAGGAGAGGCAAGAGGAGAAGACCTCACTCATAGAGCAAGGATATCTCTCCAAGAGAAAAGGGCCACTGTCACCACCCTCAGCTCTGTTTTTTGTGGCATAGAGATTCTGCCCAAAAGGAGAAGGGAGTTTTAAGAACAGGAAGACCCTCAACTCTCCTTAAAGGAATGGACATTATTTGTCATATAGTTTGACAGAAAAATGTCTGAGGGCATTGTTAAAAGCAACGGAGATCTTGGTGATGAGTAAGAGGAAGCTGTCTATCCATGACAGTAGTAGAAACAAGCAAGATGGTATACCAGCTAGAAGTTTGACAGAGGAACCAGGGAAAGAAACTGCTAAGAAGAGCCCTCCTTGGGTCAGTGCAAGACATGAAGATGGGAACACCTTGCCCTGCAAAAAGACATGGCTTTAATTGAATTAAACTATGAAGCATTATACACCAAGGTATTTTTTAAAACAATATAGAGAAAATAGCAATTACTGGAGGCTAATATCTGTGTGAGACATGAATAGAGGCAGACCAGCCAGAAGCTTAAAACAGGCAGATCACGGAAAGAGAGTCAAAGTGCACCCAACTAAACCACAGATCTCACAGATCTATGCTGGCCAGGGAGACTGTTTGCCTTCTCAAGGCTGCACCCTCAGAGCAGAGACATCAGAGGCTCCACACTGCAGGGAAATAGACATCACTGAACTAGTCGAAAGGCAAAAGCAAAGAGAAAACCTTGAACACAGAACAAGAAAAGTGACTCATCACATGCAAGGGAACCCCAAGAAGGCTAACAGCTGACCTCTCCTCAGAAACAATGGAGGCCAGAGGTAGTGGGATTCAAAAATACAGAAAGAAAAAGAATTGTCAGTCAAGAACCTTACAACCAGGAAAACACTTTCACAAATGAAGGCTAAGTAAAGAAAATCCTAAATTAATAAAAAATGAGATTATTCAATGTTAGAAGGTCTTCCTTGAGAGAAATCCTAAAGGAATCTCTCAGGCTAACAGCAGATAACTTCAGGAAGTATTTCAAATCCACACAATAAAACAAACACTGCCAGTAAAGGTAATTATGTAGATAATTATAAAAGGCAGTATAACTGCAGATTTTTCTCCTTTCTTCTCTAAGTATATTTTTTAAAAAACAATTACATAAAAAAGGTATATAATTGTGTCATTGGGTCTATAACACATAGAAATATAGTGTATTTGAAAATACCAAAACGAAAGAGATCAATGGAGAAAAGGTTGTATGGGAAAGGAGATGACACCAGCTAGTAACTCAGATCCACAGGAAGAAATGAAAAGAACCAGAAATGACAATTAAGAAACTCTGTAAATATATACTTGCTTTGTTTTCTTTTCTCAGCTTCTTTAAAACAAAAAAAAATATGTAAAATAATAAATATAACAATGAATCCTTATGTTTCTATTAATAACTTATATAGATGTTATAATATATACAACAATAATAAATGACAGGAGGAAGGGAAAAAGCCATATAGAAGTAAAGTTTCTATATCTTACTGAAATTAAATTAATTTAAATCTAAATTAGATTGGATAAGTTAAGATGCATATTGTAAGCACCAGAACGACCACTAAGAAAATAATTCAAAAGTAGCTTAAAAACTTATTAAAGGAATTAAAATATTAAGTAGAAAATATTCATTTTGGAGGAACAGAGGAAGAGGAAAAGAAACGAGACATAAAAAACAAAAAGTAAAATGGCAGGCATAAATTCAACTATATCAATAATAACATTAAATGGAAATACTTTAAACAATCCAATCAAAAGGCAGATATTTTAAGACCAGATGCCAAACAAAATCCACAGGATCCACAAAATCCTGCAGGAGACACTTTAGATTCAAAGACACAAACAAGTTGAAAGTGAAGGAATGTAGAAAGTCATGTCATACAAATAGCAACAATAAGAGAGCTGGAATGACTATACAAATATCAGACAATACAGACCTTAAGGCAAAAAAAAAAACAATTACTAGAGATAAGAGAGAAATTCTATCATGATAAATAAGATCAATCCATTAGGATACTGTAACAATTATAAGCACAGGCACCTAACAACAGAGCCACAACATAGATGAATCAAAAACTGACAGAACTGAAGGAAGACAGTGACAATTTGATAACATCAGCTGGAGACTTTCATACCTCATTTTCAGTAAAGATAGGAGAACTAGACAGATCAAAAAGCATATAGAAGACTAGAAATCACTACAAACCAACTAGACTTGAGAGACATCTATAGAACAATCCACCCAACAATAACAGAATACACATTCTTCTCGAGGGCACATGGAACATTCTTCAGGATTTGCTACACCCTAAGCAAGGATCAATAAATGTAAAGAAATTTAAATCTACACAACGTATTTTTCTAATCACAATGATATAGGAAATCAATAAAAGTAAAGAAATTTAAGAAATTCACAAATATGTGGAAATTACATATTATTAAATAACCAATAGCTTAAAGGAGAAATCACATGGGAAATTTAAAAATACCTGAAATAAATGAAAATGAAAATAAAAACACAACATAGAAAAACTTCTGGGTTGCAGCTGAAGCAGTACTTGGAAGAAAGGGGGATTTATAGCTCTAAATGCTTATAAATTGAAAAGAAGAAAGATCTCAAACCATTATTAACCAAGCATCCCTGGTGGTCTAGTGGTTAGGATTCACTGTTCTCGAATCATTAAACTAACATTCCATCTTAGAAACTAGAAAAGAAGATAAACTAAACCCAAAAGAAAACAGAAGGAAGGAAATAAAAGCATTAGAAAAGAAATAAATAAAATAGAGAATAGAAGAATAAACAAGAAAAATCACTAAACCCAAAAGTTGATAAACTTTTTGTTAGACTGACCAATAAATAAGAGAAGATTCAAATTATCAAAATCAAAAATAATAGAGGGCATCACTACTATTGGAGAAATAAAAGAGATTATAGAAGAATTCTATGTACAATTGTATGGCAACAAATTAAATAACCTAGATAAAATGGACAAATACCTAGAAACACACTAACTACTAGGACTGACTCAAGAAGAAATAAAAAATATGAATAGTCACAATGGCAAAAACATGGAATCAACTCAGGCACCCATCAATGGTGGATTGGATTTTTGAAATGTGGTACATGTACACCATGGAATACTACACAGCCATAAAAAGAATGAAATCGTGTCTTGTGCAGCAACATGAATCCAGCTGAAGGTCATAATCCTAAGTGAACTAATGCAGAAACAGAAAACCAAATACTGCATGTTCTCACTTAGCAGTAGTAGCTAAACTTCTTCCCATATAGATGGGAAGAATAAACACTTGGGACTACTGGAGAGGAGAGAAAAGGGAAGAGGGAAGGGCGGAAAAACTACCTATTGGGTACTATGCTCACTGCCTGGGTGACGGGTTCAATCACACTTCGAACCTCAGTGTCACACAATGTACCTTTGTAACAAACCTGCACATGTACCCCTGATTCTAAAATAAAAACTGAAAAATAAAAATAAAATCTGAATAGACCTATAAAAGTAAAGATACTGAATTAGTAATTCAAAACTATTCACAAAGAAAAGCTAAAGCTCAGATAGCCTCAAAGGTGAATTCTATCAAACATTTAATGAAGAATCAACACCAATCCTTCACAAACTCTTCCCAAACAAATAGAAAAGAAGGAAACACTCCAATATATTTTACAAGTCCAGTATTACCTTGACACCAAAACCATACAAAAACATCACACACAACAAGAAGACTATAGACAAAGCACTTGCAAATATACATATAAAAATCCTCTACAAAATAATAGCAAACCAAATCCAGAAAATATATAAAAAGAATCATACACCATGACTAATTAGTATTTATTCAAGGAATCTAAGATTTGTTTAGCATCTGAAAATCAATTCAAATAGTAATTCATATTAATAAAAACAAAAGCATGTGATTATCTTAATAAATAGAGAAAAAGCACTTGAAAAACTCAAAATTTTTTTGTAATAAAAAGACTCAATAAATTAGAAAAACAGGGAATTTTCTCAACCTGATAAAAATCATCTATGAAAAACTCACAACCAACTTCACAATTAATGATGAGAAACTGAATGCTTTTATCATAAGTTCAGGAAACAAGACAGAGATGTGCATTCCGACCACTTCTATTCAGCATTGTACTGGATTCCTGCCAAGACGATGAGGCAAAGAAAGAAAGGAAAAGGAAGGAAGGAAGGAAGGAAGGAAGGTCACATTGAAATAAAAGAAGCGAAGCTTTCTCTACTTACAGATGACATATCTTGTATATGGAAAATTCTAAAGAATACACTCAAAACGATTAGATCTAATAGACAAGTTGATCAAATTTGCAGAATACAATATATGCAAACATTGAGCCACACAAAAATGAAATTTTTAAAAATTATTCCATCTAGAATAACATTAACATAAATAAAATACTCAGGAATAAAGCAAACAAAAGAAGTGCACATTTTGAACTTGAAATCTACAAAACATTACTGAAAGAAACAGAAGACAAAAATAAATTGAGAAATGCCTCAGATTAATATTGCTTAATTGTATTAATTAGTATTGTCATATTATCAATATTAAGCCAATATTAACCAATATATAAGTCAATATTAACCAATATTAGTTAATATTGGTTTAGAATACTGAACCTGTCACCCACAGATTCAAGGCTATCTCTATCAAAATACCTGCTGGCTTTTTTCTAGAAATGATAAGCTAATCCTGAAATCTGCATGGAAATGGCAGTGACCTGGAAAAGCTAAAATAATCTTGAAAAAGAAAAATAAACATGGAAGACTCATACTTGTTGATTTCGAGGCTTACTACAACACTACAGTAATCAAGTCAATGTAGTACTCCTATAAGGACAGATCAATGGAATAGATCTGGAGTCCAAAAATAAGCCCCTACATTTATGGTCAATTAATTTTCAACAAGGGAAGCAAGACAATTTAATGAGGGAAAGATTAGTCTTTTCAACAGATGGTGACAACTATCACATAAATGCTGACAACAAGTATCAGACAACTGGATATTCAATGCAAAAGAATGAAACTGAGACCCTACTTTACACCATACCAAAAAAAAAAAAAAACCCAAAATGATCATAAATGTAAATGTAAGAGCTAAAAATTACAAAACTCTTAGAAGAAAACTTAGGAGCAAATCTTCATAATCATGGGTTAAGCAATGGTATCTTAATTATGACACCAAAAGCACAAGTGAAAAAGTAAAATAGATAAATTGGACTTCATCAATATTAAAAAACCTTTGCTCTTCAATGGACATGACTAAAAATGTGAAAAGATGACTGCAGAATGAGAGAAAATATTTGCAAATCATATATTTGGATAAGAGACTTATACCTAGAATATATAATATGCTCTTGCAAATCAATAATAAAAAGACTAATCGAAAATGGACAAAGGTTCTAAATAGAATCTTCTACAATGAAGATGTGCAAGTGGCCACATGAAAAAGTACTCAACATAATTAATCAATAGGGAAATACAAATCAAAACCACAATGAGATGCCACTTTGCACCAGCTGGAATAGTTATAATCAAAAAGACAACATTGGTAAGGAAATGGAGAAACTGAAATTCTCACATATTGCTGAATAAAGAAATTACTCAATGTATTCTAATGTAAAATGATTGCTGAATAAAGAATTTACTCAATGTATTCTAATGTAAAATAGTGCAGCAAAATTTTGATAGTTCCTCAAATAGTTAAATATAGTTACCATGTGATCCAGCAATACTAATTCTAGGTATATATCCAAAAGAAATGAAAACATGCAATACAAAGTCTTGTACATGAATGTTCATAGCAGCACTATTCATAATAGTCAAAGCTAGAAAACAGTCCCAATGTCCATCAACTGTTGAGTGGATAAATAAAATGTGGTGTATCCACAGAATGGAATATTATTTGGCAATAAAAAAGAATAAAGTAGTGATACATGCTATAAAATAAGTGAACCTTGAAAACATTATGCCTAGTAAAAGACCAAGACCACATAACCTATTTTTCATTCACATAAATTATCCCAGGAGAGATAAATCTATGAAGACAGAGTTAATAATGTCCAGCACTTACGGGTTAAGAAAGATTAGGAGTGACTGATAATGGCTATAGGGTTTCTTTTTGGGATCTCGAAAATGTGCTAAAATTAGATTGTGATGATGGTTGCATAATTGTGAATATACCAAATCATTTAATCTACACTTTAAATGGGTGAACTGTATGGCATATGGTTTATATATCAATAAAGCTGTTAAAGATGTGGAGATGTGTATTAGCTTTTATATGTTACTCATAATTTTATTTCACTTTTTATTTCTCTAAACCTATGAGATATTATTTTATATTCTTATATGGTAATTCCAATGTCACAAGTATGTTTGTATCTTAACTTTAGTTTCTAATTTTTGATGACTCCATTTGTTTTATCATGTCTTTGATTTTGAGATTATATTCATTGAAACTTTTATCTATGGAATTTCCTTGAGGTCTTCGTTGTGAGGTAATTTCCCAAAGAAAATTTATCTTAGTTTCTGCAAGGTATCTTGGGCCCTTATTGTCCAGGTCTACTTTAAATTTTTAATCGTTTTCCCCCTGGCCACATAAGTAGTTTGAATCCGTGTTCCAAGCCTTTATTAGTTTTCTTTCATATGATTTTTTTTTATTGTTGGAGACAAGAACATTTTCTTGCTATCCCTCATTTCTTCCTTTTTGTTTTACTAGTTCAGAATTTTACTTGAAATTGTTCCCTTTCAAGTTATCAATTTTATGCAGGGGTTTCCAAACTATTTTTTTAAAATTTAATATATGTATTAAAATTTTTATATAATTTCAACTTTTATTTTAGAGGCAGGGAGTACGTGTGCAGGTATGTTAAATGGGCATACTGGGTGATGCTGGGATTTTGGATACAAATGAT
Source organism: Homo sapiens (assembly GCF_000001405.40). Taxonomy (NCBI): domain Eukaryota; kingdom Metazoa; phylum Chordata; class Mammalia; order Primates; family Hominidae; genus Homo; species Homo sapiens. The sequence goes on along the minus strand of NC_000010.11, from coordinate 43,946,748 downwards.
GTGGTTAAACGGGAAGATGAAGGAAGAGGCAGACCTCAGCATTTAGAAACCTGGCCTTAGAGAACCCCGCTCCTCGAGGGCGTGGGACTGAACAGGCGGATGTGGAATACTAGACAGCGCAGAACTCAGCAGCGGATTCAGATCTCAGTTCTGAGGCTTGCTGGTGCTTCATCTCAAGTAACTGGCTGAACTTCTCTGAGCCTGTCTAGAGAAATTCGCATCTGTTTATAGAGTTGTTGGAAGTGTTGAAGTAGGTCCCATGCATAAAGCGTTTAGCACAATATCTGATAGGTTTGATAACTGATAACTACCTAACGATATTGCCGTTATTATCACCATTAGTTACAGGGACCAGATTGGAATGCATAAAACCTTGGAGCACCCAGTGCTACACAAAGGCTCCAATCACCCAGTTCCTTGGGGTGTGGTCACCTGTACTTTTACTTCCTACGGAGAGATTTTGCCCTAGATTTACTGGGCAGGGCTGGATGTCATTTATTACCCTCTCAAGTGTCTACAGACTCTTTTTCAAAAGCACATCTAACTCTACTCCTCAAAGTGTTATTAAAAAATTATGAGAAAACACATTGGGATTTACTTCTGGTCTTGTCCGCAGGGGATCTTGGTGGCACAAGGCCAGCTGTGCATTCTGATGAAAGGAGCGATTGGGCTGCTGGTAGTGGTCAGTGTAAGCACAACTGTTCCAAATGGCTGTCTGATCCTTTAATTGTAGGGTAAAGTAATTTGCTGTCTTCCTATTAGGGACATAAGAATAGAGAGATCACACAGTGGGAACCAGTATCAGACCGCCAAGTATAGCCAAGCCTGCCATGCAGTCCCCGTCAATCCTTATTCTCACCCAGTCAAGGAGCACCTCCTAGAACTGACAGCTATAAATAATTCTATCAATATTTTTCTCTCAAACAGGAAGTTTCCAGCAGCAAACCCCTTCAGGGCCAGAACTGTATCTTAAATAATTCCACAGTCACCTAGAACAACCTTCCCGTGGGTGGTACAAAGCCTGCATCTTTGCAGTGATGGTGGTGAAGCCATTACTGACCAAAGGTAAGTCGCCATTTGTGATTTGGTTGAAATGGCCACACATTTAATCCTGTCTGCTCCTAACTGGTGGGACAGCATGAGCCCCGTCTCCTCTGGGGAGTCAGAACGTCACTGGACATAGGCGGCGACCTACTGAGAAAGCAAGGGCTGCAGTTCCTTCTCCCGGTACATGAGGGGGTGGGGAGGGCCAGGTTAGTTGGAGTTGACTTCCCTGGGGTCCAGACTGACCCAGCACCTCAGCAAGGGGGAGGGCAGAACCAAGCTAAAATGGTTTTCAAGATGGATGTGTCACTGCTGACTGTGAGAATAATTTCTTCCCAGCTGTATTTGTCTAGGGATTTGTGGCTGGGAGATGGACAGGATCCCTGAGTGGGAAGACTGTCGTTAGTCTCCCCAGAGTGGAAGCAGACACACTTAGAGGAGGTGATGAATGACGGGCACTTTCTGGCTCACAGATGGCCTCCTGTTAGGTCACTTAGTGTGTTTTTCCCTAATGGCTTTCTCAGTGTGGGTCAGGGACAGACACTGGGAGCACACACACACAAACACACACACACACACACACACACACACTGAACATGATGCTTTGGGTCGTCTAACTTACTTTGACTTTCCGATTTGTCTCCTGGACTAGGTTAAACTATCTGTCACCTTCACGACTGGTGGGTGGGGGCTAAGGCCTCAGAGTGCTGGTATCCTTCACCCATGTCACATCCCTGTGCACACAGCCTGGCCTCCACCCTCAGATTCACAATCACAGGGCATGAAGTTCACCTAATTCAACCTGTCCACTTTCCAGCTGACAAAAGTTTGGTCAAGAGAAGGGAAGTGTCTCACCCTGTTGTTTCAACGCTGCTGGGGGTTGAGGGTCTCCTGCCCTCAGAAACATGTGCTATCTCCAGTGCCCACCATGCCCCACAGGATCTGCTCCCTGGCACCCCAGGAGTGTCTGTGGCAGCTTGATTAGCCATAAATACTCTCCTAATAAACCTACCCTGTTATGGGCTGTTTCTGTTAGGAGGAATTATTACTGCCACAACATAAATTTCCTAGAAAAGATATGGTCGGGTCACACAATGTAGCCTATTATGAGAACCAGAGTAATAAAAGAGCCAGATAATTTATGTGTCTCTCTGGGTTTCCTACGCTTATCTCTAAGGAAGGAGCCAAGATGTTGAGACAAATAGAGAAGCAAATGTGTGTGGCTGGAAACCCTGTGTAATTTGTCCAGTATTTCTTTTGCAAAGGCATTTTGAACATTGAAGCTTGTCATGGCTAATGATGAGCACCATTCCTGTGGAGGAGGCCACCATTCTCCGTCTTTACTGAAGACAAAGGAAGTGGGAATGAGCTGCTAGAGAAGTCACATGTGCTTTCTAATGAGACAGGATCTCGTCTGTTAAGGGTTGGGGTCCAGGGGCATTTTAGTGTGGACAGGAGCCTGGGACCCTCCCTCTGTGTTCCATTGATGTACATGCACTCTGCAGCTTAGAGGGTGGGGCATGGAGTGTGGCCTGGGGGGCCGGCTGCTCCCTCCCCCAGTGAGCATTTCCCTGGCAGATGAGGGCACTCCTGTCTCTGCCCCATGCCAGACCCTAGGCTGACCCTAGACAAGGGGATTTAGGGAGCACAAAGGCAGCCACAGGGACCAACCTGGGTCCCTCCCACCACCACCTGCCAGCCAGGGCCATTTACTGAGACTGAGCGTCACCCAAGGCCTGGACGTCTTCCTGGACTGTGAGTTGCTTTTGGGCCCAGGACTCTTCGAATGCGTCTCATGACAGAGAGGCAGGCAGACAAGCACAGGATGGAACAAGCGGCCGATGCTCCCTGTCAGACAGGAGTGGGGACAAGCTGTCACCCTTGCCGGGAACCTCGGGGCCCAAATCATGCTGACTGGTGAAAAAAGAGAATCAGCGTCCTTTCCTAAAGAAAGTGCCTCCAAAGGCACCATAATTCAAGCAGAACCTTCTTGATTAACTGGGACTTAATTTACTCAAAGCACTTCCGCACAAGTAAAGCTTGTCATGCTCCACAGAGTCGGGAGCGGCAGCTCAGCTCAGGGGGGGCTCGCTCCCTCCCCGGGTCCTGCCACCTTCCCCACCCCCCACTCCCCCACACCTTCCCCCGAGCTTCCCCACCCGGCCACTCCCACACCCTCCACCCCTCTTCCCCGCTCGGCTACCACCTCACTTCCCCACCCACACTTCCCCACCCAGCCACCCCCACGTCCCCCACCCATGCTTTTCCATCTGGCTACCCCCACCTCCCCACTCAGCCACCCCCATGGCCACCCCACTCCACCAACCCATGCTTCCCCACCCAGCCACCCTCATGCCCCCCACCCACGCTTCCCCACAAGGCTACCCCCACACCCGCCTCCCAACCCAGACTCAGCAGCATACCTAGTCTGGCCGAGCATGGGCTGGTGAGGCTGTGTCAGCTCCTGCTATGACATGTCACTTGTGTTGATGGTTCTTTTACTTTAGTGTCTTCTGTTTGTTGTGGTGTATATTGATGGGAAAAATAGAAAGGTAATTTTCCTTCACTAAGAATGGAGCTAGGTCCGTGTTATCACCTGTCTCATGACAGAACAGTTACTTATCCCCATTCCCCTACCACGGTAGCACTGGGCCATGGGAGGACATGGGGTGATGCCACCCTCTGTTGGGTGGCACTTGGGCTGACTGATACTCTTGTTAGCACATGGTTGTCACAGAGCCTTTCCACAGAACACTGATTTTCAAACATGTAGAGCTTCCCGCATAACTGCCACTAACCGACCCTACTCAGAATCTACCCTCTGTGATGTGGGGCCACCTGGTATCTCGGGGTCCCCTTTAGGGCCATCAGTTTTTAGTTTCATTTTGAGTTTGTTCAGAAGTACCATAAATAGAAGACAGTAGGATCTTTCTGCCTGAAGGGATCCAAAAAGAAACATTTGGCAGGAAAGGGTCATGACCTTGCCTTGCTTTAATTATGAAAAATTTGTGCACACCAAAAGAGATTGCCCTGCTGCTGCTGATTTGAGTTCGTTACAAGAGTCTGTAGCAAACACTCTTCTATGAGAAGCTGATGAAATCAGCACTTGGAAGCAGCTTTGAAATTGGCTCCTGTCTTACAGGCGATAGCCTTATTCTTTCCATGAGCTGAAGATGCTTCTCCTTAAATCACACGCTCACCTGGGGTTGCTAAGGAGGGCATGGCCAGAACCCCTGGCTACTCGAGTCCCCACTGCCCCTCGTGTCTAGCCCAGGCCACTCCCTGCTAAAACGCACTGCTCTGGGGAAGTCTCAGCTTCCAGCCAGGAGACGCAGCATCCCTGAACTGCAGGGCCTCTCACAGGGCTCTCCCAGGCATGCTGAGTTCTCCCAGAAAGATGCAGAACAGAGCAGCTTTCAGAAATGCAGGGCCTCACGAAGCTCCATGGTGATGGTGCCTGCAGCCCCTGTTAGCTCACCCACTAATAGGTGAGCCAGGAGCCCTGCAGCCATACTCTGTTTCCCGCAGTTTCACTTTCTGGCATCCACACCTTCCCTCAGTCACTCCCCTGCTCAGAATCCTTCTACAGCTTGCGCTGCTGAAGAGGGAACTCGGCCATTAGGCTCTCTTCAAACTGGGCACCAAACACTCCCTTTGGTTTTAATTTCTGTCAGCCTCTCTCACTCCATCCCTCCATTTCTCCATCTCATAGGATGCTACCTCTTCTCTGCACACTCAGTGCCTAGTCCCACGTCTGTATTTTTACCCATTTTCACCTTTACCTGGAATGCCATTTCTCTATTTTTTCCCCACATGATGAGCTTCTCGTCATCCTTCCAGGCCCAGCCTGCCTTTCCTGGCTCCCTTCCCATGCCATCATTCTGTCTCATCAGTTTCAGAATCGACTGCTCTTTCATCTGTGTGTCCATGGCACTGTGCACATGCCTCTCTCAGGTTGCTTATTCCAATGCTTTGTGGACCATCTCCCCACTGAACCATGAGCCATTCAAGGGCAGGAGCCATATCTGCTCCATCTTTGCACCCCAACTCCTAGGAAAGTCCCTGGCACCTTCTAGGAGCTGAGTTAATTAATGGAGTGTGCGCTCCAGTTAGTACTGCCAGATTCCCACATGTTATCAGAGGAATACAAACATGCAAGATCTGGCTAAGTGCTCCAGTGGGGCAGGCAGCAGGGCTGGGGCTCCTAAAGTCAGTTGACTTTTGGTCTCTTCTGGAAACCAAACATTAGGAAGCTTCCTGGAATGGAGGGGTAGGCTGCAGGACAATCTTACCCAGACACCTGGAAGCCCAACAGTGTGGTTTGCCTCCCAGAGATGCCCAGAAAGGCAGGACCTCAGCATCCTGCTTCACTCTGGCTCATACACTTTTATACAAAATACAATGCAATGAATGAGCCCCAAGTCAGCTGTGACCACAATATTTTTGTCCATTGCAATGCAAAATACCAGCTGCAGTCTAAATGCAGTCCTGCTGCATTTAGCTGAATGATCAGCACTTTTACCTATACAACATCTTCAACCTGATGTGTGCATGGCTTTGTAAGCACAATATCTTCACACATCCTTTATTGTCTCCCCCTGAGGGATTCTGGAGGGAGGAGAGCCACTGTCCAGACATCCCACACTGCAGGAGAGGATGTGAGCCTCGGGTGAAGGGAGGTAGCACAACCTTGCTCACGTTCCCACAGCCAGGAGAGAACCACTCACCTCCTGGTGAAGAGTGATGCTTGGCCACATCTGAGAACAAGCTAGGGAAGGAAACCCTGAACAGACTGATAAAGTTAAATGTAAATCAACAAAAAATTTGCCAAAAACTTGGCAAAACTATAAATGCAAAATAAACAAATCCACAACCCAAAAGGAGCTGGGAGCATCAGGAGGCTGCTTCCAGATGTGTGGCACTCTGAAAAGCTGGGAGTGGGGACTATGCATTTCATGTGCAAGTAGAAGCTGGTGACTGATGCTGAAATTCACAGCGGCCCATTGGAAGACATGTTGAGAAATCACCGCAGATAGAAATAAAAAAAGAGAAAGTCAGACTATGCTAATGATGTCTTCTTATTGCTCACAGGCCAGAACTGAAGGTCGTGGCCAGTGTTTAGCCTTTCATTCTCTGATTCCAGCCCCCACAGCCATATTCACCCTTTTGCAAGTGATTTCAGTTTGAAACCTGGGCTCTGGTAGCTATTAACACACACACACACGTGCACAGCACACACACACATGCACACCACACACACACCATGCACTACCATGTGACCTTGCTTAAAAAGAGAACTATCTGTTATCATCCTTACTAAATCCATCTGTGTCCCCTGGCTAATCCCTGGAAGGCATCCAAATGACATTTATAGGCCTCCCAGCTGGTGAGCAAACGTGCTAAGCCATCCCTGACTGCCGGCTCTGGGCAAGCCCCTTGCAGTCTTCTCTCCCTCGCTCACACTCATGACAGTATGTAACCTCCATCTGCCACCCTTCGCAATCTCATCACCATCAATATGCTCCTTCTCCCAGTAAAAGTAAAACCCTGCCTCAGCCTCACACCTCTCCACAGTTACTCTCATCCTTTCTCCTCTCATTCACAGGCAAATGTGACCACAGATTGTCACCAGCTGTTTCCTCTCCTGCCCCCATTCCTTGGCCCACAGTAATCTCTGCCTCCACCTCCACTGAAACTTTACCAGCCACAAGTCAGCGCAGGCCTCAGCACAGGCCTCTGGGTCACTGACGCTAAGGGCCTCTTTGCAGTCTTTGTCTTCTGTGACACTATGGGCCATTGCATCTTCACTAGAACTTGCCCATCTCCTCTAATCTCACACTCTCTACTTTCTCTTTCTCTGGCCCCCTTGGCTGCTTTTGTTCAGCCCTTCCTTATGAAAAACCTGCGGAGTCAAAGTTATTCAGAATCCTCTCTCCATCCATGCTACCTGCCCTGTGGCCCCACCGCCACACAGCTGCCTTCACTGCATGTGCAATGAATGAGCCCCAAGTCAGCTGTGACAGCGATATTTTTGTCCATTGCAATGCAAAATACCAGCCTCAGTCTAAATGTAGTCCCCAATACCTTGTTAATCATGCTGAACCATCAGCGCTTTTACCTATGTAGCATCTTCAACCTGAGGTGTGCATAGCACAGCTGGAGACCTGCCTCTCTCTCACTCCAGCCCAGCCCCCATCCAGGCCCCAGGCCCCTGAGAAACTATCTGCCCGTTTATCATTGCACTGGGCATTTCTCAGTGTCATTCAGCTCAGCATTTTCAAAATGCTGACACCGTTCCTCTGCTTTGCTCTAGAGTTTTTCCTCAAGGGTCCTGTCTCCGAGAATGCCACCAACTGTCCTCTCAGGGACTTGGCCAATTTCCTGGGAGTCATGGGTTCCCTGCATCCCATCTGGTAGCAGTTGAATGCCTCTCAGCTCTAAACTCATCTCTCATTTCTTGCTCAGCAAAAAAATGAGCTGTAAGCATTTCTCATCTGCAACTGCCACCAGGTTCAACTGTCAATAGAGGACACTGGAGGGATGCAGCAGCAGAAAGGGGCTCTCTTGCTGGTACTGGCCTATTCCTCCTACTACTGAGTGGCGAGGCTTCAGAAATGACATGCGGAGGTGGAGATGGGGGTGCACAGCGGGGCTCTGCCCAGCCTCACTTATGGGGAGCGCCATCTTTGTGCAGTTCATAGTGTTGGGCAGCCCAGCAACGCCTGGCCACCTCCTTTGTGACGTGTAATGGGCAGTAGCCACACCCTCTCCGACCGGGTCAGAATCCCAGCCTTGGTGAGGGGCCCTCCAAGTTTCCATCCTCCTTGGGTATTTTTCCTCATCCCCAGAGTATTCTTTAAAGTTAGTTTTTGTCCTTTATAGTTACTCCCACATTACAGTTAAGAATTGTTTTGTTTTTGAGATGGAGTTTCACTTTTGTCACCCAGGCTGCAGTGCAACGGCACCATCTCGGCTCACTGCAACCTCCGCCTTCCAGGTTCGGGGATTCTCATGCTTCAGCCTCCTGAGTAGCTGGCATTACAAGTGCACGCCACCATACCGGCTAATTTTTTGTGTTTTTAGTAGAGTCGGGGTTTCACCATACTGACTAGGCAGGTGTCAAATTCCTGATCTCAGGTGATCCACCCGCCTTGGCCTCCCGAAGTGCTGGGATTACAGGCATGAGCCATCACGCCCAGCAAGAATTCTTTATGTTAAAATTTTTCAGTCCAAATTATTGCGTGGCTTCTGTCTCCTGATTAGACCTAACTGATGCACTCTCAAACACTGAATCCCATTTGCTCTACAATCCACATCTCTGTTGAGTCTCCTAGGTCTTCATTTTGTCTGCTTCTTCCCTTATGAATACCGCCATCATTTTTTGCTTGGGCTTCTGCAGTCCTCTCTGTAACTGGTGTCTCCTACCTAGTCCAACTCACTCCTTCCCAATCCACCATCCCCTCCCCCATCCATATATTTACTATCTACTTAAAAACTTTCGAGGTTTCCCACTGCTCTGAAATGAAGCCCCAAATCTTTGACACACTGTACAAGTTAATCAAAATCTGACCTTCCCCAGCCTGTTCCAACCTCAACACTCCTCCTCCTTCTCTCCTTCTAATATTGGTGATCTGTGCTTTCTCTCCTTGCTTCATTAAGCTTGTTGGTAGAATGTACCATTCTACAACCTATCTTTTCAAAACCTAGCTTTTGATTTAAATGTATATGTGGTGTGTGTGTAATTGTGTGTGTAATACACACAACTTCATTAACGTTTTCTTTTAATTATTTATTTTTTTCTTATTTTGGGATTATTCCATTTTTCTTGTGTTAACTTTTTTAAATAACAATATATACACTTAAAGCTACTGGTATTCCCCTAAGTATGGCTCTAGCTCTACTCCATGGCTTTTGATAGGCAATACTTATATTACTACAAAATTCTAAATCTTTGGTAATATTCATAATAACTTATTTGGACCCATAAAATTTTTAAAGGAGTCTTTTTAGTTTGCTATGTTTTGTTGTTGTTTTGATGTTTGTTTAGGGCTTTTTTGCCTTCTACCTATTGATATCTAATTTTATTCCATTGTGGTCAGAAAATATGGTCTATATGATAATGATGCATTGGTATTTGCAGAGAGTTCTATCATTATACATTTTCCAAGTGGTCGAAAATCGTGACTGTTTCCTGGTTTGATGCAGCACTCTCTCTGTATAGCTATTAGATTAAACTTATTCAGTTAATTTAGCTCAACAATTATGACAGAGGTCCATGAGGATCTCCCAGCGTATTACAGGTTTATCAATCCCTGTGCGAATTTGGCCAAATTTGATCAGATTCCATTTTACCTATTTGATGCTATGTTTTTTGGTTTGGAGAAATAATACACATTATTTTACTATTTTGCCTTCCTAATCAATATTTTCTTTTTCTTTTGAGTAATTATCCTTTTTATTCCTTGCTTTCAGGCTTAAAAATATATTGTGCCTAATATGAGTATTGCTTTATTTATTAATAATTTTGATGTAAATATACTTCTCTTTCATTCTAGGCTTTAGGTTTAGGTCATCTTGTAAATGTAATATAATTAGATTTTAAAATCTAATTTGGAAAAAGTTGTTTTTCTCTAGAAACAATCACTAACTTTATTGTAAATGTTTATATATTTGGGCCTATTTTGTCATTCTATCTTTCGTCTTGAATTTATTGTACCTTTTCTTTCTTTATTTCTTCTTTTTTACTTGTCATTGTATTTATGCAGGTTTAATTCATCCTCCTCCCTTGCTCTCTGTTGGTTTAGAATTACACATTCTATTCCTGTTATTTTTATTAGCTACCATTACATTTCAATGTGCATACTAGACTTTAAAAAGTGTAAAGTTAATATTTTAATTTCTTCCCAGACAACAAGAATTTCAGAATGTTTTTTATCCTAAGTACATCTCCGCCCATCTGCCAACTGATCATATTGCCTAATGGTTTAGTTCTACTTTGGGAGACCAAGGTGGGTGGATCACCTGAGGTCAGGAGTTCAAGACCAGCCTGGTCAACATGGTGAAATTCTGTCTCCACTAAAAACACACACACACACACACACACAAAAAGTAGCCATGTGTGGTGGTGCATGACTGTAGTCCCAGCTACTCAGGAGGCTGAGGCAGGAGAATTGTTTGAACCCAAAAAGCAGAGGTTGCAGTGAGCCGAGATTGCGCCACTGCATTCCAGACTGGGCAACAGAGCAAGACTCTGTCTCAAAAATAAAAATAAAAATAAATCTTCAAAAAACAAAAATCGTCAGTCTTAGCATTTTTTAAATGGCCGAAAAGTTTACTTTTTTTCCTGTGAACTTCTTTTTATTGGGAAATCTACCTTCTGATTTCAAAGTCTCCTTACTGAAGTATATTCTCTGTTATGTCTTCTACGAGGTTTTGTGGAATCCATCACATCTTCATGGACTATTATGCCATCTGTGAGTAAAAATAACTTTAATTCTTCCTTTCCACTCTCAGTGACTTTTTTCTCTTTCTTGCCTAATTGCCCTGACAGGAACACCCAGTATCTGTTGACTAGAAAAGGTAAAGACAGACACCTTGTTCTGTTTCTGATCATAATGGGAAGGATTCGGTCTGTCAGCCTGAAGTAGGAACATTAACTACAGAGTTTTTTCCTAACTGCCTTCTGTCAGATCAGGAAACTTTTTCTCTATTCCTAGTTTTCTGAGAGTTTTTATCAGGAATACGTGATGAGTTTTGTCAAATACTTTTTCTGTGTTTGTTGAGATGATAGGTGGGGTTTTTTTTTTCGTTTTCAATTTCCTAATGTGGTGAAATGCACTGACTGATTTTCAAATGTTAAATCATCATTGAATCCCTGCAATACAACTACTCGGTGGTGATTCATTTTTTATATTATTGAATTCGGTTTGCTAAAAAAAATGTTTTTAAGAGTGTTTCCCTCTACGATGGATTGAATTCTATCCCCCAAATTTATATGTTGAAGCCTTAACCCCCAATGTGACTATATCGAGAGATAGGGCATTTAATGAGGTAATTAAAGTTAAATGAGGTCATAAGGATGGGATCTTAATCCAATAAGACTGGTGTCCTTATAAGAAGAGGGAGAAATACCAGGAGTGAATGTGCATGAGGAAAGGCCATGTGAGGACATGCAAGAAGACAGCCTTCTGCAAGCCCAGGAGAGAGGACCCACCAGCAGCCTGCTGGCACCTTGATCTCATCTTCCAACCTCCAAAACTGTGAGAAAATAAAGTTCTGTTGTTTAAGACAGCTGGTCTGTGATATTTTCTTATGGTAGCCTGAGGGAACTAATACAGCATCTATGTTCATAAATGATATTGGTCTGCAATGTTCTTTTTCAGTTAAGGCTTTGATTTTAGTATCAGGATAAAATTGGCCTTATAGATTGAGTTGGAACATATTCACTCCTCTCCAAATTTCTGGAATAATGTCTGTAGGACTCATATTATTTCTTTCTTAAATGTTTAGAAGAATTGCCAGCAGAGTCATATGGGCCTGGAGGTTTGTTGTGGGAAGGTTTTAACAACTAATTATTTGTTTGATATAGAGCTATCTATCAAGTAGAGCTATCTCTACTTGACTGAGCATTGGTAGTTTGTATCTTTCAAGGGCTTTGTCCATTTTATATAAATTGTTGATTTATTGGCACAAAGTTGTTTAAAATATTTCTTTATTTTATTTTCAACATCTGTAGAATCTGTAGTGATGTCACCTCTCTCATTCCTATACTTGATCCTAGCCAAAACTCCGAGAAGGGATCCTCTCTCATTTCTAATATTAGTAATTTCTTTTCTAATCGGCATGCAATAAGGTTTATCAATTTTGTTAATCTTGTCAAAGAAGCAACTATTAATTTATTTAAGTTTATCTATTTTACTTCTGTTATAGATTTCATTGATTCCTATTCTGATCTTTATTATTTTCTTTCTTTTATTTAACTTGTGTTTAACTTGTTCTGCCATCCCTAATTTAAGGTAGATGCTGTTGTCATTGATTTGAGACATTCTTTTCTATAATAGAATTATAGTGCTATAACTTTCCCCTAGGAACTGCTTTAGCTGCTTACCACAAATATTGATATGTACTATTTTCTTTTTCAGGTAGTTCAAAACACTTTAGAAGTTCATTTTAATGTAGTTTTCATTTTTGCTCATGGTTTATGTTGAACTGTTTTACTCAGTTTTCAAATATTTGAGAATTTTCCAGAGGTTTTCAAAAATTGATTTCTAATTTAATATATTGGAGTCAGAGAACATACTTTGTAAAATGCTTTTAAGTTTATAGAGATTTTGCAAATGTTATGGATTGAATTTTATCCTCCTCCGCAAATTTATATGTTGAAGCCTTAACCCCCAGTGTGACTATATTTGGAGCTAGTGAGACAGGATAGTTCCCTTGAGCCCCTTTGTGGGCAGGAACTGGAGTGGCTTGTTTCACTCAGCCAGCTGTTGGCCACTCCTTGAGAGAGGGAGCACATGAGCAAGCAAGTGCAGGAACCAGAGGGAATGAATGCTAGAGCCAGCCGGTCACTCCTCTCTGTCAGGAGCAGGTTGTGTGGGCCCTGCAGCAGTGTCCAAGTCCCTGCCCTCTGAGCACCCAGGTTCTTGCCTGGCATCCAGGAAGAATCAGGTCACACAAACAGACTGAAGGGTAGTGTATGCAGAGGATTTTATTAGGTGATAAAGGTGGCTCCTTGTGGGATGGGGAATTGGAAAGGGGATGGTGCGGAAAGAAGGTGATCTTTCCCTGAAGCCACACCATCTGACGTTAGCCGTGTCTATCCTTAGTCTCAGAAGCTCCCTTGCTGCTTCTGTGCTTGCCACTCAGCAGCTTGTATTGCTCTGCCAGCTGATGTCTTTTTGTGGCAGAGCAATACAGAATAGGGGAGTGATAGACCAAAAAGGCAACATTTGGGCATTAAAAACAAGGTCAGCTGTTTTCACTTAGGGCTACAGTTCCAGGCTTAAGGGTGGGGTTTAGCCAGGAGCCCAAACATTCTGTATCAATAAGGCCTCCAATTCATGGCAAGAATATGGTATAATATGGTAAATGTCTTGAGTGCGCTTGAAAAGAATATGTATTCTGCTGTTGTCAGAGGTGTCAATTCATTCTAGCTGGCTGACTGTTGTTCAAAGTTTCTACATTATTATTGATTTTCTGTTATATAGCATATAAGTTATGGAGAAAGGGCTAGTTAAATCTCTGATTATACCTATGGATCTGTCTATTTCTCCTTCAAGTTCTCCCAGGTTTTGCTTCATTTATTGTGAAGTTCTTATTACATGCATAAAATTTAGAATTGTTACGTCATGTTGATAAATTAATGCCTTTGTTATTTTGAAATGACCTCCAAATGACCTTCTTCATTCCTGGTAGAAATTGTTGCTCTGAAATCTACTTTGCCTTGTATTTAAAATAGCCACTCCAGGTTTCTTTTGATTAGAGTTAGAATAGTTTTTTTTAATTCTTATACTTTTCATTTATTTATATCTTTGTATTTAAAATGAGTTTTACTTAGGCCGCATATGCTCAGTCTTACTTTTTTTTTTTTTTTTTTTTTGAGACAGGGTCTCACTCTGTCACCCTGGCTACAGGACAGTGGCACAACCAATTCTCATGTCTTGGCCACTGAAGTAGCTGGGATTCCAGGCTTTAGCCACCACACGTGGCCTTACTTCTTTTAAATTTACATTATAAATGGGTTGCATCTGATAATGTCTTCTTTTATATTGAGGTATGTAACTCATTTACATTTAATGTAGTTATTGATTTGATTAAGAATAGGCAACAAAAGAAAAAATGGATAAATTGAACTTCATGAACATTTAAAATTTTTGTGCATCAGAAGACACTATTGGCAGAGTAAAAACAACTCACAGAATGGGAGAATATATTTGCAAATCACTTATTTCATAAGAGATTAATATCCAGAATGTATATAGAAATTCTAAAACTCAACAACAAAAAACTAACAACTCAATTCAAAAATGGGCAAAGGACTTCAGAAAATATTTCTCCAAAGAAAATGCACAGATAGCTAATAAGCACATGAAAAGATGCTCAACGTTACTAATCATCAAATGCAAATCAAAACAAGATACCACCTCACACCATTAAGAGGGCTACTATTTTATATACATATATATTTTTTAATGAAAAGTAACCCTTAGCAAGGGTGTGGATAAATTGGAACCCATGTGCACTGTTGATGGGAATGTAAAATGATGCAGCTACTGTGTAAAATAATATGTCAGTTTCTAAAAAAATTTAAAAATACAATTATCTTATGATCTAGAAATCCCACTTCTGAGTGTATATTTAAAAGAATTGAAAGCAGGGTCTCCAAGAGATATTTGCACACCATGTTCATAGCAGCATTATTCACAATTGCTAAAATGAGGAAGCCAGCCAGATGTCTATCAATGGATGAATGGATAAGGAAACTGCTATCTATACACACAATGGAATATTACTCAGCCTTAAAAAGGAAGGAAATTCTGACAGATGATACAACATGGATGAACCTTAAGGACTTTATGCTCAGTAAAATAAGCTCATCATCACAAAAAGATAGATAGTATGTGATTCCTCTTATATGAGGTACCTATAGTCGTCAAGATCAGAGAGACATAAGTAGGGTGGTGTGTACCAGGAACTCAGGGGAAAAGGGAGAAGTGGAGAGTTGTTTGATGTGTACAGTTTCATTTTTGCATATGAAAAGCGTTCTGGGGATGGATGGTGGTGATGGCTACAGAAAAATGCAAATGTACTTGGTGCCACTAAACTGCAAATTTTACGTGTATTTTACCACAATAAAAAGGATTAGAAAAAAATAAAAACACCCTTGCTTCAGATACATCTGTCTGGGTCAGGTCAGTTCCCTGGCTTCCTTCTCTATACTGGAGCTGGAGTGCATTCCAGGCACCCTATTGGCCACACAGAAGGGTGAGTGTTGCTTGTTCTCCCTCCTGTGCTGCCATTCAAGGCAGCCATGTCTGTCCCTAGGGCCCTAGTGATTATCCAGGGGAAAACTGAGCCCCTCTGAGAAACATATCCCCCATACAGGAAATTCTGATGACTGGGGCCACAACAGCTATTCTCAGCCCCTGAGGAAGGAACTGATTGCCCAGATTGTATTCAAGGATGAGTCCGTTTTGCCTGGAAATGTCTAAAATTGCTAAGTGTATATTCATTCCCTCAACAAATATTTATTGGGTGACTACTATGTGTGAGGCGTGCTTCTAACTGTGAGTGCAGTGATCCTGACTATTTGTCTTTGCTCAAATTACTTCACATTTGGGAAAATTCGTGTGCTAAGAAGACTGTGTCCAGGACCATTGAGTCCAGTGTCCCCCTTTCCAGAAGGCACTGGGATCAGTTTAGACTTTTGAGATAGGTAGGCCCAGCCAAGAGGAGACAAGAGCACAGAAAGACATCCACAAACATTCCTAAAAAGAGAGAACTGGAAGCTTTTGTGGAAGCTTAGGCAGTGCCGAAAACTCCTGGACTTTCCTTCGTGGCCCATCTGCAGAGTGGTGCTCCTTTGGGAGCTGGCCTGGCCTCCCTCTCCCACCCCTCTGCTCTCCCTGGGCAGATGCACCAGCAGCCCAGGTGCAATGCATACCTGCAGGCTGACTGCTTCCACAATGCAGACCCCCTCTCTGAGCTACCGCATCGCCTGTGGGACACTCAGGGATGTCTCACAGGGATGGCAGACTCAGCCTCTTTAACATAGGACTCATGCTTTTTCCCCTACCTGAAAGCCTGCTCTCCTGGAAGGATGCTGACCTCAGATGGCCAGGTCCTCCACACAGCCCCAAGCAGGAAACTGGCCACCACTCTTCCTCCCCTGCTCTGTCACCCTTCCCTAACCTCGGCCTCTAAAGCCTGGTTCCAAACATGTGGAACTCTGTGTCAGTTGTCACTCTCCTGCCACTGCCCAGGATCAAACCACCTCACAGATAAATTGCAAACACTGATCTTCTGAAACCCCGGTATCTACTTCCCCCAGCCTCCTCACATCTCCTCATTCCCTCCCAACATGGAGTCCACTCTCCACTCTGCAGCCATGGCATGCATCCAATCGTGCCACTTCTCTGTCTTTCAGTAGCTTCCCCTCAGACCCCTTCTTAGTCTAGAGCCAGCCCCTCCCCAGGATGCAGTCTCTGGACCTTTCTCCGCCCCTTCCCCCCAACTTTCCTGCAAACCCTATACATGGGACTTGCTCAGAAGCACCTCCTCCAGGCCTCAGCAAATCCCACTTCCTCAGCTATGGCCCGTACTCCTGCATCTAAATTCTACCCATCTCTGATACTCACTTTAACCCTCCCCTGCCAAGCACCCAGCCAGCTGAAGCACCACCCATCTCCCCCTAGGTAACCCTGTGCTTACCCCTCCCAGGTGCACCACCTGCCTTGACCTTATTGGACACACAGTCATGTCAGAGAACATGAGGATGCTGGACTCTGAAGCAAAACTGTGCCAATGATTCCTCGGCCCCTGCCCTCCTCTGAGCTCACTTCAGAGGTCTCTGTGCATCGATAACGCTAGACTCACAAGACTATGAGAATAGAGGAATGAGGTCTTGCATTTCTTCTGCATCTTCCCTCAGAGGCTAGAGCCCGGTGGACACTCACCATCCCCTCATGGCTCCACACTCTCCCCACCGGGCTCCACAGTCTCTAAAGGAAGAGACCATGGGCTCTTTCCATGTCCAAATATCTCTATCAAAGGTGCCATGCTTTACACATTGTCAGAATCACTAGAAGGTTGCATTTTTCAAAATCATCAGGAAATTATAAAGAGCTGCAGAATGTTTGGAAACTAAGGCCAACCAAGTCACAGAGTGGCCTGCTGACTCAAGGCTACAACGTGGACTCTCAGAAGAGACGGGGGTGTCTTAGCATCTGCTTTCTTGCTTACCCTGAGTTCTCACAGAGCAGCAAGTGCCCGCAGGAAAGCCCCAGGATCCCTCAGTAAGACTTGGTGGCTGAAAGGAGTCTCCACCCTGAGTCTGTGCCAGGGGTTCCTTTACCAAGACTGGCCAGCAGCTGGGTCATCTGCCTGGCTCCTTTCCATGGATGCACACCGGGGGCCTCCTCTGGAGACTCTGATAGGCCTGGGCTGAAAATGAGCAGGACTGGCTACATACTGTGTAGGACCCAGTAAAAAATTAAAATGTAGGGCCCGTTGTTCAAAAATTTTGAAGAATTTCAAGACTGTGACAGCAGAGTGCTAAGCCAAGCCCAGGGTTTTTCTAAGCGCAGACTCATGAAGCCAGCCCTGGGTCTGTGATGTGCACTCCAGGATTGTGGCTCCAGTGACACTGGTGCTGCCTCTATGCCTACGAACCTCAGCTGGATGCCATGACATGTCCCTGTGGGACAGGACCAAGGAGCACGGAGCCCAGAGCCCCCGGGGCACTGCAGAACAATTCTGGAGAGTCTGTCCACCCTGGCTTTCCGCTACACAGGCTGTGGTCTCATTTTACTCTTCTTATATTTTAAACTATATGTTTAGGAGTATCTAGAGCCCTCTGACATGGTTTTCTTTTAGAATCATTTTTCTGTTTGCTGTCCCACTATTTGATTCAAAATCACCTGCTGGCAATGGGACTGGAAAGCAGGAAAGAGTAAGCTCCTTCACCCGATCCCTGAAGCTCACAATGGAGCCCTGAAGGGGATGGTGAATGTCCACAGTGCTCTAGCCTCTGAGGAAAGATGCCAAAGAAACGCAAGACCTCATTCCTCTATTCTCATAGTCTCGTCAGTCCAGTGTTATCAGTGCACAAAGATCTATGAAGGAAATGAGCCTTAACTCTACCAATGAGCTCAGAGGAGGGCAGGGGCCCAGGAGTCATGGGCACAGCTTCACTTCAGAGCCTGGCATCCTCATGTTGAAGGAAAGTGTGGCCAATGTGATGACAAGTTATATCCAAAAATAGCATATGAGGGTCCGTCTGGAGGATGGTCCAGCAAACAGTGGGCAAAGATGCCATTCATTCTGCTTCAGATCCAAGCGCCTCCCAGGCTGGGACTCCAGGACAGGCCTGTGGGAGCGTCGGTATCACACATTCCCACCCCTGGCATATCTGTGGAACTGTCATCCAGACCAGACACTGTGGAAGCCATTGCAATAACCTTGTGAGGTGGGTAATGTTATTATTCCCACTTCATGAGCAAGAATGATGAGATTTAGAGAGGCCACGTGACTTTGTGGGTGATACAGCCATGGGCAGAGCTGAGATAAAAGCATGTGAAGGAGTTTGGAATGTGCCACCCCAAAATATGCCACTTTGATATACTGATTATTTTGAGTTAAAGACGCTTGAAAAACAGCAAATACAGGAAGAAACTCTCTCTGAACTCTTCTTAACTGCCTAAAGAAAGATCTTGCAAAAGCAATTCAAGTCACGAGTCCCCTCCTCAGGATTTTTATCAGCCAAGGAAGACTGACCCCTGTCACAAGAGCGGAGACCAGAAGCCAGCACCACACCTAGACAAGCTTCGCCTCATATCGCCCATCTGCTCTTCAAAGCATTCCTCATCTTTCCTAAAAATCATTATCTCCCCTAAGTGGCCTGCAGTTCTTCTTCCCTTTCCCCTGTGGAGATGATGTGTAAGCTCCCAAATCTCACCACTCTTTCGGGTACCCACATTTTTCTCCCTGTGATACCTCTGTGCACACAATAAGTGTAGCTGTCTTCTCCTGTTAATCTCCATGCTGTTTGTTTATTTCATAGACCGAGTTACCAAACCTCAGAGGGTAGAGGGAAAGTATTTTCCTCTCCCAAAATTGATACTGAAAATGGATGCTATCAGCTACAGAAAGGGGAGAGGTTTCTAGGTGGAGTTCATGCATCCTTGAGGAGAGCACCCGGCACAGTGCGTGTGTTCCCTTGAGCCGGCTCAGAGCGGACTCATTACTGCTGCTACCTCACTTAATTCTCACAAGAACTCTGTTAGATAACTACCATCACCACCATGTTACAGATGGGGAAACTGAGGTTTGGGCATGTTAAGTAGAAAAGGTGAAGCCATTTTCCAGAGCAGCCATATCCTGGAAATCAGGGTCTGTGGCATCGTGAGGCTCCACAATAGCTTGGCAGGAGAAAAAGAAAGACGGAAGGAAAAGGATGGAGTTGCCAAAGGGCAAGGAGTTTGTTTCCACATTTGCAGTGCTCCTCTCTATTTTACACACTGCAGTAGCTCCCCTGACAACTACACTTGAGTTGGAGAAGGAAATAAGGATCAAGTTAAAAAAGAAGCTCTAAGAAAACAATCCTGTTTTTGCCCCACCTACATCTGGGAATGGGGACTGTCTGGCTGTGCTGCTGGGGAGACAGCCTGGGAGGACACAGCCTCACCTGAGCTGCTCCCAGCCCAGTGGGAGAGAAACCCAGCTCAGGAGGAGGGTGGTCTGATACAGGGGCATGGCAGAGCCAAGGGAAGACTCAGGGGCAGGGGCTGGGCAGGTGAAAGACCTGGGAGATGCCCCTGCAGTGAGTCCCACGGGACATGCAATGGACTGAGACACAGGAAGTGTCCTGCAGACGGAGCGGCATCTGTCTGATGAGCACGCAGGTTCTCACTGGTGGTAGAGTGCTGGGTGGACATTCAGGAGCTTGCAGGGGGCCAGAACACGGATCAGAAACATGGAGCAAGGGGTCTGGCCCCGTCTTCAGTGCAGGAGAGCCATTCCTCTAGACAGCACCACAGCACACCTCCACAGGGCAGGGACAGGGAAGGTGTCATAAAGGTCCGTGCCTCCTGCCTTCTTTCTTCAGTCCTGGCCATGGTCTACTCCAACCTCCCATTTCAGTCACTTGGCCATGAGGGACCTCCCCAAAGGGTGTCCACAAGAGGCTCTTTTGATCTTTCTCCAGTTTATGGCTTGAGAAATTGCATTGTAACACTGCAGACAGGCAGAACATAGTGGATACCTCATCTGTTACAAAATTAGATTATTTTCAGGCTTCATCTGGTCCAAAATACCCCTGTGGTCTTGGTGCCCTGGTGGAGGGAAGAGTTCATTCCCCCTAGCAGGTCCCGTGCCCTCTCCGCAGCAGCTGACGCTACTGCCTCCCCGCTACACACACACATTCTGGTGGGGGTAAGAAGAGAAGGGAGTGCAGGGCCACCCATGCTGTCTGTTTGTTCTGTGCATCAGAGGTCAAATGCACGCCTTTTATTTTTTGGTTGTCTTTGACTACCCTAAGAATGGCACAAACAACAGCAAATATATATAGACATATGTTTTTCATGGACTCAGCACTGAAATTTCTGATGGTCAGGTCCATCAATATCTGTTTGAGAAGGTCAGGTTTCTGCTCCTTTCAGAAAGGCAGCAAAAGAGTCGGCAGAAGGAGTTTGATTTGGAATGGGAAGTATTCCCTAGTGCTCTGGCCTAAGCCAGGACAGCATTCCCATGACAGATTCATTCTGGTCATTGACAATAAAGTTGGTTCGGTTTGGCCAGAACCCAATATCATTATACAAATTGCAAAGAAAGCATCTGGAACAACTGGAGTCAGTATCCAGTACCCACGCCCCCTCCAATTTTCTGGTATAGGTGAAAGTACAGTTTCTCGGGGCCTTGGTATGATCAGAAGCCCTCCCTGAGGCAAATGGCCACCTAGGATGAAGAAGAAGATAAAGAGGAAAACCAGCAAGCCCACGGCGTGCCTCAGCTGCAGGGGTGGAAAGCATAGGTCCATATTCTGTTTTTCATCTGTGAAAACCGTGCTTGCCAGTGCTGAATCCTCGGAGCAGCAGAAGGACCCGCTGTATCAATGTGAAGCCAGCCTGGGTGCTGAAAGCCTCATCATGCACTGAACTCTTGTGCCCCCTTAAACACACCAAAGTCTTATGTCAAAATCTTAACCCCCAGTGTGATGGTGCTGGGCAGTGGGGCCTTTGGGAGGTAAGGAGATCATGAGAGTGGATCTCTGTCTCTATTTCTCTCTCTCTCTCTCTCTCTCTCTCTCTCTCTCTCTCTGTCTGTCTTTCCCCACCACATGAGGTCACAGCTAGAAGACAGCCATCTGCAAACCAGAAAGAGAGCCCCCACCAGACACCAGATCTGCCAGTGCCTTGATCCTGGACTTCTAGCCTCCAGAGAAGTGTCTGTTGTTTAAGCCGCCCAGTCTGTGGTCACTGCAGCCCAAGCTGGCTAAGACTACCTTTGTCAAAGCTCATCTCCCCTCACAGCCTGCCTTAGTATGCAGAGACCACCATCTCAGTGACAGCAGACATGCATTCCCAAAAGCTGCCCATCAGCAGATCCAGCTTGAGGGACAGTTACAAAGAGAGCTAAAGTGTGATGTCCCCAAATCCTGTTATGGTTCCACAGCCCTCTGCCCACCAGGGCTCGGGCTCCATTCTCTGTTCTGGGCCCTTCTGATCCCAATTATTCTCCCCATGGAAACATTTTATTCCAGTATTCCCTGAGTACTCAACAGAGAGAAAGCCCAATGGGAGAGAAGCGGGACAGATTGACATTTGGAAATGAAGAATCTGACATGGACCAGCCTCAGATCACTCGTAATTTAATTCCTAAGGTGAGTACACCTGAAAAGCAAACCCCAAGTACCAAGGACCATGAAAGCAACAGAGCTGGAGGCTGGAGGAGCTTCAGCGGGAGCAGCAGGAGGGATTCATGGTGGCTACAGTATTTCTCCCTAAGGACCAAACCAAAAGGATACAGACAAAAATCCTCCTCTGGGTGGAAAAAGGCTTCTTCGTTTATTTGTACCAATGAAAATGGCCATAGGCTGTGTTTCACCTGCTCTGCTCTCTGAGCAGAAGAATGCCTCACCACAGTCCATGACACACAGGACCTGGTCAAGAATCACTTTGCAGGATCTGTAAAAAGTCTTTGTACTTGCTGTTTAAAATTTGTCTTTTCTGGAGAGCTACAGTGTACCCTCCCTGATCTGACACAGACAAATTCATATTCCATTTCACACATGGGAAGGCTGAGCCCATCGTGAACATCACATGACTAACTTACTGTGCACTCAAACCAAAACAAAAGTCATCTGGACACAGTCCCGAGGTTTTCCCTGAGTCAAGGGTCCCTTCAAAGACCCACGGTCAATGCACTCCTCACCTGGTCACCTCAATGTGTGTGTGGGAACAGAGCAGCCCCTGTGAAGTCGTGGCCATCCCCAGGCTTCCAGGCCCCTGTGAAGTCGTGACCATGCATTCATTCATTCATTCGCCAACATCATTTATTGAACTTCTACTGAGGACAAGGAGACAAAAGACGCAATCTCTGCCCTCAAGAAGTTCAGTGTCTAATGGAGACAGGGGACAAGTAAAAAGACTAAAGACTATGCAATTTCATTTATGCAAGTCCAAAAGTTCACAAGCCAGATGGATGCTGCCAGGAGTCAATGGTTCCCCATGGGGGATTAGCGCCTGGGAGGGGGATGCAGGGGACTCCTTGGGGACTAGGAATGTTGTGATGTATCCACATCAAACCTCCTTTAGGTTCTCGTAAAGGTCCAGCCCACTCCCCTCTCTGGGAACATCCTGCCCCATTGGTTGGAATATTTTCCCCATCTGGTGAACCTGATTCTTCCTTTCTCCTTCAAGGGAACAGATCTCCCAAACCAGCCTTCTAGAAGGTCTTCTGACCCTCCAGTTTGGGTGAGGCCTCTCCTCCTTGCTCATGTAGCACTTGGACCTGACTTATCTTCATGGTCACAGTCCTCATTCCACTAACAGGCCTCTGTTGTCTGCTTGCACCAGCAAATAACCTTCTGGCTAGTAATCTTTCACACATATTCCCCAGTGGATGACTGACCTGAATCTTGAGTATAAGGTGGCAGGTAAGGAATGAGACAGTATCCTAAGCAAATATCACTGATGTTCAGAGAAACAAGATGCAGCCTTGAATCATGGAGAAATTGAGCTCAGTCCCTTAGGACGGGAGGTTAGGGTTGGAAGGGAGGGGCTGGGGAGGAACTGGGTGCATTGGTAAAGGACTTGGCTCTCCTCATGCTGAAAGGCAACAGAGAATCTCTCACATTAAGTTTTAGTGTGTCTTCCACTTCTTGATTTTGTGGTGGTTATTTTATTGGCTAAGCAGTAACATGATTTGATTTGCATTTTAGCAATTATCTACTGGAGGATGTTGCTGAGTGCAAAGGCAGAGAGAGAAGTGAAAGGCCTGTCAGTCATTCAGGGGGTGAAGGATGAGGACCTGAAATAAGCCACGGAGGTAAGAAAGAAGAGAGGGCCACTTTTGCCCCACCATTGCTAGGTCGGGCCTGCTGTCTGCTTGTTGTCTTACATAATTCACAATTACTTTCACTTCTAAAGTGTCCCTATTTGATAGTAAATTATGGGGTCATTCTATTCTCAGTGATATTTAAGATGCAGGATCGCCAGGAATTCATAGTAGTTGGTGAAATGAGATGGGGAAGGAGGGTTCAACAAAGAGGTACAGGTACTGGCAACTGAGTCCCCATCCGGGTGGACAGGGGAGGAGGAAGCAGCAGTTCAGTAGGGCTGGGGAAGGGTGTGAGGGAAGTGATTTTCCAGCCCTCCTGAATTCATGTGCTCAGGTTGCCATGATGAGTGTCACAGACTGGGAGGCTTAAACTGCAGAAATGGCAGTTTCCTCAGGCTGGAGGCCAGAAGTCTGAGATGGAGGTGTGGCAGGGCTGGTTTCTCCTGAGCCTCTCTCCTGGGCTTATAGATGTCTGCATTCTCCCTGCGTCTTCACATGGTCTCACCCCAGTGTGCATCTCGGTCCTCATCTCCTCTTCTTATGTGGACACTGTATATTGGATTAGGGCCCACCCTAGTGGCCTCCTTTTAACTTAATTATCTAATCTAAGGCCCTATCTCCAAATACAGCTACATTCTGAGATGCTGGGGGCTAGGGCTTCCATGTAGGAATTGTGGGGTGCAGGGGACCCAGTTCAGCCCAGAGCCCCCTCTCATGCTGTCATAGTCCCCACCCTGCCCCAGCCTCTATCTAAACCCTGAGCCCCTGCCTCAGGTCTTTGTGGCCCCTGCCTCCTTACCATGGCCAGCTGGGTGGGGAGGGTCCACTCAGATCAGTGACCTCACAAAGGTCCAGGGTCACCTCCCAGCCATTCTCCCCGCCTGCCACTTCCTGATGGTCCCTGGAGGAAGTCTCGGTGCCTGTCAGGCCCTCTCAGGTCATGAGGAAGTTCTCTGATCCCTTCTCCCACAAACACAGCCCCCTTCCGGCATGAAGTAGCCATCAACTCTCACAGCCACCACTGTGAACGTCCCTGGCTGAGGCCTGTCTGCGAGTGCCCCATGGACTCTTCTACTCCCTCCCCTCCCCTGCTTGCTAGGTCTTCACTCCTCCGTGTTTGGGGAGGAAGGGAGGAAGGGTGAGGGCCACCAAGATCCCGCTTGACGAGTCCCACCGTCTGCCGATGCTGCTTCTCTCTGGGGTCACGTGAGGTGATTTGTGAGCACCCCAGAGAACCCCGACTAGGGGAACCCTCTCCCTGGCCCCTGGACTACCTCAGGGCTTTGGCAGCCACTGACACAGACACCCTTTGCCAGGGCACCCCTGCCCTTGCCCTTTGCCTCCTGGGCAAAGTCACTGAAGCCTTGTGTCTCCAGGCTGGGCTCCTTACGGCAGAGGGGACACACTCATGCCCTTTGTTCTGACAACGTCCAGAACTCCAGGCCATGGCTGAGGCAACCAGGTGTGGACCTGACTTCAGAACCACAGGCCGTAGAAGATTCAGAGTCAAGACCACCAATTAATCTACTGGAAGTCCATCCCTGGTTTGAGGAAGACGCAAACATGATGAGGGAGGGGAGATGCAACTGCTCACCAGTGTTTTCCGAATCTACATGATCTCTGTTCGCCTTTTAACTCACTACTGCTGTGAGGGGAGTCTGCCATCTCTCTGGGATATGAAGGGCAGACAGCTCCCTGGGTAACATCCTGTTCCACATTCTAGGCCCTTCCCTGGTGCACACACCTGTGGGACTCAGGCTCAGTTCTCCACCCCCGTCTCCAGACCAACCCCAGCTGCAGAAACGGCTACAGTTTGAATGTGTCCCCTCCAGAATGCAGGTGCTGCCAATGTGCTAGTATTAGGAAGTGAGCTCCTTCCGAGGTGACTAGGGGGTTGTAATGCCCATTTTACAGATACAGAAACCAAGGCTCCCATTGACACACACCCACAGAACTGGTTAGTGATGGAGACAGGGCTTGAACTGAGATGTCTGACTCTGTGGAACAGGGGTTGGCAAACTCTGGCCTGAAGGTCCCATGTGCTTACTGCCTGTTGTGTAAATTAAGTTTTGCTGGGACATGCGTATTCGTTTGTGTGTTGCCTGTGCCAATTTGCACATTGCACCAGCAGCATTGAGTAGTTACATGCCGACTGCCTTACCAAATGTACCTGGGGCTATGTGTTCCCCTGAAGATGGGTGGGAGGGATAAAAAGATTTGTATAAAAATAGAAAGATCATGCCTGTAATCCCAGCACTTTGGGAGGCTGAGGCAGGTGGATCATGAAGTCAGGAGTTCAAGACCAACCTGACCAACATGGTGAAACCCTGTCTCTACTAAAAATACAAAAATTAACCAGGTGCAGTGGCGTGCACCTGTAATCCCAGCTACTCACCAGGCTGAGGCAAGAGAATCGCTTGGACCCAGGAGGCAGAGGTTGTAGTGAGCCGAGATTGCACCACTGCACCCCAGCCTGGTGACACAGCGAGACTCCGTCTCAAAAAAAAAAAAAAAAAAAATAGCGGGTCTGTTCCAAGATGGCCAAATAAAAACAGCTCCGGTCTGCAGCTCCCAGCATGACTGACACAGAAGATGGGTGATTTCTGCATTTCCAACTGATGTACCTGGTTCATCTCACTGGGACTGGTCAGAAAGTGGGTGCAGCCCACGAAGGGTGAGCCAAAGCAGGGCAGGGCATTGCTTCACCTGGGAAGCGCAAGAGGTCGGGGGATTTCCGTTTCCTAGCCAAGGGAAGCCCTGACAGACTGTACCGGGAAAATGGGCATACTGCCACCTAAACGTTATGCTTCTCCAATGGTCTTAGCAAACGGCACACCAGGAGATTATATCCCACGTCTGGCTCAGTGGGTCCCACACCCACGGAGTCTTGCTCACTGCTAGTCCAAGATCGAACTTCCAGGCAGCAAGCCTGGCTAGGGGAGGGGCGCCCACCATTGCTGAGGCTTGAGTAGGTAAACAAAGCAGCCAGGAAGCTAAAACTGGGTGGAGCCCACAGCAGCGCAAGGAGGCCTGCCTGCCTCTGTACACTCCACCTCTGGGGGCAGGGCATAGCTGAACAAAAGGCAGCAGAAAATTCTGCAGACTTAAATGTCCCTGAGAGCTCTAAAGAGAGCAGTGGTTCTCCCAGCAGTGTTTGAGCTCTGAGAATGGACAGACTGCCTCCTCAAGTGAGTCCCTGACCCCCATGTAGCCTAACTTGGAGATACCTCCCAGTAGGGGCTGACTGACACCTCATACAGCCAGGTGCCCCTCTGAGACAAAGCTCCCAGAGGAAGGATCAGGCAGCAATTTTTGCTGTTCTGCAATGTTTGCTGTTCTGCAGCCTCCACTGGTGATACCCAGGCAAACAGGGTCTGGAGTGGACGTCCAGCAAACTCCAACAGACCTGCAGCTGAGGGACCTGTTAGAAGGAAAACTAACAAACAGAAAGGAGTAGTATCAACATCAACAAAAACGACATCCAGACCAAAACCCCATCTGTAGGTCACCATCATCAAAGACCAAAGGTAGATAAAACCACAAAGATGGGGAGAAACCAGAGCATAAAAGCTGAAAATTCTAAAAACCAGAGTGCCCCTTCTCCTCCAAAGGATTGCAGCTCCTTGCCAGCAATGGAACAAAGCAGGATGGAGAATGACTTTGACAAGTTGACAGAAGTAGGCTTCAGAAATTTGGTAATAACAAACTTTTCTGACCTAAAGGATGATGTTCGAACCCATTGCAAGGAAGCTAAAAACCTTGAAAAAAGATTAGACAAATGGCTACCTAGAATAAACAGTGTAGAGAAGACCTTAAATGACCTGATGAAGCTGAAAACCATGGCACGAGAACTATGTGACACATACACAAGCTTCAGTAGCTGATTCGATCAAGTGAAAGAAAGTGTATCAGTGACTGAAGATCAAATTCATGAAATGAAGCAAGAAAACAAGATTAGAGAAAAAAGAGTAAAAAGAAATGAACAAAGCCTCCAAGAAATACGGGACTATGTGAAAAGATCAAATCTACATTTGACTGGTGTACCTGAAAGTGACAGGGAGAATGGAACCAAGTTGGAAAACACTGTTCAGGTTATTATCCAGGAGAACTCCACAACCCAGCAAGGCAGGCCAACATTCAAATTCAGGAAATACAGAGAACACCACAAAGATACTCCTCGAGAAGAGCAACCCCAAGACACATAATTGTCAGATTCGCCAAGGTTGAAATGAAGGAAAAAATGTTAAGGGCAGCCAGAGAGAAAGGTTGGGTTACCTACAAAGGGAAGCCCATCAGACTAACAGTGGATCTCTTGGCAGAAACCCTACAAGCCAGAAGAGAGTGGGGGCCAATATTCAACATTCTTAAAGAAAAGAATTTTCAACCCAGAATTTCACATCAAGCCAAACTAAGCTTCATAAGTGAAGGAGAAATAAAATCCTTTACAGACAAGCAAATGCTGAGAGATTTTGTCACCACCAGGCCTGCCCTACAAGAGCTCCTGAAGGAAGCACTAAACATGGAAAGGAAAAACCGGTATCAGCCACTGCAAAAACATGCCAAATTGTAAAGACCATCAATGCTAGGAAGAAACTGCATCAACTAACGAGCAAAATAACCAGCTAAAATCATAATGACAGGATCAAATTCACACATAACAATATTAACTTTAAATGTAAATGGGCTCAATGCTCCAATTAAAAGGCACAGACTGGCAAATTGGATAAAGAGTCAAGACCCATCAGTCTGCTGTATTCAGGAGACCCATCTCACATGCAGAGACACACATAGGCTCAAAATAAAGGGATGGAGGACGATCTACCAAGCAAATGGAAAACAAAAAAAGGCAGGAGTTGCAATCCTAGTCTCTGATAAAACAGACTTTAAACCAACAAAGATCAAAAGAGACAAGGCCATTGCATAATGGTAAAGGGATCAATTAAACAAGAAGAGCTAACTATCCTAAATATATATGCACCCAATACAGGAGCACCCAGATTCATAAAGCAAGTCCTTAGAGACCTACAAAGAGGCTTAGACTCCCAAACAATAATAATGGGAGACTTTAACACCCCACTGTCAGTATTAGAGAGATCGAGACAGAAGGCTAACAAGGATATCCAGGACTTGAACTCAGCTCTGCACCAAGCAAACCTAACAGACATCTACAGAACTCTACACCCCAAATCAACAGAATATACATTCTTTCCAGCACCACATCACACTTATTCCAAAATTGACCATATAGTTGGAAGTAAAGCACTCCTCAGCAAATGTAAAAGAACAGAAATCACAACAAACTGTCTCTCAGACCACAGTGCAATCAAATTACAACTCAGGATTAAGAAACTCACTCAAAACCGCTCAACTACATGGAAACTGAACCACCTGCTCCTGAATGACTACTGGTAAATAATGAAATGAAGGCAGAAATAAAGATGTTCTTTGAAACCAACGAGAACAAAGACAAAACATACCAGAATCTCTGGGACACATTTAAAGCAGTGTGCAGAGGGAAATTTATAGCACTAAATGCCCACAAGAGAAAGCAGGAAAGAACTAAAATTGACACCCTAACATCACAATTAAAAGAACTAAAAAAGCAAGAGCAAACACATTCAAAAGCTAGCAGAAGGCAAGAAATAACTAAGATCAGAACAGAACTGAAGGAGACAGAGATACAAAAAACCCTTCAAAAAATCAATGAATGCAGGAGCTGGTTTTTTTAAAAGATCAACAAAACTGATAGACCATTAGCAAGACTAATAAAGAAGAGAGAAGCATCAAATAGATGCCATAAAAAATGATAAAGGGGATATCACCACCGATCCCACAGAAATACAAACTACCATCAGAGAATACTATAAACACCTCTAAACAGATAAACTAGAAAAACTAGAAGAAATGGATAAATTCCTGGACACATAAACCCTCCCAAGACTAAACCAGGAAGAAGCTGAATTGCTGAATAGGCCAACAACAGGCTCTCAAATTGAGGCAATAATTAATAGCCTACCAACCAAAAAAGTCCAGGACCAGGCAGATTCACAGCCAAATTCTACCAGAGGTACAAGGAGAAGCTGGTACCATTCCTTCTGAAACTATTCCAATCAATAGAAAAAGAGGGAATCCTCCCTAACTCATTTTATGAGGCCAGCATCATTCTGATACCAAAGCCTGGCAGAAACACAACCAAAAAAGAGAATTTTAGACCAATATCTCTGATGAACATTGATGCAAAAATCCTCAATGAAATACTGGCAAAACGAATCCAGCAGCACATCAAAAAGCTTATCCACCATGATCAAGTGGGCTTCATCCCTGGGATGCAAGGCTGGTTCAACATATGCAAATCAATAAACATAATCCAGCATATAAACAGAACCAAAGACAAAAACCACATGATTATCTCAATAGATGCAGCCCTTCATGCTGAAAACTCTCAATAAACTAAGCATTGATGGAACGTATCTCAAAATAATAAGAGCTATTTATGACAAACCCACAGCCAGTATCATACTGAATGGGCAAAAACTGGAAGCATTATCTTTGAAAACTGGCACAACACAGGGATGCCCTCTCTCACCACTCCTATTCAACATAGTGTTGGAAGTTCTGGCCAGGGCAATCAGGCAAGAGAAAGAAAGTGTATTCAAATAGGAAAAGAGGAAGTCAAATTGTCCCTGTTTGCAGATGACATAATTGTGTATTTAGAAAACCCCATCATCTCAGCCCAAAATCTCCTTAAGCTGATAAGTAACTTCAGCAAAGCCTCAGGATACAAAAATCAATGTGCAAAAATCACAAGCATTCTTATACACCAACAACAGACAAACAGAGAGCCAAATCATGAGTGAACTCCCATTTTCAATTGCTTCAGAGAGAATACCTAGGAATCCAACTTACAAGGGATGTGAGGGACCTCTTCAAGGAGAACTACAAACCACTGCTCAGTGAAATAAAAGAGGACACAAACAAATGGAAGAACATTCCATGCTCATAGATAGGAAGAATCAATATTGTGAAAATGGCCATACTGCCCAAGGTAATTTATAGATTCAATGCCATCCCCATCAAGCTACCAATGACTTTCTTCACAGAATTGGAAAAAACTACTTTAAAGCTCATATGGAACCAAAAAAGAGCCCGCATTGCCAAGACAATCCTAAGCAAAAAGAACAAAGCTGGAGGCATCACGCTACCTGACTTCAAACTATACTACAAGGCTACAGTAACCAAAACAGCATGGTACTGGTACCAAAACAGAGATACAGACCAATGGAACAGAACAGAGGCCCCAGAAATAACACCACACATCTACAGCCATCTGATCTTTAACAAACCTGACAAGAACAAGAAATGGGAAAGGATTCCCTGTTTAATAAATGGCACTGGGAAAACTCGCTAGCCATATCTAGAAAGCTGAAACTGGATCCCTTCCTTACATCTTATACAAAAATTAATCCAATATGGATTAAAGACTTAAATGTTAGACCTAAAACCATAAAAGCCCTAGAAGAAAACCTAGGCAATACCATTCAGGACATAGGCATGGGCAAGGACTTCATGACTAAAACACCAAAAGCAATGGCAATAAAAGCCAAAATAGGCAAATGGGATCTAGTTAAACTAAAGAGCTTCTGCACAGCAAAAGAAACCACCATCAGAGTGAACAGGCAACCTACAGAATGGGAGAAAATTTTTTCATTCTACCCATCTGACAAAGGGCTAATATCCAGAATCTACAAAGAACTTATATAAATTTACAAGAAAAAATCAAACAACCCCATGAAAAAGTGGGCAAAGGATATGAACAGACACGTTTCAAAAGAAGACATTTATGCAGCCAACAGACACATGAAAAAATGCTCATCATCACAGGTCATCATAGAAATGCAAATCAAAACCACGATAAGATACCATCTCACACCAGTTAGAATGGCGATCATTAAAAAGTCAGGCAACAACAGGTGCTGAAGAGGATGTGGAGAAATAGGAACACTTTTACACTGTTGGTGGGAGTGTAAACTAGTTCAACCATTGTGGAAGACAGTGTGGCGATTCCTCAAGGACCACTAGAAATATCATTTGACCCAGCAATCCCATTCCTGGGTATATACCCAAAGGATTACAAATCATGCTGCTATAAAGACACATGCACACGTATGTTTATTGTGGCACTATTCACAATAGCAAAGACTTGGAACCAACCCAAATGTCCATCAGTGATAGACTGGGTTAAGAAAATGTGACACATACACCAGGGAATACTATGTAGCCATAAAAAAATGATGAGTTCATGTCCTTTGTAGCGACATGGATGAAGCTGGAAACCATCATTCTGAGCAAACTATTGCAAGAACAGAAAACAAAACACTGCATGTTCTCACTCATAGGTGTGAATTGAACAATGAGAACACTTGGACACAGGGCGGGGAACATCACACACCGGGGCCTGTCATGGGGTGGGGTATGGGGGAGGGATAGCTTAGGAGAAATACCTAATGTAAATGACAAGTTAATGGGTGCACCAAACCAACATGGCACATGTGTACATATGTAACAATCCTGCACACTGTGCACATGTGCCCTAGAACTTAAAGTATAATAAAAAATAAAAAAAAATAGAAAGAATAACATCTGAAGTGGGAACTTTAAGTGCAAAATTGTTTTGTTACCAAAACATCAAAAAAAGTTTTGTAAATAGATAACGTTTTAATCTTTTTTTCAGTTCTGGTTCAAGAACTTAACAAAAATGACATACATAAAAAGGATATTAAGAAATATATTCAGTAAGATCATGGCAGTTTAGTAGATGCAGCAAACACACAGGCAGTTCTGTTGAACTCTGTGGCTTCAGAGCAAGCAGAAATAAATGAACCAATTGATATTAATGAGGAAAACACAAACCCACAATGTGTAACTTAAAAAACAATCCTATATTTAATCATTCAGGTTAACACAGCCATACAAACTGGTATTTAAGAAATCTCCCCAGTTAGCCTATTTTTCATTTTTCCATGTATTTCCAGGAGAGATCACCACAAGTAAGTCAGAGTGCATGCATTAAAGTCAAAATGATTGGTGCCTTCAAGAGGAAGATCCCTGAATCATGCAAGGAGCTTCATTCAGAAAGAAGACCTTCATCTCTACCTTCAGAATGTTCTTCACTGCACTGGAATGAAGATGGTGATGATAACGATGGTCAGGGCTCAAGCTCAGGCCCTTCCCTGCTGTGTGCCATAAATCAGTGCCCGAAGGGACAGGAAGCAGAGGAGCCCATGAGGGTGGCCGTCTCCAGAACAGATGCTCCCCATTCAGCCACACTTGGCCTGGATGTGCATACCAGGTGTGAGGCTATTGATTCAAATCTGGGTTAAGGAACCCGGCTTCTCCAGGGCTCCATGTGAGGACTAGCAGGGTGCTGCCATCAGGTCAGGAAGTGGCTTGGAATGGGGGCCATTCCCACTGCATATCTAACACTATGGATCCGCTCCAATGCCCAGGAAGCTGGGGTGAAGAGGACAGGCTTTGGCATGCAACACCCTGAGGCTCAAGTCCAGGATGTGGGCTCTGAGGCGAGTTAGTTTAGCTCTGAGCCTCAGTGTTTCTCTCTGAAAGTGGAGTTAGCAGTGTCTTCGTCTGAGACTTCCTGTGAGAATTCAGTACTGCATGAAAAGTGGCCCAAAGCACATAATTAATTATTGCTCATTATTTGTACTACCTGTAAGCTACTTCATTACGTTGATGACCTTTCTGTAATGAACAGCATATTATATTAAAATATAAGCTTATTTATTCATGTAGCAGATATTCATTAGGCAACTATTATGTGCCAAACTCTAGACTAGTTCTGGGTTATAGAAAAATGGATAAGACTAGGTCCTATCTTCAAAGAGCTAGCAAGATAGGAGAGAAAATAGATTCATGCAATTGCCTAAAATAATAATGAGAATAACAGCAGTAATAATTTGAGACCCCCAGTATGTGCCAGTTCCATTGGTGTGTGGGTTATGGATTGCCAGGGTCATCCCACAGAGTACAGCTTATGGAATCATATTTAAACCTCATGACAATTGCCAAGTGTCTTAGCAACTCAGGCTGCCATAACAAAATACCACAGACTGGGTTGCTTCAACAAGTGTGATTTGTTTTCTCATGGTTCTGGAGACTGAAAGTCTAAAATCAAGGTTCCAGCAGGGTTGGTTCCCAGTAAGACTTCTCTCCTCGGCTTGTAGACAGTTGCCTATGTGCTATGTGTTCACATGGCAGAGTGAGCAAGCTCTCTGGTGTCTCTTCATATAAGGACACTAACCCCATCATGAGGATCCACCCTCAAGTCCTTCACCTAAATCTAATCACCTCCCCAAAGGCCTCATCTCCAAATACTATCACACTAGGGGTAAGAACTTCACATATGAATTGGGGGAACACAATTCCGTCCACAGCACAGAGGTAACCACTACTATTCTGACTTTCTACAAAAAGACACTGGGATTCTAACAGGCCAAGTTCCCCAGGGCC
This sequence comes from Homo sapiens, assembly GCF_000001405.40. Taxonomy (NCBI): domain Eukaryota; kingdom Metazoa; phylum Chordata; class Mammalia; order Primates; family Hominidae; genus Homo; species Homo sapiens. The sequence continues at coordinate 43,912,902 of NC_000010.11, read as the reverse complement.
TGTCAGGACTTGCCCAGAGTCACCAGCAAGTATGGGACAGAATTGGAACTCAAATTCAGGATTTGTTTCTACAGAGAAATGGCAAAGAAACCTTTAGAATCCCAAGAAAAAGCAATTAATTTTCAAGGAGGCAGAAGTACTGCGACATACTGAGGCAGAGCCTCTCATCCTGACCTTGAAAGATGCGAGAGGTTCCCCAGGCAGAGAGGAAGAAAAAGGAGGAACTGGAGCATCAACCAAGCAGCTTGCAGGAACCAGTACTGGGGAAGCAATGAGGGCTGGGAGGGTGAGCACAGACAGAGAGATGGGGTCAGGGCAGGAAACGTGGGTAAAGGCCAGGGTCAGAACCTGGGCTGCAACCTTGGGCAGCTGGGAGTCAGCCAAAGATGGTAAGTGGGGCTGGGGTGATTAAATTCATACCCACCAAAGTCATTATTCCAGCAGAGGGAGAAGAAGGAGATGCTGGGAAAGAGGAGAGACCAGCCGGGAAGATGTAACAATAGCCCCATGGTAATAATGGGCCTCTGAGTTCTGAAACAGCCAACAGAGGAGAATGACAAGGAGGGGCAATGATGATCCAAGGAGGTGGCAGATCCTCAGGAAACACAGGGTAGGCTCATGGTGATAAAGTGTGCCAGGTGATGTGGACCTTAGAGGAGAAACGCCCAGGGCAGAGGGTGCTGACTTAGGGGCTACAGGACAGTGCCATGGACTGTTTGTCCCCCCAGAATCCATATGTTGAAACCTAACTCGTGGTGTGATGGTATTTGCAGATGGGATCTTTGAGAAGTAATTAGGTTTAAATGAGATCATGACAGTGGCAACCTGTGATGAGATGAGTGACCTGAGAGATCCCAGAGAGCTCTCTCATGCTTTTCCTGCCATATGAGGCCACAGTGAGAAGGTGCTGTCTATGAATGTGGAAGCAGGCTCTCACCAGGCACTAAACTGCTGGTGCCTTGGTCTGGAACTTCTCAGCCCCCAGAACTGTGAGAAACAAATCCTGTTCATCAAAGATGCTTCATGACATCATTTAGGGGAAAGAGTCAATCCTGTTTCTTAAAGAGGACTAAACAGTGTCCACCTGTTAATTCAGAAAGCCATGGCACTAGCAGTGCTGTAGCAATGGCCTGGGGCGTCTCTCGCCTCAGAGGCAATCCAGATCTGCTGGGGCTTTTTAAGGGAGCAAGTCCTGGCTCTGTGGGGCTCGCCTTGAGCTTAGTTCCTTAAAATTGCAAAGTCACCATGGAGTCAGATTAGAATGGAGCCCATGTCACATATTGAGGGAAATATTTTCATGCTTTTTCTCTCATTAAAAGCAATCTACTAAACTTGCAGGTGACTTTGTCTTTAAGCACACCACTCCTGTGAAGGAGAGACATGGTCTCTTCATTTTATACCCTGTTGGCAGCCCTGATAGGAGAGTCAATGATTTTTCCTCACTTAACCAGAACCACAGAGGGTTTTCTGATGTGTCTGTCGTATCCACCCAGCTAGGGTTCTCCTATATTGTGCTTATGAAATGGATTTCTGGAATCTAATTTTAGAATCTTCCATTTACTCCTGCAAGCTTCACCTTGTTGATCTCAGCTCAATTTACTATTTTTCACATTTATTTCCACTCATGATTTTGTTTTCTATTTCATATGCGCTTTTATATTTGTTACTAGAATGTTAGGTAAGTATGTCTTCCATGATGCCATTCAACCCATTGATTAAAATGTTGAAGAGAATAGGTTCAATGACAGAGCTCTGTGGCCATCCACTAGAGATCACCCCAGCTTGAGAAACAGTCAATGTTTAACATTCTTAGACATAATTCTGTTCTAACCAACTAGAGCCAAACTAAAAATCTAGTAGACCAGGAATAATTTGAAAGAGCCTCAGAAGGCTGGGCCTGCAAGCTCCCACCTCCATCCCAGTGTTTCCATTCCTGGCACTGAAGCCCCTGGGATCTCATCCTTAGGTTTCAGATCCACCGCCCTAGGCCAGCCGCTCACCCTGCTGATCCAGAGCTGGCTCCAAATCAGCGCAGCCCATGGGCCCAGCGCGCCAAAGTCCTGACCAGCCCCTGCCAGGCACAGCTTTCCAAAACAGGCGTTTTTGTCACTGTTGTTGCTTTTAATCTTGCTGTAAAGAGGCACATAATTTCTTGCCAGTTCCTACTGGCAGCCTCTTAGGAAAATCACTGTGTGTGTGTGTGTGTGTGTGTGTGTGTGTGTGTGTGTGTGTGTGTGTGTGTGTGTGTGTAAAGTGTGTGAAGACAGAAGGCCTAAATTCCCCCACTACCCAGGGCTCCTCCCATCCTTCTTTTCATAGCTAATTTCGTTAAGTGTTTAAACAATGTAAATCCGGCAGCCCTCCTTCATTAAAGCTGTGAGATTGAGGGCAGCTGCCGCCTAGCTATGGGCCCTCCCAGCCAGCCTCGGAGCCGAAGCGTCCACCAGCTTTCCCGAAATAGCGAAGCTCTTCCTTCCCTGCCTCCCCTGGAATGACCCCGGGGGAAGGATACTCCATTTCCTACGCCCAGATTACTTTATTTATGACCATCCAATGAGTCCATATTTGGAGAAAAAAATATCACCACCATGTGGAATGAAATCATGCAGCTGTAAATAACTGATGTAAGTGTTTAAATTAAAAGGAGCTCACGATAAGATTGTGTATGTATGGAACTAGGTATAGATGGGGAGTATGTGAACTGGACTCCATTCTGTGACAAGCAGGGTGACCCAGGACAGGACAAGTGGGGCTCTGACAACTTCAGGGGCCTTATGGCTGAGGAGCTGTTCAACATCATTCTTGGTCAGATTCTGCAAACCTGGATGAGGACAGCCAAGGAGTTCAGCTCCTTAAAAATACAAAGTCACCGCCGAATCACATTAGAATGGAGCCCATGCCACATATTGAAGGAAACATTTTCATGCTTTTTCTCCATTATCTACTTATTAAAAATAATTTATTAACCTTGCAGGTGACTTTGTCTTTAAGCACACCACTCCTGTCAAGGAGAGCCTTGTGGTCTCATTTTAGACCCTGTTGGCAGCCCTGGTAAAAGAGTCAATAATTTTTCCTCATAGGTACACATAAACACATTCTAGAGAAGTCTTGTGAAAACCTAATCAAATTTGCAACACATCAGCATGTTTAGTATTTAAGATACTTTGTACAGTGAAGAATCACCTTATAAACCAATAATTATCCTGTGATCCTGCAATATTGCTTAAAATGAAACCTGCCTACCTGGGTTTCAAAGCTTATATTTCCAGAACAGTTTAGACTTCACAATGAAGATCACTCCTTCTAAAACATGACCCTTCCAGGGCAAGCCATTCTCACTCCACCATGAAGCACTTATGCCTGAAATCCAAATGGAGAGTAAGAGTCAGTGAAAGTCACTCTCCTTCTGTTGGAAATGGAAATTACTCCAGAGATACTAGATTTTGGTTCCACCATTGGCTGAGGCTCAACAATTGCCAGCTGGATGATGAACCAATGCTTGGGAGTCAGGAGATGGTATATTCACAACTGACCAAAGCCTGGCTTCTTTTCTTTTCTCTTGAATGCATGTCAGTGGCCTCCCTGGGCTCGCCGTCTATGCCACCCTGCAGGGGCACATGTGCGTTGCAGGCTCTCAGTCAATATTTTATGATAACAATAGCCATCATTGTGAGGATCCCCCAACAGCACTGGGTGTTTTATGACACAACCAAAAACTAGGCACTAATGCAAATTTTAACTGGTAATTGGGAAGTGTGTTAAGATGTTTTTATGATCAATTTGTAGATCAATATTCTAAGTATATTTGGAAAAATACATTATCCATTTGTGCAATACAAATACGTGACATGGTTTGAATCCTCTACTCCCTTATTGGTTGTTGTCCACGTGATTTCTTGCAACACAAGTTTGTTAACATTACTACAACAACAGTGCTTCCCTTATTTTCTTTTGTATTGCTAAAACTTTTGTTAATTACATTTGATGCTTTTTTTTAATCACCATAGAAGTGTGCAAAATTGTCATTCTTTCATTGTGGATTTTTTCTTTTAGCTGTTTTGGCCTTGAGTTCCACCTTGTCTCCTGTTCATATTCACACTCCTGTCTCTTTTTGTTGGGATTCATTCACTATATCATTGCCCATTGCCTTATTTTTAATATTTTTGGATTAACTGGGTACACTAACGCAGTATTTAGATTTTACTCTTAACCAAATGTGAGTCTGTGATTCAAAATAAGAGTTCATCCTGATCATTTTATTAACATGATTTATATGCTTAATTTTATTTCTGCTATTTTGTTTTATGGTCATTTTTAATACACCTTTTATATTGAGGTTACTTTTTTAACCTGACTTTTCCCTTGTGATTTGGAACTCACATCTACTATTTTCATTCTGTTAGTAATGACATTTAATAAGTATGCACTGGAATCTACTTTCTCTAATTTTCATTATCAAAAATAGGCCTGGCATAGTGGCTCACACTTGCAATCCCAGTGCTTTGGGAGGCTGAGGTAGGAGGATCACTTGAGCCCAGGAGTTCAAAGTTACAGTAAGCTGTGATTGCACCACTGCACTTCAGTTTGGGCAACAGAGCAAGACCCCTCTTCAGGAAAAAAAAAAAAAAAGACAATATAAATTGATCCTTCTCTGTGTGATATGAGGAATATACTCCACTTTTACATCTTGTCTTCTGGCCATTCAATTCCCAATTTTTAGTGATACAGTAGGTTATTTGAACTAGATAACTATTACTTAGTTAATATTTTTAACCATGTGTCCTCTTTTGGAAATTATTTTTGGCATTCTTGTTGTGTTTTAATGTCCCATTGAGAATTACATTAATTTTGTTCTATAGTTTATGTTTGTTTGGGGGGAAGAGGTTATTTGTTTATTTTTATTAGTATTTTATATCATGAATTCTCCATTTTTGGATTTGATATTTTGATTCCTCACTCAGTTGGCTTAAAAATGACTCACTAAGATGTTTCTTGTTTGCATTTTTTTGTGGCTGTTGTCTGTCCAGACCCTCACATGGGGTCTGAACTTCTCAAGTTCACAAGAGAACGCAGCTTTTCTGCACTGGGATCTCAATGTCTGCATGGCAGCTAGGGGAGCCAAAATGGGAGAATGCAGGACAGACACTTCAATTTAAATTTCAGATAAACATGAAATAACGCTTCTGGTATAAGAATGCCCCCAATATTGCCTGGGCATCCTGCATTTTATCTGGAAACCCCATGTGGGTCACCATACTTTTCTTGGTCACATTTCTGCAACTGATGATCATTGTCTTCGTGTTACAAAGAAACAGGAACCAAGTTTTATCGCCTTGACCCTCACTGAATTTGTGGGGGCTTTTTCTTGAAATTAAAATAAATTATCAGGGTAAGTCTAGGCAAAAAAAAGCCCTTCATTATTTTATCTAGATTTCTGAAGAGTCTTTCTTTAACTTGGGAAAATTTCCACCAAATAGTTCTTTAATGATAGCTCCACTTTTGGAGGTTCTTTCTCTGGAATGCCTAATATTTATAAATTAAATATATCTCAGCCCATGCTTTTCCTATATTTTCTCTAATTAACCTTCTCTTATCCTCTTCCTCTGACTTCTGTGATGTCAAATTTGACTTCTCTCTTATAAAACCTTTTTTACTGAAAGGTCCATTTTGCTCTCCCCTTCCCCGTTTCCATTTCTGAAATGAACATTTTTTAAATCATCTCACAGCCTTCCCTACCCTGTTTGTTTTTTTTCTTTATGGTTCTCTACTCGAATTTCATAGAAGAAATGCTCATTTGAAGTTTATTGGAAACACAGATCAGAAGTGTTCTCAAAATTTTCCCATCTCTTTCAGAAACTATATTTTATAGGAAAATATTTCCCCTGATTCCTCAGAGTGCTTCCTCCTTTTGAACTGTGCTATCTTCTCATTCTCCTGGTGATTTTCATCTGTGTGCTCGACATTACAGAGGGAATGCAATGTTTGTCCAGAACCATTAGTGGGGATCCCGGTCTGAGTTATTCCGACCCAAGGGAAGGGGCAGGGAAGAAGACCGAGTTCTCAGTTCTCTATGCTGATTCAGCAGCCCCGGGAGCCAGGAAGCAAGCCGTTCTGAGATGGCCTGAGTGGAGCGTCTCTGCCCTTGGTTCTTTTCTCAGTTTGGAAGCCACTGGGAGTTTCCTGGAAGTGCCCTTGTTCTCTGCTGAGCGCCAGCGAGGTTCACCCCTGTTCTTGGCCTGTTCATGGCTCACAGCCCATGACAAGTGTCAGCTGGGGTTAGTGCCTCCCTGGCTTTGTGAAAGGCAGAATCTCTACCTACAAATCTTACAGCCTCCCTCTTCCCCTCTGGGCCTCTCTTCTGGACAGCGCACATGCCAGGAAAAGCTACAGGGCATTGGAGAGAGTCTTCTAGACCTTCCCCGTGATCCTTCCCAACTACATTGTTCCTTCTTTACATGTAAGGAACTAAGCTAAGGGAACTCTCGACATTTCCATCATGCGGCTGTCACCCTACCCTTCCCTCAGCCGATTCACATTTCCCCATTCATACAGTAACAAAGCATGTCAGCATGTAGTTTGCTTAGGATAATTTCTCAGATTTCACAGTATGAATATTTCACTGAATTTTCTCCCTTGAACAGAGTCCATTTTTCCTTTTTCTGGAACAAATGATATGTAAAAAACTGTATGAACCCCATTTTCATTTGGAAGCTGTTCCATGAAATATATTATCTAATTTAACAATGGGTCCCATTGTCAAATTTATTCTCAATACGAAGGCCAGCCATAGATTATCAAAACTTGCAGGCTGGTCAGCGTTCTGTGGGCTTCTGGTGAGATGTTTTACAGATAACATTCTGTATAGGAAGCAATCATGGCTTCATTCTATGATAGGCAAGGTGCCAGGAAATGCTAAATCAAGTGGCAATCGAGTCCCTAAAGAAAGTCATTTCTGATTTATGGTGATAGCTCCAACAATTCTGCTGAACTTTTTACACACTGAAATGACTACTTAGTTATGTTTTCCATTGGAGCAGAGAACAGCTGGCCTGCCAGAGACCCAGCACAGCAGCTGGAATGCAGAAACTCTCATACCATTAACCCCAAAGCCTGAGAAAAAGATTTCTTATTTCTGAAATGTAAGCGCTTGTTTTCTCCCAGCACATCTGACACCCTGAGTCTGTGGTGGCGTTCAGAAAGTGGGAAGCAGCCTGAACTGGGCTGGAGGCGAGGGCAGGAAAAGAGGAGTCAGGCGCTGGCACAATGGGGACTGAGCACTAGCAGGAGCTCCCCAAGGGCCGGGGGTGGTCTGCGTTATTTTTTAATTTATCACAGTTTCAACAGACTTATCTCGAGCAGTCTTGTCTTCCAGCTGCTGGAGCTGCCTGAAACCCTCTAGAGTGTGTGTGTGTGTGTGTGTGTGTGTGTGTGTGTGTCCACGTGCACGTGTGTGTTTTCTTCTGTGTTTGTATATTTTGCTCCTGGAGCTTTAAGAAGAGCCTAGATTAGTATTGTCCAATAGAGTGTGATACAAAGCACATACATAGTTTCAAATGTTCTAGGAGCCACACTAAAAAAAAAAAAAAAAAAAAAAAAAACAGTAAAGAGAAACTAGTAAAATCATGTAATATAATTTATTTAACTTAATACATCCAAAATATTATCAGTTCAGCATGTAACCTTCACATAACTTATTAATGGGATCGGTTGCTTTCTTCTCTTCAGGCCAGGTCTTTGAGCTCGTGTGTGTCTGCCATGCACTTCACACTCACAGCCCACCTCCTGTGGATTGGCCACACGCCTGGGTCTCAGTAGCTCGTGTGCCGGCAGCTGGGATGGGGGCAGGCTGGGCAGTGAAGAAGAACAACCTCCCCCTGTTCTAACTCATTCAGCTCTGCTCGGGTCTTCGTATTTCCCTGGCCCTGAAGCTCCCCCTCTCGGAGGTGCCCCTCTACCAGCCCCTTGAAGAATCGTGTGTGAACCATCACTCCTAGCCCTGTGCTACCAGCCCACCTCACTCACAGCTCATGCAGAACTTTGTAACTAAAATCCCAGGACCTGGAAAATACATGTCTGGGAGCTCCCAGACATAACAATCACTTCTGGACTCCCAGGAGAAGGCCATATCTTTCCCTTGGTCTTCCCTGCCCACTTCCAATCGTTGTCTCACCCTGTTTCTCCACAAACTCTCTCCTCTTTTCCTCTCTGCTCTCCCTTTCCAGATTGAGCAGGATGGTGGTGGGGCTGCTGGGGGGGCATTTCTGGGTCCTGTCCTGGGGAAACAGCTTGCAGAGGGGAGGCAGGGAAGGGCAAGGCATGCTCTCACTTCACTGTCAGTCCTGCAGCTAAGAGTCTGAGGCTGGACCACCGCCTCTGCATGGGACAACAAAACCGGGCTGGCGGCACTCCCGCGACAGTTCCCAGACACCCACAACCCAGGCAGGTGGCGCACCTGAGTAAAGGTGTCTGGGTATCGGATGGGACTGGTGGGCCTGGAAAACACAGGCCCCACCCAGGACATTTAAATTCAGCTTTTAACCCTGTGCAAGCCAAGCAAAACCAGTGGGAGCCAAAGAGTCATCAGCTTGTGGTTCCCAAGAGAGGGACGGGTCCTGGGGACTCTGTTCACAGCTTGTAGGTATCGAGGGACAGCTACCTTGCCTCCTGCCCCACCCTTTTAGGGATCTGCTGTCTATAAACTGCCGGATGTCAGGTACCTGGTTCATCATCTTCATTTTCATGCACGTCAACAGCCACATCACTGACCTTCCAACAAATCTTCCAGCCTTACCGACCCTCAGTCCTCGCCTCTAATGGCCCTATATTCCATCCGGAATCGGACCCTCAAGTGAAGTGAAATGCAGCCTGTAACTCAGAGAGTGGCAGGTTGTCTCCTCTGAACCGGTGTCAGGTGCTACTTTCTCCGCAACCCTAGGCTGTAGGCACTCAGCAGCCCCAGAATCTGCAGGCTTAGCCCTGCCATCCAGAGAGCAGTCCCTGCTGCTGCTCAGGGGGGCCATGCAGCCCAAGACGAGCCTAGATTCCCTCACAGTCTCTGCACTGTCAGGGTCCCCTAAGCTCTGCCAGGTCTCCCTAGTCGGAATGCAACATGTCTGTCTCCATGTTCCGAATTGCATCCAGTCCACCCGCAGGGCCTGTAGCCCTGCCCAGAGGTCCAGGTGGAAGGCATGATGCCCTGTGCAGTCCTGCCCAGACCCCTTCTCAGGAGGTGAGACTCTGCCCTACACATCCAGCAAGGTGCTAAACAGATCAGGTGGAACGAGAATGTCACTGCCTCGTAGTCCACCTGCAGGTACTGGAAACTGCTACCATTGCCCAGACTAGCAGAATAGATTTCACCTTCGAAAGCGACCCTGGCCTGGATCCTGCTGCTTCTGCCACATCTATTTCCAGCTTCCTCTTCCTACTGGCCTCCTTCTGAAGTCCCAACATGATGTCCTGCCAAGTCACACAGGTAATGGCCATGCCGGCTTCTTAAGCCATCCATTTTGTTTCATGTCTTTTCCTTCTTGGGATGCAATGAGCTCAAGTGAAGAGAGTAAGTGCTTTTGAGTCTGAGGAATTTCATCTTGAATCTGGCTCCAAGATTTAATCATTCTGTAATTCTTGGGCAAATTGCTTACCATCTTTGAACCTCAATGTTTTTTCATCATTAACAGGTAATCAATCCTACTTCATAAGGTTATCAGGATGATCAAAACAGATCATGTAGGTAAGACGCTTACCACACAGCAGACACGGCTACCTGCTGGCTACTGTTTTGAGTGGACCTGCACTTTGCCCATGTTGTAATTGCCAGCCTCTTAGCTCTTCCCTGTTCCCAGTTGCCATTAGGAGACTTTGACCCCCTTTGATCCTGTTCACAGCCTAAATGCCACAAGTTGCTATTTTCCAATGGGCTTGTGTAGACAGTCCGGCAACAGTCCTGCCCATCCCCAGCTGCCTTGTCACAGCCTCTGCCTGTGGCTGGGACTCATCTGAATCTTTCGCACATCCCTCACTACCTCCTGCCAAGAAGCCACATCTCATGTTCTGGACATCTGGATTTGGGGGTCATGAGGCTCAATCATCAGGAGGGCCAGAAGGCGATAAGGGAAGAATCCAGTTTCCGAGGGTCTCCAACATGGCATAAGCCACTGTGGGAAGGAAAAGATGGTTTCTCCAAATACAGGCTGGGTGGATGCTGTAAGAGCTCACTGTCAGGATGGTCTTTCCAGCGGTGCCTCTTAATGGGTGCATCATTTATTGAAACCCTATCTGAGCTGTCTGCTTTTGCAGCTGTTGGATATTGTTCTCTCACTCAGTGGTCATTCAAGAGCTGAGACCTTTTAGGTAATTGATGAACATCGCAGAATGACTGACACTCAACTAGCTCTTAAAACCAACCCCTGTATCACCATTGCAATATACAAAAGTTTATTTCTCACACAATATTCAATTTGAGTCAGGCAGCCTCCTTCACCTTGCTCTATGTGACCCAGGTCCATGGCCTCCCAGGTCAAAGCGGCAAAGACAAAGGAAGCTTGTGGGCTCCCACCTGCTCAACCTGGAGGTGACCCTTCTCACAGCCGCCCACAGGCCACTGGGCGGAACATCTGACCTGACTGTGAGGGAGGCTGGAAAATGGGGGGAGCACAGGGAACGTGGATGAGCCAAGCGCTCTGCTCTGGCATTCACGTGGGAGGGGGTGTGGATGTTTATGGGCTGTGGGTGCATGCATTGTATGTGTGTGCTGTGCTTTTCACACTCCTAAAGTGCCAACGGCTGCTCCTCTACCATTTCTCTGTTTTTTGTTTTTTGTTTTTTTTTTGAAATCATTGTGATGGTCCAAATCCCCACATGTCTTGCACAAAGCAGGTGCTTTATAATGTCGTTTGAGTCAGCTCACTCAGACTCTGATGAAAGTCTCTCATAAGAGGAAAAATAGAAATAGGTGTCATTTATCAACTCTCCTCAGTTTTAGGCTCAATGCAAATAAGCACATCACGTGTATTGTTTCATTTCTCTCTTACAGTTACTCTTTGAAATAGGTGCTATTTTTTTATCCTTATTTTACAGGTGAAGATATAGGTTTGGAAAGGGGATATAACTTTCCATGGTCAAAAGCAAATAAACTGAACATCTCAGCCAGCCCATCTGCTTGGAGCCCTCTGCCTTAAAGCCACATCACTCTCTGAGATGAAACACCAGCCAGACAGGGTGAAGACAGGAGCGAGCTCCAGGTTTACAAGTGATAGGATCCCTGTGGATTTCTAGTTCAGACTGAAAATCCATGAAATTTAGAATAATATGGGGATAGTTTACAGACATGTGAACTTTTACTGTGTATGTTTTACTTACAATGCAATACCTAATACTTCCACTGCGACATCAGCAAACATCCTTAGCCCTGTTTGCCACTGCACCACAGAGCTTTTCATGCAAACTAACATTACAGTATGATACAAAGAAAACTGTTTCTTCTTAAGATATTTACAATGTGATCAGGTTTATTTAAATAAAGTCCATTTTATACTAGCTTTAGAATTGTCATTAATTTTAAAAGGCAGTAATATGCCATCAAATTCGTTCCTAATCTTTTACAAGTGTTATTTTTCCTTGCTATTTTCATTTTATCATTATTCTCTCCAAAAGTCTGCAAATTGATTTTGGGGAAAATAGGTAGATATACCACACTAAAGTTGCAGACACCTAAACGTCCATGAAGACTTACTTTTTTTACTCAGGCCAGGCCTAATGTCAGCTGCACAAAACCATGAGGCTCAGCCCTGGAAAGAAGAATGTTTCCACTTTTGCCCTCAGTCCTTCTTCACTATTCAGCTTCTGCATGAATGTCCCTGTGTGCTTTCATAATCTCACATTATCCTAGTATTGTGCTTCTATATTTTTCTAATTTCTAATTTCTAAATTTTCTTTTCAATAAAACTTAAGGACTGCTGAGTTTTTATCCAGGACCAGGAAAAAATAAAAATCAGCACTCTGACAATAAAAGTTGCTTTGAGATTGCATACCATAAGTCACGCTTGTTCGGTGTCCAGGGATACCACTGTATTTCCAGTGATTTCCTTCAATCACTGCCAAGAGAAAGGCTTGGATTTCCAGCATACATTTGCTCCCAGAAAGCCGGTGCACAGGGGAGCAGCTTGGCCCCCGACCATCTTCAACTATGGTGCAGCCCTGCAACAGAGCGGGGGAGGCCAGACAGAACTCACTCCTGAAGCCAAACCCCCCAAGGTTTGCTCCTGGAGCCTCTTCCTATGTCATTGTCATTAACCTGTTGTGATGCTCCGGTTGTCATTCCCAGAAATCCAGGCACTTGGTCATCTGTGCCCAAGTCAAATTGCTTGCTCTGGGGCACACCTTCTACTCAAGGAAAAATGAGACCTCAGGAAAATCCAATCCATCCCAGACCAAGCTCCCAGCCCAAAATAGTGTGCTGCTGCTGAGTTTCTAGACGACATCTTACCTTCTCCTCAGAGGTCTGCTCCAAGGGCCTTGACCTGGCGGCCCGCTTCATGGAGTGAGCAGGCCACGCGTGCAGTACATGGAGCTTAGGAAGTGCTTGGTCATCTTTCCATTCAGGGTGAGTTTGGTTACAGCTTGAGTAGGTATAGCTCCACCTAAGGGAACTACCAGTCAAATAATTAGGGCTTAGAAATGCTCCATTTCACCCTTCAATTGTCCATTCCAGGGCACCAGCTGAAATGTAGAGGAAGCTTCAGGACAGGCTCACCTGGATGGGAGCATGCCCCTGTTTGCCCTGTTCACTTCATTTTCAGGATTTTTCTGGCCCTGAGCTCTGTTAGTGGCAACCATAACTCATGCCTTTCCCCTCCTTCAAGCCTCCAATCCCACCAAAAAAAAAAAAAAAAAAAAAAAAAAGCAATGAGACATCTAGAACAGGATAATAATATCAATCATTTAATATTTGAGCAATGCTTCACAGTTGACAAAGTGCTTCCTGTGTATTTCCTCTTTTGACCCACATAATAACAGTAGGAGGATTGTAGGGAAGACATTAATAGTCCCATTCTTCAGATAGAAATAAATGCATTGTGCCTTGAGAACCCTAATGCTGGAAATCACAACTCAATTGACCTTTCCTCTAGAGGCACCCAGTGCAGCCCAAGTCCTCTGACTTGGAAGCATGACATACTCTACTGGTATTCACAGCACATGAGGCCCAGAAGGTGGAAGCAGATCCCAAAGCAGTTTTGCCCATTGCAAAGTTCATAGGTCCGGTGGTCTGGGTGATGCTGGGACGTTTCTTCTGGGGTGAAAGACATGCTGTTGCACCTTGTACTCCCTACCACTAAGACGGCATCTGGCTTTTGCCAGGCCTTGTGGATTTCCGATGCCATATAAACCACACCTGGAAGTACTGATCTGATCTATTTATCACATGACCTAGTCAGCTGCCAACTCTGCATGAGGCTCAGAGCCAGAAAAGGCTGTACTGCAGGCCCTGGCTGTATGCAGTTTGCCCCTAGGCCACACGGCATCCGATGGAGCATGCCTCTGCTCCAGTCTCTGGAAAGCCCCAGTAGCAGAGCTGCAGCATGGGCCCCTGGGATCTGGGCAGGGCTGCCTCTTCTGTGGCAGGAATTACTCATATTTGAAGAGCAACTCCAGGCACAACGCTGGGCTCCACAGGAGCTCCTAGGCAGGGCTGCATGCAGTCGGATGCCCCCTGTGCCATAAGCTTGGGTGGGCACGGCAGCAATCCTTTGCACACAGGAACTGGGATGCTCAAGATCCAGCGCGAGCAGACCCAGGGGAAGAGAAAATGATGTGCACAGATGGCCCAGGCTCCCGCGCCCCTGCCTGCTGCACTGATACCTTGCTCTCAGCTGGCATTGGCCAGTTCCAGGGTTTCCCTGCAATTAGCTGCCATGGGACGGAACTGGGCCTGGGCAACATAGGGCAGCCCTGTGCGTCAGCACCAACCAGCAAAAGTAGACTGCCCATGCCTGCTACTCACAAATCCCTGGAGGACGAAAGTGAAGGAAATTCCTCCCTGTTGGCAGAGCTGTGGCCACACTGGAAGTTGACCAATCTGTATGGAGAAGGCACCTGAGGTGTGTACCCACACAGACTCCTGGAGGAGCCAAGGGGCAGGGCTGGCCACCCCCATGACCCCTGGGGAATGTGCACTTCCTGCCACAGCAGCCTTAGGTTTGGGCTGATCAGAGGCCCTGGGTTAGGGGTGGCAAAGGGGGTGGAGGTGGTGGTCAAGGGAAAAGCTTCTACTAAGTGAGCACAACAGGGCCTCTACTCAGCTTAAATTCGTGACTCTCACCCGGTCACCTTTGGGCCACAGATGCCAGTGAACCAACAGGCAAGAGGGAACTGGTGAAGGGCCTGGATCCCGATGGCTGTGAGGAGCTAGAGTTTCCACTTCCTAATGGATTCAAGGAGGAGTCTTATATGGAGTGCAGTGATTTCCTGGGGTACCCTTTGTGGCCTCCATATCCAGTGAGGATGGTGAACAGGCAACTGCAGCCCCTGCCCCCTGACAAGGGCAAGACAACCAAGGCCTTAGATATTCTGGGTAAGAAGGTTGAAGGTCAAAGTTCCCAAATCCAGAAGCTACCCAGATCAGCCCAAGCACTGGCTAGTGTGGGGGACTTTCAGACCCAGAGGTGGAGGAGAAGTCTGCAAACACTGGTTATTGCCACACAGTCAGCTGCACTAGTGGAGACGGGAGCTTGTTTCACCGATACTTTTAAGTTAAATGTTTGCAGAGGTTATAGCCAGCCACTGCCTTGAAACTGATGCTGTGGCAGATTGGACTTAACAGATAACGTGAGTGGGTGTGACTGTCCCTGGGTGGACTGCATGGAGCGTCTCTGGGGCACCCCATCAAATGCCCTCAGCTGCACCTGCCACTCATTCCAGCTATGCTCTGTAGGAACCAGCCCCTCCACGCAATACGACCTGGAGACAGCCACCCTCAACTCCATGCCGTGTGCCTCTGGTGTTCCGCCCCAGGGTTTCCCTGTGAACCTGCTTAGTGCCCATAGGTGCACAACACAGAGAGAGTTTAGGGAGATCACACCCTATGTGGGGCTCTTTGAGCAATGGGGGATGGGAGCCGGTGCATAAACATTTCCCTCTTTCTCTTCTATAGAAAAATCCCTGAGACCCCTGTCATGTAGCTCCTTCGCTGTCCCTGGGATCAAGCACACAGTTGCCTGCAGCAGTGACTGACACAATGACAGACTTTGCACAGCTCTTCTTCTTTCCCTATTTCACACCCCCGCCTTGCTCCTGTGCCCTGGACACTGTGCTCCAGGACAGCACTTTCACTCCTGCCTCCGTTTCAGGCCATGCTTTCTGGGGAAACCAGATGTAGTCATTTAATTTTAGGTGTCAACTTGACTGGACTGAGGGATGCCCAGGTAGCTGGTAACATGTTATTTCTGGGGGTGACTGTGAGGCTGTGATTGGAGGAGATTAGTGTTTGAATTGGTGGTCTGAGTAAGCAGAGCCACTTCACCAGCGTGGTCAGGCACCAGCCAGCCACTCTGTTGAGGGCCCAAATGGGGCAGAAATGAGGAGGAAGGGCATTTGCCTACTGTTCTAGCCAGGACTCCCACCCTCTCCCACCCTCAGACATCAGTGCTCCTGGCTCCTGGCCCTCTGGGCCCAGACTGAATTGCACCACCAGCTTTCCTGGCTCTTTAGCATGCAGATGGCAGATCAAGGGACTTCTCAGCCTCCACAGTCACGTGAGCTAGTTCTCATAATAACTTTACCTATATGTGTACATATATCTCCTAGTTGCTTGTGTTTCTCTGGAGAACTTGACTACTGTACCAGGCCAAGTCATGTTACCCATTCCTAACTACCACTGAATTTGACGTTCAGGTCCTATACCTTGAGTTCTCAGTCCCTCCATCAGCTCATTTCCAGTGCTTTCACCTCCATTCCACTTTATCAGCTTGCCTCTGGTGCTTCCTAGACCACTGTCATCGCCCATGACTGCCGTATTCATGAGTCCAAATGTAGACATCCCTCTCTCTTCCTCAGCCTTCCCTCAGTCCTTTCAATCGGTCCTTCTGCACCAATGGCTTAGCATCACCAACACTTTCTGGCTTGGGAACCATCTCCTTTCTTGTTAGCTAGCAGCCTCCTCTTGTCTTTTATTTGTGGGTTTTTTTTAAGCCAGTTAAGATTCCAGAGAACAATATTTCTATCACGCTTGCCAATTTCCCAATCCCCTTATTCTCCTATCTCATTTCTTGACAAAATCCCCTCAAAATTAATACAACTGCTACATTAGTCCATTTTCACACTGCTGATAAAGACATACTCGAGACTGGGAAGAAAAAGAGGTTTAATTGGACCTACAGTTCCACATGGCTGGGGAGGCCTCAGAATGGAGGCAAAAGGCACTTCTTACATGGCAGTGGCAAGAAAAAGTGGGGAAGAAGCAAAAGTGGAAACCCCTAGTAAACCCATCAGATCTCATGAGACTTATTCACTATCATGAGAATAGCACGGGAAAGACCAGCCTCCATGATTCAATTACCTCCCCCTGGGTCCCTCTCACAACACGTGAGAATTCTGGGAGATACAATTCAAGTTGAGATTTGGGTGGGGACACAGCCAAACCGTATCATCTGCCAATTGTTTTGTGCTTACATCCCAGGTGCTAATCACTGTTAGAGAAAAACCACAAAGCTGAACAATTTGGAGCCATTATAATAGCTCGCCACGTCTATTGAGAGTGTAATCCTCGCCAGAAATTATTCAAAGTGTATTACATATGATTATCTCTTTCTGTGCCCTGCATCCTGCTGGAAAGCTGCCCAGAAGCCCTGCCCTCCAATCTCTGAAATGCATTCTCAGAAAACTTTCTCTCCTGCTGCTCAGAGAAAATAGAAGTCATCAACTGAGAACCTGGTAGACGTCTTCCTTCACATTTCAGTATCATTCAATGATGATTCCTTTCTTCTAATCCAAAGACTCTCTTTGGCTCCCTTAACCCCATCCTCCACTAATTTTTATTCTGCCCCTTTGACACCCTTTCAGTTATCTCCCTTATCCCTCTGCTCATGCTTCTTTTACATTTTGAATGTAATAATATTGAGGGAAAAAACAAACTTAGTTTCTCCTATACTCTCACAAAGCAGAGTACTTCTGACACCAGGTTCTGTAGGGGATTTTTCCAGCACACCAGGCAAGTAACCAGTCTTGCAGCAGTGGACACCAGCTGTGAGTCCTCCAATTCGATTCCGACACTCTCTCCCTAGTGGTAGCATCAGATCCCACAGGGTGAGGGCTGAGACCCACAAGATTGCCCCCTACTTCTGATGGTGATTAAAAGCCCCAGGTTATTTTACCTGTGCTTCTGACAGACTGGCTATAAATTGGATTTCCCATGATTCCCTCCTCAGTTTAGTTAATTTGCTAGGATGGCTCACAGAACTCAGGGACACACTTATGCTTAGCAGTTTATTACAAAGATATTTTAAAGGATACAGATGAAGAGATGCATAGGGCAAGGCATGTGGGAAGGGATGAGATGCTTCCATGACTGCCCCAGGCACCACCCTCCAGGAACCTCCATGTGCTCAGATATCCAGAAGCTCTCCAGACCCAGTCCTTTGGGATTTTTATGGAAGCTTCATTACATAGGCATGACTGATTACATCACTGGCCATTGTTGATGGACTTAACCTTCTGCCCGTCTCTCCTCCCCAAAGGTCAGGGGTGTGGGGTATGGCTGAAAGTCCCAACACTCTAATTATGCTTTGACATTTCTGGTGATTGGCTCCATCCTGAAGACATCAGTCAATCATTTGCACATGAAAAGCATGCCTTTGGATATTCCAAGGGTTTTAGGTATGCCAGGACACAGGATGAAGACCCATATATATATTTCACAATATCACAGTTGTCCTTAGGCTAGTTCCCTCTCTTCTGAATCATTTTTTTCTGTTGATTTATTTCAAATGCATGGATTCCATTACCATCTCTTAAGAAAATGATTCTCTGATACTTCAATAAAGCTGGAGAATGAAAACAAAAAGGAAGAAAATGATTCTCCAGTTAGATGTTCAACATAGATGTCTCTCCAAAACTCAGACTCACTCACCATTTTCATTCACATCTAACAAACCCATATCAGAAAACAGAATGATCTTCCCATATAAACTACTTCTCTATCTCTATCAGCATCTAACAAGCCCTACAAGTCAGCAACAGGATCTCACCTTTGACTCTCTCTCACCTCCCCCTCTATCCCCATACCTTCCAGTCACTTACTTCTTAAATATCTTTGGAAACTAATCTTCTGTTCATACCCACTACCATTTCTGTAATCTAGATCATTATCATCTACCTGCCTGACTGCAAGAAACTTCTAGTTAGTCTCCTTGCCTTCATACATGGCTGTGATGGTTAATATTGGGTGTCAATTTGATTGGATTGAAGAATGCAAAGCATTGTTCCCTGTGGCAGCTGGGTAGGGTGGTGGTGTCTGTGAGGGTGTTGTCAAAGGAGATTAACATTTGAGTCAGTGGACTAGGAGAGGCAGACCCACCCTCAATCTGGGTGGGCACCATCTAATCAGCTGCCAACGTGGCTAGAATAAAGCAGGGAGAAGAAGGTGGAAGAAACTGACTTGCTGAGTCTTCTAGCCTCCATCTTTCTCCTGTGCTGGATGCTTTCTGCCCTCGAACATCAGACTCCAAGTTCTTCAGCCTTTGGATTCTTTGACTTACATCAGTGATTTGCCAGGAGCTCTCAGGCCTTTGGCCACAGGCTGAAGGCTGCACTGTTGGCTTCCCGACTTTTGAGGACTGGCTTCCTTGCTCCTCAGCTTAGAGATGGCCATTGTGGGACTTCATCTTGTGATCCTGTGAGTCAATTCTCCTAATAAACTACCCTTCATATATACATCTAGCCTATTAGTTGTGTCCCCATAGAGAACCCTAACTAATGCAATGCCTGTATTAAATTTAAGTACTTCTTCAGGCTCATGCCAAGCCTTTTCTCATGTTTATCAACATATATTGACATGTGTCTTTAGGATTGACTCCTTATCCCTGAACTCCCCCAAAACATGCCCTGCCATGAGCTTATTTTCAATAAACTTTTGTTGAATTAATAGATGACCATTAAATAAATTAAAGAATTACTCCATCAATGAATAAGTCAATCAGTGTTGTCTACTTTAAACTCCTTGAGACTGAATCAATTTCTATATTTTGTTTACTTCCCATCATAAAAGCAAGCATTAACTTGAAATTATAATCATTATTAAATTGATCAACTGAGTGCATGCATCTCAGGTCTGGATAATAATCCTAAAGTCTTTAGACATATTTTTGAGCCCACCAGACCAGAGGTTTCTATGCTCAAATTTGTTGGACTTCAAAAATGCAGATATCCCATATATCTTCATCTTCATTTTGTTTCCGTAACTTGAGTTTTGTAGCCTACAAAAAGGGTGAAAGTAGAGCCTGAGCATCCTGAGACAATGAGTTTAGAGGCCTGGATTCTGGGCATGTTGGCTGAGCTGTGTCATAGACAAGATGTGAGGACATGTCCAACAAGTGTGGCCAGCAGCAAGGGCATGGTTACAACAGTCTTTAGGCTCTTGAGTCTAGAGGCCTAGATGTTAAGAGGCAAGAGTGAAGGGCTAGAGCAGAAATGAGAGGACCTTGGAGGAGAGGCTGAGAATGTCAAGTGTAGAGAGGTCAGGGGGCCTTAGGTCTGGGGCTCCGCCCTAAGATGTCTGTGCTTCAATCTCAGGTTTTCATGGTCCTGAGAGTGAGAATGTGATTGGCTGAGCTTGGCTCAGGCTCCTCTCCCTAGAACCAATCAGCCACGGCCTGGAGTGGAGTGGCTGAGCACCACTCACACCCTGCAGGAGTTGTGAGCTGGATAATGCCCCACTTTCTGTATTCTGCACATCCCAGAAGTCTTAAGTTTTTATTGAAGCTTGCTTAGCCAATTCAAGCCCAATTTCAGTGATGCAAATCTCACATCTATTACACGCAGATAATGTGTGGGTCCCTTTTCTGTTGATGCATTTAGTCTTCAGAAACACAGGATCATGGGCCAGATCAAGTAGCAAATGGGTATTAACACTGGAGGGTCAACCAAGCTCTGAGAACAGTTACAAGAAAACAGGATGAAGGCAAAGACTTTGCTCCAAAATGAGCAGCTGAAAGGAAGGGGTTGCTGTCTGCAGTCCAGCACAGAAAAGGGCTGAGCTGGGAGCCTGGGAGTCTGAGCTGTCTCTCACATGTGCAAGTCTGCAGCAGTAAAGAATCCAGAGCATTCTCAGTGACACCAGATCAGCCTGTCGCCATTTAGTTCTGACATGCCCGAGTGTGAATTCTCCATAAAATGTCACAGTGCAGAGGGAATAAGAGTGATAGCAGACCCGGTGACCTCCCCAAATCACATACTGCCCATCTCTGGAAGCTGCTGGGAGGCATGGGCCTCTCATCAGAGCACAGTTTAATGTACCTCATGGGATCTACTCCCACACAGCAGGGTAGAAAATGTTTGGGAAAGGAAGGCTTTTTACTGAGTGCCCAGCACAGATGTATTGCATCAGTGGCAGTGCTGCCTGGGGACTTCCCTCCCCAGTCTGCACTCTGAAGGGCAGACATTGTCTGTCTGGGCCATGGAGTCACCCATCCCAGGAATTTGGTCACAACCACAGACTTCTAATTTGTAATAACTGTCATTGTTCTGTAGCCACGCAACAGAGCCCAAGTGCATATGGCACGATTTCTTTTGGATAAAAAGTGTGGCGTCTCAGAGAAAGTGGGATGTTTTACCAGAAAGCACTGCCCTGCAGTGACCACCTTCACTAACTCTAAGAACCTCAGCTCAGTGTGTGTGTAGTAGTTGGTAATGCTCAAAGTGGCTTTTTTATTGTTGTTAATTTGGATTTTTAATTTTATTTTAGGTTAGATTTGGAGGTACCTGTGCAGTTTTGTTACATGGGTATATTGCATGATACTGAGATTTGGGTTTCTAATGAACCTGCCACCCAAGTGAACATAGTACCCGATAGGTAGTTTTTCAACCCTCCCTGCTTTTGGAATTCCCAGTGTTTATTGCTCCCATCTTTATGTCCATGTGTAGCCAATGTTTAGTTCCCACTTATGAGTGAGAAATGCACTTGGTTTTTGGTTGGTATTTGGTTTTCTGCCTCTGCATTAATTCACTTAGGATAATAACCTCTGGCTGCACCCAGGTTGCTGCAGAAAACATGATCTCTTTCTATTTTATGGCTATAGTATTCCATGGTGTATGTGTACCACATTTTCTTCATCTAATCAACCCTTGATGGGCATCAGGGTTGATTCCATGTCTTGAAGTGGCTTTAGTCTTCTCACCTAACCTTGCACTTCTCTGTGAGACAGGTCAGGCAGGCATTCAGTGGTTTGCCCACTCAGTCAGCAAACATTTAGCTAGCATCTTTGTGGTTGCCTCCCTGGTTCTCACCTGAAGTAGAACCAAGGCTCTAAGTTCCCTCCCTTGCTCAGCATGCTCTATGCCCAAACACAAGGTCTAACACATTCATTTAACTCATATTCTAAGGAGACACTCAAAATGATGGTTAAGTAAAAAAGGTGGAGAATCAAGAAAATTCTACCCACATTATTTTGGTTATCAAATTCAAACAGAACTGACCCTATTAAAAGGTAAATACAGTCATTCCTCAGTGTACACAGTGGGGGAGAATTGGTTCCAGGACCTGCCATATATACAAAAATCAGCACAGACTCAGGTCTCCACCATCAGCCTTGCAGAACCTGATTCTAGGAAAAGTCAGCCCTCCATGAAATCAAGTTTCACATTCTGCAAATATTGTATTTTAAGATCTGCCTTTGGTTGAAAAACAAATCCACATATAAGTGGACCCCTGTAGTTCAAACCTATTTTGTTCAAGGGTCAAAAGTATATTTAAAATCACATCATTCAATATTAAGTGAAATTTGAACTAAAGAAGGAAGAAGAGTAGAAAGAAGAGAAGGAAATAGAGGATGAGTAGGAGAGGAGGAGAAGGAGAAATAGAAAGGAGGGCAGAAAAGCATGCAAGATGCAAAAGATAGTTGAAGTGAACACTGTAGGAGATTGACTCCAAGAAAACAAAGAAGAAAATAATGACAAGAAAGACAAAGGAACATAAATAAAGAAATAAAAGTGACAAGGGTGAAAATAACAGAGATAATCAGAAAACTAGAAATTTAATATAAAAATAATTATATATCTAAAGAAAAGACTAGAAAAAAATTGTAAGACATAAAATTCAACTAGGATCTTTTCTACAGTGAAAGAAAAAATAAATATAATTCAAAGGTTTACTGTACCCTGATAAAAAGAATATAGGATGAAATACACCAAGATTTGTCCAAAAAAGAACCACAGATACTTTTGAGAAAGTAAAAGCCAGTATCCTAAAAGGAAAACTATTAACTGACTATCAGACACTCCTCAGAGTTTTCTTCTTACTGGAATGCAATGAAACAATCGAGATTTGAGGAAAGTAGGACTCAAGAGCTCTATTACTCACAGCTGTCATGTGTCTATGGCAATAGAAATACATTCTAAGATAGGTAAGTCATCCAAATGTGGATGAACCACCAACTAATAACATAGCCTCAAGACGCATGAGGCAAAAACTGTTAATAGAACTGTAAAGAGAAATAGAAAAAGTCAGTTAGAATCTAAGATTTGCAAATCCCTATATCAATAACTAATAGAACAAGTAGAAAGAAAATCAGTAAGGATATAGATTTGAACAAAACTATCAATCAGCTTTAACCTAGTTGACATTGATAGAACACTCTACCTGACAAGCATGCACATCCTTTTCAGGTGTACCTGGAACATTTGCCAAGGCATACTCTTAGCCATAAAGTCTCAGTGAACGTAAAATCATACAAGTCATACAAAGCATGTTCTCTGACCACATGGAACTACTTTAGAAATCAGTAAAATAAAGGTATCTTTTAAAATCCCCAATTATGTAGAAAAAATAAGTAACACACTTCTGAATAACTCAGGGATCAAAGAAGGAATTAAAACAGAAATTAGAAAGTATTTTGAAGTAATTATAAATGAAAATGTAATATATTAAAATTTGTGATATACAGCTAAAGTATAATTTTATAGCACTAAATGCCTATATTAGAAAAGAAAGGTCTCAAATCAATAACCTCAGCTTCCAGTTTAAGAAACTAGTAAAAATATTTCAAAATACATGTTGTATACAATAAATATATACAATTTTTGTCAACGTTTAAAAAATAAATTAGAAAAAATATTTTCTTTTAAAAAATAGTTGTTATTTTTAAAAGAAACTCCAAATAAGCAGAAGACAAGGAATAATAATAAAGATCAGAGTGGATGTCAATAAAACAGAAAAAAGAAAAACAATATAGGAAATTAATGACGTCAAAAGTGGGATCTTTCAGAAGACCAATTAAATTTATAAACCCCCATTCAGACTGATCAGGAAAAAAAAGAGAAGACACAAATTAGTAATATCTGGAAGCAGATCACACATCACAACATATTTCAAGAATCCAAGACAGTGAAGATGGGTCCAAATGCATAAACCCCCCAAAAGTGAGGCTATGTAATGGTGTATCTACACCCAGAATGTGAGAATGGAAAACAATGCATGTTCCCTAGAAAATGATGGTGCACATCTCCATTTGTTGGCCCACAAAGGGGCTCCCAATAGCGTTAAGCTTAAAGAGTAGGTCGAAGAACAGTGGTTTTAGTCCGATGCCAATCAGGAAAAAGTATTGACATCTATTTCAAGAGGCATAAAGAAATACCTGAAAAAATGCTAATCTGAGAGTTAACAATGGCCATCTTAGGCTATTAGGACTCTGGGGATTTTTGGCAATGAGCTTGTTTCATTACACAATAAACAATAAAGCTATTTTTGAAAGTTTTTATTTTCAGATAGAAATTCATGTTATTGAGGGTGTGGGCAGTGTATCGCATACACTGTAGTATTACAACATTTTTGGAATATGATTTGGCAGAAGCTACTAAAAGTTAAAGTATGTATCTGCATTGACCGGGAATCTGATCTTATATAAATAATGGCCTTAGTATGTGAGGACTGCTGCATAAAATTTTGCAACCATGAACTCTAAGGTGCATCATTTTCCCGTTAGTCATCATGGATTTGTATATATTTTATAACAGTTTTCTGGCAGTAAAATGTCTTGGGGGATGCCTTTTTCTAACTGTCACAATTTGGACTAGCAGTGGTGCTCAAATAATGCAGGGATTTTGTTACACAGTTATTTGTGCAGACCAGAAGAAAGAGGAGGAGAAGAGAAAGGAAGGAAAAGGAGAAAAAAGGGGAAAAAAGAAGAAGTAGAGGAAGAGGAAGAAGGAAAAGAGAAAGAAGGAAGGGAAGAGGCTCAGAAAGACCAAGTTACAGAATACTCATATTATGGAATATTATGAAACAATTTTAAAAGAATATACTAGATCTATTTGAATTGACCTACAGTGATGTCCAGGATTTATTTGGGGGGACAGAGGCAAACTGCAAAACAAATGAAATAATAAGTCCTTAATTTTGTTTTGGTGGTTTTTTTTTTTAAGGAAAGAAAACATCCTTTACATTTGCTCATATAAGTTTTATGACAGCTAAGAAAACTGTGGAGGAATACATACCAACAGTTAACTCTCTTCTGTGGGTTTGGGGATGTGGGCATTATGTTTTTTCCTTATTTTTTAAATTGTATGTATTTAAGGAATACAGCATGATGCTTTGATATTACGTATTTATAGTGAAATGGTTACTACAGCCAAGTAGGTTAACATATCCACCAATCATCTCACATAGTTACATTTTCTTTTGTGTGTATGTATGTGACAAGAGCACCTAAAATCTACTCTAGCAAATTTTCAATATACAACAGATTTAACTCTAGTCCATTTGCTGTACATTAGGTCTCTAGACTTACCGTTTCAGATAACCGCAAGTTTATACCCTTTGACCCATATCTCCCCACTTCCCCCACACCTGCTTCCACCTCTGGTAACCACCTTTCTACTCTGTTTCTACGTATTCATGGTTTTTCTTTTTTAGACTCCATATCTAAGTGAGATCATGCCATATTTTTCTTTCTCTGTCTGGCTTATTTCATTTAGCATAATGTCCTCTAGTTTCATCCATATTATCATACATGGCAAGATTTTCTTCTTTTTAAAGGCTGAATAACATTCCATTGTGTATATCTACCACATTTTCTTTATCCAGTTATCCTTTGATTGACACGGCTTGTTTCCATATCTTGACTATTGTGAGTAATGGTGCCATGAACATGGTAGTACAGATATCTTTACAACGTGGTGATTTCATTTGAGTATATACCCAAAAGTGGGATTGCTGGGTCGTATGGAAGTTCTATTTTTATTTTCTTTAGGAACCTCCATACTGTTTTCCATAATGGCTGCACAAATCTACATTCCCACCAACAGGGTACAAGGATTCCCTTCTCTCTGTGCCTTCATCAACACTGGTTATCTCTTGTCATTTTTACAATAGCCATCCTAATAGGTGTAGGATGATACTTCATTGTGGTTTTAATATGCATTTCCCCAATGACTGGTGATGTTGAGTACCTTTTCTTAAACCCGTTGGCCATTTTTTTTGTCTTCTTTGGAGGAATATCTTTTCAGGCCATTTGCCCATTTTTTAATTAGGTTGTTTGTTTTTTTTGCTATTGAGTTGTATGAACTCCATAGGGATTTTAGCCCTTATCTGATATGTGGCTCGCAAATATTTTCTCCCACTCCATTAGTTGCCTTTTCAGTTTGTTAATTGTTTCCTTTGCTGTGCAGAAGACTTTTAGTTTGATGTAGTCTTTACTTGTTTGTTTTTGCTTTTGTTGCCTGTGCTTTTTGGAGTCATATTTTTAAAAAAATCATTGCCAAAGACAATATCAAGGAGCTTTTCCCCTGTGTTTTCTTCCAGGAATTTTATCGTTTCACATCTTACGTTTAGGTCTTTAATCAATTTTGAGTTGATTTTCATGAAGGTGTAAGATAAAGATCCAGTTTCATTCTTTTGCATGTGGACATCCAATTTTCCCAACACCATTTATTGAAGATATTATCTTTTCCCCATCTTGTCTTCTGGGTGGCCTTGTCAAAGATTAGATGACCATGTATACTTGCACTTATTTCTAGACTCTTTGTTCTGTTCCATTGGTATATACAGTATGAGTGTTTTTATACCAATACCATACCGTGTGATTATTACTGCTTTGTAATATAATTTGCAACCCAGAAGTGTAATGCCTCCAACTTTGTTTTTCTTTCTCAAGATAATTTTGGTTATTCAAGGTCTTTTATCATTGCATAAAAATTTAAGAATTTTTTTGATTTCTATAAAAAATGTCATTAAAATTTTTATAGGATTGCATTGAATCTGTATATTGCTTTGAGTAGTATGGACAGGTGGACATGATTTTTTATGTATATATTTCTCTATTGCATAAATTAATACTTTGAATATGTATCACTCTTTTGTCATCTAAAAAAATTTAAAATTTGAAAGCAAATTACAACTACCTAGGCCAACAATCTTTAAAGTTTTCTTCAGAATACTTCAGAACTCTATTGTCCTTTTGTTTTTCCAATATTCAGTTAAACTTACAGTTATTCCTTTATCTATGCATCCACCTGCCCTCTGCCCACACTCCCAGCCATCAACCAAAATTTAGTGTCTCCACCCATCCTGTCTGCAAGGAGCTGGGGACTCAGAACCTCCTGAGGAGTTGCTGGTGATCCCACAGGTAGCAAGGTAGACAGCAGCAAACAGGCACCCCACCACCTGGTGACAGCCTAGGGTATTGGAGCTAATTAGTGCACAGCAAGGCCCTGCTTTCTCCCGTTTGGTAATCAATATACCATTGGAAAAGTGAGTGTGGATTTCAGGTGACAGGGTAAATCTCAGGTGGACTTGTCATTTTGGAAGGATTATTTCTCAGTGACAATTCAAGAGACGAGCTATGTTAGAATCCACTGTGAGTCCAGTCAAATTCTTTCAGGCAGCCAACTGTCTCAGTCTCTCAGACAGTGTGTTTTTGAAGGAGCCCAGGTAGAGGATTTTTTAACACAATCAATGTTTGAGAATCACTTTTCTATAGACTCTGCGAACCTCAGGTGGAATCATATATTCCAAAGTGCTGAATGAAAGCTTCCAAAGTGTCCTCCTGCATCTACAGTCTCTGGGGCAGAAGGAACCAGCCCAGTTAAGGGGAGCTGCTGCCCCATGGGCGAGGCATCAAACCTGCTGTTTGCAGGCTGGCCTGCAAGCACAGAAGCTCAGGAGCCATGGTCACCAAGAGGTTCAGGATGGCTGAGCTTGGAGACCCAGCAGAGGGAGATGAAGGAAAGAATGTAGGCTGGAGACTGCCCATTTTTCCCTCTCCTGGTGAGCGCAGAGAACTGAAGTCACTGTCTTTATGTTTAGAGAGGTGAGTGTATGGAAGTGGGTCAGGGAGAACACACCATGGTGATTTATGCAGTCAGTGCTGCTGCCCTCGGCTCACCAGGGAAAGCTTCAACGTGCTGCTCAGAGAAGCGGGCACTGTTTTCCTGAGACCCTGAACACCCATTTCCCAAATTTCAGGAGATGGACCACAGCCCTGAAGACTCAAGCTTTTGCTCTGGAAAGCTAAGCCATCCAGAGAAGTCTCTGTGTTTGTGTACAAGCAGAAGAGGGAGAATGGTGTTTTCAAGACTGGGAAGATGCCCCGGGCAGGCAATCAAGAGCAGGTGAGCCCTGGGAACCTGTCCCCATCCAAACCAAGGTCTGGGGGTAGCTAGGGCTTTGGAGATTGGGGAGCCAGTCCTTCACAGCTGCATGGAAGCTGGAAATTACCCTCTGCTGCTTCTGAGCCAAGCGGGAAACCCTCCTTCAGGCCAAGAACAATGTGGTATGAGTGGCATTTCTGTGGTCCCTGAGCCACAGAGCCCTAAAGATGAAGGAATCATGAAGCCAAGAGGACATAGCAGTAGCTGTGATGCTGATCACAGGCTGAGGAGCAGCTCTTGCCTCTTTCCAGGGCTCTTGGGCTCCAGGATCCCTGCATGATCTAATTGAAGAGGAAGGAACCCTGAGAACAGCCAGCATCATGTTTCTTCTTAACCCTAGGGAGCAGATGCTCGGAGCCAGGTGTAATTTGATTTGGAAAAATAAAGAAATGTGATGCTTCTTGCATCTGAGTGTGGAGGAGCGACTCGTAACTTACACCCTCCACTTATTAATTCCTCCATCCACGTGTGAGCGATTTTAGATCACCTTAACTCAGCTGCTGAAAGCTGCACCCTCCTTATCGTTCTAACACCCAGCATACTCGAGGCACCTCTTGCAAGAGCTAAAGTTTATATAAATATTATGTCTTACGTTCTTATCACAAATCAGTTTTCCAGTATTTATATTTTAGATTTCTTGCCACCCCTTGCAGGTGGAACCAGGAGGGGTGGGGTAAGTTCTTGGCCAGAAAATTTTTTAAGTGGCTCCCAAGAGGGTGAGGAGCTGAAAAATAAAGAACACAAACCTTGAATATATTTGTAGCAGCCTGAAGCAATTTTGTAAAGTAGGGTGAGAGGGCTTCCCAAAGATACAGGCATGGAAATTATTTCCCTTTTTAATGCAGATAGATGAAAATGAGAAAATGTAATCCTAAGAGGTAATGCACCCAAATGGAAAGGTCTCTTAGCATGCCCACTAGTTATACGTTTCAATTTTTTTCTAGTAAATATAAATATACATATATATAAATTAATAAAAAATTCAAAGGGACCAAAGAAATACAAAATAAAATAAAACAATTGGTCTTCTCCACTCTGCCTTTCAGCCCCTCTGGTTGTCTTCCCCAGAGGAGAACGTTACTGTTTTCTTCTCTATCTTTGCAGAAATATTCTATACACATCTAGTTACCTACATATATAAATATATTTTAATACAAATGAGACCTTACTGCATACACTGCTCTGGGCCTTGTTAGATGGACCATACTTTATTAAACCAGATCCCTCTTAATGGACATCAGAATATGTCCAATAGTCCAATATTACAAGTGATGCTGAAATAAATATCAGTGATGTATTTCCAAGTCTCTTTAGAATACCAAATGCAGAGTTTACCTAAGACATAGGAAATGTTTTTAAGGGCATTGTTCTGGGTTGAGTTGGCTCGTGGAAGAAAATATGAGAGCGGTGTTCAGGATTCCCTCGGGAGCAGAATGCTGGCCCCTCCCCGGCCCAGACCCATGCCCAGCACTGTCGGGGGCCATTCATTTCTCCAGGACTGTCCTGGGAAAGGTCATACTGGGATGCCTTCATTAGTTAGGGTGGAAAGATATTTCATCTTTAAGAGGAATAACTTTCCTCTTCACAAGTGGTCTAGAAAAAAGAAAGTAAAATTGAAGAAGTGGAAAACACATGTCAAGATGAGGCGAAATCCAGAATCACTTCAGACCTGAGCAGGGAATCACAGCTCAACACAGAGAGAGAGAGAGCGGGGACCACCAAGGCGGCTAGAAACCTGAGTGAGTGTTGGAGAGGTGGAGTGAACTTTTGTAACAGGCTCAGCTATAGGAAATTCTTGGGACACTTCCTTTCCCAATAAAACTTCGCATAACAAAGCTGTTTTTGACAGGGTTGAAGTTTTTGTGGAAGGGATACAGAGGCCTTCACTTTGCAGGTGCAAGAGATCCCCAAGATAAGTCCACTGGCGTTGTCGAGGGCATTTCATTTGTGGCCCAAGGTTGACACAGTTCGAGGACAAGGAAGAAAACTAGAGAAAGCCTTGCCCTGGGAACAAGAGATCCTCCAACCAAGCCCCATTCTCCCTCTTTTTCAGGACAAGGTCCGTCAGGACACAATGGGGTTATGGAGAGGGGAGAAACAAAGGAAAAAGCACTTTATAATCATTACCTCATTTAATTCCTGCAGAAGGGGAGGGAGAGAGCATTGTTTCCATTATGTGAACCACATTCCAGAAAAATTGGAGAATAGTAAAAGAGAGAGAAAAAAAAATCAGCCCTAATCCCATAATTGAAGCAAAGTTATTGTTACCATGCTGGCAATTGTTTTCACCCCAACATCTTACTGTATTTGTTATTATTTTTATATAATTATGGTCAAAGTGTTACAACTGTATAGCCTCCTTTCTAATTTTTCATTAACCATTACAGCATATACAATTTCCATGTTGCCAAATTCTCCAAAATCATCACCTTCCTAAACATGAACCATTCATCGCCACAGTGTCAGCTTTACTTGGACAGTTCCTTATGTTGAACATTTGCATTGCTCTTGGGGCTTTATTTCTGCATTATTTTAAATAATAGTACAATTTCAGATTGTTTTGTTAAGATAAATTTCCCCAACGGGTAGGGGAGTAAGGGGCAGGGGAGAGGAAGTGAGTGGACAACCATCCTAAGATGCCCTCAGGAACTTGGAAATAAGATTTCCTTTGAGAGTTCTTCTGCTGTAACAGCTGACCCATAATCAGTGAGTATAGCAATTTGAGAAGTTACCCTGAAGGGGTGGAGGCAGCCAAAAATGAAACAGTGTTGAAGGCACCAAAGTAGCTGAAGAATGTGACCATCAGAAGAGGGTGGGCTGGCCCGAGGAGCCCAGAAAAAGTGTTCATATCAGTTAGAGTGTTGGGGGGATGCTGGGTAGCCCTAGTTTACTCCTATTTTCTCAGTATCATCAGTAACAACTCCCTCCCCATCTCACTCTCAAAACTGCCTTATTTCAGAAAACAAATTACACAGTCCTCTCCTATGGATGACTTGGCAATGGGCAGGCCTCTGTCTTCCAGAGGGACCAGATGGATGCACCCTATTTTGCGCAAAAGATTTGGAAGAGGACAAGTTGCATCTGAGAGAGAGGTGATGGTTACTGGCCCCAGGAGTCTGGGTGCCAAACCTGCCTGGACACATGTGCTCCAGTGGGACAGGGCCTCTGGAGGTACAGCTGAGAAGGAAGCTGCAGAGAAAAGCATGGCATGGCCAGGAGCCAGTGGGGGGACTCTGACCACCACATCAGGGGAAGCGTCACCCCAAAGCCTCCCCTTGCCTGCTGGGGCCAGCACTGCCCTGTGGCTATAACACATGAGAACTGAAGGACCAGAGCCCTCCTCCTGGAGAGAGGGAGGCTCACCAAATGCTTTCTGGACTTTGCACACCACCCTAAAGGCGAGCTGACCTTGCAGCGAAGACGTCTGCCTGCCCACCAACACTGGGGCAGTGTGCTCAAGGAGGTTTTGTGACATCTGGGAAAATAAAGGAATGCAGTGCCATTGGCTGGATCTGAGTGTGTGCAGCAATTCAGGCTTGACAGATGGGTGCAGCAGCCTGCAGGTCCCACACGGCCTCAGGTGCAGCCTTTTCCCGCTCTGATGCCACACTCACCATAGCACCCTGTGGGCGTGGGAAAAGGACCCCCAGGCAGATCCATGTCTCCTTGTCAATTAATTAGGCTCTATATTTTATACGTTGGTTTTATGAATTTGGACAGCTCAAATCAGTGTACAGGGGTTCACTCAACCCTGGGATGGTTAAAAAAAATTGAGTTTCTGAGCCACAGAATGGAGGGCAGACCCATCCTCAAAACACATGATGACATTTTTTTCTTTCATCTGCTTTTGGTTGCTCTGTATTTTAACTTTTAAGTTAATCTGAAATTTGCTTTTTCTTTAGGACTAAATTACTCTTTCTCCCCAACTGCAAGCAGGTTATTATCATGTGATTTGTGGAAAATATTTTTATTTATGAGTATTTGTGTTGCTTTATGAACCATATAGCTTATTCATTCATGAGCCAAGGTCTTTGAATTATTTATTCTGTTTCATTGATTTGTCTATTCATAACCAAATTATTTTGAGCATTGTATCCTGATAACATTGTTTAATAATTATAAAAACCAATCTTTTTATTCAAAGATTTATGTTGAACACTCACATTATTATTTTCACTGTAACTTTAGAATTTGTTCTGTTTCTAAAATAGCCAGGAGGATATTGAAATGACCTACACCAAATGTGTGCATTAATCTAGGAACAACTGATATTCTCACAACAGTCATTTTTATATTCAGGAATATGATATTGTTCAAATGTGTATGTTATTTTTTGTGTACATTTTATATGCCAATAAAGTTTTGTAACTTTCTTGATTGCAATCACACTGATTTTCCTTAAAAATACTCCAAGGTGTTTTATGATATTTGTTGTTATTCTTTATATGTTTTTTCTCATTAAATCTGCTTATTGCTGGAGAGGTATGTAATTTAACAGCCATATTACGGATGACAAAACTGGGGCTCGGGGAGGTTCATAAATTGTTCAAGATTTATGAAGCAATTAAGCCGGGGAGCAGCAGCATGAAGCAAATGAGGACAAACCCTGACACCCACACGAGTGTTTCCTTATCCTTCTCTGTGTCTGGGCTCTTGGCAGCCTGTGGTGTTGGGAGCAGGCCTGGTCCCTTCTCCCTTCCATGCTGACCTCCCTCCCACGTCTCCGTGGAGACTGGCTTTCCTTCCCACTGTGATGCACCTTCATCTCCAGCCCATTCCAAAGCGCCCTCCTTTTCTGAGAATGCCTGCAACTCTGTCTCCCACAGGAAATGTTCATCATGCTCACCATCCTTGCCTTTCGTGTTTTCCTTGAGACCACTGGGGAAGAGACCTCAGTGAGCAGAATGCACAGCCATGGGGCAGAGGTCTGAGTGTGGGGATCAGCTCAGAGCGTAAGACCAGATCACAGACACCCGAGTCACCGGGCTGCAGCCTGCACAGCTGGACACACTCGCCATCTGCTAGGGGTGCCTGGGGCTCTGCGGGTGTCCAGCACCAGGAATTGGAGGCTCCCCGCTGGCTGTGGGGCGGGAGTGAGACTGGATCCTCTGCTTCAAGTAATCCACCCAACTTACATTTGATTTATACCCACGGGACCACGGGCTTTTCCTGAAGGAAAGCTGCAGTGTGTGGCCTCCCGGGCTGACCACCCTCCCCTGGCTGTGGTCAGCGTTCTGAAGCCAGTACCAGTGGTGGACCAATCCCACTCAGTGGTGATCCCACTCAGCCGTGGCTTTTCAGTCAGCTGCTCCTACGAGGAAGATGGGCACAGCGTGGTTATCCCATGTCCATGGAACTTCCAGTTTTGGGAGACGAATTCTCTGGGTCTCTTTGTCACCACTCACAATTCTCTGTGCAATATCTTACTGCAATTCAGATGAGTTAACTAAAGCGTGGCAAAATGACAAGACTGGCCAGAGCCCATGGGGAAGCTGAGAAAGGGAAAGCCGGCCTTGAAAGCGGCAGACTGCAGTCTGCAGGGGCTGCAGGTCAGCTGCCCTAGGCGGCCGTCTCGTTTGGGATTTAGGTCTGAATCACCATTTAGTGCTGGGGACTTGGTGCCCCCTCCACTCAGGTTTACTAGCTGTGGTGAAGGAATCACTGTCAACCAGGGTCTGCGGGCATTCAAAATGGAGCAGAGGCTTGGCCCCTGCCCTCCTGAGATGTGCCAGAGGCAGGCACCTGGGAGTATAACTTGAAGGAGGGGCGAGAGGCACTGTGGGTCTGGTTCAGCTTCCCAGAGGGCCTCATAGGAAAGGTGTGGTTCAGAGGGAAGCCTGGGGAGGGCTTTGTGTAGAGAAGGGCAAAGAGGGTACTGTTCTTTCTTAGGAAGAATCAGAGAGCCACTGAGCCAGCACATGCTCTGTCCCCAGAAGCCCTGGTTCTCTCACCTCACTCTTCGACCACCTCCCTCCGTAACCCGGCTGAAGCCACTTTCCCCTCACAGAAGTCCTGTCACTGACTTCCCAGAAATGAGAACAGGCACGTTCACGACTTCAGAAAAAAGGACTCTATAAGCATAAATGATGGGAGACTCTCAGCTCCGATAAAGATGTTTTTCAAAAGACCAAAGAGGGTAAATAACAAAAGCACCCATGGTGTAAGGTCCAGGCGCTATTTTTAGGCCGTCCTTCGTGGTTCAGGACAGACGGAAGATGGAAGAGGTGATGCTGGCCGCCAGTCCTGCTCCATTTTGGTCCTCACCCCCGGAAAGCACTGAATCCTTGATTGTTTGGTTAAAAACATCCCAGAGTGGATTTTGTTGTCAGCTGCTCTTGATCTTTTAAAATTTCCTGCATGTGCTATTGACTGCACTCCCGGCCTTGATAGAAATCCAGACAAAATTGTCAGCCTGTGAGCTGTGGCTTTGTCATCAACAGGCTCAGCCATTCTGGCGACAGGGGCAGGAGGCTGCGGGGCAGGAAGTCGGGCTGTGAGCCAAGCCTGAAGTGACTGGAGAACAGCCTCAGACCCACCCTGGCCTCTCGTCTCTCCGTTCCTGCTCCTGCACCAGGCGATGGATGATATTTTTATGTAAGAAACCGGAGGAGAAATCCTGCCGCAAGCACAAAACAGCCTTACACAGTGAGTTATCAGAAATGCCACTAAATGTTGCAGGTGGGCATGTGCAACTTGAAGGAACACATGGCCCCGGGCTTCACTGGGCCCCTTCACCACCCAGCCCTATACCTGAAAGGAAGGGCCTACCAAAACGCAGACGGGTGAACCCACCACAGCCAGATTTCTCCATGTGTCCTAACTTCTGCATAGTCCAAGCTGAGTCAGCCTCACTCTAAGGAGTGTCGTGATGCGAGGTTCTCCTGGAAGGAGGGGGGTTATCTCAAGACCCTCAGGATCTAAGTGGGGCCTAGCACATGACTGGCACTCACCGACTGGTGAAGGAGAAAGAGAAATGGCGAAGGAGAAGGAGGGAATGGAGGAAGGGGAGAAAGGGAGAGGCAGGAAGGGGAAACCAGAAAACAGGCAGACATGAAGCAGAAGAGCTTCACCCACCCAACCACAAATCTCCAAGCCAGGGCACTTCAGCAGCCGGCAGGACTGGAACCGAAGGGGTGACAGCAGGAGGTGGCCTGAAGCAAAGGAGTGGAGAAGAGAGGACGGCGAAGTCACCAAGGATGTCCCACGCTCCCTCCATCAAGGCCTTCTTACAGGGGCCTTCTTGCTGCTGAGTCCCTAAAATGGAAGAACCACAGCGTGGCAATGACTTGGAAATGTTTGCTCACGGCATTTAACAACCAGAAGCGGGGCCGGGCGCGGTGGCTCACGCCTGTAATCCCAGCACTTTGGGAGGCCAAGGCGGGCAGATCACGAGGTTAGGAGATCGAGAACATCCTGGCCAACATGGTAAAACCCCGTCTCTACTAAAAATACAAAAATTAGCCAGGCGTGGTGGCCTGTGCCTGTAATCCCAGCTACTTGGGAGGCTGAGGCAGGAGAATCGCTTGAACCTGGGAGGCACAGGTTGCAGTGAGACGAGATCATGCCACTGCACTCCAGCCTGGCAACAGAGCAAGACTCTGTCTCAAAAAAAAAAAAAACCCAGAAGTGTTTGTTTGTGCCATTCATTTTGTTTCTTAGCATGTGGACTTCATCTAAAGGAGTGTTTAACTCTTTCTCTTCCTCTTTAGCTCCCCAAGGGGTACATTGTGATCTACAGCTCTACCCTTAGTCCTGAAGGAAGTTAGGTAAACTCTGGAGTGGGAAGACTGGTGTTTCTGTCTCCTCAGCTACGTAAACACACCTTCAACTGTAACATGCTGCAACTATAAAATACAGTTTTATAACAGCCTGTTTCATGTTTCACAGCCCGGCTTCCATTTCAGTTTGTGGGAGGGTTGCTGAGGGAGGTGGGCCGGGAACTGGGGAGAATAGACACGCGTAGTTCATCAAGGTGTAGTTTAACTGTAACTGCTGAAATAAAAGATGAGAGGAATACCAATTTTCGTGAAAGGCAGACATAAACACAGCCCTGTCAAAGCTCCAGACGTGTATTGGCCTTAAATGTGTGCGAGGTGGGCTCCCGTGACAGGCCACACTGTAGCATTCCTCATGACCAGTTGTGCAGTTATTCACAAGACAAGACGAGTGTGAGATGCCTCATCTGAGAAGGACACGACGGAAGTTGCCCCGTCCTGTGTGAACCAGGGTCTCTGAAACTCACCCTTGAGTTAGAAGAAAGGCAATCGAATCCGAACACCCCTGAACAGCACTATTAAAAAAAAAATCTTTTATTTTAGCAGAATCTCCCAGTGGCCATTCTAAGAAAAAAAATGAAGAGACTAATCTTCATTTCCATGGGTAGAAATACAATTTGAAAGCACATTTTACCTAAGGGTATTAAATTATTTGACTACTCTGAAAACCTTTCCCAAACCTTAAGGATTTTAAAAGGAGGGAGTGACATTGCCTCCGCTTCACAGAGGGAGAAACTGAATGCAGGAACAGGAGTTTAGACAAGTTCACCAGCATTCATTTGAAAGAGTCAAGGTTAGACCTCAGCATTCCCAAGAATCTAAATTTGACAGTGCTGGAAACTCAGGAATTCTGATTTCTAAAGATCTACTTTATCAAAAGGTAAAAAATATAAAGAAAAATCCCCCAATATAGAGGATTGGGATCCCAATAGTTAAATCATGTTCTGCATGTGTACAAACAAAGTCAGAAGTTTAGAAAAAAGGCACGTCAGAAACTGTGACCTCCCTTGCCAGTGTAGCTCCCATGAGTAGCATAAATAAAGTGCTTGAGAATCCATTTTAAAGAATTATTTAATCTCTTATAAGCCTGGAGTTAAGTATTCTGAAATTCATTGCAAACTCATCTATATTCTTGTTGAGAATACATTTGTTTACACTAATATCAAACTTGTAAGGCCCCAGCGTCTACATAGTTTTGGAAAATTCTTTCATGCCAGAACCAGAGAAGTCTCAGGCTTCCTTTACAGCCACAATTCCTGGTCACCCTGACACTAAAAGTGTCAGGTTTTGAACGTGAACAGGGCTGGTCATTTTATCAGTATTTCAGGACTCAGCAGTTTCTTTCTTTTTTCTTTTCTTTTTTTTGAGACGGAGTTTCACTCTTGTTGCCCAGGCTGGAGTACAATGGTATGATCTCAGCTCACTGCAACCTCCATCTCCTGGGTTCAGTTGATTCTCCTGCCTCAGCCTCCCAAGTAGCTGAGATTACAGGTGTTCGCCACCTCGCTCAGCTAAAGTTTGTATTTTTAGTACAGACAGGGTTTCACTTTGTTGGCCAGGCTGGTCTCGAACTCCTGATCTCAGGCGATCCATCTGCCTTGGCCTCCCAAAGTGCTGGGATTACAGGCATGAGCCACCGCTCCTGGCCCTGGGACTCAGCCATTTCTGACCATAAATCCAAAATCTGAAAATTCTCATTCCAAAGAACTAGATTTGTTTGTGTTCATCCCAGCAATTTTCTAAGCTGAAGACGCTTCCTTACTGTGCACTGAGATGACACGTAGGTCAACTTGACTGTTTTAATCAACCACAGGCTCATCTAATTTTCTGTGTCACAACAGGTTTCCAATGTAATACTCTTATCTCTGAAAACACTGTATTTTAAAAACAAAACAAAACAAAAATTGATCATTGATTTTTAAAACACGAAGAAACTATCCTGTTAGGTATTTTCTGTAATTTAGTAAAAGTGGGCACTTGGGAAGAGCTCCCTGCAAAACGCGATGGCCCTAGTGAGGGTTGCGATTCAGTCTGGGCTGTCAGCTCTGATCTCACAGTGCCCACAGCACTCGGCCACCACCGCTTCCTCGAAAGGAGCATTTAACTCTTTCTCTTCCTCATGAATGCATCAGTGGCTAACGGGGGAGGGCACTCTGGAGCCCTTCATGGAGTCTGTGGGGAAATCTGATTCTCTCCACGTTGCAGAGGGGTTTATGGAGGTCCAGGATCTGGTGAGCTGCCCCATATCACACGGCTTGCAAGTGGAATCCTGTCTGAAAGACACCAAATCCCATACTCTTTCCACTGTATTGCTTTTCTATAGAATGGAAGAAATTGAAGTACACCTTCCATCAAGTGTCCGCCATTGGCTCCAGTTTGATTTCTGAGTCTAATCTACATTACGTATAAACCCATCTACCTAATCCATATTATATGTAGAAATACATCCTCACTGGCCTCATCGCTTTCATCCCCAATGCCTCCCAGGTTGAATCACAATGAGCCTGGCTCTGCAACTGGCTCTTAGCTGTGGTCTCCGCAATTCCAACCTTGTTCTCTGTCCCAATAAGCATGCACCACCCAGCACCCAGCATGATTTCATAAACACATAAATCAATCCACCACTCCCTACTCAATGCTTTCTGGTGGCTTCCCAGGCCCTCAGAAAGAAACCCAGATTTCTTAGTGTCCCCGTGGTACCCTCTACTGAAGCACACACATGACCCCAGCCACTCATGCATG
The DNA here is from genome assembly GCF_000001405.40 of Homo sapiens. Classification (NCBI taxonomy): domain Eukaryota; kingdom Metazoa; phylum Chordata; class Mammalia; order Primates; family Hominidae; genus Homo; species Homo sapiens. Next base: position 43,874,530 of record NC_000010.11, on the reverse strand, counting down.
CATCTGATACAAAGGGCCATCTCATTCACCACGCTCCACATTCTTTGCAGTCCCAAATGCTCCAACCTCATTTGCACCTGGAGACCAGTCTTTCCCTGCCTGGTGTCTTCTGGCTTACTTTCATGCCATCCGGTTCTCAACTGAAATGTTCTCATGGAAGCAGAATGGTCTGGAAGCCAGGTCCTGTGATTTTGCATCACATCCTCTTGCCTTCTCTTCTTCACTGCACTGTGGCTCTCTAACACTGGCACTCTTTCCCTCGGTTCACTGTTTCCCACCACGCACTGTCAATTAGAATGTTGGCTCTCTGCAAACAGGGTTGTGTCTGCTCCGGGACTGAACTGCAGTTGGAAAAAACAGATGTAAAACTCATCTGCTGAATTTCCTGATGCTCCATAGGACTGTCCTCCCAGCACTGGACCAGCCTCCTCCCCTCTAGGTGGTCTCTTCTCCAGGTCAAATGTGCCTCGTGTGTGAGCTGTCCCCCAGGCCATGTCTAGACTCTACCCCATGTGAGGGCCTCCTGAACTCTGCAGACTCCAGATCTGAGCTCAGCCCTGCAAGTGCCACATAACTGGATGATGTGACTCCAGGGAGAGCCTTGAACACATGGGAAGGAGCCCAAGGTTAGCAAGAGGAGCCCGGTTCTGCAGGAAGCCTCGGCGCAGTTCAGCTAAGATGGCTGGGGTCCTTTCGCTGCCTCTCACCCTTCACTCTATCATTCCTGGGGCTGGAGCTCCTGGATGGTAGGAGCTCTCTCTGCCCCAGCTGCTCCAGCCAGATCCTCCTCTCCTGGCCTCATCCACACAACCTCCAAGCCTCCGTGAGTGGCCTTATTGGCGAAGATAAGACTCCAGGCTCAGAGGAAAGCACCTACTCTTGAGGCTGAGAACCAAAAGCAAGGGCTTCTCTCCAGGAATGCGCTCTTCAGAGGGAAGGTTCTGGCAAGGCAAGGAGTGCCAAGCTCACCCTTAGCAAAGCGGCTCCTTGGAAGGTTTCTATAAACCTCTGGCAGGCCTCTTCCCACTTCTCAGAAGGTGAGCTAATTTCTTGGTTGAGTCAATGCAGTAGAAAGTCAGGATGGTTTGATATCCATCTGACTTGGAGTCAATGTAATTTGTCAATTCACAAAAATCAGTCTACAACAGGATTTGTGACCTGGTGAATTTGACTTTTCTGCCTCAACAGCCACGTGTGGCAAATGCCCCCTCCCTCTCGGTTTCTGAATTCTACTATCTAGGAACTAGAAAGGCCCTTAGGTCTCAGAATCTACCTTATACAGTAGAACCCATATAAGAGTCCCCCTGAAAAAGGCAGGATGGCACTGGGAGCCCAGTCTCCTGGGTCCTGGCCATGGCTCTGCCTCTACCCACAGGAAGTTCTGTTCTGGTCCTGCACATCTCTGCATCTGTGACCACAGCATAGTTATACCCTATGACTTCTGAGGCTACTTTCAGCTCTGGGATTTCAAACTCAGGATTTATAGTTATAACTGGTTCCAGGCCCACATCCTCAACAAGGTCTTTTTGATGGCCCTGTCTAAACAAGTCCTTGTCTGCTCCTCTGTGGCTGCACACTGCTTGCTTCCTTTACACCCTCACCTGCCCTACCACGACTCACCCACTCCGTGTTTGCACTCTCTGCCTCCTGCGCAGTTCTCCAGGCACTGAGATGCCAGGGAGCCAGTACTCTCCTTCAAGGCCACAGCCCCAGGACCCAGAGAGTGTGCCTGGCGCCAAGGAGGTGCTGGACATTTGCTGAGTGACCTGATTATAGCTTCTACCTCTGAGGATGCGTTTGTGGGAAACGGCAGTTCACCCCTCACCAGGCTGGGGATGCCATGTGTGAGCCTAAAATATCCAAATTGAGCTCAAATCAGCCTCAGTCCAGTTTGGTCTCAGGTCTAACTGTTGACTCTTCTAATCTTATTAGCAATTACTCAAATTTTTAAAAAAGCATAGAGTTTCTTTGGAATCCTGTTTTAAAATCCTTCCTTTTTAATTTGGAATATAGCAGCTTGGGAGAGCTGTAAGTCGAGAAACAAAGGGATTCATTCTCTGGCCAAGAAATGTTCAGAAGCAACAATGGTCATGTTTATACTAAAATAGCAAAAAGAGAATGCTTAAATTAAACCATTATTGATTTAAATTCACGAAATAAGATAATTGATATTGAATATTGAAATTAAAGACTCTGCATTTGTGTTCTTCTTAAGTCTACCTGGTGGAGAACATTAATATTTGAGTAATATTTGCCTTTAAAGAGTAGGTGGGTGATGAACCCTGACAATAGCCTTCTTTCTATATCAAATATGACTTTAACAAAACAAGTTGGACTGCATTAGAATCTGCTTACATAAATGGAGTTCATAATTTTTTCTTAATGATTTGAGATTCTATAGTAATATCATGGCCACATGTGGATTTGAAGAGATATAAACTTTACAAAAATCTAACATAAATTAAACTTCATTCTATATTTATTCAATACATATTATTGTTTCAGGAGAAAATATTTACTGGATCATACCTTTGTGAGAACCATTCTCAGTAGCAGATTGTTATAATGACATGGTTTCTTGCTTTAATGAAAAATAAATGGTATCATTTTAAAAAAAAAAAGAAAAAAAAAAAAGCTCTCCCCATTGGTGGTCTGGGAAGGGAGCACATGGTGACGCTCAGCAGCTGTCTCAGCTGCAGCCCTCCCGGCAGTGTGGGGCAGAAGGCAGGCAGTTCTCTGCTCTGAGGCTACAAATGTGGAGGCAGCAGAGCCCAGGGAAGTCAGGTGCCCTGGCCGCTGCCCATGTACTCCAGCCACTGTCCCGGGGGCAGTGAATGCTGAGACAGGGTCCAGGTGGAAAGCTGGTATGGCTTGGATTTCCCCAGGGCAACCCTTGTCACCATGTCATATTCTGCCAGGCAGCCTGCACCATCCAACAACATCTCAGAAATGGGGACAGTTTGGGGCAAGTGCACGTTTTTTGTGTGTATTTGGTGTGTTTGATTTATTTAATTATTTTAAGCTAAGTCAAAGTCGAACTCTACTCTCCCATCCTCCTGAGCTGTCATTTATGGAAATCGCGATGTCCCCACAGGACCTGTGTGTGAAAAGATAAGGCCATGTGAGAAGAACTTCGCCCATGGGCATCCCTCTGCGGGCTTGGCCGATGTAGGGCTCTGTGTCCACCCTGCCCTGAGGCACAGCCCTCCCTGGCACTAGGTGACCTTGGGATGTTGTCCTCCTGCTCTCCGGTCAGCCTTGCACTCTCCTCTCAACTCTGAGACCAGTAAAGGAAGGGAGTCCACTTGAGTGGAAATGCTGAGGGCGTGGCCCCAGGGGCAGGTCAGGGCAGGCCAGCCACATGTGCAGAGCCCCAAGTCTCCAGCGGGGCCGGGCAGTTGGCAGCTCCAGGCAGCCCCCGCGGAGCGCCCATCCTCTGTGGTCTAGAAGCACGTTTGCCTCACATGGCAAGCACTGCTGCCTTTGTTCTCCTACGACTCCTCAGAGGCTGAGCCCTTGGGAATGAACATGCACAATAACAGTTTGCAGAGGCCTGAGGATTGTTTCTGACAACAGCAGCTCTCTGTGACCGTGGCTCCCAACTGCATCTTCCCCAGGCATAGACCTGGGGAGGCAGTCACCCCTCAAGTAAGAGGGTGACAAAAACAAAATGAGTCAAGCCACCCCACCCACCCACCACCCTCCCCCTGAGGCAGGTGCATGTTCTCAGCCCTTTGACAAGGCTCTGTAGAAGTTAGTCCCTTTATGCAAATTGGCCTCGCTGTCTGGCGCGTGTGTGTGTGTGTGTGTGTGTGTGTGTGTGTGTGTGTGTACAATGGCATTGACCTGAAAGTAAAATCCAATAGGTAAGAAACATCCTATTCCAACCATGACAGACCCTTCCTCCAATGCATGTGGGTGGAGCATGGTCACCATCCCCAAGATTTCTGGTTCTCAGTCTCAAAATGTGGGCTTAGCAATCTATGGAGTAGCCTTTCCAAGCATCCCCTGTGAGCAAAGACAGTCTAAAACCAACATAAAAATGAGTGTCCATGTGGGTGTAGAGTTTTCATGATCCAGGACGGCGCATTAAAAAGACCTAGAGAGATTCAGCAGTACTGAGGCCTGGCCCCACCACAGACCAATGAAAGCAGAATATCTGGGGAGGGGTCAGGCATCTTTATTCTTTGAACTCCTCAGCTGATTTTAAGAGGCAGCCGGGGTGGAAAATTCTGGGTCAGGCCTTACAGAGACTGGAGTCCATGGCTCCTCCAGCTAGCCTGATAGCAATTCTATCCGCACAAGAACCATCCTGTCCCCACACACTCTGTGTCGTCCAGCCAGTGGTTCTCAGACTTTGATGTATGTCCAAGTCACCTGGGAGGATCATAAGGACCATAGAGCCCCAGGTTCCTTGAAGTGGGTGGGACCCGGGCCCAGGGATTTCTCAGAGCTCCTGGGTGAGTCTGATGCCCATCCGAGTGTGATCACCAAGGGCCTTGTCCTTACAGAGAGTAGAAGGTGGCTGAGCAAGCACAGTAATTGATGGCAGTGCTCCTTGCCTGTGTCCCAGTAATACCAGCCAGGAGCCAGCTGAGCCTCCTGCAGAGGTGAGCCAAAGTGAGCCCCCCACTCCTTCACCTCCTCCTCCCACACACACCAGAAAGCCATTCTGGAGCTGTGCCTGTACAAAACCCAGTTTCCTCAGCCACTGTGGCTCCGGGTGGGCTTCTGCACTCTGCACCTGTCATCCCAGGAGCGCTGTCCCGGGCTCCACCTGACTCAGGGAGAGGTCTGTGCCCTGTGCTCTGAAATGCTGGGTCTCCAGACACTCCATCCATGAAACAAACAAAATAGGGTGACTCTGTGTCCTCAAATGGGAAGGCTCCAACACATGCTACTTCCTGGCCCCTTGAATTGGTACTCTCCACCAGAGCCACCACCCAGGCTCTGTGGTCCATGAGGAGAGAGGCTCACAATGGGGCCTCCTCCAAGGAGAACAAGCTCCCAGGAGACCTCCCCTCAAACCCAGGGCTCTGAGCTGGCTAATGTCCAAGGAGAGGCACAAGAATGGCTGGTCAGGGACTGGAGTCTCTGCCTGGCCTACCTAAGGGCATCCTCAGCTGCAGGTCCCCTGACTCGATGAACAGAACAGGGAGGGGATGCCGCTGAGCATCCACCCCCACAGCCTATCTGTCTCATTCCAGCCAGACAGCCCCTCCAGGGCCTGAGATGTAACTCTGCTTCCTTCTAGCCTGAAGCCATGGAGGAGACCGGGTGGGGGCAGGTGTGGACAGGTCAACTCTGGCCAGACAGGGCCCTAAGGTGCCGCCTTGCCGGGGTGCCAGGCTCTGACTCTGGGACAAGGACACCAGACCACACCAACCACACTTGCCAGCCTGCCCTGTCTGCTCTGAGCCACCCCCTTGGCCCACTGCCTCTTCCCTCTGCCGGACGCCTACCTCTGACGCCTCCCCCCACAGCTCCATGTCAGCCATATGCTGTCTCTGTCTTCTCATTAGGACTTTAGGCACACTCCAGACAACATCTCTTTTTATGAGCTACCTAAAAAATTCCTCTCCAGCAACACCAAGCCACCAAGGGGTGGCCAGCAAGGCAGGACTCTCCAGGCCAGGCCAGCAGGGCTACCTGGGAGGAGGCTTGTGGCAGAGGGGCAGAGGTGGGCTACTCCCAGGCTGCATTTAGGACTATTTTGCAGATAGGTAATGGGGAACCACCCACAAGGATAGAGTTTGAAATAAGAAGCAAGCTAAAGCCAGGGCTTTGGGGAATGGAGCTCAGATCCCCAAAACTTAGCATGTAGAAAAACATTTTTGAATCTTACTGGGCATAAGACTCACCAGGAAGAGATAAAAATGCAGATTTCAAGGCAGCCGAGGAAGCTGCTCCCTCAGCAAGCCCTGCTAGGCCTGCGATGTGTTCCCAGGAAAGATTATGGAAGATTTGAAGAGAAAAGCAGAATCCAGGCTTGGGTGAGGTCGGACAGCCAAGGCCAGAGCACAGGGTGGAAACCAGAGAGGTCCTGAGGTCCGAGCTGGCGGGAAGTACAGGAGAAGCAGGAGGGCTGTGAGTGGGACATGGATCCTAAAGCCACAGATCTCTGGGCATGACTTCCTGCGATTCTGAAAGCCTCCAGCTTTTAGGTCAACCCTTGAAATGTGAGCAGGCCATACAGAACCTCGGGGCCTATGAAATCTTCCTCCTTAGAAATAGACTCTTAATTTAGAGTTGAGAGTCCACCCAAGAGGAAAGAGCTAGATTTATTGCTGGCAAAATATGAAGGATGTAACATGATACCTCTTCAAGTCTCCTTATATATTTTCACAGGCCAGGCAGTAATTGCCTCCAGAGATGAGGCCCTGATGGGTTAGGGGAGGAACCCTGCCCACCCGCCCGCCAGCTAGGAGGAGGGAGTCTGGGGCCAGGTACAGCTGTGGTAGGGATGCAGGACAGAACGGACTCACAAAAAGAAGTCGTGGTGGGGTCCACCAGGCCCAGGAACTGGCAAATAAGGAAACCACAGAAATAGAGGGAAGGTGGCAAACAGGGCGGAAGGGAGCCAAGAACTTGCTCGTTACAAAGGCAGGAACCCTACTCTGTTCCCAAAGGCCTGAAATATCTCCAGAGGGTAGCTGTGTCCACACAAAGCTTCCTCTGGGTGAATCAGGCACAATGAGGGCCCGGGATGAGTCACTCTCGTTCCAGCCTGGCGTCTTCCCTTTGGGAGCCTTTCTGCAGACAGAAAACTGTAGCCAAATTAGGACACTCTAAGGATCCGAAGGCACCAAGACCTGCTGGCCTGCGACCAGAAGAATCCAGATTTTATGCCTGATTTGGGGTGATCCTTAAGTCATCCGACTCATTTTCCTTATGGTGAAGGGTGTTTATCAAAGCCCAGTGACTTGTGAAGACCACCAAATGGTGCCTATGTGATGTCAAAGCTGTGCTGGAAGAAGGGAAGGGTATTCTCTCAACTAGTGGTTCAGGAGAAAGAGGCATGACCCCCACAAGCACTCGGAAAACTTTCATCCACCAAATAATCACACAAGTCATGCAAATGAACACTGTGGGAGGTGCCTCAAAGGAAAGAACATGCCCCTGCCCCTGCCCCTGCCCTTGCCCCCGCCCCAGCCCCTGGGGACGCCGGCAAAGCTTCTGTGAGGAGCTCACCTTTGGACTGAGGTCTGGAGGATAAGCGCATGCCAACAGGCCAAAGAAGAGGTGGACAGTCACGGGGACAAACAGAACACTATGCAGACGCCTAGAGCAGGGGTTCATGGTGAGCTCAGCCTCATGAGAGGTTGCAGCCAGACTGGGGAGGGCTGTGGACCAGGTAAAGATCTAGTCATTGTTCTGCAAAAAAATGAAAAAAAAAAAAGGATGTGAAGCATGTAGAGCCACTGAAGGATTTTAGGCAGGACAGCAGCACAGTGAAGCTTTGAAAAAGGCCATGCCGGCCAGATGCAGTGCAGGGGGAGGCTTGCAAGTTACAGGACCAGTGCAGAGAGGCATCCTGGCCATTTCCACCATGCAGTCTCGAGAGAGCTGCTGCAGCTCCAACTGAGACGCTGGCTGTGGATAAAGGTGAATGTGTCTGAGAACACCTGACAGGCAGAATCAGCGGGGACAGACTGCATTTGGGGTAGATGAGGGTTTGCTGTCTCCAAGGCAATATCCTAACAGGAGGAGCACGGGAACAAGGTGTGACTTAGGGCTCCAGATTCAGGTTCTGTTTTTATTATGTCAAGACGCAGGTGCCATCTACATGGGAGCTTCAGGAAGGTGATTGTCTGTGTGTTTCTGGAGCTGTGAAGAAAGTTCTAGAAGGAGATTTCTATGTCAGCTGCACACAGGAGCTCACGAAGCCAAGCTCCTGAATGAGGTGGCCAGAGGAGAGCTCCACATGAGAAAGAGTGACAGCTAGGACCGAGCCACAATTGCCCCCCATAGACAATAGCCATGAGCAGTGCGCAGGGGAACCAGGAGAGAATGGGACCTGGAGGCCAAGATGGTGTGTCAGGAGGAAGAAACCGTTAGCAATGACAAAAGCTGCTGAGACCCTGGAAAAGAGAGACAACAAGAGAACTCCAAGGGCTGTACTAAGAGATCATCCCGAAAATGCTGAAAAGTCAATAGGCGACAGACTGTAGGGACATTGGGTTGCATGTGAAAACAATTGGGGTGAGCGAGGAAATGTTAACCCTTTTGAATATGTGAGAAGTAGGATTGGAGCTGTGCTCAGAGAAGATCATGGTGGCTTAAAAGGAGAGAAACAAAGCTAGGAATTCCATTCTCCATGTTTATACTGCCATTTTGTAAGAAATAAGGCAGTGTAGGACAAGGCTGGAGTAGTCCAGGAATTGACAGGAATGATCAAATCATGGCCACTGAGCTCGCAGGAACTGAATTAAGGGGTGACTCCACAGACACGGAAAGGAGAGCAGCTGGACTTAGTGGCTGAATGGGCCACTACAGGGTGAAGGCATAGACAACTAAGAGACTGGCGGGAAGAAGAAGCAGGATCCATGTCCCTGTCATAGCTGGATGGCCAGGGATTCTGTGCTGAGCTGTTGTCAAGGGCAGCTGTTTCAGGTTCCAGCAGAATATCACAATGTGGAGACACCCATCAGTCACTGTTACCTGCAGACCTGTGCTCAGGACACAGGGCAAGTCGGTGTGGGGCCGGCAGGGACTGCAGAGTCCACTCAGAGGACATGTGCGGAATGCACAGAGGGGCTGTGGAAACACAGAGCCCAGGAGGAAAGGACAGTGGACAGCAGGAGTGACCAGGAGAGACGGAGAAAAGGATGGATGAGGAATGGAGCCCCTGCAGAGAAGGGCAGAGAGACTGTTCCCACCATGGGTTTAGGGGGAGATGCAGGACAAGGTTCCTGCAGTCCCCTGGGTTTGGAGTGCACAGTTTCCACTCGTGTGTAGGAGTAGGAGCCAAATGGAAAGGGATGGAGACAGAGGAGGAGGGCAGAGGAGAAGCAGCTCAGGACCACACCATGTGAGGATAGAAAGAGGGCTGGGAGCACGAACAGCCCCGGGGCTCAGCGCAGGCTGCCAAGGGAATTCTTCAGTTATCTGTTTTGGCTGCTACTCTTTATGTGTGTGAATATGCGTGTGTGTGTTTTCCGAGCTTTATTGAAGTATAACTAACAAATAAAAATTGAGTATTTAAGGTGTACAAGGTCATGTTTTGATATATGCATTGTGAGATTACCAGGAACAAGCTAATCACCATATCCATCACATTTTTATAAGAATACTTGAAATCTATTAGCAAATTTCAAGGATATAATGCCATGCATTATTAGGTCTTCATAATTTAGCTAATAACTAAAAGTTTCCTATCTTGTTTTTCAATAAGGAAGATGGGTATAGAAAAGTCAAAGTGGCCAATGAACATGGAAAAAAGGACAAGATTAATAGCAGTAATTACCCAACATGCTAATTAAGAACTGAAACATTGTCCATCTGTCAAAGTAGCAAATGCAAAAAGTTTCTGCAGAAACATCATTTGGGTTAAAGACTGCGTATCATAGGATGGCATTTTTCCCTGGCTCTGTCGCTGCTGCCATGGTGGCTCTCCTGGCCCCTGCTGTGGGCACATCTGGACACAACCCCCACCCTCCTCACTTCCCTGTGGTGTGGGTCGCTTCCTCTAGAGCTGCAATTACATTTGAGCCAGAGTCAGACACAGAGGCCTCCAAGCCCTGAAGATGCGGCAGGGTGTGCGAGGCTGCAGGAAGCTGCCTCAGGACCTGCTTGTGCAGGCGGGAAGGCAAGCTCAATGGCAACTCCATGATGTCTTAGAGATTGACTCTAATGTTACAAAGAGGAGAGAGACCGAAAGAGCCATATCTGAGGTCCAGAAACAGAGCCAAGTGGGCACTGTAACTCAGGATGGGTCAAGGGACCTGGCCACTCACACACAGCTGGCAGGTGGCAGAGCCGGGATTTCATCCAGGCTGCCAAAACCCAAACACAGACCCTGCCTGCAGCACGCTCTGCCTCTCTAAGTCCACCCTGCCTATGACCAGGAAGGCCGGGTGTCCTCCCACCCAAGGCAGGCAGTGGTGGGAGGAAGTCAGCAGAGAGACCAGGTGAGGGCCTCCAGCACAGCCACAGCACAGCCCTGCCCATGTGAGCCCATCGGACATCAACACATACCACGTGTCATGTTGTGCACAGCCAGCCCCTGAGCAAGGGCACAGCAGGGCACCTGGTTGCAGAGCAGTGTGGACAGGCAAGGGCACACTGGAGAGCAGGCGGCTGAGGAGCATGCTGGGGCCGGGGTTGCCACCAACCAGCCTGGGCCAAGGAAACTATTCAAACTTTTTTTTTTTTTCAGCAAAAACAATGACAATTTTCTGTCCATTGTCATTTCCTAAGAACACTTACGGGACAAAGTCTCAGCTGCAGTAAACAGCCTGGGAGCCAAAGTCCTCTGGCTCCAGTGAGCATGTTAGGCATGATTCATCTGGTGAACATTCTCTTTCTAAAGAGGGAAGGCCAGGTTAAACAAGGGTTTGCACAAAGCTCTCTTCCTGTGGCAAACAAAAGCCTGGGCTGGGCCAGCCATCAGTCCAGGCTCAGGAGAGCTCCCTAACCAAGTCCACATGTGGCTCCCATGAGACCCTCCCAGATGGGACTTGGGGAAGATCTGATGATGATGGTGATGATGGTGATATGGTGTTCTTCCAGAAATGCCTAAAATGTGCCAGCAGAGTCTTCCCTGGGAAGCAATATTGTCCTGGCAAAGCAATGGGATCAGGAGGCCTTTTAGTCTCGATCAGAATAGGGAGGAGAAGGCACCTTTGGGAATAAATGAAGCACCATGGGCCCCAAAGAGAGCCAACATGCAAATCATGGCCTGAAGATGACCCTTGAGGGAATGGAGCTCAGGACCACTGACAGGACACAGAGAGGAGGCAGCAGAGGGATGGGCAGCACTGTGATCCCGGCATCCAGGGCAGTGATGCCAAGCAGCAATGGCCCTCCTGTGCTCGGCGGTTACACGAAGGCCCAGATCAGTGCCAAGCGGGTGGTCTACTGGGCAGGCGGGGTCTGAAGGAGACATTACTTCCTGCCCGATCTTGTTAGCCAGGCTCACATATCGGACCAACCCCCATCCCACCTTAAATTGCAATCCACGTCCTTCTCAGGAAATAAGAAACCCCTCAGTCTGCACAATGCTTTCTTTGCCATGATTTGTATCACCCATGTCTTGCTCTATGATTTGGGGATTATGTTCATTGTTTGTTGGCTACACCCCCACTTCTCAGTTGGAATACGCATCAACTCCAGGAGGGCAGGGAAACTTTTTCTTGCTTCCTGATCTCCCCCTAGCACCTCGAGCAGTGCCTGGCACACAGCAGGTGTCCACAGTACTTGTCGAATGCAGAAGTGAATAAATAGCAAGACAGAGTCACCCGGCTGGCTTGGACCTGGACTGGCCAAGCTGGTGGTCTACACCATGATTTGCTGGATAATCCATGCAGCTTTCCCTGCATAGACACAGATGCAGCCCCTCTGTCCAAACATGATGCTCCCTCTGTCATTGATGGGAACCAGATGGAGTCGCGCCTGTAACATGACTGAGCACTGATTTCAGTAAAGTAAATGAATTACCAAATTGTAGTCATTATAATTTATCTTCATCTTAGTGACACACTTGACTGGCTGCTATAAACCAGGATTTGAAGAGTGAATGTGAATTTACAGACCTCTCAGCTCTGCCCACAGGATCCAAATCTGGCAGAATTGTCATCTCTATTGAACTATTACAACTGAATGGTGAGCTCTCCTACCCCCAGATTTACCGTTAATATGTGGTAACCCAACTATAGGAGCCATCTGATAATTCATCCTAGTACGTCAGATTTGGAAAGACCTTTAGGGTCATCTAAACAAATTCCATCTGCTTGAAACGAATGCCACTAAATCACAACTACCACTCTGCCAAGACTGGGCCAAAGTCCAGCTCACACAACTCACCCCACTCAAACAACAGTCCCACACACAAAATGGAGTATCCACTCCTAAAGCTGAGTCAGCCCTGAAAGGTCTGAGGGGTTGAGCAACCTAGCTCAGGCATAACAAGTGACTTTCAGAACTATTACTCAAACTGAAGAGTGTCTGACTCCAACCCATCACTCCCAACCATTATGCTCACCACTGACTCTGAATTCTGGAGAAAATTGTCAATAAAGATGTAGAGGATTGGTGACTCCTAGGTCCATGACACCTGAACTCACCAATTTTAACAACATTGAAAGCAAGAAGGCCAGACATTGTTGCTTCCTGATGTGATGAAGGTACAACAGGAAATGCACAGCATTCATATAAAGTGGCTTTGCCAAAAAAAAAAAATGTGAGTTTAATCAAGCATTGGATATAACCACCTGCAGGAAGCATGGAAGATAAATCTTCAACAAGAGGGCATTTAGCTAAATCCAGAACATAATCCACTGTACAGAAAAATGACCCATGACCAAGTTTTTTCAACAAATAAATGCATTTTTAAAAGAGAGGGAGAAGTATTACAGATTAAAAGAGACCTAAAAGACACCTCACCCAACCACAATGCGTGGACCTTGTCTGCATCCTGAATCCAGCAAAGCACCTGCAAAAGGACAATGATTTTTATATTTAGCTGAGATTCATTTATTATGACTGCAGTATACTATTCCATTCTATAGCTTTTTCCTTTTTTTATTTTTATAGATTTAGGGTGTACAAGTGCAGTTTTGTTACCTGGATAGATTTCATAGTCATGAGGCCTGGGCTTTTGGTGTAATCATCACTTGATTAGTATACATTGTAACTGTTAGGTAATTTCTCATCCCGCATTGCCCTCCCAACCTCCCCCCTTTCTGAGTCTCCAACGTCTGTTATTCCACACTCTATGTCCATGTTTACACATTATTTAGCTCCCACTTATAAATGAGAATACACAGTATTTGACTTTCAGTTTCTGGGTCGTTTCATTTGAGATAATGGCCTCCAGTTCTATACATGTTACTGCAAAAGACATGATTTCACTCTTTTTTATGGCTGGGTAGTATTCCAGGGTGTGTGTGTGTGTGTGTGTATTATACACATTATATATATAATATACACACACACCATATTTTATGTTGTAAAATATATCCATATTTTATGGTGTATATATATATATATCAATACCAATACGGTGTGTGTGTATATATATACTATATTGGTATTTATATATATATATATATATATATATATTTCTAGAATTTGCTTCAAAATACTCCAGGAAAAATAAAACACAGAGTAAAGGGGTAGATGAAGTAAGAATAGCTAAGTACTGATCATTATTGAAGCCAGGTTATGAACAAGTGAGGTTTCATTAGACTATTTGTTCTACTTCTACATATGCTTAAGATTTTCCATAACAAAGTTAAATTTAAAAAGAAGTGATGACACCCGGGAATAGAATCTTAAACCCCAAAACAACACTGTACTCTATATGGAAATGGTCACGCTCTCCCTTTGAAAAGCTTTCTCATCACGGGAGATAAAGTTACCAACTTAGAGAAACCGAAGGGTCTCAGTGAGACACTCCCCAGGAATATACCACAGAAAGCAAAAGCATAATGGCTAAGAGATAAAACCATGGAAAATTTAAGAAAAGATGTATGTTTTAAAATATTAGTGAAACATTTAAATATACATAATGAACTGGGAAAGTATAAAGTACATGTCAAAAAAATCTTAACATTATCATTACATTTAAAATATTATAAGCCTATAAGAAAAAACAGACTATTCCCTCTGAAAGGGCAAAAGATATGAGCAGACAGTTCGTGGAGGGAAAGGAAAGGTATAAAGACAGTGAATATGTATAAGGGAACAAACAAGAGGACAGGTTCACTTGTAATAAAATCAGCACATAATTAAAAAGCACATGAAGGTCTACACATTATTGACAAGATGAGCTCATTGGAGAACATCGCATAGTCCTGCCGTAGTTGAGGGGAAAATGTTCTTCCGCCACACTGCTGGTTCACACTCCCTATTTATATGTAGCAAAAGCTCATTAATGCCCTTTGTTTCAGCAGTTCTTCTTGCAACTATTTATTCATGAGAAGTAAAAATAAGCAAAGGTTTGTCTTACCTACAACAGTAAGTACAGGCAGTTTCCTTTGGCGCTGTGTAAAAATTCGTGCGCAATTCAAGATGATGAGCCCTTGGCTTGAAGTCAGAGGCCTGAACCCTGGTGCTGGCCTACTTTTAGGACTTGGTTTCTTCTTATCCTATGGGCTAAAAGTTAGCACTTAAGTCTACAGCTACTGAAAAACTAGAATAGATCTAAAAGACAAAGTGTTTATTTTTGCTAACATATATAAGTCACCTATTAAAAACCTGCTTATTCAGTAGATATCATTTTGTGCATAAGACTAAAATAATAAAAATAATGATCTTCTTCAGTCTTGAGTCTTGAATCTCAGAATCTTCCTCTGTATAGTGAACACACTGGGATAGTTTTAGATAACACATCCATTGGCTCTCAGTTCTAGTCCAAGATGAAAAGCATATCCTTGTGTGATCCAAGTCATAAAGGTAGAGCCAGTTTCCCTAAGATGTATTCTTGGAATTTTCCAGAAGATTAATTTTTCTCAAGCCTTAGATTGCTACAGGATTGACCTCATGGGCTAACATCCATAAGAGGACGTTACCAGTTGAGAACCCATGGACTTAGAGGTGAAACTGCCTGCAGCTTGCTTCTATCTGAATTTCACCTGAGGTGAACAAATCTGTGCCAGAAGGAGTTGCCCAAGTCTCCATTCTAGAGCAACAGGGCTGTTTTGAGTGCAGTTATGAAGGAGGAAAAGCAGCTCCATGCCTCCATGGAAACCCAGCCTGAAGATCTCAAGATCCTGGTCCCTGGAGAAGCAGATCCATGGCACCGAACCCCACACCGTACAGCCCATCTAAAGGTCAATGGCACCTGTGCGAGAGATATTAAGGAGGAGCAATGGTAGACAAAATCAGAGCATCTATGAGCTGACTCCAGGGGTGAATTTGAGGAAAAGCTTTGGCGTTATCCAGATTAAAATTGAAGTTAAATGCTGCAGCGTTTCCAGAAACATGAGGCACTGGTTTGTCCCCAGGACAGGAAATACTGATGTTGACTTTCATGATGGAAACAATGACTTCTGCCCACTCTCCACCCTCCTTTCTTACACTTAGAAAATCTGGCATTAAAATGAAAGGCAAACCAAAGAAGAAATGGAAGGTGACAACCAGAGAAAAGACCATGTCAGCAAAATCCCGGCTCCAAGTCCTGAGCCCTGGTAGTGAGGATGCATTCACAGGTTGACGCAGAGGGTGGTATTAGGATCTAGGAACAGATCAGGAAATATTGAGTAAAGGAAGCACCTGACCAGGAGAGCCAGGCTGCACTTGGAATCACTGGGGAAGGAGAATCTTGGTTACGTTTGCTTACCAGGATTACCCTCCTGTGGGTTAATCAATCCTAATAGGATGCTGAAGGGTTTTTTTAAATTTTCAATTCAGAGGCCCATTTTAAAAAATATGCTCACTGTTGGTTAAGGCACACAGCTGATTTTGTTAATATATATGAGGATCCATGTCTAAAGAGCTCAAAGTTATTATTAAACTCATAACTACTAAATTAACAAGCACATATATAACATAAACATCCTCAAATACACGACTGTGTCATGTTTAAAACTCTACTTGTTCTCTGAGCACCATTTTATGCAAAACTATCTAAGAAAACAGCTGCCAATTAAATTGGAATAAGATAAAGTCAACCTATGCCAATGAATGGAGCAATATTGGAACCTATTTTCCAGAACTAACTTGATGATCATTCAACAAGAGATTCTGGCAGGAAAAAAGAATATATACATACACACACACACATATACAGGTTCTTTTCAGAAAATGTCTCAAAAATGTGGTCCTCATCATGTGAACACAGTGTTCGTGTGTGTGCTGCCTGATTTGACTCCCAACTTTCTGCCATTGCATTGGTGTTTGGGGGGTTTTGTTCTCATAGTACAGAAAAGCTTTTAATTGTTAAACGTGTGCAAAATAAAATGCAAACTGCACAACTCAATTACTTTCCTTCAAACTGATGGCCATGTTTCTCAGTGTCTGTCAGTTGTTTTAACAAAAACTTTTCTCATCTGCAAAGAATTGAAATTACCCTTTCAACATATGTTTTCCAAAATCCCTGCTCTGTTTTCTCTTTGAAATTCAAAATTACTAATATACCTTACTGCAAATATAAGTGCCTTTCTCCAGAAAGCTCTAGTGGCCAAGTAGAAATGTTTCCCTTCGGATCAAGGAAATGGTATTTTGTGATTAAATTAGTTTGAGCAACACAGCTCTGGGTGTTTTATATCGCAGAGCTGTGATTTTCTAGCAGATGGCTTCGACATTTTTATACTGAGGCAAGTTTTAGTTTTCCAACCTCAGTTAAAATCTTTAAAATGTTTGCTTTAGAAGGAATTACTACACAATGGGAAAAGAACCATATGCAATACCTTATCATTTAGGAAAAATATTCCATTTTGAAACTGAGTTTCATTAAGGCCTGTTTTGTGTAAGCAGGCTGCAGGTTCAGTTGCTACACACATTGTTAGGGCCCTGCAAGTGTCTGTTTTTCGTTACCCTCCCCACACAACCCAGCCCTCTGAACCCCGGCGCCTGCATCTGTGCGCTTACATGCTGTGATTCACTACAATAACAGGAATTTGCTGCTGTTATGATTGAGATAAATCAGCTTTGTGGTCTGGGCAGCCATTCTGATAACCATGACTCCACCTCAAATTTGCTGCCTGGTCTTAAACCATCTGCAATACAGTCTGGTCGATGAAGCAGACACAGAGATACTATATTTTCTTAGGAATTAAAATAAAATAGATACTATGGACCAGGAATTTAACTAACACCTTTCCCTACATTAACTAATTTAATCCTTACAAGATCCTTAGGGGTTAACTCCTTCTCTTATCTGCCTTAGATATAATAAGGGATTGCTCGCCCACAGCACCCCAGTTGGTGTGCAGCTCAGCTTGATCCCTGAGTCCTAGCTCTGAACAGCTGTTATGACATGCTGTCACCTTGCCATCTTGGCTCCAGGGTGAGAACTGGAGTCCCCCACTGTTCATTTCTGTAGTGGGTTCTGAAGGGAAGGAAAACCAGACTTGGTCTTCCACACTCTCCCCAACCCAATCACCTGTGTGCACCTTGGGCTGGGTCCATCACTGGCCATGGCATAGACTGGTCTCTTGGCAAAGCTGAAGGGAGGTTAGCCAACCTGGAGTTTTCTACCTAGTCACCTCCCACTAGCAATGGTAACTGTGACTTCTCTCTCTCTTCCTTCTTACATCCTATTTTCTTATTCTTTTTCTTTCTTTTTTTTTTTTTTTTTTGAGACATGGTCTTGCTTTGCCACATAGGCTAGAGTGCAGTGGCATGATCACAGCACACTGCAGCCTCCACCTCCTGGGCTCAAACAATCCTCCTGACTCAGCCTCTTGAGTAGCTGGGACTACAGGGGCATGCCACCACACCAGCTAATTTTTTTTGTAGATATGGGGTCTATGTTGCCAAGGCTGCTCTCAAACTCCTGGACTCAAACCATCCTCCCACCTCGACCTCCCAAATGTTGGGATTACAAGCATGAGCCACCACACCTTGCCTATTCTACCTAGTTTTATATTTGCCTCCACAGCAAAGAATTTTAATATGTTCCTTTGTGTAGTACAACTGAAAAATTTACTGTTTATCTAAAATTCAAATTTAACTGGGCATCTTGTGTTTTATTTGCTCACTCTGGTCACCCTAACTAGGTAATCGCCAATGCAGAATGCACTGGACTCCTTAAACAGCAGGACAAGGTCACAAAGGTGGAGGGCCTGGTCCCTGCTGCTCCCCAACTTCTAGTGCCCTTTCCCTTCTCACATGGAGTCCGCCTGTCACTCCTGCTCACCTGACCTAAGACTGTGGCCATCCCTTTGCCGCCGGCCAGTCTCACTCAGATGTCCCTGCTACATGAGCCCTTCCCTGCCAGCCCTGTCTTGCACACCCTATATTTTCATTTATTTCATGTTTATATATTTCATCCCACCCAATTGAACAGCAGGGACCTGGCCCAGGGCACTGGGGCAGCCCCATCTAGCACACGGTAGGCTTCCTTTTAGCAACTGTGAATGGATGAATCCTCCAGGAAGCCTGAGCATTCCTTGATACACTAATGAGGCTTCTGACACATGGTGCCTAACGAGGGATGTTCCAGTGGTCTGACCAGCCATCTTCAGGTGTGAAGTGCCTCCAGCCATGCCAAGAACTCCTTGGACAGCACGCTGACACTGCACATTACTCTTCCTCTCAACTACAGGGCCAACTGGCAGCTTCTCTGTCACTTACCACAGTTGCCTTGCATGTCTGTGTTATCTACCAGGCCAGACTGAGTTCACACAGAGCAGAGACAACTATCCCATGCCCCTCACCTCGTGGAGTGAGCATCCAAGAAGCATAGACTCCATGGTGGGGGTTGCATTGTGCATGTGTTCAAGCACTCACATGCTCCTCGGAGCTCTGCCCAGGCCAGGCTGGCCAGCATCGGGTCATGACAGATGGGGCCTCACAGACACTGTGCAGACACAGTGCAGACATGGCAGTCAGGATGGAGCACTCATCCCATGGGGCTTGATGCTGTAAGCCAGCTGTGAGGGCAGGAAGCAGGAGCTTAGCTGGAGTAGCCACCAAGGTGAGGCAGGTTTTCACTGGTGAGGCCAAGTTTGACAACAGGATAGAAGAGTAACTAGAGAAGGGTAATGTAGTTCTTGTGTTTCCCGGGCCTCTCAAAACTATCTGAAGAGTCTACTTTTTGCCAGGTGCTCTGCTAGTCACCAAAATACAGATGAATAGATGTGACCCTAACCTTGGGGGGCTTATGGTTTTCTCCCACGCTCCTCTCAACTATCACCTTCTGAAGGATGAGGATACACATCCTTTGTCACCTTGGCTGCCTGGAGCCTAATAGAGAATTGGCCTCGGTAAGAGTCATTGTTATTGCTCCATGTTCCTCTAAAAGAAGGGACTAGAACAAAAGGGACAGACTCGGAAACGGAATTGGGCAAAATCACATAAGCAAGAAGCTTTCAGTAGCCTGAATTCTCCAGCAGTGGAACGGGCCTTCCTTTGGGAGGATGCGTTTCCTTTTTCTCAACGTGGCCAAGCATGGGTTGGGCCACCTCTTAACAAGAACCCTGTAGAGGAAACTCAGGCACGTCCACCATGCCTCTCAGGCCTCTCGTGACCCAGGAGGCTCCATGTTCCCTTGGTGGTGATGTGGTTGTTTTCAGAGTCTTTTCAAGAACTCTGTATTAGCATTCTCCAGAGAAACAGAATAATAAGATAGAGAGAGAGATATCTATATATAGATATAGATAAAAAGAGATTGATTATGGGAATTGGCTGATGGGATTGTGGAGGCTGAGAGACCCCACGATCTGCCATCGACACCCTGGAGCCCAGGAAAGCCAGTGGTGTGATTCAGCCCAAACCTGAAGGCCTGAGAATCAAGAAAGCCAACAGTGTAGGTTCAAGTCTGAGTCTGCAGGCCTGAGAACCAAAAGTGCTTGTGTCTGCAGGCAGGAGAAAAGGGGCAACCCAGCCCAAGGAGAGAAAGAGAGAATTTTCCCTTCTGCCTTTCGGTTCTTTTTGGGCCCTCAACAGATTGCATGGTGCCCAATCACATGGGTGAGGGCGGACCTTCTTACTCAGTCCACTGATTCAAAAGCTCATCTCTTCTGGAAACACACTCACGAGCACACCCAGAAATAATGTCTGACCAGCTGTCTGCATCCTTAACCTGGTCAACACATAAAATCAACCCTCACAGTATGGATGATATGGAGATACTAGGTGATTCCCATAACGTTTATTAATTATTCTGCAAAAGAGTCAGGAATATGGATCCTTGGTCTTTCTGATGATCAAAATATTTATTCACTGACACTGTACCTAGCAAGAAAACATTATCCAACAATCTGTCTCCTCCTCTGGCTCAACTTCTCACCCTGCTCTGCCCTCCATCTGCATCTGATATCTCTGTAGAGGGACTCCATTCCCTCACAACCCATATCCATGCAATGGAAAAACCCACAGGAGCAGGAGAACGGGACAGATTGCGTTCCTGCCACAGTTCTTCTCCCTTGAGGCGATAGAGGCTCGTCACATGTCGATCTGTGGTCGCATTCCATTCTGGTGACACGTTTGAAAGGACATGTTCTTTAAGGCACAGTAAAATTGAATCTCATCTCCACATGTGGAGCTAAGTAGGAAAATTACCTTAATTAAACGCAGCAGAATTCAGATTTATTGCCCACCACATGGAGTGCTCTTAGTCTCTGAGGACCGAACCTGATATTCCAGAAAAGCCATTTTCCACTGGCGCTGTGCACTTGTCCACCTATGGCCTTCAGATGCACAGACTCGAGAAGAAGAAATGCGTTCCACAATTTTCAATGTGGTAAAGAGATTTACAGTTTAATAAAAACCATAAGGCCAATGCAACTAGTTGAAAAGTGAACGCAAAGTCAAATTACGGTTTAGGCCACATGTCCTAAGCAAGTGGGTTGACTGTTTGGCCTCCTCCCTGACCTCACTGGAATCAGAGGGTCTTCTTTGTTCTAAATAAACTCACGCTTTGGTATCCTGTAGGCTGTTTTCAGCTCCAGGTAGTAAAAACTATTGACTGTGGGAAAGAGATTAGAGAAATAAAGCAATAGATCAACAGTACATAAAACTGAAACCCTGAGAAGTAGATTGTTTTCCCTAACAAATAGGTCTAAGCTGGAAAAGAGGAAACACACAGAGGGCCCGGAACACAGTGAATGGCCCAATTGTGCGACAAGCAATTCAGAAAGGCAGGCAGCGAGGCTTACCCATCTAGCAGGCGCTTGTGTGGGGCCAGAATTCCCTCTGAGTCATTAATTTTAAACAGTGCTAAAATGCTAGAATTCTCATTGCACATGAAATAGAATGAATGCTCTTGGAGACAAAGAAGTACTTCAAGGATGCCGTCGATCCTTACTGTATTTGCCTTGACCATCGTTTTTCCTTGGCTTGTTTTCTTCATTTTAACCTGAGCAATCTTACCAGTTCCCATCATCACCACAACCACCTCTCATGCAATGACCCAACTGCTGGCTTCTCTTCAAGGGTCCAGAGCCCCATTTCCAGTGCTCAACTGGGTGCCCCCACTTGTCTACTGAACATCTCAAATGGGTCTCCCACAGGCACCTCAAATTCCACATGCCCCCAACTCAACTCAGTATCTTTTCTGCTAAGCAAGCCCCTCCTCCTCTCTTCCCTGTGCCCATCAACTCCATCCACAACCCCAGTCAGACAACTCGGTCAGAGGCTCTCATGCTGTGCTCTGCATGACCACAGCTTCATGGCTGTGATGCATCCACTCTGTTGGCACTGACCATTGCCCAGCAGCCTCCCTGAGTTGCAGCTCCCCACATGCAGTGCAAGAGGGCCAGAGCCTCTGACCCCGGCTTCTCCTCTCTCCCAGTATGCATCCCTGTGTGCACAGGTGAGCTCCTCTTGCAGAGTTCCTGACTGGACCCATCCAGGCTGGAGCCGCTCAGGCCCCACAATCCTCTCCCAGCCTGAGGCCGGCTCCAAGGAAGACCTCCAACTTGTTCAGCACTCATGCCCAGACCCCTGGCAACTCACTGATCCCTGCTGTTGTCCGCTTGTTGGAGTGATGCCTGCCCCACCAGCACTGTCTTGCCCATAGCCACATTCCCATATTTGTCTCCAGTAGCCTGTGCCTATCCTCGATGCTTGTCCCTTGAACAACACAGGTTTCAATGCATGGATCCACTTATACTCAGATTTTCCAACCAAACTCTGATGGAAAACACAGTATTCCCAGCAAGCGAAGGCTGCTTATGCAGAGGCCTGCCTTTCCTTACACACGGGTTCTGCAGGGCTGACAGCGGGACTTGAGTATGCATGGAGTTTGATATACTCGGGGGTCCTGGAACGAATCCCCACCCACACCAAGGGAGGACTGTATGAAGAGGAGACTTATTCAGGGAAGTGGCTCACGTGGTTGTGGAGGCTGAGAATTTCTGCAATCTGCCATCTGTCAGCTAGGAAGCAGGGAAGCCGGTGGTGACATGCAGCCTGAGCCCTAAGGCTTGAGAAAAGGGGAAGGCGGTGGCTGATGGCCTAAGTCCCGGTTTGGGTAGGGAAACCTGAGAACCAGGAGCACCAGTGCTCAAGGGCAGGAGAGGATGGATGTCTCCACTCAAGCAGGAGAGGGTAGATCCACTTTTCCTCCACCTTTTTGTTCTATTCAGGCCCTCAATGGATTGGACAATGCCTGCCTGCGCTGGTGAGGATGGGTCTTCTTATTCAGTCCACGATTCAAATGCCAGCCTCTTCCAAAACACCCACACAGACACACCGGATATAATGCACTGCCAGCCATCTGGGCATCCCTTAGGCACACCACATTGACACATAAAATTAACCATCATAATACCTAATTGTATGGATTGTATAATTGTGTAGATAAATATGGATCATGTAAGCACTAACAAAAAGAAGACAGAAGCAGTATTTCCAACGTAGAACTCAAGGTAACACATTAAATGAGAGAAGGGGATGCCACATTTACAAAAGGCATGGTCTCTTTGCCTGGAAGCCTGCCCCAGCTTTTCATGGGGCTGGCCACCTGTCCTCTGGCCTTGGCTTCAGTGCGCCCTCCCCAGGGAGACCTTCCTGACCGTCCCACAAACAGTCCCATCCCCTCCATACCTTGAAAAGGCTGCTCATTTGTTTCCTTCATAGCACCAACCGGGATTCTTTTAAATTAATACTTATTTATCTGCTTGTTTATTGTTTGTTTTGTAGCTATAATGTATGAATCATAAAGTGCAGGAGGCCACTAGATTCTTTTATCTGCCATTGTATTTCTAGTGCTTAGCACAGTGCCCAGCACACCAAAAGCATTTAATAAATATTCCTAAAATGAGCACCACTGTATAACATCACAAATCTAGGCACCCAAAAGTTCCAGAAATATCTCAATAAAATATATTTTAAATGCAGAAAAATTTAGCAAAGCTACATGAACCAGTACCAGTCCATGGCCCATTAGGAACCAGGCCACACAGAAGGAGGTGACTGGCAAGTGAGTGAGCGAAGTGTTATCTGTATTTACAGCCACTCCTCCTGGCTCACATTACCACCTGAGCTCCACCCCCTGTCAGATCAGTGGTGGCATTAGAGTCTCCTAGAAGCACGAACCCTATTGTGGTCTGTGCATGCGAGGAATCTATATTAGGTTGCACACTCCTTATGAGAATGTAATGCCTGGTGATCTGTCACTGTCTCCCATCACCCCCAGAGAGGACCATCTAGTTGTAGGAAAACAAGCTCAGAGCTCCCACTGATTTCTACATTATTGTGAGTTTTACCATCATTTCATTAATTACAGTGTAATAATAATAGAAATAGAGTGCACAATAAAGGTAATGCACTTGAATCATCCTGAAACCATCCCCTACCATCATCCATGGAAAAACTGTCTTCAACAAAACCAGTCCCTGGTGCCAAAAAGGTTGGGGACACTGAATTTCATTCAACAAACATTTACTTAATTCCTATATGAATCAGGTTCTGTTAAGTAGTTGAAGCTGAGCTGAGGACGAAATTGACAATTCTGCCTCAACAAACTTGAATCGAGATGACTCCAGGACTTGGCTAACACAACTACCATTGACTAAATATGATATATAAACATATGCACATGGCAGAGTGTGTACATATATTACTCTATTCCAACAGATAATATATATTTCATAGTATATTTTTGGAACACTGTCAAAAATTGATCATGTTTGAGGATAAAAAAGATATTAATGCTTTATCTAAAATTAAAATCCTCCATATTATTTTCTCTAAACACAATGTAATAAAACCAGACTTTAATAACAAAACAAGAGCCTACAATTCTAAGTATTTGGACATTCAAATAAATCTGGACCTACACATGGAAAACGAAATTGAATTACAATTAGTATGCCCCCTACAGAAATCTGTGGAGTTTGCTCAATGTAGTACATAGAGGAAAACTTATAGAATTAACTGATTTTTTAGAAGTCAAAATAACAAAATAATTGAATTAAGCGCTTGACACAAGGATATAGCAAAATGATAATAAAATTTAAGCCAAAATAAATAGGAAAAAATATAAACTCAAACATTAAAGAAATAAAGGGGGAAATCACAGTGGAGAAGTAAAAATAAACAGTTGGTTATTTTTAAAATAAAGATAAAACAGACAAACCTCTTTAAGTCAGGCCAAGAAAAAAAAGAAGAAAATCAAACACAAACAGCATTAGCAATAAGAAAGGAAATATAATCACAGACCCAGTGGAGACTAAATAATTACGAGAGAACCACACTCAACTCTGAACAATAAACGTGATCAGGTAAATGAACTGGGCAATTTTTTAAGAAAGCCTACAAAAACAAAATTAAGTTAAAATGAGAGAACTGAATAGACCAGAGGAACTCCATGGGCTCAGATATGCAGGTGGCACCAGGAGGTCCCCTGAGCCCAGTTCCTGGACATGGCCCTGGGACTTCTGTCCCTGCAGCCTCTGGCCACCATGTCCGGTCCTCTAATGATGCCTCTAAGAAAGGTTCTGTGTGTCCTTGCTTCTGACGAAAGCTCAGGCCGGTGCATCTGGTTCTCAGGATCTGGGTCATATGCCTTCAGTGGGAGCTGGGCTCTGCAAAATAAAGGTGGGAAAGGCCCTGCCTAAACACAGGAATGGAGTTCAGAGACTCATCACCCAAAAAAGAAACACATGACCACCACATGAACACAAAAAGTCCATATTGGAAATTAGAGTGGATTTGAATTCACATTTCAGCAACCTCATTTCAGTGCCAAGCAAGCTGTAACATAGACACTTCTCTAGCAGCTCAAGTTCAGCACCATGGAGGAGCTACTTTGAATTTTATATTTCACCCCTATCACATGCAACACTTATTTACTGAGTGCCAAATATGAGCAAGGTGTAATCTCAATGGTTTATTTACACGTGTCCACCTAGATGCCTCCTAAGGGGACCTCAAAGTCAGCAAGCCCGGAAAGTGACCGCTGATCACCAACCCTCCATTTAGGATAATAAGAACACCCACTTTGCATAGGGATTATAAAGCTTAAATGGGACTGTGAGAAGAACATGACTAGGGATAACTAAATATTCGTTATCTTTATTAGTATCCTCCTCTGCCTCCAACCTGAGCCTCCCATGACCCCTCCCTCATTATAAACTCACTTAAGCCAAGTGCAGCCTTTATCCCTGAAGACCCACCTCTCATATCACCTGCTCTGTACAGAGCAGTGGCCCCAGGAAGGGCAAGCCCTGGACTCTCTGCACTCCCAACACTGCTTCAGGCCTCCCTGACCTCTCACACCTCTGTGCTCCCCAGGCACAGAGCTCCAGCCACACTGCCCTCCTTTGGTCCTTGAACACCCCAAGCCCATTTGTGCCCCAGGAACCTTTGCGTTTTCCTGATAGTTTCTGCTCCAAATCTTTACCTGGCTGGATCCTGTTCATCCCACAAGTGCCATCCTATCTCTCCTGTCCTCTGAGAAAACTTCTCCCATCACCCTAACTGGAATGCAGCTCCTTTCCCACCCCACCCTTTACTGCCCCTCCTCATCTTATTTTCTTCATATCACTGCCTGCAATGGGTCTATCTATCCCCCCATTAGAACGTAAGCTCAATGATCTAAGATCTTAGCCCCAGGACCTCAATAAATAAATAAAAAATTAATGCATGGATAGATGAATGAATGGATGGGTGGATAGATAGGTGGATAGATGAATAGGTTAGTGAATGGATGGATGGGTGGGTGGGTGGATGGATGGATGGATTGATGGATGGATGGATGGATGGATTCACGAACCATAGGCACTTCTGTTTTAAAACTTAAAATCCGAATGACTGTCTGCTTAATATCTGTGTCCTAATAGAACATGAGTGCTGAAAGACAGAGGGTGTCCTACTGATTCCTGTCTACCTAATGCCTAAAGGTATGCCACCCAGCTTTCTGCTGACTTAATTTAATTCATTCTATGTTGCCCTAAACTCTTACTGCAATGATTCTCAAATTTACCTGTTCAGTACAGCCTCTGCTTTTCCTACTCTCTCCACTTTCCTTGTAGCAAATTAAAGATGGCCTCCTTTGTCATGTCTCCCATTGAGAAGTGGGCTCTGATTTCCTTCCCCTTGAATCTGGGCTGGTCCTGGGGATTTGCGTGGCCAATAGAATGTGGCGGAAGGGAACTACAGGACTTCTGAAGCCAGGTCATAAGGAGCCTTGCAGCTTCTGCATGGGTCTGTTGGCAGTCTCATTATTGGAATCCAGTTGCCATGATGTGAGGCACCCATGCCACATGAAGAGTCTATGTCTAAGTCTATGCATGAGTTCCAGCATCAACCTGCAGCCAGGCGAGCAAGCCATCCAGGGTGCCTAGGCCAGCTGAGCCTTCAGATGAATACAGCCCCAGTCAACATATGACTGTGACCACCCAGCCAACCACAGAACAATGGGAGATAATAAATTCTTATTAAACCACTAAGTTTCTGCATAGTTTTCTAGGCAGCAATAGCTGAAGAAATACTCTCTAATAAATACCAAAATAAAGATGTAATGAAGAATAGGCCAGTATACACAATAGAAGAGAAGGAACACTGGGAGCTAGGTGTTCTAGCCTTAACTCTGCTACCAGCTAGTTGTTTAGGATCACGTAACCTCTCTAGGTCTTTTGGGAGAGAGTATTTTAATTTAAGAGATGAGGCCAGTCATATGTAACCCTAAGTCTTTCACCCTATGTGTGCATTTTTATAATTTGCTTTTACCAAACTTTATTGTATAACTAAAGTAAATAATTTAATTCAGATTTAATTCAGATGTTCTCGTAGTATGAGTAAGGAAGTAAAAAATAAGTGCTACCAGCATCACAATTTTGCCTTGGGTTGGTCCAGTTTAAGAAGCAAAGAAAAAAGTGGGACACCAGAGAACAGAGCTGGAGGGCGTCTTCAAGAGTAAAGACTCCAGCCTGCTGTAGAGACCCAATCAAGAAAATGAGTTGCCAGTAATTAAAATGTGCCTGTTAGAAATAGGACGGTGACCCAGGGTCAATGACAGGAAGGGTTTGGGGGTTGCATTGTTTTGCTTTGTTTTGTTTTTCTTCTGAGTTTAAATGAAGGGTTTGATGATGTTGGCAAGTTGCTTGCTTCACAAGGAGAGGGTCAGAACTCAATGAGGGCTTCCAGCTCAGATATCATCTTTCCAGGATTTTGAGCTCTTCCCTTTGTTTCTAAAGCAGAAATGTGATCACATGGCTCCCCTGCTGAAAACTTTATCGTGCTCCTATTGTCTGCAGCAAAAGGAACAATTCGAATTTCTCCATCTGGCCCCTCCTGCTTCCTCACCACCCACCCACCCAGCCCCCACGCCCCCCACGCCCCCCACGCCCCGACACATTGAGCACCAGTCCTTACTGAGGTGTCTTGTCCTTCTCCCTCGGGATGCTCATCTCCCAGATGGAGAACCAGGTAAAGATATGCTTCTGTCTTACCCCTGGCCCACATCCTGTTGAAGTTCCCTGACTGCAGCTACAGCAACTTTGATTTTGGAAATGATTTGAGAGCAGCTTGCTGTAAAAGCGCTCTACTTTGGGCTGGCAGCTGGACTTTACCTTCACCATTTGCCATGCAGGTGAGCCTTGGACTTAGCTGGTTCTTGGTGTGCTTGCCACAGACTTGGTGACGCCCCATCCCTCCGCTGACAACCGGAAATTCTTCACTTCCTGCCTGGTGCTTCCCAGCGCGCCCTGCTGCCAGGAGAACGGCGGCAGGCAGGCGTCTTTTCAGGATGCCCTTCCAGCTGCCCGAGGGCCCCGCTCCTCCTCTGCCCTTAGCATCAGGGACACGTCCACTCCCTCCCAAGCCTCTGCAAAT
Organism: Homo sapiens; assembly: GCF_000001405.40. Classification (NCBI taxonomy): domain Eukaryota; kingdom Metazoa; phylum Chordata; class Mammalia; order Primates; family Hominidae; genus Homo; species Homo sapiens. The sequence goes on along the minus strand of NC_000010.11, from coordinate 43,846,423 downwards.
GCTCCCTGCTCTAGGAATGAGGTGGAGCAAACAGCACTTAGCACAAAGGCCAACCTTCCACAAGGAGTAGCTGTTTTTACATCATTTCCTCATCCACTTTTACAATTACATGAATAATTCTTAAATAAGTAATATATACACATGACAAAATCAAAGGCACAAGAGGTCAAATCAAAGGTCAAGAGGCACATCATTCAGTTTCTGACTCCACATCTGTTTTATCTGGCATGCTAGTGTGTGGCATGCATAGCACTCATTCCTGGGTTTTTTTAAATACTCAAATAAATTTTATTTTCTCTTTAGTTTGCCGAATAAATTCAGCACATCTTTCTTGGCATTGCAAATCACGTATTCCTGATGTGGACAGTCCCAGTTCTAAGAACTATGGAAGCTTATTATGTTTTTTTTTAAGCTGAAAATATTCTGATTTTTAAATGTCAAAAAACACAAATGTATAAAAGGTTTATGATGAAAGTCCCAGTCCTATCTTTAGCACTGGGTTGCCCAATTACCCAAGACCCTCCACTGGGAGGCAAATATAATTTTTAAAATATTTTTTAATATTTTGCTATTAATAAACTAAGATAGCCACCTGTAGCTGACCATGTCCTCCTTTTGCCACTGCAATGTCAAAATGCCCACTTCTGTTTTGGCACTAAGATAATACAGTTCTGATTTTCTGCATGAGTCTCCTCCGCCATACTGCAGGCACCTTGACCGCAGGGAACACTAAGGCATCAACAGATGTCTCTGGGACGATGTTGACAGAGCCGTTCCCCCACAGAACTTAATAATCAATGAGACCGATAAACTGCACATACCTGTGGAACTTTGGGGAGCCAAGGGTCAGAATCCACCATACCCACATCTCTTCTTCCACATCTCTTCTTCCTGTTTCCAGAGCAGCAACCAAGGCTCATACCAGCCTCTCACCCACTTCAGACACACCCCTTGCCCTCACCTGTGGGGCAGGTTTCCCAGGCTCTGGGGCCACTGCCCGTCTGGACAGGAAGTACCTGGAGGAGAGGTCCGGGGGTGGAATGCTTTGGCCAGAGGAGCAGGCTGGCTCCACGCTTGTCTGCTGGGGGCGGGATGATTCCTTTGGACTCATGGCATCTGGCCTCTCTGGCAGCAGATTCTCCCTTTTCTAAGCCTGCCCTACCCCCTCATGATTCTCTGGATTTCTCACGTTGCACCTGCCTCAGACCACAGGCCACTTAATGACCTCAGAGACTAAGTAACCACCATGCCAACTAAAATGTGACCTGCATGCCCCTCCCTTGGTTATGATTTAGGTTTTACACCACAATCCCTTCTAGTTATTTGGTTTCTTTTTTTGTTTTGTTTTTCCCATGCCTTTCAAATGTAAGCCTTGGGAGGAAGGAATTCTTGTCCCTTCTGTTCACTGTGATATTCTTCCGAACAGTGTTCACTGGATAGAAGGCCTTCAATAAATAGTACTCAAATAAATAAATGACTACATAAATTGTCAAGATACAATCTTCCAGGAACTGTACTAATGGCTGGAAAACAGAAGTGGGGGGAAAAGAAAAAGAGGCCTCACCCTCAGGGAACTAACAATCTTCTGGAGAAAAAAAAATGGGCTAATATGTATACATGTGGATATATAATTTAAAATTAAGGATGTTAGGAAGGATAATTCTGTTGTTTCTACCCCACAGGGCAAGGTTGTTAGTTTTTGTTTTGCTTTGTTTTGTCATGCTGTATTAACTGTGAAAGTGTATCCTCCACCTCCTGAGAATCAATCACTTCTTGGTATTCTCAATCACTCCACTATAATTATAATCCGGATTTTCAGAGTCAGAAATTCCTGTTTCTAGCCTTTGTTCTGATGTGGAGCAGGATCTCCCTGAGTTGCTTCACTGGAGACTACAAGCCTGCAGACACAGGGCCCCCTCCTCCTGTGGACACCCTTCAGCCTCACAGACTGGCAGCACTTGCAAACCCTCGAGAATGTCATCATCTACCCGCCTGGTACAGCAGCCTCTGTGAGAGGTGGGCCCCTTGGCTCCTTCCCTTCATGGAATTCTGTGAGTTTTTTATGACTAAAAAAGGAATTCACAAGTCCACCTCGCAATGGTGAGATGCAGATGGTTTTTGAACATAGAGCCCCAAGTCACCAACTTTTCATCATTATTGCCAGCCCAAACCTAAATCAACATTCAGTTGCTTTTATAAGAAGTAGGTGAAAGATCTTGAGGGAAAAAAGTCATGGAACACTTGAAGATTACACTGGATGAAGAGAATTATCTTTATTGAACCCAGATCTAAAAAGCAGGGCTCACTCAGGAAGAATTCCATCCACAGGCCAGCACATTTGCTCTGGAGTGGAGCACCCAGAACTGCACGATGTATGGAACTGACAGGTTCTGTCTTTCCACCTCTTTCTTTGGCAGGCCCGGATCTGTTTTTCATTGTCTTCGCCACATGTTTTCTCCTTGGTGTATGTTGCAATTTTTGACTTGTAGAGCATCAAAAAGAAACAAAGCAAACCTCCAAGAACAGCAGAATTTGGCCAGAGCCAAAAGCAACTCAGAATTTGAACTGAACTTGCTCAAAGCAGGGCAAGAAGACAGAGGCTTACGAAAATGCCTTTTGTTTGAACCAAAGACTGGAGCCAAAGAATCTGTGTCCAGAAGCTCTTGTGCATGGATGAGCCTCCGATCCCAACCTTCAAGAAGCCAGCTGGACAAGGAGAGGCTGGCAGCTGTGTCCCAGAGAGCTGAAGCCACAAACCCATCCCGCTTTGGCACTGAAGTTCGAGCCCCATGGAGCTTGGAGAGTTCTAACAGATTCCACCCCCACGGCAGTGGATCTATCCCCGGGTTTAGGGTGATGTGCATTCCAGGCACACTGTGTCCATTAACTCAGTGACACATTCTAATATTCTACTGATTGCATCAGCCCTTGTCTCAATTACCCAAAGATGCTGTGACTGTAGGACTCCAGATTTACATTATAGAAGCTTCCCCTACCACAGGCCCAGCCCCCAGCATCCAGCTTGAGACACATGTGACTCATGCCACAGAAGGCTTCTGTGTGTCTGGCCCCCACATCTTCCAGGGCTAGCCCCTGTCCTGACTTCTGACAGCACAGATCAATCCAGGAAGGACCACTCAGAACACAATCACCTTGTTATTATACGTGCAGTCAGTAAGTGAGCATGCTGTCCATCCTATCCCCCAACGTTTCATTCATATCTCCATTTAGAGGCAGTGGAGCTAAGAGACACAAGTCCCATTGCCAGGGTTTGATTCTGGCCCAGCCATTGCTTACCCCCATGAGGCTTCTGTTTCCTCATCTTTAAAATGAAGGCAAAAATGTCAGATTACCCCAAGGAGTAAATAAGATAACGTGTGGGACATATAACACGAACAGCTCCCCCAGCCCATAAGAAGCAGTCCAAGTCCCTTCCCCTTCCTCCTTCCTTCTTTCCTCCATTCATTCCTGCTGCTCTTCCTTTTTTTCTTACACTAATTCATTCTTTCTGTTCGTCTTCCTCAGCAGTGTCTCCTGGAAGAAGTTCTGGCCTTGGCAGCCACTGGCACAGCCACTTTCCATGAGGACGGGCCCTGGCAGCTCTGGGGCTCTTGCCCTCCCCGGTTCTCACACCATATGCAGGGAACCACTCACGGGGCAGCCCCAGAACCCAGTGGTGGCAAGGTCTGTGGCTCCCACCTGCCCTGTCCTGATCCTTCGCATGAGGCTGCTCTAGCTCCAGACTCCTCCCTCTCGATGCCCTGCCCAACCCCCGTGCTTCCTTCTGCAGCAAACGGCACCACCAGCTCCCACGTTCCCTGGCATTTCCGCCCCCAGCCTGGCCATCAATCCATTTCCTGATCCTTCCATGTTCCTTGCTTTTGGATTTCTAAAACATGCCCATTTCCACAGCCTTCATTCATTCCAACATTTTTCCTCTTGTATTACAATGGTCCCCTCATCACAGATGCTGTCTCTCCAATCTGGGTTCTCAAAAGTGCGTTTCTCAGGTCAGATCCAGCCCCTCCTACTCCTCCAGCCCCATTGCCCATCCCCTGACCCCCCAGGGAGCCCCCGAGTGCACCATCTCCCTCCTACCTGGCGCCTCAGCTCACACCCTCTTCACCTCCCACTGTGGCCTAGATCACGGTCCCCTGGACTCCAAGCCATTATTTGGCAGCAAGTCCTCCTGCCACGGGCCAGTGTGCTCAGTGAAAGGGGCATAGTCACATACAGTCTGTGCTCCTGGGAATATCCTGGTTTGCACTGAAGACAGCAGTGGCAAGGCAGTGCCTGTTTCCCAGGATCCTCCCTGCCTGCGCTGCACATGCAAAGCTGTTACAGTCTCACATTAGGCAGGGTGGAGGCACACTGGGACACTGAAAAACACGTGGAACAGTCCTCACTACCTGGAGTCCAAGGTCTGGCATTGAGAGCTCACCAGCAGTGGTGGTGCAAAGGTTTCAGGTGGCACCCATGGGTACAGCTGTCTTCTTAGTCCAAAGCATCCCTCACCGGGGGGCTTAGCCACAGCAGCCTCCATTAAGAGATTCGCATGTTCTGGACGCTTCAGTGGGGGATTAGAGAGAAACACCTTCACCCCTGTGCAGCTCAATCAGGCTGAGGCTGGATGGGCTGGGAGCTCACTGCTGGACACTAAAGTGGTATGTTTCCAGCCTTGGGGTCACTGTCTGACCTGTGAACAGTCCTGTTACAGGTCATTGAGCAGCCTGTTGTCCACCTCTCTGAGCAGCCTGTTGTCCACCTCTCTGACCAGCCTGTGAAGTGCACAGCCTCCAGACAGTGTGCTCTGAACAGGAGGCTCTGCAGCCCCTCTCTCACACACCAGAGCCACCAAAAGGGATTTCATAATTGTCGTAACATTGCCCCACATAGAACTAAAAAGAGACTGTGTGGCCAGGCACGGTGGTTCACGCCTGTAATTCCCAGCACTTTGGGAGGCTGAGGCACGTGGATCTCTTGAGGTCAGGAGTTCAAGACCAGCCTAGCCAACGTGGTGAAACCATCTCTACTAAAAATACAAAAATTAGCCAGGCGTGGTGGCGCACTCCTGTAATCCCAGCTACTCGAGAGGCTGAGGCAGGAGAGTTACTTGAGCTTTGGAGGCAGAGGTGGCAGTGAGCTGAGATTGTGCCACAGTGCTCCAGCCTGGGCAACAGAGTGAGCCTCTGGCTCAAAAGAGAGAGAGAGAGAGAGAGAGAGAGAGAGAGAGAGAGAGAGAGAGAGAGACTGTGTGCCTACCATATTACTAGGACAAAAAAGAAAACGCAAAGAAACTATAGACCATTTAGCAAAATGTGGAAAATACAAATAACCACTGGAAGAAATATAAAATGGAGCATAAGAGGATGAGAGTAAGAGCAAGTACCTCTGCCATAAAAATATATGTAAATAAGATAAATGCAACTGGAGTAAAAATTACTATGTGCTGCATAAATGAGAGTTTCCCAGCAAAGTAACCAGGAAGGTGAACAGATAGGGACAGTGCAGAGACCCACGTGGACAGAAATGGGAAGAAAGCAGGGGCTTCCATGACAATATCACAAAGCTAATTGGCTTTAAAGTGTTAAAAGGCATTAAAATTCCATATTATAACAATGAAACACATAATCTATAATAAACATGTGTCTGTCATAATCCTCTATGTGCCAAATTATCCACCATTAAGTATCAAGCAGAAATTGCTAAATGGAAGAGAACGCCTCCTTATAGATGTCCTCATTATCAAAAATATCTCTTGTCTTGTTCAGGTTTTGTTAATAATACTTATAAGTACATGAAATTACAACATTTATGTTTGCCTGGTACTATGGTTTGAATCTTTGTCCTCTCAAAAACTCATTTTGAAATTTCATTGCCATTATAACCGTTTTAAGAGGTGAGAGCTTTAAGAGGTGATTAGGCCATTAGGGCTCTGCCTTCATGAATGAATTAATGCTGTTATCATGGAATTGGGTTTGTTAGACAGGGGTGTGTTTCAAAGAAAGAAACTACAGACACTGGGGTCTACTTGAGGGTGGAGGGTGGGAGGAGGGAGAGGTGCAGAAAAGACAACTATTGGGTTCTGGGCTTAATACCAGGGTGATGTAATAATCTGTACAACATTAAGGGATTTTCATGCTCTGGGCGCTTCAGTGGGGAATCAGAGAGAAATACCTTCACCCCTGTGCAGCTCAATCAGGTTGGGGCTGGATGGGCTGAGAGCTCACTGCTGGACACTAAATTGGTGTGTTGCCAGGCTCAGGGTCACTGTCTGACCTATTGGCATCCCTGTTACAGGTCATTGAGCAGCCCGTTGTCCACCTCTCTGACCAGCCTGTGAAGTGCACAGCCTCCAGAAAGTGTGCTCTGAGCAGGAGGCTCTGCAGCCCCTCCCTCACACACCAGAGCCCCCAAAACGAATTTCATGATTGTGCTAATGTTTCACCACAAAGAACTAAAAGGAGACTGTGATGTGAGTATACCTATGTAACAAACCTTCACATGTTCCCCTGAACCAAAAATAAAAGTTTCAAAAAAAGAAAGGGGTGTGTTTGCCCTCTCTTCTCTCTCTTTCTCTCACCCTCTCTCACCTTCCTCACCGTCTCCCTTCTGCCTTGGGATAATACAGCAAGAAGACTGGCCCTTGAAAGATGCTGACACCTGATATTGGACTTCTCAGCCTCCATAACTGTGAGCCAGTGAATTTCTGTTCATTATAAATCACTCAGTCTCAAGTATTTTGTTATAGTAGCACAAATGGACTTAGACAGAAAATTGGTAACAAGAAGTGGTGGTTGTGCCATAACAGACACCTGAAAATGTAGAAGCAGCTTTGAAACTGGGCAATGGGTAGAGTCTGGAAGAGTTTGGAGAAGCTGACTGGAAATAGCTTGTATTGCCATGAAAGGAGCATTAAGAGCAACTCTGGGGAGGAGTCAGAGGAAGAAAGGGGCTGTAGGGAAAGTCTGAATCTTCCTAGAGATTACTAAGTGGTCATGATCAGAATGTTGGTAGAAATAAGGACAGTCAAGGCAATTCTGATGAGGTCTCAAGTTGAAATGAGAGAAAAGGTACCGGACACTAAAGTAAAGCCCACCTTGTTACAAAGTGGCAAAGATCTTAGCTAAATTGTGTCCACCCCAAGTGCTTTGTGAAAGGCAGAATATAAGAGAAATGAACTAGAATACCTGGTCAAAGAAATATCTAAGCAACGAAGTATTCAGGATGCTGTGGGGCTTCTCATAACTGCGTATACTAAATTTTGAGAAGAGAAAAATTATTTAAAGACAAAATTGTATAATTAAAAGAAAAACACAGTTTAGGGATTTGAAGGATTCTCAGCCTGGCCATGTGATAGAGGATGAAAGAGTATTTTCAGGAGAGGAAACCAATGGTGCAGCCAACTCACCATTTGATAAGGAGACTCATGTGGATAGAAGGAAGCCAGAGGCTGTTCGTCAATGACCCCCAAGGCACTTCAGACATTATTGGTGACATCCCTCCCACCACAGGTCCAGAGTGCCAGATCCTTCCTGGGGACGGACATATGTCAAAAGAGAGGCCTAGGGCACCCTCCAGACTTTGGGCTGCACTGCCCAGGGCTGCCTCAAGTCTCTGCTTCCCAATTCCAGTACAGTGCTCCTCAGCCGCCCCAGCCATGGCTCAAATAGACCAGGTACAGCTTGGCCCGCTGCTTCAGAAGGTACATGCCATAAACCCTAGCAGCATCCATGTGATGCTGATTCTGCAGGTGCACATGATGCAAGAGCTGAGAAGGCATGGGTGCCTCCACATAGATTTCAAAGGATGTCACAGGCAGAGACTTAACACAGGAGTGAAGTCATTGCAGAGAGCCTCCACTCGGGCAATGCCCAGGAGAAGTGTGAGGACAGAGCTGCTGCAGAGAGTCCCCACTAGGCCTAATGGAGCCATGGGGGCAAGGTCACCTCCAAGACCCCAGAACTGTAGAGCCGCCAGCATGCAACACCAGCCTAGGCGAACTGCAGGTACAAGATTACAACCCGAGAGAGCTGCTTTTGGGGCTGAGTCCAGTAAAGTCATAGGGCTGGAGCTCCTCAAGGCCTTGGGTGCCCAATCCCCACCACAGTGTGTCCGAAAGGTGGCATATGAAGTCAAAGATTATTCTGAAGTCTTAGATTTAATGCTGTTCACTCTGTTGGGTTTTGAACTTCTTTGAGATCAGTTACCCCTTTCTTCTTTCCTATTACTCCCTTTTGGAATAGGAATGTCTATCCTATACCTGTTCCACCATTGTATTTTGGAAGCACGTACTTGTTTAATTTCATAGGCTTACAGATGGAGAAGAATTTGCCTCAGGATAAATCATGCCTTGAGTCTTGCTCATGTCTAATTTTGATGAGACTCTGGATTTTGAACTTTTGAGTTGATACAGGAATGAGTTAAGACTTTGGGGGCCACTGAGATAGAATGAATGTCTTTTGTATGTGAGAACAACATGAATTTTGGGACACCAGGAACATAATTCTATGGTTTGAATATGTGTCCCCTCCAAAACTCATGATTAAATTTTAATTGCAATGGTATTAAGATGTTTAACTTCAAAGATTAAGCCATGAGGGTTCTGCCTTCATGAACAGATTAATGTCCTTATTTACAGGAGTGAATTCCTTATAAAAGGGTGACTTTGTCCACTTTCTCTCTCTCTCTCTTTCTCTCTCCCATTCACCTTCCACCATGGGATGATACAGCAAAAAGGCCCTCAACAGATGCCAGTGCCTTGATATTGGATTTAGCCTCCAGAACTGTGAGCCAATACATTTATGTTCATTATAAATTGCCCAGTCTCAAGTATTTTTTTACAGCAACGCAAAATGGACTAAGTCACTTGGTCATTGTCTATCTCTCCCCAACTAGACAAAAATCCCACACAATTCCAAAGACCTACAATAATAACTGTATGTTAAGCATTCAATACTTATTTATGAAATGAGTCAATGAATAAATAACAAAATGAGAAAACAATCCCCAAATTAGAAATCAGAAAAGAAAATTTATTCCAAACACAAAGGACACTAAAGCAATTGTAAGGGACTATTATGTTCGACCATCTGGTAATAAGAAAACTTGAATAAAATCAAAATTTTTTCCTGGGAAAACATAAATTACCAGTATTAACTGAAATATAGGCTTAAAAAAAGTATTCATATTTGGCTGGCCATAGAGAAATAGATCCATCTCTCTATATGTGTGTGTGTATATATATATATAGATACATATATATATATACACACACACATATATACACACACACGTATATATATATCTATATATATATACACACACACTCATATACACATATATATATGGCCAGCCAAATATATATCATTGCATATTTTATATTATTAATTAGAAAAATATGATTATAGAGGTGGTTGGCAAGATGGCCAAATAGGAACATCTCTGGTCTGCAGCTCCCAGAGAGATCAACATGGAAGGCGGGTGATTTCTGCATTTCTAACCGAGGAATCCGGCTCGTCTCATTGGGACTGGTTAGACACTGGGTGCAGCCCACAGAGAGCAAGCCAAAGCAGGGTGGGGCATTGCCTCACCCGGGAAGCACAAGGGGTGCTCCCTCCCCTAGCCAAGGGAAGCCACGAGGGATTGTGCTATGAGGAATGGTGCACTCCAGCCCAGATACTATGCTTTTCCCACAGTCTTCACAACCTGCAGACCCGGAGATTCCCTTGGGGGCCTATACCACCAGGGCCCTGGGTTTCAAGCACAACTTGGTGGCCATTTGGGCAGACGCTGAGCTAGCTGCAGGAGTTTTTTTTCATACCCCAGTGGCACCTGGAATGCCAGTGAGACAGAACTGTTCACTACCCTGGAAAGAGGACTGAAGCCAGGGAGCCAAGTGGTCTAGCTCAGCAAATCCCATCCCCACAGAGCCCAGCAAGCTAAGATCCACTGGCTTGAAATTCCCGCTGCCAGCACAGCAGTCTGAAGTTGATCTGGGATGCTTGAGCTTGGTGGGGGAAGGGGCGTTCACCATTACTGAGGCTTGAGTAGGCAGTTTTCCCCTCATAAAGCCACAGGGAAGTTCAAACTAGGCAGAGCCCACCACAGCTCTGCAAAGCCACTGCAGCCAGACTGCCTCTCTAGATTCCTCCTCTCTGGGCAGTGCATCTCTGAGAGGAAGGCAGCAGTCACAGTCAGGGGCTTATCAATAAAACTCCCATCTCCCTGGGACAGAGCACCTGGAGGAAGGGGCAGCTGTGAGCACAGCTTCAGCAGACTTAAACGTTCCTGCCTGCCAGCTCTGAAGAGAGCAGCGAATCTCCCAGCACAGCACTCGAGCTCTGCTAAGGGACAGACTGCCTCCTCAAGTGAGTACCTAACCTGTGCTTCCTGACTGAGAGACACCTCCCAGCAGGGGTCGATAGACACCTCATACAGGAGAGCTCCAGCTGGCATCTAGCAGGTGCCCCTCCAGGACGAATCCTCCAGAAGAAGGAACAGGAAGCAATCTTTGCTGTTCTGTAGCCTCTGCTGGTGAAACCCATGCAAACAGAGTCTGGAGTGGACCTCCAGCAAACTCAAGCAGACCTAAAGCAGAGGGGCCTGACATTTTTCCTTCTAACAAAGGAAAACTAACAAACAGAAAGGAATAACATCAACATCAACAAAAAGGACATTCACACAAAAACCCCATCCAAAGGTCACCAAAATCAAAGAACAAAGGTAGATAAATACATGAAGATGAGGAAAAACCAGCACAAAAAGTCTGAAAATTCCAAAAACCAGAACTCCTATTCTCCTTCAAAGGATCACAACTCCTCACCAGCAAGAGAACAAAACTGGACGGAGAATGAGTTTGATGAATTGACAGAAGTAGGCTTCCTCTGAGCTAAAGGAATATGTTCTAAACCAATGCAAGGAAGCTAAGAAACTTGAAAAAAGGTTAGAGACATTGCTAACTAGAAAAACTAGTTTAGAGAAGAACATAAATGACCTGATGGAGCTGAAAAACAGAGCACAAGAACTTCGTGAAGCATACACAAGTATCAATAGCAGAATCGATCAAGCAGAAGAAAGGATATCAGAGACTGAAGATCAACTTAATGAAATAAAGCTTGAAGACAAGATTAGAGATAAAAGAATGAGAAGGAATGAACAAAGCCTCCAAGAAATATGGAACTATGTGAAAAGACCAAACCTAGGTTTGATTGGTGTACTTGAAAGTGACAGGGAGAATGGAATCAAGTTGGAAAACACTCTTCAGGATATTATCCAGGAGAACTTCCCCAACCTAGCAAGGCAGGCCAACATTCAAATCAGGAAATACAGAGAACACCACGAAGATACTGCTTGTGAAGAGTAACCCCAAGACACATAATTGTCAGATTAACCAAGGTTGAAATGAAGGAAAAAATGTTAAGGGCAGCCAGAGAGAAAGGTCAAGTTACTCACAAAGGGAAACCAATCAGACTAACAGCAGATCTTTTGGCAGAAACTCCACAAGCCAGAAGAGAGTGGGGGCCAATATTCAACATTCTTAAAGAAAACAATTTTCAACGCAGAATTTCATTTCCAGCCAAACTAAGCTTCATAGATGAAGGAGAAATAAAATCCTTTACAGACAAACAAATGTTGAGAGATTTTGTAACCACCAGGCCTGCCTTACAAGAGCTCCTGAAGGAAGCACTAAACACGTAAAGGAACGACTGGTACCAACCACTGCAAAAACAAATTGTAAAGACCACTGACACTATAAAGAAACTGCATCAACTAACGGACAAAATAACCAGCTAGCATCATAATGACAGGATCCAATTCACACATAACAATATTAACCTTAAATGTAAATGGGCTAAATGCTGCAATTAAAAGACACAGACTGGCAAACTGGATAAAGTGTCAAGACCCATTGGTGTGCTGTATTCAGAAGACCCATCTCACTTACAAAGATACACATAGGCTCAAAATAAAGGGATGGATGAATATTTACCAAGCAAATGGAAAGCAAAAAAAAAAGCATGGGTTGCAATCCTAGTCTCTGATAAAACAGACTTTAAACCAACAAAGATCAAAAAAGACAAAGAAGGGCATTACATAATAGTAAAGGGATCAATGCAACAAGAAGAGCTAACTATCCTAAATATATATGCACCCAATGCAGGAGCACCCAGATTCATAAAGCAAGTTCTTAGAGACCTACAAAGAGACTTAGACTCCCACAAAATAATAGTGGGAGACTTTACCACCCCACTATCAATATTAGACAGAGCAACGAGATAGAAAATTAACAAAGATATTCAGGACTTGCACTCAGCTCTGGACCAAGTGGACCTAACAGACATCTACAGAACTCTCCACCCCCAAATCAACAGAATATACATTCTTCTCAGCATCACATAGCACTTATTCTAAAATTGACCATATAATTGGTAGTAAAACCCTCCTCAGCAAAGGCAAAAGAAAGGAAATCATAACAAACAGTCTCTCAGACCACGGTGCAATCAAGTTAGAACTCAGGATTAAGAAACTCACTCAAAACCACACATTTACATGGAAACTGAACAACCTGCTCCTGAATGACTACTGGGTAAATAACGAAATTAAGGCAGAAACAAGTAAGTTATTTGAAACAATGAGAATAAACACACAATGTACCAGAATCTCTGGGACATAGCTAAAGCAGTGTTTAGAGGGACATTTATAGCACTACATACCCACAGGAGAAAGCAAGAAAGATCTAAAATCGACACCCCAACATCACAATTAAAAGAACTAGAGAAGTAAGAGCAAACAAATTCAAAAGCTAACAGAAGGCAAGAATTAACTAAGATGAGAGCAGAACTGAAGGAGATAGAGACACAAAAAACCCTTCAAAAAAACCAATAAATCCAGGAGCTGGTTTTTTGAAAAGATTAACAAAATAGACCGCTAGCCAGGCTAATACAGAAGAAAAGAGAGAAGAATCAAATAGACACAATAAAAAATGATAAAGGAGAGATCACCACTGATCCCACAGAAATACCAACTACCATCAGAGAACACTATAAACACCTCTACACAAATAAACTAGAAAATCCAGAAGAAATGGATAAATTCCTGGACACCTACACCCTCCCAAGACTAAACCAGGAAGAAGTTGAATCCCTGAATAAACCAATAACAAGTTCTGAAATTGAGGCAGTAATTAATAGCCTACCAACCCAAAAAAGCTCAGGATCAGACGGATTCACAGCCGAATTCTACCAGCAGTACAAAGAGGAGCTGGTACCATTCCTTCTGAAACTATTCCAAACAAGAAAAAAAGAGGAACTCCTCCCTAACTCATTTTATGAGGCCAGCATCATCCTGATACCAAAACCTGGCAGAGACACAACAAAAAAAGAAAATTTCAGGCCAATATACCTGAAGAACATCAATGTGAAAATCCTCAATACAATACTGGCAAACCGAATCCAGCAGCACATGAAAAAGCTTATCCACCATGATCAAGTCAGCTTCATCCCTGGGATGCAAGGCTGGTTCCACTTAACATAATCAATAAACGTAATCCATCACATAAACAGAGCCAATGACAAAAACCACACGATTATCTCAATAAATGCAGAGAAGTCCGTCAATAAAATTCAACACCCCTTCATGCTAAAAACTCTCAATAAACTAGGTATTGATGGAATGTATCTCAAAATAATAAGAGCTATTTATGACAAACCCACAGCCAGTATCATACTGAATAGGCAAAAGCTGGAAGCATTCCCTTTGAAAACCAGCACAAGACAAGGATGCCCTTTCTCACCACTCTTATGCAACATAATATTGGAAGTTCTGGCCAGGGCAATCAGTCAAGAGAAAGAAATAAATGTATTCAAATAGGAAGAGAGGAAGTCGAATTGTCTCTGTTTGCAGATGACATGATTGTTTATTTAGAAAACCCCATCATCTCAGCCCAAAATTTCCTTAAGCTGATAAGCAACTTCAGCAAAGTCTCAGGATACAAAATCAGTGTGCAAAAATCACAAACATTCCTATACACTAATAATGTAATAGTACATTAATAATAATATACACAAACAGAGAGCCAAATCATGAGTGAACTGCCATTCACAATTGCTACAAAGACAATAAAATACCTAGGAATACAACTTACAAAGGATGTGAAGGACCTCTTCAAGGAGAACTACAAACCACTGCTCAAATAAATAAGAGAGTACACAGACAAATGGAAAAACATTCCATGCTCATGGATAAGAAGAATCAATATTGTGAAAATGGCCATACTGCCAAAGTAATTTATAGATTCAATGCTATGCCCATCAAGCTACCATGGACTTTCTTCACAGAATTAGAAAAAACTACTTTAAATTTCATATGGAACCAAAAAAGAGCCTGCATTGCCAAGACAATCCTAAGCAAAAAGAACAAAGCAGGAGGCACCACACTACCTGACTTCGAACTATACTACAAGGCTACAGTAACCAAAACTAGCATGGTACTGGTACCAAAACAGATATATAGACCAATGGAACAGAACAGAGGCCTCAGAAAATATGTCACACATCTACAACCATCTGATCTTTGACAAACCTGACAAAAACAAGAAATGGGGAAAGGATTCCCTATTTAATAAATGGTGCTGGGAAAACTGGCTAGCCATACGCAGAAAACTGAAACTGGACCCCTTCCTTACATCTTATACAAAAATTAACTCAAGATGGGTTAAAGACTTAAACATAAGACCTAAAACCGTAAAAATCCTAGAAGAAAACCTAGGCAATACCATTCAGGACATAGGCATAGGCAAAGACTTCATGACTAAAATACCAAAAGCAACGGCAACAAAATCCAAAATTGACAAATGGGATCTAATTAAACTAAAGAGCTTCTGCACAGCAAAAGAAACTATTATCGGAGTGAACAGACACCCTACAGAATGGGAGAAAATTTTTATAATCTATCCATCTGACAAAGGGCCAATATCCAGAATCTACAAAGAACTTAAACAAATTTACAAGAAAAAAACAAGCAACCCCATCAAAAAGTGGGCAAAGGATATGAACAGACACTTCTCAAAAGAAGACATTTATGTGGCCAACAAACATATGAAAAAAAGCTCATCATTACTGGTCATTAGAGAAATGCAAATCAAAACCACAGTGAGATACATCTCACGCCAGTTGGAATGGCGATCATTAAAAAGTCAGGAAACAACAGATACATATTTTATCAATTTAATGATTCCATTGTACATTCTGTGGCATTTAGCATATAGACAATAATGTATCTATGAGTAATTATATTTCTAATTATTTCACTCCAATCTTATTTCTCTTTTTACTTTTTTTAATTGACAAAATTGTATATTTATTTAAGGTGTATAACATGATGTTTTAATATATGTATATATTGTGAAATGACTAAATCAAGCTAATTAACCTCACACATCTTTTTTGATGGTGAGAAAATTTAAAATCTACTCTTTGAGCAATTTTCAAGCATATAATACATTGTTGTTTCCTATAATCACCATGTTGCACAATAGAATTCCCACTTATTCCTCCTGTCTAACTGAAATTCTACATTCTTTAACCAATATCTTCCCTGTTTCCTACTCTCCAGCCCCTGGTAACCACCTCTCTGCTTCTGTGAGTTCAACTCTTAGACTCCACATATAAGTGAGACCTTGTAGTATTTGTCTTTCTATGCCTGGTTTATTTCACTTAGCATAATGTCATCCAGGTTTATCCTTGTTGCAAATGACAGGATTTCTTTCTTTTTAAAGGCTGAATAGTATGTTGTTGTGTATATATACTATATTTTTCTTATTCATTTATTTGTTGATGGACAGTTAGGCTGTTTCCATATCTTAGCTCTGGATAATAATGCTGCAGTGAACATGGGAGTGCAGATACCTCTTCAACATAAGTATTTCATTTCCTTTGGCTATATATCCACAAGCATAATGGCTCGACCATATGGTAGTTCTGTTTTTAATTTTTTTTTTTTGAGATGGAGTCTTGCTCTGTCACCCAGGCTGGAGTGCAGTGGCACAATCTCGACTCACTGCACCCTCTGCCTCCTGGGTTCAAGCGATTCTCCTGCCTTTGCCTCCCGAGCAGCTAGGACTACCATGCCCAGCTAATTTTTGTATTTTTAGTAGAGACGGGGTTTCACCATATTGGCCAGGCTGGTCTCAAACTCCTGACCTTGTAATCCACCTGCCTCAGCCTCCCAAAGTGCTGGGATTACAGGCATGAGCCACCATGGCTGGATCTGTTTTTAACTTTTTGAGGAACCTCCATACTGTTTCCCAAAATGACTGTATTAATTTAAATTCCCACCAACAGTTTACAAAGGTTTTCTTTTCCACACATCCTCAAAAACACTTTTTAATCTCTTATATTTCTTATAATAGCCATCCAAACAGGTGTGAGGAAATATCTCATCCTGGCTTTAATTTGCATTCCCTGATGATCAATGATGTTGAGTTTTTTTTTAATAGACCCATTGGCCATTTGTATGCCATCTTTTGAGAAATGTCTTTTCAGGTCCTTCACCCAGTTTTTAAAATTGGATTACTTGTTTTCTTGCTATTGAGTTCTTTCAGTTCCTTATGTATTTTTATATTAACTCCTTATCAGATGTATGGTTCACAGATATTTTCTCCCATTCTGCAGGTTGTTTCCTCACTCTGTTGATTGTTGCCTTTCATGTGCAGAAGCTTTTTAGCTTGATAATCCCAATTGTTTATTTTTGCTTTTGTTGCCTGTGCTTTTGGGGTCATATCAAAAAGCAATGGCAACAAAATACCAATGGCAAGAACCTTTTCCCATTTCCTCTAGATTTCAGAGTGGGATTATCCAGTATGGTAGCCACTATCTAAATTTGTGACCATTCAAAGTTAAATTTAAAAAGAAGTGTTACTCTTTCAGGTCTCACATTTAGATTTTTCATCCATTTTGAGTTGATTTTGTTATATGAATTTGTTCTCTAGTCTTACTGTGAAACTCTCAAAGACTTTATGTAAGATTGGAATTTTCAGCTCTGAGTATTCAAACTGGCATATAAAACTAACTGAGCCTGGTGTTTTCCTTAAGGACAGATTTTTTTAACTAAGGATTCATGTTTTTCATAAACATAGGATGATTCAGGCTTACTATTTCTTCTGGAGTCAGTTTTGGTAATTTATATTTCCTGTAAATATTTCTACTTCACCTGATTCCAGATTGATTGCCATAATGTTGTTCAGTATATCCTATTTTATTACCTTTTGAATCTCAATTCTATTTGTAATTGTGCCCTCTTTCACTTTTGGCATTGGTTTGGTTTGTTTGTAATATCTTCTCTCAGTTTTATTGAATTTTTTTATCCTAAGGATTGATTATATTTTCCCTTTATTCCCTCCCTCCACTTAAATACAAAACCAAGTCAGGCAAGTGTCTTTCCCTACTGTGTTACTCAAGAATCACAGTCAGCTTTTTCTATAGAGGGCCAGATAGTAAATTTTTTCTCTTCTGTGGTCCATATGGCTGCAACTATTCAACTCTGCCCTTGTTTTGCAAAAACAACTACAGATAATATGATAAGGAAAGGCATGGCTGTGTTTCAATGAAACTTTACAAAATCAGGTAGTAGGCTGCGTTTGGCTTACAGGCCAAACACATCCCAGCTCTAGATTCCAGAACCTGTAAAAAGCCCAGCTCCAGATCCCTCCCTTTAAAGAGGATATTAATTGCCTGTCCTCCACCCTACTCCCAGGACAAAAACTGGATGACAATTTCTTATCTTTCCAGTTTCACTTACTGTTTCCAGCTTTGAACCTCTTTATCACTTCCAGGCTTTTGGGACATTCTTTATTTTCACATATGATTAACCACTCATTTTTAAAGATTTATTTTAAATATTCTATCCAGCATTGTTAGATGTTCTACACTGGTTTGGTTTTTCCGGCTATTGCCAAAAATGGAAATCTCATCACTGGATTTTGCCATAAGGCATCTTTTTCTCTTCCTTCCTTCTTTTCCTTCTTCCTTTCTTCCTCCTTCTTTCTTTCTGCCTTTGCTACAAAGTACAGGGGGAGGTGGAAGTCTGACTCCTGTGACTAAGTGGAAAGCTTCCATTCTCAGGCAAATACTAGGAATAATATTACATAAGGCATCAGATGAGAGGTCTGACCTGACTGTAACAATTCAACACCACACTTTGGACACACTCTTGATCCACAATTCCTGATTTGCTTGGAAATTGAATCATAAATGATGATTTCTAGCAAGTCTATTTCTGATAGTTGGTCCTTGGATGAATTCATTGGTCACTTCCAGGGAAGCACTGACCAGGGTTTAACTGAGGACAATGTGAAATAACATTCTGTTACCCAGAGAGTACATGCTTATGTCCTGTGGGAGGAATAACAGAAAAAGCAAATGGTAGCAATGCTGGGAAAAACTGAGCACCTTTTCCCAGTGGGACCAAGTTTGGGACACGGCTGATCCTGCAGCATCTGGACAAGCAGCAAGAGCTGGGAGGAGATAGTGGAACAGTGGAAGATCTGAAGCTAAGAGTCTCAAGGTGGGCTGGTGAGCGATCTCACAGCTGGGAAAGTCTTGCAGACCCGAGACACGGAGTCCCTACTTTCCTTCTTTGATTTAGAAACTTTTGTGAAGGGAGATAGCTGTGTGAAGACATGGGAGAAACCAACTCTTTACTTAAATTCTATAGGTTTAAGTTTTATTATGGTTTGTGTTGATCAAAACTCTTTATAGCCTATACCTAGAGTACTCAAACTCAGAGAGACAGAAAGTAGAATTGGTAGTTACCAGGGTCTAGGGATGGGAGAGAATGGGGAGTCTGTGTTTAATGGGGACAGAGTTTCTGTCTGAGATGATGGAAAAGTTCTGGAGATAGATGGTGATGATGTTGTACAACAACGTGAATGTACAAACTTTACATTATGTACATCTTACCACAATAAAAAAATCTTTTAAAATATAAACCAAAAAAAAAACCTCTTTATAATCTCTTTCAAGTGAGGAATTACCAAGTGCTCAACAGGCTGCTTAGAATGGGAGGCAGGGGTGAGGGGCAATGCCAGGCACATGACCCGCTTTGTACACTTACGATTGCTGCTATTTATTGAGTGTCTACCCTCTCTGCCAGCTCCTACACTAAGCACTTTACATGTACTCATTCTAATCCTAAAAAAAGAGAAAAGGAAAGAAAAACAGGAGCCTGCAAGGCTTCGAGGTGCATTGTATTTCCCACATTTTACAGAATCAACTTAGTGTCCTTGTGGTAAGAGTGTTTCTGGTGAGATGGTAAAGTCGTGTGTTTGTGAATTGTACATCATTCAATTCAATTCTTTTGGAGTTAATGATTCTACAAGAAAATATAGTCGAACTAGACATTCACTTACAGTGGAGCTCCGCTGGGTTCCCTAACTCTTAGTAACAGAGCTGCCCCCTCCGCTTCCCCTCACGCCCAGAGTCCTAGTAACAGAGTTGCCCGCGGAGAGGCTGCTGCTCTCAGGCCCTGGTCAGGGTGATGGATGTGAGTTTGCTCAGTCCTTCCTCCACGTGGGATAACCGAGAATATCCAGAATTTTTACCTAAATTGGAACTGGCACACAAAGCGTAAAGTCTGGCAAAAGAGGACTAAGCAGATACATGTGAAACTACCACAGTCAAACAGCCTCTAGTGGCACAGCTGTGGGACATCGATGCACTTGTCAATGGTGGGGACTGGACAGGAGGCTGCAGGCCACTGCACCGTCCTAAGGCCACTCAGGACAAGGCCAGTCCCCAATTTGTTTCACTGTGAGACAGCTGCGCAGTCAGAGCCCAGATACGGTCACCAGACTCCCGGACTTGGATTCAGCTCCACATCGTGTCACCCTGGCTAAAGGATGTACACCTCTGCGTGACTGGGTTTGTCACCTGGCAGCATGGATGCTCAAGCGACTGACCTGTCAGGACAGCAGCAAATGAACTGAAGCTGGGGGAGCGTGCAGGCTGGTGCTGTGTGGAGCTCTGGGGCAGAAGGCACTCACCAGGGGTGCCCAGAGCCGGGGTCTGTGAGTCGCGCGCTGGGTCCGGGTCACAGGCGCTGGGTGAACAGATTGAGAAGACAAAATGAGGATGTACTCCTTACATGCTCACGAAAAGCCTTCTTCCCCTTCGTTGGGAACGACCCCCCCAGACACTAGACCCAGGCCACACCTGGAGTCAGCCGCAGGCAACTCAGAGGAGCGCGAGCCCGGGAGCCTCGGGAGGGCCTCGGAGGTGGGTGGGGGTGAGGGGAGCCTCAGGAGGGCCGCGGGTGGTGAGGGGGGCCTCTGGAAGGTCTGGAGCCCGCTGAAGGCAGGCGATGACGCAGGCCCAGTGCACATGTCCCAGGGCTCCTGTCTAGGCACACGGAAGCTGCATGTTCGTTTCTTTGTACCCATATCACACTTACTGTATTTCTTCTTCTTCTTTCTTTTCCTCCCCCAGCAGCTCTAAGCGCCCTACAGCTTCCATGGAAAGGCAAAAGGGACTTCCCTATTGCACCGTCTGCGGGTACCACTGTTCCAGCCCTGAAGGGACTAGGGGATGCTGCGCTGTGGGGAAAGTCCGGGTGGCAGGAGATGGCGGGGCTCCTGGAGGAGGTGCTGGGATGCGCTGCTGTGGCTGCTGAGAAAGGTCCTGAGGGCGCAGCCCGCCCTTTCCCCGAGCTGCGAGCTGCGAGCTGCGAGGGAGCCCGGCGGGGAGGACCGGCAGGGTCTCTGGGAGGGAGGAACAGGGGAGCCTGGAGTCTCAGGGCTGCCGGGAGCAGAGGCGCTCTGGGTGGTGAACGTCCCCAGCCTGCCCTCCCTGCTCACTGCGGAGTCACGCGCCCGCTCTGCTCTGGGCCTCCCCTCAGCTCTGGCCTCCAGGCAGTTTCCTTTCTGCCAGGTAGATTCTGTGCGACTTCATTTATTCAGAATCTGGATCAGCAAATGAACATTCAGGTAGGAAAGGGGTGTTTGGAAGGGTGGAGAGGTTTCCAAGCAGGCGCCCACCTGAGGGGCCCCCTGAAGGGAAACAAAGGGGACTTAAAGCCAGGTTTCCAGCTCGGCCACCCCTTCCTTTTTTTGTCTTTTTTCTTTTTTAAAAAAATATAAACAAAGAGCTTGAATTATTTTGAAATAACTATTGGTAGCTGGACTGTGTTCTCTTGACCACAACATTGCTCTGGGACTGAACCGCGTGGGTCTCTGCTCTTCCTAAGTGTTACATAAGAATAGCGAACCCATGAGGTCAGCTTCTAAACCAGTTTCTTCCCATAACCTCCTGGACCAAGGCCCAAGCAAGGCCGAGAGGAGCTCAAGGTCCCACTCTCACCAGGACGGGCCTCTCTCTCTAGTTGGCAGGAGGCGATGAATGTCGCCCAGTAATTTAAGGTTGTTCATGTTTGGGTAGAAAAGCCAAGCACAGGCCCATATTCTAGAGGATTGCTTGTGGCAGGCAGAAGGCCATCAAAGGCAAACCCAAACAAACAAAAAAGTGTCTTTTGAAGCTAATGGAGCAGATCAGATTGGTGAAAAGTAGATTAACAATAGCATTTGGAACAAAACTTTCAGCATAGTGCTTGCCCGAAAGTACTTACAGCCCTTTAAAATTGAGAGTGGGACCAGGCACTATGGCTCACAACTGTAATCCCAGCACTTTGGGAGGCTGAGGCGGGCAGATCACTTGAGTCCAGGAGTTTGAGACCAGCCTGGGCAACATAGTGAAAACCTGCCACTACTAAAAATACAAAGAGTAGCCGGGCACAGTGGCGCTCACCTGTAATCCCAGCTACTTGGAGGCTGAGGCACGAGAATTGCTTGAACCTGGGAGGCAGAGGTTGCAGTGAGCCAAGGTCGTGCCACTGCACTCCAGCCTGGATAACAGAGTGAGACTCTGTCTCAAAAATAAAATAAAATAAATAACATTGTCACTGGGTGGAATTGTAGACAAGGCAAAGATGTGTCTACACAGTTCCAACCAAGAGTAAGGCAATTATAAAAATCCACTTTTGCATACCTAAGGGCATTGCCTAGATATTTGGAATCATATATTTGGTTAATTTGAGTTTTTTCATAGAAAGCAGGTAAACATAGCCAACTTTTATAATGAAGTAAATTTTCAATCTCATGTTAACCTTAACTCTTTCATAGTCTGAATAGACCATATTCACAGTGATATGAGAGCCAGACATTTTAAATAAAATCACAGGAATAATGTTCTTTGTTTATGTCACAATTACACTAAGCCAGCAGTCCCCAACCTTTTTGGCACCAGGGACCAGTTTCATGGAAGACAATTTTTCCACAGGCAGGGTGTATGGGTCAGGATGAAACAGTTCCACCTCAGATCATCAGGCATTAGTTAGATTCTTATAAAGAACGTGCAGCCTAGAACCCTCATATGTGCAGTTCACAGTAGGGTTCATGCTCCTATGAGAATCTAATGCCACTACTGATCTGACAGGAAGCAGAGCTCATGCAGCAATGCTCACTCACCACTCACCTCGTGCTGTAGCATCCCAGTTCCTAACAGGCCACAGACCAGTATCAGCCCATAGGTTGCAGACCCCTGCTCTAAGTAGTCCAAAATGGCTTACCAAATGCAGCCTTCCAAATATGCCAGATATTCTCATTGTGCGCTAAAATTTCTTTATTATAAAAGTCAGAGTTAGTAAATAAAGTTACAAAAACAAAAGACACATATAATATAATGTAAAATATAATCCAAATCATGACTCCTTCCGTATGACTTTCTAAAATGTAGTATTTTTCTTGGAAAATGTCACAACTTGTAAGTGTGGCAAAAACTCACTAGAAACAGCATTCTGAGTACTCCAGTGACAACATTGTTAAAACACTCTGAGTCCATGCATTTAATATTCTATATTAAGGCCTCTCTACTCCCATAATTTCCCCTACATAGCACTATGAAGTCATGTAAGGGTAGTCAGAAGGAAACAAAACTATTAAAAATATCCTCCAAAAATGAAAAGATGCCAAAAAATCACACAAGGACTTAATAACCATGGTATTTACAATGGAAAAGAATGCTTCTGCCAGAAACTCTGTTTTTACTAGCCCAGACTTTTTTTCATGTTTAATTTTATATACAAGCTTTTTGCCTGGATTTATGATTAAATTATTTTCTTTTCAACTCCTCTTTGTTACCTTGGTTTTATCAATATTGAACCACTTGAATTCTGCAGCAATAGCAAACGAAAGTAAAAACCAACTTCTATACACAGTGCTGATTAGGCCCAGCTCTAATCACTGAACCAACTGTAGGAGACAGATACTATTATGTTGCTCTGTACAAACGAAAGAGCTGAAGTACTCAGAGGCTGAGTAACTGCCCAAGGTCACACAGTTGCTAAGTGGTAGACCTGGGAATTGAACTCAGGCAAGGCTGGCTCCAGAGCCTATGTTTCCACCACTTTTCTAAGCTATCTTTTTATAGCATTTCTAGAACTCTCAGAGCAGCAATCCAGTGATGTTAGCCCAAACTCATCAATTTTGCAAGTTATAGGATCTGTCTGCTCCTTGAACAAACCTTTCTTGAGCATGAATTGGATTCATGTTTTTGCATCTGTACAAAAGGCACAGGGACAGACGGGGGAAAAATTGTGTCTACTACTACTGAAAGATTCAGAGTCTCTGAGTAAGATGAAGTCATAAAAGTTTCATTTGTCTTTTGGCACGGGGAGGGGCTGAGCTCAGACTGCAGCATCTGCTCAGCATAGCCTCCTCCTCCTCCTCCCAAGTCATTCACTCTGGAGTGAGGGGGAGCCTTCGCTCTGCTCCCCAAAGCTCTTTCCTGACCTAAGATCCTGCCCTCGACCACCCTCGCGCATGAACTCACCATGGTTCTCCGCAGGTCTCCTCTCTTTCATGCAGCCATTACTCCACCGTCAGGTAGAATATCTTCACCTGTTCCTCTTTTACTCACAGGAGAAAGTTCAGCCTCCTTAGGCAAGCACTGAAGGCCCCAGCCTATCTGCTACAACCCGGAGTTACCTCCTGCCACTCTCTGGGACACTGTGCTCCCAACATAGGACTACTCCCTGGCTCTTCCACCTTTGCTGGGGCCTTTGTCTGTTGTCATCTTCTCTCTTTCTTGGCCTTATGTCATGTCCTCCACAAAGCCTCCCCAGCTCCAGCCCTTATAGTGAAAGGTAAAATATTCCTCCTCTCTGTGCTCCTGGACCTCTGAACCTGCCTCTACCAGAGCATTTGACAGAAATTTTAACAGCCTTCTAGAGCAAAAGGGATCCTCTCCTCCTCCCCATTCTCTCTAAGTTGGAAGCCCCCTGAGGGCAAGTCACCACACTTTGCAGCCTGTGGGATCTATCACAGAGTTCCAGGAACCTGAAGGTCAATAAACCTGCGTCCCTCCTGGAAAAGAATGTTCTGCAGCCTCCCTGCCCTGCAGGCTGAACATGGGGTGACTCTGCAGAGACAGTTTAGAGCCCCACTCTGCTGCCCCAGCCGGCCTTCAGCCTCAGCTGCCGTCTCTCTCTCCAGAAAGGCCGCTGCAGCCCTCTCTGCATCCCCTCGGTGTCTGCACATGTCTGTGAAGGGCGGTGCAAAGCAGGGGGCAGTAAAATGAGGCACGAATTAACATTAAAATATATACAATTCAGTGAGCAGTCTCACTGAGGCTTTGCACAAAGCTCCAAGGGAGCAGGAAAGAAATCGGAACTTCCCCACCCCAACCCCGGGATTTTACAGAAAACGTCATGCGGCTGGTGGCCCTCCAACTGAAGGATGAGGTCAAGATGGGACCTGCTCATCCCCAAACTGCCCACCAGACCTCAGTGTGGCTGGCGTGTCCCACAGCATCGGTGCACACTCAATCCATGCAGATAACTCAAGGAACAGCAAAACACAGGCCCAGTGGGGTGGAGTCCTGGGAAGCCTGTGGACAACTGCAACACAGCACTGCAGGATTCATTCATTCCTTCAACAAACACCGCTGAACAGGTACTACATACTGGCCAAGGGCTACATTAAGGCTAGGATGATGAGCAGACCACTCCCCATGCCCAGGGACAGATGAGGGGGATGGCCATGGTTCAGATGTATGACCACTTGGCCCAGTGCCAGCTGCTGGAAGAGTGGAGACTGGCATGGGCTGTGCATGGGCAGAGAGGTTTCCCCAGGGAAATGGCTGCTGTGGAGGGAGGGGACAGGGGTCAGGGAGAGCACTGGAGATGGCAGAAGCACCAAGGATAAACAAGACCTGGAGGGGAGCTCCCACCCCAGGGCTGGAAGGGGAGCCCCAGAGGCTCACGCCTGTGTGGTAATTTTCTCTTCCCCAACTGAAGTCCAAGAAAGACCTTGGAGAATAGTCAGAAGTCTCAAAAATCTAGCAGGTTGTAGCTTGGATTTGGGGTCGGGGAGGGGGTGGAGGTGGACATAAGAGCCTTGGAGGAGGTAAATTAGTAGAATTAGGAGAGGGGGTGCTGAAAGGAGGCTCGGGGACACTCTGATTATTCACTTACATCACTGAACCTTCACCACAGCTTCTCTGACATTTCCTGGATGCATTCATTAGATAGTTATGAAAGCTTCAGGGAGAGCTTGGAGACAAAAAACTATCCAGGCTCCTGCATGCATGCAAATATTATTTTCTTGAATTCAAATTTACACGATAAGTTGGCTGCAAGCAGAATTTGTTTACTTCAAAGCCCTGTGCATGCTCTCTGATAGACAGGAGGCTAAAATTAGCTTGATATATTTGTGGGCATTTTTTTCCTAATTTTAATTAGAAATTAAATTTAGATTAAGTTAGAATTATGTAATTAATCACAATTAATTTTTTTTTTTACCAGCACACTGCTCTGCTAATTTTCTAACTAAAATTTTAGTGCCACAGTACTTATAAGATTTTTTAATGCATTTTATTCACGGTTTCTTGTGTTTTTCCAAAGATAAGTTATTCTTTTTTCCTCTGAAATTTTCTTTTCTAATCTTATCAGTGAACCTTCCTCTAGTTATCAGGGTAATTCCTAATTTCCATTAAGCCCCAGAAGCTCTTCCCAGGACACACAGTGTATTTTCTTTTTCTCTTTATTCATCTTTGAATAAGTATGGCTGTCAGCTAACTTGTCTCAAGTGTCAATTTACATGGTACGTAAGCCCTGACCATCGATCTTTCTTTTTGTAAAGCCTCATCAAGATTATTTTTTAAAATCTCTCTAGCTTATTCTAAAGCATCTTCTAGAGAGTCTGGGAGGAATTCCTCTCATCATTTTAGGAAGACTGAGAACAACAAAGGGTCCACTAATCCCTTAGTTATGGAATGTCACATCCAATGGAAAAACACACAGGGCTGCTTCTGGAAGCTCCAGATCAGCCGCAGAGCCCCTCCGCCCATCTCACAGGCGCACCAGCACCAGAAACCAGCTCCACAGGAAACGCTCGGAGGCCCGCCGTTCACAGAGAAGGCCAGCCATCATGTTTTAAAGCAAAGAACATTCGTTTCCAGAAAGCTAAAAACCTAAGATGTGTGATAATGGAATCATTAATCTACTCTTTGGTGACCACTCCCACTCACTTTGCCCGGCTATAAATCATAAACGCTGTGAAATTGTCAGTGCATTGCGAGGGGCCTTTTGCAAAGGCCTCCTGCACCCCACACCTGACGCCGACAAGGGGTGCGGTCCCCCACCGCACCTCTCTGTGCTTCCAGCCCTGCCCCTCTAGGCACCGGAAATCACTGCCATAGGGGGGCCAGGTCCAGAGAGAGGCACCCACGAAGGTCTGGGCTCACCTTGGCCGCAGCTCATCTACTGCCGCTCACTCCAGACCCTCCCCCTGGCCCCAGACAGCCCCATTCAGGGCTCAGGGGTGTCCTGAGCACCAGGCAGGCTGGGCTTCGACCCTCTCAGCCTAACTTTCCTAACTTTCAGGATCTCGCCGTGTTGCCCAGGCTGGTCTCGAACTCCTGGGCTCAAGCGATCCTCCCACCTCGGCCTCCCAAAGTTCTGGGATTACAGGCGTGAGCCACTGCACCCAGCCTTACTTTAAAACTTAGCTTAGGAGTTTTAGTCCTATTAAGTCCTGAGGAAAATAACCCCTCTGTAGCATAAGTCTTCCCTGTGAGGCCTCTCCTGACCCTCCACCCTATCCGCCTCCAGGACGGTGGCCCTCCCCAGCAAGCCATCTACCTGACCCCCAGACAGAAGGCAGGCTCTTGAAGGGCAGGTCTGGATCCCTCTCACCACAACACCGTCACCGTCCCCAGGTCAGAGCACTTTGCAGGTGTGCAGGTGTCCCCCAGATGGAGGAGGCTCGCCCACAGGAACTCCGCAACCTGGGGAGACTCCCCTGTCAGCCTCAATTTGATTATTTTCAGCTCAAGGAGATGGAAATGTCGGGACTAAGGGGCTGTAAAGACTCTTTAATTCCTACAGCATTGTTGACAAGGAACATCTGGATCTCAACCTCAGTGTCCTTGCCCCAAGCAGCCAGGGACCCAGAACCATACTCACCTCCTCTAGGGGCAATAGCAGATGGGTGCCGGCCACCAAACGCCAGCTCAACCCAAGAACCAGCAATCATTTCAAGTAGGGCACGGGGAGAATCCCAACCCCTTGTGTTGGTTTTACTAGGACTGAGGGGGTGGGTCCACAGTGACATCCAAGTACAATTCTCATTTCAGTTGGGGCTGGTTCAATACTGACACTCAATGAAAAGCATCCTTATCTCATTCAGGAAATAGATTTTTCTTTCTGTTCTTCCAGAAGCATTATAAAAGGATGCCTAAATAATTTCTAGGCAAAGAGGGACTTTCTACCAAGGCACCTACAAACATCACACGCCCCTTTCCTTTCCCCTTTTGCAGTCTGCAAAGTCCATCTTCTACAAGAGTCATGCGGTGCTTGGCTCTTCCTTGCTGAAAAACAAAAAGCACGGTCACAGCCTGCTACCCTTGCTTTCTTCCCACGAAGGAGAAATTGTTATATAGGCATAGCCAGAATCCCCAAAGGGTGTCTACACAAATGCCAGAACATTCAGATCACACATGTTCTCTCTCTACACACATACACACACACACACACACGCACACACACACACACCCATCACACTGGTGTTGGAAGAATTCTGAAATATAAAAGTCTTAATATGGACCCTAGGCTGGGCATAGGGTGGCTCATGCCTGTAATCCCAGCACTTTGGGAGGCTGAAGAAGGAGGATTGCTTGAGCCCAGGAGTTCAAGACCAGCCTGGGCCCACCATGAAGAAACCCTATCTCTACAAAAATGAAAAAAAAATTAGCCAGGCATGGTGGTGTGTGCCTGTATTCCCAGCTACTCAGGAGGCTGAAGTGGGAGGATCACTTGAGCCCAGGAGGTCGAGGTTGCAGTGAGCTGAGATCACACCACTGAACTCCAGCCTGGGTAAGAGCGCAAGACCCTGTCTTACACACACACAAAAAAAGATGGACCCTGAAAATGAATAGGTTTCCACAGGCAAAAAAGTAAGAACGTTTGGAAAGGAAGAACCCTGTGATTTTGATGTTTAATGACCTGCCGGACAAGGACTGTAGCCACCTCAGGCAAGAGAGTCAGTGGGTTGAGTCCTGGCTAGCTGGTCACTAACTTAGTGGCCTTTCAAGGCACTTGGGCCTTGGCCTCCATTTCTGCATCTGTCTCTTGGGGACCATAGTGGTCCTAGGCCAGCTGCATCACAGGGTGCATATGATAGAAGGATCTAACTCCGAGTTAGAAGTGTCTTGCTAAGATATTATTAGTCATTTCTATTATTAAAGTCAAAGTCTAGCATTCAGAGACATTAGAAGGTCACGTTTGTGTGATGAGTGATTCAAAACACGGAAGACTTTGAATGCCAAGTGGATGAACAAGTAGTACTTACACTAAAGGAATTCATGAGAGAAAATGGAAGCTTATATTTATTGAGCAACTACTACGTGCCAGGCACAAGATTTTGTGAAACTGGTGCTAAATATTTACATTTTGCTGATGAGGAAGTGGGGTCTCTAGAAAAGGAGAGATTTCCATATTGACACACACCTGGTGAGTGTAGGAACTCTACCTTAGAGCCAGGTCTCTCTGTGCCCAAAGGGAATGACTTAGCAGAAGGGAAGGAGTGGAAAACATCCCCATCACTCTCATATCCTCAAGATCCCTTGTTAGTGCAGAGGCCCCTGGGAGCTTCTTACATGTGTGTTTTTAACCTAGTTGGCCTATTCCATTAGAGGCTGTTTTCCACTCTGTCATACCTCCGCCTTCTCTAATTCTGTTCTGGGACCACTTTCCACTTGGACAATTCATCCTCCTCCTTTGCACCCTTCCCAGTCTCCTTCACCTCCATTCCCATAAACTCCTGTGCATGTTCCTGTTACAACACTCAGCCTGCTGCAGTGGAATGCATCTGTTCTGTGCATTCTTTCAGGAAAAAATATTACGTCTTCCAAAAAATATGGAACCAACCACTAATTATGGCACATCTGCTTTGTTTCAAAAGTAAGTGTGGACAGGTCCAGGATGTTATCTCCAGACTACTCTGGAAAGCTCTCGGCATTCTCGGAACTCACAAAGGATATATGAGCAATTGCTCAGTGACTAGGCTGCAACCTGTTTCTGTGGGACTCCCACAATGGCCTCACAGCCAAAACTGTGGGAAGATCTAGGAAGAAGACATAGACTCCAACCTGGGTCAGACAAAGGGCGGAGGAAATAATTGAAAATCTTATACCAAAAACGTTAGAAACAAAAGTCATTCTCAGTGCAGAAGAGTAGCAGAGAATCATTTAAAAATGTGCATCCCTAAGAGGCCGAAGGAAAAGGAGCAGAGGCTGAGCAAGAGTCCCTGTGTGACAGGAAAAGCTGTAAGCAGTGTCTGCGGCTTTCTCTCCCCAGCCACATCCGCCATTCTCTGTTAAGGGCCCTCTCACCGAGGTTAGTCAGCCTCTCTCCTTAAAACTGAAAGTGACTGCTGGCATGCAGTTCCTCTCACATCTGGATTGCTAACCACCTGCTCCCCAAATTTGAAAGTATAATGGAATTGAATTCAAATTTTTACAAAACTTAGGAACTTAGGGGGCCAACTTTGCAAATCATAATTGATTTCCAAGAGACATGTCCTATTATATTTGTTTAACAAACATGAATGTTTCGTACATCAGATGCATTCTCAAGGTGTCATCCAATCCTCTTTCATTTAAAGTAGGGCAAGCGCGTGTTAAAAAAATCTAAATATTTAAAAATGATAGCAAATCTCCCTCACAACCAGACCCCCAGATTCCTTGCGAGAGGTAACCATCATGAATAGTTTTTTTGGGCCTCCAGACATCTTACACATATGTAAGCCCATGTATTCACTTGTGTTCATTGCGTTCGTATCCTTTTCATATCAAATTAGAGCAGTCAGTGCCTACTCTTCTGAATCCAAGTTTCTTTGCTATAACAATACATTTCAGCACATTCAGACTCACTCATTCTTTTTCAAAACTGCGTTGTATTTTATTTTAGAGAAGAATGATCATGCATTTTCCCAAGTCCCTCTAGATTGGCATTTAGGTACGTTCCGTCTTTTGCCTTTACAGGTAATACCACACACTTGCCATTGCACAAAGTTGCTCTCCCAAAGCATCAGAGGCCCTCCCCCTACCTTGCCACACTGGCTAATGTGGGACAGTTTACCTTTTTCCAGGCTCAGTGGTGAGCAATCCTATGCTGTCTCTTTATTATTTAGTCTTTTCTTTCTCTGTGGACTGCCATGTGTGTTGTCAATTTTTCCACTGAGTGGCATTTTGGTGACAGATTTGTAATCCCTGGCTTTACAATAGTGACATGTTCTTCTTCTGACTTGTTTGGCAAGTATTTTTCCTGTTTGACCTTTTTTTAAATTTAACTTCTGCCATATTTTTCATTGGTGAATTTTAGTTTTATTTTTATGTACTCATATGCATGAGTCTTTTCCCTTATAGTTTCTGGGTCTTGTTTTGTTTTGCTTAGCAAGGACTCACCCACTCTCTTGAGAGACAAACAAGAAGACTGAAGTAAAGTGAAAGATGTACTTTTGTCTGGAAGAGGAACTCTCAGAATATGTCATGTAGTGATAAATAATTTAATGCAATCACAAAACATTCCAAACATGTTCCTTTTTAGAAACTTAGTGATTTTTTTATAAATCAGAAAAATAAATAGGGGGGTTAGGTAGCAAGTTTGGCTCAGTCAGATGTTAAAGGCTAGAATGATTAAAATCCAGTGATTCCAGTGCAGAAATAATCAAAGAAATAGAATAGAACAGAATCCAGAAACACAACCAAGAATAAATGGAAGTATTGGATTTTATAAATGTAACATTTCAGCACCATAAGCAAGCAATGCCGCAAAAAAAAAAAGGCTCAATTGGAGGGCAGGGCAGGGGAAGGAGAAGGAATGTAGTCTCCTACCTAAGTCCTCATACCAAATTTATTGGCAGTTGTGGCAAATATTTAAACATAATAAATGAAGTCACAAAAGTACCAGAAGATAATGTATTTTTATAATATTAGGATAAATAAAGGCTTTCTACACATGCCCAGAATTAATTAATCATCAAGGAAGTGATGAACAAATTTTACTATGTAAGATATGCATAGTTCTGCAAAACCACATGATGAAAATCAAACAACAATGTAAAAGCTGGGAGAATATACTAACAAGACACATGGCAATGAATAAGTATTCACAATGCATAAAGAATTTTTTTCAAGTAGTTAAGAAAGTAAGAAGATAAAGATAATGATCAAATTAATGTAAAATATAAGAAAGTATAAGCAAACTTAATACATAAAACCAAATGTTCAGAATCAGCAAAGCTGTGAAAAAGAAAATGACCACAGCTGCACAATGGGAGCACCACTTGGCAATAGGTTGAATTCCATGTCATTGCCAATATTTCATCCTTTTTGACCTACAAAATATCCATTTTTCAATCAAAATTGGAAGTGCACATAGTCTTCGAGTCAAGAATACTACTTTCAGATATTTTTAATATATTTTAACATGTACAGTGGATATTTATACAAGTTTTATTATCCATTGGATTGCTTAGAAATTTTTTGTTAAGTCCAAAAGTACCAGTGTCATGTGGGGTATAGCAGGGTACACACTGCTTGTGGGCGCAGCAAGTGGTACAATCAATAGAATAGTCATGTGGCAACAGCCACCAGCAAAGTTGAAGATGTATGTCTCGTATCATGCAGCAATTGCCTTCCTAGGCAGGTGTGTGTGCATGTGGGTGTGATACATACATTCTATTCCTATGATGGCAAGTGCTGTTTCACAAGATATATGCATCTTCAGTTAGTCCATGTTACATGATATGTACCTGTGAAACACACATGTATACATGTACACATATGAATGTACATGTGTACGCAGCATATACATGTGCATCTGCACATGCTTATACTGTGCACATAAAAATGTGCGTATGCATAGCATAACATATAATGTATATGGGCATATGCAAACATGCATGTGTGCCTGTACCCTAGAGAAATTCCCACACACATATATATACAGTAACATGTACAAAGACATTGATTTTTGCCATTGTTTATAACAAGAAAAAAATGTACACAACATAGCTGTCAGTCAGGAAAAGCATGTGTAAGTTGTAGCTTATTCATACAATGGAATATCATGCAACAGAAGACACAAATTAGACCTATATGTATCTACAGGGATAAATATCAAAAACACAAGGCCAAATGTAAAAATCAAGAAGGAAAATATATGTGAAACATGATTCCATTTGTATATGGATATATCCAAATGTAGTAAAATTATACAATAATACTGTTAATGAATTATACCAACTTAAGGAAAAGCAGTGCTGCTGAGGAGCAGGAAGGAACGAAGGGGTAAGGCCTTTTGAGCTTGATATTATTGTTCTTAAAAATTCTGAAGCAAATTGGCAAAACATTAGCATGCTAAAAGTTAATAGAAAAATCTATATATATATTTCAATGAAAAATATATGTAATGCCCTATTCATGTCTTCTTTCAAGCATGCATATCTATCTTTACATGAATACATAAAACATACTGTTTATTTCTCTTTGCAGTCCTTTTTTTCTCCTATTTCCTTTTCTCTCCCTTTTATTTCATCCTTCCTCCCTGCACCCACATCACCCTCTAAGCCCACCTCACCACACTCCAGCCATCCATGCTGATAACAAATTGTGCTGATTTCCATATTGCCCCCTGCTCTCACAATCATATACAAATGTCCATTCATCTTTGTATATGTGTATGTACATATATACAATATGTAATACTTATGAGTGGATGGTAGTATGTTGTATGTGCTTTCTTCATTTTACTTTTCCCACTCAACAATATCAGAAGGAAATCCTGCTACTTCTCTCTTTCTCTCTCTCCTCTTTTTATCCACTGCATTATAGTTTATGCTATGGATGAACAGAACC
Organism: Homo sapiens; assembly: GCF_000001405.40. NCBI lineage: Eukaryota > Metazoa > Chordata > Mammalia > Primates > Hominidae > Homo > Homo sapiens. The sequence goes on along the minus strand of NC_000010.11, from coordinate 43,812,956 downwards.
TATTTAACAGTTCCCTTACTGAAAAGTGTTCAGTTTGTTTAGTTTCTCTGAACAATGCTGTAATAAGCATTTTTGTCCAAAGATCGTTATCCATGGTGCCTCATTTTACAGGCCCTAGAGGATACCTACATGTGATGGTAAATACTAAGTGTCAATTTGATTGGATTGAAGGATACAAAGTATTGATCTTAGGTGTGTCTATGAGGATGTTGCCAAAGGAGATTAACATTTGAGTCAGTGGGCTGGGAAAGGCAGACACACCCATAATCTGGGTGGGCACAATCTAATCAGCTGCCAGCGAGGCTAGAATATAAGCAAGCAGAAAAAAATGTGAAAACGAGAGACTGGCCTAGCCTCCTAGCCTACATCTTTCTCCCGTGCTGGATGCTTCCTGCCCTCAAATACCAGATTCCAATTTCTTCAGTTTTGGAACTGGGACTGGTTCTCCTTGCTCCTCAGCCTGCAGATGGCCTACTGTGGGACCTTGCGATCGTGTGAGTTAATACTTAATAAACTCCCCTTTCCTTTGGCAACACCCTGGCAGGCACACCCAGGATCAATACTTTGTATCCTTCAATCCAATCAAGTTGACACTCAGCTTTAATCATCACATGTAGGTATCCTCTAGGGCCCATAAAATGAGGCACCAATGCTTATTACAGCATTGTTCAGAGAAACTAAACAAGCAGAATTTTATATTTATTCCATTAGTTCTGTCCCTCTAGAGAACCCTAACTAATACACTACGCTTATCCAAAGTTTTCCATATTAGCATGGCAAGAAAGGTCACGAGTATCTTACAAAGGATTAATTTTTTTCTTGTTTGTTGGAAAATTATTTCATTGTTTTTTCAGATGACTAGCAACCCAAATATACAGAATTCTTGGATCACAATCTTTTTCTCTCACTCCCTTTTGTCTTTCCTTCCCAAATATTGTTGGGATAATTTGGAGCAAGAATGATCTTTTTCCCCTTATAAATGATTTTCTTCTTTCTGGTGCTGACAGGATTTATATTCATTTTTGAAGTATAGTCGCTTCCATGGAACATGTCTTGGTGAATGGTTACTTTCTTTTTCCTAAGACATGATAAGCACTCTTATCTAATAATTCAGATCTTTTGTCATTTCCGGAAAGTTTTTTTAAACTATTTTAAAAATCCTTTCTAACTATAATTTTTTTGTTCCAAAGTGCTCTTTTCTCTATTTGAAGTGCATCAGTGGTGCACTGGAACACATTTGCCTGTTGCTTGTACTTACCATAGTATTCAAATCCCCCTCTAACCTTTGCATACTGTATAATTTCTAAAATCTCATCCATATGACAGTTCCATTTTTGACAACATCAATTCTAATAAACTCAGTAGTCCTGTGGTGCTATATTTGTTCCTCTCCATGTATCAATTCTCCTTGCCTCTCATTTTTTGATCTCTAAGTTGCAGAGCTTGTGGTTGTATTTCTTTAAAAGTATGAGTATTTGTTGTTCGAAAATATCTTATTTAGGTAAGATATTTAGGTACCTTACTTAAGCAAGCGTTCTTCCAAAAGAATTTTCTCTATATCCTGCAAGCTGCTTTTTAAACAATGTTTAGGAGAGGAAATACAGAGTGCTTTCTTTTTGTTTTTGTTTTGCTTTTCTCTTCTGCTGACTTTTCTTTAACCATTCATTTAAGGCCTGTTATCTGCCCCTAGACACTTTAAATGAATTATCCTCAGCTTTCCTGACTGTTTATTTGAAGTGTCTGGAATTCCACTTTAATGTTTCTGTTGGCTTTTTAGCAATACTTCATCGCATTACATTTGGAGTGATTGTTCTAGAAATTACAATACATTTCCTTAACTTTTACCGCCTACTTAGAGCTAGTATTGTACCACCCAACTTAAAATATAGAAATCTTATGACCATAGAGGTTTGGAATAACATTTGAATGCTACTCTTAACTCAGAAACTTGAGTGCCTGAAGTTTATGGTTTGTATTTTTATTCCATTTTCCAGTAGTCTGATGAAGATAAGAAAAGAACTTCCTTGTCTTGAACATACCTCCTAAATTCAAAAAGGAAACAAACCATTGCCTTTTGCCTCTTGTGCTTCCTCCCCATTTGTGAGCACATACATGCAAGCATGTTCATACACACACACACACACACACACACACAACCATACACTTGTACAAATGTAGGCTCTCATGCTGCATATTTATGTTTTTAAAAACTGTTGATCATTTGGAAATCATTAAGATTTTAACTCCTTCACCAGTTCATTGCTGTATGAGGAGTGGAACACACACTGTGCTATAGCACGCTTTGGGCACACTTCTTGCCCTCCCCACGTTCATGCCCTATGTACCTTTGCAATACTCTCCCCTGGGGCAGGGAATAATTATAATCCTCTGATCATCCAACACAATGTGAAGATAATAAAAATTAATTTCAAAAACAAAATTGCACATTTGGAAAAGATGCAGGATTTCATGAGTTCACAAGAAATGTCAGGGCCTGTCTGATCACATCACACCTTCCACCTGTGACTGACTCAGACCAGTCACCAAAGAGTTAAGAAAGGCTCTTGACAACATTGTTGAAAGCTTCTAATGCTTTTGCAAAAATAACAGGCTTTTTAATTTGCTGGGAAGGGGTGCTCTTGTACCACTAGCCTTGAGCTGTGCCCATGATAATCTATAAGAAAATAAGTTATAGATCACAACAGATCAACACATATTTTTTTAAATGATCAATTTTATCACAGCTCAGTGGTAAGTTTATAGAACAAAAAAAAAAGAGTGTCACTTGATAATGAGAAGAAACCTTAAAAGAACAAATGTTAAAGGGCAAACAACCCCCTCCTCCACCACACAGACACACACACACGTATACAGACAATCCTTAAATTCAAAGGCAGTCACTTGCCTCTTTCCTCTAGGAAAATCTAACTTAATCCCTTCAATGATCCCAGGTCTTCAAAAACAAAACCCTGGATTAACACCCTGAATTTAAAATCTGGGTGTCTTGAATGTCTTTGAAAGTACAATCTCAAAAAGCAAAGAAAAAATTTTCAGGTGGGAGAGGAAAAAAAAATACCTACAACAGAGAGAAGAAAACACATAATATCCCAATAAAATATCTTGGCACCTGTATGCTTGGCTGTACATGCACCTGTGTTGTACATGCACACATGTCCATGGGTTACCCTGGCCCCAACTTACACGGGGAAGGTAACTGTATGACCTATCCACACATCTGGCTGCTTCTACCCCAGCTAACTGACAAATACTCCCAAATATTTTGCTATTGGTTGATTTGACAGCCACTCTGGAATAGTTGGTTGGCAAGAGGTTTTAAAGCAACAGAAAACCCAAGGTTGGATGGATTTGCCATCCCCTCCACTTAGGTAAAATGGCTTCCAGTAAGGGGTTGTGCCAGTATTGGCTGCTAGCTAATTTAAGGTCCAATGGAAAATGAAAATAAACAAGTATTAATCCTGAGAACCTTTTTGTGGAGTTATGAAAACAGTCTGTTATAAAACGCATCCAGATGTCAGCCAAGAGTGAGTCAATTGGAATAATAGCTTCAAGTGAAACCAGCAAAGGGCAGCAGGTCAGGCTGTGGGGATTCTGAGGAATGCCCACTCACAGACCCAGGAGCGCACCGCTGCACACCAGCCTGGAGCCTCGCCCACGACACAGAATTCTGTTAAACGATCTATAAAAAGAATTTATGGATCCCATGGACCAACATCGATTTTTTTAAATTAATTTTGTCACAGCTTAAGGGCAGGTTTATAGAAGACCAAGACAAAAAAAAAAGCGTCATTTGATAATGAGAAGAAACTTTAAAAGAGCAACATTTTATTTGACAATTATTAAATTTTTATACCAGTGAAAACAGTTTAATTTTATAAAGACCTATAAAACAATCTCCTGTTGATACACTAGCCCTGTTCTTCAAAAACACATGCCTGAGGATATTTACTGGAACATTTAATATTAAGACCTCTGAAGTAATCTACAAGTCAATCTGTGGAATATTGGTTAAACAAATGATGGTACACTTCTACAGTAGAACCAAATGCAAGTGTTTCTTAATTAATTAATTTTTTATTTATAATTGAAAAAATGCAAATGTTGAAAAGGGTGATAGACCTCCTTGACAACTGCTGTGAAATCATGTCTAGCATAAATTAAGTAGGAAAAAGCAAGTAACAGAGCATTAAACATCATTATTCAGCCATCTTTGCATAAATCAGTCTATCAATCTATGTTTCTCTGATTGTCTATGCAGGAAAAGTTCTAGAAAGAAGCCAATGTTCATGATGGCCACCTCTGAGGAGTGTAGGAGCTGAGGGCAGAGGAGCTTTTCCTTTTTGTGTTGTAGTTTTCTATACTGCTTTAATTTTTCACGTTAGCATGTATTGTTTTTGTAAAGCTTTTTAATTAATTGGTTTAAAAGAGAAGGGGAGGGAAAGGCAAAAGAGCAAGCGGCCTGTTGGAGTGGAAAGCTAACTAATGGGGCATTGGCAATCTGGTTCTTAAAAGGAAATGGGACTCCTATGAAAATACAGAAAACCTCTGAAAATGCAGGAAGTCCAACAGTCACCACAAGGGAAACAGTTTTACCCACTGTGTTTTCTCAAATGAGTGAGCAATTGCCTAAAAATACTACACTGTGTGGTTGCATGTGTTCAGTCCCCACTCAGGATCCTGATAGCATCTCAATTACCTGATGCCAACTTCACTTTAACATTGACTTTTTATTTTAAAAACAAATTGCTGATCTTTGTCCGTGGAAAAGCTGTGAAGTATTTCGGTCCCTGCCACCTATCTGGAGGCCTCATGAGCTGCCACTGGAAACCTGTGGCTGTCAAGGACCATGAGATTTCCAGGTGCAATGTGGGGATAGAAACTCCTAGGACCATCTCAGTGCTGAGCTCGCAAGGGAGCCCAACACAATGAGTGGTCCCTCTCCAGAAGCAGGCATGCTGATTATGTGACGGGATGCCTGGCGCATCTGCAGGAGAAGCCAGCCTGCTGGGTTAGGCCAAATCCCCAACTCTGCATAGTCATGAGTGGGAGGTCCTTGCGACGTGGGTTGGAGTAAGGAAGTTTTTGCAAAGAATGTAGGGATTCCACGATGCAGTGTCCAGTGCCCAAAGAAAGTCGGAACTTCATGAAGCCCCAAAAGTGAATCTAAACATGCATTAAGTTGAGTGGCCAGGGGGAAAATGCTAATATAAGACCTGGGTACAGATAGTGGGGTTAGGAACCCGAAGGATAAGGTGTGAGCAGATGGGCTGAGACAAGTACGAGTAGTAAAGGGCGGAAATAGTCTGTTTCTGTGGCCTGCCTTCAAGTTCCAGCCAGGGATTGGGTCCACTTAAAGCACCAGGAATGGGAGGTTTGCCCTCCCTTTGCAGGGCAGGGCTCTTGATGCCCTGTGTATTCTGGGCTATTGCTGAGGGGGATGCTGGGTCCCAGTGCTGCGAGCAGTATGGGAGCTCACATCTCCTGGGCCGCGCCCTCCTGCTTGCTTTGCTACAGCCTCGGCGCAATCCTTTGCTTGGCTGTGGATTTATTTATGTACCCAGGGTGCTGTGAATGAACACAAACTGCCGTGCTCCAACTAATGTTTCTGTGCATACCAGTAGGGATGGTTAATTTTATGTAACAACTTGACTGAGCCACAGGATATCCAGACATTTGGTCAAATAGTATTCTGGGTATGTCTGTGGGGGAGCCTCTCCGTGAGATTCACATCCAAGTTGGTAAAGTGAGTAACGCAGATTGCCCTCTCCGGCGTGGCTGGGTCTCATTCAATCCATTGAAATCCTGAATAGAACACAAAGGCTGAAATAAGAAACGCCTCTTATCTGACTGCCTTGAGCTGGGACCTCGGTCTTTTCCTGCCTTCAGACTCAGACTCTGGAACTACACCGAGGGCTCTCCTGCTGGCTCTCCAGCTTGCCAACTGCATATCTAGGGACTTTTCAGCCTCCATATGATGTAAGCCCATTCCTTATAATAAATCTCTTTATATAAAGCTGTGCACAGTTGCTAACACCTATAATCCCAGCACTTTGGGTGGCTAAAGAGGGAAGAATGCTTGAGGCCAGGAGTTCAAGACCAGCCTGGGCAACATAGCAAAATCTCATCTCTACCAAAAAAAAAAAAAAAGTTTAATTAGCTGGACATGGTCATGCAGGCCTGTACTCCCAGCTACTTGGGAGGCTAAGGGAGGAAGAGCTTGAGCTCAGGAGTTCAAAGCTGCAGTGAGCTATGATCATGCCACTGCACTCCAGCCTGGGCAACAGAGTGAAACCCTGTCTCAAAATAAAAAACTCTTTATACACACACATACACACACACACACACACACACACACACACACACACTTCTGTTTTTCTGGAGAATCCTGGCTAATACATCTGTTTGTACAGTTATCTTCTTAGGATAAATTCATAAGAGATTTCCCAAGAAAAACCTTCTAGATTTTCACACATACTCCTCAATTTCCATACAGAAATGCTGTGTTCATTACCTTCTCAAACAGCCCTGCTTCTCATGTTGCTTCACTCCACCTGGGCATTGTTCCACATGTTCAATGCTAATTTACCATCTTGTTTAGGATTTTTTTTTCCTTTTTGTGTATGTGATCTGTGCTTATGTCGCTTGTCCATTTTTATCTAGTTGGTTTCTTAGGTCAGGTTGCCTAGGAAAGAGATTCTGAAACAGAGATGTGCATGCAGGATGTCTGGGGCTCTCAGAGCAATGCCTGGAGGAAGGGAGGGCAGCAGGACAGAGGCAGGGTAGAGGCAGGGTGGAGGCAGAGGCACAGAGCCCACAACAGGGGTGCCCTGGAGCTAGGACAGCCTTGCACAGGTGGGTCACACTGGAGGCAAACTACCACTTAGGGGGGTCTTCAACCCTGTAGGAGGCAGCTTTCTTCAGCAGAGGGCAATTCCTGGGAAAGGACTCACTGTGAGCCTTTAGCTGCCAACTTCTTGGCAGCTGGGGAATAGGAATTCAGTCCTGAAGGAGGGATGTAGGTATGGACCACAGCACCCACCACAATTAGAGTGTTGGTAGTTTTCATATTGGTTTGCAAAGCTCTGTGCATGTTGATAATATTAATCTTCTGTCTTATTTTTCCCAATTCAGCTTTATTTGAAATTTTTATTATAATATTTTCCATTCCGAAGAGTTTTTTCATTAATTTGAGTCAATTCTATCGCATTTTCCCTTAAGGTTTCTGATTCTAAAATCTTGGTTTGAGAAGCCTACCCCAGCCTAAAATTACAAAATTATTATCCTGCAATTCCTTGTAATGTTTTCATGGCTTTTTTTACATATAATTAATCTGATAAAGATTTATACTTATTACTGTTGTAATTTTTGTTGCCAGTGTTTTGCCAAATAAGTAACGAGCTGGGCTAATGTGTCATACTGAGTAATAAACCCTGGCTATGCTGACTTAAACACCATTTTTATTAATTTTAGGAATCTTCCTGCATATATGCATCTGTTTCTGGATGCATGTTTCTGCTCTGCCTCTCCCCATTGATCAGTCTCCCCTGGGGTTGACTCAAGGCTATTCTGATCACTGAAACATGGTGATACTCTTTAATAGCTACAGCAATTACCAGACAATTGCTGTCTTTTCCAGAATTTTCTTGGCTTTCCTTGCATGTTTCACTTCCTGATAAACTTAGAACCCCTTGGCTAAGTTCTGAAAAGAAATTAAGTTAGGCTATTGACTAGAGTTATACTAAGTTTGCATATCAGTAGAAAGAGCTGACATCTTTATAACACTGAATGCACTCATCCTGGAGATTGTGCTATAGTTTTATGTTTTAAATGTTATTTTTATTATGTTTTTATCAGGTTTAGGCCATCTCTGTTAAGGAGATTAGGAAACTTTATTCCTTTCTGCAACAGTTTCTGGAAGAGTTTCAATAAAATAAATATGTTCCTTAAGTTTCAGCCACATACTCTTAAATTTTGGTTATTATTCTCTAAATAGTCTGTAAGTGCAGTGCTGATTTTCTGTGTGATATCAGGAGTTTGTTTGTTTTTTTTTTTTTTTAAGTATTCTGGGGTTTTCAAGGTGTGCCTGCTTACCCTTTTGCCATTTGTTTCCGGTTTTGTTCCATTTGAGAAACTCTCGAACATTGTGCAGGACCCACGTCTGCGGTTCTGTAGCTTTGTGCATTGCCGCAGCCGTCTGTGTGCCCCCTTCTGTGATCTTCCCTGGGAGTATCTGCACTTCTCTGTATCGAACCTTGGCGTCTCATCTTCGTGTACATCCTCTGTGTGTATCTATAATTCTTCTTTTCCTGTGGGAGGACTTCTATGCTGTGCTTTAATAGCCACATGGCAATGACCAGCCAATCTTTTGCTCAGGCAAGTTTCTGCACCACCCAATCTGCTGATTGTGCCTTTTGTGCCATTTTTATTTTTGGCAACTGTGTTTTTCATTTTAAGTCCATGGAACGCTTGTCAAAGATCGTTCTCTTTCATAAACTTACATCTTACATTTTATTGAGAATCCAAGTCCAGATTTTCAAATGATTTCCCCTTTCTCTTGGAGTCAACCTGCTTCCTCGAGGAACATGTCAGGTGCAGGGTGATTTTTTTTATTTTTTATTTATATATATATATATATATATATATATTTTGGCCTGTTTATCCTTATAAAGGGAGGTCCAGGCAGCATTGGGAGAGGTCTGTCAGAGGCTGCTGGCTTCTGGTTAGACTTTCTCAAGCTAGGATCAAAGAATGGAGAAGTTGAAATTCCTAGGCATTCCGTTTTCCAGGTGAGTTTCCAGGAGTGTGGGGGAGGTGGGGATAAATTTAGAACTAGAGGTAGAGGTGACAGGAGGTTCCAGCTCGGTGCTGAGTGGTTTATGTCCTGTGTTTCTGGGGCAGTGCCTGTCATGGCTCTGTGACCAGGTGGCCTTGTAGGAGCAGCTCACCCCTGCCCCTGCATGTGGTTCCTATAGACAGCTCTCCCACAAAGGCAACGGTGAGCACGGCAGGGAGAGCCCTGAACTCTGTCATAGGGGTTCGCGTTTGGCTCCACCCTCCCTAGAATCCGTATGTTTTTTCTGTGGCATTTTGCTCCCATTTCATAGAATTCCAGTCTTCTTGCCTTTTTGAGGACACCAGGCAGATGTTTTACAAAACATTCTTCTGTTTCCTGCAGAAAAAGGTTTTAGAGATCTGCTCTTTCTCTAAGTCCTCCATCCTCCAGATAACATGTTATTTTCTCTGAACTGCAGAGCTATATCATGGGAACTTCTTTTTAATGTTTGCTCATATTTGAAAAAGGAAAAAAGTATATGCAAGCCTGGCATCTGCCAGCAGACACACAGGGAGGATTGTCCTGGTCCAATACCCACTTCCTCCCCTCAGGGAGGTCAAAAGCCCCCCCAAAACCTGCACCGTCCAAGGACTGTCTGAGGGGCTGATAAATACAGCTCTCAGCAGAAGTTCTTCTTCAAAGCAGTCACTACTTAGATGGAGCTGGGTCATAGATCCTAAAGACAGTGACGTCCCCCTTGGACCACCAGTTTCTGTGATTAGAGAGTCAGATGCATTCGGTGGACCTTTTTAAGGTTCATGAGGAACAAAATCTACCCATCACATCATGTGCCACTCCCACTGCTGTAGTCTGAATGTTCGTGCTCTCCAAAAATTCACATGCTGGAAGCTAATGTGATGGTGTTAGCAGTGGGGCCTTTGGGATGTGACTAGGTCCTGAGTGTGGGTCCTGATTGGGACCCCTGAGAGCTGCCGGCCCCTTGCTCCATGTGAGGGCACAGCCAGAAGGCACCACCTAAGCCCCAGGGAATGGGCCCTCACTAAATATCACATCAGACTTCTCGGCCTCCACAACTGTAAGAAATAAATGTCTACTGTTTATAAGCCACACAGTCTGTGGTATTTTGTCATAGCAGCCAGAATGGACTAAAACACCCATCTTTTCTTCTCTCGCTTTCTCTTTTTCAAAACAAAAATAATAAGCATATATTGCTATATGCAAAGCAGCAGGCTAGGGACCCTGTATGCATTATTCCATTTAACTATTATGGCCACTCTATAGAGATAAGTGCTATGATTATCAACCCCATCTTATATGATAGAGGGGAAAACAGCTCAAAAAGGTTTACTCACTTAGCAGAGGCCACACAGCTTGTAACTGACAACCACGGAATTCAATCCTGATTATCATTCATCAACACATTTTGAAGGGGCTCTGAAATCTGAGACAGCACAGCCTTCATGCCACCTTTTGCCCCACTGTGTCATGGGCTGGGGGTTGGTGTCTCAGGATGGATTAACAAAAGTGGGACTATGGGAGGCAGAGGGAGCAGGCAGGGGAATGGCACAGCTCTCCTCTGCACCTATTATATAACTGTAATTATGTAACTGTGAGGTTTGGGGATGGCTCTTTCCACTCTCTTAGTTGTTCTGCCTTTTAGCTCTCCTAGCTAAACTGCAGCCACCACCAACAGCAGTAACGACAAAGGAACATGGGTTCCCACTGTACATGGTGTTCCCACCTCCGGTGTCTCTGTTGGCCTCACAACCTGCTGGGTATGCAGGACAGGGAAAATTGAGTGGAGAACTGAGACCCATTCCTGTCTTATCCCAAATGTTATATGCATTTTCTGTTATTGGCCATTTATAAGGTAAGCCCCACCAGTGGCTAAGAGGAAGGAACCAGGAAGTGTGTCCTGGAAACTACAGGAAGAGATCAGGTGATGATGGTGAACTCTGCCCATCAATTGTCTGTGGTTATACCTCTAAGAGAAGCAAAGTTTTGGGGAGCCCTTGCCCAGCTCTCCCTCCCTGGGAACCCTGCCTGTTGGCATAAAGAAGACCCAGTGACCATGGCAGGAAAGATGTGTGATATCTCAATATTTAAGAAAGATTTCAACCGCTTGTGTGAAAAAGCTAAGCTGCCTCCCAGAGTCCAAGCAGTTAAGAATCACCCTCATTAAGGCTTTATTCTCACAAACTCATATATAACAAAGATGGAACATCTGTCACTCTCTTGGGAGATGCATTTCTTTATAGATATCTGGCCACACAGCAAAATCCTGGCCACTCCAAAACTGAATCCATTAAGTGTGCTTAGCGGCTGAGCTCCCCATAGAAACAGCAAAGGATTTGCGGGCTGGCAGACATACTTAAAGCTCCTGACAGGGCTAAGAAGGGACTGGGGAAGGGGGTGTGTGGGAGAAGGGCATCCTTCAAGCCACCTCAGCTCCTCTAGTTAAGACTTTGGGTATAAGCATTCCTCTCCAACATTAAAATCTATTAAAACCTATTTTGGCAAATTACACAATTTTCTTCTGGGTTTTCTCTTAGAAATCACAGAGGCCAGACATGGGCAGGCTGCCTAAACTCCTGATTCCTCACAGTCCTAGTAGTGAAGTTCCGGGCACCCCTCTGTATGAGAAAGCCCCTGCAGTCCTCTTTTTATGTGTCTCCAATTTGAGATGAGTTGCTTCCTTTCGCTTTTGTTAGATCTGTTCTTTCTCTTACTGGATGAGGAGGAAGTTGTTGTTTTTCTAGTTCCTTTCGGGGAAAAAGGCATGAAGTAACAAGAAACAGTTACATGGACCTCATGGAAATTTCACCATCATTTCGGGAATGTCCCCTTGGGGCTTGATCACTTCCTCTCTCCCCATCTATTCCTGATGGCAAATGCTTGTGGTTGTTTGCTTCCTTGTTTGTTTGTTTACTCTTTGAACCATCTCCCTCAGACCACCTCCTTCAGGAAGGTCTGTCTCCTGGTCTCCATGTTACTGGCAGAAATGCCCAACATGATGTATCCCAATACTCCCTCCTTAGTGCATGAAATTCATTTGAGAATAAAAGTCTGGAAGAAGCAACCTCAGCTCCTCTGGTTAAGACTTTGGGTGTCAGCATCTCCAACGTTAAAACCTAATTTGGCAAACTATACAAAGTCTGGAATCAGGGAAAATGAGAGTATCTATTTGTCCTTGAAGAACTAAATACACAGATTGTCCATTTAGTCTCTGAAAAGCAGGCAGTAGAACATCCAGGGTGTCAGTCAGCATAGACTAAGTTATGCTGTAGTAACAAACAACCTCTAAATGTCAGTGGCTTAAGACAACAAAGATTTCTATCTTGCTCATGCTGCGTGTTCATTTCAGGCTATCAGAGGGGCTCTGTTCCTCACTGAATCCAGCCTGATGGGGCCATCAATATCTACGAGATTTCAGTCACTGTGCCAGAAGGCAAAACACTGTAGAGAATCCCACCCTGGCAATTAAAAGCTCTGGTCTGGAGGTGAAGCATCATTTCGACCCATAACTTATTCTCCAGAAATAGCCACATAGCTATACCCAACCACGAGGGGACTGAGAAGAGCAGTCCTGCCATGCACCGAGAGGGAGGGAAAAGAAGAAAATATAACAAACGGCATGAATGATGGCCATGCCCAGCTGCCAGTCCCAGGCCAGTGAGCCCCTACAAGGATACCCAGAGAGCTATACCCCAGGAGAAGGGTATGATGACGCTCCAGGGGAGCCACTGTGTGGTTTTAACTTTTCTTTTTTTTTTTTTTTCTGCATTTGCAAGCTAATTGAGGTCAGTGTTCTTCCTGGAGTCAAACTATCTGTACAGGGCAGGCTGTGCTAGCTGGCAAGCAACAGACAGTAACTTCAGAATTCTCCAACTCCTTTTCAATTAAATGGGGGAGTCAGACTACATATCTCCAGAATCGCTGTTGTTCTATAATGTTGTATATGTAAATTATTAAGAAAAAATAATTTTCACTCCCACTGTTGCTTAAAATAATCCAATCTTCTCAACCAGCGCCTCATTTTCTCCAAGCTCCTCAATGTTGGAATTTCTTGGATCAAGCCCTGGAGCCTCTTTTCTCACTCACTGCCCTGCCCCTGGGCAGTCTCCTCCCATCCCCAATGCGTGCAACCTCCACATGACACCTTCAGAGGTCCCAACAGACGTACTCAGAGACTTTCCCTGTGTCTCCATTTGGATTTCTCACAGATCTCAAATTAAAATGTCCCAAATTTATGGCCCCTCCCACCCCACGCTAACCCAGTCCTCTTTCAAAGTCATCCAGCTCCATAAGCCAGTTCCTGTGCCCAAGACCAAGGAGTTATTGTGGACACCTCCTTCCCTCTCATTCAATCCAATAGTTCCATCCAATAATTCTGATCTACCCTTCCTCTAAAAGAGCTCAACCCATTCCCTCTTCTCCACCCCGACCCCACTACCCTAAGCCAAGCTGTCATCATCAGTTTCCTGGACTCCCACAACCATCCCCTCCTGGTCTTTGTGCCTCTGCTCCCATCCCTCCCCAGTGCCTCTGGACACGGAAGTCAGAATGGCATTTTACAGAATGAACTGGATCACACCACTAGTGTAAACTCTCTGGTGGCTTCCTGTAACTTAGGATGGATTCCCAGTCCCCCCAGATCCTTGCCACCTGCACTGCACACCCTCACACCATATCCCTTGCCACCCTTCTCCTTGCTCATGAGGTAGACCCACTGCCCTTTCCTGCTTGAAACATCAGCCTTCTCCTGCCTGTGAACTTTTCCCATTGTGCTGGCTTGGCCCGGCAGGCTTTGCTTTGCATCTCTGCCTGGTCTGTTCTTCCTCTTCCTCCAGACACCCACCTAATGGCCATTCCTTCTGGAGGCTTTCTCTGGCCACTCACCACCATCTCAGCCTTCTTAGCTCACTCTTTTCATTCCCCCCATGTTGTTCATCACACATGTAATTAAACATTTATTTCTACCATTACTCACACACTTTCCCTACTGTGTTGTAAGCCCCACAAGGGCAGGGCCATGCCTGTGTTGTTCATCACTCTGTCCAGCCCTCTTTCACCAAAACTAGCACAGGTTTTGTCACATAATAAACATCAATAAATACCTATATGTTAAGTGAATAATTCTACTTACCTAACCCCTGGAAGATTATAACTAAGATGATTTCTAAGCTCATTCAACTTGTTACCAAAAAATGCAAACAATACAGGCACAGAGCTGCCTACTACAACACTATTTGTAATAGAAAAAGACGGAAATAACCCCAGTGTCCATCATGGGGGACCCAGTGTCCATCACGGGGGACAATGTGAATAAACTGTGATACACCCACACAATCGAGGACTGTGCTGCTATGAAAAGAAGCAAGAAAAGTCTGCATATATTAAAGACAAAAGGCAAGGCGCCGAATAGCAAGTGTAGCGTGATATCTTTTGTCTAAGACAGAAGTCAGTATAAATATGTGAGTGCCTGTTTTGTTTTTAAAATGAAATGAAGAAAACAAAACTCAATTTTTAAAAAATGGTTACCTGTGAGAGAAGGAGAAAATAAGAAGCAGGAAACAGGAACAGAGCTCGATTGCTCAGAGGGCACCTGCTTTAGAGTTCTGACTTTGGAACCTTTTGGACGTGTTACATCGTTACAAAATAAAATTCAACCAAAATGGGAAAAAATGATTACAAATCAAAAGAAAATAAATGAACCTAACTATATATTAGGTTGGTGTTTAATGACATTGGACCGGATAAGAGGGAAGTAAAGAGAAAAATTACTTTAAATAAGTTTAAGACACAGATATGGAACTGTTCATCCCTACAGGAATATATCTTAAGGACAAAAAGAATACAGAGAAATTTCAAATAGTATTCTGTAGCCTTATTTTTTATTAATAACAAGTGGTGCTGTTGACATTGTTATTTGAACCTACACAAACACAAACACACACACACACACACACACATCACCACAATGTTATTAGGAATCAAGAACTTTTAGTGTAAAAGTAAAGAAAATTAACATTAAGTCAAAGAAGTTAAGATCCCTGTAATTTTAAATGTGACTTAGAAATACAAGTAAAGGGCTGGATGCAGTGGCTCACACCTGTAATCCCAGCACTTTGGGAGGCCAAGGTGGGCAGATTGCTGGAACTCAGGAGTTCAAGACCAGCCTGGGCAACATGGTGAAACCCCATCTCTACTAAAAAACACAAAAATTAGCCAGGAGTGTGGCACACATCTGTAGTCCCCAGCTATTGAGGGGGAGGCATGCTGAGGCTGGAGGATCACTTGGGCAGGAAGGTGGGAGAGAGGGTTGCAGAGCCCAGATAGCACCACTGCACTCCAGCCTGAGTGATAGAAGTGAAACGCTGGCTCAAAAAAAAAAAAAAAAAAAAAAACAGAAATGCAAGTAAAAACTCATGATGTACTTTTATTTTTAAATAAAATAAATACATATTTTCTAGTCCAGTAAAAATATTATTTCCTTGATTTCAAAAAAAAGAAAATACCCAGAAGCAATGAAAACCAAGTAGTATCCAGACTTTAGTTTATAAATATTTGTCCTAGGAATCCACTGGGGGAAAAAGGTCTGATTCCAGGTCTTATCGGAAATTGTAGGAGATGCAAGAAAGCTAACTAAGACTATCAGGGAAATGTCAAAAAGACAGAGAGGCCAGTCCAAACGGATTCTCACTGGCCGAGGATGGCACAATTTAAGCATCAAAAAGAACAATGATTGCAACCAGTCAAACTATATCAAAGAAGTTAAAATCCATGAGTTCATAATAATAGCATTGGTCACACTGGAGATTGCTAGAACACCAAATTGTTATTCTGAAAACTGATATATAAATGGAAAGAATAGAGCATTTATCTGGACTTTCTTGTACAAACTATTTCCAGGGGTAACTAATTAGTTGATGACCAAAAGTTCTTATTCATAGAATTATTTCAGCTAACAAATGCAGAAATAATTATTGTGTGAGGATATCAGCATTTCATAACCCTAATAAAATAATGAATCTGGCAAAGACCATGATTAGCTGCCAAATCCTTAGGGGACAGCTGGTGAGAAATTTCTTGCAGGATGGAGGAGGCTGACATAACCTAATCCCACTGATGAATTTACACATCCCAAAGGAGAGACCTCAGCCTCCCAGTGCCCCTGTGAGCTGCAGCAGGAAGAACACAGCAATAAGTGGGAAATAGTTTTGCAAAAACATCCAAATCTGATCAAGCCTCTAGATCTAATTATTAACTTACCCAGAACAAGATAGAGGAACAGCACCACAGGGTGTAGTCAGGCAAATCCACAGTGTAGAAAATTCTGCAGGGCAAATGACTGAGTTTCTTCAACATATAAATAACAAGGAGAAAAAAGAAGAAAGGAGAACTGTTGGTTGAGATAGGTAGATATGTTCATACACACCAAATATAAGGTGTACACTTGTTTATTTCCTTTTTTAATCACCTGAAGAGAATCAGGAAAATTTAAGTATTGACCAAATATTAGATGATATTTAGGAATTATTTTTCATATTTCTAGTTTGATAATGTAAAATGTTTATTTTTTTTAGTCTCTTTCACTTAGAGACACATAGTTAAGCATTTATGACTCAAATGGTATAAAAATCTGGATTGTCTTTTAACTAATCCAGTGGGAGGAAGGGAGAACTAAAGCAGGGATGGGAGGATATAAGTGAAACAATAAAAAAATTGTGGACAAATGCTTATATCTACTCTCCACAGATACTAATAAATTAGTTCTTTTTTTTTTTTTTTTTTTGAGACTGTCTCTGTCACCCAGGCTGGAGTGCTGTAGAGCAACCTCGGCTGACAGCAACCTCCGCCTCTCAGTTTCAAGCGATTCTTGTCTCATGCCTCAGCCTCCCGAGTAGCTGGGATTACAGGTGCATGCCACCACGCCCAGCTAATTTTTGTATTTTTAGTAGAGACGGGGTTTCACCATGTTGGCCAGGCTGGTCTCAAACTCTTGAGCTCAAGTAATCTGCCCACCTCCGCCTTCCAAAGTGCTGGGATTACAGGCGTGAGCCACCACACCCGGCTGAATAGTTCTTAATTCTATCCAAAAATAAGAATCACATACAGTTTCATGACAATAATTTTAATTTTTAATTTAAGATTACTTAAAATATATCCTAAATATTTTCCTCACCCCAAGCACAATGGACTGACAAAACCAACAGCCCCTCCCTGCAACCCTAGGGTTCCTGTTGGGGAAACAGCAGCTGAACTGAGTAGATCGCTGGGTCACCATGTCTCCCCAACCCCCAGCCTCAAGCCCCAGCCAGGTGTGCAGTCACACGGCTGCTCCTGTAAGGTCAGAAACCCAGTTACCTGACCACCCAGCTGCAGGAGTGTGGTCTCCTCCGCTCCAAGCAAATCTTGAGGGCTCAACACGATGTTTTCTGCTAATTTTCTTGACATCTTATGCCTATACCAACCTTTCAGATTGGAGATTCAAGGTAGACACCTTTCCCTGCTCCTTCTTGTTAAACCAACCCCCACCCCTTTTAGAATTCTTAGCCATATCCTTTTCCTGAAAGACTCTTGCCTTGACAATTTGGTTGAGACGTTCTCTCTGTCTTCCTGGCACGTGGAATAACCAACACCTCTAACAACAGATGTATTGTTGCTCATTGCTTGTCAAACTTAGCCAATCTGAAATCACTGTCACCACAGACAACAGGCTTCTAAAGATTTGGGACAGACAAAAAAGCCAAAAATCCACCATCTATTCAGCACCAAGAGCCCTGTGGGTGCTTAAGCACAGTGGACAATCAGTGATTGAGACACTGCTGGCCAGTGGCTGTCCTGTTCATGGTGACCTGTCACCCTGCTGAGGGACACAGGATGGTGAAATAGAGCCAGCCTGAGCTTTGAAATTAAACAGATATTGGTTTGGAATCAAATCAGCTTCTTACTATGTTTAATTTGGGCAATAACTTTTGCTTCCTGAGCCTCAGGTTCTTCCTTTGTGAGCTTGGTGACCTTGCCCCACTGGATTGCTGTAAAACAGCACATGCGGCCGGGGGCAGTGGCTCACACCTGTAATCCTAACATTTTGGGAAGCCGAGGCAGCGGGATCACCTGAAGTCAGGAGTTCAAGACTAGTCTGGTCAACATGGTGACCCTGTCTCTACTGAAAATACAAAAATTAGCAGGACATGGTGGCAGGTACCTGTAGTCCCAGCTATTCGGGAGGCTGAGGCAAGAGAATTGCTTGAACCTGGGAGGCAGAGGTTGCAGTGAGCTGAGATCACGCCATTGCACTCCAGCCTGGGTGATAAGAGCGAAACTCCGTCTCAAAAAAAAAAAAAAAAAAGACAGATGCAAGACCTGAGCACTAAGCCCCAGTGTGAGGGCCCTGGCAAGGGTCTTCATAAATTCCAGAAGGGCTACTTTGGCAGCCAAAGTGGATTTTTCTGGAACATTATGTGCATGCTCGAAGTAAACAGTTTAATTCATCTTCTCATCTTGTTCCAGAAGTCCTCATTTATCTTTTGGGGTTTCCGGCCTCACTCTCCAGCCCTGGAAGCCTTTGACCCCAGCCCCCTTCTGAGTTCAGGGCTCTTGCATTCAGTGGATCATGTGGCATCCCACATCCCCAGTCACTTATCTCGATAAGGCACCGTGGGAGGGAAAGCTTTGGCAAGGACCATTGCGTCTGCGACAGGGGTGCAGAATGAGGGAGGACAGTTACAAGGTTCTGCAGCTCTCTACTCATCTGAAAATGATGAACCATTTCCTGCCAAGACCAAGCAACTTGCTAAGTAATGATCTGGTAATGGCATCTGCTGTCCTCTGCCCAGCACATTTGTCTTCCTGTGTGGACACAGGAAAGGCTATAAATTAAGTCCGGCGCTCTTGCTCATCCCAAGGGTTCCTAGTTTGCTGCTGTTTTAAGGCCTGGTGGCTTGGAGTAGGTGCCAGTGGTGAAGGGTGCATGTGTTTGACAGGAGTTCCCAGGGATGTCTGGGGCAGAGGGTTGCCCTCAACCTTAGTTGAGGGCCGATAATGGGCCAAGAAGAAATGGACAAGGTCTCATTCCATTCAATCTCCTGGGCAACTCCAGGAGAAGGATGAGCTGGGCAGGATTACCGCCATTTGGGAGTGAAGAAACTGATGTTCAGAGCGGGTAAGTAATGCATTCAAGGTTGCACAACTAGTAAATGCTTCATCGGAGATTTCGACACAATCAGTTTGATTCCAAAACCACTATTTGTAACCACTGTGGTACACACTCCTAAACAAAGCCAGTGACTGTAGAATCTAAACAATGCAATTGGAGATACATACACATGTGGACAATTATGGCCATAATATACACAAAATTCACGGTTTCATGGAAGGGAGGAATGGGATCTTGGAAGAACACAAAGATAGCTTCTCAACTTGAGTGGTAAGTTCATGGATGTTCATGTTATATTGGATTTCATAACTCCTGTGTGTGTGTGTGTGTGTGTGTGTGCGTGTAGCAAACAGTATATAAAGAAAATATCTAATGCCTTTTTCAAGACCCAAACAGATGCCCTCAGGGTGAATAATTTTCACCAAGAAAGGTAAAGAAATTTATTCATCAGAATTATTGCACTGAATATGATACTAGGTGCTATTAGAGATTTAAAATACAGTTCCTGTCTGCCTGATATAATATAAGGAGCTGAGCCTAATGGGTATGAGAAATCATTTTAGAGGTTTCACAGAGGTCATCTGACCATTAATTTACTTTAAACGGATTTTCTCTAATCTAGAGAAAGGATGCTCAGAAAAAGACTAGAATCGCAAGCGCACTCCCTTGGCTGTGCTTTGTGGGTTGGGGCCTGACTCTCGCCGGGTGGGAGAGCTCCTGGGAGCTCTATTCCTGCTGCCCCGGCATCAGCAGCCATGGGGCTCAAGGAGACAATGGGTTGGGGAGGATCATGTGTCTCTTTCTGCTTCTTAAATCCTTTTGCAAAGGAGAGGAAAGGCCCTCTTCAGGATGGACCATCCCCAATGGTAAATCACAGTCAGTGCCATCCATGAGCATAGGAGCTGTTCACTGTGGCAAATACAAATTTAGTGTAAGTGCTCATCTTGGCTCCCCTGGTGGAAGGGCAGGTCCTTGAAGACAGGCACATCCCACCACGTCCAGCCTGGAAACTCCCTCAGAGTGCAGGTGCAAACGCATGTAAAATCATTGTAAAATTAATGCAGTGATGGCTGCCTTTAGCATTGCTGCATCCTCTATCCTAGAGAATTTCAGTGCCTGCTCACCTAGGCCTGGGCCTGGGCCCCACAGACAACACTTACCCTCGGGATTCCCCCCAGCCCCCTCTCTTCCTTCTGCCACCACCAATATCTCTCACATCTGATAATTATTTCTTCCTCTGGATGTGACAAGTGCTATCTCAGAAATCGGGCGGCAATATGTTCATGGCTAATAAGCCACTAGCAGCAGTGGGTATGCAGGACCCCAGGCACTTTCCACTCTGGGCTACCTCAGAGGCACGGTGTTGCACAGTGGTTTGGGATGGGCCGGAACCAGAGCCTTCTCATTCCGTCCTTCCTCACCCCCAGAGCATAAAGTAGCCCTATTCCTAAATGCAATGCTCTTTCAAACACCAGCTGCACACAATTGAAAATAGCCTGAGAAAGCCTGTTGTACGAGCGTTCACACCCCTGCCCATTCAGAGTGGGATGAAGAGCAAATGACACGTGCTCCCAGCTGGCCCTGAGGCTGGACACAGCCTGGACTGAGCCAGTGTCCTTGCCCCCAAAGAGGAGGCTTCCCCTGGCCTCACAGACATCTAAATTGTCTGATACTTTCCATCCCACACACTGTTTATGGCCCATCCACTCTCCTTTTTATTCCCAGAATGATATCTCCAGAACAAAGGAGAGAGTCAGTGGACAGCTTTGTGTTGACACACATAAGTAAATGGAAGGTGGGAAGGACAAGTGGCATAAGGAGGGAGAATCCGCCTGGGAGCGGATTCCCCTGGGCAGGGAGGTCGGCAGTGATGGTGGCACAGTGGGGGCCCGAGTGTGCCCTGAAGGTAAATTCCCCGTGGAGCACACCAACAGTTGCTGACCTGCATGTAAAAGTTTGCTCTTTGATTCCTTTGCTAGGGCTTCACTCAGGCACACAACTTCATGCTTGCTATTTGTTTTTGTTTGTTTGTTTTTTGAGAAGGAGTCTCGCTCTGTCGCCCAGGCTGGAGTGCAGTGGCGCGATCTTGGCTCACTGCAAGCTCCACCTCCTGGGTTCATGCCTCAGCCTCCCGAGTAGCTGGGACTACAGGCACCCACCACCACGCCCGGCTAATTTTTGTATTTTTAGTAGAGACGGGGTTTCACCGTGTTAGCCAGGATGGTCTCGATCTCCTGACCTCATGATCCACTCACCTCGGCCTTCCAAAGTGCTGGGATTACAGGCCTGAGCCACCACGCCCAGCCCACTGATATTTGTTATGTAATCAACTAATGACAAAAGAGTGCAGAGGCATGATGAGTGTTACATCTGCCAACTGCTGGGTTGTCTGAATAGATTCTCAAGCGACCATCTGAGGCCCACTCAGAAGTTTCAGTAGTGCCAGAAGGTCTTGACCTATTATTTTTAAATCAAGTAATTCTTAGGGTTTTTTTTAAGTAACTCAAACTAGGAAAAAAACGAGTCCTGGATAACCATTGTGTAGCAGCATCACTGCCAAGCCATTTGCAATAACAACTTCCCAGAAGCTCTTATCTGCCCCCAAATTACTCTTATCTGCCCAAAAGTAAAGAAAGTTTCAATTCAGCAAGTCAGAGCAATTCACAGAGAAGAAGCAATGCACTGACCTCTGGCACAGAAAACTAGAAGTTGGTCCTTCTCCATTTCTTCTGTTAACCAAGGTTCTCTTGGCATTTAATTTTACAAGGGCCAGAGACAACTCCAGGGATCTCAATGCAATCCTGCTTCTGGATGGGACAAAGAAGGCATCAGCCGCACAGGAGAAAATCACAGCTGTCCTTTCATTCTGTTCAAGCACACATGAAGCTCCTTCTAGGTTCATCCACTGTGTGCCAAACACCTGGGACAGTCAGAGAAGAATAATGATGCCAGCCTTCTAAGAGCTGGCAGACCAGTGAGAGAGCAGGCTCAAGACATGGCAGAGTCAAACACAGACAGAAAGCTATGGTATCTCAGAGGAAGATGATGAGATTTGGAAAGCTCCCAGAGAAGATGGGACTGGAGCTGGGCTGCTTAGCACTGAAACAGTGGATTTGGGGAGAATATTTGCATGCAAGTAAAATATGCAAAAGATGTTCAAAGAACAACCAAAAGTGGTAGAAATGTGGAGTGAGAAATACTGAAATGTCCACAGCTCAGGAAAACATGTTTTCCAACCAGCATCCCTGACCATTCCCCCTTCCCCAGGTCTAGGGCATCTAGAGCACCAAAATTACCAGCAACTCTCATCTTTCCTGACCCCTCCTTACTTCACTTTTGATCTAAAAGTACATTCCGGCCTCATCTAACCATTTAAAAAGCCATTTTCAGGTCCATGTCAGTGGCTCAATTGAGATACTGCAAGACAGTGTGGTTTTTCCTGAAGTCACAAGTTATCAATGAAGTTCAGAGTAAGTCCTGAACTGCAGAGGGAAAGTGTGCTGATCCAGGCAGAGTTGCCTAAATGAAAACGCTGGCCACCTTCCTCTCGGTCCCATATTGATCTCGAGTTGGAAGAGGTGAGTCCTGTCTCAAAATGGAGGTAAAACCGCCGCCTGGTTGCCCCCAGCCCGACTCCGGCAGTCGCCGTCGCCACTGGGGGGAGGAGGGCCATGATCCAAAGGAACCAGAGCAGCTGAGAAAACTGTTTATTGGTGGTCTGAGCTTTGAAACTACAGATGATAGTTTAAGAGAACATTTTGAGAAATGGGGCACACTCACAGATTGTCTGGTAATGAGAGACCCCCAAACAAAACGTTCCAGGGGCTTTGGTTTTGTGACTTATTCTTGTGTTACAGAGGTGGATGCAGCAATGCGTGCTCGACCATTCAAGGTTGATGGGCGTGTAGTGGAACCAAAGAGAGCTGTTTCTAGAGAGGATTCTGTGAAGCCTGGTGCCCATCTAACAGTGAAGAAAATTTTTGTTGGCAGTATTAAAGAAGATACAGAAGAATATAATTTGAGAGACTACTTTGAAAAGTACGGCAAGATTGAAACCATAGAAGTTATGGAAGACAGGCAGAGTGGAAAAAAGAGAGGATTTGCTTCTGTAACTTTTGATGATCATGATACAGTTGATAAAATTGTTGTTCAGAAATACCACACTATTAATGGGCATAACTGTGAAGTGAAAAAGGCCCTTGCTAAACAAGTGATGCAGCCGGCTGGATCACAGAGGGGTCGTGGAGGTGGATCTGGCAATTGTATGGGTCACAGAGGAAACTTTGGAGGTGGTGGAGGTAATTTTGGCCGTGATGGAAACTTTGGTGGAAGAGGAGGCTATGGTGGTGGAGGTGGTGGCAGCAGAGGTAGTTATGGAGGAGGTGATGTGGATATAATGGATTAGGAGGTGATGGTGGCAACTATGGCAGTGGTCCTGGTTATAGTAGTAGAGGCGGGTATGGTGGTGGTGGACCAGGATATGGAAACCAAGGTGGTGGATATGGTGGCGGTGTTGGAGGATATGATGGTTACAATGAAGGAGGAAATTTTGACGGTAGTAACTATGGTGGTGGTGGGAACTATAATGATTTTGGAAATTACAGTGGACAACAGCAATCAAATTATGGACACATGAAAGGGGGCAGTTTTGGTGGAAGAAGCTCGGGCAGTCCCTATGGTGGTGGTTATGGATCTGGTGGTGGAAGTGGTGGATATGGTAGCAGAAGGTTCTAAAAACAGCAGGAAAGGGCTACAGTTCTTAGCAGGAGAGAGAGTGAGGAGTTGTCAGGAAAGCTACAGGTTACTTTGAGACAGTCGTCCCAAGTGCATTAGAGGAACTGTAAAAATCTGTCACAGAAGGAACGATGATCCATAATCAGAAAAGTTACTGCAGCTTAAACAGGAAACCCTTCTTGTTCAGGACTGTCATAGCCACAGTTTGCAGGAAGTGCAGCTATCGATTAATGCAATGTAGCGTCAATTAGATGTACATTCCTCAGGTCTTTTATCTGTTGTAGCTTTGTCTTATTCTTTTTCTTTTCATTACATCAGGTATATTGCCCTGTAAATTGTGGTAGTGGTACCAGGAATAAAAAATTAAGGAATTTTTAACTTTTCAATATCTGTGTAGTTCAGTTTTTCTACATTTTAGTACAGAAACTTTAACAAAATGCAGTTTTGAAGGTGTTTCCTTGTGAGTTAACAAGTAAAGAAGATCAATTGTTAATTACTATTTTGTATAAATTTTGCTAAAGTTAACTGTAAAGAAACACCTGCTGACTTGCAGTTTAAGGGGAATCTATTCTCCCCATTTCCAAACCATGATATGAATGGACGCCGACATGTGGAGAGAACAGATAATTTGTGTGTTTGCAATGTGTGTTTTAGGTAAATAGGATTGGGTATTTAAATTAGCATTTGTGAATTTAATAGCATTAAGATTACCTTCAAATAAAAAAGTCTCAAAATTTCTTTTTGGTTTTTGTGCACTTTCTTTTAAAATGTAATCACATGATTTTAGTGTGTTAGACTTGCTGAGTCCTAGCTGTGTTTAGAACATCTCCATTCTACATTTACCTTGGTCAAATTTGAACTGCTGCCATAGGTTTTGGGTGTAAAGAATGTTTACTGCCCTCCATTTAAATTCTGAAAAGGTATAGTGGATGTTTTCCCTCTCCTACATTAGAAACCATTCTTAAAAACTTTTCAAAATATAGAACCATTAAGCCTGCTATATCTGAGCAAATTAGTGGGTACCTTTTTTCCTTTTTTAAAGCACAAGAGGCCCATAAATCTTGAGTTATTTGCATTAGTTTACATTTTTTGATACAACTTTTCAGACCAAGAGAATAAAAATCATGCGTTATTAAACCCCTAGCTGGCTGGCATGCTTTCCTGTTTGTACTGTATACATTTTGCTGGATGAAACCAAGGATAGTTTAGGTATAATTGTCCAAAATAACCTAACTGCAGCAGAAATGTAGGACAGTTGCTTAGTACAGGCTTCTCACTTCCTACAGACCTGAATTCAAATTTGGATAGTCTGAGTTATTAAATTCCCAAAGACAAAGAACACACTCTTATTTCTTGTGTATATTTCAACATAAATCATGTTGTTACCAATTTGTTGGGAAGGCCCTGGTTGAGAAGAGTTTTAGATAATAAGGCTGTATATATATAGATATATATAGATATATACCAATGTCTATATATAGAGATATTTTATATATATATATACAGGTATATATATGTGTGTGTATATATATAGGTATATACATATATACATATATATATATATATATATGGATATATACCCATGTCTACTGTTTTGCTTCAGCTAGTGCTTACAATTTCATTCAAGTCCTGAGTATGTGTCCTGCTGTTACTCCTTCTTTGGTAGTTGAACGTTGAATTCAAGTCTTTCCTTCTGTTTTAAGAAGTACTAAGCAAACAAGCAATAAAAAGGGGAATGGCGCATGCTAGTGTTTGAATATGCTCTCTTGTTGCTCTAATTCTGTGCCTCCGTGCATTAATATTTGGATGCATGCAATGCCAGCATGGAAATTGGCCTTCACACTTACTGCAGTTTTCCAGAAACACTCACAAGCCAATAAATGTAACAGACATTCCATTTTTAATGGGCATATATGTGAAAAGCAGTGTAGAAAATAGGCTAATATTAGAAAATGGTTAAGTCCTTAATAACTTCAAGTGTGGTTATATAATGGACACTGTCAATGTTCATAACTTAAACCTGGGTACCTGGTCAAAATAATGCTTGGGAAACATTAAAATTGAGCTAAATTGTCTCAAGTTCTTTTATTCATATAAATAAAGTTTAAATGAATGGGGGAGATTTTAAAAAAGAAGAAGAAAAGAAAAGAAAACGCTGGCCACAGGCCCTCAACATCCTGCACGGGCATTTCAGAAAGGCGGAAGGATTGCTGTGGGGCTCTTATACCTGGAACAGCTCTGCTAAGAGCTCCTCTCTGGTGAGGCAAGCATGATGAAAAGATTACTATAATTCATTCCTTTTTTTAAGTAAAGCAAACACATTAAAATAAGTTATATATAATTCACGACAAAACAGAATTGCTGGGACAGAAATGCATGTGGACATGGTATTTGAGCAAGAAATTTGCCAAATAATGAATTTAGTTTTATGCCCCAATAAATGCCTTTGTTTTCATTTCAAAGAGCAGGCTATGTCCCTCATGATTTCCAAAACACTATCTCAGCTAAGTTTGTTTTAGTTTAGTAACAAGTTAATGTTGTGTTCTCTGGTTTTGTAAGTTTTTTTGAAGGTGCAGCTGTCAATACATGTATTGCTAAATGAACTGCATGTTTAAAAAATAATTTACATCAATAAACCATAATGTCTTGATTACTTGGAGAAGGAATGGATACTACTGCTATATTTATCACTATCAATGTTTGAATAACTAACTTTAATGTCTTAAATTATTAGGCTAGATTGATTAGTTTTACAAGAAGTTCAAAGCATACAACTTATTCCCCAAAGTGGGTCTTACATGTAGATAATATTTTATTTTCCCTCTGTTTTCCTGTAGAAAAATTGTTCTAAATTCATTATAGAAAGTTACATGCCATTTAACTACCTGAAAGGTGATGTTAATGTGACAATTTTGTAAATATTTCTAAAATGCCCAGAATTATACTGTATGAATACATCATTATTTCTGGTATGTGGTAATAAAAATATTTTATTTGCATCATTTAGATTGGGTTTGTCTGCAAGTAACAGAGAACCTAACAGTGCTGGCTTATTTGTCTGCAGCGATGTTGGGGAAGCAGCCCACGGCTGATCTAGAGGCTCAACACCGTCACCAAGACCAGGCCCCATGAGTAGTCCTGCCCCGCCGTCCTCAGAGTGAGGCTCCTGTGCTGGGATCACAGGATGGCTGCTGTGCTCCCAGCATTTCCAGGGGCCAAGATGGGAGGAAGAAGATGGACGGCAGAGGAAGGACAGAGGCCAAAGGCACAAGCGAGCATTGTCAGATCACCAAAAAGATTTTTTTGCTTTAAGCCCCACCCCTAGTGACTTCTGATTCCATCCAAACACCCAAAATTGGGTCATATGTCCCCCGCTTAGCTATTAAGGTATCTGTAGAGTTAGATACTTTTCAGTAGGTATTGACATACAAGGGTGCTCTTAGGAAGTAGAGAAGAATGAACATTGACTAAGCAATTAGCTGTTTCTGCCACAATGTTGTGATTTTACTGACTTTTATTGCTTGTGGTAGAACCTTACATTGCATGGACTGGTTCTGGATTTCTTCTATTTCACGTACACAGGAAGGATACTTCCACACTCCCTTGAAGTCAGGCACAACCAGTGCCTGCCTGCAGCTAATGAAGGGTGGGCAGAAACGATGTGTGTAGCTCCCAGGCTGAAGTACCTAATGCAGTGCCTGACTGAGCCCTGCCTTCCCCACCACAGCAATCATGGAAATAAGTGTCAAGTTGGAGCGGTCTTAGAGTGATAAATACAAGCCAAGCTCTCCCACAACCCACAGTAGATGGAGCACTTGAGCAAGAAGCAAACCTTTGTTCTTTTAGCCCCCAGGACTTGGGGCTTGTTTGTTATCATCAAACCTGGCCTATCCTGACTGGTACAAATTGGCAGTAATTTCTCCAGTGTCCTCAATTAAATGTATGTATATGTTTGTTTAATAAATAAGTGGGGATATATTAAAATGTAGCATACATTTAAAAGCCAATAGCATTTCTTTAAATATAAAGGGTTGAAAAGTAAATGATCTATCCCTTTTTCACAGTTTACATCCTGGAATGACACTGGTTTAGATGAAAAGATAAGTATAGGGGCATAAGGAGGAAGAAGATTTGAGGAGTTAAAGTGGCTTTTTGAAGAGGATACGGAAGAAGATGAGGACCCCTACTAAGGAAGGTCCCTATTGATGGGAAGCAGTTATCCATCATGGAGAAGCTGGGCCCTCCTCCATCCTAATAAGCCCTAATAAACTGATTTTTACTGTTTGTTTTGAAATAATTTTAGACTTACAAAAATGTCACACCAATAGTCCAAAGGATCCTCCCTCGACTTCATTCAAAGCACAATCTCCTGCTTTTCCTCCTGCTGATCAGGAAATGTCTCTGCTTTCTTGGCAAGCTCATCCTTCTTTACGTACAGTTGGAATGTTAGAGCTCCTCAAGGCGGCCCCCAGGCCCCCTTCTCTGTGCCATCTGCACTCTGTCCTCAGAAGAACTAGTGTGCACCCAGGCCTTTGGTTACCGCACAGCATGGTAGTGACTCGCAAACATGTACCTTGAGCCAGACCACTCCTCACATTTCCAAGCTTTTGTCTGCATATTGTCCTTGGTATATCTAGTAATATCCAATTGTATACTTAATATTGGCTCTTCTCTGGCTCAAATGAACCTCACAGTAAAGTCCCAAACAGAACTTATTCCTTTCCCCATCTACCCACACCTGGCCTTCCTGTCTCCTGGTGTTTTCTGTTTCACTGAATGTTACTAGTGTGCACTGAAGGGTGGAAGCCATGGATCTCGCAGTGCTGCTCAGCATCTCTCCAACTTATCCTTCATATTCTACAACGAATGTCCCTTTTCTGGGGAAGCCCTTCCTGGCCTCCCAGACAGACCTAAAACTGCCCATGTCACCTTCACTGCACTTATGATACTTAGGATTTTATAATTATTTGTATAGTCACTTAATATTTGTCTCTTCAGTTAGGCCAGCCATCAGCTCATTGACAGAAGGACTGCTCTCTGATTCAGGGTGGGGTCCCCACCTCCTAACTCACAAGCTCAGTGCTCAGTAGGTGTCTATTGAATGAATATATGATGGACACCTTTCCAACATATGACTTTGCTCCTGAAAGTTCTGGATTCCCTTCCTCTCCTTGGTGGATCACTTAAGAGAGGGAAGATCAGTTCACTTCCCCTTCATTGAATCACTCTTGTGTATTCTCAAGAGATTTCATAAGGTCAGACAAAATCAACTTCTCAAGTTCAAGCCAGAACTCTTTTTTTACATTACCAGTATTTCAGAAACCGAGGTCCTCATTTGTTAAAAGACAAAGAGAACTCATCCTTGTCCAAGCCAACAGTGGACATAGAAGAGCATGAGCACACTTGGCCAAAGTGCATCCTAGGAGGAGGCCCAGCATACACAAAGGCCCTGAAGCCAGAGCTCACCTGGTATTTGCAGGAAGAGCAAGGCCTCCAGAGTCAGGAGTGGAATGGGTAGGGAGGAGAGGCTTTTCCAACACGAGAAGCCATGGGGCTATTTGAGAGCACCAGCAGAGGAGGTGCAGAGCTGAATGTATGTTTTAAAAGTCTTACCATAGCTACTATGTAGAGAAGACATTGCAGGGGCTGACTGCGAGGGAAGAATTGGGAGACAGCGCTGCTACCTCTCCTCCGCTACTCTCTGGCTCCCCTGAACAGATTTAGAAAGAGAAGGTTTATGGGGAAATCAGGTGGAGGAAAGAGGTCAGGGAAACAGTACAGGGAGCAGTTCTCTGGTCAACGCCAAGAGTCGTTCCCTTGCCAGGCATGGCAGGGCTTGGTCGTGGCCTGGGTTTTGAGCCATGACAGAGGAAGTTACTGGCCTTTGAACTAGGCTGATGGATTTGCTCCATCTTGGGCTAGGAGACAATGATTGAGGTCAGCTATCAAAGCCTTTCTATGAAACCTCCAGAAAGTAACCACAGCTCAGACCTAAGACTGCTCAGTGGCCTGAGAGCCAACAACATGGGCCTGTGAGGGGAGAGATGACCACAGGCCCCAAGCCGTTGTCCCTCCCTATCTGTCCCAGGCTCAGACACTGCCAGCTTCTGCACGTGATTCTTGGTTCAGCCCCTTAGGTTCCCATGCTGTGGAAATTCCCCCAGGATTCTGAAGACCAGGTGAGTGGCCTCAGTAGGAGCACAGCCCTGGGGTCCAGGAAGGGCTAGACATGACACCCATCGTGCCCCTTGCTGGCTGAGTCTGTGGGGTTGTGCATGCCTGGGCGGGTGGGTGTCCTCTGTAAGTGGGGTCAGTTACTCCGCCAACCTTGATGAGCTGCTGGAAGTACCCAGCATGATACCTGGTATGCAATACACATGCAGTAAGAATCTGTTAGTATCCAAGCGTTTCTGTTTCTTCCTAGGTCTTTTCATGGAAAGGGAGAGGAGGTTGTATCTGGAATTCTTACCAGGTGCCATTTTCCATGGAAACCTAAAATATATTTTGGAATCATGTAGAGCTAGTCCCTTCTCCTAGTTTTCTTTTTAAAGTTTCCTAATTGCTTTTCTATATAGGTTTGTACAGATTCTCTAAAGTAGCCTAAGAATCTGAATGGTCCTGGGTTGAGTTTGGTGCTCCTGGCTGGGAAGGGGTGAGGCCCACTGCTGAGAAGTGACTGACGTCTAGCTGTGGCCCCAAAAGAAGGTGGAAGGAAGCAGCGTCCGGCTCTCTGTGACTCCATCCACACAGGAGGGCTTGCCCACACCATCATGACGGGCTGAATATTTGGAAACTTGGAAACTCAGAATTCAGTTTTGGTCTCCTCCACTCTCAGGAAACCCAGATGACATGTGTCTGTGCATGCACATGGCCCTTTGGCTACACAGGGCAAAGTGAAGGCTGGTGGGGCCCCTGGAAATAAGCAAATAAAGAGCAGCCCCCACTGTCTTCAGGGGCTTGGTGTCCTGCAGTGGGAGGTCAGTGCCCCTGCAGAGCCTGCCCTGTCTTGCCACCAGTGCCTCCCAGAAGCCTGGCCCCATGCAGGAAGTGCTTATCAGTGAGATTGTTGAAGAGCAAACAGTCAATGTGGTCTCTACCACAACTGGCATGATTAATTTAGGGGCTGAGTCAGCTGGCTATGACAATTTTTGTCCCCTTCTGCATATAGAAACCAAAACTCTACTGTAGGCTGGTTGTGGGGAGAGGGCATTAAACTCTGACAGGTTGCAAATGTCCTGGGGAAAATGACCTCTGCTCCCTCTGCTCCCACCCGGATCCCTGCTCTGGAGGCCTGGACTAATTAGCGTCTGGCAGGTGTCTGGAAAGAGCTGCCTGGCCGGCCATGGTGACATCATGGCTGGGCATTGCTCCCCCATTCCACTGCTGAGAAAGTCTCTGTTTCATTAGGCTTCCAGGATTACTTTTTAATTTTTTTTAATCCCCTTTGTAGGTTCTGGCTCCAATCAGTCTTGGAGAACATTCTGCACGCTCCTTCCCACTCCCACTGCCTCAACAACTGTGCTCCAGTTAAAGTTACTGTTCCCGGAGGAGTGAGGCTCACCTTCCCCAGGCAGCAGGCGCAGCCCTACAACCCAGCCCCCACACATCAGCACCAGCAACCCACACTGCTGTTGCTTTATACTCATATACTAGGGATGGAGATTTCAATGTGGCTGCTGTGTTCTCAACTTTGTGCTTTTCAGATGTTTCTAAAGGGCTTCTTCATCACCTCACTTGTTCCTGGATTGTAGTTGGAATGCAATTTAGATACTTCAAATAGTTAAGTTGGTTCAGACATTTGTAGTCTTGGGAATAATCCACTTGATAAGTTGTGGAATAAAAAAAGCTAAAAACCTGTGTTCACGGAACTATACAAAACAAAGAGTGAACCCTACAGTAACCTAGGGACTTTAATTAATAAGAATTCATCAGTATTGGTTCATCCATTGTACAAACATTCCACATTAATGCAATATGTTTGTAATAGGGAAACTGGGGTCAGGGGAGAGCATGTGGGAACTCTCCATTGTGTCTGCTCCACTTTTTTAAGCCAAAAACTGCTCTCAAAAATTGTCTGTTAATTTAAAAATAGTAATATGAGCAGGAGAGAAGTAGATGGTGGCATAGATGAAATAAGATTAGCCCATAGTTGGGGTAATTTTTGAGAATGGGTGATGGGTCTGTGGGTGGGGGTTCATTATAAATTATGAAACTCATAATTTTAATACAGTTTTTTTTAACAAAACTTATACTAATTCAACAATGTGTCTTTTCTCATTACAAAATAATTCACATACACTGTAGATATTTGAAAAATATTAGAAAGTACCTATAATGAAGTCACCCAAAAATATCTATCATCAGCATTTTGATATGGCTATATATACAGATAACAAAATGGGGGTCTTACTGAGGAAGCAGCTTAGGGCCCTGTCCTTTTCTTCAACTTTGTAATGTACTAAGAACATCTTCCCATGTCTTAAAATAACTCCAAAAGCATGCTTTTTAAATAGCCACATAACATTTCATGGTATAACTGAAGTCCAGAAATTGAATTCCCACCTTAATGGCCCTCGTCTCGTCTGGCTGAGATCATCAGAGGTGTGAGTCTGCCATGCACATCAGGCCTGCAGCAGAGAAGCCTGACAGTAAGAAGGCCCTTTGGCCTTGGTGTCCAGCTGGGGGTGAATTTCTCACATTCAAGTTGTAAATGCACCTCCACGCTGTGTAACAGGGTGGAAAAGGCACATTTCCCCTTTGGGATGTACATAACCTCGGGTAGATTTACTATTTACAAAAAGGCAGAGGCTGGACTTGAGTATTCAGGGCCCTAACGTGAGTGTCGTTGCTTTCCTTGGACCAGAGGCCCAGGTGGGGTCCAGGGGGTGCCCAGGAATCAAGATAATTTCTGCACCACTGAGTCACCCTGACCTTCCCTCCTGCCCAAGAAAGCACGTCAGAGGGCAAGTGAGTGAGAATGATGTTACAGCAATAAAATTCACTTACAAACTAGCAAACCCTTGAACTCAACCTCCCTCCCAACTGTGGCTGCAAACCACCCAGAGGATGGCCCACTGGCTGCAGGTGGGCCCAGGAGCCCAAGGCTGGGCCTAATGATGGGTCTTCTCAGATAACCATCCCTCTCCTGGGGCAGAGAATCAAGGTTAAAGTTGGATTGCAATGGGACCCAGAAGCCGAGTAGA
Organism: Homo sapiens; assembly: GCF_000001405.40. Classification (NCBI taxonomy): domain Eukaryota; kingdom Metazoa; phylum Chordata; class Mammalia; order Primates; family Hominidae; genus Homo; species Homo sapiens. The sequence continues at coordinate 43,780,045 of NC_000010.11, read as the reverse complement.
TGGAATGCACCCTGGCCAGACTGTAGATCATACATCTAATGAGACTTCTAGCCAGATATGGAAGAAGCAGATTCTCAGTGCACGAGCCAGTTCTTCCAGAAGCTAAGCAGATACAGGCGCCAGCCCACCAAGACCTTTGCCAAAGGTATTTTCTTCACATACCTGGAGAGAAAAGAGGGCCTACAACTTTAAATCTGAGGAATATGTTTTCTAAAAGCCAGGTCCCTTGCCAATATATCCGGATCTTTATCTTGGAGAGTTTATCTAATCAGACAACACCAAGGAGTAAAATCCATACTTCAGAGGAACTGGCACCGTCAAGAAACTCACGGAATACCCGTGTGTCTGGGTCAAGGGGAGTCCTCCACCTTCACCCGTGTGGGAAGGATTGCTCCATCAGTCAGCCGAATTCCTGAGAATCACAGGGTCCACGGCTTTCAGGTGCATCTGTGGGGAGGTGCCTTCCCTTGTGAATAGGTCCCGTGTCAAGAGTCTCGTGGACACCACTGAGGCCATGGAGCTGAGTACTGGGCGGATTAATCAGAGATTCAAGTCCTCAGTCCAGAGGGCTGGCTCCAAAGGACATGCAGTCAACCAGATATGGAAGAAGAGGAAAGGCTTCTGTCAAGGGAAACAGCCTTTCGTGGACCGCAGGAAGCTCAGAGAAGCCAGGGAACGCTACTCCCAGACTACAGGGAGCCGTTCTGTAGACATGCAGTGGAGACAGATGTGAATAGAGTATCCCACCAATAGCCGTCTCCCCCCATTTTTAGGAAATGGATCTCCTCTTCAACGCTGTGGTTGGGGCAGGTCTGTTTGACCCCCGAGGTACTCAGATCTGCTTGCCCCTGAAGTCTGTGAAAGCAACAACCAGCTCTTCCTTGATCTGACTGGGGAGCTGAGGGGACTCAAAGGAAACCAGTAGAAAGCTTCAAAGTGACAGAGACGGGGCTGAGAGAGAAACGATGCCAGCATTGACTACTGAGGCTCCTTGGGCAGCTTCCCCAGGCCTGCCCGGGCTTCTTTCACTTGGCCCTGACAAGGCTGGATGAGAGGGGGCATTCTTGCTCCTCATCAGAGGCTGCACATGTTAGAGACTCTAGAACATGGAATGTTCCTCTCTCAGCAAGGGATGGCTGGGAACATGATTCCAGAGGGCACTGTGACCTAGCCAGCCACAGGGGGAAGAACCCCAGGTCCTGAGCGTGCTCTTTGAGGAGAAGGTTCTGACAGAGTAGGAAGTGGGCTGTGGGGTCACGTTGTTCCCACTTCACCACAGTGAAAGCCTGCCAGGAAACACATCCCGGAAATGAGATCTACTCTAGAAAATACAAGGAAGGTGAGACAGATAGAATCAAGGAACTAAAGGTAAACAGGCCATGGGACGAAACCACTGAGAGTCAAGAAAATGCCATTTTGAAAGAACATAAGGACAAAAGACTAAACTTTGAAGGTTATTGAGAGGTAAAATATACAAGCAAAATAAGCTAAAGGAATTAGAATAAATAAAAGTAAGAGCTGTTAAAGACCAATAAACTCAATAGATAATGAAAATGAAAACACTTATTATCCACAATAGCATATTAGTTAAATTATGATAGATTATATGTGGTGAAATGATAGTATATCTCTGAACATAGTGTTCCAGAAAGACCAGCAATGAACAATATATAATATGTTCTTGGCATAGTACATGATAAAAGTAAACATAGTACAATTCCAACCTAAATATATATATATACATATGTGTGTAGACAAATACCATTAAGTATTTATAGAAGCATGTGTGTGTGTCTATGCAAATGTGCAGCATAGATAAAAATATAAAAGGAAATATAGCAAAGTGCTAACAGTGGTTAACTCTGGCATTATTACTAATTACTAATTTTAAAAATAACAGTACTTTCTAAAAACTCTTTACAATGATTCTGAATTACTTTTATTGCCTGAAAGAAAAAGTTTTTCAAAACTTTTACAAAAAAGTAAAAAGATGGCTTAAATATATATCTATGGATAAATGAAGTTTTGTGTTGTTTTAAAGTTATTCTACTAGAGAAATTTAATTTTTACTTAGAGAGATGTTACACAAGGAGAAATACTTCAAATGATATTCTTTATATAATATGAGGATATAATGTTCATTTATTCCTTAGAAGGTATGTATTCCACATTAGTTCATGGATACTCTTGCCCAGGTACTGGGAAGGTAACAAACCAGGCAGACACCTGTCCTCCATGATCTCATATGGACGTGGGAGCTGATCACTGCATATGTGTAGACACAAAGGGAACAAGGACTGCCGCGCCTACCTGAGGGCAGAAGATGGAGCATGAGGATTAAAAACTACCCATGGGGTATTGTGCTTATTCCTTATTAGAGACAAAGTAATCTGTACGTCAAACCCCCACAACACGCAATTTACCCGTGTAAAAAACCTGCACTTGTACCCCTTGAGCCGAAAATAAAAGTTGTAAAGAAAAAAATCTGTCTTCTAAGGGTTACACAGTGGCTGGGAGAAATACACAATCAGTAAAGAGCATGCCCAATGGTGAGAAGGGCAAAAAAAAAAAGAGAGAGAGAGAGAGCAAAAGGGATGGTTGGTTCTAGGAATCTGCTGTAATTTTAAATAATCAAATGGTAAAGAACAAGTCCCCAAGAAGGTGACTTTTGGGCAAAGACCTGGAGGAGGTGATGGCGCCATCCTGTAGACAGGTGTGCAAAGGTGTCCAGGCAGGTGAGCCAGTGCCTTGCATGGCCAAGGAGGCAGGAGGCCGGTGTGCCCCATGGAGTAGGGGAAGGGGAGTAGATGAGGGCAAAACGTGACTTTGGCTATGACTGTGAGCGAGCTAGGAGGTCTGGAGGGCCATACGCTGAGAAGAATACAGCAAAGGATATAGCTGGCCAGGGCTGCGCATGCCCAAATGCACCTGCTTGCCTCTCCAGGACCCTCTTTCAGCACCATCGAAGTGTGCAGCTCAGGGCTCCAACTCACACTTCAGCTAAGGGAGATGCAAGTTGCTGGGGGCTTATCATCATGTGTTTCCATAAAATATCATAGTCAGTCAAAGTAAAACCAAATTCAAATTACACAATTTGGAGGAACGAAATATGTTAAAAAGGACTTGAACAAAGATAGAGGCATCGTAAGTGGGAAGCTTGAAGCAGCCATGAGGCTGACTAAGCACACATTGCCAGGAAGCAAGTGGGGGGCTCAGAGCCTTAAGGTCTAGGATGTTGTGAAGCCGATGCCTTTCAGGTGACATCCAGGACACTGAGTTAAAGGCAGCAGGTCGTCCAACCCAACCATCACCATGAAAGTTTCCTAAAATGGGTTGTGTGGCAGCCTTACCACAGCCAAGGCAGGACAGACCATTCTTTGACCAGAAGCTTCTGAGAGAAGCAGAGCTGAGTTGCCCCCAGGCCTAGACACAGGTAGCATGGCTGGGTGGGGAGGTCCAGGGTGGCCATGGCTCTGGGTTTAGGGATCACCCTGGGGTCATGACCTTAGTCGGTTAGTTTGATGGAGCATCTTTATCCAAAGATGTGGTGCTGCCTCTTCTCAGTGCATTTCATGATCACATATTCCCAGCAGACCCAGAGTGAAAGGGAGCTCTACAGCAAGCACAGGACACACTGAACTCCAGACTGCCATGCCCGGTGGCCTCCTCACTGCAGCTTCGCCAGGGAAGGAAACTACTCCAACCTCAGGAGAACACACGGGCCACTGCCCATTCCCAAGAATGACACAGAGCTGGATTGGGGAAGGCTTCCCTGCCAATGTCAGCACCTGCCATGCAAGTGAGGACTCTTCTGGCCAGCTTGGCTGCTAGGTTCAGCAGAGTACAATGAGACGGATCCCTCAATGTAAATTCCCCCTGGTCTGAATGGAATGTAGCTCTCTCAAGAGGGAGCCTGGGAAACCTGGAGGGCCTGAGGACCTAGAGAAATCTGTGTGATTATTTCCATTTTTGGTCTCCATCATCAGGAGATTGCAGGTTTCAGTTTTTAAAATATGCTCTTTAGTCTTTCTCCAGCCATTATTGATGGAGAGCTTGTTAAGTCTAAAAAATGAGAGTTCTTGGAATTATAGATTGAATCATGGATGAAACCTCTTAATAAAGGGGCTATCCTGACACATTCTTCTAGGATAAACCCTCAGCCCAGTCTTACTTTCCCAGTTTCTGAGAACTACTTTAGGGAAAGTCCCTGCTTCTGTGCACAGAGTTAACCAGTGCTACTGTTCTGGTGGTTGGGGCCGGTTGAGCGACTGTGTTATCAGTGGAGCCGCTCTCTTTATTGTACAGAAACAGATGCTTTCTGCCTATGGAGGAAGAAAGGGGACCATGGCTGAGTGGCGTGGAGAAGCGCAGCCTCAGCTCGCTGGCCAGGCCCTGACTGTCAGGTCAACACCAACAGTTCGTGGTGAAACGTGATACTTGACACCTTTCCTGAGGAGCTCAAGGCTGGAACCTAGGGATTAGATGAAGCTTTACGAGGCAGTCACTGGAGCAAGGCGATAGAGCCATGATTCACGCTGCCCCCAATGAGACCCGCCAGGCCTCATTTGTCCTTTCCAGGGAGTGGTAGCAGCCGTCACAGTGCCCAGCACTTTGCCATTTACAAGGAACTTCTGCATTGATTATTCCCTTTGAGACTGAGACCAATGTGTGAGATTAAGTGAAGACCACATCAGGAGAGCTAAGTGACTTGCCAGAGGTCGTGAGAGGCAGAGTGGCAGGGCCTGAACTTCTGACCCCAAGTGGACTCTCTTGGGGAGCCTCCTGTTCCTCCGCACTGCCCTGCTGTAGGTGAGCTCACACTGTCAACATAGTCCACCACTGCTCACACTGTCCACATAGTCCCCCACTGCCATGTACAAACGCCTTCTCTAGGAGTCCGAATTGATTGGGCTGAGCCTATGTATCCTTCAAAACAAGGAGTCTCCCCAGCAGACTTCCTCCTACCTGCAGAGGTGAGCTAGTCCCCTCTTCTCTGGGCTACGCCTGTCTAAGTGGTCAGCTATTGTTTCTTACTACTATGTACTATAAGTGACTTATTTGCATGTTGAGCTCTTAGCCTGTGAATTCCTTAGGACAGCAACTACTTCTGGACAGGTGGAGAGAGGAGAGTTCTTGAGCATGTGGTCTTTGGAATAAGGCTGCCTAGGATGGGATCCCAGGCTCACCACATAAGAGCACTTACAAGAAAACTGCTTCACTCTCTGTGCCTTCCTTCTCCCGTCTGTAAAATAGGGGCGAGAACAATATTGCCAACCTCTAGGATTATTGTGAAGATGAAAGCAGCTAATCATGTAAATCATTGGAACAAACATCCTAAATGTGCATGAATTGTAAAATTGATCAATTAAATGTAGTATATTCATGCAATGGAAAAAATATTCTCCATCTATTACCAGGAAACAAGCACATCTAAACCCATCATCATTGTGCTCAGTGTGATCATCATCATCATCATCATCATCATCATCATCATCATCATCATCGTGTTTGCATCCTGAGCTTCTACCACAGCCGGCCACACAGCAGGTGTTCCATAAAGGCATGTCAAGTGAATGAACAAATGAACACATTTATCAAACAGCTGGTGGCTTTTCCCTTTGAGACTGAGACCAACGTGTGAGGTCTCAGCCGGGGGAAAACAGAAATGTTCTTACCCTCATCTGGGGCAGTCACAGCTGCCTGGACCATATCTAAAAACACTACGATCACTGCTTCCTCAACAAAATAATACACAGGAAATTCAATGAGTTGAATTTAGTGTTCCTAAGTTAATTTACCCAAATGAAAAGCAAAGGACTCCAGGCCAAAGAGTCAGGCTCACTTATTCATTAATAAATATTGTACAAACTAAGAAATCTTGTTTCTGTCCAGGCAAAGTTGCCTGGCTGGAAATGCTGGGAGCCCATCAGAAACCCCAAGCACATGGATATAGGATGGAAGAGCCTGGAAGGGAATCCAATATATCCTTCCTTACTCTTTTTAGGATGTTTTAGAGCAAACTAAAAGGGTAACCACCACAGAAAACTACCAACACAGAGATTTTCACACAAAGCTCTCTGGGGTGTGCATGTGTTTGTGCAGTTCTTTATGTGTGCTCTGTTGAGTCATTAAAGGGAAAGGAAGCAGTTTCAAGAAACTTGTAATGGGAAATGGGATGTTTACATTGATAAGCTGTCATTAAAAAAAAATAAAGTCAAGTCTTTCGTGTTCAAAAAAGCAGCTATCAAAAAGGAAGAGATCTTTTGTAAAAATCAGAAAATGCCAAAATCTCAGATAATTAAAGTATGTGATATTTGTATACCATGTTCCATTTACAAAGCTCTTTTAGGTGATTTAATTTTTGAAAGGTTAAATATGAATTTTTATAAATAAACACTGTAGTAACTATCATATGATCTCAAACAGAAATATATCAGAATTTTTACTGCAGTCTTTTTCGTTATAGTGAAAAATCTGAAATAGCAGAAATGCAAATGAATAGGTGAGTTGGTGAATTAAATGTGGCATATTGATACAAGGGGAAAATATCACAGAGAAATTGTAAAATTATATATATATATATATATATATATATATATATAGATCGACAGGGATAAATTCCAAAAACAATTTAAGTGTAAAAAAAGGAACTACCAGTATGACATAGTGACATTTATGGTGTGATAAAACTTTTACAAATTTCCATTAACTTCCATATGGAAAAAAAGTTCCATAAACTTCCAATGATATGACTGACCATAGCAGCAGGGTAGTTTTTTTAATGTTCCAAACTCCTTAAAACTAAACAGATCAAATATGAAAGTGGAAAAAATGAATCTATGGATAACATCTTCAACACCACCAGGTAATGGAGAGTCCTTTATGACCTGAATAAAAGTAGTGGTGAGCAGGAGTGTGGGAGGTCAGCAGCTGTGGGTCTAAGTTAGGGAAATGAGGGAAAAGCCAACGTACCCTAAAAGTCATGAACACCAAAACAAAAGAAAATACAAACAAAGACACCAACAAAACTCACATCCAAGATTTTCAAAACCTACTAGGAAGATTGAGAAAACAGGTATAATGGCATATGCATTGTTTGTGAATTCTCCTGAGAGCCCCTGTCCTTATAAACAGAGCTCCTAGGAAGACCCAAAAGCCCATAGGCAATATAATATATACTAAAACATCTAGATGACAACGTATCTTCATAAACCCAAAATTATAAAGCAGGAACAAGCCACTTACAGCTATGTGAGCTGCATGAGACAATGACACTTCTAGTAACACTGGCAACCAACAAACAAAAAAATTCCAAAAAGTACAAATTAGCAAGACAGGTCAATCTGAGAACAGTAGTTGAAATTTTGAAATAGAGTACTTATTTTTCAAAAACTATTTTGTTTGTGTGGATAACACCAGACAAAAATAACAAAACATTTAAAATGGAAGAAATATCAGATTGGCATCAGACATTTTAACAGCAACATTTTGTGCCAAATGACAATGGAATTACATATTTAATATGCTCAAGGAAATGAATGAGGCCAGGGATTTTACATCCAGTTAGACTAATATTTAAAGGCTTAAGGCAGTCTCTTATTAAAAAAAAAAAGCAAAAACTCAACACATCTTACTCCCATGAGTCACTCATGAGGCGTCTACTGGAACTAAATTGCCATATGGAGTGATAATGATGACTGTCAAAGGCTGTTAACATCACAAGAGAAAAATCAGACATTATGTGCTTCGTTGTTGAAGTACACAACTACCTATGAAATATTCTTGTCAAAAAAATTGTATCATCCAGATCTATCTACCAATCTACATGAAATACAGAGAATAGAGGAGCATGTCAAATAACACAATGGAGAGAAAATCAGTAAATTCAGGCAGGGAAAATCTCTACACAAAAATAAACCGTTTCCTTCAACAAGGAATAATCTGACATTTGCCAGTTTTTACAAAAGCTCTCTTATTTTTTGATAGCCACTGTTTTGGACAGGAAAGACCTGACTTATTTTTTTTTAATTACAGCTTATCAAAGTAAATATGCCATTTTCCTTTGTAAGTTCCTTGAAACTGCTACCTTTCCCTTTAATGGCTCAAAATCAAACAGAAAAAAAATAAAATTGTTAAAGTAAACAGCTCATGGGTAAGCTGCAGCACAACTTCAAGCAGTCTGGCATACATGTAAGTCGAGTCTCTAAAGGGGAAGAGAACGAGGAGAGAAAATAAATATTTAAAGAAATGAGGACTGGAATTTTCCAAATTTAAGGAAAATTATAAATTCACAGATCTAAGAAGCTGAATGAACCCCAAGCATAAGAAATATGAAGAAAACTACACTGAGGTACATCATAAACAAATTTCTTGAAAACAGTGATAAAGAGTATATTTTTTAAGTAGCCAGAGAATGAAAGGTATGTCATATACAGGTAATCAAAGACAAGGATAACAAATTTCTTACTGAAAACTATTCAAACAAGAATGCAATAGAGGATGCAATAGAGCAAAGAGAATGCAATAGAGCAAATTTTTAAGGTAGAGGTGAGCAAAAAGAAAAACTGGTGAAATAAGAATTCTACATCCTTCATATTGTTAGGTTTAAATCTATCATCTCATTTGTTTTGTTTTTTTCTCATCAATTCTTTGTTTCCCCCTATATGTATGCCTTTTTAAAATTAAATATTTTATATGATCCCATTTTATGTCTGTTTTTGCTTATTAGTAATGGTTATGATTTGTAAAGTGTAATTATGTTTCAAAATTAAGGACAAAATAAGGACTTTCAGTCATATGAAAGTTGAAATCATTTAATTCACCAGCAAATGCAAAATATACAGAAATGACAAAGAAAGTACCAGATGGAAATGTGGATCTGTAAAAGTGTATGAAGAGCATGGAGACTGGTAAAAACAAAAGTAAAATATGTTTTATTATTTAAATATCTTGAATATTATTTAAATATCTTTGTTTAAAGAGTAAATATTAAGTATTTAAACAAAAATAACTATAGCATAAGGTTTATATAACATATGTAGATGTTAAACGTATGACAATAATAGCACAATGCCAGGAGAGCAGAAATGGAAGTATACTATTATAGGGCTTTATTAAGTATTCATGAAATGGTATAATATTAGTTAAAGACAGACTGCAATAAATTAAAGATATATACTATAAACTCTAAAGTAACCACTAAAATACTAAAATAACAAAACAAATAACTATCACAAATCATAACTATCACTAGCAGGCAAAAATTGACATAAAATGGAATTATACGAAATATTTAATAAATCTTAAAAAGGCATACAAATAAAAGGGAAACACTCATGAGAAAAATACAGAATAAATGAGATGACAGATTTAAGCCTAACAATATCAATGATAACATTAAATGTAAATAACCTAAATAGCCCAATTAGAAGACAGAAATTGTCAGCTAAAATCAAAAAATCAAGACCCAAAAAATGCACTTAATAAAGTTGTGGGACTCAAAATTAACATAAAAAATTAGTTGCACTTCTTTACACCAATAACAGTCTATCTGAAAAAAGTGTCAAGAAAACAATCCCACTTATGATAGCATCAAGAGGAATAAAATACTTAGGAATATATTTAACCAAGTTAGTGAAAGACCTGTACACTGAAAAGTATAAAAACATTGGGAAAAGAAATTAAAGAAGACACAAACAAATGGAAAGATATCTGATGTTTATGGACTGGAGTAATGAATATTGTTAAAATCCCCATACTACTCAAAGTAATATACAGATTCAATGCAATCTCTATCAAAATCCCAATGGCATTTCTAAGTAAATAAAAAAAGCAATTCTAAAATATATATGGAACCACAAGAGATACCAAATAGCCAAGACAGCCTTAAGAAAGAGTAACAAAGTTGGAGACATCACACTTTTGGATTTCAAATTATAGTACCAAGCTATAATAATCAAAAGAGTATGTTACTGACCAAAAGCAAAACAAAAAAAAAAAAAAAAAACAGGCAAATAGACCAGTGGAACAGAATAGAGAGCTCAGAAATAAAACCAAGCAAATATAGTCAAATAATTTTTGACAAGCACATCAAGAAGGCACAATGGGGAGAAAGATAGTCTTTTCATTAATGGTATTGGGAAAATATAAATTTAAAATTATATAAACAGACATTTCTCAAAAGGAGATATATAAATGGCCAATAAACATATGGTTTACATACAAAAGAATAAAATTGGATACTTACATCATACACAAAAATTAACTCAAAATGGATTAAAGACTTAAACATAAGACCTGAAACAATAAAACTCCTAGAAGAAAATATAGAGGGAAAACTCCTTGTTATTGGTTTTGGCAATGATTTTTTGAATATCACACAAAAAGTTCTGGCAGTGATGCAAAAATAAAAAATGAAACTACACCAAACTAACAGCTTCTGTACAGCAAAAAAAAAAACTAACAAGATGAAAAGGTAGCCAATGGATTGGGAGAAAATATTTTCAAGCCATATATCTGATAATGGGTTAATATCCAAAATATACAGGGAACTCATGCAACTCAATAGCAAACTAAAAAGTAAAAACAACCCAATCAATAAATTGGCAATGACCTGAACAGATATTTTTCCAAGTAAGACATAAAAATGGTCAACAGGTATCTGAAAAGGTGCTCAACATCACTAACCATCAGGGAAATGCAAATCAAAACCATGATGAGATATCACTTTACACCTGTTAGAATGACTATTATTTAATAAATAAATAAATAACAAGAGATAACAAGCGCTGGCATGGGTGTGCAGAAAAGGGATCTCTTGTATGCTGTTGGTGCAAATGTAAATTGGTATGGCCATTATGGAAAATGGTACAGAGGTTCTTTGAAATATTAAATATAGGACTACCACGTGACCCAGCAATCCCTCTGCTGAGTGTATACACAAAGGAAATGAAATCAGCACTTCATAAAGATATCTGTGTCCCATATTCCTTGTGGCATTATTTACAATAGCCAAGATATTAAAACAATGTAACTGTCCATCAATGGATGAATGAATGAAGAAACTGTGGTATACTTACATAATGAAATACTATTCAACCTTTAAAAAGGATATACTGCCATTTACAATAACATGGATGAACCTAGAAGACATCATGTTAAGTGAAGAAAACCAGACACAAAAATAAAAACAGTGCATGATCTCACTTACATGTGCAATCCAAAAAATTTTACTCTTTCTACAGAGAGTAGAATAGTGGTTTTCAGGGTAGGATGGGGAAGGAATGGGGAGACGTAGGTCAAAGGTACAAATTTGCAGTTAGGTAAGATGAGTAAGTCTAAAGAACTAATGTACAGCAAGAGGACTATAGTTAATAATATTGTATTATATATTGAAAATTTGCTGGCAAAGTAGATTTTAGGTGCTCTTACCACAAAAACAGAGATTACTGTGGAAAATTATAGATATATTAATTTGTTTACCTGTTGTCATTTCAGTATGTATATGTATATCAAAACATCATGTTGTATATCTTAAGTACATGCAATAAATAATCAATTTTCAAAATACATATATAATCAAAAATGCATTTTACATAAAGACACAAATAGATTAAAAATGAGGGGAAAAAATATACCATGCTAACACTGATACAAAGAAAGCTAAAGAGGCCATATTAATATCAGACAAGGTGGATTTCAGAGCAAAGTGTGTTACTAAAGATAAAAAATACCATTTCAAAGTGTTAAATGGATCAATTCATTAAGATAATATATACATCCTCAATTTGTAGGCATTTAGTAACAGTTTAAAAATACACAGAGATACTAACAAAAATAGTCACAAAAACAATAAGAGAAAAAGAATGGAAAACATAGACCATGCTAGCACTAATCTAAAGAAAATTGGACTGACTATAGTAATATCAGACAAAGTAGATTTCAGTGCAAAGAATATTATCAGGGATAATAATGGTCTTTTCATATTGATAAAAGGGTGAATTCATCAAGAGGACGTAGCAATTGTAAACATTTATGCACCTAATAACAGAGTTTCAAAATACATGAAGCCACTATGATAAAATATTTTAATACCCTTCACTCTACAATTAATAAAACAAAGAGAGAGAAAAGCAGGAAGAATTTTAGAAGACCTAAATAAAACTATCAACTAACATGACATGATTGACATTAATAGTTCACCCAAAACAGCAGAATACACATTTTTTCAGGTGCACATAGAATATTCACCAAGAAAGACCATATTCTGGGCTATAAAATAAGTGTTAATAAAACCAAAAGGATTCAAGCTGTATGAAATTTAAAATTATATAAACAGACATTTCTCAAAAGGAGATATATAAATGGCCAATAAACATAGGAAAAAAATGCTCAACAACACTAATCATCAGGGAAATGCAAATTAAAACCACAATGAGATCCCACTTCACCCCAGCCAGAATGGCCATGATTAAAAAGTCAGAAAGCAACAGATATAGGCACAATGTTGTGAAAGGGTAATGTTTATACACTGCTGGTGGGAATGTTAAATTAGTGCAACCTCTATGGAAAACAGTATGGAGATTTCTCAAAGAACTAAAAGTAGGCCTACCAAAGGAAAAGAAGTAATTATAGAAAACACACACACCTGCATACATAGGTTTTTTTTGTTTGTTTTCTTATTTGGTTTTGGTTTGGGTTGGGGGAAGTGCTGAGCTTTACATATTTATTAACAAGGTAATTAATCAGTAGATTACCATAGAGCATTATTTCTTTTTTTTTTTCAACTTCTATTTCAGATATGGGGGTACATGTGCAGGTTTGTTACATGGGCATATCACACCCAGGTATTGAGGATAGTGCCCAGTAGGTAGCTTTTCAACCTATGTCCTCCTCCCTCCTTCCTCCCTCTAGTAGTCCACAGTATCTATTTTTCTCATGTTTGTGTCCATGTGTGCTCAATATTTAACTCTAACTTATAAGTGAGAACATGCAGTATTTAGTTTTCTGTTCATGCATTAATATGCTTAGGATAATGACTTTCACCTCCATCCATGTTAATGCAAAGGACATGATTTCATTCTTTTTATGACTTTGTAGTGTTCCATGGTGTATACATACCACATTTTCTTTATCCAATCCACCACTGATGGGCACCTAAGTTGATTCTATGTCTCTGCCATCATGAATACCATGGTGATGAACATACAAGTGCATATGTCTATTTGGTATAATGTTTTATTTTTATTTGGGTATATACCCAGTAATGGGATTGCTGGGTCAAATGGTAGCTCTGTTTTAAGTTCTTTGAGAAATCTCCAAACTGCTTTCCACAGTGGCTGAACTAACTTATTATACATTCCCACCAACAGTGTATAAGTGTTCCCTTTTCTCCATGGCCTTGCTAACAGCCATTCTGACTGGTATGAGATGGTACCTTATTGTGGTTTCGATTGCATTTCTCTGATGATTAGTGATGATGACCATTTTTTCATATGTTTCTTGTCCACTTGTCTTCCCTGAGAAGTGTCTGTTTAATGTCCTTTGCCCGTTTTTAATGGGCTTATGTTTTTGGCTTGTTGATCTGTTTGAGTCCCTTATAGATTCTAGATATTGAACCTTTGTCAGATGCATAGTTTGCAAATATTTTTTCCCATTCTGTAGGCTTTTTATTCTGTTGAAAGTTTACTTTATGGTACAGAAGCTCTTTAGTTTAATTAGGTCCCACTTACCAATTTTTTTGTTTCAGTTGTTTTTAGGGACTTAGCCAAAAATTATTTGCCAAGGCCAATGTCAAGAAGAGTATTTCCTAGGTTTTCTTCTAGAATTTCTACAGTTTGAGTTCTTACATTTAAATCTTTAATCTATCTTCAGGTTTTTTTTAATATGATGAAAGATCAGGGTCCAGTCTCATTGTTCTGCATATGGCTAGCCAGTTATCCCAGCACCATTTATTGAACAGAGAGTTGTTTCCCCACTGGTTTTTGTCAGCCTTGCCAAAGATCAGATAGTTATAAGTTATGGCTTTATTTCTGAGTTTTCTGTTCTGTTCCATTGGTCTACGTGTCTGTTTGTACCAGAACTATGCTGTTTTGGTTACTGTGCCCTTATATTGTAGTTTGAAGTCAGGTAGTGCGATGCCTCTGGCTTTGCTCTTTTTGCCTTAGGATTGCTTTGGCAATTTGGGCTCTTTTTTTATTTCATATGAATTTTAGAATTGTTTGCTAATTCTGTGGAGAATGACATTGGGTAGTTTCATAGGAATAGCATCGAATCTGTAAATTGCCTTGGGCTGTATGACTATTTTAACAATATTGATTCTTCCTATTCATGAGCATGGAATGTTTTTCCATTTATTTGTGTCATCACTCTGATTTCTCTCAGCAGTGTTTTGTAGTCCTCCTTGCAGAGATCTTTCACCTCCTTGTCTAGCTGTATTCCTGGTATTTCATTTTCTTTGTGGCTGTTGTAAATAGGATTGTGTTCTTGATTTGACTCTCAGCCTGGACATTATTGGTATATAGAAATGCTACTGATATTTTACATTGATTTTGTATCCTGAAATCTTACCATAATTGTTTATCAGTTCTAGCAGCCTCTTGGCAGAGTCTTTAGGGTTTTCTAGGTATAGAATCATATTCTCAGTGAAGAGAGGTAGCTTGATATCTTCTCTTCTTATTTGAATGCCTTTTCTTTCTTTCTCTTGTCTGCTTGCTCTGGCTAGAACTTCCTGCACCCATGTTTATTGGCAGCACAATTCCCAATTGCAAAGATCAACCTAAGGCCCACCAACTGATGAGTGGATAAAGAAAATGTAGTATACACATACCATAGAATACTTCTCAGCCATAAAAAAAGAATGAAATAATGGCTTTTGCAGCAACTTGCATGGAACTGGAGGCCACTGTCCTAAGTGAAGTAACTCAGGAACAGAAAACCAAATACCACATTTTCTCATTTGTAAGTGGGCTCTCAGCTATGAGGTATGCAAAGGCATGCAGAGTGGTATAATGGAAGGGGAGAGGGTGGGAAGTGAGTGAGGAATGAAAAAATACCTGCTGGATATAATGTACACTATTCTGATGATGGGTATACTAAAAGCCCAGACTCCACCAGTACATAATTCACCCATGTAACCAAAAACCACTTTTACCCCTAAAGCTACTGAAGTTTTAAAAATTAAAAAAGAGAAAAATATATGCCATGTAACCATAATGGAATGAAATTAAAATCAACAACAGAAATGTCTCTTTAAAATTCTCAAATACTTAGAAATCAAATAATTCACTTTCTAAATAAGCAATGAGTCAGAAAAAAGTATTTTAATCTGAATAAAAATGAAAACATAATATATCACATAATATATTATAAACTGTCACTAAAGCAGTTTATGATTTATAGCAATAAATGCCTGTGTTAGAAAAGAAGAAAGACTCGGAATAAATTATCTCAGTTTCATCTTTAGAAATTTGAAAAATAAGAGCAAATTAAACCCAAAGTAAGCAAAATCAAGGAAATAAAGATGAGAACAAAAAAACTGATGAAGTAGAAAACAAAAAAAATGAAGAAAATGCAATGAAACCAAAAGTTAGGTTATTTTTAAAAAGAAATAAAATTTATAAATGGCCAGACAGACTTCTGGAGAAAAAAAAAAGAAGATGAAAAATTCCCAATATAAGGAATGAAGGAGGTGGCATCATTACTTGCTTTACAGTTGTTGATGAAAAAAGGGATTATTATGAGAAATTTTATGCCAATAAATTTGCAAACTTCATTGAAATTGACAATTTCCTTAAAAGATGCATATCACCACAACTAATTCAAGAAATAACTGGGGGAAAAAAAGCCATTATATCTAGAAAAAAGTTGAAGTCTTAGTTTAAAACCTTCCCACAGATTGAACTCCAGATCCAGATGGCTGGCTAATTCTATCCCTGGTAAATTCTATCAAATGTTTAAAGAGGAACTAATACCAAGTCTACAGAAATTTTTCCAGATAATTAAATAAGAGAAAATACTTCCCAGTCATTGAATGAGGCCAATATTACTCTTATTCCAAAATAAGTTAGGCATTACAATAAAAGTACAATTTAATATCCCTCCTGGGTATAGATGCAAACTTCTTTTTAAAGCATAGAAAATTGAAGCCAGCAATAAATACAAAGAACAATATATTATGACCCAGTGGGGATTATCCCAGGAATTCAAAGCTAATTTAACATTCAAAAATACATCAAAGTAATTCACTATGTTAACAAATTATTTTAAATCTCTATGATCATTTAATAGATAGAAAAAAAATTTTTGACAAAATTCAACTTCCACTTCTGATTAAAAACTCTCGGCAAACTAGGAACAGAAGGGAACTTCCACAACCTGATCAAGGGCATCCATTAAAAAAATTCTACAGCCAATATTATACTTATTTGAAGGACTAAATGCTTTTTCATTGCCCTTTCTGCCCCCCAAGATTGGGAATGAGCCAAGGAGTCTACTCTTATGGCTTCTATTCAACATTGTATAGGAGAATCTAGCCAGTGTATTAAGGCAAGAAAAGGGGGGCGCAAGAAAGGCACCCCGATTTTAAGGGAAGAATAAAAGCTCTCTTTATTCACCAAAAACATGATCGTAAATCCAGAAATTCCTAAGGATCTACAAAAAAAATACTAGAAATAATAAGAGAGTGTATCAGGGTTGCAGAATGTAACATGAATATACGAAAACCAATTATATTTATATGTACTTACAATAAAAAAAGAACTTGAAATTTAAAAACAAAACCATTAACAATAGCATGAAATTATGAAATTCTTAGTTATAAGACTTGTACACTTAAAACTACAAGGTATTGCTGAAGGAGACTGAAGAAGATGTAAATGCATGAAGGGATATATGTGTTCATGGGTCAGAAGACTCAATATTATGAAGATGTCTGTTCTAGAAACAGCACACTATCCAAATAAACTCCTAGTCAGCTTTACTGGAAAAAATGAAAAGGTAATTAAAAATTCACACGGAAATGTAAAGGACATAAACTAGCCAAAACAACTTTGAAAACAAATGACCTAATTCATAATTTGTCATAAAGTTATAATAATTGAGACAATGTGGTATTGGTATAAAGATACACAAATAGATCAGTGTAACAGAATAGAGAGACCAGAAATTGGCCTACTTATATATGGACAGCTGATTTGCAACCAACGTGCACAGACTATGCAAAGAATAAAAATAGCTATTTCTGCAAATGGGATTGAAGCAATTGGGTCATCATGTGCAAAACAATAATAACATAATAGCTTTGACCCATTCCATGCACCATGTGCAAAAGTTAACTCAAAATGGATCGTAGACCTAATTCTAAAGCCTGAAACTATAAAACTTCTAGAAGAAAACATAGGAGGAAATCTCTATGACCTTTGGTTAGACAAAGAGTGCTTACCATGATCCACAAGGGAAAAATTTTATAAATTTGACATAATCAAAATTAAGAACGTCTGCTTTTTAAAAGGCACTATTAAAAGAATGAAAACTTAGATGTCAGACTGGGAGAAAATATTTGCAAATCAGTTTTTTGAAGGAGTTTAAAACCCTTAAAACTTAAAAATTAAGAAAGCAAACAGCTCAATAAAGAACAAAAGAGCAAAATATTTGAAGACACACTTCACCAAAGGATAGATGAGGAGTAGGATGATGAAACTGGAAGGTAGAAGTTTATTGATTGCCTCTTGGTATTAGCTGGGAGTGAAAGGATGTCACTTTCTGACAAGTCAAGTAAAAGAAGCTTGAGTATATTGAAGACCACAAAGATTATCAATAAAATAAAACTGGTATCTAAAATTCAAAGCTTAGGAAGAGGGAGGAGAAATGGTGTCTATAGTAATTTCCATATTTCTCAAAGTAGGAACCCAACAGAGAATATCTAGAGAAAAAGATAACTAAGTCCTTATATAAATCATTAGTACAGAAGTAATCACTACAACACACACACATGCACACACAAATCCTCCTGGATACCAAAGTCAGTGCCCAATAAAAGCAAGTAAAACGTGACCTGGTCAAACTGAGAACATGCCATTCCTATCAATAAATAGAAATAGGCTTAGATCATGTATTAAAAGAAAAGATTTATCAAACTAACTAATGAAGCAAAATCCAATTCTATACTATATAGAAGTGAGCAAAAAAGATTAAGAAAAGGTAAAAATTAAAAGATGAGAAAATTCATACTAGTCAAATCTTGATATCACAGTAGAATTCTAGTCAAAAAGCAGTAAGCAAAACAAAAACACTTTTTAATGCTAAAGGCTATAATTTACAATGAAGATATAACTTATTAATATTTGTGTATCTGATAACACAAGTTTGCCAATCAGAAATTATGGCATACTAAAAGAGAACTCTCCACCCACATACTGAAGACTCTAGAACATAGGTCAGCTGTGCTCAGAGAAAAAAATCATAGTATTAAATATCTATATCAAAAAAAGGAAAGAAACTAATGTTAAAAAAAAACAGAATAAATCAGAATAAAGAGTAGACACTGAGTTAGAAAACTAAAAAACAGTAAAACTGATAAATGATCAAAAAGCTATTGCTTTGGAAAAAAATCCACAAAGAACAGAAAACACTAGCAAAAAAAAAAAAAAGCAGAATTATACAAATAGAATGAGACAAAGTGGGAAAACATTGAAATAGAGGACTTTTTAATATTTTAAGATAATACTTTGCTAACTTAATGTAAATAAATTTGACAACCTAAATGAAATAAATAATATTTAGGAAAATATAATGTATCAAGTTTGAATCTTTAGAGATAAAAAATCTGAAGAGCTCAATTACTATAGAAGCTATGGCGAAAATTGCAAGACTTCTCACCAAATAATACACCCGGCCCTGATGGTTTCACAAGGGAAAGAATTACAACTTCCAAATTCTTTTTTACAAAACAAACCTAACATTGATATCAATATCTAACTAAATATTGCCCTAAAAAGAAAATTATAAACCAAATTCACTTATAAATACTGACATAAAAATCTTAAAAGTGTGAGCAAACAGTATATGTACAAAACAATTGTCATGACCAGGTGGGATTCGTTCCAGAAAAGAAAGCGATTTTCGAAAGCCTAATCACATTAGTGTTTGACTCATGGTATCTATATCTTCAAGAAGAAAAGTCATGTTGTTTCACACGTGCTGTGCCAGTTATCAGGCTGTCGTCCCTGAGCTTCCAGCCTGCGCT
The DNA here is from genome assembly GCF_000001405.40 of Homo sapiens. NCBI lineage: Eukaryota > Metazoa > Chordata > Mammalia > Primates > Hominidae > Homo > Homo sapiens. Next base: position 43,760,802 of record NC_000010.11, on the reverse strand, counting down.
CCTCACTTCGCTCTGCAATGCTGGGGCTGGTACCCTGCAAACCGCATCCCAGCTCCGCTGGCTGTGCCTGCTAGGCCCTGCAGTAGACGGGCAGAAGGGAGGCGGCCAGGCTGGGGGCATCACTCTTCCTGTTTGCTCCCTCTTCAGCCAGTATCATCCCATCCTCACTTCTTCACCTCAAATGTGGTGGTGTGTTCCAGGAGCAGCACTTGAGTCCAGTTTGCTGTTTGCACTTGCTCCTCCAGCCAGCCGCTGCCTCCATCAGACGTCTGGGTCTGGCTCCAGGAGCCCGTCAGGCCTCAGGACCCAGCCTGAGCTCAGGGAGTGGGGGGATTTGCAGAGGGCTGAGTTCCATGTGGCCCCTCCTCTCCCCTTTGTCCCCCACCCACAACCTCTCAGATGTCTTAGCAGTCCCTTCTTGTCATTTAGTGAACAGTTCTTTATGTTAAATTATTTTCATTTAAAAATAGGCATGGTTTCTGCCTCCACTTAACTAAATCTGACACCCATTGCTGGTATTTAAAAATATTCAGTTAAGAAAGAATTGTTGGATACTTCCCTGACATGATTTCTTAGATAAACAACTCCACCCTAAAACCAGCATCTTACTGAGAGGTGAATCCGGCTGGGCTTCTGGGTCAGGTGGGGACTTGGAGAACTTTTCTGTCTAGCTAAAGGATTGTAAACACACCAATCAGCACTGTGTCTAGCTAAAGGTTTGTAAACGCACCACTCAGCACTCTGTAAAAACAGACCAATCGGCACTCTGTAAAATGGACCAATCAGCTCTCTGTAAAATGGACCAATCAGCTCTCTGTAAAATGGACCAATCAGCAGGCTGTGCATGGGGCTAAATAAGGGAATAAAAGCAGGCCACCTGGGCCAGCACTGGCAATTCGCTAGAGTCACCTTCCAGTTTGTGAAAGCTTTGTTCTTTTGCTCTTCGCACTAAATCTTGCTACTGCTTACTTTTTGGGTCTGCACTACCTTTATGAGCTGTAAGGCTGATTGCGAAGGTCTGCAGCTTCACTCACGAAGTCAGCGAGACCAGAAACCCACCGGGAGGAACAAACAACTCCAGAGGGGCCACCTTTAAGAGCTGTAACACTCACTGCGAAGGTCTGTGGCTTAACTCCTGAAGTCAGCAAGACCACGATCCCACCAGAAGGAAGAAACTGTGGACATATCTGAACATCAGAAGGAACAAACTCTGGACACACCATTTTTAAGAACTAACACTCCCTAGGAGGGTCCAGAAGGGAGAAACTCAGCACACATCTGAACAGAAGGAACAGAGTCAGGATACACCATCTTTAAGAACTGTAACAATCACTGCGAGGGTTGGGGCCTTCATTCTTGAAGTCAGCCATACCAAGATCCCACCGGGAGGAACCAATTCTGGCCCATTACCAAATGGGAAACGGGTTCCCCATGAGGGCGCTGTGTTGGAGTGGTAGCCAGGGCAACAGACAAGAGAATACAACAAGCTCTTCGCTCCAAATTCTGACCTGAAACTCTGGAAGAGACACTGTTGCAGGGAAAAGAACTAGGGGCATGATGGGAAATACAATGTAGCCCTTTTGGGTAAGAAATCATAGAAACACACATATAAATGTATCTCCTTATATTGGCAAAAAGAAATACTCGAAAAACAAACCAAAAACTAATTTTTTAAAGTGGTTACATAAAGAGGGAAGGAGAAACAAGGTAGTGAGGATAGGAATGAAAGACTTCTTAGATACCACCTAGAGTTTTGACTTTAAAAACAAAATGTTTTACATACAATAAATAATGAAACGCATTTCTAAATTCATCTGAATTCAGTTTCCAAAACAATTCCCAAAACAATCTGAAATGAATAAGCCTGATTATCTACCTGGTTGGTAACATAACAGTACAAAGAGAAGACTGACTGGTAGTGACTTTAGAAAACTGTTGACTGTGAAGAACTGCTGGTTCCAAAACACAGTTCCCCACAGAATCCACATCAGAAAATGGCTCCCCATGCTGTGCAGCTCTCTCCACCGAGCTCCAAGTTTAATTCTCCAGTGGGTGCATCTCATTGCTGGGCCATCCAGCCCACGTGGAATCCCAGGCACAATGACAACTGGAAAATACAGTTTTCAGGTTTCTCCATTCTGCACAGAGGACTGTATATCGACCGCAGATTAAAAATGAATTGAGCACATCAATCCATATTATGTGTCACCTGGTAGGCTCAGGCCCTTCGAACGTCTTTCATTTGCCTCTTGAAGATTTGGAGTATAGAAATTTTAGAGGAAAACTCATCCTGAAAATCTGTAACAGGATTATACCATGTAACTAACGTGTCTTATGTCTTTAACCAGGGTCGATGTTTAGAGACTGTGAGGAAAAAACCATGTCTAAGATATCCAGTGTGCCCTAGATAGCACCAGGGCAAGCGTGACCACGCACACAGTCTTACCGTGGTTGTAGTTCCAATTACACAGGGAGGGCTCTCACTTGGAAAGAAGGGTATATAATTTTGTGCTTTCTAAATAATCCTAATGGGATGTAATTTTTTTTTTGAAGGTGTGGTCTCTCTTTGTTGCCCAGGCTGGAGTGCAGTGGCACTATCTCGGCTCACTGAAACCTCTGCCTCCTGGGTTTAAGTGATTTTCCTGCTTCAACCACCTGAGTAGCTTGGATTACAGGCGCCGGCCACCATGCCTGACTAATTTTTGTATTTTTAGTAGAGATGGGGTTTTGCCATGTTGACCAGGCTGGTCTTGAACTCCTGACCTGAAGTGATCCACCCGCCTTGGCCTCCCAAAGTGCTGGGATTACAGGCGTGAGCCACCCTGCCCGACCAGGATGTAAATTTATTATTACTAATAACATCTTCCAAATTCCATTCATTATAAATTCCCCCAAGGAATACCGTTTAAAACTTGTCCGGATGAAAAAGGGAAATAAAAGTTAAGCTTCTGAAAATAAAAGCTTCCAATATCCCTAGACCCAGTTATGGGTTGGCTCCAAATCACCCACAATACTTTCAGGGGTCTTAGAACCAATCTCAGCTATGATGCTCATTCAATGATCATTGTTGGCTGATGAATTTCTTTTTTTTTTTTTCTTTTCTTTTTTTCTTTTTTTCTTTTTTTTTTTTTTTTGTTTTTTTGGAGACAGAGTCTTCTTCTGTCACCCAGACTAGAGTGCAGTGGCACAATCTCGGCTTACTGTAACCTCCACCTCCCGGGTTCAAGTGACTCTCCTGCCTCGGCCTCCCAAGTAGCTGGGATTATGGGCGCTTATCACCACGCCCAGCTAATTTTTACACTTTTAGTAGACACGTGGTTTCACTATGTTGGCCAGGCAGGTCTCGAACTCCTGACCTCAAGTGATCCACCAGCCTCAGCCTCCCAAAGTGCTGGGATTACAGGCATGAGCCACTGCACCCGGCCGGCTGGTGAATTTCTTAGCTCAACTTCCTGGTCCAACAAATTCTCTCATTGCGTAATGTGTGCAGTGTTCTGCAATTCCAGTCTTGCTCTACTCGTGGCTAGGTACCTCAGACAAGGCTTTTAACCTTCCTGTGCCAAGGCCTCCTCTTGTAAAACAAAGGTAGCTAGTGTTCCTCCCATTTTTTGTGAGGATTAAATGAATTAATAAAAATCAAGTTGTTTGCAATAGCAAAGACTTGGAACCAACCCAAATGTCCATCAATGATAGACTGGTATAAGAAAATGTAGCACATATACACCATGGAATACTGTGCAACCATAAAAAAGGATGAGTTGATGTCCTTTGCAGGGACATGGATGAAGCTGGAAACCATCAGTCTCAAAAAACTATCACAAAGACAGAAAACCAAACACCGCATGTTCTCACTGATAGGTGGGAATTGAACAATGAAAACACTTGGACCCAGGGTGGGGAACATCACACACTGCCTGTCGGGGGTTGGGGGGCTGGGGGAGGGATAGCATTAGGACAAATACCTAATGTAAATGACGAGTTGATGGGTGCAGCAAACCAACATGGCACATGTATACCTATGTATCAAACCTGCACGTTGTGCCCTTGTACCCTAGAACTTAAAGTATAATTTAAAAAAAAAAAAAAAAGAAAAATCAAGTGCTTTGAAGAGTGTCTGGCACATATGAAGTGCTGCACAATTGCTATTACTCTTTTCATTATGTTTATTACTACTGTTACTCCCCAATGCCAGCAGATATCAAGATAGCAATGTTCTAGATACATTCAGAATTCAAGAATCACAAACACTGGCAGATTGCCTGCCGTCCGAGATAATATTTCTCCCTTGGAAAAGAAAAAGAAAAATGTAGTCTATGTAGCAAAGATTATCTAGCAAATATTATAACATGATGAATCCTTTATTAGTGTTTATAGGGGAAAAAGAAAGAAAATCATTTTCCAAACAGTAGAATTTCGAACTAAGAACAATTAGGTCTGAACATTCCTCATGGCTCAGAAGTGACAGACCACCCTGGTGGCATCCTCCTTCGACAGGCCACAGGCTGAGCATCCAAACCATGCAGTCAGCAGTTCAGTGGCAAGGGAGCCTCTGCCTTCAACACAAATAAAATCCATGAAAATGAGGAGTGAGGGGGAGAGCCTGCTGCCTAACACTCTACATCCTGATGCCTCTGAATACAGGAATTGCACAGATGAGAAGAGAAGAAAGAAAGACACAGCGTGTATCTCACTGTCACTGGGCAGGGACCAGGTTGGGGAGGACAGAGTGGAAAAAGTCTGATCATTTCTGCAAAATGGTGTCTATGTTTGTCCGCTGTGCTAGTTACAGTCCTTTCCCTGTGGTTATTTCTTAAAAGATGGAACTAAAAGGCCAATACTTAGAAAAAAACTTAAAAGGATTTAAAAATCACAGGCAGAAGTTCAGATGACACACCACATTCAGACTGATGGTGAGGAAACCTTTCCCGATAGAGACCTCGGTCTCTTTAGAACTTCACATCTCAGAATAATGAGGAGCAAAACTCTAAGTAAAGCAAATCATTTTTGCAATTACATAGACTTTGCCAGAACAACTGTGAGGAAACTGAATCAGTAATATTAGACTCTGAAAGCTTTTTTCCCTCCACCAACTACCACGGACAATTTTATACAGGACAAGAATTTCCAGCCAAAATAACCAAATATTTTCTTTACCACCTGGCATGCTGCTTCTTCCAGCTTGTGTGGTACATTGCTAGAAGTTTCTCTGCAGAATAAAATTACCCTCTGGGAGCTGGGTACATGGGTTGGTGGTTAGAGCTACTCTGGACCTAGTTTGGTCACTTGGCAGGGAAAGCATCAGTAAACAGACTGAGTGAGGAACCATGGGTAAGCCATGTTTTCAGGAAGCAGACAGTCTGTGAGGTAGGAGATTTAAAAGAAGAAAAAGAAACTGTATTGTGGGCGGCTTCTATTCTTCCTGGGCTAAGAAGTAGTAAAGGAGTAGTGGCCAAAAAATAAAAACTGTGCTATCAAAAAGAGAGAAGAAAAAGAGAGATACCAACAACCAGTAGAAAAGTGAGCAAAACCGCATGGACGGTTCAGAGAAGCAAAAGTGCAGATGCTTTCAAATATGGGAACAGATTTCAATCTCACTCTTAAAAGAAAGGCAGTGGTATTTTTCACTTAACAAGTTGGCAAAATTCAAAAGCTGTGATGGCAAACTGTGTGAGTGATGGTGCGGAGAGATCAACACTCTCCTAGCTATTATTGCAAGTGGGAGTGCAGGTTTACAAGCTCAGGGGAGAGCAGGCTGGCAAAGCACTCAGCACCAGAAGTGTTTGACTCAAGGACACCACTTCTACAAAGTGAGAAACTGAGTATTTTTTTAAATAAGTCTCAAAACAATCTAAATGTTCACAATAGGGGACTGAATAAATTATGGTGTGATCATACAGTAGAATATTATACAAGTTCGTAAAGAAGGAGGCCTGTACGATTTGGAAGGTTCTGCAAGGTACAGGGTCAAGTTCAAAAGGAAAGGAAGGGCCACAAAAGTACCTTGTTGTGCTACCACTTGCATATGAAAGCTCCTCTGAACAAATGCAGATGTGCTGCCGAGGTAGCGGACACCTCTGGAAGCTGGCAGCAAGGGCTGCCTGGAGGGAGAGGAAAATAGTGAAGCAAGAGATACCCAAACCCATTAAAAAGTGTGCTGTATGTCTGGTGTCTATGTAGATGCGTGCACATAAATAGAAGAAATATTGAGCGTTCCCACAGGCGTGAGCTGTGTTCTGTCTGTACTGTAAGCTTATGGGTGACTTGTATCTTCTTCCTTGTAGTATTTTTTGAGTTTGTAAATATTTCACAGCGAAATTAGATGCTTTAAAACAAGGATTGTTTTCCTTCTAAAATTCTCAATTATCTCCACCAAACAAAATACCTGGGCCAGGCACAGTGGCTCACGCCTGTAATCCCAGCACTTTGGGAGGCTGAGGTGGGCCGATCACCTGAGGTCAGGAGTTCAAGACCAACTTGGCCAACATAGTGAAACCCCATCTCTACTAAAAATCCAAAAAAAATTAGTCAGGCATGGTGATGGGCGCCTGTAATCCCAGCTACTCCGGAGGCTGAGGCAGGAGAATCGCTTGAATCCAGGAGGCAGGGGTTGCAGTGATCCAAGCTCGTGCCACTGCACTCCAGCCTGGTGGCATAGCAAGACTCCATCTCAAAAAAAAAAAAAAAACCTGCTCAGTTAATTCAGTCAAAACAAGCCTTTTGATTGTGGCACACTCGAGTTGCACAGTGGGATTGGAGCCGGAATCCCCATCTCCACCCTCGGAGGACAGTCAGGGCTCACCACCCACCCACCTGGGGAGCCTGGCGCCCAGCAGCCCCACACTCCCTGTGTTCCGCCAGGCCCCATGGAGGCTGCAGAGGCAGGGCGGGATATTTGGGGACAGAGTTCCACTTATTGTCTCTCTCAGGTAAAGCCTTCCCAAACGGTGCTGCTATCGGAATTGAAGACTTGGAGCTATTTTGGTTGCATTCTTGGCCCTGAGAGACAGGTTTCCTGTTAATACTGTTTTGACCGAGATTGTTTGGGCCTCTCCAGCGGGAGACCAGATTTAGATCAAACGCACAGGATCCTCCTGCTGCAACAAGAAGGGCCTGGGACACCCAGGGAAGTCCAAGCCCCCGCTGTTAGAGGGTGGGAAACGGGACTGGGGTGCTTTCTCTGCTGCCCCAGGAGGCCCTGGTGGAGAAAGGCCCGCCCGCCCGGAGCCACACAAAGCCCAGGAGGCTGGGCCGGCAGTGTGGAGGTCAAAGCATCCCGGGCCCCATGTGGAAGGTGAGTCCCCCCTCTGGGGCCCAGGGCCCGGCTGAGGAGGCTCACACAGTCATACTCAGAGTGCCAGCCCTCACACAGGACTGTTTAGGGCCTGCCACTGGTCAGCCACCATTTGGAGTTGCTGCCGGGAACATGGAACCAAGGAGACCTTGGGAGGCAGGGTCTGTCCTGGCCTCTCAGACTAACCTGGCAGATGCCCTCACACAGGCAGGAAGAGATGCTGATGGGAGGCTTGAACGTCCCAGTGTTCCCACGGACACTTCATTCTCAAAGGGAAAGAAGAAAAGGGAAGGCCTGCCTGCCCAATTCGGGTGTACAGAGAGGGACCGCAATGTATGCAGCACAGTAGAGACAGCTCTCTGGAGATGACTGTCGGGTGCACCATGCCCAGGCTGGGGAGACCTCTGAAGCAGGCAGGAGGGTACTATCTGGTAACCACAGTCCCTGGGGTAGTTGAGTGGCCAGGTCCTAAGCAGAACCTACTCTTTATTCCATATTTGCATTCCATGTTCCCTTTGCAAGGCTGGGGAAGTGGCTCCAGCATCTGAATTAGGGCCTTGACCTTTTCACAGGAGCCAGTAATGACTGCAGTGAAACCTTCAATAGAGCCTGCCCATAACCTGCTGAAGTGTGGCTTTTGGAAGAGCCAGGCTTATTTGTTTCCAAAGTCTTTTCCTTTGAGTCTTTGTTTGATCGTGGACCTGGGAACTGGCATCTGCCATCTCTTTCCTAATGTGACCTTAAATCATCCAAGTGACTGTGGGAAGGTGGCCTGCAGCACCCAGCCTGGGCCTCTAGAAAGAGATTGTGACTTTATTGCCAGAGGCTGGAAGTTAGTAGACGAACTTGTGAGGCACAGTTATTTTCTCTGAAACTGGAGGAACACAGCCAAAGTGTCTTCTCCCATTGTAGATGACAAACTGTGAAGACATGTCTTAAAGTCTGGCGAGAGTCACCCCTTTCATTGCAAAGTTAATGAAAGAAAACCATGTGTTCACAACAAGACAGCCTTTTCCTAAAAATCCTGAGTCGTTGTGTCACCATTCAAATGTCAGAGAAGTGTCCGTGCTCCACTTAAGCAGAAGACAAAAGTAATGTGAAAAAATAGAAAGAATTCAGGTGTCAGAAGAATGGTCTTGCAATATGTATGTAAATGAAAATGGCTTTTTACCTGAAGTAACCCTTCAGGTCAGTGGTCCTCACTCAAAGCCAGGAGCATGATGGACTCACCCGAAATCTTTGATAGTATGCTGACACCTGGGCCTCACCCAGACCAATTAAACCAGAATCTGGGGAGAAAGGGGGAGACTCAGGTATCTGTGTCTACCTCCCAGGTTATCTGAACGTCCAGTTAGGATTAAGAAGCACTGATAGATTTGAACTTTCACTTAGGTTTACTTTGTAATAAATGGCCTTCCCATCTGTGACCTCAGGCCTGAAATGAATAGGTCCGGTTCAGTGGCCCACCAGGGACTAACCCAAGGCTGTCAGAGTCCCAGTTATAAATGCACATCTTCTCTGGAACCCTGCCACACAAGTAAAGGAATCGCCTTTCTTCCACCAAACTGCAGTCCGTGCACAGAATACCCAGCCAGCCGGCCAGCAAGAAGGAGGCACCCGTGGCTGGCAGGGCAGGCCCAATGCTGGCCGCAGGCTCCACTCCATCAGCCCTGGCCTCTATTGGCCTTCAGGCTTGAGCCCTGGTGTGTGAACATAAGTGCCCTGCTAGAGGCCTGGAGGGCCTGAAGACACATGTTCTGGGTCCAGCCTGTGGCCCACTCAGGATCAGCCAAGGGATCCAGTTAAGTGGGTCAAGACTCTGGATTTGGTCCCTAGTAAGCCATTTAGTTTTTTAGAGAAAAACTGTCTTTCCGTACACTTTGATTGTTCCACCACGAGGAGACATCCTTCCCAGGACCGCTTCACCGATCCGGAGATGCTGCTCCTGCACTGCGGCATCCGAATATGCAAAACGATGATCAGGTGTTTCCAGAGTATTGTGGTAAGAATCAGAGAAAACCAAGTGATACATCCTAAAACAATATTGGAATGCAGCGGATAATTACATGATCATTTTTCAGGAAACATATCAATAATACTTTAAACTGATGGTCAATCATATTGGTGTCTCAGGTACACACAGACCAAAACTTAGCAAACTGTACCCTTTAACCATGTGCAGTTTGTTGTATGCCAATTATAACTTCATGTAACTATTCAAAGAAAAAATCTGTGTCCCAGCACTCTGAGTTTGGGACACAGTTGGTGATCCCAGCAGCCATGTTCTGTTACTGGAATCTGTGTGTTTGCTGAGTGGATAGTCCTGGAATCTGCCCCCAGCACTATCCACGCAGCAAACACACTTATGAGGGTGTTGACCACAGCCCCAGTTCCAAGGTGTGGGGGGTGGGGTGGGGGTGGGTTGTCTAAAGCCCACCAGTCCTTTGCCATAGTCATTGGTTTAGGGTTAGCCCTGTGCCCTGAGTCCACCAAGCAGGCTAGGTCTCATCACTACTGCCAGATCCCAGACAGTTTTTGTCCTCCCTCTGAGGTCATAGCATGGGGGGTAAAGCCCTGAACATTTGCCACCAGGGGAGAAGCAGCTTTAGAATTAAGCCCACAGTTGGTGGGAACGTAAAATGGGATGGTAGCTATGGAAAATGGCCCAGTAATCCCTCAAAATATTATACATAGAATTCTATGAAACCCAACAATTCCACTTCTGGGTACCCACCCAAAAGAAATGAAAGCAGGGACTCAAAGAGATTTGTACACCCATGTTCACAACAGCCTTCTTCACAATTGCCCAAAGATAGGAGCAACTAAACGTCCACTGACGGGTGAATAGATTTTTTTCCAGTGTGGTCTGTCTATACCACGGAAAATTATTCAGCCTGAAAAAAGAAGAGAATTCTGACACATCCTACAACATGGATGAACCTTGAGAACATTAGGCCAAGTGACATAAGCCAGGCACAAAAAGACAAATACCATGTTATTCCACTTATATGAGGTTCCTAGAGTAGTCAATTTAGAGAGACAGAAAGTAGAATGGTGGTTGTCAGGGCTGGGAGGAGGGGAATCGCAGTTATTTGTGTAATTGGTATAGAATTTCAGTTTTATAAGATAAGAGTTCTGGAGAAGGATGATAGTAATGATTGCACAACAATAGGAATGTCCTTAACATCATTAAACTGTACCCTTAAAATGGTTAAGATGGTCATTTTATGTGATGTGTATTTTACCACGATTTTTTTTAATTAAAAGTTTTTTAAAGAATTAAGCCCACATAACAGAGGACAGCCAAGCCTGGAGAACAGCTGAGAAACAGACCTGGAGCCCTGTGATCAGCTGGCTCTGTGGCTGACTTCTCACATTTCCACATTGCTTCAGCCAGTTTGTTTCAGGCTTTCTGCTACCTACGGCTTAAGTCATCTTCATTGCTACCTTGTACATGAAAGAAGGCATTACCGTGAGCTTCCAGAACACCAATCCAGTGGAACTTCTAGTCCAATGCCTACCTCTCAGTCAGATTAAACATTACCTGATGTCCAAACAAGAGTTGGTCCTGTGGGTGATCAAATTCTGACCCTGACTTTCAACAGTTCTTAGCCCCTAGACCCTACTGCACTTCACCTGTCCAGTCCCTGGGCCACACCACAGACTTTGTCATCAAACATAATCTCCAAAATTGCACGCTCTGTTCCTTTATCACGATCCGCTATTCTCACAACCCTCCCATCCTCATTCCCACACACCCAGCCTATGACACTCAACTCTGAAGTCCACTTTCCAGCCTAAGCTCTACGATGTTCCGCGTTGGTTCATGTGCTAAGCACCTCGGCTGTCCTCAGCAGTTCCTATCTCCCTGGTCAGTTCCCGTTCTTTTCCCTAGAGTGGCTCTCCAGATCCTACAGCCTCCTCCGTCCTCCAGCACGCTCTCCGTCCCGAGTTTCCAGGTCATCTCTCCCTCCCTCTTTCTCTCACTCTGGTTCGTATTTCCAGCCTCTTGCCCACAACCTCTACACTTAGTCACGTCTTCCCGTTTCCCATGGTTAGGAAAACACGTTTCTCCACCTGCTGTTCCCTGCCAGCTGCCACCCTGTCGCTCTCCTTCCCTTCACAGCCAAGCAGCTCACAACATTCGCCTGTGTTCCCATCCCCACCTCCCAACATTTCCAGCCAACCACTGTCAGGTGTCCAGCCCCCAGCCACTCCAGTGGAAACATTCTGTTAAAATGGCTCTCACCCAAATGGCTAAGCCCATGGACCTTTTCCAGACAGCCTCCTGCGTGAATTCTCTGTCACGTGTGGTGTGGTTCCCTTGACTGCCCTGCGCCCTTGGCTCCGGGGCACCTTCTAAGCTGTCCTCCCGCCTCTGACATTCTTCCTTTCTCTGACTCTCCCTGGGAAGTTGGGGTGCTCTATAGAGCACTGTCTGCGGCTCTCCTCACTTTCCATCCTCTGTACCCATCCTAGGGACTTCATCCCATCCCACATCTTAAATTCCAAGAAAGGTCTGGCTTTTGCCTGACTCCAGGAGTAAACCTCTAACCCCTGGCCTTAGAGTGTCCTGCCTGAGAAAACTGTCTTTTCCTGGGGCCTTGGGCCATGCCACATACTTTATGGTGACAATGTGATTTAGTCAAGCGGGAGGGGAGTTGGTCCCAGGCCATGTGGTGTGAAGTTGACCTCCACAGGGGCTGGAGACTAAGCAGCTAAGGTCGGTCGCTTGGGCACCCCATGCTTAGGTGACCAACTTGCAGTGAAACCCCTAGAAACCAGGGCTGAGACTGCCTGGCTGCCGGTCCTCCATGTGTTGTCACTCGTCATTGCGGGGAGAAGTAAGTGCTTCTGTGCAGACCCACTGAGAGAGGGCAACTGGAAGCTGACTCCCAGCCTCCCCTCCTCCTTTCACTGTAATAAACCATAACCACCCGCTTCACAGCTTTTCTGAGTTCTGTGAGTCCTTCTAGTGAATCGCTGAGGCTGAGGATGGCCTCTGGGACCCCCAAAATAGCACACCATGTCATCAAGTCCTACACTAATGACTCATAAATCCATATTTTCTTCTGCACATGTCTCCCAAGAACCCCATCTACACACATAACAACCAAGATGTCTCAGTGACACTAGAGATTTGAGTTGCCCAAGTTGGTCTTCTGCATTCTGCTCCCAACTCATTTCTCCTTGTGCTTTGCTGCAAATCAAGCCAGTCGTGTCTAAGACCTGGCAGGCATCTCACCCTCCAGCCCTCCTGTGCCTCCCTTCCCTCACCTGTGATGCTACCTGTGGGCTTCTCTGGGTCCTTCCTGCCTTCTGGGCTCACTGCTCCCCTCAATTCAGCCCCCCACCATGTCAGCTGGACCACGAGATCAATACTCTCTGGGTAGGTCTCCCTACATCCAGGCCACACCCCTCCAATTATCCCCACTACAGACAACAGGAACCTTTTTAAAAAGCAAAATCAGGATTCTAGTTCAAGAGCATGAAATTGAAATCTATAGGAAGGTATAAGAGGTATAAAAACAGTAAGAACCTATAACAATGAAGAGAAAGGCCATTAGTGAAAAGGACATTTCAACAGTTTTTAGAGTCAAAAGTGAATGAGAACAAATTAACAGATAAATCAGAGTGGAGAAAAACTCACCTTGTTGTACAACCCTCAGCAAAGCCTTGCACTTTGGAGCTTTCCACAAGAGTTGACCAGGATGTTTATTAAGAGACACTAAGCTCAGGACCTCTGCAGATGCAACAGTTACTCATTCCAGGCTTTAGGGAGTCTATACCCAGACACTGACTTCCTGCCTTCACACACTGAAGTGACATTTGCCCACTGACAATCCCTTAACACAAACTGGGGCCTCCAGCCAGCCATCCTCTCAGGAAAGAATCCCACCTGCAGAGACAGCAGTGTGAAGTCCTGGACAATAGTGTGAGATCCTACCTGCAGAGACAGCAGTGTGAAGAGCTGGACAGCAGTGTGAGATCCCACTTGCAGAGACAACAGTGTGAGATCCCACCTGCAGAGACAGCAGTGTGAAGACCTGGACAACATTGTGAGATCCCACCTACAGAGACATCAGTGTGAGATCCCACCTGCAGAGACAGCAGTGTAAAGACTTGCACCGAGCAATCAGTCCCTAACACCTAAATATGTACTATTTGGTTTGTGACCATAGGAATATGGTAATTTACAATCTTTTAGCTTAAAAAAAATGCTGTGCAACTGTTGTAAGTACTTTCCAGTTTAAAATCCTTCAGTGGCTTCCCTTGGCCTGCAAGATAAAAATCCACCTTCTTTCTTAGCATCAAGAATCTCCTGCTACAGACCATGTTCTCATCAAACCCTGTGGTATTTTACAGTTCACACATATGGGTCAGCTGGCAACATTATGCTTCTTGGCCTTGACTCAGCATTCTCTCTGCTCAGAATGCACTTCCCCACACCTGCCATTAGATGAACGCTAACACAGCTCAAAAATTTGTCCAAGTGAAGATTACTTACAACCTTCCCTCTCCTAAAATCATTTAAAGTCAGTCCCTTCTACACAAGCTTTTACCAGTGTTCCCATGATATTTTATTACACTTGCAAATTTTTTTTTTTTTTTGAGTCAGAGTCTCGCTCTGTCACACAGGCTGGAGTGCAGTGGCACGATCTTGGCTGACTGCAACCTCCACCTCCCGGGTTCAAGCAATTCTCCTGCCTCAGCCTCCCAAGTAGCTGGGATTACAGGTGCCCACCACCCTGCCCAGCTAATTTTTGTATTTTTAGTAGAGACTGGGTTTCACCATGTTGGCCAGGCTGGTCTTTTTGGCCAGGCTGGTCTTGAACTCCTGACGTCATGATCCGCCCACCTCGGCCCCCCAAAGTGCTGGGATTACAGGCAAGAGCCACCGCGCCTGGCCTACACTTGTAAATTAACCTGCCTGTCTGCACTTTGTGCTCTGGGAGAAACCTGTGCACCCCAGGCTTACGATATGGGAGAGCCTCGGTATATTTCCAAAAATGAATGAGCAAATGGCATTTAGGGATGGACTTGTCATTCCCTGTGGGACTGATATTGGCTCCATCAGGTGTCTTATGTAAGTGGGAACAATAACGCCAGCTACAATGTAGGATTTTTGTGAAGATAATAATGATGGATAAAATGTATCAAATACAGACAATGCCAAACGCTACCCGCAGCACTTTATACGTGTTTAAATTCATTCTCATAATAACACTGTATGATTGGCACAATTATCTCCATTTTATACTTGATGAAATTAAGACTCAGAAATTAAGGGACATGGCCATTCCAGCATCAGAGGGAGCGTCTGGTGCATGGCAGGCCCTCAACAGGCGCTAGCTCCCTTTCCTGCCCCCACCTCTCAAATCTAGGAGATTACAATGAGATAACTGGGAGACACAAGGGAGGCATAGCTTGTGTTGAGGAGACTATATAACAGAGAAGCTAAATTTCTTAATGCTGTTTTATAACTTCTAGGAAAAACACATCTCCCAGACCAAAGCAAGAATCCCCTGCAAGTTTCACCTGGATCTGTCCACCTAGGCTTGGAATAGAGGTTTCATGTTCACTCCACATCTCAGAAACACCCTTAGTTATAACCTCTGGGAAGAGATCTGTCAGGTTCTATTACATGCCGGTGAGTCTCTCTGAGGCCAGGGTTGTTAGTCTGACTGTAATAATAATAACAGTTATAGTAGGAATAGCATGGCACCCACAGCAATAGAAGGAGGAATATTAACAGAGGACTTACTAACCACCAGATCATGGCTAGGCACTTGAATTAACATATTTCATCCATTTGAGATAATTACTAACAGCAATGGCAGCAACAGTAGTAACAGCATTGTCAGTGGTGGCAATATCTAATGTTAACTGAGTACTTACTCTCTGCCAAGTTCTAGACTACACCCTTCACAATTATTAGCACATTTGACCCCTATCAAAGAATTACTATTATCTACATGTTGCAAGTGGATTCCGTTTCTGACCAAGAGGGAGTAACCGGGTCTTGATTTACCCTCTTGTCTGAACCCACAAAAATAATAAATAAAATATATGAAAAAATAGTTTTTAAGACACTGGCCAACAAGCAATGGAGGACGGTGATCCCCAAGAGATGGGCACAAATGAGGTGACCCATCTGATTGCCCCAGCTTACTGGAGACCTCTCCAGCCATGGGGCAGGGAGAGGGATAGCAGGAGAATACAGGACTCCTAAGCTGAGGCAACAAAGAAGCAGAAAACACAGTGAGAAGAAAAATCAACCAATCAACACTGGCCCAGAACTGATACAGATGTTCAAATAAGCAAACAAGGACACTAAAACAGTTATTATAACTGCATTATGTATTTGCAAAAGTTAGCTACATGGAATCTGTAAAAGAGGCAAATTGAACTTCTAGAGATAAAAACTATAATGTGTGAGATGTTACAATGAAAAATATATTGGATGGGATTAACAACAGATTAGACATTGCAGATGAAAATATTAGGGATCTTAAAGAAAGAGAAACTATCCAAAATAAGACACCAAGAGAAAGAAAATAATCAAAAATTGAAATGAATAGAGGGTGTGGAACAGAAAAAATATTTGAAGAAATATGGCTGAAAATTTCCAAATTCAATCAGAGCTATAAACCCATAGATCAAAAAAACTCAGCAAACTCCAAGCCCAAGAAACTTAAAGAAAACTACAAGACATCTCAGTATTAAGTTGCTCAAAAACAGTGATAAAGAGACAATCTTAAACCAGAGTAAAAAGACATATTACATACAGAGACAGAGATGAGGATGACAGAAGATTTCTTGTCTGAAACAATGCAAAAATAAAGCAACATTTTTAAAGTACTGAATGAAAAAAGGCATCAGAAAAGGAGATTAGCATTATGTAGAGCTGAAACCAAAAGAAGACCTAGTTAACGCCGGATCCCATCTATTTCAGGGTGCCTAGAAATTTAATATCAGACTTACAGTTTCAAAAATGGACTTTATTAACTATCATAAACAAATATAAATTACAGTCAGATTAAAGACATAAATGTCAGCGTAGAGTTCCATATCCAGCAAAAAATATGTTTCAAAAATAAAGACTGTTTGCAGAAATAAAAAGCTAAAAGAATTCATCACCAGCAAACATGGACTAAAAGAAACGTTAAGGAAACTTCTCAGCAGAAGGAAATTGAGACCGCATGGAAATCTGGATCTATGCAAAGGAATAAAGAGTATCAGAAGTTGTTAACTGCATGAGTAACTGTATAAGGTTTTATTCTTATTAAAAAATAATAATGATGTAATTGTGTCATTTACAACATATGTAGACATAAAATGTATGACAACAGCACAAAAAGCCAGGAGGGGGAAAATGGGAATAACTATCATGAGATTGTAATACCGTCTATAAAGTGCTATAAATACACTCAAAGATCAACTATGATAAGCTAAGGACGTATACTATGAAGGCTAAAGCAACCATTCAAATGATAAAACATAGAGTCACAGCAAACAGACCCCAGTCTTCAGGTCATCTCATGCCTGTGAGCAAAACCACGCTCCAAGCAGTGTGAAGCAGATGGAAGGAATGAGAACCTGGACAGCAAGGAACCCGAGGCCTGGGGCTCAGGTTTCCCCTCCTGGAGAGACTCACCTTTGAAGCTGCAGGCCTCTCATTACAGTTCCATGTGCTTCTCAGCCTCTCATATTCTTCCCTCTTGAAATACCCCATTTGTGCTTTTTTTCAAAGAACAAGGATCAGAAGAGACTTCTCTAATTCTTTCCTTGCTTTCCAAAACAAGAAAGAATTTCACACCTTCTTAGGAGCTAAGGACATAGGCTTAGAATGGCAAGCAGTGGATACCTGGAATAACTGCCTCACACATCCAGGTAGAAAGGACTTGAGGGTGGAGTCGACTATTCTCAAAATGTCAGAGTACTAGAATCCCCACATACCCCTGTTGTCTATCAGTGACCTGGTCTAGGAAGAAATAAGTGACCAGGTGTCTGGCTGAGCAGACCAGTTTTTTGTCTTGCTGAATGGGTGTACAAGATGAAGGGCAGTGTCAGGAAGGACACAGAGAGCCAGCAAAAAAGGAGGAGAGAGAGATTCTGTAAAAAAGAAAAAACATAGGAAAGCTGAGTATGCTGCTACGGGGAGAATTGAGGAAAAGAGGAGGCCATTAGAGATGTGGTGACAATGTTGGTTGTAAGCACTTCCTCCTCCGTCTCCCCCAAGAACCTCAGTAAATATCTGCATTGCCTCTTCAAGTCAGATCTGGGGCTTGGTGAAAAAAGAACAGCTAGGACTATCCTCAAGGGAGGCCTGGGGTGCCCGGTCACACTTATGTCGAGAAAGGTGGTTGACATTCACTCAGGATTTCATTGGCTTGTTCATCTCATCAGTAAATGTTTAATAAGCATGTTCTGTGTGCCAGGCACTGTTCTAGGTGCTTAGGTTTCACCAGTGAACAGCACAAATGTCCCTACATTGTTGCCAGAGAATGCAATAAATTATAAAGAGAATAAATAACTATACACAGAATGTTAGAACATGATGAGTAGAATGGAAAAACGAAAAAGTAGAGGAGACAGTGATTTTAAACAGGGTAGTCGGGGTACAATGCCCCCTTGGTAAAGTGATACTTGCGTTAAGCCTTGAAGGAGGTGAGGGAGTGAGCTATAGTTTGGATATTTGCCCCGCCTCCAAACCTCATGTCGAAATTTGATTCCGATGCTGAAGGCAGGGCCTGGTAGAGGTGTTCGGGTCTTGGGAGAGGATCCCTCGTGAATGGCTTGTCACTGGCCTAGAGGTAATGGGTCAGTTCTCACATGAGAGCTGGCTATTAAGAAGAGCCAGGCACTACCCTCTCTCTCTTGCTTCCTCTCTCCCCATGTGACCTCTGCACAGCCTTCTCCCCTTCACCTCCCACCATCAGTGGAAGCAGCCTGAGTCCCCCACCAGAAGCCAACCAGATACGGCACCGCATTTCCTGTACAGCCTGCAGAACCATAAGCCAAATAAGCCTCTTTTTTTATAAATTACCCAGGCTTAGGTACTTCTCTATAGCAACACAAATGGACAAAGAAAGAATGGAGGGCAATCGAGGTGGGGGAAAGGCAATGCAAAAGTCTGGAGGTAGACTTTCCCAAAACTGTATAATTTCATAAGGACATAATGGATGGAGAGGAGAAAACCTATGGTGGCTATTAAGGCCCTGATGCCACATATGTCAAATGGATATCTTCTGATGGTCATGAATTTGTTGTAAAAAGACAACATGCATTAACATCAGGCGTGATAAAAGCCATGCTGAGTGGCCCAAGTCAACATGGCTTGAGAATGAAACCAGTGAGTTAATTTTAGAGAGATCCCTTAACAGTGCTATCACCAAATCTACGTCTGATTGGTGTACCTGAAAGTGACGGGGAGAATGGAAACAAGTTGGAGAACACTCTGCAGGATACTATCCAGGAAAACTTCCCCAATCTAGCAAGGCAGGCCAACCTTCAAATTCAGGAAATACAGAGAACGCCACAAAGATACTGCTCGAGAAGAGCAACTCCAAGACACATAATTGTCAGGTTCACCAAAGTTGAAATGAAGGAAAAAATGTTAAGGGCAGCCAGAGAGAGAAAGATCGGGTTACCCACAAAGGGAAGCCCATCAGACTAACAGCGGATCTCTTGGCAGAAACTCTACAAGCCAGAAGAGAGTGGGGGCCAACATTCAGCATTCTTAAAGAAAAGAATTTTCAACCCAGAATCTCATATCCAGCCAAATTAAGCTTCATAAGTGAAGGAGAAATAAAATACTTTACAGACAAGCAAATGCTGAGAGATTTTGTCACCACCAGGCCTGCCTTACAAGAGCTCCTGAAGGAAGCACTAAACATGGAAAGGAACAACCAGTACCAGCCACTGCAAAAACATGCCAAATTGTAAAGACCATCAAGGCTAGGAAGAAACTCCATCAACTAACGAGCAAAAAAAACAGTGCTATCAAAAATATTTGTGTATTTTACCTATAAAGTTTCGCTACACTAACAGCTCCACCGAGATTCCTGAATTCCACTGGAAAAGCTGATGGCTATGATTTCCTAAACTGTTAAATAAAACAAATCATAATAAACTGCTAACTTTTTTCAGTATTTAATACCTGTAGTTCAGTTAGTAATTTTTTCATATATAACATGTTGCCTGTATGCAATTGAACCATAAAGTTCATTGCAAGACCGGGCGCGGTGGCTCACGTCTGTAATCCCAGCACTGTGGGAGGCCAAGGCAGGCGAATCACCTGAGGTCAGTAGTTCGAGACCAGCCTGGCCAACATGTTGAAACTCCATCCCTACTAATAATACAAAAATTAGCCAGGTGTGGTGGCACATGCTTGTAATCCCAGCTACTTGGGAGGCTGAAGCAGGAGAATCACTTGAAACCAGGAGGTGGAGGTTGCAGTGAGCAGAGATGGCGCCAATGCACTCCAGCCTGGGTGACAGAGCCAGACTCCATCTCAAAAAAAAAAAAAGAAAAAACAACCATAAAGTTTATTGTAAAGATTATGTTGTTTTTCTGCAAAGCAATCAGAGTTGAAATTTGTTTGCTACATCAACAAATTAAGAATATTTTTACAAGTTGAGAAATAAACTAATATGCCAGCTTGTAGCTGCTTTTGCCTTATTCTTCATATGTGACTTCTTAAATTAAAGCAATGAAGATATAGTAAATGCTGAAATTTAGGCATATATAAGCACATTCTACAGATAAATAATGGGGATAAATATTTTTATTTTTTATGTTTTTTAAGAATCTATTCTGATCTTACAGCCACCATAAGCATTACTAGACTTACACAAATAATTGCATTATAAGCATGTTTATAACTTAGCCAAAACATCAATTTTTATAACTTTTTAAGAATAAGAGTTGAAATTTCATACAAGTTTTTTGACAAACTGCAATATTAATTGTTTCCTTTTCTTTATTGCTATAATTTAAGAACTTTATTTTAAGCAGCTTAGGAAGATTATTAAGTTTAGCTTTTGAAGCAGTAACTGAACTGTAGCCAGATGGTCAACAAGTAAACTACATAATTTCAAGTTCTAGCACATTATACATTTTGAGCAATCAAAGTACTATATTTTCATTGTCTATAAAGTTTCCTTTGCAATTTCCACACACACAAAAAAAGGCAGGAGACAATGGGGATGGGATTTCTTCTGGGAATGATGAAAATGTTCTGGAATGAGTGTAGATGTTGGAGTCCCTTGTGAATACGGTAAAAAAAAAAACACTGAATTATACTTTAAGAGGGTGAAATGTATGTGTGTAAGTTACATTTCAATTTTTTTAAGTGTGCAAGACAGGAGTGTGCCTTGCACATTGGAGAAACAGCAAGGAGTCCAGTATGGCTGCAGTAGAGTTGAACAAAAAAGAGATGAGGTCAGGCATGGGACGGGACATCAGACCACGGAGGCCCTTGTTGGTTTTTGTAAGATCTGTGGGTTTTACTGCAATTACATGGGGAACCAATGCAGGGTTTTGATGCATGTAGTGACATCGTATCGTCTACATTTCAAGGATCAGGCTGCCTGCTGTATCGGCAGTAGCTACAAGGAGACAAGAGTGGAGGCAAGGAGGACCATAAAGAGGCCATTGCAGTGATCCAGGGAGAGGCGATGCAGACTTGGGAAAGCTCAGGGAGAGTGGCGGAAACAGTGAGAAGGGACTGGATCCTGAACATCGTTTGAGGATCTCTCCACAAAATTTGCTGCTGAGTGGATAATGGACAAGAGTGAAAGAAGGGACACATCATCAAGAAAATGAAATTCTGCTACAGATAGGAGTTTTAGGAAATGAAAAGAGGTAAGCTACTGACTGGGAGAACATATTCTTCAGTCATACATCTGACAAAGAACTTGAATCCATAGAACTCTTCCAACTCAACAAGAAGACAACCCAATTTAAAATGGACAAAATATTTGGATAGATATTTCACAAAAGAAGAAATACACATGGTAAGTAAGCCTATGAAACAGCCCTCAGTATTTTCAGTCAATAGGGAAGTGCAAATTAAAACCACATTGAGATGCTACAGAGCAGTTGAAATGGCTAAAATTGGAGACTGACAATACAAGTTTGGCAGGGATATACAGCCATTGGCGCTGTCATACATTGCTAGTAGGAATGTAAAATAGTAAAACCACTTTGGAAAACAATTTGGCAGTTTCTGAAAAAGTTAAACTTAAACCTACCATATGACCCAGAAATTCCACTTTCACATATTTACCCAAGAAAAACAAAAACTTATGTCCATACAAGCCCTTATTCCAAACTCAGTATCTCACTCCTTCCCAATCAAAGCCCTCATCTGCATGGAGCAGACCTACAAATGCTGAAAACCGAACTTTCTCTGGAGCTCTCTTTCTCCTCTGCTTTTCTGCATTTTGACTGAAAGAAATGAGAGTTCCCATGTGCAGCCAGGGAGATTCTCTGGCTTTCATACTTCGCCTTACACTGGTGATTTCTCATCTTCAGACTGTCATTGTTTTTCTCCAAGGTGTTGATGGCCTCAAGGAATGGACACTTGGTTCCAACATCCTTATAATGACTATCTCCAGCCCCCAGACTCCCAAGATGACCACCTGAGATGTCACACTTGCCATATGCTTTCTCCCACCAGCACCCAATCTCAGTCTACCACTGTTGAAAATCTCAACAATTGTTCCCCAATTTGGCACTGGGACTATCAGGGTACACTTAGACCAGTGATGTGGTCTTCATTGCCAGTAAGCCAATGGATGGTCTATCTTCAAAACCCAAATTTAGGTTGTGCTTTGTAGGACCATTTCTGGTACCAATTATCATAGGTTGGGATTACCAAAAAAAAAGAGTCTCTAAAGCTCTGAAATTTGTATGCAGAAGGTTTGTTAGGAATTACTCTTAACAGTCACATCTATAAGGGGTGAGAAAAGCAAAACTGTGCAAAGGAAGTTGAACTGCAAGGTGGTTTCAATGGAAAGCTGAGCTTCAAGAATTTTTGGATCTGGAATGGCTCTTTGGTGTTCTCCCATCTTGAGGCCAAAGTCAGGGCCTGTAGACTCCTCTCCTCCTCAACCAGTTATTGGATGGGGGCTGCCCACAAGAAGTGGATAGGTTGGGCAAGCCAGAGAGCAACCTCCAGAGAGGAATTTGGCTGAGAACTGTCAGCTTCCGGCATGGAGTGCCTCAGTCCTGAGGGGCACCTGGGGAACACAATAGCACCCGCTACACTTGCTGCCCCCTCTCAAACACACCGTGTTCTCTCCCATTTCACCAGTGGAAGTGGATAAACACCAGTATTTCCTTTTCTCAGCCCAGGGCTCTTTCCACTGAGGGTAAGAGAGAGGCTGAAGAGTTTATCCTGCTCTGGACTCATAAAAACAAATGAACACCAGATGACAAGAGGCCCCAATCCTAAGCCAGCAGAAATATGGGTTTCAACCTGTCTGCCTGCCTCCACCCTGGCCTGAACAGAACACAAAAGCCTCCACAAACTTGTTAAAAAGGAATGGAAGAGTTACATACGATTTAACACAATTCAACATATACATAGCTAATATTTATCGAGTGTACATGTCAGAGCTTATTCTAAACACCATGTGTCTATGTGTATTTACATACATAGACATATATACACACATATGCATATACATCAATATATACATATATATGTGTACTCACATACATTTATTTAACCCTTAGAGCAGCCCTCCAAGGAAGGCATCACACTTACACCATTGCAGGTGAGGAGACAGAATACGGAGAGGTGAAGTGAACTTGCCCAACATTTCTAGAGGTCAGGGGAAGAACACCTTTAAGTTCCGGTTCATTTATCCTTCCCATATGTCTTTTCGTAGACTGTGGTCTTTGAGTAACCCATAAATGTGATCATTTTTCCATATGTGTAACAGAGATTCTTGTTATGGCCCCCTTCACTGTGCAGAAGATTGGGGCAGTGTTTCAGCTTCAGTGAGTAGGTCTCGAGGATCATAATCCCAGCATCATGATCACACTCAACCATGTTTGTCTCAAATAAAGCCCTGGGGTTACAGGGTGTGTGTGGGCACCAGGGCAGCCCCCTACAGTGGGACTGGGTGGAACTCTGTGCATGGATTGCAGCCGGTGAGGTGGACAGGGAAAGGACAGCATGAACAGGAAGGGAGCTGGCTGTTCCCACACTTTCCTAGGCCCTGTCCTTGCTCTTAGACGATTGCACTCACAGCCCAGTGTCACCTACCACCAGCACACTGACGACTTCCAGACACATGCTTCCAGCTCCAGCTGTGCTCCCAAATGCAGACCCAGCACTGGCCTGCCTGGTAAATGCCTCCACCTGCATGCACAAAGGAGATATGAACATCTCCAAAACCATCTCACTGTGTCTTTCTTACCTAAAGACACTTCTTTGTGTCCCCAGTTCTGGTTGTTGGGGCCATTATCTACCCACCCACCCCAAGAGAAAACACAGGATCACCCCGTCATTCTCTGATATTGCCCCCTTCTAATGGCTGACAAGCCCAGTAACCTTCCTGCAGGAGCAGAGCACACAGGGCAGTTGGCAGGAAGTCCTTTTGCCTGTCTTCAAGGCTAGCTCACCCCATCTCTGTCTATCAGGAATTTCCTCTATAAATTATAAACCCTGGAAAAATGGTGATTTCTCCAGTCTCCTGTGCCAGTGAGAGACACTGTTAATGAATGACAAGGACTCCAGATCCGTAAATTAAATAAAAATGTATAAACTTGCCAGTTAATAACTTGAGCAAAAATGGCATCTAGTGGATTACTGATTGGCATTAGCAATTGTTTCCAACATGGTTGATGAGAGAAATCAACTGAGGAATCTATTTTAAAAATCCAGTCTCCTGGAACATGCCACCAGGAAGGCAGCCAGCTTACAGACAGGATTCCCAGGTAAATATGAACTTCAGATAAACTGCGAATTGTGGTTTATTCTAAATATGTTCCATGTAATATTTGAGACATACTTTTATTTAATAAAATATTTGTTGCTTACCTGAAATTTAGATCTAACTAAGAATCCTATGTTTTTATTTGCCAAATCTGGCAACTCTGACAGGCCTACAGAATCAAATATGTTTTGAGCCCTTGGGATGGGCTTAATCTGAAATTTCACACAAGTCTGACTGGTCATCAGTGGGGACTAGGGGGCCCTGGTGAGGGGACAGCAGTTCTGTTCCAGACCCTCTGCAGAGCTGCACAGCCTCCCTCAGAATCAGGGGACTCAGCCCCTCACACCCAATGGGACCAGGCAGTGCCATGGCTAGAGCTTCTCGGAGGGCCTAAATGCCAGGCAAGTCTGGCTCATGATGCACTCGTGGCTTTGAGAAGCACTATAATGTGTCAGAGTAAAAAATAAACAAAACTGAAGTCCAGAGAACTCTGCTCATCTGCTGCTTTCTCTATTTACCAGCTATACAACCTTGGAAAGCCACTTAAGCTCTGTGATCCTCATGCATTTGTTTTTTTCATTACAGAAATATTTATTGGGTGCCCTTTATGTGCAAGGTCCTCTGCCAGGCCCTGGGGATTTAACAATGAATAAGGCAGGCATGGTTCTGCGCTCACAGAGGGCACACACATGTAACAGACAAGTAACTAAAAATGTGAAGGCTGTGAATGAAACAAACAGGGTGCTGCTTGGAGTATGATGTGGGTGGGGGCATCTGGGCTGCATGGTTCCCCAGAAGCTGTCTCTGAAAAGGTGACAATTAAGCTGAGACCGGCAGGATGAAGAAAAGCCAGCCATCAGTGAGCCTGGATGTAGTAACCACATCCTTTATTTTCTGTATTCTCATGTTTTTGACATCTGGGGCCTTGCTGACCCCAAAGGGGCTGCCCCTCCCAGCGTTAGCCAGTTCCTAAAGATTGGAAACAGCTCGACCGTACACACCTTTCACGTGCAAAGCAGCCAATCCAGAGTCCATACCCCAACCCCTCCTTCATGGGGCTGTCCTGCAACATTGCTGAGCTCACTTTGTTTCTAGGAGGGTCTCGCAGGTTCCTTGGGATTTTCTATAGAGCTAATCATGTCATTTGCAAATGGAGACAGTTTTATTTTTTCTTTCAAATCTGCATGTCTTTTATATCCTTTTCTTGCATTATTGTACTGGCTAGAGCTTCCAGCACAATGCTGAATAAAAGTGGTGAGTACAGACATCCTTGCCTTTCCCCTGTCTTAGAAGGAAAGCACCATTAAACATAATGCTAACTGCAATTTTTTTGATAAATGCTCTTTATCAAATTGAGGATGTTCTCCCTCTCTTCCTATTTTTTCTGAGAGTTTTTCATCATAAGTGAATATTAGATTTTGGCAAATTCTTTTTTCCACATCAACTTTAGTCTGTTACTCTGGTGAATTACACTGATGACTTTTTTAATATTAAATCATCATTGTATACCTAGAAAAAAAATCCCACTTGAAATTTGTGCATATTTCTTTTTATAAATTGCTGAATTCTGTTCTCTAAGATTTTGTACTATGTCTGGTTTTGGTATGAGACCAGTCTGGTTTTGGTATTACTCACTTCACAAAGATGAACTGGTGTTCCCTTACATTTTCTGGAAAAGATTTTTGTATAGAATTGGTGTCAATTCACCCTTAAACATTTGGTAGAAGTATCCAGTGAAACTATCTGGGCTTGGAAATTTCCTTTTTAGGAGATGTTTAATTACAAATTCAATTTTCTTTAAGTTACAACACTGATCAAAATAACTATTTCACATTGGCAAAGTTGCAGAAATTTGTGTTTTCTGATGAATTAGTTCATTTCATCTACGTTGTCAAATTTGCATGTGTAGAGTTGTTCATAGTAACCCACATCATATTAATGTCTACGGGTCTGCAGTGATATATCAGGTTTCACTCCTGATATTTGTAATTTGTGTATTTATTCTTTCTTTGCCAGTCTTTCTAGAGGTTTATCAATTTTATTGATCTCTTCAAAGAATCATTTTTGTTTCATTGATTTTTTTTCTATTGTTTTTCTGCTTTCAATCTCATTGATATCTGTTCTTTATTTTTTCCTTCCTTCTGCTTACATTTTGAAGTTTTCAAACGTCTTGAGTCAGGAGCTCGGATTATCGATTTTCAATTTTCTCCTTTTCTAGTGCATGTGTTAAGAGATACAAACGTTGCTCTCAGCACTGCCGTAGATGTGCACCCACACATTTTGATATGTTGTGTTTTCATTTTCCCTCAGTTCAGTGTATTTTTTAATTCCTTCAAGATTTCCTCTTTGTCCCGTGGGATTTTTACAAGTATGCTGTTGCGTTTCCATGTGTTCGGAAATTTTCTGATCATTTTTCTGTATTGATTTCGAGTTTGATTCCATAACATTAGATAATGTGTTCTGTATGATTTCAATTCTTCTAAATTTGTTAAGGTTTGTTTTATGGTTCAGCATATGTTCTATGCTGCTATCTACTTTGTGGGCCTGAAAAAAATGTGTGTTCTGCTGTTGCTAGACAGATTATTCTATAAATATTAACCATATACTGTTGGTTGAGGGAGTTTTTGAGTTCTTTTATATCCTTACTGATTTTATGTCTAGTTATTCTAGCAATTGTTGAGTGAGGGACACTGAAGTCTTCAACTATAATTGTAGATTTGTCTAGTTCTCCTTTAAGTTCCATCAGTTTTTGCTTCACACATTTTGTAGCTCTTTTAAATGGCTGTCTTCTTGGTGTACTGACCCTTCATCATTAATAATGTTCCTCTCTGCCTCTGGTAATTTTCTTTGCTCTGAAATCTACTTTATCATTTATTAATATAGCCATTCCTACTTTCTTTTGATTAATGTTTGTATAGATATCTTTTTCCATTTTTTTGTTTTCAAACTGCCTGTATCATTATTTTGAAGTGAGTTTCCTGCAGATAACATACACTTGAGCCCTGCTTTTTAATTCACACTGTCAATCTCTGCTTTTTATTGCTGCATTAAGACTATTTATATTTAATATCATTAATGGTGTGTTAGGACTTAAGGCTGCCACTTTATTTTTTTGCAGATCACAGAACTTTATTAAGATGGAATCACTGCAAATTACCTAGAAGCTACTAGCCTAAGCCAAAATCTATGAGGTTCATATGAACTTAGTTATACAAATAAGAAACAAATGGCAATAAACATATGTGTGCGTGTATCTTTATAGCAGTCTGATTTACAATCCTTTGGGTATATACCCAGTAATGGGATGGCTGGGTCAAATGGTATTTCTAGTTCTAGATCCCTGAGGAATCACCACACCGACTTCCACAATGGTTGACCTAGTTTACAGTCCCACCAACAGTGTAAAAGTGTTCCTATTTCTCCACATCCTCTCCAGCACCAAATGTCCAACAGTGATAGACTGGATTAAGAAAATGTGGCACATATACACCATGGAATACTATGCAGCCATAAAAAATGATGAGTTCATGTCCTTTGTAGGGACATGGATGAAGCTGGAAACCATCATTCTCAGCAAACTATCGCAAGGACAAAAAACCAAACACTGCATGTTCTCACTCATAGGTGGGAATTGAACAATGAGAACACATGGACACAGGAAGGGGAACATCACACACCGGGGACTGTTGTGGGGTGGGGGGAGGGGGGAGGGATAGCACTGGGAGAAACACCTAATGCTAAATGATGAGTTGATGGGTGCAGCACACCAACGTGGCACATGTATACATATGTAACAAACCTGCATGTTGTGCACATGTACCCTAAAACTTAAAGTATAATGACAATTTTAAAAAAGAAAAAAAAAAGAAACAAATGGCATATTCAAAACCATAAAGAAATATCCTGATGCCCAGGTGATGAAGGCTGGGGTGAATAAGTCCTCACATTTATTTCAAGTTGTTAAGGAGTTTGTGGGCAAAGCAATGGTCCCTTGCATGCAAGAAGTCAAAGAGCTCCTCTTGCAATCCTCTTCTGTATGTGATCGAGAGGATAACACGCTTGTCACAGAGCTCTAGCTGCTTCCAGGCCTTTACACATTTCTCCAACTGCTCACATTGCTATCTCACGGTTGTTAGGGGATTCACTCATTCCTCCTCTTCCTCTTCCTCCTCCTTAGGATCTCAGGACCTGCTCAGCATCTTTTGCTCATCCTCCAGTCCCATGTCTGGCTACGGTTCCAGAGTCAATATGAGCAGCAACAGCGGCACCTAATTGACTTCAGGATCAAAAAGGACTTGAATATTTTGTTTTGTTTTTTATTTCTCTGTTTTCTTTTACTTGCTTTGCTGTGGGTTACTTGAACTTTCAGAATTCTATTTTGCTTTATACTGTTTTTGAATGTGCAGCTCTTTGAGTAGCTTTTGTGTATATGGCTGCTGTAGTATTATACCATATATACAAAATATCACACTCTAATGATGTCATTATTTCATCAGTTCAAGTGAAGTATAAGCATCTATTTTTTATAAGTCAATTTACCCCCCTCCATTTATAATTGTCTTGAGTTGTTTATGTTCACCCTGCATAGGATGAATCCCTTCCAAAATTTGATTTAGATGTCAAGACTAATGATACTATATTGACCCCAAGAGAAAATGGAACGGTTCGTGACTCACATAATGAGGCTTTCTGAAAAGAGCACCGCGGCTCACAAGCAGTGCCAAAAATGGCTTGAGAGAGCAGAGAAAAGCTTGGGGTATTTATGGTTGTTAGCGAGTAGGGCCTCAGTGTAGGTTCCTACATGTGGTAAACCTCCCCTGGCTGAAGGAGGGAGAACCCAGGCTTTCTTATCAGTTTGCCCAGATGTGAAGCAGAAACAGAAGGAGGAAGGATGAGGCTTCAAAGCTGTCAACCATCAAACATCAAAAAACTGGATCAAGCTCTGTTACATCATTATTTCATCTACAAACATGTAAAGTTTGTCTCTCCATCTTTTATGTTAAATAGATATTTTCTAATGTACCATTTTAATTCCCTTGTTTCCTTAAGATTGTTTTTGAGTTATTTTTCTTAGTGATTGCTATGGGGATTATACTTCATTCTAACAATCTAGTCCAAGTTAATATCAACTTAATTTTAATGGTATATAAAAACTTTTGCTTCTATATAGCTCCATTCTCTTCATTTCTTTCTTTGTGCAATTGTCATCATAGAAATTACATCTTTTTGTACACCCATTAACACTGTGTTATAATTATTACTTTATTGCATTGACTTTTAAATCAAAAATGAGAAAAAAAAGAAAAAACATTATACCATATTTTATATTTACCTATGAGGTGCTTGTATTTCTTCGTGTGGATTTGACCTACTACCTAGTGTCCTTTCATTTTATCCTGAAGGACTCCCTTTAGCATTGTGGGGGGGCAGGTCTACTAATGACAAACTTCATCTCTTAAATTTACCTGAGAACGTCTTAATTTCATCTCTGTTTTTGAAGAATGATTTTGCTGTATATAAAATTTTTGGTTGACATACTTTTTTCCCCCACATCAGAGTTTGATTTAGTACTGTTGCGAACACACAGAATCTGAAAAAAATCCAATGCAAACAGAATAGATTTCTTGGGATCTAATATTTTTTAATTGCCTGACAACCTACCCTCTAAGAAAATCTATTTAAGGGGGGCAAATTATTTTCGAAAGATGAGTATAAGAGGCAGTTGGAGGAAGGTAAGGAAAATTACCACTACATATTGCAGAAACATACTGGAAGGCAAATATAGCCCAAAGAAAAACCTCCACTGAAAAAAAAATGTTGAATGCTGACCATAGATCTAGCACCCTGCTCCCAGGTCAATAATTTGAACCAAAAAAATTTAAAAGACCTTGCTCAATCCTGAAGTTAGTGAAGGAATATAGGAGGGCTGTGTGTTAATGTTACACATGAAATCAAAGAGCACTGCTATTCAAGGGGCATAATGTCTTGATCTTAGGATCAAATACTCTAGGCCTTGAGCTGAAGAGTCTGCATTGCAGTAGAAAAATGGGAAGTGCTTTATGCACATGGATTCAGGACATACCAGCAACCTACCTGTGCAGCATTGTCTAAGCCATAATGATCTTCCTCATCTCCCACTGGAGGTAGATGTAAGAATCTCTGGCTGGGCGCAGTGGCTCACACCTGTAATCCCAGTACTTTGGGAGGTCGAGGTGGGCAGATCGCGACGTCAGGAGATCAAGACAATCCTGGACAACATGGTGAAATCCCGTCTCTACTAAAAATAAAAAAATTAGCTGGGTGTGGTGGTGCACGCCTGTAATCCCAGCTACTCAGGAGGCTGAGGCAGAAAAATCGCTTGAAACAGGAAGTCAGAGGTTGCTGTGAGCCGAGATCGTGCCACTGCACTCTAGCTTAGAAAAAAGAAGAAACCTTCCAGTCTGTAAGAAGAAATCTCTTACAGAACTTTGATAGAAAGTTGGGTCTTCCCCCTCGCCTGTCTTCTTCTTCTTCTTCTTCTTCTTCTTCTTCTTCTTCTTCTTCTTCTTCTTCTTCTTCTTCTTCTTCTTCTTCTTCTTCTTCCTTCTTCTTCTTCTTCTTCTTCTTCCTCTTCTCCTTCTCCTTCTTCTTCTTCTTCCCCTTCTTCTTCATCTTCTTCTTCTTCTCTTCTCTTTTCTTCTTCTTCTTCCTCCTCCCCTTCTTCTCCTTCTCCTTCTTCTTCTTCTTCTTCCTTCTCCCCTTCTTCTCCTTCTCCTTCTTCTTCTTCCTCTTCTTCCTCATAAGGAAACCAAACATTTATACTTGTTACACCCCCTGAAGCTGAAAGCAATAAAGAATGAACACATACAGCAAGTTGCTAGGTGCATCTCTGTTTAGGAATTGCCTTAACATTGGGTTTCTATTGACAGAACCAGGGAGGAGGTTGCCTCAGACCTTCCTGAAGCTCCATTGTCCCCTGGCTGAGCAGACCACAGCTAATTTTAAGTGGCAAAAGAAATGCAAACAAATTCCTCCAGGATGAGAAGTGTGATTTCGGGCTAAAACGGTGCTCTCACACGGGGTATATGAGCACATTCAACCACCACTAGAATAGAACCTGAGGGTGCGCACTTGGTGCCAACTGCTGGAAAGCTTTCAGTTAGATAAGAATGGAAGAATGCCTGAGTTTTTAGATAATTTTAGACATTGGGATATGGTTAACAGGTTGTGTTCAGGGCCTACTCTTGATATTGTCTAAATAAAAACAAAAATAACTGCCTAAAGAGAACATCTACATCCTAAATGACAAAACATATTATCTGGGTGAAAGGATGATTTAACTCGTGAAACTCAAGAACACAAGAACAACAACTATAATCGTTTCCTTGAACACGGTCGCTAGAAGGGCAAAGCATTTTTCTACATAAAACATTACAATTTTCCCACTACTCCAAAGGAATCCAATAAATAATTGTACAGTGAAAGGGCCTGGATCAAAACTGGAAGTGACACCGGCTCCCGACGAACACAAGTCACAGGTCCCTGTGCAGATCCCAGGTTTGAGTCGTCCAAGAACGCACCACCCCCACCGGCCTGTGGTTTCATCTTTCCCCAATGGGAATGGCCAGAGGGTCCAAGCTGCTTTACAGAAGACTGTTCCATCTGGTAAGCCCGGTGCTGAGCTAAGCCAAGATGACAAACGAAAAGTGGTCAAAGCCAAGGTTTCCTCGCGCTGCCTTTGTCTTCTTCCCACTGCCTGGCCTGAGCCCTGCAGCCGGACCTCACGAGGCGAGTTCTTCGCGGGGCCTCCCCACCCAAGCTGGGGCAAGTCCGCTGCCCATCCAGAGGCAAAGAGCTCCGGGGCTGACTCCACGGCAGTACTTTGCTAGGGGTCCCGGTAGGTGTTCTCATGCTGCAAGCTCTGGAATGAGGCTCTGCATTCGGCCAGGCACGACTCCAAGGGATCCTCGAGAGCAAGGGCCATGAAGAGTCTCTGGAACGCCACCGCTGCGCGGTTAGAAGCGCTCCGGGAGAAATTGTGTCTGGGCTGCAGGCGGCGGGAGATGCAGTCCAGGAGGCGCTGCAGCAGCCGTCGGGCCAGCAGCCTTTGCGGCAGTGTTGCTTTATGCTAGGGACGTTGACTTGACCGCAGCCATGCGCCTGCAAATACTTTCTCTCCCAAACGCAGCCTAGTTCACCCGTGAGGACGTGCTTCCTTTGACTGGAGTTGAGGCATTGGCTGCTCAGGCGACTGCTATAGCCCAGGTTAAACTGCACTTTCCAAGGGATGGGCTGATCGTGGTCTTCAACCTGGAGGAGATTCCTATCTCTCACTGCCCTCTCCTCCTCTTCTGCAGAAGCCAGGGCACACGGTGCCCGCCAGGTTCACCATCTCGCGTGCACACGCGGGGCGCAGAACGAGGCAGGTGCAGACCCAGGCGCATGGCCCCTCCGCGCCCCGCATCCCCACCCTCCAGGCGGGCGCCGCCCCGCATGGGCAGTTGACGTGTTTTTCCTTCAGCATTTTGAATACGTCATCCCACTGCCTTCTGTTCCCCATTTCTGATTTTTAAAAAATTAACCGTTAATCTCATTGAGGATCACAGGTAGTGATAAATCACTTCTCTCTTGCTGCTTTCAAGATTCTCTCTTTGTCTTTGTTTTTGCCAGTTTGTTTATGAGGTGCGGAGGTGTGAATCTCTGCGTTTATTGTACTTGGAGATCACTGAGCTTCTTGCATGTAGAGATGAAAGTTTTTCATCAAATTTGTGGGGGTTTAGCCCTTATTTCTTCATGTATTTTTACCACCCCTTTCCCTCATCTCCTTCCGGGACTCTCATTATACATATTGTGTATGCTTGATCGTGTCCCACAGATCTCTTAGGCTCTGTTTCTTTTTCTTTATTCTTTTTTCTTTCTATTCCTTAGACTGTATATTTTCAATTGACCTACCTTTAACTTCACTGATTCTTTTACCAGCCCAAATATCCCATTCAGCCTCTCTAGTGAACTTTTTTCAATTGAGTTATTATTTTCATCGCTAGAATTTCTATTGTTTTTTTGTATAATTCTATCTCTTGTTGATATTCTCTATTTGATGAAACATTATTCTCATACTTTCCTTTAGTTCTTTAGATATGGTTTCCTTAGTTCTTTATATTTAAAATAGCTTCGGTATTATTTAGTAAGGACAATGTATAGACTTCCTCAAGGACAGTTTCTGTTGACTGCTTTGTACCCCTGTACACGGACCATATTTTCTTGTTTCTTTGAATGTTGAAACTGGACATTTCAAATGATGTAATGTGGCTGCTCTGAAATTCAGGTTCTCTCCACTCCCTGGGATTTCTTTTTGTTGCCACTTATTGTTGTTCTTGCTGCTGCTGTTTGTTTGTTTTAGTGACTTTCCTGAATTAATATTGTAGACTCTGCCTTTTTGTCATAAATGACCGCAGAAGTCACTGCTCAGTTAGCTCAGTGGGCAGCTCACAATTGTGCATAGATTTTCTTAACTGTCTGAAGCCAGTAAGTCTCCCAGTCGTTGCCAAGGGATTGTGAGTACGTTTTGGGAAATGCCTTCTACACTCAGCCAAGTAGTTGACAGCTCTGCCTTAGGCTCTCCTTTTTGCTCTTCAGGACCTCAATATCAGCCAGAAGTGAGAACTTAGAGCTTCTCAGCTCTTTCCTGAACACATGCACGGCCCTGGGCATTTGCACAACCCTGTTCATGCAAGTGGCCTTCCAGGTTCCTAGGATGTGTCAGAGTTTTTCAAAGCCTCCTTTGGACATCTCAGTCTCTAGCTTTTCCCTTTGGGTTTTTATGGTCAGCTTGTCATTTGCCCCAACTATTATCATCACCTCAGGCAGCAGTGATGCTAAACCATCACCACTGATTGTTTTTGACAAATGTCACTGAGGAAAAGGTTATTTGCACTGGGCAAGCTCTGAGTCAGACCAAATAAAGACAACTCTTATGAGTGGGGAATGACTAGCAGGTCAAACAATGGCAGTTCTCTGGGAATGGGTCTTTGGAGAAGCTGCAGCCCCATTCTGGCCCCTCCACTGGCTGCTGGGCTGCTGTCTTTTACCTCTGCTGTGGGCTGTTGGCTTCCAAGGCTACTGCCAAGCTGTACAGGGAAGACAGAAATAGGGCTCGTTAAAATGTTACAAAGCTTGCTATTCTTACCACAACTTAGTGTTTTTCTTGAGTAAGTGCTTTCCAGATTGTGACAAGCTTTGTTAGTTTCCAGAGTTCTGAAAAAGTTAATTTTCACAATTCTTAGCAGTATTATTGCTAGTTTTATAAAGAGGAGGAGAGGGGTTTGAGATCCTTGCTCCACCATCCCCACTGACATCCTCTTCACATGCTGGTAGAACTATATTAGAGTTATAATTTTTGTTTTAGTTGTCAAACAAACTAGAAAACTTAGGAGAAGAAAAGACTATTGGGCTTAACCATATTTTTGTTCATCCTGTTCTTGCTTTCTTCCTGATGTTCTCAGATTTTTCTTATCATTTCCTGTTTAGAGAACTTCCTATAGCCAATCTTTTAGGGTAGGTCTGCTGGCAACAAATTATCTTAGCTTTCCTTCATCTTTAATGTTTTGATTTTCCCTTCATTCGTGAAGGATATTTTCACTGAATATAAGATTCTGGGTTGACAGTTCTCTTTTTCAGCACTTGTTATGCCACTTCTTTCTAGTGTTGGAGGTTTGATCTTGATTAATCTATTGTCATTTGAACTGTTTTTCCCTGTGGGTAAGGAGGTGTTTTTCTCTCTTGTTGCTTTCAAGACTTTTCTGTCTTTAGTTTTCAGAAGTTTGACTGGGGTGTGCCTTGGTGTGGATCTCTTTGGGTTTATCCTGTTTGGGGTTCACTCAACTTCTGGAGTTTTGTAGGTTTCTGGACTTCACCAAATTTTGGAAGTTTTCAACCATTATTTCTTGGAGTACTTTTTCAGTATCTTCTTCCTCCTCTCCAGGTGGTAATTATTCCATTTTTAATATTCTATCAGATTACTTTGTATCAGTCTATAAATATGCTGCTAGATAAGTATAGTTAATTATTTAGAATTTTTATCTATAGTTGTAAGTGAAAATGGTCTTGTTATAGGTTTGGAATTATGGTTGCAGTAGCCTTATAAAACAAATTGTGGAACTTTGTAACTTTTTCTATGATCTAAAACAGCTTAAAACAGAAATGACATACTATAATTAGCTCCTCTCAAAATCTATTTGAATTTGGTTCTTTTTTTGAGACAGAGTCTTGCTCAGTTGCCCAGGATGGAGTGCAGTGGAGTGATCTTGGCTCACTGCAGGCTCTGCCTCCCGGATTCATGCCATTCTCCTGCCTCAGCCTCCCGAGTAGCTCGGACTACAGGCACCCACCACCACGCCCAGCTAAATTTTTTTGTATTTTTAATAGAGACAGGGTTTCACCATGTTAGCCAGGATGGTCTTGATCTCCTGACCTCGTGATCTGCCTGCCTCAGCCTCCCAAAGTGCTGGGATCACAGGTGTGAGCCACCGCACCTGGCCCGAATTGTTTTTAATTAAAGCTATCTAAGTACTTTTCTCACCTCTTCTGTCACTTGTGACAGATCTGTTTAGTATTCTCCTCCTTCTTAGGTTAATTTTGGTGATTATCTTAGTCTATTCAGACTGCTTTGTCAAAATCTCATTAAGTGGGTAGCTTATAAACAACAGGAATTTGTTTCTCACAGCTCTGGAGGCTGGGAAGTCCAAGATCAAGGAAGCAGCAGATTTGGTGTCTGGTGAAAGCCTGCCTTCTGGTTTGTAGACAGCACTTTTTTGCTGTGTCCTCACATGATGAATGGGGTAAGGCGTCTCTCTTGGGCCTCTTCTGTAAGGGCACTAACCCCATTCATGAGAGCTCCACTCCCATGACCTAGTCATCCCCTAAAGAGCTCACCTTCAAATACCATCACCTTGGGGTTAGGACTTCAATGTATGAATTTGGGAGGGGACACAAACATTCAGACCATAGCAGTGGTTTACATTTTTCCTAGAAAATCATCTATTTCTTATATAATTTCTGTTCATATTTGATGTCATTGAGTTACATGTTATACTACTTATAATTTTTAATATCTCTGTTATATCTGTAGTTAGTTTTGCTTTCTCTCCTTTTCCTTAATCAAGCTTGTTGGGTATTTGTAAATTTAATTGGTCTTTTGAAAGAATCAGCTTTTGTATATTTAATTTGTCTTCCGTAAAAACTGTTTTTGGTTTTATTTATTACTGCTACTATTTTAATGTCATTAATTCTAACTTTCATCTTTGTCAATTGCCTCCTTCTACATTGTTCATTTCTTTGGTTCTTCACTTGGGTTTATGATGTATAAAACCAACTTCTTTTAGCTCCTCAGAGTCTCACTCCATGTGTGATTCAGTTTTCTGGGCTTCAAACCACCCAGGACATTGCTTAGCAAAGCAGGTGCAGCAAGAATGAGTGGATGAAATTATTGACATTGGATCTCATGGTACTGAAAGTCTCCTCATCTATAGCCACATGGCTGGGGTGCCAAAGAACTTTATGAGATGTGTATCTTTGCCTTCAGAGAGGTTAATTTCCCAAGAGTTGGGGTTGGAGGAGAAAAAGCCTGAAAGCCAAAGAATGCAAGGTCACATTAAAGTGTCATCAGAGGAGTAGAGGCTGCAAATCATTTCAGTTCTGCTGGGTCCAACCCAGTTCCTTCTTAGCTTCTCGTCTTGCATTCTGGTAACAAATGTGAGGACATCCAAGAAGAAGGCTATTTTACTCAAAATCCTGGTGCTACAAACAAGAATATTGCATACACTTGTCTAGTGGATAGAGCTTGTGACTTAAGCCCTCTCACTCAGGCATTGTAAAGGATGCTAGAGACACCGCAGGTACATTTTGGAGCTTGAAATTAATCAAAAGATCAACAACATCTCAGCCTTTTTGGAGCACCTTGCAAAATATACAAGTTTACAATATTCTGCTAACTCCCTCTAAACTCCTAAAAGCTCGACAGTGATTTTGTTCTCCCAATTTCCTGAAACCATCGTACCCACTGGATTGGACAACCTCAGCTGGTGGCCATGTGTGCTATAAGAATCATCCATTTTGGACATTAGATTTGGAGAATATTTCCCTGGTTCAAGCAAAAAAGCTCTTCTATCTTTCTGTCATAACAGTCATTTCCACAGTAAACTCTATAGGCCTCTTTGTAAATTTGGAGGCTAAGCAAAGAGGAGAGAGACATTTTCCCTCTTTTGAGAGTAGGCACGTGAGTACCTTAGAGGCACAAACAGCTCTCAAGACTCACTGTCATGCCGCTTGGTTTCCAATTCTTTGCTTTCAACAAAATTGAAGGAAAACCTAGTGAATTTGTCAGCTGACAAATCACTGAAAATAATATTTGATGATAGATTATGATTTGATTTTTGGCAAATACCTAGGAAAGAGTTCAAAGTACTGACAAAACAAAACTCCATTCTCATCTACTTACATAAAAGAGTAAAGGTTCTCAGGCTTAGATTTATAGAAACTGAAAATAAGTAATATTCATCTCTCTATGCATGAACTAATTTATTAAAATGTCCCATATATCTCCTTTAATACTAAATAAATAAATTTACCATAAAATTTTTACTTTTATATACTTTCTCCAAATTTATAATATTTTCATGGTATTTTCATCAATTGAATACTAATAATATTATAATAATTCAACTAACAATAAACATTCTTTTATTTTTTTATTATACTTTAAGTTTTAGGGTACATGTGCACAATGTGCAGGTTAGTTACATATGTATACATGGGCCATGTTGGTGTGCTGCACCCATTAACTCGTCATTTAACATTAGGTATATCTCCTAATGCTATCCCTCTCCCCTCCCCCCACCCCACAACAGGCTCCAGTGTGTGATGTTCCACTTCCTGTGTCCATGTGTTCTCATTGTTCAGTTCCCACCTATGAGTGAGAACATGCGGTGTTTGGTTTTTTGTCCTTGCAATAGTTTGCTGAGAATGATGGTTTCCAGCTTCATCCATGTCCCTACAAAGGACATGAACTCATCATTTTTTATGGCTGTATAGTATCCCATGGTGTATGTGTGCCACATTTTCTCAATCCAGCCTATCATTGTTAGACATTTGGGTTGGTTCCAAGTCTTTGCTATTGTGAATAGTGCCGCAATAAACATACACGTGCATGTGTCTTTATAGCAGCATGATTTATAACCCTCAGGTATACACCCAGTAATGGGGTTGCTGGGTCAAATGGTATTTCTAGTTCTAGATCCCTGAGGAATCACCACACTGACTTCCACAATGGTTGAACTAGTTTACAGTCCCACCAACAGTGTAAAAGTGTTCCTATTTCTCCACATCCTCTCCAGCACCTGTTGTTTCCTGACTTTTTAAAGATTGCCATTCTAACTGGTGTGAGATGGTATCTCATTGTGGTTTTCATTTGCATTTCTCTGATGGTCAGTGATGAAGAGCATTTTTTCATGTGTCTTTAGCTGCATAAATGTCTTCTTTTGAGAAGTGTCTGTTCATATCCTTTGCCCACTTTTTGATGGAGTTGTTTGTTTTTTTCTTGTAAATTTGTTTGAGTTCATTGTAGATTCTGGATATTAACCCTTTGTCAGATGAGTAGGTTGCAAAAATTTTCTCCCATTCTGTAGGTTGCCTGTTCACTGTGATGGTAGTTTCTTTTGCTGTGCATAAGCTCTTTAGTTTAATTAGATCCCATTTGTCAATTTTGGCTTTTGTTGCCATTGCTTTTGGTGTTTTAGACATGAAGTCCTTGCCCATGCCTATGTCCTGAATGGTATTGCCTAGGTTTTCTTCTAGGGTTTTTATGGTTTTAGGTCTCACATTTAAGTCTTTAATCCATCTTGAATTAATTTTTGTGTAAGGTATAAGGAAGGGAATCCAGTTTCAGCTTTCTACATATGGCTAGCCAGTTTTCCCAGCACCATTTATTAAATAGGGAATCATTTCCCCATTGCTTGTTTTTGTCAGGTTTGTCAATGATCAGATGGTTGTAGATATGAGGCATTATTTCTGAGGGCTCTGTTCTGTTCCATTGGTCTATATCTCTGTTTTGGTACCAGTACCATGCTGTTTTGGTTACTGTAGCCTTGTAGTATAGTTTGAAGTCAGGTATCTTGATGCCTCCAGCTTTGTTCTTTTGGCTTAGGATTGACTTGGCAATGCGGGCTCTTTTTTGGTTCCATATGAACTTTAAAGTAGTTTTTTCCAATTCTGTGAAGAAAGTCATTGGTAGCTTGATGAGGATGGCATTGAATCTATAAATTACCTTGGGCAGTATGGCCATTTTCACAATATTGATTCTTCCTACCCATAAGCATGGAATGTTCTTCCATTTGTTTGTATCTTCTTTTATTTCGTTGAGCAGTGGTTTGTAGTTCTCCTTGAAGAAGTCCTTCACATGCCTTGTAAGTTGGATTCCTAGGTATTTTATTCTCTTTGAAGCAATTGTGAATGGGAGTTCATTCATGATCTGGCTCTCTGTTTGTCTGTTATTGGTGTATAAGAATGCTTGTGATTTTTGTACATTGATTTTGTATCCTGAGAGTGCTGAAGTTGCTTATCAGCTTGAGGAGATTTTGGGCTGAGACAATGGGGTTTTCTAGATATACAATCATGTCATCTGCAAACAGGGACAATTTGACTTTCTCTTTTCCTAATTGAATGCGCTTTATTTCCTTCTCCTGCCTGATTGCCCTGGCCAGAACTTCCAACACTATG
The DNA here is from genome assembly GCF_000001405.40 of Homo sapiens. NCBI lineage: Eukaryota > Metazoa > Chordata > Mammalia > Primates > Hominidae > Homo > Homo sapiens. Next base: position 43,720,806 of record NC_000010.11, on the reverse strand, counting down.
TTGAATAGGAGTGGTGAGAGAGGGCACCCCTGTCTTGTGCCAGTTTTCAAAGGGAATGCTTCCAGTTCTTGCCCATTCAGTATGATATTGGCTATGGGCTTGTCATAGATAGCTCTTATTATTTTGAGATATGTCCCATCAATACCTAATTTATTGAGAGTTTTTAGCATGAAGAGTTGTTGAATTTTGTCAAACGCCTTTTCTGCATCTATTGAGATAGTCATATGGTTTTTGTCATTGGTTCTGTTTATATGCTGGATTACGTTTATTGATTTGCGTATGTTGAACCAGCCTTACATCCCAGGGATGAAGCCCACTTGATCATGGTGGATAAGCTTTTTGATGTGCTACTGGATTCGGTTTGCCAGTATTTTATTGAGGATTTCAGCGTCAATGTTCATCAGGGTTATTGGTCTAAAATTCTCTTTTTTGGTTGTATCTCTGCCAGGCTTTGGTATCCGGTAATGCTGGCCTCATAAAATGAGTTAGGGAGGTTTCCCTCTTTTTCTATTGATTGGAATAGTTTCAGAAGGAATGGTACCAGCTCTTCCTTGTACCTCTGGTAGAATTCGGCTGTGAATCCATCTGGTCCTGGACTTCTTTTGGTTGGTAAGCTATTAATTATTGCCTCAATTTCAGAGTCTGTTATTGGTCTATTCAGAGATTCAACTTCTTCCTGGTTTAGTCTTGGGAAGGTGTGTGTGTCAAGGAATTTACCCATTTCTTCTAGATTTTCTAGTTTATTTGCATAGAGGTGTTTATAGTATTCTCTGATGGTAGTTTGTATTTCTGTGGGATCTCTGGTGATATCCTCTTTATCATTTTTTATTGTGTCTATTTGATTCTTCTTTCTTTTCTTCTTTATTAGTCTTGCTAGCGGTCTATCAATTTTGTTGGTCTTTTCAAAAAACCAGCTCCTGAATTCATTGATTTTTTGAAGGGTTTTTTGTGTCTCTATTTCCTTCAGTTCTGCTCTGATCTTAGTTATTTCTTGCCTTCTGCTAGCTTTTGAATGTGTTTGCTCTTGCTTCTCTAGTTCTTTTAATTGTGGTGTTAGGGTGTCAATTTTAGGTCTTTTCTGCTTTCTCTTGTGGGCATTTAGTGCTATAAATTTCCCTCTACACACTGCTTTGAATGTGTCCCAGAGATTCTGGTATGTTGTGTCTTTGTTCTTGTTGGTTTCAAAGAACATCTTTATTTCTGCCTTCATTTCCTTATGTACCCAGTAGTCATTCAGGAGCAGGTTGTTCAGTTTCCATGTAGTTGAGCAGTTTTGAGTGAGTTTCTTAATCCTGAGTTCTAGTTTGATTGCACTGTGGTCTGAGAGACAGTTTCTTATAATTTCTGTTCTTTTACATTTGCTGAGGAGTGCTTTACTTCCAACTATGTGGTCAATTATGGAATAAGTGTGGTGTGGTGCTGAGAAGAATGTATATTCTGTTGATTTGGGGTGGAGAGTTCTGTAGATGTCCATTAGGTCTGCTTGGTGCAGAGCTGAGTTCAATTCCTGGATATCCCTGTTAACTTGCTGTCTTGTTGATCTGTCTAATGTTGACAATGGGGTGTTAAAGTCTCCCATTATTATTGTGTGGGAGTCTAGGTCTTTTTCTAGGTCTCTAAGGACTTGCTTTATGAATCTGGGTGCTCCTGTATTGGGTGTGTATATATTTAGGATAGTTAGCTCTTCTTGTTGAATTGATCCCTTTACCATTATGTAATGGTGTTGTCTCTTTTGATCTTTGTTGGTTTAAAGTCTGTTCTATCAGAGACTAGGATTGCAACCCCTCCCTTTTTTTGTTTTCTATTTGCTTGGTAGATCTTCCTCCATCCCTTTATTTTGAGCCTATGTGTGTCTCTGCACGTGAGATGGGTTTCCTAAATACAGCACACTGATGGGTCTTGACTCTTTATCCAATTTGCCAGTCTGTGTCTTTTAATTGGAGCATTTAGCCCATTTACATTTAAGGTTAATCTTGTTATGTGTGAATTTGATCCTGTCATTATTATGTTAGTTGGTTATTTTGCTCGCTAGTTGATGCAGTTTCTTCCTATCCTCGATGGTCTTTACAATTTGGCATGTTTTTGCAGTGGCTGGTACTGGTTGTTCCTTTCCACGTTTAGTGCTTCCTTCAGGAGCTCTTTTAGGGCAGGCCTGGTGGTGACAAAATCTCTCAGCATTTGCTTGTCTGTAAAGGATTTTATTTCTCCTTCACTTATGAAGCTTAGTTTGGCTGGATATGAGATTCTGGGTTGAAAATTCTTTTCTTTAAGAATGTTGAATATTGGCCCCCACTCTCTTCTGGCTTGTAGAGTTTCTGCCAAGAGATCCGCTGTTAGTCTGATGGGCTTCCCTTTGTGGGTAACCCGACCTTTCTCTCTGGCTGCCCTTAACATTTTTCCTTCATTTCAACTTTGGTGAATCTGACAATTATGTGTCTTGGAGTTGCTCTTCTCGAGCAGTATCTTTGTGGCGTTCTCTGTATTTCCTGAATTTGAAGGTTGGCCTGCCTTGCTAGATTGGGGAAGTTTTCCTGGATAATATCCTGCAGAGTGTTTCCAACTTGGTTCCATTCTCCCTGTCACTTTCAGGTACACCAATCAGATGTAGATTTGGTCTTTTCACATAGTCCCATATTTCTTGGAGGCTTTGTTCATTTCTTTTTACTCTTTTTTCTCTAAACTTCTCTTCTGGCTTCATTTCATTCACTTCATCTTCCATTACTGATACCCTTTCTTCCAGTTGATTGCATCGGCTACTGAGGCTTCTGCATTCGTCACGTAGCTCTCGTGCTTTGGTTTTCAGCTCCATCAGGTCCTTTAAGGACTTCTCTGCATTGGTTATTCTAGTTAGCCATTCATCTAATTTTTTTCCAAGGTTTTTAGCTTCTTTGCCATGGGTTCGAATTTCCTCCTTTAGCTCGGATTAGTTTGATCGTCTGAAGCCTTCTTCTCTCCACTTGTCAAAGTCATTCTCCGTCCAGCTTTGTTCCATTGCTGGTAAGGAGCTGTGTTCCTTTGGAGGAGGAGAGGCGTTCTGATTTTTAGAGTTTCCAGTTTTTCTGCTCTGTTTTTTCCCCATCTTTGTGGATTTATCTACCTTTGGTCTTTGATGATGGTGACGTACAGATGGGGTTTTGGTGTGGTGTCCTTTCTGTTTGTTAGTTTTCCTTCTAACAGTCAGGACCCTCAGCTGCAGGTCTGTTGGAGTTTGTTGGAGGTCCACTCCAGACCCTGTTTGCCTGGGTATCAGCAGCGGAGGCTGCAGAACAGCGGATACTGGTGAGCAGCAAATGTTGCTGCCTGATCGTTCCTCTGGAAGTTTTGTCTCAGAGGAGTACCCGGCTGTGTGAGATGTCAGTCTGCCCCTACTGGGGGTTGCCTCCCAGTTAGGCTACTTGGGGGTCAGGGACCCACTTGAGGAGGCAGTCTGTCCATTCTCAGATCTCCAGCTGCATGCTGGGAGAACCACTGCTCTCTTCAAAGCTGTCAGACAGGGACATTTAAGCCTGCAGAGGATCCTGCTGCCTTTTGTTTGGCTATTCCCTGCCCCTAGAGGTGGAGTCTACAGAGGCAGGCAGGCCTCCTTGAGCTGCGGTGGTCTCCACCCAGTTCGAGCTTCCCAGCCGCTTTGTTTACCTACTCAAGCCTCTGCAATGGCGGGTGCCCCTCCTCCAGCTTCGCTGCCACCTTGTAGTTGGATCTCAGACTGCTGTGCTAGCAATGAGTGAGGCTCAGTGGGTGTAAGACCCTCCGAGCCATGCGCGGGATATAATCTCCTGGTGTGCCGTTTGCTAAGACCATTTCAAAAGCACAGTATTAGGGTGGGAGTGACCCGATTTTCCAGGTGTCGTCTGTCACCCCTTTCTTTGACTAGGAAAGGGAATTCCCTGACCCCTTGCGCTTCCCGGGTGAGGCGATGCCTCGCCCTGCTTCAGCTCACGCTGGGTGTGCTGCACCCACTATCCCGCACCCACTTTCCAACACTCCCTAGAGAGATGAGCCCGGTACCTCAGTTGGAAATGCAGAAATCATTTGTCTTCTGCATCACTCACGCTGGGAGCTCTAGACTGGAGCTGTTCCTATTCAGCCATCTTGGCTCCACCCAACAATAAATATTCTTAACACTTGTAAGAGCCTTGTAATCGCATGAACTACTTTGAAAAATCTATTTTTATTTATATACTTATTTTTGCCATATACATATTTTTGCCACAGGGAAGTTTGATAAATATATCAATAAAAGACTTTCAGCCATTAAAAAATATATTAGGATAAAATTCAAAGACGGAAGTGGGAAATGGAAATACAATGTAAGGAGGAAAAGGAACAGTGTTAATTTTCCAGCTATTAAAGAGTTAAGTTCATATATATATATATATATATATATATACACACATATACATATATATATACATATACATATATATACACACATATACATATATATATACATATACATATATATATATACATATACATATATATATACATATACATATATATATATATTTTTTAAAGACAGAGTCTCCCTCTGTCACCCAGGTTGGAGTGCAATGGCATGATCTTGGCTCACTGCAGCCTCTGCCTCCCAGGTTCAAGCTATTGTCCTGCCTCAGTCTCCCAAGTAATTGGGACTACAGGCACACACCACCATGGCAGGCTAATTTTTGTATTTTTAGAAGAGACAGGGTTTCACCATGTTAGACACGCTAGTCTCGAACTCCTGACCTTGTCAAATGATCCACCCACCTCGGCCTCCCAAGGTGCTGGGATTACAGGCTTGAGCCACCGCACCTGGCCTCAAATATATTTTTAAATAGGTGATGATGACTATCAAATTGCAAGATACTTAAATTCTATTACATACAGTTTTTAAAGAGTGTTATAATATGTTTACTTTAAATGACTAATACATATGTGAATTACATCCCTTGTAATTATAAAATATAAGATAAAATAATTAAAATGTTATCTTTAAAATGTGCATCATTTTCAGAATTCCTGGGGAATACGCAAAAGGGTTAATTCTGAAGGCCATGGCTTGGGGGTGCCTCAGGCCTCTGCTGTCCACCTCCCCAGCTGCCTCTCTGGATCACACCTTTAGCACCTTTTACCTGGACTATAGCACAACCCCTTAGGGCATCTCCTTGGCTGGAAAGACCTGAGCATGCTACCTGGGAATCTCCTACAAACAAATCTTGTCACATGGCCCCTTCTTCAAAATCTCTGTTGATGTCATCCCACCTGTGGCTTATTGCTGACAGGACTCTGAGCTGAGTCAACTTTAAATCAAGCCATTAATTTAAGCCATAGCCATTAGTTTGAGATGAGGCCGTCAGAGGGTATTGACTTGGATTTTACTCTATCTTGTTCAATAAAGAGCTCCACATTTAGATGGCATAGAACACAGGAAGCAAACCAACCGCCCTGGGGCCGCATCAGGCCTGCAGGTGTGTTTGGCTTGAAATCAATGTGCTTTTCAGTACCTGGCAGGAGCACACTGGGCCAGCCCTCCCATGCAGCCATTCAACTCGGGTGCAGTCATCACTGTCCTTGTGGAGGAAGCCCTGCCTGCTTCCCTAAGTGTGTGTTATTGCCGGGCACCTGCAGGCAATTATATCTGAGACCTGAAACAGAGTTTTTTCTGTGGTGTGCATTAACTACATGATGGTATCATTGTGTCATAGACAACTTAAAGCATCTAATGTTAAGGGCACAATAAAATAATATTGATGAGAAAATTTAAAACAAAAACACTCACATCCCATTTTTCCAAAGGATTCCTTCTGGATCATCATCCTCTCTGGTTCCTGGTTGCTCTCCCCTCCTCATCCCCTGGCTCAGACTCCCTGTGCCATCTCTAAGGTTTGGCTGCTTTGTTTGCACAGGGCCCCAGGAACTGTGGACAGAGGCAAAATCTCTGGAGGGCTGAAGCATTTGTGCCACGAGCAGGTCATCCTCAGAAGGACCTGAACTACAGAAGATGGAAGAGCACTTTGGGGGATCTTGCAGCTGGACTGCCGCACAGGAAGGGCTGGGACAGGGGCCCGTCTGCAGAGCGTATGGCGGACGAGGCCTCTTGGGTACTGAGGGATCCAACTTGCACCCAGTTCCAGGTGTCTAGGGTCTGGGACCTCTGTCATGGAATACTGGTGCCAGACAGGGCCTATTAGAAGCTGAGGACCCAGAGGTCCCCTTGACTGTTACAGGTCAGCTCTGGGTGGGGTTATTTCTAGGATCAGTTACACCATGACTTCTGGTCAAGCTCTCATGTGCTTTGGGAATCTCAGCCAGCAGGCCACTCCTGCTGCCCACCCCACTTGATTGAAATTACAGAGACAAAGGATGCTCTTCCCCATCCATGTTCACAGCAGCACTGTCCACAGTAGCCAAAATATGGAAGCACCCAAGCATCATCACAGATGCTTATCACGGAGAAGCAAAATGTGCTGTAACCCTAACAAAGGAATATGATTCAACCTCAAAAAGGAAGGAGATTCCGAAACATGCTACAACATGGATGAACCTTGAGACCATGATGCTTAGTGAAATATGCCTGTCACAGAAGGACAGAGACGGGGCCAGGCACAGTGGCTCATGCCTGTAATCCCAGCACTTTGGGAGGCCGAGGCAGGCAGATCACCTGAGGTCAGGAGTTCAAGCCCAGCCTGGGCAACATGGCAAAACCCCGTCTCTACTAAAAATACAAAAATTAGCTGGTCATGTTGGTGCCTGTAGTCCCAGCTACTCAGGAGGCTGAGGCAGGAGAATCGCTTGAACCTGGGAGGCGGAGGTTGCGGTGAACCAAGATCGCACTACTGCACTCCAGCCTGGGCGAGAGAGTGAGACTCTGTCTCAAAAAAAAGAAAAAAGAAGAAGGACAGAGACGGCATGATTCCACTAACAAGGTCCCGAGAATACCGAGAGTGATAGAGACAGAAAGTAGAATAGCACTGTTTCAGTCTTGCAAGCCGAAAAGCATGCTGTGGATGGATGGTGATCATGTTTGCACAACATTATGAATGTATTTAATACCACTGAACTGCACATTTAAAAATGGCTAGGATTGTAAATTTTACGTGATATATATTTTACCATAATTTAAAAATTGGGAAAAAACAAAGATTATCAAATTGAGGGAAACAAAGTTTAACTTCATTTAGTAGCAAAGAAAACTAAGTCTAACAAGAAAAATTACAACTGAGAAGAGTGTGTATTTGTGTGTGATTCAGAGGACAGAAATGGACCCAAAGAGTAGAATTTAGAGGGACTCTGAGATCAGCTCAACACAAAGAGTGTTCTGACGTTCACTTGTCCAACAGATCCGTACCAAGCACCTCTGTGTGCCAGGCACTGGAGAGGCAGTGGGAGCGGAACAGAAGGTCCTGCCTGGGGATGGCCAGCTGGACTGCCCCACCAAGGGCCACTGCCCATCACTTCAGGAAGAACCTGGATACCTGTCTCAGGAGAGTGCCATGCAGCGAGTTCCAGATTTACAGGCAGGTGAGCTGGGTCCAATCTGAGGCTCCTGTGAACCCAATGGATAGTGGATGATAGTGTTTGTGCTTCTTAGGTACTCACAGCTCCACTCTCAAAAGAGGGAAAACATCTTTCACCTCGCCCTTTGCTCAGCCACTTAAATTTACATAGAGACCTATAGTGTTTATGACAGAAATGATCGTTGGAAAGACAGTAACAAGCCATATTGCATCGGGTTCCCCAGTCCTGCACCAAGAAGGGCACACCAGCTCCAGACACTCCTGCCAGAAGTGTGTGACCTCATCATGAGAAAACTACAGACCCACCCAGACTGAGACATTCTGCCTAGTAACTGGCAGCATCCTTCTAAGTCTCGAGGGCATGAAAGAAAAGGGGCAAAATGAGGACTGTTACAGACTGGAGAAGACTGAGGAGACATGAGGGCTGTGTGCAAGGTGGGATCCTGGAAGAGAAACAGGATCACAGCGTGAAAAGCGCTGGAATCTGATAAAGGCTGCCATTCACTCAATGATACTGCACTGTTCATCTCTTAGTTTTCATTATCGTGCTAAGGGGGGTCTCTAAAATGTACATACTGTATTGGTGAAAACTCTCTGTACTTTATTTGCAATTTTCCTGTAACTCTAAAATTATTTCTAAATAAAAAGCTTTGTAAAAACTCCCACCCCTGGCCTGGCTTGTACCTGTAATCCCAGCTCTTTGGGAGGCCAAGGCAGGAGAATTGCTTGAGCCTAGGAGTTTGCAGCCAGCCTGGGCAACTTGGCAAAACCCCGTCTCTACAGAAAATACAAAAATTATCTGGGTATGGTGATGCACACCTGTAGTCCCAGCTACGCAGGAGGCTGAGGTAGGAAGACTGATCGAGCCTAGGACACAGAGGTTAATGAGCCGAGATCGTGCCACTGCACTCCAGTCTGAGCAACAGAGCAAGGCCCTGTCTCAAAATAAAGAAAAAAAGAAAAGAAAAATTAAAATCCCCACCCTGAGCCCAGCCCCAGGGGCCCCAACCATCAGGCCAAATGTCTGCATTAAGGTCCACAGTGCTTGTCTGCAGGGCACAAAATGGCCTCTGCACAACCCTTGTCACTTGGAAGGTGTGTGCGTGGCTGTGTATCAGCTGATGCTCCCTGGGTCTCTCTGCTCGTCTGTCTGCTCCCCACTTAAGCTGAAATCCCACCCCATGCTTCCCCCTTCAGTGCTGCCTGCACACATCCCCCCAGCAACCCTCCTCTGCATGGGCATGGGTGGGAACCATGTATCTTGTGACCTAGGCTCCAGAGGATACTGAGGAAATGTGAATCCACTTAGATTTTTAAAGGGCTGGGAGGAGAGAGGCATCGGTATTGCCAGAGTGACCTTTCCCCAAGGCCAACCTGACCGAGCCCTGTTGGTTCCAGTGCCTCTACCCTGCCCACCTCTTGGCATAGCACACAAATGCCTGGTATGACGTCTACATCCTCGTCCAGCCTGGCCCTGGACCTGGTGTCTCTGGGCCGGTAATTCTCCTGGCCAGATAACAAGCATTGTGCCACCTGTGGACCCAATCGCCCTGAGACCTCAGGCCCCTCCCTCGCTCACTTGCCTCCTGGCTGCGCCTCCTCTAGTGGTCTTGCCACCTTCACCCCTGAGTGCCACCTCTAGTGAGCTGGTTAAACCACTGAGATTCCTGCCCACAGGAAGATGCACCTGCTTCCCTAATTCTTTCCTTCTCTCTCAGCCACAGCTGAGAGTGCCCAAAGAGAAGTCCTGCCTAATCACTTCCAGGCTGGGGGATAAAGGGCAACTTATTCTGGATCCAATGATGCTTATAAATCCATGGAGCAGCCAACAGCATTATCAACAGAGAGGCTGCACATCCTGTCCGCAATGGCTATACATAACTTAATTTTACATACAAAACTGTAATTCAAAACTGTTGAGTCAGGAGCCATTTCAGTCATTCTCAACTCTTAAGAGCTTGTTTCTTTCCACCCCCTATCCCTTTAGCCTCCCACTCCAACTAAGTGTTTTCTTCCCAGAACTCATTAAATCCTCTTCCACTTTCATTTATTTTCTCATTTTCCCCCACAGCCCTTCTCGCTGGTTTTAATATTTTTGTTTTCTTTTCACCACCCACTATGCAGCCTCTCTATGATGGCAAGCACTGTTCTTTCCAGAATTCCTAGCTCTTGTCCCCACTTTCGCTTCTCCCCTGTTTCCCCCTGGCTCTCCTGCCCTGATGGCATCATTTGTTGACTTCGGAGGTGTTTACCCTTTTAATCTTCTGAAGTTTGGAAAGGGGATTGCACATTTCCCTCCATGTGTTTTGCGAGAAGACCACATTTGGTGGCAGCTCAGGCACTGCTGAGCGGCCTTTTTGCGATTCAGTTGATCTGTTTGCCTGCTCCTTGGGTTGTTTAGTAAGGCCTCTGCCAGCATGCTTTAGAAAGGGCTGCATGGCTGTCCTGCCACCTACCCCTGGTCCACACTGGGCTCATGGGAAGGCAGCTCAGAGTCTCATCCCTCTCCCCTCCCAAGCACCCCTCCCTTCCAAGCCACATCTGCATTCTGTGAGCCCCATGCAAGATCCAGCTCCATCTGGCTCGTCCCTGTTTGATAACAACTATTTCCCCCATAGACCAATCAGTCTTTCTGTGTAGATGTGGCACTTTCAAGCTTCCATGACAACTTGAACGTGTAGACTTTTATCTTCAAAAATGGTCTTAGGAACCTTCTGCCATATACTATGTCCCCTAGATACAGAGTAATGGGGTCTGCGGTTGCACCTGCTGCAGTGCTGTGTGTAGAAGAGGTACTGCTATTCATGCCCTGCAGACCCCCTCTGGTGCCACATCATGATGCACCTGCCCTCTCCTGTGTGAACAGATACAGACTGAGCATGCAGCCAAGAGTCAGAAGAAAGACCTGGTGCTAGTCCCACATCCTTGTACTTACCGGCGTAGTCCCATATCCTAGTATTTACCGGGCTAGTCACATATCCTTATACTTACCAGGCTAGTCCCACATCCTTATACTTACCGGGCTAGTCCCACATCCTAGTACTTACCAGGCTAGACCCACATCCTAGTACTTACCGGGCTAGTCCCACATCCTAGCATTTACCAGGCTAGTCCCACATCCTAGTACTTACTAGGCTAGTCCCATATCCTTGTACTTACTGGGCTAGTCCCACATCCTTGTACTTACCGGCGTAGTCCCATATCCTAGTACTTACCGGGCTAGTCACATATCCTTATACTTACCGGGCTAGTCCCACATCCTTATACTTACCGGGCTAGTCCCACATCCTAGTACTTACCAGGCTAGACCCACATCCTAGTACTTACCGGGCTAGTCACATATCCTAGCATTTACCAGGCTAGTCCCACATCCTAGTACTTACTAGGCTAGTCCCATATCCTTGTACTTACTGGGCTAGTCCCACATCCTTGTACTTACCGGCGTAGTCCCATATCCTAGTACTTACCGGGCTAGTCACATATCCTTATACTTACCGGGCTAGTCCCACATCCTTATACTTACCGGGCTAGTCCCACATCCTAGTACTTACCAGGCTAGACCCACATCCTAGTACTTACCGGGCTAGTCACATATCCTTATACTTACCAGTCTAGTCCCACATCCTTATACTTACCGGGCTAGTCCCACATCCTAGTACTTACCAGGCTAGACCCACATCCTAGTACTTACCGGGCTAGTCCCACATCCTAGCATTTACCAGGCTAGTCCCACATCCTAGTACTTACCAGGCTAGACCCACATCCTAGTACTTACCGGGCTAGTCACATATCCTTATACTTACCAGGCTAGTCCCACATCCTTATACTTACCAGGCTAGTCCCACATCCTTATACTTACCGGGCTAGTCCCACATCCTAGTACTTACCAGGCTAGACCCACATCCTAGTACTTACCGGGCTAGTCCCACATCCTAGCATTTACCAGGCTAGTCCCACATCCTAGTACTTACCAGGCTAGACCCACATCCTAGTACTTACCGGGCTAGTCCCACATCCTAGTACTTACCAGGCTAGACCCACATCCTAGTACTTACCGGGCTAGTCCCACATCCTAGTACTTACCAGGCTAGACCCACATCCTAGTACTTACCGGGCTAGTCCCACATCCTAACACTTACCGGGCTAGTCCCACATCCTAGTACTTACCGGGCTAGTCCCACATCCGTGTACTTACTGGGCTAGTCCCACATACTAGTACTTACCAGGCTAGTCCCACATCCTTGTACTTACCAGGCTAGTCCCACATCCTTGTACTTACCAGGCTAGTCCCATATCCTTGAACTTACTTAGTGCCTGGAACATCACTTTCTTAATTTTTTCAAATAAGATGACAATACCTCCCATGCTTAATTCACAAGACTGTAATGAGAATCACATGAGATAATGTATGTCAGCAAAATATTGCTGAAAATACTCTCCACTCAATTATGTTGCGAACCTGAAAATGCTCTTTAAAAATAATAAAATCTACTTTTTTAAAAAAGTGGCCCTTGGAGAGGTTAGCCAGTTTTCTTTCCCAGTCTCTGGACTGATTCTGTGGAGAGAGCATGGGAATGACTCAGTGGTGCAGCCCTCAGTGTGTCCCTCTGCCAGGCGGGAAGGGACTCCTCAGGCCCCACAAGGGGCATTACAGGCTGCTGCCCTTCTGCCTGCTGATAACCCAAAAATTAAGGATATTTGGGACACAGACTGCACAAAGGAAATGCTGGCTAATGAGAAACACAAATGTAAACACCATAAATCAAAGTGCCCTCTCTAAGTGGATGAGTGCAGTTAGGAGGAGTAAGGTCCAGGCCAGAGCCAGACGAGGCCCGACCTGGGGGGGACACTTCTCACACCAGGGACAGTGACCACATGGGGGGAGAGAGGTGTCCCGGCACAGGTAGGGCCACCACCCACTGTGGCCATAACTGAGTGAGGTCAGACTCAGAAAAATGTGAATGTCTATACAATAGGGTCAGCAGACTTTATTCACTGGACAAATAATTTCTTCATAATCAGGATAATTTTATCCATCACCTCTTAAGGGTAAGACATGAATGGTTTCCTTGTACCACTAGAGGAAATTCTGCTCAGAAACCAAGTGCTTGTTAGGGAAACTATTTGATTAAGTATTCTGGGTGAATATAATACTGATCTCAAACAACTGTAGCTGAAGTCATCACAAGTACAATGGTCATTGTAAGCATAAGAATCAGGGGCATATTTTATTTCTAGGTAAAAACTATTTTTAAGATACTTCATAAATCACTGGCAAGGTCAACCACACTAAACATTCCAGAACACACAGGGGAAATCTCCGTGGGCGTGCCCAGACCTCTGGGCTGCAGCGATGCATTGTTCTGAGGCTTCCTGCACGGAGCTGTCCCCGTCGTCAGCAAGTCTGCTGGGCCCAGAGCAGTGCCTGCGGGAGGCTTACTGTGACCCAGCTGTACAGGTGCAGCAGACACCATGGTCCACACCGCCAGTCCCCACACAGTGCGGTGATCACTACGAGGCACACCTACTGCAGGCCCGCTGTCTTCATGCAGCAAATAAGACCACAGCAGCCTATAGAGCTGTTGAGAACATGAAGTGGAGTAACAAAGACCGAGCACTTTACACCCGGCCTGTCATTCGGCCAGTGTTCATCATTTCACAGATAGGGATAATCACTTTTTATCCCAGGCCATGCTGATCACCTTACCCAGGTGCATTTAGTGGTAGGCTCAACCCCAAGCCTACTGCTGAATACACATGAATGCATGCATGAATAATGAATCGCGAATGAGCGAAGAGTTCCCTATTTTTACAGACGAGGATAGCAAGAATCTGAAAAGGCAATATAATGAAAATTGTGACTGGAATTCACAATTTCTTAACCAGGAAAGCAGGTTAAATGGGAGACCACTAAATGGCAGGAGGCCGTCATGCTTTTCTGTCCTCCCACTTTCTAGGTGTGAGAATACAGATGTGATGGCTGGAGGTCCAGCAGCCACCACAGACTCTGAGTTGACCTTGAGGACAGAAGTTGTGTTCTAAAGCTGACAAAAACATAAAGATAGGTGGTGTCAGTGTCCCTCATATCTGTGGGGCAACTCTGTTGTCCCTAAGCACACAACCCACTTTTCACTAATAGAGGCCAGAACATGTCTATCTGATTCTAATCATTGTTATGTTTGGTCTCCATTACTAGAAGCCAAATACATTTCTAACTGAAAAACAAATATTCTGGGCTGGGCGCAGTGGCTCATGCTTATAATCCCAGCACTTTGGGAGGCCGAGGCGGGCGGATCATCTGAGGTTGGGGGTTCAAGAGCAGCCTGGCCAACATGGTGAAACCCTGCCTTTACTAAAAATAGAAAAATTACCTGGGCGTGGTGGCAGATGCCTGTAATCCCAGCTACTTGGGAGGCTGAGGCAGGAGAATCGTTTGAATCCGGGAGGTGGAGGCTGCAGTGAGCCAAGATCACGCCACTGCACTCCAGCCTGGGCGATAGGTCTCATTTCAAAGAAAAAAAAAATACATATATATATATATATATTCTATGTCATCCCCATCTCTCCTTACAAACTGCTGGCCCCTTCCCCGCCTACTTCGCTGGGCCCCACTCCTCTCCCTTCTCTGAATACTGGATCAACACAGGGCTCAGGCCTGGGCCCTCCTCAAATCCCACAGCTAATTCCCCTCACTCCTCCCAAACCTCTTTATCTCCCACTCGCCAATCTCAGAACATGTTGTTCAGGCCAAAAGGCTCAGAATCTTCCTGAATTCCTCCCTCAGGCCATGAGCACAGCCCACATCAGCCCACAGCCCCCTGCCCTGGGCCCCGGCACGTGCCAGCCCTTACAGCCTGCCCCACACGCAGCCTCAGAGGGTCACTTTTCCACTCGTACCCTTCAACGGTGTCCTGTGGCCCTAAGGACAAAATCCATGTGCCCACCATGGTGGCCAGGGCTCTCTGGTCAGCCTTTGCCTGCCTCTCTGCCCACATATATGCCTTCTGGCCCCACATCAGCTTCCTTTCAATCAGGGCCTTTGCCCTCACCCCTGCTGCCTGGAAACCCCTCCCTGAGGGTGAGTGGCAGCCTCACACTGCGACTGCTGTCACCTCCTGGGCATCCCCTGACCACTGTGAGCAGCCTCCGCTCTCTCCATCCTCCCTATCAGCACCTTGTGCTATTTTTTTTTTGTAACTTTACTGTTGTCTGAAATCATCTCACTGATTTCTTTGTTTTCAGCCAGGCGCGGTGGCTCATGCCTGTAATCCCAGCAATTTGGGAGGCCGAGGAGGGTGGATCACTTGAGGCCAGGAGTCTGAGACCAGCTTGGCCAACATGGTGAAACCCCCATCTCTACTAAAAATACGAAAATTAGCCAGGCATAGTAGCACATGCTTGTAATCCCAGCTACTTGGGAGACTGAGGCAGGAGACTCATTTGAACCCGGGAGGCAGAGGTTGCAGGGAGCCGAGATCACACCACTGCACTCTAGCCTAAACGACAGAGTGAGACTCTGTCTAAAAATAAAAAATAAAAAATCATTGTTCTCTAGCATACTATTTAGGAAGTGCAACTCTAGAAAACCAGGAGCTCTCTTTGTCTTCATCCTTGGCTTCTGAACCTTGCCTGGCTTAGAGACATTTCTCACTCATCAGAAATTAAAGAGCCATGTCATGGTTACCAAGCTACAGTTTTTGTTCATTATGTATCTTCAGTCTTCATGCTGCTTTCTGGCTCTTTCACCCAAACTGACAACAAGGTAGACTTTTGTGAACTGACCTTCCCATTCCTGAGTTCCTGTGGTTGATTATTCTCTCAGTTATAACACCATAAAGCTTAGCATAATTCCAGAGCCCTTGCACGTAAGAAGGGATTTGCTGTCTTAATATACAAAGTCAAATTGGGGATAAGAAAATGATTTCTCTGAAAATGGAGACATTGCCCTACTGTCTTCTGCAACTTGCTGCTGGGAACGGGTCTGACATCCTCCTGACAAGCAATTTATTCATTTCTGAGCAGCATGTGCTCTCAGATTGAATGTTTCTATACCTGTTTTTAATTTGTCAATTAAATTACCTATTTTTAATCACTGATAAAGTAATGGATATAGCTTTGTTTTTTAGAAAATTTGCCTTATACATCGTTATGTAAGTCAGTCTCTAGACCAAGCACTCTTTTCTCCCAGCTCAAGAAAGTTTTCAAATGTTCTATCCTTCATTATTGCTTCTTTGCAGTTATTTCTCGTTCTTCCTCATGATAGGCCATGTTATTCGAAGACTGCTTCTCCTTTTACTAGCCTCCTTGATGGCTGTATTTTTTCATTGCTTTCATCCCTTTGTCCTTTTCCTGTGGATTCTATGAGAGCAATTCGAATTTGCTCTACTGACTGGAATGTGTTTCTAGGGCTTCAGTTCTTTCCTTTATGGCCACTGTGGAGCGCTGGGCTCTGCTGTTGCAGGTGGGCACCTTTGAAGCTTTTCCTCCTGTCTGGGGTGCTTTTCACTTGGGCTTGTGCCTCAGCCTCTGCATTATCTGAGCTCCTCTAATAATCTTATATCCCCATTGCTCACTGAGAATTTGAAATATGGATCTTTAAATTCTTTTTTATTTCTTCCTAAAAATATTTTTTTCAAACACTGTATTTTCAACTATAGTCAGTGTATTCGGTTCAGAAGATGTTCATTGGTTCCATTGGTCCGTGCTCCATAAAAACCTTGTTACAGAGACACACAGCACACTTTCACCCTCTTGCCACCCTGGGTCCCCTGGCTGAACACCCCTTGAAGAGCTAAAGCTGGAAGGCACAGTGGGTTCACCCCCAGTCCCGATGTCAGTGCTTTGGAGACAGGCACTCATTGGGTGTGGTTGGCTGGGCTGAGGAAGGCAGGTTCTCTGACCCACTTAGGGTCAATGTATGCCCTTGTGAATACAGGAAGGGGCTTATTTTGTTCCACCAAATAGGCTACACGGAAGAAAAAGCCATGCCAGTCCTCCCTCCGCCCGGCCAGCAGCATTGTACCTTCGGGGACCACATGGTTCAGGACTCAGTGGGACATGTCCTCCCCCTTACCTCCCCAACATTGCAAACCAGCAGGGAGGAGGAGAGGCAAGGCCCAGGCTCAGGACAGATGAGCAGCAGTCCCTGCCCCAGGGGAGGGTAAGGTGCTCTCAGGGCTCTGCCAGGTTCAGTGATGGCCACTGGGCCACCAGGCCCCTTCTCACCTACATGCCTCTGGCCAACTGAGCCACTAACAATGAAAATGTCCTCAAATGTGCCCGAGAGTGTCTCATTATTTTTGAAGATAATGGAAATCCCTCCCAAGGCTAACAATTGTTGACACTGTTCCTGTGCAGTTTTTGTGTTGCTTTTTGGCTGTTTTCTGTACTTTGATGTGTATTTTAAGAACAAGTTGGAAGAGAGATTACTCAGGGCTACAATAGCCTCAGGTCACCGCTAGTGTCCTTCTCCTTGAATCCCCATAACATGGAGCCCAGAAGCTGGCACTAACAGATTCTCAGTAAGAATAGACAAATGAGTCGTGAGTTTTGGCTGAGATATTTGGGACTGGAAACTGATCTAGACCCAGGCTGGGATGGATCTAGGGCAGGGATTGGGCTGTAACAGGTCACAGGGAGTGGGGGACGTCAGAAGCCTCTGAAGGCACAGACACCACCTGAACCGAGGCAAGAGGCAAGTCCCGCGTGCAAACCAGGCTGCCCAGGAAGTACAGGGCTGGACGGCAGGACCTCAGTTGTCCGGAGCAGGAGCCCCACCCCTGTGGAGCTGATGCGAGCCACCACGCATCAGGGGGTTCAGGGATAGTGCAGGTAAAGGTGGAGCTGAGTGTCTCCAGCTGCTGCCTGGGCCTCGGGGCACAGGAGAGACCCAGACGCTGTGGCCACGCCTCCAGGGCCCCTGGGCAACATCTCCACCTGTGAACCTCCAGCCTTCGCATGCTGTCCTTGGCCTGCAGGGATCCCAGACCCCCACTGACAACAAGCCTTGCTTCTGCGAGGCCTGTTGCTGCCACGGCTGGTCCTAGTTCTAGGCATGAGATTTTGCCCTAAACACCTTTCTCTTCCACCTCTGGACACTCACAGTGGGATGGGGGAACTGGAGGACCTCCCTGCGCCCGGTGTCTTCATAAAGCAGAGCTTCTTGGGCCCAGGCCCCTCGGTCAGCCGCCCCCAGCCGCGCCTGCTGAGCGAGCACCAGCACCAGGAGTCCGGGCGTGCGTGGGAGTCGCCGTGACCAGGCGAGCCAGCATGGCCAAGGACCCTACCGTCCTCCTATTGCAGAGCGTAGTGACGCGAGGCCAGAGCTGGGCTAGAATAAGTGCCCGGGTCATTAGGGGAAACAAGGAAGGAAAGAGGAGGAAGGGCGAGAAGGCGAGCCCACCCAGCTCAGAAGCGCCTACCGGCAAGCCCACGCCAGCCTCCTGGCCTCGCGCTGCCCACCACCCTCCTTCTTCCCTAGAAAGTGAGTCCTTGACAGAAAAAACTGCCACCGTTCTATGCCTGGAAGGCGCTAGCAAATATGCCACGGGCCGCAGGCAGCCAGCTCTCAGGATCCTGGCCTTGGGCCACGCCCGGTGCGACTGTCACCTTGTCCATCAGAGCTGGGGTCTCTCAAAACTGCCTGCCTGCGTCCTGCCACAGTCAGGGCCGAGGGTGTCCGCATGGGCTTCCAGGAAAGAATTCTCTCCTGGGGAATTTCCCACTGTAGCTAGTTGTTCTCCAGCACATTACACAGGCATTAAAGGGAGGTTAAATAGCCGGTCTACCGCAGCAGAGACCCTGGGAGTTCTGAAAGCCGCCGGCTCCATGCCCCGCCTCTGTACAGGGGAGGCTGAAGCCTCTGCGGAAGGCGGGGATATGGGCAGGTGGCAGCGCCGGTGGCAGCGTGGGGGGGCAGCTCGGGGAATGCACCTGTACCCAGCCACCTGTGTAGTGCCTCCTGCCCCTCTGAACTGCCCCCGCGGGCTGGCCACAGGCGTCTCCATGAGTTCAACACTAACACCGCCTGCCATGCACCCTGTTGAAGAAGCCCCAGACAGAGGGCACCGGTAGGGACAGAAAGAAAACACCTCTTATCTTGCTTTTGTAAAACGTGGGCCAGGCACGGTGGCTCACGCCTGTAATCCCAGCACTTTGGGAGGCCGAGGCAGGTGGATTACCTGAGGTCAGGAGTTCAAGACCAGCCTGCCCAACATGGTGAAACCCTGTCTCCACTAAAAAATACAAAAATTTGCCAGGCACGGTGGCGCATACCTGTAATCCCAGCTACTTGGGAGAGGCAGGAGAATCGCTTGAACCCTGGAAGCGGAGATTACAGTGAGCTGAGATCGTGCCACTGCACTCCAGCCTGGGCGACAGAGTGAGAGTCCATCTCGAAAAAAACAAAAAATTGTGGAACTGTCGCACCTATCAAAACAATTTTTGTTGTGGAGTTTATTGGGGGGGGGGGGGTGGGGGATGGGGGAGAAGCAAGAATTATAAATAGAATACAGAAAAAAATGTTTATTAGTAGAGACAAAAAGCATTAGATAATGTCCCTCATGTTAACATCTCTAACAATATTTAAGTTAACGTTAGGTGAGTGGCCAAGATGAGCATACGCTGGGGCGTAATCCCAGGAATGCAGGCTGGGATGGATCTAGGGCAGGGGTTGGGCTGTAACAGGTCACAAAGGAGGAGGGGTTGTCAAAAGCCTTTGAAGGCACAGACACCACCTGAACCGATGCAAGAGGCAAGTCCAGCATGCAAACCAGGCTGCCCAGGAAGAACAAGGGCTGGACGGCAGGGCCTCAGCTGTGGAGGGCAGGCGCCCCACTCCTGTGGAGCTGATGCGGAGCCACTGCGCATCAAGGGGTTCAGGGATAGTGCAGGTAAAGGTGGAGCTGAGTGTGGGGGTGTGTGCTCCCAAGCCCTGCCCTCCTTGCTGCCTTCCAGCCTCTGTACCCCCAAGGTACTCTATACCATGGTTCTTTCTCTATTCCACTAACACAAAGGTCAGCCTGCATCCCTGCCTGCTCCAGGTATTTTAATGACAACCTCCAAATATTGGCTTCTTCTCCTCCGGCCCCCCTGCATCTGGTCCTGCCCATTTTCCCCTCCTCTCCTATGGGCCCCTTCAGTCCCAGCCCCTGGCCGGGACCCACTGGGGCACACATTCTGCCCTGTGCTTCTGTTCACCACCGTGGGCTGCCCTTCTCTTTCCATGGGCTTCTGTCAAAATCCCACCCAGCCTTCAAGGGCTGCTTCAGTTCTGTCATCTCCAGGGAGCCTGAGTCTCAGCCAGGACTGTCCTCCAAAGCTCCACACTCCCCCTCGTAGGTATTCACACACTCACCGAGCCTCCCTTTGAGACCCGAGCCCCTTGGGGGTAGTGGGGGTCTCCTCCTCTCTGTGCCCCTCAGCGCCTCACACCCTTCCCAACACTAGGACATTCAGTAGTTTGGAGGACGACTGAAAGTGCGGGTGATATGTGGCTCTGCGACTGTGTGGTTTGCCCCCCACTAATTTGTCACAGTTCAAGGAACATGCCTGAGCGTTTTCATGATAATGAGAGAAAAGACATGAAGGAGGAGAATGGAAATAGAGGCTTTGGAGAAGTTAAGAGTATTGAAGTTGTACTCACTGTGGCTCCCCGGAGTCCTGGAAATCTTGAGGGGACAGTTTAGTGGAAGACTTGATGATGAGCTCCTTCTCCTAAGAGTAGCACAGTGGACCAAAATCTTGTGAAGCAAACCCCTCCCACGTGGCTGTGAGCTTTATAGATGTAGTTAGGCAGAACAATGTGTTACTCAAAATTCCTCTCTACTTATTCAGAGACAACTTGTTCTGAGGCCCATGAAGGGTAAAACTTGAGTGTCTTGGGGGCTCTGAGGGAGGGAGGAACGTTCCTGCCGGGACACAAAGGTGGCTGAGCTGAGCTGGGTGTAAGGAGAAGGGGCAGGAGAGAGGGGGCAGGCATCCCACCCTCCATAGAAGGACACAGAACTGCAGGGGCCTGCTGTATGTAGACTTCAGGAAACTAGTGTTGAGGGGGCTTCAGCAGGCAGAGATGCAGACAGCAGCAGGGACTCACCGACCTGGTAGGGGCCTCATCGCAGCCAAAAGAGCTCAGGTTTGGGCAAATTACATCAATGTTCTCCATTGGTAGTGAGAGTCTCTGCTTTCATTCATGTACACACAAACACACACACTCACACACAGGCTTAGCTAGCATGCAAACCAAGCGGATTCTCCAAGTGTTTATCTGGATCAAGTTGACTTGAGTTTAAATGGCAAGCCGTAGTTTGGAGCAGGGTGCTGGCCCTGGTGGCCCACAGAGGGCCTGAATCTCAGTGGATCCTGATCCTCCCCTAGGTGCCCCCTCTCCCTCCCCTATGTACATCTATACATAGAGAGGGCTCCACGCCTGTTCAATTGGACCCCGTGAGTCCATCTGGAGGATGATTAAAAGGGGTGGAAGGATGATATACTAAGTAATGTAGAAAATGGAGTCTTGTTTACTTTAAAGATGGAGAAGACAGTTTGCCAATAAAACATAGCACTCCATTTCCTCTAGAATTCTGTTATTAATATTAATCTGCAATGAACTCCTGGCACCTCTCTCACAAGGCCTTCCAAAGGCTTTAAAAATAATAAGGCATGCTCCAGAAGAGCAGAGTGCATTCCAGCAAGATAGCTGGACCAAATTGCCTTCTGCTGGGTGGGGGGAGTGGGAAGGCAGGCAGCTGGCAGCTTCACAAATTAAGCACATTAAGGACACAATTAGTAAAGGAATGTCATCCCTCCATCTCTTCAGAGACACCCACAAACACAGTCTAAACACATACATGAATTCAGCTCACAACTTTACTCTTATACACACGGGCTCCAAAGAGACACACACAAACGCAGAACCACAAACACACACGCAGAGACTTGGGTACAATCTTGACATGGCACACATGCAAAATACACGTTTGCACACACAGACACAACATATGCACAGACATTAGGAAGAAAATACGCAGTGCACTCCCATTGCTTAAGTGTCAATGTCAGATGCTGGGCCCCTGCAGGTTTCTGAAAGTGGCCTGGGGGAAGAGGGAGTCAGAGTCCCACAGAGACCCTCCTGGGCAGAGCGCATCTTTTACGTAATCCTCTGGCATGAAATGGTGAAACGCTGATACCCCCAGACCTCTTGAGCCCCGCAGATGATGAGGCTTTGTGGCCCCCTCTCCCTCCACACCCAGTTCTGAAGAATGCTTGGCGTCAAGCGATGCAGAGACCATCCCAGAGTCCCCCTGGGTCCTTTCCCTGGAAAGCATCCAGAGGAAGTCTGTGGTGGCCCAACCCTGCCCAGGCTGAGAATGAGATGATATTTGGCAACCTCCACTATCCCCTTGTTTTAAAGTCAATAATTTTGCAAAACTTTTCATTTAAATCATTGAACAGCGTAACTTTGAGAAATGAAATACATTTTGTAGGATGTAGGCATTATCGCGTGCAATTGCTGTCCTTCTCTGCCCACATCCCTACTCTCTTCTCAGCAAGAAGAGGAGCCTGGGGCACCTGTGGCCACTTTAAGCAAGGCTAAGTCAGGACAGAGAGGAGCCAAGACATGGGCAGGAGGAGGGCGAGAAGAGGCCGTGACTTTGGTGCAGTCCTTGAGGGCAGCTAGTGTGAGTCAAGTGTTGATTAATACAGATAAGGTCAAGTCTAGAAGGCCAACTCTATTAAACTCAAATCTTATTATCACATCTTACATGGACATTAAAACCTCTCAGATAATGGCAGCTATGTGCACTGAGGGTGACATCGTGGTTTTTCAGGCACTGGAGAAATTACTTTGACAGGGAAACTTACGTGCTGAAGGCAAAACAGCAGATAAGCGAGCTGGGCCATTTCCTGAGAGTCATGAGACAGGATACAATGTGGCTGTCATGCTAAGTGACATTCAGTCCCTTCAGAGGTCGGCCTGGTCATGCCTGCGAGACGTGGCCCCAGCAGCAGGGTCACCCTTGGGCCACAGAGCCTGCAGAGATGGCCAGGGCTGCACATCTGAGGGGACACCGGCAGGCGAGGCAGAGCCCACATGGCCTAGTGGTGTATTGGTTTATGCAAAAACATTTCTCGGTTTTTTGGATACCTAATACATTCTAAAAGATACTTTTTTAAACTAAATAACAATGGAAGAATAAAATTGTGGACTGTGTGCACCCCATAATGCAGAATGAGCACGAAGGTTTCTGTACATCTTTATTCCTAGATGCTTAAATGTCAAATAAATCACAACAAAATATTCTCTCCGCTTAATGCCATATTATTAATTCAATAGTTTCTTTTTCTCAACTCAGCTATCAGTAAACTTTCAGGAAGCCTCCTCTATATTATACACGGAAAGCACAAGGGTAAATGGTATTTGTTTCCTCTGGGAAATATTTGCTGATTGTAGAAAATTGTGTGAGATCCTTCCCACTTATGGAGAATACCTTCATGAGGCAGAATAGATTTCCTCAAAACTTCAAGAGTGAGCCTAGAGAATCAATGCATGCACACATGTACACACATGAGCACACACACACACGTGCAGTGGTGGGCAGTGGATGGCCCCCAAGGTCCCCGTCCCTGCTATAGAATCCCCTCCCCAGGGCTGTGAGGTATGGGCTATTCTCCCCCAGTGACCGCTCCCTCTACAGCAACAGGGATTCTGCAGAGGTAATTGAGGTCTCTTGTCAGTTGACTTTCAGTTAACCAAAAAGGAGATTCTCGCAGTTGTGAGCCTGACGTGATCAGGTGAGCCCTTACAAGGGCCCTTCTGGAGGGAGAGACTGGAAGTGAGAAAGGGCCGTGCCAGCAGCCCCGACACAAGGAGCTAGGGGTGACCACTAACAAGGAGCTAGGGGTGACCACTAGGAGCTAACAACCACCCCCAGGTGACACCCAGCATGAGAATGGGCGTCCCTATCCTACAATTCAAGGAACTGAATCCTGCCAACAGTCACGTGAGTCTAAAGAAACAGCCCAGGCAACGCCTTGATTTCAGCTTCCTGAGACCCTACGTGGAGAGGCTAGCCACGTCGGGCCTGAACTTCTGTCCTAAAGAAACTGCAAGACAATAAGTAGCTGTTGGTTCCCCGTTGTGTGGTAATTTGTTATGCAGCAATAAAAATCCACGTGCTCACACCAGCACCCTTCCCATAGCCACCTGCTTCTGAGTCCATTCCATAAACAATTCCAATAATCAAGACCATGGCATTCAGTAACTCCTGCATTTTATCCCTACGTCTACTTCCCAAATGTCCTGCAATGTGCACACACATTCACTCACACACACACTCACACATGCACTCACATGCAAATACATACACATTCACACACTCACATGTGCACTCACATACAAATACACACACATGCACTCACATGCAAATACATTCACACACATGCACTCACAAATACACCCACACATGCACTCATATGCAAATACACACACATTCACACACATGCACTCACATACAAATACACACACATGCTTTCACAATCAAATACACATACATTCTCTCACACATGCACTCACAAATACACACATTCACTCACATACACACATATACACATTCACTCACCTTCTCACATACAAATACACATTCACTCACACATGCACTCACAAATACACACACATTGACACACACACATGCACTCACAAATACATTCACGCTCACACGTACTCACACATGCGCTCAAATACACATTCACTCCCACACTCACTGGCACACTCGCACATTCATTCAGTCACACATACACACACTTGCATACACGCACTCAGTCATACACACTTGCATACACGCACTCAGTCATACACACATTCAAACATAAACACATATTCACACTCATACACACATTCACTCACACTCATACACATACACAGTCACACACATGCACTCACACACAGGGACTCACATACACATACTCAAATACACATGGACTCACACACGTGCAGTCACACATTCACACACACATTCACACACAGGTGCACACACACAGGCACTCACCTTCACACTCACACAGGCACACTCCAGGGCCGTCTTGCAAAGGAAGCAAGTTCTGGGGAGGATGGAAGATGGGAGGGTTACATGTGAGGGACGGAGTACAGAAGGTTCTTAAAGGCAGGAGTGGGAACGGGAGCCTGGTGGGTGCCCAGAAGGTGGCAGCCGGGTTCCGCTGGAGTCTGAGCTCTTTAACAGGGAAGGTCGGGGCCTGGAGCTGGCGAGGGGCACCCACAGTGTGGATGTGGCGGAGAGCTCTGCCGGCCATGAGGAAAGGGGATGGCCCGAGCAGGCACCATCACCCAGGTCAGGGCTTGGCATGGATGGCGGCGGGGGGCTCCCAAGCAGACCTGCTGCGCAAGGGGCTCCTGCCAGCAGAGCAAAAGCAAGGGCAGCACGGCCCTGCCGAGGGACAGAAGCGACTGCCGGAGCAGAAACCGGGAAAAAAAGGGCCCCTTGTCCCACAAGAAGTCAGTTGAGAGAGAAAAAGAGCAGGCCCTTATCCCACCAGGGTAAGTGCCCCCGGCAGAAAACAAAACAAAACAAAATGAGAGGATGCATTCTCCCCTGGTGCCTTCACGTTCTCAGCTAAAGACCTGTGGCGCCCACAGTAAGGCTGAGGACGCCATGGAGGCAAAATGCCATGCAACTGTGGGGCCTGCATGCGGCTCCAGGAAACCAAAACCCACTGGGGCTCAGCTCCTCTGGGAAGCAGCCAAGCAGGTGCCCTGCCCTAGCAGGACCATGCCTACTACTCCCCACACAGCCTTTGCCCACCTCCCCCTCGCCCACCCGGACCTGCACCCCTGGGAGCTTGTCACACGTGTTCACTGCCCTGCCAAGCCCCTGGGGATGCCCTTGTGTTTGGCCGTAACTAAGTCCTCATGTTGTGATCCAATCATTTCCCTCAGGGAGTAAGGGAGTTCAAGAAGACCATGGACAGGGTGTTTATTACACAACTTCTTCACAGTAATTCTCCTGCCAGTACTTTCTCACTGTTTAAAATCAATAAGGAAGAGGTACTGTATTAGTCCGTTTTCACGCTGCTGATAAACTCATACCCGAGACTGGGCAGTTTACAAAAGAAAGAGTTTTAATTGGACTTACAGTTCCACGTGGCAAGGGAAGCCTCACAATCATGGCAGAAGGCAAGGTGGAGCAAGTCACGTCTTCCGTGGATGGCAGCAGGCAAAGAGGGAGAAATTGGGCAAGGAAATTCCCCCTTACAATACTGTAAGATCTCATGAGACTTATTCACTATCAAGAGAACAGCATGGGAAAGACCTGCCCTCGTAATTCAATTGCCTCCCACCAGGTCCCTCTTACAACACGTCGGAATTCAAGATGAGATTTGGGTGGGGAAATAGCCGAACTATATCAGGTACCAAGGGTAAAACCCAGGGAGCAGCTGAGGGGCCACCAGGGGCGAGAATGAGAGGAGAGGTGAAGGGCAAGTCCAGGACCCCAGGAGCGTGGGTCCCAGGCAGAGGCAGCCCTGAATGCAGGGAGCAGACCCTCCCCTCCTCCAGCCCCTCTGTTTGCCACCAAAGGGCTGACTCTCTGGGAACCAATCTTACGGTGACCACTGAGCGGGCAGGAAGCTTCCTGCAAGTTGAAAGCATGAAGGAGAGAAGAAGAGGTCTCAGGAGCACAAGCCAAGTGGGGCTGGCACAGGCGAGCAGGCAGAGAGGAAGCACACAGCAGGGGATACAGTGAAGGGGGCCTGGGGTCATGGCAGGCGATTCATGTGGCCAGGGTCCCACCTCCCTGTCAGAGTGCAGGGCAACCAACTGGTCTCTGGGTCAGGATGCTGCCTCACCACTCACCGTTGCACACCCCTGCCAGACAGAGGCCTGTAGCTACCTGGATTTTCCCCCAGCAGAAAGAATGTGGACTTCAGTGAGTGAAAGTCTTCATCACTGGTGGTCCAAGATGCTGATCAAAACAGAGCTTCCTCCTCAGCCTTGACCAATGACAGATGTTCTGATAACATTACTGTGTATGGCACTATCACAGACCAAAATTTATAGGGATGTTTTCTTGAATCTAATTTTTATTTTACTACGTATTTTTTGAAATAAATGCATATTTTCCTAGACACTGAGTCAATTCCATAAACACCTGTGGGTGCCAGCAGGCGTGCTAGGAGCAGAGGCCATTGGAGACATGAAGGCTCCTGCTGCTGGGAGACTCAACTGGCCATAACCCAAGTGCTATGTGTTGGGTGAGGAAGGCTTCACCCAGGAAGGGACGTTGAGCACGGATAGGGGAGGAGAGGACCAGGTGGGATTTGCTGGGCAGACAAAAGAAAGGCAGTGCAGAAAGGAAATAACTCCTTCAAAGGCCAAGATCTTGATGAATTAAACTAAGGAAGTACCAATATAAATAAAGAAAGGGGGGAATATGAGACCCATTAAAGGAGAGTGAATTCCAAAGGCCTTCCATAACGGGGGTTAAGGAGCTGAGGCATTCACCATGACCCCCTGTGAGGGAGCGGAAGGTGGTATCACCAGTGGAGACTTGGAAGAGGCCGGAGGAGCAGGCTGCAGGAAGGAAGTGAGTTCAGTCTTGACTGTGTCTGCTGGACATTCCAAAGCTGCTGTCTGCTAGGCAGTGAGGAGTTAGGCAGGTTCATCTGGAGACCAAGGAGCAGGGTTGGTGGTAAAAATAATGATAATAATAATTAATTAATAAAAAAAAAACCCTGGAGTGTGAGTTACTCAGAAAGAGCATCTGTTAAATTAGCAGAGAGCAGAGCCATGTGGAGCACACATTTCCTACAGAGTTTGTAGGGTAAAAATACATAAGAGGTGGGTGCAGAGAGAGAAGATGTGGTTGCAGAGACTGATGAAGAACAGACATTGCAAGTAAGAGCAAGGGACATGCGGACCCACAAGCATTATCACTGTGAGCTGGGGATCAAAGCACTTTCTGGGTGCCACGTGCTTCATCGGCAAGGCCTCTTCAGTCTTCCCAAAGTTTCTGTGTAGTTACTTGCTCTCTTCCCCATTTTATAGATGAGAAAAAGAAGTCTCAGAGCTGGTAAGTTATGAGTCCAAAATCACACAGCTCTTACCTGGTGCAGCTGCCGTTGGAACTTACCACAAAAAAAAACATGCTCTTTCCACTCTGCTGGGCAGCACCAGGTTTGTCACAGAAGAATGGGAAGGTCACACCTTCAGATTCTAGAAAGAGAACGGGTGAGAGGCGTGACTGTCACCTGCCTACAGGAGAGCAGTTTTGGTGGAGTTTGAGAAGTCGCAGCCAGATTGCAGAGACTAACGGAGGGGCTGGACGGGGAGCGACATAGGCCAGTTTCTCTTGCCAGAAAGAAGCTCAACCATGGCATGAGACAGGCCTCACTCGGGCTTTGCAGTGAGGGCATTTTTGTTTTCTCTTTTTTGTTGCTGTTGGTGTTTTAAGCTTGTGCATGTTCATAATCTGTGGGGGAAAGAGTCAAAGAAGGAAACATTGAGGACTCGGGAAAGCAAGAAGTTAAATACAGGAAAGAACAAAGTACCCAAGAGGAAAAAGGTGAAGGTGTCAAGATGGAGAAGGAGAAATTATCCCTGGATGAGAGGACAGCGCCTTTGATTCAGAGACCTGAGAACAGCAGGGAAGGGCATTTGTCGGCTTGGGGCCAGGAAGCTGAAGGAATCTTCTTCTAACCTAGGGAAAGATGTGCATGCCAGCAGGGGCTGAGATGGGGCAGTGGGGAGAGGGAATGGAGGAGCATGGTAACAGTGGAATGGCCGTTCCCTGAGGAAGGAGAGCATACCCACCCGAGCCCCATGTGCAGCACAGCAGGAGACCTCACACCAGTCCTTGACCAATCGCATAACTCTCCTATCTTCTTGGCCAGCCATCAGTTGCAGGTAAGCAGGAGGGGAGAGCAGATGGCTCTACGGGTTCACAGTTGGGCACTGGCAGAAAGTCAAGGGGAGAGGGACTGGCAGGGGCTGGAGTGACCTTCAGAAGACATTTACGAGAAGAAAGGCATGTTGCAATATGTGTTGTAATGGGAATTGGCAAGACCTTTATACCACCAAGCATCTAAGGATGCAGTTTTGAATCATGTCGAGACAGCTCTACTTGGAGCTTTGTTTAAAGGCTTCCTAATCTTCTCCCCCACCCGCCTCTCTTTCAACACATAGTAGATAAATGCTAAATAGACAAATGTCCCAGTTAGCCTCAGTAACAGAGGAAGCCTCAGTAACAGAGGAAACCCAAGCTGTAGGGTTTCCTACATTTTTCCATGGAGGAAAAATGTGAAATGTCCACACGCACAGGTGGTGCTCTGTCCCTGGCCGCACTGCATGTGGCCTGGGTCCCTGATGCCATTCCTCTCCAGGAATGGCAAGCACGTCCTTTGGGGCTCTGCATCCTCAGAGCTGTCTTCTTCCACATGCTTCTCCTTGCAGCAGTCTTTGTTCCCTTATCTGTAAAACAGGGCCCAGGACTTCAGGGGCTGCAGCCCTTTAAAATTCTAGCAGTTCGTGAGCCCTCCTCCTCCTTCAGCAGCTGCTCTGTAGCCATTACTTCTGCATCCTCCTAAGACACTATAGAAAGGGTGCACCCAGCCCCAGAATGCTGGGTGACTCAGCCCTTCCTAGCTTCCAGATGGATGGCAAGCCCAGGGCTGCCAGCAGGGGCATGGGCTGGGGACAGAAAACAAGAATGAAAAAGAACAGTGCCTTTTGGCCATCTTCCCAGAGTCTTGCACCTCGTCACCACAGTCTTATTAACCATTTGGTCCAAAATATTACCTTAAAAAATGTGTTGAAAGTAAGCCACTTTTTAAAAATCATGCAACTGTCACTATGGAAAACAGTATGGCGTTCCTCAAAATATTCAACACAGGATTACCATCTGATCCAGCAACTCAACTCCATTTCTAGGCATATATACAAAAGAACTGAAAGCAGGATTTCAAACAGATATTTGTACGCCCGTGTTCATGGTAGCATTGTTCACAACAGCTAAGAGGTAGAACCAAACCCAGTGTCCATCGATGGATGAACAGATAAGCAAATTGTGGTATAGACATGCAATGGAATATTATTCAGCCTTAAAAAGGAGGGTCATTCTGACACTTGCTACTACATGGATGAACCTTGAGGTCATTATGCTACCTGAAATAAGCCAGTCACAAAGGACAGATGCTGTTTCATTAGACTTATATGAGATACCTAGAGTAGTCCAATTCCTAGAGACAAAGTAGAATGGTGGTTGCCAGGGCCTGGGGGAAGGGGGAAATGTGGAATTGTTGTTCAATAGATACAAAGTTTCAGACTTTCAAGATGAAAAGACTTCTGTAAATGGATGGTGGTGACGATTGCACACCAATGTTCGATGAACTTAATGTCACTGAATAGTACATTAAAATAGTACTTAAAAATGGTTAACATGGTACATTTCATGTTATGTGTATTTTACCAAGATAAAAAAAAATATTTTAATCATGCAAATGCTTCCTTCTCCTTCCCTACTCCAGGATCAGCAGCCACACTTCTGTCCCAAGGAGTGAAGCTGAGTAGAGAGCGCACCCTCTGCCTGGGACCTGATGAAAGATCCAAGCAGACAGCGGCCCCCTGCGGAACCGTGGACACCGAGCTGCCTCCTGTTCCAGCAACAGCCTGGACCCCCGACTCTGGGTGCAGGGTCCTCACCGGTGTCCCGTGACAGCCGACACGCACTGCGCAGCCCGAGTCGACTGCTCCCACTCCGCGCTCCCCTCCTGGACCCCGCGCAGCTCTCCTGCGCAGCGGCCAGGCTACCTTCCCAGTCTCCATCAAAGACATAAATTATCGAAATTCTGCCGCTACTCCTGACAGAAGCGAACGTGAGGGGTCTGTGGGCCTCCGACCCTGGAAGGAGCGCGCGGTGCCAGTGTTGGATGAGGACGCAGCGTCGAGCAGGAGAACGCAGCACGGAGGAGGGCGCGGCCGGCAGCAGGGCGCAGCAGGCAGGCTGTGCTGGGTCCCCTGACGCTCTCCCCTGCTTGTTCCACGGCCGCCCCGCAGCGCCCTCTGCCGGCCCAGCCCAGAGCGCCGCTCCCCGACACAGCGCGCGCCGGATGTGCGCGCCCCCAGGACCCAGAAGCTCTCCCTGCCGGGCCTCGGACGCGCAAATGCGAAGCCCCACTCTCCGGAGGCACGGGGCTCTAGTGGGTATTATTTTTTATCCCTCTTCAAAAGGCCAGGATGTGTTAGATATGGGCATCGCGTTTCTAGTGTCCCTCTGAATCGACCAGTGAATGGACCTATTTCCAGTAAACTTTCGCAGCAAAATGCGAAAGAGTGAGCCCGGCGGGAGACGAGAAGGGCGTTCACGACGAGGACCCCAAGGGGGAGAGCTTGCGGTTTGAGGGGCTAGGCCCACAGCGAAGGCCTGGCTTCTCTCTTCCCTAAAAAGTCCTTGTGCAAACGAGTCACTGACCACGGCGGAAAGGCTTGCCCGGCCGGGCTCTCGGCAGCCTGCACCGCGCACAAGGCGGAAGGCGTGAGGGCTCCAGACTCCGCCCTTCCCTCTTCCTCCCGCTCACAGCTCCGGGGCCACCTCGGGCCAGGGTCTGGCCCAGTGGACCTCGCCGGCTCACAGTGGTCACCAAGACACTCACGGCACCCGAGTCCTGCTCACCCCCAGCTTCCGTCCGCTTTCTGACGCTGTGTCGCACGCCCTCACCCCCTAACCACCCCCCGCACCCTGATGCCCTCCGTACCCTCTCTCCCATAGTCCTGGCCTCACTGGGAGCTTCAGGCCACTAATCTCACCTCCGTCCCCGGCTCCTCCTGTCCTGCCCCAGCTGGAACTCCATGGCCCTTTCCTTAAAGCGCTGCCTTGAAGACGCCCTGGCCCCCGGCTCAGCCCCTCACCCTCGCGTCCCTCCTGCTCTCCGCCTGCGCGCCGCCTCGCCTGGGCAGCTGGAGGTGTTTGGAGAGGGTGGCTTTGTGCATTATGACCCCGGCATCCTCAGGGGGACCCACGGCTGCTGGGAGCTAATCCCCCTGCAGCCCCGCACCTCCCACCCGCTCCACTCCTCAGCCGCCCAGCACCTCTAAGTATGACGGCCTTGTTTCTGTAGCCCTGAGAAGGCAGGGGGTCAGGGGATCTGCACAGGCCGCCTCCGACACCCCGCCCCCGTGTGCCATCTGCTGCCCCCGCGGCCCCTGGTCCTGCCCTAAGACCTTCCCAAGAGCTCTCTGGGCCAGGCCCCCCCAGGCCATCTACTCAGCCACCGGCCACGCCCTCACCTCCAACTTCCCCCTCCTCTAGGGTATTCCAGTGAAGGCCAAATCCAGTAGGAATTCTCCACGTTACCTTTCAAAGGCCCCCTCAGGACCCCACACCTCTTTCCCCAGCAACCTCCCCCTTTCCCAGCACCCGTTTCCGCACAGCTCCTATTTCTCCTTCACACCCTGACACATTCACCTTTACCCAGCACTCCACCAAAACCACTCAGACATGGTCAGTCTCTTTTCCGCCTCGCCCTGCTGCACTCTGAGGTACTGGCCACCGCTAAACATTCCCAGCTTGCAATGCTTTCCCACAGGAGGGTCTCAGCCTGCCCCTCGCTCCCCAGCCCCTCAAGCCTCCCTCGCAGCCCCTGTAGCCCAGGAGAGCCCAGCTTCAGGCACAGTCCCTGGCCCTCTGGAGGCACGCTCCTGCCCCGATGACTTCACCCACCCTCACTGTTTAAAGGCCACCTTTCCGCCCGTGAGTCACCAAGGAACAGCCCTCTCCCAGCCAGCTTCTCACACCAGCTCCACACTCGCCTTTCCTGTAGTCCACCAGACAGCTCCTCCCAAATGCCGAATCTTAAATTGAAAACACAAAGGGCAAACTCCTGATTCCCCCCCCCCCCCCATAAAAAAATAGTCCGCAGGCTGGGTGCGGGGGGGGCTCACGCCTGTAATCCCAGCACATTGGGAGGCCGAGGCAGGCAGATCACAAGGTCAAGAGATAGAGACCATCCTCGCCAACATGGTGAAACCCCATTTCTACTAAAAATACAAAAATTAGCTAGGCTTAGTGGCGCGTGCCTGTAATCCCATCTACTCGGGAGGATGAGGCAGGAGAATCGCTTGAACCCAGTAGGCGGAGGTTGCAGTGAGCCGAGATTGTGCCACTGCACTCCAGCCTGGGCGACAAAGCAAGACTCCTTCTCAAAAACAAAACAAACAAACAAACAAAAGCAGTCCGCTGGGAACTTCTTTGCCTTTCTTTCGGTTGCTTAGATCCAAATCTCATTTGTCTTCAACTACCCTGCTTCTCCTCCATCCAAACCCACTGTCAGCAAATCCTGCTGGACTTGCCTACAAGGAAAACCCAGAGAGCAGCCACTTCTCGTCACC
Source organism: Homo sapiens (assembly GCF_000001405.40). NCBI lineage: Eukaryota > Metazoa > Chordata > Mammalia > Primates > Hominidae > Homo > Homo sapiens. The sequence goes on along the minus strand of NC_000010.11, from coordinate 43,687,914 downwards.
TCCCTCACGCTCAGCCCAGGACACGCCACCACCGTCACTCCCAGAATCATGTCGCGTCCTCCCTCTTCTTCCTACTTCTGCCCTTACCGACCCCTCCAGGAATCTAGTCACAACACAGCAGCCAGAATGGTCTTGTTAAAGCATTAAGTGAAAGTCATGTCACTTCTTTGTTGAAAATCCCTCAATGGCTTTCCATCCCAGAGTCCTAAGATGTCCCAAATGGGCCTCCTCTGCTGAGCACTTCCCCTTCTCCACCCACAGTGGCCCCCCAAACTCCCCAGCTCAAGCCCTCCCCGCAATGCCACCACCATCTCCGGGTCTCCACAGCACCAACCCCCTGCTTGGAATGCAGCCCCCACGTCTCCCCGCTTGCTCCCTGATGCCTTCAGCTCTCTGCTCAGAGCTCCCTGCACAGCAGGCTCCTTCTGGCCACCTTATTTAAGACTGCAGCTCTCTCCCTCGTCCCCACCCCTTCTTTTCCTCTTCCTCACTCTAGGTTTCCAAAGCCCTGACCGCTTTCTCTCATTCGATGTGTCCTGACTTGCTTATTGTCTTTCATCCCTCACTAAACATGTGCTTCAAGCAAGCAGGGGTTTTTTTTTAAGAGACAGGGCCCCACTCTGTTGCCCAGACTGAAGTGCAGTGGCTTTTCACAGGTGTGATCATAGCCTGCAGCAGCTTCAACCTCCCAGGTTCAAGCAGTCCTCCCACCTCAGCTTCGCCAGTAGCTGGGATGACAGGCACGTGCCACCACCGTGCCCAGCTGATTTTCTTCACTGCTAGATGCCCCTTGCTAAGACCATTGAGGAGGATCTAGTGGATCTTTGCTCACTAAATGCATGAGGGAATCCTATATCTGCCTTCTCTCCGCTCTTTCCTGCCATTTCCATCACATTTTACTCTTGCTCTGCTCCGTAAGGATTTCTCCAGGTGGAGTCTTTCCTGCCTCAGATTTTAGAGTCCATTTTGGGACTCACCGCCTCTAGTGGGTTTTGCTTTAATTTGGGCCACTGTGGACCATTTCTATTTCTAAGAACACTCCCTTGTTCTCCCACTGCTGCTTTTTCATAATTGCCTACACTTGTGTTTAATCAAAGTTCTGGCCCCTTAATGCCCTCTGAGATGCAGGCTGAAATTGTGTAAACGTGTTTCTGCCTTCTATAGTAACTATTTGGGTCAGGGTATTTTGTGGTTCTAAGCACTGCTGGCTTGCTGACCCACCTGGACGTCTTCTGTGGCCCATCCACATTTGTGAATTTGATTAACTGCCATGGAGCTGGTGGGATTCTATCAACCGGATGTTGAGGCTCCCCTAGAGGCATCCACATGTAATTATTTGAGTTGAAGGAAAGGCCTCCCCACTGAGAGATGAGTGAGCCTTATACCTTACACCTTTCCTTCAGGGTGTTCAGCTAAGAGGCTGACCAGCAGAACAAGGCCCTCTCAGAAGGGAAGTAGGTGATCAACCACATGGGGTCCTCGGGGTGCACCCGCCTCGGCTAACAGGGGGCCAAGCTGAGCCCCGGGAAAAGCTGTGGCCTGCTGTTCTGTGTGTGCTCTGAAAGAGTTCCGGAAATCTTTTCCTTTATTCTCCCATAACTGCTTCCTGACCCACCTGTTCCTCCAGCCTCTGGACTTTAGATTTATTCAGTCAGATCTGTAATTATAACAAGAAGAGCTAAAATCATCCTGACATTTGCTGTATGCCAATATTGTTGTCAGGACTTTATAGAAATTAACTCATTTAGTTAGCTCATATCACCCCAATCAAGTAGTTACTATTGTTTTGCCAGTTTTGAGAGGAGGGAACTGAACTGCAGAGAAGTGAAGACCTGCCCGTGGTCAAGCAGCTGCTAAGGGGCGTCCCTGAGACCACAGCTCACTCACCAGTGGGGAGCGAGAAAAACAGAGGGCGAGCACATCTGAGACCTGCCGTGCTGGGCCTTTGGGAGTGTCTGTGAGCACATGAGCGTGTATGCAGTCAGGAGTCACCTGGGGAGCTGGCCCGGGGCTCTCACATGAAAGCCCAACCAGCCACAGCCACAGTCGCCCTGCTATTCCTATCAAGACCTTGCATAACAAGAAATTGTTCACATGCCAAGGCTAGAAAGGCAACAGATTCTGCAAAGCCAAGCTCTCATTGACCTTATAACCAGAGGGCCTAGCTTGTGCATATAGTAGGTTGCTTAATAAATATTTGTTGGAATAAAGACATTAGAAACATCAGAAGTCTCCTTTTGATTTTTTTATTCTGTATGTGCATGTATTTATGTATACATGTGTACAATGTATATCTGTAGGTACATGTATTATACATGTTTTCATGTATGTGTATAATATACATACACATGCCTACATATACTATATGTAAAATATATTATAAGCATGTGTGTGTTGTCAGAAGTAGCTTTTTACAATCAAACTCTACTGAGGGACACACGATTTGCCTAGTAAAGGATTCCCAAACCAGTAGGAAGCCAGTTTTGTTTCCAGTCTTGAAAAAGAAATATAACTAGCATCAATCAGAATTGAGAAGAATAGTCCTTCTCAACAATATTTCATATTATTAGAGAGTAATCCTGAAAAGATCAGGCTACTACATATACCACACCTGTAGTTAAAATTCAGTTCTGTAAAACCCTGTCTTCTAAGTATATCATTTATGGAGTCAGAACATAAAAGATCTTAAAAATAAATCCTTCAGAAGGTTAAAAAAATCACCAACTTAAAAATAAACACTGAGACATTGATTTTGGAAAGACTCTAACAAGGATGTTGCAGAAAGTCCACAAACACAGCACCAACCAAATTCAGGTTCAAGGCTGCACACCAATCAACAAGAACTGGTTGCGCATGAAACACCCATCCCACTTTTACAAATCTGCATAGAGAAGCCTTAGAAAGCCACAGAGTGCACTCCATATTCCAGTCTGTAAAGGCTATGACTGATTAGCATCACTTTAATATTCAATATAGATTTCTCACAAAGCCCAATATGTATTAGTCTGTTCTCACACTGCTGATAAAGACATACCCAAGACTGCGCAATTTACAAAAGAAAGAGGTTTATTGGACTTACAATTCCACATGGCCTGTAGGCCTCATGATCATGGCAGAAGGTGAAAGGCATGTCTCACATGGCGGCAGACAAGAGAGCTTGGGCAGGCAAACTCCCGTTATTAAAGTCATCAGATCTCATGAGACTCCTTCACTATCACAAGAACAGTGCAGGAAAGACCCGCCCCCATAATTCAATCACCTCCCAGTGGGTTCCTCCCACAACACAGGGGAATTGTGGGAGTTACAATTCAAAATAAGATTTGGGTGGGGACACAGCCAAACCATATCACAATGTGTTAATAAAACTACACAATTGAAAACCTCTACTATAAGCCAAATATGTAAAACCTTTTTTAAAAAAATCTCAAACCAAAGATTAGAGGATAAATGGGTTTTTTTTTCACATGAAATTTCATAAGAAATTGGCTGAGTATGGTGGCTCACATCTGTAATCCCAACACTTTGAAGGCCAAGGCAGGAGAATCACTTGAGCCCAGGAATATGAGATCAGCCTGCACAACATAGTGAGACTAGTCTTTACAAAAAACAATTTTTAATAAAATAATTTTTTAAAGAAATTGTCCAGAATACAGGGCCAACTAGACTTGAGGGATTGCAGAAAGTGTCCTCAAACTTGGACGTCAAGAAAGATGAACTTGAAAAAACAGTCCTGCGTCCCATCATCCTTGAAGTTAGAACTGTCTGAAATGTGTACAGTATGCATTGCAAAAACCTATTCAAATGTTCCTGTTTTTCTATCCAGATATGTTTTGGTTCTGTGCCTGTCTCACACTTGTCCAGAATGTCTTGCCTGCTACTGAGTCATTTGCTTGAAATCTGTAAGTTCTATCTCAGTGTGCTTAGCACGAAGAACCACACAGGAAGGATACAGGTTCTTGGTGACAGGAATGAATGAGGAGGGATACAGGTTCTTGGGTGATGAATAAGAGATAACCAGGGAAAAAAAAGTCAAAGGAATTGTGTCCAGAAAGAGGAATTAACTTCATGTTAGGTCAAAGACATGACAGAACAAAACTCAACTGAAGAACTGTAAGTTATTTTAAAAAGCTGGATTCATACGGTGGATGGGTGGCGGAGGGAATCATGAGAAACGGGCTGGAGACTTGAGCAGAAGCAACACCACAGGGCAGAACTCTCGCTGAACTCTAGAGGGAGCCGCTGAGCTTCACATCGACCCCCTTCACTCCATCCCTGGGCTAGAGGGCTGGGGGTGCTCTGGTCTAAGTGATGAATCTCTGCAGCACTGAGCAAGGTGTGTTGTGTAATGGGAGAAATTTCAACGGTAATCAAAATTACAGGGCTGACAGGCAGGTCCTCTCCTTTCTCTGCACAAGGCTGGGAAGATGGAGCTGGAGGCAGCTGCTATGGGAGGCTCAAAGGATAAACCCAGTACTTGAAGTTTTAACACTTTCACATTTCCAGGGACTGTTCATCATCACAGATTTCTTCTCCCATTTTTTGCTTGCACCCTCTCTCTCTCTCTGAAATTTTAACATTTAAACAAGTTCAAATCTCTCCTATCGTCAAAGCAAAAAGCAAACAAAAAAATGCCTCAACTGCAATGTTCCTTCTAGCCACCATCCCCCTGTCTCCCACTTAACATCAAGCTTCTCAAGAGAACTGTCTGTATTCATTTTTGTTGACTCACATCTCACTGACTCTCCATGCAGTCCACACAGATTTCTGCCTTCATTAGCTCCCCAGGAGCATATTCCCTCGAGTCATCAATGCTCTCCATGTAACTGGTTTCAGTGGATGGTTGTCAGACTCCTTCTGATTTTCTCATACTTCTCCTGGTTTCCCTAACTCCACATTCTCTTAGTTGTCCTCCTCTATCTCTGGCTACTCCTTCTCAGTTTTCTTTGCCAGTCCACCTTTTTCTAACTGTCTGTATATGTACAGACGACTCAAGGGCCAGTCCTTAATAAGCTCCTCATCTTCAAACTCCATCTTCTCTTCCCAGGGGGTTCTCATTCATAACAACATTCATTACCATGGTTACCTGGCTAGATGCTCACCAACCTCTGTTCCTCTTGTGGGACACATAGACCAACTATAATTCCCAGTTTCTCTTACAGTTACGTTGGGGACACATGACTGGGTTCCAGCTCATGGGACAAGGACCAAAGTGGCATACAGCATAAAACATCCTGAACGAGCCCTTTTGTTCTGGAACCTGAGTTCAGTCACCATTTGGAAGATGGCCATTCAGAGGAACATTCTGACCCACAACAGACTTTGTGAGAGCAAGAAATCAACTTTTATATGTTCACTCACTGAGATTTTCCAGGGTTTGTTTCAAAAGCGAGCATTAATTACCCTAATACACGTCTACCATCTGCCGGTAGCTGACTCCCAAAGGTACATCTCTACCTAGATCTCATCTCTGAGCTCTGAATCTGAATATATGTGTCTCCTCAATATCTCCCATCATAAGTCCAAGGGCCTTTCTTCCAGAATATGCAAACCTGACCTCATGGCACTGCCAATTGCTTCTCTTCCTGGGTTCCTATCCCAGTGAATGGCACCTTATCCATCAGCTGCTGAAGCCAGAAACTCGGAAATCATCTTCCATGTCTTCTTTCCCTCACATTCCCCAATATGCACCATCAGACATCTAGTCTATCCCTAAACCTAGTGGATTTTTCTCTCCTAAGTTGTACTTTTTCACCATTACTTCCCTAGTACCAGCCACCATCAGCTCTTGCCTGAGCTGCTGTGAATCCTCTGTTGCACACCTTTAATCTGCACACCTCTAACCCTGCAGTCTAAATTTTCAAAGAACAAAACTAGCCACAGCCCTGGCTGACTATTGCTCCCAGAATAAAAAGTTGGCATCCTCAATGCAGCTGCAAGACCCCACCTGATTAAGTCCCTATGAGTTTCCCAAACCTCATTTTATGTCCCTCGGCCCTCAGGCTCAGCGCTCCAACCACTTGGCCCTTCGTCCAGTCCTTGAACCCACTGGGCTCCTTCCTTCCTCATAGCCCATGCTGCCAGGTGCCACGACCCTGCTCCACAGAGACAGAGAGTTCTTGTGCCCTCGCCTGCAGCCCAGGCTAGAGGCTCCACATGTATCACTACACCTAATCCTCGAAACAATCCTCTGAGGTATGTGTTTTTATGCACATCCTATAGATGGGAAATTTGAAGTTCTGGGGATTTAGGAAACTTTTCAAGGTTTACATATCCAGTAAGTGATAAAAGTAGAATTCAAATGTCAGCCTGCTTGGCTGCAGCGTCCGTGCTGTCACTCCCTGCACTGTGAGGGAGACACCTGCAATGGTTGAGAGGACCATGGTGGAGGACCAGGAAGGATGGGCTTCATTGAGGAAGAATCAAGGCCCCAAAACACCCATTCCTGGAAAACTACAGGCGACAGGACCTGCAGGGATGGAGGAGGAAGCCAAGCCAATAACAAGGCTGGCGCTCTGCCTGAAGCATCTGCTGTGCTCCTTCCTCTTCCCAGGGCCCCAAAGGGCTCCAGTGATTGTCCCCACAACTCATGAGGGAGTCCACGACTAACATACTTAACAGTATTTGATAGCTAGTGGATAATTTTCTTATCATCAAGGAAATTATCGAGATAATTCCACGTCCTCATCACTATCACACATTTATAAAGTGTCTTGCCAAGCACAGAGAGGAAATTGGTTTTTAAAAATAAAAATGCTTATTGAGCACCACTGGATCCAAAGTTTTAGGTTGTCAAGAGATGTGATCCTTATTCCTGTGAAGCTTAAGTACCCATTGGGGTGTGTTCTGGTTATCCACAATCATGGAACAGACAAATCCAAACTTAGTGGGTAAAAACAGCCACTGCTTCTTTATGTCTCATTTTTTTGTGGCTGGGGAAATTGGGCAAGGTTTGGCTGGGTGACTTCTCTGTCCCACATGGCACTGCAGAGATCACTTGGTGGTATTCAGCTGGCAAGCAGGCTCTTCTGGAGGGACCAAGCTGACCTCACTGACACATCTAGTGACTTGGAAGACATGGGGGATGGCTCAGCCAGGCCTATCCATCAGAGCTCTATACAACAGACTACTACCGAGCAGTAAAAAGACAAATTACCGATCCATGCAACAAGCTGGCTGAATCTCAAAGGCATTACACTGAGTAACAGAAGCCAGTCTCAGAAGTTACATACTCTATGATTCCATTTATATGACATTCTCAAAGCAGACAAAACTATAGTCATGGAGTGGGTACCAGGGGCTGGGGGTGAAGGAAGGGACAGTGTGACTATAAAGGAACAGCATCAGGAAGCTTTGGGGGAGATGGAACAATTCTGTGTCCTGATTGTGGTGGAACAGCCCATTCCCAAAAGGTCACACTTACTGCATGTTAATTTTAAAAATAAAATAACTTTGAGTCAAGTAACAACTTCTTCTGTACTGAATACATGAGCACAGAAGTAATTCTGAATAGAAGTCTGAGCAGTCTGTGCTAGGGACATGATGTGTTGAAGAAGTGCCTCAGTCCATTGTGTGCTGCTATAACAAAATACCCGAGACTGGGTAGTTTATAAAGGAGAGAAATTTCTCTCACAGTCTGGGGGCTAAGTGCAAATTAAGGCTCCAGCATCTGGTGACTCATTCTTGCTGAGTCATCCCATGGTGGAAGGTAAGAGGGCAGGAGAGGATGAGAGAGGGTAGGGGAAGGCAGAAAAGGCAGGGCAAACACCCTTTAGTAAGGAACCCACGCCTGTGATAACGAACCCACTCCCAAGATAATAGCGTCAATCCATTCATGAGGGCAGACCTTCCTAAAGGTCCTGCCTCTTCATATTGTTAAAATGGCAATTAAATTTCAGCATGCACTTTGGAGGGACATTCAAACCATAGGTGGAAGTGAGGAAGGAATCCCTACCATGAGCCTCACCCTTCATCCAGGGCTCACCCGGTTGACTCCATTCATCCCAGCAGAACTCTGGGGAGTGGAGCCATGGTGAGTCCTGTCATGTCCCAAACAGGCATGAGGAGAAAGGCACAGAAAGACTCCGAACCTAGGAGAAGTCCGGGCCAAGTCAGCATGCTCTGGTTTCCCCGCCTCCTGGTTACCAGAGCTCCTTGGGCCATGCCAAGTCAGCATGCTCTGGTTTCCCCGCCTCCTGGTTACCAGAGCTCCTTGGGCCATGCCAGCACTTGACAGCAGGCACCGGGACACCAGCCAAAACTCCTCAAAACCGCCTCCCTAAGTTGCACTTGTCAGCAATTAAAACATTTGTCAAAGAGTATTTAATCCTAGTGTTATAAAGTGCTATGGCAAACAGATTTGGCTCGATATTTTTAAAAGTTCTGCAAAATGGCTACTCCCAACTGTAATTCAATTATGTTACTATGGCTTTAAACAAAAACAGTAACTAAAAAGATCATATTTTGATGTACCAGGAAAAAGTCATTTGGAACCACAAAGTCATCAATACTTTTTTAAAAATAAAAATAAAAAATAAAAATAATAATTCCAACTATAGAAAGGATCCTTAAAGCCAAGCCCCAGAAACCTCATTAGTCAAAGGACAAATACAACACACAGGATAGCAGAGGTCACGGCACTTACACCAAACTGTGGAAGAGACTGCGTTTTCTTGGGAGACCTTCAACTCCTTTTACCTCCCTTTCTGTTCACCACATTTGGCAGGGTTTATCCCCTTGAATTAGGAGTAGTGTGAAAACCAGTGGTTATTGTAAATCCAGAGGTTGTCGTAAATCCAGATCATAGACAGATATTTCCATCAGTCGAAATGTATGTGTGAGTAGGATTTAATTTACATGAAAGGGTGTTTGCCAAATGTTAACAACTGGTGGCCTGAGACGGTGCTGGGAGGTAGCAGGAAGCGAAGTGCAAGGCTGAGGAAGACCCTCTATAAGGGCCAGGGCCTGTGCAGAGACGTGGCGGGCAGCATGGAGATGGGGAGACAGAGCAGGCAGAGGAACATGGCAGACGGAGGAAGATGGCTGCGAGCAGAGAACATGGCAGACGGAGGAAGATGGCTGCGAGCAGAGAACATGGTGGGCAGACAGGGAAGATGGCAGCAAGCAGTGAACACAGTGGGCAGGAGGGGGCGTGGTGGGCTTGGAAAACGTGGCATCAAGGATGGAGAACTTGGTGGGCAGGGAAGATGGTGGGTGGTGAATATGATGGGCAGAGAACAATGCAGTCCCCAGACAACCCTTCTCCTGCCTGGATTCTGACTGATGGTGCAGTCTCCAGACATCGCTCCCTGCCTCCACTACACCCAGATAAGAAGATGAAAATCTCATGCCAGCTGCCCAAAGTGGAACACTGCCCCTTAGGTTTCCCTGAGGGCCACCCCTGCTTTCTTCTCTGCCTATGAGTTCCTAAGCATCAGCAGTATCATTGCATCTGCCATATATCTCCGGTTCTGCCCTCTGTCTTCATTTTTTTTTGTTTGCTTGCTTGTTGCTCGCAAATAAAGAATAAATGAGGAATAAATAATCTTTTAAAGAAGCCAAGTTGTGCCTTTTGTTCATGGTCCCCAAGTCATCTTAGGGCAGAGTTGTCTGATGGGAAGGGTACAAGTTAGACTCGATAGATTTTTTTAATGTTTACTCAACACACAGGAACTAGAATTCTAGAAGAAGGAAAAGGCATGCAGAGATACAAAGTGAATCACGTTATGACGATCAGAGGCACCAGCAAAAAAGAACACACAGCCCTCACCATCACATGAGGCTCAAATAACATGCTATGCCAACACATGAAGTAACTCCTGCAGGAATTACAAAGACAAAGTAGAATAAACAAGTGTCCTGGGATGTTTTATTGTACCTATTTTAATATACATTTATGACAGATTAAGTACATTAAAATGAAAATATATAAGGAATCTAATAATATATAATGAGTCCTTGGTTCAGACTCTTTCGGAATAGTACTTGTGGGGCAGATATAATAATAAATCATGATTTCAATTACAAAGGAAAAATGAAATGTTAACTCCAAATCCACCATAAAACTCACTTCCCTGCTTAAAGAGAGTTGAAATGCGCTTCTGGAGACAGTGAAATGCAGGTCCCTGAGACCTGACCAACTGTGCCTGCGTCCGGTTCTGGTCACTAACAGTGTGGCATTAGGCACCTCTCCCTGCCTTAGTTGTCATCTTCTGTAAAATAGGGAAATGGTGATCTTGGCTTCAAAGTGTTACTGTAGAGATTACAAAATATACACATAAAATGCTTAGGAGAGTGCCCAACAAATAGGAAACACACACTCAATATGAGTTGTTATTATTAATACTACCAATAGTCGTAATACTGCTACTGCTATTATTATTACTACTACCTGCTCCTGGGGCTTCAAAACAATATTTAAAAAGAAGCAATTCAAAGGAAGAAATGGTTAGTTTTGGATATTTGTAACTTCAAGGCCATAAGTGAGGATGCATCACAGAAAGGGAAGTGAAAAAATCTTACACTCACAAAATTATGGAGAATCATTCTCACCTCTGTATTACTCAGGACCTTTCCAGTATATGTAAGAGGAGGCCCAACGCAGCCTGGCTTAAAAAAAATTAAAACACATAACCACTAAGTCTAAGAGTTAACACAGCTTCAGAATTGGTTAGCCCAGGGGCTCTCCAATAGCACGGAGTTCTTCATTTCCTTCTTTCTGCCACAGTGTCAGCTCCATCTCCTCATGACTGAAATTCAGTGCTGTGTAAAAATCACACTCCATGCTTCCTTATTCTTGCCTAGCAAGAGGTCTCACCGTTCCAACAAGCACTCTGCACCCCTCCCAAGAGAGTATGGCTAGAGGAAGAGTCTGCCAATCCAGTGAAGCCAACCAGCTCCATGGCAAGAACCGGGATGCGTCGTCGGCTTCATCCCAGATAGGAGAAGACAGAACACAGGAGAAATTCAAGAGAAAATGTGGATGAGAATAAGTGCTGAATAGTGCATCACGGAGTGGGCTGTCTCCCGGAGGGGGTTTTTCAGAATAAGAACACTGGATGGTTAATTGTGTCCACTACACACATCTTTGAGACAAATTCGCCGCATTCAAGTGGGTCCAGTTCTGCCCAAAGGGTGGTCAGTGAGTTATCCTGCGAGAAACCATCTGCTAATCTCATTAAATGTCTGAAGACTACAACTAGCTTCTAATGTAGTCCCTTTCAGCCACACGTTTCTGTGCTGGGTACCATGAAAACCCAGGTTCCACTGGGCTCAAGACGGAGATGCGGCCCAGAAGCCACAGACTCACCAGACTCACTAAGATGGGGTCAGGAGGCCCAGTGCTGACCTGGCCCGGGCTGGGCTCCAACCATCCTACTTCCTCAAATTAGCAGTCCTGATTACATAAATTACACAGCTTACTAAATGCATCCAAATTTCTGACAAAATTTTTTTTCCAAGTCTGGTTTATTTCCAAAGGTGAAAAGTCTAAATTATAAAATATTACAATGTCCCAATGAAAGTAAACAAGGGAGAATTAGGTGAAAAATCATGGAAGTTTATAAAAACCCCTTCACAGAATGAAGAATTCCCAAGAGCATTTTGTCTGGTTTAAATTGATAACTTATGATTAAAACACCATTTGTACGAATCCTCCAGTTAATCCACATAATGAGAAAGGTCAAAGCGTGACCGGTTATATGGTTGTGGCCCTGCTCACACTCTTCCATTTGAAATGAGCTGCTCTCCTAGCCCTTCCTGGAGGCTCTTGGCCATCAGCACAGGAGCATGTGCCCCTCTGAATCTCAGGAACCTTTAATTCCACTTCTTGCCTGGAGTGAAAATATCTATGGGCTCTGCCTGCACTTTTATCTTTAAAATTCAAAAAAAGTTAATAGCCATAAGACATAAACAGGGAGCCAAAGATAGAGTGAGATGATAGTTTTTAACTGACAGGCAGAATCACTCAGAGAATCACAGCTTAGAGAAAATATTAATTTAACCCTGAAAGTATTTACTCTCTTGGAAAAAAATGAAAGGTCACAGCCATATGTGTTTACCTTTTCAAGCACTGCACTCAGTAGTGGTGCTTGCGGAAGAGTTTTACAGCTTCTCACATGTGTTTTCTGACATCTCTGCAGATCACAAGGTTACTCTGTTTCCACTCTAGTAACATGGTAGTAATGTTCACAGATTTCCTTTTGTTGAACTATCCTTGCATTGCTCACAAACCTTTCTTGGTCAGGATGCACTATCCTTGAGAGCACTGCTTGTTTGATTTGTTACCTTTTTCTTCTCCTTTAAAGAATGGAAGACAAGGTGCCTCAAACCTGTAATCCCAGCACTTTGGGAGGCCAAGGCAGGTGGATCACCTGAGGTCAGGAGTTCGAGACCAGCCTGGCCAACAAGGTGAAATCCTGTCTCTACTAAAAATACAAAAAATTAGCCAAGCATGGTGGTGGACGCCTACTCATGTGTCCCAGCTACTCAGGAGGCTGAGGCAGGAGAATCGCTTGAACCTGGGAGGCAGAGGTTGCAGTGAGCCAATGCACTCCAGCCTGGGCGACAAGAGAGAGACTCTGTCTCAAAAACAAAAAAAAAAAAAAACAAGATAAAGACTGTTTCATCCTTTGCTGTGTTCTGGAACAGTTTAAAATAACAGAAGTTATCAGTTCCTTAAAAGATGGTGACTATTATTTAATAGGTAACTGTGGAAGGACTTGTGAGCAGTGTTTTAGCTACAGGAGGAAATAGACAAGCACGCACGAGGTGATTCGTACACTACACAGGATTGTCCATGCACAGGTCCTTGCTGTGTACTAAATGCCTGCTACCCGCAGTGCAAGTGGCCATAATCCCGACTGGGTTCTCATAGGCTCATGGTTGCTTGGTAACACTGACATTCCCTCTCGGCTCATCACAACCTCCACCACACTGATGTGTGAAAAGAGGTAACAGAAGAACCCCAGAGCCCCAATGATGAGGCAACGCCTCCGTGACACGCCTGCCCCCTTGGCTCCAGAGCCCCAAAGCATGGTGGCTCCCTATCACAGAAATATGAGCTCACACTGAGGCCAAGACTGGGACAAAGGACACGTGGAAAGAAGTAACAGTCTTAATATGTTGGTGCCAGATTATGAGTTTCTCTGGAGTCTGTCCTAAAGGAAATGGAAAATCACTGAAGGTGCAGCAACGGGAGGCAAGTTAACAGCAGGTTGGCAAGAGGGACAGCAGTAAGGAATTTAATTGAAAAACACTAAAACGTTTTCCAGGAATATGTGCCAAATGTGACACTTTAGCAAGATGGGAGACTTCTGCAGACCGCCAGAAAGGGTTTCTGCTTAGACTTTAAATCCTTCCTCTAGATGTTGGATTTTACTATAAACCCATTTTTAACATCTTTTCCATTTCTAGAATTCCCTAACCCTGTCATGCTGTGGTTGTTTTTTGTTCATCTTTCCACATGTTTCTGAAGAGGAATAAGTCATAGAATATTTACTGATTATATATAAGCCACAGAATATGTACACAATGTGAGCATAATAAAATTAACCATTCAAATGTGCAATAAATGATTCAGTTCCAATCATCCCAGCTACATAGTCATGTAGAAAATAATATCTTAATATTTCTTCCATTCTATGTGCCAAATTAAATGAAATTGGCCAAAATATTGTACTTGTTATGGTTGTCATGCTATGTTGTCATACATGTTATGGTTGTCATACATGTTATGGTTTGTTTCATTAAAACCAAAAAGGTTTTAATGAAACAAAACAGCTAAAAGTAGAATGATGGTATGTATTCTCTAACCCAGTCCTTGAAAACATCTGCATCAAGGTGCCAAACTGGTTTTCCAGTCTTGTGGGTCACAGTCCTCATCACAATTTAATCATAGCCACATTCATGATGGGTGGCATTTACGGAGTGTGAGGAGCTTTGTCGGGTGCCTGTCAGATGGGGCTTTCCTCAACAGCCCTGCAGAGTGGGTCTTAGTGGGCCCTCTTTGCACTGATAGAACCTGAAGAGCAGAGAGTTCTGTCTTTCACTTCAAGAAGCCGACTCACGGATCCTGGCCAGGAGCCCTGTTAAAACAATACCCAAACTTTTTGAGATAATTTGTTAATGGAGGAAGTACCTACAGTTCCAACCCAGTCTTCAGTACTTGGGCAGGCTTGCCTCTCAAGAATTCATTTCGTTATTTATTCATTCAACAAATATGTGCTAGGCACCTGCTGCATGCCAGATACTGCTCCAAGCACTTGGGGCACATCAATAAACAAAGCATGCTTGGCCTTGTGGAGCTCGCATTCTAGAAGGAAAAGCAGTCAGCACTAGATAATAAATAAGCAAATCCAATAGGATGCTGGGGGATAAGTGCTGCAGCGTAAGTAACAGCACAGCACCAGGGGGTGGGGAGACAGAGTGCGACATGAAGGAGGGTCGAGACAGACCTTGGGGAGAAAAGGACATCTGGGCAAAAGCTGAGAAGAGAAGAGTGTCTGCGGAGGAGTGTTCCAGACAGAAGTACCCAGCAGTGTGAATGTTCTCAGCAGGTGTGTGCCCAGTGTCCCAGAGGAATAGCAAGGAGAGCACTGGGGACAGACTGGAAAAGGCTCAAACACAAAAGGTCAGAGACATACAGGGCCAGAAGGCAGAGGGTTTTGGCCATCAGTGAGCTGAGGGGCATTGTGGGATTTTGAGCGATGGAGGGTGAGGAGCTCCCTGCTGGTTTGATGGCCACTGTGCTCGCTCTCTTGACAATAGCCTATAACAGGCCAAGGACTGAAGCGGTGAGAGCCATTGAGAAATTTTTGCAATAACCCTTAGGAATGAGGTGGCAGAGTCTTGGACCAGGTGACAGCAGAGGAAGAGGTAGGTGGTTGGATTCTGGACCTTTTTTGAAGGTAGAGACAGCTGAATTTCCTGATAATGCTGAATATTTGATCAGATATCATAACCATACTTCTTTTAACAGAACATATTCTGGGAAATCAATTTGCTGTGGAAATTACTTTCTTGAGTTGGTCTGTTGAGGATGTTTCCATGAGAACCCAGGCCTGCTAGAGCAGGGACTGTAAGTTCAGGTTTTCAGAGTTTAGCAAGTTCTTGTCAAATGTCAACTTGACCCTATCATCCATTACCCATCCAAGACTCATGAAGGAGTTCCCTTACACAGTGTTGAAAATCAGCTGGGATTTCAGACAGGGCTGACATTAGCAGATGCTCAAATTGTCACCCAAGGAGTTTGAAAATCTGGAAGCATTATTCTGCTAGGTCCAGGAATCAAAGTTGGTGCACGGACTAGGACCCTCAGACCAGCAGGGATGCTGAAGCAAGAATGTAACGTTGAAGACAGGGCCACAGGAACTGCAGCTAGTCCTAGGACTGAGGGGGATCACTTCTGCCAAGGCCTGCCCCCCGACTTCCCAGACAGGGTGCTGTGCCCTGGAATAAGAGAGCTCATAACCACCTTCTCCCAGCCGCCGGGTCTTCCCATTAGGTCTCGGCCCTCGCTTGCTCTCTTCTTACTTCCAAACACACAAAAATACTGTGAGGGTTTGCAGCTGATGAAGTCCCAAAGGAGCAATCCAGGGCTTTGCACATTTTCCTGTAAAGGGCCAGACAGTAAATATTCTAGGCTCTGCGGCCACACGGTGTCTGCGGCGGCTTCTCAACTCAAAGCAGCAGAGACAACACTGAACAAATGAGCACTCATGTGTCCAACAAAACTTCATTTACAAACCCTGAAATTTGAATTTTATGTGAGTTTTACCTTCCACAAAATATTATTTTCTTTTTTTTTTTCAGTCATTCAAAAATGTTAAAACCATTCTTACCTTGCTGGCCAAACAAAACCAGGCAATGGCCAATGTGAGCCCTGAACTAAACCGCGTGTTTTGAAAGGGCTCTGGTGCAGCCAGGCCGACTTGGAGCCCCTAGGTCATGCAAAACGCAGTGCTCTTTCTGCTGTGGCCTTGGCTTAGTAGTGACTCCAGTAAGTCCAGTGTGTGAAGCCTGGTCACCGCTAACTCACAAAGGTGCAGCACAGGTCACCAGGCAACTCTGTTTCATGACACTTTACTGCCATCTGCTGGACAATTGTTGCAATACAATTACATACAGATTGCGCCGACCGTGAATTTGAAGAGTCCCGTTGTAGTTTTGTGATGCATCATTTGTTCAATTTAAGCAGTGGCCCTGGGTTGGGGAAATATAGAAGGAAGAAGCAACTAATTCACAGGAGTCCCAGAAGTCATCATGCAAATGACACAAAGATCCCATCACTTTCTAGTTTGGGGAGGGGGCGGGCGCAAGGGGAAGGAAGGAGGGAAGAAAGACATCTTCCAACTGTTATTATCTAGTCTCTGCAGGCTTAGATTGGTGCTCTGCCTACATTGGAGGTGTTCTGCAAACCGGAGTCTTCCTCGCCAGAGTCCCATAAACGTGCCTCAGTCAGATGCTGGAGAGACAGAGAAGGGAAGAGTCCATCAGAGCCTCCTGATTCGAGCATCACACAGCAACCCTTCTGAGCTCGGTGGTCCACACAGCGCAGGGTTCTATGAACTCCTGAGGAGAGCCAGGAGTGCTGCTAAGCTTTCCCAGGTATGCGTGACCATGTGTGCCTTCATCTGTGTGTGACTTGGGCCAGCACCTGCCCTCCTCCTTCCTTGGTTTATCTGCCCCCTCAATGGGGATAACACTCCTAGACGTTGCTGCCTCATAGAGACAGTGTGACCGTGGAACGAACACCCTTTGCACAGCATAATCAGGATCAGCAGTCCTGAAGCTGCAAGGCTGGAGAGAGAACAGGAGGTGAAAGAAAAGGGTGAGTTAGACCACAATTGGGTGCAGTCAAGAAGCCACAGCACGCAAGAGATTGCCTGTGATGGGGCTCCAGGATTCCAGGCCTGGCAACAGACCCCCAGGTTTCAAAATGAAAAACGAAAAGAGCTAGAGACCAAGACCAAGGGATATGTTCAAAGACTATGAGGTCCACTGTCTCTGATTTAAAACCAAAACGTTTGCCATTTGCTCTAGGGAATCAGGGAAGAAAGATACAGGGTGATCTGTTTGGCCCCGCCCCCAGGCTTCTGGACATTTCCAGGACTCTAGGCAAAGGCAGAAGCCAAGTCAAGAGTTCCACAGCAAAACAGGTGTGCCCAGGACCGGGGAAGTCTCAGGAAGCCCATAGTACATATCAGCTGGAACTTGGGGGGCCCGGGACTCAAAGTGCCCTGTGTCTGGCCTGGGGGGACCTGGGGCGGGCGACATGATGTGCAAACCTCAGACCCAACTCTAGTAACACAAAGCTGTCCCAGGGAAAAGCGAGCAGATTCCAGTGTTGTGACAGCTCAGGCTCAGGACGAAGACGCCTGCGTGGGTACAATGGGTCCTCTGGGGGTGCAGTAGAGGTCTTTGTGGGGGAGGGCAGTGCATGGGGGTCTGGTGGCCCCTTCACCTCCTTCTAGAACCCTTGGGAAAGAGACACTGCATGGGAAAGGCTGAGTGTCATGACTCACCCAACCCCTTGTCCAACATGAAGTGACCAAGCCCTTGATCAGCTTTAAAAACTAGTTTACGGCTGGGCACAGTGGCTCACGCCTGTAGTGTCCGCACTTTGGGAGGCCAATGCGGAAGGATCGCTTGAGCCCAGGAGTTCAAGAACAGCCTGGGTAACACAGGGAGACTCTGTCTCCACAAAAAATTAAAAAAATTAGCCAGGCATACTGACACGTGCTTGTGGTCCCAGCTACTCAGGAGGCTGAGGCAGAAGGATCTCTGGAGCCCAGGAGTTCGAGGCTGCAATGAGCTAGCTATGATGGCACCACTGCACTCCAGCCTGGGAGACAGAGTCTTGCTCTGTCTCAAAAGAATAAAAATACAAACTAGTTTCCGTCTCCTCAGCCACACACCATGATTAAACTTCAGCACTAACACTTTCATGCAGGACAGTGGTTGACATGCTTTAAGACTGCCTCCTTAGTGCACAGAGGACAATGGCACAACACCATGGCCAACCAAGCCCAGGCCAAGGTGGGATTCCACTCTCACCCGGATCTGGAAGGCAGAGTACCCCTGGTCACTGGCCAGCGCTGTTTAGAACTATCCAGGGGGCTCAAGGACTCATGGGCTCTCTTCCTCCCTTCCCTTCTCCCAGCTCCCATCTCCCTCCACACTTTTCCTGCTCACAGCCCCGGGGAGTCAGGTCCACAGGGCTCTGCCCTGTGGTAAGCCTTGCTGTCCTAGGAAGCAGGCTCTGTCCCTCTGGGCTGCTCACCAAGCCACATGCACAAAACCCTGCCAGTCCCCCCAGCAGCCTGCCACGCTGCTGAGCCCAGATGGTATCTTTTAGTGGAAATTTCCTGAAGACACAGGAAGAAGCCAAGGGAAATGTAACAGAGAACTTAGCAGCAGGCTTTGCCTCTATCCTAGAGTCCCTGAACTGATCCCCTGCCTGGCCCAGGAGGCCTGTGCATGACAGAGGTGTGACCTGCCCACTAGCACTAGTCAGGGTCAAGCCGTGCCTTGGCCCCCACCCTTCACTCTTGGGAGAAAGCTCTCAATTTGTTCAGTACCTACACATAAGGGGCTGTCTTTACGGGTTTGCCCAGACATCCCAGGCCCTCCCGAGTCCATGCCCTTCCCTAAGAGTCTCCACTTCCCAGGATGGTGACAATAAAGGCCCATTCCCCTCAGGAGAAGCCCCCTCTGCTCAAGATGTGGCCTTGGAGATGTGCTCCGACCATGCCCAGAGCCACACAGACCCAAGTGCAGCCAGGACCACCCACACTGGCCTGCCCCTGCCCTCTGATGGCTCCTTCTGGCCCAAGGACCATCCCCTCCTCATTGAAACCCTGACTCGGGGATGCTCTGGGGAAAGGGGAGGTCACTGTGGAACCAGAAAATAAAGATACAACCCTAGCTTCTCATCTAGAGAGTGCCATCCAGCTGTGAGACCAAAGATTGGAAAGGCAATGAAGTAGAGCGACCCCGGAGCTGGTGTAGTCCTCACCCGCAGTGCGTGCAGACACATGGCACTGCAAGCTACAGGCACGGCTTCTCTATATCTAGAATTGTGTATGTGTGTCCATGTGTGTCTGTGTCTCTCTGTGTACATCCACGTATGTGTGTCTGGGTCTGTGTGTGTGTCTGTGTGTCTCTGTGTGCATCCATGCGTGTCCGTGTCTGCGTGTCTGTGTGTGTGTGTCTCTGCATATCTGTGTGTGTCTATGTGTGTCTGTGCCCTCCAGGCCGGGTAGGGGCAGGAAGAGTTGGGAGAGGAAGCCTGATACAGGCCCAGGCCCCAGGCCCTGCTCACTCCCCTCAGCTCCTTGGGCTGAGTGCAGTGGGCTTGAGGGTGGATGTGCAGTGGCCTCCTTCCCGAAGTCTGAGGCCTTGGTCTAGGGCTGAGGTTGAAGGACAGCCTGGATGGCACAATACCAAGGCTCTTGGAGAGGCTGTGTCACCCGCCTCAGGGGTGCAGGTGGTTTGGGCACATTTGGCACCCACAGCAGCCCCATCTTCCCTGAAAGGCTGAGGAGGGAGGGCAGCCAGAAGTTCCATGGGGACCCCGGTGGACTTGAAAGCTGGACAACCCAGGCGAATCTGATCGCTGGAGTCGGAGGTGCGGAGGCTGCAGTGAGCCGTGATCGCTCCACTGCACTCCAGCCTGGTCGACAGAGCAGAACCTTGTCTCTAAAACAATTAATTAACATGACTGAGAAGTGACTAACTTGGCAGAATTCACCAAGAAGGGGTCGACTGCTCTCTATCAAGCATGAAATAGGGGCTAGACTAGAATTACAGAACATAATGGGAGTTAGGTTTTTTTCGTGGGCGTCCTACTGGGAACTCTGCACCCACGGCCAGGCCTCCTGCCGCGTGCGAGTCTTCTGACAACCCCCTGCGCAAGCGGGGCCCCTCCGGCCGCCCCGGGACGTGCGTGTTCCTCCCGCTCGCGGCCCACCCCACTCGCGGGGCGTCCTCCCGCCAGCGGGACCTGCCGTAGGAGGGGAAGGGAAGGGAAGGGAAGAAGGCCGAGTCGCCTCCCCTTAGGTGTAATCTGTGCTGCTGACTTCAGAAGGATGTCTTCGGGTTGGAAGATTTAACTGGGAGCGAAAGTCAGTAAACAGCCCACGAAACAAAGGCCAAAGCTCTCCAGGCCCTTCCAAAGGTTTTTCGTATGATGAAGCCCCGCAGTGGGGAGGGCCCCGGAGCGCACCCGCCGCGCCCCTGCTGGGAGCTTCCCACTCTCCGCGGAGGCTGGGGGCAGTCCCGGCCAGCGTTTCCATCAGCGAAAAACACCCACTAGGCCACGTCTAAGTCGCGCTTGGAAATCGCTAAGTGCGGGACCCTGGCTCGGGCCAGTGGACACCCGGACTCCCCGCGCGCACAGCAGCCCGGCCGAGCCTGGGCGCCAAGCCTGGGCCGGGCTCCACATGGCTCCCCTTGGCCCCAGGGAACTGTCGCCCCTGGGTTCCGCCGCGGCTGTCCTCTCGGCCCTCTGCTGGCGCATCAGCACAGTGGTTTTCCGAGGCAGGGGTTGGGTCCAGCCTGTGCTGCTTCTGAGCCGCAGGAAGTCGCTGAGACCAGCGTAAGGAGGAAACCCCAAAACCTCTAACTGGACAGGAGAACTCCTGAGGAACCTTCCGAGAGGAGGGGCCGCAGCTGAAGCCGGCAGGCAGAGACGGAGAGAAATTTGACGTCGTCATAATCAGCACCAATACATATATACATAAATACTTGGAAAACCACCCAATGTTAAATTTCAAATTAGAAACGTCCTAAATGTCCAACAGCAGGGGAATGGCTAAGTAAAGTATAATACCTAGCTAGAACAGATGGTACCAGCCAGTCTAAAAGGAGGGTTCAGAGTTTGCTGTAATTTTGGAAATTGTAATTAATACCCATTTAACTGAGGAGATAATTTTTATTAACTAACATGATCTCATTTATAGCTTTAAAATGTGCCTAAAAATAGCAATTGTCATGGTGATTTTATTTGTTTGATAGAATGGGTGACAATTCATATATGAATGAACAAGTTACCCCAAGAAGACAAACAGGTTAGAGTAACCTTGTGCAAAAAAAAAAAAAAAACTCCATCTGCTTCCGAAGGAGGCGTGAGGTTGCCTGTGTGGTGCCTGCCTTCTTGAACGTGGTGCAGAAGAGCTGGGGCTCTGCCCGGCAGTGCCCACTTCCTCTGTAACAGGCAGGATGATGTCTGCTGAGGAAAGAGCTGTGGCCTGAGGAGGGGACAGCGGATTCGTGAAAGTAGAGCCCAGGGAGTGAAGGAGGGATGGGATGGGGGATGGTTAGGGGACAGGGAGTCCAGAATCAGAAGCGTGAACCCCGGGGCCCGGGCCACTTGGGCTGGTGATGCAGCCTCCCAGCTTGGCAGCAGGAGGTGAGCCCTTGACTATGGCCCCCATGAGGTCCCCTTCTCTCAGGAGGGTAGTAATGGTCCCTGCTGCTGTGATTTGAATACTCCTCCCTTCAAAACTCATGTTGAAACCTAATCCTCAATATGGCAGTATTGAGAGGTGGGGCCTTTAAGAGGTGACTGGGTGATGAAGGTTCTGCCCTCTTGAATAGGTTAGTCCATTCCTGGATTAATGGATTGATGAAGGGGTTGATGGATTAATGTGTTATGCAGTAGGACTGTTGGCTTATAAAAAGGGAAAAGAGACTTGAGATGGCACGCTCAGCCCCCTGCCATATGATGCCCTGAACCACCTCTGGGCTCTGCAGAGTCCCCACCAGCAAAAAAAAATGCTCACCAGATGCACCCACTCAACCTTGGACTTCCCAGCCCCCAGAACTGTGAGAAATACATTTCTTTTCTTTATAAATTACCCAGTTTCAGGTATTCTGTTATAAGCAACAGAAAACAGACTAAGACCCCTGCTTCCTAGAGCTGTAGAGAGGGGCCCACACCAGCATCCACAGAGCACTAGGAAGAGGGCCTCCATGGCATAGGCACCCAGGAAATAAGTGTCCGCTGAACCTGTGGATTCACAGGTGCCTCTGATGGACTTCGGGATGGGCTGGTGGTGCCGTTAAAGACCAGTGGCTGCCTCTGCTGTGTTCGTGTTGTCCACATCACTGCTGGGATGACAAACCTGCAGAGGCTCCATCTGCACACAGTTTTGATGAAGCTGGAAATTCTCCCTCTCTCCTTGCACCTCTTTCTCAGACTTTCTTCAGGGATTTTTATGGTTTTCTAAATTATTTTTGCATAAACACTATTTTAACAGCAAAGAATAAAAATTTTTAAGTGCAAACATTCACACTTCATCTCACTGCTCTCAAATTATCTTTTACATTTTCATATTTATCTCCTATCCCTTCTCATATTCAGACATAATTTGACATAGTGCTAATTATAGCATTAATTCATATTCTGTCTTTGCTGTTCAAAGGAGTTTAGGGTAGATTGGTGGAAAAGTCAGATTAAATGAACGTGAAGCAAGGTAGCATCAAGCTGCCCCTCTGCAATCATAAGCATCAGATCTTTGGGAGGATCAACAAGTGTTACATTCAGAATAGCCAGCTTCAAGAGCAAAGGCAAACCCAAATAAGCCATTTCTGAAAATATTATCCCAAGTGTATTACGTGTGTGTGTCAAAATTATGCAATGGTTTCATGCAAATTGTTGAGTAGTGAATGAGAACATTGCCGTTTAAAACAAACAAACAAAAAGCCCTAGATGAGTCCAAAACCACTTACTGGAAGGAATGAAGAATTAAAGAAAATCACTAAACTGCAATAAGAGAGGATATATTACTAACAAGTCTGATGAACCAAGTGAACTAGATGCAACCCCTCTCTCTTTCTCTCTCTCTCTCTCTGTCTACACACACACACACACACACACACACACACACACACTCCCATCAGGAAAAGAGAGTAAGTTAGCATCATTTTAAACCAGCATTTAAGATCACAAACTAAACAATAAAGAATAGAAACAGGTGGGAAATTGGACAGAGGGAAACCGAAAATCATTAAAGACTTACGCTTCCATAAAGGGCAGACCAAGTTTTGTGTGTTTGTTGCCAATTGTAGATATATTTTAAATGAGACTGATACTGTTTTAGGATAACAACCATAGGATCAAAACTGGTCTGATTTCCTGGCTGACCCTTAGTAAGAGATGGAAGCAAATGGAATGTGGCTCACTCATCCAAAGACAGCAAATAGAGAAAGAAGACAGAAAGCTAGGCCTACTCTGCAGGTGTCCATGGTAGGCACCACTAATGGGGCAGGGGCTCCCTCACCTCCCATGCTCCCCCCAACATGGGTCCTCGCAACCTTCCTCTTAATCATTTAGTAGATCTGCCACCTCCTTCTTCCCTTTCCATCACTCCACACCATCTGTGTGAACTTTTTCTGGATTGCTGGGTGGGCTCCTAAACGTTGATTTGTCTAAAATATAAAACCCGTTTTACAGAGTAGGTACCCAACAAATATAAAATGTGAGTATTTTGGTATATTCATTTTATTTACATCAAGTTTCTTTCTATCTACATAAGTGTAATACTGTATATCAGCATGTTTCAGATTTTACTATGATGGTTCTGCTAGCTACAGTAAAGGAAGAAGGCTTTTATGTTTGTGTGCATGTGGCTGTCTTGCAAAATGTATATGGGATATGCATTGTCTGTTCTTTAAAAACATACAATGATTCGTCTATGTATTTCCAACTTATTAGTTCTGTTTACTTAGTCATTTCCACTCTCAACTTCTATTAGTCTGCTCGGTTTGCCATAACAGAATACCACAAACTATTTGAACGTGTCTTAAACAACAGAAATTTATTTCTCACAGCTCTGGAGGCTGGAAGTTTGAGATCAGAGTGCTGGGCAGTTTGGTTCCTGGTGAGGGCTCCCTTCCTGGCTTGTAGACAAACACCTTCTTGCTGTATCCTCACATGGCCTTCTTTTGATGAACATGCATCCCTTGTGCTATGGTGTGAGTGTTTGTGTCCCTGCCGACATTCAGTTTCATGTTGAAACTGAATTTCAACAGTATTAAGAGGTGGAGCTTCTAGGAGATGATTAGGCCATGAAGTCTCTGCCCTCATAAATGGGATCAGAAACCTTGTAAAAGGGCTCAAAGAAACTAGTTCAGCCCTTTTTTGCCCTTCCATCCCTTCCAGCACGTGAGGACACCTAGACGGTGCCATCTTGGAAGCAAAGACTGGACCCTCACCACACACTAAACCTGCCTGGGCCTTGCTCTTGGACTTCCCAGCCTCCAGAACAGTGAGAAATAGGCTCTATTATTTATAAATTACCCAGTTTGTGGTATTTTTTTATAGTAGCACAAATGGACTAAGAAAACTGCTGTCTCTTCCTCTTCTTCTCAGGACATCAGCACTGTGGCATTAGGTCCCTGTCCTCATGGCCTCATTTAACCTTAATTACCTGTTCAAAGTCCTCATCCCAAAATACAGTCACATTGGGGATTAGAGCTTCAACATGTGGATTTTGAGGGGACACAATTCAGTCCATACCACAATTTTTCTGGCCAATTGTAGGATGGTGCTTCTTGGCACACTTAGGGATGAATTAGATTGTGTAATTAGTTCTGGACAACAATTTGTGAGCTGCTATGATTTGAATATTTGACCCCTGAAAACCTCATGATGAAATTTGATCCCCAGTGTTGAAGGTAAGAGCCTAATAGAAGGTGTTTGGGTCATAAGGGTGGACCCCTCATAAATAGATTAGTGTCCAGGGGTGGGGCTGAGTAAGTTCCTGCAAAGAGCCTGGCATTTCCCCCTTGCTTCCTCTCTCAACATGTGATCTCTACACACAGAGATCCCCTTCACCTTCTGCCATGAGGGGAAGCAGCCTGAGGCTCTCACCTAATGTTGGTGCCATGCTTCTGGTACAGCCTGCAGAACTGTGAGCCAAATAAACCTCTTTTCTTCAGCTGGGTGCAATAGCTCACACCTGTAATCCCAGCACTCTGGGAGGCTGAGACAGGAGGATCACTTGAACCCAGAAGTTTGAGGTTATAGTAAGCTATAATTGCTTCACTGTATTCCAGGCTGGGTGACACAGCAGAACCCTGTCATTCATAAATAAATCAATAAACAAACAAACAAATAAATAAATAAATAATTTTTTAAACTCTTTTTCTTATAAATTACCTAGCCTCAGGTATTCCTGTATAGCAACACTAAAAAGACTAAGATATGAGCAAATGTGATTTATGTCACTACTGGGCTGTGCACTTAATTGCCAGTATAAGATGTTCCAAAGCTTTCTTATCTCTCTGCCATAGTAACTGGCACTGTAAAGATACTGGCTGCTTTGTCAGCTTGGGTTGCTGAATGTCTACAATGAGTAGAATTCCCTGCAATAGGATAGCATGAGAATGGAATAGAGAAGAAATACACCTTTTTGACTTGTCACTAGGATTTTACTGTTTTTGCTGCAGTATAATCTAATCTACTTTCACTGATACAACTTCTTTGGTGGTAATTTTTAGTGGAGATGTAATTTAGACACACAAAAAAATGCAAAACATTCATTTCAATATGCTTTGGTAATTATATTACTCCTGTGCAATCACTGTAAACAAGAGATGGTGCATGTCCATTACCCCAAGTGTTTCAAGTTCTTTCCAACTAGTCCTCCCACCTTCTTCCATCCCAGAGAAACTATGCTCTGGTGTTCTGATTTCTGTCATCATAGATTAATTTTTCTCTTCCTGAGCTTCATATAAATGGGATCATATTGTCTGTATTTGTGTCTTGCTTTCGTTCAATCCACATAATGTTTTTTTGAGATCAATGTATATTGTGCGAGTCAGGTGAGCATCCTTTTGTTGTTTGCTGACTACTATTCCATAGTATTAATGTGCCACAGTTTGTATATCCATTCTACTATTGATGGACATTTGGTTGTTTTCCCTTTTGGGTTATTCGAATAAGGCTACATTCTTGTGCAAGTCTTTTTGTAGACGTGTTTTATTCCTGTTGGCAAATACCTAGGAGTGAAATTTCTGAACCATAGGGTAGATGTATCTTGAAACTTATAAGAAATTAACAAAAGGTCTCTAAAGTTCTCCAGCCATTTTATACTCCTTTCAGCAATATTTGAGAGTTCAGTGCTATATATTCTTGCCTATATTTGGTTGCGTTGTCTTTTATAATTTTAGCTAGCCCAGACTGCTGTTAGCATTCAGTCCAGAAGCCCTCGGGAGAGAGGGCCTTTGCTTTCTTTCCCAAAAAAGTCTTCCTTAACAAATGGTGCTCAAGCACTGATTATTCACATGGAAAAAATGAACTTTGACCTCTACGTCACTACATACACAAAAATTAAAATGGGTTATAGACCTAAAAATAAAAGCTAGAACCATAAAGCATCTAGAGGATAACACAGGAGATTCTTAAAAAAAAAAAAATTAGAGTAGGCAAAGGGTTCTTAGGACACAGAAACATTAAATCATTAAAAAATGATAAATTTGACTTCATAAAAGTATTTCTCCCAAAATACTTGAGTTATAATTAATTATATTTGAGCACCACCATGCCAGGCTAATTTTCATATTTTTAGTAGAGACGGGGTTCCACCATGTTGGCCAGGCTGGTCTTGAACTCCTGACCTCAAGAGATCTGCTCACCTCACCCTCCCAAAGTTCTGGGATTACAGGTATGAGCCACTGCGCCTGGCTGATTTTCTTTGTATTTTCTAATGCTTTGATCCTTTTTATGTCATAATGATTTACCATATTTTGTAAACATTTTAGACACCAGAAAGTCCCCAGGCAGGACCTGATGGCTCACGCCTGTAATCCCAACACTTTGGAAGGCTGCAGTGGGAGGATCTCTTGAGCCCAGGAGTTTGAGATCAGCCTGAGCAACATAGTGAGATCCTGTCTCTACAAAAAAATTTACAAATTAGATGGTGTGGTGGTATGTGCCTATAGTCCCAGCTACTCAGGAAGCTGAGGTGGGAGGGTGGCTTGAGCCCAGGAAGTTGAGGCTGCAGTGAGCTATGATCTCCACTGCACCCCAGCCTGGGCAACAGAGTGAGACCCTGTCTCAAAGAAAGGCTCCAAAGTCAGAATCTATCGATGAATTCTGTTTTGTATTTTTGTAATTTCTACTTACCTTTGCCAGCTTGACTTTAATAATGGTGAGTCAAATTGTCTAACATATTTTGTCAAATTGCTCCTAACTCTACATCTTATGTCTTTATGTCAAAAAGTAACAAAATTCATAAAGTTTCAAAGACATTATCCTTAATATTGATAATAATTTTTGTTAAATGCTGTTTATACATATTTTGCCAATTGCAGTTGACTAAACCATGCCCTTTTAATATTAATATTGGTGTCAGTGCCTGTGATCCTATTTGGCAAAGGCTTTCTGGTTATTCTGCTGCTGCCCAATGCATATCCCGTCATGAAAGCCTGGTGAGTTGGAAGGAACAAGGTACTTGAGTCAGACCTGGGTAGAATCCCACATCGACTGCTCACTGGTTGTGAGATCTTGGATATGTGTGGTAACCTCTCCAAACCATGGAGGGAAGAACAATGCCTACTACAAAGGATGAAATTATAGATTCTATGCAGCAATGGCTACATACACACATCTGTGACCAAGAGCGACAGACGTGGACTGTTTCCAAGCCCATTTTTTAAATTATATTTATATTTGAGCATAGTGGTGCTCAAATATAAATATAATACCAAACCATCACTATGGTTTGGTATTTTTGAGACAGGTTCTCACTCTGTTGCCCAGGCGAAGTGCAGTGGCACGATCTTGGCTCACTGTAGCTCCGCCTCCCAGGTTCAAGCAATTCTCGTGCCTCAGCCTCCTGAGTAGCTGGGATTACAGGAATGCACCACCACGCCCAGCTAAGTTTTGTATTTTTAGTAGAGACGGGGTTTCACCATGTTGACCAGGCTAGTCTAGATCTCCTGACCTCAAGTGATCCACCCACATCAGCCTCCCGAAGTGCTGGGATTACAGGCGTGAGCCACCGCGCCCGGCCGCAAGCCGGTCTTTAGGGGATTTTGTGTATTCGTTATGGTTTGGAATTTATTGGGTGCCTAATATACACAATACTTGTATATTTTAGACAAGTCAACATTTAGAAGCCCATCCAGAAATCCAGAAAAAGTTCACACAGATGGTGCGGAGTGATGGAGAGAGAAGAAGGAGGTGGCAGATCTACTAAATGATTAACAGGAAAGCTGGAAGGACCCGTGTAGGGAAATCGTGGGAGGTGAGGGAGCCCCCGCCCCATTGGCAGTGCCTACCATGGACACCTGCAGAGCAGGCCCAGCTTTTCATCTTCCTTATCTATTTACTGTCTTGGGATAAGGGAGCCACATTCTTGTTTGCTTCCATCTTTTACTAAGGTCAGCCAAGAAATCAGCCCAGTTTTGATCCTAGAGTTATTATCCTAAAACAGTATCAGTCTCATTTAAAATATATCTAGGCTGGGCTCAGGGGCTCATGCCTGTAATCCAAGCACTTTGGGAGGCCAAGGTGGGCAGATCACCTGAGGTCAGGAGTTGGAGACCAGCCTGGCCAACATGGTGAAATCCCATCTCCACTTTAAAAAACAAAAATACAAAAATTAGCTGGGCGTGGTGGTGGGTGCCTGTAATCCCAGCTACTTAGGAGGCTGAGGCAGGAGAAACATTTGAACCCAGGAGGCAGAGGTTACAGTGAGCCAAGATTGCGCTATTGCACTCCAGCCTGGGTGACAGAGCAAGACTCCATCTAAAAATAATAATAAATAAATATACTGGTAATGAACACACAAAACTTGGTTTGCCCTTTATGGAAGTGTAAGTCTTTAATGATTTTTGGTTTCCCTCCGTCCACTTTCCCACCTGTTTCTATTCTTTATTATTTAGCTCATGATCTTAAACGCTGGTTTAAAATGATACTATCTTCTCTTCCATTACTTACGTGTGTGTGTGTGCATTATGTGTTTTGTATCCATTTCCTTGGCCCTTCCTGTTGGAGTTTAGTGATTTTCCTGAATTCCCCATTACTTCAAGTAGCTTCGGGGCCACCACAAGCTTTCGACACCCCCCATGAGCCTGGGGGTGCTGTTGAGTCACCTGGTGCACATGGCATCTTCTGCTGGCCTCCCCAAAAAGGAGACTCTGAGACAGGCTTGGGGCTAGTCGTTTGGGAAGCACTGTCAGCCACTGAGCAATGAGCCAGAACCAGAAGCTGTGCCACACACAGGTGCAAGAATGAGTGGGGTACCACTGTGGCAAATTGGGTACAATCCCACTGAGGCACTGTAAGAGAACATGAAACACGGCAGGACTGACTCACGGAAAAGGGGGTGAGCTGGGATAGTCCTCCAGGAACTCCTAGTCCTTATCGATGGAAGGTGCCTCCTGGAAGCATTAAATCCCCAGCACCTGAAGCTGGGCACACCCACAGGGCAGGCAAATTCCTGTGGCCACTGAAAGGCCTCAAGCAGGGAGCTCAAGTTCTTGAGGTGGGGAGCCCTCGACATACAGGGACATTGGCCACCAAAGCACAAGGTGAGCTCAAGAGATGTCAGGGGCGCTACCAGCAGCTGCTGCGTGCCATGTTTTATGAAGTGTCAGAGCATGAGGGGCTCTGCCAACTGAACGTGGCTGGGAACGGCTGCCTTATGGTGCCCTTCACCAACATCACAGAACCTAGGCCATGGGAACACCTTCCCAGGAGGACCTCCAGGTATGGACCAATGCCAGGGGCCCAAAACTGAAGTAACAACTTCTCCTTCTGCTGTAGAAAAATTGCAGAAAAATATTGTCTCTAATTTTATTAGAAGTACTTCTAAATGTAAAATGTTTCCAATTAAGTATTTTAAATTTGTATCTCTCTAGGCATTTCTGAAAATGTTATTCGGAAAAATGTAGGAAAATACTTTTCAGCAGCTCTTTTTATGAGTTAAAAACAACTTATTTCAACTCCTAGTGCAATAAATTTTATTTTAAAAGCATTAATAAACTGGCAAGTTCAGAATTAAATACTGGAACAGTTCTAAATCAAAGTTTACAAACATTTGAAATGCTAACAGACTGCAGTACTTTTTAATAGTTGGAACTTTTAGGTAGTTGGAAGGATTTCAGAAATAAAGAGGACAAAAGTACAGAAAAATGACGTGTTCCCATGTGCACATTTACATATTTGCCATATATTGAAACTTTTTAAATGAAAAAAATATGTTCCAAAAAATGCCACGGCATAAAACATTTTCATGGTTAACATCCATTTTTGCTCTGAAAACAGCAGTCTTTGATAATGTAAACATCAATTTAGCCTTCACCCTATAATTTGTCTTTTCTCTTAAGTAAATATTGGTACTTTCTTTCAGAAACTTAATAACCACAAGGCAAGTTCAAGTGCCTGGAAAATACTCTGCACTTGATGCGTCTGGTTCCCATAATGAAAAGATGCATCAATTCAGAGCAAACCTATCATAGAGCTGCGCCTTCAGAAAGATACCCCTGTTGCCAAAATACACCACCACCCCCTCTGGAATTACATAAATGTGTTTAGTGTTCATATGGAATTTTCTAAAAGAAAACAAGTCAATCAAGCTGTTTTGTAGTCCTAAAGAACTTAGGTCTTGGCAGAACACTGGAGACATTTTAAAAGCTCTGGACTTAAGACAGATTCATGAGTGATGGGTCAAGATCAAGGTCTTTACAGACAGTGGATGTACATTGTTTAATCTCCATTGTTTAGAAGAAATCTAGTCCTCGTTATGTTCCCCCTCCTGTGTCCACATGTGCACATACACCCTAGAACTTAAAGTATAATAAAAATATATAAAAAAAAGAAATAAATAAATTTAGAAAAAAAGAAAAGAAGAAATCTAGTGCTCGTTATAAACCCTCAATGCAAGTGAGATAACTTCAGGTCTTAAACTGACCATAGTTCTATTGGGTTCTTATAAATTAAACATGTTGAAGTGCATTTGCTAAATTGAAAATGACACTTTACTAGTGACAATCTCTTGTTTGTCTTGGGAGAAGGGTTATTTTTATCTTCAAGTGCAAAGACATGGTTTCAGATTCAACTTTTTTTATTGTTATTATACTTTAAGTTCTAGGGTACATGTGCACAATGTGCAGGTTTGTTACATAGGTATGCATGTGCCATTTTGGTTTGCTGCACCCATTAACTCGTCATTTACATTAGGTAGTTCTCCTAATGCTATCCCTCCCCCAGTCCCCCACCCCACGACAGGCCCCGGTGTGTGATGTTCCCCGCCCTGTGTCCAAGTGTTCTCATTGTTGAGTTCCCACCTATGAATGAGAACATGTAGTGTTTGGTTTTCTGTCCTTGTGATAGTTTTTTGAGAATGATGGTTTCCAGCTTCATCCATGTCCCTGCAAAGGACATAAACTCATCCTTTTTATGGCTGCATAGTATTCCATGGTGTATATGTGCCACATTTTCTTAATCCAGTCTATCATTGATGGACATTTGGGTTGGTTCCAAGTCTTTGCTATTGTGAATAGTGTCGCAATAAACATACATATGCATGTGTCTTTATAGTAGAATGATTTATAATCCTCGGGTATATACCCAATAATGGGATTTCTGGGTCAAATGGTATTTCTAGTTCTAGATCCTTGAGGAATCGCCACACTGTCTTCCACAATGGTTGAACTAGTTTACACTCCCACTAACAGTGTAAAAGTGTTCCTATTTCTCCACATCCTCTCCAGCATCAGATTCAACTTTTAAAGTCATTGCAAAAGTTAAGGCCAACTGCAAAGTTAGAGAAACAGTCCACAAGACTGCCTTCACTTTTTTTTTTTTTTTTTTTTTTTTTTTTTTTTTTTTTTTTGAGACAGGGTCTAGCTCTGCCTACCCAGGCTGGAGTGCAGTGGCACAATCACAGCTTACTGCAGTCTTGACTTCGCAGCCTCAGGCAATTCTCTCACTTCAGCCTCCAGAGTAGCTGGGACTACAGGCATGCACCACCACATGCAGGTTTTTGTTTGTTTGTTTTTGTTTTTTTAGAGACAGTGTCCCACTGTGTGGCCCAGGCTGGTCTCAAACTCCTAAGCTCAAGCAATCTTCCTGCCCTGGCCTGTCAGAGTACTGAGATTACAGGCATGAGCCACTGCACCCAGCCAAGACTGCCCTCACTTCTGACACTAGCTGTCAATTTGGTGGGGAGGTTCCCAAAACCACCCTCAGATTCAATCATTTGCTAGGAAGACACAGAACCGACTGAGAGCTGCTGTCATTGTAGGTAGGGTTTATTACAGTGAAAGTCTAGATTAAAATTGGCCAAGGGCAGGGTGCAGGGAAAGTACCGCATGCAGTTCCCACTGTCCCCTCCCCATGGAGTGAGGAAGGCGTGGCTTTCCCAGCATCGCTGTGTAACAGTAGGCATGCAGCAGGGCCACCCTGCAAAGCCACTCGAGCATTGGGTCTGAGGTGTCTGCTAGAGTTCCCTCACATGCATGTGACTGATTGTTCCCCTGGCCGATCTCAGCCTCCAGCCTCCTGCCCTCCCGAAGTTGACTGATTCCATGTGACCCCCAAATCCCCCACCCATAGCATGTCGTTACCACCTGGAGTGTCCAGGTCCCATCCTGAGACTACCCAGTGGGGCAGCCCCACCGTAAATCACATCTAGACTACCCAGCGTGAGCCCAGGCCACTGGCAAATGAAGACAATCCTATTAAGCACTATACTCCAAGGGCTTGGAGATAGATCACCTGCCAGAAGCTGAGGACAAAGTCAGAGCTCTTTAGGGCAAGGTTAAACTCCTTACTACACAAATCAGTTGTATGATTATTACAGTCATGTATTTTATATTTCAAGAAATGTGTTTGACTATTGTGAAATAGAGTTGAAGCCTTTCAAACCTTTAAAACCAACAACTATATGTTTTGCATATGTTAAAATAAAAATTATGACATACTTTGGTGATAGCAAATGAAAATAAACTTAATTTTAAGTTTTGCTTGGGACAGAAAAAGAATAAGAAGGCAAGAAGCAAGAAGAGCAGATCATTTGTGTGTCCCTACAGTTATCTTGCAGTTTACCATCATTGCTACCAACAGATTTTATTTTCTTCTTTAAAATGAGAAAATGCCACAGATTCAAAGAGATTATGGAGACACAACAAGTGGGTGCAATGTAGGATCCTGGATTGGATCCTTGGAAAGAAAATGATCGTTAGGGGGGAAACTAGTGAAACACAAACAAGGTCAGCAGTTTACTATTAATTATTACCATGATGCCTTTGGGAAGCCGAGATGGGTGGATCATGAGGTCAGGAGTTCAAGACCAGCCTGACCAACATAGTGAAACCCCGTCTCTACTAAAAATACAAAAATTAGCTGGGCATGGCAGCGGGTGCCTGTAATCCTAGCTACTCGAGAGGCTGAGGCAGGAGAATCACTTGACCTGGGAGGCAGAGGTAGCAGGGAGCGGAGATCACGCCACTGCACTCCATCCAGCCTGGGAGACAGAGCAAGACTGTCTCAAAAAAAAATAATAATAATAATAATAATAATAATTACCATGATGCATGGTACCAATGCTAATTTTCTGGTGTTATTATAATTCTGTGAGTTGTTAATATTAGGGGAAGGTGAGTGAAAAATATATGTGAATCCTCTGCATTGTTTTTGCAACTTTTCTGTAAGTCTAAAATCATTTCAAAATGAAAAGTTAAAAGAAAAAAGTTTAAAATGATCTGTCTCTGCATATTCAAGGATTCTCAATCATTTTCATCTTTTTGGAGATCAACCAACTCTTTGATGAAAAGTAGGTACCTTCAGCCAACTCTTTGATGAAAAGTTATGTACCATCTGTCCTAAAGAGCCTCAAGTCCACTTCATAGTTTGGATGTTTGTACCCCAAACCTTATGTTGAAATTTGATCCCCATGTTGGAAGTGGTGCCTCACAGGAAGTGTCTGGGTCATGAGGGCAGATCCTCATGAATAGATTCATGCTCTGAGTAAGTTCTCACTCTATTAGCTCCCTTGAGAGTTCCCCCATTAGCTGGTTGTTAAAAGAACCTGGCACCTCCTCTGTCTCTCTTGCTTCCTCTCTCACCGTGTGATCTCTACACACCACTCTCCTTCACCTCCCGCCAAGAGCAGAAGCAGCCTGAGGCCTCCCCAGAAGCAGATGTTGGCACCAGGCTTCTTGTACAGCCTGCAGAACCATGAGCCAAATAACCCTCTTTTCTTTATAAATTACTCAACTTCAGGCATTCCTTTATAGCAACACTAAATGGACTAAGACATCCACTGTTGCCATTTCATCAGTTCACAGACCCACGTGGAGCCCATCTGTGGGCCTCAGTGAAGAACCCTAGCTCCAGGGTCCACAGCTCAGGACTCAGGTGTGAGAGGAAGTAGCATCCAACAGTTGATCTGATGAGGAACACCTAGTTCCCACTTCAGCTAAGGAAGGAGACCACCCTTCATATTGTCTTATGCCCAATTTCTGCCTCCAAAGAAAAAAGCAGTGAAAACTAAAAGGCAGAAATGAAATCCACAGGCAGACAGCCCAGTGCCACACCCTGGGCCTCATAGTTAAAGATCGACCCCTGACCTAATCGGGTTATATTATCTATAGATTACAGACATTGTATGGAAAAGCACTGTGAAAATCCCTGTTCTGTTATGTTCCGTTCTAATTACCAGTGCATGCAGCCCCCAGTCATGTACCCCCTGTTGCTCAATCGATCATGACCCTCTCACGCGGACCCCCTTAGAGTTGTAAGCCCTTAAGAGGGACAGGAATTGCTCACTAGGGGAGCTCAGTTTTTGAGACGTGAGTCTTGCCGATGCTTCCTGCTGAATAAAGCCCTGCCTTCTTTAACTCGGTGTCTGAGGGGTTTTGTCTGCAGCTCATCCTGCTACACAGCCACATTCATGTCTCCAGCCTCTGGCCACGTGGGAGACCTTCCTACAAAATGGGAGACAGGAATGCAGGACTTCATGCTCCTCCATGACATTTCCTCAAAAGGTTCATTATGAAAGCACAGCAATCACGTGCACAATACAGGGCACATAGTCTTTGTGAGCTGAGGAGCACCATAAATACATCCTAAAGGGGTCCTGACTGCAGCCCCACTAAGTGACACCAAACAGGGTAATCAGATCTGGGTATCAGAGCCTCTGCAGGAAATGTTGGCTTAGCCCACAGTGCTGAAAACAAATGCAAATTTGTACTAGGTGTGGGTCATCTGCTCCACCCCACACTTTCCCTCCCACTTTCTGGCTTATAAACAATTCCATCAAGAGGTTAAAGAAGGGCACAGCTGGCTAAATGGTAGAAATGAAAGGCAAGACCCAAAATCTGCCTGAAGCTTGCAGAGATAGCTTCCATCAGTATGATTTTTATATGAATAGTTGTGGGAGTTATGAGGGGACAAGAGTAACGATGCACACACTAGGCTCATGAAGGCCAAAGTCTTCATATCCTGAGTTTATAAATCAGGTGCTAGTGAAATCAAACACAAGACACATTTGCTCAAAAGGACAAAGGCGGCTTCAGAGAAAAGGAATGGTTTGTCCAAGGAGAATCCACGATCACTTCCAGCCCTGAGAAATGGCTAGCACATCAGGAAATGCTTGGACAGCTCTAGCCCAGGTTCAACAACCTTTCCAAAGAATCACACTAAAGCACAGATCCCTTTATCCTGGGGGTCCAGCTGCCCAAGCTTGGCCACCAAGACAGAGGGATCTGCAAGAAAGCTGACTTTCTCCAAGCACTGCTCCATAATGGACAGAGTGAGAGGAGAGTGTGGAGTGGACAGAAGGCTCGCACAGTGCAGTGAGTGTGCAGAGCACTGAGGAAGGAGGAACACAGCCAGTGGGGACTGAAGAGGCCTGCATTTCTGACAGGGACTGGAGTAGACACAGATGGTAAGCACGATGGAAAGTGTTCTGATCAACCCCCTACCCCAGGAGGGTGGGCTCTCATTCTACCACTCTAGACCCAGGTGCAGTCATGCGCCGCATTATAACCTTTCAGTCAACGACTGGCCATATATACAACGGTGGTCCCAGAAGATTATACCACCATATTTTTACTATAGCATTTCTATGTTTAGATACACAAATACTTGCCATTGTGTTACAATTGCATGCAGTATTCAGTACAGTTACTAGCATGTGACTGTACTGAATAGAGTCTAAACCACTGAGCCTTACACTGAGTCTTACACTGAGTGTGTAATGGGAGGTACCATCTAGGTTTGTGTAAGTACATTCTACGATGTTCAAAGATGAAATTGCCTAACGATGCATTTCTCAGAAGGTGTCCCCATCACTAAGCACCAAATGACTGTATTTGTTCAGAACTATGGCAGCAAGTGAAGACTTCAGCTTCCCTAGACCTTCACAGTCTCATGGAAACTTCTAGGGCAGCCAATCCTTTCAAAGGAACTAAAAGTCCTTTCAAAGCCAATAATTCACTTCAGCAACCTGGACCCTAAGGCTTTCATTCCACAATTAGGATACAATTATCTGATTATTTTTCCCCAAAGAAAAAATTCTAGAAGGAATATGTGCATTTTTAGGACTTTTGGTATGCACTGCCAAATGTCCTATCAGAGCAGTCATCTCAATTTACACACGGACAGACATGTCCACTTCCCCAGTCTCCTTTGCAATCTTTGCCATTTAGTACTTGGGAAGTAATTTTCATTTGTTTCAATTGGAAATTTTATAAAATGAATAATGAATGTATTTTCCTTTCATTTGTGTGTGTGTGAGTTGCTGTCCTTTGCCACATTTCTAGTGAACTGTCTTTTTCTTATTGATTTGTATGGTGTCTTTAAGTATGACGATTGCTAATATTTTCCCAGCTTGTCACATGTTAACTTCATTTAGTGGTACTTTGGCCACACAGAAGTGCTGGATTTAAATCTTCTTCCTTATTGTTTCTGCCTTTGTTACATTGGTTAAGAAAGCCTTCCCTGGCAGAGCTTGCAGTGAGCCGAGATAGCGCCACTGCACTCCAGCCTGGGCGACTGAGTGAGACTCCATCTCAAAAAAAAAACAAAAATGAAAGCCTTCCCTATGACAAGATTATAAGAAGATTAATCCATGTGTTCTTCTGGGCCTTTGTGGCTCTGTGTTTCCCATTTTACATTAATCCATCTGGAGGTTCTCTTGGCATGGGAGTTAGGTAAACATTCAACTCCCCGACCCCACCAATGTCTAGCCCTTGTCATAACACCATTTATTGAATTATCTGTCCTTCCCCTAATATTTTGAAATGCCTGCAAAGTGAGGAAATTGTTCTTTGGTAATTTTTCAAATCTACACTGCGGATGATTTCCCTTTCACCCTCACCCCACACCCTCCCTTTTGTTGAGTATTTGCCTTAAGATGCAGGTGGTGGGTGAGGATGTGCCCCATTTTGCAGCTGGGCAGTCTGTCTATGGAGGCTGGGGTCACATCAACCCCAATCCTAACAGCTTTCTCCCCTGCTTTGGGCCCTTCAATGTGTCCACTTTCCTGAGACGCCTTAAGGGAATTTATGCAGATCTATAAAAGTGACGATGGTCCCCCCTCACAGCCACCTTTTCCCACCAATGCTTTGTCATGTACCTTCACGGCAGGATCTGAAACTTGTCCTAGTGTCCACAGCCGGTCTTGACCTTAACAGAACCTATGTACCCTTGTGTGAAGCAGAGGCCGCAGCCTTAGGACTCTGAGCCTTGGCCTTTGCTGTGTGCCGC
The DNA here is from genome assembly GCF_000001405.40 of Homo sapiens. Lineage (NCBI taxonomy): Eukaryota > Metazoa > Chordata > Mammalia > Primates > Hominidae > Homo > Homo sapiens. The sequence continues at coordinate 43,650,191 of NC_000010.11, read as the reverse complement.
CCTCCACCCCTTTCTCAGACTTGGGAGGAGTGAGGAGAGGAGCCACCTGGGGCAGTTCAGGAATGGGGAGCTTCAGGACAGTTTGCACCACACACTCTGGGACTTAGCTGTGCAACACCCCGACCCCCATGTGAGGAAGGTGGTGTTTGTTTGCTCCACCAGACTGTCAGCTCCTCCCTAGGAGCACGGAGTGTGTCTTGCTCACATTCGTATCCCCAGTGTCAGCACTTAAAATGGATTCAACGGATAAATGTTGAATGAAATTCAGAAATGATGTGCAATAGTAAAAGCTAACATTTAGGAATCAACTTATTACTTACAGACACCTTTGCATATTGAGTGAAATTAAGTTGTTTGATTTAACAAATCTGTGGCTTTGGGGTAGAGAACAAGAACATAGCAAGAGGAAGCATTCTTTATTAGTCCTTCACGAAAGAGGATGGACAGACACATCTACGGAGAGGGGCTCCAGAGGCAGGGACCCAGAGATACACCCGGCCAGGCAGAACAGCTCCAGGATGTGGCCCCGATCCTGGAAAAGTGCGTTTAAAAGAGGCTTAAGGCATATCAGACAGCCTGGCCAACATGGTAAAACCTTCATCTCTACTAAAAATACAAAAAAATTAGCCAGGCATGGTGGCACAGACCTGTAGTCCCAGCTACTTGGGAGGCTGGGGCAGGAGAATCACTTGAGCCCAGAAGGCGGAGGTTGCAGTGAGGCGACACCGTGCCACTGCACTCAAGCCTGGGAGACAGAGTGAAGGAAAAAAAAAAACAGGCATTATTAGAGAGGCTTTATCTCCTACGTGTTCAAAAGCAACCATGCTCCTCCCAGTATCTCAGGACGACTGGACTGCCTGTGTTCCTGTTGCTCTTCACAGAAGCTCCATGAAAGCGGGCTTCGCTTTTGTTCATGCAGCCAGAGGCTCAACACATGACCTCGAAGCCGCCAAGGCTTTATCAAACGGATTTCTCCCAAAAACTTCGTTTCCTTCCGCGACGCCCTGCAAGAACCCTGTATTCCTGAGTCCCTGGCTCAGCGTCTGCTACCCCGATGCTGTCAATCAGATCCTGCTAATCTGAGCGGCCGTGGCTCCGTCCCGGCTCCGCGTCCGCTGACAGGTCACCGCTGTGAGTCTCCGGATTACCAGTCCAAACGGGACGGCTTGAGGTCCCCGCGCCCTAGGGACCTGCGGGGCCCGAGCGCAGGGCGCGCCAGAGAACTACATTTCCCACAGAGCTCTTGGGAAGCCGGGGCCGCCGAGACCCACGGCCCGGCGGGCGGGCTCGCGGGGAGACTCCTGGGAGTTGTAGTCCATTCCGCCGGCGCCGGCGCTGGCGCTGCTGCGGGCTCGGCGCCGGCCTTTGTCTGCGGGCACGCGCCGCTGCGGTGAGTGAGGCCGCTGGCCGGGTCAGAGCGCCGGGGCAAGGCGGGGCTGCGCCATCAGACCGCTGTCCCGGGCCCTCCGTGTGGCCGCCTTATGCCAGCGGCCGCCAAGGAAATGAGCAGGCCTGGCCGGCCCGGGCCCCGAGGGAGGCCAGCCGCGAGCGGAGAGGTCGGCGGTCCGCAGAGCAGGGTCCCGTGGACCGGAGAGCGGGATGCCGAGGTTCAGGACGCAGGGCGGGCCCGGTGCCCGGGGCCCGGGGCCTGAGGCGGGAGGGCAGCGTCTGCGGAGAGGAGCAGGGCCCATGGCGTCGGGGCGTGGGAGGGGGAGGCCGCGGCAGGCTCACCCGGCCTCCGTGCGGGCTTCAGCGAGTGCGGGAAGCCGGTGCCGGCCTTCCGGGGTGGGAGGAGAGGCAGCCCCTGCGGGGGAGAGTAGGAAGCCAGGCAGCGTGTGGGAAACCACGCTACCCACAAGCTCCTAAACCTGAAACTGGCCCCAGGACATTTTCCAGACCGCCAAGTGTACCCCTCTTCTCATCCGCCCTCCAGAGGACGCCGGATTTTAGATCTTAAGTCTGGTGGTCTCGTCTGATACTCCTCTTGTTTGGTTCTTTCCTTCTCATTGTCCTACCTGATAGGACAGTGTTAGTAACCTGTTTAATAAGTGGGGAAGCAGAGTCAGGGCTGCTGGGTTACTCGCCCAAGATCATATCCTGGGGGAGCCACGGCAAGAAGCCAAGACTCACGGACTACTTCTAAGCTTTTTCCAAAGGATATAGTAGCCTTTCTAATAGGAAAATCAATGTTTTTAATTATAAAGCCACTTTTACAAAATCTTGGGGAAACTGCTTCCTCAGACCTGTGATCTAGGGAGAAAAATATGACAATTTCTCCCTTACTAATCACGGAGGTCCCTGATAGGCGGCGGAGTTGTAACTTGAAGACCTCACAGCAGGTGGAGAGGCAGAGCTGTGAATTCTACTCTAATTTCTGGAATCCCCGGCGACAGAGTCCAACCCCAGGCAGCAGGCGCCATGTACCCCAGGGACTTTTAATGTGTGTGCAGCTGTTGAGCAAGAATACCTTGAACTTCCAAATGATGTGCTGGCATGCTGGTAGGGAATTCCTTTGCAGCTTGTGTTCCAAGTTGGAAGTGAGTCCTCCAAATAAAAATTTAAATGATTCTCCTGGTCATCACAGCATGTAGCAGAATGTGCAGTTGTCAAGAAGAACCAGGTGCTTAGGTTGACAAAACAAAGAATGGTAGCATCATACTATTATTTCATTAAATCAGAAGGCCAGCATTTTGATAGGACAAATTAGAGGGAAACAAGGAGTATGCATTGAACCACTGCATTTCTTAAAAGTATAAGAATTCAGTAATTAGGATCCTGAAGTAAGAAGAAATATTTTTTTTAAAAAATAGATCATGTGGGCCAGGTGTAGTAGCTCATGCCTACATGTCTTGGGAGGCCGAGGCAGGAGGGTCACTTCAGGCCAAGAGTTGGAGACCAGCCTGGGCAGGATAATGAGACCCGATCTCTACAAAAAAAAGTTAAAATAATTTTTAAAAATTAGCCAGGCTTGGTGGTGCTTACCTGTAGTCCTAGTTATTTGGGAGGCTGAAGTGGGAGGATCCGTTGAGTCCAGGAGTTCAAAGTCACAGCAAGCTGTAATTGAGTCACTGTACTCCAGCCTGGGCAACAGAGCAAAATCTTGACTCAGAATTTTAAAAAAATTAAAAAATAATTTAGAGCACATACAAGAGGATTCCTAGGATCTGAAAGAGCACTTCAATCTGGTCAAACTCTCTTCCTTTCTGTTCAATTTTATAAGCATTCTGACCAGCTCTTTAGTGATTAGGAACTAGACAACTGTCTAATGTAAGAGCATACATTTTGGATCCAGAAAGTCTTGGATTTGAACCTTTGCTCCACTTTGACTCCTTATTTTCTGTGGGTTTCTGGGCAAGTTACTTAACCTAGTTGGAGTGCCTTGGGCTTGGAGTCCAGAGTAGGTCTTTCTTTTCCAAGAATTGACAAGTGTTTACACTTGGTCAGAACTGGTATTCTTGTATCTTCAAGAGCAAGAGAAAGGCGAGTCTGGGTCTGGAGCCTCCTAAGAATTGTTCAGTGGTAACAAATGGACTCTCTTGTTAAGTCTTTGTAACTACAGATAACTGGAGAGCTGATTGGCTCCAACCAATCATGAAGGCTGAAATGTTGTTTTCTTAGATTCTGAATTCCTCTGGGGCTTGGAGGGAAGAAAGTAGTAGGTGGTTAGGTGGGGAACCAAAATGGAAGATCCCAATTACATGCCAAGACCAAAGTGTAAACAGGAGTGACTATTAACTTGGGATTGGCAGGAAGAGATATATGTTTATGTGTTCTCTGCTTTCCCACATCCTGCTTCCTCCTAGACTCATTTGTGTGTGGTCCTGGTACCTTTGGGCCCATTTTGCAGTGATATTTTAGTAACTGACATTATGTCAAACAATCTAGGTTTCTTACATTCACTTATGTCTCAACAACTGTTGACTTTTTCCTTCTCACATATCAATTATTCTGCCCTTTCCTGTTTGTTTCTGTTTGTTTTTCTCCCTCAGGTGCTCAGGAACAGCCCATGGAAGAATCATATGAAGAGGTGGTGACTGAGGTCGTAAGCAGGAGTGGACATGTTTGGATTTCCAACAGCTACCCTGCTGGACTGTCATGGAAGATATGCCCAGAATGTAGCGTTCTTCAGTGAGTGAGTCAGTTGATGGCTGGATGCGCTCAGCTCACAGATATTCAGTGTCCCTGTTCTCAGCACTGGTCGGCAGTCTGAGGAAGCAGAGGAGACCTTGCTTTGGTAGAGCTTGCTGTTCCTAGGGTTATAAGAAAAGCCTGTGAGCTGGAGTTAGAAGTAATAGTAGAAACAGAGCAAGAGAACCATCTTGATATGGAGGTAGCGTTGAAGTAGTCTCTGAGAATGAATGAGCAGCTTAAATCTCAGCACTGTCTCTGAATAAGGCAAGGGAACAAGGAGAAGATTACCCTGGAGTGACAGACACCAAGAAAACTGTTAATGGTGATGAATGGACCCATATTTAAAGTGCACCAGGAGGCTCAGATGCAGGGCAGTATTCGGAAAAAAAAAAGTCAATATCTGCATAGAGAATAACTTCCAAACCAAAATTGATTTCAGTTTTGCCATAGCTTAGTAGACTGAAAATAGCAAGGATTTTAATGGGAAAAATTCCTTGGATCAGATTCTATAATTGCCATGGCTAGATCTGCAGTATCAGACAGGTTATTTAACTTCCTTAAGCTCCAGGTTCGTCTGTAAAATAGGACAATAAGTTCTATCTTGTAGGGTTGCAGGGATTAGCAATGATAGATGTAAAGTACCCAGGATTGTGCTACATATTTTCTGAGGTCATGGTGCTTATTCTATTGTCAGAACAGATTGGACAGAGGTGGATTTCTGAAGAAGCAAATGCAGCTTCAGTTTTAGGACCCCTCACTTGGATTGGTCTCTCCAAGACCCTGTGCTTAATTTTATACATTTTCTTAAAAGGGTGCCTCTAAAATGGGAAAGTTTTAGGCCTTATATAGCCTGGATCCACACCTGTTTTGGAGTCAGATAAAAGTTGGGTATGGGGCTCTGTGTGATTCTGTATAGTTTTCTAAATTTTCTGAGCCTGTTTTCTGACCTGTAAAATAGAGAAAACCATGTCTATCTTACAAGGTTATTTGTTGGCCTAAATTAAATTTAGAGGCAGTACACTGCTATGGAGAATGCCTATTTGAGTCAGCTCTAACTTACCTAGCTCTGTGACCTTTGACAGGCTCCCTTTGCTCCCATTATCTGTATCACTCTCATGGCATTGTTTTCAGGATTGCATTGTCTATGCAAAGAATAAGGCCTGGCACATCATAAGCACTCAAAGTATTATGTTTCTTTTTCCCTATTCTAACTCAGCATTATTGGTGCTTCTTATATGACTTCCCTCTCATTTTATCAGATGTGATGACTGAAGCCCACCACAAATATGACCACTCTGAGGCTACAGGATCCTCAAGCTGGGATATCCAAAATTCTTTCAGAAGAGAGAAGCTGGAACAAAAATCCCCAGATTCGAAGACACTACAGGAAGATTCACCTGGAGTGAGACAAAGGGTCTATGAGTGCCAGGAGTGTGGAAAATCCTTCCGGCAAAAAGGTAGTCTAACGTTACATGAGAGAATCCACACTGGTCAAAAGCCTTTTGAGTGCACCCACTGTGGAAAAAGCTTCAGGGCCAAAGGCAATCTTGTTACACATCAACGGATACACACGGGAGAGAAGCCTTATCAGTGCAAGGAGTGTGGGAAAAGCTTCAGTCAACGAGGTAGTCTCGCTGTCCACGAGAGACTCCACACTGGACAGAAACCCTACGAGTGTGCTATTTGTCAGAGAAGCTTCAGGAATCAGAGTAACCTTGCTGTTCACAGGAGAGTTCACAGTGGTGAGAAGCCCTATAGATGTGATCAGTGTGGAAAAGCCTTCAGTCAGAAAGGAAGCTTAATTGTTCACATCAGAGTCCACACAGGCCTGAAGCCCTATGCCTGTACCCAGTGCAGGAAGAGTTTCCACACCAGGGGGAATTGTATTCTGCATGGCAAAATCCACACAGGAGAGACACCCTATCTGTGCGGCCAGTGTGGAAAAAGCTTCACCCAGAGAGGGAGTCTGGCTGTGCACCAGCGAAGCTGCTCACAGAGGCTCACCCTTTGACCACTTTCCTGAAGAGAAGTTCTCTTTATGAATTAAGAGTACAAAATCCTCTGAGATGAAGCAACCTATCCAGTTCTATGGAATGAATGGAGAATCTTTCAGAAAGACCATCATTGGGTAGGGCAAACTGATTTTTTTCCTTTCCCCCAAAAGAGTATGAAAAATAAATGTCTTGTTTATTATCATTATCATGTATGTTTTATAATTTCTGTCACTTTATTCTGACCTGATTTTTCAAGGTACCCCCATTAATCTGGTGCCACACTAGAGATTGTTCTGTGTATACCCAATACAGATTTTAAATTTGTAGTTGACACCATCAGGCTTTTATAAATGTAAAAAATCAGCCCCTCATCAATCCCAAGTTATTTTTCTTCCTTACATATTCAAATTAATCTTGTTTTGCCTTCAAAACCACTGGGCAAAATCCATGGGGCAAATCTAGTTACCTTTATAATCTTCTTGTTGAACATTTCATTACCTGGATGATACCCCCAATAACCTATTGTAACTAATCACTCATGTCTATAGCAAGGGGCCTAGCCTTTTATTACAAAAGAAAATTTCTTTCCAAGCCTGCACAGCCTTAGTTTGTGCATTGAGACATACTTCAGTCCTCCACTCCTAACTAGGATAGAGATAATTCACCTGTAACCAAAGAGCAAACAACTACTGTCTGTGCAATTTTTAAAAATCTTTAACCCATTTCTCCCCATCTACTAAAGGGACTCCTACATTTTCAGAGACCTTCACTCCCTCTTTGGTAACAGCAGCAATATCTTGGGGTTGGGTTATCTAGAAAGGATATAAGTGTTATTACTGAACCCAGACTTGTAGTTTGTAGTCAATAATGAACTTCCACTTTCCAACAATACTATCCTCTTCCTCCTGCACACACACCAAGAAATTTGGAATTCTAACCCATCCTTTTTTCTGACCTCCAGGGGATGAGATTTGAAGAAGGCTGCAGAGGAGAAATTGGTTTTGAGGGGAAATTTCCATTTCCATTTTTTAAAATCTTAGCCATCTCTATAATTTTTCATACTGAGCATTTATGTAAGTGAAATGATGAATGATAGAGATTTTGGTTTTCTTGGTAAGACACCATTCCATCCTTTCTAGTGGATCCTATAAATCAGTGGTCCCCAACCTTTTTGGCACCAGGGACCAGTTTCATAAAGACAATTTTCCCACAGAGGGGGATGATTTTGGGATGATCCAAGCACATTACATTTATTGTGCACTTTATTATTATTACATTGAAGTATATAATGAAACAATTATAAGGTACTCACCATAAGGTAGAATCAGTGGGAGTCCTGAGCTTGTTTTCCTGCTACTAGACAGTCCCATCTAGGGGTGATGGGAGACAGTGACAGATCATAAGGCATTAAATTCTCATAAGGAGTGCACAACCTAGATCCGTTGCATGCACAGTTCACAATGGGGTTCACACTCTTATGAGAATCTAATGCTGCCACTATCTGACAGGAGGCAGAGCTCAGGTAGTAATGTGAGCAGCAGGCAGCAGCTGTAAATACAGATGAAGCTTCGCTTGCTCTCCCACCACTCACCTCCTGCTGTGTGCCCCAGTTCCTAACAGGCCACAGACTGGTACTGATCCATGGCCCAGGGTTGGGAACCCCCTGCTATAAATTATTGCTTCCTTAATCCCAAAAAGCTTGTAATAGTAAATCTTTACCATGTAGAGAGGTAAATTTCAAAGGTCTTTGAGCACTGAAACAATTTGGAAACACTGGATTCTAATAATACAAAAATATTCCAAAGATACCACAATAACATTTGAAGCTGTATACAAGAATGTTCATGTCATCTTCATTTATAATAGCCACACACTTAGAAATGTCCAACAATGGGTGAGGGATAAAGAAACTGTAGTATATCCATACAGTGAAATACAACTCAGCAATAAAAAAGAACATACACGTGGTACATCAACAATATGGATGAATCTGAAAGTTTTATTTGAGTTGAAGAAGCCAAATACACAAATAGTATAATTCCACTTATGTGCCTTCACAGAACAGGAAAAACTATGTGTGAGGATTGACTTGAAAGGCACGCAAGGGAAGTTTACAGAGTGAAAACAATGTTCTGTACCTGACATCAGGCAGTTGATGCAGGGGTCTAAACAATTACCAAAATTCATTGAACTCGATGCTTAAGATCCGTGCATTTTATTACATGTAAGATATACTTCAGTAACCATGAAACAGTATAAATGTATTGCCCACAAGCTCTTTGACACTCATCCCATGAAGAGATGGGGGGTATGTCACCACCACTTGAATCTGGACACGCTTGTGACTGCTTCAAACAATAGAACACAACAGAAATGATACTACACCAAGTATAGTTCTGAAAAGCCTCTAAAAGGTCTGAAAAATTTCTGCCTGGTTCTCTTGAGACACTTCCTCTCAGGTGAAACCAGCCCATGTAAAAAGTCCAGTTATCCTGAAATCACTGTCATGGACAAGCTGCATATAAATGCTCCAGCCAACAGTTTCAGCTGAGCTCCCAACAGCCTGCCAGCCATGTGTGAGGGTCATTGTAGGTTTCCGGCCCAGTAGAACCTTCACATGACTGCAGCCCCATCTGACATCTGGCCAAAACTGCATGACAGACTCCAAAGTGAGACTGCCTCACCTAATCCCTGACAAAATCATGAGAAAAATGAAACATTATGGTTGGATACCACTAAATTTTCAGGTAATTTGTTATGCAGCAATAATAGAATAACTTAAGTACTTTTTAAGGATAAGCCATTGTAAAATTTATATATAGGAAAAATCTGAGGCCAGGCACGATGGCTCACGCCTGTAATCCCAGCACTTTGGGAGGCCAAGGTGGGTGGATCACCTGAGGTCGGGAGTTCAAGACCAGCCTGACCAACATGGAGAAACTCTGTCTCTATTAAAGATACAAAATTAGCCAGGCATGGTGGCGCATGCCTATAATCCCAGCTACTTGGGAGGCTGAGGCAGAAGAGTCACTTGAACCCAGGACGCAGATGTCACAGTGAGCTGAGATTGCACCACTGCACTCCAGCCTGGGCAACAAGAACAAAAACTCTGTCTCAAAGAAAAAAAAAAAAAAGAAAAAGAAAAACCTGGGGAAGCAACTTGATATTACCTCACTGGCTAAATCAAAATAGGAAATTATGGTTTATGATTCATCAGAAAGCTTAAGGTTTAAAAATAAACATTCTCTTTGACAAAATAAGAGGCATGGTATAGGTTAGTTAACTGAGATCTAATCCAAGTTATAAAATGAAGAAGTAGATGCTGGACTCCAGCAGTACTGCACTATAAGAAATGTAAAAATATATGCCTATATGTATACTTATACTTTCAGAACCTCAAATATATATATGTGTATATATAGATAGATATAGAGAAAGAGCTATATAGATATATATAATCTTAAAAGCATAGTTCTGCAAAAAGGAATGAGTAAATAATAAAGAGTAAAGAGGTCAGAAAATATATCATTGGCCATTGGTGATCAACTAAACCTTTAGACCCTCTCCCCTCCCTGTGGTAGGGGGGTGCTGAAAGTTCCAGTCCCCTAATCCTACTTTGGTCTTTATGGTGACCAGCCCCATCCTGAAGCTACCTTGGGGCCTCTGGCCATAGTCATCTCATTAGCATAAAAAAGACACTCTTATCACTCAGGAGATTCCAAGAGAGTTAGAAGCTGATATGTCAGGAAATGGAGACGAAAACCAAATATATAGGCCAGGGTACGGTGGTTTATGTCTGTAATCCCAGCACTTTGGGAGGCTGACGTGGGTGGATCACTTGAGATCAGGAGTTCGAGGCCAGTCTAGCCAACATGGTGAAACCCCATCTCTACTAAAGATACAAAAATTAGACAGGAGTGGTGGTGGACACCTGTAATCCCAGCTACTTGGGACTCTGAGACAGGAGAACCACTTGAATCCAGGAGATGGAGGCTGCAGTGAGCCAAGATTGTGCCACTGCACTCCAGCCTGGGTGACAGAATGAGACTCTGTCTCAAAAAAATAAATTAAAATTAAAATTAAAAAATATATATATAATGCAATATCACAGGTCCCAAATACATAAAGCAAAAATTGAGAGAACAAAGGAAATATAGACACCACCAAAATCCCATAGTTAGAGATGTTGACACCCCCTCTCTCAACAGCTGGTAAAATTAGGGAAAAAAAAACAGTAAGGATATGGAAGATTTGAATAGCACTATCAACCAACTTGATGCCATTGGTATTTGTGGGACACTACACACATCAAAAGTAGCATACACATTCCTTTCAAGTGCACATGAAACCTTCACCAAAACAGACCATATGCTGGGCCACAAAACAAGTCTCAATAAATTTAAAACATTTGAATTATACAGAGTATATTCTTTGGCCACTACAGCATTAAATTAGTAATCAATAATAATAAAATATCTAGAAAATTCCCCCAATTGTTTGGAAATTAAACTATACACTTCTAAATCACTTATAGTTCAAAGAATAAGTCACAAAGAAAATTGGAAAATATTTTGAACTGAATGATAATACATGTCAAAATCTGAGGGCTGCAGTTAAAGCAGCTCTTTAGGGAATTGTGTAGCTTTAAAATGCCTGGATTAGAAAAGAAAAAACATAAAATCACTATCTGTTACCCACTTGAGAAGCTAGAAAAAGAGTTAATCAAAACCAAAGTAAGAAGATATTTGTTCATAATAGAGTAGATCAATGAAACTGAATATCAGCAAACCAGAAGTTAGCTCTTTGAAAAGGTTAATAAAACTGATAAACTCATACCAAGGCTAATCAAAAAAAAACACAAATTACAAATATCAGTAATAAAAGAAAGGACATCACAACAAATTACAAAGATATTAAAGGAATAATGAAAGCATACTGTGAACAATGTTATGTCGATAAGTTCAACAACAAAAATGAAGTTTACAAAGTCTTTAAAAGACACAACTTGCCAAAATGACACAAGAAGAAACAGAAAATCAGCCGGGTGCAGTGGGTCACACCTGTAATCCTAGCACTTTGAGAGACCAAGACAGGAAGATCACCCTGAGGCCAGGCATTTAAAATTAGCCTGGGCAACATACTGAGACCCTGTCTCCACCAAAAAAAAAAAAAAAAAAAAAAAAAGAAAAGAAAAGAAATAGAAAATCCAATATCCCTATATCTAATAAAGAATTTCAAATACCTTCACACAAAGAAAACTGCAGGCCAAATGGCTTCACTGATAAAACGTAAAACATAAAAAAAAAGTATTCCTACACATTTTTTCAGAAAATGAAAGAGAATATGCACCAAGTCATTGTATAAAATCAGTATTACTTTGACTCTAGAACCAAAGATATCATAAGAAAAGAAAATTATACATCAGCATCCCTCATGAACATAGACACAAAAATACTTAATATTTTAGCAAATCTAATCAAACAATACATAAAATACATAATACATCATGATAAAGTGTAGTTTGTAAAATTAATGTGCCTTTGCAAGTCTAAAATTTTTCCCCATCACAGCACCATATTATATGCCCAAGTAAAGACCCAAATCTGTTTCATCTACCTAGAATGTCGATAATTAAGAAAATGTATATATGTAGGGGTGTGTGTGTGTGTGTGTGTGTGTGTGTGTGTGTGTGTCTGTAGAGCTGATCTTCATTATTCATACATTCCATTCTTACAAATATACCTACTTGCTAAGTTTTATTTGTAACCCTCGAATCAATTTACTGTGCTTTTGTGGTCAGTCATTCACAGACATGCAGAGGACAGTGAGAAATTCGAGTCATGCAACATGCACATTCCCAGCTAAGATCAAACAAAGTATTATTCTGTCTTCTTGTTTCAATTCTCACATTATAAGCAAGTGGCCTTTTCACAATATATTTAGTGCTATGTTTTTCACAGGTTTGTGCTTTTTGTTGATGATTTTGCTGTTTAAAATGACTTCAAATGTAGTGCTGAAGTGCTCTCTGCTGTTCCTAAGCTGTGATGTGCCTTGTGAAGGGAGAAAACACATGTGTTACATAAGCTTTGTTCAGGGATGAGTTATATTCCTCTTGGCAATGAGTTTAAAGTAAATGAATCAACAATATATATTGAATTAGGTTTCTTTAAACAAACATACATAAAACAAGGTTATATGTTGATCAGATTATTAAAATATTGTGACTAGAAGCTTGTAGGAACCTAACCCTGTATTTCTCCTAGGAACAATGGTTCCATATTTGCTAATCAATGTTCACAGAGACTTTACAGAACATAACTACTGTGAATAATGAGAATCAACTATATATGTATACATAATACATACATCTGTATATATATATATGTATCTATATATGTATATATAATACATATATCTGTATAAATGTGCATATATTTGTATAATATGTATAACACATAAAATATACTTAAAACAAATCATAAAATATCAAAATGTTAAATTAAAATTTTAGGCTAAAGTTCCTAATGTATGGGTACATTAAGAATGAGTAAACATATTCCACTGAAGTGCAGAATTTTGCTCTGGTAAAATGAGAATCTAACTTCCCACTGACTTTCATTGTAAAATATCAATGTGTCTGTAAGGTGGGACTGACCCCCATACAATAAAAATCATACACCAGAAAACCAGAAATATTTGATATTAGTATGTAGAAAAATGATTTTTAAATGGGAACTAACATTTTTGAAATGTTTAGGCTTTGCTAGATGCTGAGCTAAGCTTTATATCCTTGGCTCTCACAGCAAACTTGGGTAAGTGCTAATTATAATTCAGGAAACTAAAGTCTAGAGGGGTTAAAAAACTACACAAGGTCATGCAGGTGGTGAATAAAAAAGAATCAAATGGAAATTTTAGAACTGAAAAATAAATTTAAAACTCACTAGATGGCTCAATAGCAGCAAGAATATGGTAGAGCAAGGAATCAATAAATTTGAAAATAGAATAATAGAAATTACCCAATCTGAATGAGAGAGAAAATAGACTAAAAAGAAATGAACAGATTATCAGGGACCTGTGAGACAATAACAAAAGAGATAACATTGGTATCACTGTTATTTTAGAAGAGAAAATAAAGTAAGGCTGAGAAAGTACTTGAAAAAAATAATGGCTGAAAATTGCCCAAATTTGGTGAAAGCCACAAACTTCCAGATTCAAGAAGCAGAGCAAACTTTAAACATGATAAACCCAAAGAAACACACAGCAAGACACATCGTAATCAAACTTCGTTAAATCAATCATGATGAAAAAATCTTGAAAGCAGCTAGAGAGAAACAAAACATAATCTATAGCGAATGAATGATTTGAGTAACAATGGATATGCCACTAGAAATTACAGGGGCCAGAAGGAGTTGGCACACATTTTTCAGGGAGAAGAACTCTCAACCCAAAATTTTATATCAGTGAAAATATATCATTCAAGAACAAAGGGGAAGGAAGGACTCCTCCCTAACTCATTCTATGAGGCCAGCATCATTCTGATGCCAAAACCTGGCAGAGACACAACAAAAAAAGAAAACGTCAGGCCAACATCCTTGAAGAACATCAATGCAAAAATCCTCAACAAAATAGGCTTTATCTCTGGGATGCAAGTTTGGTTGGTCCAACATATGCAAATCAATAAATGTAATTCATCACATCAACAGAACTAAAGACAAAAACCACATGATCATCTATAGTATATGCAGAAAAGGCTTTTGATAAAATGCAACATCCCTTCATGTTAAAAATTCTCAATAACCTAGGTATGGAAGGAACATACCTCAAAATAATAAGAGCCACCTATGACAAGCCCACAGCCTGAATGGGGAAAAGCTGGAAGCAGCATTCCCCTTGAAAACTGGCACAAGACAAGGATGCCCCCTCTCACCACTCCTATTCAACATAATATTGAAAGTCCTGGCCAGAGCAATCAGACAAGAGAAAGAAATAAAAGGCATCCAAATAGGAAGAGAGGAAGTCAAAGTCTCCCTGTTTGCTGATGATAAGAACCTATATCTAGAAAACCCCATAGTCTCAGCCTAAAAGCTCCTTAAGCTGATAAACAACTTCAGCAAAGTCTCAGGATACAAAATCAATATGCAAAAATCGCTAACATTCCTTTACACCAACAACAGTCAAGCTGAGGGCCAAATCAGGAATGCAGTCCCATTCACAATTGCCAAAAAATAAAATAAAATACCTAGGAATACAGCTAACCAGGGAGGTGAAAGATCTTTCTCTACAAGAAGAGCTATAAAACACTGTTCAAAGAAATCAGAGATGACACAAACAAATGGAAAAATATTCCATGCTCATGAATAGGAAAACTCAATATCATTAAAATGGCCATATTGCCCAAAGCAATTTACAGATTCAATGCTATTCCTATTAAACTACCATTGACATTCTTCACAGAACTAGAAAAAACTATTTTAAAATTCATATAGAACCAAAAAAGAGCCTGAAGAGCCAAGGCAATCCTAAGCAAAAAGAACAAAGCTGGAGGCATCATGCTACCTAACTTCAAACTATATTACAGGGCTACAGTAACCAAAACAGCACGGTACTGGTACAAAAACAGAGAGACCAATAGAACAGAATAGAGAAGCCAGAAATAAGGCCACCCACCTACAACTATCCAATCTTCAACAAACCTGATGAAAACAAGCAATGAGGAAAGGATTCTCTATTCAATAAATAGTGCTGGGATAACTGGCTAGCCATATGCAGAAGATTGAATCTGAAACTCTTCCTTACACAATATACAAAAATTAACTCAAGATGGATTAAAGACTTAAATGTAAAACCCGAAGCTATAATAACCCTGGAAGACAACCTAGGCAATACCATTCTGGACATAGAAATGAGCAAAGATTTCATGATAAAGACACCAAAAGCAATTGCAGAAAAAGCAAAAATTGACAAATGGCATCTAATTAAACTAAAGAGCTTCTGTACAGCAAAGGAAACTATCAATAGAGTGAACAGACAGCCTATAGAATGGGAAAAAATTTTTGCAAACTATGCACCTGACAAAGGTCTAATACCCAGCATCTATCAGGAACTTAAACAAATTTACAAGAGAAAAACAAACAACCCATTAAAAAGTGGGCAAACAGATGGGGCACAGTGGCTCACGTCTTTAATCCCAGCGCTTTGGGAGGCTGAGGCAGACGGATCACTTGAGGTAAGGAGTTCAAGACTAACCTGGCCATCCCTCCTAAAAATACAAAAATTAGCCAGGCATGGTGGCATGCACCTGTAATCCCAGCTACTCAGGAGGCTGAGGCAGGAGAATCACTTGAACCTGGGAAGCAGAGGTTGCAGTGAGCCAAGCTAATGCCACTGCACTGCCAGGGCAATAGAGCGAGGCTCTGTCTCAAAAAAAAGAAAAAGAAAAAGTGGACAATGGACATGAACAGACACTTTTCAAAAGAAGACATACATGGGGCCAACAATCACACTTTTTAAAAACTCAACATCACTGATCATTAGAGAAATGCAAATCAAAACCACAATGAGATACCATCTCATGCCAATCAGAATGGCTATCACTAAAAAGTCAAAGCGTAACAGATGCTAGTGAAGGTGTAGATAGAAAAAAGGAATGCTTTTACTCTGTTGTTGGGAGTGTAAATTATTTCAAACATTGTGGAAGACAATATGGTGATTCCTCAAAGACCTATAAACGGAAATACCATTTGACCCAGCAATTAAATTACTAGGTATACATCCAAAGGAATATAAGTCATTCCATTATAAAGACACATGCACACATGTGTTCACTGCAGCACTACTCACAATAGTAAAGACATAGACTCAACCTAAATGTTCATCAGTGATAGACTGGATAAAGAAAATGTGGTACATATACACCATGGAATACTATGCAGCCATAAAAAAGAATGAGATCACATCCTTTGCAGGAACATGGATGGAGCTGGAGACCATTATCCTTAGCAAACTAATGCAGGAACAGAAAACCAAATGCTGCATGTTCTCACTTATAAGTGGGAGCTAAATGATGAGAACACATGGACACATAGAGGAGAACAACACACATTGGGGCCTATTGGAGGTTGGGAGCAGGGAGAGGATCAGGAAAAACTGCTAATGGGTACTAGGCTTAATACTTGAGTGATGAAATAATCTGTACAACAAATCCCCATCACACTAGTTTACCTTCATAACAAACCGGCACATGTACCCGGAACTTAAAAGTTAATTTTTTTAAGTATGAAAAGGAACATGAAGGGGAAATCAATCATTTCTTTCAGATGAAAGAAAACCAACAGAATTTGTCAACAGCAGACCATCCCTAAATTAATGGCTAAAAAAGTTCTTCGAGCAGAAAAAATGATAAAACAAGGAAACTTGAAGCATGAGAAAATAAGAAATAAAAACAGAAAGAGGCCAGGTCCGGTGGCTCATGCCTGTAATCCCACCACTTTGGGAGGCCGAGCTGGGTGGATCACCTGAGGTCAGGAGTTCGAGACCAGCCTGGCAAAAATGGTGAAACCCCGTCTCTACTAAAAATACAAAAATTAGCCAGGTGTGGTGGTGTGTGCCTGTAATCCCAGCTACTCGGGAGGCTGAGATAGGAGAATCGCTTGAACCCAGGAGGCAGAGGCTACAGTGAGCTGAGATCACGCCACTGCACTCCAGCCTGGGCAACAGAGCAAGACTCTATCTCAAAAAAAAATTAGCCTGGCATGGTGGCAGACGCCTGTAATCCCAGCTACTCGGGAGGCTGAGGCAGGAGAATCACTTGAACTTGGAAGGCAAAGGTTGCAGTGAGCCAAGATCGCACCACTGTACTCCAGCCTGGGCAACAGAGTGAGATTGTCTCAAAAAACAAAACAAACAAACAAAAAACAGAAAGAGTAGAAATATGGGTAGATATAATAGATTATCCTTCTCTTAAGTTTTCTAAGCTATGTTAGGCTTCTGAAGCAATAACTATAACACTGATGTGGTTCTCAATGTGTGCAGAGGAAACATTCAGAGCAATTTCACTATAAAAAGAGTGAGGAAGGGAGCTTGGAGGTACACATATGGTTTATTTCCTTAACAGGATCAAACCACACATAATGATCTACATCAGGCGGGTCTAGTCTTTTGGCTTCCCTGGGCCACATTGGAAGAAGAATTGTCTTGAGCCACACATAAAATACGCTAACATTAACAATAGCTAAAGAGCTTTAAAAAAAATCGCCAAAAAAAATCTCATAATGTTTTAAGAAAGTTTACGAATTTGTGTTGGGCCGCATTCAAAGCTATCTGGGCCGTATGCGGCCATGGGCCATGGGTTGGACAAGCTTGATCTACACATTTACTTTTTCCCCTGAAAATATTCTGATTTTCTACATTACTTCATCTAGATCTGCCTGGATTGTTAATTGACAATTATGAGCTGTATGTCAGGAAATGAGGACAAAGATTAAATATATATATTTCACAATATCACAGGTTATATTTCATTTACAAGTTTCTCTGTTGATTTATTAGCTTAGAAGTGTTTACTATCACAAACGATGCCGCAGGGAACATCTTTATGCATATCTTTTCATGTAACTGTGAACAGTTAAACATAAAATACATTCGTAGAAGTAGAATTGCTAGATTAAGTTATATATACTTTAATGGTTGTTGTTGTTGTTGTTTTGAGACAGGGTCTCACTCTGTCGCCCAGGCTGGAGTGTAGTGATATGATCACAGCTCACTGCAGCCTCAACCTCCCAGGCTCAAGCGATCCTCTCACCTCAGCCTTCCAACTACCTGGGACCCCAGGCATGCACCACCACACCCAGCTATTTTTCTATTTTTTGTAGAGACAGGGTCTCCCTATGTTGCCCAAGCTGGTCTCGAACTCCTGGACTTAAGCCATCCTCCCACCTCGGCCTCCCAAAGTGCTGGGATTGCAGGTGTGTGCCACCGTGCCTGGCCCTTTAATTGTTTCATATTAAAATTTTTTTTATTTAAAAAATTATTTCCAGAGCTCCTTAGGTTTGAACGTGTGGATTAAACATTAACAGACTTTTTTTAAACAAACTATCCAACCTCATAATCAAATTTTCCCAGGAAATAAAAGGTGGTGACAAGTAAACTCCAGAAGAGAACCACTGGATCTCCTCTGCCACAGGGTGGAAATTTTAGCTTAAACCAGCCAAGGGAGCACTGTTCCTGAGAGTTCTTAGGGGTTAGGGTCACAGATAGAAACAGAGAATTCAGAAAGGGAGGGAAATAAACACAAGGTGGGACAAAATTCAGAAGCAGCGGCTGCGACTGTTCAGCACTGTGAATATGACTTCCATCAACCCCAAAGAGGCTCTGAGACCAAACACAAACTGGGCCGGCGCTTTTGCTAAAGTCCATAAACATCAACACACAATTTACTCCACTGTTCCGTAGTTTACATGTGTTGTGTTATATATGTTTGTGTATACAAAATATTAAATATATTATTAAATATAATGTTTAAAAGGTGAACTGTTAAAAGCAAGGATTACATAGTGTTTATCTTCTGGAGGGGTGCTCATAATTTTCTTTTTTTTACAATCCAGAGGTCTTCTATTTTATTTTTTTTAACACCGATTATGCCATGAATCAATCCATAGGGAAGAGGTTCCAGCAGCTCAAGCTCCTTCCCATTTGTTCTCACACAGTGCGCTTCTCTGGGCAGAGCAGACTGGCACTTCTGCTGAATCCAGGTACCTTTCTCTTTGGCTTCCTTCTTTTTCTGATCATTTTCCTTCACAAGTTTCAGGAAGCTAGCTCAGCTCTCAGAGCGCTTAAAGTGCTCAATACCCACATGAATTCTCTTGGCAAGAACTTGCCCTTAACTTGTGTGTTTACAACAATGCCGACGGCCTGCTGCGTAACACTGTAGACTCTTCCAGTTCTGCCATGATAACACTTGTGGGGCATTCCTTCTTGAACAGTGCCCACTCCTTTAATGTCTACAATATCATCTTTCTTATAGATTCACATATACGTGACCAAAGGGAACAACTCCATGCTTCCTAAAAGGCCTAGAAGACATCTACCAGGAGCCTCTCCTCTTTCCCTTTGTGTTTGTCATTTTGTCGAATTACTGGAAGACGGTGGTTCTGGCCAAAAGGGCCATAATAAACTTTTATTTTCTTGTTTCTGTGTTTTTCTATAATAAACATACATTATTTTTATAACCAAAAATGACCAACAACATACATTAATTTTCTCTTTAATAAACTTTATCTGATTTTCCCATTAAAGCTAAACATGCTCCTTACCACTTCCAAAGAAAAAGTTATACTTAAAAAAGCCAATAATCTCCCTACTCCAAAATCCCAAGTGTTACATCATTCCAAATAACATCACTCCAAAGTTACACACACACACACACACACACACACACACACCACAGTATACTGGTCGTGTGTATTTCTATATACTATTTGATATATATACTTACACAAACCATGGAATTTGAACATATTTTCTTATTTCATTCTTTTTAAACAAAAAAGGACCACTCTATACACATCGTTTGGAAGTTTAGTTTTTCTTTTTTCATTAATAAACGTATCTATCTTTACATTCTAGTAACATATTACTGCAAACTTAGCAGGTTGAAAAACACAAATACATTATCTCACAATTTTGCGTGGTTCTGAAGTTAAGGAGGGGCCAAGCTGGGAACTCTGCTCAGGGTCTCACCAGCCTGAAATCAGGTTGCCAGCCAAGCCGTGTCCATCTGGTCTTAACTAGAGAAGATCCCTCCTTAGCCCATTCAGATGGTGGCACAATGCATTTCCCGATGGCTGTAGTACTAAGGGTCCCAGCTTCTTACTATTAGCTGAAGTTTGCCCTGAGGTCCTGCAGGCCACTTAAACTTCTCTGCCACCACATGGCAGTTTGCCTCTTCAAGTCCAACAGAAGAGAATTTATCTTCCAAGTCTGCTAAGAGTCTGCTTATCTTCCAAGTCTGCTGAGAGTCTCCAGAGTCTTATATAACATAACCACCATAGGAGTGGCATCCCATCACCTCTGCCATATTCTATCAGAGGCAAGTCTCTGGTTATTCCCACAAAGGGAGAGGTTACACAAGGGCGTGACCCATTGAAGGTAACTTTAGTGTGTTACTTTTCTAAGGATTCTATAATAAAGTACAACAAACCAGGTGGCTTAAATAACAGAAATTTATTATCTGGCAGTTCTGGAGGCTAGAAGTCCAAAATCGAGGCCGTGCTCCCTCTGAAACTGTAGCGAGAGCCCCTCCTTGCCTGTCCCTAGCTCTGGTGGTTTGCTGTCAACCCTTGGCGCTCTTGGCTTGCAGCTGCAGGACTTCACTTTCCGCCTGTGCCATCACATGGCCTTCTCCCATGTGTCTGTGTCTCTACATTTCTCCACCTCTTATATGGACACCAGTCACATTGGATTAAAGGCCCACCCTATGCCACTATGATGTCATCCTAACTAATTACATCTGCAAAGATCCTATTTCCAAGCAGGACATGGTCTGAGGTACTGGCAGTTAGGACTTCAACATATCTTTTTGGAGGACAGAATTGAACCCATAACACTTGGGGTGTATCCTCCACGGTATCAAAAACATTCTTCTGCAGAAATACATATAAATCCAACCTAGTGGTTCCTGAGGACATCAGCATCACCTGGGAACTTATAGGAAATGCAAATCCTCAGGGCCTATCCCAGACCTACTGACCCCGAAACTGCGGAGATTGCGGAAAAGGGAGGGAGAGACAGCACACTGTGTTTTAACAAGCCTACAGCCCATTCTTCTTACCAGCTGCACAGTTTGACTCTCAACCCTACCAGACTCTCTAGGCAGACCCAAAACTCCCTTCAGGGCAATAAAAGAGCAGGAAGAAAATTCCAAGCAGCAGGTGGCCTGGATTACCCTACTCCTTACACAGGGGGTTGAGACAGTGCATGTCTGTCCTCCTTTTCCACGCCAAGTTCCTCATTGCTAGGGCTTCCATTCAAGAATCAATGCCACAGAAAACTAGAAAAGTCAACAAGGATGAATAAATACATGATTTCTTACCTAATTTTGATGTCAAGTCACAGGAAGGAGTACAGACAAGTCAACCATGCCAAAAAGGCCCCACACATGCAAACTCAAAGGAACATCTTCATCTTCCCTTTTATCATGGGCACAGGTCTCTCCCAAAGTCCCTTCCACACCATCCACCAAGTCCAGTTCACCAGATCACCTGTAGCCCTGCCCTGATTTTGTTTACTTTACTTGCATTTGGGGTCATTATGATGTCGTTGCCATAGGGTCAGGGACTTAGTGACAACAGAATGTACAATCCAGCCATGACCAAGACTTGTGTTTCTGCAGTGCTGAATCTCACCTTACTCTTAGAGAGCCTCATTCCTTTGATTAAAGAATGCAAATCACTCTACAATTCTGCTTGTTTTCTAATTTCTATCTCTTCCCAGTAATTCTGGCCAGCCTGCCTAGTTTTTCTTGATTTTACTGATTATACTCCTTTTATGTTTTCAGGCCACTAACCTCCCTAGCTTTGCCATAGTCCGAGATGGCGACTGTAATCAATACATCTCATTCAACACAAGCTACAGATGTGATGGAAAAACTTGTTTTACTATTACCGTAACCTTTCAGGAAGTTTCTTGGGGTTTTGCCTATACAAACATCTCATATAATCCTGACTATAGCCTGTTGTGACCCTGTCTCTGCTTGCTTCAAGGCAATACTCTCTCCCTCCCTCTTAACTCCAACGTTGAGTCTCTTGCCTTAAAGCCATTGTACACATTATTCCTCTTTGCAGCAATCATCTATCACCTGGGTCACCCCTTGAAGATTTTAGTTCCTGTATCATTATCACTCACTCCAGCTCTACTGTCATCACACTTGGAGTGCTTATAAATGACTCATCACTTTTCCTCCTTACTTCCAATGAACTTCCTCTCCAGAAGACCAGAGCCACTCACCTCCATCCATGATCATATTTGTAACTTCTGCATTATTAATCCAACAATGGTCTCAATTTTAATCATCTCATTTTCTGATTATCAACTCCTGTCTTTGCATCTCACTTCCTCTAGTGAACTAAAGCCAATAAATTGTCAGCTGCATCAATAATTCATGGATCCTGCTACTCTCCCACTACTCTTCAACCTTCCTTACCAGCTTACATTATATGGTCCCTCTTTGAATCAATCACCTGCTTGCAAACACCCTCAACTCCCATATCTTGCTATTATTTTTAAAAACAGTTTTATCAAGGCATAATTCACATACAATAACACTCACTTATTTTAGGTGTACAATTCAATTATTTTTAGAAAATGTGCAAAGCTGAACAACTAACATTGCAATCTATCATTAGAACATTTGCACTACACCATTAACAAACTTCATTTCCATTTGCAATCATCCCTCATTGCTACCCTCTGCTCCACGGGACCATAAATCTAATATCTGTTTCTATAGACTTGCCTTTTCTGGACATTTCATATAAAAGGAATTATACAATATATGGCTTATTTCATTTAGTATAATGTTTTTGAGGTCCATCCATATAGTAACATGTATCAGTACTTTATTCCTTTTATTGTTGAGTAATATTTCATTGTGTGAATATAGCAGATATTGTTTATCCAATCATAAGTTGATGGACATTTTGGTTGTTTCCAGTTTTTGGCTATTTTGAAAAATGACGGCTGGATGCGGTGGGTCACGCCTGTAATCCTAGCACTTTGGGAGGCCGAGGCAGGTCGATCACCTGAGGTCAGGAGTTCAAGACCAGTCTGGCCAAAATGATGAAACTCTGTCTCAAATAAAAATACAAAAATTAGCCAGGCATGATAGTGCATGTTTGTAATCCCAGCTACTCCGGAGGCTGAGGCAGGAGAATCGCTTGAACCTGGGGGCAGAGGTTACAGTGAGCCGAGATCGCGCCACTGCACTCCAGCCTGAGTGACACAGCAAGACTCCATCTCAAAAAAAAAAGAAAGAAAGAAAGAAAAATGATGCTATGAATATTTACATATAAGTTTTTATGTGGACATATATTTTAATTTTCTTGGGTATACCTCAGAGTAGAATCACTGGGTCATATGGTAAAACTGTATTTAGCATTTTAAGAAACTGGAAAACTGTTGTCAAAATGGCATTTTACATTTCCACCAACAATGTATGAAGGCTCCAGTTTCTTCACATTCTCCCCTGTATTTGTCCATCCTGTGTTGCTATAAAGCAAGCTTGTCCAACCTGCAGCCCAACACAAATGCATAAACTTTCTTAAAACATTATAAGAATTTTGCAATTTTTTTTTAGCTCATCAGCTATCATTAGCGTTAGTGTATTTTATGTGGGGCCCAAGACAATTCTTCCAATGTGGCCCAGGGAAGCCAAATGATTGGACACCCCTGCTAAAAAGTAATACACAAGTCTGGGTAATCTGTAAAGAAAGGAGGTTTATTTGGCTCACAATTCCGCAGGCTGTACAAGCATGGTACCAGCATCTGCTCAGCTTCTGGTGAGGCCTTAAGAAGCTTACAATCATGGCAGAAGGTGAGGGGGAGCCAGCACATCACATGGTGAGAAAGAGAGTGGGGTGGCAGTGGGGGAGGTCCCAGGCTCTTTTAAACAATTAGATCTCAAGGTAACTCATTACCACAGGGAGTGCACCAAGCCATTCATGAGGGATCCACTCCTATGACCCAAATACCTCCCACCAGGCCCCACCTCCAACACTGGAGACCACATTTCAACATGATAATTGGAAGGAACAAATATCCAAATTATACCATCCCTCAACACTTGTTAGTGGATTTTTATTACAGACAACACTCCCTGGGGCATAAAGCATCAGTGGCATCTCATTGTGTTTTAATTTACATTTCTCTAATATCTAACGATGTTTTCATGTGCTTATTGAACTTTCTTTTTTTTTTTTTTTTTTTTTTGAGACAGAGTCTCGCTCTGTCACCAGGCTGGAGTGCTATGGTGCGATCTCAGCTCACTGCAACCTCCACCTCCTGGGTTCAAGTGATTCTCCTGCCTCAGCCTCCCGAGTAGCTGGGACTACCACACCCAGCTAATTTTTGTATTTTTAGTAGAGATGGGGTTTCACCATGTTGGCCAGGCTGGTCTCGAACTCCTGACCTCGTGATCTGCCTGCCCCAGCCTCCCAAAGTGCTGGGATTACAGGCATGAGCCACCACGCCCGGCCTCTTTTTATTTATTTATTTATTTATTTATTTTAGATGGAATCTTGCTCTGTTGCCCAGGCTGGAGTACAATGGCGCCATCTCGGCTCACTGCAACCTCCACCTCCCAGGTTCAAGCAATTCTCCTGCCTCAGCCTCCCAAGGAACTGGAATTACAGGCGCATGCCTATTTCAAGTAAAACTATGATCAAATAAATGTGCATGCCTTTTCTATTAATCTGCCTTTTGTCAGTGATTTTCAGCAAACTTTCAGAGGGCAATGGGGAAGTTTTCCCTTCGCTTTTACATCCCAAACCAAATTTATAGTTATACCTCTTATATTTAGGTCAATTATCTTTCTTGATTTTTATGTATGATGTAAAATGACTAAACGTATATTTTTTTACATGAGGATATCCAATTATTCCAGCACCATTTGTTGAAAAACCTATCCTTTCTCCACATTGAATTGCCTTGGCACATCTGTCAAAAATCCATTGGTAATGGGCTCAGGTGATCCTCCCGTCTCAGCCTCCCAAGTAGCTGGGACTACAGAGATCACTTGAGCCCATTA
This sequence comes from Homo sapiens, assembly GCF_000001405.40. Lineage (NCBI taxonomy): Eukaryota > Metazoa > Chordata > Mammalia > Primates > Hominidae > Homo > Homo sapiens. Next base: position 43,625,267 of record NC_000010.11, on the reverse strand, counting down.
AAAAAAAAATCCAATGATGGTGGGCCCGGTGGCTCACACCTGTAATCCCAGCACTTTGAGAGGTTGACGCAAGAGGATTGCTTGAGCCCAGGAGTTCAAGACTAGCCTGATCAACATAGGGAGACCCCATTTCTATAAAAATATTTTAAAATTAGCCAGTGTTGTGTTGCACATCTGTAGTTCCACCTACTCAGGAGGCTGAGGTGGGAGGATCGTTTGAGCCTGGGAGGTCGAGGCTGCAGTGAGCCATGATCTTACCACTGCATTCCAGCCTGGGCAATAGAGTGAGAGACCCTGTCTGAAAAAAAAAAATCCACTGACCAAAAACATAAGGGTTTATTTCTAGAATCTCTATTCTGTTTGATGGGTCTATATGTCTACTTTTATGCTATGACCACAGTGTCTTGATAAATGTAGTAGCTGTAACATTGTGAAATACATAATATATAAATCATTTCCTAGCATACAACTCCTAAAACCCTTAGAAACACCAAAGTGATGTCTTATTGTATGTTAATGCATTGACAGCCCCCCAGGTAGCTTCAGGATGGGGCTGTCACCATAAAGACCAAGGGAGGATTACAGGGTTGGGACTTTCAGGCCTACCTCCTCTGGAGAGGGTTGAGGGACTGAAGGTTATGTTGATCACCAATGGCCAGTGGTTTAAACAATCATGGCTATGTAATGAAGCCTCCATAATAACCTCAAGGACAGGGTTCAGAGAGCTTCTAGATAGCAAAACCTATGGAGGTTCTGGAGGGTGGCACACTCCAGGAGGGCATGAAAGCTCCATACCCCTTCCCACATGCCTCACCCTAGGCACCTCCTCATCACTTTCCTTTGTAATATCCTTAAGAATAAACCAGTAAATTTAAGTAGGTGTTTCCCTGAGTTCTGTGAGCTGTTCTAGCAAATTAATTGTGTGGTGACAGCAGTTATGTAAATGGAACCCAAAGAGGTGATTGTGGGGGCCCCAACTTGAAGCTGGTGGGTCAGAAGTTTTGGTGGCCAGGGCTTACCTCCAGAATGCCTCCAGATGCACCTAGCATCTGAGAGGTTGTAGGCAGTCTTATAGGCTTGAGCCCTCAACCTGTGGGGTCTGACACTATCTGTCAGGAAAAATCCCCACACATTTGGTCACAGAAGTCTTCTGTGTTGATTGCTGTCGTGGTGTGAGGGCAGATGGAAAAGTTTGTTTTTTCCCCCTTAGTAGTTGTATAGTACGCTCTGAAACTGGGATGAATTTTGTTCTTTGTTCTTTTTCAAGATTGTTTTGACCATTCTCAATTCTTCTTTTAGTATAAATTGCAGAATCAGTTTGTCAATTGTTCAGAACAACTCTGCTGCAAATGTGATAGGTGCTGCATTGAACCTATAGATCAATTTGAAGAGTTCTGCAATCTTAAAATTTTGAGCTTCAACTCCATTAATGCAGAGTGTCCCTGCATTTATTTAGATTTTTAAAAATTTCTTTCTGGAATGGTTGTAGTTTTCAGTGTACAAGTCTCACATTTATTTCGTTAAATTTATCTCAAATATTTTATTGTTGCTATGGTTTGAATTTGTTCCCCCAAAATCATGTGTTGGAAACTTATTCCCAATGCAAGTTTGGGGAGGTGGGGCCTAATGAGAGATGATAAGGCCATGTGGGTACAGTGAATGGATTAATGCTGTTGGCACGGCAGTGGGTTTGTTACAAAAGGAGGGAATTCAACCCCTTTTACTTTCACTTTCACTTTCTCTCTCTCACTCTCTTACCTTCCACCATGGGATGACATAGCGAGAAGTTCCTCACTAGATGCCAGAAACTTAATACTGGACTTCCCACCTTCCAGAACTGTGAACTGCAGTTTATCAATATTTTTCTGCATGGATTATGGTTTTTGTGTTATGTCTAAGAATTCTGTACCTAACCCAGATCATGAAGATTTTCTCCTGTGTTTGCTTCTAAAATTTTTACAGGTTTGTGCTCTACTTTCAGCTCTATAATCCTTTCTGAGTTAATCTATGTGTAAAGTGTGAAGTATTGGTCAAAGATCATTTTTAATACATGTCTAAATGCTCCAATACCATCTGTTGAAAAGACTATGCTTTCTCTATTGAATTGTTTTTGCACCCACGTTTAAAATTTTTTAACTAGTCATATTTCTGTGGGTCCATTCTTGACTATTTTGTTCCACTGATGTGTATTTCTATACCTCCACCAATACCACAGTCTTGATTACTGTATCTTTAGAGTCTTAAATTGTGTAAAGTGAGTCAAAGCTTTTTCTAGTTTTGTGAAAACTTGTTTTAGCTATTCCAGTTCCTTTGCCTTGGATAACACTTTAGAATCCACTTATCTACATCTACAAAACAATCCTTCCAGAATTTTGACTGATATTTTGTTAAATCTAAAGATCAATTTATGGAGAACTGACATCTTGACTATGGTGAATCTTCCCATTCATGAATATGACATGTCTCTCCATTTATTTAGGTCTTTTATTACTTTCATCAGCATTTTATAGTTCTCAGTGTACAGGTACTATGCATGTTTTGATTTATACCTAAGGATTTCATTATTTTATGAACTATTGCAAATGACAGTTTTTAATCTCAGCTTTCAATTGTACATTGCTAGTGTGTAGAAACAATTTTTGTATGTGGCCTTGGGTCCTATAATCTTGCTAAACTCACTTATTAGTTATTAGATTTTGTTGTTGTTGTTGTTGTTGTTGTTTTCTTTTTGAAACAGTCTTGCTCTGTCACCCAAGCTGGAGTGCAGTGGTGCAATCTCAGCCCACTGCAACCTCCACCTTCTGGGTTCAAGCAATTCTCCTGCCTCAGCCTCCCAAATAGCTGGGACTACAGGCATGCACTTTAATGCCTGGCTAATTTTTGTAATTTTATCCAGATGGGGTTTCACCATGTTGCCCAGGCTGGTCTGAACTCCCAGCCTTATGTGATCCACCTGCCTCGGGCTCCCAAAGTGCTGGGATTACAGGCATTGAGCCACCACGCCTGGCCAGGGATTTGCTTTTTATAGCTTCCTTTGTATGTTCTACATATTCAATCATGTCCTTTGTAAACAGAGACAGTTACAGTCTTTCCTTTACAATCTGTATGATTTTTATTTCCTTTTTTTGATTTATTGCACTGGCCAGGATTGCCAGTCCTATGTTAAATAAGAGTAGTGACAGCAGATATCCTAACCTTGTTTTCATCTTATAGGGAAAATATTCAGTCTTTCACCATTAAGTATGAGGTTAACTGTAGGTTTTTCATAGTTGGCCTCTATGTGGTTGAGGAACTTCCCTTCTACTAGCTTGCCAAGAGCTTGTATCATGAATGGATATTGTATATTGTCAAATGCTTTTTCTGCATCAGTTGGTATGATCAGGTGGTTTTTCCTCTTTGGTCTTTAATCTTCTTTAATGTAGATTACATTGATTGATTTCCAAACACTGAACCAGCCGTAACCCCATTTGATCATGATTCTATATTATTAATTCTATATATTGCTGGATTTTATTCGCTAATATTCTATTCAAGATTTTTGCTTCTATGCTCATAAGGAATATTGGTCAGCTTTCTTTTATTGTCCTGTCTTGTCCCATTTTGAATAAACACCCTATTCTTTTAAATGAAAACTTCTTAAATGAAATACATTACCAAAAATCCCATAATTATCATTACCATTTTGAAATATTTTATTCGTTTTCATATGTTAAAGTAGGTTTCCTCAATAAGACAAGCCAGTACCCAGGCTTTGTTCATGGTGTTTGACAGTGGGTAAAACCACTGGTCCCTCTTGAGCCTTGTGCACACGATATAGATGATGGTGGAGCATGTTCTTTTGAGATCTTTAATCAATTCTGTAAGAGACCTCTCATATATATATATGAGAGAAATTTTTTTATTTTATATTTTTATGCAGAAATTTTAATTTTATATTTTAAAAAAATATATAGGTGAAATATATGTATATACATGTGTACATATATATGTGTGCATGTACATATATACATACTATACATTTTTAAAAAAAAACAGAAATGAGTATCACTAACACAGCACCAGCTAACATTTACCTTGCACTTTGCATCTGGTATTCAGCTAAGCACTTTATAAAATTACCTCCTTTAAACAAAACTAGTTTTTTTTTTATCTGTACATGGTAGACAATTCAACAGGCTACATAACTAGCCAGTGGTTTCACAAAGTATATTAAGAGGTAAGCTGCATCTTGCACCCTGACTCCAAAGATTATACTTCAAAGTTGCTGCCATAAGCTTTCAGATACTGTCCTGTAACCTATTTCTTCATCCAACATATCCACTTTATCCTTTTTAATGGTTGTATCATATTCCATGATAGATCATATTTTCCAAAATTATTGCAATAATATATTCCATCGAATATACTTTTCTGGCAATGTGACTCTGATACTCCTCCAAAGAAGTATGTTCTATGTTCCCTCCCCTTTGAGTTTGGACAGGCTTGACTATGGAGAAAGAGACACTGAATTTTTTGTTGTCGTTATTGTTTGTTTGTTTGAGACAAGGTCTCACTCCAGTTGCCCAGACTGGAGTGCAGTGGTGCAATCTTGGTTCACTGTAACCTCTGCCTCCCAGGCTCAAGCAGTCATCCCACCTCAGCCTCCCCAGCACTACAGGCACGTGCCACAGACCTGGCTAATTTTTTTGTATTTTTTTGTAGAGACAGGGCTTCACCAAGTTGCCAAGACTGGTCTTGAACTCCTGGCCCCAAGCAATCCACCCACCTCAGCCTCTAAAAGTGCTGGGATTACAGGTATGAGCCACCACGCCCAGCCGAGATGCTGTTATTTCTGATGCTAGATCACAACAAGCAATAACAGTTTCTCTGCCTGACTCCTCAGAACCCAGGCACCAAGCTGAGGAGGCCTATGCAGCCACATAAAAAGGTCACATGTAGGTGTTCATATGCAACTGCCCTAGCTGAGGTCCCAGCCAACAGCATCAACCACCCAATTTGTGATGGAGCCTTCAGTTGTGTTGTCTGATAGCAACATGCGAACCATACATGTAGGCCACATATGTAAATTTAAATTTTCTAGTAGTCACATTAAAATTCAATTTTAATACATTGAGTTTAATCTATCTAAAATATAATCAATATAAAAACCATTAAGATAGTTTAGTTTCTTTTTTTATACAAAGTCTTCGAAATCTGATGCACATTTTATACTTACAGTCCTATTTTCAATCAACACACTAGTCTCCATTCAGACTGGCCTCACTTCAACTGCTCAGTAGCCACTTGTGGCTATCATAGTGTGGCCGCTTCAAATGACCCCACTGACCAACTGTTGATTCCAACCTTGAGTTTTCCCAACTGAAACCCCAGACATCATGGAGTTACAAAGCTGTTCCTGCTGTGCCCTTTCTGAATCCTTGACTCACAAAATCTGTGAACACAAATACTGGCAACTAAGTGTGTGACGGTTTATTATACATCTGTAGTAACTGGGATGCTAGCCTATGAGAGTTTCATAACTTATTTAAACATTTCCCTACTTAGATATTTCTCCCACCTCTTTCCAGGATATTAGTATAACCAATGACGATGAGCAATACAAGCTCTGTAAGTTAGTCAAATTATTTCCTTAAATGTTTGAGGGTGGCATTTCTGGGTCAATTAGAACATACATTTACATTTACATTCATGTTGCCAAACTGTTATCCAAAGCAGCTTAACCAGTTCTTACCAACAATCATCTATGTGTGTGCAGCCGTGCTTCTTTTGATTAAATCTGGCCCTCTGCAATCATCAGTTGAATACTTAGATCCTTTCTTTTCTATTTTATAACATTCCTAAGTTTGCTTTATTGCTTTTACATTGTGAACTATATCCATGATATATTTTTATCACAAAATATTCAGGCAATGCATTGACTATACAAAAGAAGTACTATACCATTATTCTTTACTTTGGATCTTTTTCAACTTAATGTCATAGACAACTTTGCCTGTCAGCTCATAAAAGTCTAACTCACCAAATGTTAATTAATTAAAGGACTGTCTTTTAATTAAATGTTGAGTGACTACATGGTAGTCCAAAGACTGCATGTATCTTCAACATTCCTCTGATGACAGATATTACAGTGATTCCACCTCTTCATTACTACAATGCTGTAAAGACCACCTTTACTTTTTAATTAGATTTTAAGTAGAAATGTTAGGTCAAAAGGTCAAAGTTGGTAGGCATAATCATTTATATTTCTTTTTCTGACAACTGTACATTCACATCCAAGACCATTTCTCCACTGGAATTTTTATATTTATGTATTTTAAGGACTCTCTAAATAGTCTAAGTGTTACCTGTTAAATATGATGATGGTAATATTTTCTCCAAGTCCAGCCCTTTGTATTTTAATACTACGAAGCCTCTAGTTGCAGAAACTAAAAGCTTTTAGTTTCTGTGTGGCATTTGTCTTATTTTTATGACTTCTGAGTTTTCTTATATAGGAAGATAACTATACTAAGTTACAGAAGATACATGAATGATGCTTGATTAAATATTTCATTTCAAAGAACTCAGTCAAAGTCATAATTTCACTTCATCATACCAATATAGGTCGAGTATCCCTTGTCTGAAATGCGTGAGACCAGAAGTATTTAGGATTTCAGACTTTTTTGGACTTTGCAATATTTGCATGCAAATAATAAGGAATCTTGGGGGTGCATTTTTTTTTTTTTTTTTTTTTTTGAGACGGAGTCTCGCTCTGTCGCCCAGGCCGGACTGCGGACTGCAGTGGTGCAATCTCGGCTCACTGCAAGCTCCGCTTCCCAGGTTCACGCCATTCTCCTGCCTCAGCCTCCTGAGTAGCTGGGACTACAGGCGCCCGCCACCGCGCCCGGCTAATTTTTTGTATTTTTAGTAGAGACGGGGTTTCACCTTGTTAGCCAGGATGGTCTCGATCTCCTGACCTCATGATCCACCCGCCTCGGCCTCCCAAAGTGCTGGGATTACAGGCGTGAGCCACCGCGCCCGGCCGGGGGTGCATTTTAACTGCAACCCATCACATAAGGTCTGGTGTAGAATTTTGTACCTGTTGGTGCTCAGACAAATTTTGGATTTTGGAGCACTTCAGATTTCAGATTTTCCAGTTATGGATGCTCAACCTATACTACATCCTCATCAAAGATAACTGCTGTTAGCTGAGTGTGGTGGTACGTGCCTGTAGCCCCAGCTACTCCAGAGACTGAAGTGGGAAGGTTGTTCAAGCCCAAGTTCAAAACTACAGTGAGCTATGATCACATGGCACTCCAGCCTGGGTGACAGAGTAAGAGCTAGTTTCTTTTAAAAAAAAAAAAAAAGAGAGAGAGAGAGAGATAACTGCTGTTAAGATTGGTCTTTATTTGTCCAGGTCTTTTTGAATGCATATAATATAGATTTCCTGAAACTTGCTTCTTTAACAAGGGTATATTGGGTATATTATCATGGGTATATTTCTACTGTTGTATTTTTTTACTTAGAGATGGAGTCTTGCTATGTTGCCCAGGCTGGAGTGCAGTGGCTATTCACATGCACAATCATAGTGCATTACAGACTCAAACTCCTGGGCTTAAGCAATCCTGTCTCAGCCTCCCAAGTAACTGGGACTACAGGCATATGCCACCATGCCTGGCTTTGTACAGTATTTACAGCTCCACCTCATTCTTTTCAATTAGCACACAGTATGCTATAACTACTTCCATACTGACATACATTTAGTTTCTTCAAATATTTCACTAGTAGAACCTCACAATGAATATCCTCACAAGTGATGTGTTCTCTCAGAAGTACAGAGTATTTCTGTTAAATGCATAATTTATTTAATGTCTCCTCTATGATGGTCAGAAGGAATAAACTACTCTGCACAATTTGCCACACTAACTACATTTCATGGCTCTTTCTTTATTATGAATTTTCTTATGTTGCTTAAGGGCTGAACTTCGGGGAAAAGCTTTCCCACATTCATTACATTTATAAGGTTTTTCCCCAGTATGGAGTCTCTGATGTTCAACAAGGCCTGAGCTGTGCCGAAAGGCTTTCCCACATTTCTTACAGTGATAGGGTTTTTCTCCAGTATGAATTCTCTGATGTCCAGTAAGGGTTGAGCTCTTTGTAAAGGCCTTCCCACAGTCACGACACTGATACGGTTTATTTCCACTGTGAGTTTTCTGATGACCAGCAAAGGATGAGCTATACCTGAAAGATTTTCCACATTTACTGCAGTGATAGGGTTTCTCCCCAGTATGCATTCTTTGGTGACTAATAAGAGTTGAGCTCTTCCTAAAGGCTTTTCCACATTCATTACACTGATATGGCTTCTCACCAGTATGGATTTTCTGATGTTCCAACACAGTTGAATTATCCCTGAAAGCTCTCCCACACTTGTTACATTTAAAAGGCTTCTCTCCACTATGTATTCTTTCATGACGAGTAAGAGCTGCATTCTGAGCGAAGGCTTTCCCACAGTCATTACATTTGTAGGGTTTCTGGCCAGTATGAATTCTCTGATGACTTAAAAGGATTGAGTTCTTTCTGAAAGTTTTTCCACATTCAATGCATTTGTGGGGTTTCTCCCTAGAATGAATTCTCTGATGGTTGATAAACGTTGAGTGCTTCTTCAGGAACTTCCCACATTCAATACATCTATAAGGCTGTTTGCCTGCATGAACCTTATGGTGATTTAAAAGGGATGAACTGTTCATAAAGGCGATCCCACATTCTTTACATTTATGTGGTTTCTCACTGGTGTGATTTCTCTGGTGGCTAATAAAGGACGAATTGTATTTGAAGACTTTCCCACATTCCTTGCACTTATAGTTCTTCTCTGTGGAGCTTCTGCCCTCCCAGTCCAGGCCTTTTTCCATCATGACACTTTTCGTTCGCTCTCCCAGAACAGATGCTTCAGAAGTGCTTTGCTTTAGGGCTGACATCTTTGTTTCAAACCAGTAATCCTCGACTGAAAGAAAATTTTAAAAATTCAAATGTTCTTTATGTTGAAATGCTGAAAGTGAGAGTTGTGCAAGGACTTGAATAATGTTCTATTCTACATAACTAAAGGTTATGAAAAATTATTAATGTGTCCCACTTGTGATTCTTGCTGAGAAAAGATGGCCAGACTAAGGGCAGGAAAAGGAAGTATGATTTTAAAGAAAAGAAAAGAATCTGTACTATAAACATTGCATTTAAAGAATGCAGTGAGCCCCTAAGAAGTTGCCAAGTTAGGAAGACAACACAGGAAACAGCTAAAAAAGAAAAAAGACAATGTGAGAATAAATACAAAATTGAGGAGAAAGCCCAGAGTCACAAAGCAAGCTATAATTACTACTAGGGCAGATTTCTGCAGGTGGTATATTTGAGAACATTATGATGTCACCAAGAACTTGAGAAAAATAGTTCTCTGTGAGGATTTAAGAGTGAACCAATATTTAATTGCTCAGTGGAAAAAAGAAAACAGAAAAAATATTCAAGGAACAAAAATAGTTCTCAGGCCAATAAGATTTTACTATAAACTAAATTTTTAACATATCTAAAAAACAACATACCTATGCCAGGCACGGTGGCTCATGCCTGTAATCCCAGCACTTTGGGAGGCCGAGACGGGTGGATTACTTGAGGTCAGGAGTTCGAGCCCAGCCTGGCCAACATGGCAAAACCCTGTCTCTACTAAAAATGCAAAAACTAGCCAGGCATGGTAGCACATGCCTTTAATCCCAGCTACTCGGGAGGCTGAGGCAGGAGAATCGCTTGAACCCGGGAGGCAGAAGTTGCAGTGAGCTGAGATCATGCCACTGCACTCCAGCCTAGGTGACAGAGCAAGACTCTGTCTCAAAAAACAAAAAAAAAATTACCAATCAATGGGTGTACTATGTGAATTTTCTCTAGCTTTTTACAAAGTACAGACACAAGACCTAAGACAGACAGAGCGAAATGATTCAGACAAAAACGTTCTGAAAAACTAATAGAGCCAAACTTGTAGTAAAATTAACAATCACCAACCAATTATTTTACTAAATGCGCTTTTCTTATAAACATAAGTTGTATCTATCTATACCTAAAGATATATACACATACATATATTTATATGTATTTATACTTAGTAGTCTGGGGAGAAATTCCATGCAATGGATATTAGAGCTAAGACTTATTTTTTCAAGGAAATGTAAGTTGAAGGTGAAGCCCAGTCAGAAACAGCCCACATTCTTCCAATGGCCTTTGATGGGATATGTGTTTAATGTATTATGATCAAACTAGAGAAAATTTCAAGATACTGATTGTAAAGCTGGCAACGTGAAGACACATATGGGCACTTCTTCTATGACAAAGGTGGTCTTGCAAAGCAGTGAGGAAGAGGAGATTCTGCATTAGTACATTTTAGGAGAAAAAAAATATATAAACCCTAACTCATATGATGCACAGAAATCCATTCTAAGAGGATGGTAAATGTAAACATAAAAACCAAATAATAAAGCTTCTAGAAATTAACACAGAAGAATATCTTCATGATCTCGGGAAAAGAAAAAATATTAAAATCACAAAAATAATAAATGTTAGTAAATAATTGTTAATATATAATTTAAAATAAACATTTTAAATAAAGCATGACACAAAAAAGCACTGACAAAAAAGAAAGGGATTGATCAAATGGAAGAACTGGGCTGGGCACGGTGGCTCATGCCTGTAATCCCAGCACTTTGGGAGGCTGAGGCAGGAGGATGGCTTGAGGCCAGGAGGTCCAGACCCACCACCTGGGCAACATAGCAAGTCTCCATCTCTACAGAAAAAAAACATGTTTTGAATTAGCTGAGCATGGTGGCATGTGTCTGTAGTCCCAGCTACTCAGGAAGCTGAGACAGGATTGCTTGAGCCCAGAAAAAGGAAGAACTGCTATTCATCAAGACCATTAACAGTCAGTAACAACAGAGAGAGGGATGGTACAATACATGTAATCAATAACAGGCTCTTCAAATAGTTACCCAATCAGAGATGCTCTATAGGGACCAATAAATATTCTAAAAGGTCTTTTTTTTTTTTTTGATACGGAGTCTCACTCTGTCGCCCAGGCTGAGTGCAATGGCGCAATCTCAGCTCACTGCAACCTCCACCTCCCAGGTTCGAGTGATTCTCCTGTCTTAGCTCCCCGAGTAGCTGGGACTACAGGTGTGTGCCACCACACCCAGCTAATTTTTTGTATTTTTAGTAGAGACAGGGCTTCACCATGTTGGCCAGGCTGGTCTCGAACTCCTGACCTCAGGTGATCCGCCCACCTCAGCCTCCCAAAGTGCTGGGATTACAGGCGTGAGCCACCATGCCCAGCCCTAAAATGTCTTTAACCTCATTAGATATAGAGACATGGATATGAAAACCACAATGAGGCACACAGAACATCCACCAGAATGACTAACTTCACAAGATTGACCACAGGAAGTGCTAGCCAGGACATGGAACAAGGAGTGCTCTCACACACTGATGAAGGAGTATAACTGGGAACAAAACTCTGGAAGATTATCTGACATTATATACTAAAGCTGAATACATGCCCAACAGAAATGTAGCCACGTAGGAACCAAAAAATAAAGTATAAGAATGTTTACAGCACTTGCAATAGCCAAAAGCTGGAAAATGCCATATATGCATCTGAATGTAAGAGAGAAACTGCAGTAGAGTCACACAATGAGTCACTCTAGAACAGTGATTTTCCAAGCATGGGCTCCAGCCCCACAGCACCAGCATCAGCATGCCTGAGAACCTGCTGAATAAAGAACTCTGCAGGGGGCCCCGCAACTGTACTGCAGCATGCATTCTGAGGCACGCTACAGTTTTCAGAAGCATTGATCCACAGCAAAGAAATAACTAAAAATGAATTTGAAAACATGTTATGCATAAGCCAGACCAAAAATTATATGTACTATATGATACCATTCACATGAAGTTAAAAACAGGCAAAAATAAACTATAGTGTTAGTTCAAGGGGAGGAGAATGGACAATAATTGGGAGGAATTATAATGTGATTTACTCGGGTATTGCCAAAGTTCTATTTTTTAACCTAAGTTTTGGTTACATGGGTACAGAGTTTTAAAATACTAATTTAGGCTGTATACATATTTTATCAGCTTTTCTATATATGTGTTAATTTTTTTAAAGGCTTTAAGAAAAGGAGAGTCTAGCTTATCAATCTCTTAGTACTTCAATCACAGAAATCAAAACACAAATTGTAAAATATCTAAAAAATGATAATGAAAGCTCTACATACTGTAACCTACTGAATATAACTAAAACATTACATAGACAAAGTTTAAGGCTTTAAATATTTATATTACATCAGTAAGAAAGAAGAAAAATCAATGAATGAATAACTAAAATGTTTAGGAGAAAGTAAATAAACCCAAGGAAAGCAAAAGGGAAAAGGAACTTAAGATTCAAAACACAGAAAACAGTAACACTAATAAATACATCCAAATGCTTTTGTTCAAAAAAATAAAACAGAGCTAATAAAGGGGAAATAGGAAAATATAGGAAATGGAAAAAAGACAAAGTAAGAAATCAGGGAAAAGTAACCAAAGATGTGGAGAATATTACTAAGAGTTATAAAAAGCTACTTTGTTCAACACAAGTAACTTATGACCTTGAATTACTGGATGCTTTTTAGGAAATTATAAATTACTAAAACTGTTTCCTAGAGAGAGAAAATCTATTTGGACAAGTCAGTATTGACAACACTGTCAAAAAAAGTACCCCCAATTCCTCCCCTCTGCTCCACATCACAATAAATAAGCAAAAACGGGACAAAGGACCCAAACCTTTAGGGAACAGCTATCATGTGAGTTAAACTAGACTAAAGGATAAAAATATGAAAGACCAAAAAAATGTTTTATGAAAGTATTACAAAATTAAAATCAAAGCCCAATGAAAATGGGCAGATGAAAAAGAAAACGTAAATACATTTAAGTATCAGTGCAAAAATTTAAATAAAAGATTGGCAGACAGAATCATCCACTGTCATATTCAGAGAATGATATAATGTGTCATGGCCAAGATAAATGAGAATAAAATCTACCACAGAAACAGATCAAAATGGAAAAGACAGATATTTCCATATACCTTGAAAAGGCATTTAATAAAATTCAGCAATCATGCTTGATTTAAAAAACTAAAATTTCTTAACAAAACATGTGAATGAAATACTTCCTTTAAATAACAATGTATGTGTATCCCAACTCAACAGCCAGCTCAAATGAGAAGGCCAGACACAATGCAAAGATGCAAAGACAAGCATATCCATCATTACCTTTGTTAATATAAAGCTGATATAAAACAAACTTTTAAAAAAAATCTGTGATATATATGATATACAATTAATTTCCTGAATGTATAAAGAACCCTTCACACTGACAATAAAAAGACCAACAATCTCACAGTAAAACGGGCAAAGGACTGAACAGGCAGTTCTCAGGAAAGATAAATACAAGGGTTGCTCAAAATGTTGAAACATGCTAAATCACACTCCTGATAAGAGAAAGGCAAATTAAAATTATAATAAAATATTTTCACCTCTCAGATTTGCAAGGATCAAAGCATATAAGACACTGCTGACAAGCTATAAAAGTGGCACTCATATGTTGTCATTAGGAGTATAAACATGTATTATCTTTATGAATAGCGGAAATACCCACCAAATTTGGTGGATTTAAAAATTTTAACCTTTAACAATTCTTATAGGAATTTATTCTATAGATTTACTTGTACACAAGAGAATTGATGTGTATGAGGATAATCACTGCAACATTGTTCAGAGTCATTATGTCCACTAAAGATAACTGATTACATAAATTATAGGACATCCATAAAGTGGAACACTATGCAGGCATCAAAAAGAAAGATAAGCTGGCATGGTGATGCACGCCTGTAATCCCAGTACTTTAGGAAACTGAGGCAAGAGGATTGCTTGAGGCCACGAGTTCCAGACCAGCCTGGGCAAAATAGCGAGATCTCATCTCTACAAAAAAAAATTTAAAAATAAATAAATAAAATTAAAAATAAAAAAATTTAGCCAGGTGTGGTAGCATGCTCCTGTGGTCCCAGCTACTCAGGAGGCTGAGGCAGGAGGATCACTTGAGCCAGGAGGTCAAGGTTGCAGTGAGCCATGATCACACCACTGTACTTCAGCCTAGGAAACAGTGAGACTCTGTCTCCAAAAGAAAGAAAGAAAGAGAGAGAGGAGAGAGAGAGAGAAGCTCTAAACAATATAGTTATGTCAAATGACTTCTAAGACATAAATGCCAAAGTAACAGGCAAAAGAGTGTGCTACCATGTGCTTAAAGAATTCATGGATACTCTCACAAAGTATACATCACACCTACAAATCTCCACAAGAAACTGACACAGGGATGCCTCTGGGGAGGGGAACTGAGTGATGAGAAAGGTATGTGAAGGAGACTGCATACCATTTGAACCATCTGAATGTGGTACCATAAGCATGTCTAACAACTAACAGAAAGGGAAATATACACACACAAAAAAAAACATAAAATACTGACTGGTTGTGAAGTCTTTGTAGAAAGATTTACTAGTCCTCTAAGCAGATGAAAGAAATATTAGGGGAAACATTGCTTGTTTTCATTACATCCAAGTTTTAAACATTCTATTTCAAATAACAACCAAAATTAAAACAGAAAGAACAAAGAATAAAGAAGACTGAGTGACTTTTGTTACTATATAAAGAATCTACACAAGAATTTAGGGGGGAAATGTTAAACACAGTAAGAATAAAAGGAATTACTTCAAAAGCATCCCACCCACAACCAGCAAAGACCTAGGTTAAGCAAGACTATGTATTACTGGTATTTTACATGAAATACAGTTATAAACATTCTCCTGAAGAGGATAGAGGCAAAATGACAATTAGAGTTTTAGAAGAAAAAATACTGGCAGGATAAATATTTTAGGTGAGAGAAATATTCAGGCTTAGAGATTCAGAAATGAACTATGGCACAGAGAAAGTGACATACAAAAACATATACAAAGTATACACAGAAAAAAATGAGAGCCAAGAGCAAAGGACAGTAGAAAAGACAAATAAAAGAAGATCCCTAAGAAAAGGAAAGAAAATGCTTCCCCAACAATGTGTTTGCCAAAAATCGCAATTACCTGAGAGCTAAAAAACCATGCTTATGTTTGGAATCTGCAACTACCACCAGGAAGTGGTATATAGTGAGTTAGCAAGCTTCCATGAGAGAGTGGGTAAGGAATGGAAAATGAACATGGGCCAGACGTGGTGGCTCACACCTGTAATCCCAGCACTTTGAGAGGCCAAGGTGGAAGGACCACTTGAGGCCAGGAGTTCGAGACCAGCCGTGACTAATATAGCGACACTCCATCTCTACATAAAATAAAAATTTAAAAATTAGCCAAGCATTGTGGTGGACGCCTGTAGTCCCAGCTACTCCTACTCAGGGGCCTGAGGCAGGAGGACGGCTTGAGTCCAGACTTTGAGGTTGCAGTGAGCTACAATTACACTCCAGCCTGGGCGACAGGGCGAGACTGTCTCAAAAAATATAAAAAAAAGAAAGAAAGAAAATGGAACAGAAGTAGAAAGAAACAAAAGATACCTGGTGAATGCCTGGAAAGAGAGAGAGAAAAATCACATAAAGAGCTTGAGGATTTCAGAAGGCTGGGAGATGGCACAGATGGGCCTGAGGCCCTCAGGAAGGCAGCAGCCCTCCCAAGTGCAGAAAGACTGGGGAGAAAAGCGGCCAGCCACTTGACAGGAGGATGACATCAAAAGAGGAAACCAGTGCCTTTCTGCACCAACAGGGCACTCAAAGATGAGCTTCCACTCAGGAACCCCCGTACTGCTCCGTGTGCTCAGCTTCTGCTGGGATGTTCCCCACCCACTCACCTGCATGTGTGCCTGATGGAGCCTCTCGCACCTCAGTCCAGGGCTCTGCCCCTTGCTCCAACTGAGTAATTAGTTTTGGTTTGGAAGAGAGAAGCCCTGTTCATAAAGAAAAAGGATCTTAGAGGAAGAAAAAAAAAATGAATGAAAAGGAATGTGATGGCGGTTACAAGCACAAGCAGTCACTCCAGACCTCAGTGTCAACTTGAGCATCTGCAATGAGCATGGACAGGTCAGAGAGGCCTAGAGGGTGGCACCCAGGATGTCCAACTCATGAAGTAAAGCAAAGGGAGGGGGCAAAGTCAACTAGAAAACCAGGTCCTCCTGGAGGACGAGAAACTCCTATTTTGGGAGGCAGATGAATCATGACACAGAAACATTCCAGAACTGGGCTAGTTGGCACCACAAAGCTACCCATCTTAACTCTGTATGGCTCTGACCTTTCTTGAGGGGTGTAAGGGGCATAAACTCCAGCCTCTAAGCCCATACTTAAGAAAAACAAAACAAAAAGCACATCATTTAAGATTTTTTCAATACCCCAAACCATTCACCCTGTGAAAACACAAAGTTGCCCAGCAGACCAATCCTGAGTCAAGGAGAAAGCCATCCTCACCCACAGACACCAGATTCCCATAGTTCTCCAGCATCACATCCCTGTACAGGGCCCGCTGAGCAGCATCCAGGTGTCTCCACTCAATCCGGGTAAAGGCCACAGCCACATCCCCAAATGTCAGCGGTCCCTGCAAAACCAAACCCAATTCTGCTCATCCGGGAACCCCTGAGGGAGGCATCCCAAGAGAAGGAAGCAAGGTGGTCAAAGCCAGCTTCTGACAGTTCCAACAGTGCTCATGGAAACCAACAAGTAAAAGCTGAGGGCTCAGGGGATGTGCGACTCCTCCCTTGAGCAGGTTCTTCCTGCATGCCTGTCCTGCTCCCTCCTCCAGGCCTAGCCTCTGCTCACTCCACCCTTCATGTCACCTCATCAAAAAGGTCTTCTATTTCTCCACCCCATCCTCTGCCACTCA
Organism: Homo sapiens; assembly: GCF_000001405.40. NCBI lineage: Eukaryota > Metazoa > Chordata > Mammalia > Primates > Hominidae > Homo > Homo sapiens. The sequence continues at coordinate 43,608,328 of NC_000010.11, read as the reverse complement.
GTCTCGAAACCCATTTCACTTTTCTTCACAGGATTTCTCACCACCTGGCAGGAGAGGTTTGCACTGACTGTCAGCATCCTCTCTAATGTGAGCTCCAGGGGGACAGTGTGGGTCACTGCTGCCTCCCAGTCAAAAACACTGCCTGACACAGAAGTGTTCAAGCTTTATTCAATCAACAAATGAATAGAAACTTTGAAAAGACATGGAAAGTGATTAGCTTTATCCGAGAATTTACAGGGAGTATGATCTGACTCTGGGGCAGAATATTTTTAAAAAAGAAAAAAAAATTGCTTTTCATAAGAGTAACAACTTACTATGTACCAGCCACGGTGCTAAACCCTGAGATACATATCATCTCTCTAAATTTCTGCCGTAACTATATAAAGTAAAATCTATTTCGTAGCTAAAGACACAAAGGTTCAGAGAGTTGGAAGAACTTGCTCAAGGTCCCAGGGCTGGTTGAAGGCACAGTATAAAAGGAAGCCACAAAAAGTGGTAATGAAACTAGAACAAATTGGAATGGCTATGAAATACTAAAAGAAAAAATGAGTAAGCCTTAAAAAAATGAAAAGTGTGTTTCAAATGAAATTACTTGACTTAGAGCAGTAGAAATGTAGGTGATCTTTAATTTTTTTAATTTTATTTGTATAATAGACACTCAAATGTTTATCACTTCCTTTCAAAATACCAATTATTTAATCAGCTTCTCAAAATCCTTCAAAACCTAGTTTTCTCCAGGATAAAAGCAAACTCCAGTCTGGGATTCTAGACCATGAATGTTTCCAACTTTCTCAGACCAGTTTGTTCATGGTCCCGCCATAATGACTTCATTCAGGCAGCGCTTTCCCCTAGTATCCTCTGCAATTATGCAAATCTCATTTATTCTTCAGGAAGAACTAAGGCGCCCACTACTCCACCCCTCCCACCCTACCACACACTAAAGGTCAAGAGAGCACTGCTATCACCCTATGTCTTTATGGCCTACGTCTTTACATGCTAACGTGTATTTTTTTCATCGTCTGCCAGTTTGCAAAGCACTTTTCTGTTTCTAGCACTCTAGAAAACATGGGTAGCAATAATCTACTTGGTGAATGACTACGTAATGGGTAGACAGGACGGAAATCGCGGGACCCATCCAGGATTGGTTCGGGTAGCTTTGTCCACACACAGGGCAGGGCATTGTCCGGGCAAGAGGCATAAACCCCACCTCGCTGAAACACGTGGTTTCTCAAGAAATGGAAAAATCAAACTTGCCTGGATCTGGGCTCTTGGGGCCATCTGTCTCCTGAACTGTTCTCCCAGGCAAGGGCTGAGAATCCTGCGTAAGTCAATCTGGGAAAGAAGAGAGGAAATTGAGGAAGTCCCTCCGTGCCCTAGCCTAGCTAGAATCTGCCCTCTAGACCAGGTCCCCGCCCGCCCGTTCCCTCCACAGGTGGGCAGACAGGTCCAGGTGGGTACGCTCGGGAAGAAAGGAAAGGGAACGGCTGCTGGGATCCGGCCTGGACTGCAGCCAGCTCCACGCCAAACACTTTTGGCAGCACCGGGGGACGGCCTTGTCAGTGGCCCAATCTGTCGGCCGGGGCGCAAGGCTGGAGCGCTCTGTGATGCACCAGCCTCGAGCGGTCGCTCCACACGGCGCAGCCACTGCGGGTGGGCACTGCCCACCGCCGCCTTCCCCTCCCACCCCGGCTCGCCCCTCGACCCGCCCCTGGGAAAGGCGGGGAGCACCCGCCAGGGGCTCGAGGCTTCAGGGACCCAGCCTGACCCCGGCCGCTCACGAACCGAACCGAGCCGGCAGGGCTGCGGAGCTGCACGCCCAGAGAGTCAGCGACCACACCACGCCGTTCGGACAGTAACCACCAGCCAGGGGCTGGTGCAGCGCTCGCACCACGCGGAGACAGGCTGGACCGGAAGCGGAAGTGGCTGAGGCCGCGGAGGCCTCTGGGAAACGTAGTCTGGGCCGCTTGGGGTCTTAGGGGCTCCATCCGCAGAGCAGGTTGGCATCACCTGGGAATCTTTGAAAAGTGAAGGTGCGGGAAGTGGAGAGCGGCTGATCGCAGTCGGGAGGTGATACATTATGACTGACATGCAAAATCTGGTAAAAAATTGGACAGGGCAGTGGGCCGCCTGGAGGCAGTATCCCATACCTCTGACATGCACCGTGGATATGGAGATAGTCCTTCAAAAGCAGGAGCAGCTCCATATGCGCAGGCATTTGACTCGCTGCTTGCCTGCCCTGTGGCAGAGTACTTGAAGATCAGTAAAGAGATTGGGGAAGACGTGCAGAAAGATGTGGAGATGGTACACACAGTTTTGAAGTTGGAGTGAGCTCTCTTGGTTACAGCTTCTCAGTGTCAATAGCCGGCAGGTAATAAGCTTTCCGATCTGTTGGCACCTATCTCAGAGCAGATCAAAGAAGTGATAACCTTTTGGGAGAAGAACCGAGGCAGCAAGTTGTTTAATCAGCTGTCAGCTGTCAGTGAAAGTATCCAGGCCCTAGGCTGGGTGGCTATGGCTCCCAATCCTGGCCCTTATGTGAAAGAAATGAATCATGCTGCTGTGTTTTATACAAACTGAGTCCTTAAAGAGTACAAAGATGTGGATAAGAAGCATGTAGACTGAGTCAAAGCTTATTTAAGTATATGCACAGAGCTGCAGGCTTACATTAAGGAGTTCCATACCACCGGACTGCCTGGAGCAAAACGGGGCCTGTGACAAAAGAACTGAGTGGACTGCCATCTGGACCCTCTGCTGGATCAGCTACTCCTCCCCCACCACCAGGCCCCCCTCCTCCACTAGTCTCTGTCAGTTCAGGCTCAGATGAGTCCGCTTCCCTCTCAGCACTGTTTGCGCAGATTAATCAGGGGGAGAGCATCACACATGCCCTGAAACGTGTATCTGATGACATGAAGACTCACAAGAACCCTACCCTGAAGGCTCAGAGTGGTCCAGTACGCAGTGGCCCCAAGCCATTCTCTGCACCTAAACCCCAAACCAGCCACAAAGAAGGAGCCAGCTGTACTTGAACTGGAGGGCAAGAAGTGGAGAGTGGAAAATCAGGAAAATGTTTCCAATCTGGTGATTGATGACACAGAGCTGAAACAGGCGGCTTACATATACAAGTGTGTCAACACGATGTTGCAAATCAAGGGCAAAATTAACTCCATTACAGTAGATAATTGTAAGAAACTTGGTCTGGTATTCGATGATATGGTGGGCATTGTGGAGATAATCAACAGTAGGGATGTCAAAGTTCAGGTGATGAGTAAAGTGCCAACCATTTCCATCAACAAAACAGATGGCTGCCATGCTTACCTGAGCAAGAATTCCCTGGATTGTGAAATAGCCAGTGCCAAATCTTCTGAGATGAATGTCCTCATTCCTACAGAAGGCGGTGACTTTAATGAATTCCCAGTTCCTGAGCAGTTCAAGACCCTCTGGAATGGGCAGAAGTTTGTCGCCACAGTGACAGAAATTGCTGGATAAGCGAAGTGCCACTGGGTTCTTTGCCCTCCCTTCACACCATGGGATAAATCTGTATCAAGACGGTTCTTTTCTAGATTTCCTCTACCTTTCTGCTCTTAAAACTGCTTCTCTGCTCTGAAAAGCACAGCTACCTGCCTTCACTGAAATATACCTCAGATGTGCAGTGGGATAGCAGGTCAGTTGATCTTCTGCAGGAAGGTGCAGCTTTTCCAAATCAGCTCAACTGCCGACGAGGACTAATGATGCATTTTAGCTTTGAGCTTTGGGGGTTATTCTACCAACAAACAGTCCACTGGGAAGAAAACAGTCCCAGGAATTAACAGATCAGAACGTTCACACTGGTTAATCTTTTTCTGACAATGAGCATGAAGGTAGCAGAAGCTGGTGTGTTTCCAGATGGTTCTTCTAACCAAACTAATTTTTCACTATTGACAAGTGAGGCAAGGATTGCACTGGACCAAAGGCTGAGGCTTGGCCATCTAGCATTCCACGCAAAATTGTTTCCTATAAGCATTCCTTTTATTCACTATTCTATCCTGGGTCTGCCTCAACCATGAGATAGGAGAGTCTCCGGTACTAGCTGCTGTAGCAGTGCCCTTCATCCAGGGCAGTTAAAGGAGTATTCAACCCTTTCTTTCTCTGGGATCCCTGCCCAGCACCTTCCTACAGAGATGAAAAAAAAAAAAAGGAAAAACAACACTCCATTCCAAGGAGTCTGGTATTCCTGAATCCTCCTTCCCTGCTAGGTGCCTGTCACCTGTCTTCACTGCCTCCTTTTCCCTGTCACACTCACCAGCTTATGGCTTCTGTCCAAGCACCTGAACAGGGGACCAAAACCTCCACTGCAAGCTGCTTTTAGGTCTTGATTTATGTAAGAATCTTGCACAGCACTGCTAATGTAAATTTCAGTTTTTTCCCTCTAGGACAAACACTTACCAAAATACGCAACTTTTTTGGTGGGAAGAGAGATTGTCCTGTGATTTCTACCCATTTCCTGATCCTGTGGAAATAAATCTTTATGTACTTAAAGTTATACAGAAAATAGAATGAAATAAATACCAAAAAAAAAAAAAAGCAAAGTGAAGGTACCTGGGTCCCAGCTTCAGAGATTCTGAATTAATTGCCCTAAGTGTGGTCCTGGCATTCGGATTTTTTAAAGCCCCCAAGTGGTTCTAATGTACTGCTTAGGTTGACATCTGCCACCAGAAACTGATACGGAAAGTATGAGAGACATATTTTATGTGCCTTTGGATAGCTATTTGTTTCCAAATAATCCTGTTTTTATTTCATACAAATAAAAAGCATGTTAGAAAAGTACATCACCTAGAACACTAAAAACATTATTTCCTCACTATTTGCTGACATAGAAAATGAAAGTAGGTTGAATCTGTTTTAACAAATGTATTATTTTCTAGGAAAAACATATGTTTCTATTTATTAACTCCAGGAATTGGAAAGCTAAGGGAGGAAAATGTATCTCTCTCATTCAATTAGGGCCTTTTTTTTTAAGAAAATTTCTCAGGATGGTGCATTCATTTACCAATTTACCAGTGATTGACCAAAGGCCCACTGCGTGCTACTCACTTCTGGATGCTAAGGATAGAACAGCTGACAAGCGTCCCTCCTAGACTAAAGTGGAGTCAGGCTCCTTTGCATCCTCCTTTCAACTATGCCTTGTCTTGGCCTGGTGAGCCGAGTTTTAGCCAAGAATCCTACAAAGCCACTTTATCAAGAATCATGGCCAGGCATGGTGGTTCACACCTGTAATCCTAGGACTTTGGGAGGCTGAGGCGGGCGGATTGCCTGAGCTCAGGAGTTCGAGACCAGCCTGGGCAACACAGTGAAACCCCGTCTCTACTAAAATACAAAAGAAATTAGCTAGGCGTGACAGCGTGCGCCTATAGTTCCAGCTACTCAGGAGGCTGAGACAGGAGAATTGCTGGAACCTGGGAGGTGGAGGTTGCAGTGAGCTGACATCGCGCCACTGCATTCCATCCTAGGTGACAGAGTGAGACTCTACAAAAAACAAAAGAATCACACTTTTTCCATCACACTTTTTCCATCCCACTTTTTCCAGCAAGGGCACCTAAGGACCAGTCTTTCCTTACTTTGGGGGCTGGATCCAGAATCTGCATTTATTTATATATGGCTACCATTTGCTGATTCCAGAGGACATGCAGAGCCTTTTACATACATCATTACACTGAGCTCTCACCACCAAAGAAGGTACAATTATTATTCTCATTTTGCAGATGAGGAAATTGGCTCAGAGAACGTAACTTGTCTTTGGTCCCTCACCTAGTAAATAGCAGAGCTGGGTACCAACAGTCATTGTTGGATCCCAAAGCAAAGTTGCCCCCATTGGCTTTCCATCATCCCTCGACTGTCTGAACTCCTTGCCTAACCTGCTGGGCCCTCCACCCTTTCCTGCCTGCTTTGCCATCCTCACCTCTCCCTCGGCCAGAGCTCATGTGGCTCTGCCCCAGCGGCTTCCTTAGCCCCTTGCTCACCAAGCTTCACACCACCTAGGGAGCTGGACCCATGCAGGAGCTGCCCTGGGCTCTTCCTTCTGCTTGCCTAACTTGGGCCCCCACTCTTGTCCTGGCCAACTCCTCTCCATCCTTCCTATCTGAACTAAAATATCAATTTCACTTCTGTGGCCCAAGACTAAGAGACATCCTCTCTTAGTACACTCCACTATAAGTGCTCCTGTGTGGGGCTTGAACAAAGTGTCAATTGCCAGTGGACAGATGTAGGCAGAGCCTGCAGGAGTTACGTCAATCATTTGAAAAGAACATTATTTACTGATAATAGAGATTAAGGACTCAAAATGGGGTGTTGGGAGCAAGCCCCCCAAAATCCGGCCATAAACTGGCCCCAAAACTGGCCATAAACAAAATCTCTGCAGCACTGTAACATGTTCATAATGGCCCTAATGCCCACACTGGAAGGTTGTGGGTTTACGGGAATGAGGACAAGGAACACCTGGCCCGCCCAGGGCAGAAAACAGCTTAAAGGCATTCTTAAGCCACAAACAATAGCATGAGCGACCTGTGCCTTAGGACATGCTCCTGCTGCAGTTAACTAGGGCAACCTGTTCCTTTAATTCGGCCCATCCCTTCGTTTCCCATAAGGGATACTTTTAGTTAATTTAACATCTATAGAAACAATGCTAATGACTGGTTTGCTGCTAATAAATATGTGGGTAAATCTCTGTTCGGGGCTCTCAGCTCTGAAGGCTGTGAGACCCCTGATTTCCCACTTCACACCTCTATATTTCTGTATGTGTGTCTTTAATTCCTCTAGCGCCACTGGGTTAGGGTCTCCCCAGCCGAGCTGGTCTCAGCAATGGGGAGTTCACGGTTTCAATCACTACCAGCTAAAACTTACAAAGAGACAGGCTCTGTGCTAAATGCTTAACTTCCTCACTTCTTTAGCCAGTTGGCAATGTGAAGGGGATGGTGTAATCTGTCCCCATTTTTCAGATGAACTCAAGGCCAAGTGGAGATGTGGTGCTCCAGCCAGTGGGCAGCACCAAGGCTGGCAAGAGGCTGGGCCAGGATGAAGTTTGGACCTTTCCCTGCAGGCAATGGGAAGCCTTGGAAGGTTTTATACAGGATAAGACAGGAACAGGCCTTTTTCTGAAAAGACCACCCTTGGGGGGCCTGGGGTAGTGAGAACTTTAAGGGAAGGGACTCACAGCCAGAAAGGTAAGGAGCACATTGTGAGCACATCCAGTGACCCAGTGAGTACCCTTCCATGGGCTCATCCTAAAGAGATAATCAGCCTAGTGTCCAAAGGTGTGTGTGTGTGAGAACACCAATTAACAAGGAGTATAGTTGTGCACCATCACCCCCAGCTAATTTTTTTACTTTTTTGAGACAGAGTCTCACTCCATCACCCAGGCTGGAGTGCAGTGACCAAGCCAAGGATTCGCCATCAGACTGTACCTGTCTTACCTGTACAAACTAGATAAATTCCTCTCTTCTCTAGGTCTCAAAATATATTGAGGTTCCTGTGCCTGTCAGAAACTGATATCCTTTTTTTTTTTTTTTTAAATTGGAGTCTTGCTCTGTCACCCAGGCTGGAGTGCAGTGGTGCAATCTCAGCTCACTGCAACCTCCGCCTCCCGGGTTCAAGCAATTCTATGACTCAGCCTCCAGAGTAGCTGGGATTACAGGTTCCTGCCACCATGCTTGGCTAATTTTTTTGTATTTTTAGTAGAGACAGGGTTTCACCATCTTGGCCAGGCTGGTCTTAAACTGCTGACCTTGTGATCCACCTGCCTCAGCCTCTGAAAGTGCTGGGATTACAAGCATGAGCCACCATATGTGGCCAGAAACTGATATTCTTTTCTTACCACAAGATCAGGAACTTTATAAGGGAACTGTGTAGACAAGGTACCAGGCCAGTCATTCCCCATGTCTATCGGCTTTATAAGTCAACTTCAGTTATTTAAAGCAGTCTGGTCATATCAGAAAATATGTCATTCCAGTCAAATGGTGGTTTAAAAAAGAAAACAGTGTCTCCACTTGCGTCCTGTTTAAAAAAAATGGATTCTTACTGAGCTTATGCAAATAACTATATTGCCAAAATGTAAGAATACGCACAAATAGTTTCTGAATTCTGGAGAAATCAGGTAGAGAGAAAGGTAAATGTCTCAATCTGCTCCCAAAAGTATATTTTAGGCTGGGTGCAGTGGCTCATGCCTGTAATCCCAGCACTTTGGGAAGCCAAGGAGGGCAGATCACTTGAGGTCAGGAGTTCGAGACCAGCCTGGCCAACATGGTGAAACCCCACTGATAAAAATACAAAAATTAGCTGGGCATGGCGGCAGTCACCTGTAATGCCAGCTACTTGGGAGGCTGAGGCAGGAGAATCACTTGAACCCAGGAGGCAGAGGTTGCAGTGAGCCGAGATCACACCATTGTACTCCAGCCTGGGCAACAAGAGCAAAACTCTGTTTCAAAAAAAAAAAAAAAAAACAGTATATTTTACCCAATTTCTGTGACTTACAAGTAGCTCAAAAGAAATAAAGTTTTCTTGATTCCGCAAAACAAAACATGAAAAGAATCAGCAATGTTTCAAACAAATAGACATAAAAATCATTTCACTCCTCCATCAGTTCAGTCCCATGTAATTAATTCTTGTTCTGCTTGATGTTGAGTTAGTGATATGGTTTGAATCTGTGTCCCAAATCGCATGTCAAGTTGTAATCCCAGTGTTGGAGGTGGGGCCTGGTGGGAGGTGATTGGGTTGTGGGGACAGATTTCCCCTTTGGTGCTATTCTCATGAGAGTGAGTGAGTTCTCATGAGATCCGGTTGTTTAAAAGTGTGTAGCACCTCCTCTCTCTCTCTTCCTCCTGCTCTGGCCATGTAAGATAAGCCTGCTTCCCCTCTGCCATGATTGAAGGTTTCTTGAGGCCTCCCCAGCCATGCTTCCTGTACAGCCTGCAGAACCCTTGAGCCAATTAAACCTCTTTTCTTTATAAATTATACTTTCTTTCAGGTATTCTTTATAGCAGTGCAAGAATGGACTAACACAATTAGTGATCTTCACGAACACACCAGTTTTTTATTAGTGTTCTGTAAGTTTTTACTTAGTCTAATGATATGATCTACAAAGCAGTCAGAAACCTCTATTCAAGAGTATAATTCCTGGTTCTTTCCATGAATATCCTTGAAGACATAACACTCTAGGATTTGCACAGAGCTAAAAGCTCTATGCAGAAAAGCATCAGATTAAAGCAATTCACTACATGTACCAAGATATATCAACTTTTTAGAAACCTCATACAATTTTGAAATAATATTCGTAACATATTTATGGTGTTGGGCTCTTTGCAGGCTTTCACAGGCTGAGCCTCTGTGCAGTCATAATGCTGCATGGAAGCCACATCATCACTTGCATGGCCCCTCCAGCCAGCCGGGCACCTGAGATGAGAACTGCACCCAACCCAGCACCACAGCTCAGCCCCCAGCAGCAGCCCCACCCTCTGCAACTGGCTTTTGTGCTGCTGCACCTTGGTAGCTAGCTCTGATGGCCCAAATGGCAACCACTGCAGCTGGCATTGCTACAGGCTCTACTGTGGGGCACACACTGGGGGCTTTAGTGGAAGAAATAATGCTGAGCCTCCAAGGCCTGGCCTCACTTACCAAGAACCTCAGGGAACCCGGCCAGCACAGCAGCAGCAGCCTTGCTTCTGAGATGAAACAGTTTTTGGAGCGTGGCCAGAACCAGGATGACATAAAGCTCTGTGAGGTCTCAATGAGGTGCTGAAACAGTGCAGATTTGCAAATGGAATAGCCTAATCAAGAAGTCCAAACTGAAGAAATGAAAATGGCTCTCATGACCAAGTTAATTTAGCATAAAATATAATTGACAGTAAAGGTATAAAGTATAAAACCATCAGTTAAAATTCTCCTCTGTCATTCATATCTTTCCTGCTTCAGAATTACAATGGAAGAGGGTGTTCTCAATGTGTAGAATTTCACCGAGATGGTATAGAATTTTGGGCTGGACAAATATTTCTGTGGTTTCCTTAAACGAGCTGTTGTAATTTTATTGTTTGAGCGTTAATTAGAATAAAGTGATTTTCTCACCACCCCCCCACCCAAAACAAAATTAATATAGGCATGCTGGCTCACATCTGCAATCCTAGCACTTTGGGATTTCAAAGCTGAGGACCTCTTGAGCCCATGAGTTTGAAACCAGCCTGAGCAACATGGTGAAACCCCATCTCTACAACAAATACAAAAAAATTAGCTGGGTGTGATGGCATGAACCTGTGGTCCCAGCTACTTGGGAGGCTGATGTGGGAGGATCGCTTGAGCCCAATAGTCCAGGCTGCAGTGAGCCGTGACTGTGCCCCTGCACTCCAGCCTGGGTGACAGAGTGAGACTCTCAAAAAAAAAAAAAAGCGTACATTCATGCAAATACGAATCAAAGAAAGTTAAACATTTCTTTCTTTTTCTTTTCTTTTTTTTTTTTTTTTGACAGGGTCTCTCTCTGTCATCCACGCTGGAGTGGCAGTCACTGCTCACTGCAGCCTCCACCTCCCAAGCTCAAACCATCCTTCTACATCAGCCCCCCAAGTAGCTGGGACAACAAGCATCAGCCACCATACCCAGCTAATTTTTTAGTTTTTTGTAAAGACAGGGGTCTCACTATGTTGCCCGGGCTCTAAACATCATTTCTTATTTGTCATTGCTCCCGATATGATTCTAACGTACCAGGCCTGGAACAGTGGGCTCACACCTATAATCCCACCACTTTGGGAGGCCAAGGTAGGAGGATCACTTGAGTCCAGGAGTTGGAGACCAGCCCGGGCAACATGGTGAGACCTCATCTCTACAAAAAAAATAAAATAAAATAAAATACAAAAAATAATCAAAATTAGCCTGGTGTGGTGGTGCATGCCTGTAGTCTCAGCTACTAGAGAGACTGAGGTGGGAGGGTCTCTTGAGCTCAGGAGGCTGAGGCTGCAGTGAGCCAACATTGCACCACTGCACTCCAACCTGGGTGAGAAAAGGAGATCCTGTCTCAAAAGAAAAAAAGCCCTGAAAGAATTCACTGCCACCAGACCCATCTTACAAGAAATGTTCAAGTGACTTCTTCAGTCTGAAAAAAAAATCGCTAATGTGAAAAAAATGGAAGTACAAAACACACTAGTAAAATTAAATACATAGAAAAACCCGGAATGCTCTAATACTGTAATTGTGGCATACAATCCACTCACAATTCTACTATGGAGCCCAATAGGCATGAGACAGAAATTTAAAAATAATAATAACAATAAGTACTGCATTTATTCACTCCAAGAAAAGCGAATAAATGCAGTAATTAAAGGTGAAGTGAGAAACACAAGTTTTTCTCTGCTGCAGGCAAGGGTATAGACAGGTCGTGGTGACCTAGCCTGCAGAAATGAACTCCAGACACCCCCAAGCAAGGTTAAAAGAAGAAAAATTCCTTTACTGTCTCTCCTGTATTGTACTATTAGTTATGACTATGTTTGCCAATGCTTGTATTTAGTAGGATTTGCAAAGTTCCTGTTTTTCTTTTGATGCAGCTGCTAGCCACTAGCTATGCAAGGCCACAGGTTATTGCCAAGGTCAGCAGTTATGCTATGGATTACATGACTAGTCACTGTAAAACTCACTGCCTTTGTTTTGCTTTTGAATGCAAGCCTATATAAGCTAAACTCTGTTTTGTTCAATGCTTAGTTTTTGGATGTGAATCCACTGAGCCGGTGCGTGCCTTAAATAAACATCCTCTTATATTCCCCATTTCGATCTCTCTGGTCCTCAGTTTACCACAACATTTTGGCAAGCCAGCCAGGAGTGGAGATGACAGGCTTACTATCTCCTTTGCCTGTGGGGCTGGAGCCCCGGGTCAAGGGAAAACTGTGACCCCAGGCGTGGCTGGGAGAACTTCAGCCCAGAGGGGAGATAGGCTCTCCTGTGACCCAGTGCCCCTACCCAGCAGTGCAACAGAACCTGAGAGGGGCTACAGGAGGATTACCAGGAGCAGCATGCTTCAGGAACCACGGTAAGGTATTGGGGCCCAAGGCAGGACCTGTTCCATAAGGACAGAAGGGGAGCCTGATCACCTCCTGGGGTGTAACTCATAATCCGACCCAGAGAGGTAGGGAGCAGTGAGAGTGGCTCACCAATTTAGATTAAACTCACACCCCAACCAACACAGGATGCGAGAGTGGCTCACTAAGTTGGTTAGGAAAAGGAAATTGGAGGTGGTGAGAGTGGCTCACTACCCTAAATAGGAACACAGGAACTGGGAGTGGGGAGGTGTGTGAAAGTGTGTGAAAGAAACAGTTTCAAAAGGAACCAATGCGGGGAGTGATGTGGGGAGTCATAAATCTCTTAGCGTGCACTGTGTGCTCCAAGCAAAGTGTGGGGCTGACCTGGACTAGTGGCAAGCTGCATGCAACTAATAGGAGCTGCCCCACAGCTCAGAGTTGTGGTGGGAATAAGAACCCCTCCAAAGCTAAGCGGCATCTGAAAACTCCCTCAATAGGAGACAGTCTGGTCAGCCTGAGGCAAAAGGAACAGTGAGTGTACTGCGCCACAAAGGGAGGAATGGAAGGAAAGTCATCAAAACCCACTCCATTGGAGTGCAAGTTACAGACCTTTAAGAAATATTTTGCAGGGGATTATGGAGTTAAGCTGACCCCCCAAAGGTTGAGAACTCTCTGTGAATTAGAATGGCCTCCTTTTGGTATTGGATGGCTGACCAAAGGAACTATAGACAGGGAAATAATTGGCCATGTATTTAAGGTGGTGACAGGGGTCGGAGGACAGCCTGGGCATCCAGATCAATTTCTTATATTGACTCATGGTTAAATATAGTACAAACAAGACTGGCCTGGATCCAGCCCTGTTTAGCAGCTTATCAGAAAACACTTGTGGCCTGAGCTGAGCCAAAAATGAAAGTAAGAGCAGCTTCGCTGGCAGACACAGAGTTAAAGGGAAAGTCCCAGAGGAAGCAAAAGAAGCCAGTCTTGCAGGAGCTGCCAGAAGGAGCAGAGATTCTTCCTCCATGTGTTCCACCCTTTGCTGAGGCCAACAGCCCCCCAAGAACGAAATTCAGGAGCTAGCACACCCCAGGTTTCACCCCAAAGGGAAGGATCGGAGCCTCGAGAGGCCAGGGAAGGAAGTCAAGATAGTCAAGCAGGCCGTCTCAGATCTGACCATGCTTAAGCTATGCAAGTGCCTCTCAGGGAGACGTGAGGACCCATTTATTGTGATGACCAAGGCCAAGTCCAGGGGGGGCAACGGACTTGCATCTATCAGCCCTTTTCAACCACTGATCTCTTAAACTGGAAACACCATACTCCCTCCTATATGGAGAATCCCCAAGCTCTTATAGATCTGATGCAGTCCATCCTTCTGACACACAATCTAACCTGGCCAAACTGCAGGCAGCTTCTTCTCACACTGTTTAACACTGAGGAACACAGGAGAGTAACCCAGGCAGCTCTCCACCAGCTTGAAGCCCATGCACCAGCAGACACAGTGAATGCTCAGGCATACACTCCGGGCCAGTTCCCAGACCAAGATCCCAGCTGGGACCTGGAAGATGTGACCCAGCTTCAGCATTTGCAGAGGTACTAAGAGGCACTTCTGCAAGGGCTAAGGGATGGTGGAAAAGAGGCAATCAATATAGGAAAGATCTCAGAGGTGCTTCAGGGAAGTGATGAGAGCCCTAGCCAGTTTTATGAAAGACTCTGTGGGGTATACCAGCTTTTCACCCCATTTGTCCCTGAGGCTGTTGAACATCAGCATATGGTAAATACATCATTTATAGGACAGGCCCAGGGTGACATAAAGTGAAAGCTTCAGAAACTGGGAGGCTTCTCAGGCATGAATGCCACCCAGCTTATAGAAGTGGCCACTAAGGTGTATGTTAACTGTGACCAGGAGGCAAAGAAGGAAGCAGATCAGAGGCTTAAGAAAAAGGCCAATTTGTTGGCAGCAGCCCTTATAGAAAGAGAGATTAGTAATGTGAGAGGACATGGACATGGACGTGGATGTGGAAGAGGTCTAGTTAGACAGGGATTCAAGAGCTGACCAAGGCTAGAGAAGGATCAATGTGCACAGTGTAAAAAGAAGGAACACTAGAAGGATGAATGTCCAAAAGGCAATGAGGGAAATGGCCAAGGCTGTGAGACAAAGAGGCCATTGGCCAGGGGCTGCTGCACCCTAGAGGAACCAGATACTGATCTAATCGGGCTGGCAGGGGCTGAAGGATATGAGGACTAGGACAGACCAGGATCATTCTCATTGGGCCTCCAGGAGCTTATGGTCACATTAGAAGTTGGAGGACAATTGATGGACTTTATGGTAGATACTGGGGCTGAACACTCTGTAGTAACTCAACCCTTAGTGCCATTATCCAAGAACTATAAAACTATTGCAGGGGCTACTGGAGTCTCAGAGAAGAGGCCATTCTGCCAGTCAAGGAGGAGTGTTATAGGAGGATGAAAAGTTCAGCATGAATTCCTATAGCTCCTAAACCGTCCAGTTCCCTTGTTAGGGAGAGACCTACCTCAAAAACTGCACGCACAGGTTACTTTTGGCCCACAGGAAGATATGACTTTAAATCTAAGTCACCCGAAGGCCATGGTGTTAATCTCTATCATCCCACAGGCTGAGGAGTGGAGACTTTATGGAAAGAAACTACAGGCACCAACGCAGCCTTGTACATAGGATGAAGAGAAATTATTTCAGTTAGTTAGAGAAATTCCTGGAGTTGGGCTGAAGACAATCCATCTGGGTTAGCTGTAAATCAGGCACCAGTAGTAATAGAATTAAAACCAGGAGCAACTCCTGTTCGGGTTCGTCAGTACCCAGTTCCCCAAAAGGCTGTATGGGGCATCTGTAAACACTTAGAGTGGCTCTATAAACATGGCATTTTAGTCCAATGCCAGTCGCCCTAAAATATTCCACTTTTACCAGTACAAAAGCTGCTGCCAGGACCAAGGTCTGATGAGTATAGACCAGTGCAGGACTTGTGTGTTGTGAACCGGGCCACAGTAACCATCCATCCAGTGGTACCCAACCTGTATACTTTAATAGGACTTATTCCAGCAAGTGCTACCTGGTTTACAGTCTTAGAATTAAAGGGCGCTTTCTTTTGTATCCACTTGGCACCAATTAGTCAGCCTATCTTTGCATTTCAATAGGACAAAGAAGCTACACAGTTCACCTGGACTAGGCTCCCACAAGGGTTTAAAAACTCTCCCACAATCTTTAGGGAAGCATTGGCCTCAGACCTCAAGGCCTATACCCCACCAAATGATAACTGCCCCTTGTTACAGTACTTGGATGACCTTCTTGTGGCAGCCCCAAACCGAGAGGACTGTTATCAGGGAAACGAGGATCTCCTCTATCTCCTGTAGAAAGCAGGTTACAAAGTATCTAAAAAGAAAGCCCAAATTTGCCATGAAGAGGTTAAATATCTAGGTTTCATAGTGAGCCACAGGGAATGCCGGCTTGGCTATGAGTGAAAGCAAGCCATTTGTGTGCTTCCAACCCCAACCACCCGACATCAAATAAGAGAATTTTTAGGGACAGCAGGATTCTGCCACATCTGGATTCCAAATTTCCCACTGATGGCTAAGCTGTTATATGAAGCCACAAAGGGGGGAGAAAAGGAGCCCCTCCTTTTGGAAACTAATCAGGAAATAGCAGTCAAACAGATCAAGGAAGCTTTAACTCAGGCTCCAGCCTTAGGACTACCAGACATAACTAAGCCTTTCTTTCTATATGTTCATGAACGAAAAGGAATTGCTGTAGGGGTTCTGATTCAAGTGATAGGGTCATGGCATCACCCAGTGGCATATTTATCCAAACAACTGGACTCCATGGTGCTGGGATTGCCTCCTTGCCTTAAGGCATTAGCCACCACCATCTTGTTAACACAAGAAGCTAGCAAATTCATTTTAGGACAGCAGCTAACCGTCTGGGTGCCACATTCAGTTATAACTTTGATGGATCAAAGAGGGCATCATTGGTTATCAAACCAGAAGATGACTCAGTACCACAGGCTTCTGTGTAAAAATGCTTACATTATTTTAGAAAGAGTGAACACCCTAAACCCAGCTACTCTGCTCTCAGTTGAACCAGGAGCTCCCCTCCATGACTGTGTCAAAATGGTAGATGCAGGTACTCTCCAGTTGGAAAGATCTTACAGACAGACCCCTCAGAGACCCAGATGTCAAGTACTTCACAGATGGGAGTAGTTTTGTGCTAGAAGGGGTTCAACATGCCAGGTATGCAGTGGTAACATTGAACTCAGTATTAGAGACTCAGCCTCTGCCTACTGGAACATCTGCTCATGCCAAGACCAACTCAGTCGTGGAGACCATAACCCAGCGGCACTAGAGGAATTAAAGACAAACATACAGAAATATAGAGTGTGGAGTGGGAAATCAGGGGGCTGACAGCCTTCAGAGCTGAGAGCCATGAACAGGGATTTACCCACATATTTATTGACAGCGACCCAATGATAAGTATTGTTTCTATAGATTATAGATTAACTAAAAGTATTTCTTATGAGAAACAAAGAGATGAGCCGAAACAAAGAGATAAGCTCTGGCTAGTTATCTGCAGCAGGAACATGTCCTTAAGGCACAGAAAGCTCATGCTATTGTTTATGGTTTAGGAATGGCTTTAAGTGGTTTTCCACCCTGGGTGGGCCAGGTGTTCCTTGCCCTCATTCCAGTAAACCAACAACCTTCAGCATGGGCATCATGACCATCAAGAATATGTCACAGGCCTGCAGAAATTTTGTTTATGGACAGTTTTGGGGCCAGTTTATGACCAGATTTGGGGGCCTGTTCCCAACATGTTACCCCTTTTTGTGTTTGCAAGACGATAAAAGCAAAGACGGCTTTATCACACTGAGCTACTTCTTGCAGGAGTCGGGAGCCACATCTGCAGACTGTATAAAGACAACACAGATTAAAAGCACAATCATCATTGAAATCACAAAGCCTTCAAGTGTTTTTATCTATTTTAATGGGTTACTAGCTGCTAATCCGTCTGCAGCTCCTTCAAGCATTCCAGTTCCTGGCATTAAGGTCAGGTGTGCCTGGGATGCTTTAAATACTTGTTCTTTTAATTTTTCAACATCCAAAGACAAGTTTGTAGAGTGTTCTTCTGGATGCTTTTTTTAATTATTTCCCAAATTTTTATGTTATTAAGAGCCATTAATAGTTTCCACAAATCCTATGTTTAGCTCCTACAGTAGGCCATATCATTTGAGGTTGAGGTGCCACTATACCGCCATGTTTCCAGATAATAGGAACTCTTGCCGTACTTCTTACCATTTCTACCATCTGACCATTTCGTTTACACCAGCTGAACATAGTGTGGCCGTGGTATGCAGACTGAGAGGTGCAATTCAACCTAAACATCCCCTTAGGGGACCAATCAATAATGATTCCATAGGAATCATTGCGCAGCACCTCTGCCTGTTCTGCAAATGCAGTGTTCCCAAACAAGTACATTCACTATTTCTGACCAGGTCCAATTCTGTTTACAAATAGGTTTTTGAGGGCGATATGCCTCAATTATAGGAGCAGATTTATTATGGTAAATACTGAGATCAGAAAGCATGTGTAACTATGTCATAGAGTGATTACATCCAGGCATTATTGCCAGCCAAGATTGATAAATATGCCCAATAAGTATAATTGTTCTCTGTGTCAGCCCTTGCTAAAGGAATACTCATGGCAATGGTGATCACCGCTATCATAGCTATCATTAAATTACGCATTATGACTGGTTGTCACATTTTCCTCAGGTTCTCTTCCACCATCTGTGACAGCTTCTTGATCTGTCCCCAGGTAGGTGGCTGTGTTCGACAGATGTTGCTTGTGACAGTTGGGGTCCTCCTCGCATCAGTCTTGACATGGCTGCAACCGGGGGGGTCCTGGGGATCCTCCCAGAATCTCTTCCTCAGCATCTGGATCATGATAAGATTTCAGGTGTCTTGATGGTATCCAAAGTGGCTGCTGGTTCTGTCCTAGAGAAACACAAGCATAACCTCTACCCCAAGTTATTATTTTACCTATTTCCCAACTTTTTGTTATCGGATCTCTCCACCAAACCAGTTGTCCTGCTTCTGCCTTTGCAGTTGGTTTCTGTAGATGCTGTTCAGCTGCCGATAGCATCTGGCCTTTAGGCAGGCTCAAAAAATTTAAAGTCAATAATGCTAGATTCAACTGCATATGGGGTGTCCTGTAGTCCCTGTTTCTCCTCTTTGGCTTTTTCAACTGCTGTTTCAGGGAGAGATTCATTATTTCTACTATGGCTTGTCCTTGAGAATTATATGGGATGCCAGTAATGTGCTTAATATTCCACATAGAGAAAAATGTAGCTAGAGCTTGGCTAGTATAGCCTGAGGCATTATCTGTTTTAATAGAAGCTGGAATGCCCATCACTGCAAAACACTACAAAGGTGACATTTAACACAGGCAGAAGACTCTCCTGATTGGCATATAGCCCAAAGTGAGAAAAGGTGTCCACACATACATGTACATAAGCTAGTCTCCCAAATGAGGGAACATGTGTGATGTCCATTTGCTAAAAAGAATTAGGTTCCAATCCTCGAGGAGTAACTCCTCCTATAAAAGATGACGAATGCACCATTTGGCAAGTTGGGCATCGCTGGATAATAGCTTTATCTTCTTTCCAGGTAATGCTGTATCTGTGTTTGAGACCAACGGCATTAACATGGGTTAAATTGTGAAAGTGCCTGGCATTAGATATTGCGGTAGCAACTAGGTGATCAGCCATTTGATTCCCTGCAGTCAAAGGTCCTGGAAGAGGTGTATGAGCCCTAATGTGAGTGATGTAAAAAGGGTGCATTCTACTCCTAACTGCTATTTGTAATTGGGTAAATAAAGTCATCAGTTGCTCATCTGTATGAAATAGCAACTGAGCATTTTCAATTAACTGTGTGGAATGAACCATGTATGAAGAATCAGAAATCACATTAATAGGCATATTAAAAGTAGTCAATACCTCAATTACAGCTACAAGCTCTGCTTTTTGAGCTAAAGTATAGGGCATCTGGAAAACTTTACCTTTCAAGCCAGAATAAGAAGCTTTACCATTACTAGACCCTTCCGTAAAAACATTCTCAGCACCGTCAATTGGTTTAAATTTAGTTATTTTAGGCAGAATCCAATTAGTTAATTTCAAAAATTGAAACAGTTTCATTTTAGGAAAATGATTATTGAGAATACCCACAAAGTCAGCTAAATGGATTTGCCAAGTAAGACTATTTTATAAAAGCTTGCTGTATTTGTGTCTTCGTGAGTGGGACAATAATTTTTCCAGGATCATATCCATGTAATTTAACAATCCAAGTTCTCCCATTTCCTATCATAGTAGCGATTTGATCCAAATAAGGAGTTAGAGTCTGTGAATTAGTATGTGGAAGAAAAAGCTATTCTACTAAGTCCTGCTCCTGGACAATAATACGGGTAGGTGAATGCTGAGTTGGAAAAATTAGCAAATCTAGAGTCTTCTCTGGGTCTATTCTATTTATTTGGGCTTTATGGACGTGCTTTTCAATTCGCTGTAACTCTGCCTCAGCCTCCTTTGTTAATTGTCAAGGGCTAGTGAGACTAGAATCTCCTCTAAGGATAGAAAATAGATTACTCATGGCACACGTAGGAATGCCTAGAGCACGTCGCATGCAATTACTGTCCCCTAGTAATTTTTGAAAGTCATTTAATGTTATCAGTTGATCCCTATGTATGGTTACTTTCTGTGGCACAATGGTAGTGTCATTTACTAAGGTACCCAAGTAGGAGTAGGGAGTAGTAGTCTGAATTTTGTCCTGAGCTATAATTAAACCAGTGCAAGAAACCCAGTTTTGCAGGTGATCATAACCTTGGAATAATATTTCTTGAGTGGGGGCAGCACAAAGTATATTGTCCATATAATGAATAACGTAACACTGTGAAAATGTTTTACCAGTAGATTCAATTGCTTGCCCCACATAAGTCTGGCAAATTGTTGGACTGTTTAACATGCCTTGTGGCAACACTTTCCAGTGAAAATGCTTAGCAGGCTGCAGGTTGTTCACCGCAGGATTTGCAAATGCAAACCGTTCACAGTCTTGCTCAGCTAAGGGGATAGCAAAGAAACAGTCTTTTAAGTCTATGACTGTTAAAGGCCAATTTTTCGGAATCATAGCAGGAGAAGGCAGTCCTGGCTGTAATGTCCCCATAGGTTGTATAACTGAATTAATGGCTCTTAAGACAGTTAACATTCTCCATTTACCTGATTTTTTCTTAATTATGAAAACTGGAGAATTCCAAGGGAAAATGTTGGAGCTACATGTCCTTTTTCTAATTGTTCAGTAACTAAGTCCTCTAAAGCCTCCAGTTTATCTTTACTCGGGGGCCATTATTCTATCCAAATTGGCTTATCTGTTAACCATTTTAAAGGTATAGGTTCTGGAGGCTTAACAATGGCCACCATCAAAAATGATATCCTAAACCTTGGCAGGAACTTTGTCTTTCTGTGTGAAGCGGTTCCTTCAAAACTTGCAAATTTTTTTCTAGTCCCATACCAAGGACATACCCCATTTCATGCATCATATGTTGACTTTGAGGGCCATATAATTGCTCTGGAATTAGAACTTGTGCTCCCCATTGTTGTAATAAATCTCTTCCCTATAAATTTATAGGTAGAGAAGTTACAATTGGTTCAATAGTCCCAGGTTGTCCATCAGGCCCTTCATAATGCAAAATATAACTACTTTGATATATTTCAGGGGCTTTATCAACTCCAACCATGTTAAATTGAGCAGGTTGAATTGGCCACATGGACAGCCAGTGCTGTAGAGAAATGATTGAATTGTCCACTCCTGTATCTAGCAAACCTTTAAATTTCTTTCCCTGAATAGTTATTTCACAAGTAGGATGTTTACCAGTAATTTGATTCACTCAATAAGCTGCTTTGCCTTGTTTATCTGTGTTTCTAAATACTCCTGTTTGTTTAATTTCACTTTTCCCCATTTCCACATATGGCACAATCAGGAGCTGTGCTATACGCTCTCCTGGCTCTGCTTTCCAGGGAACAGAAGTAGATATAACAATTTGAATTTCCCCATTGTAATCTGAATCAGTGACTCCTGTATGTACTTGCACTCCTTTTAAATTTAAACTAGATCTACCTAGAAGTAATCCTATCATCCCCGCTGGCAAGGGTCCACAGACCCCTGTTGGAACTTTTTGCAGGGGTTCCCCAGGCAGAAGGCTCACAGCTTTTGTGCAGCATAAATCTACTGCAGCACTACCGGCTGTGTTGGGGGACAGATATTGTACAGGGGTGAGGGAGTGGCCTCAGCCGGAAATGACCCAGTAAACCAACAACCTTCAGCATGGGTGTCATTGCCCTTGTGAACATGTCACAGGCCTGCAGAGATTTTGTTTATGGCCAGATTTGGGGGCCTATTCCCAACATGCTCAAAAGGCAGAATTAATAGCCCTGACAAGAGCACTGTGTTAGCAGAGACAAGAAGGTTAATATTTACACTGATTCTAAGTATGCTTTTACTACATTGCATGTACATGAAGCTATATACAAAGAGAGAGGACTTTTAACAGCTGGAGGCAAAGAAATAAAGTACAAGGAAGAAATTCTACAGCTCTTGGAGGCTGTATAGGCTCCAGAAAAAGTAGCTGTAATGCACTGCAGAGGACACCAAAAGGCAGGGACGCCAGAAGCCAAAGGAAACAGGCAGACAGAGAGGCAAAGCAGGCAGCAATGATTACACCGCATTTTCAAGAGGAAGCCTTAGCTATGCCTCTCCTGCCAGAACCTCCTCTCCAAGGGACCCAAGTTATACTCCAAATGAAAGAGCCTGGTTTGCCCAGGAAGCTAGAAAATATATTAAAGGAAGGTGGTAGAAATTATTCGATAAGAGATTAGCCATTCCAGTGATGTTAGCTCCTAAGTTTGTGAAGCAAATTCATCAAGGAACTCATATGGGAAAAACGGCACTAGAAACGTTACTGAAATGCCATTTCTATGTGCCACAGCTCTCTGCTATCACTCAAGCCATTGGTGAACAATGCTTAACCTGTGCTCAGAACAACCCATGACAGGGGCCCACTTGGCCCCCAGGAATTCAGGAAGTAGGAGCCACGCCTTGTGAAAACTTGCTTATAGACTTTACCGAACTGCCCCGTGCTGGAGGCTGTCAGTATATGCTACTGCTTATTTGCATCTTTTCAGGATAGGTTGAGGCTTTCCCCACCAAAACAGAAAAAGCACGAGTAGTGACCAAAGTACTGCTAAAAGACATTATCCCCAAGTTTGGACTGCCTCTATCTTTAGGATCAGACAATAGGCTGGCATTTGTAGCTGAAATAGTGCAAGATTTAATAAGACTATTAAAAATAAAATGGAAGTTACACACAGCCTGTTGGCCGCAAAGTTCAGGAAAAGTGGAACGCATGAACTGGACACTCAAGCAGCTACTGAAGAAATATTGCCAAAAAACTCATCTGAGATAGTATCAGGTCTAGCCTATGGTCCTCCTCTGAGTCAGATGCACCCCCACCAAACAACTAAGAATTCACCATATGAGATTTTGTTCAGTCGGCCTCCCCCAGTCATAGGTCAAATTAAAGGTGATCTCCGTGAACTAGGAGAATTAATCTTAAGAAAGCCAATGCAGGTTTTAAGGACAGCCTTGCAAAGTGTCCATAGTTAGGTACATGAAAGAATACCTATAAGCCTGACAGACCCAGTACACCCCTTTAAACCTGGAGATTTTGTTTAGGTTAAGAAGTAGAACCAAACTTCTCTAGGACCCATATGGGATGGGCCCTATACTATAATCTTGTCCACTCCCACTGCTGTTAAAGTTGCAGGTGTTGTGCCTTGGATCCACCACAGTCTGCTGAAACCGGAAGCTCAGGACAAGTGGACCAGCCAGCAGGACCCAGATCATCCAATCCCGCTGATCCTAAGACGAGACCAAGCTGCTGTTAAAGACAACCAGCCTGCTGTGGTCACTCCGGAAGCTGACCAGTCTACTCATGGCTGAAACTTGAGGAGACAACAAGCCCTGCTCTAGTCATACACCGGAAGCTGACTAGTCTATACATGGCTGAAGCTTGAGGACTCATCAAGCAAGTAAAGGTGGTTAGAAATCTTAGGACTAGTAGTTTTCCTTGTAATACTAACTGTTTTCCTATTGTTCTGTTGCTGTGCTCAACCTCCTCCCCCTCTTCTGTCCTTGCTGGATATGAATATGCCATACATTGTTTTGCTGTTGTTACCCCCCTTAACCATGCTAGAAGAAGCACCTATAGAAGGGTGTCCCCACTGTACACATACTACCTGGTCAAGGAACAGTATAACTATAACTCTATCGTACCATACTTATAAGTGTACAAGGACTCACTTAAGAACTTGTACTTACAATCAGACCACCTATTCAGTCTGTGACCCAGAGGATGGCCAGCCTTATGTATACTATGACCCTAAATTTTCACCTGGTGAATGGTTTGACATTCACGCAGAGTCAAAGGAAGGTCCCCTTTTAAAACCAGACCAAGGTCCCTCTTTTTTACCAAGGGCCTATTTCTCTGTACTTTGATGCCTGTCAGGCAGCATACCTAGACTCACCTGTCTGTGGTAACTTACCTTTAGAAAGATACTATAGAAATGACTACAAATATGTATGCATGCCAAGAGCAACTCCACCTTGTTCCCCTGGGACCCCAGAAAAACATTGTCAGTAATGCATATCATGGCACCCTAGCACACAACAAAGGCCAATTATGCTTACTGAAATGCCGGTAAACCAGATTATGAAACAAAAACCTGTAATCCTGTAAACTTCACCATTCTAAAGCCAGACCTACCCATGTGGACTGCAGGTTGCCCCATACATGTCTACATACACACATACCCAGCAACTTACCTATATGTTATCAAAAAAGGAACCCGGAGCCGTCCAGCCCAGCAACAGTTCCAAGTCTTTAAGTCATTCTATAAGCATGTAGACCAAAAGTTACCAGAGCCTCCTCCTGTAGCCAAAAATCTGTTTGCTCAGTTGGCTGAAAACATTGCTGGCAGCCTAGGCATTTCCTCATGTTATGTTTGTGGAGGAACTAACATGGGAGACCAGTGGCCTTAGGAAGCAAAAGAGTCAATGCCACAAGATAATTTTACTCTGACTGACTTTTCCCCCAAACCGATGCCCACAAGTTCAAGCGTCTGGCTCTTAAAAACTTCTATTAGGCCAGGCGTGGTGGCTCACTTTGGGAGGCCAAGGCGGGCAGATCATGTGAGATCAGGAGTTTGAGACCAGCCTGACCAACATGGAGAAACCCCATCTCTACTAAAAACACAAAATTAGCTGGGCGTGGTGGTGCATGCCTGTAATCCCAACAACTCGGGAGGCTGAGGCACGAGAATCGCTTGAACCTGGGAAGCTGAGGTTGCAGTGAGCTGAGATTGCACCATTGCACTCCAGCCAGGGCAACAAGAGTAAAACTCCATCTCAAACAAACAAACAAACAAAAAAGCCACTTCTATTATCAGGAGATACTGTGTTGCTTACTGGGGAAAAGCTTTTACAGACCGAGTAAGAGAATTAACATGCTTAGGACAGCAATATTATAATGAAAACCTAAGAAAAACTTTGTGGCGAGGTAAAAATCGTTCCAAATCACCTCATCCAAATCCATTCTCCTGCTTTCTCTTCTGTAAATCACACCTGGTATCAGCCTGAAGCTTTTTGGATGTGAATCCACTGAGCTGGTGAGTTCCTTAAATAAACATCCTCCTGTATTCCCCATATCGGTCTCTCTGGTCCTCAGTTTACCGCAACAGGCATGATAGATTTGTCATGAACAATAATAGCTATAGCAACCTGTCAAGAGGTAAGTAATATAAATATATGTAAATTCAGACAACTAAAAGTCAAAATGGGGGGATAGAGTTAAAGTGTAGAACTGGTCTTTTTTTCCTTTTTTGTTTATCTTCTTTTCTTTGTGATCAAAGTTTAGCTGTCATCTGTTTAAAATAACTTGTTATATCTGTAAGATACATTTTTTGGTTTCCTCACAGGAACTACAATGCAAAAAAAAAGAAAATAGATTCACTGCAAGTAAAAAAAACAACGAATTAAAACATACTACCAAAGAAGATCACGTAGCCACAAAAGAAGACAACAAGAAAGGAAGAAAGGAAGACAAAATTACAAAATAACCAGAAAACAAACAAGAAAATGGCAGTAGTAAGTCCTTTCTTATCAATAATAAAACAGAATGTAAATGGACTCAATTCTCCAATTAAAAGGGTTAGAGTGACTGAGTAGATAAAGAAATAAGACCCAACTATATGCTACTACAAGAAACCCACCTCACCTCTGAAGACACGCATAGACTGAAAGTGAAGGGATGGAAAAAGATGCTTCATGAAACTGGAAACCAAAAGACAGCAGGACTCACTATACTTAGATCAAATAGAATACAAAATAAGACTGTAGAAAGACACAAAAGGGGTCACTATATAATGATAAAGGGATCAATTCAGCAAGTGGATATAATAATTATAAATTTGCATGCAACACCAGAGCTCCCAAGTTTAAAAAGCAAACATTAATAGGTCTGAAGGGAGAGATGGCATGCAATACAATAATAGTAGGGGACTGTCTCAGTAATGGATAAATCATACAGACAAAAAAAATCAATAGAGTAACATCACAATTAAACTGCACACTATACTTAATAGGCCTAAGTAACATCTACATAACATTTGCCCAAATGCTGCATAACACACATTATTTTCATCAGCACATGGAACATTTTCCATAATAGACCACACCTTAGGCCACAAAACAAATCTCAATAATTTTTTTTTTTTTTTTTGAGACAGAGTCTCACTCTGTTACCCAGGCCAGAGTGCAGTGGCCTGATGTTGGCTCACTACAGCCTCTGTCTCCCAGGTTCAACCAATTCTCCTGCCTCAGCCTCCTGAGTAGCTGGGATTACAGGTTCCTGCCACCATGCCCAGCTAATTTTTGTATTTTTAGTAGAGACAGGGTTTCACCATGTTGGCCAGGCTGGTCTCGAACTCCTGACCTCAAGTGATCCACATGTCTTGGCCTCCCAAAGTGATAGGATTATAGGCATGGCCACTGTGCCCAGCCTCAGTAAATTTTAAAAAGTAGAAATCGGGCCAGGCGTGGTGGTTTACACCTGTAATCCCAGTATTTTGGGAGACTGAGGCAAGAGGATCACTTGAGGCCAGGAGTTTGAGACAAGCCTGGCAACAAAGTGAAACTCCAACTCTACAAAACATTTTAAAATTAGCTGGGCATGGTGGCACATACCTGTAGTCCTAGCTACTCAGGTTGTTGAGTGGGGAGGATCTCATAAGCCCAGGAGGTCAAGGCTGCAGTGAGCCATCATCATGCCACTGCACTCCAGCCTGGGCAACAAAGCAAGACCCTGTCTCAAAAAAAAAAAGAAAAAAAAAGTAAAAATCATATCAAGTATCTTTCCTAACTACAATGGAATAAAACTAGAAATCAAGAAGAAAAGAAATGTTAGAAACTTCACAAACACATGGAAACTATGCAACATGCTCCTGAGTGACCAAAGGGTCAATGAAGAAATTAGGAAGAAAAATTTAAAATTTCTTGGACAAATGAACAGGGAAATACAACATACCAAAATCTATTGAACACAGAAAAAGCAGTACTAAGAGGGAAGTTTTTAGCAATAAACACCTTCACCAAAAAAGCAGAAAGACAGGCCAGGCACAGTGACTCCTGCCTGTAATCCCGGCACTTTGGGAGGCCGAAGTGGGAAGTCTGCTTGAGGCCAAGAGTTCGATATCAGCTTGGACAAACACAGTGAGACCTCATCTCTACAAAAATTTTTAAAATTAGCTGTTGTAGTGGCACATACCTGTAGTCCCAGCTACTCGGGAGGCTGAGGTGGGAGGATCACTTGAGCCTGGGAAGTCGAGGCTGCAGAGAGACATAATTGCACCCCTGCACTCCAGCCTGGGTGACAGAGCGAGACTCTGTCTCAAAAAACAAAGAAAAAAGAAAGAAAGAGTAGACAGACTTCAAATAAAAAATCTAACAATGTGCCCCAAGGAACTAGAAAAGCAAGAACACACTTAATCCAAAATTAGAAGGGAAGAAACAATAACTATCAGAGCAGAAATAAATGAAGTTGAGGTAAAATATATATATATATATACAGAATATCAACAAAACAATTAGTTTTTTGAAAAGATAAAATCGACAAACCTTTAGCAAGTCTAAGGAAAAAAGAGAGAAGACCCAAATACATAAAACCAGAAACAACAAAAGGAGACTAAATAACTGAGACCACAGAAATACAAAGAAACATTAGAGACTATAAACAACTATACAACAACAAATTGGAAAACCTAGAATAAATGGATAAATTGGACACATAGAACCTGCCAAGTCTGAACCATGAAGGAAAGAAAACATCAACAAGCCAATAACAAGTAATGAGATCAAAGCTGTAATAAAGTCTCCCATCAAAGAAAAGTCCAGGTGGCTTCACTGCTGAATTCTACCAAACATTTAAAGAACTAATACCAACTCTACTCAAACTCTTCAAAAAAATGAAAAGGAGAAAATACTTCCAAACTCATTCTATGAGGCCAGCATTACCCTGATATCAAACCAGACACACACAAAAAAAAAGAAAATGAGAAGCTAATAACACTGATAAATGTAGATGCAAAAATCCTGAACAAAATACTAGCAAACTGAATTCAACAACAGATTAAAAAGATCATTCACCATGGTCAAGTGGGATTCATCCCAGAAATGCAAAGATGGTTCAACATACATAAATCAAGAAATATTAAGCATTTATTGATTTATGTTATACATTATTTAATAAACATTTATTGATTTACATGATACATTAATGTGATACATTGCATTTACAGAACCAAGAACAGAAGCCATATAATTTCAATAGATGCTGAGAAAGCATTCAATAAAATTTAACATCCCTTTATGATAAAAATGCTCAACAAACTGGGGGTATCCCATACCTCAAAGTAATACAAGCCATATATTAGACAAACCCAAAGCCAACATCATACTTAATGGGGAAAAATTGAAAATCCTTTCTCTAACATCTGGAGCCAGACAAAGATCCCC
This sequence comes from Homo sapiens, assembly GCF_000001405.40. Lineage (NCBI taxonomy): Eukaryota > Metazoa > Chordata > Mammalia > Primates > Hominidae > Homo > Homo sapiens. Next base: position 43,580,118 of record NC_000010.11, on the reverse strand, counting down.
ACTTTCACCACTTTTATTCAGTATAATTCTGGAAGTCCTGGCTAGAGCAATTAGCTGAGAGAAAAAATAAAGGGCATCTGAACTAGAAAGGAAGAAGTCAAGTTAGACTTGTTGGCAGACAATGTGATCTTATATTTAGAAAATCCTAAAAACTCTACCAAAAAACTCTTTGAACTGACAAATTCAGTAAAGTTCCAGGATACAAAATCAACATACAAAAATCAGTAGCATTTATATACATCAACAGCAAACAATCTGAAAAAGAAATCAAAAAGCATTTTTTTATTTACAATTTGTCCCCATTTACAATAGCTACAAAGAATATAAAATACATAGGAACCAATTTAACCAAAGAAGTAAAAGATCGATACAAGGAAAACTATAAAACACTGATGAAAAAAATTGAAGAGGACACCAAAATATGGAAAGATAGTCCATGCTCATGGACTGGAAGAACTGGTATTGTTAAAAAGACAATACTACTGGCCGGGTGTGGTTGCTCACGCCTGTAATCCTAGTACTTTGGGAGGCCGAGGCAGGTGGATTGCCTGAGCTCAGGAGTTCAAGACCAGCCTAGGCAACACGGTGAAACTCTGTCTCTACTAAAATACAAAAAATTAGCCAGGTGTGGCAGCGGGCGCCTGTAGCCCCTGCTACTCAGGAGGCTGAGGCAGGAGAATCACTTGAACCCAGGAGGCAGAAGTTGCAGTGAGCTGAGATCACACCACTGCACTCCAGCTTGGGTGACAAAGAGAGACTCTGTCTCAAAAAAAAAAAAAAAAAAGACAATACTACTCAAAGCAATTTGTACATTCAATGCAATTCCTAACAAAATACCAATAACATTCTTCACAGAAAACATTCTTCACAGAAATAGGAAAAAAATCCTAAAATTTATGTGGAACCACAAAAGACCCCAAATAGCCAATGCAATCCTGAGCAAAAAGAACAAAGCTGAAGATAGCATAATACCTGATTTCAAAATATAGTATGAAGCTATAGTAACCAAATCAGTACGGGACTGGCATAAAAACAGACAAACAGTCGAATGGAACAGAATAGAGAACCCAGATACAAATCCATGCACTTACAGCCAACTCATTTTCAACAAAGGAACCAATAACATACGTTGGAGAAAGGGACAGTCTTTTCAATAAATGATGCTGGGAAACTGAATAACCATATGCAGAAGAATGAAACGAGACCCCTATCTCTCACCATAAACAAAAATCAAATAAAATGGATTAAAGACTTAAATCTAAATCCTGAAACTATGAATCTACTAGAAGAAAACATTGAGGAAACACTCTAGGGCATTGGTCTGGGCAAAAAATTTTTTGTGTAAGACCTCAAAAGCATAGGCAACAAAGGCAAAAATAGACAAATGGAATTACATCAAACTAAAAAGCTTCCGCACAGCAAAGGAAACAACCAACAAAGTGAACAGACAACCCCACAGAATAGGAGAAAATACCACAACCTATCCACCTGACAAGGGATTAATAACCAGAATATACAAGGAGCTCCAACAACTTTATAGTAAAAACACAAATAATCCAGTTTAAAAATGGACAAAAGAGATCCGAATAAACATTTCTCAAAAGAAGACATAAAATTGCTAACAGGTATATAAAAGAATGTTAAACATCACTAATCATGAGAAAAATGCAAATCAAAAGCACAATGAGCTATCTTCTCACCACAGTTAAAATGACTTTTATCTGAAAAACAGGGAATAACAGATGCTGGCGAGGATTTGGAGAAAGGGGAATCATTGTACACTGTTGATGGGAATGTAAATTAGTACAACCACTATGGAGAACAGTATGGAGGCTCCTCAGAAAACTAAAAATAGAATTACCATATGATCCAGCAAATCCACTACTGGGTATATATCCCAAAGAAAAGGAATCAATATACTAAAGAGCTATCTGCATTCCCATGTTTACTGCAACAATATTCACAATATCCAAAATATGGAATCAACCTAAGTGGCCATCAATGGATGAATGGATAAAGAAATGTGGTGTATGTACATAACGGAATATTATTCAGTCATAAACAAGAATGAAATCCTGTCATTTGCAGCAATATGGGTGGAACTAGAGGCCATGATGTTAAGTAAATAAGCCAAGCACAAAAAGACAAATATTGCATATTCTCACTCATACGTGGGAGCTAAACAAAAAAACAAGTGGATTTCATGAAGATAGAGAGTAGATTGGTGGTAACCAGAGTTCAGAAAGAGTAGAGGTAGGGGTCTGAATAGAGGCTGGTTAAGGGGTATGTATTAGTCTTTTTTCACACTGCTATAAAAAAATGCCTGAGACTGGGTAATTTATAAAGAAAAGAGGTTTAATTGACTCACACTTCCACATGGCTGGGGAGGCCTCAGGAAACTTACAATCATGTTGGAAGAAGAAGCAGTCACCTTCTTCACAAGGTGGCAGGAGAGAGAAGAACAAAGGAGGAACTTCCAAACATATCTCACAAACCATCAGATCTTGTGAGAGCTCACTCACTGTCATGAGAACACCATGGGGGAAACTGCCCCTTGTGATCCAATCACCTCCCTCCCTCCACTTGTGGGAATTACAGGTCCCTCCCTCAACACGTGGGAATTACAATTCAAGATGAGATTTGGGTGGGGACACAGAGCCAAAACATACCAAGGTGTAATACACAGTTAGACAGAAAAAATAAGACCTGGTGTTCAATAAACCAGTAGGTTAGCTATGGTTAACATTAACCTACTGTACATTTCAAAATAGCCAGAAGAGAATCATTTGAATATTTCCGGCATACAGAAAAGACAAATACTTGGCGATAGATATCCCAATTTCCCTGCTTTGATCTTTACACATAATATTAATCAAATTATCACATGTACCCCCAAAATATGTGCATCTATTATATACCAATTTTTAAAATTAAGTTAAAAATTAAATTTTGGGTTTTGCATGTGAAAAAAGAGAGAATATGGGAGAAAAGAAATTGGAAACATCCCTTAGGGACAATTTTTTTAGGAGTTTTGCTGTAAAGCAAAGCAGAGAAATGAGGTAGTGGCTGGAGAGAAATAGGGTGCAAGGTAAGGGGTTTTATTTATTTTATGGACAATATTACAGTGTATTCATTAGTATGCTGATAATTCAGTACAGAATGAAAATCTTGAAATACAGAAGAGAGAGAAGGACCTCATTCATGAGAAAGCATTTAACATCCAGGGTGCAAAAGAATTTTCTCATATAGGAACTAGGGCCAGTGACTCAGAATGAAAAGTAGAGCATACAGTTTCTAATGCAGAGAGGAGGGCAGATGTGCCTGTGAGGCGGTATAGAAGTTCTCTTTACTCAGTAACAGAAAGCAAAGTCATCAGCACTCAGTGAGATGGGAGGAGTTGTTGGCGGCTTGAAAAGAGAGTAGAAGACCAGGCATGGTGGCTCAGCCTGTAATCCCAGCACTTTGGGAGGCTGAGGTGGGACGATCGCTTGATCCCAGGAGGTGGAGACCAGCCCGAACAACATGGTGAAACTTCATCTCTTAAAAAAAAAAATACAAAAATTAGCCTGGTGTGGTGGCGCAAGCCTATAGTCCCAGCTACTTAGGAGGCTGAGGTGGGAGGGTTGCTTGTGCCCAGGAAGCAGAGATTGCAGTCAGCCAAGATCGCACTACTGAACTCCAGCCTGGCTCAAAAAAATAAATAAATAAATAATGAAAAGAGAGTAGAACCTGTGAAATAGTCATTTAGGAGAATGGATGGACTAAGAAATGTAGAAGGATAGCCAGGCAGCGTGAAGGGCCCACTTGAACTTAATGGTTATAAACTGAAAATGAAACCAATCATCCCAGCCATGTGGTTTTCTCAAACAACCTCTGCCGTACAGGCGCAGGCCAGGAACTGGATTCAAGCAGATTTGGGTTTCCATCAAGAGAATAAAACCAAGAAAGACTGGGACAAGAGAGTTAAGGGTAACGGCACATACACAGGACTGGCCATAACCATGCTCCATGGCCTCTTAAATTGAGTGAGGAGAGAAGTGAGCACATGAGGAAGTGAAGGTCAGGGCAAGGGTGGTAAATCTAAATAGGGAAAAGCTCTGTGGTTTTCCAATGAAGAATGAGGAGAGGAGTAAGGTCCAAGGGAGACATTTTGTGTTCCCCAGGCAAAAGGTAAGACAGCATCTCTGAGGAGGAGACCGAAGGGGACGTGGGCCTCTCCAAGCATCGCAGGCTGAAAATAATAGTCCCCCAAATATGTCCATGTCCTAACCCCCAGAAGCTGTGGATGTTAATTTCTATGGCAAGAGGGATTTTTTTTGAAATGTGATTAAATTAAGGATCTTGACGTCAAGAGATTATCCCAGATTAGCCAGCTGGGCCTGATGTAATCACAACAGTCGTTATTAGAAGGACCCACGAGGAGCCAGTGCCTGAGCATGTGATGTGATGATGAAGGCAGAGGTTGCAGTCATGCACTTTGAAGATAAAGGAGCGAGCCATAAGCCAAGGAATGCAAATAGTCACTGGGAACTGGAAAAGGCAAAGAAATATTCTCATCTAGAACCTCCAGGAGGAACTAGCCCCACCAACACTGACTTTATAAAGCCCAGTAAAACTTGATTTCAGACTTGGCACCTCCAGAAGTTTAAGAGAATACATGTTTGTTATACTACTAAGTTTGTGTTAATTTGTTGTGACAGCAATTGGAAACTAATACACCAAGGAAGGGGGAGGATGTAGAAGAGAGGTCCAGGCAACATCTCTTTCCTCTCCAAAATAAATCTGAAAGAAAGGAATTGGGAAAAGACCAAATGGGTAGCTCTGTGTCACTCGGTGAGAAGTGAAATAAACGTAAAATCCTGGTATCAACAACCCTTGTGTGCGTTTAGGAGAGTTCTGACTGCTGGGAGCCACTTGTCTAATTCCCTCACCTCCTGTGTTTGTTCCAAGATCCCCTATTTAAAATTGCAAAGTACACCTCCAGTCCTACACACCCACAAACGCACCTCGCCACACCCCGCCCAGCTCTATGCTTTCAGTACCACCTCATGACACACACGACGCCATATATTTACTATATTTATGGATTGCTTGTTTCCCCAACTAGAATAGGGCAGTGACTTTTGTGCAAGCATCTTGAACAGCTCCTGGTACACAGTTGGCTCTCAATTAATATCTGTTAAATGGATGAACTTCAGAGGTGAGATGGAAGATGCCGAATGGCAAATATTCACTTCAGAATGTTTTGAAAGGTAAAGATGAAATTATGGGTATTTACATCCTTTTCCCCCAATAGTATTTTAACAAATGAAAATCACCTTAACAGGTATTCCTAAAATAATTCTTATTTGTTTGTAATAAAAAACGAGGAGGAGGACTTGAATACACGCGTCGCTGACTCAAAGATGGTCCCCTCCGCCCAAGAATCCCGCTCCGCACAGCGCAGAGTTCAGGGGCCCGCGCCGGAAGTGGGCGTGGTTCGCCCGCGGCTTGCTGGGACTTGTATTTCGGGGCCCTAGGCGCGCGAGCGGTCAGCATCCGGAATCTGGCCCCTGCAGGCGTGGGGTTCCACGTGGGAGGTGAGACTGGCCGGGCTTCCCCAGCCGCTGGCAGAGGCGTTCAGGGGTCAGGAAATGGGTGTGCCGCGGGTAAGGCGCTGGGCCGCCGAGCTGCGGAAGCCGGGAGGGCGGCGATGGTAGGGCACGCGACCAGCGGAGGCGCGGCCCGCGGCGGCACGTGTGTCCCGGCGCCGCATTTCCGAGCTGCTGCGCCCCCGGGGCCGGGCTGCGGCCACACCGAAGCCTGTGGGGCCCTGCAGCTGAGCGGCCGCGCCTCCGATGGCCCCTCCTCCCTCCTGGCCGAGCTCTGGCCTGGGCCGGCTGGGGGCTTCGTGGTTGGCCACGCCGGCCTTTTCCTCGCCTGTGACGGGCGTTATTGCAGGGGGGTTTTCGGTGGACGTTAGGCGACGGACGGGGGCTCCTGTAAGAGACTGAGGTTTCTGTCCGCAGCACTGCCTTCGCTGAAAAGAGCTTGCATCTGAGCCCCCGCACCGCAGGAACGAGCCAGGCTCCTGAGAATGAGGTCGGGGAAGGCGTCTTGGGCAACCGAAATCCATCCCGAGAAGCTTCTCCTCTTAACTAGAACTTTAGGACAGAGATCGGGAAAGTCAGAGGAAATGGGCACGGCTTCGAGCTGCCGGCGGCTGCGGAATTTACCTAGCCTCTTGGTTTTGGGGGGAAAACTTGGCTTGTTTAATCGAAAGCCCTGTGGAGAGAGATGAAGGTGGTGACAGAAAATGCTTCACCTCTCACCTGATGGAGGGAGTGTGGGTGGAAGTGACTGAAGAAGCGTCAGAGGCAGGAGCGGAGTAACTTTTTCCCCGCAGTCTTGCTGGACTTGATTTTCATGGCTTTTTCTCTTTCCCTAACTCTGCCTTTCCAGGAATCCATCCCCTCTGGGAGTAAGAAATGACCAGGGTCCGGGTGAGTTGGCGTTCCATTTCTCCTAAAATGCCATCTCCCTGAAATGTCCCTGTGCCATGTGTTGTTTTCTTTATTGTCAGGCCCCCAGTACGGTATTTTATAGCTATGGATGTAGGGACATTAAGATACTAAGGACATGTAGCTAGCAGATGATGTCACCAGGGTCTGCACAGAGAGTTTTCACTGGCCCATCCTGCCTCCAAGAATTTATTCCACTCCTCAGAGCAGTGGGCTGTGCCCTCCTGGGGAGCCTCTCAAAGCCTGCCTTTTCCTGCCAGACATTTCACTCACATTGAAAGTCATTCCAAGCTATTCCATACTCATCCCAGTGCTAAGTGGTCTCAGCAAAACAGATAGAATGATAAACCACGGTGCTTTTCTTCAAGGAGCTTACCATCTTGATGAACATATTATATTACCTGTACACAAAAAAATGCATATTAATAGTGATAATTTATTAACTATGAGTCAAAAACGAGGAAATTCGTTAAATGGCAGCACAGTGGTTACAAAATCACTCTAGAAATGCTTTTCAACTAGGCTATGCATCAGAACTCTCTGTGGTGTTTTTTAAGAACTAAGCTTCCTTCTCTCTTCCAGACCTAGTGAAAGGAGAGTTTCACTCCTTTTTTATTCTGTTGATCTTTGTACATCCAAAGGTTTATTGTGAAATATCTCTCTATACACTATAAGTGTCTCTAGGGTAGGTAAAATGAGTTATTCATCCTTTATACTCAGGTTGATTTGTTCTCTTTCACTAGCATGTCTACATATTTAACTGTTCCAGTAAATTTTAAATTACCAAGTCGTACTTTTTTAAAGAGAGTTTTCAGTTGTCCCCATAAAACCATCTGTAGGAGGTTACCTCAAAATTAACCCTTAGACTCCCAGGGTATTTGAGATGGTCAGCCCCCACTTAGAATCCCATGGTGTTTGAGATGGTCGGCCCCCTCTTTGCCCTGTCCTGGCGTTTTATGGTGGAGAGCTCTAACTCGGCTAACTCTGAGAGAGCCGAAGGAAAGTGCCTTGTCCTTTGTTTCAGAGAGCAGAAGGCCAGAAATAAACCCCGTGTTTTCTTCCTTCAGGCTGTTCTTTCTCCATTAACTAAACAGGTCATCACATCAGAAGTTGTTTGAATAAAATATCAGACTGCGTTTTAAGGGAAAAAAAATGTTTTTTAACACTACCAGCAAAGGCCATCTTTTTGCTTGGCAAATACAGCCCTCACACACATGAGCTCTTAGAAAAAATCTGTTTAGAGGACAGTAAGCTGACTTGAGGTACTGAGAGCATGGCTTCTCTGTGCCCTGAAAAGTAATTGAGGACTTCAAGGGAGATTAACCTTAGTAGAATCAATACATTTTCCTTCCTTCGCTTCTGCCTGCTCCCTAATGATTAAGTATTCACTGCCGCTGCAACTGGGGATTGCCAGTTTAGTAAATTTTGAGATTCTGGTGTGTGTTACACAACAACTTTTTTAATTTAAAGGAAGGACTTCATTCCAAGCATTGTGTGTTTTCTATGTACCACACATTGTCCTTAGGTCTGCTGAAAGGCGGGAGTCTTAGTTAACCCTGCTTTTCCTCTGTGACATTGGGTAAGTCACTTCGCCCTTATGAACTGTGGTTTTTTTCTCTGTAAACTGAGGGTCTTGGGCTTGACCATCTTTATGTTTTCTTTTAGTTGTATTATTATTCATTTAAATTGAATGTGAATTTATATTTATCTTTCAGATTCCAAGTCAATTGTGGTAGTTGCTGGGGATTTAAAGATGAGTTGAGGCCAGACATGGTGGCTCACACCTGTAATCCCAGTACTTTGGGAGACTGAGTGGGGAGGATCACCTGAGGTCAGGAGTTGAGACCAGCCTGGCCAACATAGTGAAACCTCATCTCTACTAAAAATACAAAAATTAGCTGGTCATGTTGATGCCTGTTGTAATCCCAGCTACTCGGGAGGCTGAGGCAGGAGAATCTCTTGAACCCGGGAGGTGGAGGTTGTAGTGAGCTGAGATCATGCCACTGCACTCCAGCCTGGGCAACAGAGTGAGACTCTGTTTCAAACAACAAAGATGAGTTGAGTGTAGCCCCTATCCTTCAGAATCTTCCAGCCAACTTGGGAGAGACTTAATAGCTATAGTAGAGGGATGTGAAAGATGCTATGAGATCTCAGAGGAGGAGAATTCTAACTCATCCTCATGCTTCAGAAAGAGGCTATTGTCCTGAGACTGAAAGCTCCAAAATGGATGGGAGAACTCAATAAGTTAGGGCTTACTATAGAAAGGACTGTGCTAGACTCAAGTGTAATGTGTTGAATGACTCCAGGTAATCTAGTGTGCCTCTTCCTGCTTTTCCACTTCAAAGTAAATTGTTAGATACAGCAGAGATGGGCTCTAGAAAGAAGTGGAAGGCCACATGATGGCATGTATGTAGTTCTGAGGAGGTCGACATTTGTCTGATAGAAACAGGAAACAATTGAACTTGTGACCTTCCTCTTTGGTTGGCCTTTAGAATATCAAGTCTGCTCTCCCAACTGTAAGCAGGAGCACAGCCTTGGAGTGACTCCTTAGTGCCACTGATACCTGGGAAGACTGTTGATTATTCAGTGTTTCAGTCCCACCTTTGTCTTGCTTTAACAGGAGCACTAATTTCCTTTCCTTTTCTCCTTTCCCTTGTCACAATGATTCTTTTCATTTGGTCTACTCCTGTCATTTTTTTTACCTACCACAAAGTTAGTAGTCCACCAACATATCCTTTCCCTTCTCAGAATGGAGTCCCGCCTGCCATTTTATCTTGAGGACCTTAAAAAATTAATAACTCTGGTTGTCTAACCTAGGGACTGGAAGATGACAAAAATTGTACTACAAAGAATTGGTAAGGAGTTATTGTAGCCTAGGTAAGAAAAAAAATAAGGGTCTTACTAAGACTGGCAGTGGAAATGGAAAAGAGGTAACACATTGGAGGGAAATTTAGGAGGCAGAATTGACAGGATCTGAAATGGTTTGAATATTGTTGAGGTAGAGAAGGAGGATTAGACAATCCAGACAACTGAATGGAAGACGGATAAAAAAATAAGGGAGAGAAAAGATAATTGGTGGGCTTGCATCTCTGAAGATAGAAGAAGGGATTTGATCTAGAATGCACAGGAAGAGATTAGCCTTAAACAGAAAGAAATTTTTTTTTCTCTGTGGTCTGAAGAGAAGGTCTGGTTGGGAAGAGCAGCCAGTCCACTTGCTTTTAATATGCCATGGGTCATGCCTTGCTAAAGGATGTGGTGATGGAGCTTGAAGGCAGCAACCTTTGCTTCTGTTTGTTTGTCCCACCTTTACTCCGGGGCTTGAGCCTCCTTTTCCAGCCCTCTTCCTCAGAATGGAGACCAGTGACCTTGAACAGAAAGCTTGGGAGACAGCACCCATCCTTACCTTCATCTTTACCCTCATCCTTCCCCACTGGTGACAAGTTGGGTAAGTCATGTCACTCCTGCAGGGCAGGCCCAAGGAAGGAGGGAGTGGTGCCTCTTTAGCCTCAGGCCAAAGCTGGCTTAGCTGATCAAATTTATGAGACAGCCTTTATGACTTTTTATATATTCTATCACTTTACTTTTGAAATTGTGCCTTAGAGAGTGGTGCCAGCCCATGCACTGTGCAGATATAAGTACTGAAATTGAGAGTTTCAAAAACAAAAAAAAACTGGTTCTTCACCACAGGTAGTTTAAGAAGCATTGCTTCATCAGACAGAGCCCTGAAGGGAACCAGATTTGCTGACATTGACTGAGTAAATATTTGGACTCCCTTTATGTGCCAGGCCCTGCTTGAGGTCTTGGGGATGCAGTCATGAACAAATGAGGCAGCCTCTCTATTCTTGGGGAATTTAAATCTCAGCAGGGAAAGACAGTAAATAAGAAAGCAAGTGAATAAGAAAATAAGGTAAGGCATAAGTTATAAGAAGAAATTAATTAAATTAAACCAGGAAAATGATATATACAGGATGCTCCAGTGGATTAGATGGTCAGTGACATGCTTTCTGAAGAGGCAACAGTTGGACTGAGAGCTGAATCATGAGGAATGGAGAGGGCAGCTAGTGCAGAAGCTACAATGAGTTTGATGCAGTTCAAGGGCCTGCTGGGTCACTGGTGCTGAATATGATCATAAGAGAGGCCTAGGTTGGGGAGGTGACAGGAGAGCCTCATGGGCCAGGATGAAGAGTCTGGATTTTACTGGATGGCCACTGAAAAGCCTTTGGAGGGTTTCATGCTTGGCCTTGTTTTTGTTTTAAAAGATCACCTTGGCTGTCATGTGGAAAACTCATGTTTGGGGGAGCAGGAGTAGAGTCAGACCAACCAGGAGGTTGATGTGGGTGAGAGCAAGTGCTGCCTAGGCCTAGAGAGGTGACAGTGCAGGGCAGGGGAGCTGGGTGGATGCCGATATGCTTTAGCGGTAAAGGAGGTGGGTGATAGGTGAGATGTGAGGATGAGAATGAAATGACATCGGGGATTTTGGTTTGAGCAATTGAGTGGTTCGTGTGGCTGTTTACTAAAATGGGGATGACTGGGGAAGAGCAGATGCTGATGGATATTGCTGGAGCAGGAGTTCTGTTGGGGCCTGTTAAGTGTTTTGTTTTGTTTTTTGTTTGTTTGTTCAACTCACTGCAACCTCCGCCTCCCGGGTTCAAGAGATCCTTCCACCTCAGCCTCCTGAGTAGCTGGGACTACAGGCACACATCACCACGCCTGGCTAATTTTTGTATTTTCAGTAGAGACGAGGTTTCACCATGTTGGCCAGGCTGGTCTCGAACTCCTGACCTCAAGTGATCCGCCCACCTCGGCCTCCCCAAATGCTGGGATTACAGCCGTGAGCCATCGTGCCCAGCTAGGGCCTGTTAAGTTTTAAGCACTTTAGACGTCCCAGTGTAGATGTTAAAAGGTAGAAAGGTGGAGTCTGGAGGTGAGGTAAGAGGTTAGGGCTGGAAATAAATATTTGGCAGTGAATGGTATTTTAAGTCAAGGGATCCCTCAGGAGAGTGTTTTATGGCTGTGTGTATATGTGCTATTTTATTTTCCCAGTAATGTTCAACTACTTAGTTTAGAAGAGGAAGAACAGAAAGCATAGGAAGTGATTTTTAACTTGTAGGATATTAGAGAGATTCATATTTTAAGAGTAGAGGGGTCCAGGTAGTGGACTAGTCCCGATTATGGTTATTACAGTTTGATGAAATGTGGCTGAGATCATTGGCACTGTGGAGATTAAGAAATGTGAGGTCAGAGTGTTGGGTAAATTGTTCCTGCGAGTGTTAAGGTTGTCAGGATAATGGTGGGAATGGGGTGAAGATGACAACTCAGCAATGACACAAGAAGAGAGTGACACAGAAAGATTCAGTAGCTGAGAACTTGAGCGTAGATATGTTGTGGGCAGGAGGGAAATGATTTGGATGGAAGTAGCCAAGTAAGTGAGAAAGGAAAGACTTTCCAACAAAACTTGGCTTAGCTCACTCAGATCCCTGAGCTGCAAACTTCTTCTATACCTTTCTTACCTTTTCCAGTGCTGCTGACTTCACCCCACTTGCAGGGCATTTGTGCAGATGGTTGTTTGTTGAGGAGGAATGTGCTTAATGTTTTAGGAACCAGTTACATTCAAGGATGCCTCTGTGGCCTTCACCGAGGAGGAGTGAGGTCACCTGGACTCTGCTCCCAGGAAGCTGTGCGGAGCTGTGATGCTGGGCAACTACAGAAACTTGGTCTTGGTGGGTAAGGACATGTGAACTTGGACACCTGCCCATTGGCTTCTTTGTTTCCTACTTCCTTTTTGACACAAAAGGATGTTTTCTGACTATTCTAAGCAGCTAAAGAACTTGGTAAAAATTGGAGAATGGTAGTTTTACTGGGTTGTCTCAAAAACCATACCTTTTCCATCCTTTATAAGCCAGAGGTGGGACTGATTTTGCTTTCTGCACAATCACCCAATCCCTGTGAGTTTCTGAAATGTGATCTCTCAGATGGAGCAAGATAAAGATCATTATATAATAGCAAGTGAACCTCAAAGAGCACCAGGCATCATGGCAAGTTATAAGCCAGGCTAATCCACAGCAGAGGAATCCCTTTTTCAACGTTCCAGGAGTTATCTGGTATCTTGCAGTCTGTGTCGAAAGCAGGGACTTCCAGGATGTTTCCTATGTGCTACTGTTTTACCTGATCTATTCACTTACTGCCCTTCTACCTCTGCAGGAGGTTGTGGTCTTTCCCAGTAATGGTCACTTGCTTCTCTGTACTCCTGCCTTTCCCCACATTTCCCCAACATTGGTCATGTGCCATCTTTGCTTGGACTTTATTTTTCATTGAATGTCCTCCCCCTGCCTGGCAATATCCAGTTTCCATTATTTCTTTTCTTACACATTCAGGAATTCATCCCTCTCCCCTCCCAAAAATAATCGAAATTCATGGTGAGACACTCTCATACCCTACAAATAGATAAAACACTTTTTTGTTTTCTTTTTTTGAGACGGAGTCTTTTTGTTTTGTTTGTTTGTTTGTTTGTTTGTTTTGAGACGGAGTCTCCCTCTTTCGTCCAGGCTGGAGTCTGGAGTGCAGTGGCACGATCTCGGCTCACTGCAACCTCCACCTCCCAGGTTCAAGTGATTCTCCTGCCTCGGCCTCTGGAGTGGCTGGGATTACAGGCATGAGCCACCACACCCGGCCAGATAAAACACTTTTTGACTACCTGAATCAAGGAGCCTTAAACATTTTCAAATGCAGTAATTCATTTTTTAGATATCTAGTCTAAGGCAATAATTAGTAATTTTAACTGAAAATTGTGAACAAAGATATTCATTATAGAATTATTTAAAATAGTGAAAAAATTATTTACCCACTAGATGTATCACAGGGGATTGGTCAGGCAAATTATCATGGATCACAGAAAAGTATGTAGCCATTAAAAAATATGTTCATGAAGAACTTAAATTAGATGGGGAAATGAATGTATACCTACTAGGTTGAACCATATGAACTTGCCATTTTATAGCCAAAAGCAGCCATTCTACAAAAAACACTGAAAAGTGGCTGGGCACAGTGGCTCATGCCTATAATCCCAGCACTTTGGGAGGCTAAGGCGGGCAGATGGCTTGAGCTCATGAGTTTGAGACCAGCCTGGGCAACACAGCGAAACCCTGTCTCTACAAAATATACAAAAATTAGCAGGACATGGCGGCAGTTACATGTAATCCCAGCTACTCAGGAGGCTGAGGTGGGAGGACCCCTTGAGCCAGGAAGGCAGAGTTGCAGTGAGCCGAGATGACACTACTGCACTCCTGCCCTGGTGACCGTGAGACCCTGTCAAAAAAAAAAAACACTGAAAAATGTGTCATCATGTTAGCTTTCAGGGTTTTTGCCTCCCTCAGTCCACAGTGGGACCCTGGTTCTCTTCCCTCAGTAACTGTGGCCTTTCAGTTTCTATTTTCAGCTAATCCTGGGGAGTAAAGAGAATGCTACAGGGCAAAGTGGTTACCTCCAGGTAGTGAACCAGGCCTTTCCACGTTCTTTATATAAACCCAGTGCCTGTGCTCTGTTCTTGTACCAAAATTGCCCACTTGGAAGTCACTACTGAACTTTTGTCTCTTTCAGAGTTTGTTCCTTTTTTAATTTTTATTTCAGCATATTTACCATTATCAGTTTTATTGATGGTTTCTATAGTGTTGACCTTCTCTTGAAATTCTTTGTCATGCATGAAATCATAGTTTTTCTGTTTCCTCCAGCTTCTCTCTTAGTCCTTTGCTCTGCAGATTCTCTGGCTTCTTTTTCTTTTTTTTTTTTTTTTTTTTTTTTTTTTCTTGAGATGGAGTCTTGTTCTGTCACCCAGGCTGGAGTGCAGTGGCGTGATCTGGGCTCACTGCCACCTCCGCCTCCTGGGTTCAAGCAATTCTCCTGCCTCAGACTCCTGAGTAGCTGGGACTACAGGCGCGTGCCACCATGCCCGGCTAATGTTTTGTATTTTTAGTAGAGACAGGGTTTCACCATGTTAGCCAGGCTGGTCTTGATCTCCTGGCTTCTGTCTTTTTTCTAACTTGAAATCTCAAAGGGCTCTTTGGTTTTAAGTTACATCATCAGTGTTTCTCGGCCTTTTTCTTTATCATTACTCTCTCCCTGCCAAAAGGAGACAAATTAAATTTCTCCTGTAGAAAAATTAAGTATGAAGGAATAAGGTTTTGTCAGGTAGGATTGTTTTTATGAGTCCCAAACCAGCATAATATGTAAGATTTGTTTGGCCAGGTGTGGTGGCTCACACCTATAATCCCAGCACTTTGGGAGGCCGAGGTGGGCGGATCACCTGAGGTCAGGAGTTCGAGACCAGCCTGGCCAACATGGCAAAATCCTGTCTCTACTAAAAATACAAAAATTAGCTGGGCGTGGTGGCGGGTGCCTTTAATCCCAGCTGCTCAGGAGGCTGAGGCAGGAGAATTGCTTAAACCCGGAAGGTGGAGGTTGCAGTGAGCCGAGATCGTGCCACTGCACTCCAGCCTGGTTGACAGAGTGAGACTCTGTCCCAAAAAATAAAATAAAATAAAAAGATTTGTTGTGTCCCCTATGAACCAATTCTCACCCCTTGGGGACATTATTGCCCCTGAGAATGCATGGTATGTCCACTTATAGGAGGAGCTGTTACACATTTAATGGTGTTCAACTCTCCTTTCTATTTTGATAAGCCTAAAATTATTTTCCTTTTTAAGTTCCCTTCTTATAGTCCCACTTTTGTCAGTATTAAAGTTGTTCCAGTCTCCTAGTTTAGAAATAGGCCATGACTATATTCGGTTTCTCTTGGGCCAGGCGTGGTGGCTCATGCCTGTAATCCCAGCACTTTGGGAGGCAGAAGCAGGAGGATCACTTGAGCCCAGGAGTTGGAGACCAGCCTGGGCAACATGGCAAAACCCCTTCTACAAAAAATATAAAAAATTAGCCGGGCCTGGTGGCATACACCTGTAGTCCCAGCTACTTGGGAGGCTGAGGTGGGAGGATCACCTAAGCCAGAGAGGTTGAGGCTTCAGAGAGCAAAATTCTCCAGCCTGGGCAACAGAGTGAGACCCTGTCTCAAAATAAAAAAATTTTTTAAAAAAAATTTCTCTCTTCTCGTCCTCAGTATCTAAAATCTCCCACCAATTCTTTTTTAACTTTAACTTCTTTTAAGTTTATTAACACTCCTAGATCCCACAGATGTTGCCCTAAAGTCATTCTGTTTAACGCTTAAAATAGGGTAAAAATTAGTCAGATTGTTGCCATCGTTTTTCAAGCTCAAGTTAGATGTTGCAGGTACACTAGTCTCCTTTAAACATCATTTATGATGTCATTCTTTGGAGTGTTACTATACGGTCAGTAAGTCCTGTGAAGAATGGAACACCGCTCTGAGAGAACAAAGACGTGATGGAATGCGGGTTGTGTATGTGTCTTACGGAGAGCCTCTGAAGTGACATTAAACTGGGAGCTAAGGGATCAATAGTTTAAACAGGTGGCTAGGGAGGGGAAGAACATTCCAGGCAAAGAGAACCATGCAAGAAGAGACCCAAAGACCTGGAAGGAGGAGTGTGGTAGACCACAGGGTGCATCTAAGAAGGACTGAGAAGAGGTGGTGAACATGGCCTGGCTCAGTTATGGCGTTGAAGGCCCTGGTAAAAAGTAGATTTATGACAAAAAATTAGCCAGGCATGGTGGTACATGCCTGTAATCCCAGCTTCTTGGGAGGCTGAGGTGGGAGAATCGCTTGAGCCCAGGAGGTGGAGGTTGCAGTGAGCTGAGATAGTGCCAGTGCACTCCAGCCTGGGAGACACTGTGTGACCCCATCTCAAAAAAAAAAGTAGATTTATCTTCAGTGGGCAGCCATTGTATCAAGGAATGGTGTGCTCTGATTGACCCAGTATCACTGTGACTGCTCTGTAGAGAGTGATTTACAAGTAGACAAAAATGAAATAGGAGATGGGCTTCCAATTTCAAGCTCTGCTCTAGGTTTTCATTGTTATTAACATAAAATGGAACATACTTGTTCAACATTTTTCTTTTATGCAAGTAAGACATAAAAGTCTCAAAAACTCAAACAACACAGTATAATATGAAATCAAATCACTTTCTATGGACTCTGTACTTATGTATGTACATTACAAGTATATGTATTAAAATTTTATGAGATTACACTGTGTATTTTTAATGTGCTGTTTTATGCAGTATGTGTTAGAGCTTTTTTCTGCCATGTTAAATCCCTATAAAAGGACCCCTTTTCTCATGTCAGTATTTTCTCCTAATGTTATACACTCATTCTTCATATTTTTTTTTCTTCTTCTTCTTTTAGACGAAGGCTCACTCTGTCGCCCAGGCTGGAGTGCAGTGGCACAATCTCGGCTCACTGTAAGCTCCACCTCCCGGGTTCAAGTGATTTCTCCTGACTCAGCCTCCTGAGTAGCTGGGACTACAGGTGCCCACTACCACACCCTGCTATTTTTTGTATATTCAGAGGAGACTGGGTTTCACCGTGTTGGTCAGGCTGATCTCGAACTCCTGACCTCAAGTAATCCACCCACCTCGGCCTCCCAAAGTGCTGGGATTACAGGCATGAGCCACCGTGCCCGGCCTCATTCTTCATATTATTTTAAACATTTTTTTAAAAGCTAACATCACACTTTCATTAAAATGCACCTTTCATAAAATTCCTCCCCCATTCATTTTCATATACCTATAATTTCTATAACCACTAGCCATTTCCAAGTATTGTACGATATGGCTGTTGAAGCAATATCCTTTAAAATCCATTTAATCATTTCAGCCCATTTCATGATTTAACGCTACAAACTGCCCTGTTTTTCTTTTGTCATTTTTCTTTTTCATTTTTGCCATTACTTTTGAAATTTATAAACAAAGTGATACACTCACCTGGGTAAAACAAGTTGTGTGGACAGCTCATAGTAAAAACATTCCTGTTTCCTGACTCTGCTGCTCCATCAGCCACAGTGTGGCTTCCAAAGGCACTCAGTTTTCACCTTTCTAGCTGTTCCATATTGGGTTTGTCTTCCTACTCCAGACAATATGTTTACATATTGTTATTTTTCTCTCTCATGTAAACAATAAATGCATTCACATGGTTAAAAAATAAATATAAAACGTGCACAGTGAAAAGTTTCTTTCATGTCTGTAGCTCTTGTCTATCCCGGTTCTGGTCATTGGCCTCTAAAAAGTGAGCTGTCTCATGTAAATGTCATTTCACAAATTATGCCTGAAAATCTGAAGAGTAAAACTCTAAGTTGGAATGCTGAGTGCATATATTTATGACATTGATTGATAATTGTCAAAATGTCTGTCCTTCGTATCAGTTTACATTCACAAGTAATGTGTGTCTTCAGACTTCGGGTTTGTGCTAGTGTAACAGGTGGAAAATGGTACCTCAGTATCCTTTAAATTTAGTGTATTGTGATATACTGTTATTTCTCAGTTTATCAATATTTTGTAATTTCTATTGACTTCCCTATATTATAGATGAGGATGTAGCTTTTTTATATTACCTCCCCAAATGCCTAGCTTCCCAAGAATTTATGTTAGAGTCATGTCAGTGATGAATGCTTACATTGCTTTGACTTTGTAATTAGTTGTTCACTGTAGAGTCAAGTAGTACAGTATGATTATAGTTCTTTTTAATTTTTTTATTTTTCCTCTGAAGCTAATACTTGCTTTTTAAAAATATATTTTATTTGGGGGGTTTTGACTCCGTGCTGTTATTGTAGAGTTTTGTTTATTTTTTTCTTTTATTTTTCAACTATGGTTTTGGGGTTTGGGGGTTTTTGTTTTGTATTTTGTAGAGAGAGTTTTGCCGTGTTGCACACACTGGTCTCGAACTCCTGAGCTCAAGCAATCACCTCACCTCAACCTCCCAAAATGCTGGGATTACAGACATGAACCACCATGCCTGGCCTAATTATGTATTGTATTGACTTCTTGGCTTACTGCTATTTCTTGCAGCATGTATCCTTTTTCTTAAATTTTAAAAAATTTTGCTATAGTATATTCCTGAATGATTGTTTTAGTAATTGAATCTTTTCGTGTCTGAAAGAGTGTCTATTTTTTCCTCCCACTGAAATGGTTAATTGGCTGGGTAAAAATTATAATTTCACAATGACTTTTAACCCAAAATTTGAAGATATTGAAGATTTGCAATATTGCCAATTAGTTGTTCAGTGTCAATATAATTCTCATTTATTTGCACATAACCTGGCTTTTCTGTTTGGAAGCTTTTAGCATTTTCTGTTTCTTTGTTTGTTTGTTTGTTTGTTTGTTTGTTTTTTCCTTGAAGTCCTGAGGTTTAAAAGAGTATGTTTAGTTTGGGGTCTTTTTACATACCATTTTTTAGCATTTATTGGGCCCTGAATCTTGAATTCTAGGAAACATTTTTTTGTTATTATTTCTTTGATCATTTTCTCTCCCTGTGTTCCATCTTCACTGTCCTCATGCAGCTCCTTGAAGATGGGCTTTTACTTTTATCTTTCTATTTGTCTGTCTTTTCATTTGCATTCTTGGAGAATTCCTCAATCTTCCATCTTAGCCATGTGTTCATTTTACTATTTAACTCATCTAGATTGCAGGCGTTTGACTAAAACAGCCTGACACATATCTAGGAAACAAGTGACATAACCTATCATCATCTTCAGTCATTTTATTTAGAATTATTATTTTTCATAGCAATATGTTTATATTTTATTATTAGATTGTGTTTAAATGTGATATCCTCTCCAGTTTTTCTGGGATTTTAATTATGTACCTTTTAAATTCTGTTGGTCTCCTTATATATTTTTTCAAAATTCTTGTGTTCTCAGCATGATATTGGAGTGTGTCCTCAACCCATGCTTGACCCACTTTGGCATGCATATGTGTTTTACTTTAGGGGACACTTCTGCTGATTGGGCTAGGGAGGGAGGTAATAAGAATCCAGATGGTGGATATTATAGGCCTTTTTTTTTTTTTTTTTTTTTTTTTTGACAGTTGGCAGAGCTAGCTGAGGTTTTATTTTGGGAAAAAGAAAAAATTTGAATTGTTTTGTAGCTGGATACATGGGCAAGGGGACTACCCAGGCAGTAAACTGGCCCCACGGATGGGCTAAGGGCTAGGGCTGAGCCTCAGGTGGGCCTCCTATTCCCTGTACTCCCCTGCACAGTGGTGTAGGCCATTTTTTAAGTCCACCTCTTTTGCCACTGAGTTATCTGGGGCATGCCCTGCTTCTTTATTTCCAGCGCTGGGCTATCTTCCTTGTCAGAACTCCCATTAAAAAGTTTAGCTTGAAGTTTTATCCTGGGCACTTATGTTGTCAATTACTTCTTTTTTGTACCTTAATCCATTGGTCATTGTGTACGTTCAACATTACCTCAACCTCTGCTTCTCTCTTCAGTCCAGTTAATATTATTAGCAGTCTTTCTTTGGCAGATCATTTATTTTATTCTTGAGGCTTTATATGAGGGCACTGCTGCTAGCCATCCAATATTTCTATTTCTAAGAGGAAGAGGGTGGGCTGGGAGAGTGCTGCTAACAGCAAAAACTAGCACAGCTGTTAGGAATGCCTAAGTTGAATTAGGAAATGTCTTACTTTATCATTGTTTATTATTTTCTGAGACATAGACTCCAGAGAAATGGGGTCAGTGCTCCCTTACTTTGTAATTATTGATTCTGAGTTTGGTAATTGAATTTCTATGATTTCTTAGGATGTTTTACCCACGAAGAAGCCTTCTGTTATACATAATTTG
Organism: Homo sapiens; assembly: GCF_000001405.40. NCBI lineage: Eukaryota > Metazoa > Chordata > Mammalia > Primates > Hominidae > Homo > Homo sapiens. Next base: position 43,559,882 of record NC_000010.11, on the reverse strand, counting down.
AGCTGTACATTTTTTTCCCCTAGTTCCTCCATCACTCCTAATCCATCTGCTCCTTATCATTTAGGAGTTCCTCAATGTTTTTATTCTGATGATATCAGCCTTTCTGTTTTCCCAAGAGTATTATGGATTTCTTGTCATTTCAGTGTAATATTAGGCTATTCACTCTAATTGTTTAAGTCTCGGGGAGGGTTTTGTTTTTGTTTTTGTTTTTTAATATACCAGTAAGTCTAAACTCTGTATTCCTAGCACAGTTCTCTCACAGGAGTTCCAGACCTATATATATCTCACAGCTTACGGACCAGTACTGCAAGAATGTTCCACCAACACCACAGATTATACAAGGCAGTTCTGCTGCCTTCCCTACTTCAGCCTCTTCCTGTTGCATTTCCTATCTGATTATATAGCACCACCATACCGTCACTCAGGCAGGAATCCCAAGGAACAGGCTTGGTGCCTCCTTTCTCTTCTAGGTTTAGTTTATCATCACATGATCTAGAATGAATTTCTCCTATTCTCTCCACAACTATCATCCTTACCGTTTTTCTTCTGATTTGCTATGGCAGCCGTCTCGCTACCTAAAGTCTTGCTTTCCAGTGGTGTTTATTGTCACAAAGTCAGTCATTTCACTCTGAATTAAAATTCTTTAATAGTTTTCAATCCCTTCAGGGTTTAGCCCCAAGGTCCTTATTATTAGACACTAAGCCCTTTGCTCTGTCCTCTTACTTCCCCTCCGTGGCACATTCTTCACCACTCTTACTGTTTTTATCTCCTTCGTAAGAAGCCGCTTGTAGTTTTCTTTAACATGTCATATTTTCTCTCCACATTTCACTTCCTTTTTTTTGTTTGTTTTTTGTTTTTCCTGTCATTTTCTCCCAGAAATCTTCCTAAACACCAGGGTCTGAGTTGAGTGTTCCTCTGCTGTGCTTTCGTGGCTGGTTAGGCATACATCTCTTGTACTGTATTGTACTATACATTCATCTACACCACTCACTTAGTATTATCATTATTTGGTGTATTTGTCTTCCCAGGAAGCTTTAGCTTGTTAAGCAAAAGGATTTATATTTTCTTCCTTGTATTCCCCACACCTATGAAAGCAGAATACCAATTAAATGCAAATTTACTTAAAGGAAAGTAGGCCGGGTGTGGTGACTCATGCCTGTAATCCCAGCACTTTGGGAGGCTGACGCGGATGGATCACTTGAGGCCAGGAGTTGGAGGCCAGCCTGGTCAACATGGAAAAACCACACCTCTACTAAAAATACAAAAATTAGCTGGGCATGATGGCATGTGCCTATAATCCCAGCTACTTGGGAGGCTGAGGTGGGAAAATTGCTTGAACCTGGGAGGTGGAGGCTACAGTGAGACCAGATCACACCACGGCACTCCAGCCTGGGCAGCAGAGTGAAACTCTGTCTCAAAAAAAAAAATGAAGTGAGATGAGATGAAATGTTATTGTTAGCAAGGATATAGGACTTACAGCCTTCTATAGGATTAGTTAGGGAAGACTTTCCTTGGCTATGCTTAAAAGCCAAGAGAAAATTTCTGTCTTGTACCCAGATACAAATGTACCTGACCTTAACCCAAAGGACATGACTATAAAGACAAGCTGAACTTTTTCCTAGTTACTAAGACTTCAGGCCTTAGGCACTCTCACTCTGAAATCTTGAAGTCTACCCTTTGTTCTTACCACTGAATTGTCTTTGTTCCCTAGGAGACTTGAATGAAAATTCTGTGGAGAATCTTCAGCAGAAAACACTTCAGGATCTGTTACATGAGCTTTCCTCCTGGCTAGTTTTGGAAGGCATGGCCAGTACAATTACTGGAAGTCAGGATTGTATTGTGAATCATCGAGGGGAAGTGGATGGGGAGCCTGAACTAGATATTTCCCCTTGTCAACAGTGGGGAGAAGCATCTTCTCCTATTTCCAGAAACAGGGACAGTGTGATGACTCTTCAAAGTGGTTGTTTCGAAAACATTGAAAGTGAAACATATTTGCCTTTGAAAGTCTCAAGCCAAATAGACACACAAGACTCTTCAGTGAAGTTCTGTAAGAATGAGCCTCAGGATCATCAGGAAAGCAGACGTCTCTTTGTAATGGAAGAAAGCACTGAGAGAAAAGTGATAAAGGGGGAAAGTTGTTCAGAGAACCTTCAAGTTAAACTGGTGTCTGATGGACAAGAACTGGCCTCGCCATTGTTAAATGGTGAGGCAACTTGCCAGAATGGCCAGTTAAAAGAATCTTTGGATCCCATTGACTGTAACTGCAAAGACATTCATGGATGGAAATCACAGGTGGTCAGTTGTAGTCAGCAGAGAGCTCATACAGAGGAGAAACCCTGTGACCATAATAACTGTGGGAAAATACTTAACACCAGCCCAGATGGTCATCCATATGAGAAAATCCACACTGCAGAGAAACAATACGAATGTAGTCAGTGTGGTAAGAACTTCAGTCAAAGCTCAGAGCTACTACTTCATCAGAGAGACCACACAGAAGAAAAACCCTACAAATGTGAGCAATGTGGGAAGGGCTTCACAAGGAGCTCGAGTCTGCTTATCCATCAGGCAGTCCACACAGATGAGAAGCCTTATAAGTGTGACAAGTGTGGGAAGGGCTTCACCAGGAGCTCAAGTCTGCTCATCCATCATGCCGTCCATACAGGCGAAAAACCTTATAAATGTGACAAGTGTGGGAAGGGCTTTAGTCAGAGCTCCAAACTGCACATCCACCAGCGAGTCCACACTGGAGAGAAGCCCTATGAGTGTGAGGAGTGTGGTATGAGCTTCAGTCAGCGCTCAAACCTGCACATCCACCAGCGAGTACACACAGGAGAGAGGCCCTACAAGTGTGGTGAGTGTGGGAAGGGCTTCAGTCAGAGCTCGAACCTTCACATTCACCGGTGCATCCACACAGGAGAGAAGCCTTACCAATGCTATGAGTGTGGGAAGGGTTTCAGCCAGAGCTCGGATCTTCGCATCCATCTCAGAGTCCACACTGGAGAGAAGCCCTATCACTGTGGCAAGTGTGGGAAGGGATTTAGCCAGAGTTCCAAACTCCTCATCCACCAGAGAGTACATACTGGAGAGAAGCCCTATGAGTGCAGCAAGTGTGGGAAGGGCTTCAGCCAGAGCTCCAACCTTCACATCCACCAGCGGGTTCACAAGAAAGATCCTCGCTAACTGACATTAGCCCATTCAGGTCTTCACAGCGCTCATACTGTAAAAACTGTTAAATATTTAGTATCACTCTTACTTTATATTCTACAAAGGAGAGAGATGTAAGGGTTATTTAGATATGTTCCCTCACTGAAAAATCACTCATTCAAAATATTTAAGTATCAAGCACTTTGTTATGCTGTACAATGAATGGATTGTTCTTGTTTCTCAGATGGGTAGAGTAAAAGTGTCTGTACTTTACAATTCAACTACATGTTCTACCCAGCATTTTAACGGCAAGAACTTTATATTTATTCTCAAGCAGGGCATGTTTCCCTTTGTTCACATTCTCTGAGAAATTGAAACTCTGGTTTCTCTTCAAATTTTGTGCCTTGTGTTTTTCATACTTCTTTCCAGTCCTGATTAGCCCCCTCTAAACTATGATTGTACACTGCGTCCATTTTAGGCCAAGAGGGCAGTTGGAAATACAATGGACATGGAAATTATTGTGTTTATTGCAAAAAGATATAATAGTTTGTAGCCACACAACAAAAAGCTGGAAGAGAGTTACTCATGTAGTACATTCCCATATACCATTTTGATAGGAAGTTGAACAGCCCCTCCCAGGCAACTATTCAGGAACATAAGTAGTCCTTTTTGGTGAGTACAGCTAGTTTATTGGGATACTTCCAGAGTGAATGTGAGGAAGGGTCCAAAGTAACATGCCTGGCACTTTGGGAGGCTGAAGAGGGTGCATCACTTGAGCCTAGGAGTTCGTGACCAGCCTGGGCAACATGGCAAAATCTTGTCTCTATAAAAAAGTGCAAAAATTAGCTGGTGTGCTGGCACAGACCTGCAGACCCAGCTACTCAGGAGGGGTACCTGAGAGCAGGTGATAATAACAAATAGGTTCCAGAGGCAGAGCTGGAAAAATGAATACATAAGGAGCAGGGGGCAGCTTAGAGGCTGCAGAAATCATGTTGGGGCTTGATAAGCTAAAAATGGCTAGCACAGAAAGTATTCGAGAATGCACTTTTGTTAAACATGTCTCATCACATTGGACAACATTAAGATGCGAGGAAAATTTAATTTATCAAACTACAGCAATAAGGAGAATAGGAGAAAGACTATCAGCAAATGAAAATTTGAAAGATGGAAAGATAGCCAGTAGAGCAGAAGCAGGCACAGTTATGCTGCTTGCATATGGGGATAAGGAAAAGAAGGAACCAATTTGGCACCAGGCTCAGAAATGCTTAGTACCTTGGAAGATGGGAGTGAGATGTGAAGAGAAAGCAATGAAACTAATGGCCATTTGTATATGGAACATACCTCCTCATTACATAAACACACACTGCTCCCCAACTCCTGTACGTGGCTGACCAGAGGTTTAACGTCCAGCAAGAAATGGGAAGTTTCTTCTCTGCAGAAGTTGAATGGCCCCAAGGGAAAGACCTCTGTATTATGGGAATTCGGGAATCCTACAGCAAAGCTACTTTCTAGCTTAAGTACACATAAACAGAGCTTCAAAATTCATGAAATAAAAACTGGCAAAATTGAAAGAGGCACAATTTCAATTATAATTAGATAGTTAAATAAGTAATTGATAGCACAAGTCACTTAGGAGGTATAAGCCTTGAACAGCACTATCAACTAACTTGACTAATTGGCATTTGTAGAACACTCATTAGCATGATATATTAATATATTTTTATTTTTTAGGGACAGTGTGTCACTCTTTCACCCAGGCTGAAGTGCAGTGGTGCAATGAGTTAATTGCAACCTTGAATTCCTGGGTTCAATCAATCCTCCTGTCTCAGCCTCCAGAGTAGCTAGGACTATAGGCATGTGCCACCACACCCAGCTATTTTTTATTTTTGTAGGGATGGAGTCTAGCTCTGTTGCCTAGGCTGGTCTCGAACTCACAGGCTCAAGCAATCCTCCCTCCAGGACCTCCCAAAGCACTGGGATTACATATGTGAGCCACTGTGCCCAACCTGTATACATTCTTTTCAAGTGTGCCTACTATGGACTGTAATAAAACAGTCTTAAAATTTTTTAAAGAATGAAAACCATACAAGGTATATTCTCTCACCAGGACAGAATTAAGTAAGAGACCAATAACAAAGATGTCTGAACAATCTCTTAGTATTTGGAAATTAAACAACATACTCCTAAATGAGCAATAAAGAGAAAGTAAGAAAAATTTGAAAATATTTTGAACTGAATGAATATGTCAGAATTTGTGAAATGTAGCTAAAGCAGTGCTTAGAGGTGAAATCAGAGATAAAGATTTCAATTCGATAGTCTAAACTTCCACCTTACGAAATGAGAAAAAGAACAGAAATCATCCAAAGCAAGTAGAACAGGAGATGATACAGAGCTAAAAGTCACAAAAATCACAAGTGGACAAACAATAGAGAAAATTTAATGGAACCAAAACCTAACTCTTTGAAAGGGTTGAAAGGATTCCTGTATCAGGAATGAAAGAGTAAATATCACTATAGGTCCTATACACCAAGAAGGTAATACAGGAATTTTATTAGTAACTTAATTCCAATAAATTCAGCAACTTAAATGAATTGGAAAATTTTATCCTAAGGACTATAGAACCAAAGCCCACTTGAGAGAACTTGAATAGTCCTATTAAATTGAATTTTTAGCTGATAACCTTCCCCCAAAGAAAAGTCATGAGACCAACATTGCCCAGATACCAAAGCCAAAAAGGACATCATAGGAAAAACTCATAGATCAATATCTCTTAATATAGATGTAAAAATCCTTTTTAAAATACCAAGTTGAACACAGCAATCTATAAAAGGAAACACATATGGCCAAGTAGGGTTTATCCTAGAAATGCAAGCTTTAACATTCAAAAAGCAATGTTTCATATTAATATTAAAAAGAAAAACCACAATTTTTTTAATGTAGGAAAACATTTGAAAAAATTTAACACCCATTCATGATAAAACCGCTCAGTTGATTAGGAATTAAATTGAGTTTCAAGAATCTAAGAAAGAGCATCTATGGGAGAACCTACATCTGACATCGTACTTACTGGTGAAGTAAAAAGCACTTTTCTCCTAAGATTGGAAACAAGAGAAAGATGTCTAGTCACCACTTCCAGTCAACCTTGTAGTGGATGTCCTAGCCAGTACAATAAGCCAATAAAAAAGAGGCTGGGTGTGGTAGCTCATGCCTAAAATCCTGGCATTTTTGGGAGGCCAAGGTGGGAAGATTGCTTGAGCTTAGGAGTTCAAGACTAACCTGGACAATATAGTGAGACCTCATTTCTACCAAAACTTAAATAAAAATTAGCCAGGCATAGTGGCATGTGCCTGTAGTGCCACCTACTCAGGAGGCTGAACAGGAGGATCACTGGAGGCCCAGGAGATCAAGGCTGCAGGGAGCTGTGATCGCACCACTGCACTCCAGCCTGGGCGACAGAGTGAGACCCTGTCTCAAAGAAAAGGGATACAGAATGTGAAAGAAGGCATGAGACTGCTGTGACATGATTGTCTATATGGAAAAGCATAAAGTGTCTGAAAATGTTTTTAAAACTAGTAAGTATGTTTAGCAAGGTCACAGGATACAAGCTCAATATTTTTAAAAAGTTGAAAGTATGAAAACGGCATCAAAATTATGAAATGTAGGGACAAAGTTACTAGACCTGTACTAAAGCTACAAAACATGTACTAATGCTAGAAAAAAGTAAATAAGTCCTAAAAATAAATAGATACACTGTATGCATGAGTTATAAACCTCAAGGACCTACAAAGTCAAAACAATTTTTTAAGATTTTTTTCTTCTTCTTCTTTGAGATGGAGTCTCCCTCTGTCACCCAGGCTGGAGTGCAGTGGCACGATCTCGGCTCACTGCAACCTCTGCCTCCCGGGTTCAAGTGATTCTCCTCCCTCAGCCTCCCAAGTAGCTGGGATTACGGGCGTGTGCCACCACATCCAGCTAATTTTTTTTTTGTATTTTTAGTAGAGACGAGGTTTCACCATGTTGACCAGGCTGATCTTGAACTCCTGACCTCAGGTGATCCACCTGCCTCAGCCTCCCAAAGTGCTGGGATTACAGACTTTTTTCAAAACTAAAGATATAGTGATCAAGATAGTATGGTACTGGATCTAGGCTACACATACAGGTAAACAGAATTGGACTCACCCATATATTTTCAAGTGGTTTTCAACAAAGATGCAAAGATAAAGGGAAAAGATAGAGTTTTCAACACAGTTCTGTAACAATTGAATCTTTGTATAGGGGAAAAATGAGTAATATAAGCATGAAAACCATAAAGTGCCTAGAAGAAAATCTTCATTAAAGAGGACATGAAAAACGTAAATCTTAGAAGAAAAAATTAAGTTGGGTTTCATCAGTTTTAAAACTTATGTTGTTTGAAACTTCATATCAAGAAACGAAAGTTATGGAGTGGGGGGAAATATTTATAGGACAAATATGTGATGAAGAAGGACTTATATACAGAATATATTAAAGACTCTTACAACCCAGTAATTCAGAAAAACATTCAAAACTGGACAAAAGGCCAGGCACGGTATCTCACGCCTGTAATCCCAGTACTGTGGGAGGCTGAGGTGGGCGGATCACCTGAGGTCAAGAGTTTGAGACCAGCCTGATCAACATGGTGAAACCCCGTCTCTACTAAAAATACAAAAAAAAAAAAAAAAAAAAAAAAAAAAAAAAAAAAAAAAAAAAGCTGGGTGTGGTGGCGGTCGTCTGCAATCTCAGCTACTCAGGAGGCTGAGGCAGGAGAATCACTTGAACCCAGGAGGCAGAGGTTGCAGTGAGCCAAGATCGCACCACTGCCCTCCAGCCTGGACAACAAGAGCAAAATTCTGCCTAAAAAAAAAAAAAGAAAAAGAAAAAGAAAAAAAACTAGACAAAAGAATGGGCATTTTATGAAGGAACATATGCAAATGGTCAGTAAGCACCTGAAAGGATGGTCAATATCATTAATCATCAGAGAAGTACAAATTCATTTTATGATGCCAATATTTTCCTAATACCAAAGTTGTCAGACAGTAGTACTAAGAAAACTGGGATTACAGTTTTCATTACATTACATTACATACCATACCCAGCCCAATATCCTTAATATTGAAGGATACAGGATACAGATCAATACCCTTCATATCCTGCATACACAAAGTCCTCAAAAAACATTAGCAAATTGAGGCTGGGCATGGTGGCTCATGCCTGTAATCCCAGCACTTTGGGAGGCCGAGGTGGGTGGATCACCTGAGGTCAGGAGCTCGAGACCAGCCTGGCCAACATGGAGAAACCCCATCTCTTTTAAAAATACAGAATTAACCAGGCATGGTGGCACATGCCTGTAATTTCAGCTACTCGGGAGGCTGAGGCAGGAGAATCGCTTGAACGTGGGACGTGGAGGTTGCAGTGAGCCGAGATCGCAACATTGCACTCCAGCCTGGGCAACAAGAGCAAAACTCCATCTCAAAAAAAAAAAAATTAGCAAATTGAACCCAAAAATATATCAACAGAATCATGCACTACAACTAAGTGAGGCTTATTCCACGAAGGCAAGAATAGTTCAATATATTAATCCACCATATTAATAGGCCAATGAAGCAAAAGCACATATCAAATAATGTAGGAAAAAATGTGACAAAATTCAACACCCATTCATAGTAACCTCACCAAGCTAGGAAAAGAGAGAAACCTCCTCAGCTTTACACAGAGCACCTAAAAATATGTACAGTTACTATCATACTTAATGGTAAAAAAAAAAAAAAAAAAGCAGTGCTTTCTTCATAAGATTGGGAACAAGGCAGGGATTCCACTCCCACAGCTCTTATTCAGCATAGTACACGAAGTCCTAGTCAGTGCAATAAGGCAATAAAAAGGAAAAAGACATATAGATTTTTAAAAACTGTCACTGTTTGCAAATGACACAATTATCTACACAGAAAATTCAAAGGGATACATGCATACACACACGACGAGAATAAATGAGTTCATCAGGATCACAGAATACAAGATCAGCATACCAATATCAACTGCATTTCTGTGTGCTAGCAATGATTATGTGAAAACTGAGGTTAAAGGCTGAATACCATTTACAATCACTCAACAATAAAAAAATTACTTAGGTATAAATCTAATAAAACATGTATAGGACTTGTATGCTGAAAATTACAAAACACTAATAAAAGAAATCGAAGAAGATCTAAATAAGTCGAGACATACATATTCATTGATATTTGAGATGTCAATTCTCTTCAAACTGATCTGTAGTTTTAACATAATTCCTATCAAAATCTCAGCAAGATTTTTTTGTTGATGTATGCAGGCTTACTCTGAAATTTATATGGCAGGGCAAAGGAACTGCAACCACTGAAAATGTTTTTGAAAAAGAATACAATGAAAGAAATCATTCTACCTGACTTTAAGACTTCCTTATAGTTAAAAAACAATCAAACAGTTTGGAATTGGCAGAGATAAAACAGTTTAATGGAACAGAAGAGAGAATCCAGAAATAGACCCACACAAGTAAAGAAAACTAGTTTTTGATAAAAGCGCAAAAGCAATTCAATGGAGAAAGGACAATATTTTAAACAGTGCTGGAGCAAATAGATAGCCATAAGTCAGAAAAAAAAAAACTTCAACCTAAACCTCACACCTAATACAAAAATTAATTCAAAATGGATCCTGGTTTTAAATTTAAAACTATACCACTTGCCGAAGAAAACACTGGAGAAAATCTTTAGTACATAAGCTAGGCAAAGAGTTCTTGACATATTAAAATCATAATGCATAAAACAATAAATGGAAAAAATAGAATTTTATCAAAATTTAAAACGTTTGCACTGTAAAAGACCCTTTAAGAAGATGAAAAGAAGGCCGAGGTAGGCGGATCACCTGAGGTCAGGAGTTCGAGACCAGCCTGGCCAACATGGTGAAACTCCGCCTCTACTTAAAAAAAAAAAAAAAAATTAGCTGGACATGGTGGCAGGTGCCTGTAATCCCAGCTACTTGGGTGGCTGAGGCAGGAGACTAGCTTGAACTTGGGAGGTGCAGGTTGCAGGGAGGCAGAGGTTGCAGTGAGCCGAGATCGTGCCACTGTACTCCAGCCTGGGTGACAGAGCCAGACTCTGTCTCAAGCTACATACTGGAAGAAAATGTTTATAAACCATATCTGACAAAGGATTGTATCAAGTAAGAACTTTCAAAATTCAACAGTAAGAAAACAAACAATCCAGTTAGAGAATGAACAAAAGATACAAAGACACATTTCACTAAAGTGAAGATACAAATGGCAGATAAGCACATAAGAAGACGTCAAACAGCCATTAGAGAAATATAAATTCAAACCAGAATGAGTTATCACTACACACATATTAGAAGAGATAAAATAGTAAATATAACAAATGCAGGCAAGGATATGAAAAAGTGGATCTCAGCCAGGTGTGGTGGCTCACCCCTGTAATCCTAGCACTTTGGGAGGCCAAGGCAGGCAGATTACCTGAGATCAGGAGTTTGAGACCAGCCTGGCCAACATAGTGAAACCCTGTCTCTACTAAAAATACAAAAATTAGCCGGGTGTGGTGGGGCATGCCTGTAGTCCCAGCTACTCGGGAGGCTGAGGCAGGAGAATCACTTGAACCCAGAAGGCAGAGGCCACAGTCAGCCGAGATCGTGCCACTGCACTCCAGCCTGGGTGACAGAGTAAGACTCTGTCTCAAAAAAAAAAAAAAGAAAAGAAAAGAAAAGAAAAAAGTGCATCTTGAGAAATTAATGGTAGGAATGTAGAATGGCATCCCACTCCCGAAATTAGTTTGGCAGTTTCTTTAAAATGTAAACAAACACTATATGACCCAGCAGTTGTACCCTTGTGCCTTTTTCCCAGAGAAATTAAACTTATGTTCACAGAAAACCTATACATAAATGTTCATTACACCTTTCCTCATAGTAGCCCAAAACTGGAGATAACCTAAATGTCCTACATTGTAGAGTTTAAAATATTGCAGAACATGCACCAATAGAACATGCACCAATAGAACACACAGATGAATCTTGTAACGTGCATAAATAGAACACACAGATGAATCTTGTAACACGCATAAATAGAACACACAGATGAATCTTGTAACGTGCATAAATAGAACACACAGATGAATCTTGTAACTGTTATGCTAAGTAAAAAAGCCAGGCAAAAAAGAATACACACTGCATGATTACAATTCTACTTTTATGAAACTGTAGAAAAGACAAAACTAGTGATAAGCAGCAGACCAGTTGTTGCCAGTGGGTGGGGATGTGAAAAAGAAATAATTACAAAGTGGCATAAGGACATTTTTGCAGTGATGGAAAGATTCTATATCATGTCAACAAACTACAGTGCACAGGCCCAATTCAGCCTGCCACCTGGTTTTGTAAGTTTTATTGGAATAAGGATTTGTTCATATATGTATTTTGCACTACAGTTGCAGAGTTGAGTAGTTGTGACAGAGACCGGACGTCATGCAAAACTTAAAGCATTTACTATGTGGCCCTTTACAGAAAACGTTTGCCAACCGCTGCAATATATGTTTGCGGTGGTGGTAACACAGATGTATATATTTGTCAAAAATTCCTTAAATTGTCCATTTAATGACATTGGCAGATATTATTGTTCATAAATTTTAATTCAATAAAGCTAATTTTAATACCTAGTACTTGCATGACACTTTTTAAATCCATTTAGCCTGTATAAAAACTTGCAGAGAAAAAAAAATCAGTCTAACAGCCACATTCATAATATTTAAATATGTATAATAAACTGGACATTTTTAATCAAACATTTTTTAGGCAGGAGATTTTTATTCATACTCTATGACTTTAACTTCTAAGTAAATAAAAATGCAACTGAAAAAAAGGACCAGTTCTGCTGAAGAGGTAACACACTTCAACCCGTCTGTGCCACAAGCTCAATGGATTTGTCTAGTAAATAAATGCATAGGAAAGTTTCTTCTTAAAAGCCCTTTGGAGCCAGGCGTGGTGGCTCACACCTGTAATCCCAGTACTTTGGGAAGCTGAGGCAGATGGATCACTTGAGGCAAGGAGTTTGAGACCAGCCTAGCCAACATGACAAAACCCCATCTCTACTTAAAAAAAAATTTTTTTTTTTTTTTTTTTTGTGAGACAGAGTCTTGCTCTGTCGCCAAGCTGGCGTGAAGTGATGTGATCTCAGCTCACTGCAGCCTCCACCTCCTGAGTTCAAGCGATTCTCCTGCCTCAGCCTCCCAAGTAGCTGGGATTACAGGCACGTGCCACCACAACCAGATAATTTTTTTTTTTAGTAGACATGGGGTTTCACCATGTTGGCCAAGCTGGTCTTGATCTCCTGACCTCGTGATCCACCTGTCTTGGCCTCCCAAAGTGCTGGGATCACAGATGTGAGCCACTGCGCCTGGCCAAAAATATTTTAAACATTAGCCAGGTGTAATCCCAGCTCCTCAGGAGGCTGAGGCAAGAGAATCGCTTGAGCCTGGGAGGCAGAGGTTGCAGTCAGCCAAGATTGTGCCACTGCACTCCAAACTGGATAACAGAGTGAGACTCTGTCTCAAGAGGAAAAAAAAAAAAAAGCCCTTTGGGGCCAGGCTCAGTGGCTCATGCCTGTAATTCCAGCACTTTTGGAGGCTGAGGCAGGAGGATCACCAGAGCCTGGAACTTCAAAGTGGGCAGCAAAGTGAAACCCTATCTCTACAAAAATAAAAATAAATTAGCCAGGCGTGGTGGTGCTCACCTGTAGTCTCAGCTACTCAGAAGGCTGAGGTGGGAGGATCGCTCAGGCCTGGCAGGTTGAGGCTACAGTGAGCTATGATTGCACCACTGCACTCCAGCACGGGCAACAGAGTAAGACCCTGACTCACAAAAAAAAAAAGAAATGCATGATTTCCTTCCACCTCTGCATCCAATATGCCTAGATGTAGTATTAGTTTAAATCTATTATCAGAACTTTGCTGAATGCAGCAAAAAGAAACCAATATTCAATTTTCAAATTTTCCTACCATTTCAGTGGTGTTTGCCTAAGTTTTCAAGATTTCAGTATCTGTATCCTTCCTTCCAAAGCCCTAACTCCAATAATAAGCCAATTATTTGGAGGACCTCACTTTTTTTGGGGGGGCGGGGGGAAGGAGTCTCGCTCTGTCGCCCAGGCTGGAGTGCAGTGGTGTGATCTCTGCTCCCTGCAAGCTCTGCCTCCTGGGTTCACACCATTCTCCTGCCTCAGCCTCCCGAGTAGCTGGGACTACAGGCACCCGCCACCATGCCCAGCTAATTTTTTGTATTTTTTAGTAGAAACGGAGTTTCACCATGTTAGCCAGGATGGTCTCGATCTCCTGACCTCGTGATCTGCCCACCTTGGCCTCCTAAAGTGCTGGGATTACAGGTGTGAGCCACCACGCCCAGCCAGGGCCTCACTTCTTATGGCAAAATTATCACTTAGGGACTGTCCCTAATAAAAATCCACAAGGGACCTGGTAGTGAATACAAAAGTCTTTGCAGCAGGAATTGAAATTCATGTTCAGTTGTTTCCCTTGAGGCTAATGAAGTTTCTAGACTGGAGAAGGTACACAACAATTTTGCAGAATAAATAAAAACAGAACTTCTAGGCTGAGCATGATGGTTCATCCTTGTAATCCCACCACTTTGGGAGGCCAAAGCAGTAATCACTTGAAGCCAGGAGTTCAAGGACAACAGAGCAAGACCTTGTATCAAAAAAAAAATTAATTAATTAATTAAAATTAAAAACAAACTTCAAGGGAACCCACTTCAGACACACTTTCACATCTTCATTGAATCTTCTCATGAAAGGAAAATGGGAAATATGAAAGAACCAGATATATACTAGTTGATGAACAAGTTCTGCAGTGATAATTCTCAAAGGAAAAAATAGCTAGATTTGGAAGGGAGGGTGGGTGGGATTGCTAGATGTAACAACTGGTGACTCTAATTAAATCCCATCTCATTAAGTGATTTACAAGTCCCTCTTTCCATTAGTGTCTACCCTATGAGATGGAACCTGGATGTCCTGCCTAGGTAATATTTTTGCAAACACCCAAGCATTGATGACTCTTTGTACTCCAAAAGCAAACCTCAGTTACTTGCAATTTTTAGAAGCTCTGTTTATGCAAATGTTTATAAAAATAAGGGACAGCAATCATTAAACTACTTCACAGATTCACCTCAACACTTAAAGAGTACTTGGCATGTAGGAAAACGTGTCCTTTGTGCTGTGGAAACTATGGTGACCACTCCTGTCTTCACAATAAAATAGAGATTGATTAAATAATGAACAATGCAACTATGGATTTTTTTTTTTTGAGAAAAGGTCTGGATCTGTCACCCAGGCTGCAGTGCAGTGGCGTGATCATATCTCACTGCAAACTGAAACTCCTAGACTCCAGTGATCCTCCTGCCTCAGCCTCCCAAAGCACTGGGATTACAGTGCCACTGTGCCTGGCCTCACCCATGGAATTATAAATGGATATAGCATCCATGAAGATCATTATGGGGCACAATGAAAGTATGTAAGATTGTAGTAAGAAGGTGGGTGGCACAAGACATTTTAGCATCTTTTGACACAGCATTTGGATACCAGAATGTTTGAAAACATTTAGAAATGTAAACACACTTATCAGAATTATACCAATACCAGTGAATTTGCTTTGAAAGAGGATTTTCTGCAGCAAAACAGTGACGCCTATTTTATTTTATTTTATTTTATTGTTTTATTTTATTCTATTTTTTGAGACAAAGTTTTGCTCTTTCGCCCAGGCTGGAGTGAAGTGGCGTGATCTCATCTCACTACAACCTCCACCTCCTGGGTTGAAGCGATTCTCCTGCCTCAGCCTCCCGAGTAGCTGGGATTACAGGCGCCTGCCTCCACGCCCAGTTTATTTTTGTATTTTTAGTAGAGACGGGGTTTCACCATGTTGGCCAGGCTGGTCTTGAACTCCTGACCTCAGACAATCCACCCACATCAGCCTCCCAAAGTTCTGGGATTACAGTGAGCCACAGTGCCCTGCTGCCTCTTTTTTTTTGTTTGTTTGTTTGTTTTTTTAGTATTTATTGATCATTCTTGGGTGTTTCTCAGAGAGGGGGATGTGGCAGGGTCATAGGATAATAGTGGAGAGAAGGTCAGCAGATAAACACGTGAACAAAGGTCTCTGGTTTTCCTAGGCAGAGGACCCTGCGGCCTTCTGCAGTGTTTGTGTCCCTGGGTACTTGAGATTAGGGAGTGGTGATGACTCTTAACGAGCATGCTGCCTTCAAGCATCTGTTTAACAAAGCACATCTTGCACCGCCCTTAATCCATTTAACCCTGAGTGGACACAGCACATGTTTCAGAGAGCACGGGGTTGGGGGTAAGGTAATAGATTAACAGCATCCCAAGGCAGAAGAATTTCTCTTAGTACAGAACAAAATGGAGTCTCCTATGTCTACTTCTTTCTACACAGACACAGTAACAATCTGATCTCTCTTTCTTTTCCCCACATTTCCCCCTTTTCTTTTCGACAAAACCGCCATCGTCATCATGGCCCGTTCTTGATGGTCGCTGTCTCTTTGGAGCTGTTGGGTACACCTGCAGAAAGGCTGTCACTTCACACTTGGAAGATTGCACAGCAGCCAGGCAGAGGCGCTTCTCACTCCCCAGACGGGGCAGCCGGGCAGAGGCGCTCCTCACTCCCCAGACAGGGCAGCCAGGCAGAGGCGCTCCTCACCTCCCAGACTATGGGTGGCAGGGCAGAGGTGCTCCTCACTTCCCAGATGATGGGCAGCCGGGCAGAGGTGCTCCTCACTTCCCAGATGATGGGCAGCCGGGCAGAGGCGCTCCTCACTTCCCAGACGGGGCGGCCGGGCAGAGGCACTCCTCACCTCCCAGATGCCTCTTTTATTCTTAAGTGAATTTTCAATTCTGCATAATTTAATCTTTTCCAATTTTTCTAATATTATCTTTGCATAAATTATTATAACCTGTATCAATTATTTTCTATATAAATTTCACATGATGTGATCTGTCAATCAGGTGTTTATTTGTATAATGCAATGAATTTATGTGTATGATGTTCTCTTCTAGCTCTAAAAAAAAAAAAAAAAAAAGAAGCCAGGTGTGGTGGCTCACTCCTGTAATCCCAGCACTTTGGGAGGCCAAGGCGGGTGGATCACGAGATCAGGAGGTCAAGACCATCCTGGCTAACACGATGAAACGCTGTCTCTACTAAAAATACAAAAAATTAGCCGGGCGTGGTGGTGGGCACCTGTAATCCCAGCTACCTGGGAGTCTGAGGCAGGAGAATGGCGTGAACCCAGGAGGCAGAGATTGCAGTGAGCCGAGATTGTGCCACTGCACTCCAGCCTGGGGGACAGAGCAAGACTCTGTCTCAAAAATAAATGAATAAATAAAAATAAAAATAAATTAGCCAAGCATAGTAGTGGGCTCCTGTAATCCCAGCTACTCTGGAGGCTGAGGCAGAGAATTGCTTGAACCTGGGAGGTGGAGGTTGCAGTGAGCCGAGATCACACCACTGCTCTCCAGCCTGGATGACATAGCGAGACTCCGTCTCAAAAAAAAAAAAAAAGAAGAGAGAGAGACCTAAGATGATGTTTCCTCCTCCAGAGGAATTTTTCTTGCTGCTAACGGGGGACACACTCCTTGATATCTTTAAAGGAATTTCGTGTTAGGTGCAGTGCCTCATGCCTATAATCCCAACACTTTGGGAGGCCAAGGCAGGAGGATTGCTTGAGTCAAAGAGTTTGAGACCAGCCTGGGCAACTGGACAACAGACCCTATCTCTACAAAAAAAAAAAAAAAAAAAAAAATTCCTGGGCATGGTGGCACATGCCTGTAGTCCCAGCTATTTGGGAGGATCATTTGAGCCCAGGAAGTTGAGAATGCAGTGAGCCATGATCACACCACTGCACTCCAGCCTGGGCAACAGAGCAAGACCATATCTCAAAAAAAAAAATAAAAATAAAAGGAGATTTCAGGGCTGAAGAATGTTCTGGGCTTTCCAAACATCTTGAAGTCCACTGCAATTTGTGGGAAGGCTGATTTTCTTTTTGTTCATGCTACCTGTACAGAATCTTCCAAGGGTCCGGTCAAGGCAGAGGTATCCTGGTCCATCTCATCCATGGGCCACAGAGGTCTCTTTCTGCCCCATCATCCCTGCAACACCCTTAAAAGCAAACCTCAGCCTATTACCTCTCTCAGGTCAGCCTGAGTCTCCAGAGCAAAGGCAGCCTCATACGTTGTGCTGACATGGAATTCCCATTCTTTTTACATCATACCCCAGTGATCACTGTCTTATTATTTATGTGCTTAGAAAGAATGTTGAAAGTATTTTTATTTTTTTCGAGACAGAGTCTCACTCTGTCACCCAGGCTGTAGTGCATTGATGCATCTTGGCCCACTGCAACATCCACCTCCTGGGTTCAAGTGATTCTCATGCCTCAGCCTCCCCAGTAGCTGGGATTACAGGCATGTGCCACAAAGCCTGGCTATTTTTTGTATTTTTGGTAGAGATGGGGTTTCACCATGTTGGCCAACCTGGTCTCAAACTCCTGACCTCATGTGATCCGCCTGCCTCGGCCTCCCAAAGTGCTGATATTACAGGCAAGAGCCACTGCACCCAGCCTAAAATATTTTTTTCAGCTTTGTCCATTTTCTTTATTACACAGGTTGATCAAAATTATCTTGTCTACTTTTAATGGAATAATCCCCTACACGAGCAAAAGCAGAAGTTGTCTAAATGTCAAAATATAGGATATGGGTAAACCCAAATGCAGTTTTGAAAAGTGGAAAAATATTTGGCCATTAAGCATATTTTCAAGATAGAATGGGGCATGGAAAGAGTTCACAGCATATCACAAAATTTTAAATGCAAGTTACACAAGAACATTGGCTGGGTACAGTGGCTCACCCCTGTAATCCTAGCACTTTGGGAGGCTGAGCCAGGTGGATCACTTGAGGTCGGGAGTTTGAGACCAGCATGGCCAACATGGTGAAACCCTGTCTCTACCAACTCTACTAAAAATACAAAAATTAGCCGGGCATGGTGGTGAGCACCTGTAATCCCAGCTACTTGGGAGGCTTAGGCAGGAGAATCGCGTGAACCCAGAGGGCAGAGGTTGCAGTGAACCGAGACCACACCAATACACTCCAGCCTGGGCACTGGGCAACAGAGCAAGACTCTGTCTCAAAAAAGAAAGAATATTTAAGACATGATCTCATTTTTTTATAAGTATACATATACCCTAAAATCTAAACTGAAGTGTAAGAAACAAAGAAAAATTCAATCAATACAAAACAATTACTTGGGCCAGGCACAGTGGTTTGTGCCAGTAATCCCAGCACTTTGTGAGGCTGAAGCAGGAGGATCACTTGAGGCCAGGAGTTCAAGACCAGCCTGGCCAACATGGTGAAACCCCGTCTCTACTAAAAATACAAAAATTAGCTGGGTGTGATGGTGCAGACCTATAATCCCAGCTACTCAAGAGGCTGAGGCATGAGAATCATTTGACTCCAGGAAACTCATCACAGCCTTGACCTCCGCAGCTCAAGTGATCCTCCCACCTCAGCCTTCCAGTATGATTGCTTGGTGCTAGCACAGCCTTGTTAATCCTGAGCCCAGGGCCACTGTGTTAGCCCATTATCGCATTGCCATAAAGGAACAGCTGAGGCTGGTAATTTATGAAAAGAGGCTTACTTGGCTCATGGTTCTGCAGGCTGTACAGGAAGCATGGTGCCAGCATCTGCTCAGCTTCTGCTGAGGGCTTCAGGAAGCTTCCAATGATGCTGGAAGGCAAAGGGTGAGCCAGTGCATCACATGGCAAGAGAGGAAGAAGAGAGACCTGAGGAAGGAGGGGCCAAACTCTTTAAAACAACCGGCACTCAGCTCTCCAGAGAACTGACCAAGAACTCACTCATCACCAAGGGAATGGTGCTAAGCCATTCATGAGGGATCCGCCCCCATGATCCAGTACCTCACTAGGCCCGACCTCTGACAGTGGAGGTCATATTTCAACATGAAATGTGGAGGGGACACACATCCTGACCATATCAGCCATGAACCCAGGAACTATCAATGCTGAGGAAGACATGAGGGCCCTAACACTCCACGGAGACTGAGTGTGGTTCCTAATCTCTCTCAATTTCCCTTTCTCTTTAACAGAATGTTACTCTGAGACCACAGAACATGATGGCACCCAGGCGCTAAGCTGTACTTGTGCAGCCTTAACATCTGAGCTCCCTCTCCTGGACCCACTGAGCACGAGGCAGGGGGCACACATTAGACAAGTAATAATGGTTTGTTCAAGGCTTAGTTCCACTCTTCCAGATATAGATAATTCTACCCACTTATAGATGAAGAGATAGAGGCTCCAATGGGAGGAGAAAAGGCTGAGTAATTGGGGCCTGAAAGGCTCATTTTAAGCTTTTGTTATGGACTGAATGTTTGCGTCTCCTATGTTGAAGTCATAATCCCCAATACAGCTGTATTTGGAGATTCTGCCTCCAAATTACATCCTCAATTAAGGATGCAACTAAGGTAAAATGAGGTCATAAGGGTGGCATCCGGCTCTGATAGGATTGGTATCCTTATAGGGAGAGACATCAGGGAGCTCTCTGTCTCTCTCTCTCTCTGCACTGAAGCACCAAAGAAAGGCTATGTGAGACCAGGCACAGTGGCTCACACCCAAAATCCAGCACTTTGGAAGGCTGAGGCAGGTGGATGGCTTGAGGCTAGGAGTTCAAGACTAGCCTGCCCAACATGAAGAAACCCCCTCTCTAATAAAAATACAAAAATTAGCTAGGTGTGGTGGCACATGCCTATAATCCCATTACTCAGGAGGTTGAGGCAAGAGAATCACTTGAACCTGGGAAGCAGAGTTGCAGTGAGTCAAGATTGTGCCACTGCACTGCAGCCTGGGTGACAGAGCAAGACTCTTTTTTTTTTTTTTTTTTTGAGATGGAGTCTCACTCTGTCACCCATGCTGGAGTGCAGTGGTGCGATCTCAGCTCACTGCAAGCTCCACCTCCCAGGTTCATGCCATTCTCCTGCCTCAGCCTCCCGAGTAGCTGGGATTACAGGCATCCACCACCACACCTGGCTAATTTTTTTTGTATTTTTAGTAGAGATGGGATTTCACCATGTCAGCCAGGATGGTCTCAATCTCCTGACATCGTGATCCACCCACCTCAGCCTCCCAAAGTGCTGGGATTACAGGCATGAGCCACCGCACCCAGCCAAGATTCTGTCTTAAAACAAGAAAGAAAGAGAGAGAGAGAGAAAGAAGAAAGAAAGAGAGAGAAGGAAGGAAAGAAGGAAGGAAGGAAGGAAGGAAAAAAGGAAAGAAGGCAAAGAGACAAAGAGGAGGCTCATGCATGTAATCCCAGCACTTTGGGAGGCTGAGGCAGGTGGATCACCTGAAGTCAGGAGCTCCAGACCAGCCTGGCCAACACAGTGAAACCCTGTCTATATTAAAAATACAAAAATTAGTTGGGCATGATGGCTCACGCCTGTAATCCCAGCTACTCAGAAGGCTGAGGCAGGAGAATTGCTTGAACCTGGGAGGTGGAAGTTGTGGTGAGCCAAGATGGCACCACTACACTCCAGCCTGTGAGACAGAGCAAGACTCTGAAAAAAAGAAAGAGAAGAGAAGAGAAGGAGGGGAAGGAAGGGAAGGAGAGAGAAAGAAAGAAGAAAGAGAGAGAAAAAAGAGAAAGAAAGAAAAGAAAGAAGGAAGGAAAAATATCGGGGGAAACAGCCCCCAATATTTCAATGTAGATTCTTTCTATTTTCCATAAGTGATGGCTGGCTGAGAAATAAAGGAAAGAGTACAAAGAGAGGAATTTTACAGCTGGGCCTCTGGGGGTGATATCACATATCGATAGGACTGTGATGTCCACTTGAGCCACAAAACCAGCAAGTTTTTATTAAGGATTTCAAAAGGGGAGGGGGTGTACGAATAGGGAGTAGGTCACAAAGATCACATGCTTCAAAGGACAAAAGGCAGAATAAAGATCACATGCTTTTGAGGAAACAGGACAAGGGCAAAATCAGAACTACTGATAAGGATCTATGTTCAGCTGTGCACATATTGTCTTGATAAACATCTTAAACAAAAGAAAACAGGGTTCAAGAGCAGAGAACCAGTCTGACCACAAATTTACCATGGTGGAGTTTCCCAATCCTAGTAAGCCTGAGGGTACTGCAGGAGACCAGGGCGTATTTCAGTCCTTATCTCAGAGACTGCCTAAGACAGACACTCCGAGAGCGGCCACTTATAGTCCTCCCGCAAGGAAGGCATTCCTTCCCCAGGGTATTATTTATTAATATTTCTTGCTAGGAAAATAATTTAGTGATATCTTCCCTACTTGCACATCCTTTTATAGGCTCTCTGAAAGATGAAAAATATGGCTCTATTTTGCCTGACCCCACAGGCAGTCAGACCTTATGGTTGTCTTCCCTTGTTCCCTGAAAATCACTGTTATTCTGTTTTTTTCAAGGTGCACTGATTTCATATTGTTCAAACACACGTTTTACAATCAATTTGTACAGTTAACAAAATTATCACAATAGTCCTGAGGTGACGTATGTTCTCAGCTTATGAAGATAACAGGATTAAGAGATTAAAGACAGGCATAAGAAATTATAAAAGTATTATTGGGGAATTGATAAATGTCCATATTAAAATGAAATCTTCTCAATTTATGTTCAGAGATTGAAGTAAAGACAGGTGTAAGAAATTATAAAAGTATTATTTGGGAACTGATATATGTCCATATTAAAATGAAATCTTCACAATTTATGTTCCTTTGCCACAGCTCCAGCCAGTCCCTCCGTTCAGGGTCCCTGACTTTCCACAACAAAGGAACGAAGGAAGGAAAAAGAAAAGAAGAAGAAGGAAGGAAGAAGAAGGAAGAGGAAGGAAGGAAGAAAGGAAGGAAGGAAGGCTGGCTGGCTGGCTATGTGAGGACATAGCAAGAAGGTGGCCATCTGTAAGCCAGGAACAAAGAGAGCACTCACAAGAAACTTAATCTTCCAGGAACTCAGTCTGGGACTTCTAGCCTTCAGAACTGTGAGAGAATAAGTTTCTGTTAGTTAAGCAATCTCTTCCGTAGAATTGTATTTTATTTTATTTTATTTTATTTTACAGACAGATTATCACTCTGTCACCCAGGCTGGAGTGCAGTGGTGCTATCTTGGCTCACTACAACCTCTGCCTCCTGTGTTCAAGCGATCCTCCCACCTCAGCCTCCTGAGTAGCTGGGACTGCCGGTGCCCACCACCATGCCCAGCTAATTTTTGTATTTTTAGTAGAGACAGGGTTTTGCCATGTTGCCCAGGCTGGTCTCGAACTCCTGAGCTCGAGTGATCTGCTGGCTTTGGCCTCCCAAAGTGCTAGGATTACAGGCATGAGCCACTGCACCTGGCCCCTTCTGTAGTATCTTAAGGCAGCACAAGCATACTGATGCAGATTTTGGCACCATAAAGTGGGGTGCTGCTATAATACCTAAAAATGTGCAAGTGGCTTTGGGACTGGGTGATGGGAAGAGGCCAAAAGAGCTTTAAAGTACATGCTAGAAAAAGCCTAGATTGCCTTAAGGGACTGTTGGTGAAAATACTAAGATTAAAGGAAATTCTGGTGAGAGCTCAAAAAGAAAGTAAGAGAAACAGAGAGAGCCTCTATTGTCCCAGAATACATATGTCAACATGAACACAATGTTCATAGATATGTGGATGTGAAAGGCCATTCTGGTGAGGCCTAAACAGAAATGAGGACCGTGTTACTGGAAACTGGAGGAAAGGCAATCCTTGTTATAAGGTGGCAAAGCTGGCTGAGTTGTGTTCTAGTTTTGTGGAAAGTAGAATTTGCAAGTGATAAAACCAGATATTTAGTTGAGATTTCTAAGCAAAACAAGGAAGGTGTGGCCTGGGTCTTTCTGATTGCTTACAGTAAAATCTGAGAAGACAGAGAATTGAAGAAATGATTGGCAAAAGCGAACAAGAACTTAAAGATTTGTAAAATTCTGAGCCTATCCACACTGCAAAAGAGAAGCATGTTCTGAAGAAAACACTGAGGATGTGACTGGATTGCCGCTCAACAGAGAGATTAAGGGATTATATAAGTAGAAATACTGTCAAATTGAACTGAAGGTGATGGAAAAGGGAAGACTGCTGGGCTTCTTGGATTTTGCAGGATGGGACAACAGAGCTATTTGGTTGGGAGATGCACTATTCTTTGAAAGGGAAGAATGACCCCAAAGATCATAAAGGCTCCCTCCTTGGTTTCAAAGAATAAAGCCACCATTTCTTCAGTTTAAACAGGCCAGGTTAACCCTGCCTAGGGCCTTGTGGGCAGGTCCACCCGACAGAGTATGTGGTGGAACAACCACCTAGGGCCATGGGGGTTGAGGCCACCACCCCAGGCAGGAAGGGCATTGAGCCAAAGAGGTGTTTTGTTTTGTTTTTTCCCTTGAGACAGAGTTTTGCTATTGTTGCCCAGGCTAGAGTGCAATGGCATGATCTTGGCTCACTGCAACCTCCATCTCCCGGATTCAAGCAATTCTCCTGCCTCAGCTTCCCAAGTAGCTGGGATTACAGGCATGTGCCACCACGCCCAGCTAATTTTATAATCTTAGTAGAGAAGGGGTTTCACCATGTTTCAGGCTGGTCTTGAACTCCTGACCTCAAGTGATCCACCCGCTTTGGCCTCCCAAAGTGCTGGGATTACAAGCATGAGCCACCATGCTTGGCCAATAAAGAGGTCATTCTCAAGCCTTAGATCTAATGGAATTTGTTTTGCTGGTTTTGGACTGGCTTGGGACCGTCACTCCTTTCTTTCAGATTTCTTCCTTGTGGAACAGGAATGTCTATCCTATGCATATACAACCACTACATTTTGGAAGCCCATACTTTGTCTGGTTTCACTTGTTTCATACCTGGAAAGGAACTTTGCCTCAGAATGAATCATACCTCAATGGTCACCCTTTCATGATTTAGATAATATTTAGATGACACTTTGGACTTCAGATCTACAGAATTAATGCTGGAATGAGTAACACTTTTGGGATTGTTGGGATGGAATGCATGTATTTCAAATGCAAGGACATGAACTTTGAGGGGCTAGGAGCAGAATATAATAAATGAAATGTTTGTGTCCCCCCAAAATTCATATATTGAAGCGATAAGCCCCAGTGTGGCTTTATTTTGAGATAGGGCCTCTTTGGCAGCAGGGAAGGTTCAATAAGGTAGTAGGAGTGGGCCCTGATCTAATAGAATATGTCTTTCAAATAAGAGATACTAGAGCACATGCTCTATCTCCCCATCCCCCACCCTGCAAGCCATGAGGAAGTGCCATGTGAGGATATAGTGAGAAGGCAGCAATCCAGAAGCCAGGAAGCACTTACCAGAAAGAGAATTTGCCAGCACCTTGATGATGGACTTCAAGCCTACAGAATTATGCAAAAATAAATGTCTGTTGTTTATGCCACCAAGTCTGTGGTATTTTGTTATGGCAGCCCAAGCAGATCAATACAGCATCTCAAACATGCCCAATCCTTGCCCACTCCCAATATATCCATGGGATCTTCAAAAATCCATACTAATGGAGAAAGAGACTGTCATCTCAGGAACTGAAGGAGAAAGAGTCTTGGCTGGTGGGAGCTTGAATTATTCCCAACTCTGTATGAGATCTGGGAAGTGTTTGTCTTTGAGTTCCCCAATAATTGCTCCTTTGGCAGCAGCTGTTCTTTGCCAAGCCTTAAAGAACATGACCCGTTGCATATGCAGATTGGTACTCAGATTTCTCAAATTGTCTCTGCTAGCTCCCTTTCCAGTATGCTAGTCCACATACTACAGCTGCCTTAAACTTCTTGAACTCTGAAATATTTATGCTTCAAAGAATAAGAATATGTTTGGAGTTATCTCTATCTATGCCATAGTCTAGGAATTTCCTTCTGACAAGAAGCTGTGCCAATCATAAGACTGGCCATATTTGCTTCCTTTCTTTCAAGAATCATGGTTGTGCAATTCCTAATATCCAAGTCTTAAAACAGTTGTTTCATACATTTTTCCAGTTTTCTAGTTATTTCATCTATCTTGGCCAGTTTGCCAGTTGTTTAAGACCACAAATACTGGAGAATGGGTGGAAGCAAAAATTCCTTTTATAGGTGGAAGCAAAAATCCTTTAAATAATTTTGTATTTAACTGTTGCATAGTTTATTATTCCATTTGGCTGACTCTGAGTTTACAGTCACACTATGTGGATTCTTTTTTAATAATAACTTTTTAATATAGAGACAGGGTCTCATCATGTTGCCTAGGCTGGTCTCAAAATCCTGGGCTCAAGCAATCCTCCTGCCTTGGTGCCTTCGTCTCCCAAGGTGCTGGGAATACAGGCATGAGCCACCATGTCTGGCCTCTCTGGATTCCTTACCGGGTAAGTAGTTTAGTAATAATGGTGTATTAGTCCATTATCACGCTGGTATAAAGAACTATATGAGACTGGGTAATTTATAAAGAAAAGAGGTTTAATTGACGCACAGTCCTGTCCCACATGGCTGAGGATGCCTAAGGAAACTTACAATCATGGCTGAAAGTGAAGGGGAAGCAAGGCACATCTTACCATGGCAGAGCAGGAGAGACAGAGAAAAGGGGTAAGTGCTACACTTTTAAACTATCAGATCTCATGAGAACTCACTATCACAAGAACGGCAAGGAGGAACTCCACCCCCATGATCTAATCACCTCCCACCCGGCCCCTCCCCTGACACATGGGGATTACAATTCAACATGAGATTTGTGTGGGCACACAGAGCCAAACCATATCAAATGCTAACACTTATTTATGTATGAGTAGAATGTAACAAGATTTCAACACATCAATTTACTCTCTACAAATATTTTATTTAAAATATACATTTTTTCTTATAGCTATAAAAAGAAAAACATTAAGTGTGGGAAATTTTAAACACATCATTAAAATTATTAAATTAAGGGCACATTTACATAAGATTATGATGAGTTCCTGTGACAAAATCAACACATATAATCTTTCTCTTATAAAGCACACTCGCAGAGGGCATTGCAAGATGGCCGAATAGGAACAGTTCTGGTCTGCAGCTCCCAGCATGATCAACGCAGAAGACGGGTGATTTCTGCATTTCCAACTGAGGTACCTGGTTCATCTCATTGGGACTGGTTGGACAGTGGGTGCAGTCCACAGAGGGTGAGCTAAAGCAGGGCAGGGTGTTGCCTCACCCGGGAAGCAAAAGGGGTCAGGGGATTTCCCTTTCCTAGCCAAAGGAAGCTGTGACAGACTACCTGGAAAAATGGGGCACTCTCACCTAAATACTGCACTTTTCCCAAGGTCTTAGCAACCGGCAGATATGGTGATTGTCTCCCGTGCCTGGTTTGGCAGGTCCCACGCCCACAGAGCCTTGCTCACTGCTAAGGCAGCAGTCTGAGATTGATCTGTGAGGCAGCAGCCTGGCTGGGGGAGGGGCGTCTGCCATTGCTGAGGCTTGAGTTGGTAAACAAAGTGGCCCGGAAGCTCAAACCGGGCACAGCCCACCACAGCTCAACAAGGCCTATTGCCTCTAGGCTCCATCTCTGTGCGCAAGGCGTAGCTGCACAAAAGGCAGCAGAAACTTCTGCAGACTTAAACGTCCCTGTCTGACAGCTGTGAAGAGAGCAGTGGTTCTCCCAGCACAGTGTTTGAGTTCTGAGAACGGACAGACTGCCTCCTCAAGTGGGTCCCTCACCCCCATGTAGCCTAACTGGGAGACACCTCACAGTAGGGGCCAACAGACACTTCGTATAGGTGGCTGCCCCTCTGGGACAAAGCTTCCAGAGGAAGGATCAGGCAACAATATTTGCTGTTCTGCAATATTTGCTGTTCTGCAGCCTCCACTGGTGATACCTAGGCAAACAGGGTCTGGAGTGGAACTCCAGCAAACACCAACAGACCTGCAGCTGAGGGACCTGACTGTTAGAAGGAAAACTAACAAACAGAAAGGAATAGCATCAACATCAACAAAAAGGTCATCTACACCAAAACCCCATCTGTAGGTCACCATCATCAAAGATCAAAGGTAGATAAAACCACAAAGATGCAGAGAAACTAGAACAGAAAAGCTAAAAATTCTAAAAATCAGAGTGCTTCTTCTCCTCCAAAGGATTGTGGCTCCTCGCCAGCAATGGAAAAAAGCTGGATGGAGAATGACTTTGACGAGTTGACAGAAGTAGGCTTCAGAAGGTCGGTAATAACAAACTTCTCGGAGCTAAAGGAGGATGTTCAAACCCATCGCAAGGAAGCTAAAAACGTTAAAAAAAAAATTAGACAAATGGCTAACTAGAATAAACAGTGTAGAGAAGACCTTAAATAACCTGATGGAGTTGAAAACCATGGCACGAGAACTTCGTGACGCATGCACAAGCTTCAATAGCCAATTCAATCAAGTGGAAGAAAGGGTATCAATGATTGAAGATCAAATTAATGAAATAAAGCAAGAAGACAAGGTTAGAGAAAAAAGACTAAAAAGAAACGAACAAAGCCTCCAAGAAATATGGGACTATGTGAAAAGACCAAATCTACATCTGATTGGTGTACATGAAAGTGACAAGGAGAATGGAACCAAGTTGGAAAACACTATTCAGGATATTATCCAGGAGAACTTCCCCAACCTAGCAAGGCAGACCAACATTCAAATTCAGGAAATAAAGAGAACACCACAAAGATACTCCGCGAGAAGAGCAACCCCAAGACACATAATTGTCAGATTCACCAAGATTGAAACAAACGAAAAGATGTTAAGGCAGCCAGAGAGAAAGGTCGAGTTACCCACAAAGGGAAGCCCATCAGAGAACAGACCTCTCGGCAGAAACCCTGCAAGCCAGAAGAGAGTGGGGGCCAATATTCAACATTCTTAAAGAAAAGAATTTTCAACCCAGAATTTCATATCCATCTAAGCTTCATAAGTGAAGGAGAAATAAAATCCTTTACAGACAAGCAAATGCTGAGAGATTTTGTCACCACCAGGCCTGCCTTACAAATGCTCCTGAAGGAAGCACTAAACATAGAAAGAAACAACCAGTACCAGCCACTGCAAAAACATGCCAAATTGTAAAGACCATCGATGCTATGAAGAAACTACATCAATTAATGGGCAAAATAACCAGCTAACATCATAATGACAGGATCAAATTCACACATAACAATATTAACCTTAGATGTAAATGGGCTAAATGCTCCAATTAAAAGACACAGACTGGCAAATTGGATAAAGAGTCAAGACCCATCAGTGTGCTGTATTCAGGAGACCCATCTCATGTGCAGAGACACATATAGGCTCAAAATAAAGGGATGGAGGAGATCTACCAAGCAAATGGAAAACAAAAAAAGGCAGGGGTTACAATCCTAGTCTCTGATAAAACAGACTTTAAACCAACAAAGATCAAAAGAGACAAAGAACCCCATTACATAATGGTAAAGGGATCAATTAAACAAGAAAAGCTAACTATCCTAAATATATGTGCACCCAATACAGGAGCATCCACATTCATAAAGCAAGACCTTAGAGACCTACAAAGAGACTTAGACTCCCACACAATAATAATGGGAGACTTTAACACCCCTCTGTCAATATTAGACAGATCAACAAGACAAAAGGTTAACAAGGATATGCAGGACCTGAACTCAGCTCTGCAACAAGCAGACCTAATAGACATCTACAGAACTCTCCAGCCCAAAGCAGCAGAATATACATTCTTCTCATCACCACATAGCACTTATTCTAAAAGTGACCACATAATTGGAAGTACAGCACTCCTCAGCAAATGTAAAAGAAATCACAACAAACTGTGTCTCAGATCACAGTGCAATCAAATTAGAACTCAGGATTAAGAAACTCACTCAAAACCACACAACTACATGGAAACTAAACAACTTGCCCTGGAATGACTACTGGGTAAATAACGAAATGAAGGCAGAAATAAAGATGTTCTTTGAAACCAATGAGAACAAAGACACAACATATCAGAATCTCTAGGACACATTTAAAGCAGTGTGTAGAGGGAAATTTACAGCACTAAATGCCCACAAGAGAAAGCAGGAAAGATCTAAAATCAACACCCTAACATCGCAATTAAAACAATCAGAGAAGCAAGAGCAAACAAATTCAAAAGGTAGCAGAAGGCAAGAAATAACTAAGATCAGAGCAGAACTGAAAAATATAGAGATACAAAAATACCCTTCAAAAAAATCAATGAATCCAGGAGCTGGTTTTTTTTAAAAGAGCAACAAAATCGATAGACCACTAGCAAGACTAATAAAGAAGAAAAGAGAAAAGAATCAAATAGACACAATAAAAAATGATAAAGGGGATATCACCACTGATCTAACAGAAATACAAACTACCACCAGAGAATACTATAAACACCTCTATGCAAATAAACTAGAAAATCTAGAAGAAATGGATAAATTCCTGGACACATACACTCTCCCAAGACTAAACCGGGAAGAAGTTGAATCTCTGAATAGACCAATAACAGGCTCTCAAATTGAGGCAATAATTAATAGCCTACCAACCAAAAAAAGTCCAGGACCAGACGGATTCACAGCTGAATTCTACCACAGCTAGAAAGACGAGCTGGTACCATTCCTTCTGAAACTATTCCAATCAATAGAAAAAGAGGGAATCCTCCCTAACTCATTTTATGAGGCCAGCATCATCCTGATACCAAAGCCTGGCAGAGACACAACAAAAAAAGAGAATTTTAGACCAATATCCCTGATGAACATCAATGCAAAAATCCTCAATAAAATACTGGCAAACTGAATCCAGTAGCACATTAAAAAGCTTATCCACCACGATCAAGTGGGCTTTATCCCTGGGATGCAAGGCTGGTTCAATATATGCAAATCAATAAACATAATCCATCACATAAACAGAACCAACAACAAAAAACCACATGATTATCTCAATAGATGCAGAAAAGGCCTTTGACAAAATTCAACAGCCCTTCATGCTAAAAACTCTCAATAAACTAGGTGTTGATGGAACATATCTCAAAATGATAAGAGCTATTTATGACAAACCCACAGCCAATATCATACTTAATGGGCAAAAACTGGAAGCATTCCCTTTGAAAACCAGCACAAGACAGGGATGCCCTCTCTCACCACTCCTATTCAACATAGTGTTGGAAGTTCTGGCCAGGGCAATCAGGCAAGAGAAAGAAAAAAAGGGTATTCAATTAGGATAAGAGGAAATCAAATTGTCCCTGTTTGCAGATGACATTATTGTATATTTAGAAAACCCCATCATCTCAGCCCAAAATTTCCTTAAGCTGATAAGCAACTTCAGCAAAGTCTCAGGACACAAAATCAATGTGCAAAAATCACAAGCATTCCTATACACCAATAACAGACAAACAGAGAGCCAAATTATGAGTGAACTCCTATTCACAATTGCTACAAAGACAATAAAATACCTAGGAATCCAACTTACAAGGGATGTGAAGGACCCCTTCAAGGAGAACTACAAACCACTGCTCAACAAAATAAGAGGACACAAACAAATGGAAGAATATTCCATGCTCATGGATAGGAAGAATCAATATTGTGAAAATGGCCATAATGCCCAAAGTAATTTATAGATTCAATGCCATCCCCATCAAGCTACCAATGACTTTCTTCACAGAATTAGAAAAAACTACTTTAAAGTTCATATAGAACCAAAAAAGAGCCCGCATTGCCAAGACAATCCTAAGCAAAAAAAACAAAGCTGGAGGCATCAAGCTACCTGACTTCAAACTATACTACAAGGCTACAGTAACCAAAACAGCATGGTACTGGTATCAAAACAGATATGTAGACCAATGGAACAGAACAGAGCCCTCAGAAATAACACCACACATCTACAACCATCTGATCTTTGACAAACCTGACAAAAACAAGAAATGGGGAAAGGATTCCCTATTTAATAAATGGTGCTGGGAAAACTGGCTAGCCATATGTAGAAAGCAGAAACTGGATCCCTTCCTTACACCTTATACAAAAATTAATTCAAGATGGATTAAAGACTTAAATGTTAGACCTAAAACCATAAAAAACCCTAGAAGAAAACCTAGGCAATGCCATTCAGGACATTGGCATGGGCAAGGACTTCATGACTAAAACACCAAAAGCAATGGCAACAAAAGCCAAAATTGACAAATGGGATCTAATTAAACTAAAGAGCTTCTGCACAGCAAAAGAAACTACCATCAGAGTGAACAGGCAACCTACAGAATGGGAGAAAATTTTTGCAATCTACCCATCTGATAAAGGGCTAATATCCAGAATCTACAAAGAAGTCAAACAAATTTACAAGAAAAAAAACAAACAACCCCATCAAAAAGTGGGCAAAGGATATGAACAGACACTTCTCAAAAGAAGACATCTGTCTGGGTGCGGTGGCTCATGGCTGTCATCCCAGCACTTTGGGAGGCTGAGGCGGGTGGATCACGAGGTCTGGAGATCGAGACCATCCTGGCTAACATGGTGAAACCCTGTCTCTACTAAAAATACAAAACAAAAAAAATTAGCTGGGCATGGTGGCAAGCGCCGGAGGCTAAGGCAGAAGAATGGCATGAACCCGGGAGGCAGAGCTTGCAGTGAGCCAAGATCACGCCACTGCACTCGAGCCTGGGCAACAGAGCAAGACTCCGTCTCAAAAAAAAAAAAAAAAAGAAGACATCTATGCAGCCAACAGACACATGAAAAAATGCTCATCACCACTGGTCATCAGAGAAATACAAATCAAAACCACAATGAGATACCATTCTTGCCAGTTAGAATGGCAATCATTAAAAAGTCGGGAAACAACAGATGCTGGAGAGGATGTGGAGAAATAGGAACACTTTTACACTGTTGGTGGGAGTGTAAATTAGTTCAAACATTGTGGAAGACAGTGTGGCGATTCCTCAAGGATCTTGAACTAGAATTACCATACGACCCAGCAATCCCATTACTGGGTATATACACCCAAAGGATTATAAATCATGCTACTATAAAGACATATGCACACATATGTTTATTGTGGCACTATTCACAATAATAAAGACTTGGAACCAACCCAAATGTCCATCAATGATAGACTGGATTAAGAAAATTTGGCACATGTACACCATGGAATACTATGCAACCATAAAAAATGATGAGTTCATGTCCTTTGCAGGGACATGGATGAAGCTGGAAACCATCATTCTCAAAAAACTATCACAAGGACAGAAAAGCAAACACCACATGTTCTCACTCATGGGTGGGAATTGAACAATGAGATCACTTGGACACAGGAAGGGGAACATCACACACCAGGGCCTGTCAGGGGATGGGGGGCTGGGGGAGGGATAGCATTAGGAGAAATACCTAATGTAAATGATGAGTTGATGGATGCAGCAAACCAACATGGCACATGTATACCTATGCATCAAACCTGCACATTGTGCACATGTACCCTAGAACTTAAAGTATAATAAAAAAAAAAAAGAAGAAATCCACTACAGAAGGAACCAAGGAATTTAAGCATCAAAATTCCCACCTGCCCCCCACCATTTTTTTGTGAGCCCAGGATGGCTTTGAACTCCCAGGCTCGAGCAATCCTCCCCAGTCAGCCTCCAGATAATTACAGGCATGAGCTACCAAGCCTGGTTCATCTTCTCTGATTTTTCTCAATGTCACTTGAGTCTTTTGTGGCCCACACTAGTTAGGGGAATAGCCTGATCATCTGGCCAGATCTAAACTGAAATATCTGATGAGGCAGCTATATTTGGAGGGGCTGACCTGAGATATAGAAGATTAAGATCTGGTACTGAGGATTCAGGCTTGTAAGGGAAAGCTTCGAATGCAAATTATATGCACCCTAATTTTTTTTAACCGATTCTTTCTTCTGGTTATAATTTACTTTTTTTGGAGATTGCATATATTTACACTTATTTGCTAGGTGCTTGTATTTCTTTTCTGAATTGCCTTTTCATCTTGATGGTGTATTTTTTGTTCAGTCACTTAGAATAAAAATTCAAGTGTGAAGAAAGAAAAATACTTTAAGGCTTAGAAATGTAACCTTTTGCTTTATTTTAGAAATTTTTATTTATATGATTATGCATTTCCTAGATACTAGTTCTTTCTGTTCAAGGCCATTTACTCCAACACCCAAGTGGATTTCTTGATTGCAGATTTATTACTATAGGATGTATTTGGGTAGAATTATTTCTTCCCATTATACTGGCCTTATTCACACTTCTGTGCTTTAACACAATGAAAAATTGCTTTAACATTGAAGTTCTGTATTGAGTCCCACAAGATATTATTCCCTTACAGCGCTTGTATTGTAAGCTGCAAACTGAACATTTGAAAAATCAAAATGAAAGCATGTAGCATAAAGGTCTGCCTTTTTTTTTTTTTTTTTTTTGAGACAGAGTCTCACTCTGTCGCCCAGGCTGGAGTGCAGCAGAGCGATCTCGGCTCACTGCAAGCTCCGCCTCCCAGGTTCACGCCATTCTCCTGCCTCAGCCTCCTGAGTAGCTGGGACTACAGGGACCCGCCACCACGCCTGGCTAATTTTTTTTGTACTTTTAGTAGAGACAGGGTTTCACCGTGTTAACCAGAATGGTCTCGATATCCTGACCTCGTGATCTGCCCACCTCGGCCTCCCAAAGTGCTGGGATTACAGGCGTGAGCCACGGCGCCCAGCCAAATGTCTGCCTTTGAAGGATAATGGCGTGCATGTAAGGTGCTGTTAAAAAGTATTGATTGCATTAGCAGCACCTTGATTTTAGCACAGAGGTCAGCAAATTAGTGGCTGTAGGCCAAGTCCAGCCCGCTGCCTGTCTTTGTAAGTACTTTTTTTTTAACCTTTAAGCTCTGTTGGACTTGAGTAAGTAAAGTTTTACGGAACACAGAAAATAAAATAAAATGAAATAAAAAATAAAAATAAAGCACACTCACACAACATTATGACACTTTGCATTTGTATTTGGTGTATTTATGACTATTCGACCTAATTGTGCTTTTTGAAGTTAGATTCCTAGTACACAGTATGTCTGTAACTGAATATTTTCAATAAAATTTTGGTATATCAGAAACAAGAATTTTAGTATAATATTTCTAAAGGAAGTTTTTAGTCTCAATTACCAAACTGACATTTCCAGTGAGCTAAAATCTCTCATGTATAACCAAAACTGAATCATTTTCAAAGTTACAACTTATTCAAAATATTCGTAAGATGTTTCAAATATCAAATATCTGCTGCTCACTAAGATGGCCCTTTATTTCTGGGCAAAATATTTCTCATACTTACAAAGTTTCTCCCCTTCACTGTTTTTAATGTAAACTGAGTAGGTTAAGTAAGAAAAGGTTTCTGGACTTTCAGAAGATGCTAACAGGGACTTCTCTCTGTACTTTCTCAGATTAGTGAATTCTGATAAAAGGCTCTCCACATTTGTAGATTCACAGGATTTCTGCCTTCTGTGTGTTTTCTGATGTGCTATAAGTGATGACTTCTGGTAGAAAGTCTTCTCACATTCATTACATTTGTAGGGTTTCTCTCCTGTGTGGGTTCTCTGATGTACTGTGAGGGATGACTTGTGGTAAAAAGTTTTGCTGCATTCATTATATTTATGAAGTTTCTCTCCTGAGCTCTTTGATGTTTAGTAAGTGCTGATTTCTGGTTAAATGTTTTGCTGCATTGAATACATTTATATGGCTTCTCTTTTTATGTCTTTTTTGATGTACAGTAAGGGATAACTTCTGGGAAAAACTTTTCCCACATGCATTACATTTATATGGTTTCTCCCCTGTGTGTGTTCTCTGATGTACTGTAAGAGATGACTTCTGGGAAAAGGTTTTCCCACATTCATTACATTCATAGGGTTTTTCCCCTGTGTGAGTTCTCTGATGCACAATAAGTTTTGACTTCACTGAGAAAGACTTCCCACATTCATTACATTCACAGGGCCTTTCTCCAGTATGAGTTCTCTGATGATAAGTGAAGTCTGGCTTTTGTGAGAATGTTTTCCCACATTCGTTACATTAATAGGGTCTTACACCTATGTGTATCCTTTGATGTACTATGAGGAATGAATTGTAAACAAAGGTTTTTCCACATTCTTTACCCTCATGGGATTTCTCCCCTGTGTGAGTTCTCTGATGTACTTGGAGATATGACTTCTCACAGAATTTTTTCCCACATTCACTACACTCATTGGGTTTATCACCTGTGTGTGTTCTCTGATGTACTGATGTACTGTAAGGACTGACTTATATCTAAAGGCTTCCCTTCAGATATAAGTCACATAACCTAATGACACTTTGCATTTGTATGTATCGAATGTGCATGACACATTCAATACATTCTTAGGGTTTTTGCCCTGTGTGTATCTGCCAATGAACTGTAAGGCCTGACCTATTTGTGAAGGTTTTCTCACATTCAGTACATTCATAAAGTTTCTCCCCTGTGTATATCCTATTATGTACTATGATAGATGAACTGTGGCTGAGAGCTTTCCCACACTCATTACATTCATAGAACTTTCCTCCTACGTGTGTTTGCTGATGTTTAGGGAGAACTGACATATGCCAAAAAGAACTCCCATAATGACTATTTTGAAAGGTTTTCTTTTCTGCGTATGTATGCTGTTGAGAGAGACTTGGTTTCTTAAAGATTTCCCTACCTTCATTACATTCAAAGCTTGTTTTTCCTTTTTGAGTTCTTTCAGTGTCAATAAAGAGTGACTTTTGCCAAAATTATTCTCACACTCATAGTATTTTTTCCCCATGATTCCTCCATGGTGTTTATTTAGAGATTTCTCACCAACAGACCTCCTCCCACAGCAATTAAACTCGTAGTGATTTTCCCTTCTGTGAGTACTCTGATGAACAAGGAGGTTTGGATTGTCAGAAAAGGCTCTTAGTTGTTCATTATATTCACAAGGTTTCTCCCAGAAGCACACTCTCTTATGGGTACTGAAGGCTGCCTCCTCATGAAAAGCTTTCCCACACTCAAGGTATTCAAAAATTTGCTTCAGAGTTTGAATATCCTGATGCTGAAATAAGTCCTCATTCTAACAGATGGCTTTCTCATTTCTGTCACACTCAAAATGTTTCTCTCTGGCATAAGGATGCTCATGTCATATGAAGGAGCAATTTCGCATGTGCACTGAGCTCATCAAGCTTCCTTCCAAAGGAGTTTCTATTACTAACAATTAATTCTGAAATATAATTCACGTTCATTATACATAAGTCATATTTATCAGGTATTTTTCTCATTGGAACAAGGTTTGAATTTATATTAAATGTTTCTCCTAAAACACTATTTCTGTCTTCCATCAGTATTTTGTTGTTGACAAAACCAGCTTTCCTCAAATGCTGGTCTTGGTTTTCCTGGTTCTTCTCCATCAGGTCAACTTTCCAGAATTCTAGAAATGAGAATAGTTTACCATATCTTATAAATATTAACACATTTCATGTGGAAAGGGGATGTAACATGCAAATGCTCTAGGATAGCCCAGGCATCTGGTCTGAAAGTAATCCTGAAGGCATACATCTCACTCCCTTAGGATTAGACAAAACAAACTGAATATGAAAAAAGGAGAGGAATCTGCAAATAAAAACACAGTAATCTGGCACTTTAGAAATGTGACCTTCAAAACTGGATAAAGTGGAATAAACAAATACAGCAAATGGTATTTTAGGATGAATGGTAGAGGCATGAAGGGGAATCATCGAAAGCATTGAATAGTAGGTAAAATTGCCAGAAAAAAAATCAGGTGATAGTGTTTGAGGGGTGACGGCAAAGAAAAAATTAAGTTTGGAGGAGGCAAATGTAGGTTTTTATCTCCTGCTGTAAAATACTCACTAATACATATGTTTCCAATGCATCACTAATTCTTTTCTTTGTTTTTATTTTTTTTATTTTTTGTTTTTTGAGACAGAATCTAGCTCTTTGCCCAGGCTGGATTGCAATGGCACAATCTTGGCTCATTGCAACCTCCACCTCCCAGGTTCAAGTGATTCTCCTGCCTCATCCTCTCAAGTAGCTGGGATTACAGGCACCCGCCACCGTGCCTGGCTGATTTTTGTATTTTTAGTAGAGACAGGGTTTCGCCATCTTTGCCAGGCTGGTCTCGAACTCCTGACCTCAGGTAAACCTACCACCTCAGCCTCTCAAAGTGCAGAGATTACAGGCATGAGCCACCGCACCCTAAGGTCCTAGCAGGTGTTGCTCTATCTCTGATTTCTTTTAAATTATCTGAATGAGTAGTAAATCAGTGGACACATACTAGCAAGTGGTATTTGTATTTTTAGTAGAGATGGGATTTCACCATATTGGCCAGGCTGGTCTCAAACTCCTGATTTCAAGTGATCTGCCCACTTCAGCCTTCCAAAGTGCTGGGATTACAGGCATGAGCCACTTTGCCTGGCTCTTCTTTTCTCTTCCACTCATCAACACCAAATTACAATTTCAGACAGCAATAATTTTCCATGTGCAAAAGAAAACTCCTATTGCCCAGACAGTAATTCTTACTCTAGCTGATTCACACCAAAAGCCAATGTCCAGAGAAAGCATACATGTAGGCTATGGAAACAAGATCAGGTATGTAGTTTTATTCTGCTGTTGTATCTTCATTTTCTTTTACCACAGTTGTCATTAATGAACCTGTCATAGCCATCAAATCATAAAATTTCCCTATTTATCAATTTATTTCATAAACAGTCTTGTACCTCACACAACTCTTTTTGTATATATAAAGTCATCCTTTACTTTTCATATACATATAATATATAATATATACGTGTGTATATATTACATATATGAATATACATATATAATTTTTTAACCATTTATTTATTTCAGCATGTCTGGTTTCTCTTTCCAGTGTGAGCTTTAAAGACCATAGTTTTCAACCTAATCTTAGAATCTTTACTGATCTTCATACAGTTAATCCTCATTATTCATGGATTTTGTGACAACAAATTCATCTACTCATTAAAACTTATTTGTAAACCCAAAATCAAGACTCTTGGTGCTTTCATTGTCAAGAACATGCACTGAGCACTTAAAAACTTCAGTCACCCAGCACACATATTCCCAGGTGAAACTGAACAAGGCCATGCTCTAGCTTCTTGTTTCAGTTCTCATACTATAAACAAGTGCCCGTCCCTGGTACTGTTAGTGCCACATTTTTCAGTTTTGTGGGTTTTGCTGGTGATTTCACTGTTTAAAATAGTCCGCTAGTGTAGGACTGAAGTACTGTCTCTCGTGTTCCTAAGTGCAAGAAGGCTGTGATGTGCCTGTGGAGAATATATGTGTGTTAAATTAGCTTTATTCATGAGATGTAGTGCCATTGGCCATAAATTCAATATTAATAAATCAGCTATATATATGGGTATATTTTTAAAAATAAACCCATATTAAAAAGGATTATGTATGGATTAGCTAACAAAAATGTGGGCAGAGGCTGGCAGGAACTAACCCTGTATTTCATCTGGGAGCAATGATTCAATATTCATTAATTCAGTGCTTGTGGTAACTTTCCAGAACATGAATACCATGAATCATGATAATCAACCATATCTTTTTATTATGAAGCTTCCTCTGACAACTATCACCCTGTTCTTACCCAGATTCAACACAATATTAACAATACTATGGTCAAAAACCTACCACATCCCTGAGCCTAGTGTCCCAAAGGACTAAGAAACAAAACAGATAAAGTCGACACTCACAGACCAGATCTGACAAATGGATTCTATTTGCTATTGGCAACTGTCACTCCTTATTACCACAGTCACCATCCTCTGCTGTCCACAATCCAAACCATCTTTCCTCCATAATTGCTCATCCCCAACCACAGACCTGCGTTATAAGCATCCACTTGGGTACTGGGCCTTTCAATGTTAGCCTACTCAGCAGCTGGATGCCTTCAAGAAATAGCTATTATCCCATAATATCCCAAAAAATCTTCATAAATCTTTACAGTTAAAAGGTGGTGATATTAACTTTATCACTTTGTATGTCACTGCTCTATAACAAATATTTCTTTCTAACTGTTTAACTTTAAAATATTTTCATGCTGGTTTTGTTCTTTTGCCACAAATGCACCCTAAGGTCCTAGCAGTGTTGCTCTATCTCCGATTTCTTTTAAATTATCTGAATGAGTAGTAAATCAGTGGACACATACTAGTAAGTTGCATGCATCACAATTTCTTGGAAGGCTATTTCAAAACACAAACCTTAAACTTCTTGCCAATTTACACCCAATAATCAAGCTGAATATATTCACCTTAGCATGTCTACTTAAAAAGAGTTCCTTGGTTTTCTGTGTGAATAAATGTAAAAGAGTACTCACAACCCAGGCCATACAATCAACAAAGAAATATCTACTGCATCTTACCTAGTAAAGGAAGGAAGAGTGAAAGAGGGATCTTTCTCTCTGGGGGTAGAAAAATTTAAGTGGAAAAAAAAAACTAGTCAAGAACTTAATCTGGTCAGGTATCAGATAATCAGGTATTAGATAGTCTAATATTAGATTAACATACAGTCATTTTGTGTACATGAATAATGCAGCTAATGGATATTTCACACAAAAAAATAGCAAACTTCAGCTGTAACCTAAAATGTATGTAACAAGAACAACAGCAATAAGACTTTATTATATATGCAAGGTACTGCTTTAACCACTTTTCACTTATTCATTCATTTAACCATCTGGACAGGAAAGATACACACTAGAATGAAAAGGGCAAACAAGATAAGGAGCACTACATGTTTGAAAGACATCTAGGTGACTTTACCAAATGGAGTTAGGCAGGGTTTGGGGCAACAGAGAAAAATAAATTTGGTCAGGCTAAATGTGGCCACACGTGAGGCTTGTTAAAGAACTAACATTTTAGGCCAGGCACAGTGGCTCACGCTGTAATCCCAGCACTTTGGGAGGCCAAGATAGGCGGATCACAAGGTCAGGTGTTCGAGACCAGCCTGGCCAATATGGTAAAACTCCGTTTCTACTAAAAATACAAAACTTAGCTGGGTGTGGTGGCGGGCACCTGTAGTCCCAGCTGCTTGGGAGGCTGAGGCAGAAGAAATGCCTGAACCTGGGAGGTGGAGCTTCTAGTGAGCCAAGATCGCACCAGTGCAATCTGGCCTGGGCAACAGAGCAAGACTCCATCTCAAAAAAAAAAAAAAAACTTACATTTTAGGTGTTAGGTAAGAGGAGAGAAATCATAGATTTATCCTGCCAGGCTAGTAACAAGGTAAATCAGAAGTTTGAAGTTTTACATTTTAAGTCTAATTCTATCATGAATTAGATTAATCAGAGCAAGATCATAACAAATATATGGATCTGCTTGTGGGTGATGTCAGTAGAAAGTAAGAATAAGAAGGTATTTTGAAGACACTTTATAAAAGTGAAACAAGAACTGCAAAACAACAGTAAGAGTGTGATAATGTATGGTGGCTCACACTTGTAATCCCAGCCACTCAGGAGACTGAGGCAGAAGAAACATTTGAGCCCAGGAGTCCAGGACCAGCCTGGGCAGCACAGCAAGACCCCATCTCAAAAAAAAAATTTTTGAGAGAGCTAGAAGATTTAAAGTGGTTTCATTTTTGTCAGTTATAGTAGACCTAATGAATTAAAAATGTCAAGTGATGAATTAAAAATATGAAGTGAAAATTTTAAATTTGTGAGATATAATTTTACTTTTTAGCTTTTGCTGTATTGAGAAAGTTAGAATTAAAACCCAAGAAGAATTTAACGTAAGTAGGTAAAATACTGTAGGAGTCTAGAGCAAACGGGACAAGTGAGAAAGTGATAAAATTTGAGAATCACAAGCTTTAAGTCTTGAGAATGTATAAGAGAGTTGTGAATAATGTTTTGAGAGAATTGCTGTAAGAGAGAACAGAAGGTCCATAGGGTAGTTTTTGAAGATGCATAGAAGAGCCCTGGGAATCGCCATCCATCCATCTAATAGATATGTTATTATGGGACAATTGTGTGCCAGGCTTCATGCCAGAAACAGAGTATGATGGTCTGAGCAGGGCAGACAAGAGGTGGATAAGCACTTCAAGATTGAGTGCTTATCAATCTTGATAGATAAGGGGCAATATGGCAAGATGGTCATCAAAAGGGGCATCAGAAAGGGGCAATATGGCAAGATGGTCATCAAAAACATAAACTTTAGAGGTGTCCCCCTTTATGGCCAATGAAGACAGTCTGGGAACCTGTGTGGCACTGGCATATGAAGTGCTATACCTAGGGGACATAAATTCAGTCAATGTCTGTAGCAATAGTGATACACGGCGGGGTATCCATTTGCTCCTTTGTAACTTAAATCAGAGAACTCCCAACTAAACCAGCTGCTTGGGGCCTAGATGGGAGGTAGAACTTTCATTGAATGCCTTTTCCAAAAGCTCACCACTGTGTATTCTGCGAAGTGCCTTGGTCACTATCAGTAATGTCTGGTCAGAAAGGTGTGTTCAGGTGAGGTCCTGTATTGTGGCCTTGACACCTGTTACTTTGATTTTTATTCTGGGTATCTGTGAGGCAAGAGATTCCCAGAGATCTTTACCCCAAAGGGGGCAACTCTTAGGCAATGGCCTAAAAATGTAGTGAGAGTATCATTTTTTGGCCAGGTTTAGGACATCCAGTGCTAGGACGACTGCCTGAAAGTGGCCACTGGTGCTGACCCTTGGTCAGGAGCATCCTGAATAAAGGATGGAAAGCAGCAACATTCCACCGAGCTCCAGCATGTATAGTCTAGAAACTCCTATTTCTGTTCAGTTAATCTCACAGGGATCCTCAGGTAGCCAAGGACCTCCTCCAGTACCATGGTATTTGCCAAGAAACTGAGAACAAAGAAAGCCACCCCTCCCACAGATGGAGTATGCCAGAGGGCTCGGGTGTGGCTCCATCCTACATCAAGGAGGTTTTGGTAGCTGTGCCAAACTTGCAGCGCCCTGCTTCTGTGACCCAAGGAACAATGGGCAGCTGGTATGGAGGGTCACAAGCTCAGGACCTGTAAAAGCCTCTATTTCCAAGAGACCCCAGTATGTGACCAACAGTTGCTGCTCTAATGATGTACAGTGCAATGTCAAAGAGGGCAGTTTCTTGCGTCAGGGGCTCATGGGCAATTTGTGGCCACCATGAGTTATGAGAGAAGGCTGCTAAAGCCCCTATGGTAAAGGAGTCTTTGAGGAGACTCATGGGATTCCTGTCATATTGCAATGTGGACAGATTCTAAAGCCTTTTGTTGAAGGGAATCCATCCAAGGTGGGCCAACTTGCAAGTAACAGCATCAGTGAAATTAAGTAAAACTTGTAAATGAGGAATATGTCACCTCTAGATC
Organism: Homo sapiens; assembly: GCF_000001405.40. Taxonomy (NCBI): domain Eukaryota; kingdom Metazoa; phylum Chordata; class Mammalia; order Primates; family Hominidae; genus Homo; species Homo sapiens. The sequence continues at coordinate 43,517,312 of NC_000010.11, read as the reverse complement.
TCAAAGAGGACTGAAAGATATTTGTATTAACATTGTGTGTACTGAGAAAGTCAATAGCTGTTTCTTGATGGTGTCAGGGATGAAATGGCCCTCAGATTACCAAATAACTTTCAGGAATTTAACAGAGGTGGCAAGACCCCTCACACAACGTGTGGAGACCACTTTTTGTGTGCTCCTTTTTCAGTACTTGTATGTCCTGAATTAGTGTGTCAAAAGTATCTTCTCAGAAGATGTCATCAATGTAATATGATAGTTGTCCTCTTAGAGAAATTTGGACGCAGTTGAGATCTTGCCTACAAAGACTATGTGATGACAAGGCTGCTACGGTACCCCATGGATAACCTGGTAGAGGCATACTGTGTCCCTTTAGAGATGAAGGAAAACTACAGCCTAGAGGCTGTTGAAATAGGCTCTGAACAGGGCATATTAGCCATGTGATGGTTAATACCAGGTGTCAACGATTGGATTGAAGGATACAAAGTATTGATCCTGAGTGTATCAGTGAGTGTGTTGCCAAAGGAGGCTAACATTTGAGTCAGTGGGCTGGGAAAGGCAGACACACCTTTAATCTGGGTGGGGCACAATCTAATCAGCTGCCAGCATGACTAGAATATAAGCAGGCAGAAAAATGTGAAAAAGACTGGCCTAGCCTCCCAGCCTACATCTTTCTCCCGTGCTGGATGCTTCCTGCCCTCAAACATCAGACTCTTCAGTTTTGCAATTTGGACTGGCTCTCCTTGCCCCTCAGCATGCAGACAGCCTGTTGTGGGACCTCGTGATGATGTGAGTTAAGACTTAATAAACCCCTCTATACATATATATGTGTACACACACACAAATACACATATTCCATTAGAGTTCTGTCCCTCTAGAGAACCGTAATACAGATTTTGGTACCAGGAGTTGTTCTAGAGGAAGAGAATATTAAGTATGAAGGTCTTTCATTGGTTTTGGAGTTTCTGGAGTTAGCTGCTTGCTATGATTAGACCCAAAAATGCCAAGGACTCTACTTCTAATAGTATGAAAAACACTGATAGTCCTTGGCATGAACTGTTTAGATAGTTATGCAAAATAAACGCATTTGACACTCCTGATTCATTGCTCATGACAGGCAAGGAGTTTAGTAACCCTATATATACCTTTGACCATATGTGGAGAACCAAGGAACATAATGAAGCTGGTTGGTTGCTCCTACATTCAGTGGACAAAGTGGTGAAAGAAAATGATGAACTAGGCTGGGCACGGTGGCTTATGCCTATAATCCCAGCACTTTGAGAGGCCAAGGCGGGCGGATCACGAGGTCAGGAGATCAAGACCATCCTGGCCAACATGGTGAAATCCCGTCTACTAAAATACACACACACAAAAAAAATTAGATGGGTGTGGTGGTGCGCCCTGTAGTCCCAGCTACTCAAGAGGCTGAGGCAGGGGAATCACTTGAACCCTGGAGGCAGAGGTTGCAGTGAGCCGAGATTGCACCGCTGCACTCCAGCCTGGCGGCCGAGCGAGACTCCGTCAAAAAAAAAGAGAAAATGAACTCAGGGATTCTCTCTCCCAGCTTCAGAAGCAGATACTGAGATTCAAATCTGCTAAGATTGCCCTGAGTGAGTCTTATCTCCTGTAGAGAAAGAGCGAAAATTGTGGAAAAACAGACACAAGCTCTTACCATGAGAGTGGCTGACATGCAACAAAAGGTGAATGCACAGCCACGCTAGGTATCTATTGCAAAAGTAAGGGCATTGATTGGAAAAGAATAGGACCTGCAACTTGGAATGGTGATGTGTGGGAGGACCCTGATGAAGCTGAGGACACTGAGTTTGTAAACTCTGATGAATCTTTTTTGCCAGAAGAAACAGCTTCCCCATCCCTGGTAGTGGCAACATCCCCTCCCTGACCCATGCTGCCATCAGCCTTTCCACCTTTGTCTGAGGAGATAAACCCTGTGCTGCCTGAGGCAATGGTGATGGTTGCCAGGCAAGATAATGTTGATTTTCCTCAGGAGCCACCCCCAACACCCGTTTGCTTCTAGACCTATAACTAAAGTCCCAACAGGCCCCTAGAGGTGAGGTTGAGAGTATGCACTACACTCAAAAGGAACTGCTTGAGTTTTCTAATTCATATAAATAAATCTGCAGAACAGGCATGGGAATGGATATTAAGGGTGTGGGATAATGGTGGAAAGAACACAAAGTTTGATCAGGCTGAATTTATTGATTTGAGTCCACTAAGTACGGACTCTGCATTCAATGTTGCCACTTGGGTAGTTAAAAAAGGTTCTAATAGTTTATTTGCTTGGTTAGCTAAAATACAGATAAGAAGATGATCCACTGTGAGCAAGCTGGATATGCCTCATCTCCCTTGGTTTAACGTAGAGGAAGGGATACAAAGGCTTAGGGAGATTGGGATGGTGGAGTGGATTAGTCACTTTAGACCTACTCATCCCAGCTGGGAGGGCCCAGAAGATATACCCTTGACCAATGCCTTGTGAAACAGATTTGTGAGGGCAACACCTGCATCTTTGAAGAGCCCTCTAATTGCTCTTCTCTGTATGTCAGATCTAACAGTGGGAACTGCAGACACTCAACTACAAAATTTAAATATAATGGGAATAATTGGATCCCAAGGTGGCAGGGGCCAAGTGGCAGCACTCAACCATCAAAGGCAAGGTGGGCGTGGCTACTCTGATGGACAGCAGAGGCAAAGTGGCAATCAGAAGATCCTGACTAATGTAGAGCTCTAGCATTGGCTAATCATGGTGTTCCTACAAGTGAAAGTGATAGGAAGCCTACTGCATTCCTACTTAATTTATATAAGCAGAAAATTTCTAAGTCGAAGGGACAAAAGTCTAATTTGAATTATAAAAACAGAGAATCAGCCAGCACAGTGGCTCACACCTATAATCCCAGCACTTTGGGAGGCCAAGGCAGGTGGATCACCTGAGCTCAGGAGTTCAAGACTAGCCTGGCCAACATGGTGAAACCCCATCTGTACTAAAAATACAAAAATTAGCCAGGCATGGTGGCACAAACCTGTAATCCCAGCTACTCAGGAGGCTGAGGCTGGAGAATTGCTTGAACCCAGGAAGTGGAGGTTGCAGTGAGTCGAGATCACACCAATGCATTCCAGCCTGAATGACAGAGGGAGACTCTGTCTCAAAAACAAACAACAAAAACAAACAAAAAAACAAACTAGAGAATCACAACCCCTCAATCAATTTCCAGACTTGAGCCAGTTTACAGATCCAGAACCCCTTGAATGAAGGGGAGACCAGGTCCCCTTGAGGAAGAACCCTACTACATTACCGACAATTTACATAGTGACTCTTTCTCCCATCCTTCCACAAGGAGACCTCCAACCTTTTACCAGGGTAACTGTGCACTGGGGAAAGTGAAATGATCAGACATTTCGGGGACTGCTGGACACTGGCTCTGAGCTAACGATTCCAGGGGACCCAAAACATCACTGGTCCTACAGTTAAAGTAGGGGCTTATAGAGATCAGGTAATTAATGAAATTTTAGCTCAGGCCCAACTTACAGTGGGTCCAGTGGGTCCCCGGACTTACCCTGTGGTCATTCCTGAGTGCCAGAATGCATAATTGGCATAGACATACTTAGCAGCTGGCAGAACTCCCATATTGGCTCCCTGACTGGTAGGATAAGGGCTATTATGGTGGTAAAGGCCAAATGAAAGCCATTAGAGCTGCCTTTACCTAGAAAAATAGTAAATCAAAAACAATATCACATCCCTGGAGAGACTGTGGAGATTAGTGCTACTACCAAGGACTTGAAAGACGCTGGGGTGGTGATTCCCACCACATCCCCATTCAGCTCTCCCATTTAGCCTGTGCAGACGACAGATCTTGGAGAATGACCATGGATTATTGTAAGCTTAACAAAGTGGTGACTCCAATTGCAGCTGCTGTACCAGATGTGGTTTCATTGCTTGAGCAAATTAGCACATTTCCTGGTAGGTGGTATGCAGCCATTGTCTTGGCAAATGTCTTTTCCTCCATTCCTGTCCATAAGGCCCACCAAAAGCAATTTGCCTTCAGCTGGCAAGGCCAGCAATATACCTTTACTGTCCTACCTCCAGGGTATATCAATTCTCTGGCTTTGTGTCATAATCTTATTCGGAAGCACCTTGATCGCTTTTTCTTATTTGGAGACACCTTGATCACTTTTCGCTGCCGCAAGATATCACACTGGTCCATTACATTGATGATATTATGCTGACTGGATCCAGTGAGCAAGAAGTAGCAAACACACTGGACTTACTGGTGAGACATTTGTGTGCCAGAGGATGAGAAATAAAACTGACTTAAATTCAGGGAACTTCTACCTCAGTAAAATTTCTAGGGGTCCAGTGGTGTGGGGCCTGTTGAGATATTCCTTCTAAGGTGAAGAATAAGTTGCTGCATTTGACCATTCCTTCAACCAAGAAAGGCACAATGCCTAGTAGGCCTATTTGGATTTTGGAGGCAAAGCATTCCTCATCTGGGTGTGTTACTCCAGCCCATTTATCAAGTGACCCGAAAGGCTGTCAGTTTTGAGTGGGGTCCAGAACAGAAGAATGCTCTGCAATAGGTCCAGGCTGCTGTGCAAGCTGCTCTGCCACTTGAGCCATATGACCCAACAGATCCAATGGTGCTGGAGGTGTCAGTGACAGACAGGGTGCTGTTTGGAGCCTTTGGCAGGCCCCCATAGGTGAATCACGATGGAAGCTTCTAGGATTTTGGAGCAAGGCCCTGCCATCTTCTGCAGATAACTACTCTCCTTATGAGAGACAGTTCTTGGCCTATTACTGGGCTCTGGTGGAAACTGAAGGTTTGACTATGGGTCATCAAGTCACCTGGCAACCTGAACTGCCTATTATGAACTGGGTGCTTTCTGACTCATATAGCCATAAAGTGGGTCATGCGCAGCAGCATTCCATCATCAAACGGAAGTGGCATATATGTGATCAGGCTCGAGCAGGTCCTGAAGGCACAAGTGAGTTACATGAGGAAGTGGCTCAAATGCCCATGGTCTCCACTCCTGCCACCATGCCTTCTCTCCCCCAGCCTGCACCGATGGCCTCATGGGGAGTTCCCTATGATCAGTGAACAGAGGAAAAGAGGACTAGGGCCTGGTTCACAGATGATTCTGCACGATATGCAGGCATCACCTGAAAGTGGACAGCTGCAGCACTACAGCCCCTTTCTAGGACATCTCTGAAGGACAGCGGTGAAGGGAAATCTTCCCAGTGGGCAGAACGTTGAGCAGTGCACCTGGTTGTGCACTTTACATGGAAGGAGAAATGGCCACATGTGCGATTATATATTGATTAATTGGCTGTAGCCAATGGTTTGGCTGGATGGTCAGGGACTTGGAAGAAGCATTACTGGAAAATTGGTGACAAACTTGGGGAAGAGGTGTGTGGATGGATCTCTCTCAGTGGTCAAAAACTGTGAAGATATTTGTATCCCATGTGAGTGCTCACCAACAGGTGACCTCAGCAGAGGAGGATTTTAATAATCAAGTGGATAGGATGACCCGTTCCGTGGACAGCACTCAGCCTCTTTCCTCAGCCACCCCTGTCGTCGCCTAATGGGCCCATGAACAAAGTGGCCATGGTGGCAAGAGTGGAGGTTATGTATGGGCTCAGCAACATGGACTTCCACTCACCGAGGCTGACCTGGCTATGGTCACTGATGAGTGCCCTATTTGCTAGCAGCAGAGACCAACACTGAGCCCTTGATATGGCACCATTCCTCGGGTGATCAGCCAGCTACCTGGTGGCAGGTTGATTATATTGGACCTCTTCCATCATGGAATGGACAGAGGTTTGTCGTCATTAGAATAGACACTTACTCTGGATATGGGTTTGCCTATCCTGCACACAATGCTTCTGCCAAGACTACCATCTGTGGACTCACAGAATGCCTTATCCACCATCACAGTATTCCACACAGCACGTCCTCTAACCAAGGTGCTTACTTTATGGCTAAAAAAGTGCGGCAGTGGGCTCATGCTCATGGAATTGACTCATCTAACCATGTTCCCCATCATCCTGAAGCAGCTGGATTGACAGAACAGTGGAATGGCCTTTTGAAGTCACAAATATAACACCAACTAGGTGACAATATTTTGCAAGGCTGGGGCAAAGTTCTCCAGAAGGCTGTGTATGCTCTGAATCAGCATCCAATATATGGTACTGTTTCTCCCATAGCCAGGATTCATGGGTCCAGGAATCAAGGGATGGAAGTGAAAGTGGCACCAGTTACCATCACCCCTAGTGTTCCACAAGCAAAATTTTTGCTTCCTGTTCCCGCAAAATTACGTTCTGCTGGCCTAGAGGTCTTAGTTCCATAGGGAGGAACACTGCCACCAGGAGACCCAACAACAATTCCATTAAACTGGAAGATTGCCACCTGAACACTTTGGGCTTCTTCTACCTTTAAGTGAACCGGCTAAGAAGGGAGTTACAGGGCCGGGCACGGTGGCTCACGCCTATAATCCCCGCACTTTGGGAGGCCAAGGCGGGCGGATCATGAGGTCAGGAGTTTGAGACCAGCCTGACCAACATGGTGAAACCCTGTCTCTACTAAAAATACAAAAATTAGCCAGGCATGGTGGCATGTGCCTGTAATCCCAGCTACTCAGGAGGCTGAGGCAGGAGAATTGCTTGAACCCGGGAGGCAGAGGTTGCAGTGAACCAAGATCATGCCATTGCACTCCAGCCTGGGCGACAGAGTGAGACTCCTTCTCAAAAAAAACAAACAAAAAAAAGGGAGTTACAGTGTTGCCTGGGATGGTTGTCCCGGATTATCAAGATGGAATCAGTCTACTACTCCACAATGGAGGTAAGGAAGAGTATGCATGGAATACAGGAGATCCATTAGGGTGTCTCTTGGTATTACCATGTGCTGTAATTAGATCAATGGGAAACTACAACAGCCCAATCCAGCCAGGACTACAAATGACCCAGACCCTTCAGGAATGAAGGTTTGGGTCACTCCACCAGGAAAAAAACCATGACCTGCTGAGGTGCTTGCTGAAGGCAAAGGGAATACAGAATGGGTAATAGATGAAGGTAGTCATCAATACCAGCTATGACCATGTGACCAGCTGCAGAAACGAGGACTGTAATTGTCATATTTCCTCCCTCTTTTGTTAAGAACATGTTTGTGCATATATATACTTGTACTAAAAAAATCTTCATTTTATTTCCTTTCCCTTTATCATGTGACATAAGATTTATTGACTTCACATCAGCATTTATGTATTGTTAACTTTATGTAATAGTATTTGGGTTGGGAATTGGTACGTTTCCCATTGTATGAAGGACAGTTGTATTATGTTAGGCATAATTATGACCTTATTATTGTCTTTATTTGAAGATTATATATGATCTCAGGAGATGTGTATGGGTTCAAGTTGACAACCGGTGGACTTGTGATGGTTAATACTGAGTGTCAACTTAATTGTATTGAAGGATACAAAGTATGGATCCCGGGCGTGTCTGTGAGGGGGTTGCCAAAGAAGATTAACATTTGAGTCAGTGGGCTGGGAAAGGCAGACCCACCTTAATCTGGGTGGGCACAATCTAATCAGCTGACAGCGAGGCTAGAATATATATAGGCAGAAATACGTGAAAAGAGAGACTGGCCTAGCCTCCCCGCCTACATCTTTCTCCCATGCTGGATGCTTCCTGCCCTCGAACATTGGACTCCAATCCTTTTGGAACTAATCCTTTTGGAAGTTGGACTGGTTCTCCTTGCTCCTCAGCTTGCAGATGGCGTGTTGTGGGGCCTTGTGTTTGTGTGAGTTAATCCTTAATAAACTCCCATGATATATATATATATATATATATATGTTCCATTAGTTCTGTCCCTCTAGAGAACCCTAATACAAGCCAAATCTACAATAGCAAAATATTTACCAGTTGTTTATTAGATAGAGTCAGTAACTTCAATAATATTGGGTATCAGGTCTGAGGACCTTAAGGTTCCAGTAATCCACCATGAGGCACTATTCACATTCATGCTTTCCAGGTTAAAAAGGCCAAGTTTGGCTGCTAGATGCAGGTGCAGTGGGATAATCACCCCTTCATACAAGTTTCAATTCTTTTTTTTTTTTTTGGACAGAGTCTTGCTCTGTCACCCACGCTGGAGTGCAGTAGTGCAATCTTGACTCACTGCAACCTCCACCTCCTGTGTTCAAGTGATTCTCATGCCTCAGCCACCCGAGTAGCTGGGATTACAGGTGTGCACCACCATGCCTAGCTAATTTTTGTATTTTTAGTACAGAGAGCGTTTTGTCATGTGCCCCAGCTGGTCTTGAACTCCTGAGTTCAAGCAATCTGCCTGCCTCAGCCTCTTGAAATGCTGGGAGCCACCGTGCCCAGCCTTAATTCTTGAAGGCCCTGTTTTAATTTACATTGGCCACATTAACTATTTTATTTAATTTTATTTATTTATTTATTTTGAGGTGTAGTTTCACTCTTGTCACCCAGGCTGAAGTGCAGTGATGCAATCTTAGCTCACTACAACCTCCGCCTCCCAGGTTCAAACGATTCTCCTGCCTCAGCCTCCCGAGTAGCTGGGATTACAGGCATGCACCACTACACCTGGCTAGTTTTTTTGTTTGTTTGTTTTTGTTTTTGTTTTTTGTATTTTTGTATTTTTAGTAGAGACGGGATTTTGCCATGTTGGCCAGGCTGGTCTCAAACTCCTGACCTCAGGTGATCCACCCGCCTCGGCCTCCCAAAGTGCTGGGATTACAGGCATGAGCCACCGTGCCCAGCCCGATATTATTTTAACTGTGGTTTTCACAAGGTCCCTTTTCATTAAGCCAAGTTGTTAAGTGCCAATGACTTCATTTTAATTTATTGCTCACTGATTCCATGTCCACCACGGTACATTTTAAGGTCATAAGTGCTATGACCATGTGGTATCTTGGAGAGACAACAGTTAAGGTGAGGCATACTTATTTAGTCTCTATTTTATATTCAGAAACTCCCCTAAAAACATACAGACAAGGAGGGGAAGTTCTTTTTATTCTGCTCATATTTATAGATTTCTTTCTCCAGAGAGCCTCAAATCATTATCATCAGGGTGAGAGGCCTCCTCCTTCCCTGCAAGGCAATGGTTGGTTTACAGGGTTTAAGAACCTCAGGCTTAAGCTGGGTTTGAATTAACCCCCTCACAATGCCACAGGGTGCCATAGGGTGGCTTTTCCCTATGACCCTACAGAGGAGGATTTTTCTTGCAATGGAGGCTCGGGCAGCAAAGTACTGCAGTGGAAACCTGCAAGGCCCATGGCCCAGTGGTGGGTGGACTGAAACTATCCTTAGCAACAGTCCCGCCTTTTCCATGACACAGGCTTTTTTATTGCTGTCTATATATAAATTGCCAAACAATATTTTAGATTTCTAGCCACAATAAGTTGCAGCTTTCCATTTCAGTCACTGTCCCATCACCATGTGGACCTTCTGGATGAGAACAGGGAAAGGTTCAGGGGCCCAATGGCCCACCTTGTAGGCAGCTGCCCCTTCTGACAGGGAGGGCCAATCAATATCTCCAGGGTTAGGATCCACATCCAGGAAGGTCATTTTGTTTATGGCCCAGGTGGGAGCCAACAAGCTGTGCCATTACAAGCTTAGCCCTCTGGCTTCTTGGTAAGCAGCCATACTAAGCAAAGCCCAGGTGCACTGGCTAGGGGTTTTGCATGGGGAAAGCAGTTGAGCTACATTCTCCAGCAGGAGAGGCTGGTACCAAATGCTCCTTCTATTTTTTCATCAGCTCCTCGGTTGTGGGCTACAACAGATTTGCACCTTCATGCTCTTAGACACCAGGAGAGCACGCTGAACAGAAGCAGGGGAAGCAACAGCACAAGTGCCAGGCAAGGCCATTACTCTTGCCTGAAAAACACTCACTAGGCATCCATGGTGCCATGTTTAATTCTCCCTGGAGTAGTGGTCTTCTTTCTTCCTTTCCGCTAACCTCAGGAAGGGCAGACCTGTCCCAGGGGGTGGGTGCACAATCACAAATAACATCTGTATAGCTCCCCCAGGTAGCCAGTGATGGTTCACAGAGTAGACACAGCAACAAAAGAGATCTGGCCTGACTCGTGGTAAGCTGAACTCAAGCACCAACTGGTTAGGGTGCTGTGTTGTTGCTGCCTCTACAGGAGGGAGCCTCATAAACCACCTATAAACACACCAAACCCAAGAGCACAGAATGCCACTGTACAGTCAAATAACAATCCTCATGTTGGAGATGAGAGCCACCTAGGGTGGGAAGAAGTGAAAACAATGAAGGCCAAAGCACAAGCCCACCAGCAATGGCCAGTTTGGACCCAGGCAGCCTTTGCTGTATCATGGAGCCAGTTATCCACCAAGAACAGTTAATTACAGCTCACCAGGGGCCCTGGGACCATCCTGTTCATTATGCCAATTGTCATCCCCTCCTCTTCACCCTGTGGGTGAGGAAGGAATTCCTACCCTTGGGTCGTGGGATGGCTGAAGCATACTCAACACCTCATAGGTGATTTTGACAGCATTTATCAGTCACTTGTACTTACGGCCCAGGAGAGGAGGGCACTGCAACAGGCAAGACCACAGAGATATTTCACTCGGGAATAAGTGAACAACCAAGGGCTTTGGGAGGCAGGCTTTTCACTATCAAGAGAGCTTTATTCCCCTAGTTCCTGCAGGAGGATGCAATTGTCTGGTTTAATTCTGAGAGCTGGCAGGAAACTGAAACATACTACTCAGGGATAAGCAGGAACTGTGCCTGGAATTTATTTTATTTTATTTTATTTATTTTAGAGATGGGGTCTCAATCTGTCATCCAGGCTGGAGTGCAGTGGCATTATCACAGCTCACAGTAGCCTCAACCTCCTGGGCCCAAGTGATCACCCTGCCTCAGCCTCCCAAGTAGCTGGGACTACAGGTGTGCATGCCCTATTAATTTTTCAATTTTTTGTACAAAGTCTCACTATGTTACCCAAGCTGGTCTTGAACTCCTGGGCTCAAGCAATCCTCCCACCTTGACCTCCCAAAGTGCTGGGATTATAGGCATGAGCCACAGAGCCGGGCCTGGGCCTGGTCCTTTTGATAAGGAAGGTTTTTCGGCTCAGGGACTTCATCTACAGGAGCAAAGTGGGGAGTAGAACTGTGGCTACTCCATCATGAGTAAATGTTCCTGACAAGAAATGCTAAAAATCCTTCACGGCAAAGTGAAAGTACACCAGACAGTAACTCAAATCCAAATGAAAAGGAAAAGAACACTGGTAAAGGTAATCACACAGGCAAACATAAAAGTCAGTATTCATGCATTTTTGACAACTGAAATCCTCTTTTCTATGTGGTTTAAAAAACATAAAATGGGCTGGGTGTGATGGCTCACGCCTGTAATCCCAGCACTTTAGGAGGCTGATGCGGGCAGATCACTTGAGATCAGAAGTTCAAGACCAGCCTGGCCAACATGGTGAAATCCTGTCTCTACTAAAAATACAGAAATTAGCTGGGCATGGTGGCAGGCATCTGTAATCCCAGCTACTCAGGAGGCTGAGGCAGGAGAATTCCTTGAACCTGGGAGGCAGAGGTTGCAGTGAGCTGAGATCACACCATTGCACTCAGCCTGCGTGACAAGAGTAAAACTCCATCTCAAAGAAAATGAATAAAACATAAAACAGTAATTATAAGACAATGTTGATGAGCAAACATTGTATAAAAATGTAATTATGGACCAGGCGTGGTGGCTCACACCTGTAATCTCAGCACTTTGGGAGGCCAAAGCGGGCAGATCACAAGGTCAGGATTTCAAGACCAGCCTGACTAACACGGTGAAACCCCGTCTCTACTAAAAATACAAAAATTAGCCGGGCATGGTGGTGCACACCTGTAATCCCAGCTACTCAGGAGGCTGAGGCAGGAGAATCACTTGAATCCGGGAGGCAGAGGTTGCAGTGAGCCAAGATCACACCACTGCACTCCAGTCTAGGTGACAGAGGAAGACTCTGTCTCAAACAAAAAAAAAAATGTAAATATGACATAATAACTTAAGGGGGACAGAGCTATATAGGAGAAAAATTTTTGTATACTATAAATATCAAGTTGGTATTCATTCAAACCAGAGTGGTAAAGCCAAGCATGGTGGTGCATGCCTGTAATCCCAGCTATTAGGGAGGCTGAGGCAGGAGGAACGCTTGAGCCCAGGAGTTCGAGGTCTCAGTGCACTGTGACTGTACCTGTGAATAGCCACTGCACTCCAGCTTGAGCAACACAGCAATACTCCATCTCTTTAAAAAACAGCAACAAGGAGGCTGGGTGCAGTGGCTCACGCCTGTAATCCCAACACTTTGGGAGGCTTAGGTGGGCAGAATGCCTGAGCTCGGGAGTTTGAGACCACCTTTGGCAACATGTGAAACCCGGTCTCTACTAAAATACAAAAAATTAGCCAGGCGTGGTGGCAGGTGCCTGTAGTCCCAGCTACTCAGGAGGCTGAGGCATGAGAATTGCTTGAATCCAGGAGGCAGAGGTTGCAGGGAGCCAAGATCGTGCCACTGCACTCCAGCCTGGGCAACACTGTCTCCAAAAAAAAAACAACAACAACAACAACACAAACTAGAGTGGTATAAATTAAGATGTTAACTGTAATCCCCAAAGCAGCCACTAAAAAAGTTATTTCATAAAAGAAATGAAAAAATTCAAAATGGTACATAAGAAAACATGTGCCGGGCATGGTGGCTCACGCCTGTAATCCCAGCACTTTGGGAGGCTGAGATGGGTGGATCACGAGGTCAGGAGTTCACGACCAGCTTGGCCAACATAGTGAAACCCCATCTCTACTAAAAAATACAAAAAAATTAGCCAGGAGTGGTGGCGGACACCTGCAATCCCAGCTACTTGGGAAGCTGAGGCAGGAGAATCGCTTGAACCTGGGAGGCGGAGGTTGCAGTGAGCCGAGATCGCGTCATTGCACTCCAGCTCGGGCAACAGTGCAAGACTCCGCCTCAAAAAAAAAAAAAAAAAAGAAAGAAAGAAAGAAAACATGTATCTAACACATAAGCCAGTAAAGGAGGAACTTAGGAACAAAAAATATATAAGACATATACAAAACAAAAACCACAATGGCATAAATCCTTCATTATCAATAATCAATTTAAATGTACAATCATGTGTCACTTAATGACAGTGACACATTTCTGAGAAATATGTCATTAGGTATGTTTACAAAAACCTAAATGGTATAGCTACTACACACCTAGGCTATATGATACGGCCTATTGCTCCTACGCTACAAACCTGTATAGCATGTGACTATACTGAATACTGTAGGCAAGTGTAACACAATGGTAAGTATTTGTGTGTCTAAACATAGAAAAGGCATAGTAAGTATACAGCGTGAAAGATAAAAAGGCTGAAGCACAGTGGCTCACACCTGTAATCCCAGCACTTTGGGAGGTAGAGGCAGGTGGATTCCTTGAGACCAGGAGTTAGAGACCAGCCTGGGCAACATGGTGAAACCCTGTCTCTACAGAAAAATACAAAAATTAGTTGGGCATGGTGGTGCATGCCTTGTAGTCCCAGCTATTTGGGAGGCTGAGGTGGGAGGATCGATTGAGCCCAGGAAGTTGAGGCTACAGTGAGCCAGGATCATGCCACTATACTCCACCCTGGACGACAGAGAGAGACCTTGTCTCAAAACAAATAAACAAAAAGACTAAAAAATGGCACACCTGTATAGGGCACTTACCATGAATGGAGCTTGCAGGACTAGAAGTTGCTCTGGGTGAGTCAGTCAATGGTGATTGAATGAGAAGGCCTAGAACAGTACTATTACTCTAGACTTTATAAACATTGTACACTTGGGCTACACTAAGTTTATTTTTAAAATAGTTTTCCTTTCTTCAACAATAATCTTAGTTTACCATAACACTTTTTACTTTAACATTTTGACTCTTTTGTAATCATTGTATAGCTGTACAAAAATATTTTCTTTATATCCTTATTCTCCAAGCTTTTTTCTATCTATATATCTATTTGTTTATTTTTACTTTTTAAATGTTTCATTAAAAACTAAGACACACACATACACATTAGCCCAGGCCTACACAAGGTCAGGATCATCATTCTCACTGTCTTCCACCTCCACATCTTGTTCCACTGGAGGGTCTTCAAGGGCAATTAACACACACATAAAGCTGCCATCTCTATGATAACAGTGCCTTCTGGAATACCTCTTAAAGAGACTGTCTGCAGCTGTTTTACAGCCACCTTTTTTTTTTTTTTTTTTTTTGAGACAGGGTCTCACTGTCTCCCAGGCTAGAGTGCAGTGCTACAATCACAGTTCATTGCAGCCTTGACTCCCAGGCTCAAGAGATCCTCCCATCTCAGCCTCTTGAATAGCTGAGACTACAGGCATGTGCCACCACATCTGGCTGATTTTTATATTTCCTGTAGAGATGGGGTCTCACTATGTTGCCCAAGTTGGTCTTGAATACCTGGGCTCAAGTGATTCACCCGGCTTGGCCCCGCAAAGTGCTGGTATTACAGGCATGAGCCACCGCACCTGGCCTGCCCTTTTTTAAATAAGTAGGAGATGTACACTCTGAAATAATGATAAAATGTATAGTAAATACATAAACCAGTAACATAGGCATTTATTGTCATCATCAAGTATTATGTATGATACATCATTGTATGTGCTATACTTTTTAGGACTGTCAGTGCAGTAGATTTAGAACAGCACCAGCACAAACGTGAATAATGAGTTATTTAGGTATTTAGTTTCTTTTTTTTTTATTATACTTTAAGTTCTAGGGTACATGTGCACAATGTGCAGGTTTGTTACATATGTATACATGTGCCATGTTGGTGTGCTGCACCCATTAACTCATCATTTACATTAGGTATACCTCCTGATGCTATCCCCCCCCACCCCACGACAGGCCCCAGTGTGTGATGTTCCCCTTCCTGTGTCCAAGTGTTCTCATTGTTCAATTCCCACCTGTGAGTGAGAATATGCGGTGTTTGGTTTTCTGTTCTTGCAATAGTTTGCTGAGAATGATGGTTTCCAGCTTCATCCATGTCCCTACAAAAGACATGAACTCATCCTTTTTTATGGATGCATAGTATTCCATGGTGTATATGTGCCAAATTTTCTTAATCCAGTCTATCATTGATGGACATTTGGGTGGTTCCAAGTCTTTGCTATTGTGAATAGTGCCGCAATAAACATACATGTGCATGTGTCTTTATAGCAGCATGATTTATAATCCTTTGGGTATATACCCAGTAATGGGATGGCTGGGTCAAATGGTACCTCTAGTTCTAGATCCTTGAGGAATAGCCACACATTGTAGTATTTAGTTTCTTTCAACAATGTTTTGTAGTTTCAGTGTACAAGTCTTGCCTCATTTGGTTAAATATACTCTGAAGTATCTTAATTTTTTTAATGCTATTGTAAATGGTTACTGCACCATTGTACTCCAGCCTGAGTGGCAGAGCAAGACCCTGTCTGGAAAGAAAAAAAAAAGGAAAGTTAAAAGGTTTTGTGGGTTTTTTTTGTTTTTGTTTTTTTTTGAGACAGGGTCTCACTCTGTTGCCCAAGCTGGAATGCAGTGGCACTATCTCAGCTCACTGCAACCTCTCCACCTCCTGGGTTCAAAAGATTCTCCTGCCTCAGCCTCCCAAGTAGCTGGGACTACAGGCGCATGCCACTATGCTCAGCTAATTTTTGTATTTTCAGTAGAGATGGGGTTTCGCCATGTTGACCAGGCTGGCCTCGAATTCCTGACCTCAGGTGATCTGCCCACCTCAGCCTCCCAAAGTACTAGGATTACAGGCATAAGCCACTGAGCCTGGCCTAGAAAAGTTAAAAGTTTGTAAAGGAAAAAAGTTACAGTAAACTAAAATTAATATATTGTTGAAGAAAAATATTTTTTATAAACAGTGTAGCCTAAGTGTACAGTGTTTATAAAGCCTACAGTAGTGTACAATAACGTACTAGGCCTTCACACTCACCACTCACCCACTGACTCATGCAGAGAAACTTCCAGACCTGCAAGATCCATGCATGGTAAGTGCCTATACAGGTATACCATTTTTTTTCATCTTTTATACTATATTTTTACTGTACCTTTTCTATGTTTACATATATAAATACTTACCATTGTGTTACAATTGTCTACAGTATTCCATACAGTAACATGCTGTACAGGTTTATAGCCCAGGAGCAACAGGCTATATCGTATAGTCTAGATGTGTGGTAGGCTATACCATCTAGGTTTGTGTAAGTACACACTCTATGATGTTTGCACAGCAATGAAGTTGCCTAACATGTCCCAGAGTGTATCCTTGTCACTAAGCAAGGCATAACTGTATGCTGAATCTACAGGTAAATTTAGAGAGCGTGACAATTTCAAGATATTATTAGGTGTTCCCTATCTCCATATTTATGTTTCCTTTAATGCTTTTCAATATACTTTTCTTGTTTTCTCCATTAAAGGCCTTGCTGACCAGGCCCAGTGGCTCATGTCTGTATTTCCAACACTTTGGGAGTCCAAGGTGAGAGAATCGCTTGAGTCCAGAAGTTCAGGACCAGCCTGGCAACAAGAAGAAACCCCATCTCCACAAAAATACAAAAAAAAAAAAAATTAGCTGGGCATGGTGGTGTGCGCCTGTGGTCCCAGCTACTCAGGAGGCTGAGGTGGGAGAATCAGCTGAGCCCGGGAGGCAGAGGTTGCGGTGAGCTGAGATTGCACCACTGCACTCCAGCCTCGGTGACTGAGCAAGATCCTGTCTCAAAAAAATTAAAAATAAAGGCCTTGTTATTGCAAATGGTTTAAATTCTTTGAATTGGAGCCAGGGGTGGGGGGTTGTTTTTTGTTTGTTTTTTTGAGACAGGGTCTCACTCTGTCACCCAGACTGGAGTGCAGTGGTATGATCATAGCTCACTACAGCCTTGATCTCCTGCACTCAAACCTGAATCATGTTTTCTAAAGATGACTGGTGTGGCCAGGCGTGGTGGCTCATGCCTGTAATCCTAGCACTTTGGAAGGGCTAGGTGAAAGGATCACTTGAGCTCAGGAGTTCAAGACCAGCCTGGGCAACATAGTGAGACCTTGCCTCTAAAAAAATATAAAGATGAAGCCAGGCATGGTGGCTCATGCCTGTAATCCCAGCACTTTGGGAGGCCGAGGCAGGCGGATCACCTGAGGTCAGGAGTTCAAGATCAGCCTGGTGAAATCCCATCTTTACTAAAAATACAAAAATTAGCCAGGTGTGGTGGTGCATGCCTGTAATCCCAGCTACTCAGGAGGCTGAGGCAGGAGAATCACTTGAACCTGGGAGGCGGAGGTTGCAGTGAACCGAGACCGCACCATTGCACTCCAGCATGGGCGACAGAGTGAGACTGTCTCAAAAATAAAATAAAATAAAATGAAATAGATGACTGGTGCTTAGAAAGACAACAGATTATATACATTGATCTTACATTTGCCAACTTGCTATATACTCAGAGTATTTTTAATCATCTGTCTGCAGACAATTTTTTTCTTTTTCTTTTTTTTTTTGAGACAGGGTCTCACTCCATCACCCAAGTTGGAGTGTGACAGTGCAACCTCCGCTCACTGCGGCCTTGACTGCCCAGGCTCACGAGATCCTTCCACCTCAGCCTCACAAGTAGATGGGGCTACAGATGCATGGCACTTTGCCTGGCTAATTTTTGTATTTTTTATAGAAATGGGGTTTTGCCGTGTGCCCAGGCTAGTCTCGAATTTCTGGGAGGCTGAGGTGGGCAGATCGCTTGAGCCTAGAAGGTCAAGGCTTGAGTGAGCTGTGATCACACCACTGCACTCCAGCCTGGGCATCAGAGTAGGACTCTGTCTCCAAACAAATAAAATAAAATAACAAAAAAAACCCTCAAAATCCAACTTATCTTTGTCTTTTATCAGGAGAATTTAGTCAATTTTCACTTCCTGTAATTATTAAAATATCTGGCCGTTTCTTTATTTTTTTGGTCAGGGGTGCAGCTTTTAGGTGTTCCACACTTTCCACTCTTTACTCTCCAATACTTTATTACCCTTTTTGGGTCTGATTCAATTTGTTTACAATGGTTGGTTTTAATTTTCCACTTTCTCTCATTTGCAGGTTTGAAAGTGATAGTGTTTTGCTTATTTTAGCATTTGTTCATTAAATTTTACCATGCATATTTCTTAACGTGTCTTCGGAAAAACAAACATTTTAGAACAGAAGTCTAACTGCTAACTGACCTATGTGCTATTTTTCAGTATTATGTGTTTGTCCTTTTTACACGCAACAAGTATTACTCACCAAAGAAATGTTTGTTTAGATTTACCTACAATCTTTTTTTTTTTTTTTTGAGACGGAGTCTCGCTGTGTTGCCCAGGCTAGAGTGCAGTGGCGCGATCTCGGCTCACTACAAGCTCCACCTCCCAGGTTCACGCCATTCTCCTGCCTCAACCTCCCGAGTTGCTGGGACTACAGGCGCCCGCCACTACGCCCGGCTAATTTTTTGTATTTTTAGTAGAGACAGGGTTTCTCCATGTTAGCCAGGATGGTCTCAATCTCCTGACCTCGTGATCCACCCGCCTAGGCCTCCCAAAGTGCTGGGATTACAGGCGTGAGCCACTGCGCCCAGCCTAGATTTACCTACATTCTTATCAATTTCCTCTCAGCACTATTGCATCCCATTTTTCGCCAACTCAATAAATTATAGCTCTATGGACTGGGCACGGTGGCTCACGCATGTATTCCTAGCACTTTGGGAGGCCGAGGTGGGCAGATCACTTGAGTCAGGAGTTCGTGACCAGCCTGGCCACTGTGGCGAAACCCCGTCTCTACTAAAAATACAAAAATTAGCCGGCATGGTGGCAACACAGCTATAATCCCAACTACTTGGGAGGCTGAGGCAGGAGGATCACTTGAACCCGGGAGGCGGAAGTTGCAGTGAGCCGAGATCATGCCACTGCACTCCAGCCTGGGCAACAGAGACTCCATCTCAAAAAAAAAAAGAAAAAAGAAAAAAATATATATATATATATAAAATACCAAATACAAGACAGAGTAGGTATGCTGAATCCGAGAGGCAGAAGTTGCAGTGAGCCGAGATCATGCCACTGCACTCCAGCCTGGGCAACAGAGTGAGACTCCATCTCAAAAAAAAAAAAAAAAAAAAAAAAAAAAAAAGAAAAAAAAAAAAAATATATATATATATATATATATATAAAATACCAAATACAGGACAGAGTAGGTATGCTGTGTGACACAAGAGATGTCTCTCTCTCTCTCTCTCCATATACATATATATATATATATATCTTTTTTCTTTTTTTTTGAGACGGAGTCTCGCTCTGTCGCCCAGGCTGGAGGGCAGTGGCGCAATCTCGGCTCGCTGCAAGCTCTGCCTCCCGGGTTCACGCCATTCTCCTGCCTCAGCCTCCGGAATAGCTGGGACTACAGGCGCCTGACACCACGCCCAGCTAATTTTTTGTATTTTTAGTAGAGATGGGGTTTCACCGTGTTGGCCAGGATGGTCTCGATCTCCTGACCTCATGATCTTCCCGCCTCGGCCTCCCAAAGTGCTAGGATTACAGGCGTGAGCCACCGCGCCCAGCCTATATATCTCTTATGTATCAAACACCACTTTTTCTTGTACTCCAAAACCAATCTAACAAATCCTGTTTGGGGAACACCTTCAACAAACATCCAGAAATAAAACCCTTCACATGACCTCCCTAACTCTACTGAGCTAGTGCAGGCGCCATCACTGTTGTGGGCCATTGCAGGATTTACTGCTGCCTGCTCCCCAATCTGCCACCCCTCAGCTGGCATGTTCTCTTCATGAAAGCCAGAGAGAGGTGAGTCAGATCCTGTCACTTCTTTGCTCAAAATCCTCCAATGCCTAGAATATTCAGAAACTACACGGCTCACATTCTCCCTCACATCATTAAAATTTGTGTTCTGATTTTGACCCCAAAGGGGTTTAAAAACATTTGCTAAAATATCACACCACATTTTAGTCTCCTCCAAAACAAAAGTATAAACTTCCTCACAGTAGGATCATTATATTTTCCACAGGTCTATCCCCAGCTGTAAACCTAACTGGCATGTAAATTAATAAAAAACTTCATACTTGTTGAATGAATAAATGATACACAATTAAAATAAGACAATAGAAAGGGAATAAATAAGAAAAAGATCTAAAATGAGATAGGCAAGAATTAGATTTTTGTAAATGCTGAGAATAATAACTCTGTCTAAAAAATTCAAGTGAAAACCCAAGAACACTCAGCTATGAGGTCATTACTTGGAAGTGTATTATATTTATTAAGGAAAACAGACCGATTATTCTAGGCCACTTTTACAGTGGTGCCTCTAAAAAATAAAACTCCCCCATGACATGAGTTTACCTATGTAAACAAACCTTCACATGTACCCCACTGAACCTAAAATAAAAGTCTTAAAAAAAGACCCCCAAAGAGCTCTCTAGCTCTCTCTCTCCACTATGTGAGGATGTAACGTGACATTGGCAGTCTGCAACCTGGAAGAGGGCCCTCACCAGAACCTGACCATGCTAGCATGCTAGCACCCTGGTCTTGGACTTCTAGCCCCCAAAACTGGGAGAAATAAATTTCAGTTGTTTGTAACCCAAAAAATAAATAAATAAATGAAATGAAATATAAAATTCCTTTAAAATAGCAAAGAGCAGACACCTGAATGGACAGGGACCAATCTCACTAGGCTTACAGTGGGTAGGTACTCACTACTCACCAAAGTGGCTTTGGCTTGAGGACTCTTCCTCTAATATCCATGCCTCCTCTCCTTGCTGCAACTTGAAGACCACCTTTGGCTTGCTAATGCAATACCCTGTGAATGAGAAATGACTTAGGACTCAGCCAGGCTTATAGCTTCAAGCCTTCTGAAGAAAAAGGTGCAGTTTTAGGAGCTGTAGTCAATAGTTCCACTTAAGCTTTTCACTAGGAGAGGGGAAAAAAGTTTCCAGTGACCAAAAAAGGTCACCTTATACCTACAGCCCAGGGTCTCCTTTGAACCCTAAATTTCAACCCTAAAAAATAATTCATCTCTATAAAGGATCACGTATATCAACTGCTAAAAAAGAAATGAATGCTATTTGAAGTATATAAAACGCAATCCTTACCCACTGAGATGAGGAGGCTGTAGTTCTCCAGCATTACATTCATGTACAGGGTCCTCTCAATAGGGCCCAGATGCTACCACTCCTCCTGGGTGAAGTCCACAGTCACGTCCTTGAGCGACACTGATCCCTGAAAAAGTACATCTGTGTTCATTTTACAGTGACTACAACAAACACTATGCAATGTTTGGGATCTAATATCTTGTCATGTTCACTATTGATACTCAAAGAAAAAATGTCACACAGCATACCTACTCTGTCCTTTATTTGGCATTATATCCTGTGGGAGAACAAATCACAAAAGTACCTTAACCATGTATTAATTTATTGATTTGTGGGAAAAAAATCTAAAGTTCCCCAATGTGCTGGAACTGTCTTATGTTCTGGGGATATAAAAATTAATACTTTAAAACACTGCTCTCAAAGGGTTAATTATATCATTGAAAGACATAGTTAAAAAATATGCCTGCAATAAGGTTTTGCAGAAGAAATGCAAGAAGAATCTAAAAGGTAATGGCCACACCCGGGAAAGTGTTCAATTCTGTTTTGCTACCTTAAGAAATTAACGCATTGAGTCCTCACACATCAATAATGTATCATGGGGCTGGGTGCGGTGGCTCACACCTGTAATCCCAACACATTGAGAGCCCCAGGCGGGCAAATCACCTGAGGCCAGGAACTGAAGACCAGCCTGGCCAACATGGTGAAACCCCATCTCTACTAAAACTACAAAAATTAGCTGGGTGTGGCGGCATACACCTGTAATCCCAGCTACTCAGGAGGCTGAGGTGGGAGAATCGCTTGAACCTGGGAGGCGGAGGTTGCAGTGAGCCGAGATCATGCCATTGTACTCCAAACTGGGAGACAGAGCAAGACTCCGTCTCTAATAATAATAATAACAATGTATTATGGGCCAAAGACAAAGCAAAAAAAAAAAAAAAAGCCTGGGGACACTGAAAACACAGGGCAGGTTAATAGAACTACAAATAGTACTGTTTGTTGGTGAAAGGATAGAGCTATATTAAGATACAGATGCAGAAGCAAAATCAAGAGCTAGATGATTATAAGTAATTTGGGATAAATTCCTTTCCCTAAATATTTTATCATAAGTTAAACATATGTACTATAAAGTTTCTTTTTTGTGAGTGTAAATAATGTAAACAGCTAGGCTAGTATTTTCTTCCAGCGTGCTGATTTTTTTTTTTTTTTGAGATGGAGTCTCACTCTGCTGCCCAGGCTGGAGTGCAGTGGTGTGATCTCGGCTCACTGCAACCTCTGCCTCCCAGGTCCAAGTGATTCTCCTGCCTCAGCCTCCTGAGTAGATGACATTACAGGCGCGCACTACCATGCCCAGCTTTTTTTTTTTTTTTTTTTTTTTTTGTATTTTTAGTAGAGACAGGGTTTCACCATGTTGGCCAGGCTGGTCTCAAACTCCTGACCTCAAGTGCTGGGCTTACAGGTGTGAGCCTCACGCCCAGCCTCAAGTGTACTGATTTTCTTAAGCACTCCCTAAGGTATATCTCGAACCCACCACTTCAAGATCACAGCTGTGGGTAACAGGGAGCCAATAAAGAGGTGAAGTAAGCACTAGAGTTAGATGTCCAGGTTTGCATCTTAGGGGCAGTGATTTTAAGAAGAGTGGAGAAGAGCTTAAGAGGAAATGCAAGGCAAAGACCAGAGGGCAGGATGACCACCCACATTCAGGTGTAAGAACCGGCAGGAGTTGGCAAGCAATTCACAGCCAAATCTGGCCTGCCCCATTCTGTACAGGAACCAGGAATGGTTGTTACATTTTTTACATTTTCCAATGGTTAGGAAAAAATCAAAAGAATATTTTGGGACACATATATGTAAAAATTATACAAAATTCAAATTTCAGTGTCCATAAATAAAATTTTATAAGAACACAAGCTTGTGTGTTTGTGTATTGTCTAAGCTGCTTTCACACAACAGCAGGGACAAGTAGTCACCACAGACTGTATGTGGCACTCTCACTGCTGCCCAGCACACTACAAATCACAAGACATGGATTCAGTTATAACTTCGCTGCATTTCAAGTGCCAAGCCTAATGCCATCTTGTGACATTTTATTTTAGTTTTTTTTTTTTTTTTTTAGAGATGGAGTCTTGTTCTGCCGCCTAAGCTGGAGTGCAGTGGCGCAATATTGGCTGACTACAACCTCTGCCTCCCAGGTTCAAGCCATTCTCCTGCCTTAGCCTCCCAAAGGACTGGGATTACAGGCATGAGCCAACGCGCCTGGCCTATTTTAGCTTTTTATTACCAGTGCATATCACGTCAAAACAAGAGAAATGGGCTTTGAGTGTCAGATTTTTAAGGCACAGCGGAGTGTGGGTAGTTTTCTTATCTAATTAGCTGGAATATTTCATCACAGCTTATTTGGAAGCCATATATATATATATATATATATATATATATTTTTTTTTTTTTTTCTTTTTTTGAGGAAGGGTCTTGCTCTGTCTCCCAGGCTGTCCAGTGGCACAATCATGGCTCACTGCAGCCTCGACCTCCCAGGCTCAAGTGATCCTCCCACTTCAACCTCCCAAGTAGCTGGGACTACGAGCATGCATCACCACACCTGGATATTTTTACTGTTTGTAGAGACAGGGTTTCGCCATGTCGCCCAGGCTGATCTGAACTCCTAGTCTCAGGCAATCCACCCTCTTCGGCTTCCCAAAGTGCTGGGATTACAGGTGTGAGCCATCACGCCAGGTTGTTAGCCATATTTTTAGAAAGAGTTCAAATACAAAGACAGAGAATAAAGCAGTGGTTTCCACAGGTGTTGGAGGGGTGGTAAAGGAAATGCGGAAATGTAGGTCAAAGGATACAAACTTTTAAATATGTAGGATGAACACCACTAGAGTTTTGTTGTTGTTGTTGTTTGTTTGTTTGTTTTTGAGAAGGAGTTTCGCTCTTGTTGCCTCGGCTGGAGTGCAATGGAGCAATCTCAGCTCACCGCAACCTCCGCCTCCCAGGTTCAAGGAATTCTCCTGCCTCAGCCACCTGAGTAGCTGGGATTACAGGCATGCGACACCACACCCAGCTAATTTTGTATCTTTGGTAGAGACGGGGTTTCTCCATGTTGGTCAGGCTGGTCTCAAACTGCTGACCTCAGGTGATCCACCTGCCTCGGCCTCCAAAAGTGCTGGGATTACAGGCATGAGCCACCACGCCTGGCCTGAACACCTTTAGAGTTCTAATGTACAACATAAGGACTAAAATTAGTAAAATTCTATTAGAGATTTTTATTAAGTAAACTGTAGCTGCTCTTGTCACAACAAAAGCAACTATGTGAGATGACAGATCCATTAATCTGCTTCACTAAACACTTTACTATCTATACATATCCCATAACATGTTGTAAGCCTCAAAAATACACATTAAATTTATTTTTAAAAAATAAAATCATGACTTTGGGAGGCCGAGGCCGGCGGATCACGAGGTCAGGAAATCGAAATCATTCTGGCTAACATGGTGAAACCCAGTCTCTACTAAAAAATACAAAAAAATTAGCCGGGCGTGGTGGCGGGCGCTTGTAGTCCCAGCTACTTGGGAGGCTGAGGCAGGAGAATGGCGTGAACTCAGGAGGTGGAGCTTGCAGTGAGCCGAGATCATGCCACTACACTCCAGCCTGGGCGATAGAGCGAGACTCCATCTCAAAATAAAATAAAATAAAATAAAATAATAAAATAAAATCATGTTTGTGGACTGATATCAGTAACTGGTAGTACCTATGTGAAACACATTTTCAAAGATGAAATATGTGAAAGCTCATTACAATTCAACATTAGCAGATGATGATTTGCAATAGATTTTGATGACATAGAATAGTAACAAAGAACCTCAATTAAGCAAAATGTTAACCACCCCAAAAGAATTCCACTTTTCTCATTAGTAGACCTGTATTGCAAAACACTATAACACAATCATGATTATATTTTGAATTTCATCAACAAAAACTGGCGGTAGCCTGGGCAATGTGGCAAAACCCCATCTTCACAGAAATTTTTTAAATTAGCAGCTCATGGCGGGATGTGGCAGCGTGGTGGCTGTGTGGTCCCAGCTACTCAGGAGGCTGACGTGGAAGAATCACTTGAGCCTAGGAGGTCTAGGCTGCAGTGAGCCGTGATCACACCATTGCACTTCAGCCTGGCAACAGAGTGAGGCCAAAGACCTCATATCAAAACAAACAAACAAAATAAAACAAAACAAAACAAAAATTGTGTAAATTTCTTCTGTCTCTTGCTCAATAAGTCCTACATATATCCTTGATTTTATTTCTTGGTCCACAAAGCATAAAATATTCGCTATCTGGCTCTTTACAAAAGACGTTAGCTAACTCCTGGAAAGAAGAATTGATCCTACAAAATAAGACATTAAGAGATATTGGTCCCAAATTCATGGTGCAAAAGAAAGATGG
Source organism: Homo sapiens (assembly GCF_000001405.40). Lineage (NCBI taxonomy): Eukaryota > Metazoa > Chordata > Mammalia > Primates > Hominidae > Homo > Homo sapiens. The sequence goes on along the minus strand of NC_000010.11, from coordinate 43,491,707 downwards.
GGAAATTATCTCCCAGAGTTTCTTTATGAGCCTCCAGGTAAATCCAGGTGCCATTTGCAAAGACTGGGAAGTGCAAAGAAAGAGGCTGGGCAAAAGGTAAGGGCTAGAGGGGTCTCGGACATGTTGTGCTCGAAGTGTCTGTGGAACGGGCAGGCAGGGATCTTCAGGAGGGAGCTGGATGAGTGGTTCTGGAGCTCAGAAGGGAAGCCCGTAATGAAGCTGAGGACTGCGGAGTCACTGGCATGTTGGTGGCTGCTGAAACCAGCAGTGAATCAGATGGCTCCCAAGGAAAGGCAAAAGTACTGGGGCCAGGTCTGAGGGAACCCACACAGGTACCTGGAGAACAGGACACAAAGAATAAGAATAAAATTCTCTGAAACAACAATAAAATTAGCAACCTGCACTAAACATAGAGTTATTCACTTATGGAAAATGAATAAAAAACGAAGTAGAGGCCTGTAATCCCAGTACTTTGGGAGGCTGAGGCGGGTGAATCACCTAAGGTGAGGAGTTTGAGACCATCCTAACCAACATGGTGAAACCCCGTCTCTACTAAAAATACAAAAATTAAAAATTAGCCAGGCATAGTGGCACATGTCTGTAGTCCCAGCTACTCAGGAGGCTGAGGCAGGAGAATCGCTTGAACCTGCGAGGCAGAGGTAGCAGTGAGCCGAGATCATGCCCCCAGGAGACAGAGTGAGACTCTGTCTCAAAAAAAAAAAAAGAAAAAAAAAGGCCAGGCATGGTGGCTCATGCCTGTAATCCCAGCACTTTGGGAGTCTGAGGCGGGGAAATCACCTGAGGTTGGGAGTTCGAGACCAGCCTGACCAACATGGAGAAACCCCATCTCTACTAAAAATACAAAATTAGTCAAGCATAGAGGTGCATGCCTGTAATCCCAGCTACTCAGGAGGCTGAGGCAGGGGAATAGCTTGAACCTGGGAGGCAGAGGTTGTGGTGAGCCGAGATCATGCCATTGCACTCCAGCCTGGGCAACAAGAGTGAAATTCCATCTCAAAAAAAAAAAAAAATTAGCCAGGCGTGGTGGCGGGCACCTGTAATCCCAGCTACTTGGGAGGCTGAGGCAGGAGAACAGCTTGAACCCAGAAGGTGGAGGTTGCAGTGAGCCAAGATTGTGCCATTGCACTCCAGCCCGTGCAACAAGAGCAAAACTCCATCTCAAAAAAAAAAAAAAAAAAAAAAAAAAGTAGAGCTACTTCAGGAAAACTCAGGCTATAACAGTAAGAACTAAGATAAGCAAAACAACTGAATATGGGGGGAAAATCACAAGAAGAAATGGGAGAAAATCTGTTTGTTTGTTTTATTTATTTTCTTTTTGTTTGTTTTGTTTTGTTTGAGGCAGGGTCTTGGTCTGTTGCCCAGGCTGGAGTACAGTGGCACGATCTCAGCTCACTGCAACCTCCAGCTCAGCAGGCCAAGCAATTCTCCTGCCTCAGCCTCCCGAGTAGCTGGGATTACAGGCACCTGCCACCACACTGGCTACCCCTTTTTGTATTTTTAGTAGAGATGGGGTTTCACCATGTTGCCCAGGATCATCTCAAACTCCTGACCTCAGGCGATCCACCCGCCTTCGGCCTCTCAAAGTGCTGGGATTATAGGCATGAGCCACCACGCCGGCCTCAATCCTTCTACTTTTAAGCTATTTCTGTCTTTATATTAATATGAGTTTCTTGTCTATAGTATATAAATGGGCATTGCTTTTTTTAAAATCCAATTTGGCAACATCTGCCTTTGGATATTTGGGGCATTTGTATGTAACGTGAATACTGATGTGACTGTTTAAGTCTATAACTTATTTGTTTCTATTTTTCTTCTTGTTCCAGCTGTTCTTTGATCTTTTTTCTCTTTTTAAGCCTTCTATTGGATTTAGTATTTTTTATGATTCTTCCTTCAGGACTTTGCTCCAATGTACCTTTCTCAGTGAAACTAAATTTTTGCCTAATTTATCATTTTTGACATTACAAGTATTCCCATTTTTCTTCCATTTCTACTTGGAACTTGTTATTGGCTAACATGTTTAACATTTGTATCTAGGCCAGGTGTGGTGGCTCACGCCTGTAATCCCAACACTTTGGGAGGCGGAGGCAGGAAGATTACCTGGGGTCAGGAGTTCGAGATCAGCTTGGCCAACATGGTAAAACCCCGTCTCTACTAAAAATACAAAAATTAGCCAGGCTTGGTGGCCGGCGCCTATAAACTCAGCTACTCAGGAGCCTGAGACATGAGAATTGCTTGAACCCAGGAGGTGGAGGTTGCAGTGAGCCGAGATCACATTATTGCACTCCAGCCAGGGCGACAGAGCGAGACTCCATCTCAAAAAATAAATAAAAATAAATAAATAAATAAATGTGTATCTAATTACCTGTTAGCTAGTGACTTTTTAAATTTTTTTCACTTTTTTAGAAATGGAGTCTTTCTATGTTGGCCAGGTTGGTCTTGAACTCCTGGCCTCAAGCAATCCTCCTTCCTTGGCATGAGCCACTGCACCCAGCCTAGTGACTTTCATATAATTCTGTATTCAAGTTAAATATGTTGATGTAGTATCTCCAAGAAGTTGGGGAGTGTTTTTGTTTTGGTTTTTCTTTTTGAGCCAGGGTCTGTCTCTGTTGCCTGGGCTGGCGTGATCACTGTTCACCACACCATTGACCTCCTGGGCTCAGGTGATTCTTCCGAGTAGCCAGGACTACACGCATAGGCCACCATACCCAGCTAATTTTTTCATATTTTTTTTTTGTAGAGACAGGATTTTGCCATATTGCCCAGGCTGGTCTCAAACTCCTGGCCTCAAGCGATCCTCTCACCTCATCCTCCCAAAGTGCTGGGATAACAGGAGTAAGCCACCACTCCTGGCCTCCAGTAAGTTTCTTATTGTTGAAGTAGCCATACTTTCTTTGATATAAACCCTACTTGGTCAGTCATTTATTCAGTGAATATATATTGAGCATGTGCTGCTACAGTGTTGGAAAGATTGTTGTGAACAAAATTACTACTTTCATGGAGAGGATATTCTAATAGAACATCCTGTATTTATTCGTTGGTATAATCCTCGATGTAGTCTCCCTATATTTTTTGTGATTTTCATTTGTTGTGTTACAAGATTTTGTTATTAGGTGTACTTTCTCAAAGCTGTTTATATTTTTGTTTTATTACCTTGCTTCCTTATTAATGCCAGCTTTAGATTTAATCACTTTTATGACCAGTTGCAACAAACTGCTTTTAGTTTTACACTTAGCTTTGCTCCTTATTATGTTTTAATTATATTCATGATTTTATCCTAACCTTGTCCTGCTTTGCTTTTTTTCCAGTTTCTTTGAGCAAATATATAATTCATAATTATTTTCAGTTTAGTTTTAAAAATAAGTTACACTATTCTGCAATAAATTTACTTGTTGCCCTAAAGTTGTCATGTATTCTCCTTACAATTTATTCCAGATAATTAATAATTTGGATTTTGATATTTATCTTAAGTCCAAAGTTTTATTTAAGGGATGATTTCTTTTATGATTATATATCATAAGTAATTTATCTATTTAGTTTTAAAGCTCACAATTAAGGATGTAATATCTTGAAATTCTTTTTTTTTTTGAGACAGGGTCTTGCTCTATCACCCAGGCTGGAGTGCAGTGGAGCCATCTTGGCTCACTCCAAACTCCGCCTCCCTGTTTAAGCAATTCTCCTGCCTCAGCCTGAGTAGTTGGGACTACAGGCGCCTGCCACCATGCCCGGCTAATTTTTTTTTTTTTTTTTTTTTTTTTTTGTATTTTGGTAGAGGCGGAGTTTTGCCAAGTTGGCCAGGCTGGTCTCGAACTCCTGACCTCAGGTGATCCACCCACCTCGGCCTCCCAAAATGCTGGGAATACAGGTGAGGGCCACTGCGCCCGGCCTCAAAATTCTACTTCTAACAAATTTCTACTTTTTAGTATTAAAAATGTTCGGGCCGGGCACAGTGACTCACGCCTGTAATCCCAGTACTTTGGGAGGCCCAGGCTGGGGGATCACCTGAAGTCGGAAGATGGACACCATCCTGGCTAACACAGTGAAACCCTCATCTCTACTAAAAATACAAAAAATTAGCCAGGCGTGGTGGCACATGCCTGTAATCCCAGCTACTCCGAAGGCTGAGGCAGGCGAATTTCCTGAACCCGGGAGGCGGAGTCTGCAGTGAGCGGAGATTGCGCCATTGCACTCCAGCCTGGGCAACAAGAGCAAAACTCCATCTCAAAAAAAAAAAAGAAAAAAATGTTTCTGGGCCGGGCACGGTGGCTCACGCCTGTAATCCCAGCACTTTGGGAGGCGGAGGCAGGCAGATCACGAGGTCAGGAAATCGAGACCATCCTGGCTAATACGATGGAACCCCATCTCATTTAAAAACACAAAAAATTAGCCAGGCATGGTCGCACGCGTCTGTAATCCCAACTAATCAGGAGGCTGAGGCAGGAGAATCGCTTGATCCTGGAAGGCGGAGGTTGCAGTGAGCTGAGATCGTGCCACTGCACTCCAGCCTGGGTGATAGAGCAAGACTCTGCTTCAAAAAAAAAAAAAAAAAAAAATTCTTAGTGACTAGAATATGATCTAATGATGAAAAATGAGTGATGAAAAATTTGTTGACCTAGATCCCATAATAGGCATGGCACTTAATCTTTTTACTTCAGTTTTATTTTGGGAAAACAATGATATCTATGTTACACGTTTGTTGTTGAGATTAGATTTTATAAGTTTAAGATATTTAGAAAACCATCTGACACAGAATAAATACCACTGAATTTTAGGTATGATTATCTCTTCAATCTTTGCAATTTTTCCTTGAAGAGTAAAATATTCCATTGGGTAGAATACAGGCTAGCTGGCTATCTTTCCTTATTTTTAATCTCTTTGATCTGTCATAAGCTGAAAGAGGTTTCTTGCCTCTCTTAATAGTTTTCTATAACCAAGGTAGCAGCTGCTTTTGTATTTGGCTATATAAAAAGATGGCTTTTATCCTCTTGCCTAATTTTGCTATTTACCATTGTGTGATATCTATTTTCATACCATTACGGGTACAAGTTCCACTTTGATATAAATAAAGGTGCTCTTATTTGCCTTTTAATTGCTTTTGCCAAAAATATTTTGCCCATTTCTTTGCTTTCCTTCCTTCATCTCTTTTAGACTTTTTTTTTTTTTGAGAAGGAGTTTCACTCTTGTTGCCCAGGCTGTAGTGCAATGGCGCAATCTCGGCTCACCGCAACCTCCGCCTCCCAGGTTCAAGCGATTCTCCTGCCTCAGCCTCCCGAGTAGCTGGGATTACAAGCATGCACCACCAAGCCAGGCTAATTTTGTATTTTTAGTGGAGACGAAGTTTTTCCATGTTGGTCAGGCTGGTCTCGAACTCCCAACCTCAGGTGATCCGCACCCTCCTCGGCCTCCCAAAGTGCTGGGATTACAGGTGTGAGCCACCCTGCCCAGGCTTTTAGATTTCTTAAAAGCATGTTTTTAAGAAACAATATGGCTGCATTTTGGTTTTTTAAACCAGTATAATAGTCTGTCTTGGATAAGAAATTCAGCCATTCATATTTTTTGTAATGTGTGTATTTTGGTTTTGCTCTGAATCTTGGTTTATCAACTATTATATTAATGTTGGAACATAACATATCCATTTCAATTTATACCATTAATCACACTTTCTCAGTTCCTTTACCTCTTCTGGTTTGTTCAGAAAAGAAAGGTCTGAAATGTGAAATAGAATTACAGGCACAAATGCCAGAGAGTGTAACTGCGAACTGTCTATACTACCCCATAAATACAGCCTAAATGGGGAAAAAAAATGATTTACTGAAATAGTCTGAAGATGCACTTGATTTCTTCCTCCAGATACTCTACATTTTATCCCTGTATCAAGCAGCAACACCAGAAAATGGCCTAGAGCAGTGCTGTCCAATTTGGTAGCCACTAGCCACATGTGGCAACTAAGCACTTAAAATGTTACTATGTGACTTATGAAATATATTTTAATTATATTTCAATATCCACATATGGCTAGTGGTTACTCTACTAATCTACATACCACACTAGACTACAATATTTTGATTCTCTGAAAACCTATATTCACTGAGTTTTCTCATAGCTCTTGAGTCCTTTGTTCCCACTGAAGAACTACTGAAAGAGGTTGAATTTCTAAGTTATTGGAAGGTTGTACACTTCATCGCCCATACAGAGTGCAAAAAGAGAACAATTTTAGACTCATTGCCAGGAAGTCTTCATGCCCCATTCATAATCAATATGGTTTTTCTTTATGGAAATGTAAATCATGTGACAGATGTCTGCATTGTGCAATGGCTATCAAAAAGATTCAAATTTACAGCTCAATTTTGATAACTATGAAAGACCATAAAACTTGTACTTACCTATGTATTAAATCATGCTATCAGTCTGCTATTGTCTATTTTCCTGTTGATTTCTATATTTCCATTCTAATGAGCCTTAAAAGCCTCATACATTGCATTATAAATAAAGCTGATAATAACAACTAAACAACTCACCTGGGATCTGTTCATTTTCTACTGATCTTGGAAAAATGTGAAGAGTAAAGGTAATGCTGGGAAAGAGGAGGTAAGAATAAAGTTAGGAGAAATCTGGCCCGCCTTGCTGCTCCTGGATCCAACTTCCTAAAATGCTACACAGAAGAGACCATTTGAACAATGTGGAGACATCTCTATGACCAGATTGTGTTGAGCTTAGACATGCAATTTTTCACTGGGTGAAAGTAAACACATGTATCCCAATGATTAACAATTTATGTCGCTAAGACACAAAAAAATTTAAAATACAAACAATTCATAAATGACAGGATCCTAATATAGAAAGTGTCTTCATTAAAATTGATGTGGTAGGAAACACTCATGTTGTGCTGTTTATCTGTTTTCCTATGAATATAATACTGGGAATATTGTTGAACAATTCACAGAAACTCTAAAAAATAGAATGAATGCTTCAGTACAAGATTTTTTTAAATATTTGTTCTAATTTGATTACAGTTTCACAATCTTTTGATAAGACTTGTTTCAGCTATGCAAAGGAATAAAGAAATCACGAAACTTTTTTTTTTTGAAACAGTCTTGCTCCGTCGCCCAGGCTGGCATGCAGTGGCATGATCTCGGCTCACTGCAACCTCCACCTCCCAGGTTCAAGCAGTTCTCCTGCCTCAGCCTCTCGAGTAGCTGAGATTATAGGTGCCCACCATCATGCCCAGCTAATTTTTTGTATTTTAGTAGAGACAGGGTTTCCCCATGTTGGCCAGGCTGGTCTCGAACTCCTGACCTCAGGTGATCCACCTGCCTTGGCCTCCCAGAGTGCTGGGATTACAGGTGTGAGCCACCGCGCCTGGACCAAATTCTTATCTTGATCAGTAACAAAGGAGTGACCTGTAATAATTCATTGATTCTCTCAGGCTCCATACATTTTATCTTTCAAATGAGGCAGAAATAGTTAAATACTGTATACTCTACCTGCACTACCATCTTGTGATTCTAAGGTGAGAATAAAGGCCGGGTGTGGTGGCTCATGCCTGTAATCCCAGCACTTTGGGGGGCCAAAGCAGGTGGATCACCTGAGGTCAGGAGTTCAAGACCAGCCTCGCCAACATGGCGAAACCCTGTCTCTACTAAAAATACAAAAATTAGCTGGGCCTGGTGGCACACACCTGTAATCCCAGCTACTCAGGAGGCTGAGGCAGAAGAATCACTTGAAGCCAGGAGATGGAGGTTGCAGGGAGGCGGACGTTGCAGTGAGCCGAGATCATGCCACTGCACTCCAGCCTTGGCAACAGAGTGAGACTCCATCTCAAAAAGGATAATAAATAAAAATAAAATAAAATATCAATTATTGGTCAGGCATGGTGGTTCACACCTGTAATCCCAGCAATTTGGGAGGCCAAGGCAGGCAGATCACTTGAGGTCAGGAGTTCCAGACCACCCTGGCCAACATAGTGAAAATCTGTCTTTACAAAAAATACAAAAATTAGCTGAGCATGGTGACACATGCCTGTAGTCCCAGCTACTTGGGAGGCTGAGGCACAAGAATCACTTGAACCCGGGAGGAGGAGGTTGCAGTGAACTGAGATTGTGCACCTGCACTCCAGCCTGGGCAACAGAGTGAGATTCTGATTCAAAAAAAAAAGAAGGGCTGGGCATGGTGGCTGTAATCCCAACACTTTGGCAGGCCAAGGCGGGTGGACACCTGAGGTCGGGAGTTCAAGAGCAGCCTGACCAACATGGTGAAACCCCGTCTCTACTAAAAATACAAAATTAGCCGGGCATGGTGGCGCATGCCTGTAATCCCAGCTACTTGGGAAGCTGAGGCAGGAGAATTGCTTGAATCCAGGAGACAGAGGTTGCGGTGAGCCAAGATCACGCCATTGCACTCCAGCCTGGGCAATAAGAGCGAAACTCTGTCTCAAAAAAGTAACAACAAGAAAAGAAAAGAAAAGAAGATAAAATATCAATTATTTGCTGTTCAATGAAATATCACTTCTAGGCAAAAGATTTCTCATCTTTATTGGGTGTTCTCACCCCAACCTGGGTTGTTTCTGCTATGGAACGAGTCCAAGAAGGTGAAGGTTTCTGAGCCTTCAGGATGTTGACAAGGGTTTCCTCTATGTTGTCTCTCTGACATTTAGTGAAGTTGGGATTCTGGTAAAAGCTTTCATTATATTCATAGGGTTGCTCCCTTGTGTGTGTTCTCTGATGTGTTGTGAGGGATGACTTCTGGTAGAAGGTTTTCCCACATTCACTACATGCATAGGGTTTCTCTCCTGTGTGGGTTCTCTGATGTACTGTGAGGGATGACTTGTGGTAGAACATTTTCTCACATTCATTACATTCATAGGGTTTCTCCCCTGTGTGAATTCTCTGATGTTCTCTAAGTTTTGACTTCACAGAGAAGGATTTTTGACATTCATTGCATTCAAAGGGTCTCTCTCCTGTGTGAGTTCACTGATGATTAATGAAGTTTGGCTTCTGGGAGAAAGTTTTCCCACATTCCTTACACTCATAGGGTTTCTCGCCAGTATGTATTCTCTGATGTACTTTTAGAGCTGACCTATCACCAAAGGCTTTCTGACATTCATTACATCCATAGGGTTTCTCTCCTGTGTGTGTTCTCTGATGTACATGAAGATTTGACTTCTCACAGAAGTTTTTTCCACATTCATTACATTCATAGGTTTTGTCCCGTGTGTGTTCTTTGATGTACTGCAAGGCATGACCTATATCCAAAAGTTTTCCCACATTCAGTGCATTCATAGGGTTTCTCTCCTCTGTGTATCCTCTGCTGTAGGATAAAAGAGGATTTATGGCTGAAGGTTTTCCCACATTCACTACATTCATAGAGTTTTTCTTCTGTATCTGTTTTCTGATATACAGAATGCTTTGGCTTACAGCAAAATGTACTAGCATACTGATTAATTTTATAGGCATTCTTTCCTATATGTGTTTCTTGATGTTGAGTGAAATTTGGCTTCTTGCAGAATACTTCCAAATGTCTACTACAGTCAAGTTTTCTCTCCTCTGTAACTTTGTAGAATGAGGAGTGATTTCTTGCCAAAACTATTCTCACTCGCATTACACTCATAGTATTTCATCTCCATAACCCTGTGGTGTTTATTTACAGGTGGCCTCTCACCAGACCTCCTCTCACATTCATTGAATTCATGGTGACTCTTCCTTATGTGAGTTCTCTGATGAACAATGAATATTGGTCTATCGGAAAAGGCTCTCACATGTTCATTATATTCACAGGGTCTCCCATGAGCACACTCTCTTATGGGTACTGCAGGCTGCCTCTTCATGAAAAGCCTTCCCACACTGATTGTATTCAAAACACTGCTTAAGAGTTTGAATATACTGATGCCTAAATAAGTCCTCATTCTGAGAGACGGCTTTCCCATTTCCATCATATTCCAAAGGTTTCCCTCTGGCATAAGGATTCTCACGCTTCATACAGAGGAGAAATTTCCCACGTACATTACACTCAGCAGGGTTCCTTACAAAGGAGCTTCTATTACTAATAATTAATTCTGAAATATTATTCAAATTCATTCCAGATGAGTCACAGTTGCCACGTATTTTTCTTGATAGAATGGGGTTTGTGTCAAGAGAAAATGTTTTTCCTAATACACCATTTCTGTCCATAGTCAGTGTTTTATTGTTGACAAAATCAACTTTCTGCAAATGCTGGTCTTGATTTTCCTGTCTCTTCTCCATCAGGTCATCATCTATGCAGCAGTCTAGAAATAATAATAAGTTATCACAGATTATAAATGTTAACATATTTTTCATGAAAAAGAGACATATTCACATGCTTTTTTTTTCTTTTTTTTTTTGGCACAGTGTCTGGCTCTGTCACCCAGGCTGGATTGTGCAGTGGTGTGATCATGGCTCACTGCAGCCTCAACCTCCCAGGCTCAGGTGATGCTCCCACCTCAGCTTCTCGAGTAAATGGGATTACAAGTATGTACCACCATGCCTGGCTAATTTTTTGTATTTTTTGTAGAGATGGAGTTTTTTGCCTTGTTACTCAGGCTGGTGTCAAACTCCTGTTGCCCAGGCTGTAATGCAGTGGCAGCATCACAGCTCACTGCAGCCTTGACCTCCTGGGCTCAAGAAATCCACCTGCCTCGGCTCCCAAAGTGCTGAGATTACAGGCATGAGACACTGCACCCGGCCCAGGCTGTTCTTATAACAGGATCATATGCATACCTTTATTCATCTAGAATATCATCATCTAACTCATAGTCTGAGATTTCACTTATGCGATCAATTATACTGTAATTATTAGAGTCTACAGTGGTTCTGCTTCATCTTCTGATTTGCCTAATAATTGTGAAGAGTCTTCCTCTTGTCAATTTTCTACTCTTTGCAATTAATGGAAGAAAATAAAAGCTCTGAACTCTCAACTGTGCCCATTGAATTATTAAAAAAAAAAAAGAGAGAGAGAGAGAGGTGGGCGCAGTGGCTCACGCCTGTAATCCCAGCACTTTGGAAGGCCAAGGAAGGTGGATCACCTGAAGTCAAGCGTTCCAGACCAGCCTGGCCAACATGGCAAAACCCCATCTCTACTAAAAATACAAAAATTAGCCAGGTGTGGTGGTGTGCATCTGTAATCCCAGCTACTCGGGAGGCTGAGGCAGGAGAATCGCTTGAACCCGTGAGGCAGAGGTTGCAGTGAGCCGAGATCATGCCACTGCATTCCAGCCTGGGTGACAGAGTAAGACTCCATTTCAAAAAATAAAAAAATAATAATAAAAAGTGGCCAGGTGCGGTGGCTCACGCTTGTAATCCCAGCACTTTGGGAGGCTGATGGGGGTGGATCACGAGGTCAGGAGCTCGAGACCAGCCTGGCCAACATGGTGAAACCCTGTCTCTACTCAAAATACAAAAATGAGCTGGGTGTGGTGGTGCGCACCTGTAATCCCAGCTACTCAGGAGGCTGCAGCAGGAGAATGGCTTGAACCTGGGAGGTGGAGCTTGCAGTGAGCCTAGATTGTGCCACTGCACTCCAGCCTGGGCAAGAGAGCAAGACTCCATCTCAAAAAAAAGAAAAGAAAGAAAAGAAAAGAAAAGAAAAGAAAGAAGGAAGGAAGGAAGGAAGCAAGGAAGAAAGAAAGAAAAAGAAAGAAAGAAAGAAAGAAAGAAAGAAAGAAAGAAAGAAAGAAAGAAAGAAAGAAAGAAGGAAAGAAAGAAAAGAAAGAAAGAAAGAGAGTCAGGTGCAGTGGTTCACACCTGTAATCCCAGCACTTTGGGAGGCCGAGGCAGGAGGATCACCTGAGGTCAGGAGTTTGAAACCAGCCTTGCCAACACGGCAAACCCCGTCTCTAGTAACAATACAAAAAAATAAAAAATAGCCAGGACACAGTGGTGGGTGCCTGTAGTCCCAGCTACTCGGGTGGCTGAGGCAGTAGAGTCACTTGAACCCGAGAGGCGGAGGTTGCAGTGAGATGAGATCACACCACTCCAGTCCAGCCTGGGCAACAGAGTGAGACTCCATCTCAAAATGAAATGAATAAATAAAATAAAAACAACAAAAAAAAGAAAGAAACTACAAATAAGGTTTCTCCAGGCTTCTTTTATATTTTTGTCACAAGTAATGCTTCAAGCAGCTCAATAAGAAAATTGAAGGATGATGTAATAGTGACAGTGTTCTTTACTATTCTATTATCCTTACAAGCAATTCCATCATTCTTTTCTATTTTAGTTTATTTTACCACAGTTGGACATAATTGATGAGTAATGTTGAAATAATTGCTAAGAAATAACATACCAAAATGTTTCAAACTTAAGAAAAATAGATCACTAAAATAGTATCATGCTTCTTAGATTATAAATGGGACCAATTCACTCAAATGATAACAGCAAAAACAGAATGAGTTTCATTCAATTAAAAAATAAAAGTAGGCCAGGTACAGTGGATCAAGCCTCTAAACCAGCACTCTGGGAGGCAGAGGTGGAAGAATTGCTTAAGGTCAGGAGTTCAAGACCAGTCTGAGCAACACAGCAAGACCTCATCAGTACAAATTTATATATATATATACACACATATATATGTGTATATATGTGTGTATATATATATACACACATACATACATACATATATTCACACACACACACAAATATATATATATATAAATTTTCTCTTTGTTTATCTAAGTTAGAAAAAAAATTTTTTTGAGATAGGATCAAAAGAGATCGGCTACTGCACTCCAGCCTGGAAGACAAAGCGAGACTCCATCTCATTAAAAAAAAAAAGAAAAAAGAAAAAAGAACTGCATCAAAAATAAACTCAAAAGCTAAATTTGGGTCCACTGAGAGGTAACATTCTATTTTGTTTATTATTTGGACCATATATCATTTATATTCCTTTTATATTCTAAGGTTTCATGTTCACATTTCATATATGATTCTCAAACTCCATATAGCTTGATTTTTGTTTTGTTTTTACAGACAGGCTCTTACTCTGTCATCCAGACTGGAATGCAGTGGCATGATCATAGCTCACTGCAGCTTCAAACTCCTGGGCTCAAGCGATCCTCCCACTTCAGCCTCCCAAAACTGAGACTACTGGTGTATGACCATGCCTGGCTAATTTTTTTTTTATTTATTTTTGAGACAGAGTTTCGCTCTCGTTGCCCAAGCTGGAGTGCAATGGCGCAATCTCAGCTTACCACAACCTCCCCCTCCTGGGTTCAAGTGATTCTCCTGCCTCAGCCTCCCGAGTAGCGGGATTACAGGCATGTGCCACCACGCCCGGCTAATTTTGTATTTTTAGTAGAGAAGGGGTTTTTCCATGTTGGTCAGGCTGGTCTCGAACTCTCAACCTCAGGTGATCCACACGCCTTGGCCTTCCAAAGTGCTGGGATTCTAGGCATGAGCCACCGCGCCTGGCCTAATTTTTTATTTTTTGTACAGATGGGTCCTCATTGTGCTGCCTGGGCTGGTCTCAAACTCTTGACCTCAAGCAATCCTCTTGGGTTGGTCTCCCGAAGTGCTGGGATTACAGCAGTGAGCCACTGCACTGAGCCTATATAACTTGGTTTTTGAAAATCCAATTTGACAATATCCATCTTTTAATAAGATGGTTTAGCCCCTTTAACTGTATTATGATTTCTAAAATATCTGGATTGGTTTTCTCTTTTTCACTTAAGAGTTTCCAGTTTTTCTAATTTTTACCTGCCTTTCCCCACTTTTTCATTTTTTTTTTTTCTTTTCGAGATGGAGTCTCGCTCTTGTCACCCAGGCTGAAGTACAATAGTGCGATCTCTGCTCACTCCAACGTCTGCTGCCCCAGTTCAAGCTTCTCCTGCCTCAGCTTCCTGAATAGCTGGGATTACAGGCATCCGCCACCACACCCGGCTAATTTTTGTACTTTTAGTAGAGACGGCGTTTCACCATATTGGTCAGGCTGGTCTCGAACTCCTGACCTCAGGTGACCAACCCGCCTCGGCCTCCCAAAGTGCTGGGATTACAGGCCTGAGCCACCAAGCCCGACCTCATTTTTTTTTTTTTCAGTCTAATCCAACACATTTAATTTTTTTCTTTTCCATTTTCTTCTTTTTAAAAGTTTAGAAGTTACAAGTATTACTTTCTTTTAGCATTTACTCATTACATGTTACCATTTATATTTAATGCAACATTATTTCGTCTTAACAATGAAAGGAATTTAGAAGCCAGGCGCAGTGGCTCACACCTGTAATCCCAGCACTTTGGGAGGCCAAGGGGGGCAGATCACTTGAGGCCAGGAGTTTGAGACCAGCTTGGCCAACATGGCAAAACCCCATCTCTACTAAAAATACAAAAATTAGTCAGGCGTGGTGATACACACCTATGGTCCCAACTACTAGGGAGGCTGAGGTATGAGAATCTCTGAGCTGGGAGGCAGAGGTTGCATTGAGCCAAGATTGCACCACTGCACTCTAGCCTGTGAGACTGAGAGAGACTGTCTCAAAAAAAAAAAGAAATAAAGAAAGAAAAAGAAAAAAAAAAGAAAGGATTTTAGAACACAATTCAGATCAACTGGTAACTGATTCACATGTTGGGTCATTTTTCAGTATTTTATTTTTATTGTTTTATATCCAACTGGGCATCATTACTATTTTATACAAAGAATATTTGTTTAAATTTATGTGTCTATCTCTTATTTCTTCCCAAAACTGTTTCTCCCCATTTTCTCCCATCCAGTTAATGGTATCATCACACAGCCAGTGCCTCAGCATAAAACCTTTGAGATCATGCTTATTATCTTTTTCTTATACCCATAATCCAATTTAGCAGCAAATTCTGTTTTGGCTACAACTTCCGAATATATCGGCACCTCAGCGAGCAGTCTCTCTGACAGCATCTCTCACATGCTCCCCATCACCCCTTGACTTCCACGCAGCCTGGCTCACTGCTGTCCTGCACACGTGACACTGTGGCCTAAGGTTCACAGCACAGGGTATACCATCTGGCCAGAATATTCCACTGACACACAATTCAAATCTGTGTTTATTAAACTACTGACTTCAAAAAGGCCCTTGCATAAAGCACACACTACATCTCATTCTCTTCTACCAACATAACACAGCCATGGTGTTAGAGCTATATCTCTAACACAGATGGAAATGCCAACATCGTAGCTGCCAAATTAATACATATTGAATAAATACATAATATATGATGAAAAGAAGATAACTGAAATTGATATAGAAGGAAGAGTCAAATGACATTCATTTGACTAAACTGAGAGAGGCAAGGATTAAGTTTTGGAAAAAAACAAAGACCATTTAGCTGTTATCTGCTAGTGTGTAATAACATATACATCTGAGGCAAGCAGGCCAACTCTTCTTAGTCACTTCCAAAGTTCTGGTAACTCTAAAAACATATCTCTGAAAAATTTCAAAGATGTCAATATGTGAAGTATCTCCCTAGGATCAAATTTCTCCCTGGGATTATAGCTTCCTATATATTTATTAACTCACCTAGGTGGCTCTGACTTGGGGACTCTTCCTCTAATATCCACAGCACCTGTCCATGCTCCAACTTGCAAACCACCTCTGGTTTGGTAATGCAATATCCTGTGAATGAAAATGACACAGGACGTGGGCCAGATAGCCTGCGGAGGACAAAGGTGTGCCTGCACAAAAATAGGTCCACTTGAGCATTTCATTACAGAAAACACCACAGATATTCTTTACAGTGCCCAGAAGGGATCAATCAAGCTTCAACTCCTGAGTCTCAAGCCTTTAACTCATATTCATACAAAGAAACCATCTGTAATCAGCAGCTAAAAAGGAAATAAATGTTATTTGAAGCTGCAAATTACATAATCCTTACCCACTGAGAGGAGGAGGCTGTAGTTCTCCAGCATCATGTCTCTGTACGGGGTCCTCTGAGCAGAGTCCAGATGCTGCCACTCCTCCTGGGTGAAGCCCACAGCCACATCACTGAAGGACACTGATCCCTAGAACAGTACATTTGTTTTCATTCTACAGTGATCAGAAGTGGAGAGCATACAACATGTGTGAGATCTAACACCTTGTCATGTTCACTGTTGATAGTTGAAGAGAAAATGCTACATAGGATGCCTACTATTGATATTATACATTGTAGGAAAATGAGAAATCCTGGTATGAGGACTCTGCCGGTATATTAATTTTTTTTTTTTTTCAGACGGGGTCTTGCGCTATCACTCAGGCTAGAGTGCTGTGGCATGATCACAACTCACTGCAACCTTGACCACTGGGGCACAAGCGATTCTGCCACCTCAGCCTCCCAAGTAGCTGGGACAACAGGCACGCACCACCACACCCAGCTAATTGTTTATTTGTAGAGACAAGGTCTCACCATGTTGCCCAGGCTGGTCTTGAACTCCAGGCTCAAGCGATCCTCCTGCCCTGGCCTCCCAAAGTGCTGGGATTACAGATGTGAACCACTAGGCCCGGCCTACTTTCTTAATTCATACAAAAATTATACGAGGTCCTGCTAGTGATAGACGCAGGAGGCAGATAAGGGAGGGTCCCCGGAGAATCTCCAACCAACCCCACAAGTGTTTACATCAGATGCTTTTCTGCAGATAAGGGAATCTGCCCAGGGTCTTGTCTGCACATGCCTGCAACAGACTGGGGACCCACCTGCACACTGGGAGAATGAGGTGGAGGCAGGGGAAGTTTGCGCCTTGTACAGGGGGGAGGAGCCTGGCCTCTTAAGATACTGTGTGGTGGCCTGGTATTCAATCTGTGAGGTGGCAGTCTTTTAGTAGAATTGATATTTTTTAAAAAATTGATTAAAAAAAAAACCTAGGCTGAGTGTGGTGGCTCATGCCTATAATCCCAGCACTTTGGGTGGCCAAGGCAGGCAGATCACTTGAGGTCAGAAGTTCAAGACCAGCCTGGCCAATGTGGTGAAACCCTGTCTCTATTAAAAATACAAAAATTAGTCAAGCTTGGTGGTGCGCACCTGTAATTCCGGCTACTGGGGAGGCTGAGACAGGAGAATCACTTGAACCTGGGAGGTGGAGGTTGCAGTGAGCCAAGATCACGCCACTTCACTCCAGCCTGGGTGACAGAGCTAGACTCTGTCTCAAAAAATAAATAATAAATCATTTTTCCTTTTAGAGGCCAGGTCTTGCTGTTTTGCCCATGCTGGAGTACATTCACAGGCATGATCATTGCACACTACAGCCTCAAATTCCTGGGTTCAAGCAATACTCCTGCCTCAGCCTCCCAAGTACATGGGGCTCCAGGCATGTCACCCAGGCTGTAGTGCAATGGCACGATCTCAGCTCACCGCAACCTCCACCTCCCAGGTTCAAGCAATTCTCCTGCTTCAGCCTCCTGAGTAGCTGGGGTTACAGGGGCGCACCACCACGCCTGGCTCATTTTTGTATTTTTAGTAGAGACAGGGTTTCATCATGTTGGTCAGGCTCATCTCAAACTCCTGACCTCGGCCCACCTCAGCCTCCCAAAGTGCTAGGATTACAGGCTTGAGCCACACCGCACCCAGCCCCTGCTTTTTTTTTTTTGAAACACGGTCTTGTTCTGTCACCCAGGCTGGAATGCAGTGGCACAAACACAGCTCACTGCAGCTTTGACCTCCTGGGCTCAAGCAATCTTCTTACCTCAGCCTCCTGAGTAGCTAGGACTACAGATGCATACCACCATCCCCAGTTAATTTTTTTGCCTTTTCACAGAGACAAGGTTTCACCATGTTGCCCAGGTTAGTCTCTAACTCCTGGGCTCTAGCAATCTGCTTGCCTCAGCCTCCCAAAATACTGCAATTACAGGAATAAGTCACTGCATCGGGCAGATTTTTAAATTTTTGGAGAAATGGGGTCTCACTATGTTACCCAGGTTGGTCTCAAACTCCTGGGCTCAAGTGATCCTCCCACCTCAAGCCTCCCAAAGTGTTGTGATTACAGGCATAAGCCACCTTGCCCAGCCTGGCTGTTGTACTTAAGTTGCTTTTATAAAAGGTGGCGAAGGTAAGTTGATGTTTGGGTCTGGGGAAAAAAAAAAGGGGGCCTGTAATCCCAGCTACTCAGGAGGCTGAGGCAGGAGAATGGCGTGAACCCGGGAGGCGGAGCTTGCAGTGAGCTGAGATCGCGCCACTGCACTCCAGCCTGGGCAACAAAGCAAGACTCCATCTCAAAAAAAAGAAAAAAGGGAAAAAAGGTATGTCAAAAACAAAAATTATAAATGGGCTTATCTTGCTAGATATTACTGTTTATTATGAACTCCTCTAATAAAAAGAAAAATACCCCAGTGAAAAGAAAAAGTCCCAAAACAGAGTTAAATAGTGTCCTACGCCAGGCGCGGTGGCTCACACCTCTAGTCTCAGCACTTTGGGAGGCCGAAATGGGCAGATCACCTGAGGTCAGGAGTTCCCTGGCCAACATGGTGAAACCCCATATCTACTAATAATACAAAAAAATTAGACAGGCATGGCTACTCGGGAGGCTGAGGCAGAAGAATTGCTTGAACCCGGGAGGCAGAGGTTGCAGTGAGCCGAGATCATGCCACTGCACTCCAGTCTGGGGGCACAAGAGGGAAACTCTATCTCAAAAAAAAAAAAAAGTGTCCTAATATATGGTAAAGTCACCATATACAAAGGATGATCAACCTTTTTTTTTTTTTTTTTGAGACAGAGTCTCGCTTTGTCACACAGACTGGAGTGCAGTGGCACAAACATGGCTCACTGCAACCTCTACCTCCCAGGCTCAAGTGATCCTCCCGCCTCAGCCTCCCAAAGTGCTTGGATTACAGGCATGAGCCACTGCACCCACCCAGCCAATGATCAACTTATTAAATATGGTTGACATAATTATAAATGCTTATAAATTATAAATCCTTTATAAATTATAACAGAATAAGTTGGAAGGCTCCCTAGGAAACATACTCCAGGAAAAGGGCACATTTGGTACAAAGACAAAGGTGGTGTTATGCCTGGTACATCCAGCAAGAAGGCAAGTCGAGCTGGAGCATAGTGATCAAGAGGCTGAGAAGGAAGTGAAGTCACAGATGTAATGGATCACATAACCCACTGGTGGAACTTTGGCTTTTACTCAGTGAAAAATGTAGATGTTGGGCAGAGGATTGGCGCTTAGCAACCTGACTCTTCCTACACAGGTACTCTAAATGCTATGCCAGAGGCCAAGGTCTGAGCAGCAGCAAGACTGCTCTGCAACGGTTGCTGTAATCCAGGCAAAAGATGTCATAGAGAGGATTGCAAGAGGTCAGACTCTGTGGATATATTCTGGATGTATGCCCCAGAGGTTTTTCTGACAAATAAGATGTGTAAGACAAGAAAAAAACAGTTCAAAAATAATTCCAAGGGGTCTGCTATCAAACAAGAAGGGGAAGGAATGCTCCAGAGGTTGTGGGTTTGGGAGAGAAAATCCAAGAGGCCAGTTTTAATCATGTTGAGCTTGGGTCTATAAAATACTCAAGCAGAGATGCAGAGTGGACAGTTAACATATGCATCCAAAGTGTAAGAAGGAAATCTGAGCTGGAGAGATTACCAGGAGGGATCAGGCCCCAGAGAGTACTGCTGACAAAACATTGCCAAGGGAGAGGCCTCAGCCAGACAAAGTACAAGTGATAACAAATGGAGGCAGCCAAATGCCAAGGTAAATAGGGGCAGGTCCCCAGTGAAACCTCCAAGCCAAAGACAGTTTAAAGCCTGAAAGCCAAGATACAAGTTAAATCCTTGGACCAGACTGAGGACTTATCTTCCTCTTTGGCATGCTTTCCTCTAATCCCCACTCTTCACCTATTTTATATATAGCTACCCTTTCCTAATTGGTTTTCTACACTGTTATGCCCACCATTGAGTGGTGTCTTCACTTTAACATTTTTTGCATACTCACAAACCAATGAGCACACACTGTCCATTCTGAGTGCTATAAAGAAAGACCCCAGACTCAGTCAGTAGAGGGGGAGACAGTTTGACTTCAGAGAGAGACAATTTGACTTCAGAGAGATGGCTTGACTTCAGGGAAGGGGCAACCTGACCTCAGGGAAGGCAACCTGCCCTTCCCGTCCCCTTTCCAGTTCCCCTCTCTGCTGAGAGCCATTTTCATTGCTCAATAAAATTCTCTGACTTCACCATCCTTCAGTTTGCCCATGTGACATTCTTCTTGGACACCAGACAAAAGCTCAGGATCCACTGAGTGCGGGTACCTAGAAAGACTGTCACGCTGGCCCTTTGTCCTCACCAGAGGAGGGCAGCCACCCCATGCAACGAGACAAGGGGCCAACTGAGCTGCAAACACACAGCTGTCTGCAGACAGCAAAACTAACAGAGCACCGTAACACTCCCTCTAGGGTTTTGGGGTAGTGGGCACCCTCGCCTTGGCACCGCCATCCAAGTGTGCGAGCAAGTGTGGGATCTGGCTGGCCATTCTGGACACGGAGCTTGCTCCTGCCAGTGCCCGGAGCAGCCAGCCAGATCCCGCACTCACTCACGTGCTCCATCCTGCAAGGGGTTGAGCGCAATGGGCCGAGTAAATGGGACAGCCCTGTCACGAGTCCAACAAAGGGGCCAAGAAAAATCCTGCATCACAATGACCAAGGACTACACATAAACATTCAGAGACAGGAAGAAAAGGAGGAACCAGCAAACGATGAGAGAAGGAAAGTTAAAAGTTAAGGTCGGCAACATGGTGAAACCCCGTCTCTACAAAAAAATACAAAAATTAGTGTGGTGGTGCATGCCTGTAGTCCCAACTACTCAAGAGGCTGAGGTGGGAGGATCACTTGAACACCTGAGCCCAGGATGTCGAGGCTGCAGTGAGCTATGATCGTGCCACTGTACTCTAGGCTGTGTGACAGTGAGACTCTGTTCAAAAAAAAAAGGAAAAAGTTAAGGCAAAGTGCAGTGGCTCTCACCTGTAATCCCAACACTTTGGGAGGTCAAGGTAGGAAAATTGCTTGAGCCCAGGACTTCCACACCAGCCTGGGCAACATGGCAAATCCCATCTCTACAATAAATAGAAAAATTGCCCGGGTGTGCTGGCTCACGCCTGTAATCCCAGCACTTTGGAAGGCCGAGGCAGGTGGATCACCTGAGGTCGGGAGTTCAAGACCAGCCTGACCAACATGGAGAACCCCATCTCTACTAAAAATACAAAAAAATTAGCCAGGTGTGGTGACGCATGCCTGTAATCCCAGGTACTTGGGAGGCTGAGGCAGGAGAATCGCTTGAACCTGGGAGGTGGAGGTTGCGGTGAGGTGAGATCACGCCATTGCACTCCAGCCTGGGCAACAAAAGTGAAACTCTGTCTCTAAATAAATAAATAGAAAAATTAGCTGGGCATAGTGGCATGCACCTGTAGTCCCAGCTACTCAGGAGGCTAAGGTGGGAGTATCACCGAAGCCCAGGGAGCTCAAGGCTAAAGTGAGCCGTGATGGCACCACTGCACTCCAGCCTGGGCAACAGAGTAAAACACTGTTCCCGCAACCAAAAAAAAATTAAAAGGGAAAGTTAAAAGAGTGTGGTGTCCTGTAAGCCAAGTGAAGAAAGTCAACCAGAAGGGAAAAACACAGGCATACCTCAAAGATAATGTGCATTCAGTTCCGGACCACTGCAATAAAGCAAATGTCACTTGAGTCATGCGAGTATGTTGGTTTCCCATGCATGTGAAAGTTATGTTTTCACTATACTATAGTCTATTAAGTGTGCAATAGCATTATGTCTAGTAAACCAATGTACATATCCTAATTTTTTTTTTTTTGGAAGACAGAGTCTCGCTCTGTTGCCCAGGTTGGAGAGCAGTGGTGTGATCTCAGCTCACTGCAACCTCTGCCTCCTGGGTTCAAGAAATTCTCATGCCTCAGTCTCCTGAGTACCTAGGATTACAGGAGTACACCACCACGCCCACCTAATTTTTCTATTTTTTGGTAGAGACAGGGTTTCACCATGTTGGCCGGGCTGGTCTCAAACCCTTGGCCTCAAGTGATCCACCCACTTTGGCCTCCCAAAGTGCATGAGCCACCGTGTACAGACATATCCTAATTTTAAAATACTTCATGGCCTAAAAATGCAGGCCAAGTACATTGGTTCATGCCTGTAATCCCAGCACTTTGGAAGGTTGAAGTGGGAGGATCATTTGAACCAAGGAGCCCAAGATCAGCCTGGGCAACATAAGGGACCCTGTCTCTTATTTATTTAAAAAAATAAATAAATAAATGATGGCCAGGCGCGGTGGCTCACGCCTGTAATCCCAGCACTTTAGGAGGCCAAGGCTGGTGGATCACCTGAGGTCAGGGGTTCGAGACCAGCCTGGTCGACATGCTGAAAGCCCGTCTCTATAAAAATACAAAAATTAGCCGGGTGTGGTGCACGCCTGTAGTCCCAGGTGCTCAGGAGGCTGAGGCAGGAGAATCGCTTGAACCCGGGAGGCAGAGGTCACAGTGAGCCAAGGTCGCACCACTGCACTCCAGCCTGGGTGAAAGAGCCAGACTATGTCTCAAAAAATAAAGTAAAATAAAAGAAATGCTAACAATCATCTGAGCCTATAGTGAATCATAATCTTTTTGCTGGTAGATGGTCTTGCCTCAATGTTGATGACTGCTAGTGGTGGTTTGCTGAAGGCTGGGATGGCTGTGCAATTTCTTAAAATAAAAGGACAATTAAGTCTGCCACACTGATTGACTCTTCCTTTCTTTTTCTTTTTTTTTTTTTTTTTTTTTTTTTTGAGATAGAGTCTCACTCTGTAGCCCAGGCTGGAATGCAGTGGCACAATCTTGGCTCACTGCAAGCGCTGCCTCCTGGGTTCACACCATTCTCCTGCCTCAGCCTCCCGAGTAGCTGGGACTACAGGCGCCCACCACTACACCCAGCTAATTTTTTGTATTTTTAGTAGAGACGGGGTTTCACCGCGTTAGCCAAGATGGTCTCGATCTCCTGACCTCGTGATCCGCCTGCCTCGGCCTCCCAAAGTGGTGCTGGGATTACAGGCGTGAGCCACTGCGCCCGGCCTTTTTTTTTTTTTTTTTTTTTTTTTGAGACAGAGTTTCACTCTTGGTGCCCAGGCTGGAGTGCAATGGCGCGATCGCAGCTCGCCACAACCTCTGCCTCCCAGGTTCAAGCAATTATCCTGCCTCAACCTCCCGAGTAGTTGGCATCACAGGCATGTGCCACCATGGCCGGCTAATTTTGTATTTTTAGTAGAGACGGGGTTTCTCCATGTTGGTCAGGCTGGTCTCAAACTCCCGACCTCAGGTGATCCACCTGCCTCAGCCTCCAAAAGTGCTGGGGTTACAGGAATGAGCCACTGCACCCGGCCGGCTCTTCCTTTCACGAAAGATTTCTCTGTAGCATGAGATGCTGTTTAATTTTACCTATAGTAGAACTTCTTTCAAAATTGGATTCAATCCTCTAAAACCCTGCTGCTGCCTTATTAACTAAGTTTATGTAAGTCTAAATCCTTTGTTGTCATCTTAACAATGTTCACAGCATCTTCACCAGGAATAGATTACATCACAAGAAACAATTTTCTTATCTCACGCATAAGAAGCAACTCCTCATCTGTTCAAGTTCTAACATAAGATTGCAGCAATTCACTCACATCTGCAGGCTCCACTTCTAATTCTAGTTATGCTATTTCCACATCTGCAGTGACTTCCTCCACTGAAGACTTGAACCCCTCAAAGTCATCCATAAGGGTTGGATTCAAGTTCTTCCAAATTCCTATTAATGTTGTTAATTGGACCTATTCCCATGAATCGTAAATGGTCTTAGTGGCATCTTGAGCAGTGAATCCATTCCAGAAGGTTTTCAATTTACTTTGCCCAGATCCATCAGAGGGATCACTATCCATGCCAGCTATAGCCTTACAAATTTTTCTTTTCTTTTTTTTTTTTTTCTGAGATAGAGTCTCATTCTGTTGCCCACGCTGGAGTGCAGTGGCACAATCTCGGCTCACTGCAACCTCTGCCTCCCAGGTTCAAGCGATTCTCTTGCCCCAGCCTCCCGAGTAGCTGGGATTACAGGTATGCACCACCACACCCAGCTAATTTTTGTATTTTTAGTAGAGACAAGGTTTCACCATGTTTGCCAGGCTGGTATCAAACTCCTGACCTGAGGTGATCCACCAGCCTCGGCCTCCCAAAGTGCTGGGATTACAGGCATGAGTCACAACGCCTGGCTACAAATTTATTTCTTAAACAATAAAAGTTGAAGGTCGGGCGCAGTGGCTCACACCTGCAATAACAGCACTTTGGAAGGCCGAGGCAGGCAGATCACGAGGTCAGGAGTTTGAGACCAGCCTGGCCAATATGGTGAAACCCTGTCTCTACTAAAAATACAAAAATTAGCCAGGCGTGGTGGCGTGCACCTGTAGTCCCAGCTAGTCGGGAGGCTGAGGCAGAAGAATCACTTGAACCCGCGAGGCAGAGGTTGCAGTGAGCCAAGATTGTGCCACTGCACTCCAGCCTGGGCGACACAGCAAGACTCCGTCTCAAAAAAAGAAAAATAAAAAATAAAACTTGAAAGTCAAAATTACTCCTTGGCCGGGTGCGGCGGCTCATGCTTATAATCCTAGCACTATGGGAGGCTGAGGCAGGCAGATCACTTGAGGACAAGAGTTCAAGACCAGCCTGGTCAACATGATGAAACCCCATCTCTACTAAAAAAAAAATACAAAACAATTAGCTGGGTGTGGCAGCAGGCACCTGTAATCTCAGCTACTGAGGAGGCTGCGGCAGGAGAATCGCCAAACCTAGGAGGTGGAGGTTGCAGTGAGCCAAGATCACGCCATTGCAATCCAGCCTGGACAACAAGAGCTAAACTGTCTCAAAAAAAAAATTACTCCTTGATCCATGGGCTGTAGAATGGATGCATGCTAGTAAGCATGAAAACAACATTAATTTCATACCTCATAGCTCTTATGTGACTAGCTTGTCAATGAGCAGTAACATTTTGAAAGAAATATTTTTTCTGAACATTAGGACTCAATAATTTGTTTAAAATAATCAGTAAACCAGCTGGGCATGGTGGCTCACGCCTGTAATCCCAGCACTATGGGATGCCGAGGCGGGTGGATCACAAGGTCAGGAGTTGGAGACCAGCCTGACAAACATGGTGAAACCCCGTCTCTACTAATAATACAAAAATTAGCTGGGTGTGGTGGTGCGCACCTGTAATCCCAGCTACTCAGGAGGCTGAGGCAGGAGAATCAATTGAACCCAGGAGGCGGAGGTTGCAGTGAGCTGAGATCACACCACTGTACTCCAGCCTGGGTGACAAAGCAAGACTCCATCTCAAAAAAAAAAAAAAGAAAGAAAGAAAAAAAGAAAAGAAAACAAAAATTCAGTAAACCATGCTATAAACAAATATGCCAGCCAGGCACAGTGGCTCATGCCTGTAATCCTAGTACTTTGGGAGGCTGAGACGGGTAGATCACCTGAGATCAGGAGTTGGAGACCAGCCTGGCCAACATGGTGAAACCCTGTCTCTACTAAAAATACAAACAAGCTCCAGCTCCCTCTCCCTCTCCCTCTCTTTCCACGGTCTCCCTCTGATGCCGAGCCGAAGCTGGACTGTACTGCTGCCATCTCGGCTCACTGCAACCTCCCTGCCTGATTCTCCTGCTTCAGCCTGCCGAGTGCCTGTGATTGCAGGCGCGCACCGCCACGCCTGACTGGTTTTCGTATTTTTTTGGTGGAGACGGGGTTTCGCTGGGTTGGCCGGGCTGGTCTCCAGCTCCTAACTGCGAGTGATCCCCCAGCCTCGGCCTCCCGAGGTGCCGGGATTGCAGACAGAGTCTCGTTCACTCAGTGCTCAATGGTGCCCAGGCTGGAGTGCAGTGGCGTGATCTCGGCTCGCTACAACCTCCACATCCCAGCCGCCTGCCTTGGCCTCCCAAAGTGCCGAGATTGCAGCCTCTGCTCGGCGGCCACCCCATCTGGGAAGTGAGGAGCGTCTCTGCCTGGCCGCCCATCGTCTGGGATGTGAGGAGCCCCTCTGCCTGGCTGCCCAGTCTGGAAAGTGAGGAGCGTCTCTGCCCGCCCGCCATCCCATCTAGGAAGTGAGGAGCGCCTCTTCCCGGCTGCCATCCCATCTAGGAAGTGAGGAGCGTCTCTGCCCGGCCGCCCATCATCTGAGTTGTGGGGAGCACCTCTGCCCCGCCGCCCCGTCAGGGATGTGAGGAGCGCCTCTGCCCGGCCACGACCCCGTCTGGGAGGTGAGGAGCGTCTCTGCCCGGCCGCCCCGTCTGAGAAGCGAGGAGACCCTCTGCCCGGCAGCTGCCCCATCTGAGAAGTGAGGAGCCCCTCCGCCCGGCAGCCGCCCCGTCTGAGAAGTGAGGAGCCCCTCCGCCCGGCAGCCACCCCGTCTGGGAAGTGAGGAGCGTCTCCGCCCGGCAGCCACCCGGTCCGGGAGGGAGGTGGGGATCAGCCCCCGCCAGGCCAGCCGCCCCGTCCGGGAGGGAGGTGAGGGGATCAGCCCCCCACCCAGCCAGCCGCCCCGTCCAGGAGGGAGGTGGGGGGGTCAGCCCCCCGCCCGGCCAGCCGCCCCTTCCGGGAGGGAGGTGGGCGGGTCAGCCCCCCGCCCGGCCAGCCGCCCCATCCGGGAGGGAGGTGGGGGGGTCAGCCCCCCGCCCGGCCAGCCGCCCCGGGAGGGAGGTGGGGGGGGTCAGCCCCCCGCCCGGCCAGCCGCCCCGTCCGGGAGGGAGGTGGGGGGGTCAGCCCCCGCCCAGCCAGCCGCCCCATCCGGGAGGTGAGGGGCGCCTCTGCCCGGCCGCCCCTACTGGGAAGTGAGGAGCCCCTCTGCCCGGCCACCACCCCGTCTGGGAGGTGTACCCAACAGCTCATTAAGAACGGGCCATGATGACGATGGCGGTTTTGTGGAATAGAAAAGGGGGAAAGGTGGGGAAAAGATTGAGAAATTGGATGGTTGCTGTGTCTGTGTAGAAAGAAGTAGACATGGCAGACTTTTCATTTTGTTCTGTACTAAGAAGAATTCTGCCTTGGGATCCTGTTGATCTATGACCTTACCCCCAACCCTGTGCTCTCTGAAACATGTGCTGTGTCAACTCAGGGTTAAATGGATTAAGGGCGGTGCAAGATGTGCTTTGTTAAACAGATGCTTGAAGGCAGCATGCTCATCAAGAGTCATCACCACTCCCTAATCTCAAGTACCCAGGGACACAAACACTGCGGAAGGCCGCAGGGTCCTCTGCCTAGGAAAACCAGAGACCTTTGTTCACTTGTTTATCTGCTGACCTTCCCTCCACTATTGTCCTATGACCCTGCCAAATCCCCCTCTGCGAGAAACACCCAAGAATGATCAATAAAAAAAAATAATAATAATAAATAAAATAAAAATACAAACAATTAGCCGGGCATGGTGGCACACACCTGTAATCCCAGCTACCCAGGAGGCTGAGACAGAAGAATCACTTGAACCAGGAGGCAGAGGTTTCAGTGAGCCAAGATCATGCCACTGCACTCCAGCCTGGGTGACACAGTGAGACGTTGTCTCAAAACAAAAAAAAAAAAAAGAAAAAAAAAGTTTTCCTTTGCATTTACATTTGGGCTGTTCGGCACAAGAGGCCTAATTTAGGCCTGTCTTGGCTTTTGATATATGCCTTCCTCATTAAGCTTAAGTATTTCTAGCTTCTGATTTAAAGTGAGAGATGTATGACTCTTCCTCTCACTGGAACACTGAGAGGCCACTGCAGGGTAGTTACCTACCCTAATTTCAATATTGTTGTGTCTCAAGGAATAGGGAGGCCAGAGGAAAGGGAGAGAGAAAGGGGAACAGCCAGTCAGTGAAGCAGTCAGAACACAGGCAACATTTGTTAATTTTAACCATCTTATATACGGTCAAAACAATTACAATAATAATAACAGAAATCACAGATCACAGATTGCCATAATAGATAATAAAAAAAAGTCTGAAATAGGGCAAGAATTACCAAAATGTGACCCAGAGACACAACATGAGCACATGCTAAAAAAAAAAAAAAAAGAAAGAAAGAAAAACAGTTGTGAGGCTAGGTGAGGTGGCTCGTGCCTACAGTCCCAGAGCTCTGGGGGACCAAGGTGGGATGGGAAGATCACTTGATGCCAGGAGTTCAAGACCAACCTGGGCAACATAGTGAGACCAAGTTTCCACCAAAAAAAAAAAATTTTTTTTTTTTTTCGAGACAGTGTTTCACTCTGAAACCCAGACTGCAATGCAGTGGCATGATCTCGGCTCACTGCAACCTTAGCCTCCCGGGTTCAAGCAATTTTCCTGCCTCAGCCTCCCGAGTAGCTGGGACTACAAGTGTGCACCACCACGCCTGGCTAATTTTTATATTTTTAGTAGAGACAGGGTTTCGCCATGTTGGCCAGGCTGGTCTCAAACTAATGACCTCAGGTGATCCACCTGCCTCGGCTTCCCAAAGTGCTGGGATTACAGGCATGAGCCATCCGCCTGGCCCAAAAAGAAAATTTTTTTTTTTGAGATGGAGTTTTGCTCTTGTTGCCCAGGCTGGATTGCAATGGCGTGAACTCGGCTCACCGCAACCTCTGCCTCCTGGGTTCAAGCAATTCTCCTGCCACAGCCTCCCGAGCAGCTGGGATTACAGGCATGTACCACCTCACCCAGCTAATTTTGTATTTTTAGTAGAGACAGGGTTTCTCCATGTTGGTCAGGCTGGTCTCAAACTCCCGACCTCAGTTGATCCACCCGCCTTGGCATCCCCAAGTGCTGGGATTACAGACATGAGCCACCGCACCTGGCCAAAAAAAATTTTTTAATTAGCCAGGCATAGCCAGGCATGGCTGTGGTCCCAGCTACTCAGGGGGCTGAGGCAGGAGGATCCCCTGAGTCGAAGAGTTCAAGGTTACAATGAGCTAAGATCATGCCACTGCACTCCAGCCTGGGTGACAACATGAGACCCCTATCTCTATTTATAAAAAAAAAAAGAAAGAAAAAAAAAAGGCCGGATGCAGTGGCTCATGCCTGTAATCCCAGCACTTCAAGAAGCTGAGGCAGGTGGATCACGAGGTCAAGAGATCGTGACCATCCTGGCCAACATGGTGAAACCCCACCTCTACTAAAAATACAAAAATTAGCTGGGTATGGTGGTGCACACCTGTAGTCCCAGCTACTCAGGAGGCTGAGGCAGAAGAGTCGCTTGAACCCAGGAGGCCAAGGTTGCAGTGAGCTGAGATCACGCCACTGCACTCCAGCCTGGTGACAGAGGGAGACTCTGTCTCAAAAAAAAAAAAAAAAATGTTGTCTACAGATTTGCTCAATGCCGGGTTTCCACAAACTTTTAATTGTTAAAAAAAGAAAAAAGAAAAAAGAAAAAAAAGCACAATATCTGCAAAGTACATTAAAGCAAGGGACAATAAAACGAGGTGTGCCTGTAATCAATGATTACGTGGCTAGAAAGCCACGTAAGAGGGTTCAGGCATAGTAGTTCAACCCTACAATCCCAGCACTTCGGGAGGCAGAGGTTGCAGTAATCTGGGGTCGTGCCACTGCACTCCAGCCTGGGCAACAGAGCAAGACTCCATCTCAAAAACAAACAAACAGAAAGAGTAATTCACTAGATAATTTTTAAAAAAGAAAGTCATGTTAAGAGGAAGACTGAAGATTTCACCACTAGAGGTCACTGCTGACCTTAACTAAAAGGACTGGGATAGAATTAAGGCTTTGAGTTCACTACAGACCAACCTTGGAGATAAAGAGACAAAAAGCAAAGTAAACTGTGAACAATTTTTGGTCTGAATGGGGTTATGTGAACTAGTGTGTGTGAGACATAGCTTTGCCCTGGAACAAACACACCTGCCACCCACCTGGGGATGACAAATGACAAGGTAGAAACAAACAACTAGGACTTGTATCAAGTTCTAAAGGATAATTTCCCTAATATAAAGAAATTAAATCTATAATTTTAAAATTATTCATAAAGAAAAGCCAGACCCTAGAAAAATTCACTGCTGTAATTTTACAAGCAATTAAGGAATAAATAGCACCAATCTTACACAAGCACTCATGGAGAATAAAGAGAAAACACTAAACATGTTTTCTGAAACAGGCATAAAATTGATATAAACCTAACAAAGGCCGGGGGCAGTGGCTCATACCTGTAATCCCGATGTTTTGGGAGGCCAAGACAGGAGGATCACTTGAGCCCAGGAGTTCAAGACCAGCCTGGGCAACATAGCAAAACACCATCTCTAAAAAAAATACAAAAAAGTAACCAGGCATTATGGTACATGCCTGTAGTCCCAGCTACTCAGGAGGCTGAGATCAGAAGATTGCTTGAGCCCAGGAGTTCAAGGGAGAGGTGAGTTATGATCATCACACCACTGCGCTCCAGCCTGGGTGACAGAGCAAGACCTTGTCTCAAAAAAAAAAAAAAAAAACAAAAGACTGGGCCGGGCATGTTGGCTCACGCCTGTAATCCCAACACTTTGGGAGGCCAAGGCAGGCAGATCACCTGAGGTCAGAAGTTTGAGACCAGCCTGACAAACATGATGAAACCCCATCTCTACTATAAATACAAAAATTAGCCGGGTGTGGTGGCTAACGCCTATAATCCTAGCTACTCAGGAGGCTAAGGCAGGGGAATCGCTTGAACTGGGGAGGTGGAGGTTGCAGTGAGCCGAGATCACGCCATTGCACTCCAGCCTGGGCGATGAGAGCGAAACTCTGTCTCAAAAAAAAAAAAAATTAAGATATTAGAAGAGGCCGGGTGTGATAGCTCACGCCTGTTATCCCAGCACTTTGGGAGACCAAGGTGGTGTTAGATCACTTGAGGCCAGGAGTTCAAGACCAGCCAGGCCAATATGGTGAAACCCTGTCTCTCTAAAAATACAAAAATTAGCCAGTCCTGGTGGTGCCTGCCTGTAATCCCAGATACTTGGGAGGCAGAGGCACAAGAATCGCTTGAACTCGGGAGGCAAAGGTTGCAGTAAGCTGAGATAGGGCCACTACACTCCAGACTAGGCATTAGAGTGAGACTCTTTCTCAAAAAAAAAAAAAGACTTTTAAGAAAGGAAAATAACAGCCAGGCATGGTGGCTCATACCTGTAGTCTCAACACTTTGGGAGGCTGAGGCGGGTGGCATCTGAGGTCAGGAGTTCAAGACCAGCCTGGTCAAGATGGTGAAACCCCATATCTACTAAAAATACAAAAAATTAGCTGGGCATGGTGGCAGACACCTGTAATCTCAGCTACTCAGGAGGCTGAGGTATGAGAATCGCTTGAACCCGGGAGGCAGAGGTTGCCATGAACTGAGATCATGCCACTGCACTCCAGCCTGGGCGACAACTTGGTCTCAAAAAAAAAAAAAAAAAAAAGAAAGAAAGAAAACAACAGACTCTTTCAGGAACAAAGACACAAAAATATCTAACAATTTGTCATGGAATATATTTTAAAAGGATAAAGCAACAATATGACTTTGTTCCTGGAAAATAGGCTGATTTAACATTTGAAAATCAAAACATTAATAAAATTAACTCAATCCATAGGTTAATATCAATCAATCCACTGAAAAAGAATAAAACAATATAATCATCTCAATAATAATTAAATTCATTCTTCTGGTCTATTAGCTAAAAAAATAATAATAATTCAACGGCCGGGCACGGTGGCTCATGCCTATAATCCCAGTACTTTGGGAGGCCAAGGCGGGCAGATCATGAGGTCAGGAGATCGAGACCATCCTGGCTGACACGGTGAAACCCTGTCTCTAACTAAAAATACAAAAAATTAGCTGGGCGTGGTGGCAGGCGCCTGTAGTCCCAGCTACTCGGGAGGCTGAGGCAGGAGAATGGCGTGAACCCAGGAGACAGAGCTTGCAGTGAGCTGAGATTGAGCCACTGCACTCCAGCCTGGACGACAGAGCGAGACTCCATCTCAGAAAATAATAATAATAATAATAATAATAATAATAATAATAATAATAATAAACTCACAGCCTGAGCAACACGGCAAAACCCTGTCTGTACAAAAAATAAACAAATTAGCCAGGCATTGTGCTGTGCACCTGCAGTTCCAGCTACCTGGGAGACTGAAGTCAGAGTTACCTGCAGTGAGCTGTGATCGCAACACTGCACTCCAGACTGCGTGACAGAGTGAGACCTGACTTAAAAATTTTTTTTTAAAAGTTCAATACCCACTGGATGATAAAAAGTCTCAGCAAACCAAGGGCCAGGTGCAGTGGCTCACGCCTGTAATCCCAGCATTTGGGGAGTCCAAGGTGGGTGGATCACCTGAGGTCAGGAGTTCGAGACCAGCCTGGCCAACATGGCAAAACCCTGTCTCTACTAAAAGTACAAAAACTAGCCAGGTGTGGTAGCATACACCTGTAGTCCCGGCTACTTGGGAGGCTGAGGCAGGAGGATCACTTGAACCTGGGAGGCGGAGGATGAAGTGAGCCAAGACCATGCCACTGCACTCTAGCCTGGGAGACAAAGTGAGACTACACCTAAAAAAAGAAAGAAAGAAAGAAAGAAAAAGACTGGATACCTTGGGAACAGCAATAATGAGAGGCAGGAAGAGGAAGAAGACTTCACGGACAAGACAGAAAAGAAATAATTACAGAGGAAGGACTAGATCAGAAACCAACTGAGAAGACATTTTAGGGAGATTAAACATGAGCATCAACTGGACAGAATGCTCAATTAAGGCAAGCACTAAAGTATCCATGACATTTGGATACCCCTACCAGGCAGATCCAGCAAGTCATGTTGTTCAAAATAAGAAAGGGAAATGTGGAGATACTTGCCAGAAAATACAGCTTTAACCTTGCTGTTGTACAATCTACACATACATTTAAGGAGTGTATCTGAAGGTGACATAATCCATTCTTTCATGCAGCTATCCCAGCTTCTATGCCTGGATCAAGCAGGACCATCAGAAAGAGGTCTATGGGACCAAGGTGCCTCCATCCCTAGAAATGTACTGACTGAGTACTCGACCCACACGAAGTACTCAATTACAAGCAGCAGACTGCACTGATTTCTGGTACTCACTGAAAGACTGAAGACTCTCTACTAAGTCATCTACAGGAAGACCGGAAAAACAATGTTTTTTAGACTTCAATGCCAAGAACTGTTTTTTGTTTTTTGTTTTTTGTTTTTAAGGGGCTTTCCAGGGTGAAAGGAAAATAAATCTTGGGGCACCAAAATCACTAAGCTAAAGAGAAAAGTCAAGCTGGGAACTGCTAAGGGCAAACCTGCATCTCACTCTATTTAAAGTTACCCCTCTGCTCACTAAGATAAATGCAAAGCTGATTGCCTCCTTTGAAGAGGCTAATTAGCAACTCAAAAGAATGCAACTATTTGTCTCTTCTGTACCTAAGACCCCGGAAGCCACCTGCCCTTCAAGTTGTCCCACCTTTGATTCCAGTTGTCCTGCCTTTCCGGACTGAACCAATGTTCATCTTACATATATTGATGTCTCATGTCTCCCTAAAATGTACGAAACCAAAGTGTGCTCTGCCCACATTGGCGCATGTCATCAGCACCTCCTGAGGCTGTCATGGGCGCGTGTCCTCAACTTTGGCAAAATAAACTTTCTAAATTAACTGAGGCCTATCTCAGATATTTTGGGTTCACACTGGCAAAAACTGGAAAGCCTGCCAGACAAATTCTAAAAGAGCTGTAACTCTTTTTTTTTGTTTTGTTTTGTTTTTGTTGTTGTTGTTTTTTTATTGAGACGGAGTCTCGCTCTGTTACCCAGGCTGGAGTGCAGTGGCCTGATCTCAGCTCACTGCAAGCTCCGCCTCCCGGGTTCAGGCCAGTCGCCTGCCTCAGCCTCCCGAGTAGCTGGGACTACAGGCGCCCGCCACCACACCCAGCTAATTTTTTGTATTTTTAGTAGAGACGGGGTTTCACCATGTTAGCCAAGATGGTCTCGATCTCCTGACCTCGTGATCCGCCCGCCTCGGCCTCCCAAAGTGCTGGGATTACAGGCATGAGCCACCCTGCCCGGCAAAGAGCTGTAACTCTTAATGTCTCATGAGGAATTTTTTTTTTTTTTTAATTGAGGCGGAGTCTCCCTCTGTTGCCCAGGCTGGAGTGCAGTGGTGTGATCTCGGCTCACTGCAACCTCCAACTCGCGCGTTCAAGCGATCTCATGAGGAATTCTTTTCTTTTTCTTTTTTTTTTTTTTTTTTCCCCAAGACAGAGTCTTGCTTTGTCGCCCAGGCTGGAGTGCAGTGATGCAATCTCGGCTCACTGCAACCTCCACCTCCAGGGTTTAGGCGATTCTCCTGCCTCAGCCTCTGGAGTAGCTGGGATTACAGGCATGCGCCACCATGCCCAGCTATCTTTTTATTTTTAGTAGAGACGGGGTTTCACTATGTTGGCCAGGCTGGTCTCGAACTCCTGACCTTGTGATCCTCCCCCCTCGGCCTCCCAAAGTGACGGGATTACAGGCGTTAGCCACCGCGCTAGGGTTTTTGTTTTGTTGTTTTGTTTTGTTTTCTGGAGATGGAGTCTCACGCTGTCACCCAGGCTGGAGTGCAGTGGCTCTATCTCGGCTCACTACAACCTCCGCCTTCCGGGCTCAAGGGATTCTCCTGCCTCAGCCTCTGGAGTAGCTAATGAATGGGATGACCTGGACATTCACCCCTCTGGAGTTCAGTGGTTTTCATCTTTCATGTCAGGCAGAAATTGGTAATCCAGGAAACTGTTTCCTGAACTACTTTCTGAGTAAGCATGGTGGAAGCACCCACATCTCTCAAGGCCACCTGCGGTAATTGGCATAGTATGGGAAGCTCTCGGTATCTGGAATGAGTAAATAATTCAGAAAAATTCAAAGGCCGTTGGGGTGTTTAAGACATAATTTTCTTGGCCAGGAGCAGTGGCTCACGCCTGTAATCCCAACACTTTGGGAGGCAGAGGCGCGCGGATCACCTGAGGTCAGGAGTTCAAGACCAGCCTGGCCAACATGGTGAAAATCTATCTTCACTAAAAATACAAAAATTAACCGGGCATGGTGTCGCGCACCTGTAATCTCAGCTACTCTGGAGGCTGAGGCAGGAGAATCGCTTGAACCCGGGAGGCAGAGGCTACAGTGAGCCGAGATCCCACCACTGCACGCCAGCCTGGGCGACAGAGCGACACTCCATCTCAAAAGAAAAAGAAAAATAATTTTCTTAGAGGTAGTAATATTTCTTTCCCTCCCAACCAGGTTCTCTCAACCCTGAAAATGGAGAGACATTTCCTGGGCAAGCCTAACCCTAGCCTTAGGCCCAGCTCACCTCTCTGACAGCTGGAGCAAAACTCCTGTTGAGTCAGCTGGGGTGGCTTGTGGAGCACAGGCATTACATATTGCCTCTCCGTGCAAATATGGGCCGTGCTCTTCCTCAGCCTCGTCTTCCGCTGCTGTGAAACTCTGGTGAGAAGTCCCCATTCAGGTGGGCCACGCTTCCTCTACCTTACAAGTGCTGCTCTGTTTTTAGAAACTCGGATCTGGCCCTAGGGGCCAAAATCATTTTATTTGGGGCTTACATCAGGGCCCCAAGTCTTGTAACTCCCTGTGCCCCAGAATCTCGGGTTGGTTCTTCAAAAACCCAACCAAGACGACTGAGGACACACTGGCTGGACGGTTCAGACGAGGCCCGCAGCCCTCCATTATGAAGTGCGGGCCCACGAACCCTGACTACAAGTGCCCCAGGATAAAACAGAGCCTGCATTATACTTGGCAACGATGTCTGGGGCTCAGTACTGTAACCATGCAACGCTGGACTTCCGCCGAATGGGCTTTTAGTGGGCAAGCAGAGCGGTGAACCCCGAGGTCCAGCTCCCGGACTGTGCTAGAGCGGGCGGTGCCCGCCTCCTTCCTGGAGCGCGAAGCGTCCCCGTAGTCCCCACTAGGGCGCGCAGTGGCGTCCGCACAAGAGCAGCAAACGCCGCTAAGGCCGGCTGCCAGCCTGGCGCGCTGTCTCCTACGCGCCAAAGGGCCAAGGCCGCGGCCCCGCCCTCCGGCGGGCTCGGCGTGCTCTTTGACCCCAGAGGCGACCCCACCGCGCCCAGCCCTGCCACTCTCGGAAATGGGCCGCGCATGCGCGGCAGTGCCCGTCGCTGCCACAAGCGCGCCGCGCCACGGACCTAGAGGGGCCGTTTCCCGTCAGGTTCCGCGACACAACCTCGCCTCGCCCCGCCCTGAGCTGCGTCGTCCAGCCGGGAAGGGGCGCGTCAGGCGTTGACCCGGACGTGGACAAAAGACCGCAAAGGACGCCTGCACGGCAGGCATGGAAAGGCGAGCGAACCCACGGCGCAGGGATTCTCCCGGAAAGCAAAGCAGCTGAGTGATGTGGTGGTTGGTAGTCACGATGCCAATGGGATGGTGCTCGCTTCTCAAAATTTGAGACTTACTTGCAATACACAGAATTTGGGGGTGAATAAAAGTGCAAACTAGGCCGTGCGCCGTGGCTCACGCCTGTAAACCCAGCACTTTGGGAGGCCGAGGCGGGCGGATCAGGAGGTCAGGAGATCGAGACCATCCTGGCTAACACGGTGAAACCCCGTCTCTACTAAAAAATACAAAAAAAATTGGCCGGGCGTGGTGGCGGGCGCCTATAGTTCCAGCTACTCGGGAGGCTGAGGCAGGAGAAGGCCTTGAACCCGGGAGGCGGAGCTTGCAGTGAGCCGAGATGGACCCACTGCACTCCGGACGGGGCAACAGAGCGAGACTGTCTCCAAAAAAAAAAAAAAAAGTGCAAACTAAAAGAAAACGACTATCACACACAGCCTCGTATCCCTTAAAGGACTTTTTTTTTTTTTTTTTTTTGAGACAAGGTCTGGCTCTGTTGCCCAG
Organism: Homo sapiens; assembly: GCF_000001405.40. Classification (NCBI taxonomy): domain Eukaryota; kingdom Metazoa; phylum Chordata; class Mammalia; order Primates; family Hominidae; genus Homo; species Homo sapiens. Next base: position 43,454,910 of record NC_000010.11, on the reverse strand, counting down.
GCTGGAGTGTAGTGGCGCAGTCACGGCTCACTGCACAGCAGTGATAGGAGCAATGTGTACGTGAAGACTTGGCATGATTCACTCCCTGCATAATCAAGTACTAATGTGCCCATTGGAATAGGTGTAGAGAGAATGCATTCTTGACATGGCTCTACGAATAAGATAGATTTTGTTTTAATTCTGCTTTATCTTTTCTCAGCTTTTCAGACTAGTCTCTACCAATTTAACAGCATAAGTACATCAAAATCAATTTTAATTAAAAATCCAAAGTTTATTCCAGAGCTATTGATTTTCCAGTATGTTTTACAGCACAAGCATTCATGTTACACTAAATTTTTGCATTACTTGGTTTAAAAACTATTCTTTCAACAACATTGAATATAAAATAGCACAAATCAGCAGATCATTCACAAGTTTCAAAGCACATACACTGCATTTTTAGGAGACTGACAAGTGATGTAGTTAAATTTTGTGAGCTAGTGAAAGGAGACCAGTATAGTCATAATAAACACTGTCCTCAGCTTACTGTTCAAAAGTATTTTGAAAATCTGTGAGTCGAGGGCCAGGTGCAGTGGCTCACGCCTGTAATCCTACCACTTTGGGAGGCTAAGGCGGGAGGATTGCCTGAGCTCAGGAGTTGAGACCAGCCTGGGCAACATGGTGAAACCCTATCTCTACTAAAACACAAAAATGAGCCGGGCGTGGCAGCCTGCACCTGTATTCCCAGCTACTCCGGAGGCTGAGGCAGAAGAATTGCTTCAACCCAGGAGGTGGAAGTTGCAATGAGCTGAGATCATGCCACTGCACTCTACACTTCAGCCTGGGCGACAGAGCGAGACTCCGTACCTTAAAAAAAAGAAAAGATAAAAGAAAATCTGAGTCCTAACAATTTTTTAAAATATTAAAAGAATTGCATTATTTCAAACCTTGTGCATAACATACAACTTTCAAATATTTATTCATATTATTTTAAATTTATATAAATTCCCATAAAACATGAGAGCATTATACTCATCAGGCAGCCCTTGCTTGGTACAGTTCTGATATGCACGAATTTCAGTCACCATGATTTAATAACACCAGTCCCCCAACGACACAACTCAAATTTCAGGTACACAGTATATTAACTGTGAGTTTTCGCATAAAGTGCAGGCTGCTAGCTCTTCAGTCTACACATCATCACATTAATAACAAATGCATGTCATGATCAGTAACCAATCACATCACTTCTGTCTGTTGGTGACTGCTCACTGTAAGTTTGTTATTCGGCTCACTCAGAAACAGTAACATCTGTAGTTGTGTGGGCTTCATCTTCCAGTGATATATACTGTTGTGGTTACTGAGAACTGCAGAACTCTCCCCCCATAACTCCATCTGAAACTCTGCACTGAGAGACAAATTGGCATGGCTTCTAGTAGCATAGCCTGTGTTCCCAGGATGACCCCTGTCCCCACCATTAAAATGCCTGCCTGAGAAATCTCAGTGCTGCCAGGATAACTTACTATTCTTGCCAATATCTGACCATAGGCTCCTGACCGCCCTCTCTTAAGAGCATTTACTAAAAAGGACTTACAATTATGAATCTGTCCTCTGTCCCTTTGAGATGTTTATGTGATACACATGTTGTGTATGTGTATGCAAGTGTGTATCTCCTACAGCTAAGAAGTGTCTTTCTCAAGGAACATTGCTTTCTCAAGGAGCCATTGCTTTGAAATGTAGTGATTGGGAAAGATAAGGCCTCTGTCTCCCAGTCTCTGTGGGAGGATGGAATCTAACTTTGACCATTGCCAGCAGGCAGACACCGCTGGCCTCATCACATTTACACTGGTCCCTTGTAATTTTTCACATCCCCAACTCTACTGAGCCCCAACTCATACCCCTCCATACTCCCTCATTCCCCCTTTAAAATCACCAGTCGACTACATTCAGTGGAGAGTATTTGGGGAAAAAAAGGTATAAAATATCCAACCACCAAAAAAAGAAAAAAAGCCCGATCATCACTGCACAAATCAGAATGGAGCTCAGCTCTTTCCCCTACTGTCAGTGGTTACTGAATAAAATGTTAATGTCTGCTGTATTTATCTGTGATATTACCCAAAGATACGAGATAGATTCCCCACCCAAAACCTGGTTTTTCAAAACTGGTGACAGCCCCACATGCACAGAGAGAATATGTAAAGGCTTATGACTCACATGAGGCTTTCTGGGGAGAACAGGGATGAATCCCAAATGGGTTCAAAAATAGCTTAAGGCTGGGTGCAATGGCTCATGCCTGTAACCCCAGCATTTTGGGAGGCCAAGCCAAGAGAGGATCACTTGAGCTCAGGAGTTTTGAGACCAGCCTGGGCAACACAGTGGCACTCCTCATCTCTACAAAAAAAAAATTAAAAAATTAGCCAGGCGTGGTGGCACACCCCCGTGGTTCCAGCTACTGGCAGCTGTGATCAGGGCCCTGCACGCCAGCCTGGGTGACACAAGACCCTGTCTCCAGAAAAAGAAGAAAAAAAAATGGCTTGAGAGCAGGGAAGAGAGACTGGCTTTGGGTGTTATTAAGGTTAAGGAGTGGGGGGGAAATGAAGGCTCCAATGCACATGCTGGGGCCTGCATGGCTTGAACTTGCCTTTAGAGCCAAAAGAGGAAGCACCTGGGCTTTTGAATCAGCCATCCAGGTGTGGGACAGAAGGGGAGGGAAGAGGTGGGGCTTGAGAGCTGACAGTAGTCAAAGATAAAATATGGAGTCAGACTCTCTAGTTCATAAAAACTACATTTACATAGAATGTAAAAAAATGGAAAATTAAAAGAGAATTGACCAACAAAGATGAAATTGCAGCAAAGAAAAAGTGATAACACAGGAAGTGAAACTCGAATTGAGCATTTCCTGCAGTGCCACCCAGTCCTTGTTCTCATCATGCAGGTTTCCTGCTCCTCGCAGAGCCAGCAAAGTTTACTTTGCGGTGTAGGAACTCTCTTCTAGTTGTCCTCTTCTTTTCCACCCTACCATCAACTGGCAGGCTTTGCAAGTGCTCCCATAATAATGGTGCAAACTGGCCAGGTGCGGTGGCTCACGCCTGTAATCCCAGCACTTTGCGAGGCTGAGGTAGGAGGATCACCTGAAGTCGGGAGTTCGAGACTAGCCTGACCAACATGGAGAAACCCCGTCTCTACTAAAAATACAAAATTAGCCAGGCGTGGTGGCCCATGCCTGTAATCCCAGCTACTCAGGAGGCTGAGGCAGGAGAACTGCTTGAACCCGGGAGGTGGAGGCTGCAGTGAGCCGAGATCACGCCATTGCACTCCAGCCTGGGCAACAAGAGCAAAACTCCATCTCAAAAGAAAAATAATAATAATAATAATGGTGCAAACTTTGGCCAGGCACAGTGGCTCAAGTCTATAATCCCAGCACTTTGGGAGGCCAAGGCGGGTGGATCACCTGAGATCAGGACTTCGAGACCAGCCTGACCAACATGGTGAAACCCCGTCTCTACTAAAAATACAAAATTAGCCAGGCCTGGTGGCGCACACCTGTAATCCCAGCTACTCAGGAGGCTGAGGCAGGAGAATCACTTGGATCCAGGAGGTGGAGTTTGCAGTGAGCTGAGATCGCACCATTGCACTCCAGACTGGGCAACAAGAGCAAAACTCCATCTCTAATAATAATAATAATAGGCCATCCATGGTGGTTCACGCCTGTAATCCCAGCACTTTGGAAGGCCGAGGCAAGCGTATCACCTGAGGTCGGGAGTTCACAAGCAGTCTGACCAACATGGAAAAACCCCGTCTCTACTAAAAATACAAAATTAGCTGGGCGTGGTGGCACATGCCTGTAATCCCAGCTATTAGGGAGGCTGGGGCAGGAGAATCCTTGAACCTGGGAGATGGAGGTTGCAGTGAGCCAAGATCGCGCCATTGCACTCCAGCCTGGGCAACAAGAGCGAAACTCCATCTCAAAAAATAATAATAATAAAAAAATAATAATAATGGTGCAAACTCTGAAGTTTACAACGTGGCTCCAAATGTATTACTAGTAGGATCACCATAGTGCAAGTGTTATCACCTTTAGAGACGAGGAAATAGAGATGTCAAGGCTTTTTTTTCTTCTAAGTCATTGGTATCTACTGTTATTTTATACTTCACAGCCACTTAAATTTAGATGCTAAATTTACATCAGAAATACTTGATCTATAATTAGATTTTATTAAATTTACTATGGATAAAAAGGCATTCACACACCCAAATTATTCTGGGCACTTAAAAGCTTTCCGGCTGGGCATGGTGGCTCACGCCTATAATCCCAGCACTTTGGGAGGCCGAGGCGGGCAGATCACCTGAGGTCAGGAGTCGAACTCCTGGCCAACATGGTGAAACCCCGTCTCTACTCAAAATACAAAAAATTAGCCAGGTGTGGTAGCACATTCCTGTAATCCCAGATACTCAGGAGGCTGAGGCAGCAGAATCACTTGAACCCAGGATGCAGAGGTTGTGGTGAGCCGATATCTCACCATTGCACTCCAGCCTGGGCAACAGAGTGAGACTCCGTCTCAAAAAAAAACAAAGCAAAAAAGAGGCCGGGCTTGGTGGCTCACACCTGTAATCCCAGCATTTTGGGAGGCCAAGTCGGATGGATCACCTGAGGTTGGGAGTTCGAGACCAAACTGACCAACATGGAGAAACCCTGTATCTACTAAAAATACAAAATTAGCCTAGCCGGGTGTGGTGGCACATGCCAATAATCCCAGGTACTCGGGAGGCTGATGCAGGAGAATCACTTGAACCCGAGAGGCGGAGGTTGCAGTGAGCCAAGAACGTGCCATTGCACTCCAGCCCGGGCAAAAAGAGCAAAACTCCGTCTCAAAACAAAAAAGTTTTCCAATAACTGAATCAAGTATCAGTATTTAAATTAAAACTTACATTAAAAGTAAAAGTAAACATTCAGGCCTGGCATGGTGGCTCACACCTGTAATCACAGCACTTTGGGGGCCAAGGCAGGTGGATCACCTGAGGTCAGGAGTTCGAGACCAGCCTGGCCAACATGGGGAAACCCCGTCTCTACTAATAATACAAAAATTAGCCAGGAGTGGTGGTGGGTGCCTGTAATTCGAGCTACTTGGGAGGCTGAGGCAGGAAAATCACTTGAACACAGGAGGCGGAGGTTACAGTGAGCTGAAATAGTGCCACTGCACTCCAGACTGGGCGACAGAGTGAGACTCAGTCTCATTAAAAAAAAAAAAAAAATGCTTCAATACATGTTAACTGCTGAGGAACATTACAACAATATAAACAGAAATAAGCTCAAAATGCATGTTGAAGCATTACAAAATACTGAAAAGGAATTTTTTTTTAAATACTGAATTCACAAGCTTATAGTTCACTTCTGTAACACAGCTGTTAACTCTTCCTTGGTTACTTACATAATGTTAGACTGAATTAAGTAGAATTTTCCTATGAAATTAGCTTTAAATAGTGAGTTGACTTGAATAATAATATATGCATCACTGTGCTTCAACATCCAGTCCATTTCTATTCTCTGTGACTTGTGTATGTCAATATATACCAGTGTCTTGTGGTTTCTCTCTTTTCAGTACCATTAGATATACAGTTGATTTTTTTTTTTGGAGACAGAGTCTCGCTCTGTCGCTGAGGCTGGAGTGCAGTGGCACAATCTTGGCTCACTGCAACCTTCGCCTCCCAGGTTCAAGCGATTCTCCTGCCTCAGCCTCCAAAGTAGCTGGGATTACAGGCCCACGCCGCCATGCCCTGCTAATTTTTTGTATTTCAGTAGAGACAGGGTTTCACCATGTCCCCCAGGCTGGTCTCAAACTCCTGAGCTCAGGCAATCTGCCTGGCTCACCCTCCCAAAGTGCTGGGATTACAGGCCTGAGCCACTGCACCCAGCCTTTTTTTTTTTTTTTTTTTTTCGGAGACAGGTTCTTACTCTGTCACCCAGCCTGGAGTGCAGTGATGCAATCAGAGCTCACCACAGCCTCTATCTCCTGCTCAAGTGATCCTCCTGCTTCATCCTCTCCAGTAGCTGGGACTATGGGCATCTGCCACAATGCCCAGCTCATTTTTTTTATTTTTATATATTTATTTTTTTGAAACGGAGTCTTCCTCTGTCACCTAGGCTGGAGTACAGTGGCAAGATCTTGGCTCACTGCAACCTCCATCTCCAAGGTTCAAGCGATTCTCCTGTCTCAGCCTCCCCGATAGCTGGGACTACAGGTGTGCGCCACCGCGCCCAGCTAATTTTTTATATTTTTGGTAGAGACAGGGTTTCGCCATCTTGGCCAGGTCAGTCTCAAACTCCTGGCCTCAAGTGATCCACTTGCCTCGGCCTCCCAATGTGCTGGGATTACAGGCAGGAGCCACCGCACCCAGCCGACCCCATCTCCTTAAAAAAGAAAAAAATCCACATATACATAGACCCACACAGGTCAAACCCATTTTGTTTAAGGGTCAACTGTACTTTTATTATTAGAATTCAATAAGAGATGAAATGAATGCTTGATGCCCCATCTTCAATTCTCCACTTCAGCGCAAGACGAATTGAGTAACAGGGACCAGGTTATATTGGAAAAAAAAAACATTTTTTGACAAAACGTAAGGACAAAAATGGTTTCCAATTGGCCAGGCATGGTGGCTCACGCCTGTAATCCCAGCACTTTGGGAGGCTGAGGCAGGTGGATCACGAGGTCAGGAGATCGAGACCATCCTGGCCAACACGGTGAAACCCCGTCTCTACAAAAAATACAAAAAATTAGCCGGGCATGATGGCAGGCACCTATAGTCCCAGCTACTCCGGAGGCTGAGGCAGGAGAATAGCGTGAACCCGGGAGGTGGAACTTGCAGTAAGCCGAGATCGCACCACTGCACTCCAGCCTGGGCGACAGAGTGAGACTCCGTCTCAAAAAAAAAAAAAAAAAAAAAATGGTTTCCAAGACCCTGAACATCAGAAAACAGAGAGTAATCCCTAAGAGATAGGAAACAAATGAGATGAGTCCTACAAGTGCCCCAGCTAACTGACTTGAGTAGTTTGTAGAATGTGCTACAAGGAAAAATAACTAAGGCAGAGCCTGGCAGATTCCTTGAGTTGAAAAGATAGATTTGATAGTCTGGGGAGACACAGGCAGCTAGAATTCACAGAACACAGCACCAGAGAAGAAAGAGCTGCATGGAGAGAAAACCCCAGAGACCTGCAGCGTCCCACTTGAGAGCTCAGCAGTGTATTGATCAGTACATGAGTATAAGGGCATTACCCACATCTGTCAAAAGAACCATCTAAAAAGATCAGAGGGAATAGTGCCCAGTGCTCACACAGGGCATGGAATAGTGCCTGTTCCTACACCAGGCAGATTAGAAATGTCATAATTCAGGCTGTGCGTGGTGGCTCACGCCTGTAATCCCAGCACTTTGGGAGCCCGAGGCAGGCAGATCACTTGAGGTCAGGAGTTCAAGACCAGCCTGGCCAACATAGTGAAACCCCGTCTTTACTAAAAATACAGAAATTAGCTGGGCATGGTGGCACATGCCTGTAATCCCAGCTCTCAGGAGGCTAAGGCAGGAGAATCACTTGAATCCGTGAGGTGGAGGTTACAGTGAGCTAAGATCGTGCCACTGCACTCCAGCCTGGGCAACAGAGCGAGACTCTGTCTCAAAAAAAAAATGTTGTTCTCCCTCTCCCCTCTCCGTCGTCTCCGTCTCCCGCTTTCCACGGTCTCCCCCTCTCCCTCATCTCCGTCTCCCGCTTTCCACCGTCTCCCTCTGCTGGACTGTACTGCCTCGATTTCGGCTCACTGCAACCTCCCTGCCTGATTCTCCTGCCTCAGCCTGCCGAGTGCCTGGGATTGTAGGGGCACGCTGCCACGCCTGACTGGTTTTTTTTTTGGTGGAGACGGGGTTTCGCCGTGTTGGCCAGGCTGGTCTCCAGCTCCTGACCTCGAGTCATCTGCCTGCCTCGGCCTCCTGAGGTGCCGGGATTGCAGACAGAGTCTCGCTCACTCAGTGCTCAATGTTGCCCAGGCTGGAGTGCAGTGGCGTGATCTCCGCTCACTACAACCACCACCTCCCAGCCGCCTGCCTTGGCCTCCCAAAGTGCTGAGATTGCAGCCTCTTCCCAGCCGCCACCCGGTCTAGGAAGTGAGGAGCGTCTCTGCCTGGCCGCCCATCATCTGGGATGTGAGGAGCCCCTCTGCCCGGCAGCCCAGTCTGGGAAGTGAGGAGCGCCTCTTCCCGGCCGTCATCCCGTCTAGGAAGAGAGGAGCGTCTCTGCCCGGGCGCCCATCGTCTAGGATGTGGGGAGCGCCCCTGCCCGGCCGCCCTGTCTGGGATGTGAGGAGCGCCTCTGCCCGGCCGCCCCGTCTGGGAGGTGAGGAGCATCTCTACCCGGCCGCCACCCCGTCTGGGAGGTGAGGAGCGCCTCTGCCCGGCCACCACCCCATCTGGGAGGTGAGGAGCGCCTCTGCCCGGCGGCGACCCTGTCTGGGAACTGAGGAGTGCCTCTGCCCGGCCGCCCCGTCTGAGAAGTGAGGAGCCTCTCCGCCTGGCAGCCGCACCGTCTGGGAAGTGAGGAGAGTCTCCGCCCGGCCACCCCGTCTGGGAGGTGGGGGGCGCCCCCGCCCAGCAGCCACCCCGTCTGGGAGGTGGGTGGCGCCTCTGCCTGGCCGCCACGTCTGGGAAGTGAGGAGCCCCTCTGCCCGGCCACCACCCCGTCTGGGAGGTGTACCCAACAGCTCATTGAGAACGGGCCATGATGACGACGGCGGTTTTGTCGAATAGAAAAGGGGGAAACGTGGGGCAAAGAAAGAGAGATCAGATTGTTACTGTGTCTGTGTAGAAAGAAGTAGACATAGGAGACTCCATTTTGTTCTGTACTAAGAAAAATTCTTCTGCCTTGGGATGCTGTTAATCTATAACCTTACTCCCAACCCCATGCTCTCTGAAACATGTGCTGTGTCAACTCAGGGTTAAATGGATTAAGGGCGGTGCAAGATGTGCTTTGTTAAACAGATGCTTGAAGGCAGCATGCTCATTAAGAGTCATCACCACTCCCTAATCTCAAGTACCCAGGGACACAAACACTGCGGAAGGCCGCAGGGTCCTCTGCCTAGGAAAACCAGAGACCTTTGTTCACATGTTTATCTGCTGAACTTCTCTCCTCTATTGTCCTATGACCCTGCCAAATCCCCCCTCGGAGAAACACCCAAGAATGATCAATAAATACTAAAAAAAAATTAAAACAAAATAAAATAAAATTTTTGAGGATCAAAAAAAAAAAAAGAAAATGTCATAATTCATGGCCCATTGGGTAAAGTACTCAGGAAGATCTAGCCTTAGCAGTGGGGAATAATTTGCCCCAGAATGAACAATGCCCTGGACCTGCCTAATAATCCTGAAAAGACAAAAACCAAAGAGAACAAACTGTTTTCAGGTAACTTAACTATATCCCAGAATAAAGCTCAAGAAGATTCACAGGAATACAAAAATATCCTGCATCCAAAAAGTAAAATTCACAATGCCTAACATCCAATAAGATACCAGGCATGCAAACAGGCAAGAAAACATGACCTACAATGAGAATTACAGTATAGGAAAGATATAAAAACATCCAGTCAAAATTCTGAAAGTGGGCCAGTTGTGGTGATTCACACCTATAATCCCAGCACTTTGGAAGGCTGAGGTGAGAAAATTGCTTGAGCCCAGGAATTCAAGACCAGCCTGCACAACCTAGTAAGATCTCGTCTCTAAAGAAAAAAAAAAAAATTCTGAAAATGAAAACCACGTTTGAGATGAAAAATACACTGAATGAAATGAACAGCAGATTAGACATTACAGAAGAAAAGATTACTGAACTTAAAGGCAACTAAGTTCATTTCTGAAAAAAAAATCCAAAACAATGAAAAGAACATCACTGAGCTGTGTCATGATTTAAAGCAGCCTAAGATATACATAACTGGAAGGAGGATGGGGGGTTGTTGGCATAAAAAATATTCAAAGAGATGATGGCCTAAATCTTTCTACCCTTACAATAAAAACCCATAAATCTAAGGCCAGCTGCAGTGGCTCACACCTGTAATCCCAGCACTGCCTGGGAGGCCGAGGCAGGAGGATCACTTCAGCTCTGGAGTTCAAGACCAGCTTGGGCAACATGGTGAAACCCCATCTCTACCAAAAACATAAAAAAATTAGCCTGGAGTGGTGTGCGCCTGTGGTCCCAGCCACTTGGGATGCTGAGATGAGAGGCTGACCTGAGCCCGGAGGCAGAGGTTGCAGTGAGCTGAGATCATGCCACTCCAGCCTGGGTGACAGAGTGAAACCTAATCTCAAAAACAAACAAACAAACAAAAAACGAACAACCTGTAAACCTATAATTCCAAGAAGCTCAATGAAACCTAAACAAAGGAAAGCCACCACGCCCGGCAACAAAAATGTCTTTCAAAAATGAAAGCAACACTTCCAGTTCAGGGTACTGCTTCATACTCCTCCCATTAAGTAAAGCTCAATACCCTGAAATTATATATAAATAAACATGATATGGACTGAAAGGTAGAAAATAGCAGACCAGCACGGGATCTTGGAACTCAAAGAACGACACAGTGCTGGGTTCACTGGGTATTCTTTTTGCCTCATATATCCCAGACTAGATGTTACAGAAGCCAGCAATCTGAAAACATCAATGGGTACAGATTTTAAAAGCCTAAGAAAATCTGTCGCTTTCTAGCCAAAGGACAAGGAGAGAAGGAGCTTTGTTAGAAAACTTTTAGGAGCCGGGCGCGGTGGCTCACGCCTGTAATCTCAGCACTTTGGGAGGCCGAGGCAGGCGGATCACGAGGTCAGGAGATGGAGACCATCCTGGCTAACATGGTGAAAACCCCATCTCTACTAAAAATACAAAAAATTAGCCAGGTGTGGTGGTGCACACCTGCAGTCCCAGTTACTCAGGAGGCTGAGGCAGAGGAATCGCTTGAACCCGGGAGGCAGAGGTTGCAGTGAGCCAAGATCACGCCATTGCACTCCAGCCTGGGTGACAGAGAGAGACTGTGTCTACAAAAAAAAAAAAAAAATTCAAGCAATATACAAAAAGACAACTCCTCCACTAGGTGCAGTGGTTCGTGTCTGTACTCCCAACACTTTGGGAGGCTGAGTTGGGGGGAATTGCTTGAGGCTAGGAGTTTGAGACCACCCTAGGTGACATAGTGAGACCTCCATCTCTACAAAAAAAATTGATTAAAACAAAAAAAACGGGCCGGGCATGGTGGCTCACTCCTGTAATCCCAGCACTTTGGGAGGCTGAGGCAGGTGGATTACCTGAGGTCAGGAGTTCGAGACCAGCCTGGCCAACATGGTGACACCTCATCTCTACTAAAAATACAAAAATTAGCTGGGTGCGGTGGCATGTGCCTGTAATCCCAGCTACTTGGGAGGCTGAGGCAGGAGAATCTCTTGAACCCGGTAGGGGGAGGTTTCAGTGAGCCGTGATTGCTCCATTGCACTCCAGCCTGGGTGACAGAGCAAGACTCCATCTCAAAAAAAAAAAAACAAAAACAAAAACTAGGCCCAGCAGGATAGCTCAGGCCTGTCATCCCAGCACTTTGGAAGGCCAAGGTGGGTGGATCACCTGAGGTCAGGAGTTCGAGACCAGCCTGGCTAACATGGTGAAACCTCGTCTCTCCTAAAAATTATAAAAATTAGCCAGGCGTGGTGGCGGGTGCCTGTAATCCCAGCTACTCGGGAGGCTGAGGCAGGAGAATTGCTTGAATCCAGGAGGCAGAGGTTGCAGTGAGCAGAGATCATGCCATTGCACTCCAGCCTGAGCGACAAGAGCAAAACTCTGTCTCAAAAAAAAAAAAAAAAAAGCTAGAACGAGTAAGTTTAGAAAGGTCATAGAACATAAGCTCAACTAAAAAATCAACTGTATTTCTATATATTAGCAATAAAACATGGACACCTAAATTAAATTAAAAATAAAATACCATTTGTAATAATTGAAAAAATTACTAAGCTATAAATTTAAAAAATACTTTAAATTGCTAATCTCTGTATCATTCCAATTTTAGTATATGTGCTGTCGAAGCAAGCACACTTAGCTATAAATCTAACAAACACATATCAGACTTGTACGCTGAACACAACTTGTACCCTGAATACTACAAAATGCTTATAAAATAATTCCAGGGCTGGGCGCGGTGTCTCACGCCTGTAATCCCAGCATTTTGGGAGGCTAAGGCGGGTGGATCACGAGGTCAGGAGTTCAAGACCAGCCTGGCCAAGATGGTGAAACCCCATCTCTACTAAAAATACAAAAAATTAGCCAGGCGCAGTGGCAGGCGCCTGTAGTCCCAGCTACTCAGGAGGCTGAGGAAGGAGAATCATTTCAACCCGGAGGGTGGAGGTTGCAGTGAGCCGAGATCGTGCCACTGCACTCCAGCCTGGGTGACAGAGTGAAACTCCGTCTCAAAAAAATAAATAAATAAATAAATAAATAAATTCAGGAAAATCTAAGCAAATGAAGAGACGTACTATGTTAATGGATTAAAAGACTCAATAGAATAAAGACGTCAGTGCTCTCCAAAATTCCAAAACAATATATAAATTGAACATTTTTCCTATCAAATTCACAGCAAGAGTTTTTTTCTTTGTTTTTTTTTTGTTGTTGTTGTTGTTGTTGTTGTTGTTGTTTTAGAGACAGGGTCTCCCTCTGTAGACCAGGCTAGGGTACAGTGTTAGTGGTGTTACTATAGCTCACTATAACCTCAAACGTCTGAGCTCAAGCAAACCTTACACCGCAGTGTCCCAAGTAGCTAGGACTACAGTACAGGCATGTGCCATCACATCCAGCTAAATTTAAAATTTTTTTTCGTACAGACAGGGTTAGCTACATTGGCCAGACTGGTCTTGAACTCCTGACTTTGATTTTCCCGCCTCTACCTCCCAAAGCACTCAGATTACAGGCATAAGCCTACATGGCCAACCACAGCAAGATATTTTATAAACAACCTTATTCTAAAATTTATATGTAAAGACAGGGGAAGGCTGGGCATGGTGGCTCACGCCTGTAATCCCAGAACTTTGGGAGGCCAACGCGGGTGGATCACTTGAGGTCAGGAGTTCAAGACATGCCTGGCCAACATGGTGAAACCCCGTCTCAACTAGAAATACAAAAATCAGCCAAGCACAGTGGCATGCACCTATAATCCAAGGTACTCAGGAGGCTGAGGCAGGAGAATCACTTGAACCCAGGAGGCAGACGTTGCAGTGAGCCGAGATCGCACCACTGCAACTCCCGCCTGGGTGACAGAGAGACCCTGACTAGCTGGGGCAACATGGCAAAACCCTGTCTCTACAAAAATTGGCCAGGCGCGGTGGCTCATGCCTGTAATCCCAGAACTTTAGGAGGCCGAGGTGGGTGGATCACCTGAGGTCAGGAGTTCGAGACCAACCTGACCAACAAGGTGAAACCCCGTCTCTACTAAAAATACAAAAAATTAGCCGGGCCCGGTGGCAGGTGTCTGTAGTCCCAGCTAGTCGGGAGGCTGAGACAGGAGAATTGCTGGAACCCGGGAGGCGGAAGTTGCAGTGAGCCGAGATCGTGCCACTGCACTCCAGCCTGGGCGAAGGAGTGAGACTCCGTCTCAAAAAAAAAGGCAAAGCGGTCTGGTGCAGTGGCTCATGTCTATACTCCCAGCACTTTGGGAGGCCAAGCCAAGTGGATCACTTGAGGTTAGGAGTTTGAAAGCAGCCTGGCTCATGCCTGTAATACCTGCACTTTGAGAGGCTGAGGTGGAAGGATTGCTTAAGCCCACGAGTTCAAGACCAGCCTGGGCAATACAGGGAGACCCTGTCTCCACCAAAAAAAAAAAAAAAAAAAAAAAAAAAAAAAAAATTTAACCAGGTGTGGTAGCATTTACCTGTGGTCCTAGCTACTTGGGAGGCTAAGGTGGGAGGATTTCTGGAGCCAAGAAGATCGAGGCTACAGTGAACTATGATCACACAACTGCACTCCAGCCTAGGCAACACAGTGACTCTCTCAAAAACAAACAACAAAAAAAAAGTCCAAGGTTATGCAAAACTACTCAATATGTCTTTTTTTGGGATACAAACAATTTTAGTCAAATTATAAAGAAAAGCAAGTTAAGTGACAAGCATAAAGTTGAAGACAGTGGTTACCCTAGGGCAAAGGAGGGAGCCATGAGGCGGAACTACACAAAGGACCACAAATATGAGGGTAGTCTTCTGTTTCTTTTTTTCTTTTTTTTTTTTGAGACAGAGTCTCACTCTGTTGCCCAGGCTGGAGTGCAGTGGCGCAATCTCAGCTCACTGCTGCCTCTGCCTCCCAGATTCAAGAGATTCTCCCACATCAGCCTCCCAAGTAGCTGGGACTACAGGTAAGCATTACCATGCCGGGCTAATTTTTGTATTTTTTGGTACAGATAGGGTTTTACCATGTTGAACAGGCTGGTCTCAAACTGCTGATCTCAGGTGATCCTACCACTTCGGACTCCCAAAGTGCTGGGATTATAGGTGTGAGCCACTGTGCCCGTCCTTAAACTCCTTTGATTAAAAATATAGGCAGGGCACAGTGGTTCACACCTGTAATCCCAGCACTTTGGGAGGCCGAGGCGGGCGTATTACCTGAGGCCAGGAGTTTGAGATCAGCCTGGCCAACATGCCAAAAGCCCGTCTCTACTAAAAATATAAAAAATTAGCCAGGCATGGTGGCGGGCACCTGTAATCCTAGCTACTCGGGAGGCTGAGGCAGGAGAATTGCTTGAGCCGGGCAGGCAGAGGCTGCAGTTAGCTGAGATCTCTCCACTGCACTCCAGCCTGGGCAACATGAGTGAAACTTCGCCTCAAAAAAAAAAATATATATATATATAAAACAAAACTTACCAATTAACCTTTTTAAAGTGTACAGTTCAGTCTTAAGTAGATTCACATTGTTGTGAAACAGATCTCTAGAACATTTTCATCTTGCAAATCTGAAACTCTGTACCCATTAAACAACTTCCCATTCCTCCTTACCGCAGCCTCTAGCAACCACCATTCTACTTTTCTGTTTACATGAATTTGACTACTTCAGATTCTCATATAAGTGGGGATCATACAATATTTGTCCATTACTGGTTTACTTCACTTAACATAATATCGTCAACATTCATCCATGTTGCAGCATATGACATTTTCTTTTTTATTTTCACTTATTTATTTATTTTTGAGATGGAGTCTCACTCTGTCACCCAGGCTAGAGTGTAGTGGTGCCATCTCGGCTCACTGCAACCTCCACCTCCCAGGTTCAAGCAATTCTCCCTGCCTCAGCTTCCTGAGTAGTTGGGATTACAGGCGCCCACCACCATGCCCAGCTAATTTTTGTATTTTTAGTAGAGACAGGGTTTCACCATGTTGGCCAGGCTGGTCTTGAACTCCTGACCTTAGGTGATCTGCCCTCCTCGGCCTCCCCAAGTGCTGGGATTACAGGCGTTAGCCACCGCACCCGGCCATCTTATTTTTATTTTTTGAAGAGATGGAGTCTTGCTCTGTCACTCAGGGTGGAGTACAGCAGTGCAATCATGGCTCACTGAAGCCTCAACCTCCTAGGCACATGTAATCCTCCGACTTCAGCTTCCAGAGTAGCTAGGACTACAGGCACATGCCACAATGCCCAGCTGATTTTTTTTTGAGACGGAATCTCGTTCTGTCACCCAGGCTGGAGTGCAGTGGCGTGATCTCGGCTCACTGCAACCTCGGCCTCCCGGATTCAAGCAATTCTTCTGCCTCAGCCTCTCAAGTAGCTGGGATTACAGGCATGTGCCACCATGCCCGGCTAATATTTTTGTACTTTTAGTAGAGACAAGGTTTCACCATATTGGCCAGGCTGGTCTCAAACTCCTGACCCTCTGATCCACCCACCTCGACCTCCCAAAGTGCTGGGACTACAGGCGTGAGACACCGCGCCCGGCCTGCCCAGCTAATTTTTGTATTCTTTATTTTATTTTATTTTTTGTGGAAACAGGATCTCGCTATGTTGCTCAGGCTGGTCTGGAACTCCTGGACTCAAGCAATCCTCCCACCTTGGCCTCCCAAAGTGCTGGGATTACCAGCATGAGCCGCTGCATCCAGCCAAGATTTTCTTCCTAAGGCTGAATGATATTCTATTGTATATGACACATTTTGTTTATCCATCTATCAATGGACACTGGGGTTACCTCTCCCTTTTGACTATTGCAAATAATGCTGCTATGAACATGACTGTACAAGTAACTGAGTCCCCGCTTTCATTTCTCTTGGATTCAGACCCAGAAGTGGTACTGCTGGATCATATGGCAATTCTATTTGTTAATTTTTTGAGGGAACTGCCATACTGTTTTCCATAGCTGC
The DNA here is from genome assembly GCF_000001405.40 of Homo sapiens. Lineage (NCBI taxonomy): Eukaryota > Metazoa > Chordata > Mammalia > Primates > Hominidae > Homo > Homo sapiens. Next base: position 43,438,542 of record NC_000010.11, on the reverse strand, counting down.
TGTACCATTTTACATTCTTACCAACAATACACAAGGGTATATTTCTTAATATATGGGGGCTGGGTGCAGTGGCTCACGCCTGTAATCCCAGCACTTTGGGGGGCTGAGGCAGGTGGATCACCTGAGGTCAATAATTCGAGACCAGCCTGGCCAACAAGGCAAAACCCTGTCTCTACTAAAAATACAAAAATTAGCCGGGTGTGGTGGCACGTGCCTGTAACCCTCGTCACTTGGGAGGCTGAGGCAGGAGAATTGCTTGAAGCCAGGAGGTGGAGGTTTCAGTGAGCCAAAATCACGCCACTGCACTCCAGCCTGGGCGACAGAGGGAGACTCCACCTCAAAATATATATATATATGGAACCTAAGACAAAAGCCTGCACTCACCCCTAATCTGCTAAATTCAAGTTCTCTCCATGATGAGGTTTCAAAAGGAATTAGTGCAAAATGTATTTAAGGATATGACCAGAAAGGAGAAAGAAAAAACAAATGGCTATTACACACACAGCAGAAAAGTAACACTAGGAGGCAAAGGAACTCAATGAAGAAATATTTCGGTGGCAGGCGGTGGTTCAGCCTGTAATCCCCGCACTTTGGAAAGCTAAAGCAGGAGAATCACTTGAGCCCAGGAGTTCAAGACCAGCCTGAGCAACATAGTGATACCCCTGTTTCTATTTATAAATAAATAAATAAATAAATATTTCCAACCAAAGAATACAAACTTAGTAAAGCTAATGAAGGAAGAACACAGTGAAGAGCTGCCGATGTAAGAGAAAAAAAGAAAATTTCCGGAGGAAAAAAGTTCAAAGATTTGCAACTATTTCCTCAGAAGGAACTGGGAAAAGGGAGTTTTGAGTAATAAGGCCTTGTGCAAGTTTCTGACTCTTAAGGATGTGAATGTACTGCCTTAAAAAATAAACTAAAAAGAGCCTCTTTTCTCACCACAACTCAACAATCATGAAGGTATCCTTGCAAGTGTGTGTAGACCTCTCATGCCTCCTAGGTCCAGGGTCACTCGTCCAGGACTCTCCCAATATCCCTGCCCAGAGGAAGCGCTTCCTCAGACTCGGTTCCTTCTGGTTGCCCTTGTCTCGCTTCTCTAGGGTGGGCTGGCCGCTCCCGCACTGGGGTCAAAGATCCTCCGGGTTCTCTCTGCCACGACTCGCCCTGATCCCAAATCCCAGCCCCACGGTCCCCACCCCCAGCGGGCCCAGTCCCCGCTCGATCCTGGGTGTGCGGCCCTCGACCTCAGACCCGGCCCCTGCCCGCCGGCCGCCCCTCACCTCGGCCTCGGAGGCTCCACGCTCCCCCTCTCACAGCCCGCACCTCGGCGGTCTCTCGGAGGAGGGAGGAACCCGAGGTACCTGGTAGTCGTAGCTGAGGAACTTACAGGCTTGTTGACCATCTCACCATGGAAACTGCCGCAGCGCTCCCTGGGCGGGGCCGCCGAGGGGCGGGGCCTGCGCGAATCCCGGGCGCCCGCCAGTCCAGCGCTCCCTGCGCTTCCGGAAGCCTTGCTGCTCCCGCGTGCCTAGCGGGGGCTCGGCCCTATGCCACGGGCATCCCACCCTGCTACCAGCTGCCCTCTTGTCCGCTGGCCGGACTCTTACCCCAGCCTTCTTCAGGAAGACACGGCGCAGTCCGGCTTCCCCACGAAAGCGAAGGTCGCTGGGACCGCGGCTGGGCGTCCGGGGGCGGGGCCGCGACGCCATTGTGACGCGCTCGGAGCAGGGCTGGGCCGAGGACCCCGGGCGCTGGAGGGCAGGCCCTAGCCACTGCTCCTGAGGCCCTGGAGGCAGCTGACGCTTGAGGCCGCTGGGCGCCGCAACGTGAGCCCAAAGGACGCCCCGCTTCAAGACTGGCGCAAGAGGAAAAAATGAAGGTCGTTTTCTGCGGAGGATGTTAGGAGAACGAGAACTGCGGGCCAGAGAACTGACCTAGCTTAAGGAGCGCAGGCAGCCTCTGCCGCCGGCTCTTGGGGAGACACGGAGAGGATGGGGTCCCCGCTCCGCATCAGGTCCTCTGACGCACCCCGGCTTTCCAGGAGGTAGGACTGGCCACAGGCCTCCTTCCCAGGGACAAAGTGCAAAGCAGAGGCTGTCAGCAGCGTGACCTTCGCTGCAGGAGAAATACGCGTCCAGTTCGTTTTCGTCAGAGTTCTGCTACATCAGGCCTGCCGTATTTGCTGTACACAAATCAGCCAACTTCCCAGGCCTGGGTGCGGAGGTATTTGTTAAGCACATGCACACAGTTGGAATTAGCAGCCTCAGGGATCAAAAGTTGTCCTTTTTTTTTTTTTTTTTTTTGGAGACGAAGTTTCGCTCTTGTTGCCCAGGCTGGAGTGCAGTGGCGCGATCTTGGCTCACTGCAACCTCCGCCTCCCGAGTTCAAGTGATTCTCCTACCTCAGGCTCCCGAGTAGCTGGGATTACAGTCGTCCGCCACCACGCCCGGTTAATTTTTTTTGTTTTTAGTAGAGATGGGGTTTCACCATTTTGGCCAGGCTGGTGTCGAACTCTTTTTTTTTTTTTTTTTTTTTTTTTTTGAGACGGAGTCTCGCTCTGTCACCCAGGGTGGAGTGCAGTGGCGCGATCTCAGCTCACTGCAAGCTCCGCCTCCCAGGGTCACGCCATTGTCTTGCCTCAGCCTCCCGAGTAGCTGGGACTACAGGCGCCCGCCACCACGCCCGGCTAATTTTTTGTATTTTTAGTAGAGACGGGGTTTCACCGTGTTAGCCAGGTTGGTCTTGATCTCCTGACCTCGTGATCCGCCCGTCTCGGCCTCCCAAAGTGCTGGGATTACAGGCATGAGCCACCGTGCCCGGCCTGGTGTCGAACTCTTGACCTCAGGTGATCCACTGGCCTCGGCCTCCCAAAGTGGTAGGATTACAGGCGTGAGCCACCGCGCCCCTGCCCAAGAGTTGTCATTTCTGTAGCAAAGCAGCTAAGCAATATTCTTTTGCCTGCCACCTAAATGTGATTAGGTGCAGCATCATTAAGAAAAAAAATAAAAAGCCCGGGCGTGGTGGCTTACGCCTGTAATCCTAACACATTGGGAGGCCAAGGCGGGTGGATCACCTGAGATCAGGAGTTTAAGATCAGTCTGGCCTACATGGTGAAACTCCAACTCTACTAAAAATTCAAAATTAGCTGGGTGTGGTGGCACATGCCTGTGATCCCAGTTATTCGGGAGGCTGAGGCAGGAGAATAGCTTGCACCCGGGAGGCAGAGGTTGCTGTGAGCCGAGATCTCGCCATTGCACTCCAGCCTGGGCAACAAGAGCGAGACTCTGTCCCAAAAAAAAAAAAAAAAAAAAAAAAAAGCCCTGAGACCCACGGTAGCTGGCCTGGATTACTTGATGAACATAAACAGGTTCACAGAAAATTGATATCAGACGAGTTCTTTCTGTGACTGAGGGAAGGAGAAAATAATTCCGATCAGTGATCTTGCCTGCATAAATAAAAACTGGCACTGCGCAACCACACACACAGAAGAATAAACATCCCTTCTTCAGCTAGCATGAGTAATTACTGCTTTTTCTCCAATGACAGCTTTAGCTCCTCTCTATTCCTCCTGCTTTCTGGATTTAAAAAAAATTTTTTTTTTTTTTTTTTGAGAAGGAGTCTTGCTCTGTCGCCCAGGCTGGAGTGAAGTAGCACAATTTCGGCTCACTGCAACCTCTGCCTCCCAGGTTCAAGCAATTCTCCTGTCTCAGCCTCTCGAATAGCTGGGATTACAGGCACCTGCCACCTAGTAGAGATGGGGTTTCACCAGGTTGGCCAGGCTGGTCTCAAACTCCTGACCTCAAGTGATCGCCTGCCTCGGCCTCCCAGAGTGCTGGGATTACAGGCATGAGCCACCGCGCCCCACCTAAAATTGTTGAAATAATCTTTGAGTGGCCGGGCGCGGTGGCTCACGCCTGTAATCCCAGCACTTTGGGAGGCCGAGGCGGGCGGATCACGAGGTCAGGAAATCGAGACCATCCTGGCTAACACGGTGAAACCCCGTCTCTACTAAAAATACAAAAAATTAGCCGGGCGAGGTGGCGGGCGCCTGTAGTCCCAGCTACTCGGGAGGCTGAGGCAGGAGAATGGCGTGAACCCCGCGGGGCGGAGCCTGCAGTGAGCCGAGATCGCGCCACTGCACTCCAGCTTGGGTGAAAAAGCGAGACTCCATCTCAAAAAAAAAAATAATAATAATCTTTGAGTTGCCCCTGTTAGTACAGCACCAATCCAAAACACACCCCTGTCCTTGGACCCTCCCCAAAATCACCAGCCACAAGTCCAAATGGTATAACAAGCCCTCTAACAAGTCTCCTAAGACACCCCATGGTTTCAGAGGTGTGATGTCTCATTGCAGCAACTAACAGCCCCAAATAATAACTAGTTCACAGTGAGGAATATATGCATTCACTGAAATAGCAAATCATCATTCCACCATATGTATGCCTTTTGTAGTCTGACTGGTAGACACGGCAAATATAGATACACTTATATATGAAGGATACGTAACTCATATGCACAAATGAAACTTCAGAGCCTATACTCTAATGAAAAATCAAAATAAATTTTTCTTTCTTTTTTTTTTTAACTCTTTGAGACAGGGTCTTGCACCATCCCCTAGCCAGGAGTGCAGTGGCAGGATCTCAGCTCGCTGCAGCCTTGACAGCTCAAGCAATCTTCCCACCTCAGCCTCTCAGCCTCCCGGTAGCTGGGACGACAGGGGGTCACCACCACACCCAGCTGATTTTTTTTTTTTTTTTTTTTTGAGATGGTGTCTCGCACTGTCTCCCGGGCTGGAGTGCAATGGTGCGATCTCGGCTCACTGCAACCTCCACCTCCCAGGTTCACGGGATTCTCCTGCTTCAGCCTCCGGAGTAGTTGGGATTACAGGCGCACACCACCACACCCGGCTAACTTTTTGTGTTTTTAGTAGAGAGGGGGTTTCACTATGTTGGCCAGACTGGTCTCAAACTCCTGACCTCATGATCTGTCCTTCTTGGCCTCCCAAAGTGCTGGGATTACAGGGTTGAGCCACCGTTCCTAGCCACACCCAGCTGATTTTTAAATTTTTTTGGAGAGACACAGACTTGCTATGTTACCTAGGCTGGTCTCTAACTCCTGGGCTCAAGTGATCCTCCTCCTGCATTGGCCTCCCAAAGTGCTGGGATTACAGCTGTGAGCCACTGCATCTGGCCAAAACAAACATTTCTTTTTTTTTTTTTTTTTTTGGACACTGAGTCTTGCTATGTTGTCCAGGCTAGAGTGCTGGGGTGTGATCTTGACTCACTGCAACCTCTGCCTCCCAGGTTCAAGCGATTCTCCTGCCTCATCCTCCCAAGTAGCTGGGACTACAGGCACACACCACCACGCCTGGCTCATTTTTGCATTTTTAGTAGAGACAAGGTTTCACCATGTTGCCCAGGCTGGTCTTGAACTCCTGAGCTTAAGTGATCCTCCTGCTTTGGCCTCCCAAAGTGCTGGGATTACAGACGCGAGCCACTGCACCCAGCTAATTTTTTTATTTTTAGTAGAGATGGGGTTTTGCCATGTTCGCCAGGTTAGTCTCAAACTCCTGACCTCAGGTGATCTGCCCACCTCGGCCTCCCAAAGTGCTACTCGGGAGGCTGAGGCAGGAGAATGGCGTGAACCCGGGAGGCGGAGCTTGCAGTGAGCCGAGATTGCGCCACTGCACTCCAGCCTGGGCAACACAGCAAGACTCCGCCTCAAAAAACAAAAAAAAATTAGCCAGGCATGGTGGCAGGCGCCTGTAATCCCAGCTACTCGGCAGGCTGAGGTGGGAAAATCGCTTGAACCTGGGAGGCAGAGGTTGCAGTGAACCGAGATCACGCCACTGCCTAGGCAACAGTGCGAGACTCTGTCTCAAAAAAAAAAAAAATACAAAAATTAGCTGGGCATAGTGGCGCAAGCCTGTAGTCCCAGCTACTGGGGAGGCAGAGGTGAGAGAATCGCTTGAACTTGGGAGGCAGATGTTGCAGTGAGCTGAGATCGTGCCATTGCAACATAGGGAGGCCCCATCTCAAAAAAAAAAAAAAAAAAAGAACCACAGATGTAGCCAGGCACAGGGGCTGATGCGTGTAATCCCAGCTACTCAGGAGGCTGTGGTGAGAGAATCATTTGAGCCTGGAACTTTAAGACCAGCCTAAGCAACGTAGTGAGACCCTGTCTCTAAAAAAAAAAATTTTAGGCCAGGTGCGGTGGCTCACGCCTGTAATCCCAGCACTTTGGGAGGCTGAGGCAGGTGGATCATGAGGTCAGGAGTTCAAGACCAGCCTGGCCAAGATGGTGAAACCCTGTCTCTATAAAAAATACAAAAATTTTCCTGGTGTGGTGGCGGGCACCTGTAATCCCAGCTAATCGAGAAGCTGAGGCAGAGAATTGCTGAGATCACGCCACTGCACTCCAGCCTGGGCAACAAGAGCAAAACTCCGTCTCAAAAAAAAAAAATTTTTTTTAATAAGCTAAAACAGGCTGGGAACATGGCTAAAACCCGTCTCTACAGAAAACATACAAAAAAATTAGCTAGGTGTGGTAGCAAGTGCTGGTGGTCCCAGCTACTCAGGAGGCTGAGGTGGAAAGATCACCTGAGCCCAGGACGTTGAGGCTACAGTGAGCCATGATCATGCCACTGCACTACAGCCTGGGCAACAGAGTAAGACTCTATCTCAAAATAATTAATTAAAATAAATATAAAATTAAATTTAAAACCCCAAATGTGGCTGAGTGTGGTGGCTTACACCTATAATCCTAGCACTTTGGGAGGCTGAGGCAGGAGGATCAATTAAGCCCAGGAGTTTGAGACCAGCCTGGGCAACACAGTGGGACCCTGTCTCTATAAAAAATAAAACCCACAAATCTGCAGGAGGAACAGGAAAAGTTTTGGTAAGGCGGCATTGTCAAATCAAAAGAGAAGGAAGGAAGGTATCTCTTTAGACTCTGCAAACACATTGACACATCTCCTGAGCTTTTCTTGGTGTTGTCAGCATCACCCAGCCCCATCCCCTACTCCTAGACTTCCCCAGACACAGAAATTAATCAACACTGTACAGGACAACCAACAAAACAGAAAATAGGGTACTCAAGCCTGGACACCAGACAGTCACCATGGGACAGCCCAGCCTTCTGCAGTAATAGTGGACAGATGTTTCCATTCAGGGAATCCAATAATAAAAGGAAAATAAATGTGCATGTTAAGGGCAGAAAAGAGGGAGAAGAGGGATTACTTGACTTACAGCAATTGCAGCTTGGAGTCTGTCTTCCAGAATCTGATGGCTTTCATAATTATGTGGTATGAGTGGAGGCTACCTCTGTAGCAGTGCTGTAGAATAGAATATAGAAATACATAAGCCAGCCAGGCACAGTGGTTCACGCCTGTAATCCCAGCACTGTAGGAGGCAGAGGTGGGTGGATCCTCTGAGGTCAGGAGTTCAAGACTAGCCTGACTGACATGGAGAAACCCTGTCTCTACTAAAAATATAAAATTAGCCAGGCATGGTGGCGCATGCCTGTAATCCCAGCTACTCCGTAGGCTGGGGCAGGAGAATTGCTTGAACCCAGGAGGCGGAGGTTGTGGTGAGCCGAGACCGCGCCACTGCACTCTAGCCTGGGCGACAGAGCAGGACTCTGTCTCAAAAAAAAAAAAAAATTGCTACTAGCTGCATTTATAAAAGTAAAAAGAAACGGGTGAAATTAATGTTAATATTTTATTTGATTCAATATATCCAAACTATTATATTTCACATGTGATTAATAAAGTTATCCATGAGACATTTGACATTCTTTTTTTCTGTATTGTCTTTGAAACCTGGTATTACAGCACATCTCAATGCATATGCTATATCTTCCTGGGTATACTTAATTTTTATTTAGAATCCATAAAAATAATAGTTGACGCTGGGTGCAGTGGCTCAAGCCTGTAATCCCAGCACTTTGGGAGGCCGAAGCGGGCAGATCACGAGGTCAAGAGATCGAGACCTTCCTGGCCAATATGGTGAAACCCCGTCTCTACTAAAAATACAAAAATTAGCTGGACATGGTGGTGGGTGCCTGCAGTCCCAGCTACTCAGGAAGGTGAGGCAGGATAATCGCTTGAACCTTGGAGGTGGAGATTGCAGTGAGCCGAGATCAGGCCACTGCACTCCAGCCTGGCGACAAAGCAACACTCTGTCTCAAAAATAAAATAAAATAATAGTTGAAAAAGTAGATTCACATACCCAAGTTGTTCTAAACATACTTAAAAGTCTTCTAGGCCGGGCGCAGTGGCTCATGCCTGTAATCCCAGCACTTTGGGAGGCCGAGGCGGGTGGATTGCCTGAGATCAGGAGTTCGAGACCAGCCTGGCCAACATAGTGAAACCCTGTCTCTATTAAAAATACAAAAAAATTAGCTGGGCGTGGTGGTGGGCACCTGTAATCCCAGCTACTAAGGAAGCTGAGGCAGGAGAATCACTTGAACCCATGAGGCAGAGGTTGCAGTGAGCCGAGATCATGCCATTGCACTCCAGCCTGGGCAACAAGAGCAAAACTCTTGTCTCAAAAGGAAAAAAAAAAGTCTTCTAATAACTGAATGAGTATTTGTTTTTAAATTTAAGGCAAGGACATGAAGAAATGTCAGCTCTATGTACTGTTGATAGAAATGTAAAATGGTGCAGCACTATGGAAAAGAGTTCTGGCAGATCCTCAGGAAACAGAATTACCATACATACGATCCAGCAGTACCACTTTTGGGTATATATGCAAAAGAATTCAAAGCAGAAACTCAGATATTGTATGTTCATCTTCATAGCAGCATTATTTACAATAGTCAAAAGATAGAGGTGAGTCAAGTGTCCACTGGTTAGATGAATGGATGAACAAAATGTGGTATATACATACAGTGGAGTTTATTGTTGTTTTTCTTTCTGAGACGGAGTCTTGCTGTGTTGCCCAGGCTGGAGTGCAGTGGCACCATCTTGGCTCACTGCAACCGCTGCCTCCTGGGTTCAAGCAGTTCTCCTGCCTCAGGCTCCCTAGTAGTTGGGATTACAGGCGCATGCCACCACACCTGGCTCATTTTTGTATTTGTAATAGAGACGGGGTTTCACCATGTTGACCAAGCTGGTCTCGAACTCCCAACCTCAGGTGATCCACCCACCCCAGCCTTCCAAAGTGCTGGGATTACAGACAAAGCAAGACCCTGGCTCAAAAAATAATACAATACAATAAAATAAAAAGTCAGCCTCTCAGTGGCACTAACCACATTTCTTTTTTTTTTCGCGACAGAATCTCGCTCTTTCACCCAGGCTGGAGTGCAGTGGTGCGATCTCGGCTCACTGCAACCGCTGCCTCCCGGGTTCAAGTGATTCTCCGGCCTCAGCCTCCCGAGTAGCTGGGACTACAGGTGCGTGACACCACGCCTGGCTAATTTTTTGTATTTTTAGTAGAGACATGGTTTCACCATGTTAGCCAGGATGGTCTCGATCACCTGATCACGTCATCCGCCAGCCTTGGCCTCCCAAAGTGCTGGGATTATAGACGTGAGCCACCGCGCCTGGCCAAACTAACCACATTTCAGGTGCTCAACAACTTTTCATGGCTAAATGGCCCCTGTATCATACAATGAGCTCTAGTCTGAGACAGAACAATGGAAGTCCTATCTTAAACCTGACCTGTTGCTCAGTCTGTATGCTAAGGTACTGCCTTTCTTGACTTACCCTGAAGGGTTGGAACCCCTTTATCTGACAAGCCTTGCTTATTATTCTGTTATTTCACAATATGCTGCAGTATGCTGTGGGAGTTTTACTAATATGTATAGAAGAGGCCGGGCGCAGTGGCTCATGCCTGTAATCCCAACATTCTGGGAGGCTGAGGTGAGTGGATCACTTGAGGTCAGGAGTTCGAGACCAGCCTGGCCAACATGGTAAAACCCCAACTTTACTAAAAATACAAAAATTAGCCAGGCGTGGTGGCACATGCCTATAATCCCAGCTACTCAGGAGGCTGCGGCAGTAGAATCGCTTGAACCCAGAAGGCAGAGGTTACAGTGATCCAACATTGCGTCACTGCACTCCAGGCTAGGCAACAGAGTGAGACTCTGTCTAAAAAAAAAAAAAGTATAGAAGAAAAATGCAGCCTCCTAATATGCTATCCATCGACTTTTACTCTGTGGATGCAAAATTTCTCAGAATGGAGGCATAGGGAGCTTACTCTAACTCCGTTTGTCGACTCATGAAATTGTACCCTAACATGGATGACTTCACACCAAAGGCACTGACCCAATGTCTATGAATTGAAAGCAGCTTATTGTAAGGTTGTCTCATTTATGAACAGCACAGGGACTTGATATCTGAAACGGAGGGTGAAGGAGCGCTGCTCCATAGGCTTCAGGAGGGTTTGCTCTGACTTTGCTTCAAGGGCTTAATGTGGTTGGTTTTAATTTAGTTTTTAGTACAGTATAGGGTTCCTAACAGGTGCACAATATACATTTATTTCAGATAAGGATTGATTGGAAATGTGCTATTTTTATATTAGTCTTTATATTTCATTGCTGTGTGATTTAATCAAACTTTTCAATTCTCAAATATTCTGTTTGTTTCCAATTACATGCAGCTCCTGCATGTGTCTTCTTTTCTGAAAACGTATAATATCTGACTTATCCCTCAGCTTGGCAGTAAGCGCTCTAAAAAGCAAGGATGCTGGCCAGGCGCGGTGGCTCACGCCTGTAATCCCAGCACTTTGGAAGGCCGAGGCGGGCAGATCACGAGGTCAGGAGTTTGAGACCAGCCTGGCCAGCATGGTGAACCCCTGTCTCTACTAAAAATATAAAAAATTATCTGGTCATGGTGGTGCATGCCTGTAATCCCAGCTACTCAGGAGGCTGAGTCAGAAGAATCACGTGAACCCAGGAGGCGGAGGTTGCAATGAGCCAACATCGCACCACTGCACTCCAGCCCGGGCGATAGAGCGAGACTCTGTCTCAAAAAAAAAAAAAGCAAGGATGCTGGTATCCAACACGTTAAAAAATAAATAAAAGCAAGGACAGAACAGTTTAATTCTTCTTAACTTCTATACCATCAGGCACAGAGCTCAATAAATTTTCAGTATTTGCTGACTACTAGAAATATTTTTTCCGTAAGAGTTCATGTGCATTTTAATCTTACTATATATGCTGCTGAAGTGAGCACATGTTCACATGTATTTTGTGGTTTTTTTGGTTTTGGTTTCTTTTTTTTTTTTTTTTTTGAGACAGTCTCCTCTGTCACCCAAGCTGGAGTGCAGTGGTGTGATTTCAGCCCACTGCAACCTCCGCCTCCTGGATTCTAGTGATTCTGCTCCCTCAGCCTCCCTGCTGGGTTCTAGTGATTCTCCTGCCTCAGCCTCCCAAGTAACTGGGACTCCAGGCACGCACCACCATGCCTGGCTTATTTTTAAATTTTTATTAGAGACAGGGTTTCACTATTGGTTGGCCAGGCTGGTTTCAAACTACTGAATTCAAGTGATAGGCCCACGTCGGCCTCCCAAAATGCTGGGATTACAGGCGTCAGCCACCATGCCCGGCCTACATGTATTTTCTTTTTCTTTTTTTTTTTCTTTTTTTTTTTTTTGAGATAGTCTCAGGCTGCCGTCCAGGCTGGAGTGCAATGGCATGATCTCAGCTCACTGCAACCTCCTCCACCTCCCGGGTTCAAGCGATTCTTTTGCCTCAGCCTCCCAAGTAGCTGGGATTACAGGCGCCCGCCACCACACCCGGCTAATTTTTGTATTTTTAGTAGAGACAGAGTTTCACCATGTTGGTTAGGCTAGTCTTAAACTCCTGACCTCAGGTGATCCACCCGCCTTGGCCTCCCAAAGTGGTGAGATTACAGGCGTAAGCCACCATGACTGGCCGTTTTTTTTTGTTTTTTTTTTTGTTTTTTTTTGAGGCAGGGTCTCACTCAGGTTGCCCATGCTGGAGTGCAATGGCGCCATCTCGGCTCACTGCAACCTCTGTCTCCTGGGTTCAAGCGATTCCCCTGCCTCAGCCTGCTGAGTAGCTGGGATTACAGGCAAGCGCCACCACACCTGGCTAATCTTGTATTTTTAGTAGAGTCGGGGGTTTTTCCATGTTGGCCAGGCTGGTCTCAAACTCCCAACCTCAGGTGATCCATCTGCCTCGGCCTCCCAAAGTGCTGGGATTATAGGCATGAGTCACCGTGTCCGGCCAAAAACATTTTTTTAAAGAGATTGAGGGGGAGGGGGGTCTCACTATGTTGCCCAGGCTGGTCTCCAGCTGACCTCAAGTAATTCTCCTGCTTTAGCCTCCCAAAGTGCTGGAATTACAGACATGAGCCACCACATCTAACCCATAAAGGCACATTTAAGGGGCATGGTTGCCCAAGTGCATTTCAGCACCAGAAAGAACCATGGGGAGAGGATCCCAGCCATGGAAACAGACCTGTCAGGTGTGGTCAAGATGAATGAAAACTAACTTTGTGGCTAAGTCAGCCAACTTACAGGAAATCAGCAAACTGATAGGAAATAATATTTATAGTTAACATTTTTAGGAAACCAAATTGCTTTTCACTGCTTTTACAGATATCGGTAGACTTACTTATAGATTCAGTATTCATTACTTCGTTGTATATTGAATCAAGTGGCCCTCTCTCTCTTAAGGGATGAAAGTTAGGCCTGGCTGGCAGAAGTGAGACTGGCTGGGATAGAAGAGAAAGAGTCCCAGTTAAGACCCGTTATAGCTGGGCGCGGTGGCTCACGCCTGTAATCCCAGCACTTTGGGAGGCTGAGGTGGGCAGATCTCGAGGTCAGGTGATTGAGACCATCCTGGCTAACAGGGTGAAACCTCATCTCTACTAAAAATACAAAAAATTAGCTGGGCGTGGTGGCGGGCGCCTGTAGTCCCAGCTACTCAGGAGGCTGAGGCAGGAGAATGGTGTGAACCCAGGAGGCGGAGCTTGCAGTGAGCCGAGATGGTGCCACTGCACTCCAGCCTGGGCGACAGAGCGAGACTCTGTCTCAAAAAAAAAAAAAGACCCATTATTTTGCTGTCCAGAAAACTTATCCCAGGGAAGCTAAGCTAAGCAACTTTGGAAAAGTTGCCTAAATGGTGAATAGCTGCACAGAAACCCACTGTGCCTGAGTCCTATTCTAACCATCTTCCTCTCAAGCCAGACTGATTTATTTGCTATGTGTGTATGCATGTGTGTGTCTCCTTGCTTTGCCCAGTAAAAAGTACTATAAGTACCATACCATAAGTACAAAGTAGTGTAAGACTGTAAAAGTGAGCATACAAGCTGATACCATGCAAAGCAATCTTAATGATCAATGAGAAAAATTATGATTGTTCTGTGACTTTCAAAATTTTTTGCCAAAACATTAAAAACTCTTTCAGTTTGAAATGTACAGGGAAATGAAAATAGTAAAACTAATATTTATCTGGTACTATGTAATTTAATACATTAGAAATATTGAGGCCAGGCGCAGTGGCTCACACTTACAATCCCAGCACTTTGGGAGGCCAAGTTGGGCAAATCACCTGAGGTCAGGAGTTTGAGACCAGCCTGGTCAACATGGTGAAACCCTGTCTCTACTAAAAATACAAAAATTAGCCAGGTGTGGTGGTGGGCGCCTGTAGTCTCAGCTACTTGGGAGGCTGAGACAGGAGAATCACTTGGAACCGGGAGGCGGAGTTTGCAGTGAGCTGAGATTACACTATTGCACTCCAGCCTGGGTGACAGAGTGAGACTCCATCCCCCAACAACAACAATAAAAAAAAGAAAAGAAAAGAGAAAGAAAGAAATATTGAGAATTAGTTTTCTTTGTAAAAACCTACCAAGAGGCCCGGTATGGTGGGAGACAAGAAGCAACACAACCACATGCCTTTCTGTGCATGAGTGAACGAAATAACAGACTTTCAAAGAAATTACGCAACTTGTCACTGATCATGTACATTTGTTATTCACAGTGCTTTGTGCACTGACGAGCTGGCAACGAAGTTTATATTTTATGTAATTGCTCATACTTAACATACTGTAGTAACTGATATTTGAACCCTGTTGTTGGGAGACTGATGTTACTTAACAAAACCATGGTAAGCGAAATCCATGCATATCTGGGCCTTGTACAATCAAGTCTGGCTGTATAATGTATTTCTATGACATTGGACAAGTCCCTCCGAGAGATAAAACCACCCATCTCTCAGAGTTACCATGCGAAGTAGTGATCACATAAATATGTTCTACACAGCAGTGGGCAGACAGCTGCCAGGCTTTTGAGTAGGAATAATTAATATTTGTGGCAGCAGAAACAAAATCTAGTTTTTTTGTAAAAAATTCCAAAATTAGCCAGGTGCGGTGCTCATGTCTGTAATCCCAGCACTTTGGGAGGCCAAGGCAGGCGGATCGTGAGGTCAAGAGATAAAGACCATCCTGGCCAACATGGTGAAACCCCATCCCTACTGAAAATACAAAAATTAGCTGGGCGTGATGGCACGCACCTGTAGTCCCAGCTACTCACGAGGCTGAGGCAGGAGAATCACTTGAACCCGGGAGGCGGAGGTTGCAGTGAGCTGAGATTGCACCATAGCACACCAGCCTGGGTGACAGAACAAGACTCCATCTCAAAAAAAAAAAAAAAAATCCAAAATTGCTTTTAGATTCCTACTGATGTGATTAAACAGAAGACTCAATACTTTATGGAAATATATACATTTCCTACGCCCAGCTAATTTTTGTATTTTCAGTAGAGACAGGGTTTCTCCATGTTGGTCAGGCTGGTCTATGAACTCCCAACCTCAGGTGATCCGCCCACCTTGGCCTCCCAAAGTGCTGGGATTACAGGCATGAGCCACCGTGTCCGGCCAGCAGTCTGAAACTTCTTAAGTCTTACCTAAATTATCTAGTTTTGAGAGGATGAAGGCAGTTAGAATGTCTAAAGCAAGGTACTGTGTAACTACAAAAGAGGACTGTTGCCTTGTTTCCAGGGATGGAGGAGGTAGAATAGGGGTATAAGGTGAGAAAAGGGATGGTGTTCCGCACAGTGTTCTGTGTTTTTCTGAGTCAGATCTACATGGGAGCTTCATTATTTGGTTTGCAATTTCTAAAATACTCTTAACTCTAGTCCCAAGTGCAAGAATGAACATATTCCAGTAACAAATAACAGATTAAATTTTTTTTTTTAATTAATTTATTTTTTTTTTATTGATCATTCTTGGGTGTTTCTCGCAGAGGGGGATTTGGCAGGGTCATAGGACAATAGTGGAGGGAAGGTCAGCAGATAAACAAGTGAACAAAGGTCTCTGGTTTTCCTAGGCAGAGGACCCTGCGGCCTTGGCCTTCCGCAGTGTTTGTGTCCCTGGGTACTTAAGATTAGGGAGTGGTGATGACTCTTAACCACTGCCTAATCCAGTCTGCCTGGATGCCAGACTGGGCAGCCAGGCAGAGGGGCTCCTCACATCCCAGACGATGGGTGGCCAAGCAGAGACGCTCCTCACTTCCCAGACGGGGTGGCGGCCGGGCAGAGGCTGCAATCTCGGCTCTCCGGGAGGCCAAGGCAGGCGGCTGGGAGGTGGTTGCAGCGAGCCGAGATCACGCCACTGCACTCCAGCCTGGGCACCATTGAGCACTGAGTGAACGAGACTCCATCTGCAATCCCGGCACCTCGGGAGGCCGAGGCTGGCGGATCACTCGCGGCTAGGAGCTGGAGACCAGCCCGGCCAACACAGCGAAACCCCGTCTCCACCAAAAAAAAACGAAAACCAGTCAGGCGTGGCGGTGCGCGCCTGCAATCGCAGGCACTCGGCAGGCTGAGGCAGGAGAATCAGGCAGGGAGGTTGCAGTGAGCCGAGATGGCAGCAGTACCGTCCAGCCTTGGCTCGGCATCAGAGGGAGAGGGAGAGGGAGAGGGAGAGGGAGGGGGAGGGAGAGGGAGAGGGAGAGGGAGAGGGAGAGGGAGAGGGCCCCTTTGTTTCTTATAGGAGATGCTGGGTAATCCAGATTAAATTTTTGACATCTATAATTTTAGTTTGCTATAGCATGTTCCTTTCTAAGTGTTCTCTTTTATTTTATTTATTTAGTTATCTATTTCTTGAAATGGAGTCTCACTCTGTCGCCCAGGCTGGAGTGCAGTGAAGCAATCTTGATTCACTGCCACCTCCACCTCCCAGGTTCAAACTATTCTCATTCCTCAGCCTCCGGAGTAGCAGGGATTACAGGCGTGTGCCACCATACCAGGCTAATTTTTGTATTTTTTAGTAGAGACAGGGTTTTGCCATGTTAGCCAGGCTGGTCTGGAACTCCTGGCCTCAAGTGATCCGCCAGCCTTGGCCTCCCAAAGTGCTGGGATTACAGGCGTGAGTCACTGTGCCCGGTCTAAGTGTTCTTTCTATATGGAAATACAGATATATTGATGAGTCATATGCATAAGGATAACAAAGTCCACCACTTTTTTTTTTTTTTTTAAGAGACGGGGTCCTGCTCTGTCACCCAGGCTGAAGGGCAGTGGTGTGATCCCAGCTCACTGTAACCTCAACCTCCTAGGCTGAGTAATCCTCCCACCTCAGCTTCCCAAGTAGCTAAGATTATAGGTGCACACCACCACACCTGGCTAATTTTAAAATTTTTGTAGAGACAGGGTCTCGCTTATGCCGCCAAGGTTGGTCTTGAACTGCTAGGCTCAATCGATGCTCCCGCCTTGGCTTCACAAAGTGCTGGGATTACAGGCGTGAGCCACCAAGCCCAGCTAACTCATAGTCTTTAATACAATTTTTTCCCAGCATCTATAAAATGGTCATTCAGGAGAGTGTAGAAACAGCTTCTCTGATGAGTGGATTGCTCATCATATTCTGATAGTAGTCACTGGAATTAATATTGGTAAGAAGCAGTTGAGACCTGTAAGAGCAAAGAGAGACGATTTATTTCAAGAGGGTGCCCAGATGACCTGCAAACAAGTTTGCTCCAATGAGGCCCCTGAATTTGGAGAAGCAATGAAGGAAGGAGAAAGGGCTAAAATAACATAGTCGGTTGTTCCAATATTCCAAACGGGAAAAATGGAAGAAACCACTGATAACATTTTGAAGTACATCCTTCCAGAACTTTTTAATGTATATTAAAGTATACATTATATATTTAATCACTATACCCTAATCCATCATTCTAGGGAAATGTACACGGGATCACTATAAAAGTTCTAGATTATCTCTCTCAGCCCAGCCCCAAGTCTTCCCGAAGGCAGAAAAGTTGACCACTTGTCCGATAGTAGGTTAACCTCTGCTGCGGGTGTTAGGATGGCAGTAAGAACTCAGGCTTGTCTCTAAGCACCCAGTTATTGAAGCATGGAGTACATGGTACAATTCCTTATCTCTGTTAGTGGACTCCTGTATCTATCAGGGTTAAAGAGAGAAACCACCAGTCACGTGTATGTGCGATGTGTTTCAGGGATCTGAGTTACGCAACCGCGGGAGTGGAGGGCTGCAGGAACATGCTGGAACGCACCTCGGGTCTCATGTTCTCCGCACCTCTGACCTCGGCAGCGAGGACGTCCCGCAGAGGGAGGGGACCCTTCACAGAGCTGCACACGCCTGGCCCCGGAAAGGCGAAAGGAGGAGCCAAAAGAGGCTCTCGGCCGGGCGCGGTGGCTCATGCCTGCAGTCTCAGCACTTTGGGAGGCCCAGGCGGGCGGATCGCTTGAGCCCCGGAGTTCGGCAGCAGCCTAGCCAACATGGCGAGACCCACGTCTCTACTAAAAATACAAAAAAATGTAGCCGGGAGTGGTGGCGCCCGCTGGTGGTCCCAGCTACCGAGCGGCTGAGGCGAGAGGAGGCTGAGGCTGCAGTGAGCGGTGATCACGCCACTGCACTCCAGCCTGAGCCACAGAGCCAGACTAGGTCTCAAGAAAAAAACAGAGGCGAGTGGCAGCCGCTCTCCGCAGAGCCTGGGAGTCCGCGTCCCGCCCCGCGCAGCAGGCGCGCCCGGCACCCGCCCCGCCGCCGGCAGCGCTGGAAGGGCGCTCTGGGCCACGTGGTCCTGCGGCCGCCCCGCCTGCTCCGGGTGGGCCTCAGGCGGCCTGCCCCTGGAGGATCCCGCGTTGGGCGGGCTCAGTGTTTCCTGATACCAGGCGGCTGTGAGGCAACTTAAGTTTTCTGAGGAAACTTTGGTTTCTTTTTCTTTGTCCGCAAAAGACGTCAGCCCTAACCCTTGTTTCTCATTTTTCGCGGGTCTCTCTCATTGCCTTCACACACCAGTTTTAACCACAGTTAAACTGGGAAGGAGCTGAGCACGGTGGTGGCACGCGCCTGTGGTCCCAGCTACTTGGGAGGCTGAGGACGGAGAGATCGCTTGAGCCCGGGAGGTCGAGGCTGCAGTGAGCCGGGATCGCACCACTGCACTCCATCCTGGGCTATACAGCAAGACCCTTCAACAAAAAATAATTTAAAAAAACAAGGCTGGGCGCGGTAGCACACTCCTGTGATCCCAGCACTTTGGAAAACGGAGACAGACGGATTGCTTGAGCCCAGGAGTTCAAGATCAGCCTGGGCAACATAGCGAGACGCGTCTCTATAAAAAGAAAAATACAAATATTAGCGGGGCGTGCTGGCGAGAGCCTGTGGTCCCAGCTACTCTGGAGGCAGAGATGAGAGGATCGCTTGAGCTCAGGAGGCAGAGGTTGTAGTGAGACCAGACTGCGCGCCATTGCACTCCAGCCCGGGCGAAAAAGTGAGACCCTGTCTCCAAAAAGTAAAAAAAAAAAAATTTAAAAGGGGAATGGTAGGGGGAAAGGAAGGATAAGGAGAGATTTGCTAAAGGATATACATAAGTACAGCTATCTGGTTTTCTATGCCATAGGATGACTTTGGTTCACCATAATAGTTTCAAATAGCTAGGAGAAAAATATTGAATGTTCCCAACAGGAAGAAATGATAAATATTTGAGATGATGGATGTTAATTATCCTGATCACTATACGTTATATGTATCAAAACATCACTATGTACCCCATGAATATGTACAATTATTTGTCAATTAAAAATTATTTTAGGCCAGGTGCAGTGGCTCACGCCTGTAATCCCAGCACTTTGGGAGGCTGAGGTGGGCGGATCACGAGGTCAGGAGATCGAGACCATCCTGGCCAACACGGTGAAACCCCGTCTCTACTAAAAATACAAAAAATTAGCCGAGCGTGGTGGTGGGCGCCTATAATCCCAGCCACTCGGGAGGCTGAGGCAGGAGAATGGCGTGACCCCTGAAGGCGGAGCTTGCAGTGAGCTGAGATCGTGCCACTGCACTCCAGCCTGGGCAATACAGCAAGACTCTGTCTTAAAAAAAATTATTTTAAAAAGATCAACTGATCTTTATGAACTATCTTTTTTCCCCACTCTCTGTTGTTGGAGGGAAGAAAACTTCAAAGTCAACATTATTAAGAACCATTATGATGAAGATTTTATAAAAAGCTCAGATTTGGCCAGGCACGGTGGCTCATGCCTGTAATCCCAGCACTTTGGGGGTCTGAGGCAGGTGGATCACTTGAGGTCAGGAGTTTGAGACCAGCCTGGCCAACCAATGGTGGAACCCCATCTTTACTAACAATACAAGGATTAGTTGGGCTTGGTGGCACATGCTTGTAATCCTAGCTACTTGGGAGATTGAGGCGGGAGAATTGCTTAAATCTAGGAGGTGGAGGCTGCAGTGAGCCAAGATCGAGCCACTGCACTCCAGCCTGGGTAACAGAGCCAGACTCTGTCTCAAACACAAAAACACAAACAAAACAGTTTACCTTGGGTGAGGTATGGTGAGATTAGATGCAGCACAGGAGTTACAAACCAGTTTTACAGTTTTTGTTTTTGTTTTTTGTTTGAGACAGTCTTTTACTCCGTCACCCAGGCTGGAGAGTAGTGGAGCTCCAGCCTCCCAGAGGAGGTTGCTCCTCCACCTCCCGGTTTCAAGCGATTCTCCCTCCTCAGCCTCCCGAGTACCTGGGACTACAGGCGTGCGCGCCACTATGCCCAGCTAATTTTTGTATTTTTAGTAGAGCCAGGGTTTCACCATGTTGGCCAGGCTGGTCTTGAACTCTTGGCCTCAAGTGATTGCCTGCTTCTGCCTCCCAAAGTGCTGGGATTACAAGCGTGAGCCACCACGTTGGCCCAAGTTTTAGTTTTGTACTCTCATTTCCCTGGGGCTTCACACAAGGCCACTCAGCAGGAGCAGAAGGGGTCACTAGGCAGAGGGAGTGAGGGGGGAACTGCAGAAGAGCCTTTGTTGTGGTTTTTGCAGGAAGAGAAGGGTTAGGCAAGGCCAACAGGTTTGGGATTGGCTAATTTGAGTAATTTCCGGGGGCTCAGGGGCATGGGGCTGGCCCTAGTTGTCTGGTAACTGGCCCTGGAGTGATTACGGTGTATAATGGTCCCGAGTGTTTGAGCCTGATAACAGAGGTGGTTGGGGGTGCAGACATAATCGGCAGCTCAAGAAGAGGAACTAACTGGCTTTTAGCCAGAGCCTAAAATCTAAGTCAAGACAGCACACACCCACACACAAACTACGTTGCCTGAAACAATATTCTTTAAAGATATTTACCTAAAGGGCCACAAATTTTATTAAATCTCTGATCCTGAAACTTCAATACTCCCCACTGACTATATAAAGTTATCTTCAGGTTTTTTGTTGTTTTTTTTTTTTTTTTTTTTTTTGAGAAGGAGTCTCGCTCTGTGGCTCAGGCTGGAGTGCAGTAGAGCCATCTCGGCTCACTGCAAACTCCACCTTCTGGGTTCAAGCAATTCTTCTGCCTCAGCCTCCCGAGTAGGTGGGATTACAGATGTGTGCCACCACGCCCAGCTGATTTTTCTATTTTTAGTAGACACCGGGTTTCACTATGTTGGCCAGGCTGGTCTTGATCTCCTAACCTCAGGTGATCCACCTGCCTCAAGCCTCCCATAGTGCTGGGATTACAGGCGTGAGCCACCGCACCCGGCCTGTATTTTTAGTAGAGAAGGGGTTTCGTCATGTTGGCCAGGCTGGTCTCAAACTCCTGACCTTAGGTGATTCACCCTCCTCAGCCTCCCAAAGTGCTGGGATTACAGGCATGAGCCACTGTGCCTGACCAATTTAGAAATATTTTATCATTCAAAAATTAGGCGGCTTTCAGGGATCATTTCTATAGTCTGCTACTAGAGTACTTTCTGTGAAAGTGTAGAGCCCCCGGAAACGACAGGAGGTGCAGTTTTCTCCTGAGTGTGAAGCCGGCGCTTGGTGTTGCTTTCGCCATTGAGGTTTCTTCTCCTCCGTGGGGGAATGAGAGGGAGAGGACACAGGCTGAATGGTTTGAGTTACCAAAGTAAAAAAATATATTTACAGTAATGCTTTTTAATTTTTATTTATTTATTATTCGAGACAGAATCTTGCTCTGTCGCCCAGGCTGGAGTGCAGTGGCATGATCTCGGCTCACTGTGACCTCCGCCTCCCGGGTTTAAGCGATTCTCCTGCCTCAACCTCTGGAGTAGCTGGGATTACAGACGCGCACCACCACGCCTAATTTTTTTTTTTTTTTTTGAGACGGAGTCTCGCTGTGTCACCCAGGCTGGAGAGCAGTGGTGCGATCTTGGCTCACCGCAAGCTCCGCCTCCCGGGTTCACGCCATTCTCCTGCCTCAGCCTCCTGAGTAGCTGGGACTACAGGCGCCTGCCACTGCGCCCGGCTAATTTTTTTTTTTTTTTTTGTATTTTTAGTAGAGACGGGGTTTCACTGTGTTAGCCAGGATGGTCTCGATCTCCTGATTTCGTGATCCTCCCGCCTCAGCCTCTCAAAGTGCTGGGATTACAGGCATGAGCCACTGCCCCCAGCCACTAATTTTTGTATTTATAGTAGAGACGGGGTTTCACCATGTTGGCCAGGCTGGTGGCGAATTCCTGACCTCGTGATCCGCCCACCTCGGCCTCCCAAAGTGCTGGTGTTATAGGTGTGAACCATCGCACCCGGCCTGCTTTTTATTTTATTATTTATTTATTTTTTCTGAGACTGAGTCTCGCTCTTGTTGCCCAGGCTGGAGTGTGCAGTGGCTCAATCTCGGCTCACTGCAAACTCCGCCTCCCGGGTTCAAGCGATTCTCCTGCCTCAGCCCCCTGAGTAGCTGGGATTACAGGCGTCCACCACCACGCCCAGCTAATTTTTCTATTTTTAGTAGAGACCGGTTTCACCATGTTGGTCAGGCTGGTCTCCAACACCTGTCCTTGTGATCCGCCAGCCTCGGCCTTCCAAAGTGTTGGGATTACAGGCATGAGCCGCTGCGACGCCTGGCCAGTAATGCTTTTTTTTTTGTTTGAGAGTTTCACTCTTCTTGCCCAGGCTGGAGTGCAATGGCACGATCTCGGCTCACCGCAACCTGCGCCTCCTGGGTTCAAGCGATTCTCCTGCCTCAGCCTCCCTAGTAGCTGGGATTACAGGCATGTGCCACCATGCCTGGTTAATTTTGTATTTTTAGTAGAGACGGGGTTTCTCCATGTTGGTCAGGCTGGTCTCGAACTCCCGATCTCTGGTGATCCGCCCGCCTTGGCCTCCCAAAGTGTTGGGATTACAGGCGTGAGCTACCGCGCCTCGCAATTTTTTTTTTTTTTTTTTTTTTGAGATGGAGTTTCGCTCTTGTTTCCCAGGCTGGAGGGCAGTGGTGTGATCTCCACTCAGCACAACCTCCACCTCCCGGGTTCAAGTGATTCTCCTGTCTCAGCCTCTCAAGTAGCTGGGATTACAGGCATGTGCTACCACGCCCGCCTAATTCTGTATTTTTAGTACAGACATGGTTTCTCCGTGTTGGTTAGGCTTATCTCGAACTTCTGACCTCAGGTGATCCCGCCCACCTCAGCCTGCAAAAGCACTGAGATTACAAGCATGAGCCACCGCGCCTGGCCCAGTAATGCTTTTTAAAGAGCCGAAAAGCACCTCAGAGCACTGGTTTATCTATAATCTTTTTTTTTTTTTTTTTTTTTGAGACAGTCTTGCTCTGTTGCCCAGGCTGGAGTACAATCTCACTGCAACCTCCACCTCCCCGGTTCAAGTGATTCTTCTCCCTCAGTCTCCCGAAAGCTAGGATTACAGGCACAGGCACATGCCACCACACCTGGCTAATTTTTGTATTTTTTGTAGAGATGGGGTTTCACCATGTTGGCCAGGCTGTTCTCGAACTCCTGAACTTGTGATCTGCCCGCCTCGGCCTCCCAAAGTGCTGGGATTACAGGTGTGAGCCACCACACCTGGCCTATCTGTTATCTTTTGTCCAAAAACAATAAAAGAGCAAAATGTCTGTTAAATTTGTTATATATCTATAATTTTCTGTATGTTTCAAATATTCCATAATTTTTTTTTAAATGTAAGTTAATAGGAGAAAAAGAAAGGCAGAGAGAAAGAGAAGGTGCATGCTGTCCTGTCCCTTGCACATTTTGATCCAAATGAAGTTTTCTGACTCTTCTGAGGCTCCATAGAGCTGAAGGCATCTAACTGTACACAGTTTTTGGTAGGAAAACTCATGATCAGACTAAAAGATGATGACTTAGAATGAAAAAAGAGCTGGCCAGGTGTGGTGGCTCATGCCTGCCTATAATCCCAGCACTTTGGGAGGCCAAGGCAGGCAGATCACTTGAGGTCGGGAGTTCCAGACCAGTATGGCCAACATGGTGAAAACCTGTCCCTACTAAAAATACAAAAATTGGCTGGGCGCAGTAGCTCATGCCTGTAATCCCAGCGCTTTGGAGGCCGAGGCAGGCGGATCACCTGAGGTCAGGAGTTCGAAACAACCCTGGCCAACATGGCGAAACCCCATCTCTATTAAAAATACCAAAAAAAAAAAAACTTTAGCTGGGCATGGTGGTGGGTGCCTGTGATCTCAGCTGCTCAGGAGGCTGAGGCAAAAGAATCGCTTGAACCCAGGAGGAGGAGGTTGCAGTGAGCCCAGATCACACCATTGTACTCCAGCCTGGGGTAGAAGAGGGAAACTCCGTCTCAAAAATAAATAAATAAAATAAAAGTAAATAAATAAAAATACAAAAATTATCCAAAAATTGCTTGAACCTGGCAGGCAGAGTTTGCAGTGAGCCCAGATCGTGCCACTGCACTCTAGCCTGGGCGACAGGGTGAGACTCCGCCTCAAAAAAATAAAATAAAAGGGTGAAGAAAGAGCTAGAACTTAGCTTACTAACATCCAAGTGAGTCCCTCAGTTGCTTGCTTGGCCTGCTGGGGAAATGGGCAAAGTAAGGGCAGCCACTCCACCAACACTGGCCACTACCACCTAATCAAGCTGTGGTCCTTTATTGGGCAAAGAAACCAATTCAAGCAAGTAACCAGCAAGCTCAGGTATCCCATAATCCTTCTTTCACTATTTAATACACAGTAAAAAGTGCTATTTGAAAGAACTGTCAAGTTCTCTGAAAGAATTGCAAATAACCTAGGGATCCAGCCTTCCTGGTGGTAGCTCACTTCAGTGAGTATCAGAGCAGCTTCAAAGTTGCACTTTTCTTTCTTTCTTTTTTTTTTTTTTTTGAGACGGAGTCTCGCTGTCGCCCAGGCTGGAGTGCAGTGGCGCCATCTCGGCTCACTGCAAGTTCCGCCTCCCGGGTTCACGCCATGCTCCTGCCTCAGCCTCCCGAGTAGCTGGGACTACAGGCACCCGCCACCTCACCTGGCTAATTTTTTGTATTTTTAGTAGAGACACGGTTTCACCGTGTTAGCCAGGATGGTCTCAATCTCCTGACCTCGTGATTCGCCGGCCTCGGCCTCCCGAAGTGCTGGGATTACAGGCGTGAGCCACCGTGCCCGGCCTCAAAGTTGCACTTTTCTATATTGGTCATGAAAATTAACCAGACAAGGCTGTCACTGCCGAATGTGCCTCTTCCCACCTGGGTTATCTCTGCCTCCTAGAGCACCTCGCTTCAAGGAGAAAAGTGACATTTAGACAGGGCCTATACTGACTAGACAGGTCAGTTGGCTTTCTCACTTCCTTCATTCTCCTCTCAGATGGGAAAGGGAGGAGACAGCCTGAAAAGCCCGTTTCTCGCTAGGATCTAGATTGCAGTAGTTGAGAACGGACCCTGGAATCAGATGGGGCCTCCAGCCTCCATACAACTTCCAGCTCAGCCATCTAGAAGCTGGGTGACTCAGTTTCTTTCCGCCAAATGGTGGTAGTATCTACTGCAGGGTTGTTACCAGGTTTCAGTGGGATTAAGTAGAATAGCACAAAGCATAGTGAGAATGCAGTATGTGTTAGCTACGGTTATTGCTATTTAACAGATACTATGATTTTTGAGCAAGAGACATCTCTGAACCTTGGTGATCCCTGCCTACTTAATGGCACCGTCTTGCGGGAAGGGGGAATCTCAGCTTAATAGGTAAGGTGATTTTTCAAGAACTACTGAGTAGAAGATTTAAAAACCTCTGTAACGCTCCAAACCTGTAACCAATTGTATGGATAAGTAGTGTCTAGAGGGGAACTTATTTTTTAAAACTGACAATATTGGCCAGGCGCGGTGGCTCACGCCTGTAATCCCAGCACTTTGAGAGGCGGAGGCGGGTGGATCATGAGGTCAGGAGTTCAAGGCTAGCCTGGCCAACAAGGCGAAACCCCGTGTCTACTAAAAATACAAAAATTAGCCGGGCCTGGTGGTGGGCACCTCTAATCCCAGCTACTCGGGAGGCTGAGGCAGGAGAATCGCTTGAACCTGGGAGGTGGAGGGTGCGGTGAGCCAAGATCGTGCCATTGCATTCCAGCCTGGGTGACAAGAGCAAAACTCCGTCTCAAAAAAAAAAAAAAAAAAAAACCTGACAATATTTATTAAAAACTATTAAGTTTTTGGCTGGGCGCGGTGGCTCACGCCTGTAATCCCAGCACTTTGGGAGGCCGAGGCGGGCGGATCACGAGGTCAGGAGATTGACACCATCCTGGCTAACACGGTGAAAACCTGTCTCTGCTAAAAATAAAAAAAAATTTGCCAGGCGCCGTGGTGGGCGCCTGTAGTCCCAGCTACTCGGGAGGCTGAGGCAGGAGCATGGCGTGAACCCGGGAGGAGAAGCTTGCAGTGAGCTGAGATCGCACCACTGCACTCCAGCCTGGGCGACAGAGCGAGACTCCGTCTCAAAAAAAATAAAGTATTAAGTTTTTGATAATAATCAATGTACATAAACAACAGGAAATAATCAGGCAGGTCAGTCTGTAAGGGGCAACATCTTGGAATTCAATTGTTTTAAACCATAGATCTTAAAGGTTCATCTCTGTGTAGATGCTCTCAAGCATCAAGGTGCTCTCTGAATGTTTAGATTTCAGAGCTTAGGTAAGACATTTCTATGGACACAGAGGTGAAAGGGCTACAGATAAGGAGGTAGTCCAGGTGGACCAGGTGTGGATGAGCATTTGCGAGTTGGTGAAGTGAGCCCAGTGTGGAAAAGGCCTAGGACCTGTGGCATCATTCTGAGTGATGCCAAGTCTTCACTGTGGGATAAAGCCTACATGTGACTGTGCTGGTACTCAATGCTGAAAAAGATATAGTGGACACCTGGGATGACTCCTTAGGACGGCAGGAAGTTCTATAATCAGGCCAAAGTACTAGTCTTGCATTCAGAGAAGACCGTCTCCAACAACTATTACCTCATTTATGAATAATGGAGAACTGTCAAATTTGAGTGAGGGGATCAAAGGTCCACTTAGCTTAGAGGCTTTTTTTTTTTTTTAACTTTTAAAATACAGACTGGGTCTCACTATGTTCCCCAGGCTGGTCTTGAACTCCAGGGCTCAAGCAATCCACTGGCCTTGGCCTCCCAAAGTGCTGGGATTACAGGTCTGAGTCACCGCACCCAGCCAGAGAGACTCTTAATACAAAGATTGCATGAATATATCTTCTTGCAGCTGGTTTAACAGTCCCTAATTTCTGAAGCATTACTAGTCTTTTGGTTTAATTTTCTTTCTTTTTTTTTTTTTGAGACAGAGTCTTGCTCTGTCGGCCAGGCTAGAGTGCAGTGGCAAAATCTTGGCTCACTGCAACCTCCATCTCCTGGGCTCAAGCAATTCTCCTGCCTCACCCTCCTGAGTAGCTGAGATTACAGGCATGTGCCACCACGCCCGGCTAATTTTTGTATTTTTAGTAGAGACAGGGTTTCACCATGTTGGCCAGGATGGTCTTGAACTCCTGACCTCAGGTAATCCGCCTGACTCGGCTTCCCAAAGTGCTAGGATTACAGGCGTGAGCCCTTTTGGTTTAATTTTCCTAATATTCGATTTAAATTGGCTACTTGAATTTTTCTCTCCAGAAACATCTTTCTACAGCATGAGCTGTGATGCAGTCACTGTATGACTTTTTTTTTTTTTTTGAGACAGAGTTTCGCTCTTGTTACCCAGGCTGGAGGGCAATGGTGCAATCTCGGCTCACTGCAACCATCACCTCCTGGATTCAAGCGATTCTCCTGCCTCAGCCTCCAGGGTAGATGGGACTACAGGTACGCGCCAACACGCCCGGCTAATTTTTTTTTGTATTTTTAGTAGAGACAGGGTTTCGCCATGTTGCCCAGGCTGGTCTCAAACGCCTAACCTCAGGTGATCCACCCACCTCGGCCTCCCAAAGTCTTGGGATTACAGGCGCGAGCCACCGCGCCCGGCCGGCCACAACTTCTTAAGAATACCTACCTATCTGATTTTCGCCCCTTTCCTATGATGCTGAATACCTATCTGATTTTTGCAGGAACTATTTTCTGTAATTTTGCCTCAAATTATGCAGTTTTCTCTTTGGACATTTTTACCTATTCTGACAGCTCCTGCTTTACTCTTTCCATTCTCTTTCTTGGAACTAGCTTTTTCTTTTAACAAACTCCTTCCTTCATCACAATCATCCCACTCATCATCTGACACTATTTTGAGCACTCCTTTACTTTCTCTGGTGATTTAAAAAATAACGTTCAGCCAGATGCGTGGCTCAATCCAGTAATCCCAACACTCTGGGAGGCGTAGGTGGGCGGATGGCTTGAGTCCAGGAGTTCCCGACCAGCCCGGGCAACACAGCGAAACCTCGCCTCTACAAAAAATACAAAATTTAGCCGAGAGTGGTGGTGCTACTCAGGAGGTTGAGGCAGGAGGATCGCTTGAGCCCAGGAGGTCGAGGCTGCAGTGAGCCGTGATTGTACCACTGCACTCCCGCCTGAATGACAGGGCGATACTCAGTCTGGAAATAATAACAATAGTAACAATGTTCAGCTTAACCTGTGATGAGTGCCTTGACATCATCTCTTCATGAAGAAGATCCACCAAAATAAAATGGTTACAATTATTAGCCCTACAATACATCAAAAAAAAAAAGAAAAGAAAGAAAATCTGTCCCTGGCTTAGCCATTAGCCACCAAATCTGTGTGTTCAGGTGCTCTGTGACTGAAAATCTTGCCCTCGACCTGGGTCTGAGTTACATTCTGAGGTTTGGGGGCTTCTCACACCACGGAATTTATCACCTGAGCAACTTCAACCTGACAAATCCCTCCTAACGCCCTGCTCTGAGACCCCTTTAGGCGGTCTCCGGAGTACTCAGTGTACCTTTTTTTTTTTTTTTTCTTTGAGACGTAGTCTCGCTCTGTCGCTAGGCTGGAGTGCAGTGGCGCGATCTCGGCTCACGCAAGCTCCGCCTCCCGGGTTCAAGCGATTCCCCTGCCTCAGCCACCCGAGTGGCTGGGACTACAAGCGCGCGCCACCACGCCTGGCTAATTTTTTTGTATTTTAGTAGGGGTTTCACTATGTTGGCCAGGATGGTCTCGATTTCCCGACCGCCTGATCCGTCCGCCTCGGCCTCCCAAAGTGGTGGGATTACAGGCGTGAGCCACCGCGCCCGGCCTTCAGTGTACTACTTTCCTTATTTTATTTTTTGAGACAGCGCCTCGCTCTGTCGCCCAGGCTGGACGCAATGGAGCAGTCACGGATCACTGCAGCCTCGACCTCCCGGGCTCAAGCGATTCTCCCGCCTTAGCCTCCCAAATTACTGGGACCACAGGCTTGCGCCACCACGCCCTGCCATCGGCTCTCATTTCCTTTTCCCATCCTAGTCTTCCATCAGGCGTCCTTTCGGCGCACATTTCAGTGTCCTGCGGGGCTCACCAGTGTCCTTCCTCCAGGGCCTCAGGGGCAGTCAGAGGGATCTTTCCCGCCGCTCCACTCCCTCCTCCTCCTCCCCCTCCCCCTATCCCCTCCCCTCCCCTCCCTTCTCCTCTCCAGAAACGTCCTCGCTTGTCCGCCTCCACCGCCTCCCCCGCCAGCCGTGTCGGCTCTGCTCCGCGCCCAGCCGGCCAACCGGCGGCTCAGCTCTGGCGCGTCACAATGCGCCGTCGCGGCCCCGCCCCCGGACGCCGGACGCAGAAACTCCGCCCTGCCGCGGTCCTTGCGTCCTTCCGGCTCCGTCGTGGAAGCAGGACTGCGCCGCGTCTTCCTCAAGGTGGGGTTCGGGGGGCCACCGAATCGCTGTCACGCCGGCAGGTAGCAGGGGGTGGGGACGCGGGCTCCTTGGGCTTCTGTTTCCTGGTGTCCAGGGCAAAGGGCTGAGCCGGGCAGTAGGGCCTAGTCGGGGCCTGGCTCGCCGGGAGCAGGAGGGCTTCCGGCAAAGCCGCGTGCGCTCGACGGGCAGGCGCTGAGGATTGGGGCCGGCAGCGCGCCTGACCCCGCCCCTCGTAGGCTCCGCCCCGTGCTCGCAGGCGGGGGTTTCCATGGTGATGGTCAACAAGCCTCAACTGCCTCTGCTACAACTGCCAAGTTCCCCGCGTCCCACCCTCCTCTAGGTGCTCCAAGGGACCACCGGGGTGCCTGATATGAGAGCGGGAGTGTAGAGACTCGGAGGCCGAGGTGAGGGGCGGCCGAAGTCTCCGAGGTCGAAGGCCGCACACCCGGGACCTAGCGGGGACCGGGTCCCCCTGGGGGTGGGGACGGGGGGTGGGATTTGAGATTAGGGAGACTATCCGAAGTCCAGGGCCCCGTACCCGGACTACCTGGGGACTGGGCCTATTGGGGTGGGGATCGTTGGGCTGGGGCTGGGATTTGGGATCAGGGAAGAGCGATCTGAGTTTAAGCGCCGCAAACCTGGGACCGAGCGAGGACTGCACATAATGAGGGGCCGTGGCGCTGAGATTTGGGTGACGGGATTCGAGGTCGAGGGGCCCGTACGTGGGACCGGCAAGAACTGGACCCACTGGGATCGGGAGACGCAGCGTCGGAGGTCGAGAGCCGCACGCCCAGACAGTGGTCCCACGCGGTGAGCACCGCGGGCTGAGATTTTGGAGTCAGGAAAGCGCGGGGAAGGCACGGACGGCCGGGTGCGTTAGTCCGGCCCCCTGGCGGGGAGCTGGCGACTGCCGGAGGGCTCTGAAAGTGAGAACAGGCCTGGCGCAGTGGGAGGCCCAGCCGGGAGGATCTCTTGAGCCCAGGAGTTCCCGACAAGCCTGGGCAACATAGACTGTCTCTACTGAAAAGTAAAGAAAAAAAAATTAGCCACGTGTGGTGGCGCGCGCCTGTTGTCCCAGCTACTCGGGAGGCTGAGGCGGGAGGGTCGCTTGCTCTGAGGTCGAGGCTGCAGTGACAGTGATTGTGCCACTGCATTCCAGCCGGGCGACGGAAATGAGACCTTGTCTCAAAAGAAGTAATAATAGTAATAATACCTGAGTAAAATGAAAGCCGCGCGCTCACGTGGCTGCAGGCGCCTGAGAGTTGCACAAGACTTCCTTGTGGGGAGTTGGCTCCGCCCTCCTCCCACGCCCGGTTCCCGTAGCCTTAGCTCTCGGCCCCGGGCCCTTTTTCCTCCTCGGCTGCGCCGCGTGTCCTCGGAGCGCGGTCCCTGTATTGGTCTCCTGCTCCTAGAGGTATCGTGTTTGTATTTGGGGTGAAAATCTGACTCGTGCGCGCTCTTCAGCTTAGTCGTCCTTTTTTTTTTCCTTTTGTTTGTTTGTATTAAGTATTTTCGTCGATTCCGCCCTGCTCGTAGGAAACTTGTGGACGGGGCCCGGCTCCTGCTGCGCCGGCTGCCCGGCTCCCCCAACCGCAGAGTCGTGGACCAGGGTTTTGAGGAGCAAGGCACCCGACTCGCCCTCCCCCCAAGGCCGCCCCGGGCGCGGGAACCCCTCCCCCTAGGCGCCTGGGACCCCCGCTCGGCTCCGCGTGTGTCCCGGCGGAGGGTGGAAGGAGAGCCGAGCTCGGCCATTGCCCGCGGGCGGCCCGGGGACGAGCTGACGCGCCTCTTTAGTTCTCGAAACTGCTCGCGGGCGCTGGGGGCTCGGGCCGGCCATCTGCGTGGCGGGACGCGAGGCGCGCGCTGGCGGCTGCGCGCGAAGGGCAACGGGCGGCGGCGGCGGCTTCCCGGAACCGCGCGGGGCGGGCCCTGCGCCGGGGTCAGGGCCACAGCCTCAGGCGGCAGGGAGTTCTGAAAGCGTAGTTTTCAGTCGTTCCGTCCCAAAAGTCATCTTAATTCTTCCAAAAATACACGCATATAATTCTTTCTACTTAGTTATATTTTTAAAAGTTAAATACGTGGTTGTCTCTGAATTCCTAGTAAGATGAAAATTTCTTGGGTTCTCCAGGTAGGTGAAAGATACCTTAAGTGCTATTCCTGCAAAGTGACTCGTTGCTCTCACAGAATTTATAAACTATAAAATAAGACATTACTACTTTAATGAATATTAAGAGAGAGATTGCTTTATTCCTAAGCAAGAAGATCTTTTCCCTTGTAGGTATTACATTCCGGTGTGCATTCTGTAGATTAGAGTCATTATCGGCCGGGCGAGGTGGCTCACGCCTGTAATCCCAGCATTTAGGGAGGCCGAGGTGTGGGAGGATCGCTTGGGCCCCAGAGACCTACCCCGTCTCTATAAAAAAATATGTATTATTTTTTGAGACAGGGTCTCACTTTGTTGCCCAGGCTGGAGTGCAATGGTGTGATCTCGGCTCGCTGCCGAGATCCTCCTGTGCTCAACGGATCCTCCCACCTCAGCCGCCGAGTATCTGGGACCACGGGCACTCTCCAGCACGCCCGGCAAATTTTTGTATTTTTTGTAGAGATGGGGTCTCCTTATGTTGCCCAGATTGATTTTCAAACTTTTGTGCTCAAGCGATTCTCACGCCTCTGCCTCCCAAAGTGCTGGGATTACAGGCGTGAGCCATCGTGCCCGGCCACTTTTTTGTAAACTGCCAAGTTTTCTGTTAAGGGTAGCGTTATAAAGCTTTATTCAGGTAAAAAATGGAATTTATTTAAGGGAAAAGACTGAGTAAATAGAAAGTTACTTCTCCCACGTGGCCAGAACCTTGGAAAGCCTGGAGGCAAATGAGAGCCCGGTGGGGGTAGATGCCTGCAGGGGCTGCAGAAATGTGACAGGCCCTTTCCTTGGAGGTGACTTCTCTAATTCCCTCTCCCCCACTGAGCTCTGGTTCTCTGCTCTTCGGGAGAACCACATTAGTTGACTCTTACTAGGTCCTAGAAGTTTTACTCCATTTTCTAATTACATGCTCAGGACTACTCCAGAAGGGCTTGCTATTAGCCCCATGTTTCAGATGAGAAAATGGAGGTTGGGAGAAGTCATGTGTCCAGGGACACAATTGGGACTTGGGACCCAGTCCCAACTGGGTCCCAAGTTGGACCGGGACACCCCTCCCCTGCCAGGGCCCTTGCCCTGTCTTAGTTGCCCTGAGCTACGGTTCTTGTGGAGGGCAACAGGGTGGGCAGAGGGAGAACTGAGCTCAGCCAAGACCGCCCTGGCTTATTTTACAGCAAATCCCAGACCAATAAGGTCTTTATTAATAAATAAATCCGCAGTATTTCTAAGAACTTTTAAAACCTAACCATGATACTGCTGTCATGCCTAAAAATACATTCCAAAATATCAAGTATCCAGGGTTTAAGTGTTTCTGTATTAAATTTTTTTTTTTTTCCGAGACGGAATCTTGCTCTTGTCACCCAGGCTGGAGTGCAGTGGCACAATCTCAGCTCACTGCAAACTCCATCTCCCGGGTTAATGCCATTCTCCTGCCTCAGCCTCCCGAGTTGCTGGGACTACAGGCGGCCGCCACCATGCCCGGCTAATTTTTTGTATTTTTAGTAGAGGCGGGGTTTCATCATGTTAGCAGGGATGGTCTCGATCTCCTGACCTCGTGATCCGCCGGCCTCGGCCTCCCAAAGTGCTGGGATTACAGGCGTGAGCCACCGCGCCCGGCATGTATTAAATATTTTAAACAGCTGGTTGGTTTGAGTCAGGATCCAAAGTCACACCTTATATTTTGTAGATAACTTTTTAAATTCAGAGCAGCACTGTCCAATAGAAATATAATGTATGCTATAAATGTAATCTTATATTCTTTAGTGGTAAAAGGAAACATGATTCATTGTATTAATAATTTAACCTAATATATATCCACTACTATTTTGCATGTAATTTTAAAACACTTTTTCATTTCTCCATGATCTTGACTAAAATAATTAAAAACAAAATCCTGTGAACTTGTCAAAATCCAGTGTGAGTTTTACACTTACACATTTCAAGCGTGGTGAATGGATGCTGTGTAAGTGATCATCTAGAGGTTCCCCTTTCTTAAAAGGCTCCATCCCCCGTTATATTTGTCGGGCTGTCTTGCAGCATTCCTTCCCCACACTTCGCATTTTTCTGATTGTTTTTCCGTGGTGGTCTTTGAGTGTCTGTTCTTTATATTTCCTGTAAAGTGATAGTTACCTCTAGAGGTAGTTTTTGGTTTTGGTTTTATTTTTGTTTTTGAGACGGAGTTTTGGTTTTGTTGCCCAGGCTGGAGTGCAATGGTGTGATCTTGTCTCACTGCCTCCTGGGTTCAAGCAATTCTCTTGCCTCAGCCTCCTGAGTAACTGGGATTACAGGGGTATTTTTAGTAGAGACGGAGTATCAACTTGTTGGTCAGGCTGGTCTCAACCTCCTGACCTCAGGTGATCCACCCGCCTCAGCCTCCCAAAGTGCTGGGATTACTGGTGTGAGCCACCGCACCCAGTCTGGAGGTAGTTTTGATTCAGATGAGAGTTTTTGGAAAGAAAACTTACTTGAGGTGCTGTGCTCCAACCGGAGGCACATATTGGTTGGTATCTTCTCTTTTGTCATGTTACAGCAGCTATTAATGATCATTATGTAGATCCATTATTTTCTTAAATGGTTTTCAAATTAGTGATATTTTAATAATCGATTCCTTTTCATTTATTAGCAGGAATACTTTTTCATGTGATCGCTCTAAGATGTACTTTTGTTTTTGTTTTCCTTTTTTTTTTTTTTTATAGACGGATTCTCACTCTGTCACCCAGGCTGGAGTGCAGTGGCAGGATCCAGGCTCACTGCAGCCTCCGCCTCCTGGGTTCAGGCGATTCTCAGGCTCGTGAGCAGCTGGGATTACAGGTGTGCAGCACCACCACGCCCATCTAATAGTAGAGATGGTGGAGTGGCAGGGGGTGGGGGGTTTCACCATGTTGGCCAGGCTGGTCTCAAACTCCTGACCTCAAGTGATCCACCTGCCTTGGCCTCCCAAAGTGCTGGGATTACAGGCGTGAGTCACCCACCACGCCCAGCCCTCCACATTTTTTTTTTTCGAGAAAGGGTTTCACTTTGATGCCCACACTGGAGTGCCCTGGTGTGGACAGAGCTCACTGCAGCCTCAACCTCCTGGGCTCAGGCAATCCTGCCTCATCCCCCCAAGTAGCTGGGATTACAGGTGTGTGCCACATGCCCAGCTATTTTTTTTTGTATTTTTTGTAGAGAAGGGGTTTTGCCATGTCGCCCAGGGTGGTCTCCTGAGCTCAAGTGATCTGCCCACCTCGGCCTCCCAAAGTGCTGGGATTACAGGTGTGAGCCACTATATATGGCCTCAGTTCTTCCTTGACATAAATTCAGCTTAGCATTTCTCATAAAACATTAAAAAAGTACCTCTATACTTTGTCTCCATTGATACATCAGTATGAGAAATTGCAGTGATTGAGTTTGAAATGATCAACTACACTTGCATTCCTGAAATCCAACTTGGTCATAATATCGCTTTATATATTGCTGGATTAGGTTGACTGATACTTGGTTTGGACTTTTGCATCTGAGTTCTTGAGTGAAATTAGCCTGTGATACTTGATTAATTGTAAAACTCTTTTGGAAATGAAAAAATCAATTCCAAGTTCATTGTAGATGTAAGTGTAAAAATTTAGAGAAGAACATCAACGCTTTGTAAGTTCAGATAACTATATGGGCTGGGGCTAGGAAAAAGATCTCTTGAAAATGACACAGGCTGGGCGGGGTGGTTCACACCTTTAATCCCAGCAGGGCCAAGGCAGGCGGATTGCTTGAGGCCAGGAGTCCAAGACCAGCCTGGCCAATGTGGCGAAACCCCATCTCTACTAAAAATACAAAAATTTGCCAGGTGTGGTGGTGTGCATCTGTAATCCCAGGCTGAGGCAGGAGAATTGCTTGAACTCAGGAGGTGGAGGTTGCAGTGAACCGAGAGTGGAATGATGGTTTGAGCTCAGGAGTTCAAGATAAGCCTGGGCAAGATGGCAAGACCCTATCTTTTCAAAAACAGAATTTTTAATTAGCCAGGTATGATAGCGAACACTTGTAAAGACATAGAGGATGCAGTGAGTTGTGATTGCAGTACTGCATACCACCCTGAGCAAGAAAGCAAGACCCCGTTTAAAAAAAAAAAGCCATCATAATTAAGAAAAGGCATGACAGATTAAGACTCCTATTAGATTTATCCTAACGGTATGCCTCCTGTTAGACAAAATGCTTCACCTAATACAAATACAGATACTCTTACTTACTGTTATATCCCGATAAATCCATCATAAGTTATTTGATTAGAATAGTGCCATCTAATAGA
Source organism: Homo sapiens (assembly GCF_000001405.40). Classification (NCBI taxonomy): domain Eukaryota; kingdom Metazoa; phylum Chordata; class Mammalia; order Primates; family Hominidae; genus Homo; species Homo sapiens. Next base: position 43,402,717 of record NC_000010.11, on the reverse strand, counting down.
ATTATGATGTTTATGACAAATACATATCTTTTCTAATTTAAGTTGGTGTTAGATACCATATACGATCCTCTTAAAGTACATAGAATTCAGAAGTTAGTTTTCTTGTGATGTTTTTGTCTGGTTTGGTAACACGTTGTATTAGTATGCTAGGGCTGCCATGCAAAGTAATACAGACTAGTAACAAATTTTCTCACGGTTATGGAGGCTAGAAGTCTTAAGATGAGGGTGTTGATAGGGTTGGTTTCTTTTCAGGCAGGAGAAATAATGTGAATAGTAGGAATTCCAGAAGGAGAAAAAGACACAGATGGAGGCAGCAAGAGAAGCGATAAAGGATTAGAAGTGAATTTTCCTGGCTTAAGATCCCTGTAGTTCCCATTAGGATATTTTGAAAAGACACAGCACAGGCGTGTGTTGGTAAAACTCCTAAAGTATAGAGGAAACTGCTTTGGAAAAAGTATGTCCTCCAAATCTCTTATCTTCTCCCCCATTGTTTCTGTTTTGATGTTTATTCTACTTCGTTTTCCTTTCTTTGAATTCATTACTAACTTTTAAATTTAAAACTCAGTTTTAGTTCCAGAAAGTTTTTTTTTTTAAGTTTTGTAATGGAGTGGTATCTGAAGTTGCTCTTTTTTTCCTGTTAAAATCATTATGGTTTTTGTCTAGCACTTCTTGTTCCCTGAAACCTGAGGTGTGGTATGTTATTTCTGGGTGCCGGAGCCCCTCTTCTGTAAATTGTCATGTTCCTTTCCTCCTTCCATCTCTCTGTTCTGCACAATTCCCCCAAGGCAGAATGCAGTGGTCCCCTGGGCAGCACAGCTCAGGGCCAGCAGTCTCAGCTCAGGGCCTGCTGCTTGGAACCTGACTAAGGTGTCATGTTTCCATGGAGGCTTCAGGAAGAATTCCCATCCCAAGGAATGTACCTTCCTCAGGGGGCTGAGGATACCCCACAGGCCTCCTTTCTCTCCAGCTCCAGGGTTTGACTATGCACCTATTTAGGGGCTGCTTGCTCAAGGGAGAGAGGTACAGGAGGTGGTCTGGGAAAAACAAAATTGATCTTCCTATCAATTGTATTTTTGTTTAGCGGAATCTATACACACCCATTTCTTTGGATATTATTTCCAGTTACTCCAGCTAATCCAAATAATGATATTTGCCCTCAGTTAAGAACAGATTTTATTTTTAGGAACAGAAGTCTAGTAGCAGTTTTGCTTTTTATTAACGTTTTAAGGAACATTTACCTTAGATATCATGATTCTTGGGCATTTGCAAAATGCAGTCAATATCAAACAGCAATGGTTGCTTGTTTTATGATCGGTCAGAATTTGTCCCTTATATTAATTTCAGTACAAACAGTATAGATAAAATTTATCTAACATTACATTATACTACTCTTGATGCTTTTTAGTAACACAGCTTTTGAGAAATGAACGCTGAGGGAAGCAGTGTGTTATCCCCCCAGACTTAGCTACAGCAAGTAAGTGAAAGGACCTGATAGATGGTAATGGAAAACAGCTTTCCTGTTGCATGCAGATCAGGACAGATCCCCTTTGGTGGATATAAATGTAGTAATAATGGAGTAAACATTTAAAATGTTAATATATGCTCCATCTGCAGCTTCTCAGTCTTTTTTTTTTTTGAGACGGAGTCTCGCTCTATCGCCCAGGCTGGAGTGCAGTGGTGCGATCTGGGCTCCCTGCAAGTTCCGCCTCCCGGGTTCACACCATTCTCCTGCCTCAGCCTCCTGAGTAGCTGGGACTACAGGTGCCTGCCACCACGTTTGGCTAATTTTTGTATTTTTAGTAGAGACGAGGTTTCACCGTATTAGCCCTCCTGACCTCGTGATCCACCCGCCTCGGCCTCCCAAAGTGCTGGGATTACAGGCATGAGCCACTGTGCCTGGCCACTTCTCAGTCCTTAATAGCTTTTAGGATAGCTCTGTGTATTGAATTTGGCACGTTGTGTGAATTGGGTTAGAATTCTCACACTTCAGATACATGTGCCCCTGAAAAGTTAAGTACAAATGTGTGCGTTGGTGCATTTTTTTAAATGGAATTAGTGTCTTGTATCATAATTCTTGAGTTCATGACAGCAGGAAGTACTTAAGAGTGACTGAATAGGAATTTTATAAAATTGCTGGGTTGGAAGATACTTTTGAGGCCATTAAACCCAATTTTCAATATTTCCAACAGAAAAGGAAAACATCCATAACAAATATGGTCTATGATCTGCTCACATACTATATACCATGATGGGGAATTTTTGCCCCCAAGATGCATCTTGTGCTTCTCATGTGGTGAACAGACACGAGCAGCAGAAGCTGTGTCCTAAAATTTCTTCAATCTAAAGGATTCACCACGAAATAAGAATATGAATACAAAGCATCCAGCACCAAAATGTATCCCAGTAAAGGGCTTTGGTAAAAAATATAAATAATTTGAACAAGTGTCCAGAGGGGAGATAATGTACAGAAGGAAAAAAGAATAATGGGCTTTTAACTTCTTTTTTTTCCCTCAGTTTTTATCTTTTTCCTATATAGAGATGGGAGTCTCACTATACTGCGCAGGCTGGTCTCGAACTCTCTTGGGCTCAAGTGATCCTCCCACCTCGGCCTCCCAAAGTGCTGGAGTTACAGGCTTGAGCCACTGCTCCTGGCCAGCTTCTACTTTAAACCTCAGCTATTTATCAAGGAAAAAAGAATTTCCCTTCTTTCTACATGAAATTCATCACTCAGTGTTCCCACTCACCCATGCTCCTGTCTGTTTAAATGTCACTTCCTCAGAACCCCAATCTGAGCTAATGCCTATTTTCTGTTTTTCGTTCATTCTAAAATTTGTCATCATATATTTGTACATTTCTTGATTTCCTACTCCACTGTTACTGGACCCACCAAGGCAGGAACTGTGTCTCTTTACCACTACAGTTCCTGTATCTTTTAGGTGCGTAGTATTTCTTGGTGAGTCAGTCAGTCTCCAGACTCAGTCATTTTTCTCTACATTACACATTCTTTCACATTCTTCTCCCACCAGTCTTCCTAGACTTGTTTCATTCCTTCCCATCTTGTCTCCATGTATCTCTTCCCACCATTCATTTTCCAGATAGCATCTAGACTGTTGTGTTAAAAAGCAAAACTCCTTTCACACCACATTCCATTAAATGCCTTCCCACTGGCCTTTGAACACCAAACCAGGCCTTTAAGGCTATGTCATCTCCTACCATTGATCTCAGACCTAGCTGCAGTTGCACAATACAACCCCTGGCTCAAGTCTTCTGCACACATTGTTCCCTCACAGGCAGGAACCCTATGGTGACTGATCAATAATTAAAACTTGCCTTGGGCCAGGCACAGTGGCTTATACCTATAATCCTAGCACTTTGGGAGGCCAAGGTGGATCAGTTGAGCCCAGGAGTTACAGACCAGTCTGGGCATCATAGAGAGACCTTGCCTCTACTAAAAAATTAAAAAAAAAATTAGCCCGGCTTGGTGGCATGCACCTGTGGTCCCAGCTACGTTGGGGAGGCTAAAGGTGGGAGGATCATTTGAGCCCAGGAGGTTGAGGCTAATGTGCCTGTCACACAGATTCAACAGTTACTAATCATGGACAGTTATTCTCCATCTCCCCACCTACTACTTTGTGGACAACTTCAAACAAATCCAAGCCATCACAAATATTTCAAGATGGATTTCTAAAACTTAATTGCTTTATTTTATAACATAACCATAATTCTGTGGGTTCTTTTATCTGGCTGGAACTATTCTGAGGTAGGACTGGCTCATTTGTCCTTGTAGTTTCCCACAGTCTACATCACTATATGCAGTATGTTACTGTTCCCTGTAATTCGTGTTATTTAGTAAGTGCATTCTAAAGACTTGCTTTCTCTCAGTTTTACAAACAGTTGTATTAGCCGGGTGTGGTTGCATGCCAGTGGTCCCAGCTACTCAGGAGGCTGAGGTTGGAGGCTTGCTTGAGCCTGGGAGGTTGAGGCTGCATTGCCATGATCGTGCCACTGCATTCCAGCCTGGGCAGCTGAGCCAGACCCTGTCTCAAAATAATAATAATTCTGTTAAAAACGTAAAACAGGCCGGGCGCGGTGGCTCACACCTGTAATCCCAGCACTTTGAGAGGCTGAAGTGGGTGGATCACAAGGTCAGGAGTTGAGACCAGCCTGACCAACATGGTGAAACCCTGTCTCTACTAAAAATACAAAAATTAGCCAGGGTGTGGTAGCGCACGCCTATAATCCCAGCTACTCAGGAGGTTGAGGCCAGGAGAATCGCTTGAACCTGGGAGGGGAGGTTGCAGTGAGCCGAGATCGTGCCATTGCACTCCAGCCCGGGCAACAGAGCAAGACTGTCTCTCAAAAAAAAAAAAAAACAACAACAACAAACTCCAAACAGGCCGGGCATGGGGCTCGCACCTATAATCCCAGTACTTTGGGAGGCCGAGGCAGGGGGATCACGAGGTCAAGATATCGAGACCAGCCTAGCCAACACGGTGAAACCACATCTCTACTAAAAACAAAAACTAGCTGGGTATAGTGGCATGGGCCTATAGTCCCAGCTACTCGGGAGGCTGAGGCAGGAGAATCGCCTTAACCCAGGAGGCAGAGGTTGCAGTGAGCCAAGATCATGCCACTGCACTCCAGCCTGGGTGACAGAGTGAAAACTGTGTCTCAAAAAAAACCAACCAAACAAACAAAACAGTCAAACATACACAAAAGTAGAAACAAGTGTAATGAAACTCTATGTATACATCAGGAGCTTTAATAAAAATTACTAGTTCATAGCACATCTTGTTTCATGTATATTTCCACTTTCCACGTAATCTGAAACATTCAAGAAATCAGGTATCATCTGCAAATATTTGTGGCTCTAAAAAGGGTCTTTTAAAGAAATAAAATTACAGTATAATGACAACAAAATTTACAATTCTGCAATATAAAATGTCACTGATCATATTATCGAAATTGCTTTATAGTTGTTCTCCAGTTCATTTGAATTAAGATTCAGAGGTCCACAAAATTGCGTTAGTTAAAAGTTTAGGAATTGCGTTAAAAAAATTTTTTTTCAAAGATTTTTTTTCAAAATCTTTACGTGTGTCCATGGTCAAATGTACAAACCAAGGTACGTCCGCTAGTTCCATTTTAGAGGCGGCCTCCCAGAGAGGGGCTGTGTCTAACTTGCTGGCTTCTCTTCCACTCTGCACTGCCCGCCCTTCCCCGTGGCTGGCACTCTGGACTTTCCCCAGGTCGCGCTCGCGCCTGGCTCCCTTCGGGAGAACTCGGAGAAATGTCTTCCCGCCGCCCTGACTCTCTCCTTCCCCCACTTCCTGCCTGGGCCCAGCGCGCGGGCCACGGGGCCGCACCTGCAGGCACGCGTTTCCCATTGGTGACATCTTGGCGGGCCCGGCAATGGCACTTCCTCCTCTGCACCCCGTGACCCACGTCCGGCTGCCGGTCTTGGATCACGAGGCCTCCGCTTCCCGGACTCCGGACCCCGCGCCTCCTCGGGGCCGACGGGCCAGTCCCTGGCGTGGTGAGCCGCCGCGCGGGCGCCCCGGCCCCGCCACTCCAGTCCCGGCCGCCCCCCCCAGGTCCCTTTCCGCCGCCCCGGTCGCTCGGAGACGGACGCAGACCTACGAGCGCCTCTTCCCTTCCCTCCCTTCAGCCGCGCTCGGCCCGCGGGTCCCCGAGCTCCCGCCTAGGCAGCGCTAGCTTGGCGGGCCGGGGAGCAGCCCCCACCCCACCTTGCCGTCGCCCTCGCTCTCGCCCTCAGGGCCCCGGAAGCCCGCCAGGGGCCCCCTCCCCTCCCCTCCCCTCCCCTCCCCCTCCCGCGAGGCGCCCTTCCCTCCGGGAACCCTCCCGTCCCTGCCCCCACTCTCCCCGCTGCGCCGCTCGCTCCGCCCCCCGCCCGGAAGCTCCCGCCCGAGCCCGCGCAGGCCCTGGGGCCGACCTTCCTGCCGGGCCGGGCGGTCCGAGGCTGCTGGAGTGCCGTGAGCAGGCCGCGGGAACGTCGCCGTCACCTTGTCTCGGGGCCTCGGCGCTGCTTCCCGCCAAAACACGTTTACCGCGCGCCCGGGCCTCCCACCTTGCGGAAGGGACCCCACCACCACTTGGATTTCTGTTGCAGGTTGAGAACAAAAACATGCACCTGGAGTTTCCCCGGAGCCCTCTGCGTGGTTGAGCTTCGGTGGAATTTCGGGGCTCTTGGCTGCCAGCCGCGCTTGCCTGGTAGCAACAGAAACCAGTCCTGCTCGCCTCCGTGGTAAGTCTAGAGCATGAAAGTCCGCGGGCCCGGCCGGGTGGACTTTGGTTTGAGAGTGGAACTAAGTGAGTAATGGGGGCGGCGCGGCCAGACGCGCTCCCAGCCTCCTGGCGAGAGTGCTGCCCGGTTTCCCGGGGGCACGGGAGTGTGTCTAGGAGGGGAGGCCAGGATCCTTCCTCGAGTCCTGTCCTGAACAAAAGAAAACGAGGTGGGTGGTGCTTGAACGGCCCTGTTTACTCTGCAGATAGCCGAACTGGTAGGACTCCGGCGCGCCCTATTTATCTTGATTGGCTCTGCCTGAAGGCAAGCGTTAATCCCGTCCAACCTGTATCACTGCGAAGAGCTCGTTCGGGAGCGCTTTTTGGAAATGCAGATTCTTAGCCCCCACCCAGATCTGTTTTAGGGTTGGTGTTTTAATTATCTAGGTGGCCCCCGTGCAAGCTCGATCTGAAAACCTCCGGGTCCAGTCACCTGGGGGAGCTGAGCAGCCCTCCCCGCCCCCAGCGCTTTCTTGGCGCTGCGGACGGGGAGACCAGACTCTTCCTCTGCGTGCGTTGGCGGTGCGCAGTGGCCGTGGTCTACAGGCTTACAGCGGCTGGTCCATTGGGGTAAATGGGTGTACGTGGGTCTGGTTGCCAGCTTGTGCATGTCCCCAGAGACGCCTCAGGGTGTTGGTCTGTGGATCACGCAGGGATAAACAAGGGCATAAGTGGATCAGATCATTAAGATGACTGGGTTCCACCCTTTAGATCCTTGAACAAGTCGGATTGTTGAAGCCTTTTGAAAACCTGATTCCAGAGTACTTGAAACTGTTTCACCCCTGAATAGGTTTCCTAATAAATGTAATGCTTTCCATTTGTACACCCCCCCAATAGTGTCTTAAGTAATAATCACTGGAAGTTTGCAAGACAAGGCAGATTTGATTATCTTCATGTTAAGACAACAGGTTCAGCATAATTAGCTGGTTTTACTAATTCCACATTTCCAAAACTCAAGCAGCTTAGTTCTCAGAATTCCATAGCCCTCAGCCCGTGTCCTAGTCCTTTGGGGCAGCGTTTTTACTGGGATGTTGGTGATCTAGTGATTATGATGTATGTTCTAGTGAAGCATATTTCAAAGAAGTTACCCAATAAAACTGAAAGTGTCTTTTGGATGTGTCTCCACACTGCTTACAGAGGGGTTCCTATAAATCAGACTGAACAATTTCTAGCAAGCACCCTTGCTCCTTGCCCATGCTATCCCAGTGAAAGAGGGGTCTTAAGGTCAAGTCCCCTGTGGTTGTCACTTCTCCCCCACCCATCTCCCTCCCAAGTGCCCTGCCCCCGATATTTAAATTTCCTCCCAGCACTTAGGGTCCTCAGTGTACAAACTTAGAATTGGGCAGAGGCGGGCGGATCACCTGAGGTCAGGAGTTTGGGACCAGCCTGGCCAACATATTGAAATCCCATTTCTACTAAAAATACAAAAATTCGCTGGGTGGGGTGGTGCACGCCTGTAATACCAGGTACTGAGGCAGGAGAATCTCATCAAGAGTAAATCTCATCAAGATCAATAAGGCGTTTCCCTTTTGTTGTGCTCTGTATTGCCCTGTGAAAAGATAATACTTCCAAAATGCTGTTAGGTGGATGGGGTGTGAGATTTAATTTAAACCCACGGGCTATATAAAGGGCTTCCCAGCTGTTTCTGTCCTTACCTGGAGTTCTGATCCCAGAGCCAGTGCCTAGGATCTGAGACCACACAGCCAATATCGCTCTGTTTTTTTTTTAGGACATTTCATTACCATCCAGAAGTGTCTCCCACTGAAGGCATCCGTGGTTGTTTTTAAGGTAAGCTATTTTAAGAAGAGCCCCTTTTCAGCTGCAGTATTTATATTTGTTATACTCAAATTTGTTTAGCAGCCTGGAGTGAAAAAAGTTTTGTCCCTAACATTAACCTTGAGCAGGACACCACAGGGCTCTTTTCAGCTTGAGTTTTAGTTAATGAAAAGCCTTAGGACTTCTGAGAAATGGAACAGAAAACCAATTCTGGAGTAAAAATAAGCAGTAAGTGTTTTAAGTGTACACATGTGTTTTGGAAAGGAATGGTCTCTTCGCCTTGCCTTCAGAGAGGAAGTAATTTTGCTTCTGAAACATTTCCTGATGCAAAACACTTATGACATGTAAAAGATTAGGCATTTTAAGTAATTCTTCTATGAAATGTTTTTATTTTTTATGCTGCTTGTATGTCTTTTTCAGCCTAGCCAGGCCACTGCCTTCTTGAGGAAGGTGTTGACCCCCCTACACATGGGCAACAGTTAATCCTGGCTAATCTTGGACCAGCTGGGTCAAGTCTGTGCTGAGGATGGGGTCATGGTGGCCAACAAAACAGGCACAAGTTTCTCCCCAGTAGGCTCCTATTGTGGGTTTAAGACCCCTTTAACAACACAAGAGTGCTGTGGTTAGTGTAGAGCATGAGACTTAATTTGGATAATGAGAAGACCTTTGAGAAAGGTGGTGTATTTGAGCTTAGACCTTAAGGATTAGTGGGATTTAGGTAGACAGAAGGTTGAACAGAGTATATTTGGGGAGAGAATTAACCATGAGTGTCAACTATGTGCGTCACATCCCTGAAGGGGCAGAGAGCTTGCCACATTCCAGGAGAAAAAAGGAAGTGATGTGAGCTTAGGTAGAAGAGTGTTGCAGGCAAAAGTTGCAAGGCCTGAGGGACCCCATTGGGCCTGTGGTCCTTGTTCTGAGGTCAGTGGGAAACCACTGAGGACTTGGATGCAGGACAGTAATGAGTTTTAAAAGTACACGTGAGCCGTAGATGGGATTGCAGTAAGGCCTAGCCACTGTGCTTGGAAAACTTTTTTTTTTTTTTGAGATGGAGTTTTGCTCCTGTTGCCTAGGCTGGAGTGCAGTGACGCGACATTGGCTCACCGCAACCTCTGCCTCCCAGGTTCAAGCGATTCTCCTGCCTCAGCCTTCCTGAGTAGCTGGGATTATAGGCATGCGCCACCACGCCTGGCTAATTTTGTATTTTTAGTAGAAACGGAGTTTCTCCATGTTGGTCAGGCTGGTCTTGAACTCCTGACTTCAGGTGACCTGCCCGCCTCAGCCTCCCAAAGTGCTAGGATTACAGGCATGAGCCACTGCGCCCGGCCTATGCTTGGACTTATTTAAAAGATATATCGGTAATCTGGAATTGGCTGTTTGTACATACAGGAATTAGAATAGGAGAAATAACAATATGAGGTACAGAAAGAAAATGACAATTTGATAACTCCCATTACAAAGAAAAGAATTACTGAGTTCATAGGCTGCCATTCAACGTGTTAGGAACAGGGTAGAGCTGTGAGGCACCTTTATTGCTGAGGAAATGGAAGAGTTGAATAGGATTTAGGGATGAGGATACTGTGGAGAATGGGATCACCCAAGGGAGTTGAGTTGATTGGATTTGAGGGCTTGGGAGAAGGTCAAGGATTACTCCAGTTTCCTTCTAGAGCCTCTGGGTGCAGGTAGGGGCAGTCATGTTGCTATTGGAGTGTGACAGAAGAGAGAATGTGAGGTTTAGTTGTGGCACAGAGGAGAACCTGTGGAGTGGAGTTGTGTCTACCCGTCTAGGCTTCAGGGAGCCGAAGACTGGGGGTTTGTGTATCTCCTGACCCTGGAGATGATTATGGAGACCCTGGGAGCAGGTGAGTCCACTGAGAAGAGGACTTGGGCCCAAGCCTGATTCCCTACAGTTAATGGTTAAGGAAGGACTCAGAGACTGTCTAAGGAATTAACTGGAAAACCAACAGTAATTGCCAACAGGAGTGAAAGGGAGAGGATTTCCAGGAAAGAATGGTTAAGTAAGATGAAGATAAAAACATTTGCTCTTTTTCTTGCCATGGAGATCTGTATAGTAGGATCATGCAGTTTTTTTGTTTGTTTTTGTTTTTGAGACGAGTCTCTGTCGCCTAGGCTGGAGTGCAGTGGCACGATCTCAGCTCACTGCAACCTCTGCCTTCCAGGTCCAAGCGATTCTCCTGTCCCAGCGTCTGGAGTAGCTGGGATTACTGGCGCCCGCCACGACGCCTGGCTAATTTTTGTATTTTTAGTAGAGACGGGGTTTCACCATGTTAGCCAGGATGGTCTCGATCTCCTGACCTCATGATCCACCTGCCTCAGCCTCCCAAAGTGCTGGGATTACAGGTGTGAGGCACTGTGCCCGGCCAATTTTTCTGTATTTTTAGTAGAGACAGGGTTTCACTATGTTGGCTAGGCTGGTCTGGAACTCCTGACCTCAAATGATCTGCCTGCCTTGGCCACCCAAAGTGCTGGGATTACAGGCGTGAGCCACTGCGCTCAACCTAGGTGTCCACCACTATGCTCGGCTAATTTTTGTATTTTTGGTAGAGGCGGGATTTCACCATGTTGGTCAGGCTGGTCTTGAACTCCTGGCTCCGGTTATCCACCCTCCTTGACCTCCTAAAGTGCTGGGATTACAGGCGGTGAGCCACCACACGTGGCCTTGATCATGCAGTTTTAATGGAGGGGAGTGGAAGTGACAGTAGAGGCCTTTTGACAAGATTTTGCTGAACAAATCAACAAGTAGCTAGAGGCAAAGTTGGCACAGGGGAGGTATGACATGATTGGGTAGAACTGAGCATGTTTAATTACCAAGTAGACAGGGCTCAGTGGAGAAAGGGGAAAAGGAAAAAAAGAAGAAAGCATGGCTCCGGGGTATGTGAGGTTGGACCCAGAGCAGAGCTGTTGTTCACGATGTCCGCTGTAAGGGGCCCACTACGTGCTTACAAACTCCTGGACTCTGACTTGACTTCACAAAGTCCACTTCCAAGAGTAATGTCAACCAGCTGGAGAGGAGGTGAGAGTCTGTAAGGCTGCCCCAGACATCTGAAGGGCTTTGGACAAGCAGGGTGCTGGGGTAGGACAGTGGGCGATATTGAGGGCCCGCTTACTCTATGGCTGTTCACTCTGATTTTCTTTTTTTTTTCTTGTGTGGTGGGTTTTTTTTTGGAGTTAGTCTCGCTCCGTCACCCGGGCTGGAGTACAATGGTGCGATCTCCACTCACTGAAAACTCCGCTTCCTGGGTTCAGGTGATTCTCTTGCCTCAGCCTCCGTAGTGGCTGGGACTACAGGCGCCCACCACCACGTCCAGGTAATTTTTTTTTTTTTTTTGAGACAGAGTCTTGCACTGTCGCCCAGGCTGGAGTGCAGTGGTGCGATCTTGGCTTACTGCAACCTCTGCCTCCCAGGTTCAAGCGATGCTCCTGCCTCAGCCTCCCAAGTAGCTGGGACTACAGGTGCCCACCATCACGCCCGGCTAGTTTTTTGTATTTTTAGTCGAGACAGAGGTTTTGTCTATTGGAACTCATGATCTCAAGTGGTCCCACCCACCTCGGCCTCCCAAAGTGCTAGGATTATAGGTGGGAGCCACTGTGCCTGGCCTCACCCTGATTTCTACAGTATTTCACAACTTGGGGGCAGCATTAGCCACCAGAGAACATTTGGGAATGTCTGGAGACATTCGGTTGTCAGAACTGGAGGTGGAGGGTGCTACTGGCATCTAGTGGGCAGAGACCAGGGATGCAGCTAAACATCCTACAGTGCCTGGGCCTGCCTCCACAACACAAAGAACTGTCTGGTCCAAAATGTCAGTAGTCCTGAGGCTGAGAAATTGTAGCTTAGAGGCACCGTTTCGCCTGGCTGTGTGCAGCTGAGCCACTCAGTACATCCATGGAGTAGTCAGATATTTGTTTGGAATCTTCCAGAGCTCTGGTTTTACTGGGCGCGTACAGTTAAGAAGTTCATTGAATGAATTCCATGTATTGTGAGGAAGGAATGTAAAATGATACTTGCTCTAAGCTGGATTATGAAGAATGAGGAGAGAAAGAGGCTGTGTGGATAAGGAAGCCAAGGTCTCTACAAAGGAGGGGGATAGCAGTTGTGGTGGAGGGAGTAGGATGTGATTAGGTGGGGTTTCCTGCAGGGAATGGTGAAATCATTGGAGGTAGGAGTCCAGGAGAAAATGGTTAGTGGATTATGGCTTCATCTCCCCTACCCGGAACGATGGCTGGACCTAAGGCTAGGAACAGAACTCGAGGGAGGCCTTCAGATACTTTTCATGAGTGAGGAGCAAGACCAGGGTATGGTCAAAGACAAAAGGACAGGCGGTGCCTAGCCTGACCCAGTGTTGGGAATGGAATTGCATAAGAAGCCCCCACCTGTAATTGAGCTGTCCCAGACCCATTATCCCAAGAGACACAATACAAACTTGCCCTGACTCTCCAAGGAGGAGCTTCTGAACTGTTAGCACAGAATTCCCTCCGTGGACAGGAGAGGAAGAATCTGCTGTGACCTTGCTCTGCCAGATCAGCATGTTGCAGTGGCCATATGCAGGGGATTTAGATAAGGCCCTGGGGAGGCGGAGACCATTACTTTCTAAGGTGGAGGCTAAACCCCAGGGTTTGTTGCAGACCCAAAGCACAGTTTGAGAATTGGGGATAGGATTATTTATGCCCAATCATTTGCCGTTCAGGATTATTTTATAAAAGTTGATGGAGTTTATGTACATAGTCAATAATTTGAGGTGGGCAATGAGCAATCCAGGTTAGGCTCCCCTTGACTCTCTTCCCAGAGGCTTCCATGTTCCACTCTCATTAGCAAGGGTGACATCTTTTAGTTAGGCTGTATACTTTGAAAGCCCTTGCATTCCAAATCACAGTTCGTGAGTAAATGCCGAGTGTTTGGTCTTGGTGATGTGTTCAGGATATCACATACTGTTCTGTTTCATTTGTGCCATTATGCTTGTTATTGGGAGAGGAGACACATCTTGTTATCTTTATAATCTGGTGTAGACACAGGTAAATTTGAAAGATTTACACAATTATCCTTTTAGACGTTGTCAATTTGAAATGATGAAGCACTGTATGATAATATGTCATTATCTGCAATGGCTACATCAAACTTTAAAATTACTAATTTTCCCTGAAGCTAGTGCAGTTGAGCATTTATTTAGTATGAATTTGCTTTTCCTTTTCTTAAATTACACTTACCTTTACTTTTTGTCTGTTTTTTAAATTGTGGGGTTTTCTTATGGAGCTTTTTTCCCCACATGATGAGCCCATATTTCTTGAAAAGGCCACCAGCTATATCTATTATGCTTGATGTAAAATGACACTTTGAAACATTCGATTTCCAGCTGTGCATGGTGGCTCACGCCAGTAATTCCAGCACTTTGGGCAGCTGAGGTGGGCGGATCACCTGAGGTCAGGAGTTCAAGACCAACCTCGCCAACATGGTGAAATCCCGTATCTCCTAAAAGTATAAAAAATTAGCCGTGCGTGGCGGCTGGTGCATGTAATCCCAGCTACTCAGGAGGCTGAGACAGGAGAATTTCGTGAACCCAGGAGGCGGAGGTTGCAGTGAGCCGAGACAGCACCACTGCACTCCAGCCTGGGCGACAGTGAGACTCTTGTCTCAAAAAAAAAAAAAAAAAAAAAAATTCCATATACTCCTATGCTCTTTTTGAGCGTCACCCTTGACAGTGTTCATATAAAAATACGTCTTTGGCCCCATGATACTGCAGTGTTTTTCTTGCTTGTGACTATGTTATAGACCCTGCTGTCTAGGTCAGCTGCTCCTCTTTCTCAGAAGACTGCCTTCCAGTGTGTGGTTGGCCTTACTCTGAGTTTGGACTTCAGGTGCCATGTACCACCCTGGTGGGAAGGGCATTTCTCAGCCCTCTTGCGATTGCCCTTTCTTCCCGATGCCCTCTTCCAGATCTTCAGCACAAGGCAGCAATTCTGCTATATTTTATGTGAACCTGTGAATCATCTGATCTGGTTTCTCCATTTATTTGCAGTGCACATAACTAAGTCTGCTGGTGAATTTGTCTGCTTGTCTGTATATGTCATCAGTTTGGCCTCATACTTGACTGGTATTTAGTTTGAATTGACAATTTAGGAGCAAAATCATAACTCCATAGACAGTGGAAGCCATTGCTGTCTTGTATCCTGGCAACATTACTGCTGATGAGAACACTAGAAAATCTTACCCTATGTTGTGGTTTAAAAACAGCCTGCTATGTTCCCATCCCTTATTTTTACTCATGAAAGTAAAAGTATCCTACCATAGACAAGCAGATTTACTAAATTTACTATTTTACCAAATGTAAGGCGTATAGTTTAGGAGGAACAACTCAGGAGCTCTTATAGGTGAACTGCCACATATTATCATGACAAATATGTGGAATAAATATAACAAGGAAATGCCCTTGCTCTAAACTGACTGAAACTTACATTTCTCTGTGTTCAAGGCACCACATTCACATGCATCGTCCTGTCTTGTAAACTCCTGATTTGTTTTTCAAACTGCCTGTGACTGATAATGTAATTTTTTGAGAGACCTGGAGTTAACTCTTAGCTCTCAATTGTATTTGGTATATTTCTTAATGTCTTGCTACCTCTCTCGTCTGTAAAATGGGGAAAATTTCTGTTGCATACTAAATAAATTTTTCTTTTTTTTTTTTCCAGCCACAAAAAAGCCACACCCAAGATCACCTGACACCCACCCTGACAAGTGTCCATGATGCTGGGCCCTGAGGGAGGTGAAGGCTTTGTGGTCAAGCTCCGTGGCCTGCCCTGGTCCTGCTCTGTTGAGGACGTGCAGAACTTCCTCTCTGACTGCACGATTCATGATGGGGCCGCAGGTGTCCATTTCATCTACACTAGAGAGGGCAGGCAGAGTGGTGAGGCTTTTGTTGAACTTGGATCAGAAGATGATGTAAAAATGGCCCTGAAAAAAGACAGGGAAAGCATGGGACACCGGTACATTGAGGTGTTCAAGTCCCACAGAACCGAGATGGATTGGGTGTTGAAGCACAGTGGTCCCAACAGTGCCGACAGCGCCAACGATGGCTTCGTGCGGCTTCGAGGACTCCCATTTGGATGCACAAAGGAAGAAATTGTTCAGTTCTTCTCAGGGTTGGAAATTGTGCCAAACGGGATCACATTGCCTGTGGACCCCGAAGGCAAGATTACAGGGGAAGCGTTCGTGCAGTTTGCCTCGCAGGAGTTAGCTGAGAAGGCTCTAGGGAAACACAAGGAGAGGATAGGGCACAGGTACATTGAGGTGTTTAAGAGCAGCCAGGAGGAAGTTAGGTCATACTCAGATCCCCCTCTGAAGTTCATGTCCGTGCAGCGGCCAGGGCCCTATGACCGGCCCGGGACTGCCAGGAGGTACATTGGCATCGTGAAGCAGGCAGGCCTGGAAAGGATGAGGCCTGGTGCCTACAGCACAGGCTACGGGGGCTACGAGGAGTACAGTGGCCTCAGTGATGGCTACGGCTTCACCACCGACCTGTTCGGGAGAGACCTCAGCTACTGTCTCTCCGGAATGTATGACCACAGATACGGCGACAGTGAGTTCACAGTGCAGAGCACCACAGGCCACTGTGTCCACATGAGGGGCCTGCCGTACAAAGCGACCGAGAACGACATTTACAACTTCTTCTCTCCTCTCAACCCTGTGAGAGTCCATATTGAGATTGGCCCAGATGGAAGAGTGACGGGTGAAGCAGATGTTGAGTTTGCTACTCATGAAGAAGCTGTGGCAGCTATGTCCAAAGACAGGGCCAATATGCAGCACAGATATATAGAACTCTTCTTGAATTCAACAACAGGGGCCAGCAATGGGGCGTATAGCAGCCAGGTGATGCAAGGCATGGGGGTGTCTGCTGCCCAGGCCACTTACAGTGGCCTGGAGAGCCAGTCAGTGAGTGGCTGTTACGGGGCCGGCTACAGTGGGCAGAACAGCATGGGTGGCTATGACTAGTTTTGTTAGGAACATTTGAGTTACTTCAATCATTTTCACAGGCAGCCAACAAGCAATTAAGAGCAGTTATAATAGAGGAAGCTGGGGGACCCATTTTGCACCATGAGTTTGTGAAAAATCTGGATTAAAAAATTACCTCTTCAGTGTTTTCTCATGCAAAATTTTCTTCTAGCATGTGATAATGAGTAAACTAAAACTATTTTCAGCTTTTCTCAATTAACATTTTGGTAGTATACTTCAGAGTGATGTTATCTAAGTTTAAGTAGTTTAAGTATGTTAAATGTGGATCTTTTACACCACATCACAGTGAACACACTGGGGAGACGTGCTTTTTTGGAAAACTCAAAGGTGCTAGCTCCCTGATTCAAAGAAATATTTCTCATGTTTGTTCATTCTAGTTTATATTTTCATTTAAAATCCTTTAGGTTAAGTTTAAGCTTTTTAAAAGTTAGTTTTGAGAATTGAGACACAATACTAATACTGTAGGAATTGGTGAGGCCTTGACTTAAAACTTTCTTTGTACTGTGATTTCCTTTTGGGTGTATTTTGCTAAGTGAAACTTGTTAAATTTTTTGTTAACTAAATTTTTTTCTTAAAATAAAGACTTTTTCACAATGACTGGCACAGATTACTCAGCAAAAGATAGCAAAACGGGTGGTTGAAGATAATTCATTTTAATCGTAATGTATTTTAGTGTGAATTTAAAAATTTCATACATCAAATCTATGATCTCCCTTATATTCTTATGATGAGGCTAAATAAAAGTCTAATAAAAATGTTAAATATGTGAATGGTGGAAATGGTGACTAGCAGCACACATTCTGGGAAGCATCAAATAGACACACGGCCCCAGCCACCTGCAACTTATGTGCACTGTTGTAAACCATTCAGAATTTTCCTGCTAGGCCCTTGATGCTGGAGTCACATCTGTTGATAGCTGGAGAACTTTAGTTTCAAGTACTACATTGTGAAAGCAATTATTTTGTTTCTAGTTTTTATAAAATGCTGATTTAAACTTTTTTTTTTGGTCACGCTCCTGATTTCTGTAGGGCGCATTTGTTAATTAGGTTATGACAGGATACACATTATCAAGCTTGAGACCCATTTTCAAATTGCTATCTACCTTGGCAACAGCAATGTTGAAATTCAGGCAGCTCTATATATAGCATACAGTATTACTATCATTTTAAACCTTATGCTAAATACAAACCATCAGGACTTTAAAATGTGGAGTTTATTTAAAACCATTCTGTGCAAAAATGCTATCTACCATTGGGAATTCTTCAACTTTATTTTCCCACTTCACTAGCTGTATAATGTAACCTATATGTTATGATTTTACCAATATTAAGGGTCTTCATTAGTATCTTAAAGAGTAAATAAATGCTCTTGGTAAAACCCCTGAGAGCTGCATTAAAAATTAGGTCTGTGAAGTCTTCAGCCTTTTCTAGCCTCATTGGGCTTCAGAGGCTCACCTTAGGTACAGCCCTTCGTTCCAGTGTTCTGCATGCTTATGTTCTGCATGCTTGGATGGCCTGATGTGAGGGCAGCAGCATCACCAGGAATGGCAGGGTACAGGGACGCAGAAAGAGGCACTCGGAAGACTGGCATGGGGGAAACCTAGGGAGAACTGTCCTTGCTGTAACCCTGATCTGGGATCTCTGCCCACCCATGGGCCTACCATGCTTCAAGTGTCAGCACTGCATGGGGAAGGAGAGGCCTGTAGGTGAGGGAGACCCACAGAAACAGGTGGAGTTTCCGCTGGAAATGGGGCTGGAATGCCATGAAGATGAGACCTCAGATTTCGTAGAGTGGTGGAGATTCAAAGAGTACCTTCACAACCCTGGAAGTCTATGCTAGATTTAGGATGCATGGGTGGAAAGGGCTCCAGGGGATGGGAAAGGGAATGTGTTAGATGACCTGACATCCCAAGGTAACAACATAACATGGACAGCAAAACATCCCCTTGCTCCAGGATTGTTAACTTTTGTTGGGGAGGGACAAGTCTCTCTCTGATGCCCAGGCTGGAGTCTAGTGGCATGATATTGGCTCACTGCAGTGTCAGCCTCCCGTGCTCAAGTTATCCTCCCACCTCAGCCTCTCAAGTAGCTGGGACTGGAGGCGCACACCGCTATGCCCGGCTGATTTCTGTATTTTTTGTAGAGATGGGGTCTCACTATGTTGCCCAGACTGGTCTTGAACTCCTCAGCTCAAGTGATCTGTATTCTTCAGCCTCCCAAAGTTCTAAGATTTCAGGCATGCACCATGGCACCCAGCCATGCCCATTTGTTGCTACACACAGCCGTGCCCATTTGTTAATACTGTCCATGGCTGCCCAGGTACTACAGCAGGCAGAGAGATGGGTAGTTGTATCAGAGACCACATGGCCCACAAAACCTAAAATATTTACTGACACTACAGGAAATGTTTTTCAACCTGTGGCCTTGGGCATGACTAGGGCATTCCCTGCAAGGTAAAAGTCAAGATACTGCATCTTGTTATGTTGTAGAACCCCAAATTCAGGCTTGCGTACCTGATGTGTAGCTGATGCCAAACACCAAGACAAAGGTGCTTGGAGATAAAGGTTTATTTGATTTGGCCAAGGTGAGAAATCTGCCTTAACAAAAAGAAGCAGCGTGGAGTTTTTTTGTTTGTTTTGTTTTTTTAGAGATGGGGGTCTCCCTATATCACCCAGGCTGGAGTGCAGTGACTTTGAGAGAGTCTCAAAGTGCTGGGGTTATAAGCGTGAGCCACCGCGCACAGCCTCAGCATGGAAGTTTTGACCTCCGTTTTCAACCTGGGCCAGTTCACCCCTCCTTAGGCAACGTGGTGGTCCTCCACTCCTGGGAGGTCATAGCGAGGCCGAACTTGCTGCAGATACCCAATCGACATAGTACACTACAGCCTCGGCCTTCCAAAGTGCTGGGATTATAGGCATAAGCCACCATGCCAGGCATGGGGAGTTTTTACACAGCTAGAGACTAAGGGAGGGGCAGTTTCAGAGAACCGAGGGGGGAAAAGTCTGTGTTTCTTTAGTCTCACATAGTGTCTTGAATAACCAGACTTCTGGGTGTCTGCAGCTGGTCGCAGTGTGTTTAAAGACATTCATTACTTCTGCAAAATTTTTTTATGGCCCTGAAGTTATCCCCTCCTTCACAAGGAACAGTATTTCAGCAGTTCATAATTTCATTATGGGAACAAGGAATACTGGGCAAAAAGCGAGTGGTTAATGTGTAAGCAAGTAAGGGCCTGATAAGAATTTTCATCCCTTGAGTCACTAAAAATGCCGGGTGTTGAAAGAGGCATAATTTTGGGTAGTAGTTTTTGGATTTTGGAGAAAGCTGCTTTGACCCTTGAAAATACCCTGAGGCCTGGCGCAGTGGCTCACACCTGTAATGCCAGCACTTTGGGAGGCTGAGGCAGGTGGACTGCTTGAGCTGAGGAGTTGTTTTTTTTTGTTTTTTTTTAAAGACGGAGTCTCACTCACCCAGGCTAGAGTGCGGTGGTGCGATCTCGGCTCATTGCAACCTCCACCTCCCCAGTTCAAGCGATTCTGCCTCAGCTTCCTGAGTAGCTGGGATTACAGGTGGGTGTCACCACGCCCAGATAATTTTTGTATTTTTAGTAGAGATGGGGTTTTACCATGTTGGCCAGGGTGGTCTTGAACTCTGGACCTCAGGTGATCCACCCACCTCGGCCTCCCAAAGTGCTGGGATTACAGGTGTGAGCCAGTGTGCCCGGCCAAGCTGAGGAGTTTGAGCAGCTTGGGCAACATGGCAAGACACTCGACTCTACAAAAAATACAAAAATTACTCGGGCATGGTGGCTCACACCTGTAGGCCAGCTACTTGGGAGGCTGAGGTGGGAGGATCGCTTGAGCCCAGGTGGCGGAGGTTGCAGTGAGCCAAGATTGCACCACTGCACCTCAGCCTGGATGACAGTGAGACCCTGTCTCAAAAAAAAAAAGGAAATACTACTCCTGCTAATTATCAGGTGACCAGAAGGATGCAAGGACTCCACCAGCTCCTCTGCCATCTGCTACAAATGACAGCATAGGCCCCATCAAAGAGGTACCTGTGTTCCTAAATGATTTCATGTGGCACCTCTGATAAGTCTCAGTAAACACTCAGGCCAAACCCTGAAACTCTGAGTGTTCTGAATCAAGGCCACGTTTTCTGCAGGAGAGGGCTAGTTACCTTTCTTTTCTTTTTCTTTCTTTTTTTTTTTTTGAGACGGAGTCTCGTTCTGTTGCCCAGGCTGGAGTGCAGTGGCGCGATCTCAGCTCACCGTAATCTCCGTCTCCCAGGTTCAAGCGATTCTTCTGTCTCCGCCTCCCAAGTAGCTGGGATTACAGGCACCCACCACCACACCTGGCTAATTTTCATATTTTTAGTAGAGACAGGGTTTCACCATGTTGGCCAGGCTGGTCTCAAACTCCTGACCTCAGGCTATCTGCCCACCTCAGCCTCCCAAAGTGCTGAGATTACAGGCATGAGCCACCATGCCCAGCCTAGTTACCTTTCAAGAAGCTGCCCCCAAGTACTTAGCAGTATGGGAGATAAGTCACCTGCACTAAGACCACCCTCATGATTTGGGTGCTGACAGATGCATCAAGTCTCAAGGCATCTCAGTTTTATTATCAGTTTTTGTTTTTTTAAAAGAATTGGGCTGGGCGCGGTGGTTCACACCTATAATCTCAGCACTTTGGGAGGACGAGGCGGGCGGATCACCTGAGGTCAGGAGTTCCAGACCATCCTGGCCAACATGGTGAAATCCCATCTCTACTAAAATTACAAAAATTAGCTGGGCGTGGGGGCACACGCCTGTAGTCCTAGCTACTCAGGAGGCTGAGGCAGGAGAATTCTTGAACCCAGGAGGCGGAGGGTGCAGTGAGCCGAGATCATGCCACTGCACTCCAGCCTGGTGACAGAGCGAGACTCCGTCTCTAAAAAAAAAAAAAAAAAAAAAAGGAATCTTACTCTGTTGCCCATGCTAAAGAGCTAAAGAGCAGTGGTGAGATGATAGCTCTCTCTTTTTTTTTTTTTTTTTTTTTTTGAGACTGGGCCTTGCTCTGTCACCCAGGCTCGAGTGCAGTGGCATGATCGCGATCACGGCTCACTGCAGCCTCAAACTCTCAAGTGATCCAACTGCCTCATCCTAAGTAGCTGGGACTACAGGCATGCACCACCACACCCAGCCTAACACTTTTTTTTTCTTTTTTTTGAGACGGAGTCTCACTCTATTGCCCAGGTTGGAATGCAGTGCACCTCTTCCTCTTGGGTTTAAGTGATTCATCTGCTTCAGCCTCCCGAGTAGCTGGGATTATAGGCGCCTGCCATCACACCTGGCTAATTTTGTATTTTTAGTAGAGACAGGGTTTCACCATGTTGGTCAGGCTGGTCTCGAACCCCTAACCTTAGATGATCCACCTGCCTCGGCTTCCCAAAGTTTTGGGATTACAGGTGTGAGCCACCGTGCCCGGTCCTAACATTCTCGAAATAACAAAACTATAGAGATAGAGGACAGTTTAGTGGTTGCCAGAGGTTAGGCCTAGGGGGCCTAAGTAGGGAGGGAAATGGGTTTGGCTATAAAAGAGGAGCATGAGGGATCCTGGTAATGAACTGGTCCAGATCTTGACTGTGGTGGTCACAGGCATCACAGGTGATAAAGTTGCACAGAACTAAACGTACATACACACACAAATGAGTGATGTAACACTGGTGAAATCTCAGTAAGGCCAATGCTTCTAGCAGTTTCAATATTCTGCTGTGATATAGTGTACTATAGCTATGCAAGAAGTTGCCACTGGGGGAAACTGGCTTATCTCTCCCCATTATTTTTTACAATTGCATGTGAATCTACAATTATCTTAAATGTAAGGTTTTTTTGTTTTGTTTTGTTTTAGTTTGTTTTGTTTTAGTTGTTTTAGTTTGTTTTGTTTTAGTTTGTTTTGTTTTAGTTGTTTTAGTTTTGTTTTAGTTTGTTTTGTTTTAGTTGAGAAAAAAGATGCAGGCCAGGTGCTGTGGCTCACGCCTGTAGTCCCAGCATTTTGGGAGGCTGAGGTGGGAGGATTGCTTGAACGCAGGAGTTCCAGACCAGCCTAGGCAACACAGTGAGAGCCCATCTCTACATAAAAAAAATTAGCTGGGCCAGGTGCAGTGGCTCTTGCCTGTAATCCCAGCACTTTGGGAGGCTGAGGTGGGTGGATCACCTGAGGCTGGGAGTTCGAGACCAGCCTGACCAACATGGAAAAACCCCGTCTCTACTAAAAAAAAAAAACAAAATTAGCCAGGCATGGTGGCACATGCCTGTAATCCCAGCTAATCAGGAGGCTGAGGTAGGAGAATCACTTGAACCCAGGGGGCAGAGGTTGTGGTGAGCCGAGATCATGCCATTGCACTCCAGCCTGGGCAACAAGAGCGAAACTCCATCTCAAAAGAAAAAATTTGCTGGGCATAGTGACACGCGCCTGTGGTCCTACCTAATCTGGAGGCTGAAGTGGGAAGATTGCTTTAGCCTGGGAGGTTGAGGCTGCCATGAGCTGTAATCATGCTACTGCACTCCAGCCTGGGTGAGAGAGTGAGACCCAGTTTTAAGAAAAAAAAGAAGAAAATAAAAAAAATACAGAAATTAAAAAAAGAGAGCTGGGTGCCATGGCTCACGCCTGTATTCCTAGCACTTTGGGAGGCTTAAGCTCAGGAGTTTGAGACTAGCCTGGGCAACATGACGAGACTTCATCTCTACAAAAAATATAGCCGGGTGTGGTGGCATGTGCCTGTAGTTCCAGCTACTTGGGAGGCTGAAGCAGAGGTTGCAGTGAGATGAGATTGCATCACTGCACCCCAGCCTGGGCGACAGAGCCAGACTTTGTCTCAAAAAAAAAAAAAAAAAAAAGTATTATTTTAAATCAGAATAATAAGTCCTTTCTCTAGTCCTCACCTTTGGGTTCTGAAACAATACCTTTTTTTTTTTTTTTTTGAGACCGAGTCTCACTCTGTTGCCAGGCTGGAGTGCAATGGCACGATCTCAGCTCATTGCAACCTCCGCCTCCCGGATTCAAGCAATTCTCCTGCCTCAGCCTCCTGAGTAGCTGGGATTACAGACATGTGCCACCACGCCCAGCTAATTTTCTATTTTTACTAGACACGGGGTTTCACCATGTTGGTCAGGCTGGTCCCGACCTCAGGTGATCTGCCCGCCTCAGCCTCCCAAAGTGCTTGGATTACAGGCTTGAGCCACTGTGCCTGGCAATAGCCTGAGTTCTGATTCCAAACTCACAAGGCCAACTCCCAGGTACAAGAGGGAAAAGATGATCTGAAAGACTAGAGAACAATTTTTTTTTTTTTGCAAACTTTTAAACTTGATTATTTTGGGGTGCTAGGTTAGAAGTTGGTTTACTTTGTGAGTAAATGTCTCTGTGATGTTTGTTTTCTTTCTTTCTTTTTTTTTTTTTTTGGAGACAGAGTCTCGGTCTGTCACCCAGGCTGGAGTGCAGTGGTGCGATCTCGGCTCACTGCAACCTCCACATCCTGGGTTCAAGTGATCCTCCCACCTTAGCCTCCTGAGTAGCTAGGATTACAGGCATGAGCCACTGCACCCGGCCAATTTTTGTATTTTTAGTAGTGACAGGGTTTCACCATGTTGGCCAGGCTGCTCCTGAACTCTGGACCTCAAAATGATCCTCCCACCTCGGCCTCCCAAAGTGCTGGGATTACAGGCGTGAGCCACTGAACCCAGCCCTGAAAAATAAAAGATTTTTAAAATAAAAAAGTGAGGAAGGATGTATAGTCACCCAGCAGCACAGTCCCTGGGCTCTGTCTTTGACAATGATAAACATCGGGAAGGCAACAGGCCCCAGTCCTTTGGAAACAGGGCTCAGGAGCAGGACACCAGGGTTGGAGGCTGGCTGTGGAATTCGTTAGCCCATGAGAACCTCTGGGTGCCTCCTCTCCTCTAACCTAACCCTAACCCTAATGTCATCCGCATCACATAGGTTGCTAGGAAAATTTGACATGTGTGAAGTGTTTACAGTGGTGTCTGTCACTCAGTAAATCCCCAATTGAGTGGAAATGACACTTTGCTTTCTCTGGTCCCCCCTACCTCTCCCCACAGCCCCTCAACTAGGAGAGGATGACAAGGGGAAATCACCCACCAGCTCTGAAACAGGCCCCAGGAAGGGGTCTCTGACGCACAGCCAGTAATCCCACAAAGGGAAGCCTGGAGAGCCTCTGTCATGCCCTAGTCAGCCCATTCCTCACTCCCAGAAGGGAGAGAGGAGAGCTCGTTTCCCCTGGGAACCAGGGTCCCAACTCCAGGGCCTGGCCTTGTCCATCTGGGGCTAACACTGACTCCATCCTCCACTGTCATCCAGACCTGGCCTCCCATCAGTTTCTGACTCCTCCCACCATGATTTTCCCAGGTTCCATGAGCGAGAGCCGTCACCCTCCACATCAGAGAGATAAGCCTGTCACTGGACAGTCACACCTAGGGACTCGTGTGGTGGGGCCTCCTACATAAGTGGTCACTTATAGGACTTGGGGGAACTGTGACACCTGTCCAGGAGAAGTTTAAATGAAGCAGCATGAGAGCTTGAAAGAAGAGCGGCAGGTCTCCACCACGACGTGGCCCCAGGATACATGTGAAGGTGGAGGTGGGTGGCTGTCACGTCCAGAAACCTCTGCTCCCCAGTGGGGCACTGGGGTTGGAAGTTGAGGCTGCATCTCTTGTCAGGGTCATGGGGCCACCATGCAAGGACAGGGTTTGCTAGGATTTCAAACAGCAGAGCTCCTGATAGTCGTGACTGCGTGGCCCTGGGTTCCTCAGTCAGAAAGCATGCACTGCTTCCGGTCACCTTTGTGTGGCTTCCCCTGGGTCTGCCACTCCAGACTTGGCTTTCTTACCGCACTTTTCATGTTCTCAAAAGCAGTCTCTCACACCAGCGTCTTCCCGTGCCAACGAGGAGAGAGCTCTGCACTGCACCCCCTGGATGAGGAGGCGTGCTCAGGAGCCCCCTTCTACCAGCCCTGCTGGGTGGCTCCCACCCCTGCCTCTGCGTCCTGCAGGGCTGGGCCTTGCCTCCTCAGTGATCCTATCGCCTGCATTCCAGTCGTGCTGCTAATTCCCTCCACCAGGGTGGTTTGCGCACAGGCCCCTCCCTAGGTCCACCTGTGCAGACTCAGCGCTGCCTCTGGGCTGGCCATACCACCTGGGGCTGCTGGTACAGGACAGCTTCCCCAAAGCACTGGGGCTTGCCAGGCCTTCTGTGACCCACCCAAGATTCCCTGATAGTGGCTGGACTCAGCCAGGTATCTTTAGTCCCACTCAGCCCCACCTTGGAACCTTGCTCTCAGTCCCTACGTGTCCTGTTTCAAAGGCCCTGGAAGACATGTGGACCTCATTTTTACACCTCTGGGGCCCTGCACAAGTCTCTGACCCCACCCACAAGGCAGGTGACCCTAAGTCTAGGATACATCATACTTCTCAAGGATGTGGCCCACCCTGAGACATGGAGGAAGGGTGCATCATTGGAGACAGCTGCCCAGCCCAAGCCCTGGCCTCAGATTGGGAGCTGCCACCTGGCGGGGACTCCATTGTTCTCTGGCCTTTGCTGGAGGCAGAGGCTAGAAGTGGTCTCAGTTCCTTCTCCTGGGCTGTCAAGGGGCAGGACTGCAGGATGGGCACCAGGCAGAAGTGGCACTTCACACCCCTGCCTGGGGTGCCACAGGGACATTGCCAGGGAAGTCTTCCTGGAGGGGAGTTCAGGCATGCCAAAGAACTTGGATTTGCACACATGGTGTTTGTCTCCCACATGCACTATGCAGGGCTTCTCGAGACATACTTCTTCATGGAATTTCACAGGATATTTCCTGGGAGGAGGGGGGCCCATGGGGTGAGCTGAGGATTTTACTGGGATGGGTCAAAGGAATTGCTACATTTTCTACCATAGAGAGCATTCACTGGGTGAGGTCTCAATGGGGGGTCTCAATTGAGGTCTCAATGGGGGGGTGAGCCCTGGGGGTCGCTCTAGATTAAAGGAAGTCATGGGTACCTGAGGCATCAGGACTTCTAGGGCCCCCGTGCAAGTGGTGGAAATGGAAAGGTCTTCTGTTATAACACTGTGGTATCTCACAGTGCATGGGTCTCTCTGTGGGGCTTGCTGGAGTGGGAGCCATAGGAGACAGTTGGGCGGCAGGGACTCAGGGACTGGGAAGCTTGCTGGGAGTGGGCATCCAGGGAAAGTCAGCAATCCAAGGGATTACCCACCCCCAGACCCAAAGACGATGGATCACAAGACTACCGAGGAGGGGGTGGTGGGGCGAGTTTAATTCATAAAGAAGCCTCCTGATCAGAAAGGGGCCTAACAGCCTGCCCTTGGAGAGAAGTCCTTCCTTGAGGATAAGGCCTCCCAGGGGAGGAGGTGCTGGGGGCCAGTGTTAGGCTTCAGGCCATCCCTGGAGGCCAGTCCTGTGCTCAGCAAGTAGTGGCAGAGCCTGCGGAGAGTGGCGGGCAGGCCATCAGACACAGTCCTTACACAGACACCCCCTCAGCCCACAGAAGCCCGTCTCACCTGGAGTGATGAGTGGGATGGCCTTCTCAGGTACAGGACTAGAGAAAGGACCACATCAGAGTAGTATCAGGTTAGCCTGGAGGACCTTCTCCCCTATATCCCAGACTCTTGCTGCCCGGCCCCAGGAGTGCAAGTCCTTGCTCTCCTTCCATGGTCACTTCCCACAATACCGAGGTCAGAGCTTTCCTGACTGGGGCCCTTCAGGGTTGACTATCTGAATAACAAAGCCAGCTGCAAGCCCAGCGAGTGGCCAGGATGCTGTCCACTCTCCAGGTCAGGACTGTCCCCCCGTAGTTCTGCCCCGAAGGAGGAGGGCACCATAGGGTCAGGCTCACCTGTGCTGCTTCTGGCTGCTCTTGCATTTGCATTTGCCACCTGGGAGAGAGAGAGGGGTCAGCGCCAGGGTCAGTGCTGGAATGAGAGCACTCTCTCTTTCTGCCCCACCCTGTCCGCCAGCCCCACCCTGTCCTCCAGCCCCACCTGTCCTGCCACTCACTCAGAACTGCCGCGATCCCAGCAATGGCCAGGAGCCCTCCGCAGATCAGTCCGCTCAGCTGCAGGTTTTTCCAGTCTGGGGTGGGTACAGAGAGTGAGCTTGCACCAGCCTGGGGCCTCAGTCATTCATTCAAAAGACACTCCTGAGCCCCTGCTTGTGCCAGCCGCTGCCATATACATAAAGACAAGCCAGCAACAGAGGCATCATTCTGCGTCTCGTGGGGAAACACTAAGAAGAAAAAAAGTGAGGCTGGGTGCGGTGGCTCACATCTGTAATCCCATCACTTTGGGAGGCCGAGGCGGGCAGATCACCTGAGGTCAGAAGTTCGAGACCAGCATGACCAATATGGTGAAACCCCATCTCTACTAAAAATACAAAAATTAGCTAGGCGTGGCGGCAGGCGCCTGTAGTCCCAGCTACTCGAGAGGCTGAGACAGGAGAATTGCTTGAACCCGGGAGATGGAGGTTGCAGTGACCCGAGATCATGCCACTGTACTCCAGCCTAGGCGACAGAGTCAGAATCTGTCTCAAAAAAAAAAAAAAAAAAAAAAAGAAGTGGACATGCGCAAAGAAAGGGCTTTGAAGGATGATCAAGGAAAGCTGTCCTGGAGCTGAGGCCCAGGGGAGAGGAGGAGAGGAGGACTGCCTGAGGGCTGGGGACTAGGGAAAGGGAGGGTGAGGGTGAGTGAAGGCAAGAGGGTAGGGGTGATTTATCGGGGTGCCTAACCACCCAGGCACCAGCCCTTCTCCAGGAGGGTTCCTAAGCATCCTGTGGCCACCCTCCCCTTGTTGGAGCGACGCTCTCACAGAGACCAGGTTTAATCCCCCATCCCACTTTGTCTACACTAGGTCCACACTACCCCTCACCAACTTGTCTAGCAAAGAGGTCCAGGATAGGCAAGGGTAGGGTGGGGGTGGGAATATCAGCTCTTACCATAGTAGAAGGGATCGTCTTTATTGGCTAGAAAAAGTGGGGCAAAAAGACTTCAGAACCAGAACCAGGAGACAGGATGTGGGTGTCAGAGGGGAGATGTGGGCAGAGTGGGCAGGCTGTTTGGGGGCCTCACTCACCAAATGGGTCATTGGCTTCCAAGGCAGTCAGGCCTGTGTGGGAGGAGCAGAGAAAATGTGTGGGAATTCATGACACTGGTGTCCAAGTAAGCCAGACAGCAGGACCCCAGCCCGGAGGTTGTGGGGTGACCCTGGAGCCACCAGTTCCCTTCCTCACGCCCTCCCCAGCCCCACACAGCCTCAGGGTGTGGCCCCGCCCAAGCCCTGCTGTCCCAGGCTTCCTGATGCTCCTGTGTGCATGCTGACTGGGATGGTTTGTTATGTCTCTGCCCCCTGAAGAAACAGGGAATGCTTGTCTTTTTTATGAGTCGGAACCTCTCTCTGTCACCCAGGCTGGAGTGCAATGGTGCAATCCTAGCTCACTGCAACCTCGACCTCCCAGGCTCAAGTGATCCTCCCAGGCTCAAGTGATCCTCCCACCTTGGCCTCCCAAAACACTGGGATTACAGGCCTGAGCCGCTGTGCCACCCTGCTTTTGTCTTCAAGCCACAGGTGGTTAATGTTTTCCATGGTTCAATTCCTCTGGAGCTATTAGGACCTTTTTGCAATATTCTCATCCTACCTGTACTGTCATTTCCTTCATGTTTCTCTCTAAATTGGCAGTTTAAATAAAGCATGCTGATTGAACACCAGACTCCCAAAGGAGATGTTGTCTGGCTTTTGCTGCCTTTGTGGGTGGGGTGAATGCAAGAGGGTCCCAGGAGACTGGGAGGACTCACCTGCCAGTAGGAGAAGGGCCAGGGTCACTCTCTCCATGTCACAGTTCGAGGGGCAGGGCTGCAGGGGGAGAGGCACTGGGGCGGGGGTCTGCAGCCCACGGATCTGCTCCAGGCTCACAGCTCAATTGGTCAGCGAGAGGAGGCAGGGGCGGGGGCAGGCAGAGCCCCATGGTGAAAGTAGGTGTACAAACCCCAAGGATACACTTGCTTGTGGGGAGATCTTGGGAAAGTAACTACTTTCTGTCTTCCCATCTAGAGATGGTGGTGGCCTGGGGGAGTTGTGTGGATTGAGTAAGCACAAGCTAAGAGCTCAAAACTGTGCCTGCACAGAGTAAGTGCTGTAGAAGGCGTTGTTAAAATCCATGCGACAAACCCACCCCCTACTCCTCCCCATGAGGAAGATACTATTATTGTCTCTATTTCAGAGAAGAAAAAAAAAAATGGAGCTTAGAGAGGTGTAATCAGATGCCCAGGGTCAGGTGGCTGCTATTCTAAGTCAGGGTCTGGAGCCTGCCTTCCTAACCCCACACAAAGGGCATTGTTATCAGGCCCCAGGCTATTGTTCCCAAAGGTCTGGGCCTGGGGTGGCCAGAGTCCAGCACCCTCAGTCTGAATTCCCAGAGAGCCTCCACAAAAGCAAGGGTGTGGAGGAGGGAGGGAGTGCTGAGTCCTGGGATGAGATGACTGCAGCAGCCAGGACCTCCCCTGCCAGCCCTGGCAGGGGACCCTACTCCAGCAGACCCAGATTCTGCTCTCAGAGTATAGACCTCCTGTGGTATGACATTTCCCCCTCAGGTTGGAAGTAGCCAGGACCCCATTTACTTGTCCTTAGGGAGGCTGAGTCTTTGAGCGCAGGCCCCCTCCCAGCCCTCTGCATATTGTTAGCCTAGTGTGGTCAAGTTTTCAATACTGAAGCCATTGTCATCATCTGCTGTACCCAGCTCTGGCCTCCTGATGAGATCACAGATCCAGGGCCAGCTGTCTGGGCTGGGTCCCTTCTTAGCAACTTACCAACTGTGTGACTCTGCAGGTTCCTCACTGCTCCTTCACCAGTGTCCTGTAAAAGGAGGATCATCAGAATAGTAGCAACCTCATAAGGTTATAGCGATGGAATTACGTGAACTACTATTTGTCAAGCCTAAGAACTATGCCTAGCACACAGTAAGCACTAAAAACCTGTTACAATAAATACATCCATAGGCCGGGCGCAGTGGCTCACACCTATAATCCCAGCACTTTGGGAGGCTGAGGCGGGTGGATCACCTGAGGTCAGGAGTTCAAGATCAGCCTGGCCAACATGGCAAAACCCCATCTATACTAAAAATACAAAAATTAGCTGAGTGTGGTGACAGGCGCCTGTATTCCCAGCTACTTGGGAAGCTGAGGCAGGAGAATCACTTAAACCTGGAAGGTGGAGGTTGCAGTGAGCCGAGATCCTGGCACTGCACTCCAGCCTGGGCAACAGAGGGAGACTCCATCTCAAAATAAATAAATAAATACATCCATAAATAAACACATGGTCCTTCTGCAGTGGGAGGGAGGCACTGGAGGGAGAGACTGTTAGGCACTGCTTCTGAACATCGGTTCTTGGGCTAGGAGCAGTCTCCAAAGCTGGCTTCCCCCAGCCTTCACTGGTCTCTCTACCTTCACCAACCTGGAGTTCCTGGAATACGAGGGTCTCAACTCTAGGTCACATTTTTTATTTTATTATTATTATTATTACTATTTTTTTTTTTTTTGAGACAGGGTCTTGCTCTGTTACCCAGGATGGAGAGCAGTGGCGTGATCTCGGCTCACTGCAGCCTTGAACTCTCTTGGCTCAGGTGATCTCCTCACCTGAGTATCTCAAGCAGTTGGGACCAGAGGTATACCCCACCAGCTCATATATTCTTTAGCCAAGGGCTGGCTTCTGTTTCCTCCAACCCCCAACCCACCATCCATATGATAGTGGGTGCAAAGCAGGAGGCCTTCAAGCGGCTGCTGCAGCCATATCTGTCCTCAGACCCCTCAACAGGCTCCTCATTACTCAGAATTCTTGGGCACCCACCCCCTTCACCCAGCAGCCCCAAAGTGGACGCCTGCTCACCTGCGAGGTCACCTTGGCGAGGGCTCACCTGAGCTGGCAGCGCAGAGAACGGATCTGAGGAGGCTGCTGGGCACGTGGGTCGGCTCTTTAAACCCTGCAGCCACGCCCAGGGCTCCATGACGCAGGCTGGAGGGAACTGGTCAGGCTCCCTGCCACACCCAGGGCTGTTGGGGAGGGGCGGGCTGGGCCGAAGACCCTCTTTTGGCTTCTTTTTTTTTTTTTTTTTTTTTTTTTTTTCTTTTTTTGAGATGGAGTCTCACTCTGTCACCCGGGCTGGAGTGCAGTGATGCAATCTCAGCTCACTGCAACCTCTGCCTCCTGGGTTCAAGCAATTCCCCTGCCTCAGGCTCCCGAGTAGCTGGGACTACAGGTGCACGCCACCACACCTGGCTAATTTTTTTTGTATTTTAGTAGAGATGGGGTTTCAATGTGTTGCCCAGGCTGGTCTCCAACTCCTGAGCTCAGGCAATCCGCCCACCTCGGCCTCCCAAAGTGCTAGGATTACAAGCGTGAGCCACCGCGCCCAGCCTTTCTTTTGGCTTCTTTAGCTCACCCAGATCCTAAAAGAGGGACCTGGAGGGTGCTGGGCAGGGTGTTCCTGGGCTCTTGTGCCAGCTTTGGGGGTTCTGGGACCTCTGTGTGGGGGTGTCCTGGGGACCACGGAGGATACCAGGAGCCAGGCACTGACCTTGAGGCTCCCTGTGCTCAGCAGTGCCATGCCACTGCTGTCACTTGGGCTGGGTGTCTACTGAAGGGAGGCTGGTGGCCGATGGGCACCCCCGGGGGTGGCTCACCCTCTGACAGGGCCCTGACACCCACTTAGCCTCCCCCACAGGTGAGGGATGGGGCCAGGAGGAGGATAGACGCCCCCGGCTGAGGAGTGGGCTGCCTCCCTCTGCAGACCTCAGGCCTGCCTTGTTGCTGGGGGCCAAAGTCACCCCACACAGGCGTGTGGAGGACCCCAGGCCTCCCTAGTCTGCTGTTACCCCTCCTTAATTCTTTTCCAAATGAGGGACACTTGTCCCTGTCCAGAAGGTAAGGGGGGATGGCTGACAAGGGATGGGGGTCTCTGGGCTGGGAGGGCTGGGGAGGGCAATGATGGTTTAGTTGGTTTGTTTGTTTATTTATATATTTATTTTTGAGCTGGAATTTCGCTCTGTCGCCCAAGCTGGAGTGCAGTGGCTCGATCTTGGCACACCACAACCTCCACCTCCCAGGTTCAAGCAATTCTGTCTCAGCCTCCCGAGTAGCTGGGATTACCGGCACACACCACTGTGCCCAGCTAATTTTTGTATTTTTAGTAGAGATGGGATTTCGCTATGTTGAGCAGGCTGGTCTCGAGCTCCTGACCTCAGGCGATCCACTGCCTCGGCCTCCCAAAATGCTGGGATTACAGGTGTGAGACACTATGTCTGGCCCAGACATACTTTTAAGTGGAAAAAAAGTATAGGGCAGTCTGAATAGGATGCTGTCACTTGTGTAAAAATATAAAATATTGGTTGGGAAAGGCGGCTCACGCCTGTAACCCCAGCACTTTGGGAGGCTGAGGTGGGCCTGTGTCTGTGTGCATGCTGCATGGGGCTTAGCACAGAGGAGGCGTCCCGGTGTTTCCTCAGCCAGCTGTTTACTTGAGTTCATTGCATATATGACTGCACCTAGCCCTCACAGAAGTCTTTGGAGGTTCATACTCTCATTAGCCTGTCAATCTACAATAGTCAAACAGGTTAGATTTTAGTTTAAAGGAGTTTATTTAAGTGTAAAGGTTAAGGATGGCCTGCTCAGGAAGTAAGGATGGTAAAGAATGGAAGTCATGGCTGGGGGCGGTGGCTCACGGTTGTGATCCCAGCACTTTGGGAGGCTGAGGAGGGCAGAACATGAGATCAGGAGTTCAAGACCAGCCTGGCCAACAAGGTGAAACCCCGTCTCTACTAAAAATACAAAAATTAGCCGGGCGTGGTGGCGCGCTCCTGTAGTCCCAGCTACTTGGGAAACTGAGGCAGGAGAATCGCTTGAACCTGGGAGGCGGAGGTTGCAGTAAGCTGAGATCGTGCCACCGCACTCCAGCCTCAGCGACAGAGCGAGACTCCATCTTAAAAAAGAAAAAAAGAGAAGAATGGAAGTCAGAGTTTTAAAGTCTCGGTGGAGTGTGGGGGTTAAATCCTGACACTCTGGGAGGCCAAGGTGGGCAGATCACTTGAGCCCAGGAGTTTGAGACCAGTCTGGGCAACATAGCGAGACCCCATCTCTACAAAAAAAAATAGAACAAACAGCCTGGCGTGGTGGCACACACCTATACTCCAGCAGAGGTGGGAGGATCGCTTCAGCATGGGAGGTCAAGGCTGCTGTGAGCCCAGAAAGCACCACTGCACTCCAGCCTGGGTGACAGAGGGAGACCTGTCTCACAATAAATACGTAAAATGTAGAAGTTTGGGATCATTTATTTTATTTTTATTTTTTTGAGACAGAGTCTCATTCTGTTGAGACAGAGTCATTCTGTTGCCCAAGCTAGAGTGCAGTGGCACGATCTCTGCTCACTATAACCTCCGCCTTTTGGGTTCAAGTGATTCTTGTGCCTCAGCCTCCTGAGTAGCTGAGATTACAGGCCCGAGCCTCCATGCCCAGCTAATTTTTTCTATTTTTAGTAGAGACAGTGTTTCACTACTTTGACCAGGCTGGTCTCAAACTCCTGACCTCAAGTGATCCACCTGCCTCGGACTCCGAAAGTGCTGGGATTACAGGCATGAGCCACCGTGCCTGGCCTGGGATCGTTTATATAGACACAGTTTAGGAACGTTTAACAGGATTTTAGCTGTTTTTTTAATCTTTTTTGAGACAGGGTCTCCCTCTGTCGCCCAGGCTGAAGTGCAATGATACAGTCATGGCTCTCTGCAGCCTCGACCTTCTGGAACAAGCAATTCTCCTGCCTCACCCTCCTGCGTAGCTGGGACTACAAGTGCACGCCACCACGCCAGGCTAATTTTTGTATTTTTTTTGGTAGAGACAGTTTTGCCATGTTGCCCAGGCTGGTCTCAAACTTCTGGGCTCTAGTGATTCACTTCCCTTGGCTGCCTAAAGTGTTGGGATTACAGATGTGAGCCACCCACTGCCGCTGGCTGAATTTTAACTTTTAAAATTTAAGGTTTAATGCATAGTTATAATGATCTGGGCCGAGTGTGGTGGCTCACGTCTGTAATCCTAGCACTTTAGGAGGCCGAGGCAGGTGGATCACCTGAGGTCGGGAGTTCGAGATCAGCCTGACCAACATGGAGAAACCCCATCTCTACTAAAAACACAAAATTCGCCGGGCGTGGTGGCGCATGCCTGTAATCCCAGCTACTTGGGAGGCTGAAGCAGGAGAATTGCTCGAACCTAGGAGGCAGAGGTTGCAGTGAGCCAAGATTGCGCCATTGCACTCCAGCCTGGGCAACAAGAGTGAAACTCCATCTCAAAAAAAAAATGATCTGATCAGTTGAGGTAGTCTTTCTTTAGGAGGAAGTTCTATTTAACACTTTATTTATTTAAAATTTAAATATTTGTATATAAAATGAAGGCTGAGTCAGGCTGGGGGTGGTAGCTCACGCCTGTAATCCCAGCACATTGGGAGGCCGAGGTGGGAGGATCACGAGGTCAGGAGTTTGAGACCAGCCTGGCCAACATACTGAAATCCCGTCTCTACTAAAAAATACAAAAAATTAGCTGGGCATGGTGGCGGGAGCCCGTAATCCCAGCTATTCGGAAGGCTGAGGCAGGAGAATCACTTGAAGCCAGTGGGTGGAGGTTGCAGTGAGCCGAGATCAGCCATTGCACTCCAGTCCAGGGAACAGTGCGAGACTCCGTCTCAAAAAAAAAAAAAGTGAAGGCTAGGTCTCACTATGTTGCCCAGGCTGATCTTGAACTCTTGGTCTCTTGCCTTGGACTCCCAAAGTGCTGGAATTATAGTGGTGAGCCACTCCTCTCAGCCAATTTATTCATTTTTTAAATTAAAACATATGGAATCAGCCTGGACAACATGGTGAAACCCTATCTCTACCAAAAATAGAAAAAATTAGCCAGGCGTGGTGGTGCACACCTGTGGTCCCAGCTACTTGGGAGGCTGAGGCAGGAGGATAGCTTGAGCCTAGGAAGCAGAGGCTGCAGTGAGCTGAGATCTCGCCACTGCACTCCAGCCTGAGTGACAGGGTGAAACCCTGTGTGTGTGTGCGTGCGTGTGTGTGTGTATATATATATATATATGGGATGAGATATATATATATATGGGATGAGATATATATATATATATAGTCAGGAGATTGAGACTATCCTGGCTAACACGGTGAAACCCCGTCTCCACTAAAAATACAAAAAATTAGCCGGGCGTGGTGGCGGGCGCCTGTAGTCCCAGCTACTCGGGAGGCTGAGGCAGGAGAACAGCGTGAACCCAGGAGGCGGAGCTTGCAGTGAGCTGAGATCGCGCCACTGCACTCCAGCCTGAGCAACAGAGCGAGACTCCGTCTCAAAAAAAGAAGAAGCAGACTTGTGAAATGTTATGTGATTCAGATCATAGTCACATCTCTCTTAAAGCTTAAAGTGTTTTAGGTGTTGTAAACTTTATTTTCACAATCCCCACTTTAAGGGTGAGAAAACTGAGGAAGAGAAAGGTTGAGTGACTTGCCCCATGTCACATGTAGGGTGGATGGTGAGGTCAGGACCCCAGCCTGGTGGCTGGATGGCGACACCCTCACTGCCTAGGGCAGCCGCCTCACTGTGCTTTTTTTTTTTTTTTTTTTTTTTTGAGATGGAGTCTCGCTCTGTTGCCCAGGCTAGAGTGCAGTGGCATGATCTTGACTCACTGAAACCTCCGCTTCCCGGGTTCAAGCGATTCTCCTGCCTCGGCCTCCAGAGTAGCTGGGACTACAGGCGCATGCCACCATGCCAGGTTAATTTTTGTAATTTTGGTAGAGACTGGGTTTCACCATATTGGTCAGGCTGGTCTCAAACTCCTGACCTCAGGTGATCCACCCGAAAGTGCTGGGATTACAGGCATGAGCTACTGCACCCAGCCTTGCTGTGCTTTTTATGGTGTGGCCTCTCTGGGTGCCATGGTCTCCTGGAGGGCAGATCTTGGCCTGCCTGACCCTGTGTTTCCTGGCCTCTGCCTCCCACTCTCTCTCTGCTGGTCTCTGGGCATGTGTCCCCCAGCCATTCTCTATGCAGGAAATAGAATGTAGTGGCTCTGCAGTAACTGAGCAGAGTTTAAACTTGGGGCCCATCTCCCAAGCCAGGTGACATTGGAGAAGGTTTCTACCTCCTTGGGTCTCGGTTTCTTCATTTATTAAAGGAGACTAGTGAAAGCATTGTTTTGAGGACTCAATGTCCTGAGCCAGCTCCCTTGCCATCGTGGTTTCTCTGAGGGTGGTGTCACTGCAGCAGGGTATATTTTCTCCCACTTTCTGTCTGGGTCTCCCAGGTCTTTTTTTTTATTTTTTATTTTTTGAGACGGAGTCTCACTCTGTCACCCAGGCTGGAGTGCAATGGTGTGATCTCGGCTCACTGCAACCTCCTCGTCTCGGGTTCAAGCGATTCTCCTGCCTCACCCTCCCAAGTAGCTGGGACTACAGGCACCTACAACCACTCCTGGCTAATTTTTGTATTTTTAGTAGAGATGGGGTTTCACCATATTGGCAAGGCTGGTCTCAAACTCCTGACCTTGTGATCCACCCGCCTTGGCCTCCCACAGTGCTGGGATTACAGGTGTGAGCCACTGCACCTGGCCTTTTTTTTTTTTTTTTTTTTTTTGAGACAAGGTCTTGCTGTCACCTAGGCTGGTGTGTAGTGGTGCTATCATGGTTCACTGTAACCTTGACCCGCTGCCAGGCTCAAGTAATCATCTCACCTCAGCCTCCCAAGTAGCTGGGACTGCAGGCATGCACCAACATACCCAATCAATATTTTAAATTTTTGTAGAATCGGGGCCTCCCTATGTTGCCCAGGCTGGTCTTGAACTCGTGGTCTTAAGTGATCCTCCCAACTCAGCCTCCCAAAGTGCTAGGATGACAGGCACGAGCCACTGGGTGTGGCTTTACTGGGTCTTTTAAAATCTCAGTCTGTGTGTGTGTGTGTGTATGGGTGTGCACGTGCACACACACACGCGAACACGTACAGCACTCCTCAAAATAGACCATCTCAGCCTTCTACTGATGCCTGTGACGTTCAGTCCATCTTGGAAAATAGAAATCTCAGGTTATGTTCCCACTGTGTGCCAGGTAAGATACTTGCCACTTCCCTTTTATTTTATATCTGGGTACATTCCAGTCTTTATTACCTTTCCTCAGGGAAATTAATACCTTCATGGACACATCTATGTTCTTCATAGAGCAACAGGGAAAAGCTCATTGAGTAGGGGAGGCCAGGTGGCAGGGAGGAGTCCCAGTTGCGAAATGCTCATCTTCAGGTGCCACTCTGGACCACAGACTTCCCTTCCTCTGCACCAGGTCCTTTGTATACTTTGCAGTGCTGGAGCCAGAGAGAGAAGATAAGCTGAAGCTGGATCCTGTAATTTTCTCTTTGAAACGTCTTGATACCTCCGAACTTTGACCTGCACCCACCCAGCTGAGGCTCAGGCAAAGTGGTGTTGTTTTTCCTTTACCCTTCCAGTCTCATCACCCAAGGTTTGATTTCCTGTAGGTTTCAGTGCCTCTCACCCAGCTTTCCCATATTTGTACTATATAAGAAGTCCGATTCCAATGCATCGCTCCAGGAGTTTTGGTAAGAAACGCATGTCCAGGAAGCAGGGCAAGAAACTTCCTGAACACAGCCTTCATTGCCAGTCCAACCCTCAGGAATCACACCATGAGAGAGTTCATCCAAACACTCCTAATGGATGAAAAAACACTTTTTTTTTTGAGACAGGGTTTCACTCTGTCACCCAAGCTGTTGTGCAGTGGCACAATCACGGCTCATTGCAGCCTCCACCTTCCAGGCTCAAGTGATTCTCTCACCTTGGCCTCCTAAAGTGTTGGGATTACAGGTGTGAGTCAACACCCCCAGCCAACACTTTTTTTTTTTTTGAGACAGAGTTTCTCTTCTTTGCCCAGGCTGGAGTGCAATGGGTGCGATCTCGGCTCACTGCAACCTCTGCCTCCCGGGTTCAAGCAATTCTCCTGCCTCAGTCTCCCAAGTAGCTGGGATTACAGGCACGTGCCAGCATGCCTGACTAATTTTTGTATTTTTAGTAGAGACAACAGGGTTTCATCATGTTGGCCAGGCTGGTCTTGAACTCCTGACCTCAAGTGATCCGCCCGCCTTGGCATCCCAAAGTGCTGGCGTAAGCCACCGCGCCTGGCCCAGCCAACACTTAATATCCAAAACTTTTAAAGTTTTCTACACCATTCTGTGGTCATTTATTTATAAATACTGGGTTTAATACCTAAGAAGATATGTTCATTAACCCAGGGACTGACTTTGCATCACTTCCAGTGTAAAAGGTGTTGCTGCAGATTGAGTGTGTGGCCAGAAATTGGGGGCCTCTCAGAGGGCACACAGTGCTAAGGCATGGTACACACCGTGGATGAGGTGATGTACCATTGTGCTTGCAGAAGGTACACTCAAAGACCTGGATTCCCAATCTCTGGATCTGTCCAAGCCTCAACTTGTCCCCTGCCTTGGATGGGTATCAATACCACCTGGCTGAGGTGAAGTTTTCTTTCCACCTGTTAAAGGTTATAATACCTCACAGCAATAGGAATAGGAATGGTGGATCCCTGAAGAGGGCAGAAGTTGTTGCGGGGTGGGGATGGGGGCAGGCAAAAATGCTAGGGCCTTCTGGAGAAGTGCATCTGAGGTTCCTTTTGGAGACCTTCCAAAGCAAAGGTGGCTTTTGGGACTTACAGGACCCCTTTCCTACGAATGCCTGCTTTCTTGAGGCTTAGTCTCCGGCTTAGCCTGATGGGCCAGAACTCAGCTGAGAAGGCTGGAAACTTGGGCGGAGCAGGCTGCCCTGTGCTCGCTACCAGGGCAGTGTGACCTTAGCAAGACATTTCTCTTCTCTGGAACAGTTTCCCTCTGGGGTCTCTCTCATGGTGGCCCCCTTTATCCTAGGTTACCAATCTTACCATGTATGTCTCAGGGCGCTTCCCAACTACAGTAACAGCTCTTGTAAACTGAGCAGTCACTCAACTGAGCCCTGTCTTCTGAGTTCATGCAGCATAATCAGATTCAAAGTAGACTCAGTCACAGTTCCCATTTTACGGATGAGCAAACAGGCAGAAAGAGGTAAGTCGGGGGCGCACGCAGCAAGTTAACAGCCTGAATTTGACTCCAAAGCTTGTGCTGTGAACGGTGCTTCTGAATCTTGAGGTTAACAAGCTTTCTTCACAACCTGTCCTGGGAGGGATTAATTCCACAAATGTGTACTGAAGGCTGAGCGTGGACCACCCCCTGCCCCTTGCTGCCTGTGCGTGGTCATTTTTTTTTTTTTTTTTTTTGAGACGGAGTCTTGCTCTGTTGTTGTCAGGCTGGAGTGCAGAGGCGCAATCTCGGCTCACTGCAACTTCTGCCTCCCAGGTTCAAGCGATTCTCCTGCCTCAGCCTCCCAAGTAGCAGGGGCTACAGGCGCGCGCCACCACGCCCGGCTAATTTTTAGTAGAGATGGGGTTTCACCATGTTGGCCAGGATGGTTCTCCATCTCTTGACTTGGTGGTCCACCCAACTCGTCCTCCCAAAGTGCTGGGATTACAGGCGCAAGCTACCGCACCCAGCTTAGACTGTCTGTTTTGAGGCAGAGGAGGAAATCCGAGGTCCCTTGCCCCGAGGCCTTTCCCAGCTGTCTCCACGAGGACTACTGGACTCCCGCCTGGACCCCCGCCCTGTGAGTGTCCCCTGCTCTTCCCGTCTCTCCGCAGATTCCTCGGGCCCATGGATGTGGAGCCCACTCCCTTGGAGGGCCCTGGGGAGGGAGGCAGCCGACTCCGCTCACCCCCTGCCTGTGCTAGGCAGGCGAGCAGCGTCAGGCGCGGCTGCTGTCCTAGGGCTCCGCCTTAGGCTGACTCCCGCGTGTAGGGCAGAGATGGGACAGGGCCCTTAGCGCAGGGGGCTTTGGGCCCTGAGGACAAGGCGGCACGGAAATGGGGCGGAGATCTCCCCGGCAGCGACGACCCTCGGGACTCTAAAAGTTAGGCCCACTTAGGCCGCCAGAAACGACCCCACGGCCTCTGGGAGGCCTTCCCGCAAGGGGCCGCGAGAGAGCCAGAGGAAGGAGGACTGCGCTGGCCGCCAGCCAATCAGCACCAAGGAATGTCTATGAGGCTGGCTCGCGGGAGAAACCGCCAGTGAGGCGAGGGCCCAGGAGGTGTGGGCGGGGCTTTCCTCCGCGGAAGTGGTCCCGACCCCCTTCGCGTGGATTGGCTGCTCCCACTCACCTGCAAGCCCCTGCTCTACCGCGCTTGCGCAGTCGTTTTCCGTGTAACGCGCGTCTCGGGTTACTTCTTTGCTTGAGTCTCAGTCCATTTGTTTACCCATATGTGCTGCGCTATGTCGTGATGGTGGCGGTCTTCGGTAACGGGGACCTTGGAGGCTGGGAGGGATAACTGGACGTGAAGGGCCAGCACTGGGGGCGAGCTCAGGGCGGTCAGGGCGGAGGGATGGGCGCGAAGAGTGAGGCCTGCAACCCCGCAGGGGGCCCGGGACCCTGGGGAGTTTCCTGCTGGGGTGAGACAGTTGTTAGGTTTGCATTTCAGAACGTTCTGGTAGGGGCTGTGTAGCAGGGTGAGAATGAAGACCTGTGCAAGAAGAGAAGCCGAAAGGGTTCAAGATGGTAGGCAAAGTCATTTGTCATCAACGTTTGCTCGTTCCGCACCTGGGAGAACGCGAGTGCTTTCCTTCTACTGCACAGGTCACCTCTTAGCCCCCTGTTGCAGCTCCTACTCATGCTTCTCCTATACCAGACTTCTTAGCTCTTGGGCACCTCCCTTTCATTTCCTGCAGGCACTTCACAGTCAACAACTGTTAAACTTTTCCGTTCCCCCACCATCTCTGACCTTTCAGAATTTCCCATCTCAGGTGGGTCTCTTTCCCACGTGGTCCCACAGGCCACCACTAAACCCAGTCATATGGAGATATCTGCTGAAATGTGTGCCAGCTCCTCAGGATATGACCCCCTCAAGGACATGGACAGTGGTCCAAAGTCACAGCGCTCAGCATACAGTCTGACTCCACCAAAGGGAAGTTAGGCAACTCGGTTCCCTGTCCCCCCCGCCCCCCCAGTGAGAGCCCATCCTTCTAGTTCTTCCATATCTCACGTATTCAATCTTTTCTCTCCATCCTAATTCTCATCCTCTCCCAAGGACCACTGTGAGCCATTTCCACTCTGTCCAATTCAACAATTGCCTCACCTGGGAAGCCACCTTTCCTGTTCACCTGCCTCCCCTCTGGGAGGCCCACCTTTCCCAAACCCCACATCACAGGTATGGGTGTATCTGTCTTGACCACTCACCTCCCTTTTCTCCCAGGGCTGTGATTTCAGGTCACTCAGCTTCCTGTCCCAGAGACCTTGGCACATGGATGGAATTCATTGTGGGAACTGGATGGATGTGTGAATTAACTATTGAGTAAAATGATTGATAAATCACTTGAGTAGAAAGGGCGCCATGGCTCACGCCTGTAATCCCAGCACTGGGAGGCCTAGGCAGGTGGATCCCTTGAACCCAGGACTTCGAGACCAGCCTGGGCAAAATGACAAGACCCCGTCTCAATAAAAATAAATAAATTGGCCGGGCGCGGTGGCTCACGCCTGTAATCCCAGCACTTTGGGAGGCTGAGGCTGGTGGATCATGAGGTCAAGAGACCGAGACCATCCTGGCCAACATGGTGAAACCCCGTCTCTACTAAAAATACAAAAACTAGCTGGGCGTGGTGGCGCACCTGTAATCCCAGCTCCTCGGGAGGCTGAGGCAGGAGAACTGCTTGAACCCGGGAGGCGGAGGTTGCAGTTAGCTGAGATCGCGCCACTGCACTCCAGCCTGGCGACAGAGCGAGACTCTGTCTCAAAAATAAATAAAATAACTGAGTAATATTTGGGTGGATGGATACACTTTTGGATGGATAATTAGGTCTTAACCCCCTCAGCAGGCTCTGAGATTTGGCTGCTCCCTCCTGGAAACTCACCTCTCTGACCTCTCTCCTTAGCTGGAGACCACCAGGCCCACTGCCTGCCTCCTGTCTCCACATGCATGTCTCATAGTTTGCTGAAACTTGACATTTCCTGAAATAAATACTTGGTTTCTTCTTTAAACCACCCCGCCTACTCTCTGTGCTCCATCCAAGTGGTAAAGCCGAAGGCCTGAGCATCATCCTAGACTTTATTTGCCTCCAAATCCCCATAACCAATCAAACAATTCTTGTCCATTCTGCCTCCTAAACAGCTCTGTGACTCACCCCTTTCTGTCCTCCTGTGACACACGTAAAGTGCAGTACAAGCTTTGGCATTCTAGGCCCCGCTTCAATCCCTTCTTGGGCAGTCTCCCTCAGCCCTCTCTTGCTGAACCCTAGAAGCTCCTGCTATTTCGTTTCTGGGCCACTCTTCTATTCCCGTATTTATGTAATAGAGTAGTCTTTGAATGTTTGCTCTCATTTCTGAAAAACCACATATCCATTCCACAGTTTTATGTTGCTAAAGTTTCTCATCATAAGCTCAAATAGTTGCAAAAGATACAATTTCTGGTATGTTTTAATATTTATATTTTAAAGTAAAATGGCTACATGAGTTGTAATATATCTAGTGGAATCTGAACACCATACATACCATTTTTTTTTGAGATGGAGTTTCGCTCTTGTTGCACCATACTATTTTTATTCCAAATCTCCATTTGAAGATTTACTTAACTCTTGTTTAATATTAGTTACTCCATATTGCCGCCTCCTTTTTTTTTTTTTTGGCCTGAGTTGAGTCTATTTCCTTCCTCTGTCACCCACCGAACTTAACCTAAGTAATATATTTTTATTCTTGGAAGTCTTCTATTTTTGAGACTGAGTCTTGCTCTGTCGCCCAGGCTGGAGTACAGTGGTGCGATCTCGGCTGACTACAACCTCCACCTCCCTGGCTCAAGCAATTCCCCTGCCTTGCTTCAGCCTCCTGAATAGCCGAACATCACCATGTCCGGCTAATTTTTTTGTATTTTTTGTAGAGATGGGGTTTCACGATGTTGGCCAGACTGGTCTCAAACTCCTGACTTCAGCCAATGTGCCCATCTGGGCCTCCCAAAGTGCTGGGATTACAGGCGTGAGCCACCGCACCCGGCCATTCTTGGAAGTCTTTTACTGGCCACATGTTGAAACACTCCTCTTCCTTTCTGTGTCTCCCTGGCACATCACCTGATGCCTGCAGTCACTGAGAGCCTGTTCCCTGGCACCTTGTTTTCAACATACAGGTTGAGCATACCTAATCCAAAAATCCAAAATTTGTCTGGGTGTAGTGGCTCACACCTGTAATCCCAGCACTTTGGGAGGTCAAGGTGGGTGGATCCCTTCAGCTCAGGAGTTTGAGACCAGCCTGGGCAACATGGTGAAACCCCATCCCTACAAAAAATATAAAAATTAGCCAGGTGTGTTGGTGCACACCTGTGGTCCCAGCTAGTCGAAAGGCTGAGGTGAGAGGATCCCTTGAACCCAGCAGATCAGGCTTCATTGAGCTGTAATTGTGCCACTGCACTCCAGCCTAGGTAACAGAGTGAAACCCTGTCTCAAAAAAAAAAAAAAAAAAAAAATCTGAAATCCAAAAATGCTCCAAAATCCAAAACTTTTTGAGCACCAGCATGACGCCACAGGTAGAAAATTCCACACCTGGCCTCATGTGACAGGCCATATTGAAAAGTCAAAACTTTGTTTCATACACAAAATTATTTGAAATATATAAGATCTGCTGGATGCGGTGGCTCACACCTATAATCCCAGCACTTTGGGAGGCCGAGGAGGGCAGATCACGAGGTCAGGAAATCGAGACCATCCTAGCTAACACGGTGAAACCCCGTCTCTACTAAAAATGCAAAAACAAAATTAGCCGGGCATGGTGGTGGGCCCCTGTAGTCCCAGCTACTCGGGAGGCTGAAGCAGGAGATCAGCGTGAACCCGGGAGGTGGAGCTTGCAGTAAGCCGAGATTGCGCCACTGCACTCCTCCTGGGCGACAGAAGGAGTCTCCGTCTCAAAAAAAAAAAAAAAAAAAAAGAAATATATAAAATCATCTTCAGGCTATGTGTATAAGGTATATATGAAACATAAATTATTTAGACGTGGGTCCCATTCCCAAGATATCTCATTATGTATATGCAAATATTCCAAAATC
The DNA here is from genome assembly GCF_000001405.40 of Homo sapiens. Taxonomy (NCBI): domain Eukaryota; kingdom Metazoa; phylum Chordata; class Mammalia; order Primates; family Hominidae; genus Homo; species Homo sapiens. The sequence continues at coordinate 43,358,384 of NC_000010.11, read as the reverse complement.
CAAAAAATTCCACAATCAGAAATATCTCTGGTCCCAAGCATTATTTTTTTTTTTTTGAAACAGAGTCTTGCTGTGTTGCCCAGGCTGGAGTACAGTGGCACGATCTCAGTTCAGTGTAAACTCTTCTTCCTAGGTTCAAGTGATTATCCTGCCTCAGCCTCCCTTATCTTGGAATTACAGGAGTCCACCACCACGCCTGGCTAATTTTTGTATTTTTAGTAGAGATGGGGTTTCACTGTGTTGGCCAGGCTGCTGGTCTTGAACTCCTGACCTCAAGTGCTCGGCCAGCCTTAGCCTCCCAAAGTGCTGGGATTACAGGCATGAACCACTGCGGTGGGCCCATTTTCTTTCTTTTTTTCTTTTTTGAGACGGAGTTTTGCTCAGTTGCCCAGGCTGGAGTGCAAGGGCGTTATCTCGGCTCACCGCAACCACAACCTCCGCCTCCCGGTTCAAGCGATTCTCCTGCCTCAGCCTCCCGAGTAGCTGGGACTACAGGCGCCCGCCACTGTGCCCGGCTAAGTTTTTGTATTTTTAGGAGAGACGGGGTTTCACCATGGTCTCGATCTCCTGACCTCGTGATCCACCCGTCTCGGCCTCCCAAAGTGCTGAGATTACAGGCGTGAGCCACCATGCCCGGCTAATTGTGTATTTTTAGTAGAGATGGGGTTTCTCCATGTTGGTCAGGCTGGTCTCGAACTCCTGACCTCAGGTGGATCTCCTGCCTCGGCCTCCCAAAATGCTGGAATTACAGGCATGAGCCACCGCACCTGGCCCCATTTTCTTTTTTTAATACAGAATCTCACTCTGTCACCCAGGCTGGAGTACAGTGGTGCAGTCTCAGCTCACTGCAACTTCTGCCTTTGGAACTCATCCTCCCACCTTAGTCTCCTGAGTAGCTGGGACTACAGGTATGTACCACCACGCCCAGCTAATTTTTTTTTTTTTTTTTTTTTTTGAGACGGAGTCTCGCTCTGTCGCCCAGGCTGGAGTGCAGTGGCACAATCTCGGCTCACTGCAACCTCCGCCTCCCAGGTTCACGCCATTCTCCTGCCTCAGCCTCCTGAGTAGCTGGGACTACAGGCACCTACCACCACGCCCGGCTGATTTTGTTTTTGTGTTGGGTTTCACTGTGTTAGCCTGGATGGTCTTGATGTCCTGATCTCGTGATCCGCCCGCCTCAGCCTCCCAGAGTGCTGGGATTACAGGCATGAGCCACCGCACCCAGCCAGCTAATTTTTTTTTGAGATGGAGTTTTGCTTAGTCGCCCAGGCTGGAGTGCAATGGTGCGATCTCGACTCACTGCAACCTCCACCTCCTGGGTTCAATCAGTTCTCCCACCTCAGCCTCCCGAGTAGCTGGGATTACTGGCGCCTGCCATCATGCCAGGCTAATTTGTATTTTTAGTAGAGAGGGGGTCTCACCATGTTGGCCAGGCTGGTCTTGAACTCCTGACCTCAGGTGATCCACTTTGGTCCTCGGCCTCCCAAAGTGCTGGGATTACAGGTGTAAGCCACTGTGCCCAGCCTAATTTTTGCATTTTTAGTAGAGATGGGGTTTCACCATGTTGAAACTGCCTAGGCAAAATTATGACTGAGACAGTGAAAGAGATCTAACTTAACCGACTACTTCTTGCTTCTAACTGCCAAGCTGCCTTTGTTCATTCCTGGATGTGGGCTGAACTAACTTTGGGAAAAACTTAGTTTGTAGTTTGTTTGTTTATTTATTTATTTATTGAGATGAAGTTTCGTTCTTTTGCCCAGGCTGGAGTTCAGTGGCAGGACCTAGGTGAGATCTCAGCTCACCACAACCTCTGCCTCCTGGGCTCAAGGGATTCTCCTGCCTTAACTTCCGGAGTAGATGGGATTACAGGCGCCCACCACCACACCCAGCTAATTTTTTTGTATTTTTAGTAGAGACGGGGGTTTCACCATGTTGGTCAGGCTGGTCTCAAACTCATGACCTCAGGTAATCCACCTGCCCCCTAAAGTGCTGGGAGGTGAGCCACCTCGCCAGGATTGCTTGCCGTTTATAGTTTAAACAAAGATGGTAACAGCCCTTTCTCAAAGCAGACTTCCTTCTTGCCTGGGGACTAGGCTAACATTAGCCACAGAATTAGAAATAATGGTTTAGGAGTCATGCAGCTGGAGGCTACAAGATTCTGACCCTCCCTAAACTGCTGCTAAGATCAGTGCTTGAGATATTTTACAGACCTGCACTTGTGGATCAGCTGGCACCACCCAGATCAATAAACTGGCTTGTCTGACATTGTGTTCCACACCCAGGAACTGACTCAGTGCTAGAAGACAGCTTCTACTCCCTATGATTTCATCTCTGACCAATCAGCACTCCTGGCTCACTGGCTCCCCCTCTACCCACCAAGTTATCCTTAAAAACTCTGATCCCCGAATGCTCAGGGAGACTGATTTGAGTAATGATAAAACTCCAGCCACCCACACAGCTGGCTTTGCATGAATTACTTTTTCTCTATTGCAGTTCCTTGTCTTGATGAATTGGCTCTGTCTACGCAGTGGGCAAGGTGAACCCCTTGGGCAGTTACAGTGTTGGCCCAGATTACTTGAGGTCAGGAGTGCAAGACCAGCCTAGCCAACAGGGTTTGTGTGTGACTATGCCCGGTTAATTTTGGTATTTTTAGTGGAGACTGGGCCACCTGCCTCAGCCTCCCAAAGTGCTGGGATTACAGGCATCAGCCACTGTGCCTGGCTCCTTTTTTTTTTTTTTTTTTTTTTTTTGAGAAGGAGTTTCGCTCTTGTTGCTGAGGCTGGAGTGCAGTGATGTGATCTCGGCTCACTGCAACCTCCGCCTCCTGGGTTTAAGCTATTCTCCTGCCTCAGCCTCCTGAGTAGCTGGGATGACAGGCATGTGCCACCACGCCTGGCTAATTTTGTATTTTTAGTAAAGACGGGATTTCTCCATATTTGTCAGGCTGGCCTTGAACTCCCGACCTCAGGTGATCCACCCGCCTTGGTCTCCCAAAGTGCTGGGATTACAGGAGTGAGCCACTGTGCCTGGCCCATTTAAAAATTCTTAGTTGGCTTTGTGATTCTCAAATAAGGCAACACTTCCTTTCATAAAATGGAATAAATGTTCCAGGGAACTGAGCAGAGGAGGTTGGTTTTATAGACCAAAATGGCTAAAGAAAGCAGAAACAAAAAAGAAAAAGTGAATTGGTCGTTTTAAGGTTGCTTTCCTCCTAAGGCAAGAATGAGACAGAACAATAGAAAAAAGAACTGATTGACTAACCTCGGGTCCCTTTTTGTTGTAAGGATTAAAGGCAGAGGGAACTTCATTATCATGCCACTGAAGCTGGCCTGTTTGGGAAGTTGGACTGTTATCTCTCTCCTGATGGAAGGCCAGAGGTGACTCTGTTTTGGAGTAATTGTATTAGAATGAAAATGCTTTGAAAGTTATGTTAGATAAAAATTATAGGAGACCCCTGTGTTTTTTTTTTGTTTGTTTCTTTTTCTTTTTCTTTTTTTTTTTTTGAGGCAGAGTTTCAAGTTTTGCTTTTGTTGCCCAGGCTGGAGTGCAACCTCTGCCTCCCGGGTTCAAGCGATTCTCCTGCCTCAGCCTCCTGAGTAGCTGGGATTACAGGCATGTGCCACCACGCCTGGCTAATTCTTTTTGTATTTTTAGTAGAAACGGTTTCTCCATGTTGGTCAGGCTGGTCTCGAACTCAGGTGATCCACCCAGGAGACCCTTGTTTAGGACTAAGCTGATCCTAGCAGGAGCTTAGTCCAAAACAAGGGTCTCCTATAATTTTTATTTATATAATTACTTGGTATTTATGGATTGACTCAATACACACAGCTCACTGCAGTTCCAGGGGCTGCAAAGGGACAGCGCAGAGCTCCTGCCTCCAATGGATGATATCACAGTGGGCTTAGAGTGGGAGGAAGAAATAGATGTGTTATCTTCCCAGTGTTGACTGACGGGTGTAGTGAAGATTCATAAAGCAGGCTGTGAGGCAGAGTGCTGGGGCAGAGAGACAGCTTTCTCAGAGGTCAGAGTCAGTCAGTGAGAGAAACAGGTTTTCTTTTTTTTTTTCTCAGTAATCCTTGATCACTGTTTCTGAAGAAACAGGTTTTAAATATTTATAAGCCATAGTCATAAATTTCTCTTTGCTATTTCCTCCAGTTAAACTGAGCCAATGAAGTAAAATACTTACCCAGATTTTAGATTAAGGCATAATTTATGAAAAGGGTTTCTTATCTCAAACCAGTGGTTCATTCCAATAAATGTCTCTCCACTGAACTCCTTTATCTAAATCTTTATAAAAATAAGTTAGTTATGATGAGATTAAGCATCTGATAAGGGGAATCACTTATTTACTTGGTAGGAGTAGAATAAAAGAATGTTTTTACTGGCACTGAATGTTAAAGTTGAAAGAATCCCACGACACTACGATTTGGAAAGGTCTTGGTTCTGTGTTTGTTGGCATAGAATGTGACCATGAATGTCAGTAGTTTGTAGAGGCTTGTCTGTTAAATAAGTTAAAGAAATTATTGAATTTGTGGCCACCTGAAACCTAGATTCAAATGCAATCAGAGCTCCACATGTATTTGTTGTCTCCACAGCAGTAGCTAATATAAAATACCAACCATTTGTTATTTGGCCTCCCCAGTAAACAAAGGGAGCTGGTAGTGTGCTCTCCTATGATCAGACTACAAAAGAGAAGGAGAAGTGACTCAGAGCAATGTTTACCAAACCAGAAAGAACTATTGAAGAAGTCGAAATTTAGTAAACAATGGGGAAAAAAATCCAATCATGTTTTTAAAAATAGAGCACCAGGTTTTTTCTATAATGTAAAATTAAAATGTCTTGTGGTTTGATGTATAAATTCTTGAGAGCTATTATTTGCCTCTAAGTTCTTAATAAACTGGTAAAATATTTTAATATATTAACTTCTAATGATCAACATTGGGATTTTCCACACTGAGGGTCTGAATTTATAGCCTGCACCACAGAGGAATTGGAGAAACCATTTTGCTCTGAGGGATGGGTAGAGTTTGCTATTTTCCACCTTTTCACTGACACAGGTGATTAGGACCCCTCTAGGTTCCTGGGTTTGGGCAGACTGGGGGTGCATGGGACTCATTTCCAGTCCTAAATTGGCACACCTGCCTTAGAAAACAATCAACATTGTCTCTGAAAGCTGAAGTTGTGCACACGTGGTGCTCAGCAGGGATGCCCCAGGACCGGACACACCTGCCCCTAGAGGAGGAGGGCAGATCTGAAAGTGGGAGCTGAAGTTGGCACCATAGGTAGAGTTATCTCTAAGAAAAGAACACAAGATTAGGCCGGGCGGGCACAGTAGCTCACACCTGTAATCCCAGCACTTTGGGAGGCCATAGGCGGGCGGATCACCTGAGGTCAGGAGTTCAAGACCAGCCTGGCCAACATGGTGAAACCCCGTCTGTACTAAAAATACAAAAATTAACCGGGCAGCACGCAGCTGTAATCCCAGTTACTCAGGAGGCTGAGGCAGGAGAACTGCTTGAACCCGGGAGGCAGAGGTTGCAGTGAGCTGAGATTGCACCACTGCAATCTCGGCTCAAAAGATGGACAGAGACTCCATCTCGAAAAAATAAAAAAAAAATTAACCGGACATGGTGGCGCACACCTGTAAGCAGGAGGCTGAGGCACAAGAATCACTTGAACCCAGGAGGCAGAGGTTGCAGCGAGCCGAGATGGCGCCACTGCACTACAGCCTGGGCTACAGAGTGAGACTCTATCTCTAAAGAAAAAAGAAAAGAGCACAGAATTCTGAATATAATCAGTTTGTCTCAAAGTTTGTATTTATTTATAATGATAAAAGAATGATTTTAGAATGACAAAAGCAAAACAACTGCAAATTTTCAAAAGCATAGCATAACAAAATTCCAAAAGATAAATTTTAAAATTAATTCCCTCATAATTACATTTTGCTGCTACCAGTAACTGCATAATCATGATCACTGCTTCATATGATAATGATTTAGAATATTATAACAATTTCTTTGAGAAAGAATGAAGGATAAACGGGTCTTCTGGTGTGATTGACCCCCTCTCTTTTTTTTTTTTGAAGTGGAGTTTCACTTTTGTTGCCCAGGGTAGAGTGCAATGGCGCAATCTCGGCTCACTGCAGCCTCCGCCTCCTGGGTTCAAGCAGTTCTCCTACCTCAGCCTCCCGAGTAGCTGGGATTACAAGCGCCCGCCACCACACCCAGCTGATTTTTTTTTTTTTTTTTTTTGTATTTTTAGTAGAGACAGGGTTTCACTATGTTGGCCAGGCTGGTCTGGAACTCCAGACCTCAGGTGATCCACCCGCCTCGGCCTCCCAAAGTGCTGTGATTTCAGGCATGAGCCACCATGCCCAGCCGACTCCCTCTCTTAAATTTTTTTTACTAATAGCTTAGAAAATGTGCATTCCAGTTCACCACTTATTATTGCTAACATTTCCCCCCATACCAGTTGCCCTGAATATATGCTCCCCATTGCTAATGTGAAAGTTTTGGATATTGTCAAATTTGGGAAAACCTCTTTCAAGTGTTTTTCACATAGGAGCAGCAAGATTTCAGGGCTCTCACGTTCTCCAGTGCAGTGCAGTCTTGAACATTCTTTGAATTGAGGATGCTCATTAACTACATTGCTGCCACCAAACCCCCAAGAGCCTTGGCAGAGCCCCTGGGTGTGTGTGGGTAGGGGAGGTTTGGGGGGTGTGGAGGGGGCCTGGAACTAGGGTGGGCCCAGCGCTGGGCAGGGGTCTGGGTGTGGGAAGGTGACCAAAGTGTGACAGGGAAAGCTGTGAGGGAGGCCCTGGGCGTGGGAGAGTCAGACATGGGGTGGGGCCGGGACGTGGGGGACGATGGCTAGAGGGTGTGGGGGTCTGGAATGCAGGGGGCCAGGATACTGGGGGATCGGGCATTGCAGAAGTTGCTGGGCACGGGGAAAGCCGGGTGTGGGAGGAGACTCAGGCCATGGGGTGCGGGCTTAGGCGGCCTTGGGGAGCGGTTTTGAGTGTGGGGCGGGCGTGGGGTGCAGATCATGGGCCGGGATCTGAGCTAGGTGGCTGGTTGTGGGTGGGTCGGGCGGGGGAACGGGGGCCCGGGTGTGGGTGGGCCTGGTGCGTGGGGTTGAAGCTTCAGAAACTCCAGTAGTGCAGAAATGTTCCCACCAAGCACTGTCTTTAATAGAAAAAAACAAGGAACGACATATATTTGCACTGACACAAGAAACGTCTCCAGTGACAGGAGAGACCGTCGCGGTGCCGGAGCGGGTTGGGATGGAATTCGCGGTGACCCAGGCACTGACTGGCACGCGCGGCTGCGTGCGGGCACCGAGGAGCCGATGGAACTAGCGCGTAGAGCGCTGTTCACGCGGAGCTCCAAACTCTACAAGGAAGCCCCGAGATGGAGACAATGAAAAACAAGCACACGGTTCACGCTGGGGTCCCTTCGAGCCGCAGGAAAGGGAGAGGCGGCTCGCGGGGCGGCCTGCCGCGAGTTGAGATGCGCTGAGCACCGGGCACAGCGGCCGTTTGGAGAAGCAGACGTGCGGCTCATTCGGGGAGGGCGCAGAGGTGTCTCATGGGGGAGGCGCAGCCAGCTTCTGAAGTGGGAATAGAGGGATTGTTTCCAGGATTAGCAGCCATGGAGAGGGTGGGGGTGCAGGCTGGATAAGGGGCCGTTCTTGCGGATTGGCAGCCAGTTTGGGCAGCTCGGTTGGAGGGGTTGTTCTCCAGTATTACTGGCCATGGTTCGGGCAGCCTGGACTTTATGGGGGAATGCAGGGATTGTTTGGAGCAATCAGCACCCATAGGCTGGGCAGGCTCGATTCTTTATTGGGGGGTGTCTTGCTATGTTACCCAGGCTGGACTCAAATTCCTTGGCTCAAGTGATCCTCCCACCTCCTCAGCCTCCCAAAGTGCTGGAATTACAGGCGTGAGTTGCTGCACCCAGCCTGCTCAGTGACGTTGATGTTAGCCAGATTCCATCTTATCTATGGAAAACGGAAGCACAACAGGTGAAGTTGCCTGCCAAGTCAGCCAGCTGGTAAGTGGTGGGACTAGAATTAGATCCGGGCGGTCAGGTTCCAGCATCTGGGTCTCTGGGCACAGGCAACAGAGTGTTTGTTGAAGAATGCTGAATGTGGCCTACGGGTGGGGGAAGATAAGAGGAAGATTGCAGGTAAATGTCATCTCCTGACTGAGGAGGAGTTCACATCTCCTCCTTCCCCAGGCCTTCAACTGATGGACTTCCCAGCCATCTTCAGGAGGCTGCACTCATGAGGAGGCAGTCCTGGTTCTGATAATAAAGCCTTGGCCACTGGGTGGGGGCCAGATGAGGCCCCAGGGCTGGTCCAGGCAGGTTGGGACAGGTTCTGTTCCTCAGCCAGGAAGGGGTCTTCATCAAAGCCCAGGAAGAGTCACTGGCATCTCCAAGTCACAGTTCTTTAATTTGTATTTTTACAGAGACAGGGTCTCACTTTGTTGCCCAACCTGGCCTCAAACTTTTGGCCTCAAGTGATCCCCCTATCTCAGCCTCTCAGTGTTGGGATTAGGGGTGTGAGCCATCATGCCCAGCAAAGTTCACAGTTTTTTGTTTTTGTTTTTGTTTTTGTTTGAGACAGTCTCGCTCTGTCACCCAGGCTGGAGTGCAGTGGCGCCATCTCAGCTCACTGCAACCTCTGCCTCCCGGTTTCAAGCGATTCTCCTGCCTCAGCCTCCCGAGTAGCTGGGACTACAGGTGTGAGCCACCACGCCCGGCTATTTTTTGTATTTTTAGTAGAAACGGGGTTTCACCATGTTGGCCAGGCTGGTCTCGAACTCCTGATCTCAAGTGATCCACCCACCTCGGCCTCCCAAAGTGCTGGAATTACAGGAGTGAGCCACCATGCCCAGCCAGGTTCACAGTTCTTTATCAGCCTCAGTGGGACAGAGCTGGTTGGGAGGAAACCTCCATTTTTTGTGTGAAAAGGCAAGCATACTCACCAGGAGAATGAGACAGGCAAAGAGACATGGCAGTGGAATTTAGGAAGCTGGGAAACTGGGCCTGCTGCCACAGACAGAGTCCTAGCCCATCCTGGGGAAAGACCCACAGCAAGCCCATTTGTACCAACAAATCCCGGAGGACTAGGATGCAGAGCTCCTGGGAGCTTCTGAAATCGGGTGTTGGGCTGGGGCGGGAAGACTGTCTAGACACCACATGATGGGGAAGGGAAGAGCTCTTCCTGCTAGGGGCTCCCTGCCTGTCTCAGCTCAGGTCAGAGAAGATGCTTCATTTTCCACCATGTCTTGGGGTGCAGGGCCGGGGCGGGGACGGCTTCTGTGTATCTCAGTCCTTCCGCATCTCTCTGGCTTGGTTGGTATTGTCTGGGAGAGTCTCTCTATCTCTCTCTGGGTGTCTCTCTCCCTGTCCTTGCTCCATCTCTCTCTCTCCCTCTGCTGAACTGTTGTTTCCTTCTTTATCTCTGCATCTTTGCAGTGTCCAGGTGTCTCCCAGTGACCCTGCATTTGCTTGTTTCTGAAATTTCTGTGGCTTCAGATGTGTCCCTTTGTGTCCCCTCTCCAGGCCAAGCCAGCAACGCCCCACCCTGGCCACAGCCCCACTAGGCACGAAGCGAGTGGTTAGTGCATCTTGTCACACACACACAGGGCCCTTATTGAGGACTGGCCTCTGCCTCTAGCCAAGAGAGGGCGGTTTTTGTTCATGGAGACAGCTGAGCCCACCTCCTCTGGCCAGAAGGGGGCGGTCTAGGACAGTTCGGCATCAGTTCCACCCTCCCCACTGCTCTCCCTGGTGCAGACTCTCAGGATACAGGAAGTAGATTTTGGGTGTCTGCAAGTTTGCTCAAGCCTGAAGTTTTCTTTAAAAATCCGGACTAGTCCACTAATTGTCATGACATTTTACTTTTTATTTGTTTTTATTTTTGCAGAGACACTTCCAGGTTAGGGAGAGTAGATTTTGAGTGTCTGCAAATTTGCTCAAACTTGAAGTTTTCTTTAAAAATCTGGCTAGCCCACAAATTCTCACATCATTGTAAAGATTTATAAAGTTGCTGGTGTGGCAGCTTTTCTTTGTTGGGCCCTGGTTTCCTCTACTATAACTTGGGGATGATGGTATCATCCATCTCAGGGTAGAGAAGATGAGATGAATAATGCCCCTGCAGGGCTTAGGCCAGCCCTTCGTACACAGCGTGCTCAGTGCACCTCGAATACCATAAACTTCACATTCCTGTATATCCCTTCCCTTCTCCTCACTGGCTGTGCTGCCTCCTGGGTGCCTGCCTCAACAGGCACTCAGTTTCCCCACTGGCATCTTGATACAGGACTGGACAGGACCGGACAGGACCATCTGGAGCTTTTGGTGGGAAAAGCATGTTTTCCTGGTGTCCAGGTGCCTTAACTAAGCTTCCCTAACCATTAAGTATCTGGATATACATTTATTGAATAACTTTATGTATCTTATCTATCAAGAAATGTGTGGCTAGGTACGGTTGCTCACGCCTGTAATCCCAGCACTTTGGGAGGCTGAGGCGGGTGGATCACCTGAGGTCCAGAGTTCGAGACCAGCCTGGCCAACATGGTGAAACCCCGTCTCTACTAAAAATACAGAAATTAGCTGGGCTTGGTGGTGGGCACCTGCAATCCCAGCTACTTGGGAGACTGAGGCAGGGGAATCGCTTGAACTCGGGAGGTGGAGGTTGCAGTGAGCCAAGATCATGCCACTGCACTCCAGCCTGGGTGACAGAGTGAGACTCTGTCTCAAAAAAAAAAAAAAAAAGTGAATATATGGTATTTTTTACCTTTTTCTTTTTTTTCTTTTCTTTTTTTTTTTTTTTTGAGATGGAGTCTCGCTCTGTCACCCAGGCTGGAGTACAGTGGCGCAGTCTCGGCTCACTGCAAGCTCCGCCTCCCGGGTTCACGCCATTCTCCTGCCTCAGCCTCTCCGAGTAGCTGGGACTACAGGCGCCTGCCACCACGCCCGGCTAATTTTTTTGTGTTTTTAGTAGAGACGGGGTTTCACCGTGGTCTCGATCTCCTGACCTCGTGATCCACCCACCTCGGCCTCCCAAAGTGCTGGGATTACAAGCGTGAGCCACCGCGCCCGGCCTTTCTTTTTTTTCTTGAGACAAGTTCTTGTTATGTTGCCCAGGCTGGTCTCAAACTCCTAGGCTCAAGCGATCCTCCCAGGTTGGCTTCCCAAGTCTGGGACTACAGTGCAGGCCACTGTGCCCCATACTTTATAGTATTTCTATAAATAATGTCCCTTTAAACATTATATTTATCCAACTGCGATATATATATGCAAATGTATAACTTTACCAATTTACAGAGAGACATATGTGTGTATATTTGCATATCTATATCTATATCATTTCTCCACTTAGAATTAATTTTAGCACTATTCTACATTTTTTCATCATTCTTTCAATATTTATGTAACCACTATAGTTATCCATTCTATGTATTTATGCATGGTGATTACTAAACTACTCTACATTTCTACGTGTAGGAAGATAGATGTGTAATACCTTTCTTGCTTAGATAGCATGTAAATCCCCTCCATGTTGTATAAATATATTGTATCCTATATGCTTTATATCACTGATGTGTGTACCTTGCCCTGCTCTTTGTGAGGCTCTCAGCCTTGCATATGTGGGCACTGAACTCTTGTGTTGGGAAGTGGCATTAGGAGCCGTCATCTTCTGGCAGGACCTCATGGCTGATACTATACATGTACATATATGTGTGTGTGTGTGTGTGTGTTTGTATGAGTGTGTGTGTGTATATATATATACACACCATACTTTTAACTTTTTTATTTTTATTTTATTATTATTATTTTGAGACAGAGTTCTGCTCTTGTTGCCCAGGCTGGAGTGCAATGGCGCGATCTCGGCTCACTGCAACCTCTACCTCCTGGGTTCAAGCAATTCTCCTGCTTCAGCCTCCTGAGTAGCTGGGATTACAGGCACTATGCCCAGCTAATTTTTTTTTGTATTTTTAGTAGAGACGAGGTTTCATCATGTTGGCCAGGCTGGTCTCAAACTCCTGACCTCAGGTGATCTACCCGCCTCGGCCTCCCAAAATGCTGGGATTACAGGCGTGAGCCACTGCACCCAGCCAAAGTCTTGCTCTGTCACCCAGGCTGGAGTGCAATGGCGCACTCTTGGCTCACTGCAATCTCCGCCTCCCAGGTTCAAGCAATTCTCCTGCCTCAGCTTCCTGAGTAACTGGGATTACAGGCAACTGCCACCATGCCTGGCTAATTTTTGTATTTTCAGTAGAGATGGGGTTTCACCATGTTAGCCAGTCTGGTCTCAAACTCCTGATCTCAGGTGATCTGCCTGCCTACGACTTCCCAAAGTGCTAGGATTACAGGAGTGAGCCACTGTGCCCGGCATTTAACTTTTTTATTTTGAGACAAGGTCTCATTCTGTCACTCAGGCTGGAGTGCAGTAGTGTGATCATGGCTTACTGCAGCTTCAACCTCCCAGGCTCAAGTGATCCTCCCACCTCAGCCTCTTGAGTAGATGGAACCATAGGTGTGAGCCACCACACCCAACCTTATTTATTTATTTAGCACTTTAATTTCTTTCAACAATGTTTTGTATTTTTAAGAGTACACATTTTGCAATTATTTTGTTAAATTTACTCCTAAGACTCCTCTTTTTTTTTTTTTTGAGATGCAGTTTTACTCTTATCACCCAAGCTGGAGTGCAATGGCGTGATCTCCACTCACTATAACCTCTGCTTCCTGGGTTCAAGTGATTCTCCTGCCTCAGCCCCCTGAGTAGCTGGGACTACAGACACCCACCACCATGCCCGGCTAATTTTTGTATTTTTAGTAGAGACAAGGTTTCACTATGTTGGCTAGGTTGGTCTCGAACTCCTGACCTCAGGTGATCTGCCTGCCTCAGCCTCCCAAAATGCTGGGATTACAGGCGTGAGCCACCACGCCTGGCCAACACTCTTTTTTTCTTTTTTTTTTTTTTGAGACTGTCACCCAGGCTGGAGTGCAGTGGCACGATCTCGGCTCATTGCAAGCTCCGCCTCCCGGGTTCACGCCATTCTCCTGCCTCAGCCTCCTGAATAGCTGGGACTACAGGTGCCTGCCACATGCCTGGCTAATTTTTTTGTAATTTTATTAGAGACAGGGTTTCACCATGTTGGCCAGGATGGTCTCGATCTCCTGACCTTGTGATCCGCCCGCCTCGGCCTCCCAAAGTGCTGGGATTACAGGCATGAGCCACCGTGCCCGGCCAGCTTTTCTTGAATAAAGAAAAGAGAGTGATGAGACAGAGAAGCAAATGCCAGCTCAGCTTCAAAGCAGGAGGAGCGAGGAGGCAGGGACAGAGGGGATGCTGGGGGAGTCCAGGGGGGATTTTGGCAGTGCCCATACCCTTCACCATCCCACATCAGAAGTTCCATGTCTTCTCCAGAGCCCAGGGCCAATTTTCCCTTCTCAGGAAAGCCTCCTGACTGCTGGGATCTCACACTCCTCAGCTGTTTGTCTATACCTTTCTGTAATTTTTTTTGAGACAGGGTCTTTGTTCTGTCACCCAGGCTGGAGTGCAGTGGTGTGATCACAGCTCACTGGAGCCTAAAACTCCTGGGCTCAAGAGATCCTTCTGCTTCAGCCTGCCCAGTTGCTGCACAATAGGCATGCACCACCATGCCTGGCTAAGGTAAAAAAAATTTTTTTTTGCAGTGACAGGGTCTCACTATGGTGCCCAGGCTGGTCTTGAATTCCTGGCTTCAGGTGATTTTCCTGCCTTAGCCTCCCAAAGTGCTGGGATTATAGGCATGAGCCACTGTGCCTGGACACACTTTTCTCTTAACTTTACTACTCTGTCTTCTGTGACAGGTGGCTGCTTCCTCTGTACACCTCACCCCAAATCTGAAAGCTCTTGGAAGGAGCAGTGCCTCACACACACCACAGCCATTCTGGTGCCGGGTTGGAGCAGCTGCACATTTATAAACGCCTGCCCATTGCCTGATCTCAGGGTGCCACTGAGGACGAGGGGCCTGTGCACAGCACGCGTGTGATGTGCACTTCTGGGTCACAAGAGTCCTGGGGAGACTCCAGAGGAAAAACCACCCATAGGCACTATGCCATGACCACACCCATGGACAACAGGACAGTTGTGACTCAGTCACCAGGAAGAACGCTGGCCAGAGATGAGAGATTCTGAGGGTGATTTTCTTTCCCTGACCTGATGAGCCAGAGCTCTGGCCACTGCGCTGTCTCCCGGGGCCAGCTGAGAGAACTCCACCTCCAGAGGCCCAGAGCCTTGGAATGGAAGGGTGCAGCTTGCAGGGGCTTCTATTAGGGACACAGAGGGCCAGACACCAATAAACTGCCCTCTGCTTGCTGCCATTAGGGTCAACAGAATCAGTGCTGCGGGGACCAACTCAGCCTGACCCACTGTGAACAGTGCCCTGCTCACGGTGCTGGGAAGATACCAACATTTGTGAAATATGAGGCACATTGTTTTCTATACATTTGGGGGAAAATGGCAACTGTAAAAATGACATAATAGGCCGGATTTGGTGGCTCACGCCTGTAATCCCAGTACTTTGGAGGCCGAGAGGGGCGCATTGCTTGAGTCCGGGGTTTAAGACTGGGCAATATCTCGGAACCCTATCTCTAGAAAGAATACAAAAATTAGTTAGACAGCGGTGCCTGCCTGTGGTCCCAGCTACTTAGAAGGCTGAGGCGGAAGGATCGCTTGAGCCTGGGAGGTGGAGGTTGCAGTGAACTGAGATCCCACTACTGCACTCCAGCCTCGGGGACAGAGCCAGACCGTGTCTCAAAAAAAAAAAAAAAAAAAAAAAAGTAGCAGAGGGTGGAGCTGGACAGACCTGCTGTCCTGTGTTGGTTCTTATTACTGGTATTATTACCAGTGCCCACCTGCTGATTCGGACTCTTAGCGACCCCTCCACAGCACTGTCCTGAGGGTGAAATGAGATCGGGGACAAAGTGCCACCAACTGGAAAAGGTTAACTCAGAACCATCTGGCACCCACCAGAACTTCCTACGCCGGGAGTGCGTCAGAACCAGCCGAGGGTGTGAAAGCGGACACTGTCACACTGTGGTAGGATTCTAAATCATTCACTATTTACATGAGCACAGAAATAAACTAGAATAAGATGTGTTAATTTTCTGTGTTAATTATCACAGACCGCACTCTATCCCCTGGCGGTTCTGCAGGTCGGAGCCGGGTATGCGCTCCTCCTGAAGCGGGCTCACGGGCCTGGCGGGCCCAGGACAAGGGGTGGGGGTAGGAGAAGGGAGGGCTGGGGGCAAAGCAGCCTCTCCCCGGCCTCGCCCCGGGCCCACCAAGCCTGGTGACCCACCCCGCCACCGTCTCCATGGTGACGATAAACAGGCCTCCTCCTTCGCCTTGCCAGCGCCCCCACGTACCCAGTCTCTGGTGGAAACTAGGGAGATGGAACCCTGGGGTGAGGAGCAGGCCCTGGGGTGGAGGGTGGGGGGCCGGAGGGCCTGGCAGGGCACGGGCGGCCTGGGCCCAGCGCAGCAGGCACTGGGGGGACAGGGGGGGAGCCCCCGAGCTTAGCCTGGCAGGGCCGGACCAGCCTGGGCTCCGTTGCTCTCACCGCCTGCACCCCCTTAACCCTGGGCGCGACACCACTCCATGGGCCAAGCCCCAGGACTCCACCCTGCGCAGCACCCGAGCGCATGGCAGCCCGCACACGCTGTCCCTGACACCCTCTGCTGGCTTGCGTCAGCCACTCTCTCAAGGCGTTTTCCTGCCCGACTCTGCACACTCGGCCTTGGTTTCTCCTGAGAGCAGCCATCAGGAGCGCTCCTACTCGCCCGCTGCAGCCTCTGCCCACCTTCCTGCCTCTGGCTCCGGCCCAGCCCGGCGTCCTGTGCACCACGCGGTGAGCTGCTCGCGCCACCGTCCGCGCAGCCTCCCTCCCTCCCTGCCCTCCACTCCTTCAGGTCTCCCCAGTCTCCTCACTCCAGGATGTCCTTCCTGCGCGTCTCCCGGGGGTACGGAGACGGTGCCCCCCGCGGGGAAACATGCTGATTTTTTCTCTTTCTCTTTTTTAATTTTTAGTTTTTAAAAGATTTAAAGGCTGGGCGCCATGGCTCACGCCTGTAATCCCAGCACTTTGGGAGACCAAGGCGGACGGATCACTTGAGGTCAGGAGTTCGAGATTGGCCTGGCCAAAATGGTGAAACCTTGTCTCTACTAAAAATACAAAAATTAGCCCTACTTGGTGGCGGACGCCTGCAATCCCAGCTACTCAGGAGGCCGAGGCAGGAGAATCGCTTGAACCTGGGAGGCGGAGGTTGCAGTGAGCTGAGATCGGGCCACTGCACTGGGATTGTCAGGGTTGGAAATTGTCTCTAAAACATCCACTCCCATTGGTGACCTCATCCCTTCTTCCTGAAGGCACACGGTTCCCAAATGCTCCTCATATAAAAAAAAAAAAAAATTTAAAAAATGAGGGTTAGACGCCAGAAGTAGGTGGGAGCACCTTAACCCTGTGTGTGTTGTCAGGCCTGAGGGCCTCTTCCATCCCTGTCAAGGGGAATGCCAACCTTCTTTCCCTCCATACAGCACGGTTCTCTCCTAAAACCCTCTCTTGACCCCACTTCCATTTGCAACGACCACCTCAGTGCTTTGTGCCCCTTAACAGCAAAGTCACGCTGAGTTGTCCACCTTCATTGTTTCCACTTTCTCTCCTCCCACCCTAAGTCACTCTCCCTCCTTTCCCTCCAACTCCACCTGCCTTTTCCACCCGACCATATCATGGTTGATCATTTCTTTCTGAAATTGTTTGTTTTTTGAGATGGAGTCTTGCTCTGTCATGCAGGCTGGGGTGCAGTGGTGTAATCTCGGCTCATTGCAACCTCCGCCTCCCGGGTTCAAGTGATTCTCCTGCCTCAACCTCCTGAGTAGCTGGGATTATAGGCGTGTGCCACCACACCCAGCTGATTTTTTGTATTTTTAGTAGAGACAGGGTTTCACCATGTTGGCCAGGCTGGTCTGGAACTCCTGACCTCAAGTGATTCGCCCACCTTGGCCTCCCAAAGTGCTGGAATTACAGGCATGAGCCACTGCCGTTGGCCTGAAATATTTTTTTATTGGCCTCCAGCACCTCTGTCCCATGGTTCTCTTACCTCGCTGACCAGCCCTTGGTCTCCTCACTAGTTCCTCATCACTGTCCCAATCTTTTAATGTTGAAATGCCCCCCGGGATTGTCAGGGTTGGAACTTTTCTCTAAAACATCCACTGCCATTGGTGACCTCATCCCTTCTTCCTGAAGGCACACAGTTCCCAAATGCTCCTCATATCCTGGGCCTTTCTCCTCAACCCCAGGCTCTAATGCATTTGTTCCCCCAACATCTCCACCTGGACATCTCCTAGACACCTTGAGCTGAACGTACAGCCACTGATCTCCTTCAAACCAGTCATCCCATTCACCTAGCCAGGATTCTTGCGAACGCCTCATCTCTCACACCCAGCACACCACCCACAAGCAAATACTTCTTGTCAAGGCTGCAGGTACTTCCAGAAATATGAGTCACAGTCCGTGCTTCCTGCATTCCCACTGGTTCCTGCCGTAGCCTCCTGGCCGGACTCCCTGCATGCGCACTTGCTCTCCTCATTCACTTGTCAGCCAAGTCAACAGCAGCTCAGTCATCCCCACCCGTGTCCCTCCTCAGCTGCAAACCTTCTGAGGGCACCAACTTGCCTCAGAATCCAACCCGGAGTCTGCACAGTATTTCCCACGACCCTGTGTGAAGTTTGTTGTCCCCTCTCTGCCTTCACTTCCTCTTCCTCTCGCCCTTGTCCACTCTGTTCCAGCTACACTTGCTTTTCCAGCCATAGCACCAGGCACCAAGAGCACCAGACCTCTCCTGCCTGTAGAGTGTTAACACTGGTTCCCACCCTTGATAGCTCAGCACCTTCACATCTTCCTCTAATATTGCCTGTGAAACCTTCCCTAACTATCCTGTTTTAGAATGGAATTCTGCCACACTCCTCTTCCTTCCCGCCTAATTCTACCCGTAGCATTTTCACTGCCCCACACAATGCCCCAGGCCAGCCTCTCCCATGGCCGGGGCTCCTGTCTACTGCCTCCTACCCCAGCACTTAAAAAAACTCTAATCGTAGGCTGGGCGTGGTGGCTTACGCCTGTAATCCTAGTACTTTTTGGGACAGAGGCAGGCAGGTTGCCTGAGCTCAGGAGTTTGAGACCAGGCTGGGCAACATGGTGAAACCCTGTCTCTACTAAAAAAACAAAAAATTAGCTGGGCATGGTGGTGGATGCCTGTAAATCCCAGCTACTCAGGAGGCTGAGGCAGGAGAATCACTTGAACCTGGGAGGTGGAGGTTGCAGTGAGACGAGATCATGCCACTGCACTCCAGCCTGAGCGACAGAGCAAGACTCTGTCTCAAAAAAACTACAACAACAACAACAACAAAACCACTCTAATCGTTTCTACCCCAAAGCAGAAAGGAGTCCTCCCTCTCTCCCTGACCCTCTCCTACCCCACCCTGAATGAATTTCCCGTCTTATTTCTCCGTGGGGCTCCTCCCCTTGGCTTTCTTCCTGTCTTTATGACTCTCCTCCATACACACACGGCCCCTCTGAAGCCCATTGTCCTCCCCTGCCCCACCAGCCCCTCTGGCGTGGACTCTCTCCCCACTTCTGTAACAAGCCCCGTCGGACACTGCCAGCCCCTCAGGCTGCCGTGTGCATTCTTCTTTCCTTCTTGACACATTTCCGTCCTGAGTGTCTGTTCCCAGCGTGCATCTCCCCTTCTGTCCTCTTGCAGCAGTGTGGTTCCTAGCCCTGGCATCTCTGTGGGCCGTTTTGTCAAGGCTGCTCCTTGGTGCTCCTCGTTCCTGACCTCCTGACCACCTCAATGTGGGCAGTGTGGACTGGTGGTTAAGGAGGTGGTTCTAGTGCCGACTCAGGTGCAGGTCCTGACCCCACCGCTGCATGGCTGCGTGGCTTTGGGCCAGTCTCCTCCTCCTGGAGAGTCACATTCCCTTCCTGACAGTTGGAGATGAGGCCAACGCCTCCCCACTGGACAGCCCTCGGGCAGGGCCCCCTGGACACACTAGCCAGGAAGCCCTGCAGGTCCCCTCCACGTGGCCCTGCCTCGGACCTCAGCTAGCTAGCACTTGGCCTCGTACAGGCCTTTCTGCCTCTTGTGTGCCTGTGTCGCTCTCCTGACACTCCTGGAGGTTGGAGTGGTTTTTTGCCCCCACTGGTACAGCCAAAGCTCAGGGAATGCAGAATTATCCCCTCTTAACATCCATTCTGTTGGATGGAATTTTCTCAAGCACTGCTCTAGCCATGTCTGGTCCCCACCAGAAAACCTCCCCCATGGCCTCCTCTTCCCCTCATAATGTCCAGCACCTCAGCTCCAGCCATAGCATCCCCCTGACCCCTCCCTGTCTCATCCACCCCACCTCCCGCCCATGCAACAGTTCAAATCCACCGTGTGCTCAGTCAGCTTCACTCTTTGTTCTCTCCACACCAGATGCTGTCTGCCCGGCTGGCCCCCCAGGATTTGGAACTGCTGGCACGTCCAAAGCAATACACAGTTTAGGGTGGAGCCCTGGAGCTGCTCAGGGTTAGGCACAGAGGAGTCGTGCTCAGAGGGACTTTCCAAGGTCTCTGGCACTCTGTGCCCATGGGCAAGATCCTCTCAGGACTGAGGCACTCGGTCCCACAGCCACTGGGAAGAGTGGCTACTGGTGGCTCTCAGCTGAGTCCCCTGCAGGAATTACCCGCGGCCCATGGTCATGCCCCTCCTTTTGGTATCTTGGCACCTCCAGTAGCCTGGAAGGGCAGAGTTCCCTTGCCTCAAGGCAGGATGTCCCTGACCAGCCATCCCAGCACCAGAGCTCCCCCAGGGATCGGGCGAGGCCTCCGTTGTGGCATCCTGTCTCCTTCACTCTACCATGGGGGTGGCTCCTGCCTGCACAGGACCAGTTCGAGTTTTCCAGAGAACCTGACCTAGGGGCTTGGTTCCAGGGCAGGTGGAGGAAGCAGGCTCCACGTGGGATGTGCGAGCTGCTTCACATCACTGCTGGCGCTAACCCTGGTGGTGGGTGGCAGGTTGACGCCCCTGGCATGCTGAAGCAGGCGAAATTGTTAGAACTTAGAACCTCCACAGTTGGTGAATTAGAATGGGAGAATGTGCACTGGGGACGCCATGTAGGGGTGGGTTGCCCCTCCACACCTTTGGGTGTTTCTCGTAAGGTGGAACGAGAGACTTAGGAAAGAAAAAGACACAGAGACAAAGTATAGAGAAAGAAATAAGGGGACCCGGGGAACCAGCGTTCAGCATATGGAGGATCCCGCCAGCCTCTGCGTTCCCTTAGTATTTATTGATCATTCGTGGGTGTTTCTCAAAGAGGGGGATGTGTCAGGGTCACAAGACAATTGTGGGGAGAGGGTCAGCAGACAAACACGTGAACAAAGGTCTTTGCATCATAGACAATGTAAAGGATTAAGTGCTGTGCTTTTAGATATGCATACACATAAACATCTCAATGCTTTACAAGCAGTATTGCTGCCCGCAGGTCCCACCTCCAGCCCTAAGGCGGTTTTTCCCTATCTCAGTAGATGGAGCATTACAATCGGGTTTTATACCGAGACATTCCATTGCCCGGGGACAGGCAGGAGACAGCTGCCTTCCTCTTGTCTCAACTGCAAGAGGCATTCCTTCCTCTTTTACTAATCCTCCTCAGCACAGACCCTTTACGGGTGTCGGGCTGGGGGACAGTCAGGTCTTTCCCTTCCCACGAGGCCATATTTCAGACTATCACATGGGGAGAAACCTTGGACAATACCTGGCTTTCCTAGGCAGAGGTCCCTGCGGCCTTCCGCAGTGTTTGTGTCCCTGGGTACTTGAGATTAGGGAGTGGTGATGACTCTTAAGGAGCATGCTGCCTTCAAGCATCTGTTTAACAAAGCACATCTTGCACCGCCCTTAATCCATTTAACTCTGAGTTGACACAGCACATGTTTCAGAGAGCACGGGGTTGGGGGTAAGGTTATAGATTAACAGAATCTCAAGGCAGAAGAATTTTTCTTGGCACAGAACAAAATGGAATCTCCTATGTCTACTTCTTTCTACACAGACACAGTAACAATCTGATCTCTCTTGCTTTTCCCCACATGCCATAGCTCAGTTTTCTGAGAGGTCCTGGGGATGGACGTCAATAAGGCCTGGAGTTGGATGGGTGCTGCTGAGACCATCGGTTAGAGAAAGACAGTGAAAGGCTAAGCATGATTCACCACCAATCACACCATAGCACAGTGTTGGTCACGGGGCCTTGAGGCTGCAGCTAAAGAGACTATTTCCTGCTACTGGAGGGCTAAAAATGCTGAGAATTGAGCCCAGGGCATAATTAGAGAAAATTATGAACTCTCAGTCCTGGTCAGTTTAGCTCCCTCTGTGGGGACAGAGGCTCCCTGAAGCTTGGAATGGGTTCGTCTGAAGGGAAGCACCCAGGTGCCCAGCCGCCACTGACTTGCAAGGCAATGGCCACCCTCAGGGCCAGCCACCTGCTCCTGGTCACACCCGAACTTGAGACTACACTTGGCTGGGGAGGCATTGGGCTTAGTAAGAAAGGGCAGGGACCAAATTCTAAAGAAGCTGCAGGACTTGGCCAAGGTGACTAGGAAGAGCGAGTCAGAGAGAGTTGTGCGTGTGCACGTGTGTGTGGCAGGCCTGAGGGTCCTGGGACAAGGTAGGGAGGGGGTAGAACATAAAGTTGGATAAAGTAGAGTTTATTTTTATTTATTTATTTACTTATTTATTTGAGACAGGGTCTTGCTCTGTTGCCCAGGCTGGAGTGCAGTGGTGCGATCATGGCTCACTGCAGCCTTGACTTCAAAGCAGTCCTTCCACCTCAGCCTCCTGAGTTGCTGGGGCTACAGGCATGTGCCAGCATCACGGGCTAACTTTTTCTATTTTTTGTAGAGATGGGGGTCTCACTATGTTGCCCAGGCTGCTGTGAGAACACTCTTCTAAGATACAGGATATAACATCCTAGAAAGAGCCCAGGAGGTGGGGCCAACATGCTGCCTGTGTAGCCCCTGGAGGCTTGGAGAAAGCATGGCCCTCTCTAAGCAGAGGTGCCAACATTGCTGTGGCAGCCAGGGACATCCGACCTTCCCAGAGCTGTGGAGGTGGCGAATTGAGCAGGTTATTCCTGTGGCCAAGGAGGAGAACAGCCCACAAAGTCATTGCTTAATCTACACAACCAAAAGAAATCCAAGATGGGAGATGGAGGCTGAGGGCAGCTACCCCAGTGAAAAACTTCAGACCAGACCCCAGTGCCTGAAGGAGAGGCTGGGTTTCCAGGAGGAACAACTCCTTCACGGCAGTGAGTGAGTGGTCATGATTCCTCAGTTCTTCCCCAGTGGCACTTATGGCTATTTACTAGAGTTGCCACATACTAGGTAAAGAGGAATTTAAACATTTCAAGTGCTGCTAGACACAGAATCCATCTTGGCATTGATACCCAGGGACCCAAAGCCTTATTGTGGTCCCCTGGTAGTGTTGGGGCTATATGAGAGTTAGGCAATAGAGTTTTGACCCAGGCCCAACTCACTGTAGGTCCACTGCATTCAGGAATCCACCCAGAGGTCCCTTTCCCAGGTTCTATGCATGATTCAATAGACGTATCTGGTGTTTTGAGAGCAGCCACATTGATTTCTTTTTTTTCTTTTCTTTTTTTTTTAGACGGAGTTTCATACTTGTTGCCCAGGCTGGAGTGCAATGGCACAATCTTGGCTCACCACAAACTCTGCCTCCCAGATTCAAGTGAGCTCTGTCACCCACGCTAGAGTGCAGTGGCATGATCGTAGCGTACTGCAACCTCCACCTCCTGGGCGCAAGAAATGCTCCCACCTCAGCCTCCTGAGTAGCTGGGACTACAGGTGTGCACCACCACGCCCGGCTACACCACGCCTGGTCTTGAATTCCTGGGCTCAAGGAGTCCTCTTGCCTCAGGCTACCAAAGTGCTGGGATTATAGGTGACAGCCACCGCACTCGGCCAAAATTGGAAGAATATATATATATATATACCCGGTGAAATAATCACCACAATCAAAAAAATGACTACATCCATCACTGAAAACTTTCCTTATGCCCTTCTGTGATCCTTTTCTCCCTCCCCCAAGGACCCCTTGGAGAGGCAAGGCAATGCCACAGGCAAGCACTGATCTGCTTTCTGTTTGATTCATTTGCGATTTCTAGAATTTTATATAGATGGAATCATACAATGTGTACTCTTTTGTCTGGCTTCTTTCCATTAGCATAATTATTTTGAGATTTATCTGTAGTGATGTGAATATCAATAGTTTATTATTATTTTTTCTTTTTTTCTTTTTTAGACAGGGTCTTGCTCTGTCACCCAGGTTGGAGTGCAGTTCATTCTTTTAAAATTGCTAAACAGTATTCCATAGCATGGATGTGCCATAATTTATGCATTCTTCTTTTTTTTTTTTTTTTGCCCCCGAGATGGAGTCTTGCTCTGTTGCCCAGTGGCTCTATCTCAGCTCACTGCAACCTCCGCCTCCCGGGTTTAATCGATACTCCTGCCTCAGCCTCCCGAGTAGCTGGGATTACAGGCACATGCCACCATGTGCCGCTAATTTTTGTATTTTTAGTAGAGGTGGAGTTTCACCATGTTGGCCAGACTGGTCTTGAACTCCTGACCTCATGATCCGCCCACCTCAGCCTCCCAAAGTGCTGGGACTACAGGGATGAGCCACTGTGCCTGGCTGCATTCTTCTGTTGATGGACACTTGGGTTGTTTCCAGTTTCTAACTATTACCAATAAAGTGTCTATACATATTACTGTGCAGGTCTTGTGTGGACTATGTTTTCATGAAACCTGGGTAAATCCCTACGAGTGAAGTGACTGAGTCATATGGCAGGTTTAACTTTTTTATTTTTGGAAACAGGGTCTTGCAGGCCAGGCGCGTGGCTCACG
Organism: Homo sapiens; assembly: GCF_000001405.40. Classification (NCBI taxonomy): domain Eukaryota; kingdom Metazoa; phylum Chordata; class Mammalia; order Primates; family Hominidae; genus Homo; species Homo sapiens. The sequence goes on along the minus strand of NC_000010.11, from coordinate 43,334,374 downwards.
CCTGTAATCCCAGCACTTTGGGAGGCTGAGGTGGGTGGATCACCTGAGGTCAAGAGTTCAAGACTAGCCTGCCAACATGGTGAAACCCCATCTCTACTAAAATACAAAAATTAGCACATTGTGGTGGCACGTACCTGTAATCCTAGTTACTTGGGAGGCTGAGACAGGAGAATCGCTTGAACCTGGGAGGTGGAAGTTGCAGTGAGTGGAGATTGTGCCACTGCACTCCAGCCTGGTTGACAGAGCCTGGGTGACATGGCAAAACAGGGTCTCGCCATGTTACCCAGGCTAGTCTCTAACTCCTGGGCTGGGCTCAAGCCATCCACCCTCCTCCACCTCCCAAAGCCCAAAGTATTAGGTGTGAGCCACCATCCCTGGCTGTATGCTTAACTTCATAAGAACCTGCCAAACTGTCTTCCGAAATGGTTGTGCCATTTCACATTCCCACCAGCAGTGCATGAATGTCCCAGTTTCTTCACACCCTCACTACCACTTGCCATGGTGAGTCTCTTTGGTTGTAGCCATCCTAGTGGGTGTGTCGCGGTGTCTCTTCATGGTTTCAATGAGTGTTTCCCTAATGACTAATGATGTTGAGCATCTTTTCCTGTGCTTATTTGCCATCAGCTTATCTTCTTTGCTGAGGTGATTCTCCAAATCTTTTATCCATTTTATTTATTTATTTATTTATTTTTGAGACAGAGTCTTGCTTTGTCACCCAGGCTGGAGTGCATCGTCGCAATCTCAGCTCACTGCAACCTCTGCCTCCCGGGTTCAAGCAATTCTCCTGCCTCAGCTTCCCAAGTAGCTGGGATCACAGTTGCGTGCCACCACACCCGGTTAATTTTTGTATTTTTAGTAGAGATGGGGTTTCACCATGTTGGTCAGGCTGGTCTCGAACTCCTGACCTTGTGATCTGCCTGCCTTGGCATCCCAAAGTGCTGGGATTACAGGCGTGAGCCACCGTGCCCGGCCTACCCATTTTTTTTTAAAAAAAAAACAGAAACAAAAATGCTACAGCGCAAGTGGCTGTTCACAGCCTTCCCTTTCCTTTGTGTCATGAGGAGGTGCGAGTGTTTGGCTGCTCCTTATGGGGCCTTTGCTGTGGGAGTGGGCAGAGATGGGAAGAGCCCAGGCTGATCCATGTTAGAACAGACCTGGGAGTTTTTGCCGGAAATCCAGCAGTCCTGTTGGAGGGGATGGGAGGGGAGAGGAAGAGAAGGCTGGAAGCTTAGGGGGAGAGAAGCAGATGGGGAGAGGGGAGGAGATACTGGAGGATCTGCTTTAAAGCGCAGCTTTGGTCGGGGGTGGGAAGGACGACATCAGGAAGTTTTGCTTTGCATCATGAGATGGGAGCCTACTCTCCACAGTCCTCCCAAGAAAACTTGAAGCAAAGCTCTCCATGACTGCTCAGGGTTTTGGACCTGCGTTACTTTTGGCTATGTCACTACATTGAGATGACATGGAGAAGGGTGGGGGTGGTTTTATCTGGGTGTTACATAAACACTGAGCAGTTGTAGCTTTATTTGTGGTGCTGGCCTTCATGGACCACTGCCTGAGATAGCAACAGAAGTACAGCGGTGGAGAGGAGTGGGTGGAGAAGCATTTTAAAAATAATATATGTTAAGAATTTTAAAATTTGGGCCAGGTGCAGTGGCTCATGCCTGTAATCCCAGCACTTTGGTAGGCCAAGGCTGGCGGATCACTTGAGGTCAGGAGTTCAAGACCGGCCTGGCCAACATGTTGAAACCCCATCTCTACTAAAAATACAAAAATTAGCCGGGTGTGGTGGTGCGTGCCTGTAATCCCAGCTACATGGGATGCTGAGACAGAAGAATTGCTTGAACCTGGGAGGGAGAGGTTGCAGTAAGCCGAGATCAGGCTATTGCACTCCAACCTGGGTGACAGAGTGAGACTCTGTCTCAAAAAAAAAAAGAGGATAAATTTCGAAATGATTATAAACCCACAGGAAGTTGCAAAAAAAAAAAAAAGTTCGAGGAAGTTTCGTGTACGTTTCACCCAGTTTCCCCCAATGATAACATCTTCTCTAACTATGGTTTAATATCAAAGCCAGGACGCTGATGTTGATACAGTCCTCAGAGCTTGTTTGTACTTCATCAGTGTCACATGCACTCACTTGTGTGTGTTGTATGTATGCGTGTGAATAGTTCAATGCAATTTTATCACATGTGTAGGTTCGTGTAACCAGCACCACAATCAAGATACAGAATAATTATCACCACAGAAGTCCTTCATGCTAACCCTTTACCTATGTCCGCCCCCTCCTCCTCTGCCCCTAAACCCTGGCAACTGCTAATCTGATTTTCATCTGTCTATTTTGTCATTTCAAAAATGTTATATAAATGGAATCACACAGTATATGGCCTTTTGAACTGGCTCTTTTTCACTGAGCGTAATTTGCTTGAGATCCATCCAAGTTGTTGAATATATCAATTGTCGGTTCCTTTTTATTGCTGAGTAGTATTACATGGTATGGGGGTATCAAAGTTTCTTTAACCATTCACCCATTGAAGAGCATTTGTGTTTTTTCCAGTTTTTGGCAATTGTGAATAATGCTGCTGTGGACATTTGTGGCCAGGTGTTGGTGTGAACAGTTTTCATTTCTCTGTGATAAATGTGAGTGTGGTTTCTGGGTTTTATGGCCAGTATATATTTAGTTTTATAAGAGACTACCGGCTGGGCATGGTGGCTCACACCTGTAATCCCAGCACTTTGGGAGGCTGAAGCGGGAGGATCACCTGAGTTCAGGAGTTCAAGACCAGCCTGGCTAACATGGTAAAACCCCGTTTCTACTAAAAATACAAAAAATTAGCCAGGCATGATGGTGCGCACCTGTAATCCCAGCTACTCAGGAGGCTGAGGCAGGAGAATTGCTTGAACCCAGGAGGCGGAGGTTGCAGTGAGCCGAGATCTCACCATTGCACTCCAGCCTGGGCAACAAGAGCAAAACTCCATCTTAAAAAAAAAAAAAAAGAAAGAAAAAAAGAAAGAAACTACCAAGCTATTTTCCAGGGTGCCTGTACCATTTTACATTATTTTTTTTGTGAGATGGAGTCTTGCTCTGTTGCCCAGGATGGAGTGCAGTGGCCTGATCTTGGCTCACTGCAACCACCACCTCCCAGGTTCAAGCCATTCTCCTGCCTCAGACTCCTGAGTAGCTGGGATTACAGGTGCCCGCCACCACTCCTGGCTAATTTTTAAATATTTTTAGTAGAGATAGGGTTTCATCATGTTGGCCAGGCTGGTCTCAAACTCCTGACCTCAAGTAATCCACCTGCCTCTGTCTCCCAAAATGCTGGGATTACAGGCATGAGCCACCGTGCCTGGCCACATTCCTAACAGTAATGTGTGGTCTAGTTTTTCTGCATCCTCACTATCATTTGGTGTTATCACTATTTTTTTTTCTTTCTTTTTTTTTTTTTTTGAGGCAGGGTTTTGCTGTGTCACCCAGGCTGGAGTGCAGTGGCATAATCTCGGCTCAATGCAGCCTCGATCTCCTGGGCTCAAGCGATCCTCCCACCTCAGTCTCCCAAATAGCTGGGACTACAGGTGTGAGCCATCATGCCCAGCTAATTATTTTTTGTAGAGATTGGGTCTCACTATGTTGCCCAGGCTAGTCTTGAACTCCTGGGCTCAGGCAGTCTTTCCCCCTCAGCCTTCCAAAGTGCTGAAACTGCAGGTGTGGGACACTACACCAAGCCACTGTTCTCTTTTTTTTTTTTTTTTTTTTTTTTTAGTATTTATTGATCATTCTTGGGTGTTTCTCAGAGAGGGGGATGTGGCAGGGTCATAGGATAATAGTGGAGAGAAGGTCAGCAGATAAACACGAGAACAAAGGTCTCTGGTTTTCCTAGGCAGAGGTCCCTGCGGCCTTCGGCCGTGTTTGTGTCCCTGGGTACTTGAGATTAGGGAGTGGTGATGACTCTTAACGAGCATGCTGCCTTCAAGCATCTGTTTAACAAAGCACATCTTGCACCACCCTTAATCCATTTAACCCTGAGTTGACATAGCACATGTTTCAGAGAGCACGGGGTTGGGGGTAAGGTTATAAATTAACAGCATCCCAAGGCAGAAGAATTTTTCTTAGTACAGAACAAAATGGAGTCTCCTATGTCTACTTCTTTCTACACAGACACAGTAACAATCTGATCTCTCTTTCTTTTCCCCACATTTCCCCCTTTTCTTTACGACAAAACCACCATCATCATCATGGCCCGTTCTCGATGGTTGCTGTCTCTTCCGAGCTGTTGGGTACACTTCCCAGATGGGGTGGCCTGGCAGAGGTGCTCCCCACCTCCCAGACGATGGGCGGCTGGGCAGAGGCGCTCCCCACCTCCCAGACGGGGCGGCCGGGCAGAGGTGCTCCTCACCTCCCAGATGGGGTGGCCGGGCATAGACGCCCCTCACCTCCCAGATGGGGCGGCCAGGCAGAGGCACCCACTTCCCAGATGGGGCAGCCGGGCAGAGGTGCTCCCCACCTCCCAGACGAAGGGCGGCCGGGCAGAGGCGCTCCTCACTTCCCAGGCGGGGCGGCCAGGCAGAGGCGCTCCTCACCTTCCAGATGGGGTGGCCGGGCAGAGATGCCCCTCACCTCCCAGACGGGGCGGCCGGGCAGAGGCGATCCTCACTTCCCAGATGATGGGCGGTCAGGCAGAGGTGCTCCTCGCTTCCCAGATGGGGCGGCCGGGCATAGGTGCTCCTCACTTCCCAGACAGGGCGGTCAGGTAGAGGCACTCCTCGCTTCCCAGACGGGGCAGCCGGGCAGAGGGGCTCCTCACATCCCAGACAGGGTGGTGGCCTGGCAGAGACACTCCTCACCTCACAGACGGGGTGGCAGCCGGGCAGAGGCGCTCCTCACTTCCCAGACGGGGCAGCCGGGCAGAGGTGCTCCTCACTTCACAGACGGGGTGGCCGGGCATAGGCGCTCCTCACATCCCAGAGGAGGCCGGCGGGCAGAGGCGCTCCTCACATCCCAAACGATGGGCGGCCAGGCAGAGACGCTCCTCACTTCCCAGACGGGGTGGCGGCCAGGCAGAGGCACTCCTCACTTCCCAAACGGGGCGGCCGGGCAGAGGGGCTCCCCACATCCCAGACGATGGGCAGCCAGGCAGAGACGCTCCCCACTTCCCAGATGGGGTGGCGGCCAGGCAGAGGCAGTAATCGTAGCACTTTGGGAGGCCAAGGCAGGCAGCTGGAAGGTGGAGGTTGCAGCGAACCGAGATCACACCACTGCACTCCAGCCTGGGCAACACTGAGCATTGAGTGAGCGAGACTCCGTCTGCAATCCCAGCACCCTGGGAGGCCGAGGCAGGCAGACTACTTGAGGTCAGGAGCCGGAGACCAGCCCGGTCAACAGGGGAAACCCTGTCTCCTCCAAAAATACAAAAACCAGTCAGGCGCGGCGGCGCTCGCCCACAATCCCAGGCACTCGGCAGGCCGAGGCAGGAGAACCACGGGAGCCCGGGGCAGGGAGGCTGCAGCTAGCTGAGACCACGGCAGTATAGTCCAGCCTCAGCAACAGAGGGAGACCAGAGGGAGAGGGAGAGGGAGAGGCCACTGTTCTTTATTTTAGTCACTGTGATAGGTGTATAGTGATTGTGGGTTTATTTGAGTTTCTCTAATAGCTAATCATGTTGAGCATCATTTAATAAGCTTATTTGCGAATGTATACCCTTTTTGGTGAAATATATATTTATGTCTTTTGCTCACATATGAATTGGATTTTTAAAAATTGGGTTGTTTGTCTTCTTATTATTGAGTTATGGGAGTTCTTTATGTATTCCAGATTCATGTTTTTTGTTGGATATATATTTCGCAAATATTTTTCACAGTATATAGCTCCCTTTTTCTTTCTAACAGTCTTTTGTAGAGCCAAAGTTTTAATTTTGAGAAAGTTCAATTTATTGATTTGTTGCCTTCATGGATTATGCTGTTTGTGTCTTATCTAAGTAATCTTTGCCAAACCAAAGGTTGTTAAGATGTTCTCCTATGCCTTCTTTAAGGAATTTGTGTGAATTACACATTAATCACCCTAAGAGTTCAGCTGCTGAAAGGACGTGCAGGACTCGGTTTATACTTGTGCTTTTTTATAGGCACAGTAGCAAAAGCAGAAGGCTATGCACTAAAGGGACTTTGAGATCTAGATATTTTTAACACTGGGACACATAGGATGCACTTTGATTTCAGATCTTGCCCTTGAACACTGTGTGTGGAAGCACCTCGGTCCCAAGAAGCCTGAAGTCGGCTCATGGTGGGAGTCTTAGAGTGAGCTGATCACATAGGTATGTTCCGACTTTGTGACCAGCTTTAGCTTTCAAAATTTTCCAGACCCCTCTAAAACCAGGTACAAATAATGAGTTCAATTATTATTGAACAATGCTGACAGGCTGGTAGTCCTGCCCTGAAGCAACTCACAGACTCATAGTTATAGAACATCTTTATCTTTAGTTAATCCATTGCACAGCATTGGCCAAGGGTCAATACCTTGTAATAAGCATGTGTGCATTGGTCAGGGTTCTACAGAGAGGCAGATCAATAGGAGCTATCGATAGATATAGACATATGAGAGGGGGTTTGTTAGGGGAATTAGCTCACTTGATTACAGAGGTTGAGAAGTCGCACAACAGGCTGTCTACAAGCTGGCAACTCTGAGATGCTGGTAGCATGGCCCAGTCCAAGTCCAGAGACCTTAGAACCAGGGAAACCAATTATGTAAGTCTCTGTCTGAGGCTGAAGTCGTGAGAACCGGGGGGCAGGAAGAGGAGAGTGTCCCAGTTCCAGGAGAGAGAGGGAAAATCCTTTTCCTTCCTTTTTTGTTCTCTCTGGACACCCAGCCAATTGAATGGTGGCTGCCCACATTGAGGAACATCTTCCCGACTCAGTGCAGCAACTCACACATCAGTCTCCTTGAAACACCCTCACAGACACATCCAGAAGTACTGTTTTGCCAGTTTTGTAGGTATTTCTTAATCCAGTCATGTCAACACCTAAAATTAACCGTCACAATGTGGTTAATCCAGATCAGCTGAGATTAACCCATGATAGCATGGGTTAATATATAACCCATGATAGCATGGGTAAAACTATAAGGCTTATAGTTTTAGCTAACACAAAAACTATGTTTAGGTGTATGATCCATTTTGAGTTAATTTAATTTTTTTTTAAGAGATAGGGTCTTTCTCTGTCACCCAGGTTGGAGTGCAGTGGTATGATCATAGCTCACTGTAACCTTCAACTCCTGGGCTCAAGGGATTTTTCTGCCTCAACCTCTCAAGTAGCTAGAACTACAGGTTTCTCAGGAGGTTGAGGTGAGAGGAGCCACCACACATGGCTAATTTTAAAACTTTTTGTAGAGATGGGATCTCACTATGTTGCCCAAGCTGGTCTCGAACGCTTGGTCTCAAGAAATCCTCCTTGCTTGGCCTCTGAATGCACTTTATTTTTGTATACCTAATTAATTGATATATATATTGACCTTGTATCTTCCAGCCTGCTAAACACATTTGTGGAGACTTCAGGGATCCAGTGGTTTGGGACATGCTTGGACATTCCTTCCAAAGTAAAAGACAAATGATTGCATCTCATACTTCCCACCAACGAGAATAAAGCACGATGCTTAGTAGGCTCCCTTGGGTTTAAAGGTAGCAAACCCCATAGGTGGGCATGCTGCTCTGGCCCCCTTATTGAGCTATATGAAGGCTCTGGGCCCAGAGCTGGAAAGGGCTCTGTAGCAAGTTCAGGATGTGGGTCAGCAGCCCTGCTCCTTCCATCATAAGATCCAGCAGACCTTAATGTATACGAGGTATCTATGGTAGAAAAAGAGGGCATTTGGAGTTTACGACAGGTTCCCATGGGAGAATCACAATACAGACAATTAGGGTTCTGGATCAAGACCACACCATCTGTAACTGATAATTATACATATACCACCCAAAAAACCAAACCCAACCAGAACAGCTCCCAGCATGCCACCGGGCCCTGATGGAGGCAGAGCACCCAGCAACAGACATCAAGCGACTCTGCAGCCAGAACTGCCCATCCTGAGCTGGGTTCGGCTAGAACCCAAGTTATAAAATCAGTGGTGGGCCCAACAGCCCCATTCACAGTATGATGGTGATGGTGCATTCCATTCTGGGCCAGAGCAGGGCCATGTGGCAGCCAGGAGCTGCACAAGCAGGTGGCCCAGGCCCCATATTGTCTGCAAAGGTTGCATCGGGCCCCTGTCTCACTCAGCTCAGAATTGGGGTAGAGGTGGGAGTAAAGGGGCCAAACTTGGGTCATGGCTTGATAGGTGGATGTAAGCCCCAAATGCTGCTGTGCTATAGCCTGCCATGGGACAGCCCTGAAAAACAGTGGTGGGGGAAAGTCCTCCCAATAGGCAGAAATTCTGACAGAGCAACCGTCATTCACTATGTGGAAAGAAGCGGACTGAGGTTAGAGTAAACATGAAACTGATGGACAGTGGCTGATGGCTGGGCTGGTGATCAGGGGTCTAGAAGGAGAAAGACTGGGAGGTGTGGTGGGCTGAAAAATGCCACCCCAGCAATGTGTGTCCATGTTCTCTTCCTGAAATCTGTGAATGTGACCTTACTTGGAAAAAGGGTCTTTGTACGTGTGATTCATTTAAGCATCCTCAGGTGAGGGTCATCCTGGGTTATCTGGGTGGGCCCTGAATGCCATCATAAGTGTCCTTGTGAGAGAGAGGTAGTGCGAGATTAGACACACACAGTTGGAAGGCCACGTGATGGTGGGAGCAGACATTGGGGTGTACAGCCACAAGTCCAGGAACACCCGCAGCCACCATAGGCAAGGCATGGGTTCTACCCTAGAGGCTCTGGAGGAAGTGCAGCTTTGCTGACACCTTAACTTCAGAGTTCTGGACTCCAGGACCTGTGAGAAAAAACTAGGCTGTTCTTTTAAGTCACTAAGTTCGTTGTAATTTGTTACAGCAGCCCAGGAAACTAATAAGAGAAGGCGGGGCAACAGGAGGTCTTTGCAGAGGCCTGTGATGGAGCTGTGGAGTGGGCATGTGAGGGTCCATGCAGCCCATGCAGACACCACACGTCCATGTGCAGTCTGCCTCTGTTGCAGTGCCCCGGCCTGTGGCTGATGGGGTCATGGGGACTCCCGGCAAGGACTTGCATTCATTCTCACATCTTGCCTCTGCCTTGTGCAGTGTGTTGTGATCTTGCCCACCACCCATGGCTCACACTGCATGGGAACTAGCCGCCTCCTTTTTCAACCCTTGTTAAGAAAGAATTTGTCTGGGTGACATCTGTCCTCTCTCTCCTCTGATGTTTTATCTTCTCTTTCTGTTGTTGGGCCAAGTTTTTGCTGCCTACAGCTGAAACTGCTCACAATTTCACATCATCCACTCTGTAAGGCAGGGCTTCTAGAACAGATAGTCCAGGGAGTTCTCACTCAGGGGGCTGCTCCCACTGGCATGGAGCTTCCTGAATGTAACTGCTCTGGCATCTTCTGCCGGGCACTGTTTTCTTTGAGCCGATGGAGTTCAGCTTTGTACCTGTCTGCACTTTGTTTAGCTTCCTCAGGAGGGTCTTTTAACCTCTACATTTTTGACCTATAAAATTTTTAATAAAATCTTGCAACTGGGGCCAAGCATGGTGGCTCATACCTGTAATCCCAGCACTTTGGGAGGCCAAGGTGGGAGGATCGCTTGAACCCAGGAGCTCCAGACCAGCCTGGGCAACATAATGAGACCCCCATCTCTACAAAAATAAAAATAAAAAATAAAATTAGCCAGGTGTGGTGGTGTGCGCCTGTGGTCCCAGCTACTCAGGAGGCTGAGGTGGAAGGATTGCTTAAGCCTGGGAGGTTGAGACTGCAGTGAGCTATGATTGTACCACTGCACTCCATCCTGGGCGACAGAGTGACACTCTGTCTTTAAAAAAAAAAAAAAAAACTTGCCATCAGCTCATAGATAACCAGCTTTCAAGTATATTTTAAAAATTCGGCTGGGAGCAGTGGTTCACACCTGTAATCCCATCACTTTGGGAGGCTGAGGCAGATGGATCACTTGAGGCCAGGAGTTCAAGACCAACTTGGTCAACATGGAGAAACTTCGTCTCTACTAAAAATACAAAAATTAGCTGGGCGCGGTGGCACATGCCTGTAATCTCATCTACTTGGGAGGCTGAGGCACTAGAATTACTTGAACCTGGGAACTGGAGGTTGCAGTGAGCCAGAATCGAGCCACTACACTCCAGCCTGGGCGATAGAGCAAGACTCTGTGTTAAGAAAAAAAAGTCCGGGTGCGGTGGCTCACACCTGCAATCCCAGCACTTTGGAAGGCCGAGGCGGGTGGATCACGAGGTCAGGAGATCAAGACCATCCTGGCTAACATGTGAAACCCCGTCTCTACTAAAAATACAAAAAATTAGCCGGGCGTGGTGGCGAGCGCCTGTAGTTCCAGCTACTCGGGCGGCTGAGGCAGGACAATGGCTTGAACCCGGGAAACGGAGCTTGCAGTGAGCCGAGATTGCGCCACTGCACTCCAGCCTGGGCGACAGAGCGAGACTCCGTCTCAAAAAACAAACAAACAAAAAATCTGTTTTCTTTTGGTCCCCAAAAAGCAAGCCGATTTTCCACTCATCTTTAAGCTTTGATACTTCCTCCAAGAGATTTTTTATTGTGTACCTTACTTCCTTGAAAAGGTTTCATTGTTTTGGGTTTCTCTTCATTGTCTGATTAAACACTTAAACAATGTTCTTTTATAATTTATCTTCATCTGTCGTTCAGTTATGTGTTGTCTTCCTCCGCCGCCCCGCACAGGAAAGTGAACTCCCTAGAAGAAAATGGCTCCCCAAAATTATATGCTCCGAACTCCTCCTGACAAACAGACAGGTTTTCAGGCAGAGGGACCACTAGACCTCCGTGAAGGCTCAGGAAGCGCGGGGCCCTGCCGCTTTGCCCGGAGGGAACCTGGTGGGCGGCCTGCATCACACCCCCATCCCACTCCAGCCCCTTGGGGGCTTCCCATTCTAGACACCCTAGTGCCAGAGCGTTAGAGTCGCCAGGTCCTGCTGGGCCTTGATCCTCTCTGTGGTCTGTTATCCTGGCTATCTTTTGGGCTCCATTTCTAGCTGTTTCGTGGGTTTCACAGAGAAAGTTTCTTGGTAGGAAGGATGGGAGCCCAGGAGTGTCCAGTGGGAGGCATGACTTTGGTATTAGTGACATTGCCCGGAAACAGTGCGTTTGAAGCCGCTGTCCCTGCTCTCTGCAGGCTCCCCGCTCTCTGTGGTGCCCCCGGGGAGTGGCAAGAAGCGGCATCCATCATCTCCCTCGGCCCAGCCCGGGCCTACGGCGTTCACCGGAGCCTCAGCCCCGCCCCCTCCAACTGACTCAGCCCGCCCCGCGCCCAGATGGCCAATCACTGGCTTAGCTCCTAATGCGCCACAAAGGCACTGGCAGTCTGGCCCCGCCCCAGCCCAGGACGCGCTGTTGCCATGGTGACGGTAAACCGGCTTGGTCTGAGTAGCCAAGCTCGCGTGTGAGACCCCTGCACAGACACTCAAGGGGCAGGTGAGGGGCGGAGGGGCCACGGTTGCGAGAAAAGAGGCCCTCCAAAGCCCCCGCAGCCCTCCTTGTTGGTTAGTGAAGATTTTGGCCCCACCTCGCGTCTCTTCACCGCTTCTGTCATCTTCCCGGATTCCTTCAGCGTCTACCTTGGTCTCTTGGGGCCTTCGCTCCTTGACCGCGAAAACAAAGTCGCTTCTTTCCTAAAAGTCTTCCTTTCTTCCTCAAAGTAATCATTCTTCAGGTATCTTGAGCAAAGTGCACAGAGAGCCGAGCCTCCTGAAGGCCGCTCCCTTTGTCAGGGATTGGAGTAGGGTTGGGCCAACTTGGCAGTTCCGCCCAATTCTGACTGGCAGGACCAGAAACCAAGGACTCTCTGTCTGTGGTATGGGCAAGTGGCCTTGGTAAATGACGTGGGGAGCTGCGGAGGCATCCATGACTTTCTTCCTTTTTTTCCTTTCTTTCCTTTCCTTCCTTTCCTTCCTTCCCTCCCTCCCTCTCTCTTTCTTTCTTTTTCTTCATTTATTTCTTTTTTTTTTTGATACGGAGTTTTGCTCTGTCGTCCAGGCTGGAGTGCAATGGTGCGATCTCGGCTCACTGCAACTTTTGCCTCCCGGGTTCAAATCATTCTCCTGCCTCAGCTTCCTAAGTAGCTGGGATTACAGGTGCGTGCCACCAAGCCCAGCTAATTTTTGTATTTTTTAGTAGAGATGGGGTTTTGCCGCGTTGGCCAGACTGGTCTTGAACTCCTGACCTCAGCTGATCTGCCCGCCTTGGCCTCCCAAAGTGCTGGGATTACAGGCATGAGCCACCATGCCTGGCCAACACCCTGTTGTTTAAGCCACTTTGGCCAGGATTTCCTGTACTTGAACCTGGAAGCATCCTTTATAATATGCCATCCTTATGATAACACCTCTGTCCCACTGTGAACACCCATGAGACTCTAGACCTCAGTATTACCAGTCACTGCACCCTCTCCGAATCTCCAGGTCAGCCATCTCCCTCCCATACCCTGCCCAGCCTTCCGGTGGACCTCACCATCTCTTTGAAGGCCTTTCCTCACTTGGCTTGAGACAGCATTCCCTGGTCTTCAGCCTTTCTCAGGGGGCCTCCCTGGGTCTCACTTTCTCACCTTTGTGGTGGCAGTGGTGCAGCCTCCATCCAGCCTTGGACCCTTCTTTTGATCTCTTCACCCTCCTTAAATGAAGGTATCGAGCCATGATTTTTAAATTTCATCTGCATGCTGACTCCCCAAGCCACTGTCTCCAGCTTGTTTTTATAGACACAGGCTCAAGCAGCCAACTGCCTCACACACATCATGCTTGGATGCTGTATTAGTCCGTTCTCACACTGCTGAAGAAAGGCCTGAGACTGGGTAATTTATAAACAAAAGAGGTTTAATTGGCTCACAGTTCTGCAGGCTGTACAGGAAGCATGGCAGCATCTGCTTCTGGGGAGGCCTCAGGGAGCTTTCACTCATGGCAGAAGGCAGAGCGGGAGCAGGTGTCTCACATGGCAGGACCAGGAGCAAGACAGGGAATGGGGAGATGCCCCACACTTTCAAACAGTCGGATCCCTCCCGAACTCACTCACTAAGAGGAGAACAGTGCCGAGGGGATGGTGCTGACCCATTCATGAGAACTCCGCCCCCATGATCAAATTACCTCCCGCCAGGCCCCACCTCCAACACTGGGGATTACAATTGAACAGGAGATTTGGGTGGCGACACAGATCCAAACCATATCAGATATCTAATGCCCATTTCAAATTGAGCATGTTCGAAATAGAATTACTGATGTCTCATGTGTCCGTGTGAAGAGACCACCAAACAGGCTTTGTGTGAGCAACAAGGCTGTTTATTTCACCTGTGTGCAGGCGGGCTGAGTCTGAAAAGAGTCAGCAAAGGGTGGTGGGATTATCATTAGTTCTTATAAGTTTGGGGATAGGCAGTGGAGTTAGAAGCAATGTTTTGTGGGCAGGGGGTGGATCTCGAAAAGTACGTTCTCAAGGGTGGGGAGAATTACAAAGAACCTTCTTAAGGGTGGGGGAGATTATAAAGAACCTTCTTAAGGGTGGGGGAGATTACAAAGTACATTGATCAGTTAGGGTGGGGCAGAAACAAATTACAATGGTGGAATGTCATCAGTTAAGGCTATTTTCACTTCTTTTGTGGATCTTCAGTTGCTTCAGGCCATCTGGATGTATACGTGCAGGTCACAGGGGATATGACGGCTTAGCTTGGGCTCAGAGGCCTGACAACTGATACGCACCCAACCCCCCTGCAAAAAAAACAAAAACAAAAACAAAAACCACCCTGCTCCTGGGAGCAGAGATTCTATGTTGAAGAACTGCAGGCAAAAACGGAGGCAGGAATGTTAGGTTCTCCAGTAGGGGTGGTGGGGAGGTGTCCAGACAGGCACCGGCTCCAGCAGGAGCTTGGAACTGCACTGCGGCAATAAGGGGATGTTGTTCCAGAGACACATTGTAGCGAGTGGTCTTGGCAAAGCACTTACCCATGATCTTAGCTGACCTCCAGGACAGAGCTGAGATGGATGGATGTTGGTCACCAAATTTCAAAGGGACCCCCTTCCTCAAGGTCTCCAGTGGCACTAAATGAAAATAAGGGGCCAGAGCATGAGCTCACTCATGACGCTGCACTGTTTGATGCTCTTTGCAATTTTTTTTTTTTGTTTGAGACGGAGTCTCACTCTGTCGCCCAGGCTGGAGTGCAGTGGCGTGATCTCGGCTTACTGCAACCTCCATCTCCCGGGTTCAAGTGATTCTCCTGCCTCAGCCTCCTGAATAGCAGGGATTACAGGCTTGTGCCACCACACCCAGCTAATTTTTGTATTTTTAGTAGAGACGGGTTTTCACCATGTTGGTCAGGCTGGTCTTGAAGTTCTGACCTCCATGCCCGTCCCTTTGCACATATTAACTCATTGAAAATACATGACCCACCAGTGGGGAGGCTCTCTTATCATTATTCTATAGAAAGGCAAATTGGAAATGCAGAGAAGCCACAGCCAGCTTGCGACTCTCTCTCCACCCCCTTGGCCAGGATCCCAGCTGGCTCCTGCATCCACCTCACTGTTTTCAGCCTGGCTCTCAAACTCCTCCTCAGCATCCTGCCTTGCTGTGAGCAAAGAAGCAGTCCCTTGGCTGACCACCACAGGGACTTCTTAAAAACATGAGGTTTCTCCTTGGCGATGATGATCAGGCCTGAAGCAGAGGACGAGCAGGCAGGGGTGTCCCTAGGGAAGCTGGACTGCCGTGCGTCCCGAGCCGGACCCCAGGCATCTCCCCTGTGGGGTAGGAGGCTGGGGCAGCAGGCACGCTCGGACATTACTCACTCAGTGCATTCTCTTCTTCACCATGCACTTCCCATGAGCGGGGGAAGCCACATCACTGTTTATCTGTGGAGTCTGTCAGTCAGTGTAAGGGCCTATTCCTAGAAAAGGTGTGATTTTGCTCACCCCACACTGAGGGCACCGCAGTGCTAAGGCACAAAGTGACAAGACGCTCCCCTCTGTGGCTTCCCGAATGTGAGCTTGTGCCCCAGCCAGCCATGGAGTCATGGGGAGTTGCTTCCTTCTGCTCCCTCCTGAGAGTCCTAGAAACCTCACTCGGCTCCTGGGCGCAGTCTCACATGTAACGTTGTCTGGTGCGAAGATGCCTGCACCACCAGCCATGTCCTCATGGTGTCATTTGCTGAGTGTCCAATCCGGCTCTTTCCACCCTGGCTTTGAGACAGTCCTCTGTTGGAGATACAGTTTCTAGCTTTTAGCTTAAACTGAGTCTCCAGGCAAGCATGGCAGAAAAGCAGAAACCATCTATCCCGAGATGACCTGACAGCCTGATTAAATAATGACACTAGCTGGCAACAGAAGAGTCGAGAGGAGAAGTAACCCCTCATGAGGTTCGACCCAGAGTGATTTGGTAGGGATTTCCCCAGGGGCACGCAGCACAGCACAGCCAGGACATGGATGCGGCCCCAGGCCTTCCCATTCCCTCTGGAAAGAGTACGAGTTCTAGGGCATTTTATTAATATAACACTTTATTCATATCTTGTACATTTTGCATATACAAAATTAGCCTCTGAGCTTCACTTTTAGATTTTAGAACTTTTTCCGCCCTGTGGGCTGCATAAACAGGTCAGCAGGTCAGCTCTTCGGTGAGTAGCAAATAGAAAATGTGGAGCTAATTAAAGGTCAAGGACATCACGGTACCTGTTATTTCCAGGGCCTGTCTCATGTGGCTGCCATCTCGGGCAGTGAGGTGAGGGATCTGGCTGTCATGAAGCACCAAGATGGTTTGGGTGTAAAGCCATGCCGCCAGTCTTGGTGCCTTCCTGAGTTTAGTGTCTGATCATAGGGAAGATGACATCACAAAGGCAGGTCTGCAGAGGCTGGCCCCTTGGCCGAGGGTGAGGCAGGGACAAGACCAGGCACAGAGGAAGGGGAGGGCACATGAAACCCCCTGGTGTGTTCTTTCAGGGCACAACACAAAATAAAACCACAACAAGCAGCAAGGAAACAATTCACACCAAGGACAAGAGTGGAGCCTGGGGTGGGTCAGGGGATGCGCTCACCTCCAAGGCCAGCGGTCGCACCCTTGAGAGGCTGACTCAGGCTCAAGCACACAGAGGCCACCTGAGGACATGGCATGTCCTGCTTTCTATGCGGAGTCTTTCTATTTATTATTTATACCTTACCTTTATAACCTCTCTCACACATGATATCTTGTTTATTCGTTTTTTTTTCTCTTTGAGACAGGGTCTCACTCTATCATCCAGGCTGGAGTGCAGTGGTACCATCCCAACTCTCTGCAGCCTTGACTTCTTGAGCCCAAGCGATCCTCCCACCTCAGCCTCCAAAAGTGCTGGGATTACAGGCTTGAGCCACTACACCCAGCCTCATTTATTCCTTTAAAATGAGGAAAATGATGACACACCAAACTGGATTGTAACAAAGCCTGCACAAGCCTAGAACACAGCCCTTGATCCCCCCAGCACAAACGTCCTGCAAAAACCTGGTTTGGGAAAAACTCACCTTTGGAGATAACTTAGGGACAAGGAACCAGCAAAGGATCATCCTGAAGACCTGGCCCACAGAAGAATAACTGACAGGCAGGTGAGTCAGAGCACTGACCAGAAGGTGCGGCCACGTGCTGCATGAACAGCAGGTGACATTGGCGGAGGGAGCAGCCATCACTGCAAACCAGAGGCATGCATGAGAGTGCAGGGAGGCGGCAGGGCTGCTGGGGAGAGGGGATGCGGCCTGGCCAAACTCGAGGTTGGAAAAGCCCAGCTCGGAAATGATTTCCTTGGGAGTAGGCTGCAGGGAACCTAGTGCCAGATATCTACTGAAAGATATCTTCCAAGCTCCTTACGTGCAGAATCAGAACTGGAAGTCCTCACTTATTACCATTTTATTCTTGGAGCTCCATGCTCCTTAAGACATCAAATGAATCAGCAACGAACTGAACCAAAGTTTAAAACTCTGCACAGAAATGCCACGTTGCTGAATACTGCCACATTGCGGCCTTCTGGCCAAAGCAGCAAAGTTACCTTCTGAAAACCTGCAAGGCTAGGAATGGGCCTCACCCAGGGAATCACCCAAGGCCTCTGGAAGCCAGGCCAGGTGCACAGCGACAATCTGGGAGGAAGTTCCAGCCACAGGGAAGGAAGGCAGTTCAGGTGTACAGCCACAAGGCTGCACTTGCTGGGGCTCTGGCCTGCAGAGGCTCCCAGGGCAGGGAAGGCAGGAAGCACAGTGCTGTGGTGAGTGGCAGAGAAGGCCTTCGATCCACAGAAAGGAAGAAAGAAAAGAAAAGGATTAGCCAGGCCAGGCACGGTGGCTCACGCCTGTAATCCCAGCACTTTGGGAGGCTGAGGCTGGAGAATCGCTTGAGCCCAGCAGTTCCAGACCCACCTGGGCAACATGGTGAGACCCCATCTCTACCAAAAAAAACTCAAACAAACAAATTAGACAGGTGTGGTGGTGTGCACCTGTGGTCCCAGCTACGCAGGAGGCTGAGGTGGGAGGATCGCTTGAGCCAGGGAGGTGGAGGCTGCAGTGAGCTGATTGCTTCACTGCACTCCAGCCTGGGTGACAAAGCAAAACCCTATCTTGGAAAAAAAAAAAAAAGAAAAGAGAAAACAAGAACTGCAGAAATAGAAAGGAATAAGCAAAAAATCATCTAAACAAGAAGAGGAGACAAGAAGTGCAGGGAAAAATGACAGAAAACTGTCCACTCATCCGAAACCCAGGTGGTGTCCCTGTACCAAGTCAGACTGTGACCTCCATGCTCCAGGGCCGGCTGTAGGCAGGCTCTGAATGAGGAGGAGTTTTCAGAGAAGAACATCTCAAAATGGAAATATTTCAAAGACCAAACAGTGTAAAAGCATCTCCAGGAAGACCTGGGCTTCAGACCCCTACTGAAGGGGTCCCAGGCCCAGGCTTCCCCTGGTGGGGGGTGGGTCTCTGAGGCAGCACTTTTTCTCCTTTTCATGGAAATATTATGGTCCTAGAATAGAATCTGGGCCTGAAGAGGGGCCTCCCCTGGCCTCCAGGGGATGGACCACTTTAGTGTAAATGTAATTTTTTCAAGAATAGTTTTGTTTTATGTTATTTTAACACTCTCCAGGGCAATCTGCTGCACACTCCAGTGTGGGCAGCATTCATCCTAGCAGTTCTACCAAAGGGATCCGGGTCTGAGGACTTGTAGTTCATTATGGCCCTCCTGCTGGGGCCTGACAAAGGCGCAGCACCAGCATCCCAGGCGGCCTCAGGATGGAGCTGTGAGGACGCGGGATCCCCAAAGGTTAATGAAGTTCTCTCACAACCTCTGCAGCGAGGACATTCTCTGTCAGGAGAACCAGCCCTGGATAACTCCTTGTGCTTGTCCTAGTTCTGAGCACTTGGTACTTTAACTCATTCAATGCCTACAACCACCAGTTTTGAAAAAGTGAGAGGAAGCCCAGGGACGTGGAGTCACTTGTCCAAGATTGCACAGCTAGCGTGTGGCCAACCCAGCATCTGAAATCAGGCGCTGTGAGTCAAAGTCCAGCCCCACCCTCTGGCTCCCGGGACTTCTGTCACTTGTGCTCTCTGGGGTCCACTTCCTCATGCTGCC
Source organism: Homo sapiens (assembly GCF_000001405.40). NCBI lineage: Eukaryota > Metazoa > Chordata > Mammalia > Primates > Hominidae > Homo > Homo sapiens. The sequence continues at coordinate 43,315,687 of NC_000010.11, read as the reverse complement.
ACCTCCGCCGGTCTCCCCAGGTGACGGGGAGGGTCAGCATAGCCAGTGCTCAGCCTGAACCCAGGCTCTTCTCTACCAAAGCAGATTGAGGGGGGGTGGGGGCAGCGAGTGAGTTGATGCCAGATGTTTGTTCATGGTGGCGCAGGGGGTTTAGCTCAGGCGCTGCTGGGTGGGCAGCAGACGCAGGCTCATCCCTATCTGCCTCGCAGAGGGCAGCACTGCCCCCGAGGTCACAGAGGTGGTCCTGCCTTCCGACACCATGCCGTTCTTGCTGTTTCCATGAACTCTCCTTGGCTTTCTCTGGCTGGCTCTGCTTTCACGCTGTTCTTTCCAGAACGCTTGGCTGACGATCGGCAGGGCAGGAGGTGAGGAGTACTCAGGGCCAGTGCAGCTGCCAGTGAAGCCCAGCTTCTTCTGTCCTGAGACACCTCCAGCCCCAGGCCATCCCCTGCCTCCCTGGCCCAGAGCCCCCAGCCCCTCCTCAGCCCCCCTCCCGCCTGCTCCCGGAGGTGCGCACGCCTGTCCTCCTGTTGTCTCAATGCCCTGGGATGCCCTGGCTAAGGCAGGTTTTCTGTCCTCCTTCCAGAGCACTTCCAGGCTAGCAAAATGGCAGGGACATCCTTTCCCCAGGCTGAGCCTGTCCTGTGCACCATCGGCCTAACCCCTGCTGAAAGCTGGGCTGTCCAGCACGTGGCCCAGCTGCCCTGAGTGTTGTCATCATGATGAGTAGATATCCTCATCACCGGGACCTGGGCTGTCTGACAGTGAACTGATTCCATGTCCAAGCCCCTGACTGTCTCCCCATTGGACCTGGCCAGCAGCTCGTGGCTGAGTAAAAACCTCCTCCCCACCAGTTGCCAGGCCGCCGGCCGCCAGTCTGATCGTGGGAGGCACCAGGTCTGATCTGCGCTGCCTCCTCTAGGGTCTGAGGGGCCCATTAACAGTCCTCAGAAGCAAGTCTACCTCGAGGACCAGTCCGTACTTGAGGCCCATGGAGCCTGGTTTGTGAAATCGCGTTCATGCTGGTGTGCAGGATAGGTGTATTCAGAATTGTGTGTGTAGGTGACAAAGTGCATTTTCTGAGACAGCCAATTTGTTCAGCTCTCCAAGGGTCCATGACCCCTGGTGGGTTAAGAGGCACCTATTGGAGGAGACCCATCCTGCTCTGGAAGGCCTGAGACAGACTCTTTCTGGGTCCCATTTTGCTCCCATTCCCAAAGGGGCAGCATCTGTGGGGAGCCTCAGGCCTGGGCTGGGGACGAGGGTGTGGGAGGCAGGCCAGGGCCCCATGGTCTTCTGGGGCTCACTTACGGACCTGCATGAATCACTGAATGCCCCCTACCATAGCTTCAAGGCTCCGTGAGGGGCACTGCTGTGGGTCGGGGTGGGGGTGCTGTCAGTGAAGGGCCAGGTCTGTGCCCGCTGTGGTCCTGGGATAGCCAAGACAGCGTGGTCTGGGGCTGGTCCTGCGTGTGATTTACCCTCAAAGTGGCAGACGCGGGGAAGCATGCTGGCCAGAGCGCCTGTCCCTTGTTCAGTTTTCTTTGGAACTCACCCAGGTTCGCTTCATTGCAATCTCTTGTTCCTGGGCAACTGGACTCAACCATTAGGTGATTTTTTTTGGAGCAGAAACCACAACAGGCCAGGCATCTGAAATGGAAGCCTTTCTGTCTTGATGTTCCTAACAGTGCCGGGGCTCTGGCAGGAGCTGCTCTTTGCACTGGGCTGTCACTGAGCTAGAGCCTAGAAGGTGGCAGGGAGCTGGTGGAGCCCAGGTGCAGGCAGCCTCACTCTCACAGGCCTTACAGGACCCTATCGCTTTCTTTTGCTTTAGACCTACCTGATGACTGGGATGCTGCAGATGAGCTGGGGTGGTGGCATCCCTGTAGTCCAAGCTACTCAGGAGGCTGAGGTGGGAGGGTCACTTGAATCCAGGAGTTTGAGGTTGCAGTGAGCTAGAGTTGTGCATAAGTTTTTTGAAGAGACAGGTTCTTGCTGTGTTGCCCAGGCTGGTCTGGAACTTCTGGCCTCCAGCTCAGCCTCCCAAAGCACTGGGATTATAGGCGTGAGACACCATGCCCAGCCCAGTGTTTGATTTTTTTTTTTTTTTTTTTGAGAGAGAGTCTCGCTCTGTCATCCAGGCTGGAGTGCTGTGACTCAATCTCGGCTCACTGCAACCTCCACCTCCCAGGTTCAAGTGATTTTCATCTCGTGCCTCAGCCTCCTGAATAGCTGGGAGTATAGGTGTGCGTCACCATGCCTGGCTAATGTTTGTATTTTAGTAGAGGTGGACTTTCACCATGTTGGCCAGGCTGGTCTCGAACTCCTGACCTCAAGTGATCTGCCTGCCTCGACCTCCCAAAGTTCTGGGATTACAGGCGTAAGCCACCGCGCCTGGCTCAGTGTTTGAGTCAAAATGCTGCTGTGCAGGTGCTGCCCTGCAAATGATCCCAAAATGATCATCCAGCAAGGGAAGCAGGGGAACTGCACGGGGGCTGAAACACCCATCCTGGATGGCACTCAGCTGTGGGGAACTGCATGGATCGTCCCCTCACTGGCGGTGTCCTCTGACCACGGGGGGCGCCAAGGCCGAGCCCACGGCTTAGCATCCGCACCAGTGGCCATAGCTTTGGGGCTGCCTTCCCAGAACAGTCCTGCTTTCTAGGAGACAACTTCATCATTCATTCCAGCAACTTCCAGAAAGGCCCATCAACTCTTCGGTAGAAAGCAGAAACAAGTTTACTCCTAGGGCTCTCTGAACCCTCACCTTGCTGTGTTTGCCACTTCTAAATTGCTGTGTTGTGACCCTTACCCTAATCCTAACCAGCCCCACATTGAAAGACCCTAAACCAGACTTCATAGTCTCCCAGACATCTCGGCCCTGCCCTTCTGCCACCATGCGGCGGAGGAGCGTCTGCCCTCTCGGGTCCATCCTACAGAGAAAGAAGGAGAACAGGGGAGAGAGGGAGGGGCAATGAGAAAGAAAGAAGAAAAAGGGAATAAAAGGAAGAGAAAGAAGGAAACAAAAATAAACAGCAGTAGATCTTTCTTTCTTTCTTTCTTTTTTTGAGACAGTCTCGCTCTATCATCCAGGTTGGAGTGCAGTGGCACAATCTTGGCTCCCTGCAACCTCTGCCTCCCAGGTTCAAGCAATTCTTCTGCCTCAGCCTCCCCAGTAGCTGGGATTACAGGTGCCCACCACCATGCCCAGCTCATTTTTTTTTTTTTTTGAGACGTAGTCTTGCTTTGTCTCCCAGGCTGGAGTGCAGTGGCGCGATCTTGGCTCGCTGCAAGCTCCGCCTCCCGGGTTCACGCCTTTCTCCTGCCTCAGCCTCCCGAGTAGCTGGGACTACAGGCGCCCACAACCACGTCCGGCTAATTTTTTTTTGTATTTTTGGTAGAGACAGGGTTTCACTGTGTTAGCCAGGATGGTCTCAATCTCCTGACCTCATGATCCACACGCCTCGGCCTCCCAGAGTGCTGGGATTACAGGCGTGAGCCACTGCGCCAGGCCCATGCCCAGCCAAATTTTGTATTTAGAAACTTGGTTTCACAATGTTGGCCAGGCTGGTCTTGAACTCCTGAACTCAGGTGATTCTCCCACCTCAGCCTCCCAAAGTGCTGGGATTACAGGCTTGAGCCACCGCGCCCAGCCAATAGTGATATTTCTTTTTCCATTTTAGAGACAGAGTTTTGCTGTGTCACTCAGGCAGAAGTGCAGTGGCGGGATCATAGCTCACTGCAGCCTCGAACTCAAGTGATTCTCCCACCTCAGCTCCCAAGCAGGAGTAGCTGGGACCACAGGTGCAAGCCACCACACCTGGCAAATTTTTGTATTTTTTGTAGAGACCAGGTCTCACTATGTTGTCCAGGCTGGTCTCAAACCCCTGGCCTCAAGTGATCCTCCCACCTCTGCCTCCCAAAGTGCTGGGATTACAGGTATGAGCCACTGCGCCCCGTTGACAGTAGGTATTTCAGATGAGTTCTATGATTGTTTTTCTATGTATGATGTAAGCAAATTAAAGAAGTAAAAAATAATTGCCTAATATAAAACCGTTTGGAGGAATTAAAATTTATTTTTTCTTATCCTTTCCGGTGTCTGTTAACACAACAAATAATTTTAAATAATCTAAGAGCTCATAAGCAAATCTTTATGCTTCTCAAATATTAAAAAGAAATAAAGATGGGAAAATCCTGAAACTACATCCAGCAGAGGAGAATGGACTGTAGTCGTGTCTGTGCTGGTTTGGAAGGGATCATGTCATCCCTAAGGGTAATTTGAGAACAAAATCAAGATTTCAATGAAAGCTGTTCCTCTACTCTGAATGTCTCTTTCCATGTCAACATTGGAGCACTGGGGTTTATGTAAGGAGCATTTCCTAAAGTTAATACCTGAAGGAAATTTATGAGGTCATCTCAATGTCTGAACATGTAGCATCACCATTTACAGTGTGGCAATTTCCACATCAGGTCTATGTGGTGAACATCTGAGAGAAACCTGAAACGCCACAGAGTGAAACATGTAATGTGGCTCTATGTTGGGAATTTAGGCGACTGACACTTTTTTCTACCTTTTAGTTTCTTTGTTTTTTCTAATTTCTACAATCAACAAGTATTACGTAACAGACACTAAAAAGGAAAATGAGAAGGAATTGGCAAAGGCCATCAACAGACAGCTCAGAGCTAGAAATGTGCATTTAGGCCTGGCGAGGGCTCAGCCTGTGATCCCAGCACCTTGGGAGGCTGAGGCGAGAGGATTGCCTGAGCCCAGGAGTTCAAGATCAGCCTGGGCAATATAGTGAGACCCCATCTCTACAAAAATATTGAAAAATTAGCCAAGCATGGTGGTGCATGCCTCTGGTCCCGGCTACTTGGGAGGCTGAGGGACCTCAGCCTTGAGCCCCTCCTGGGCACTTGAGCCCAGGAGGGAGAGGTTACAGCGAGTTGAGATCGCACCACTGGACTCCAGCCTGGGCATCAGAGCGAGACCCATTCTCAAAAAAAAAGGCCAGGGGCGGTGGCAGGTGCCTATAATTCCAGCTACTCAGGAGGCTGAGGCAGGAGAATTGCTTGAACTTGGGAGATGGAGGTTGCAGTGAGCCAAGATCACGCCACTGCACTCCAGCGTGTGTGACAGAGTGAGACTCTGTCTCAAAAAAAAAAAGAAAAGAAAAAACCAAAATACTGAAATTCTCTTTCTTCATTCTCAGAGGAATGGGTGTCTCTTTACATAATACCCAGGCTAAGAGACAGCACTGTGAGCCTGCTCATCGTAAGTATACATGAAACCTTCCCAGTGAGGCAGAGCACATACAGGGGTGAGAGACAAAGGGAGGGGCTTGAGAATTTGTAAAATTCTTTTTGTGGCAGAAAAGAAATAGACAACTGTTAAATTTATGAAACAAATACAAGTAAATAAATGTAAGTGTGGATCTTAAGGACAACCGCCATAAAAATAAACATAGTGCATTGCTGCTGGGCGCAGTGGCTCACACCTGTAATCCCAGCACTTTGGGAGGCTGAGGCAGGCGGATCACTTGAGGTCAAGAGTTCGAGACCAGCCCGGCCAACATGGCAAAACCCTGTCTCTACTGAAAATATAAAAATTAGTGGGGTATGATGGCTCATGCCTGTAATCCCAGCTACTCAGGTGGCTGAGGCACGAGAATCGCTTGAACCCAGGAGGTGGAGGTGGCAGTGAGCCAAGATCGTGCCACTGCACTCCAGCCTGGGTGACAGAGCAAGGCTCTGTCTCAAAAAAACCTACAAAAAAACCCAAAAAACCAGAGTACAGTGCTTTTAAAGTACCACAAAAAAGCCCTCAAAGCATGATCTATCTGGTGGATGCATGAAAGAAAAACAAAGAGACAAAACCTCTTTGCAAACTACATTTATAAGGGAACTTCCTTTTCTTGTTAAAGGTTATCTACCAAGACCTGCAACTGCCACATTTAAGACTTTAGGAGCATTCCGTTTAAAATCAAGCACGGGATCAGATGTGCACATCACTGTGCCATAGTTAGCCGCAGTTTGCAGGTGTTGTAATCATGTATGGAGAACACCTACCAAATGAAACAGCTGTCTCCTGCGTTTTGCTCTGGCATACCATGAGGCTCCCCCTTCATCGGGGACCCCTGCCCCTGTGGGCATGCCCAGGCTGGCTTTAGGAAAGGAGGTGGGACAGACTCAACACCGTGGTTGTTCCCACAGCAGGAAAGTGTTTGTTTCCACCTCCGTACCCTAGGGGATTCCTAGAGGCAGCATGAGAGGCAGAAAGATGAGCTCCAAACATCAGCTTTTCTATAGTTAATATGTGTTTAATACCCTTGGTGTCAGTACCTAAATAGCATACGTGTGTGTATCACACATTCTCCCTCTTTCTATGCATGCGCAAACACACTCCTTGACCAAAACAGGGCAAAACAGAATTGGAAAAGTGTCCACTCAGGACACTGCATGTTGTGGGCCGTTCCCTCTCTCAGGTTTTGCGTCACAGAGATTACTGGGAAACCACGTGCGCTGCTTGGGTCGGGAGGATGGGACCTTTGGATTCCATCCCATCCATGCAGTGAGCACACAGCCATGTGAAAGAAGCCTATTGTCAGTGAGCATATTGCTAAGAAAGAAGTGTTAACAGGCTAATTTATCATCCAAGCACAATTATTTGAGTAAACAAAATGTTAATCCATCAGGCCAATTGTGAGACTGAGATGTACAATTGCCAAAGAATTATTAAATAAGCCACATGTGACACATAAATACGAAAAAAAGATTGGAGTAGAACTTGGGAATGTCATAATTTCTAAATCAAAGATTAGTTCTCAATTGAAAAAATAAGAGGGAATGTAAGAGTTAAGCAGAAAGCAGAGTTTCCATTGTCAACTCTGTCCACCATGGGCATTTTAAACACGCAGATGCCCAGGGCCACACCTGGAGATGTCAGTGCAGGACAAGGGACTGGGCTGGGGAGCAGATGTCTCATGGTCTTTCCATTGAAAATAGTGACACAGAGCTGATATTTCCTTTCCTCTCCAGAATCAGATCTGAAGAGTATGACGATCTCCAGGTGCACAAGGGGAGGTGTGCTGACCAGGGCAGGGGAGGGCAGGTTCAGAATGGGCTGCAGGAAGAGGGGCATTCTGCCCCCCAAATTAAAACACCTCTTTTGCAAGTTCAGGAATGGGTGCAGCTGCCTTCTCTGAGAGGAAGAAATCAGTTGCAATTAAAAAAATATGCCACAGCATGGACACCCCTTTAAAAGGTCATGCTAAGTGAGAGAAGCCAAACGCAAAAGGCCACATATGATCTGATTCCATTTGCCTCAAGTGCTGAGAGAAGGACATCCACAGAGACGGAAAGTGGTGTCGCGATGGGGTCAGGGGCTGATGGAAGTGTCTGAAAACTGGATTGTGGTGAGCGTTGCTCAACTGCATGCATTAGCTAAAAATTATTGATTTACACCTAAAATGGATGAATTTTTTTTTTTTGAGACAGAGTTTCACTCTTGTTGCCCAGGCTGGAGTGCAATGGTGCTATCTCGGCTCACTACAACCTCCGCCTCCTGGGTTCAAGTGATTCTCCTGCCTCAGCCTCCCGAGTAGCTGGGATTACAGGCATGTGTCACCACGCCCGGCTAATTTTGTATTTTTAGTAGAGATGAGGTTTCTCCATGTTGGACAGGCTGGTCTTGAACTCCCAACCTCAGGTGATCCACCCGCCTTGGCTTCCCAAAGTGCTGGGATTACAGGCATGAGCCACTGTGCCCGGCCCAGTTTCTTTTCTTTTCTTTTTGAGATGGAGTTTCACTCTCATTGCCCAGGCTGGAGTGCAATGGCATGATTATTTGCTCACTGCAACCTCCACCTCCCAGGTTCAAGCGATTCTCCTGCCTCAGTCTCCCAAGTGGCTGGGATTACAGGCATGTGCCACCACACCCAGCTAATTTTGTATTTTCAGTAGAGATGGGGTTTCACCATATTGGCCAGGCTGGTCTCGAACTCCTAACCTCAGGTAATCCACCCGCCTCGGCCTCCCAAAGTACTGGGATTACAGGCGTGAGCCACCATGCCTGGCCAAAACTGGCGGAATTTTATGCGGGAGGGAGGTGAAGAAGCCCCCTCCCAGGAGCAGGTCAGGCGCAGGTGAGAAGTCCCAGCATGGCTGGCAGGGCCAGTGGGGAGGCTCCGTGGCCCAGCAGCTGGGTCTGCGGGGGGTTCTGCTGCCCCTTGACAGACCTTTCAGGAGGCTCAGCCTCGTCATCACCATAAGCTAGGGTGATGGCACTGCAGGCTGGCAGGCTACACTAGAGATGCAGCCCTCCTGGTGAGGAATGGGGTGACACCCTGCCCTCAACCAGGAGCAGAGGGCCCTGTCTGGGGGCTCCTAGTGTGGCCCCAGAGTGCCTAGGGGCCACAGAGTCCAGCAGCGTGTGGAGCCCATATGCACACTCAGCTTTCCTAGTGACAGGTGAAGCCAGCTGGACTTTCTGGGTCCAGCAGGTACTTGGATAACTTTTCTGTCTAGCTAGGAGGATTGCAAACGCACCAATGAGCACTCTGTAAAAACGCACCAATCAGCGCTCTGTGTCTAGCTAAAAGATTGTAAATGCACTAATCAGCACTCTGTAAAATGGACCAATCAGCACTCTGTAAAATGGACCATCAGCAGGATGTGGGCGGGGACAAATAAGGGAATACAAGCTGGCCACCCCTCCCAAACCTCTGCCTCAGCCTCCAGAGTAGCTGGGATCACAGGCATGTGCCACCATACCTGGCTAATATTTTTGTTGCTGTTGTAGAAATGGACTCTCCCTTTGTTGCCCAGACTGGTCTCAAACCCCTGGTCTCAAGTGATCCTCCCACCTCAGCCTCCCAAAGTGCTGAGATTACAGGTGTGAGCCACTGCGCTCAGCCATATAACAGTTATTAACCAGAAATTTCACATCCTTTTTTTTCTTACAAAGCATTCAAAATGCAGTGTGTATTTTACCCTCCAGCACATTTCCATTTGGGCCAGCCACGTTTCAAATGTCCATCAGCTGCCTGTGTCTCTTGGTCATGGTAGTGGACAGTTGTGGTGGTTCAGTCAGGCTGGTGGGAAAAATTTTAGTTATAATAGCTACAAACCTTCTTGGAAGGCCTCAGAGTTCGCATAACTTCAGTAATAAATCTGACTGAAGGCAGCCTAGTCCCCTTACCTTTAGTTAAATAAATTAGGGTAGAAACAAAGGAGTGTAGGGAGTTTATCTAACAAACTTGTTTAATCATGTGGTCTTAAGACTAACCTTTGTTATACTGAGGGTGCTTAATTGCTTTCTACTTGGGAGGTCCGCAATGTCAATTACCCTCTAGTGGTGTTGACTCAAGCCTTTGTCAATTAATCTTTACTGAATAAATGCGAGTCTCACTAGCTGTTCTGGCCGCAGTGGCAACTGTTTGCGGCACTTTGCATGTAGTCTGTAAGCTGCCCAGACGCTCAGCTGGACTGGCAAAGCAGAGTATCTGTGTATCAGTGTACTTTATTCATCCATCCTTGGGTCAGGGTCTGCGGGACAGACCCCCACAGCCGGTGCCCCCACGTGATGAACACTGGGAAGGAAGCAGAACGGACCCGAGAAAGGAAGGTGAAAAAGGAAACACGTGGTCAGTGAGTAATCAGTAAGTCATTGGTGCCCACTTGGGATTTCCAAGTTCGGGGGAGATTGTTCATGCTGAGATTTCATCATGGGACAACAGTTATCAGCTCAACAGAAACAGTATATAAAAGTGTTGAAACAGTTGCTAAAGGCTAGCAGACCATCAGTTTTGCAGGCTCAATTAAAGGACTTAATGCAAACTGTTGAATCCCAAAGCCCATGGTTCCCTGAAAAAGGCACACTAAACATGAAGCTGTGGGAACAAGTGGGGAGAAATATTTATTTATTTATTTATTTATTTATTTGAGATGGAGTTTCACTCTTGTTGCCCAGGCTGAAGTGCAATGGCACAATCTCGGCTCACCACAACCTCCGCCTCCCACGTTCAAGCGATTCTCCTGCGTCAGCCTCCCGAGTAGCTGGGATTACAGGCATGTGCCACCACGCCCAGCTAATTTTGTATTTTTAGCAGAGACGGGGTTGCTCCACATTGGTCAGGCTGGTCTCGAACTCCCGACCTCAGGTGATCCGCCCACCTCAGCCTCCCAAGGTGCTGGGATTATAGGAGTGAGCCACCGCGCCCGGCCTGTGGGGAGAAATCTTAAACAACATTATGCACAAGGGAAACAGGTCCCAGTAACAGCTTTAACGCTATGGGCTTTAATTAGAGCAGCCCTGCTTCCATTATACATGCAAGAGCCTAAAAAGGGGAAAGAGGAGGAACTGTCACCCACCTTATCGCCTTGTGTTCCCTCAGCCCCAGTATCACCGGGGCAAAATAACAAAGAGGAAAGGGAGGTTTCACCTGAGCCCCCTCCTCCAATAAGTAGGAAAAAAGACAAGAAACATGCTCCAGCTATGGGACCTTGTCTTAGGCAAGCGGCATTAAGAGGGCCCTTAGTCTGCCCGTAATGCAAGATCGGCAAGGCAATCAGCTACATAAGGTGTTAAGAAAAGGCATTAGAGGCCCGATCCCGGGGGCGGGGGCGGGGGCGGGGGCGGGGGGCGGGGAGCGGTGCGGCCGAGCTAGCAAGCATTAAGTAGAAGGGAAAGCTCCGCGGCCAGGAAGTTCGCGAAACCGAAGCCAGCAAGTGCTCCCGGGAACTCTGCACCGAGGGCGGCAGCTGCAGCAAAGAGCCAGGCCCGGCGCGGAAAAGTTAGCCTGTTAGGGCGGGGCAGGAGGCACGCGGGAAAGTCTGACTAGCCAGCGGCGCCCGTGGGAGGAAGTCTCACAGGCGAAAATCAGCACAGAAAAAAGGGGCGCCTTTGCAAGCGGTAACGCTGCCGCTGCCCCAGGACCCGCCTCCTCAGCTCTCCAGCTCCGCAGGCGGCCCACGGCAAAATTTCGAGTGCTCCTTGTAGAGGAGCGACATCCCAAAGTATAATTCTATGCTAAGATTTAAGTAAAATTTAAGATTTGAAAAACCTCTTTCTGATAATGGCCACTGTTCTCTTTCTCTTACCCCTAGCGTGACTCTCCAAATCCAATTTAAGCAAAACTAACCTCTAAAGGGGGAGAAATTACAAAAGTCCCATGAGTTAGTTAAGGAGCAATTAAAATCAAGCTCTGCTCCCTAGTGAAAAAAAATTTCCTGATTGCAAGATTATTCATTTTATGGATAATATTCTAACAGCCCTTAAAATTCACCCATTTTCGTCATTCCCAAAAAGTCTAGTAAATATTTTACCTACAAAAATAGTTCATTCCCCCCTACCTGATGCTTTAACACTGTTTACTGATGGGTCTAGTAAACAGAAAAGTGGCAGTCTAGTACAGACCAAATTCAATCACTCAATCTGTTTGCTAGCAGAGAGCTGAGATTAGGGCTCTGATACTGGCCTTAGAAACTTTTTCAACTCAGCCCATCAATATAGTTAGTAATTCTGCTTACTCTGTGTATTTACTACAGAACCTTGAGACAGCACTAATTAAGTCTACTCTGGAGCCAGCCCTGTGTGCTCTTTTTCTTTGACTTCAGCAATTGCTAGATCAACATATACATACTATTTTTATTACACACATTCAAGCCCACAGCTCACTGCCTGGCCCATTGGCTTATGGCAATGAACAAGCAGACCTTCAGGTTATGACATCACTGCTTGACCAAGCCACCCAATCACATCAATTTTTCCACCAAAATTGGACAAACTTATCTAAACAATTTCAACTTACACAGAGACTGGCTAAACAAATTATCCTACAATGCCCAGATGGCCAGCTCACAGGCATGTCCCCTCCTTCAACAGGTGTTAACCCTAGAGAACTAGAACCTAATCAGTTATAGCAAACAGATGTTACCTACATCCCTAAATTTAAAAAACTAAGATATGTGCGTGTATCCATTGATACCAACACTCATTTAATTAGTGCACATGCTCTGCTTAGAGAGTCCACTCGATACGTCATTAAACATCTTTTAACTGTTACATTTATAAGACAACCCGCAAAAATTAAGACTGATAATGGTCCGGCTTATGCCACCTCACAATTTCAACAATTTTGTCACACGTGGAATATCCAACATTCCACAGGCATCCCATATAATCCCCAAAGACAAGCAATAGTAGAATGTGCCCACTCCACTGTTAAAAATATGCTCAAAAAACAAAAAAGGAGGAGTATGGGTAAAGACCCTGCAACACTATTGGCACAAGCCTTATTTACCCTTAATTTTAAAAATTTAGATGACAAATTTCATTCAATCAGCTGTAGAAAAGCACTTTGATAAAACCTCTCAAGGCATAAAACCAGCAGTTTTATGGAAAGATGTGAACTGTAATGAATGGTGTGGTCCAAATGAATTATTAACGTGGGGAAGAGGGTATGCTTGTGTCCACACCCCCTCAGGTCCTCTTTGGATTCCAGCATGATGCATCAAACCATACCATGGTGTAGCTAGGACCGAATCCGGTACCAGAAATAAAGGAGTTAACCCTGCAAGACCCACAGCCCTGGACAATGTGGCTTCCGCGGATGACGTGAGTCCTGGATGTTACCTGGGGGATGCTGAAGAGGACAATTCAGGAGGCTGAATGAATCCTGCTCCAGACACAAACACCATTTACTCCAGATAATTTATTTCTTGCTATGCTTTCTGTTGTACATTGCATCTCATATAGGGTATTAATCCTTTTTATGCTCTCACTTTGTCTGCAACCTGTACCTGCTACTACACTGTATTGGACTCATATCTTAGACCCACCTTTCTTTTGCCCTGTCACCTGGGCAGACGCTCCCTTCCCAGCCTATAATAACGTGACTGCTTAGTTAGGAGGAATAGATTTACCGCCAGTGAGGTCCCGCAATAATGGCACACATTGGACTAAGATGCCAGATAACATTACATATCACTCCACTATCCTCCCACTGTGTGTAAGTTATAAAGGCTCTAACCCTTACTGTGTACCTGCCCCAAAACAAGTATGGCTACATCACTGTGAAGGAAATGCCTTAGCATTCTTAGCTGCAGGAAGCCTCAAACTGGGCAATGCAATCAACACCGCTTTCCCAAACATTCCTTCCTGTGCTAAAGAACAAAGCCAGGAAAGTAATGGATTCCACTTTAGCTGGGAGGTCTGTCACAGGAGACAAGCCCATAGCCTCCAGTTAGGCAATTATAACATCTTAGACTGGTGCCCCCATGGCCGATTGTAGGGCAGCCTTACTAATGTCTTCATCCATCACAGCATCAATCACAGTTTCAAAGCCACGTCTCGTTCCCCTATAATTTGGGCTGATGGGGGGATGAGATATCCCAGACCCTAAGTAAAGTCCATGCCACCCCAGTGAAACTTATGGCACCTGGGACATCTTAGCACCTCCCTTAACACCTGGCATGGGACATGTCATAAATCCAGTCGCAACTATACCATAACCTTTATTCATAATCACACTGATCAGTGCCTGATTTGCTCTACCCATCCATATGTTTTCCTTATGGGAACTAACATTTCCATTACACCTCAAAACTCCACGTTTGTGACCCGGGTGCAGGGACAGGCTTGGTTTGCCTCATGTATCACCACAATATATCTAATTTAAAAATTACTAGTGTCGTGATATTAAGGAGACAATCTGAGGCATTCCTACCAGTCAATCTGACTCATGATTGGCAAGGTTCCTCTGTCCTTGTCACCTTAGAATGTAGAACGTACCCTATCCCACGTCAGACACAAAAGATTCATAGTTACACTTATGGCTTTTATAGTCTCAGCCATAGTCATCCTGGCAACTGCTCGCGTTGCTCTCGCATCTATTACTGAGTCAGTACAAACAGCTGCCTTTGTAGATAATCTGGCCAAAAATGTGTCTAATGAAGTCTTACAGCAAGGTATAGATCAAAAAATTCTTGCACGTCTGCAAGCCCACAAGGCAGCTTTAGAATACGTGGGGGAGCGACAAGATGCACTGGCATTCCGACAGCAATTAAACTGTGACTGGGAGCATAAACATATCTGTGTCACTTCTCTACCATAGAATCAATCTATACATAGTTGAGATGAGGTGAAACAACACCTCTGGGGAACCTTTCATGACAATTTAACAGCAGACATAAAGCAACTTAAAACAAAAATTTTAGAATCCCCTCACACCATAGATCTACACACCCAACAAACAGCCATATGGAAAGGTGTGCAAAATCATCTCTCCTGGTTAGACCCCCACTCCTGGAGGTCACTCTGACTGGAACTGAATGTTGCAAATTGTACTCATGATTGTTTTATGTTATTTGCTAATTCTAGGATGCAAAGCTGGAATAAGAGCAATGACTGCCATGCCCGACAAACCTGTTGCTGCACACATCTGCAGTCTCCAATGCAAAAGACCTGATGCAGAAAACAAAAAAGGGAGAGATGTGGGGGTTCAGTCAAGCTGGTGGGAAAAATTTTAGTTATAATAGCCACAAACCCTCTTGGAAGGCCTGAGAGTTTGCATAACTTCGGTAATAAATCTGGCTGAAGGCAGCCTAGTCCCTTTACCTTTAGTTAAATAAATTAGGGTAGAAACAAAGGAGTGTAGGGAGTTTATCTAACTAACTTGCTTAATCACGTGGTCTTAAGACTAACCTGTGTTCTACCGCTGGTGCTTAATTGCTTTCTACTTGGGAGGTCCACAATGTCAATTACACAATGTCAAGTGTAGAAAAATTGGATGTTTCAAAAAAGAACACCGCCAGACCTCTGGGCAGAAGGGATCTTAAAACACGGTTCCCCTCTCCACAGAAAAAACATGAGGACTTTGCCCTCGTTGCAATAAAGGAAATCATTGGGCTAATCAATGCCACTCAAAATTTCATCAAAATGGCACGGGAAGCGAAAAGGGGACCTGGACCCAGGCACTTCAAACTATGAGGGCATTCCCCGTCCAGGCCACAACTCCGTTTCAGGGGTGGGTTTCCAGAGGCACATTGATTCCCTCTCCTCAGGAACACCTGGAAATGCAGGATTAGCTCTCCTAGAGAAAAAATTATGTTAATTGAAAGAAACAAACTCACTAAGATTCCCGTTGGTATTTGGGGACCTTTGCCAACAATATACATGGGACTGATTTTGGTAAAAGCTATCTTAACTTAGAGGTCCAGGAGTTGTTGATTTTGATTGTGAAGGAGAAATTCAGGTAGTGGTAATGTCACAAGATCTTTGGGTTTTT
Source organism: Homo sapiens (assembly GCF_000001405.40). Lineage (NCBI taxonomy): Eukaryota > Metazoa > Chordata > Mammalia > Primates > Hominidae > Homo > Homo sapiens. The sequence goes on along the minus strand of NC_000010.11, from coordinate 43,300,403 downwards.
GAACCAGGAGAGCGTATTGCTCAGTTGTTGCTTATTTCCTGTAAATTGTACCCTTCTCTAAGTAAGAAGTAAGGAGATCAGGGATTGGGGAGGTATAATTAGGAGATAAATTTATCTATCACAACCCATAGCATCTCATAGACCCAATTGTGCAGTGTACATTGAAGAAAATAAGTTTTGTGGGCTTATGGATACAGGAGCAAGAGACTGGTCTCTTGTGGTAATAGATCTTGAGGATTGTTTATGAGAAGGATAAGCCTCGATTTGCTTTTTCCGTGTCTTCTGTTAATCAGAAAGAGCCTGTCTTTCATTATCAGTGGAAAGTTTTACCCCATGGCAATTGACTAAAGAGGCAGAAGCTGAGTTACAATTGCTTCAGCAGTGGCATGCCTCCTGGCTACAGCCACAAAAACCTTTGCTTTTACAGATTTACTAATGTGGGGTCGAGGGTATGCTTGTGTTTTTGCAGGAGATGAACAAACCATGTGGGTGCCGTCAAGATGTGTGCAACCATGGAAAGGGAGACTGGAGGGACCCATGGATTCCAACTACAGGCCTGGTTCCCCCAGTATGAGCAATGAGCCAGTTGAATCTGAATGCGAAAACAGAACGAGGACCAACCAGAGTCACGCTGACACCAACCCCCGTGACATGGGGACAGATCAAGAAAACCACACAGGAAGCTGAGAAACTGCTGGAGTGCCAGGGTTTTACCTTGTGCTGGAACTCAGAGGTACAATCCATCGATTGTACCTTAATGGACCAATGCTTTCTGACTGAGCTCCTCTCTACCCTGAATACAAGAGAACCTAATAGGCAAGAATATTTTCGCCCCTGTTCAGCATGAAGAAGTTGCAGAAGAGAGACCTTCATCTTTCTGCAACCCTTAGGATTAAGGGTCCTCTTGTTAAAGGGAAGGGGGAAATATGTAAGAAGCATTCAAACCAGAGCAACTCCATTTTGAATAAGGGCTAAGAAAAATGAAGCTGGATCACCAACTCGCAATTAAGGGCTGCACAGCCTGCAATTGCCTTGCTCAATTAATTTAAAAACAAAAAGGAGGAGATGTTGGAAGCTGCACAAATGTTTCTTATGATTAGACATAATTGAAGCTTGTTAGTAACAATATGAACCTGTGATCAATTAAGCATCTGACCAATCATTACCTCCTCCTCCTTGCTGTTGTTACCCAATAAATACGAAGGGCTGTAGAAGCTCAGACGGCTGCCTTTGCTTAATACAAGCAGAGAGCCCTTTTCTTCTCTTCTCTCTTCTTCTTCCCCATGCTAGCCTTTCCTTAAAATAGTTACTTTTGTCTTTTATCATTTCTACGTTCGTCTTGTAATGACAGTCTCAAGCAGTAACAGTAGTAACTACTGTAATGACAGTCTTAGGCAGTAACAGTAGTAATTGTTGTAGTGACAGTCTCAAGTAGTAGCAGTGGCAGTCGGCCACAGATCATCACCCAAAGGTGGCTGGGATTCTGGTTCCAGCCAGCGAGGCCCAGGTTGGACGTATGAGTCTGGACCTGATAGCACCCACACTGTGTCTGCAGTGCCAGAGAGGGACAGATCACAGAGTAGGTAGATGCAGAGGGAGGCACGGAGCCGAGGACTGAGTCTTGGGCACGCCAGTGGGAGGTGGGGGAACCAGGAAAGGGGGTTGAGGGGAGGGAACAGGGCAGGGGTGTCCTGGGACAGGTTAGGAGGCCGAGGAGGGGCTGTGGAGGAGGAGGACATAGGGGAAGGAGGGGCTTAGGAAGGCAGGGGTGAGCCCATACAGATAGGTCATGATAGGCTACGTCATCATAGAAAACTAAGGATTAGTTTCTAGAATTGGCTGCTGTGGGCTGGGTAATCCCACAGGCTGTGGGATCACGCCTGTAATCCCAGCACTTTGGGAGGCCAAGGTGGGTGGATCACCTGAGGTCAGAAGTTCGAGACCAGCCTGGCCAACGTGGTGAATCCCTGTCTCTACTAAAAATACAAAAATTAGCCAGGTGTAGTGGCGCATGCCTGTAGCCCCAGCTACTCGGGAGGCTGAGGCAAGAGAATCACTCGAATATGGGAGGCAGAGGTTTCAGTGAGGCAAGATTGCAACACTGCACTCCAGCCTAGGTGAAAACAGCGAAACTCCGTCTCAAAAAAAAAAAAAAAAGAATTGGCTGTCATGGAGGCCACTGAAGCCTTACAAGACCAGTTTTGGTTGAGGAAATGATTTGGAATAGATTCAAGAGTGATGGGATGGGAGTGAGTATAGACCATGAAAGTAGATGAATTTTTGAGCATATTTTCCTGGAAATGGGAGCAAAAAGAGGCACAAGAAAAATAGAGTCGAGAGAGTATTTTAAAGGATTTTTTTGTTTGTTTTTAGAGACAGGGTCTTGATCACGGCGCACTGCAGCCTCCGTCTCTCAGGCTCAAGCGATCCTCCCATCTCAGCCTCCCCAGTAGCTGAGACTACAGGCGCATACCACCATGCCCAACTAATTTATTATTAGCAGAGATGAGGTTTCTCTATGTTACCCAGGCTGGTCTTGAACTTCTGGGTTCAAGTGATCCTCCCGCCTCAGAGGGTGTTTGCATCACTATCTCTGGCAGAGTCTCCATGTGGCCTCCCCAGCATGGTGGCCTCAGGGCAGCCAGGCTTCACACCTGCAGTTGATCCCAAGGCGCCTGCCCCAAGAGAGGCCCACGACAAAGCTGTGTGGCCTTGTGTCTCAGAAGCCATACGCTATGAGTTAAGGCAGTTATTGAGGGCCACCCAGGTCAAGGGGTGGGGACTTGGACTCCACCTCTCGATGGAGGTGTATCCAGGTCATACCGTGGAAAGAGCATACGTGACCACCTTTGGAAATGCAATCAAGAGCTCCTAGATCAATGTGCAGCCTAAATCACAGTCTATTCAAAACCATGTAGCCCATCCTGCTGACAAGTTCTTACTTATGTCCTCCCCAAATGCCTCTTTCCCTAACTCCCATCTTCAGTCCAATGTGGCTGTTGAGGAGGGGTGGAATTATTCCCACCTGCAAAGGCAGATTTCAACTTTTGGGGTCTGAGGGATCTGAATTCCCACTCCTGTTCTGCCACCTATGCACTGAATGGCCTTGGGCAAACATCCTACTCTCCCAAGCCTCAATTTCATCATTCTAAAAGTGTGGATGATCATGATATTCCTTTTTAAAACATAAACGTTTATTGAGCACCTACTATTATAGGTTTTTTTTGTTTGTTTGTTTGTTTTTGAGACAGGATTGCATTCTGTCGCCCAGGCTGGAGTGCAGTGGCGTGATCACAGCTCACTGTATGTAGCCTCAACCTCCTTGGCTCAAGTAATCCTCCTGCCTCAGTCTTCCGAGTGGCTGGGATTACAGGTGCGTGCCACCCACTCAACTAATTTTTTGTATTTTTTGCAGAAATAGGGTTTCACCATGTTGCCCAGGCTGGTCTTCTCCTGGGCCCAACCCATCTACCCACCTCAGCCTCCCAAAGTGCTGGAATTACAGGTGTGAGCCACCACACCCAGCCAGGAGAGGCAAAATAAACATGTTCCCACAATGATGCCCATGAATCTCTAAGACAGGGAACTTGAGTCAAAAGCAAGAGTTCAAATCTTTGGGACAAAGAAAGAGAAGGTTTGGCTGGGGAAGAAGAGTAAGAAGTGTTTCCAGTGCACTGTCACCAGTGCCACAATCACGTAAGGACGGTTAAGTCAAGCATGAAATTAACAGGAGCAGAAATCTGTGTTCCTTCCACTCAAATCTCTGTGGCTGGGCTTCACGTTTGTTGAGATAATTGTCCCCCATGAGATTACCCTGTGCCTCCAAGGAGACACTATTCTCATTAACGCTAGGTGGAGTGCAGGCTTCCCCAGCAGTACCAGCACAACAGTCTCTCACCAGCTGGTGGTCTCTCTCCTCCAGGGTAAGGCCACGAAGATGTCTCTACCTCTCCTCGTAAAAAGCCCAGCCTGACTCTTACCAACCTGCCCATTGCTGGGACACCTGTGGAGGAGCCTGGGGCAGGAGTGGGGACACAGGACTTCTCTATGTGGCTGCGCCCTCCCCCCCATAGGCTCTACCTACTTCACCCACTCCTGACCAGTGCACCCAGTCTATGATCCCTCGGCCATGCCGTCTACCTCTACATGCCTTAGGCTTGTACTAGCTGGCATGGCCTCTGCCTGCATATCTAAGATGGGATCCTTGACCTCATCAAATGAGGCACCTGCAAAAGTTCATCATTCTGGAGAGATTTGAAAGATATGTAATGATATTATTTTGCACTGAAACACAGGCCTGGCGTGGTGGCTCACACCTATAATCTTAGCACTTCGGGAGGCTGAGGTGGGAGGATTGTTTGACACCAGGAGATCTAGACCAGCCTGGGCAACACAGTGAGACCCAGCTGTACACAAAATACTAGTTAGCTGGGTGTATTGATGTGCTCCTGTAGTCCTAGCTATTTGAGAGGCTGAGGGCAAGAGGATTGCTTGAGGCCAGGGTTCAAGGCTGCAGTGAGCCATGTTCATATCACTGCACTCCAGCCTGGGTAACAGAGCAAGATCCTGTCTCAAAAAAACTCCAAAAACAAAATCCCCAAAACAGAAAATAAAAAAGAAACACAGCCAGGAATGCAATGTTACTTGGTTTCTCTGGGTCTCCGGATGTATGGATTAACACCTTCCTGTGAGGGGTGAGAGGAGGCGGAGGGGTGCGGCCTGCTGGACACTGGCACAGCTCCCAGCCTCATGACCGCCCCCTCCACTGCCCGCCCCTTTCCATTCGGTGGCTCCCAGCCACTGCCCTCGGCCCGGCCATCCCTTGCCCTTCCCTGCTCTCCTCTTGAGGGACTGCTCTTTCTTACTCACTTTGCTGGCACAAGGCCCTCTTCATCCCTGAAGGGGAGATGGTGAGGGGCCCACACTTACCGCCACTCGCTGTGTCTGACACCAGCCCACTCAGGCTAAGACGTGCTGCTGTAATGAAGGGGCCCAGATCTCAGAGACTGTGACCCAGAGGACTATTTCTTACCCACATGGACCGTCTACTGCGAGTCCCCTCAGCCGGGGCCTTAGGATGCAGAAGCCACAAATGGGACCTGCAAGGCTTGTGGGAGGTGAGGAGTGAAGGGAGCCCAAAATCCGGCCCCTCAGCTCTTCCTGGGGGTGCCCAGGCCATGGCCACTCAGACCTCCTTGCCAAAGCTCATCCCATCCCCAGCCTGCTGTCAACAGGGGAGGCAGGCCCCCAATAGCCGGGAGGGATGGCAGGGACTCCCAGCAAGTGGCACCCTCCATGGCTGGCTGTCCACTCGCCTTTTAGGTCCCTCCTCAGAGCCCTGTGAGGAGGAGAGGAGCGGCTCCACAGAGCTGTGGGGCCAGGCAAGCAGCAACTCAGGGTTGCTGCAGTCCTCCGGGGGGATCTCAGGGCTGAGCCCAGCAGGGGATGAAGCCAGAGTGCCCTGGAGTCCAGCTCTACCTATAGGTACAGGGATTCGGGGTGCTCAGGGGACCACACAGAGGCTGCGGGCTTGAGAGGTCAGTGAAAGTGGCAAGGAGGGCCAAAGGAGGGGGTGGGTGACCCCAGGAGGGGGTGAGGTGTTCAGAGGAGATGAGATGTTCCCAGGAGGGGGTGGGTGACCACAGGGGGGTGAAATGTTTCCAGGAGGGGGTGAGATGACCCTAGGAGGGGGTGGGGAGACCGTGACCCCAGGAGGGGGTGGGTGACCACAGGGGGTGAGATGTCCCCAGGAGGGGGTGAGATGACCCCAGGAGGGGGTGAGAGGATCCCAGGAGGGGGTAAGGTGTCCCCAGGAGCGGATGAGATGTCCCCAGGAGGATGTGGTGTGTCCACAGGAGGAGCTGGGTGGATGCAGGAAGGGGTGGAGTCACCACAGGAGGTAGGGGGACCACAGGTCGGGTGGGTGGGGTAACCACAGGACCTCAGGTGATCTATCCATTCTCACCTCACCGGAAGCAGTTTCTCGACCCTGGGAAGTCCCCTCTGTGCTCACCCCCTGAGCCTGTCTCCAGGATCAAGAAGGAGGTGCCTATCCTGGTTGCTGGACAGACCCAGACCTCCCCATTTCTGTCTCTCCCTCTAGGATCGGGGACTTTGGGGGAGTGGGCCAGCCGTCCACATGAGGGGCAGGATCGGCTGTCCAAGCCCAGAGGCTGTTGCTCACAGGTGTTCCCTGGATCCAGAGGACTGTAGGGCATGTCCCCGAATTGGGCAGTGTTATTTCAGGAAACCTCAGTGGCACAGCCTTTTGCCAGGCATGAAGTCCAGGGTCCTCAGGCTGGACGAGGCGCATCCTGAGTCCAGATGCAGAGAAGTGAAGCCGCACTTCACAGTTTTTTTCTGGAGTTTCTTAGTCATGGAGCCGTGGTGCTCGGGGGCTCTCAGATACCCTAGAGTACAGCATGATCTTTTCATAGATGGGGCTGCTCTGGTCCAGGGAGGGGAAGGCCCAGAGCAAGACCCTGGGGGGTCTCAGCTGTGGCAAGCCTTTTGCTCCTGGTCACCCTGCGATTCACAGGGGTTGACACACGCAACCTCAAGCCCTCCAGAAATGCCCTCTTGGTCATGTAGTGTAGACAGGGCACTATTCAGAACCACAGTCTCGACTTCAAGTCCTGTCTTTGCCGTTTATGGCTGTGTGCCCTGGGGAATTGATTTAACCTCTCGGAGCATCTAAAATTGGGTTGCAGCTGCCCCATCACATCGAAGGGTGACTAGAAGACTGGACTGCCCTTTTCTGTTATCACTGGGTGTGTGGAGTTGATGGGAGAGAAGCAGTGCCTTTCATCTGTTCTGAAGCTGTGTTCACTCTCAGCACTTCAGAGTCAGGAGCTGGGCGGGCGGCAGGTGATTCTGCACACTTTCACCTGGAACCTGACTGGACGACCCCAGCCCTCAGTGTTTCCAACAAACCACTGAAGGACCACGAGGAAGAAGCCAGCGTCTGGGATGGTGTCCAGAACATTCTGCTGACACCTGCTGGTATGATCAAGGAAGCACCAGCTTCGACCTCGCAGAAGGGCACAGAATGGAATCTGGAGAAAGACAGCAGACGTTCTATCAGAAGTGCCATGCCACCCAGTCCTGCTGGCAAAGTGGACAGCATGGTGTGCAAAACCTGGGCATTACTGTCTCAGAATCAGAAAGGGACTCCGGCGCCTCCCTCTTGCTCAGTCTCTCTCTCCCTGCTCCCCCCCACCCCGTGATATTATTAAGGAAGAGAAACATGTTTTTAGGGACAGAAGAGGGCAGCTCTTTCTTCTGCCCTAGGGACAAGTTACTCCCAATGATTGGCAGAGCATTTGAGTCCTCGCCTCTTCCTTATGTCTCCCTGGGATTCTGTGACCTGAGAAGACAGCACAGGAATCCGTTGTATGCACAATACACACACCTGTTCTGTCAATTAAAGCAGGGAGATCATTCAAATGCAGTAGCAGTCCTCGTGAGGCCACCTGCTCTCCGCTACCAAGCCTGGGGCCCTCCCTGGAGATGACAGGGCAACCCTCCAGTGTACGTCCCTCCTGAGGGCTTCTGCTTAATTCACTTTTGTGTAATTTGAGCTTCATCTGTGAGTTAACACAAATGGATGACATGAAAAGTGTCCCATGGATTCAAGCTTCTGTGACATGCTTTTTCCACTTAGCAATGTAATCCATATTAATGCATATAGGACGACCTCATTTCTAAACTGCCGAATAGGGATCATTTATTTACACTTTTCCATGTTGCTAGACACTGGGGACATTAGTAGCTATGGACGAATTGCCCTCCAGAAATGCTGCACCTATTTACACCCCACCAATCCTAAACATTTTCATAATTCACAGTTTTTGCCAAACTGACGAGTGAAAAATGTGTCTTGTGTCTTGAGATTACGCATGTTTTCATGGATCCCAGTTGCCTGTGCTTCCTCTTCTTTGATTTGCTTGTTTATGTCCTCTCCCTACTTAGTTGTTGAATTTTCCTTAATCGTGTATCAGGGATTGTTTTTCCTGGTATAGCTGTGGCCAATGTTTCCTCTACACTGTAACTTGCCTTTTAGGTTTGCAATTAGTGTCTTTGTATGTTTGTTTTTGAGACAGGGACTCTCTCTGTCATCCAGGCTGGAGTGCAGTGGTGCCATCATAGTTCGCTGCTGCCTCAACCTCCTGGGCTCAATCTATCTTCTCACCTTAGCCTCCTGAGTAGCTGGGACTATAGTCACATGCCACTATGCCCAGCTATTTTTTGCTAGTTTTTGTAGAGATGGTATATTGCCCAGGCTGATCTTGAACTCCTGGACTCAAACAATCTGCCTGCCTCAACTTCCCTAAATGCTGGGATTACAGGTGTGAGCTATCCTGCTTTGCCTAGTGTCTTTTATTCTATAGAACATTTTTGTTTTAAATTTGATGTGGTCAAATGTATTAATCTTTCATTTGTAGCTTTTATAATTCATGTCTTAAGAATGACTTTTCTGCTGGCCAGGTGTGGTGGTTCACGCCTGTAATTCCAGCAGTTTGGGAAACCAAGGTGGGTGGATCACTTGAGGTCAGGAGTTCGAGACCAGCCTGGCCAACGTAGTGAAACCCTGTCTCTACTAAAAATGCAAAAATTAGCCGGGGGTGGTGGCATACACCTGTAGTCCCAGCTACTCGAGAGGCTGAGGCAGGAGAATCGCTTGCACCCGGGAGCGGGAGGTTTCAGTGAGCTGAGATTGCGCCACTGGACTCCAGCTTGGGCGACAGAGCAAGACTCCATCTCAAAAAAGAAATGACTTTTCTACCTCAATATATATCCTTTTATATTTTCTTCACTTATATTTTTGCATATTTTCTTTAAGTTTTATAATTTTCTTTTTTTATGAGTTGAAGGTTTTATAATTTTCTTACAATGGTTTAGATTAATACATCATCTGGATTGTTTGAGTGTTGTGAGATAGCTCTCTATCTTATGTTACAAATATAGTGAGTCAACCCAGAACCATTTTTTGAATAGCCTATATTTTCACATTCTTTTAGTTTATAGGAAGTTACTAAATGCATGGGCCTATTTCAGGACACTGTTCTTTTTTAAAGTGAGTATTTTATATATTTATTCTTTTTTAAAATGTTATTTATTATTATTTTTTTAAATTTTTTTAGAGGTGGTCTCACTCTGTTGCCCAGGCTGGAGTGTGGTGGCGTGATCATAGCTTACTGTAGCCTCAAAATCCTGGGCTCAAACGATCCACCTGTCTCAGCCTCCTGAGTAGCTCAGACTACAGGTGTGCACACCACCACACCTAGATGATTTCTATTATTGTTATTATTTTAGGCTGAGATGGGGTCTTCCAATGTTGTCCAGGCTGGCTATATGTTTATTTTTATATATTGTTTCAATTAAAATCATTTATTGCATATTTTGTGTATCACAGAGAATCTCTGCTGCATTCTTCTCTTTTTCACACTTGTCTTTTTTTGTACATTTTCTATTTCTAATTGGCTTGTCAGTTTTATAGCGGAAATCCTGTTTGATTGTAATTGATGCCAAATTTAAATTCTACACTAATTTAGGGGAAAACTGACATTTGTACCATGTTCAATCTTCCATTGAGGAACACAGTATATCTCTATTCGTGCAATACATGCTACACTTTATAGTCTTCTCCACATTGGTACTGCTCATTTTTTGTTGGGCTTCCCCTCTATGTGCTGTAACAGTGTTGCTATCATGAATGACATTTTTCTTTTCTATGTTATAATTCATCATTGCTGATAGCTAGGAGGGCTTTGTGTAGATCTTGCCACATAGTTGAATTTGTCCTAATTATTCTTATAGTTTGTTAGTTCAATTTTCTAGACAGTGTAGAAAGTCACATTGCCTGAAAAAATGACACTGCATTTTACGATAAACCTTGTGTTCTCTTGTTCATTTCCTTCCCTGTAGTTCTTAAGTCTACTGGGGTTTTCTCACTCATTTTGATAATTTGTATTTTTTCCATACATTTTTCCATGATGCCTATGATTTCAAAGCTTTCCTCATACATATTGGGCCACGAAGACTAATTTCCTTCACCCACTTCATCTTTCCCCACATCATCTGTCTGTGTTTTCTCTCTTCTCCTGACCGTCTGCCCAAGTTGCACTACCCAGGTTGGGAACGCTCATGCAAACCCCTGAGCCTCACCTGCTTCCATCGAAACTCACAGCATCACTCCATTCTGAGGGTGAGTTTTTTTCCTATTGAATTTCTAATTTTCCCATTTATTTCTATTTCATGACTTTCTACTTTTTTCTCTGTTTTTTCATTTTTGTTTTTTTGTTTGTTTGTTTGTTTGTTTGTTTGTTTTTTGAGGTAGGGTCTTGGTCTGTTGCCCAAGCTGAAGTGCGGTGGCACGATCTTGGCTCACTGCAGCTTCTGCTTCCTAGGTTCAAGCCATTCTCCCACCTCAGCCTCCCAAATAGCGGGTATTAGAGGCGCCCGCCACCACGACTGGCTAATTTTTGTATTTTAGTAGAGACAGGGCTTCACTATGTTGTCCAGGTTGGTCTCAAACTCCTGGGCTCAAGTGATCCATCCACCTCCTCACAGGTGAGGGGTAGGGGGATTCCAGGCATAAGCCACCGCACTCAGCCTTGCTTTTTTCTCTATCAATCACTTTATTCAACTTTATTGGGTTATTTTAATGTTAGTGTTCCTGTTTTTGAACTAAGATAGTAGTTCATTTATTTTTAATCTTCCTTTTCTCTAATAAACGTATTAAGGCTTCTACATTTTCTGTGGATATTGCTTTGAAACATTTCACAAGTTTAAAAAGTGGAATATTCTGTTCTGTCACCCATTTCTAAGTGGTTGGTAATTTCTATTTGGGTTTTGTTTGTTTGTTTGTTTTAGACAAGGTCTCTCTGTGTTGTCTAGGCTGGAGTGCAGTGGCTATTGTCACACGTGTGATCATTGCATACGACTCCTCCAACTCCTGGGCTCAAGTGATCTTCCTGCCTCAGCCTGCTGTGTAGTTGGGACTATGGTCATGTACTACCAAGCCTGGCTTGTTTTGGTGTTCTTTTAAAAGTTATTTTATTTTATTTTATTTATTTTTTTGAGACAGGGTCTTGCTCTGTCACTCAGGCTGGAGTGCAGTGGCACTGGATTACAGCTCACTGCAGCTTCGACCTCCCTGGCTGAGGCGATCCTCCTTCTTCAGCCTACCAAGTGGCTGGGACCACAGGTGCACACCACCACACTTGGCTACTTTTTAAATTAGTTTTAGTGACAGGGTCTCCCTATGTTGACCAGGCTGGTCTTGAACTCCTGGACTCAAGTGATCCTCCTGCCTCGGCCTCCCAAAGTGCTGGGATTGTAGCTGTGAGCCACTACACCTGGTGATTATTGTAGCTTTGTAGTAAGTTTTCAAATCAGGAATTGTGAGTCATCCAACTTTGTTCTTCTTTTTGAAGATTTTTTTAACTATCCTGGGTTCCTTGAATTTTCATATGAATTTTCAGAACAGCTTGTAACTTTCTGCAGAGAATTCACCTGGGATTCTGATATGGATTCTGTGAACCCAGAGATCTTTAAGAAGTATTGCCGTCTTAACCATATTAAGTCTCCCAATCCATGAATGTGGATGTCTTTCCATTTATTTAAGTGTTCTTTAATTTCTCCCAACTGTGTTTATAGTTTTCAGTGTACAAGTTTTGCACTTCTTTTGTTAAATTTATTCATAAATTTTCAGTCTTTTAATTTTTTTGAGACAGGGTCTTTCTGTGTTGCCCAGGCTGGAGTGCAGTGGTGCCAACACGGATCACTGCAGCCTTAACCTCCTGGGCTTAAGTGAGCCTCCTGCTTCAGCCTCCTGAGAAGCTAATTATGTATATATTTTTTGTAGAGATAGAGTCTTGCTATATTGCCCAGGCTGGTCTCAAACTCCTGGCCTCAAGCCATCCTCCTGCCTTGGCCTCCCAAAGTGCTGGGAGTCACAGTGCCCGGTCAATATTTTATTCTTTCTGATGCCCTTGTGAACAGAATTTGTTATGGGTTGAACTATATCTCCCCAAAATTCATATGCTGAAGTCTCACTTCCTAGTACTTTAGAATGTGACCCTATTCGGAAATAGGGTAACTACAGATGCAAATAATTGACTTAGAATGAGGTCACCCTGGAACAAGGTGGGCCCTAATCCAATGTAACTGGTGTCCTTATTAAAAGGGAAATTTGGACACAGACACAGGCTCAGGCACACAGGGAGAACTGCATGTGGAGCCTGGGGTTTTGCTGCCGCAAGCCAAGGAGCTATCAGAAATAAGGATAGAGGCTTGGGACAGAGCTTTCCCCTACGGCCTTCTGTGAGGGAACCAACCCTGCATCACCTTGGTTTTGGACCTCTGGCCTCCAGAGCTATGAGACAATATATTTGTAAGCTACCCATAAGCTACCCAATTGGTGGCATTTTGTTATGGTGTCCCTCCAAATTATATTGTTTTCTTAATTTGATTTTCAGTTTGTTCATTGCTAGTGTATAGAATATGACCGATTTTTGCATATTCACCTTGCACCTTACAGCCTTGCTGAACTTGCTATTAGCTGTGAGTGTGTGTGTGTGTGTGTGTTCCTTAGTACTTTTTATATTCAAGATTTCATCATCTGCAAACAGAGAGTTTTACCTCTTCCTTTCCAATCTGGATGCTGTCAAGATTTGCAGTGGAATATGTTCTGGCTTCCTATTTACGCACATCTCTCTGTGGATATTAATTATACTTATTCTAAAGTCTTATTCTGTTTGTTGTATTAGCTCTGGGTCCCTGAATGTGTTTTCCATGAGATGTGTTGGTTTCCTCTTTTGTGCTACTTGTCTGCCTTGGGTGTTTAAATTACAGTGACTCACGACTGGGCTCCTCCTCGCCCTTCCACTTCCTGTTTACCGGTGTGACTGTTCTGTTTCTTCTGCCCAAGGCACATGGGGGCAGGGCAAGCCTTGTGGTCAGTTGTGGGCTCACCTGGAGGAGTTTCCTGGAGTGGGGCCACTCTGCTGCCTGGGGTTGCTCCAGACTCCGCCTGGCCTCTGAAGCCCAAATGCCTACACTTCCACCCTGTCCTGGAGCAAGTGAAGGAGGAGGACAGGTGTTGACTCCCAGGTCCTCTCCAGGGTCTCAAAGCCCTCGGAGCCCAGGCCCCTCTGCTGCTTCCTCCCAGAGCCTGCAGCACAGCCCAGGAGTCTCTTTTCGTTGTTACTGTTTTTGTTTGGAGACAGGGTCTCGCTCTGTCACCCAGGCTGAAGTGCAGTGGTGTGAACACAGCTCACTACAGCCTCGACTCCCCGAGCTCAAGTGATCCTCCTGTCTCAGTTTCCTGTGTAGCTGGGACTACAGGTATGCACCATCACACCAGGCTACTTTTTAATTTTTTGTAGAGACAGAGTCTCCCTATGTTGCCCAGGCTGGTTTCGAACCTCTGGGCTCAAGGGATCCTCCTGGCTCAGCCTCCCATTTGTGGCAATACGGGACTAGAAAACTGATCTCACTGGTCTCCCCCTGTCCTCTGTAAAATGGGTAGAACATTCCTCTCTGAAAGGCCAACATGGGAATGAACACAGGGCATGCTTGGGAGGCACCTGTGCACTGAGGTGCATTCAGGTGTCACAGGGTCTCATCAACTCCCTGTGGCCTGGTTGGTCAGTGCCTGTGCCACAGGCCTGTAGGGTCTGTGGGGACTCACCGGAGCAAAGAAGGCCAAGCACCTCCCCGCTCTGGGTTCCAGAGATTCCAACAAGCTCTGCTGTCTTGCAGGGGGTGCCCGAGTGCGCCTGAGTATGCCACCTTTGCACTCTGGGTACACACGCCAGACACCGACAGGTGCCCTCGCAGACACGTGCACAGACATGCACCCTGTGGAGCAGCCCATAGCACCCCACAGTCCTCGGTGGGGCGGGATTATTCTTTCTCCACATCCGCTTCTGTTTCCTCTTTCCCTGTCCCGCTCCCACTCCCTCTGAAAGAATCCTTTTCTGTCTCCTGTGCCCTCTCCCCAGCTTGACCAGGCCTCAGTTTGCGCTCTTGGCTTCATCACGCGGTGTCAGCTATGCTGCAAGTAGAGTTGGGAGTTCGCTTCAGCATCCACAGCCCCTTGGTGTGGTCCCCTCCACCAAACCAGCCCCAGAGCATGGGGGAGAGGCTCAGCTGCCCCACTGCCCTCAAGGAGGGCTGGCGAGGGTGGGGTCACACAAGGCGTGAAAATTAGGAGCAGTAGCCCAGCTGCAGGATGCTCCCTGAGCAAAGCCACCCTCTGCCCTGGGATGAGGCAGAAGCTTACTCTCCCATCCCTTAGCCCAGGCAGGGGTTTAGGGGCCACCCCCAGGGCCAGCTGTGGCTCCTTTCCTGGGGTCACCATAGGAAGCCTCCCCCAACCCCAGTTCTCTTGGCAGAATGGCTGGGGGCCTGACAATGACCCATCCAAGCCCAGGCAGAAGGCTGGGCTCTGGCCTGTCCCTGCCATGGGCTGCAGCCAGCCTCCCAACCCCTCAGGCTGTCTCTTCTGCGAAATGGCTGCCTGTCCTCCCCAGTGAGGAGCGTGTTCTGGGACCTGAGGGTCATCTTGCCTGGCTAAACTAATGTGAGTCTTCTCTGCATTTCCCATGTCCGCTCCTGCTTCCTCCCTCCATTCATTAATTCACCCCCCTCATTTGTTCAGCAAGTGTGTGCTGAGAGCCTGCCCTGTGCTGCACACCGCATGTGCATGGGGTATGGTAACACGGTCTGACCTGGCCCTGGAAACCCTCTTGCGGCTTCTCTAGGGGCCTTTGCTTTAAGCCTCCCCCGCAACCTGGCATCCACTGGCTGCTTCCGGGAAGCACTGGAAGTGTGGAGAACCCTTCCTGATCAGTTATGATCCGTTTAGTTGAAAAACAATGCCATTCACAGTGGCACCCATGCAGGAGCTTTCCATCCCAATTAGAAATGAGTGATTTAATCTGTGAGCAGGGACAGAAGTTGGATTCTGACAAACGCATCAACCTCTAGAAAGAAGAGAGTGCCCAAGCCTCCCCCTCCATTAGCAGGAAGGCAGTGCATCCTCTTCCCTCTGTCTTCTTTCTAGAAGAGAGAGGAGGAGGGAAAGAGGGGAGATGAGAAGGGAGTCCCCACAGACTCTCCTGACCAGTGCCAGTTTGGGCCCAGGAGATGAGGGAAGCAGATGGCAGGGTCCACAGGGCCCCATGTTCCTCTTCAGGGACTCACCATCCGCACTGTCTTAAGGAGGCTCAATGTGCCCCATACGAGAGGGACACAGACTGTACCTCCTGAGGAATGCCGTTAGCCTCCAGGGGCTCACCACTCTCAGACCACTATTTTTACCATTCAAAACCCAGTCTGTGAGGGCTCGCACTGCTGGGCTAATTAAGAGTATTTTTTTTGGGGGGGGGGGCTGTGCATGCACGTGTGTGCATGTGTTCGTGTGCTCTGTTGCCATTGCCAGGCACTTCCCTGGTGTTCCCTCCTCCTTTATCCAAAGAGGTGCCCTCAGTTTACTCCCCTGTTACTGACATGGAAACTGCTTCTGAGGTGCACAAGGGACTTGGCCCAGTTCACACAGACAGTTAAGTGGCAGTGCTAGGACTGAAGTTAGCTCACAGCACCCCCATCTCTCTCTGCCTCTGGTTCATGTGCCCCTGGACCCCCTCACCTTTTAGTTTGGGATGCCAGCCCCATGTGGCCAGGGAGGCCCCCATGCTCAACCTTCACAGCCCCTGGCTGGAGACCTGCTGGTGACTCAGTGTCCAAAAAACCAGGCTGAGTTCCTGGGTCTCCAACATGTAGCCAGAAAGGAGGTCATGTTTCTGAAGTATGTACCTTGGACCAGATACTTCTCAGTGGGATCCTTGCTCAGTACCCTGGACAGGGCTATGGGAGAGGCACGACTGTCAGTCATGCCCTTCACAGACCAGGTGAGACACTGGAGGCTAGGAGGGGCTGGCCTTGTGTGAGTATGTGAGCATTAATACGGGCCTTCCTCCAGGGACTCTCAGCTTCAGGGCACAGGAACCTTGTAAGCCTAGCACCGAGCATGGCCATTTGGGTCTGACCTCCAAATCTATTTTTTGTTTTGTTTTGTTTTGTTTTTGAGATGGAGTCTCACTCTGTCACCCAGGCTGGAGTGCAGTGGCGTGATCTTGGCTCACTGCAACCTCCACCTCCTGGGTTCAAGTGATTGTCCTGCCTCAGCCTCCCAAGTAGCTGGGACTACAGTCGCGCACCACCATGCCCGACTAATTTTTGTATTTTCTGTAGAGACGGGGTTTCACCATATTGGCCAGGCTGGTCTCAAACTCCTGACCTCAGGTGATCCACCCGCCTCGGCCTCCCAAAGTGCTGGGATTACAGGCGTGAGCCACTGTGCCCAGCTCCAAATCTAAATGGCCTCTGGCTACCTAGAAAGGAAGGCCCTGGAGCTCAGCTGTGGTGTGAACCTTACCACAGAACCCTTGGAGCCATGCAGCACAACACAAGGATGCTAGCAGCAAACAGAGCTGGGTTAGAGTCCCAGCTCCACCACTCACTGTCGCTTGTCCTCTCTGTCTTTCCTGCCTGCAAAATGGGAACAACAGTAGCACCCACCCCACAGGGTGCTGTGAGGATCAGAGAGGATGCAGGGAAAGGATTAGTGGGTGGGGGACAGGAAGTGGTCAGCAGAGGGCAGCCCTTCGAGGGGCAAAGAGGGAACAGTGTCCCACCACTCGATAACGCTGGGAACAGAGAGCTTCGCTTTGAATGGAGCTCTACCCCAGTGCAGCAGCCGTGCTGGCACCTGCGGCAGGACTGGGCAGCCTCATCCCAGTGGGGCCTTCTCTCTCTTGCATTGGCCCCTGCTGCTCTCACGATTTCTCCACTAAAGGTGGATGAGTAAAGGCATTTCCATTCCACACCAAGGGCCCTTGGAAAGCACAGCACCCCAAGGTCAAGAGTGTGAGCAGGCAGGCCAGAGAGAGAAGGTGTGTCCTGGGCCGGGAGGTAGAGCCACAGAGCTGGTCTGTGCTGGTTGGGCAGGGCTTGCCATTCTGGGGAACATATAGCATCTCTCTGTCCAGGGAGGTCATCTGGCCCCCCAACCCTCCCTTGGCTTCCACTCATGTCTTTGGCCTCTTAGCCCCTAGGGTGCAGTTAGATAATCCTAACCCTGGCTGATGACGAGAAGGGGCTCGTCAGCTGCCTATGACATTTGCAGGGTACCTGGGCACACTACTACCCGGGCACACTACTACCCTCAGCCTGATCCTTCCTGCTGTCGGGAAGAAGGTCCTTCTGTCCTGGTATTCGTCACCCAGGAATTCCCCGGAGCACCGCCCCCAAGTGCTGTC
Source organism: Homo sapiens (assembly GCF_000001405.40). NCBI lineage: Eukaryota > Metazoa > Chordata > Mammalia > Primates > Hominidae > Homo > Homo sapiens. The sequence continues at coordinate 43,283,073 of NC_000010.11, read as the reverse complement.
CTCGGTGCTGACCAACAGCGCACGTCTTTGTGGCCGGCAGCCAAGGACCCTCAGACAGAGAGAGGTTCCAACTTTCGCAGAAAGCTGGATTAGGCTGCAGAGTTGCAGGATCCTGAGCCTTAACGACAGCAGATGTCTGACACTGCCTGGCTGTCCTCAGCCTCAGAAGCGGGTGCTGAGAGCCCTATGTGGACTCGTTCCTTGCAGAGCTGCTGCTGGGGCGCATTCCGCACTTCAGAGGCGGAAGCTCTCCAGGGTGGAGAGACATCAGTCTTGCCCATAGCCCTAAATAAGTGTTGCTTTGATGTTGCTGTCTTTCACTTTCCATGTAATAGAAACATCCCCATTTCTTCTGTGAAATGAGAGACATTGGATCTCCTTAAGGAGGCAAAGTGTACCTTACCCTCAGGTACAGAGAGGACAGGACTCCCCACCACCTCTTGTGACAGGGTCCTTCCAGGTCTGATAGGACTTCCTGGCTCCTGGCTCAGGAATTCCTGACTTAGGTCGAGGACTGAAACCCAGGAGCCCCTGCTCCCTTCCCACTCTGGAATGGTGCCCCTGGCTCGGTCCTGCTTACATCATCTGTAAATGTCCAACCAGGATTTGGACCATGTTCCTAGCATAGATCTTCTCACGAAGCTGCTTGGGTGAAGTGGAAAAAATGGGGGATGCTGGAGTCTCATACTCAGTCTCTTCCCACTCCTCAGGGGCTCACAGAGCTCACACTGAAAACCTTAACCCTAGAAAGAGCCTTGTAAACAGCAGCCTTTGAATAGGTCCGGGTGGGGTGAACTGAAAAGTGCATCCTGGGAACATTTGAAGATCCTGCCTTCCTCTACCTTCCAGCTCCTCCTGCCTCCACTAATTTGACAGAAATACACTCTAGACAATAGTTTCAGGTACAAGCCATTAGCCCAGATGAGACAAATAATGCCTCAGTTCAGAAAATTTGCCCATGATCACATTCTAGAGGCAAAAAGAACATTTAGCTTTTGTACTTGATGCAAGAGACTTCCAGATAAAATGGCTACATTTGCATGCACCTCTAAGTTATTTCCAAATTTCCATTGAAATAGCCAAGAACAGAACACAGAAATAGAAAAAGCGTGCATCGATGCCAGAAATTGGAGGGGTGTGACATTGACAAATCAGAAACTTGGATATTCAAGATATTCTTCCAGAAAAGGATGGGACAACACCAAATAGAAAGAAATCCTGACCCAACTACTGGCAGAGCCCCATGACCATCGCTTATTGTGAAGATCCAAGAACTAGAGGCAAGACGGCTGGGGCATCTCTGGATTTTACCCTCCCTCTGAGAAGGGACTGGAGCCTTGGGTCACTGAGAAGGTGGGGCATAAGGTCGCACTTGATTTATGTCCAATAAGAAGAGTGACTGCACTAAGCAAAGAACGGGGATGCTGCCCCAGCTATGGCTGCCATGATATCTATATCTGCATATATCTATATATATATATATTTTTGAGATGGAGTCTTGCTCTGTTACCTAGGCTGGAGTGCAGTTGTGTAATCTCTGCTCACTGCAACCTGCACCTCCTCGGTTCAAGTGATTTCTTGCCTCAGCCTCCCGAGTAGCTGTGATTACAGGCTCCCGCTACCATGCCTGTGTTGTATTTTTAGTAGAGAGAGGGTTTCACCACGTTGGCCAGGTTGGTCTTGAACTCCTGACCTCAGTGATCTGCTCGCCTCGGCCTCCCAAAGTGCTGGGATTACAGGTATGACCCACCGCGCCCAGCCACCAGTTTCATTCATAAATGGGTGGTATCTTAGAATCCACTTCATATAGTTGTGATAATTAAATAAAGTAATTCATGTTACAAACTCAGCACTGGGCTGGTATTTGGTGACTATTTGTTCCCAAATATAGCAGCGGTTTCCAGTGTTGGGTAAGCAGGATGATCCATTTATATCTATTTATTTAAAATACAGAAATTCAGCTTTACTAATAACTAATTTGCAGACTGACCCCGGCACCTGCCTTGATCCAATGTCAGGTGGATTCTGTTTTTTTCTGGTAAAGGCCACCCACTGGATCAGAGCAGGAGACCCCACTGCAGAGAGAGAGCAGTGGTCCCCCACATGTTTCTTGCTTTCAGAATTTTGCACTTATTGTAGTTTCCATGAACCCAGCTAAGGGTATGTATAGATTATATTTTCTTAAATAGTTGAATCTTTTTTTTGTAATGTCTTTGTCTGATTTTGGTATTAGGGTAACTCTGGCCTCATAGAATGAGCTAGGAAATGTTCCTTCTGCTTCTATCTTGTGAAAGAGACTATATAATTTCTTGCTTAAATGTTTGGTAGAATTCACCAGGAAACCCATCTAAACCTGGTACTTTCTGATTTGGATGGTCGTTAATTACAGATTCAATTTCTGTAGTAAATATAGGCCTATTCAGATTGTTTATTTCTTCTTGTGTGGTTTTTGTTAAATTGCGTCTTTCAAGAAATTGGTCCATTTTGGCCGGGCAAGGTGGCTTGCGCCTGTAATCCCAGCACTTTGGGAGGCTGAGGCAGGTGGATCACGAGGCCAAGAGATCAAGACCATCATGGCCAACATAGTGAAACCCCATCTCTACTAAAAATACAAAAATTAGCGTGGTGTGGTGGCATGCGCCTGTAGTCCCAGCTACTTGGGAGGCTGATGCAGGAGAATTGCTTGAACCAGGGAGGCGGAGGTTGTAGTGAGCCAAGATCACGCCACTGCACTCCAGCCTGGCAACAGAGTGAGACTCTGTCTCAAAAAAAAAAATTAATTAATTTAGCGACTCCTTCTTTCTTTTGATGAGTGCCAGCATGGTATGTCTTTCTCCATCTCTTTTAATCTATATGTGTTTTTATATTTGAAGTAAATTTTTTATAGACAACATATAGTTGAGTATTGTTTTTTGATTTACTCCGACAGTCTCTTTTAGTTAGTATTTAGACCATTGACATTTCAAGTAACTATTGATATAGTTGGATTAATATCTACCATACTTGCTGCTGTTTTCTATACATTGTCCTTGTCCTTTTTTCCTACTTTTGCCTACTACACTTTTTCTGCCTTTTGTGGTTTTAATTGAGCAATGTATTTTCTCTCTTTTCTTAGTATATCAGTTATGCTGATAAGTATACTTAGTATATCAGTTATACTTCTTTTTTTAAACATTTTTTTAGTGGTTGCCCTAGAGTTTGCACTAAATATTTACAGCTAGTCCAAGACCACTTTCAAATAATACTGTATTAGCCAGGTGCAGTGGCTCATGCCTGTAATCCCAGCACTTTGGGAGGCCAAGGCAGGAGGATTTTTGAGCCCAGAAGTTTGAGACCAGTCTGGGCAACATAGTGAGATCTCATCTCTACAAAAAATAAAAAATTAGCCAGCTGGGCATGGTGGCTGAAGTGAGCCATGATTGTGCCACTGCCCTCCAGCCTGGGCAGCAGAGTGAGACCCTATCTCAAACAAAACAGAACAAAACAAAACAAAACAAAAATGCTACATCATTTCATGGGGAGTTCAAGTACCTTATAAAAATAAAATAGTCCTGGCTGGGCGCGGTGGCTTACGCCTGTAATCCCAGCACTTTGGGAGGCCGAGGTGGGCAGATCACGAGGTCAGGAGATCGAGACCATCCTGGCTAACACGGTGAAACCCTGTCTCTACTAAAAATACAAAAAATTAGTGGGACTTGGTGGCGGGCGCCTGTAGTCCCAGCTACTCGGGAGGCTGAGGCAGGAGAATGGTGTGAACCCGGGTGGCAGAGCTTGCAGTGAGCCGAGATCGTGCCACTGCACTCCAGCCTGGGCGACAGAGCGAGACTCCATCTCAAAATAAATAAAATAAAATAAAATAAAATAGTCCTAATTTTTCCCCCATCCCTTGTATCATTGCTGTCATTCGTTTCACTTTTTTTTTTTTTTTAACATTTTTTCATCCTTTTATTTTATGGATAAACACAAGCATGGAAACAGAAGTGGTAATTGAAGTTGCTACAAACACATACACAAAATAATAACACACATCGTTTCACTTTTTATTTTACCTTCATTTACCTCCAGTTTTTATTTTACCTTCATTTATTCATTTTCTGATGCTCTTCTTTTCTTTCTTTCTTCCTTTTTTTTTTTTTTTTTTTTTTTTGAGACAGGGTCTCACTCTGTCACCCAGGCTGGAATGCAGTGGTATGATCTCAGCTCACTGCAGCCTCCGCCTCTTGGGTTCAAGCGAGTCTCGTGCCTCAGCCTCCCAAGTAGCTGGGATTACAGTCACATGTCACCACAGCTGGTTAATTTTTGTATTTTTAGTAGAGATGGGGGTTTCACCATGTTGGCCAGGCTGGTCTCGAACTCCTGACCTCAGGTGATCCACCTGCCTCAGCCTCCAAAGTGTTGGGATTACAGGCATGAGCCACCATTCCTGGCTCTAAAGGGGTACTTTATATTCTGCTTTTAGAGCTTCTCTTGAGCTTGCTGTTTCTCAAGGTAATGAGCTCAAAGAAATCCTCATGCCAAAGAAGCATATTTTGGGGTGTGTGAAGTAAAATAATTCAAACTTAAAGCTGTTGGAACTTTAAATTATTCTGAGCCTTGAGAGGAATGTGGCTATGCAGCCTGAGTCACATAGCCTGCAGCTGCAACTTCTGCTTCTTCTTGTAAGTGATTAGGAAAGGCTTTGCTGCGCCAGAGATGAGACCCCTGCAGATCATCACCCCTCCTCACAGAATATTCAAGCAATCTTCCTTGGCATGCAGCAAGCTGTAACCAGTCAAATTGCTGTATGTATATATTGGCCTTTATGGAAAATGTCACAATCCTGGCCAGGTGTGGTGGATTACTCCTGTAATCTGAGCTACTCCGGAGGCTGAGATGGGAGAATCACTTGAACAGGGGAAGCAGAGGTTGCAGTGAACTGAGATCATGCCACTGAACTCCAGCCTGGGCAATAGAGCCAGACCATATCTCAATAAATAAATAAATAATAAAATAATTACCCCTTTATAAGGGACATTTATTTTTAAAAAGTGTCAATTTGTAAGGGTGTCTCTCTCTATACCAGTAAGAAAAGGATGGCTCTAAATCATAAGAGACTCTTATCAATGGAGGAGGCACTGAATTAAATTTGCATACCAAACCTTACGCTTGCTACTGTGCTTTTACTGGTCACATCCCTATAACTAGCCTCCCTGACACCCTTCTTCCTTTGTTTTAGCTGAAGATGGTATTTAAGCCCAAGTTCTAGCCACCTCTGTGAGTTTACTCATCCCTGAGTTTCTCCAATGTATATAAGTGTGTGTGTGTGTGTGTGTGTATATATATATACACAAACACACAATAAGTGTATATATCTATACAATGCATATATGTATATATATATCTCCAATGTATATATGAGATGTACATGTTAATCGGCCTCTGTCTGTTTTTCTCTTGTCAATCTGCCTTTTGTAATAGGGGCCCCAGCTGAGAACCTAAAAGGGTAGAGGAAAAATAGTTTTCCCTCTCCTAGAAAGATATATTTAATGGCACAATATTAAAGAGGATGGGGTGGTGGGGATGGTACCCAGGGCAGAGGGAGAGAGGGTGACCTATAGAGAAAAAAAGAGACCATGTGCAACTTTATGATGGGAAGGAAGAAGGGAGGTATGCAGGTAAGTGTATAAACTTGGGGGTAAGAGTTGAGACGGTTCCTAACAGTGGTTTCAAATTTCCCTAGGATGTAAAAGAGGGAGAGTCATTCTTTGACAGGCAGGGGAATAGAGAGAAGGCTGGGAGAAGGCTGGAGGATTTGAAATTGTTGGGAATGTTTTGAGAATTTAGAGAAGAGGAGGCTGACAAGCTCATGCCATAAAGGAAGAGAGTCGCACGGGGGACTTTATTACACAAGTTAAGACATTCTTGCATCGAAAGACAGCACAAAGAGAGTAAAACATAAGCTACAAAGGGGGAGAAGATATTTTTAACACATTTAACTCTCATTGTACTAGCACCTAGAATATATAGAAATCTTTCAAATCAATGAGAAGAATAAACAATAGAAAACTGAGCAAAGATCCAGCAATCCCACTACCTTGTATATATCCAAAGGGAATGAAATCAGTGTGCTGAGGAGGTGTCTGCACCCATGTTATTTTCAGCACTATTTACAGAGCCAAGATGTGGAAGCAAACTAAGTGTCCATCAACAGATGAATTGATAAAGAAAATGTGGCACCTATACACAACAGAATACTATTCAGCCTTAGAAAAGAAGGAAATCCTTCATTTGGACAATATGGATGAAAGTGGAAGACTTATAGTAAGTAAACTAAGCCAGTGACAGGCGGATGAAGCTGCATGATCTCACTCATATGTGGAATCTAAAAAGGTTGATCTCATAGGAGCAGGGAGTAGAACAGTGGTCGCCAGGGTCTGGGGGTGGGTGGGGCTGGGGAGATGTTGGTCAAAGGATGCAAAATTTCAGTTCGACAGGAGGAATAAGTTCAGGAGATCTATTGTATAACATGATGACTATAGTTGATAACCATGTATTGATTCTTGAAAGTTGCTAAGAGACTACTGGGGAGGCTGAGGGAGGAGGATCACTTGAACTCAGTCATTAGAGACCAGCCTTGGGCAACATAATAAGAAGGTGTCTGTAAAAATAAATAAATAGGCCAGGCGCAGTGGCTCATGCCTGTAATCCCAGCACTTTGGGAGGCCAAGGCGGGCGGATCACAAGGTCAGGAGATTGAGACCATCCTGGCTAAGACAGTGAAGCCCCGTCTCTACTAAAAATAAAAAAAAATTAGCCAGGCTTGGTGGTGGGTGCCTGTAATCCCAGCTACTCGGGAGGCTGAGGCAGGAGAATGGCGTGAACCCGGGAGGCCGAGTTTGCAGTGAGCCGAGATCGTGCCACTGCACTTCAGCCGGGGTAACAGAGCAAGACTCCATCTCAAAAAAAAATAAAAATAAAAATAAAAAATAAATATTAAACAAACAAAAAAGAAAATTGCTAAGACAGTAGATTTTAAGTGTTCTCATTACACAAAAATGACATGTATGTGAGGTAGTGCCTGTCAATTAGTTTCATTTAGCCATTCCACAATACACATATACTGCAAAACAATATGTTGTACACAATACATGTATACAACTTAAATTTGTCAGTTTAAAAACAGTGAAAATCATCATTATACAAGATGAAAGAAGCCAGACACAAAAGGCCACATGTTATATGGTTCTTATTTACATGAGCTGTCTAGAATAGGCAAATCTATAAAGACAAAGTAGATCAATGGTTGCAAAGGACTGGGAGGGGGTGGAAGGGTGGGAAAAGCAGCTAGATGGTTTGGGGTTTCCTCTTGGGGTGATAGAATTGTTCTAAAATTGACTGTTGTGATGGCTACACAATTCTGTATACATGCTAAAAACCATGGGGGAAAAAACCTGAGCAAAAATCTTGAGCAGGCACTTTGCTAAAGCGTAAACCCAAACGATTAATAGATATCTGCAAAGATGCTTAATATCATTCATCATCAGGAAAGTAAAAATGAAATCCACAATGAGACAACACAATTTAATCAACAGGCTGGCCAAAGTAGGGAAGTCATCACTTAGAGGGGTGGGCAAAGATTGTGTATTAGTTTCCTACCGCTGTAACGAATTACCACGATCTTGTGGCTTAAACAACAAAAACCCACAATCTTATGCTTCTAGAGGTCAGAAGTCCAAAATCAGTCTCACTGGGACAAAACCAAGGTGTCAGCAGGGCTGGTTGCTTCTGGAGGCTGGAGGGGAAGCTGTCTCTGTGGCTCTTCTACCTTCCACAGGCTGCAGGCATTCCTTGGCTTTAGTCCTTTCCTCCATCCTCAAAGCCAGCAGTGGAGCATCTTCAAACTTTTTCTCTCTTTCTTCTTTTATTTTTTGAGACAGGGTCTTGCTCTGTCACCCAGGCTGGAGTACAGTGATGCAATCATGGCTCACTAAAGCCTCAACCTCCCCAGCTCTAGTGATCCTCCCACCTCAGCCTCTGGAGTAGCTGGGACCACAGGGGCACACCACCAAGCCCAGCTAAGTTTTGTATTTTTTTGTAGAGACAGGGTCTCACTATGTTGCCCAGGCTGGTCTTGAACTTCCACAAGCGATATGCCCACCTTGGCCTCCCAAAGTGCTGGGATTACAGGTGTGAGCCACTGTGCCCAGTCTCACTCTTTCTGGCCTCTGCTTCTGTCATCACGTCTCCTTCCATGACTCAAACCCCTTTGTATCCCTCTCGTAAGGACCCTTGAGATGAGATGACCCATCTGAATAATCTCAAGATCCTCCACTAATCACATCTATAATGTCCCTGCTATCATGTAAAGAAACATACTCATAGATTCCAGGGATTCAGACACAGACATTTGGGGGGTCGTTATTCTATAGAAAACAATGGGACATTTCCCAAGAGTTGAACATGTGTATTGCGTACAACCCAGGAGTTGCAAATTCCAGCCTACGTTTGGGGAACTCTTGCACCTGGGCACCAGGAGACAGGTACCCAGTACTCCCTGGGTCTATTCCTCATAACCCTCTGATCTTGCCTCCTTTTATTCTTGGCCACACTTACTCTTCTCCAGCCACACAGGCTGCTCTGGAATGAGGAATTGGGACAGCTTTTGTCCTGGTTTCTGGAAGGGAGCCTCTAAATCCTTGGAATTTCCCCAGTGACAGGAATGTCTTTGTTATTCCTGGTGGGCACCTCAGACCACATCTGAATTTATGCCAAGATGGCTCAGAGTGGGGCTGGTCAGGCCTGAAAGACCAACCCCGTGATTAGAGGGTGGGCCTTGGAGCCACATGCTATCATCCCAACTTCTGGGAAGAGGAGCTGCAGCGCAAAGCACGTGGTGCTGGTGGCTCAGTCATGCCTGTGCAATGAAGCCCTGGACGCAGAAACCCAACTCTAGACACACAAGCTGAGGTGAACCTCTCTCATCGGCAATGCCTTTTGCATGTTTTTACCCACGGATGTGTCAGGATGGTGATGTCCTTGACTCCCTGGGAGAGGCCATGGAAGCTTTGCATCTGGGACCCTCCCAGACCTCGTCCTTCAAGACTTCTTCATTTTTTTGAGACTCTTCTTGTGGCTGGTCCTGACTCGGCCCTTTCTGCTATGGTGAAGCTGTCGTCATGAGCAGAGCGCTGCCTGAGTTCCGAGCGTGTTCCAGTGAATTCCACTTGAGGGGGACCCGCTAAATTTGTACCCAGTTGGTCAAAAGTGCAGGTGGCCTGGGGCCTCCAAATTTGTGGTGTGTCTTTCAGTGAGGGCACTCTTAACCTGTGAGGTCTGGCCTCGGCCTGGGGAGTCAGGCTGCCCTGCATTGCCCAGGCCCTTCTCCACTGGTCTCAGTGTGGACCCACCCACCGCCCCCTTGCACAGGCCCCTCCCTCTGCTGGAGCTATCACTGGACAGCTGCACAGCACTGTCCTCACCCCAAGTCTCCACCTACATATCAACTCAGGGCTGTGTAGCCTCTACCCTGGTACTTTTCACCTTCTCTGTTTTTCATTCCCAGTGAGTGCTTACCACCCTCTAACATAAAACACAATTTCCCTGTTTTTTCCTGCTCATTGTAGTCAGCCACCTCTAGAATACCCCTGTGGGAAGGAATTTTCGTCTGTCTTGATCACTGCTGTATCCCCATGCCTAAAATAGTGGCCAGTTCACAGTAGGTACTCAAGAAACATTTGTTCAGTGAATGGATGAATATTCATAACAGCTTTGTTCATAATAGCAAAAATATGTCAATGCCCCAAATGTCTATTAGCAGTAGATTGGATAAATGTATTACAGTGTGCCTTTAAAAGTTAATTAGTTGTTTAAATGGACAAATAAGCGTTGTATGTATTTATAGTGTACAATGTGTTATATTAAAATATGTATACATTGTGAAATGGTGAAATCAAGGTGGTTAACATATGCATTACCTCATATACAACTTTTTTGATGGTGGGATACTACAGAATACAGTAGTCTCTCCTTAGCTGTCCCCTCCAAGACCCCCAGCAGATGCATGAAATTGCAAATAGTACCAAAGCCTATATATACTATTTTTTCCTATACATATACATCTATGATAAATTTTAATTTATAAATGAGACATAGTAAGAGATTAACAACAATCACCAATAATAAACAGAACAATTATAACAATATACCATAATAGAAATTACGTGAATGTGGTCTCCCTCTCTCAAAATATCTTAACTGTATTATACTCACCTATCTTTAGGCTCCAGTTGACTGCCAGTGACTAAAACACGGAAAGTGAAACCCTGCATGTAGGGGCAGGGGGAGGTGCTGTATTTCCATTGAGTACCAAACAATAGTTGGCATAAATGAACAAGAGCTACACCCATCAACATGGGTGGATTTCACAAACATAATATTGATGACACAAACAAGTGACAGTAGAAAGAGTTTGAAACCATTCCCAAAAGTTCAAAACCCGGCATACCTATCTAGGGGTGGAAGTTTAAGGGGTTAGGGAAATAAACATCGGGATAGTGGTTACCTCTGGGAGGAGGTGGTGGGGAGGGCTTGTGCCCCACTGCTTCACCCCAGTCATGGGTTTGCTCCTGAGACTGCACATCTACATTTCACAGTTCTTCAGTATGTAGGACATATTTCACAATTAAAAAAAAAAAGAGAGAGACAGGAACATAGCAGGATGACAGAGTAGTGTTGAGTTCTCTGTTCCACAGAAGAATTTATCGTGAATTTGGCATAATAGCAGGACCCTATGATATCCTCTACAGCAGGAGTCCCCCCACCCCAAGGCCACAGACTGGCACTGGTCTGTGGTCTCTTAGGAATGGGGTCGCACAGTGGGAGGTGAGCGGGCAGGCAAGGGAGCATTCCCGCCTGAGCTCTGCCCCCTGGCAGATCAGTGGGGACATTAGATTCTCATAGGAGTGTAAGCCCTATTGTGAGTTTCACATGTGAGTGATCAAGGTTGTGTGCTTCTTATGAGAATCTCATGCCTGATGATCTGAGTTGGAAAGATTTCATCCTGAAACCACCCCCCAAACCAACTCCCCTGCCACACACTGCCCTGTCTGGAAAAATTGCCTTCCATGAAACTGGTCCTTGGTGCCAAAAAGTTGGGGACCACTGCTCTACAGTGCTGAAAACCTAATGGGAGACCTGGAGAAGGCAGAGTTGGATTCCTCTGTCACAGGAATTCTGCCAGGTGGGAGACATGAAGGTAAAAGGAACAGGGAAATGTAGGGTATTGGTATGGAATAACTGAAAATCCATTCTGTGGAAACAAAGCTGAATGAACTGGCATGTGGAATCAGGAGGGGGAAAGCTGAAATCCTGGGAAGAGCTGGTCTGTGGGGGCTCAGCGATCTAGAGGACCTGGTACAGTCAATGATCCATGCTGCCAACCAGTGCCATGTGGTGATGGGTCTACCTTGGAGAGATCTTGAAGGGGGAGCACATTTTGGGCAGGACAATATCTGTGTCACAGTAAACAGTGGGTGTCTGAAGTGTCATTGATGTACAGGTTTTAGCTTCCATAGCCAGCAGAAGTTCCTCTACCTCAAAGCCCCAAAGGAAGCAACACTCAAAGTACTGCTGCGTCCTGCTATGCAGATATCCTTGGAGATGTGCCTCCCATCCCCCCTTTCCCTGAATCTGGTGGCCAGAACACCATCCTGCAGAAGAGTGCCTGCCAGGTAAAAACAGAGGTGGTAAAAGGAGGTTGAAAACCAAAAACTCATAGGCAACACCTGAATGAAAAGCGATGAGAAAGTATTCACAAAAGCCCCCTAATTATATTGGAGGTTAAAAATTATTTTTTGGCTGGGCATGGTGGCTCACGCCTGTAATCCCAGCATTTTGGGAGGCCAAGGTGGGTGGATCACTTGAGGTCAGGAGTTTGAGACCAGCCTGGGCAACATGGTGAAACCCCATCTCTACTAAAAATACAAAAAATTAGCTGGGTGTGGTGGCTCGCACCTGTAATCCCAGCTGCTAGGGAGGTTGAGGCATGAGAATCACTTGAACCCAGGAGGCGGAGGTTGCAGTGAGCCGAGATTGCACCACTGCACCCCAGCCTGGGCAATAGAGCGAGACTCCATCTCAAAAAAAAAATTAGTTTTCAATTTACATACAGTAAAATTCACTCTTGTTGCTGTGCAGCTACTTTAAGTCTTGACAAATGCATAGTCATGTGACTGCCACTACAAATCAAGATACAGGGACACTCTTCATGGTGCCTAAACATTTCCCAAGGCTCTAGCCAACACTTTCCCCTACTACTTGTTCCTCGCAGCCACTGAGCTGTTCTCTATCTCCACAGTTTTGCCTTTCTAGAATGTCATATAAAAGTTCAGTGGGCTGGGGGTCGTGGCTCATGCCTGTAATCCCAGCACTTTGGGAGGCTGAGGCAGGTGAATCACGAGGTCAGGAGTTCAAGACCAGCCTGGTCAAGATAGTGAAACCCCATCTCTACTAGATATACAAAAAATTAGCCAGGTGTCGTGGCAGGAGCCTGCAATCCCAGCTACTCGGGAGGCTGAGGCAGGAGAATCACTTAAACCCGGGAGGTGGAGGTTGCAGTGAGCTAAGATTGCACCACTGTCCTCCAGCCTGGGAGACAGTGCAAGACTCTGTCTCAAAAAAAAAAAAAAAAAAAGTCCAATGGATCATTTGAAGTCTGACTTATTTCACTTAACGCATCTGAGAGTTATTCAAGTTGTTGTATTGAATAATGGCTTGCTCCTTTTTACTGCTGAGTAGTTGTCCATTGTATGGATACACCACACACAGTTAGTTTATCCAGTCAGCCACTTTTGGGTTGTTTCCAGTTTGGGACCATACTGGAGATTTTCAGACACCTCTCTCAGGAACTGATAGAATATGAGATCCAATTAATTAACAATATAGAAGATTTGGCTTTGATTAACCAACCTGACTTAACTGAAATATACAGAATATTCACTCTTTTTCAAGGGCATATGGGGCATTTATCAAAACAGAACATATTTTGGGCCATAAAGAATGTATCAACAGATTTCAGAAAATCTCTGCCTGATGTGTGATTAAATTGGAACTCAGCAGCAGGAGGGTAGCTAGAAAATCCCCTAATATTTGGAACTAAGCAATGTCCTTCCAAATAAGTCATGGGCCAAAAGAGAAGTCAAAATGGAAATTTAAAAGTCTCTTGAGCAAAATGATAGTGAGAAAAAAACACCAATTGTGAGAGAGAGAGTAAAGCAGTGCTTAACAAGCAGATATATAGCTTTAAGTCCATAGAGTAGGAACGAAAGCTGAAAACCAATGAACCTACCCTCCAACTTCAGAAACTAAAAAGGAAGAAGGAAGGAATGAGAGAAAGACAGTTAATACTCCCCCAAAGGAGAGCTACAAACACAATGAAACTAAGAGCAGAGATTCATGAAATAGAAAGTACAACAGAGAAAGCTGAACAAAGTCAAAAGTTGTTTCTTTAAAAAAAATTATAAAACTGACAAAACCCTAACAAGACTGATCAAAAAAAGAGAGTGAAAAACACAGAGGTCCCCAATATCAGAATCCAAGTGGGACATAGCTACAGATTCTACAAACATCTGCGGGATAATATAAAAGATGTTATAAACAACAATATGAGGATGTCAGAAAATCTGAAAATTTAGAGAAAATGGGCAAAATCCATAAAAAACACAATTTGCAAAAGTTACATAGGAAGAAGCAAATAATCTACATGGTCCTATATATTAAAGAAAATGAACCTGTCATTAAAAACCTTTCTACAGTGAAAATCCAGGTGCAGAGAGCTATTAATATTCTCACTGAATGGGTGTATTCTTATTGAAAATTCATGGAGCACAACTTTATGATTTTTGTCTATGCATGTTATACTTACAAAAAATTATCCTTGGGAGGCTGAGGCGGGAGGATTGCTTGAGCCCAGGAGTTCGAGGCTACAATGAGCTATGATTGTGCCACTGCACTCTAGCCTGGGGGACAGAATGAGACCCTGTCTCAAAAAAAAAAAAAAGCTATAAAAGTTTACTTAAAATGAGTAAACAAATAAATAATATGGGGAGTGGTAGGTGGGCATACAGATGAAACAGAATTGGCCATGTATTGATAATTGTTGAAGTTGGGCCATTGAGTTTATTGTATATACCTTTTTAGCCGTTACTATTATAAGCGTTTAAAATCTTACATAATAAAATATTGTTTGTAAAAAATAGTAAGATCATATTACTTTGTGCAAAACCCTCCACCTCCCTCTGAGTCAAAGCCACAGAGGGCTGATGGCTGGCCAGGCTCTTCGCGATATGGTCCACCTGGCAGCTCCTGCAGGCTCCTCTCTACCACACTCACTCATCTCCACTTGGCCTCCTTCTAAGGCATCCTCCACCTCAGGGCCTTTGCATGTACTGTTCTCTTTGCTGAAAATGTTCATTCCTCGGATTCAGCATAGCTTGCCTCAGTTAGGTCTTAGCTCAGATATGATCCTTTCAGCCAAGATTTCCCTGATCACCCAAAATAAAATCCCCAACCCAGCAGGGAAGGGTGGTGGTGAGAAACTACAGTTCTAGCTACTCAGGAGGCTGAGGCAGGAGGCTCACTAGAGTCAGGAAGTTCCAGGCTGTAGAGCATAGTGATTGCACCTGTGAATAGCCACTGCACTCCAGCCTGGGCCACACAGTGACACCTCCCCTTAAAAAATAAAAAAGAATCCCCCACCCTACAAGCTCCCCTCCCCCTCCCTTCGCTGGCTCCCTCTCCCTGCTGGGCCTCTCTGTGGGATCTGCAGCATCTGACACATGAACTATTTATGTGTATTTTTATTCACTGCCTACTTCCCACAAGAATGCAAACTCCAACCAGACAGAGACATTCACAGCCGAATCCCAGTGCCCCATCTTACACCTGGCATACAGGTGTTCAAGACACAAGGACTAAGTGAGTAAGCAAGGTCCTCAGCCTCTTCAAGGGGTGCTGTGGGGCTCCTCCCCATTTTTTCACACAGACCCCTCCACCTGGGGACATCGTCGCCCCAGACCTGTTTCTCACTGGCCCTCGTCTGACTGCCTGCAAGAGTCACTCTGGGCCACCCTGGGGTCAGGCCACAGGGTGTCCGTTCAAGAGAAGGTGACCCTTCAGAGCGACAGGAAGTTCCAGTGGACGCCAGAAGACCTGTGTCCTGCTTTAGTGGTTCTGAAATCTTTCAAGGTGGCTTTGGAGCCTTGCTCTGCCACTTATAGGCTCTGAGACCCTGCAGGGTAACCGCACTCCCTGTGCATCAGTTTACTAACCTGTCCAATGGGAACAAATCCACCACCGACCTTACAGGGCGATTAAGATGGTTAAGGGGAGTGACCCAAGGGGCCAGGACTTGCCCACAGAAGGGCTTTCACCGTCTGATTCCACTGACAAAAATTTTGCCAGCTCTGCGGGAGTCCCCAGAGGGCCTTTTAAATGCGGTGGCCGCATCGCCTCCTAGCTTGTCTGCTGCCTGATCCTTTTTTTTTTTTTTTTTTTTTTTTTTTTGAGACGGAGTCTCACTCTGTTACCCAGGCTGGAGTGCAGTGGCGCGATCTCGGCTCACTGCAAGCTCCACCTCCCGAGTTTACACCATTCTCCTCCCTCAGCCTCCCGAGTAGCTGGGACTACAGGCGCCCGCCACCACGCCCGGCTAATTTTTTTTTTTGTATTTTTAGTAGAGATGGGGTTTCACCGTGTTAGCCGGGATGGTCTCGATCTCCTGACCTCGTGATCCGCCCGTCTCGGCCTCCCAAAGTGCTGGGATTACAGGCGTGATGCCTTATCCTTTTTAAATGAAAGCCTGGCCGCCCTCTCCCGGCGCCCGCCCTGTCCCAGTGCCCTCTGCTCGAGCCCCGTCCCGCGCCCTACCTCCCCCTGCACCTTTGCCCCGCACCCTCCTCCCTCCGCGTCCCGCGCCCGCCCGCTCCCCCGCTCCCCGCGCTCTCGCGCCCGCTCCGTGCCCGCTCGGCGCTCGCTCCGCGCTCGCTCGTTCGCTCGCTCGCTCGCGCTCCCCGGCGCCGGCTGCGGAGGGAGCTGCTCTGCCCGCAGCTGGCGCAGCGCGGGGGCGGCCGCGGGTGGGCGGGTGCCGCGGGCCCGGGCGCCGAGCATGAGCCGCCGCCGGCGCCGGCCGCGCGCTGCTCGGGGCCCGACTGCGGCGCGAGGGCGGCGCGGGAGCGACGCTGGCCCGGACCGAGGTAGGCAGCGGCCGCGGACCCTCAGTGCCTCGGGGCCCCCGCCCGCGCCTGGGGCCGTGCCCTCCGGTCGCCGGCGCGGGCAGGGCGCGGCGTGCGCGGGCCCGGGGTCCCTCCCGGCGCGGCCGTCGTGGGGCCGGGGCGCGGGCTCCGGGCGCGGGGCGGGGGACGCGCGCGGGGAGGGCGGCCGGGATCCCGGCGCGCGGAGTTGCTGAGAACTCCGCCCCGGGCTGGACGGCGCCAGGACCCCCTGCACCCTCCGCCCCTTCAGGGCACCTGGCGGGCCGGGCCGGGCCGGGCCGGGCGTGGCAGGAGCGCACGCGGCGGGCGGGCGTGGGCACTGCGGGCAGGTTCGCTGCCCGGGGCCTGGCGTGGGGGTGGGGGCTGGGGAATCGGAGGAGCTCAGGGCTGCGCAGTTGGAAGTTTCCATTTGCTCTTCTGCATTCTGGGCCCCGCCGTGGTATCTCACGCCCTTGCTGTTTGGCGAGGAATTGGGGCTTGAGCTCTGCATTTGGGGGAGAGGTCCAGGGCCATGCCAGGTGTCTCCCTCTCCCTGCTGGGCAAGGGTCATTTGAAGGACCACGCTCTCTTTGCCCCAGGCCTTGCCGGCCCCAGGAACGGGGCAGGTGCAGCTGGTTCTGGTCCGAGGGTCGGTGAGTGAGAGGTGGGGGCGGGAGTCCCCTGCTGTGTGTGGAGGGACGCGCTGGCAGGTTCCTGTGCCCTGCATTTCTGGCTGCCTCTGGGTGCTGGACCTGGTGGATATTTACAGAGAGGCCGCTGCCTGCCTCTTGGGAGCCACCTGGGGGCAGAGACCTGGTGGTGGCCGGGGCTCCCTCCCTCCCTGCTCAGAGCAGTGAGCTTCTCCCTGGTTCACCCTCCCCACCACTGCCACTCTTCTCCCACTGTCCTGCGCAGGAAGGGCCCCGATGGCCGTCGGCCGCAGGATCCTGAAACACAGGAGTCAGGCTGGGTGCAGGGGAGCCTCCCAGAGGCCTTGGTTCCCTCTGTCCCCCCAGGGTTCTCCCGCCCCCTCCGGATGCAGTCTTGCCAGCCCAGCCTGTCCACCTCGGTGCCCTGGACTCTAAGCGGCTCTAGGGGGCCTCCAGCCGAAAGGCTACAGGTCTTGATTCGTGAACCACGGGCAGGCTGCAGGCTTCTGAGACTCAGTTTCCCCATCTGTAGACTGACACGGTTTTGATGACCTCTGAGGACATTTCCACCCTGATGTCCAGTGACACTTTGCTTTGGAACCTCAGGACCCCAGCCCAGGAAGGGGAGATCCGGAGCAGGGGGACATGGAGGACCTTGGCTGGATGGCCAGGGACACGTGGGTGGGTTCTCTGCCCCTCCAGCCAGTGTGTGTCCTTAGGGCTGTGGGTGGTAGTGACCCAGCGAGGCGGGTGCAGCAGGCCCACACTCCCTGCTCCTGAGAAGGGCATGAGCTGTGTGGATCCCCCAGGCTCTCTAGTGAAGTAGAGAAGCTGTGTCCTCCTGCACATGCCCCTGGGTTTGTGAACCAAGCAGGTATCCCAGGTGTGCCTTGGCCTGAAGGCCAGCCAGTGAGTTTGTTTTTCTCTGGGAGGCATCTTCGAGCTGCCAGCCGGATGGCTCCCTTCCACCTGGCAAATCGTGGAAATGGAACAGTTCACACAGAGCAGAGGGGTTTTTTGGTGTAACTTAGCAACTGCAGGCAGGGGAGGAGGAGGAGGAGGGAGAAATGGCATTTGTGCTGGACAGTGGCTGCGGTGGGGAGAGCCACGCACACAGTGGCCCCCAGCGGTGGGAGGGGCCAGCCAGGGAGGAGAGCGAGTGGGCACTGGGACACAGTGTGGCCAGGAGCCCCTGAGCACGCCGGTCCCCACCTGTAGAATGATGCCAGGGGCAGGATGGGACAGCTTTGGTTGGCCTTTGGTTTTTGGCAATAGAACCGTGGGTTTCACAGAAGCCCTATTTGTCAAATAGGTCAAGTGAAGGTGCTGTGCCAAGGCAGGGATGGGGGCAGGGGGTTTGGCCCCCCCACTGTCCTCAGGAGAGGGGCTGGTGGAGGGATGCTCTTCTCTGCATGGCCCACCCCAGGGGAGGGGCGCTGGGCTGCTGGGGGTAGGTGCCAGGGGCATAGCAGATAGCAGATGGGGAGGAGACTCAAGGCATTCTCCCCCACCCCTCCCTGCTGCCCCTTGACGGACCCTCCCTCCCCTTCCCCCTTTTTCTCCTGAGGCCATCTGCTTGGGTCCGGCACTCTGGCTGCTTTTCTGTTGGAGCTTCCAATCTGCCTCCTGTAACTCCCACCCACTCCAGCCTGCCTCCCGGCTCCTCTGCCCTCCCCTGCCCACTCCCTGCTGGGGAGGATGAGTGTTTACCTAGCAAGGGTGTGATGTGCGGAGGGAGGGGACTGAAGTGGCACTGGTGGGCTGACAGCCATAGAGGAGGGCCTCTGATACCCACTGGTGGATTGCTGGGGGTGTCAGAGGCCCTCCCCTATGGCTGTCAGCCTGACCTGCGGGGGTCCAGAGAGGGCTCACTGCCCACTTTTTGGGTGTATCCCTGTCGCCACTTTTTGGGCACAGAGCCTGGGGCTGTGGGTATGTGAGAGTGGGCTCTGGGCCGGCCCAGAGTGGCGAGCTGCCAGGAACCCATGCAGAATGTCCCTGCGCGCTGGGACACCAGGAATTCCCCAGCTAGCAGCCCGGGAGCAGGGTTTGGGAAGGTCAGCTGGTATGGCCAGCAGTGGCTTGGCGGGCACTGTGTGAAGGGAAGCCCGAAAGCCCCTCGGGGTCCTGGCCTGCTCAGAGTGGGAGAGGGGCTCTGGCCTCAGGGCTCACCACCTGGGACAGGCTGGTAGAGGCTGCTCCAGGCACCATGACAGAGGGCTGTGAGGGGTGACCGGCCAGGAGTGGACAGGTGTGAGGACTCAAGCGGGGCCTGTGCTGTGATGGACGGGGTGGGGGTGTGACTGCTGCTGTGGCCACCCCTGCCCGGTGGACCATGGAGAGGGAAGCCAGGCAGGGAGAGTAGTCCGGTTGTCCCGGCTCTGCTGCAGCACCTCCCAGGAAGCACATGGGTGCCTTTGGGCACAACTCAGGACGACACCCAGTGATCCTGTTCTGGGAAGCTTCTCCCCACCTGTGGTTGCCCGCCCTGCCCTGGGCACTGCCCGGGCTGGGGTAGGGGCTGAGCTGCCGGCCTGTGCTGCCCAGGGCAGCCAGCAGGGGCTCCGAGACCTGCTTGTCTCTTGTGAGCTGGCTGTGGGGTTCTTTGTGAATTCAGGGAGCAGAGGCCAGCACCAGCTTGAAGAAGAGAGGCCTGGGCTGGGACTCTAGACAGAACAGCCCAGGGTGGGCACTTCATACGTGGGATGCAAAGATGTGGCTGTCCGGTTGACAGGTGCTTTTCCTTTTTTAAAAACAACGAAACTTGCTCAGCCGTCCGCACCCTGGTCGCCTGTGCGGGCTGACTTTGAAGACATGTTCTCTGCTCACTCTGAATCCTCACTTCCCACTCACTCCCACCCACGCCAATCTGCACACACCTCCTTCAGTCCAGGGATGTCTTCTTGAGAGGCCGTGGATGTCCACTGCCTTGTTCCCAGACACCCATTTCCTGGGCTTGGCCGGCCCCTGGTTCTCCTCCTCCCATCCTGGGACACTCAAAGTCCCTGTTCCTCAAGACCTGGGCTCAAACCCTCTACCCAGCCACAGCATCTGTTCCCTCCTCCGTGCTGATCCGGTTCCAGCTCTCATCAGCCCCCACCTGTCCTCTGGGTTCTGTCAGTGTGTGAGCCTGCTGGACGCCTCCCGGGTGACGATGCACATCATCACGCCCCTGAACCTTGCCTGCCCCAGGTTCCCCATCTGAGCAGGTAGGCAGCTGGCTCTCCCTCACCCCCTCTGCCAGCTTCCCTTTGCCTGGAGTTGTCAGCCAGTCTAGCACACCCCACTCTAGACCTCTCTTCTGCCCCTTCTGCCTCTCCCTGCTCACTGCCACCTCTGTGGGCCGGGCCACCATCCCCTGGCCAGGACATTTGCAGTGGCCTCCTTACCCAGCAGTCTGTTCCCCTACTCAGGGCATGGCTTCTGCTGGGTCTCCCTCCTGCCAGGAGGCTCCCAGCCTTCCTTGGGTGCCTTCCTGAACTTTCCTGCTGTGCAGGGGGCCCGGGGCTGCTCTGCAGCAGCCGCCTTGGGTGTACTTGTCTATGATCCCCTGGGGTCTAGTCTGCACCAGGCCTGTTGGAGCCCAGCCACGAGACAGTGGCTATGCTGGCAGATTCAGCGAACATCCGTGGGAGGTGCATGGAAGTGCCTGAGCCACCGTGCATGGTGTGGCAGAGGTGCCTGGCCTGGGCCACGTTGCTGCACCCACGCCAGGGAGAGGAGAGGAGAGGGAAGCAGACCTGAGAGCTCTGGGACAGTCTGGGGGGCTGGTGTCTGGGGTCCTGGACCAGGAAGGAATCCTGGGGGGTGGGGCTGGGAGGCCAGCACCCTGTTTGTTGTCACCACCACTTCTGTTTCTCCAAGTGTCACCCTCAGACTCTACCTTGAAGAGAGAGTTCTCCCTGGATCTGGTTGCCATGGCAACGCTGTTAACAAAGAGTAGCTTCCGTGGAGGAGGCTGGCGGGAGCTGGGAGAGGAGAGGGGGCGCGTTCTGATGGTTTATCAGCAGGGCTTGTTTCCCCACCCCCACCAAGGCTGCCCAAATCTGGTGGACCCTCCCCCACTCTCTCTGCCCATGGGGCTCTCCAGGTCTCTGGTACCCAGACCCGCCAAATGTGAATGTCAGGCAGCCTTGAGTGCATCCGGGTGTGTCCTGGACCCCAGCCACAGCTGGGGCACTGGGGCAGGCCTCCTCCTTGGGGCCTGGGGAGACATGCCCAGCCACAGCACCAGGTACTTCCCAGGATGAGGATCTGCACTTTGTCCCTGTACAGACGCAGACTCCAAGGTCCAGATTTCTCCTGCCTGGACTTCTCTGTAGGCTAGTTCTGTGCCCAGCTTTTTCTGGCCGGTGCTCTGAGCATGCCCTGTGAGCCCTGCTTCTCCCAGGGCTGTGGTCTGGATGAAGGTAATGTGCAGCCCCGAGCCAGGCTCTGGGTGAGAGCTGGGCAGCCCCGGCTTTGCTGGCTGAGGAGAGGAGGGTTGGCCCCAGTTGCTAGGACCCAAGCCTCTGCCCTCAGAGCTGGGGGAGGAAGGGTGGGCTGGAGGCAGGGTGAGTGGACCAGCTGGGAGGATGGGGCTTGGATGAGGTTGGGAGTTCTGGGGGTGCCCTGATGCTTTCATGAGTTAATTACTCAGAGCAGGCAGGGGGCTGCATCAATTATTCATTTTATTATTGCTGTTAGCAGTGGGTGGCTGGATGAGGAGTGGAGTCCCCCACTGGCGAGGCCAGGCCAGGTGAGCATTGGTGGCACCTGGGAGAGCCCAAGTCCTGCCCACACTGTCCATTGCAGGCAGGGCCCTTCCTGCTCAGCCCCGCTACGGGGACAGGGCCTTCTATGCCCCGTGCCCCTTCCTCCTCTGGCCTAGGTGTTTCTGGGAGCTGGGCTTACCTTGACCAAGCTGGAGTGAGTTAGACCTGCTGTGAGGTGACCTGCAGGTACCTGGGCCAGATCAACTGCCCTGCGGGGAGTGGTGGTGGTGGAGAGGGCTGATAGTAAACTGTGCTGGCAAGTATGGCCAGGGGTCCCAGCTGTTCTTCATGGAAAGGCCACGGCAGCCAGAACCACTTCCCAGAGGGGGCGGGGCCGAGGGGGAGGGCGCTCCCACATGGGTGGGGCCTGGAGGGGAGACCCACAGCTGCGGTCACCAGGCACCCACCAAGCCTGGTGGGTGCGCACAGGCTGAGCAGTCAGTGCTGGCTCGGAGATGCCCGCACAAATGTCAAAGAAGCTGCTATTCGGGCCAAGTGTTCCGACTACAGTGCAATTAAGAGAGAAAGTGATAACAAAATAGATAACTCTAAAAGAGTTGTATATTTAGAAAATTTGAAACACATGTTTGAATGATGGGTCAAAGAAACAATGGAATAGAAAGTTTGGGGTTAAATGATAAAAATAGAATGCTGAGCGCTGTGGATCACGGCCGTCGAGGGCTACATGCCCTGCTGCCTGCTGACGTCTGGAGAGCCCAGTTGTACAGGAGAAGTCCACACCCAGGTGCCTTCCTTGGCTCCCGCAGTGGGAAAGGTGGGAGGGGGCGGGACAGTGGCCAGGCCTCCTATGGGCACGGGAGTCTGCCTGCTGGGGTCCTGAGAGGGGGGCGGACCCTAGCTTCTCCGTGGGGTCTGGGTCTGGGGAGCCACTTGGCCCTGCCCGTGGGGACCAGGGTTCCACAGTGGCTCTCTGGCCTGCCATAGCACCCAGGGTTGGACTCCAGGGCAGCACAGTGTTCTCAGCCCTGGGCAGGACGCCAGATGCATCCGGTGGTGCACCGAGTGCAGAGCTGTCTTATGTGAGGCAACCGGGGACGCTGTCAGGGGAAGACACAGGAGGGGATCTCCAGGACAGCACCAGTGCCAGGCAGGGCCCAGGTTGCAGAGTGGAGAGGAAGGAGCAGCAGGTGTGGGGAGGCTGGTGCCCTCGGTCCACCCTGCCGGTGCCCAGGCCTGGGTGTGGTGTACAGTCATGTGCCTGGGGGCTCTGGGTGTACACATTCATTCTGGGTGTGTGCATTTATACCCAGATGCTGGGAGGGCCCCTGACCAGCCTACTGTCCAAGGGCTCTGCTGGGCGTTTCACTGACATGTGACTTAATGTGCCTCTTTTTGATGCCAGCATCATTACACTGATTTTGCCAGTGAGCCTCTGGGGTCTGCAGAGAGGGGCAGAGGCAGAGGTTGAGGCCAGGTCGCTCCCGTGCTCTAGGGAGCATGTTAGCAGGTGGTGTGGTTCTCTGGTGCCTCCCTTCATCTCTCCGAGCCTTCCTGCCGTCCCCGCCCTGCCCCTCCGTCCAGCTCCTGAGCTGGCCATCCCCCTTCCTGCCTTTGTGAGTGGTTTCCCCTGCCTGTGTGCCTCCTGAATGCACACTCCCACCTTGGGGCTCAGCTGGATGGCCCCAGTGGGGAGCACCTCCACCTCCTGGAGGTGAGGACGCCCCCCTCCTCTGGCCTATTGAGCCCCTGAACGTGCAGCGGTGGCACCTGGCTTCTGAGTGCTTGTTCTGTGCCCTCTCATCTCGTTCCTGCCTGTGAGGGCTATGACTCAGTGCATGGGCTGGGGATTCTGATAGAAGGGGTTTAGAGAGGGTATGCTCTCAGGAGACATCTGTGTGGGAAGGACAAGCACCATGCAGGGAGAGGAGGAGGCTGGACAGAAGTGCAGTTGTAGCGGAAGTCTAGCCTGATTCCATGGGGACTCCGGAGTGTCAACTGACCCCACAGCTAGCCTCCCTCTGAGGCAGGGGAGTTGGAGTCAGGCCCCTGCACTGCTCGGCCCTTGGATGCTGGCACTCCAGTCTTCTGCAGAAGGCTGCAAGTGTGGATGACTGCTGCACAGCCCTGGGGGAGTCTGGGTAGGGCCCAGCTGCAAGTCCCAGGGGCCACTGCTACTACCCCCAGAAAAGAGGCTACCCGCTGTGCTTGCAGGCCCTCAGCTGGTCCCTGGGGTGCTCAGAATGCAACCTCAGGTCCAGCCTGCTCCTGCATCCCACAGCACTGCCACACTGCATGGATATCTGTCTTCCTGGGGTCACTGTGAGTGTCTGTGGGTTCTTCTCTGTGCTCCTGGCTGCCAGCCCTGGGACCAAGTGTTGTGCTGGCATGAGGAGCTTTGTCTGTTTGTCCAGGGAAGGACTGACTGATGGTCATGTTGTCAACTCTGGGCTCAGGCTGCATGGGCCAGAGATGGGGGAACCAGAGACCAGGGCCAGCCCCAGGCCAGTGAAGGCAGTGCAGGGTGGGGAGCACTGGCCGGGGAGTCTGGGGCCTGCACATCAGCCCCTGCTGCAGCCTTCTCTCCACTCTGGCCCCCAGCTGTCCTTCCCGGGCCTGGTGGTCAGGAGGCCCATGTGCCCAGTGAGCTCTTCCAGCTTGCCAGGAGGGCCAGCCCAGGTGGCAGCACATGAGCTGCCCTGAGAGCCCACCAGGCATGAAGAGGCTGTGCTGAGTGGGTGGATGGTGGGTGTGGGTGGCACAAAGAGGAGACAGAGGCAGTCCTGCTCCTAGGGGCTGGCCTGTGGGGCATCCATCCAGCAAGCCTGCAGCTCAGTAGCTCACCCAAGCCTGCTAGGCTCTCTGAGGCTCCCTGCTGGTGGTGCCCCTCGGCCCACCAAAACTGAGCTGCTCTCCTCGTCCCAAGGGGCCAGCCGCCTGCTGTGGCCTGCAGCTTTGCCCCAAGGAAATGCACTTGTCCTCTGGTGTCAAGCGCAGAGTGGCAGATGGCCCTGAGGTAGGTGGGGCACTGGGTTGGCCATGAAAGAGGAGGGCAGGTGGCATGGGGCAGGGGAAGTGGTGACCGAGGCTAGACTTCACCCTCCTGCTGCCATATTAGGAGGGGCGACTTCACCTTCCACAGCCCCCTCACCTCAGCCTCCTGAGAGGCCAGGCCAGCCATGGGGTCCTCCCGCTCACAGAATCCCTCACCTCAAGATGAGACACTCCATACCCACCCACTCAGATGATGGAGGCTGCAAAATTGAGTTAAACGAAACTGCGCCTCCCTATCTTTCAATGAAGAGTTGACTGGCGCAGGGTTCTGGGGGCTCCAGCAGGCAGACCTCCATGAGGGTACCCCTCCCCGAAGCTGTGAGCCACCTAGTATAGAGGCAGCTTTCGCCTGAGATCCTGAATGGGGAAGGAGTTCACCCCAGATGCCCACTGGAAACCTGCCCAGCCTAGTTGTTTTCTGAGCCTCCTGTAAATGTAACACTGGAGGCCCTCATGTCCTGGCCCAGGCAGCTGCCTTCCCCTGCCTCGCCCTGTCTGTCCTCTCCAGGCTGCAGCTGTCTGCCTCGGCCAGAGCACTGGCTGCCTGGATGGTGGGAGGAGTGTCTGTCAGTCCTAGGGGACACACCTTTCCCTGGCTAGTGGGGACAGCCATGCAGCCCTGTGGGAGCCCAGGGGAGAACCCCTGGCCTCAACCAGACATTATACAGCACATGTGAAAATGGTCAGTGCAGCATAATGCAGGGCCAGGGCTGGCTCTGGAGAATGTGAGTCCCAGGCCTGCTTTAGAATGGGGAGGGCACCGCTGACGGGACCCTGGACCCTGTTGTTGCCCATCGCTGTGTGCAGTCACTACCCCCTGGGGAGGCCCGGGGGAAGCGCAGGGCACTACGGGGTCTGAGAACATCCCCACCCTCCTAGGAAGGAGAATGTAGCTTGCTGGAACCTGCCTGCAGGCCAGATGGGACTGAGGTGTGGAGGAGAGGCCCCCAGGCGGCAGAGGCAGGCCCAGTCCCAGAATCCTGCCTCCTGGGCGGGACCTGTGCTCCTCCTTCCCCACCAAACACTGCATGGGTGGGACTCGCTGGGCAAGGCCCCATGTGGCTGATGAGCTGCCCACCTGGTGAGGGGTGTCTAGACACAAGTGGGCCCAGGGTGGGCATGCAAATCATCACCAGTGTGTCAGCGAGGCTTGGAGGGGTCAAGAGTCCTGCTGGTGCTGATAACGAGAAGTGGCCAGTCCAGGGTGTGAACCCAGGCCTCATGGCTCCTCCCTCTTGCTGTGACCTCTGGAGCCATGTGAGGGATTCTGCAAGGTGCTGCTCACCCTCACCCCCACCTGAGAGATGGACTCAGGCAGAACCATTGGAGAGTGGAAAGTTGACCTGGGGAGAGATGTCGGATCACAACCTCACCCACTGCAGGCCATGCACGCCAGGCATGGCCCAGACTCTGGGAGTGCAGACACAACCTAAAAATAGACAGAAATGAGCCTAATGATTCTGGAAGGAGGGAGAGGTGCCAGGAGGGAGCGATGAAGGCAGCCACCCTGGGAAGGCCAGGTTTGGGCAAAACCATGAAGGGAGGAAGGGGGTTTCCGGTTGTAGAGGAAACAGCTGGGCCCCAAGATGGACTCCTGCCGGCAACCAGGGAATGGCAAGAAAGTCGGGGAACAGAGGCCCGGGGTTTCATGCCACCTTCACGGCTCATCTGTGTCTGTGTGCAGATGGCGCGAGTGGGGGCACTGCTCTGTGGCTGTGGTGTGCGCTGGTCCACACCAGACACATCCTCAGCCCCAACGTGGAGAGAACCAGGGACGGGAGACTGTGTGGGGGAAGCGGCTGAGGTCCAGAGTCGCACTGAGTGTGCAGTGCCCTGGAAGCCGAGAGAGGTAGCCCATGCATTACAATGTGGGCAGGGATCCTGGAGAGGCCACTCTGGTCTGCGTATTTGACCTGCTGCACCTCACTTTCTTCACCCACCTCCCTTGGCTATTGATTCACCACCCCCTCCACCCCCAACCAGCCCTTTCTTTCCCTGAGGTTCCTGTTCCTGTTCTTCTTTCTGCCTGTGACAAGCCGCTCAGCCCTTGTCCCATCTCTGAGCACATGGTCCAGGGAGGACACAGCCAGTCACAGCCGGATCAAGAACCAAGCTCCGCACTGGCTGCCTGGATGCAGGCTGCTGTGTGTTCTGGGTAGGGGTTGGGGGACTCCAGCAGCACCTGCCGCACCTGCCCCCGCCTGGCTTGCCTTGTCCTGGCTCCAGGCCCCCTCAGCATCCTCACTCCACCTGTGGCTTGTGGGGCACAGTGTGGCCAGGACAGTCATTAGCATGGGCTCCCTAAAGTCAGTTCACTCTGGGTCCCCTGGGGGCCTCCTCCTGCACAGTGCTCCCCCTAGGCTGGGGATGGCCTCTGTCTAAACACTATGGTAGCTCTAGGGGGCAGGAGAGAGCAGTCAAGCTGAGAGGGCCTCCCTGATCACAGGCGTGCAGCTTTAGCATTGTTGGCAACCAGGGGAGGAAGGAGGGCATCGGAGAAGCCCAGACCACACTGCACCCCCACTCTAGACTGGTGCTCCTCTGGGGGAGTGGGGTGCCAGTGGGCAGACAGCGCCAGGAGCCAGCCCAGAGAAGCCAAGGGTGACAGGTGCCCAGGAATGGCCACACACCCACCACCTGGTGGTCCTGAGCCAACACTTGTGCCTACTCCCACCCCAGCACCCCCAGCCCTGGCTCCAGGGTTCCCCTGACATGGGAGTCTGGGTTTTGGTTTTAACTCTGGCCCTGACCAGTGTCCTGTGTCCTTGGACAGACACTTCCGGTTTCTGGCCTCAGTCTGTGCTGCTATGAAATGCCAGTGACACTCCTCACCTCCTCAGAGTGGTGGCTGCAGAGGGTACATGGCAGAGCTGTGATGTTCCTGTCCTGCTCCAGGTGCAGGCTCTGGGCAGGGCTGTGAGACAAGGAGTGAGGAGTGTGCCTGCCCCCAGAGCTTGCAGCCTAAGAGGAGGTGGGGGCAGCTGTCCCCAGCCTTTGGATGAGGGTGCAGCCCTGGGGCTGGGTCAGGACAGTGGTCAGCTCTCTCACCTCAGCCTGCCCCACTGTCCAGGATATCCTGGAGCCGTCCAGGCCCAGATGGCAGTGGGTGGGGCAGGAAGGAGCGATGCTGAGTGGGCAGCCTAGGCGGGCAGGGCTGGGCGGCTTGGCCTAGGTGGTGTGAGGGGCCTGGAGGGCGCTGGGGCCTGGGTGGGGCCGTGCAGCATAGTGACTTTGGGAGATTTCCTGGATCCTGCTGTCCTTCCTGCTGGGCATTCCCACTGCAGCCAAGCCCGACACCGGCTGGAGGGGCTGGGCTGGTGGGGCTGGACTCTGCCAGGCAGAGACCAGGTGGTGGCTGGGGCTTCCCGGAGGTGCTGGAAACCCCACACTTCCCGGTTTCCTCTCCAGATGCCTGGGAATGGGGAGCCTCTGCCCAGGAGGAAAGTCCCCAGTGTTCCCAGCCGAGTGTGTCAGGAGTGCGGGGATAGAGGGGCCTCCAGTGGGCCCTGGGGCTACCAGCTACACAAGGAGGTCCCAATGTCAGACCCAATGGAGTCACTGGTGTCATTGCTTGTGTGCCATAAAGGGACTGTCTCCTTTGTTCCCTCCCTTTAGTCAGGGATTATTCTGGGGACCCTAGGAGGAGCCCCTGCTTGGACCCCTGCTTGGAGCTCATCCCACAGAGACCCGTTTTACCTCTGAGCTACAGCAGCGGTTTCCATCCTTGCCTGTGACCACAGAGACTTGCTCAGGGAGCACAGCCTTATGGACTCCCAGCCCCCACCTAGCCCCCACCCAGCCTTCTGCCAGCAGCTGAGGCCCAGAGGCCGGGTGTCACTGCGCTGTGACCTGAGTGTGAAGGTGTCAGTTCCGGGCCCTGCAACAGTAGACCAGGTCCGGGGGCGGGGGTTAGCGGTGCAGCCGTGAGGCCCGAGGTGGAGAGGGCAGGCAGGACCAGCAGGAAGAGCACAGCCCACAGGGCTGGAAGGTCTGGGCCAGGCCCAAGGAGCTTGAAGGATAGGTGCCTGTTAGGAAACCCGTGCCCTCAGCAGGAGGGCCAGTGCCCCACCACACAGATCTAAGGGGGCAACAAGTGGAGGCCGCCAGCACTGGGGGGGTCTACCTACATGGCCCCTTGCAGCCCTCCATGGCCCCACAGCTGTCCTGGTGCCACTGGCACATTGCAGTTCCCAAGAGGACCCTGAAGGCCCCCTCTGTTTGTCTCCCGCCCTCCCTGAAGTGTCCTGGCTCCAGGGTTTCCTGCAGGGGATATTTTCCTGCAGCCCACTTCCTTGCACAGCTGGGGTCACAGAGCACAGCCCTGGTGGGAGGCCATCCACCGAGCACTGGGCCTGGCATGTGAGTCTCCGTCTGCCCTCTGTGGGCCTGAGGGTGGGGAGGATGGTGCCAGACCCCATGGGGAGGCAGGCCTGCCCCAGGCCCAGCTTAGGGGCACTGCCGGGTGAGCCCTAGAGGGGTCCTGCCCCTGTGGTCTGTGCCTGTGGCCAGCCGGCTGGTGCTCAAAGCAGGGTGGGCTGCCCCTGCCTCTTATTGCTGCTGCAAAAAAGTCCCACAGATGGAGCTGCTTCCGCACCACATGCTTCTTATCTCGGCCAGTAGGTCAGAGGCTGGGTCGGGTCTTAGGGGCTGAGGTCAAGGCGCTGGCCGGCCTGCCTCTTCGGAGGCTCCAGGCAGAATCGTGGTCACGCAGGTGTCTGTTGGTAGAATCTCATTCCTTGAGGTCCCCGTCCCCTGTGGGATGTTGGCCCCTGAGGGCCCCTAGAGCCCCCTCTGGGCCTTGTGTGAGGCTCCCTACAGCTCCGAGCCAGCCACAGGTGTTGGGTCCCCTGACGCCACCATCTCCCTGACCCTGTCTTGTCCTCACACTTTCTCTGACTGCAGCGGGGAAAGATTCTTCAACTTTAAGGACTTGTGAATACAATGGGCCCACCCAGGAGAATCTCCCAGCAGCCTTAAGAGCCTCTGCCTAATTACACCTACAGAGTCCCTTTTGCCGAATACGGGAACATTCCCAGGTTCTGGAGATCAGGCTGTGGGCATATTTGGGGGCCATACCCACTCTTGAGAGCCTAATCCCTCACATGAGGTGAGCAAGGCAGCCCTCCCCGGGGATTTGGGAGTTTACAGTCTGGGGAGCTACAAGGACCTCAAATCCACACACGGGGTAGTTTGGAGGTTGTGGCACCCGCTGAACACATCAGGATGAGGTGGTGGGGGGTGTGGGGTGGGTGTCAGGAAGGCTGGACCTGGCCAGGCCCCTCCTGCAGGTGGCCTTGCTACGGTGGGCGTGGAAGTGTGTGGGGGCACCCCCGCCTGTGGGCCCTCCCTGGGCTGGGTGTGCACAGCCCCTTTGTCTGGGGCATGGACAGAGGAGACCATGGGGGTTTGCCCACGATGGGCTCCTTTGAACTCGCTGGTCCTGAAGGCGTGGGGTGCGGTGCTCTGTGAGGAGAGCTGGGGTTGTTGGCAGCAGATTGTGGGTTCCAGTGGGGTGCGGACGATGAGTGCCAGGGTGCAGGGGAGCGGTTAGTCCCAGTGGGTCTGTGTCGAGGGTGAGCAGGAGGCACAGGGTCCTCTCTCGGGTGCTGCCTCCCGCCGCGAGCCAGTCACTGGGTGTGCAGCAGAGGGAGCCTGCAAGCCTCTGTGGAGGGGCTCTATTGCCAGTGGGAGTCAGGTGAGTTTGGCAGCCGAGCCCTGAAACCGGGTCCTCTGTCTGTGCTAAAAAGCCCCTGAGCTTAGGACATGTGAGGGGAAATCAGACCTTCAGAAAAGAAAGTGCACTGTGTCTGCCTCACAGTCACGTCCCCTCCCTTCCTGGGAGTCCATGGCTAAGCAGAAGTCAAGGGCCTGGCCAGGCAGTTGGGTTTGGAAGACAGAGTCACTGACTACCCATTAATGCCCTGCCCTTCCTTCCCAGGCAGGCCTGCCTACTAGAAAGAGCTGCTGGATGCCGAGCCCCGGCCTGTCCCGCAGCCCCGTAGCCCACCCCTTCCTCCCTGCCTTCCAACTCCAAGTGCCTGGCCAGGCCCTTGACTCCTGGCCTGGTTCCCCTGCCCACCTAGTCCTGGCTGTGGAGAGGTGGGTGTGCTGGTCTGTCTGCTCCTTCTGGGGTGCACTGCTCTGTGTCCCACCTGCTGACACCCTTGAAACTAAAGATGTGTCCACGATGTGGAGTGTGCCTGTGTATGCACACCCATGTGGGTGGGTGGCAGTACCGTGCACACACAGGAGTGCCTGGGTCAGCCCTCTATTCCCCCAAGCCCCCTCTGCTTCTGGGGGCCTGCCCCAGGCACTGTCCTTGGTCATCCCAGCATCAATGGCGACAGGTGCCCTCTGCGTCCTCACCCTCTGACAACACTCCTCATGGCCAGGGCCAGGTGGGAGCTCGACACCACCCTGTGTGTCCTCAGGGTGCCGCTACCATCCAGCAGGGCCTCCCTGTCTGCCTGCTCCTGCATCACCAGGGGTCCGTCTTGTTGGGGAGACTCCCTGTGGCACAGCACCTTCACCTGTCCCTTCCGAACCTGACAACAGCAAGGAGAGAACTGGTACTTGTGAGGGTCAGGGGTCTGGTCCACACCAGTGCTGGGCCAGACGAAGGCCTGGTCCCCCTCACAGTCCTGGAGGGGTGGCTGTGCACAGGGAGGCAGAAGCAGAGGTGTCCCGTGAGCCAGAGAGTGTGGATTCCCAACCGTCTGGACAGGGTGAGCTCCCCAGGTAGCGCTCAACAAGCACGTTTCGCAGTCTGCTCAGGGCTCGCAATTAACAGGACTGTGCCACCCCTGACTGCGTCTGGAGGTGAGGTGGTGTGGGCTGTGGGCTCTGGGCTGACATCTCAATTTTCACAGCGGCTGGCGTCCATCATGCACACTGACACCTTGTGCTCAGTGGCAAAGCAGAAGCAGTAAATCAATCTGTGTGGCTTTTTCTTTCCTGGGCATGCGTGAGTGTGTTCTGGAAGCCACACTGTTCCTGCTCCAGCCTTTGTGCCTCCTAGGGGACTCCAGCTGAGGTGCAAATCCTAGCACGGTGAGGGGCCCCACAAGACGCTTCAGGCAGCAGCGGGGTGCAGATGGGAAGCACACAGTCCTCATATTGGGGGGATATTAGGGACCTGGTGCCGAACCCACAGGGTGCTTTTCATGAGGGCCCCAGGCGGCTGCCGCTGGCTGATCAGTGCTGCATGCTGGGACTGCGGCAGGAAGGAAAACTGAGTCTCAGAGGTTGGGTTGCAGAAGAGTGCCATCAGGGCCCAGCCAGCAGAGCAGGCCTCTTCCTGCAGCCCTTCCTGTTGGATTTCTGGGTTTCTGGCACCTTCCCGGCCTCCATCAGGGAATAGGCACTTCCTTCCACGCCCTGCAGCCTCAGAGGTGCTCCCTAGAGCAAGGCCCAGGCCCCTCCTCACACATTCCCTTCAGCTGTGAGGCTCGCTGCTGGAGCCTCTGCCTGGCCCTGGGCAGCTCCTGCCTGCACGTCTCCACCTCCACCCAGGTGTCTCTGGCTTCAGCAGGGTTGCGGGTCAGTGCCTGGGTCCATTGAGCCTTGTTCCCCAGGACCACCACTCCCAAGCCTCCAGCCCTCTCTGCCCCTTCCAGCTGGGAAGCCGCCATTGACCAGGTGACAGGTGGGAAAACAGCGGAGCCACAATGCCCCTCATGTGCTTTTGACATTTGACCTGACCTTGGGGCTAGGTGAGGGGCAGATGTAAGCAAGGAGCCTCTGTGGAATGGAGCATGGAAGGAACCCTCTAGGGTGCCTGACCCCCCCCTTCCCCTTCGGCACACCCCACACTTGGGGCTTCTCAAGTCTGGCTGTGTGCTGGGGTCTCCCACTGAGCTGGCAGAAGATTCCAACCTCAGAGCCACACCCCCAGACTCTGATTCACTCGGCCTGGGGGCGGAGCCCAGGAATCTGTTTCTAGCAGTCGTCTTGGGTGGGGTGGGGCACTTTCTGAGAGTGACTTATGTCAAGCAACAGGCGGAATTGGCACTGTCCTGGGTCAGCTGGGACGACTGTGTCCTATGGCTGGTGATGGCATATGGACCTGGGAGGTGGTCTCTGCGTCCCCCGACAGGGAAACCGTCATAGCTGCTCAGGTGTGTCCATGACAGGTGCTCTCCCCATTCCCCCATTCCAGGTGGCCCTCCTCTCCCCAGCTGTAGTGAAACCAGTGTCCGGGCAGCTGGCTCCCAGGCAGCGCTCCTCCATAGCTCCGAGACTGCGCATTGGCCAAGGGTACACAGTGCCAGAGAAGGTGCCTCGCAGGGAGCTGCACCGGTCCTTCAGGTGCATGGCATTCACCACATTTTCTAGAAGTGGAAACTGAAGTTCAGAAAGGTGAAGGGCTTTTGCCAGCTCCCTCGGTGGGAGACACAGAGGTGGTGTGCTTGCCCTGGCCGCTGGACCCTGCTGTGAGCACTGTGCCCTCTCCCCAGGGGACTTTCCCCGAGGGAGAGCACTGAATAATCTTGCTTTTAAATCTTGCTTTTAAACACACGTGAAAGTCCCTGCAGGAGCACCTTCCCTGATTAGGCAGCATCAGACCCTGGTGGCTGCAGCAGCTTCCTGGCGTGGGGGCCGGTGGTGGGGGCAGGAACATCCTCTGTTTTGGACTCTGAGGATTGGGGGACACTCTGGGGCCCACCTCCTCCTGACCACAGGCCTTCCCAGCTGGCTCCTTCTGAGGGACACAGAGTTGGCCCTGCTTGGCAGGCAAGGGGAACAGGAAGCCCCAGGGCCAGCCAGGGTCCAGGATGCCTTGCTGGCCCGAGCTGTGTGCAGACACTGACATTTCAGTCCCATCTTGGCAGTGATGTCAGCTGGCCTGGGCAGGACCCTGCACCGCTGTGTGCCTGGGGGAGCAGAGCCAGCCAACAGCAATGGGGAGAGAGGGTGAGGCTGGGCCTTGCTGGCCAAATCACCAGCACTGTCTTCCTTCTTGGAGCCACGGAAGTGCTTTCAGAAGCTGAGGCCAACAGAACCCCCTTCCCCCAGGACCGTGACTCAGAAGAGCATGGTTAGCTGGGGTGGAGTGGGGGCCCTGCAACCCTGCATTGGAGAGTGGATGGCCACTTGGATGAGGGCTTACCAGGGAGGATGGACATACAGATGGTCAGACGTGGGAAGTGGGTAGCACAGCAGCAGGTGGGAGCTGGCAGTGGTGTGGGTGTGGGGCAGTGAGGAGATGGCTACAGGTCTTGGCTACTGTTCTTAGAGTCTGGTTGATTCTCAGCCATGGCGTCCTGCTCCTCAGATGGACACAGGTGACCAGGTCTCTCTCCCTTACAATTGCTTTTTATGCTTTCCTCTGTTGCCTGGAGTGTCTGTTTCCTCTGGGGTCAGTTCTTCCCTACGTGGATTGCTTCATGTGGGTGAGAAGTCACCTCATCTGAGGAGCCTTCTCCAGCTGGCCCATATTATCACCAACAGAGCCCCCATCCACTCCTGGCTCTCCCCACCTGCTCTAGTTTTTTCCACAGCACTTGTTGCCGGCTGGTGTGTGTTTCCCTGTTTAGTATTTGTGTCTCCCCTTGACCATTTATGCTTCATGAGGCCCAGGACTCTGTGGGTCATGTTTATGACCATATTCCACTGCCTAGAACAGGGCGAGGCAACCCTAAGCCCTCAAGATACAGTTATTGGATGAATGAATACCATTACCTAGCCTTAAACTCAGGCCAAAGAAAAATGAATAAGAAAAAAATCTACAGACTAGTTGAATAAAGGGGAAACCCCAAACACACCATTCAAGAAAAAAAAATGCCTTATTAGCTCACTGTCATTCATAATGAACAAAATACAAATTAAGCCTGCAGTGAGACCATTCTCACCTGTTAGATTGTGGTGCCTGTGAGGGTCATCGAGTGCTGTCCTGGTAGTGGGATGTTGGTCATCGTCATCTTTTCTTCTAAGAAATTGAAATATATAATTCACATAACTTAAATTTTACCCTTTTAAAGTGCATGATTTAGTGGGTTTTAGTGTATTCACAAATGGAACCATCATCTCTAATTCCAGAACCTCTTTTTTTTTTTTTTTTTTTTTTTAAAGACCGAGTCTCATAGTCTCATTCTGTTGCCCAGGCTGGAGCGCAGTAGTGCCATCTCGGCTCACTGCAACCTCTGTCACCCAGGTTCAAGCGAGTCTCTGGGCTCAGCCTCCCAAGTAGCTGGGATTACAGGCATGTGCCACCATGCCCAGCTAATTTTTGTATTTTTAGTAGAGACGGGGTTTCACCATGTTTGTCAGGCTGGTCTCGAACTCCTCACCTCAAGTGATCCACCCGCCTCAGCCTCCCAAAGTGCTGGGATTATAGGCATGAGCTACCACACTCGGCCATGTTTTTTTTTTTTTTTTAATCTTATTTTTTATAAATAGAAATGGGGGGTCTTACTATATTGCTCAGGCTGGTCTCAAACTCCTGAGCTCAAGTGATCCTCCCACCTCAGCCTCCCAAAGTGCTGGGATTACAGGTGTGTGCCACCATGGCTGGCTAATTTTTTTGTAGTTTTAGTAGAGACGGGGTTTCACCATGTTGGCCAGACTGGTCTTGAACTCCTGACCTCAGGTGATCTGTCTGCCTAGGCCTCCCAAAGTGCTGGGATTATAGGTGTGAGCCACCACGCCCAGCCCAGAACTTCTTAATTATCCCTCAAACTGCCCCTTCCCCAACCCACCAGCTTCTGGTAACCACTAATCTATTTTATGACTCTATGAATTTGCCTATTCTGGATATTTGAATAAGTGGAATCATGCAACATGGCCTTTTTTGTCAGATTTCCTTCTCTTAGCATACTGTTCTCAAGTTCTTCAGTGTTGTAGCATGTTGGTATTTCATTCCTTCTTATTGCTGTGTAATATTCCATCATATGGATAAACCACACTCATTAGTTAATGGATATTTGGGTTGTTTCCACTTTGTGGCTAATATGAAGAATGCTGCTGTGAACATTTGTGCACAAGTTTTTGTGTGGACAGAGGTTTTTAAATATTTTGTGGAATACAAGGAGCGGAATTGTTGGGTCCTATGATAACTCTGTTTAACAATTTAAGGAACTATACCGATCATTTTCTGAATAGATTGCACAATTTTACATCCTTACCAGCAAAGTATGAGAGTTTCAGTTTCTCAGCATCCTCAGTAACACTTGTTATTACTGTCTTTTCTATTATATCCACCCCAGTAGATAGTGTCTCCTTGTGGTTTTGATTTGCATTTGAAATCCTAATAACTAATAATTTTGAGAAATTTTAATGTGCCTATTGGCCATTTGTACATCTTCTTTAGAGAAATGTCCATGAGGGCCTTTGCCCGTTTTTAACTGGGCTATCTTTTTATCATTGAATTGTAAGAGTTCTTCATATATTCTGGATACTAGACCCTATAACATATATGGCATGCAAATATTTTCTCCCATTCTGAGGGTAGTGTTTCCCATTTCTTCTTGATAGTGTCCTTTGAAGCACAAGTTTTTCAAATTGGATCAAGTCCAATTTATCTCTTTTAAAATTTGACTGCACATGCTTTTGGTGTCATATTTACGAAACTATTGCCTAATGCAAGGTCACAAAGATTTACACTTGTTTTCTTCTAAGAGTTTTATAGTTTTAGGTCTTGCATTTATGTCTTTGATCCATTGGAATTCATTTTTATATGTGGTACGAGGTACAAATCCAAATGTGTTCCTTTGTTTGAGGCTATCTGCTTGTCCCAGCACTATTTGTTGAAGAGAGTATTCTTTCCCCATTAGATTATTATGACACTCTGGACAAAAATTGAGTGACCATGGAGGTGTGGGTTTATTTCTGGACTCTCACCTTTATTCTGTTGATTTATAGGTCTATTTTTATGCCATTACCACACAGTCTTAGTTACTGTAGCTTTGTAGTAAGTTTTGAAGTCAGGAAATGTGAGTCCTCCAACTTTGTACTTCTTTTTCAAGACTGTTTTGGTTGTTCCAGGTCCCTTTCATTTTCACACGAATTTTAGGAACAGCTTGTCAATTTGTGCAACAACAACAACAAAAGCCAGCTAGAATTTTGATAGGGATTGCATTGAATCTGTAGGTCAATTTGGGGAGTATTGCCATCTGAAGAATATTGTCTTACAATCCATGAACATGGGATGTCCTTCCACTTATTTAAGTCTACATTAATTTCTCCCAACTATGTTTTGTAGTTTTTAGTGTACAAGTCTTATACTTTTGTTAAATTTATAATTATTTTATTCTCTTTGATGCTATTACGAATTGAATTGTTTTCTTAATTTTATTTTCAGATTGTTCATTACTACCATATAGAATTACAATTGATTTTCATATATTGATCTTGTATCCTATAGCCTTGCTGAATTTATTTATTAGTTCTAATAGTGTGTGTGTCTGTGTGTGTATGTGTATTTCTTAGGACTTCCTATATATGAGATCATCTGCAAATAGAGATAGTTTTACTTCTTCTTTTCAATATGGGTGTCTTTTATATCTTTTTCTTATCCAATTGCCGAGGCCAGAACCTCCAGAGCAATGTTAAATAGAAGAGGCAAGAGCAGACATATTTGTTTTGTTTTTGATCTTAGGAGGAAAGCTTTTGGTCTTCTACAATTAACTGTGATGTTCTGGATTTTTCACAGATATCCTTTATTGGATTGATGAAGTTCCCTTCAGTTGCTTGTTTGTTGAGCATTTTTTTAAATCTTCAAAGGATGTTGGATTTTATTAAATGATTTTTCTGCATCTATTGTGATGATTATGTGGTCTATGGATATGGTATATTACATTGATCTTTGTATGTTGATCTAACCTTACATTCCTTGAATACGTATGGCTTAGTCATGATGAATACTTACAAAATATGCTGCTGGATCTGATTTGCTAATATTTTGTTGAGGAGTTTTGCATCTACATTTATGGATGGTTTATATTGGTTTATAGTTTTTTTCCTTGTGATTTTGTTTCCTAGTTTGAGTATTAAGGCAATAGTGACCTCATGGAATGAATTGGTTAGTGCTTTGTATTCTATTTTTTGAAGGACATTGTAAGGGATTGGTGTTAATTCTTTAAGTGTTTGGCAGAATTCACCAGTGACTTTGGCCCTGGGCTTTTCTTTGTGGGCAAGAAGTTTTTTGATTACTAATTCAATATCTTGTTATAGGTTTATTCTGACCTAAGTTTCAGTCTGAGAGTTTGTGTTTCTCTAGGAATTTTCCCATTTCATCTAGTTTATCTAATTTCTTGGCAAACAGCTGTTCATAGTATTCCCTTATAGTGCTTTTTATTTCTGTAAAGCTGGTGGTAATATCCTCTCTGATTTTACTAATTTGAGTCTTCTCTCTATTTTTTTCTTGTTCAGTGTAGTTAGAAGTTTGTCAGTTTTATTTTTCAAAGAACCCATTTTTGGTTTTTCATTAACTTTCTCAATTTTTTTTTACTCTCTATTTCATTTACTTTCACTCTAGTATTTTCTTCTTCTGTTATTTGTTAATTTAATTTGCTTCTCTTTTCCTAGTTTCTCAAGGTGGAATGTTAGGTTGTTGATTTGAGAACTTTCTGTTTTTTAATGTGGACATTTATAGTTTTATATATATATTTTTAAACTCAGCACTGCTTTTGCTGTATTCCGTAAGTTTGGCATGTTATGTTTTCATGTCCATTTATTTCATAGTATTTTTACTTAAGTAAATTTGAGAATTCCCTTGTGGTTTCTTCTTTTTCCATTGGTTATTTAAGAATATGTTGTGTAATTTCCACATATTTGTAAATTTCCCAGATTGTTTTTGCCGTTGACTTCTGTTATTTTATTGTGGTCACAGAACATACTTTGTATAATTTCAGTCCTTTTAAATTTATTGAGATTTGCTTTATGGCCTAACATAAGGTCTATTCTGGAGAATATTTCCTGTGCACTTGAGAAGAGTATGTGTTCTGTTGTTGTTAAGTGGAGTGTTCTGTCGATGTCTGTTAGGTCTAGTTGGCTTAAAGTGTTGTTCAAGTCTTCTGATTTTTTTTTTTAATTTTTTTATTTTTAGTATTTATTGATCATTCTTAGGTGTTTCTCAGAGAGGGGGATGTGGCAGGGTCATAGGATAATAGTGGAGAGAAGGTCAGCAGATAAACACGAGAACAAAGGTCTCTGGTTTTCCTAGGCAGAGGTCCCTGCGGCCTTCGGCCCTGTTTGTGTCCCTGGGTACTTGAGATTAGGGAACGGTGATGACTCTTAACGAGCATGCTGTCTTCAAGCATCTGTTTAACAAAGCACATCTTGCACCACCCTTAATCCATTTAACCCTGAGTTGACACAGCACATGTTTCAGAGAGCAGGGGGTTGGGGGTAAGGTTATAGATTAACAGCATCCCAAGGCAGAAGAACTTTTCTTAGTACAGAACAAAATGGAGTCTCCTATGTCTACTTCTTTCTACACAGACACAGTAACAATCTGATCTCTCTTTCTTTTCCCCACATTTCCCCCTTTTCTTTTCAACAAAACCACCATCGTCATCATGGCCCATTCTCGATGGTCGCTGTCTCTTCGGAGCTGTTGGGTACACTTCCCAGACGGGGCGGCCTGGCAGAGGCGCTCCTCACTTCCCAGGCTGGGTGGCCGGGCAGAGGTGCTCCTCACCTCCCAGACAGGGCGGCCAGGCAGAGACGCCCCTCACCTCCCAGATGGGGCGGCCGGGCAGAGGCGCCCACTTCCCAGATGGGGCGGCTGGGCAGAGGTGCTCCCCACCTCCCAGACGAAGAGCGGCCGGGCAGAGGCGCTCCTCACTTCCCAGGCGGGGCAGCCAGGCAGAGACGCCCCTCACCTCCCAGATGGGGCAGCGGCCAGGCAGAGGCGCCCCTCACCTCCCAGACGGGGCGGCCGGGCAGAGGCACCCACTTCCCAGGCGGGGCGGCCGGGCAGAGGCGCTCCTCACTTCCCAGATGGGGTGGCGGCCGGGTAAAGACGCCCCTCACTTCCCAGGCGGGGTGGCCGGGCAGAGACGCCCCTCACTTCCCAGGCGGGGTGGCCAGGCAGAGACTCCCCTCACCTCCCGGACGGGGCAGCTGGGCAGAGGCGCCCACTTCCCAGATGGGGCGGCCGGGCAGAGGCGCTCCTCACTTCCCAGACGGGGCGGCCAGGAAGAGGGGCTCCTCACATCCCAGACGATGGGCAGCCAGGCAGAGACACTTCTCACTTCCTAGACAGGGTGGCGGCCGGGCAGAAGCACTCCTCACTTCCCAGACGGGGGCGGCCAGGCAGAGGCGCTCCTCACTTCCTCCCAGACGGGGCGGCCAGGCCGAGGCGCTCCTCACATCCCAGACGATGGGCGGCCAGGCAGAGACGCTCCTCACTTTCTAGATGGGGTGGCGGCCGGGCAGAGGCACTTCTCACTTCCCAGATGGGTCGGGCGGGCAGAGGGGCTCCTCACATCCCAGACGATGGGCGGCCAGGCAGAGACGCTGCTCACTTCCTAGACGGGGTGGCGGGCGGGCAGAGGCTGTAATCTTAGCACTTTGGGAGGCCAAGGCAGGCGGCTGGGAGGTGGAGGTTGTAGTGAGCCGAGATCACGCCACTGCACTCCAGCCTGGGCAACATTGAGCAATGAGTGAGCGAGACTCCATCTGCAATCCCAGCACCTCGGGAGACCGAGGTGGGCAGATCACCCGAGGCCAGGAGCTGGAAACCAGCCCGGTCAACACAGCGAAACCCTGTCTGCACCAAAAATACAAAAACCAGTCAAGAGTGGCGGCGCGTGCCTGGAATCCCAGGCACTTGGCAGGCCGAGGCAGGAGAATCACCGGAGCCCAAGGCAGGGAGGTTGCAGCGAGCCGAGATCATGGCAGTACAGTCCAGGCTCTGCAAGAGAGGGAGACGGTAGAAAGAGGGAGACGGAGAGCGAGAGCGAGAGGGAGAGAGAGGGAGAGGGAGAGGGAGAGGGAGCGATTTTTTTTTAACTGACCTACTGTCTAGAGTTTTTGTTCATTATTGAAAGTGGGGCTATTGAATTCCCCAACTATTTTTGTTGAATTGTCTTATTTCTTCCTTCAATTCTATCAGTTTTTGCTTCTTGAATTTTGGGACTCTGTTGTTAGGTATATATTTGTTTGTAATTGTTATATCTTGTTGA
The DNA here is from genome assembly GCF_000001405.40 of Homo sapiens. Lineage (NCBI taxonomy): Eukaryota > Metazoa > Chordata > Mammalia > Primates > Hominidae > Homo > Homo sapiens. The sequence goes on along the minus strand of NC_000010.11, from coordinate 43,242,304 downwards.
TTAGCCCTTTAATCATTATAAAATATCCTTCTTTGTCTCTAGTAACAATTTTTGTCCTAAAGTCTATTTTCTCTAATATTAATATAGCCATTCTGGCTCTCTTTTGATTACTTTTTGCTTGGAATGTCTTTTTTCATATTTTCACTTTCTTATTTATTTATTTTTTTGAGATGGAGTCTCGTTCTGTCGTCTAGGCTGGAGTGCAGTGGCGCAGTCTTGGCTCACTGCAAGCTCCACCTCCTGGGTTCACGCCATTCTCCTGCCTCAGCCTCCTGAGTAGCTGGGACTACAGGTGCCCACCACCATGCCTGGCTAATTTTTTTGTATTTTTAGTAGAGATGGGGTTTCACTGTGTTAGCCAGCATGGTCTCAATCTCCTGACCTCGTGATCCACCCACCTTAGCCTCCCAAAGTGCTGGGATTACAGGCGTGAGCCTCTGCATCCGGCCATATTTTCACTTTCAACTTATTTGTGTTCTTCTCTCTAAAGTGGGTCTATTTTAGAAAGCCATGTAGTTGGATCATGTTTTTTTTTTTAACTCTGATAATCTCTGACTCTTAACTGGAGTGTTTAATTCATTTACATTTAATGTAAATACTGATAAGGTAGGATTTGCTATTTGTTTTTTATGTCTTATGCCATTTTTGTTCCTTTATTCCTTCATTATTTTCTTCTTTTGTGTTAAATAGATATTTAGATATTATCTAGTGTACCATTTTAATTTCTGTCTTTTCCTTTATTGTATATTTTTGAGTTATTTTCTTACCTGTTGCCTGTAGGGTTATAATTAATATCTTAACAAATAACTATGTATATGTTATATGTACATGTCAATGTTCAGATTAATACAAACTCAATTGCAACAGTATTCAAAAACTTTGCTCCTCTGTAGTTCTGTTGCCTCTCCTCTCCTTTGTGCTGTTACTGCCATAAAATTTACATTTTTATACCTTGTGTGCTCATCAATCTATACTTATAATTATTGTTTCATGCAGTTGTCTTTTAATTCAGGCACATTCAGGGTAGTATGGTCATAGACCAGTTGTCTTTTAATTCAAATAGGAGAAAAATAGAGTTAAGTGCATAAAATGTGTTTATACTATCTTTTATATTTACTAATATATAGCAATAAATATAAAACCAGTAAAGTTACCTTTAATGGTCCTCTTTATTTTTTCACATGATTTCAAGTTGCTGCTTATTGTCCTACTATTTCAGCCTGAAGGACTCTCTTTAGTAGTTCTTATAAGGCAGGTCTTCTTCTGACGAGTTCTCTATTTTATTTGTCAGGTAATTTCCCTTTCATATTTGAATGACAATTTTGCTGCATAAAGAATTCATGGTTGACACCTCTTTTCTTTCAGTATTTTGAACGTGTCAGCTCAACTGCTTCCTGCCCTTCATGGTTCCTGATAAGAAATCTACCTGGAGTTTGTTGAACTTTTAGGATATGGAGATGAATATTTTCATCTAACTTAGAAAATTTTAGCCATTATTGCTTCTAATATTTTTTTTCTGCCTTATTTCTCACTCTCCTCTTTTTCTGAGACTCTTCTTATACATATGATAGTGTCCATTATGGTGTCTGTGGCTCTATTTATTTGTTCCTTTCTTTTTTCTTTCTGTGCCTCAGACTGGATAATCTCAATGGACGTTTTTTCAAGTCACTGATTCTTTCTTCTCTCTGTTCAAACCTGTTGTTGAGCCCCTCTTGCTATGTTTCATTTCATTTACTTAGTTTTCAACACCAGAATTTCTGCTTGGTTCTTTTTTATAATTTGTATTCCTTTATTGATATTCTCTGTTTGATATATTGCTTCCATACTTTCCTTTAGTTCTTTAAACATCAATTCCTTCAGTCTTTAAAAAATATACTTAAAGTAGCTGATTGAAAGTTTTTGTTTAGTAAGTCAATTCTGGAAATCAGATTCTCCCCACTCTTTGGGGTTTGTTGTTGCTGCTGTTTATTGTAGTAATGGTTGTTTGTTTTGTGACATTTCTGGATTACTTCTGCAAAGTCTGTATTCTTTTGTGTGTGGCACTGAAATCTCTGCTCAGTTATCTTAGCGGTCAAATAATGATTGGAAAGAAATTTTCATAAGTGCCTGGAGTCAATAAAGTTCTCAGTCTTCGCTAAGGGGCTCTGTGTCTTTGGGTATGCTTTCAGCTCTCAGCTAAGCAGCTGATAACTCTGCCTTAGTCTTCTCTTCCTGCTTGCACAGAGACTCAAAGTCAGCCAGAAGTGAGTGCTTAGGGTTTCCCAAGTACTTTTCTGAGCATGTGCACAGCCCTGAGCATGCACTTGACCTTCTAGATTCTCAGGAATGCACTGCAGTTTTTCAAAACCCCTATGATCATGTCATTACTGAAACTTTCCTTTTAAGCTTTCTGGTTAGTCTATTGCTTGCTTCACTGTTATCTACTGCTTCAGGCATTTGTGAAATTAAATACCAGTAATTGTTTTTGACAATGAACCTTGGGGAATATGATTTTTGTACTTGAGACCTCTGAGTCAGGTCAAATACAGACATCCTTGTAAGTGGGGTCTCCATGGGAACTACTGGACAGGTCAAATAATGACAGTTTTCTGAGAATGAAGCTTTGAAAGAGTTCCATTGCTGTTTTCCCTCCAGGGGCTGCTACGCCAGTGGTTTTCATGATGAATGTGGGGTCCTACTTTTCAAGGCACTTGGGATAGAGAGTCAGGGATGGGACTAGGGCAAGTTCAAGTGCTATAAAATTTGCAATTCTTACTGAGATTCAGTTATGTTTTTTGAATAAATCCTCCTAAGATTTCTGCAAGCGTTTAGTTAATTTTGGAAGTTCTAAAAATGTGGATTCTGACCTTTTTGTTTTTTGCTGGTTTTCTTGTTGCGTTTATGGAAGAGAGGGTTTTTGGAGGTCCTTACTCCACCATTTTCACTACCTGGCTATACTCTATTGAAAGCACTTCTGGGATGTCTCTTTAAACTTACAATGATCATAACCTTTGACCCAGCACATCAAGTATTAGGAGTTCATCTTTTATATGTGGTCACACATTTGAATAAAAACTTTTCATCAATAATGCCCATTGCAGGAGTGTTTTTCGTTGCCAAAGACTGTAAAGCACCTTGGTGTCTTTTGCTAGAGGACCTCTTACATGTGTGGCAGCCCACCTACCCAGTGGAATACCCTGCAGCTGCCACAGAACGTATGGAGTTGCCAGGAGCTGAGGGGCTCTCTCCAGGGAGCTGCAGGTGTCTGGGGCAAGTAAAGAAACTACAGGGCATCATTCCAGGCACCACTGATTAGAATGAATAATACCCCTTCTTCGAGAGCCTGTGATTCTGTGAATGACTAAGAAAGAAACTTCTGGAACATTTGTGTCTGCTCTAGGAACAGACACATGCACAGAAGCACGTGCAGACTTGTGTATTCGTGGGTTGCCTCATTTCCATTTGATATCAGGTCCCTTTCCACCAGCCTAGAGTGTCATCCTCTCTGGCTCATGGGGATGGCAGCTGTGGGCCCTTCCCATGGAAGAGGGGGCAGGACTCCCTGAGATGCATTGCTGCCCACATGCCCTACCAGCCTGACCCTGATATCTTTCAGGGTCCCTCAGTATCCCCACTTGCCCGAATGGCAGTCAGGGGCCCTGCCCATCACAGACAGCCTCTCCCCTGCCCTGCAACATGTTATAGGGACCTGCCAAAAGAGGACCTGGGGAAACCCACGGGACCCTCACAGCACCCTGGTGTCTTTGCAGAGTTGCAGGAGTGTATGTGGACATGGGGCTGGGGCAGTGAACAAGGAGGCTGGGGAACCCAGGCTTTCCCCCACTAAACTTAAATGAAATATAAGTAAACTGTCAAAAACGGTAGTAGTAGAGCTATCTAAAGTACTGCAGTTCGGTGAAGTACACTGAGCAGCTCAAGGGTAGGAAACCAGACAATCTGCGATGGCTAACCCTGCTGAAGGCAGGTCTGACTCTGCGATGGCTAACCCTCCTGAAGACAGGTCTCAATCTGCGATACAACACCCCCGAAGGCAGGTCTCAATCTGCGGCGGCTAACCCTCCTGTAGGCACACATAAACTAGCCACGGCTAACTCCCCTGAAGACCCCTTTAAGTCGACATGGCTAACCCTCCTGAGGGGCAGGTGTTACTCTGTGATGGCAAACCCTCCTGAAGGCAGGTCTCAATCTGCAGCACCCCCCCTCCCTCCGCCCCCCAAAGGCGGGTCTCAATCTATGATGGCTAATCCTCCTGAAGGCGGGTCTCAGGCACACCTGCGTCAGGCCTGGCCGCCTTGGCCTGTGTGGCCCACTCCCCTGATGGGCAGGTGGGCTGTGCTGAGCCCAGATCCCCGCCCACAGGTACAATGGCTGGGTCTCTGTTTGCCTGTGCCTGAGTGTCTGCAGGACAGGGCTCTATTCCCTGTGGGAGAGGAGACATCACATGGCGGTCCTGGGACATTCAGGCAGAGAAGCTCTGTGGTCTATGTGCTGGGGCCATGCTGGGATGGTCCCTGGGACTTCTATGGGGCTGGGTGTCGTGGGATCCCTGAGGAGTAGCAGCTGAGTTTGGGGAGAGCGGAGCCAGCTAGGCATCCTGGCATGAGTGCGTTCAGGCCTGGGCTTGGTTGGAACCCACGCCGTGCGTTAGCCTGGTGCCTCTGATGAGCACAGCAGGGACTGGAGGGAGGAGGCAGAATTGGCTGCAAAATAGCAGATGCAGCTGCTCTTTCTAGAAATGTAGGTAAGAAGAAAAGAGAGGTTGGGAGGCAGCTCAGGAGGAGCCGGGGTCAGGAGGACTGTGTCTGTGGTCTGGAGAGGGCAGAGGCTGAGGGGAAATGGAGGTGGGGGGGAGGGGAGGGGAGGAGGGGGAGAGTGGGAGTTAGGGGCACAACAGTGGGGTCAGGGATCAGCTCCGGGGCCTGGGCCCATGATGGCCAGGGGCTCCATTGGAGGGCAGGTGAAGCAGGAGAACAGACTAGGAGCCTCCGGGGTCGGGGAGGAGTGAAGGTACTGGCCAAGGATGGGTGGAAACCAAGGACCCAGGGAGACAGAAGCCTCTCTCCTTGACTGGTGCCTCCAATTTCCATAGAGCAGGCTGGCCCCAAGACCCCCTCACAAGGCCACACTGGCCCTGAGATCCTCTATAAGGCTAGGCTGGTTATGAGACCCCCAACAAGGCTAGGCTTGTCACAAGATTCCCTGCAAGGTTAGCCTGGTCCCAAGACCCTCTATAAGGCCAGGCTGGTCCTGAGATACCCTACAATGTTAGACTGGTCCTGAGACTCCCCACAAGGCCACGCTGGTCCTAAGACCCCCTACAAGGCCAGCCTGGTCTTAAGACCCTCACAAGGTTAGGCTGGCCCTGAGACCCTCCCACAAGGCCAGGCTGGCCCTGAGACCCCCCTATGGTCCTAAGCATCCCCCCCTTGTCCCCTACACACCAGGTGATCTCAGGTGTGAGCTCTCAGGCAGGGTCTCCTCTGAGTCTCTCTTCTCCAGGAGCCTGTGAAGGGCTCCGAGGGAGGGGCGAGCCCTGAGTGGGCCACTGCTGCTCCAGCCTTAACTTTGCACAGTCTTAGTGGGAGCAGGGATGCCTCATGTCCTGGTTTTAGAAGATGAGCACGTACTGTGTTATGCTGTGATGAAGCCATTCATAGTAATTGGAGAGAACTTGGGAAGCACTTGATAAGGCTAAATGGAGAGAAGAGGAGGAGGGAGGGCGCGAGAGACGGAGAGAAGGTGTATGCTGGCCAGTGGAGGAAGGCACCCTGATTAGACTTTTGGTATGTGGATGCTTGTCTGTTTTATAGGCGCAGGTGCAGACATGCACACATGCATAGGCCTGCATACTCGTAATGCATGCATGCAACTATGTACACACACCCATGCCTATGCACACATGCAGAAAGCACACATGTGCATACGCACACCTGCTCAGGCACACATGTACACTCAAGCACATGTATACATGCGCACACAAGGTCACACAAACACACATGGATGCGCGGTGCCCTAGACGATGCCTGCTGCCATGTCTTTGCTCCAGGGAGGTGCTTGGGGATACCTGCTGTCCATTTCTCTCCTTTTCCTGCCAGTGACCCTGGCTTTTCCCTGACGCTTAAGCTCACACTCTATATTACCTTTAACATTATTTTTGCAGATTTCACAGGTGCCAAGTGATGACTCAAGGCTTTAACTTGCAAGCTTTTTGTCACCATGAAGTAGTTTGCTTCTGGCTGGGTCTGCCCTATTTCCATGTGCTGTCCCTCTTCTCTCTTTCTCATTGGGGTGTCAGGGGTATTATCTGTGTCTCACTTTGTGCAGGTCTCTGCTCAGGTGATGGGGTGGGTATCCAGAGCCTTGTGATGGGAGGGGTCCCTGTTGGTCATCATCTGCTTCATCTCGGGGAAGTGACTTCCCGGGCCCTGTCTTGGCCCTCAACCCGTCCTGCCTGTGTGGCTGCAGCCTCCTCCCTTGTTGGGTCCCATTGTGCTGGGCATGATGCTGTGTCCCCATCCCATGCCTTGTGTCCCCCCGATCCCTGGATGCGTTCTCCACTGTCCCCTGTGCATGTGGCAGGCTGGCACTCAGTGTGGTGGGCTCTCTTCCCCTGGACCAGAGGCCCTGCATCCCAAGCCGAGTTTTAACTGGTGCCGCCTCCCTGAGCACTGAGTCCCACACACCAATGGGGGCAGGAAGGATCTCTGAGGATGGCGCCTTGGCACTGCCTTTTTAGCAAGCTCCTGGGCAGTGTGGTCAGGTTTGAGAGCCCCATCTGGAGGAAGCCTCCCAGCCTGGCATTCCTGCCTTCCCCACACTGCTGCATTGTTGAAACCCTGGATTCTCTGAGTGTGGCTGAGGAGGGGTGGCCAAGGCGCATGGACACAGGACCCCAGGAAGAGCCTCAGGAAAGACTCATGGACCCCAGGAGGCAGAATAGGATGTGGAAGGGCTAAATACACCATGGTATCTTGATGAGCTTCTCAAAGATGTGGAGGCTCTGACTCAGACGACTGGGGAGAGGTGTGCCTGACGCTGTGGCCGGTGGGCTCCTGCCCAGGTATGCTGGTGCCTGGAAGGATGTTGCCTTGCGCATCAGAAAGCTCAGCTGACTCCCATTCACCCCCTCCTTCACGCTTTATGCCTAAAGCCATGAGTGATTCAGTGCATGGAATATTATTCTCCAAAAGGGAGCACTAATGGTATGGCCTGAGGGAAATTCTGGAAGGCTTAGGGGTTCCCCACTGACCCAAGGGACAGGGTTGGCTGCCAGACAACCTTCCCTGGAGCCTGTGGGTGTGTTTAGGTGTGGTTTTGATTAGGGCCATCAGTGGCCTCTGCCCAGGGGTACTGACCAGCCTTGGAGGAGCCTGGAGGGGCCTCTCTGCAGACCGTGGCTGTGTGTGCAGGAGGCTTGAGTCTGGCAGACAGCGTGAGCCCTCGGACCCCTGAGGAGGCAGGGGCTGTCTGAGGAGCCTCTGGAGCTCACTGAGGGCTTGGTTCATTTTGCTTCGTGTTTTGCCAGCACCCTTGTGAATTGGCATCTCGGGCCCCACTTCATGCCCTGGAGAGGATAGAGAGGTATGCGCCATCACCTTCAGGGTTTGGACCCGAAACTCTTGGACTGTGTGGTGTGGCCCAGTAATGAGGTGGCATCAGCAGGGCAGGGTGGGGGGCCAGGGCCTTTCTGTCCCTTGACCCTCCTCCTGGAACCCAAGGCCTTGTGGGCTGAGCCTCATCAGGGCCTCTGTAGCACCGGCGTGGTCCTCATCAGCCCCCTGTGGGGCACTGGGCTCCTGCTTCTCTGTTCTGCAAGGTCTGTCACCTGCCTCAGGCCACCTTCCATCCTCCAAAACCAGTGGATGCCTCTCACTTGCCATTGCTTGACCCTGTAGGCTGTGCCTTTTAGAAGAGGGAGCAGGGTTTGCCCCAACTCTGCCTTTGTTCTTGGGGGGATGAGCGGAGGGAGGCTCAGGTCCCTTCCTCCACATCCCTTCTTCCCTCAGGCGTGGCCACAGCAGACCTAGATAGGCCCTGAGGTGCCGACAGCTTCTACCTGTCCTGGCCCAGATGTTCTCTCTTATTTTTCTCTCCTTCAGTTTTCTTCATGTGATTGAAGTGTAACACACACAGAAACATGCCTGAGCCAGAGCCACAGTGTACACTTGGTGATTTTTCATGGGGTGACTCCGCAGGGACACCCAGATCCAGCCCCTTCCAGCCCCTTCCCCAGGGCAGCACCCCAGACCTCTGGGGGTGAGGGTGCCCTCCCCGGCCCTGAGCTGGCTCCACGTGGGGCCAACCTTAGATGCTCTTTGTGCCTGGTGTCCTTGACTCCCTGCCCTTGCCTGTGGTTGTCTGGGTGGGTTATCCTCGGCCTGGAGCGTTCCATTGAGTGACACATGCCACAGCTCGGTGGAAACCCAGTCCCCTGTGGGGGATGCTTGGTTCATTTTCAGTTCGAAGCCCTTGTGAGTAGGGCTGCTGCAGACACTCCTGCGTGTGTCCTTTGGTGTGAGTCTCTAGTGTTTCTGCACAGCCTCCATCCAGGATGGAATTTCTGGGCCTGGTGTGGTCGGTGTTCATAGGCATGATCGGGCTGTTTTCCCGCCTGGCTGCACCAGCTGACCCTGCCGCGCCGCCAGCAGCTGAGAATTTGGGTTGTGCTATCTCGTCAGCACGTGGCATTTTCTGCCTTTTGATGGTAGCCTTGCTGCTGGGTGTGCAGGGTGCCACACCGCAGTTTAGTGCCTTTCCCAGATGAGTCATGGAGCTGGGTGCTCTCTTAGGCCTATCACCCCTTGGATAGCCTTCTTTCAGTGAAATATGTCTTCAAGTCTTTTGCCCATTTGTAAAAAATTGAGTCTTCTGACTTTTTTATTTACATGAGTTCTTTATATATTTTGGATATGAGTCCTGTGCTGGATATATACAACCATATCCTTATTCACACTTGTGTCTCTGTATCTGTCTACACACACACACACACGCACACACACACGTGCACACACATAGGTTCTGAGTGCCTCTGTGCATAGACATGTTACAGTCATTGGGATGTAGCAGTCAACAAAACAAAGATCCTGCCCTCATGGAGCTCACATTCTCAGGAGAGCAGACGAATGAACCAGAAGGTGGAAAGGCTCTGCTGGACCCAGTAACCTTAAGGAAAACCATTCCATGGCAGGACAATGCTGGGGCAGAGGATGGCATTGCAGCTGTGTTAGTGAGAAGGTGGCCTGTCGGGGTGGGGGGCCACAGACACTGCAGAGCACATTGCACGCAGGGGGAGGGTGGGCAGGGCCTGTCGAGGCTGAGCAGGGAGCATTGAGGTCCCTGATGGGGCTATTCGTTAGGACTCTGCCTTCATCGAGATTGAGGTGGGAGTCACGGAGCTTCTGACTCAGGTTCTAAGAGATCCCCCCCGGCTGCTGTGTGGAGACAGCAAGGGTGGACTCTGAGAGGGAGCCTTTGCGAGTGTAGTAGTCTGTTCTCACACTGCTATAAAGAAGGGCCTTGGCCGGGCACGGTGGCTCATGCCTGTAATCCCAGCACTTTGGGAAGCTGAAGTGGGCAGATCACTTGGGTCAGGAAGTTTGAGATCAGCCTGGCCAACACGGTGAAACCCTGTCTCTACTAAAAATACAAAAATTAGCTGGGCATGGTGGCGTGCACCTGTAATCCCAGCTACTTGAGAGGCTGAGGCAAGAGAATCGCTTAAACCCAGAAGGTGGAGGTTGCAGTGAGCTGAGATCATGTCACTGCACTCCAGCCTGGGTGATAGAGGGAGACTCCATCTCCAAAAAAAAAAAAAAAAAAGCCGGAGACTGGGTAATTTATAAAGAAAAGAGGTTTAATTAGATCATGGCTCTGCAAACTTTACAGGAATCATGGCAGCATTTGCTTCTGGGAAGGCCTCAGGGAGCTTTCACTCATAGTGGAAGGCAGAGTTGGAGCAGGTGTCTCACATGGCAGGAGCAAGAGAGAGAAGGGGGAGGTGCCCCACACTTTCAAACAGTCAGATCCCTCCAGAACTCACTCACTCACTAACAGGAGAATAGCACCGAGGGGATGGTGCTAACCCATTCATGAGAACTCCGCCCCCATGATCCAATCGCCTCCAACCTCCAACACTGGGGATTACAATTGAACATGAGATTTGGGTGGGGACACAAACCCAAATCATATCAGCGGGAGTCCAGCCTCCTGTCCTGTGACCCTCAACCCAGAATCTTGACAGCTTGCCTGCTCTAGGCTCTGCCATCCTCAGAGCAGGCTCTGTTGCTCTGGTCAGAGGCAGCCTTGTTCCAGGCCTTGTGCCCTGCCCCTAAAGGAGGTGTCTGGAGAAAGTGCCTCTTCCTGTGTGTCTGGTCTCCCTGAAGTCCCGGCAGATGGCCACTGGCCCCACCACACCTGGCTTCTTCTCTACTTTCTGAAGTGGCAGTGGGATTCTGCCTCAGGGCCCACCAGCCCTCCCTGCAGGACAGCCTCAGCCCCAGCTGCAGGGATGCAAGCAGGACGCCTGGCAGGGCTCAGCCCCAGCATAGCAGCCTCCTCGCATCCTCAGGCACCAGGAAGGATGTGGGTCAGGTCACACATGAATGCTGAGATCACACTGGTGGGTAAAGGAGACAGCACCATCTGTGTCAGCCAGAGATGGGGGCAAGGGCCCCATTCCTCCCGGGGAAGCGTCTGCCTTATCAAGGTCCTTGGGTGACACTGGTGCAATCTGGGATGAGCGTGATAGGAAGTGACCCTGTGACTGCATAAGAAGGCTTGTGGGGCTGCCCACCCATCCACCACCTCCTCTAGAGTGTCACATTCAGGGAGGCAGAGGGGATGCTTGCTCTGGGGTCAGGAGGCAGCAGGGCCAACTGCTCACATGGACTTCCTGAGACAACACTGGGGCCACCCCAGGGCCCAGATGTTCTGCAGGGCTACGGTACAGGGCTGAGGAAGGCAGGGGCAGGTGCCTCGAAGGCTTCCCCAGGGGCAAGACACCAGGTTTCACCTTCTTGGTGCTCTCCATGAAGCCACCTGAAGGGACAGGGTGGCCCTGCAGGCCCAGACCATCCTGATGCCACCTGTCTGCCTGCCAAGGTCACCATGAGCTTCGCATCTTCTGGCTGGCCTGAAACAAGATGCAGAAGCAAAAGTGGGGGAGGACATTGTGAAAGCTGGAGGGCCACTGTGCCATTTCTGCCTGGTTGCCTCGTACTCCCCGCACTGCCCACCCACAGGCGCTGCATACCACGCAGTAATGTATAGTGCATGCTCTGAGCAGTGGGAAGCGGTTCCAGGCCAGGCCAACACTCACTGGTAGAGAAGAGCTGGTGAGAGGGCAGCACTCCAGGAGAAGGACTCCTGTCTCCAGGCCCTTGAGCTGGCTTGAGGGAGGCCAGTGAATGAACCCAGCACAGCCCCTACTTTCCCAAGACAGAGACAACTGCCCATCGAGCCAGCCTAGTAGGTACTCTTGCTGCTAGTAAGTGAGCAGGCAAACAAGCTGGGAGGCAGAGGGCCTCTGGCAAGGCCTGGGCAAGAGCCGTGGGGGTGGAGGTGGGGTGAGGGTATGGGCATCCTGGGGCGGCCAGATGTTGTCAGGGTCACGATTGTCCATCAGCCCGTGGCTTGAGAGCTCTCCAGAGTTGTCAGAGCCTCTCTGTGAGGTTCAAGCTGAGCATACCCTGCTCCTCCCTAGCGGCCGCCCCGCCGGCCAACTCGGACTCCCCCAGAGCCCAAGGGGTCTCTCACCCAGCTCAGGTGCTGGGTGCTCCAATCCAGACCCCCAGAGAGGGCGCTCTTCGGCTCCGCGCATCTTTCCCGTCCGCATCATCTGAGGGAGTGGGGTCCACCACAGGAATGCGCAGAGGGGTAGCCCCATCACCTGGCAGATTCCTTCTGAGGCTGGGGCTCTGGGGGCGGGAGGAGCCTCACTGTGCCATGTGCCCAGCCCACCCCTCGCTGCGGCTCGGATCAGCCCTCCCACAAAAGCAGCTGCCGTGTCCCCCGAGTTCCAATGAAATGGAAGGACAGGGAGTTCTGTGCGACGCCTGTCTCAGGCCAGAGCTGTGTGGAGTGAGCGCCCTGTCAGGGAAGGCATTCAAGTCGAATGCTGGCAGAACACCTGCTGTAGTTCCGTAGTGGACGTCTACGATCAGGTGAGGCCGGGGCCGGGTAAGAGGCATCCCCTTCCCGCGCCGAGCCCCGACCCACGCTGCGCCCCCTCGCCGGCCCCGCGCGCCAGCACCGACCCCCGGCACGGCCGATCCCGGACGCCCCGTCCAGCCTCACACCCCGGCACCTACGGCGCCCCCACACCTAGCGCCAGGCGCGCGCCCGGCCCAGGCAGCTCCTCCTGACAGCGCTCCAGGCCGCCCCGGGTCCCTGCCCCACCTCCGCGCCATGCTCCTAGCCTCGGCCCCGCCCCGCGTTCCTGGCCGGCCTCGCGGCCCCTCTGCCCCGCCCGGACCCCGCGGTCCCCAGCCCAGCCCCTCGGTTCCCTGCTTCCGGGGTCCCACCCCTCCAGCGGAGGCGTCCAGCGGCAGGGGCCGGCGCAGGAGTGGGTGCTTGCTTGGCTCGCGGGCAGAGGAGCCGCCGCTCGCTGGACGCCGGACCGGGCAGGACGGCGCGGGGAGCCGGCGGCCAGAATGTTCCTGGAGCCCCAGGTAGGGCTGCGGCGGGCCCAGGCGCAAGGCCGCGGGGCAGGGTTCTTGCGCTGTCGGGCTCGGGAGGGGTGCGACGGTCCCCTGCATCCCGACCCGTGCGGGAGGGTGCCCGCCCTGAGGACCCGCGCGCCGCCCTCTGTGCGTCCCCGCTGGAGCACCTACTGCCCGGTGGGCGGCGCCCAGCCTGCCTCTGCTCCTGCCCTGCCCTTCGCGGCGCGGCCCGCGGACGCCGAGAGCACAGTGGCTCCTGCGAGCCTGGAAGGGGTGGGGACGGGCGTGTAGGAGCCCGGACGACTTGAGGGGCGCAGAACCACCTGTTGCTCTGAGGAGGATGTGCCGGGCGAGGGGTGGTCCGCGGTGTGTGGTCTGTGTGAGGTGCAGGCGGGGGAGGGCTGCGGAAGCGCGGGCGCGCTTATTCACGGCACATGGGAGGGAGCGCAGCCGTGCCTGTGCCTTGTGAGCCCCACGCGCGCCTGTGCGTTTAGGGAGAGTGGAGCCCACCGTGGGGCTTCGAGGAGTGTGCGCTCCAGGGCGAGGGCGCTGTAGGGTGCAGGCGGAGAACTGGTCCTGGAGAGGACCTGAGCATGGAGCACTGGCATTTCCCACGCTGTTTATGGAGACCCATCCCCAGAGGCGTAAGGCGGTGTGATTCGGGTGCGGCAGCCCCCTGGGTTCTGAGTGCCCACAGCGTGGAGCTGAGCCCCGGCCAGCCCTGGCCACGTGAAAGATGCAGGACTCATCTGTCCCTTCCTTCTTTCACTTACTCAGCATGCATTTATCGGGCCCCTGCTGTGTGCAGGCACTGCGGTTCAGCAGGGAACCAAACACCACAGCACGGAGAGTGTTGTCCTCACGGTGCCCACACAGCAGAGGAACAAGCACAATGTGTAGGTAAAATGGGTGGAGTGCTACCTGGTGCTGAGGGCTAGAGAAGAAGCAATGTAGGAGAGCTAGCAGGGCCTGTGAGGAGTTCATCGGTGAGGGTAGTTCAGGTCATTCTGCAGCGATAGAGCAGCCCCCAAGTCCCTCAGCTCACAACATGGTGCAGTTTCCACTCACTGGTGTCAGCCCTGGTCCAGGCCACCCTCATTCAGGGACCCAGGCTGACGGGGTCACATAGTAGGGGAGTGGGGAGGGCCCTGCACTGGCATTTAAATGCCCCAGCCCAGTACTCCAGTCACTGCTGTGAGACAGGTGGACCCCACGGCCCCACCCCGTTTCATTCGGACCTCCAATGACAGTCCTGCTCCCCCAGCAACCAGGGGTCTGACACACTTGGTGCCCAGCGTGCTGACCACCAGTGAAGGAGGGGGCTGTCTGTGCCTTAGGTATGGTGGCCAGAGGAGACGTGTGCACAGGACCTGCTGAAGGAGGGGAGGGAGGGAGCTATGCGGGGGGCATACCAGGAAAAGGCCAGGGCAGAGCTTTGAAGTGGAAGCTGCCTGCATGTTGGGGCCAGATTGGAGACTGGGGCATCAGGAGCAGAGCCCAAGAGGAGGTGGGACAGTGAGGCCAGCGAGGTGGCGTGGCTGGGGGAGCCAGTGGGGGTGACGGGGCTGCAGTGGGAGGTGGTGGAGCAGGATGTGCTCCCCGTGGGGCTGCCATGGCATTGCTGGCTGCTGCTGGGAGGGGTGAAGCTAGCAGAGTGCCACCCCAGTGGTCCGGGGACAGATGAGAATCCCAGCCTTGGGAGATGGCAGAGAAGGAGGAGGAGGGAAGGACTGATTCTGGGGGTATTCTGAAGGCAACACCTGGAGGCCGTGCTGGTGGGTAGGCTGTTTTCATTGAGATGGGGAAGGTCAGGCTGGCGCAGGAAGGAGGGTGTTGCCCTTAGAGGTGGGCAAGATGGCAGGCACAGCAGGTGGGAGCAGGGACAGTTCAACACTTCCCACCCCAGAGGTGTTGCCTGGCAGTGGTGTGGGCAGTCTAGAGTCCAGGGAGAGGTCTAGGCTGCATGTGCTCATGCAGAGCCTGGCTTGCTCCACCCTGCAGGCTCCTTGCTGCCCTGCCTCCTGGCCACCCTACCCACACCTGCACCTGCTGGCTCAGGACAGTACAGCCCTGGGCCCCAGCCTTCCCAGGCCCAAAGCCCATCTTGCTGGGCCTGCTAGCTTGAGCCACCTTCTTTCAGCTTCCCCAGGAGAGGTGGGATGAGGACTCTAGCCCTCAGCGGGGCACAGGCCAGGGGAAGGAGAGCAGAGCCATGGCCTCTCATGTTAGCCCACCACCTCTGTGCATTGGGGGTCCAGGCCTGGCCAGGATGCAGGGGGCACTGGGGACAGCACAACCCAGGGTCACATACTCACAGACACATGGGCTGCAGCAGTGCCATCTGTCGGGGGGGCAGGCAGTCAGGAAGGGCTGCCTGGGGGAGAGAGTCTCACACTGGCATTGGTGGGATGCATGAGGATTGACTTAGTGCAGGGGAAGCTGCCTGCATCTCCCACACCTTTGGGCTCTTGGACCTCGCCCTCCAGGGAACTGCTGGTGAGTGACCAGAGGAAGGAGACCAAACTGTCATGTCAACCTCCCTTTTCCCCCTTAACCCACTGGAAAACCCCTGGTTATCCTTGGAAGCTGATCTCAGAATCACCTCCTTCATGAAGCCCTCCCTGACTACTCCCTACAGAGTTAGTTCCCCACCTCCGTGCCTCCACGACACCCGGCACAGACCCCCAATCCTGAAGAGATCATGCCATGCCATGGAGTTGTGTCTGTCTTCCCACAGACACTAAGGTCCATGGGCTGTTCCGTTCTGAGTGTGTGGCATAGGCCACAAAGGCCTCAAGGGATGCTGACTTGACTGAACAAGTTCTGGAAGGAAGGAGGAAGGAAGAAAGGAAGGAACAAAGATGAGGGCGGGAAGTGGCCTGTACAGGCTCTCTACTTCTTGTTTTACATCTGGGGAAATTGAGGTCCAGAGGGGCTGTGTCTTGCCTGAGGTCAGCCAGGAGGTCAGGGGTCAGAGCTGGTTCCTGGGTCATGAGGGCTCCACTGTGTGGGTTCTGGGCTGCCTGGGTCCCTGTGGGTTCCAGGACAATGGGAGTTCAGAGGCAGATGGGACACGAGGCGTGGGGGCTCCTGAGGGAACCCGGGGACAGTCAGGTGGGAGCCCATGGATGGCGTGGATCTCGGAGGAGGATGGCAGCCAAGATCCCCTCAGCTTCTCTGTTTCTTTTTTTCTTTTCTTTTCTTTTTTTGAGACAGAGTTTTGCTCCTGTTGCCCAGACTGGAGTGCAATGGCATGATCTCACTGCAACCTCCACCTCTGGGGTTCAAGCAATTCTCCTGCCTCAGCCTCCTGAGTAGCTGGGATTACAGGCATGTGCCACCATGCCTGGCTAATTTTGTATTTTTAGTAGAGACGGGGTTTCTCTATGTTGGTCAGGCTGGTTTCGAACTCCTGACCTCAGATGATCTGCCCGCTTTGGCTTCCCAAAGTGCTGGGATTACAGGCATTAGCCACTGAACCTGGCCCTCTGTTTCTTCTTCTGGCCCCTGCTGCTGGCTGGGCCCTGGCCCTGCGGCCCCTGGCACCACTGGCCAAGTGGAGTTTTGTTGGCAAAGCTGGTGTCTTGTGGTCTCAGCCTCGGGGAATAACCCAGCCCCCACCCCTGTCACCGCCCACACCCGCCTTCCGGGCTGGGACCCAGCCCCTGGCATTTCCCAAATGTCACTGTGACTGCCGCCAGCCACCCCTGCCCAGCCTTGGGCCGGTAAGTATGCGTCAGAGCGCCGCCCTCCTCTCTCTCCCCCTCCCCGTGGGTGAGGAGGCTCAGCCTTCAACTCTGGCCCCAACCTGAGTATGACTTCTCTGGGGACCTCCCTGGGGCCACATACAACAGATGTCCTTAAAACAGGGACTGGCATGTTCCTAGAGTGCCCAGCCTGAGGGGGCAGTGGTGTGGTGTTTTGGGTGGGTGACCAGGAAAAGTGGCTTCAGGGTAGCTGAGCTGGTTGGCAGAGCAGGCCCACTGTGGACATCGTGTTCCTGGGGGATGGTAGTGGAGCTTAGAGAGCTGAGAGATCCGTGGACACACACACACACACACACACACACCCATACACAGACACCCACACACAGAGACACACATAGGTGCACACAGACACAGAGACACACAGACACACAGAGACATGCAGAGACACAGACACAGAGACACGCAGGCACACAGACACAGAGACACACAAACACAGACACATACAGAGACACAGACACAGAGACACATGCAGGCACACACACAGACACAGACACATGCAGAGACACAGACGTAGAGAGACACACAGACACATGCAGAGACACAGACACAGAGACACAGACACACAGACACACACAAAGACACAGACACACAGAAACACACAGACACAGAGACCCCCCCCCCACAGACCCCCACACACAGACATGCACACACACACAGACACATGCAGGCACATGCACACACACAGACACAGAGACACACACAGACACAGAGACACAAAGACACACACACAGACACATACAGAGACACAGACACACATAGACACATGCAGGCACACACACGCAGAAACAGAGACACACTAACACAGAGAAACACAGACACACAGACATATGCAGAGACACACAGACACATACAGAGACACACAGACACACCTCCCCTACTGCCACTGGTGTGAGCATCTCTGTAACAGCTCCACACAGACTTATGGGCAGACACATATGCCCAGGGGAGGTAGATAAGTAAGCTATTGATTTTTTAAAAGTTTATGTTAGGTAATTGATTATTGATACCTTACTAGTTTGAACAGATTTTTAGTTTGGCTTCCTGGAAAATCCAAGAAATTAATTATATTACTTACACATAAGGAACAGCCAACTTCTTTATTTCTAATGTATCTTTAGTTTTCTTATCTTATTATGTTTTCTAAAAGGTGCAAAGTAACATTAAATAATAGCAGTTGTCTTTGGCTTGATCTTCATTTTAATGAGGAGGCTTTTCATGTTTTACTAAGTCTGAAACTGGCCCATATTTCCAATAGGTATTCGTCATCAAGGACAGTGTGCTGGAATCCTACATTAATTGCCAAGAGTGCACACCAGGAATGGATATTCAGTTTCATCAAAGGCTTTCCTATATCTAGCAAAATCATCAAATGCCTTTCCTCCTTGGACCTATTAATGTGTTGACTTATTAACTCTTCTGAGCTAAATCATCCTCTTGTTCCTGGAATAAAGCCCACTGGGTCAGGCTCTATTGTGCTTAAAAATGCTGCTGAGTTCATTTTACTGATGTGTTGCTATGTTGCTGAGGGTATTTTTCACTATTTTCAGAGGTAAGAATTTATGCATACTTTTCTACTAGGAGACATATTTGTCACATTTATAAATCATGCTATTTTAGCTTTATAAAATGAATAGGAAGGCTTTTCAATATGAATTGTGTAGTTGAAATAGTTTATATATCATATAAAATTATCTTATCCTCAAAGGCTTGAAATAATTCATTTTAGAAACTATTTCAGCCAGGGCTTTCTTTTATTTTTTCCAGAGGCTTAGTTGGCTCTCAACTTAATTTGTACTATGGTTATTGGTCTTTTTGGGTTCTAAACAGTTTTACTCTATTTTTGGTTACTTATATTTTCTAGATAATATAAGTAACCATTAAAAGTTCTTGCAGATCATTTACCACAGATTTAGGTAGTTGTTTGTTTTAAACTTTCTTCTACATATCTGGAGTTAGATTCCCTTTTTTCATGCCCAATGTATTTTTCATGTCCTTCCTTTCTTCCTTCTTCTCTCCCTCCCTTTCTTTTTTAAAATAAATTTTTATAATTTTTTTAAAGAAATAGAGACAGGTTCTCACTAGAGCCCCCCAAAGTGCTGGGATTACAGGCATGATCCAGGGTGCCTGGCCCTCCCTCCCTTTCTTCTTTCCTTTTGTTGATTAGAATTGCAAGAGGGTTATCCTTGAAATCTGTGTTTTCAAAGAATCAGCTCTTGAAGTTTATAAGGAGTTCTACTCTATTCTTTGATTAAGTCATCTAATTTGCTTTTTAGTAGTTTCTTCTTCCAGTTTGTTTCACTGTTTTGTTGAGAAGCTCTTTTTTAAGCTTTTTGAATCAAGTGCTTAGTGTTTACTTCAATACATTATTGAAGTCTATGAACTTTTCTGTGAGTACAGCTTTGGCCATATCAAATTCGATACAGAGTTTTCCTATAAAGGTTATTTTTCTGACATCTGTAATTGGAATTTGAATCTTTAACACAGGTGTGATTTAGGGATTTTTTTTATGAAGTGGGTATTTTGTTTATCAGTTATATATTAATATCCAACTATAGTACATTGTGCTTATGTCATTCTCTCACCTGCACACTTCTATTTGGGGACTTTACTGGGTTTCATTGGTGGTATAACATACGACCATGTGGCAGAGACTCTGGACAGTAGAATGTGCCTTTCTGTTTCTAGACACAGTTTTTCACATATCTTGGTCCCCTGTCCAGAGAGCATGCACTGCAATATTTTCATCCCTTGGGCATCTACCACTTGCTGGGCAATTTCTGGTTGTGAATCTAGCATGAAGAGGTGCTCACTGTGTTTCCTGGGCATAGCTTTGTGTTCTTGGGAGTTTACCTCTAATAGGGTTATAAAAAAAAAACCAATAAAGTGTTTTTCTTACTCTCCACTCTCAGCCATTTAGCACAACATTCTAATACCAGATTCTCTAACATTAAGACAGCAGCTGGGTGCCCTGTAATTCAATTTGGACAATATTGGAGGCGAAGTCAGATCTCACAGGTTGAGAGCTTGGTCCCACAAGGCTGTCCCCCTCCCTCGACTTCAGATGCCATTTGCAAGTCTCAGGTTGTGGCCTGTGCTTCTGACCCACCCAGCAAATCACCACTCCTGGGACTCCTTTCTCAGATTCAATTAATTTGCTAGAGCAGCTCACATAATTCAGGGAAGCACTTGCTTCCATTTACCCACTTACTATGCAGGTTTTTACAGTGGTCACAGATGAACAGTAAGAGGAAGGGATGCTCAGGGCAAGGCATGTGAGAAGGGGCGTGGAGCTTCCCTGTCCTCCCAGGCACTGCACTCCAGGGCCCTCCACCTGCTTGCCTACGCAGAAGCTCTGAAGCCGCTCCTTTTGGGATTTTGTGGAGGCTTCATTATGTGGGTGTGACTGACTGAATCATTGGCCATTGGTGATGGACCCAACCTTCAGCCTCTCTCTTGTCCCTAGAGCTGGGGGTGGGAGTGAAAGTCCCCACCCTTTCATCACATGGTTGGTTCCCCTGACAACCAGCCCCCAGCCAGGCTGTCCAGAAGTCCATCAGCACACAGAAGACACTTACCACTTTGGAGATTCTGAGAGTGTTAGGAGGGTGTGCTGGGAAAAAAGACAGCGTCATGCACCACATAGTGGTCCCCTGAGATTCATAATATGATATTGTCACTGTGCTTTTTCTATGTTTAGCTGTAGAAATCCTTACCGTTGTGTTACAGTTGCCTCCAGTATATTCAGTGCAGTCACACACTGTGCAGGTTGGGATCCCGGGAGCAATAGGCTGTACCACGGAGCCTGGGTGTGTAGTGGGCTGTGCCATCCTGGTCTGTGTAAGTCACTCTGGGGTTTGCACAACGACGAAATCGCCTAAGATGCATTTCTCAGGAGGTATCCCCGTCGCGAATGGACGCATGACTGTATGTGCCCGGGCCACACGGACAGGAAGGGCCAACTTGCAGGCAGGAGGCCTGGGCGGCTTCCAGCTGTGCCCTGTCCTCAGCCCCACACCTGTATCTCATCTGGGAAGTGGAGAGCAGGGCCTCAGAGGCCCCCAGATGGTGTCACAGGGCCCAGCAGGTGGGAGGCCCTCTGCCTACGCCACTCATTGGTGGTGAGGCTTGTGGGCAGTTTTGCAGGGGCTAGAATGCAGCACGGGCCCCTTGGACCCTGGCCTGATTTCCCCCACCCCACCTCGCTGCCCTGCGCTTGCAGCCTAACCTGCAAATGCAGCAGGGGCAGCTCCTCCTGGGTCAGGCCCTGTCCATCCCACAGGCCTGGCTGGCTCCCCCTGCTGTCACCTCACACCATTCTCCTTCTCCGGAGCCCTGTGCTGGTTGCCCTGGGTAGCACATCAGACAGGGTTCCAATCCCAGCTCCACCAGTTTCCCAGACTGGCGCTGGTGACTGAGGCCCTTTGGGCCTCTGTTCCTTCATCTGGAGAAGGGGGGAGCAGCAGGAGGGCCACCCTGGGGAGGCATGGAGACGGCTGTGTCTGGCTTAGGTTCGAATCAGCCTGGTGGCACTAACTGATGTGGGGAGGTTTCAGGATGACTCAGCAGCCAATTAAATGCTTACAAATTCATGGTTTATTGGGACGTTTTCACACCCCAACAATCATGCAAATATATTCCACACACCCAGGCAGTCATAAGAGAGGCGGGAGCGAACCACAGTGTCGGGGGATGGGGAGACCAGCTGCTGATTGCCCAGGGTCCAAGTTCCTTCAGAGCAGAGGGACCGCAGACCCCCGGGTGGAGGGATGGGATCACTCCTCTTCTCCCAGCAGGGCGTCTGGTGGCCTCCAATGGAAAAGAGGCTTCGGAGTTCTCGAGGGCAGTGCTTCTGCAGGTGTCTTGGTCATGAGCAGCTTCTTTGTATTTATGGCCCTCCGCAGGAGTGTCCCTGGCCATCATCTTCAGGTGCCTTTTGACATCACTTTCTTGTTGGGTCTCAGGGATGCCTGGCCACAGCAGATATCATCTGATCATTGCAGTCCACCACACCTATGCTAATCACTCTGAGGGCTCAGCAACTTCACTCTAAGCTGAGTTACTTGTCATAAGTACTCCCCCCCCTTTTTTTTTTTTAAGACAGAGTCTTGTTCTGTCACACAGGCTGGAGTGCAGTGGCGTGATCTCAGCTCACTGCAACGTCCACCTCCCAGGTTCAAGCAATTCTCATGCCTCAGCCTCTGGAGTAGCTGAGATTACAGGTGTGCACCACCGTGCCTGGCTAATTTTTTGTACTTTTAATAGAGATGGGGTTTCACCATGTTGGTCGGGCTGGTCTTGAACTCCTGACCTCAAGTGATCTGCCTGCCTTGGCCTCCCATCGTGTTGAGATTACAGGAGTGAGCCACCACACCCGGTGAGATAGGGTCTTGCTCTGTTGCCCAGGCTCTGTCACCCAGGGATGCAGTGGTATGATCTTGGCACACTGCATCCTTTACCTCCTGGGCTCAAGCAATCCCCCTACCTCAGCCTCCTGAGTAGCTGGGATTACAGGTGTATGCCACTGCCCCTGGCTAATTTTTCTGTAGAGACAGGGATCTCCCTATGTTGCCCAGGCTGGTCTTGAACTCCTGGGCTCAAGCGATCCTCCACCTCGGCTTCCTAAAGTGCCAGGATTACAGGTGTGAGCCATTGTGCCTGGCCGTTTATTTTGAGACCCTAAGGACCACAACACATTATTACACATTCCTGTGCACTGGTACTCTTGGGGCTGGTCAGTGTCTAACCACCGGTTACCAGCCCCCAGGGCCAGGGGACAGACGCACAGCATGTGACAGAAGAGCTGCCTGTGTCCACGGCATGGGGGTGGCAGTCAGGACGTGTGTCTGGGTGCTGTTTCCCAGAGGCTGCCAGACTGAGCATGCCCATGGCTCTGTGACCCAGCAGGGGGCTGGGTGCCCCCTTCCCCTACCCCCATGACTGGCCCAGAGAGAGCTCCCTGCTCCCACAGCCATCTGCCAGGAGGACAATTCAAGTGAGGGAAATGGATTTTTATTTGTTTTGGAACACAAAGGAAAAATCTTTGCTCAGCGTAATTAGTTATCATTTAAAAGTAAAAGAACCATATGTCTTTTATTCCATATCCCAGCACCCTAGGTGGCTGTAGAGGGCGGAGGTGCAGCTCACCCGGGACAGGTCTGTGTGTGGCCTACGCGGCTGGCCATCCCTTCCTGCCTCTGGAGGCCCTCAGCCCTGACCCTGCCCGCTCACTGTCCCTCTCTCTTGGTCATGGGCTGCTGCTTCGGGGCTGACTCCAGGGCTGGCTGGATGTGGGCAGTGTGCCCGGGTGGGCCTGGGCAGGACAGATTGCTGGTGCCTTCCTACTGGAGCCAGCAGGCGCCCTGGCCACTGCCCAGAACTGATGAGCAGCAGGACACCCTGCTCTGTCCTGTCATCATCAGTGGACAACCCATCTAGGACAGGGACCCCAGAGGGGTGATTTCACTTGGGGTGGAATCTGCACACTGCTTCCCAGCCCCCTCCTCCGTGGCACCCTAGGGGTCTCCCTGGAAAGGACAGAACTGGCTACCAAGGTTGCGTGAGTTTGCACATGACCCCATCCAAGCCTGTGCCCAGCTCTGTCCCTGGGAGGCACAGGGCTGCCCACCCATCTACAGGAGGCTCTCGTTACCCCTGCAGAATCTGATGGCGTTGGCCGAAGAGGGAGCGAGGCCAAGGGGAGGGGGGAGCAGGGCTCCCCAGGCGGCTGGAGTGGGAGGCCAGGCTGCCAGCGCCTGCCGGGAAAGGGCAGGGATTCTCTGAAGTCCCACCTGCTGCATCCTTGGGCCTCTTGAGTCTCAAGAATGGAATGGTTCTTGGTGGACAATGATGTTCTATGCCCTGAGCAGGCCCAGAAGAAGCTGACTGGACAGAAAGGGAAAAGGGAGAGGCAGAAACCCAGACTGGGCAGAATCTGAGGAGCGTGAAGAGGAGACGACCAGATTCCTTCAGTCAATTCAAATTGTATTGGGTAATAGAAGGGAATTCAGAAGGAAAAAATGAATCATGTGTCTGTAACAAAGCTTTAATTATCCGCGTCGCGCCTGTGGCCAGGCCTCTGGAGCGGGCGCCCTGTGAGGCGCTGTCGTGCTGGTTCCCATGGCAGCCGCCTCCTTGTTGGAGTCCGGCCTGAGGCCCTTGGCCAGGCCCTGAGACTGCCCTGGCCAGCCCGGAAGGTTCACAAAGGTAAATCCGGCCCTTCTTCGCAGTACTTGAAGTTTGGCTTATGTGAAACAGCGTGGCCCCTGCCCTCTGATGCCTGCCTGGCCTGGAGGATGGAGAGGCAGGGGCTGCAGGGAGTTCCCTGCCCTGCTGCAGGAATGGGGCCAGCATGTGCTCCCAAGGACTGTGCTGCTGCAGAGGGAACAAGGGTTGAGAGAGAGGAGGGTGAGGACTGGAGAGCCTGACCTGCAGGGGAGTGTCACCCCCAACGCCCCCCATCCCTAGACCAGAGCCAGCTCTGAGTCCCCCATGCCTGGGACAGGACAGTGCAACCAGGTCAACGGGTCCACCTGCCTAGAAGCAGGAGGCAGCTTCTCCTCACTTGTTGCTGTCTGCAGCAGGTGCACTGGCTGTCCCTTGCATGGGAGGTGAGAAGGACCCAGAAGTGGGATGAGGGAGGGGGCAGCACCAGCTCCCAAGAGCTGTGTGTCTAGGGAGGCAGCTGGGAAACCTATAGGACCGCTAGTGCTCTGCAGTGCCGATGCCATCAGAACCCACCAGGCATTGAGCCTGTCCTGAGCTTTGTGGCTTCACTTAGTGCTCACGGTCGCCTGGGAAGCAGGTGCTGGAGGTGGCATCTCACAGAGGAGGGTGCCGGCTCCCAGCTGGGGTGGGGCCCACTCCCTTCCCATTGGACGCCCAGCCCATGCCTAGATCCAGCCTGGGCCTGCAGCTGCCCCCTGCCCATCTGCTGTGCATGGCCTCAGCAGATGGGACAAGGGCTCCCTGGAGTTAAGGGAGACACGTTTCAGCTCAGTCAGGACAGTCTGAGAGCTGGGATTTGGGGATGGGGAGGACATCTGAGTGTTGGCTGGGTGGTTGGGGGAGAACCCTTCCTGCCCTGGGTCAGGGAGTAGGAGGTGGATGCAGCCCGGTTGTGGGAAGGGGCTCTGATGTGGCGCACCTGCTGTTGAGGGCAGGCCTGGGGCCAACCTGGGCAGAGTCAGAGTCCTGGCTCTAGTCCCTCTAGCAGGCACTAGAATCTCAGAAATGGTGGAGACTAAGCCCCAGACTCTCCCAGGCAGGTGTCACTTGCCTGCACATTGTGGATAGATGACGTCCAGAGGGGTTGGGCAATGGCCGGTCACCCGGCCTTCTTCCACAGAGCTGGGAGGACCTAGGTGTGGTAGAGGGGCTGGGCAGTGGCTGGTCACCCAGCCTTCTTCCACAGAGCTGGGAGGGCCTAGGTGCAGTGGGGATGGAGGCGCTGAGGCGGGTCGTCCAGCGCCTGGGACTGCAGCACCAGCTTGGAGAGAGCACTGTAGCCCTGGCGTGGGAAGAGGGAGCATGAGCGAGGGACACATGTCACCAGGACAGGGGTGTTAGAGAAATGGGAGCCAAAGGGGGATGGAAGGACTGGGGGCTGCCTGGGGCAGGCACTCCTCCTCTCAGCTCCATACAGGTCCCCCAGCCCCATGCTGGGGTGGTGCCCTCAGGGTCGGGTCCCAGCACGCTCCACCAGCTGAGGGTGCAGTGGCCCCATTGTCTTCTGCAGGCCATCGGCTCCCCTCGCTTGTGCTCCCCTGCCAGTGAGTGACATCCAGTAGGTGGGGGTGGCCCCTACCTCATTTCTCCCCCTCCACGATGCCTCTCAGTGCAGGTGGGATCCCGGAGGGCTCTTTTTACTGGTCTGAGAATGCAGCTCTGGACTGGCAGGGTCAGAAGATGGGGAAGGGTGTGTAAGATGGGAAGGGTGAGCGGCAAAGGAGGCGCAGCTGCCTCCACTATCTGACCGGTCCTGATGGAGCTCAGGAGGGAGATGGGGTGAAGTCTGTCCTTGCTGCATGCTGGGTGGAAGGGAGGAGGCCCCTAACCTCCTTCCCCCTCCTCTGCCACCCCATGCAGGTTCTTATCCCATCAGGAGCAGTGCCCCTCCTTCTTTCCTCCCTGAGGGTGGCTGAGTCTTCAAGCCAAGTGGGCACACTCAGCCCTCTACCCTCCCCAAGGCGGGCAGTTTCTTCCCTGTGACGTGGCCCACTGCCACATCCCAACGGCCTTCTCTGGGTGGGGCAGCCCCTGGGCGGGCTACCTAGCACTGTCTACTATCCAGGAGGGGGGCAAAATCCTCACTAAGGCAAAGGGCCCACTGAAGGTTTAGCAAAAGATGTGCATTTGCATGGGGAATCTTGTAATCATGGTGCCTGCCTCCCATACACTCAAACAAGCACTTCACTTACAAATTGCGCCTGACTCCCTGCTGAGCCCTCCCCGCAGGGTAAGGTGAGGACCCCCACAAGATGGTCCCCCAAGGAAACCAGGAATCACCTGCTGCATCCTGGGGGAGCCTCCTGGGGAGGGGAGCCTCATTCCCGATGTCCTGGTGGGAGGAGCCCAGACCCTCACAGAGTGGGGCAGGCGGCCCACCCACTGTAGGCATAGACCCTGAGTACCGATGGCAATGGCGGTGGTGGTGGGATGTGCCCGGGGTGCTGGTGGCTCCAGCGCCCCCGCTCCTGGCAGGGTGGGGACCAGGCCAGGTTGGGGGGCAGCCTGGCACTGCTGGGGACCCTGATCCTGGCACATCACAGGTCCAGGTTTAGCAAGGCCGACACACACATCATCAGTCAGTGCATGTTTTGGAGTAAGTGAGGCAGCCAGGAGGTGCCCCAGGGAGGGTTTGCCAGAGATCTAATGGGCCAAAAGCTCCCAGGCTTTGGCGCCAGCGCTTCTGTCCACTCACTCTGCTCGTCCTTTCCCAGAAGCTCCTTCCAGTCGGCTGAGGCCTCACCTCCACAGGGAGGCCAACCTCACCGCCCAGGCAGAGGTTACCGCTTTCCCACTCACATTCCTGACCTTCCATCTCCTCTGTCGGAGCACTGATTCTCTCCTAACCCAGAATATCATGTCGCCATCTGTGGCCGTTGTGCGTGGCACCACACAGGCTCTGTGGGGTGCTCTCTGGGGCCAGAGAACCCTGTTTTTTTCCCCTGGTGTATCTCCAGTATCTAGGCAGGGATCATTACCACTTGTGAATGAATGAATGGGCAAAGAATAGGGCTCCGGGAACACCCACCTCCTTCCCCACCCCAGTGCCGGTAATTTCAGAGAACTGGCCGGTTATCCCTTGAAGGGCGAAGAGCCCATTCTGTCGGGTCCGTGGCATGCATCCAGCCCAGCACAGGTAGGTGCGCAGGTCTCTCCCCTCCTGAGGCCCACCAGGATCATGGCACAGGGCTGCCCCCAGCTCCCTCCAGGAGCACGCTCTCCCTGCCAGCCAAGAGAGGGGAGACAGGCGAGATGTGTAATTTTCAGTTGCTAATTGTGATGCCCTGCAGCTTGCTGAGCTAAAAATAGTCTCCGTTTTTGTTGAGTAGGTTAAAAAATAGAAGCCCACGTGCTGCCTCAGAAAGAAGCCCCCTGCCAAGGCTGGCAGAGGCAGGGGGCTGGCTCGAACCCCTCCTCCACCTCCTGGCAGATCCCTGGGACTCATGCATGATGGGCCCTGAGGGCTGTTTTTGTCCCAGTTTTCCAGGAAGCTGGGTTTCTTAATTTGAAGTCCACAGATGAGCTTCTGGGAGCTCATCGGTCCCCCGAATCATCTGCAGGTCGTGGGAATGTGTGCTTGTCCACATGTCCAGGCCAGGGCTTCAGCCTGCACTTGATGCTCAGGGGGCCATGCCCCTGCCAGGTGCTCTCAGGGGCAATGCTGAGGTCCGAGGAACAGCAGGGCAGACCTGGGCAGTCCTGCACATTACGGCCTCTTGGGTCCTGTGAGCTGAGCCTCAGTGTCCCCATCTGAGAAACGGGCCTCTCCGGGCTGTCTCCCTGGGTGAGGGAGAATTGCATTGAGATGAGTCATGGAATGGCCAGCACACAGCTCACTCTAACTCCTAACGATGCACACTTAAAGCAAAGCAAGGTTAGTCAAGTGAAGGTTAATCCCTGCTTTGGAAGTTTCCAGAACTGCAGACTCCAGGATCCAGAAGGGGTCCTAGAATTCCGACAGTGTGCTAGGAGCCTGCCTTATACTGCTCTTCCCTTTGGAGTTGAACGGAGGCCTGACCCTGTTCCTGACCAGCTGTGCAGGAGACTCTGTCCCCTCCTGGCCTGTTGTTCCTACTCTCTGCTGTGGTGGGGCTGGTGGTGTTGGAGGATGGCCAGTTACCCCATAGGGCCACCTTCTGATGCTCCTCCCATAGCCCCTTTTGGGGAGCTGGACAGTTGTGCTCTGTGCACACACCTACGAAGGGGGGCGGGGTGGGTGAATGCTCACTGACCCCTGCGTCCCCCTTCCCTGGGGATCTTTTATGAGGCCACGGTGGTGTCAAGCCTCCTGTGGCTCTGTTGGGTCTCCTCATCACTGGGCATCCTCAGTGCAGGACACAGAAAGAACATTCGGGAGTGGAAAGTGACCCAGCTGCTGCCCAGGCCTGGACACATGAGTGGGTGCACGGGAAGACGACACGCACAGCAGGCTCTGGCTGCAGTGAGGCCACAGGCTTGGGCTCAGAGCTGCTGGGCCTCCATCGTAGCTGCAGCTCTCAGGAGCTCATGGGTGATAGGGCAGGGTGCAAGGTCTCAGAGTCCATGGCTGCAGTTTGAATGGAGGGAAGGACTGTGCACCAGCTCAGGAAAGGTGTACACACTGTGTGGCTGCCCCTCCCGAGGAGCGCATCCAGCTTTTGCACACATGAGGCCAGAGGCAGATGGCCTCTCTCTGTGTGCTGCCTGGGGGACGGGCATGGGTCACATTAGATAGCTGGGTAGCAGGTGGGTGCAGTGGCTAAACCCTGTAATCCCAGCACTTTGGGAGGTTGAGGCGGGCAGATCACTTGAGGCTGGCCAGGAGTTCGAGACCAGCCTGGCCAACATCATGAAACTCCGTCTCTACTAAAAAATACAAACATTAGCTGGGCATGGTGGTGTACACCTGCAATCCCAGCTACTCGGGAGCCTGAGGCAGGAGAATCGCTTGAACCTGTGAGGCAGAGGTTGCAGTGAGCCAAGATCGTGCCACTGCACTCCAGCCTGGGCCACAGAGCAAGACTCTGTCTCAAAACAAAAAACAATAAAAAACTCTCCAACGTCCTTGAAGAGGCTGCAAAAAGGAATGTCATTCGTACTCTTTCACAAAAACTTCCCTTTTCCTCTCTCTCCCAGGATCTCTCATAGCACTGGGGCTACATAGGGTCCCTCCTCTTACTTTCTTAAAAGGCTGGAAAGTTTCTCAGATCCTGGCTGCCCCCTCCCCTCTTCTCACCCTGGACCCTCAGTCTAGCCACTTCCATTCTTGCTCTCTATGCTTTTTTCCTCTCCTCAAGCTATTCTTTTCTTTTATTCATATGTAGTATTTTACATATTTATGGGGTACATGTATTTTTTACATGCATGGGTTATGTGCTGATCAAGGCAGGGTATTTGGGGTATCCATCATCTTGAGCATTTGTAATTTCTATGTGTCGGAAACATTTCTTCTATCTCTTTTGAAGTATACAATACATTGCTGCAAACTATAGCCACCTGAGTCTGTTATGGAACATTAGAAGTTATTTCTTCTATCTAAATGTGAGTCTGTACCGGTTGCCCAAGCTATCTTTGTTTCCCGCTCCTGCCCTCTGGTAGCCATTATTCTACTGTCTACCTCCATGAGAGCAAGGTTTTCAGCTCCCACCTGAGTGGGAACATGCAGCGTTGGTCTTGCTGTGCCTGGCTTGCTCCACTTAACATAGTGACCTCCACTCTCAGTGCTGTGTGATTGGCACAGTGTATTCCTTGGTGCGAAGGGGTCTGTGCACCTGTGTGTGCATGTGTGCACCTGTGTGAACCTGTGTGTGTGAGTGTTGTGGGGGGAGCTGTGAATATTCAGAAGCTAAAGTTTTAGGCTGTGTCCCCTAAAAGTGCCTCTCCCCTGAGGTGTATTGAGGCTGAGCTCCAGAACGTACCCACTGGAAAAGGTCCTGGAGATCCAGGGCTGTGTTCCCACAGTCCCTCACCCAGGCTGAGCAGAGCCCCAGGAGCAGTGTTCACTTGCACTGAAGCACGCCCTGCGTGTGAGCACTTGTGCTGGGCTGGAAGCCACACTCCATGTGTCTCCCTGCCACCCCGCACTCCCCACAGCCACCATGAGGTTCAGGTGCCAGTGCCACTAAGGCTCACACAGACAGAGGAACTGCCCCAGGCCGACCACCAATGGGAGGCCTGGCCCACATGTGGATGCAGGCTCCTGGCCTCTCCCCTCCTGGCACTTTGGCGCCATCAGCACGTGGCTGTTCTAGAGTCAGAGGGGGTTGAGAAACCAGATGACAGCCCCTCCTCTACCCTACTCACTCCATGGGGCGGGGTGCAAGGTCTCAGAGCCCATCTTAAACCTGAGATCAGAGCTCACGGAAATGTTGGCTGTGCTCGCTTTATTGGGAAGCACAGTCCCGGGCAGCAGGAGGCTGGGAGCGAGTGGAGAGATGCCGGGATGTGTTCCAACAACAGCTGGCATCCCAGGCATCTCTGGGGAGGCTCTGTGAAACTTCTGTGTCTCAAAACAGTGCCTCTGGGGTGAGGATTCCTACAGGGTGTTAACCTGCCCCAGCCCCAACCTCTCCCAGGGCTGGCGGTGTGGTGTGTGCCCATGGCCCTAAGGGCCTAGGTCAGAGGCCACAGGTCAGAAGCAGTGGCACCCAGCACTGGGCCACTGGGCACCATTGAGGCAAGGCCTAGATGTGGGTGGCACAGAACCACATACCTGGTTCTGCTCCAGGCACACAACCGCACTAGCTTCCGTCTCTCCCTTCAACCTCACTGCAACCCTGCAGGGAGGTGGGACAAGACATTCCACACCCAGTGTCCAGCCGAGGAAGCAGGCTTAGGGCCACCCAGAGGCTTCCCGTGGGTGTGGGGACAGAGCCTGTTCTCTGGCATGCAGTCCCAGGCCCAGGATCTGCAACTGCAGGAAAGGACTCAGGTGTGCGGGGGTGTGGACAAGGGCATGAGAGACTGGGGGTGCAGCTGTGGGGGGCCTCTCAGGATGGTATCACCTGTGGCAGACCAAGGAGGGACAGCAGCAGGACCCCACGAGTCACTTCATCCTCTGGGGGACAGCAGCATATGTGCCAGGTGGGGCACCTTGGGCCAAGCCTGAAAAGGCTGGGATAGCCACAATGAGGCAGAGTAGTGGAGGCCTGGGGAGAGCCCTGTGCCTGGTTGTCTGCCGCCTGCCCTCTGTCCTGCTGCAGCGCATCCTGGCAGGCAGGTGGCAAGGGGCCTCTAGGTTCAGCCTCTCCCAGGCAGCCTCCACTCCAGGCCTCCTACAGTGCTGCTGAGGCTGTGCAGGTCAGGGGTGTGACCCTGGAGGCCCAGCCAGGAAGACTTAGGCTCAGATACAGGGAGGACCCCCTTCTCGAATGGTGCCCCCAGAGAGCCAAGTAAAGCCAGGTATGGAAATCTGCTCTCTTCCAAGATGGAAGAGGGCACCCCTCTCACCAGCAGGCTGGGCCCCTGGGACTGCCCTTGTGTCCACCGGCCCTGCGTGGGAGGTGAGAAGGGAGTGAGGCGCGTCCTCCAGGAGACAGTGAGTCACTCTTCTCTGCTTTGCTATAAGCACGTTTCTTCTGCATTGATTAGCTCTATAATTAGGAGGTGCTTTCCTTCCTGCCTGAACAGAGGAGGGGCTGCAAGGAACCAGAGGGGCTGCTGCGTGCAAGCCTGTCCCCCACTCCCTGCAAGGAGCTGCTGCTCCAAGGAGTCAGAGGGGCTACTGCGTGCAAGCCTGTCCCCAACTCCCTGCAAGGGGCTGCTGCTCCAAGGAGTCAGAGGGGCTACTGGGTGCAAGCCTGTCCCCCACTCCCTGCAAGGGGCTGCTGCTCTTCCAGGCCAGCCCCAGCTGGACCTGGGGTGGAGGTGAGGGTTCCCACAGAGACTGGTCTGGC
Organism: Homo sapiens; assembly: GCF_000001405.40. NCBI lineage: Eukaryota > Metazoa > Chordata > Mammalia > Primates > Hominidae > Homo > Homo sapiens. The sequence goes on along the minus strand of NC_000010.11, from coordinate 43,210,780 downwards.
ACACTGGCTGGCCCCGGCCCCGTCTGTGCCTACATCCTGGGTGGGAGGAGGGTGCTTCCTGAGCCCTTCACAGGGTCTGCTGCCTCGAGATGGGTCTGGTGCAGCCAGGAGCAGCTGAGGCAGGAGAGAGGCTCCCCGTGCTTCCTGGAAGTCTGTGGAAGATGCCAGTGCCTCTCCTGCCCCTGAGACCAGTTAAATCAGTTGTCCAGGCAGGGGTCAGGCACGGTGTCTTTGAAAAATCCCCACATGGTGCTGGTGTGCACATACTACAGCTGAGGGCCTGCCCTGGTTTGTTTATTGATTGATTGAGGCAGGGTCTGGCTCCATTGCCCAGGCTGGAGTGCAGTGGTGTGATCAGGGCTCACTGCAGCCTCAACCTCCTGGGCTCAAGTGATCCTCCTGCCTCAGCTCCCCAAGTAGCTGGAACCACAGGCCTGTGCCACCACACCTGGCTAATTTTTTTTTGAATGTTAGTAGAGACAGGGGTCTCTATGTTACCCAGGCTTGTCTCCAACTCCTGAGTTCAAGCGATCCATCCACCTCGGCCTCTCAAAGTGCTGGGATTACAGGCATGAGCCTCCGTACCAGGCCCCTGCTCTGAGTTAGCCGGTGCAGCTTACCTGGAGGCTGAGGTTCTCACACAGGTGGGCTTCCCGGGCCTTCCATTCACCTGCACATGATTCACCTGGTGTCTTGCTCAGCAGCAGATGTGACCCAGCAGGCCTGGCCTGGAACTTGAGATCTGCTCTTTGACAATCGACAGGTCATGCTTTAGCTGCAGGTCCAGCGGCCACACTTGGAACTGAGAGGCTGTAGGGGAAGGGTCTAGAACGCCAGTGTGCAGCTGAGCTACCTGAAAGGGGAGCACTGGGCCCACTCCCACCAGTTTCTGGCTCAGGAGAAGGTACTGCTCCTGCTCTGGGGACCACACCTGGCCTTAGAGCATCCATGCAGGGTCTGGCTCTCTGGGGTCAGGGTGGCCTGCTCTGTCCAGGCCAGCCCCAGCTGGACTTGGGGTGGAGGTGATGGTTCCCACAAATGCTGGTTGAGCAAGCTGGCCCGCCACAGCCCTATCTCTGCCTAGCCCTGGTGGGGGGGCTTCCTGAGCTCTCCACAGTGCCCAAACACAAAGGGCCAGTGTGTCTAGAATAAGCAGTGCCTCCTGTGTGGTCTGTAGGGGTGCTGAGCAATCATGCTGGTGGGAATCAGCTCCTGGGGGTGAGGAGGCACCTGGTGCCCAGCACCTTACACAGGGGCTCCTCTGATCTTCCCTGCAAACCTCTGAAGTAGTGCTCCCTGTGCCCATTTTACAGACAAAGAAGTTAAGGCTCCAAGGGTTTGAGGATCTTGACATAGCCAAGACAGGTGGTGGAGCCAGGCTCGGACTTGGGCTCCCTGCCTACCCCTGCTGCTTGCTCGGCATGAATCCTGGCACTGTTGCCCTCTGGCTGTGACCTGGGGCAGGTACTCACCCCTCGTCTGCGTAAGGGAATAACGGGTTCTCTGGGAGCATAGGGGGTGACTGGGAAGAGTAACTGGGATTCTTCAACTGTAGCCTTGCGGTTTTCAGTGTTCAGCACCCTGGCCATCGGTGTATCATGATGGCTATTGCTGTGACTGGAGCCAAGAGCCCAGTGTGCAATTCTTCCTTGGGAAGGGGCTGCCTGGTGGTGGACACAGCTGTTCAGATACACAGGTTTGCAGCTGCCTGTCGAAGTGCCTGCCCCTGCTGTTGGGGCAAGGAGGAAGCAGGTGCAAGAACAAGCGACCTCAGGGCTGGGTGGGGGTGGCCGGCAGGGGACCCCGCAGTGGAAGTGCTGTCATCATCACCATTTCACAGCTGGGAAGGTGGAGGGCTGGCCAGATGCACCCAGGAACAAGGAGTGGGCCTGCTGCAGGGCCGGCATTCCTGCCCGGGAAAAGCCATGTAGGGAACCTGCCTCTCCACTTGGCACTGAGCCCTGGAGACCCTCCTCGAAGTGCTCCGTGGCTGGGCAGGGTGGGCCCTGCTAGGTTTGAGCTTTCGGGGGTAGGGGCTCATGGGGCATCCCCCAGACCTGCAGGGTCTTGGTTTGTTGGATGCAGGAGACCTAGCCCTGGGCCGTGTCCCCAGGTGGGTCTCCAGGTAGGCAGGACAGAAGGAACCCAGAGCACCCCACCTCTCAGGTCAGTGCGGCTCCACACGGTCCCCCTCAGGCTCTGCTGACTCCCCAAAGGGATTCTGAGCATGTGCAGAACCTCTGCTTGCCTGGGACACCCCTGCATGCTCCTCCTCCAGGCCCCCACCCTCGAAGGCGTGGCCTTCCCAGCCCCTCTCTGGCTGCTGACCAGTGGGCTGGGTCCCCAGGATGGCTCCTCAACTCCTAGGCAGGCCTCCTAGCACTGAGGCAGGTCTCTCTGCAGGCTGGACATGGAGTGGCCTTGCCCTGTGGGGGATCGGCTGGGGCTGAGTTTGTGGGGTGTCAGAGTGCATCCCCCACATACTACCTCCTGACCAGAGCAGCCTGCAGTGGGAGAGGCCAGTGGCTCGGCAAATGCCCTCTCTGATGACCCCAAGAGCTTGGGGTGAGGAGGCCCAACTGACCAAGGTTACCACCTGCTGGTCGCCTTTTGAACCCAGAACTGTGTGATCTTGGGGAGGTTGTCCCACAGTGCATTGGCCTCAGATGCCTGAGACAGTGCTGAGCAGCTGTGGGCAACAAGGGGTTTGTGAGCCCGCCTTCGTGACTTCATTGCACAAATGGTCACTGAGTGCCACCCTGGGCCAGCGATAGGATACACAGGTGAATGATACAGCCACTTCTGGCTTTGTGGGTCAACAGTCTAGGTTAAACCCAGGGAGGCTTCCTGGAGGTGGTGACACCTAGGCTGGACTTGGAACTCCTGGGGTTTCCTTAGTTGAGTTCCTTCCCACTGGGCCTCAGTTTCACCATCTGAAAAATGAAGGATTGGCTCACATCAGTGGTTCCTGGGCTGGAGTGGAGAGCGCGTTGGGGTACAGAAGCAGTCCACCCCAGAGTTTCTGACCAGCAGGTCTGGGGCTAGGCCTGAGAATGTGCATTCTAACTTGTGTGAGGCACCGCTGCTGGCCTGAGTTTGAAGGGAGCATTGTATGAGTCTGAGCCATGACCTCCCTGTCCTGGAGTGGGGGCAGCACTGAGCCTGGGGGCCTGGACATTCCACCCAGCGTCATCGTGGGGCCTTTGGTTGCGTTCTTGCTCTCCTTGCCAAAGACTTTCTAAGAATTCCAAGGAAACCTTTAGGTGTTTGGTGGGAAAACCAGTGACGTCTGGGCCAGATGCTCTTTTTTCCCTGGTGGGAGGGACAGGGACGTGCTGTGTGTGTGTGTGTGTGTGTGTGTGTGTGTGTGTGTGTGTGTGTGTGTGTGTTGACGTGGGGGGTGTGGGCAGGTGGTCCGCTCTCTCCTTGTAAGGCCCCTACAGGGCAGAGGCCCACGGTCCTGTCATGGCACTGAAGTAATCATGGCAACAATTTGCTCTGTGCAGTGGGGAAACTAAGGCCAAAATGGCAGGAGGGTCTCGCTTCTCCACCTGACCTCAGCCGCTGGCACCTGTGCTGCCTTCCCTTGAGGGCCAGGAGGTTGAGGCTGGCTCTGTGTGCAGGCAAGGCCACAGGCAGGCCACCTCTGGCCCTCAGGCTGGCAGTTGCTGCATCGTCCAGTCCCCACTTGGCTCCTCCCAGGCATGGCTGGCTGTCTGGGGCACTGGGGAAACAGGCCCAGAGGGCTTCAGACTCCCCTAGGCTTCACAAGAACTCCCAGCTGCAGGGTGTGGTGAGACCCTGAGCCCCATCACAGCGGGCCATGCTGTGGAGGACAGTCCCAGTGTGGGCACCGAGGCCTCCAGGAGGCCCAGCTGCTCAGACATCTGCAGCTCAGGGGCACTCAGACTCACAGGCCCCAAAGCCAGTTCCAGATCTCTCTCTAGCCCTGCCCACAGCCCTGCCTCATACTGGTCAGCCACTTGGCCCAAGACCTTCACCATGTGGAGTGGCCCTGCTCGCCACTCCTGCTACCGCCTGCCTGAGCAAGCTCTCCTTGGGCTGTGGCAAGACCCACCATCCACGTGGCAGCCACCGTAAGTCAGACCACTGTGCTCAGAGCCCCAGGCTCCCACCTCAGTGAAGCAGCACATGCAGCCTGTGTGTCCGGCCCTGAGTCCTCAGACTGTCCTCCCAGCTCCCCGCTGCACACATCTCTGGGTCAGGACCTTGGCACTCACTGTACCTCATGCCTAGGGTGTTCCTTTCTTATCCTGGGAGCTGCGCGGCCAGCCCCATCAGTTGTTCACAGCCCTCTCACCCCAGGCAGCCCTGACTGCCCACCGCAGGCTCCCTGTCCCTTCTTGGACATTTTTCCCAGAGTTTCTCTTCTCTGCCGGCTTTGAGTGTCCAGGGCCCTGGAATGAGGTCTGGCCCACAGGGAGCTGAAGACACAGTGATCAGATGTGCAGCGGCTGGGGGACCACCAAGGAGCCCGCCTGCCCTGCCCTGGAATGGGGGTGCCCTCTGCCAGTGCCGCTGCGCCCCTGCCACGCACCCCTGCACACATGCATGCACGCTGCAGGCTGCCTGGGAGGAGGGTCTGTGGAGCTGTGGAGGCGCCTTTGATGCCTCATGTCCTTGCTCTTTTCTCCCAGGAAACTATGCCCCAGACGTCCGTTGTCTTCTCCAGCATCCTTGGGCCCAGCTGTAGCGGACAGGTGCAGCCTGGCATGGGGGAGCGTGGAGGCGGGGCCGGTGGCGGCTCCGGGGACCTCATCTTCCAAGATGGACACCTCATCTCTGGGTCCCTGGAGGCCCTGATGGAGCACCTTGTTCCCACGGTGGACTATTACCCCGATGTGAGTACGTGGGGCCTTGTGGAGTGAGACTAATGGGGTGACCTGGGCTCCAGGAGATGTCGGGTGTGGGAGGGAGGCCCCCACAGAGTGGTAGAGCTGGACAGGGCTGCAGGAGGGGCAGGGCAGTGGGGGGCCCAGGCCCACCTCTAGGGCCTTCTCTGCCTTCTGCTCTGCATACACCACCAGCTAGCAGGTGGCCTGGGGGAACCTGCTGTGACTTCCCTGCTGCTGCCCCAGGTAGGAGGAGATGATCCTAGGGACACGGGAAGCAGAAACACACAAGGGCCGAGCAGGGCCCTGAGTTCTGAGCAGGGCCTCCAAGGAGGAAGAGGAGTTTTAAAGGGCAAAGCCAGCACTTGGGGTCCTGGCGAGGGCACGCCCAGCCGAGGTCCTGGAGCCCAGGGCTGAGCTGGGAAGCTGGTTTGTACATAAACCCTGGTGGTCCAGAATGAAGAGGAGATGGCCCGGCCTGCCCTGCCCTGTCAGCAGAGCACTGTTCAGGCTGACTCGGGGACTGTTCTTAGGCAACAACCCTAATCCTCCCTTTTCACCTCAAGGTGGCATGATACAGTCTTGGAACAGAGAAAGTGTTCCCTTGTCAAGTGTGCCTTCCCTCCCCCTGGAGGGTGATGTCTCTTAGCAGCAGTGGCACTGGGCCTGCCAGCTCCCTCTTGTGAGCTGAGCATCTACCCTCTGGGAGGGCCAGTCCTGCCCGCATCATGCTATCCCCTCTCCCTCCCTGCCCTGCTTGTCAGCCTGGGAGTCAGACAGCTTGCAGGGAGGTGGGCGGGAGGGATGCTGCCCTCTAGCTTCCACTGAACGGGGCTGCAGTCAGCCTGGCTTCACCACCTGCCAGACCTCCACTGCCTTCCTGGGCTTTGGGTGAGGGGGCCTTGCCTTTCTGTTGCCCACTCCTCCTCCTCCTCCATCTGTCCTTCTGTCTGTCCCGTAAGCCCTGTCAGGGTTTGGCTGGGGCTGGAGATGGCAGTGCAGACAGGCTGGTGAGTGCCCACAGGGCAGAGCCAGGGGAGGGGCCCAAGGCCCTGAGGTAGTCCAGGGCAGGGCCGTCTGTGGGGCAGAGGCCTCATGCCACAGCTGGAGAAGCCACCCTTCTCAGAGGCCTACCCCAGAGGAGCCACCTTGGCGGTCACCCAGTGTGGTCCCTGTGCCCTGAGATCTGACCAGCTTCCCACGAGACTCCAGTTGGGCATTGGCTCCTCTGCCGAGCACCTACCCCTCCCCCGCCACCCCACCCTTCCCCATGTGCACCGGTAGCTGAACACACTCACACATGCACACAAACATGCACACATGGTCTCCATGCTCCTCCTTGGAGATGCACAGGCTCTCCCCTTGGGTGCCCTGCCCTTGGCCAAGAGCTCCATGGTGGGCCTTTCCTCCACGTCTTAGTTGTCTCCTTAGAAGGGGGACCCTGAGAGATGTGCTGGTTCTGACCCCTCAATTCGCCATGCTGCATAGCCTGGGGCAGGGTGTGGGAAGTTTGCAGGATGTTAGAGGAGTCCCTGATGCTCCAGGGAGGGCTGCGGTGGGCAGTGTCAGCCCAGGCCCCTGAGTCCTGCTCCAGGAGGCCTGTACTCCCAGCAAGCACAACCTGGCTTGCTTCTGGCTGGGGCAAGAAAAACCGGGTTATATGGGCTGGGAGTGGAGGCAGAGGCTTCTGGGCAGCCCAGCCTGCAGCAGCCACGTGGGGCAGAGTCCCTCTAGGAAGCCCTAGGCAGTCTCCTCAACCTGCAAGTCTACCCTGTCCACAAGCAGGAGCTAGAGTGAAGTTCCCACAGACATTGACCCTCATTAGACAAAAGGCCCAAGAACCCAGCCCACGAGGATCTCGATGGAAGGCACGTGGATGTGGTATGGAGGGGCCCTGCTCTGGCAGTCAGGGTCTAGGCCCAGAGCTGGTCAGAGAGTGCAGGGGCCCCCACCAGCATTGCCCCTGAGGCCCCGCCCCTGCTGATGGGGCCCCGCCCCTGCTGATGGGGCCCCGCCCCTGCTGATGAGGCCCCGCCCCATGGATCAGCCCTGCTCCCGACAGGCCCCGCTCCTGTGCCAACCTCCCTGCATCCCCCACCCTCCCCACCGCTGACCTCCAGCTCGGCCCACGAGGATCTGAAACAGCAGCTGGCTTGCATCCTGGCGCAGCGAGCACCATGGAGCCCTACCAACGTCCCAGGCTGGGGTTAGCCCTATGGTGGCGTGGGGCAGAGAGGGGGAGAATCCCAGCGGAGGAAGACTGCTAGGAGGCCTGGGAGAGCTGCTGGGAGGCGGGGCTCGAGCCGTGCCTCCTAGGTAGGCAGGGCCGGGGTAGCAGTAAGAGGAGGAAGGGCCTGCAAGGCGAAGGGAACCGGGCAGGTGAAGGCATGGCCTCGGGACCGGCGGTGCTGGGCCTGGGAGGCAGCCGGGCCAGGTGAAGCAGCGCGGTGAGCCCCCGGGGGCCTGCCTCACCCTCCCTCCGCCCTCTCTCCGTCTCCTGCCTTCAGAGGACGTACATCTTCACCTTTCTCCTGAGCTCCCGGGTCTTTATGCCCCCTCATGACCTGCTGGCCCGCGTGGGGCAGATCTGCGTGGAGCAGAAGCAGCAGCTGGAAGCCGGGCCTGAAAAGGTGAGGCGGGGCCTGGCTGGGGCACGGGCGGGGGCAGGGGGCAGGAGGCGAGGTCAAGGCTAGGGGCTGGAGGCATGGGGCGGGGTTCACGGTAGAGCTGGGGGATGGGGTCAGGGCTAGAGTTGGGGCTTGGCCTGGCTGGGACTGTGGGATGGGGTCCAGGGTGGGGCCAGGGGGTGGGGTCAGGGCTAGGGTTGAGGCGTGGCCTGGCTGGGGCAGGGTCGGGGTCAAGGCTAGGGTTGGGCGTGGCCTAGCTGGGGCTGCAGGGTGGGGTCCAGGGTGGGACCAGGGGGCGGGGTCATGGCTAGGGTTGGGGCGTGGCCTGGCTGGGGCTGTGGGGTCTCGGGGCAGGGTCAGTGCTAGGGTTAGGCATGGCCTGGCTGGGCTGGTGGGGCCTGGGGGCGGGGTCAGGGCTAGGGTTGGGGCGTGGCCTGGCTGGGGCTGTGGGGCGGGTCTGAGTTGGGGCGTGACGCCACACCAGGCTGGGGTGAGGTCTGGGCTGGAGCTGTGGGTTGGGTCCGGGTTAGGGGCGTGGTGGGAGCGGGTGGTGGGGGGCCTAGGCTGGCAACGTGGGCGGAATCCGCTGGTTTGGAGGCTGTGCGGCGTGGGCGAAGAAAGCTGCAGAGTTGCGGGCTGGGTGGTGCGGGGGCCGGGGGCGGGGTCCAGCGGTCTGAGTGGGGCTGGTGTGGGCTGGCGCGGAGTCTTGGCTGGCGCAGGAGGGGCTTGGCCTGTGGTGCGTTCTGGGGGATTGGAGGATGGGGGCGCGGCGCCTGAGCATCGGGCACAGTCCCCTCTCCCCGGGGGCAGAGGCCGCGCGGGCATCTTCCGAGAGGGTCGGAGTCGTTTCAGCCAAGAGGGCCAGTCCCCATGCCCTAGGCCCTGTGCTGGGTGGGGTCGTGCATGCCTGTGGACTAGGGCGCGGGAGCGCGTCGCCTCCCCTCGGGGTCACACCCCTTTCAGCGCTGTCGCCCTTTCAACCACAGGGGGCAGACGGGAGCTCTCCTCTAACTGGATGGCTTGGCTTGGGTTATTTTACTGTATTGCTTTTATGGGTAACTTCTAATTATAGCAAATGGAATTAGTTTTTTGTCACCTTAGAGATGGGGTGGGTTTTTTTAATATAAGTTTATTTAAGTGAAAAAGAAAGTCAACTTAAGGGGAAGGAAGAAGGAACCAAACAGGAGTCATGTGGCGGTTCAGGTTTGGCCAAACCGCAGGTGGCACGCAGTTGGGGGCTGTGCCCAGCACAGGGCCTGGGGTGTGGCTTGGGGATGTGGGAAGCTTGCACCATTTGCCATCTAGTACCCTACTCTGCCCTGTGGGGCCTTACTCTGTATCCCCTGCTGCCCCAGGCCAAGCTGAAGTCTTTCTCAGCCAAGATCGTGCAGCTCCTGAAGGAGTGGACCGAGGCCTTCCCCTATGACTTCCAGGATGAGAAGGCCATGGCCGAGCTGAAAGCCATCACACACCGTGTCACCCAGTGTGATGAGGTGAGTGCTCCCTGGGCTCTGGCCAGGGTCTTTGGGTGTGTGCCAGGGTCTGCCCTCGGGAGGGTGGGGGCTTCGGGGACAACTCTGTATGTGGTCCCCTTCCATGTTACTCCCCCAGGAGGGTTGCTGGCTGGCCCCATTCAACCTCCCTTCCCCCAGATGACAGCTCAGCTGGCCAGCAGTGGGCCAGGGTCACCCATGATACTGCAAGCAGGGACCTTGCAGCCCGGTTGCGGGCCTGGCAATCATTGTCTCAACCCTCTCCTGGCCCTTGCTGTCCTTGTCCCTGGAGTGGGAGCCTATTGAGAGTTTGTAAGGCTCTGCCTGTCTTGGATTAGTGAGAGGAGGTGGGGGTAAGGCTTTAAACCGGTCTCCCATTTTTCAAATGTCTTCACCTTTGCCTTTGGTGGAGAGAGAACTGGAGATGCCTGGGCCAACTGGGCCTCCACAGTGGAAGCATTCCCTGTGCTTAGCAGCTCCTGTTCACCCCGAGTACTCCAGGAGGAGCCAGGGACCCCAGGCTGCTCCCAACTAGGGGGCAGAGACTCCTGGCTTTGGCAGAAGCCTTTCCCATGCCTTAAACTGTTCTATGGGCTGCTCCTGCTTCAGGAAGCAGCTCAGTGGGCCGCCTCTGAAAAAGCCATGCTTTTCAGACCCAGAAGCTCAGTCTTGAGCCTGTCTCTGCCCTTAGCCTCGTCCTGCAGCAGGACAGCCCACTGAGACCCCTCCTCAGCAGTCCTCAGAGGAGCCCATGCTGTGCCCCACTTTGTCCTTGAAGGCCTGAAGGCTGCGGTTTAGATAGGGGCTGTGGGCTCACGTTGGTTAGGCACATCCCTGGAGGTGAGATGGATCCTACCCACAGTGGTGGTGGCCTTGCTGCCAGCCCATGCTGGCACCCTTATTGCCCTTGACCCCACAGGAGAATGGCACAGTGAAGAAGGCCATTGCCCAGATGACACAGAGCCTGTTGCTGTCCTTGGCTGCCCGGAGCCAGCTCCAGGAACTGCGAGAGAAGCTCCGGCCACCGGCTGTAGACAAGGGGCCCATCCTCAAGACCAAGCCACCAGCCGCCCAGAAGGACATCCTGGGCGTGTGCTGCGACCCCCTGGTGCTGGCCCAGCAGCTGACTCACATTGAGCTGGTCAGTGCTGCCTTATGCCCTGACTGGGGGTGGGGGCTGTGGGACCACAGTGCCTCTTTCAGCACAGCACTTCAGGCCCCTGCTAGTCACACTGAGCCATCAGGGAAGTGCGCTTGCCAGCCCTGACTGCCACACTTCATGCCAGATGTGTGTCCGTCTGAGTGGCGGGCACCTCTGTGCCTGGCACTCACGTCCTCAGGAACACAGCAGTGCTGTGTCAGTGGGAGGAGCTGGAGCAGTGTCGTCCTGCAGTGGGGACTGCAGTGGCCCTAGGATGGAGGACTGGCCTGGGAGGAGGTGAAGGTCCTGTGCCCTGGGCAGCTCCTCCTCTCCCTGTCCGCATGCCTATGCAGTGCTGTCCCTTCTCCAGGGGAAGCTTGTCACCTTCCCTTTGCTATCTTCCACCCCAGGACAGGGTCAGCAGCATTTACCCTGAGGACTTGATGCAGATCGTCAGCCACATGGACTCCTTGGACAACCACAGGGTAAGTGGGCCAAGGCCTGTGGCACCCCTGCCAGCCCTGTCTGCCCAGCACTTGCGCTCCATGCAGGGTGGGTGTGGGCCTCACTCAGCACGCCCCGAGCGTCTCCGGAGTGCTGGGCCATGAGCCCCGATGGATGTGGCACTGGACCTCCTAGCACCTGCTTCAAGAGGCAGCACCTGCTCCAAGATGGCTGTGCTGGTCATGGATGATGAATGCTGGGAGAGGTCACAGATTTGGGCCAGGGAGCCAGCCTGGCCTGCCAGCCCTGCACTGGGCAGCAAGGAGCACGCAGGCATGATTGAGGCTGCTGCGGTGCAGGCTGAGCCATAGCTGGGGACCAGGGCCAGCTGTGGGGACTAAGTTGTCCAGCCATGGTCCTCCAGGCCCCCTATGACCTGCTGTGTCCTTTCCAGTGCCGAGGGGACCTGACCAAGACCTACAGCCTGGAGGCCTATGACAACTGGTTCAACTGCCTGAGCATGCTGGTGGCCACTGAGGTGTGCCGGGTAAGTGCCCATGGCAGACATGGTGGGGTGGCTGCCATGCCCACACCCAGTGAGACCCTGATCTTGCCCCAGGAATTAGATGATGGAACTTTAAGAGTGAATGCACAAAGTCCCTGTTGCATTGTCAGGGCCTTGGTGGTCCCCCAACCCCGACATACAGCGATTCCTTCAATGACAACAGACACCCCATCCGTGGAGTGCTCCCCTTGTGCCCAGCACCATTTTTCTTGCCTGTGTGAGGCTTTGCCAGCCCTCACAGCCCTCTGGGGCAGATGGTGCCTTCCCTTTGATGACTGAGGAGCCTGAGCATAGGCCGTGCACATGTCTGGACCTCCCAGACGCAGCCATGGACCTGGATCAGCCCGCTGTGGCCAGAAGCTAAGTCCCGAGGTCCTCCCTGCCCCTCTGTTCCTCTGCCCGGCGGCCCCAGCTCCTGCTGTCCCCCGGCAGCGCCATGCTGAGGTCACCTGCCACCTTCCAGGTGGTGAAGAAGAAACACCGGACCCGCATGTTGGAGTTCTTCATTGATGTGGCCCGGGAGTGCTTCAACATCGGGAACTTCAACTCCATGATGGCCATCATCTGTGAGTGACTGGGCACCCAGGGTGGGGCTGCTGCATGGCCCACCCCCCCGGCCCTGACCCTACCTGCTGTCCTCTGCAGCTGGCATGAACCTCAGTCCTGTGGCAAGGCTGAAGAAAACTTGGTCCAAGGTCAAGACAGCCAAGTTTGATGTCTTGGAGGTAGGCACCTGAGCCCCGTCACAGCTGCGAGCTGCACCCATTTCGTCCCGCAATGGCCCGAAGGGGGCCCTGACAGTGGGGGTGGGGGGCTGCCCTCCTCTCCCTGGGGCTAGCACCTACAGTGCTGGCTGAGCTGGCCTGGCATGTTCGTCCTCCAGCAGTGGGGACTTAAGTTGTCCTCGGTTACTTCAGGCAGACCCGGCATCACCTAAGGCGAGTTCCAGAGTGGAATGCGGTTAAGCAAGAGTTTGACAAGAGTGGGGTTGTGTTGGAAGACACTGCCTTTTCCTTGGTCAGTGTCTCCAGGTCCTGGCTGGTCTAGATGGCCCAGAGGCTGGCAGACAGGGTCACCTGCAGCCTTCCTCAGATGTGTTTGACCACAGAGTCCATTTTTGCAAAGCATGTGTCTTGTGGAGCTGGTCAGGTCTGGGAGGTGTTGATCTAAGTAGAGGAGCAAAGGGAAGTCTTGAAGGAAGGAGGGCGAGGGTCAGGCCTGGCAGGCAGGGCAGTGACACTTCTGTGGCTTTCCAGAGGATGCCAGGACCTGAACTCAGAAGCCCTGGCCCCAGGGCTCAGCCAGGCACCCTTGGGCGTCCCCTCCCCCGTGCTAACTCCCAGGCTGCCCAGGGGCCAGGTGCCTTCTCTGTCTGCTGCCTCCTGCTCTGCAGAGGGGCATCTGGAGCAGGTCGGAGGGGCATGGGGCTGTGATGCTCACCAGGTCCTCCCTGTGCCCACAGCATCACATGGACCCGTCCAGCAACTTCTGCAACTACCGTACAGCCCTGCAGGGGGCCACGCAGAGGTCCCAGATGGCCAACAGCAGCCGTGAAAAGATCGTCATCCCTGTGTTCAACCTCTTCGTTAAGGACATCTACTTCCTGCACAAAATCCATACCAACCACCTGCCCAACGGGCACATTAACTTTAAGGTGAGCTCATCCCAGCACAGGGCAGGCCAGGCGGAAACTGTCTGAGCTACTGGAGCCGCCAGGCATTAGCCCTGGGTCGGGATCTGTGGGTTTCCTGAGCCCTGCCTGAGGTTCACAAGGGCCTTCAAGACTGAAAGCCTCATAGTGGGTCACGGGGTGCTGTTTGACTGCAAGGTATGAGGTGCGCCTGCCGGTACTTCTGGGTGGATGGCCTAGTTGCAGAGCTTGGAGTCACAGGGAATTGTATTTATCCAGGACCGTGGTTCCAGCCTGGCCCTACCAGGGAGAGAGCCCTGTCCACCCCTGTGGGATTGGAGGTCAGGAGGGGTTTAGATAGGAAGGGACTTGAGCAGGGAGGAGGCGGCAGAGAATTCTAGATGGAAGTGAAGAGCCTGCCTCGTGGGCCTGAGGGCACCTGGTGAGGATGGGAGGGTGGGACATAGGTGGCAGGGCAGGTGTAGGTGGCTGTGGGCTGCCGGATGCCTACCTCACACAGGTGAGGTGTGGGCAGGAGCTGGGATCCTTCCGAAGGTCCCAGAGAAGGGACATCATGACACGTTCTGGTTGGCGCCGCTGGGCTGGGTTTGGATGGGGTGCCTGCCTCAGGCTGGAGTTATCAGTGGGGCCTTCTTTGGGTCCCTGCACAGACAGGCAGAGACCCTGCTGCCGGCCTGATGGCCCAGGTGGAGGGCCAGACAGAGTGGCCTTGGGGGACACCTGCTGGCTCTGAGGCTGCATGGCGTGCCACCATGGCCACGGGGTCAGCGTGCAGGGCCACTGTCCCATCTTGCTGGGACCAGTGAAGTGAGCAGGAGGCTGAGGCCAAAACCTACGTCCCCTGCCCTGACCGAGGGTTTGGTGCTTAAGGTGACAGATGAACATCAGTTGGTTTTGCTCCCTTCAGAAATTCTGGGAGATCTCCAGACAGATCCATGAGTTCATGACATGGACACAGGTAGAGTGTCCTTTCGAGAAGGACAAGAAGATTCAGAGTTACCTGCTCACGGCGCCCATCTACAGCGAGGAAGGTGAGGGCTGCCTCCCAACGCAGCATGCCTCCCACCCCACCTGACTCCTTGTCCAGGCCCGGTGCTCTTTGGGGTTGCCCTGGGAGATGGCCTGCTGGCTGCTCCATGCCACACAGGGCTGGCTCTGCTCGCAGGGGCGAGTGTGCATGAGGGTGGGTCATGGGATGGATGGAAGAGAAGGACAAGAGACTCAGTTTCCAGCAGCCACTGGAGAGGGTCACATGGGCTTAGGTCAGGTGCTGCAACACGAGGAACCTTCCTAGAGTCCCCAACAGGCAGCCTGAGAGCCCCGCACAGCAGAGAACTGTGTTCAGCCCAGCCAGAGGTCACTGTCCCCTTGTGCTGGGCTGTACTCCTGAAGGGACAGCTGGGTTCAGGCAGACACTGCATGGGGACACAGGCTCTGAGGGACTTTCCCATCTCTCAGCTCTCTTCGTCGCCTCCTTTGAAAGTGAGGGTCCCGAGAACCACATGGAAAAAGACAGCTGGAAGACCCTCAGGTAGGAGGGCGTCAGGAACATGGGAGTCTGTAAGGAAGAGGGAGGACTCAGGGTGGGCACGAGGGTTACCCTCCTGGAAAGGGAGCCTGGGCACTGCCGCGTCCCTGGTCCAGGGTCCCTGGTGCATGTTTGGTGGGAGGCTGAGGATGGCTTGGACCCAAGCCGCCCTGCTCGGGCCTGAGCACTGCTTGTCCTGTCCCCCTCTAGGACCACCCTTCTGAACAGAGCCTGAGGCGGATGCAGCCCGCGACGCCAGAGGAAGCACGTGCACTAACTGGGTTTAAATTTTGACTGATGTGGGTTGAGATGAGGAGGCCTCACTGGTTGGGGTCCATTTTGTATATAACTTTTATGAGAAAAAAATGGTAATTATTTCACGCATCAACCTTTGGCACTTACAAAGTTTTTTTTGTTTATTTTAAATAACAGGGCAGGGCCCTGCTTTGGGGAGGGGGAGGGGAGAGTATCATGGGAGATGGTATCCATGATAACATCTTATTCTAATGAAATGTAGATTTTTATTTTCTACTTTTGATTATTAACATCTTATGAAAAAAATATTTTAAAAAACCCAGCCAAAACCAACGTGAGCCCTGCCTGCTCGGACGCCTTTCCAGCCAGTGTCTCTGACGTCGGGGTTAGTGCCTTAGAGGGTACTGGGGTCTGGTCTTCCTGCTCTGTGGTTTGGGCTGCGGTGAGTCCCACTCCACCTGGGCGCCTGCCCTCAGGAGCCTGGGCTGCGAGGCTCCATAGGAGGGCTGGTGGCTGGGAGGTCGCGTCCGCACACTTCTGGAAGTGAGCCTTTGAGTACGGGCTGTCCAAAGTTTACATTTTCATTTTCCTTTCAGGGATTTGTGGGGTCAGGGAGGGGCAGGGGGCACCTGGCAGCATATTTTCTGTGACAATGTGTCCAGCAAATCATTCTTCAACTACATTTTAGAAAGGAGGAAATCTAAAATAAGGTAAGGGAGGGAAGCATGGAGTTGTCAGTTTTCTGGGCTGTGACTGAAAGACACACTGAGCTGTGATGAAGAAAAATACATGGCCGACTCCAGGGTGGTGACATTTAGAGCTAGTCTTGAAACCTATCATCTACAGAGGGGAGGGCAGCCAACAGCCCTCTTCCCACCTGGGTAGGCAGCGCCCTAATTGGAATTGGAAACAGAAAATTCGCCAGGCCATACTGCTGGAGCCCATTCAGATAAAACTGCCCAATACTGAGAGGTGTTTTCTACACCCAGCTAGAGGAGCACACTCCATTTTCCCATGTCTGACTTCGTGGTGTGAGCCCTGGGCCCTACTGACCATGGCGCAGGACAGCTGTCCTTCAGAAAGCACACGGTCAATCCACGTGGACCGTCTCCCTCGCAGGAACTCCGCATCCTTGTCCCTCTGCATTCCCAGTTTCCGCAGGAGCCTTGATCAATGGGGAAGCCTGGGTGAGGATGGGCCAGGTCCCAATTCCCAAAGCTCCTGGAAGAGCCTGAAGACATTGGGAAAGGCTGGGCCTGGGGAGGAGGCAGCCCTGGGCCCGCTGCCCATGCCTCTGGTCCTGGGTGGAGCAGGAATAGTTCCACTGTATTGTCACAGTGTGTTTGCACTTTCTGAGGTTCTAGCTAGTACAGATTGTATATTGATAGTACATATTGCTTTGTTTATGTCTTTGAGATGAGAAAGGCTTAAAACTTGAGAATATATATTTGGAATACAGCCTTAGAACGGTTTCTGTACACACCCACGTGCACTTCACGGGTGATCAGTTCTAGTACCTACTTGAAACAGTGTCTGTCTGCTACTTTATTTTCCCAATTTGATACATACCCTGATTTGATGTTTTGGTATTTGAGATGAACTCTGAGTATGAAGCTGTACCATAATGCAGGACGTCAGTTTTGGTGTGACTGGACATACTTGCTTCAATAAAAGAATACATCACTCCCCTCCCTTGCCTGCTGTGTGTGTACAGTGAGGGGGTGGCCTTGCTGCTGGCCGGAGACATGGGTCCCCTGGGGCAGGGAGGAGGGTGAGGCTGCCAGGCCTGCTGTGGCCTTCCCAGGAGGGACTGGGCAAGAGACTTTTGTCTCCAGCTGGCAACACTTTGTGTGACAAAGGGCTTTCCACTGAATAAGGTGAGACTCGAAAGAAGCTATAGGAGGCACGTTCAGTCCTGCTTTCCTCATTGTGAGCTCCAAAAAGATGTCACTGGCTGCTGTATTGCATGGTCACATAAGTAAGTAAGTTCAGGATACCTAGTTAAGCCAGGCTGTATGGACTGTGTTACTGCAGAGGAGTCAGATGGCCTCTCTGGGGGCAGGGGAGGTTGGAGAGCCCCTGGACGCGATCCTGCAGGGCAGCCTGCAGAATGCAGGTCTGGAGGGGCCACTCCTGGTGTCATGAGTTTTATACTCAAGCGCAACAGAGAAGAGGGGTTCACTGGGGGAGCACATGAGAGCTCGGGAATTGAAGGAAAAAAACTAAGGCTCCAGAACAGGACATGGTACTCCCCTCTGCTCCTCCAACCTGCCCATTCCCACGGTTCTCAGGCCTGGACAGGGTGGGGACTGCACCCCAGGGATAACTCAGCTCATCTTTCACTATGTGCTCAGTGTCATCATTCCCACGAGGTGAGCGCCACCCAACAGAAACCTTTCTGGGGTAAGGGAATGTCCTGTATCTGTGCTGTCCAGTACAGCAGCTGCCAACCATATGTGGGTCCTGTCTGCTGGGATGTGGCTAGTGTGACCCAGGGGCTGAATTTGGGATGTGAATTTGGACAGCCAGGGGCCCGTGTTGGACAGAAGCTGGGCCTCGGGGCCTTGCCACCCCATGCAGTGGGCAGTGCAGGACAGGTGCTCGGGTGTCTGTGGAGCAAATGGGGACATGGAGATGATGCTTGAGCTTTTAGTGAATGACATTTTTTAGGTCTTTAAATCCAATGGCATCCCTAATTTCCTGGTGAAGAAGTTATTTTTGGAAGTGTTCATCTGCCTCAGCTGAAGAAGGGGGAGTGCATAATTTGCTCTGGCCTTGGATACAACCTCGAGCTGGGAGGGCCATCCCCTGCCATGGGCAGTTCCTCCAGGGCAGTGGCTTTCAAGTGTGGGTCCTTGGGAACCTGTTTGAATGTCCATTCTTAGGCCTCTCCACACACCTCCTGAATTGGCAATACGGTGGGGGCCTAGTCCAATCCCTGGGCCACACAGTACGTGTGAGAAGCACTCGGTGGGTGATAGTCTGTGTGCCTTGTGACCAGTACATCCCTGTGTGATGGCTGAGTGTCACCCTTCACAAACGTTGCAGGAACAAATGGATGTCAGAGTGTCAGATGTAGCAGAATGATAAGCTAAGGATCTGTAGTAAGCCATGGAGACTTCTGTGACACACACTGCTTGTGACACACACCGACCACGCCCATACGAGAACATAGACCCTGCTCCTCAGGGAGGCACAAGGCAGCAGGGAGGGAGCAAGGAGCCGGGGAAACTGGAGTGAGAGCTGGTTTCAGCCCCCAGCTGGAGAAGCTTGGACAAGCTGTTTACCTTATAGCCTCCATGTTTTTCATCTGATCACGGCTCTCTTGCAGGGCCGTGGTAGCAGACAGAGCAGGCACCTGGTTCATTGTCAGCACAGTCAGTGCTCGCTGTAGACTGGCCTTGGTGCCGAGGACGCCAAGCAGCACTTCTGCAAAAGGCCACAGCACCTTTTGGGAAAAGTGAAGCAAAGGCTTCTAAGAAGCAAAGGCAGACAGAGCAGGCACCTGGTTCATTGTCAGCACAGTCGGTGCTTGCTATGGACTGGCCCTGGTGCTGCGGACGCCAAGCAGCACTTCTGCAAAAGGCCACAGCACCTTTTGGGAAAAGTGAAGCAAAGGCCCCCTTCTCAAAGGAACACCTGGGGTCCTGGTCAATACGAAGCATGTTAGCATTCACCTAACATGTCACTGTTCACCTAACAGTCACTGTTCAATCCAACCAGCATAAAAATATAAATGGGAAAGAATTCCCACAAATTTGCATTCAAAACTTCAAGAAGCAAAACTTACAATCCATCTGCAGGCCAGTTTAGACCACGTTAACACAATTTCAATCTTTATTCCCAACAAGGAAGTCAGGATACTGTGAGGAAGGTGAGGGGCTGCTGAACACCCCACAAGTATCTACCCACAGCACCAGGATGCTCAGGTGCAGATGCTCAGGCGCGCTCAGCAGGGCTGAGTGGTTCAGCAACAGTGCAGGGAAGAGTGTAAGAAAGTAAACTGCGCCACTTGTGCATTTCTGGCAGTGTGAGAGATGAAGTGCGTGCCCACTGAAAACAACAGATAAAGTTGTACAAAATTTAAAAATCCAAGTGAAGGCAGGGAGCCAGAGAAGTCAGGGAAGCTCTGCAGCCTGCTTTGCCCTGAGGGTAAGGACCATGAGCTGCTGTTTTCAAGTCCACAGGGGTAGAGAAAAAAGTCCAGGGCCCACCTCAAGATGAAGAATCAAATAGGAGACCCCAGCCCATAAAGCTGGCATCCCAAAGAGCCACCCCTCGGTGCAGCAGTGAGCTTGAAATAAGGCGCTCCACCCAAACCCCACCGAGGGACCTAGGAAAAGCTCCCTGATTTGAATCTCAGCACTGAATGGAGGCAGGGAAATTTTACCTTCATAATTGATAATGATGAGTCAGTGAGCTTCACAAAATTTTGCAGCACAAATCAACACTGGTCCAACAAACTTCAAGCTAAGAATTCTTTGAACTGGCCCTGAACTGGTACTGCCCCTAAACATCCAGTAGAAACAAACATTCTGACTTATATTCCAGTTTTTAAAAAAATACCTCCTTAGGGCCTGGCGCGGTGGCTCACGCCTGTAATCCTTTGGGAGGATTTGGGAGGCCGAGGCGGGCGGATCATGAGTTCAGGAGATCAAGACCATCCTGGCTAACATGGTGAAACCCCGTCTCTACTAAAAATACAAAAAATTAGCCGGACGTGGTGGCGGGTGCCTGTAGTCCCAGCTATTCGGGAGGCTGAGGCAGGAGAATGGCGTGAACTCGGGAGGCGGAGCTTGCAGTGAGCAGAGATGGCGCCACTGCACTCCAGCCTGGGCGACAGAGCGAGACTCCTCCTCAAAAAAAAAAAAAAAAAACCTCCTTAGCTGTGTCTAATTTTGTTCAACCCATCTGCTGGATTTAAAAAATTCAATTATTGTAGTTTTCATTTCTAGATGCTCTATTTGGTTATTTTCCAAATCTGATCATAATTCTGAAGAAATTAACAGAATCTAACACAGAATAAAGCATTGGAAAACAAGAAACAGGTTGAGGCATGGAGGACACAACGGTTTTAACATGTTATCAGAGTTAGAGAAGCAAAGAGACAATGAGGCAGGAATCATTTTTGAAAATAAAACAGCTGAGAATTTTTCAGAGTAACAATCCAAGGAACCCGAAGAATCTCAAGCAGGACCAGAAAAAAAACAAACCCACATGCAGATGTATCATAGTGACACAGAACAGAAAAGAAGAGAGTGGACTGCTTTCAATGGATGATGGCTGTTACGCTGATGATTCACAGCAGAAATAACTGAAGCCAAGAGACAGTGGAATAGTAACTTCATTGTGCTAAAAAGAAGAATGATAGCCAATTTAGAATTCTCTACTTTTTAAAACTATTTATTAAATGAGAGATAATAAAGATATTTACAGACAAACTAAATGGCGTTTGCTATCCACAGACCTTCCCTAAAAGAAAAACTAAAGGATGGATCTTGACTCTTCCTGTAACCCATATACAAAACGATTTCCAGATGGATCACAGACCTAAATATGAAAGGCAATGCAATGAGGTGTCAAAAAAAGAATTAAAAAAAATTCTGGAGTAGGAAAGGTTCTTAAATTGGACACCAAAATCACTAACCATAAAAGAAAATTGGTTTTTATTGAAATTAAGAACTTTTGTTTACTGACAGATACCATTAACATAGTGAAAGAGAGGCTGTTGCTAGGAGAAGGTATGTGTAATATGTAAATCTGACAAAGGACTCAAATTCAGAATACAGAAGTAACCCCCACAAATCAACTAAAAAAAAAATCAAACTAATTTTTTTTAAAAAAGGCAGAAAAACTTCAACAGGCATTTCACAAAAGAAGATATCTAAATGGCCAATAAGCATATGATAAGGTACTTGACATCATTCCCTGATTATAAACTAAGATGAAAATAAGAACTGTACACACCCACTAGAAATTATAATTAAAGAGTTTAAATTAAAAACACTGGAAATACTGTGTCGGGGAGGAGGTAAAGCAACTGATCTCTCATACATGGCTGGTAAGGGTTATTTAAAAGGATTGAAAAAAATCTGCCTGCTCCTGGCAAAGCTGATCAAGAAAAAATAGAAGGCATAAGTATATCAGGAATGAGAAAAAAAGGATATCACTATAAATCGTATACATATCACACAGATAATAGGAGGATATTGATTTCATCTGAATTTTCAAATTTATCAGTATAAATTCCTAGAAAATTATGATTTACCCAAAATAACTCAATGAAAGCTTATTCTACAAACAATAGAAAGTCTGAATAGTTCTATAATTATTAAATAAATTGAACAACTGATCAAAAATCTTCCTAGATAGAAAAGTTCATGCCCAAGTGGCTTTCAGGCCGTTCTTCCAGGCAGTTCAATATTCAAGGAAGAAATTAATTCTAATTTTACAAAACTTTTCTAGAAACAGAGTAAGAAGGAACACTTGTAACTTAAGTTTATAAGCTAGTATAACCTCAACAGAAAAGCCTAATGAGGGCCAGGCATGGTGGCTCACACCTGTAATCTCTGCACTTTGGGAGGCCAAGGTGGGAAGATCACTTGAAACCAGGAGCTTGAGACCAGCCTGGACAACAAACCAAGACCCCGTCTCTACACACAAACAAACAAAAACAACAACAACAAAAATGAGTCAGGTGCAGGGGTGTGTGCCTGTGGTCCCAGCTACTTGGGAGGCTGAGGTAGGGGGATCACTTAAGCCCAGGAGGTTGAGGCTGCAGTGAGCCATGATCGCCCCCACTGCACTCCAGCCTTGGAGACAGAGCAAGATCCCGTCAATTAAAACAACAAATAAATAAACAAAAATGCCCAACAAGGAAGAGAACGGGAAGTCATAGGCAATCTCATTCATGAACATAGATTAAAAACACCTGAAGTATATACATACCCACACCCCCGACATGAATACATATGAGATGTGTAAATGTGAATACTTACATGTATGTATATGAAAGCAAACCAAATCAAACAATGTAAAATAAAAATAACACATCATGACTGACTGGCATTTGTCCCAAGAATGCAAAGCTACTTGAGAAAATCTATTAATTCATCAATTTAATACTTTAAAAGAGGGGAAAAAGTATATGAACATCTCAACAGATGTAGTAAAAGTATCTGATAAATGCTCTTAGGTAGGATAAAAACTCACTAAGTAATAACAGAAGGGAAGTTTCTTAAGTTGACAGGGTTGTCTACGAAAACACCTCCAGCAAACATCACACTTACTGATGAAACCCTGAAAGCACTGCTTGAAATCAGAAACAGGGCAGGGAGCCCACTATTACCACTTCCATCAGCATTGCACAACAAATCCTACCAAGCATAGGAGGACAAGAAAAAGAACTAAAGACCTAAAAATGGAAAGGAAACAAAACTCACTATTCATATGTATGATATGATGTAAAACAAGAAAAATGCAAAAGAATTCTAATTACTAGAATTAACAGTTTTTGGCAAAGTTTCTGAACACAAAAATTAACATGCAAAATCAATGATTTCTAAACACCAGTAACACAATAAAAGATAAGGTACAATGGTATCAAAAATGCAGAGTAACTATGAAGAATCTGAAAAACAGCATGTGTAAGTCCACAGTGTGAAAAATTATAAAATGTAATTGAAAAACAATAAAGCCAAATAGAATAGATTGGGAGACTTCATATCATAAAGACTCCCCAAAGTGATCTTACAGATTCAATGATATTCTAATCAAATTCATACATTTTTATGAAACCTAATAAGCGTATTCTAAAATTTATATGAAAGTACAAAGCCTATGATAGCCATAACGATCTTTAAGAACAAGGTGAGTGGAAAATGTGTCCCAGATATTCACTAGCATAAAATTACAGTAACTGATACCATGCAATGCTAATGGTGCAGTGATAGAGTGGTAGCCTAACGGAACAGAAGAGAGCATAGAATCAGACTCATGCACACAGGGACATCTGATGGATATAAGAATGGTTTTGCAGATCAGTAGGTAAAGTATGGATGTAGTGCTGGAAGTAAGTGAAATGCAATCCTTACCTACATCATACACAAAAATCTCTTCCACTTAGGTTAAAGACCTGAGAAAAGTGAAATTACATGGGAGATATTGAGAATATACAACAGTATTTTTAAAGAAATCCTTCCCTATTATGAGGTCATAAATCAATAAAAAGTAGAAACCAATTCCTCATTAAAGAAAATACACATCACTTGAGAAGAAGATACACATTGCTTGAGCCTAGGAGTTTGAGATCAGCCTGGGTAAATAGGGGGACCTCTGTTTCTATTAAAAAAAACAAAAAAAAACTAGCCAGGGCAGGTGGTGCATGCCTGTGGTCTCAGCTACTCAGGAGGTGAGGCAGGAGGATCACCTGAGCCCAGGAGGTCGAGGCTGCAGTGAGCCATGATAGCGCCACTGCATTCCAGCCTCTAGCCTCCTGGGCAACAGTGTGAGACCTTGTCTCAAAAAAAAAAAAAGAAGATATACAGATGGAAAATAAGCACATGAAGAGATGCTCCACATCATATGTCATTAGGTAAATGTAAAGTAAAACAACGAGATACTACTATGCACCTACAGAATGGCCAGAATTGAAACACTGACAACACCAAATGGTTGCAAGGATGTGGAGCAACAGGAACTCTCATTCACTGCTGGTGGGAATGCAAAATGGTACAGCCACATTGGAAGACAGTTTGGCACGCTCCTACAAAGCTAATAAGCTAAACATACTCTTATCATATGATCCAGCAACTGTGTTCCTTGTTATTTGTTCAAAGGTTGAAAACATGTCCACACAAAAACCTGCACGTAGATGTTTATTGCAGTTTTATTAATAATTGCCAACATTTGGAAGCAACCAAGATACCCTTCAGTAGGTGAATGGGTAAACTGTGGTTACATCCAGACAATGAAATATTATTCATTACTAAAAAGAAATGAGCTCTCAAGCCATAAAAAGGCATGGAAGAAACTTAAATGCATACTACTAAGATAAGAAGGCAATCTGAAAAGGCTACATACTGTACGATTCCAACTATATGACATTCTGGAAAAAGCAAAACTATGGAGACAGTGAAAACATCAGTGGTTGCTAGAGGTTAGAGGGTAGGGAGAGATGAATAGTCAGCCTAGAGGATTTTTGGGGCAGTGAGACTGTTCTGTATCATACTGTAACACTGGATGTCATTATACATTTGTCTAAACCCATAGAATGTACAACAAGAATGAACCCTAACATAAACTATGGACTTTAGGTGATTATTTTGTGTCAATGTGGGTTCACTGGTTGTAACAAATGTACCACTGTGGTGACAGATGTAGGTAACAGAAAAAACTGTGCATGTGTGTGGGCAGGGGGATCTAAGGAAACTCCACGTACCTTCTGTTCAATTTTTCTGTGAACCTAAAATTGCTCTAAAAAATAAATTCTATTGAAAAAAGTAGAAATCATAAAGAAAAAAGATAGTCACAATAAAGTTAGTTTTTTATTTATCAAAAAGTACCACCAAAAATGGGAAAAGACAAACCACATTGGTCTTGATGGGAGAAGATATCTGCAAACATTAAACCAACAAGAACTGGTATCCGGAATATGTGAAGAATCCCTGTGAACTGGTAAAAATGAACAAAAAGACTGGAGATAAATCATAACTACAGTTCATGCCTAAAGCCCACTAAATTGGCAAGAATTAATAAGCCTGACAAAATTAAGTACTGTCAAGGATGCAAAATGAACTCACCCAGTGGTGGAAGGTGGTCCACTTTGGAAAGTTAAACATGTGCACAACCGATGGCTCAGCATTTTTACTCCTGGAGAAATTCTGGCACACTTACAGGAGATGTTCACGACAACACGCATGCAACAGCAAAAGCAAACCACAAAAATCTACACAACCCAAATAGTTACCAACAAGAGAATATAAAAACAACTTGGAAACAACCCAAGTATCTAGTAACAGTAGAAGAAGTATAGTAGTACATTCATACTGAAGGGGTTAAAATATGCCATTCCGGCATACTATTTAAATTAAAGACACATGAAAAACAGCAGGTGCAAAAAGGTGATTGACCTTTGTGCTGTTTCTTAAGAGCAGGAGATGGATTCCAGTGTGAAAGACACTCTCTATACTGGAAGAAAAGGCAACAAACATCTTTATCTTCAATGACGAGAAGTTTGAGACCAGGAGAATATTGTACAGACCTTGTTAGAATAACTATTTTTTAAGGCTCCCGCAAAATACAGTCACATTTTCACAGTTTACTAGTCTTTGTCCAATTCAGTATGTAAGTAACTGACTCTACTTCTTTTGGTTTTATTTCTTTATGAGGGCTCCTGCACCACATAAAATTTGTATTACATCAATTTATATGCTTTTCTCTTGTTAATCTATCCTATGCCAATTTAATCTTCAAGGCCAGCTGGGACCCTGAGAAGATGGGAGGGAGTTTTTCCCCTCCCTACAGTACAATGAAATACTACTCAATAATAAAAATGAACTAATTTTGAGAATAATATGAGTGAACCTCAAAAACACTGAATGAAAGAGAATATATAATGAAATAATAATGTATATAAATTCAAAACCAGGCAAAACAGTCTATTGGGAGATACGTAACTGGGAAAACTAAGAAGAAAAACAAGTAAAAACGATCATAAAAATCAGAGTGTGACTGTTATGGAGAGGGTGAGCACAGGTGATCAAGAAGGGGCACAAGGGGCCTGTCCCCTGGTAATGCCCCATATTTTAACGTGAACAGCTGCGGCACTCGTGTTTCATTTTTAAAGTACACAATTACATGTTATACGTAATGTTCTGTCTTTATGATACTTTACAATAGAAATAAATTTATCACATTTTCATTTAACTTTTGGTAATAAAATACTTTATTGGTACCATTTAATAAATGTCAAAAACGTATAGCATTTCCATTGCTTAGCTTCCATCTTTAAACTTAAAGCTAGTTAAAAACAACAGGAACAAAAGTAAACTCATTTGATTCTCTCAAAAAACAAGCTGTAACTTACCTTTGCAAATAATTAAGTTCTCTCACTTTAAATATCGTAATTCACTGGTCTTCATAATAAATAATTATAATAATATATAAAAGGAGACAGTGGCCTGAATTATTTTGCAGAGAACATTTCACACATCTTTTAAAAAAATCACTAAACTACCACAACTTAAAACTTGTAAGAATAATTAGGTAAGAGTTATTGTAATATTGAATTAATATAGCACCTAGAAATTTGAAATTTGTAATATTTCAGATGATATGATTTACTGAGAAAAAGAGTAATGATTTTTCTTCAGTGAATTTTCAGGGGTTTTCAACATAGGTCTCTTTTAAAAGGGTTAAAAAATTTATGCATACTAGGAATTGACCTGATGGTAACAGATCCATGTGTGACAAATAATGTAGTGCAGTCCTATCTGAATATAATTTCTTTTTCACTTTGTCTCATTAATTTATACCTCAATTAAAACATTCTATATGCAAGTGACATATTTCTCTAAAACATTCCGTATTTCAGATTTCCATTCAGACTATCTTCCCCTCCTCCCTTTTCTCAAATCAGAGTGATCTTGTGGCATACCATTTGCTTTTTCTCTCCACAATGAAACTCTTTTTCAACTCAAAGTATTATAGTAATGCAAATACAAATGTAGCATATATTAATATATTAGAAAAAGGATAGTAAATACATATGGATCCATGCCAAATTAGAAAATTGAAAGCAAAAACAAACAAAACCATGCTATGCTCATCTATTCTGAACCACCATGGGAAGACCCTGATAGAGCTGGCTCAAATAAACTAATGTTCCCAGACAGAGCTAGGATCCTGTATTCCAACATAATTAAATGCTCTGTTAAAAATGTTTCCGTGTTCTTTTCTGTTTGTTCAAAATAGTTTACAGCAACTGACTACTAATCCTAATCCTGAACATGATAATGTAATAACATATTTTTAATCAAGCCATAGATTCTAACCTATTTTCTACTATTACCCATTTGCTTAAAAACAGACTTTCAGGGGTGTAAGCAACAGTAAGTTAAGGAGTTTTTAGTTCTACCTTTCTCTTGATTGATTGATTGGGGATTTCAGATGTGTCAATTAATTATCCTCTATTTCAGTGGAAAAGGATTCTTCAAGCTATCAAGTCAAGGAGGCTGACTCAGGGGCGGGCAGGTGAAGATACCTATCCACATACTATGCTCATAACGCTCCATCTCCTCTGTAAGAATGTGCTGCTCTCCACCCAACAGTGGCCCAGCACATTCCATCCGCTCCACCTAGATGCAATCAGGACACCATGCAATCCCACACACAATCAGAACATGGGCACCAGGTAGAACTAACTCAAAACAACTTTTGGGACAAATATGAGATTTCAATTTGTCAATTATTCCATAGTGCAGTATTCTCACAAAACAGAGATTTTGTGTTGAAACATTTGTTTTTTCTTCTCACATCAAGTTGAATTGCTAAAGTAATGTCAGAAAGAACATGAAAAATAAACATGTCTTCTCCAAAAGAGGCACTGCATCTGGAAGTAGAAGTAAGGCTAAATAAATAGTGCTGTTTTGTGGTTCATACAGTAACGCATTAATTATGATTTCAACCAACAGCTTCACTGTTTGTCCTGTATGCCTGTTTATGAAGATGCGTCTCTATTTCCTCCCTGAAGACCAGCATTCCCAGGTGGGAGTGAGAGGCCTCATTCATGGCTTTAGACTGGATGCACATGCGGTACTGCTCGGGGGTCAGCTCATCAGCACAGCGCTTTTCATGCCAGAGGTGGAAAAGACCAGGAACCGGAGTCCGAATCACAATGAGGTCACCATGTAAGTATTTTCGATAAAGATGAACATCTTCTCCACCCCAACCTTTCACTTCCATGTCAAATCCACCTGTAAGATCAAAATTGACACTATAAATAACTGCCTATTATTAGCCAGAGCACAGGGATATATATAAAATTTTAAATGTTCTGCTTCAAAAGGGATGGGATGGTTCAGCAAAAAGGTAGCACGAGACACCTGGCATGGAGGAGTGACTCCCAGTCACCGGAAGTCCAGTTTTGAGCTGACACTTGGACTCAAGGAGCTCAAGGTTGGTTGTTGACAGTATCAAAATGGGGTTAAATATTTAAGAACACTTTGTAAATTTCAAAGTCCTGTAGAAAATCTACAAAAAGTCAAATAAAGGAGAAGAAAATACAAGTCACCTATAATCTCACCACCATTAACTTTTTATGTTTTCTTTTTTTTTTTGTTTTTTTTTTTGAGACAGGGTCTCACTCTGTCACCCAGGCTGGAGTGCAGTGGTGTGATCATGGCTCACTGCAGCATCGACCTCCGTGGCTCAGGCGATCCTCCCATCTCAGCCCCGAGTAGCTGGGACCACAGGCGCATGTCACCATACTCAGCTTTTTTTTTTTTTTTGGTGGAGATGGGGTATCACCATGTTGCCCAGGCTGGTCTCGAACTTTGGGTTCAAGTGTTCCGCCCACTTGGCTTCCCAAAGTGCTGGATTGCAGGCATTAGCCACTGCGACCAGCCACATTTTCTGTCCTTTGAGACACACGCTTTTCTGGGCTATAGAAAAACTCCCCAGAGTGGAAAAAGAAGAAAGGGCCAAGCTGGAGATATAAATTTGAGAATGGGTCCATAGATTATTTAAAGCTACAGGAATGAATGAAATTACTGAAGGAATTTGGAAGGAAAACAGGGCCTAGGTCTAAACACTAAGAAATGCCAATTTCTAGAGGTTAAATAGAGGTAAAGAAAGTTAAGTCAGGAAATGAGATTGAGAAGTGGCCCCAGGTGAGGGAGAAAATTCTGGAAAAGGTGCCATTGTAGTAGCCACGTGAAGAAAGTGTCTTGAGGAAGAAGTTGTCAAGTGTGTGCTATTCAGTGAAGAATTTAAGAAGAACTGACTGGACCTGGCAGCATAAATGTTACTTATAAACTTCCCCAGAACAATTCTGATAGAGTGATGGGGCAGAAGGCTAACTGGAGTGGGCTGCTGCAGGAAGTCAGGGACCCCGAATGGAGGGACTGGCTGAAGCCATGGCAGAAGAACATAAATTGTGAAGATTTCATGGACATTTATTAGTTCCCCAAATTAATACTTTTATAATTTCTTACTCCTGTCTTTACTGCAATCTCTGAACATAAATTGTGAAGATTTCATGGACATTTATCACTTCCCCAATCAATACCCTTGTGATTGCCTGTCTTTACTTTAATCTCTTAATCCCGTCATCTTCGTAAGCTTGAACTCCTGACCTCAGATGATCCACTCACTTCGGCCTCCCAAAGTGCTGGGATTACAGGCGTGAGCCACCGTGCCTGGCCTGTCAAATAATTTTTATTTTTCAGAGATGTGTTCTCACTCTGTTGCCCAGGCTGGAGTGCAGAGGTGCAATCATAGCTCACTGCAGCCTCCATCTCCTGGGCTCAAGTGATCCTTCTGCCTTAGCCTCCTTAGTAAGTGGGACCACAAGTTCGAGCCACCATGCCCGGCTCCTGTCAAATAATTCTATCCCACTTAATTTCACATTAACAGGATGGACAATAATCTGGGGATCTCTGAAAAGTATTAAACAATCAGAGCTTTACTAAATGCTATGTCTGATACATATCAGCTTTTCTTCCTTGTAGATATAAGCTCTTAGAATATTAGAGATGGTACATATACTTAAAACAAATGGGGCATTCTCAGTTTCTGGTCTGGCATGCCTGGAGCTAGAAGTCATCACTCCATCCTAACAAGTCAAAAGCTGAACACTGAAAAAGCAACAACTCCTCTTAGGTCTCTCACAGAGAAGTGAGGTCACAGGGTAAACCACTGCCCTCAAAACTGGTGAGACAGATAGGCAGATACAAAGAATTCCAACTTACTGGAGCAGAAATCTCTGTGGGGACCAGTACCCAGGTAGGAAAACCCTAACTGTAATCGACAAATTGCTGGAGGCTCAGGGGAGGTAAGTCTGAGTGTTAAAAACTCCAGGGGGACCTGGTCATATTGGGACCCCCATACTCATGTGAGTTTTACCTCTAGGAGCTCTATTAGGTCCTCAGTGGTGAAGATCAGAGAAAAATCTCTTAATGCGTCCAGCAGTGGGGAAGGGGAAAAGGTAATCATTTTAAAGTATGCCACAGCATGTTGTCATTATTAACAAAGCCTGTCCTTAGGAGAAGTTATTTAACCAGAGCCTAACCTGCTGGGGTTTTATCAGTGCCTAACTGACTTGGAGGAAGAAATCTACCCAACTAGAGCCCCTTCTAGTCATCCTGTCCAGGAGAGGAGGGGAGACTGAGAAGCATGTGTGAAATTCAGAGTCTGGGATACAGGATCACTAAGAGATTGAGACTTACTTATGGGACTACAGAACACTTCCGCTCCCTCCACACTTCACCACCACATCATCAAAGGCCTATTTATTGCAGTTCCTTTTACGCAGTATATCAAGTCCAACTTTCAACAGAAAACATGACAAGGTATACTAAAAGTTAAGAAAAACACAGTATGAACAGACAGAGCATGTACCAGATCCAGATTCAGATACAGCAGGGATGTTGGAATTATCAGGCTGGGAATTTAAAACAACTATGTATAATACTCTAAGGGCTCTAATGGAAAGAGCAGATAACACACAAGATGCGGAACATAAGCAGTGAGATGGATCTAAGGAATTTAAAAAAATGCTAGAGATCAAAAACACTGCGAAATAAATGAATGCCTTAGATGGGTTCATTAGTAGACCGGACTTAGCTTAAGAAACAATCTCTGAGCTTGAGGATATGACAATAAAAATTTCCAAAACAGAAAATCAAAGAAAAAAAAAGACTGAAAATAAAATGAACAAAATATCTAAGAACGGTGGGACAACTACAAAAGATGTAACATATGTATAATGGGAATACCAGGAAGAAAGGAAACAAGGGAACAGAAGCTCCAAATAAAGAGTCTAAGTTCTAAACAGGTGCAGCTCTTTTTCACCCAGCCCACAGCAACAGGGTGGAGGCTCCACTTCCAGGTGTGGCCAGCTGAGAATACTGGGGGTCCTCCTGCCCCTACCCAGTGTCCTGCTCATAGGGCAGAGGTGGTCACTCTGCTTAATAAGTGTGTCACTGTCCCCATCCTCAGGGCAAAACCTCATGGATTTTTTCCCCCGGGGGAGAGGAAGTCCATAAGAACAAAGTGCTCCAAAGTTCTTCCCTAAGGAACTGACTTTATTTAAAATAGAATGTAGAGAAGTTCAGAGTTTAGAGAAGTTCCAGCCTCTTGAAAATAATGGAGATTTTGGTAGTAAGCAATTAAGAGGAGGCTGGTAACTCCAGGAGGGCAACAGCTAAACTGTAGGCCAGCTAATTTACTAGAGAGAACCACAGAGAGAGATAGTAAGAATATACCTCCTGGGGTCTGAACAAATCTCAAAGACTTGCTGCAAAAACTATCCCTGCAAAAGGGCCCAATTTAGTAGGGACAGATTATGGAGCAATTTATGCCCCAGAGCATTGTCAAAAACAAGACAGCAATTAGTGAACAGTCAGTGGAGTCTAATAGGAGTGATACCAATGGAGGCATGGAAAGAGATAAAGAGAGCCCTGCTAAATCCAATGCCATCCTAGGATAACTGCACAGGCCCTGAGGAGCAACAGCAGAGGCTTCATATTGCCAAAAGGTCGGGGAAGGAGGAAGAAATAATTTGTTAAAATAGTCCAGCCATGTCAATAAATAAATAAACAAGGAAAAAAAAAAACCAAGCCGTGGTGGTAGAGGGAAATCAGTATCCAGAGTTGCCACAGTGTATTACCTAAAATGTCTAGTTTTCGAAAAAGAAATAATGAGGAATGCAAAGAAACAAGAAGATGTGACATACGCTTAAAAAAAAAAAAAAAACCGGCAAGCAACAAAAACTGCCTGTGTTAGGGCCCAGACATTAGCTTTAATACACAAAAATTCCAAAGCAGCCATTGTAAGTATGTTCAAAGAATTAAAAGAAGTCACACTTAAGGAAGTAACAGAAGATGACAATGTTTCATCACATAGAGTATTAATAAAGAAATTATATATATATCAAAAGAACCACATAGAAATTCTGAAGTTAAAAACTATAGTAACTGAAATAAAAATTCATTAGAGTAGCTCAACAGTAGATCTAACAGAAAAAACAATCAGAGAACTTGGATAGATCAATAGAAATTATGCAATCTGAAGAACAGAGGGAGAAAAGAATGAAGAGAAATAAACAGAGCCTAAGAAAAATGTGGGATACCATTAAATGTACCAACATACATACAGTGAGTGTCAAAGGAGAAAACTATGAGAATGGAGCAGAAAAAGTATTCAAAGAAATACAGTCAGCCCTCCATATGCATGAGTTCCACATCCCATAGAATCAACCAACATGGTTCAAAAATATTAGGGAAAAAAACGATAAAAAATAACAATAAATATAAAAATTTAAATACAATATAACAACTATTTACATAGTATTTACATTGTATTAGGGTTTTTTTTTTTTTTTTTTGATGGAGTCTCACTCTGTTGCCCAGGCTGGAGTGCAGTGGTGCAATCTCGGCTCACTGCAAACTCCGCCTCCCAGGTTCATGCCATTCTCCTGCCTCAGCCTCCCAAGTAGCTGGGACTACAGGCGCCTGCCACCACGCCTGGCTAATTTTTGTATTTTTAGTAGAGACAGGGTTTTACCTTGTTAGCCAGGATGATCTTGATCTCCTGACCTCGTGATCTGCCCGCCTCGGCCTCCCAAAGTGCTGGGATTACAGGCGTGAGCCACCGTGCCTGGCCTGTATTAGGTATTATAAGCAATCTAGAGATGGTTTAAAGTATATGGGCAGATATGCACAGGTAATATGAAAATATGTATATTTACATAAGGGACTTGATCGACCATGGATTTTGGTTCCACATGGTATCCTGGATCCAATCCCATGCAGGTACTGAGAGATGACTATAATGGCTGAAACTTCCCAAATTTGATGAAAAACATTAATGTACATATTCAAGAAGCCCAAGAAACTCCATAACCCAATTAAAATGGGCAAAGGATCTGAACAGACATTTCACTAAAGATATACAAATGGCCAATAAACACATCAAGAGATGCTCAACAACATTAATCATAAGAAAAATTATAATCAGAGTCACAATCAATACCACATCCACTATCATGGGTGATACTAGAAACAAAAAGATAATAACATGTATTAATGAGGATGTGGGGAAACTGGAACTCCTAAACACTGCTGGTGGGAATGTAAAATGATGCAGCCACTTTGGAAAACGGTGTGGCAATTTCTCAAAAGGTCAAACACAGGATTACCATATGACCCAGCCAGAGTCCTGGGCATATGTCCAAGAGAATTGAAAATCTATGTCCACCCAAAAAGTTAAACACAAATGTTCACAGCAGCAGTATTTATAATAGCCAAAAAGTAGAAACAACTCAAATGCATATAAACTGACAAATGGAGAAACAAAATGTGGTATAACCACACAATAGAACATTTTTTGGCTATAAAAAGGAATGAAGTACCTAACATGTCACAACATGGATGAACTTTGAAAACATTATGTGAGTGAAAGAAGCCAGTCATAAAAGGCCACATATTGTACAATTTGCTTTCTATTAAATTCCCAGAAGAGGCAAATCTATAGGAAGTAGACCAGTAGATGCCTAAGTTTGGGGGGAAAGAGGGTTGGTAGGATGTGAGGAGTGATTGTTAATGGGTATGGGATTTCTTTTTGGGGTGAAATGCTCTAAATTTGATGGTGGTGATAGCTACATGACCTGGTTAACCGTACACTTTAAATTAATAAATTTTATGATATGTAAACTATATCTCAATAAAATTGTCATAAAAAAGAGATAAGGAACTCAAAGCATTCAAGATACTGAAAAAATGTACACAAATCTATTTTTGAGGAATAGTGAAATGCTGCTTGCTTAACTAAGCAAGAAATCAAGGAAAAGAGCATCAGTTTAATTTAACGCCCCTTTTATTGTTATTTCCTGATTTTCCATTATTCAAGTGTTACAATGATAAGGAGACAAGGTGGGGGGATTTCCAAAACAAAAGGCTGGTTATAAAAACGAATGTGATATGGACCTAGAATGTATATAAAATATATTCTATGACTTCTATGCTGTAGAAAGGTAGCTAGCCCTAAATGAATCAGAAGACATGGAATCAGGTTTCAGCCTGCTTTATTAAACTATTCTTTGACACTTTATATTTTGCTGGGTAAGACTGAAGCTAGGGGCTGGGCATGGTGGCTCACGCCTGCAATCCCAGCACTTTGGGAGGCCAAGGTGGGCAGATTGCTTGAACCCAGGAGTTCAAGACCAGCCTAGGCAATATAATGAAGCTCCGCCTCTACAAAACAAACAAAAAAATTAACTGGGTGTGGTGGTGCACGCCTGTGGTCACAGCTACTTGGGGATTGAGGTAGGAGGATCGCTTGAGCCTGGGAGGCAGAGGCTGCAGTGAGCCAAGATTGTGCCACTGCTCTTCAGCCTGGACAACAGAGCATGCAGGATAGTTAGAACAAATTATTCATGGGCCATCTTTAGGCTTAGGGGAATGCATGACTAAGGTGTGATTCCAAGACGCGCTAGAAAGAGCAGGTCTTCTTTCATTTGTATTAAATACTGGGATTTTGTGTAACAGTTCACTAGACAAGTAAAGGAGGTTTCATCTCAAAAAAATGTGAAAGTCCTTGGTCTAGATAACCAAGATTACTCCCAGCTGTAACAACCCATGGGCACAACAGTAAAGTTATAGAGAAAGCTTTTGTAAGACTACTCTAAACACCTGCAACTATGGGTAACAAGTTAAACAGATATTTTTAAAAACAGGTGTTTTGATTTTAAAGGAACAAGTAAATATTATACTTTATTTTTATGACCATTTTTTTCCTATTCAAAACATTAATTATAAACTTATTTTGCCTTTTGTATATCCAGTTTCTCTTTTTAGCTAACCTTAGACACTCATACTTTAGTAGGAAAACACTCAAATCTGAGACCTTTTAGCAAAATACCATTAAGTCTGGAGTAAATAAAGTCCTATCCTTAAATGTAAAGTATACTTACCAATGGTCAGGAAATCTGAACGATACTGACAAGTCATTCCAAAGCCAAAATCTCGCCAAAAGCCAGAATCCTTTTTGTGAACCTTAGTTAAAAAAAAAAAAACAGAAAACAATTTAATTCCATAAGAAGCAGAAGTTTTAATCAACGATGAAACAAATTATTTTCTAATGTATACTTTTTTCCTGTCATTTATGTGACTGATTAAGGATCACATGCACTTATGTTATTAAATCCTTACAAAACAAATAAAAATAGAACTCAAAGCCTGTACAAGGTGCAAGCTGAGGTTACTAATTATCATTGTGGTGCCTGACTTCAAGGGGCTTACATTCTAGGACAACAGTTGCATAAACAAATTGTAACACACAGGATCAACCTTACACAGTAGACTTTATCTGGTGCCTACCCAGTATCCATTCCCCCAACCCCCTTCCTGATTGGTACAGTTTTGTTCTGGTAATTACCTGGCCCTGGGCAGCCCATGAATTCAGGGAAGCTGCTGTCACCAGTAGATTCGGAGTGGGCCATGAGTCTCTATACTAGTGAGACAGTCTCACCCCACTTACCATAGTGGCTCACTTACTTACTGGCTCACTAATAGGTATTTAAAAAAAAATCAGGCCAAGTAGGTAAACCAGGGTGGTTGTTGGGAACTTTGGAAAACAAAGCTCCTTCGTTCTTCTAAGAGACTCACTAGAAAGGACATTTGGTCGTAGGGCAGGGTCAGCAAACGATGGCCTCTGGCTAAATCTGGCCTGCTGCCTGCTTTAGTAAATAATTTTAGTGGAACGTAGTTGTGTTGATCTGTTTACAAATTGTCTATGGGTGCTTTCACAGTGCAGTGGCAGAGTTGAGTAGTTGCAGCAGAACTGTATGGCCTATAAAGATTAAAACATTTCTTATCTGGCTCTCTACAGAAAACATTTGTTGACCTCTAGTGCACGATGCAGCTATGAAGCTTGGAACTGCCAAAGTCCTTTTCTACCATGCGAGAAACCAGCTTTAATATGAGGCTGTCACCACTTAAGTCTAAGTAGAGAAAGAAATATAAAACCAGGGCATTGATGACACTGAGTCCTTGGAATCACTTCTGCTTACAAGTTGAAGCCTGATAAACCTTTTATTTTATTCATACTTTCAACAAGTGTTTAATCTTTTGGATATGGTTCTAGTAACTGAGGCTTAGCAATAAACAGAGGTGACAAAGTCCCTGCCATCAAAGCGCCTTTGTTTGGGTGGGAAAATAGTAAATAAATAAATATACATTTTAGGTGGTGATACATGCTACAAAGAAAAGAGGCAACAGCTATAACTAGGGATGGGAAGCTGCTAGTCTAGTGTGTGCTACTGTGGTATGTACCAAAAGCAAAAGAGTGTATGGATGTGGAATGTGGAAAAGATTTAGGTCAGAGACTTCACAGAAGTCAGCAAGTGATTGAATGGGCAGGAGTGGGGAGTGAAGGAGAAGGATCAACCAAGATGACAGCAGGCTTCCGTCCTGAACAGTGGGTATGTAATGGTGCTATCCCTAAGATGAAGCCCAGGGGAAGGGCCAGCCCAGAGAGGAACAACATGGAGTTGGTTCTGGCCATAATGAATCTGAGTGATCTGTAAGGCACCTACACAGAAATTCCTGCAGATAGCAGGAATATCAAGGTCTGCAGAGGTGACAAATTTTGAGAAGAGTGGGCACAGTCTGAAATTGCTGCTGTACAGAATAGGAGAATCAACAGGAAAACACATAATGAACCAGGCAGCCCTGAGGGCTCAGCTCAGATTGGAGCTGATGGATGAGTTTGGCATTTTTCTTTTCAATTTTTTTTTTTTTGAGCTGAGGGGGAGAACTTCTTCCCCTTCTAGAATGTAAAGCTCCCTGAGGGGAGGACTTGTGGATTCTGTTCACTGCTATATTCCTAGCACCTAGAACAATGCCAGGCACATGACAAGCTTTCAATAAATACGTGTTGAATAAATAAATATATAGAGAGACATAATTTTAGTGGCAAAATGAAGACTAGACTCTATTATTATTATTATTTTGAGACAGAGTCTCACTGTGTTGCCCAGACTGGACGGCAGTGGCACAATCTTGGCTCACTGCAACCTCCAGCTCCCAGGTTCAAGCGATTTCCGTGCCTCAGTCCGCTGAACAGCTGGGATTACAGGTGTGCGCCACCACACCTGGCTAATTTTGGTATTTATAGTAGAGACAGGGTTTCACCATGTTGGCCAGGCTGGTATCGAACTCTTGACCTCTGGTGATCCACCCACCTCGGCATCCCAAAGTGCTCGGATTACACGTGTGAGCCACCACTCCTGTCTCTAATATTCTTATCTCTTTGTTAAAATATAACCCTGATACAAAGTATTAAAAAGCAAAACACCCACTTTGACATCTCTACACCATGCCAATTCTGATTATATAAGTACTATAACTTTGTAACTTAGTTTCTCTAAAAATTCTTCAAATATTATCAGACTTGGAAAAAGGAATCATTGGTTTGATTTTTAAAGCAACACATTTTCACAAAGGAAAGTAGAAGGAAACTCAAATTGTCCATAATCCTTATTGTTAATATTTTCTTGCACTGTTTTATCTGGCCTCCTAAGCATGTGGGAGATGCAGTTATCCACACATAACCTATATACCCAAGCCTTGGCCTCTCACAGAATGCCAGATCCCTGTAGCCAACTAGCAATTTGGCACCTCCCCTTGGATGTCTGATAAACAACACATGGCTACTATGGCTCCAGTTGAATCCCAATCTCTGCTCTCCCATTCCTTTCCTTTGCTAATTTCCTACATCTAATCCAACAGCAAGCTCTGTCAGCCCTATCTCTGAATCATATCCAAACCTTTCTCCGTAATTATAATACACTGTCACCCAAGCCACAATCATCTCCCCTTGTCTACTGTGAAAGCCTAACTGGCTGCTGCCAGCCAGAGCCACACACAATCCATTCTCCCTCCAAAGGCTTTCCAACATACTTAGCATAAAATCCCAATGCCTTCCAGAGGCTGAACAAGCTCTACATGCCCTGGCCCAGCTATGTGCCCCTCACCGGCTGTGCTCCAAACACCCTAGGAAACCCAGTAGCTGTTCTTTCTGCCTGAAACCACTATCCCCCAATCACAGCCTAGCTGGTTCTTTCCTGTTCTTTGGACAGCTCTGCTCAGCTTCATCTCAGAAACACCTTTCTGACCAAACAAGCCACAGAAACCACGGAGTCACTCTTTGCAACTCAGTCTGTTTTAATGATCCACGTGGCATGCATTATCTGATTTTACTTTCTGTCACCTCCTAATAAATAAAGATCCTCACGAGCAACAGCCATATCTGTTAGGGTCTAAGTGTCAGGGTGCCAGTGGTGGATAGTGCGTGGCATCAAAGGGACCCTCAATATTTGATGAATTAATATAACAGAGGCAGTGTGCACAGTGGACAGGAGTGGAGGCTGCGGAGCCACATCACCCAGCCTCCTGGGCCTACTCAGGCCAGTGTGTACTTGGACAGGCACTCGACTGCAGCACAGCTGTGAAAAATGGGGCAGTAATACTACATACCTCAGAGGTTGTTAGGAGGATTAAATGAATTAATGTGTAGGCAAAACAGAACAAGTACCCTGCACATAGTAAGGGGTTCATAAAAATATTAGCTATTATCATCATTTAAATGTTACCTAAAATATAGATACGCTATTTCCCGCTTTTTAGCTTTACATTTTCCTCTTCATTTACACGGCTGTATTTACATTTTTCACATTTTCCTTGATATGCAATATTCACCAGAGAATGTACCATAATTCAATTTATCCTTTTATTATTAGAGTTTTGCTTGCTTTTAATGTTATCAATTTATGCATATTACCATCATGTAGCTCGATTACTTCCCCAGGAAAGACTGTTGGGGGTGGAAATTACTGGATCAGAGGGATGAATCTGTTTAGAACTCGACTCAGAGAACTGGCCTGAATCCCCAACAGAAGCGACGGAGGAGCTCCCATCCCCCAGTCTTGCTCACATGGCTTTGCTTTTTAAAAGCAGTGACCTAACAGCAGAAACAAAGCATTATACTGCTGTTCTAAATTATTCCTAGTAAGGCTGACTATTTAAATATGTGAATTATCAACTGTCTTACCCATTTTTTTCCTTCTTATTTACTTCTAATATAGCTTTAAACATCAAGGAAAACAAGTTTTTGTCTTTTAAGTGAGGAGACTGAAGCTTAGAAAAGTTAAGCAACTTGCAAAGGTTACAAGTGGTGAAACTAGAACTTGAAGTGCTTAAACTTAAGTTGCTATGCAACACCTAGAATGAATCAGCATTCAAATCATTCTTCCCCTACAACCCTCCAAACCAGGCAAGAATATTAGCATGCTTTGGCCGGGTGCGGTGGCTCATGCCTATAATCCCAACACTTTGGGAGGCTGAGGCCAGCAGATCACAAGGTCAGGAGTTCGAGACCAGTCTGGCCAACATGGTGAAACCCCATCTCTACTAAAAATACAAAAATTAGCTGGGCGTGGTGGTGTGTGCCTGTAATCCCAGCTACTTGGGAGGCTGAGGCAGGAGAATCGCTTGAAACGGGAAGGTGGAGTTTCCAGTGAGCCAAGATCATGCCACTGCACTCCAGGCTGGGCAACAAGAGCGAAACTCCATCTCAAAAAAAAAAAAAAAGAGTATTAGCATGCTTTTACATTCCCTTCACGCTTCTATGTTGACTTTATTTGCCTCTTTTTGTTTTAATTAATTTTAATATACAACCTTTTATTTTGGAATAATTTTAGATTTACAAAGAAGTTGCAAAACAGTAAAGAGAGTTCCTGTATACCCCTCATCCAGTTTTAGCTTCCCCTAATGTTATCATCTTACATTGTTGTGGTACATTTGTCAAAACTAAGGAACCATCATTGCTATATTACTATTTAACTCAACTCCAGATTTCATTTGGATTTCACCAGCTTTCCCTTTACTGTCTTTTTTTTCTATTCTAGGACCTAGTCCAGGGCACCACATTGCATTTGGTTGTCATGTCTCCTTAGTCTCCTCTTGGCTATGATGGTTTCTCAGTCTTGTTTTTGGTGACCCTGACAGTTTTGAGGAAGAATGGTCAGGTATTTTGTACAATGCTCCTCAATGTGGGCTTGCTGCAGCTTTCCCTGTGACTTTCCTGGGGAAGTTATCTACGTTTTTGGAAGAGGACTGTGAGCTAAAGTGTCCTTCTCATTATGTCATGTCATGGGTACATGGTATCCCTTGGTTAAGGTGTCTGCTGGGTTTCTCCCGTGAAAAGTTTGTTTTTTCTTTCCATACTATGTTCTTTGAAAGTGAGTCCCCTAGTTCCACCTACTGGAAGAGGGAGTATCTACATAAGTTATTTGGAATTCTGTAAGGAAGACTTAACTTTTCTTTCCTATCTAGTCTAGTCACTCAATATTTATCTGCTCATTCACTCACTCATTTGTATCAGTATAGACTCATGGCTATTTACTTGATGCTTTGGGTTATAATCCAGGTTTAAGTTATTTATTTCATTGCTCAGGTTGTTCCAGCTTGGGCACTGGGAGCTCTTTCTGTTGGCTCCTGTGCCCCTTCGACATATTCCCCCTATCTTTTTATTGAGTGCTTTCTTACTTTCTGGCACTGTAAGATGCTCCAGGGTCTTCTTGTATATTTTTTGCCCCTGCCCTGGAATCAACCATTTCTCCGTGGACCTCTGGCTCGTTTGATTGGAGAATAGTATTAGAAACTAAGATTTGGAAGCTGAGTGTACTTGTTACTGTTAGGGTGTCACTGGTTCTAGGCCCTCTCAGCTGACAGCTAGGTAATACACATAAGTATACCATGTACATAACCCGCTGACATCTTAATCCCAAATTGGTATTAATTGCCTTTTTATTATGTCAACATAACTATTTACACTATTACATCAACAAATGTTTAGACTTAATTTTTTTGGTTGTTCACCACTATTTACTCTCAGGTCCTCCTCTCTCAATGTATACATTTATCATTTTGCTGGACTCGATTACAAAGGTCTGTTGAGAAATAAATTCTGAGTCCTTGAAAGCTCAAAAATGTCTATTTTGTCCTAAAATAGTAGGTTGAATATGAATTCTAGAATCAAAGTTACTTTTCTTCAGAATTTTCATAGTATTGCTTTATTGTTTTCTAACACCAGTGTTTTCAAAAAGAAGACGAATGCCAATCTGATTGTCACTCCTTTGTGAACAAACTGGGTTTTGCTATTTTTAGTGTCTCTGGAAGCTATTAGAATTGTCCTTTTACTGTTGTTCTCCAAACACCAGAAGATTTGTTTCTGCTTAGCTCTGGAAACTTTCTTCCATTTCCTCCACTCAATATTCTCTCTTTTCTGAACTCCTATTAATAATTTGGGAGCTTCTGGCTTGATCTTCCTTGTCTTAATTTTTCTCTCATGTTATCTCGTGAACTTTACGTGTCCAGTTGGGTTGTCTTCCAGTTTACAAATTTGATTCAACTGTAACCATTCTGCTATTCAGACCATTTACTGATTTTAAAAATATTTTCACAATTTCCAAGTTCTGATTTTTTAAAGCAACAAATCCTGTTTTATGAATTTAACATTTTCTCTAATCTCCTCAAAGATATATTTTAAAATTACTTTCTATCTGTATTCATATACTCATGTGTTAATTTTTCTGTGTATTAACACTTGGTGCCTCTTTCATAGTATTGTTTTTCCTCAAATGTTTGGTTAGTCTTGGTTAATTGCTACTCACTTTTGTTTCAAGTATTGTTCAGAAGTCCATGGCTGTTAGCTTTGATTACAATGGCCTATCTCCAGTCACAGTCAAGGAGATTAGAACAGGGTCTCAGGGGGAATGCGCTAACAGTAGTTCACTTTTGTAGTCTAGGGGCTCCCTAGCCACCCCGACCAGCCTCTCCAGCTCCAGGGACCACATGCACTGCCTTAGACTGAGGGTCAATCCCTGTGATGCCTGCTTCTCAGCACACCTAGAGAAGCATGTTTATTCCAGGCTCCCTCCATTCTGTCTGCTATGAGCTCAGAGGATGCAAAGCAGCCCCATCTTCACTCACTGTTCTCTTGAACACATTCTAGTCTGTTCTCTCCTCCAGAAATCTTACGCTAACTGCTATCGTCTTACAGAAAGTTCTCAAGACTTACGGCTGCTAACACCTTCTCTCATTTTCCAGTACTAATGTACCCTTTTCTTCAGAATAATTCACCGTCAGATATGGCAGACGTGGGTGCTCAGTTTGCCATTTTGAACCTATTTGTATTTATATTCATAATACTGGCCTATAGATAAGGTAGAGGCGTGTGTGTGTGTGTGTGTGTGTGTGTGTGTGTGTGTCTGTGTGTACTATGCCAAGTGTTGATATGAAGATAATGGTGGCCTCATAAAATATGTTAAGTACATCATATGGTGCTAATATTACCTGCTCTTTGAGAGTCTGGAAAAGCTTATAAATTAAAACATTGTATTTATATACCTACAGGGTAACTTTTTGATAACTGTTTTTTAAATGGCTCTTAATTTCTTCAGAGCTTCCACCTTTTTTTTGTTTTGTTTTTTTGAGATGGAGTCTCACTCTGTCACCCAGGCTGGAGTGCAGTGGCGTGATATTGGCTCATTGCAACCTCCGCCTCCCAGGTTCAAGTGATTCTTTTGCCTCAGCCTCCTGAGTAGGTGGGACTACAGGCTCGTGCCACCACGCCTGGCTAATTTTTTTATTTTTAATACAGACGGGGTTTCACCATATTGGCCATGCTGGTCTCGAACTCCTGACCTTGTGATCCACCCGTCTTGACCTCCCAAAGTGCTGGGATTACAGGCGTGAGCCACCATGCCCGGCCCACTTGCACCTCTTTTATTCATAAAATACTAACATGAACTTAGCCTGTGTTCATATTTTATAAATTCTCAAATCTTTCATTTATTTATAATTTAGAAAACTTACCCTATAAAATTGATTTATCTCAATGTTTTCATATTCTAATTTCCAATGTTTTCCTTTTTACCTGAAATCTGTCTACTTTATGATTAAATTTTTTGTACATAAACATAAGCTTCTATATTTCTCAATCTATTTTTGTTTTATTAACTTCTGCCTTTATTACTTTCCTTGAAGTTATTTTTCATTTTTTTAAACATCTTAAAGTGACTTCTTAATCATTTCTACTTTTTCTTAGTATTAATAATAAAAGATTATGTTAAAAGCAATTTGGTATTCTCGACTCGATTCTGAAACAGAAAAAGGACATTAGTAGAAAAACTGGTGTAATCCTAGTGTACTTAGCAGTAACTTACCAATATTAATTTCTTCACTTTGACAAATGTACCATGGTTACATAAGATGTTAGCATTAGAGGAAACTGGGTGAAGTATGGAACTCTTTGTACTATCTTTGCAACTTCTCTAAATCTAAATTATTATAAAATAATGTTTATTTAAAAATTTTAAAAAACTTACATAAAATTAGCTTTGGCAATAACTGTAAGTTTTGATATATGGCATTTATATTCTATGACTTTCCAGGTAATTTACCAGAGTATACTATTCCCTCTTATTTAGCAGAGTAGATTTAATTTCTAGTTAGTAGGGTTTTTAAAATCAAATTTTTAGTATTAGTAAAAATAAGCTGGTAGAAATGACTGTACAATTTCCACATTCTGGGACATGAGGTTTTCCTTTATGACCTAAACTCTGCTCCCCCTACACTTAATTCTGAAGCAATAAATGTGAAAAGCATCTTATTGGGGGTATAAAGAGGAACTATGGAAATGTGCTTACAATAACTATAGTTTTTCTTTAACACTTTGCTCATGGAAATACAGTTTTTTATTGAAACTTTGTTTTCTACTTACACAACAAACATCTAGAAAAGATCTTTAGAGTCTTTCATAACTGAAAATGTGAAAGTCTCACCAGCTGCTGCTCCACAGGTGGTGGCACTTCCTGGTTGGCATAAACAATGGCAGGATTGTAAAGACTGAACACCACAGGGTAAAACACCTTCTTACCTACAAATTAAAATATAGGTTTGTAACATAAAAAGAAGTTATGAAGAACTGTTCTTTATTGCAATATCTATTAAGTTTTATCAAAGTCTTATTATACATGATTTTATCTATTTTTTAATATTCAGGCTACAGAACATCATGTTAATTTGATGAATATGATGATTTTGTAACATATCAGTAGGTTAACTATAACCTTGCAAAAGAACAGAGGAAAAAACAAACTAAAGGGTGCTTCACGTTTATTCCCTTTGACTTTGGGGAGATGTGTATTCATTACGTGAGTCATTTATTACTCATTGTTTCATCTAATCAGTAGTAATAAACGTAGATTAACCTCTGATAATCACTATGAAACTTAGAAACGTCTGTTAAATCCACCTGTCAAAAATGAATCATTAGAAAGAGTAAATTCAA
The DNA here is from genome assembly GCF_000001405.40 of Homo sapiens. Classification (NCBI taxonomy): domain Eukaryota; kingdom Metazoa; phylum Chordata; class Mammalia; order Primates; family Hominidae; genus Homo; species Homo sapiens. Next base: position 43,166,589 of record NC_000010.11, on the reverse strand, counting down.
AGAATACTGTACAATGAATAGATATGCAGAGAATAATGAAAATATAGAATAAATCTGAACCAAAATCTGGAAAAGTCGGGAAGACAAGGGTTAAAATTACTTGATATAATAGCCCTTGGAGAAGACCTTGTCATCAGCATTCAAACTGACTGATCTAAAAGGACCATAAAGGCTAACTAGCCCATCTTCCCTCAGGAGACGCAACCCTTGCTATGGCTGGCTTCAATCAGATATGATCACATGAAGTGTTCAGTGATTGTCAGGAAGTGTGGGAGTAACATGGCAACCTTTTTATTACAAGATCCCTAGCAGATGCTCATTCTACCTTTGTTCAAATACATTTAGGGATGGGGAGTTCAATTTTCCAGAGGCAAATCTATTTCTGGATATAAAATATTTCTTTTAAACTAAGCAAATACGTCTCCTTCAACTTTCACATTTTGCATTTCATGCTGTAAAATAAACCTAACCTTCATTTATTCATTAGGTTCTCAAAGAGTTCCTGAAAACTATCTCTAACCTAATTAATAAGAAGGCAATCATTTGCATATGAATAGTTCTACATTAAAAAAACCCCATTTGCTATTAGATTCTTTAAAACATTTTTATTTTTATTTTTTAAGACGGAGTCTTGCTCTGTCACCCAGGCTGGCGATCTCAGCTCATTGCAACCTCCGTCTCCCAGGTTCAAGCAATTCTTCTGCCTCAGCCTCGCAAGTAGCTGGGATTACAGGAACAAGCCACCACGCCTGGCTAATTTTTAGTAGAGATGGGGTTTCACCATGTTGGCCAGGCTGGTATCGAACTCCCGACTGAGGTGATCCGCCTGCCTCGGCCTCCCAAAGTGCTGGGATTACAGGCATGAACCACCACGCCCAGCCTCTTTAATACTTTTAATTCTTTTAAATGAGCTAAAAAGCATTCAGCCACCATGCCTGGCCAAAAATTTTATTTTTAAAGACTAGGACTCACTATGTTGCCCAGGCTGGTCTTGAACTCCTGCACTCAAGTGCTCCTCCTGTCTCAGACTCCCAAGGTGCTGGGATTAAGGTGTGAGCTACTGTGCTCAGCAGCACCCCCCCACCCCAATGTTTTTCTAATTGACTAATAAAAATGGTGTACAACATTATGTTTTGCTACATTCATACACTACGAAATGACTAAATCAAGCTAATAAACATATATCATCACCTCACATAATTAACCTTTTTTTTTTTTGGTGGTAAGAACATTTTTTAATGCTACTACTGGCTTAGCAATTTGTAAGTATACAATACATTGTTATTAACTATAGTCACCATGTTTGTATAACAGATTTCCTCAACTTACTCATCCTGTTGAGATTCTTTAATACTTTTTTTTTTTGAGACAGAATGTCGCCCTGTCGCCCAGGCTGCAGTGCAGTGGCGCAATCTCAGCTCACTGCAAGCTCCGCCTCCTGGGCTCACGCCATTCTCCTGCCTCAGTCTCCTGAGGAGCTAGGACTACAGGCACCCACCACCACGACCGGATAATTTTTTTTGTATTTTTAGTAGAGACGGGGTTTCACTGTGTTAGCCAGGATGGTCTCCATCTCTTGACCTCGTGATCCGCCCGCCTCGGCCTCCCAAAGTGCTGGGATTACAGGCATGAGCCACCACCCCCAGCCTCTTTAATACTTTTAATTCTTTTAAATGAACTAAAAAGCATTTAAAATTTGATTTCAAAAAATGTCATCTTCTCATTAATTTTTTTTTTTTTTTTTGAGATGGAGTCTCACTCTGTCACCAGGCTGGAGTGCAGTGGCATGATCTTGGCTTACTGCAACCTTTGCCTCCCAGGTTCAAGCAATTCTTCTGCCTCAGCCACCCGAGTAGCTAGGACTACAGGCGTACGCCACCATGCCCAGCTAATTTTTGTATTTTTAGTAGAGACGGGATTTCACCATGTTGGCCAGGATGGTCTCAATCTCTTGACCTCATGATCCACCCGCCTAAGCCTCCCGAAGTACTGAGATTATAGGCGTGAGCCCCTGCACCTGGCTATCTCATTAATTTTCAAAAAATATCTACAACTTAAAGCAAAGTATAGTAAATCATCCCAAAATGCACAGTCTGGAGACCAAGCACTATCTGCATCTAGACTTCCATGTGAGTGTGTGTGCACACATGCATGGGGGTATTTTTGCATGTGTGGACGCTATATGCCCAAAGCTGAGTGCTTCAGACTCTCACACACATCTCCATACCATCTGCTTAGCTCTTTTTCTGACCTGCACTGCTCCCACCTCATCAATTTGTAGATACCCTGTTCCTCTGCATTTCCATATTTGGCTTCAAATGTAGTCACTGGAAGTTGGACCCAAGAGAACAAAGGATATGAATTTCAAAGGGTCAAATTTTCAATTTCCTATTTAGTATTCCAGTTAAATTATGCCTAATATAACTTAAAAAAATACTGGGGTTTAACTAAAACTTCTCCCTCAAAATCACTTGATTCAAACTATAGGACATGCTGACAACGTTCTAAATTCTATAGTCAGCTCATCTACCAACATTTTACGCACCTGGCTCAGCATTTAACCGGCAGCTGTTAAGGAATTCGGCTGAGAAATAGATATCAACATCACAGAAAAACATCAAGACCTCTCCCTTGTCCCAAGCTCGGGCACCCACATTTAGTCCTCGTCCACGATTAAATTCTTCATTCAATGAGACCAAGGTGTAATTGTGAAAATTAGACTCACTATGAGGAAAGCACACACAACAAATGATAAGTCCCACTTAAAGTTACCAATTTTCTTCCTTCAACACAGCTTACAAAATATGTTTTACACTTCAAATATTTGATTATATTGGTTCTACATTCACAAAGGGAAAGAAAATCCCAGCTTCATGTGTATGATTATCATCAGGGAGAGATATTCACCAAATGCCCAATTTGAGGCACATGTTGGTGGTATGAGGCTCCAAAAGTGTTAAAGTGGCCACTGACCTTTGGAATCTTAAACACCTTTTGGGGAGTTGAAAAATACACAAATGGAAAAATAGCTGTAATGTCTGTTAATAATGCATTCTAAATGGATAACACACACAAAGATCACTCTCCTCTTGCATCCGTTAGGTCTTTGCACACATGTCGCCTTATCAGAGGGATCCTCCCTAATACTACTTGAGAAGCAGCTGCCACCTCCCACTCCTTCATCTCCATCCTCTTCCTCAGCTGTTTTCCTTCATATTGCTAGACATATTTGTTCCAGTGTCTCTCCCACTCTGTGGGAGCAGGGATTTTGTTTTGTTCATTACTATGGATGCAGTGTCCCCTGATAGAGTAGGAGTTCAATAAATATTTGCTGAATGAATGAATGAACAGCAGTTCTGAAAAATACATCGCTCATGTCTGGAGTAGTTAGAGAAGATGTTAGAAGTGGAACGTGAGTTATGCCTTGGTTAAAATGTTGAATTCAGTGGTGAGTGTAAAGGTCATTCAAAATAATTATTCTCAAAGGCAAAGAGGTAAGAATGTAGAAAGCATTTTAGAGAAAAGGGATCAGACAAATCAGATTGGTAGAAAAGGACCCTAAAATGGGAACAGTGAGATAAGGGTCAACGGAATCTTAAAATGGGAACAATGAGAGAAGGGTCAGAGTGAAGAGTACCTCCCATGCAAGGTTAAAGAAATTGGTCAGTATCCTAAAGGCAAAGAGAATCAGCAGGACTTTTCTGCTAGGGCAGTGGTTCTCACAGTGAGGCCCCCAAACCCACAGCATCAGCTTCCTGTGTTAACATGTTAGAGAAGCAAACTCTCAGACTACAGCCAGACCCACTGAATCAGATGCTAGGGCTGGAGAGAAGCCTCTACATTTTCACAAGTCCTCCTGGTGACTCTGGCACTGAAGCTGGAGAATCACTCACTGCACTAGGGTGCAGCCTAATCAAAAAAGTAACATTTTAGGAGGATTACACTTACAACAGTACAGAATGGGTAATGGAGAGATGGAACAAAGGCTCAAATAGTGCATGGAGTGGACTCCAAGTGCTCTGAATGCCTAGGACTCTTCTCCCCGTCTTAAGGAATATAAATCTCTCCTCTGTTGGGGGAAAACTGCCCATTGCCACCCCACATACTCAGCATCAAGTGGAGGCACTGATCACAGAATACCCCTCACTCTCTGCCCACCCCAACCACAGTAATTTCCTAGGGGTGGAGACCAGGCTTAAGCTGGGCCAGTCCCAATACCCCCACCCAACCTGGCCATAGTGATTGGCTCAAGAGTGGGCAAAATGTCCTTCCCTGGGATTTTCTCAACTGGAGCTGGGAGAAAGCTCTTTCCTCTCTGATGGCAAAGCTGAGAAGATGTGAGCCCAGAGCCGCCAACAGTCATATCCCTCACCATGTGGAAGAAGCCAATCTGCAACAGGAGAATGAAGTCAACATGCAGAGAAAAACAGACAAGGAGACGAGAATTTTGATGGTATTCAAGTCTCTGGTTCCAATCCCTGAGAAACAAGAGTTGTTTTGATTTTCTTCCCCAAATTTGGTTGTAACAATCCCTTTATTTCTGGGAGGTATCCGAGATTCTTCAATACTGCTCCTATTTTCCTCAAGCAAGCTCAAGGTAGGTTTACACCATTTGCCACAGAAGTGTCTTGACAATACTTCAGTATTACCAGTGTGAGCTTGTGGCACTTAGTAGGTGATCTAAAAACACTAAGGAGGGACAGGAAGGGAAGAAATGGAGGGAGGGGGAACCAGGGTTAGGGTGGTGGCAGTAGCAAGGAAGAGATAGAGAAGAGGTCCTGTGAATTAAGTAGGAACTAACTAATTAGAGGTAACTGGAGGCAAAGAATAAGTAAAAGACTGTGGCTCTCAGAAGTCATGCCCAGATGGTGAAAATGGTTTTACTCTGAACTGAAAGAGGGCCATCAGGAGGAGGAGCTGGTGTAGGGAAGGGGAAGACAGTGAATTGTGTCTATATACATCAAGGCTCTGAGAATCCCTGCAGGTCAGGGACTCAGATTCACTCATCTACGCCCACTCTTCTTCCAACTACCCCAGTCAAACTCCCAAGCAGTGTACCTGGAACACAGTAGGCAGGACTCAATGAATGTGAGTTGAATGATTTGAGAAGAATGGCTGATCAAATCTGGGCTCTTGGCAAATGGCCACAACTGGCAGAAAGGTAAAGAAGCAAGTAAAGGATATAGAGCTGGTGTGGTTAGAGATGATAATCAACCTAATAGTTTACATTACATCATACTTACATTTACAAAATAGTTACATTTTACAAACACAAGAAGAACATTTTAAGACAGAAATACTGGTTAGGTTGTCAAAGGTAAAAAAGCAATGAAAAAGAATAACAGAAAAGAATTTGGCAGTTAAGTCGTTATCTTTGGGCCCATGATTTAGAAAGAAAAAGGCTGAGAGGCTAAAGAATTAATAATTAAGTACTAAGGGATTACTAATTCATCCATTCAAACCTCTGAGCATCTACTATGTGCCAGGTACTATATGACTTGCTTAGCTATGAACTACTGTCTCGTGATGTTGAGCTGTGAAAGGACAGAAACATAACAGTAGTGGCTGGGCACTTCAGAGTTGAGTGGGAGTTTCTTAAGGATATGGGAGACCTCAACATTGTTAGCAGGGGGAGAAGAAGGAGCCTGAGGAAATGGAAGGAAAGAAAGGTGACAAAAAAGAGACAAATTCAGAAGATGATTATGTCAAAGTGAAGGAATTAGATTTTAAAAAAAGGAAAGCAGCAGCAAATACACAGAAGGTGAGTGGGCCACAGAGAAAGCATCATGCCAGGCTGCTTGCTAAGCAGTGAAGGGAAGTTGAGTCATGTAGGGTTGCATGTGAAATGAGGAACTTATCATCACCACCACCGCCCACATGCTCAGCCAATTTTTAAATAATAGTTACTAAAAATTATTAACTCATTACATATCTGAAATTCTCTTTTAGCAATGTTATATATCAAGGCCTTCACTGCAGATGTGGTTCACCAACCTGGTGACAGATTCTAGGATAGACTTGACTTTAGACAGTCCTTCTTTACCAAAATACACCACTGTGAGATGAATCTTCTTGTCTTGATGAATACAAACATCCCTAACAGAAGTGAAAAATAAAAGTTTATTCAAGAAAACATGAGGCACTATTCATTAAGAAAGCAACCACATGAAGCTTTAACAAGAAAATGAGGCATTACTGACACAGTAGTAAACATAAATGTGGCAATACTGATGAATTATGGAAGGCACAAGGTCTATGCCTGAATGAGTGCACCCCTTGGAGGGCCATGGAAGCAGTCTGACATTGCTGCCATTATTTCAAAACATTTTTTGAACTTTTGCTTTTGGATTGCTTTCAGAAGCAAATCACAAGCTATTCAAGGAAATAAACTCAACTGGTTCAGAACCACATAAATAAATACTGACCTTTTGGATTAAGAGTTATTTTGTCTTCAGACTGGCTAATTCCAAAAATTGTAACTATCATTAAGGAATAAATATTTGCCATGACTGAGATTACTTACTGTAAATAATAATGTGGCCTTTGAAAGTAATTCCAAGAAAGGCAATAAAAAAATGCTTTAGGAAATCGGATCTCAAGTGAGCTATTTGGAACAGTAAATCTCACTTGGAAGTATGACTGCCAGACATTCAGCTGCAGACCAGTTTTAATTAACCTTTTAAATCCAACAATTTCAATATGAGAATAAAGACTAGGATCACAAAGCATTAAACCAGTATATCAAAGTATCTAAAACATTAAAAATATTAAAGTATTAGAAACATGGAAACTGTTAAATCAAAAAGCATTTTCCACAAATAGTTTTCATAATGTGTAGATAATTATTTAACACTTCAGCATTTTAAAATATACAAATTTGATAACATAAAAAAACTTTACAAATTCTCTGCTTTGCAAGCTGAAATAACTTTCTCCAATTTTTAGTTTAATGTTTGTATGTCTAAATGTATTTCAATTAAAAAACTCAAATCATTCTCAAGGGGATTTTCTTGTGAGACACAAGTATTCTGTATCTTAATTGGGGTGGTGGTTCGTGAGTGTATACGTTTGTCAAAAGACATTAAATTCCAGCCTGGACAACATGGCAAGACCTTCTCTCTACAAAGAATAAAAAAGATGGCATGCACCTGTGGTCCCAGCTACTTGGGAGGTTGAGGCAGGAGGATCACTTGAGCCCAGGAGGTTGAGGCTGCAGTGAACTGTGCTCACTCCACTGCATTCTAGCCTGGGTGATAGAGTGAGACCCTGTCTCAAAAAAAAAAATAAAAATAAAAAAAGAGTCATGATACCTATATCCTTAAAATATGTGGATTTTACTGCATGTAAATTATTCCTTAGTAAAGTTGATTTTTTAAAAATTCAACTTGTCTTAAAATGAATTCAAAACAATTATCAAGGCCATCAAATTTAGTTTCTAATAGGTGTCACTCTTAATTTATTTCATAGTTCAAATTGTCTATAACACAATATACTACACATGCTTTAAAAAAAGAGAGAATATAAAAAAATAAAGTTCCCCTAAAGCCTGTAAAATTATTCTAAGTAATTATAATCGGTGAAGATAAATTAAGGAAATCTGAGTAAAACGTGATTTTTTTTAGGAGAATGTAGCTTAATCATTAAGCCCTGACAGTTACCTGAAGTTCTGCATAAATTGTACAAATGCTTCAGTTCTTTCAGCAAGTGGCACAATGATATTAATAATTGATCTAGTGATGTCAATCATCTCACTCTTCACTTTCATGAGAGGTCCAAAAGGGCGGAAGAGGGTCACATGTCTATATTCCGTAAGGTCTGCTTTCTTAAAAAAGAGTTCATACTGTGTGCCCTTATCTCTCTCAGTGCGATAATAACCTAAAGGAAAGAGTTAGGAACAAAGACGTCTCCATGTCAAAGTTTACAAATTCAATGGGAAGACAGATTTTACTCACTTAAACATAAAGGGTATTAAACTAGACCTGCAGGATTTTTACCTATTTGTGAAAATACTTATCCCCACTGCACAGTAACAATTACTCGCTTAAAAGAAAAGGTTAAAAAAAAAGTTCACTGTTCTGTTATTTTATTCAATCTATAAAATATACTACAAATGACAATTGTTCCTTTTTACATACGACTTTTTAAAAATACTAGAGCCTATCAATATGGTAATCATGATAAATAAAGAAATTACTTCTAGCAATATTAAAATCTAGACCCAAGAGCCAAAATTTCTATTGGTTTAGGTCAACTAAAAGAAATCGAGTGCCTTCGTGTCAGTTATGTGATACAAAGAGTGCCACATGGTCTCAATTTTGAGGACAGGGCCAGTCTAGTGAAGGAGACAGAAAAATAGACAAATAATAACAATATAGTGCTATGTGATATATATATATATCTGTATATATATATGTGTGTATACATACATACATATAAAATCACTGACTAGAGTGAAGTCAAAGAAAAATTGGTACAGATTTAAACACAGTGATTTGAGATGCCTTTGAGAGAAAAGCATGCGCATCTACGAGGCAATCTGATTTTTTTTTTTTTTTTTTTTTTTAGACGGAGTCTCACTCTGTCACCAGGCTGGAGTGCAGTGGTGCAATCTTGGCTCACTGCAACCTCCATCTCCCGGGTTCAAGCAATTCTTCTGCCTCAGCCTCCCAAGTAGCTGGGACTACAGGCGTGTGTCACCACGCCCAGCTAATTTTTGTATTTTTAGTAGAGACGGGGTTTCACTATGTTGGCCAGGATGGTCTTGATCTCTTGACCTCATAATCTGCCCACCTCGGCCTCCCAAAGTGCTGGGATTACAGGAGTGAGCCACTGCGCCCAGTGGCAATCTGATTTTTAAGTATGGCGCTCAGGAGAGAGAAGAAGGTTAGACCTACAGATGTGTGAGTCACTCAGTAAATATCTGGGTATAAAATGGTGAATAAAATAGACTTGGTCCCAACCCTCCTGAGGCTTACACTTTAGTAGGAAGCACAAACCAGGAAATGGGCAATGCCACATACTGTGACAAGCAGTATGAATGTACAGGTGACAAGAGCACACAGAAGTACTGCTGTCTTAGACCTGAGGTTGCAGATGACTTCTCAGAAGAAGTGATATCTGAGCTAAAGTTTAGAAGAGGGATAGGAATTAGTTGTCATTACTAATTATTAGTAATTATTCTCCCTGCAGTGGGCAGACAGTGGCACAGTAGAGGAAAAGTGAGGAACAGAATATGTTCCATTTAGAGAAAAATCCTGAAGTATCAGAATCCAAGGAGAGTTATAAGACAAAAGCAGGAGCTGCAGAATATAAAACTGGCACAGCTCCCTTTCTTTTTAGGTAGAGCTGATGTGAGGACATTTTACACATGTTACTTAGTTATCTTATTTCCTCCGCAGCTTCCAATTCTGCCATAAGCTACAAACATACAGTGAGAAGACAAAAAGCTGAGCTTGCAGAAAAATCAGAAGAGTTTTGAGAAAAATAATCCATCAAAAATGGCAGGAAGTGACAGCAGAAAAAAGAGGAGGCCACAAGGAAAGGCAGCTGCAATGCCACTGCAAAGCATAATGCCCTCCCTGATGGCCTCCAAGGGCCTCAGTGTATTATAATAATGCTACAGTGCAGCAAGTGATGGCCATGATGATTTGGAGTCAAAAAGTCTACATGTGCTATACGAGGGGTCCCTAACCCCCAGGCCACAGACCGCTACTGGTCCGTGGCCTGTTTGTTGGGAACTAGGCGGCACAGCAAGAGGTGAGTGATGGGAGCCTGGCAAGCATTACCGCCTGAGCTCCGCCTCCTGTCGGATCAGTGGCTGCACTGGATTCTCAAAGTAGAGCAAACTCTGTTGTGAACTGCACATGCAAGGAATCTACACTGCACGCTCTTTATGAGAATCTAACTAATGCCAGATGATCTGAGGTGGAACAGTTTCATCCCAAAACCATCCTCACCATCCCATGGAAAAATTGTCACCCATGAAACCAGTCCCTGGTGCCAAAAAGGCTGGGGACCACTGTGATAACACAGTTTATAGAATCAAGCAAAGAGAACTTTCAAGAAACATTTATTTTTAAAATGGTTTAAGTCAGCAATTAAATGTCTAGCAGTGAGTGTAAAGGAGATGGGTAGGGATCTAGAATTATTACTGTTAATATCAATCAATATCTTAAATTTTATAGCAGTGTTCTTCAACCTCTGAGTCACATCCCATCTTGATACATAAAAATTCCATACCCTTTCTGAAATATGTATTAGGAAAACAGGTATTTCCTTACTTTTCCAAATGCCAAATGTGCTTTTTAAACTATGTATAACCCCTTGTTCAGACATGAGCTTCTCCTTCCTCCAATACGAAAAATAGCTAAGAGTCTACTAATTTTTTCTTTCCTTTATCAAATGGTTTTCAAGTTTTGAGTTTTAGTTTACACATTTTTTAAAAACATAAAAAAGAACACCAAGATCAGGTAAGTGAGGAATATAAATCATACACATGCAACAAGAGCTGTTTTATTCTATTTCCCTAGTCCTTATTCTCCATTTTTATTATGATCTCATACCTTTTTCCAGAAGGCCACTTAAAATTCTTGGTGCAATGAAGTGCAAAAACTTTCAGTGTTTTAATACTGTGGATAATGACTGACTTATATTACTAACATTTGTCTACAATACAATACTAGCATTTGTCTACAGTACAATACTACAATACAATACCAGCATACAATACTAGCATTTGTCTTACTAACATAATATTGACCAACATATTTTTCACATTACCTTCTACGAAGTCATTTTCATTAAATATCAGTTTCTCTCCAAGGGGACCCTCCTCATCTTCTTGTTCATCATCTTCATCAGGATTATTAATGACCTCCAAGCCCGCTTCAATAACTTCCACCAATTCATCTCGTTTGTCTTTTCTAACTGGCTTTTCTTCAGGATGGCGAGTGAGACCCATTTCCAATTGAAATACTTTCATTAAGGTAAAACTTTCAAAGGGAATGACCCCATACTCACTGGGTAGTTTGGCCCCTATGCTAACTTCAGCTTTGTCAATTTGGGAATGAAGAAACTCTAAAAGATCACTAGGTGCTTGCTCTTTGTTGCTCTGATAGCCTATGCCATTAGCCCCTACATTCCTTCTTTCTTGCAGTGACCGCATCTTCTCACTCATTTCTTGTAATTCTTGTTTTAGTTGGGCAATTTGGCGTTTCAGACTGGTTGCCCTGGTCTGATAATGTTCTTCTTGTTCCTGTAGGAGGGCTTGATAATACTCTTTACCATAATTTTCCCCAACAACACCAGGAAGAGATGCATTTCCATCAGTCTGGGGGGCACATTCCAGGAGGTACATAAATAATACCAAACTGCAGAGCAAAGCAAGGCCCAACAGCAACCAGTGGGTCCGGGTGTGAAGAATCAGTCCTCTTCTAGGCATTCTTATTAATGTGTATTTGCCTAACAAAATAAGCTCTTTGTGTGTTCATACCTTTAGTAAAAAGTTATCAAAAATTAAAAACAAAATCAGAATTTCCATAAAATAATTCTGCCGTAGCTTTAAGTTTTTCTTTCTTCAGCAGTCATGACTACTTGCAGAAATGGGAAATTATGTATACTTTCTGTATTGTTACCATGATATCCAGAATAAAGCAATCTGATATATAAAATCCATTATATTGGTAGTGATTTTTCTGAAAGACACAGATCAGAATCAATCAGAATTTTGTTCCCTTAAGGATATCAAATTTGTTTGTGGCTTCAGTAAACTTAGCTACGTGACTACTACATGCAGAGAACTATGAGAGGTACTAATATAATTTAGAATATTCAGTAAATACTAGGAGAATTTTTTTTTTTTTTTGAGATGGAGTCTCACTCCGTCACCCAGGCTGGAATGCAGTGGCACAATCTTGGCTTACTGCAACCTCTGCCTCCTGGGTTCAAGTGATCCTTCCATCTCAGCTTCCTGAGTAGCTGGGACTACAGGCATCTGCCTACCACTCCCAGCTAATTTTTGTATTTTTAGTAGAGACAAGGTTTCACCATGTTAGCCAGGCTGGTCCTGACCTCAGGTGATCTGCCTGTCTTGGCCTCCCAAAGTGCTGGGATTACAGGTGTGAGCCACTGAGCCTGGCCTGGGAGAATTTTTTAAAATACCTTAAAAAACAATAAACTATGTATAATACTTTTAACTATTATGTCTACACAGCTATAACTTGAATCAAAGAAACATTAAAATTACGTCAGCATAGTCTGTATTACATATATTCTACTGTTCTCTAATTATTTGAAAATTATATTGCCTATAACTCTTTATTAACATAGTATTTCAATTACCGCACCATTTCCCAACTAAAGCTTATGACCATTTGGGAACTGAGTTTATAGAAACTGTTTCTGTTACAGTAATAACGGTTTACTGGAGAGAGAGATTTTCTCCCAGTTTATTCAACTCAAGCATTCTACCTCATTAATTTCTACTGCTCAGCTCAGCCAATCTAGGAGACTTAAAATTAAGTGGGGGAAAGAACAACTTCAAAAGCTCACAGACATCTGAAAAACACATTAAGAAAACATTTTTATATCCAATGTCCTCCAGTAGATTATTTGCACATTAGATCACATAATTCTTTCCACTGTATTATGCATCAACAGATTTCCTACAAGTCTAGAAAGGTTTGGAGTCTATATAAAGAAAAAACATGAAGAATTTAATCATCCTTATCAGCAGAGAAAAAAATTCAAAAACCATTTATACATTTATAAAATTACATGCTATCGTTCATGCCACAACCAGTTGTGCGAACTCTTCCATGTCTTTAATGATTCTTAACTCTAAAAATAGAGGTTTAACTTAGGACAAGGGAGGCAAGGAGGACTCCACTGCAAAGAGAACTTCCATTGTAACAAAGTGCTTGTTGAGAAGGATAATGTGATATGACAGCAGGTTTTTAACAGTAATGGTTTTCTCACTGCAGCAAAACCTGGAAGATCACTACAGGTTATCAGTCCTAGCCACTTTTTTAATGAGTAGAAAAACCTGGATGCTTTCTGTGGCAAATGCTGCAATGCGTATTTTTTTTTTTTTGGTAACATGTCTGTATAAAACATAGGACAGAAGAAAACTTCTTATGGCCAATATACCACAAATAATGGTCTTAACTCTCCTTAGTCATTTATTATTTTAGTAAACGAAATGATAACCAAGTATCTTGAAAAATTTAACTCACTACAAGGGAGTCCTTTTTTTTTTGAGACAGAGTCTTGCTCTGTCGCCCAGGCTGCAGTGCAGTGGCGCGATCTTGGCTCGCTGCAAGCTCCGCCTCCTGGGTTCGCGCTATTCTCCTGCCTCAGCCTCCCGAGTAGCTGGGACTACAAGCGCCGGCCACCACGCCCGGCTAATTTTTGTATTTTTAGTAGAGACGGGGTTTCATCGTGGTCTCATCTCCTGACCTCGTGATCCGCCCGCCTCGGCCTCCCAAAGTGCTGGGATTAGCCACCGCGCCTGGCCAAGGGAGTCTTTTACTATTACAGCATCTCTCTTACTGATTATAAATCTTGTTTGAGTGATGTAGAAAAAAACAGAAAAAAAATAGTTGGCTTTAAGAAATACCATCTAATCAAAAAATAACTAGTATTATTTCCAGGACTTAACCATACCTCAAAACCATAATCCCTAGCATAAGAAAACACTTGAATTTCATTATTTAAAAGATAAACCTAGCGGTATCTGTTTTAACTATTACTAGCCCATTTATTAGGAAAAAGAACTGAAAATGTGGAGACATAATCTTGTATAATAAAGATATACATACTTTAATTAATAAAGATATACATACTTAAGCATGTTATACTCAAAACTGAAGTGAAACTGGGTAACAGAACTACCACTATCTTTTATTAATATGGTACCTCATATGTTTTCTTTATATACACAATGTATTTTAGACTATGAGCTATAACTCAGACAATAGGTCACTACTGAAGGTTTACTTTTCAATAAAATAGAATGGAAATTATCAGTGGCAGTGTTAAAAAGCTAAGGTCATTTTTCTTCCTCTTCCCTTTAAGGGAAATACAGGTTTTGAGATATCCTACTTAATATTACAGTTGAATATTTTCCAATAAAATGAAAGGATACTGTAATTACTTCAGAATGTAAAAGTTGCATAATTCTGTGGTTATTAAAAATGAAAGATTTCAATTAAAATCTTATTTGCCTAGTTCCCGAAAGAAACTCTTTGGCCATAATCTAGAAGATTACATTATAGCTGTTCTATCATATAAATATATTAAGAATATTATAGAAAACATTTTTCTGTTGTTACATCTTGATTGTCATCATTCTATGAAATGTGTTTGTATCATGAATACGGTTCATTCACAGCCCAGAGTTAATCCCAACAAGCCTTCTAAGCACAAATGCAGATAGTTAAGTGTTTTGAGGAGAGAAAAGGATAATGTGAAGATGGGAAAATAAGCTGTTAAAGGTATGTAATATGAAGCCAAAGATCTCAGGATTGAAAGAAACCTTACAAGCCATCAATTCTAACTCTCTAAAACTGCTTAAAAAACTGACTTCCTTTTACGACCAAGATGAAGTAACGGGCCAGATTTACTCTCAGATTTGCTCTCTTTGGTTGTCTTGAAACAACCAAAAACAAACAAACAACTTTTCCTGCCAACAAACCCAAAATATGAAACAATGATTTTCAAGATATTTAACATCAGGTAACAAAGGACAGTGATCCCCAGAGAAACAAGAAACAAGTGGTTGCCAGCTTACTGCCTTAGTTTCTGAGCCACACAAGGAGGGGAACCTAAGCAGAGCCCAGCAGATTCCCTGAGTTCATGGGATGCAGCTCATAGTCTGAAGAGACCAAGGTATCTAGGATTAAAGCATATAGTACCAGAGTGGATACAGCTGCACACAGAGAGAACTCCAGAAATCTGAATAGGATATCCCATGGGTATTTGGCAGAGCACTGATAAGTAAAGGCTTATGAGGCAACTAACGGGCTAAGGAAAGGACCACACACAAAATTAGAGGACACAGAACCCAGCATTCATACAGGGCCAGGATTAGTGCATGTTCCCAACAGACAGACTGGAAAACCTCAGAATTCCCAGGGCACTCGGTAGAGCACTCAAAAAAATCTTGTCTCAGTAGTGGGAAATAATTAGCTCTAGACTAAACATGGCACTAATCCTGCCAATACATCTTAAAAGCAAGACTTGAAAGGATCACATTATTTCCAAGTAATAGCACAACAAGCCTTAAGAATATTTATAAGAATACAGAAATATCCAGTACTCAACAAAATAAAATTCACAATATCTGGCATCTCAACAAAAATTACCAGGTATAAAAAAATATGATCCATAATGAAAAAAATCAACAATTAAAACTGACCAATGATTAGAACTGACAGATGTGGGAATCTGCAGAAAAAGGACACCAAAACAGCTATCATAACTGTATTTTTAAAATGATGTTTATGTTCAAAAATTTAAGTAGAGGTATGAATGACATAAAAGAGATCCAAGTTAAACTTCAGGAGATGAAAATTTCAGTGTCTGAGATGAAAAATACACTGAATGGGATTAATGGCAGATTAGATATTTTAGAAGAAAATATTAGTAAACTAGAGATGTAGCAAAAGAAACTATGCAACATACAGAAAGAAAAAAGAATCAAAAATATAAACAAAGCATTGATAAGCTCTGTGACAACTTCAAACAGCCTAATATACATGTAACTGGAGTCCCCAAAGAAGGGGGAAGGAGTCAGGAGAAATACTTAAACAAATAAGGCTGAAAATTTCCCAAATTTGATGGAAACTATAAACACACATAAGAAGCTCAACCAATCCCAAATAGCCATAAAGAAAATTATAGCAAGGTACATGATAATCAAATTGCTCAAATCCAATGTAAAGAGAAAATCTTTAAACTGGCCACATGAAAAATGCACATCACATACAAGGAACAAAAGATAATAATGACAGATTACTCTTTGAAAACTGAAAGTAATTAGACAGTGGAACAATGATCTTTAAAGAACTAAAAAGAAAAATATGCCAGCCTACAATTCTATACCCAGAGAAATTATCTTTGAAAAAGGCAAAATACTTTCTCTACATAAAAAGCTAAAGGAATTCATCACCATCATACCTGTACTGTAAGTCTTTTAGGCAGAGGAACATAATACCAGAAAGGAATATGGATTTATACAAAGCAATGAAAAACATCATTAATGTTAACGACATTGGTAACTAAGATTTTTGCTCATTATTATCTAAATCTCTTCAAAAGATAACTGAATAAAATGGACAAAATCCTAGAAAGATAGAAACTAACAAAACTGATTTAAGAAGAAATACCAGATATGAATAGACTTATATGACAAAAGATTGAATTAATAATAATAAAAAAACTACTCACAATGAAAAGTCCAGGCCAAGAGGCTTCACTGGTGGAATGTACCAAACATTTATTTATTATTACTATTATTTTTTTTGAGACAGAGTTTCGCTCTTGTTGCCCAGGCTGGAGTGCAATGGCGCGATCTCAGCTCACCGCAACCTCCGCCTCCCACGTTCAAGGGATTCTCCTGCCTCAGCCTGCCGAGTAGCTAGGATTACAGGCATGCACCACCACGCCTGGCTAATTCTGTATTTTTAGTAGAGATGGGGTTTCTCCATGTTGGTCAGGCTGGTCTTGAACTCTCGACCTCAGGTGATCCACCCGCCTCAGCCTCGAAAAGTGCTGGGATCACAGGCGTGAGCCACCACACCCAGCCTAGCAAACATTTAAATAAGAATTATTATTATTAAATAAGAATTATCTTCACAGACTCTTCCAAAAAATAGAAGAGGAAGCATTCTATAAGGTCAGTATCATCCTGCTACCAAATCCAGACATTAAAAGAAAACCATAGGCCAATATCCTATATGAATATAAATACAAAAATCCTCAACAAAATACTAGCAAAACGAACCCAGCAATATATAAGAGGAATCATACATCATGGCCAAATAAGATTTATCCCAGGACTGCAAGGTTGGTTTAACATCTGAAAATCAATTAATGCAATATACCATATCAATAGAAGACAAAATTCACTTGATCATCTCAACAGACATGGAAAAAGCATTTGACAAAATCCAACACCATTTCCTAATAAAAACCATTCAATAGGGGCTGGGTGCGGTGGCTCACACCTGTAATTCCAGCACTTTGGAAGGCCGAGGTGGGCAGATCCCACGAGGTCAGGAGATAGAGACCATCCTGGCTAGCACAATGAAACCCCGCCTCTACTAAAAATACAAAAAATTAGCCGGGTGTGGTGGTGGCATGCACCTGCAGTCCCAGCTACTCAGGAGGCTGAGTTAGGAGAATCACATGGACCTGGGAGGCGGAGGTTGCAGTGAGCCGAGATCACGCCACTGCACTGCAGCCTGGGCGACAAAGCGAGACTCCATCTCAAAAAACCAAACCAAACCAAACCAAACACCATTCAATAAACTAGAAGACACCTTCCTAATCTAAGAAAAGGGACCTACAAAAAACCCATAGCTAACATTGTATTTAATGATGAAAGACTGTATGCCTTCCCCCAAGATCAGGAATAAGACAAGGATGTCTGTTCTTGTCACTTCTATTTATATTGTACTAGAGGAGGTTGTAGCCAAGGCAATTAGGCAAGAAAATGAAATAAAAGGCATCCAGATTGAAAAGGAAGAAGTAAAACTATCCTTATTTGCAGATGATATGATCTGTATGCAGAAAATCCTAAGGAATTCACTAAAAATCTATTATAACTAATAAATGAGTTCAGCCAGTTGTAGGATACAATATCGATATACAAAAATCAATTGTATTTCTCTACATTAGCAACAAGCAATCTGAAAATGAAATTAAAAAAACAATCCTGTATACAATATGGCATCAAAAAGAATAAAATAGGAATAATGTTAACAAAAGAACTGCAAGACTTGTATTCATAGAAACTACAAAACATTGTTGGAAGAAAGTTAAGATTTAAATAAACAGAAAGACACCACACTCATGATTGGAAGGCTTAATATTGCTAAAATGGTAATATTCCCCAATTAATGTACAGATTAAACACAATCCTCTTCAAGAATCCCAGTGGACTTCTTGCAGAAATTGGCAAGCTGATCTTAAAATTTATACAAATTCAAGAAACCCAGAATAACCCAAATAATATTGAACAAGAAAAATGAAATTGAAGGAAAACACTTCCCAATTCCAAAAATTACTACAGAGCCCCAGGTAATTAAGACAATGTGGTATGGCATAGAAATAGACATATAGTCAATGGAATGGAACTTAAAGCCCAAAAATAAATCATCACATTTATGGTTAGTTGATTTTCAACAAGAATAGCAAGGCAGTTCAATGGGAGAAAGAATAGTTTTTTCAATAAATAGTACTGGGACAACTGGATATTTACAGGCAAAAGAATGAAACTAGACTCCTACTTCACACCACATTCAAAAATTATCTCAAAATGGGTCAAATATCTGAATATAAGAGTCAAAACTAGAAAACTCTTAGAACAAAACCTATGTGTAAATATTTGTGACCTTGGATCAGGCAACAGCTTCTTAGATATGACACCAAAGACAAAACAAATATTAACTGGACCTCATCAAAATAAAAAAACTTGTGTTGCAAAGGACATCAACAAGAAAGTGAAGAAATAACCCATACAATTAGAGAACATTTGTAAATCATTTGTCTGTCTTACTTTAAAAAGCAAAAAAAAAAAAAAAAAAAGATAACTCGACAAGCAAAAGATCTGAACAGACATTTCTCTAAAGAAGATATATAAATGGCCTATATAAATACATGAAAAGATGCTCAACACCATTAGCCAAAAAGGAAATGCAAATCAAAAGCACAATTAGATACCACTCCACATCCACTAGCATGTAATTCAAGGTGAATCATAGACCTAAATGGAAAAAAACCAAAAGCAAGCATAGGATAAAATCTTTGTCACTCTGAGTTAGGCAAAGATTTCTTAGATATGATATTCAATAGCATAAATGATAAATTGAATTTCATCAAAATTAGCAATCTGTGCTCTTTCAAAGACATTGTTAAGAGAATGAGAAGACAAGTGATGGACCTGGAGAAAATATGGGCAAAGCATGCGTCTTATAAAGGACTTGTACCAAGAATATATTTTAAAATGATCAAAATGAAATAATAACAAACACAACTCAATTAAAATGTGGGAAAAGGCCTGAACCCTTCAAATAAACACTTGAAAAAGATGCTCGGCCGGGCGCGGTGGCTCACGCCTGTAATCCCAGCACTTTGGGAGGCCGAGGCGGGCGGATCACGAGGTCAGGAGATCGAGACCATCCCGGCTAAAACGGTGAAACCCCGTCTCTACTAAAAATACAAAAAATTAGCCGGGCGTAGTGGCGGGCGCCTGTAGTCCCAGCTACTTGGGAGGCTGAGGCAGGAGAATGGCGTGAACCCGGGAGGCGGAGCTTGCAGTGAGCCGAGATCCCGCCACTGCACTCCAGCCTGGGCGACAGAGCGAGACTCCCGTCTCCACAAAAAAAAAAAAAAAAAAAAAAAAAAGATGCTCAACATTGTTAGTCATTAGGGAAATGCAAATCAAACCATAATAAGACACCACTACACAGAAGGGCTAAAAATAGAATGGCTAACATTAAAAAGAATGACCATACCAAGTGTTGTTAACGTGGAAGGACTAGAACTTTCATACACTGCTGATGGGAATATAAAATAGTTTTGTTAATAAGTTATGAACTTAACAAGTTAGATTATTTTCTTATTAAAAAAAAAAAAAAGACAGCATCTTGCTCTGTTACCAGAGCTGTAGCGCAGTGCCTCTATCATATTATAGCTCAATGTAGCCTAACTCCTGGGCTCAAGTGATCCTCCTGCCTCAGCTTCCCGAGTATCTGGGGCTACAAGTGGGAGCCACTACACCTGGTGGGATGGCTAATATTGAGTGTCAACTTGACTGAACTGAAGGATACAAAGTATTGTTCATGGGTGTGTCTGTGAGGGTGTTGCCAAAGGAAATTAACATTTGAGTCAGTGGACTGGGAGGGGTAGACCCACACTCAATCTGGTTGGGCACCATCTACTCAGCTGCCAGCGGGGGTAGAATAAAGCAGGCAGGAGAAGATGGAAGGGCTGACTTGCTGAGTCTTATGGACTTCATCTTTCTCCCATGCTGGATGCTTCCTGACCTAGAACATCAGACTCCAAGTTCTTTAGCTTTTGGACTCTTGGACTTACACCAGTGGTTTTCCAGGGGCTCTTGGGCCTTTGGCTGCACAGACTGAAGGCTGCACTGTTAGCTTCCCTACTTTTGGGACTCGTACTGATCCACCACTGGCTTCCTTGCTCCTCAACTTGCTGATGACCTATCATGGGACTTCACCTTGTGATGGTGTGAGTCAATTCTCCTTAATAAACTCCCTTTCATATATACATATATCCTCTTAGTTCTGTCCCTCTAGAGAACCCAGACTAATACACTTGGCTAATTAAAAAAAAATCTTTTTTTAGAGAGAGAGTCTTGCTATGTAGTCCAGGCCAAGTTTCTTAATAAGTGAGTAAGCCTACTCATATGATCCAGCCATTCCATTCCTAGATATTTACCTAAAAGAAATGAAAGCACATATTCATACTATTAAAATAAGATGGAGACCAGGTCTGTAAATCCCCTGGACAAAGCCAGTTAAGCCATTAAAACAACCTTGACCTTGCAAATATAAGCAATAGAAGCAAAACTTAATTTGGGCTGTTTGCAAATGTAAACTTTGGTTATTTTTTGTCTGTGCCTATATTAAAGAAAAATCAGGCTGGGCATGGTGGCTCATGCCTGTAAGCACCTTGGGAGGTTGAAGCAGGAGGATCACTTGAGGCCAGAATTTGAGATCAGCCTGGGCAATATAGCTAGCGAGACCTTGCCTCTATAAGAAATTAAAAAATTAGCCAGGCGTGGCGATGCATGTCTGTAGTTCATGTTGCCCTGGTTACTTGAGAGGCTGAGGTGGGAGGATCACTTGAGCCCAGGAGTTCAAAGCTGCAGTGAGCTACGATCGCACCAAAGCACTCTAGCCCTGTCTCTTAAAAAAAAAAAAAAAAAAAAAAAAGAAACAAACAAACTTAGGCTACGCCAATTAGAAGCCATCAACTAACTTACATAACTAGGGACTTTCCAATAGGATGGACTAAACAAGGCAACTATATAAATATAATTAATCAAATATTTTCTTTGCCTTGTTTCCTTGTTCATCCTATAGAAGTCTTCCACTTGCATTCCTTTGGTGGAGTCCCAAATCACTTTTGATTTGTTGCTGTCTGATTCATGAATTGCTGTTTGCTCAGACAAAACTCTTTAAAATTTTATTCTGCCTCAGTTTATACTTTAACAATACCAAAACTTGTACACAAATGTTCATAGCAGCTTCTAGGTGTAGAGCCCAAAACCAGAAACAACCCAGGGTCCACCAACAGGTGAATGGACAAACTGTAGTAAAACAGATACACAATGGAACACTGCTTAGCAATAAAAAGGAATAAACTCTGACACATGCTTCACCATGGATAAATATCAACAATTACTCTGAGTAATAGGAGCCAGGCAACAGAAGTACTTACTATATGATTCTATTTATATAAAATTTTAGAAAATGCAAGGTAATTTGTAGTTAACTGAAAGTAAATCAGTCAATGATTGCCTGTGGGAGGTGGTACCAGGAAGGAATTATAAAAAGGGGTGAAAAAACTTTTGGGAGTAATGGATTTGCTCATTACTTTGGTTGCAGTGATGATTTCACAGGTGTATACATATGTTAAAACTTATCAAATTGCACACTTTAAATATGTGGTTTATTTTATGTCAATTATACCTCAATGAAGCTGTTTAAAAAATAAAGCCAAGTCAGATTCAGTAGCAGTGCCAAAAAGGCATTTGTAAAACAACAACAAAAAAAAACCCCTCCAGTTTGTTTACTGAAGTATAAAGATTTGTTGATTATGAATTTGCATTTAAAAAACAAAACTAAGCCCCTCATCTCCCCAAAAATAGAGTACTACATATTTACATATTCCTTTAAAGGTCTTACCATATCTTTTCTCCTTGCCTTGTGACTTGGAGACAACAGAAGTGTTAAAGATAGTTAATGCTACAGCACTGGTCCCTTACATAATAATAAGACCCTTAAGGAGTTTTTACTCAATCTTGATTATACACAATTTTTGGTACTATGAACACAAATGTTATGCATCATTTCCAGGACATGTACATTGCATGCAGTATGTCAAGCTAACTTGGAAGACTAATCTACTGCCCTCTGAAAGATATAATCCATTTGAGTGTATTATAAAACATATTCTGTATAATCTTCCTAAATTTTCTGCACAGAACAATTTCTCATTAAGGTTTTCAAAAACTAAATTTATAATTTTGAGTTCATTTTTTACAAAGCAAAAACAAAGCCACACAATTATTTGGAAAACATAACCAGTCAGAAAACTAAAGCATTATGAAGTGTAAATATCTAGGAAGGAGGAGATCAGAATGTTTCATTTCTTGATAAGTTCTTGATTACTTGATAAGTATTACAGTGATGCATGGGTTGTCAACATGTTATTGAATAAGTGGTCTGTAAGTACTGATCATCTGAAAGCAGCACTTTTTCAACAAATACTTGATTACCTACTGTGTGTCAGGCACTGTGCTGAGTACCAAGGACAAGTAATATCAAATGGATCCTTTTAACAGCGTGTTTCTGGAGAAAACTATAATCATGGTACCTGGATTTCAGCAAGACAAAGGAGAAAAATGTGCCAAACTGTGGCACAGCAAAAACCAGTTAAAGAGTCAAGTGTAACAGCTACTTAATAGCTATGTAATCTTGGGCATAACACTTCACCTCTCAGGGCCTCCTCTCAAAAATGAGGCAGTTTTGCCTGAACAGTCAATGTTCCTTCCAAGATATTATGATTCCTTTATTATGATTCCACACACACACACACACACACACACACACACACACACACACACATTTTTGGAGAGCAAACTTGATTTAAATGCACAGGCCGTTTAATCCAGCAATTCACAATTCCACTTTCCTGATTCTATACTACAGAAGTATCCATACTACTATATAAAGTCACATACATAGGATGTTTATCAGTGTTACACGTAACAGCAAAATAAAATTATAAGCAACTTAATGTTCATCAATAGAGGAAAGGTTAAATTAACTGAAGACATTTATACAACAGAATATTTTAAAGGAATTAGGTACATCTTTATGTGCTGATGTAGATAGTACCTACAAAATGGTGTTACCATGTTGCAAATATTTTTTCTCAGTTTGTCTTGTCCACAATAGGCTTGGGAGCCAGATGGCCTGAATTCAAAGATCTGCATCATGGTTTTCTACTCTTCATTACAGACAAATTCCATAATATATGTAAACTTCAGTTTCCTCCTCTGTTAAGTGGGAATAATTACAGAACCTACCTTAGAGTATAATTATAACACTTATTCAAGTAAAACATGACAAGCATAAGTGCTCAGTAACTGTTAGATATTATTTCCTATTAAGCAAAGTTTTGTTGGTGGTGGTGGTGGTGGTAATAGACTCAAATCTATCAATCTTTTCCTATTTCTTGATTTTAGCTTCCCTACCTGAAGTAATCCTAATAAAAGTAATTTTTCCCTCAAATAGATAGCTAATTCTTGCCATTTACCATGCAATCCATGCTCTTGTCACTAGTTTGAAATGCCATCTTTATCATTAGCAAAATTCCTATATATGCATAAGTCCATTTCTGACCTCTAAACCAGGAATCAGCAAATATTTTAGGTCAGACAGTAAATGTCACAACCAGTTGATTCTGCCTTTGCAGCACAAAAGCAGTCACAGATGATATGTAAGTGAATGAGTATAGTTGTGTTCCAAGGGACACTGAAATTTGAACTTCATATAATTTTCATGGGTCATGAAGCATTATTTTCTTTTTCTCCCCAAAGCATTAGAAAGTATAGGGCTGGGCACGGTGGCTCATGCGTGTAATCCCAGCACTTTGGGAGGCTGAGGCAGGCAGATCACGAGGTCAGGAGTTCAAGACCAGCCTGAGGAACACGGTGAAACCCCGTCTCTACTAAAAATTAGCCGGGCATGGTGGCATGCACCTGTAATCCCAGCTACTCAGGAAGCCGAGGCAGGAGAATCACTTGAACCCAGGAAACAGAGGTTGCAGTGAGCCAAGATCACGCCACTGCACTCCAGCCTGGGCAACAGAGTGAGACTCTGTCTCAAAAATAAATAAATAAATAAATAAACAAATAAATAAATACAAAATAAAAAAAATAAAAAGTGTAAAAGCCAGTCTTAGATCACAGGCTATACTAAAACAGGCAGCCAGCCATACTGGCAACCCCTGCTTTAACTTCTAAAAAATTTTTACACTTTAAAAATTTCACAAAATAAATACATGTGATAAAAAGGTTAAACAACATATAAGGGCACACAACCCCAATCCCTTCTGTGAGCTGGTAGGGAAGAAGAGTGGGGAACAGTCAGCAAACCTAACACATCTTTCCATAAGCTCTCAGAAAAGGCATACTTCTTGTTCGTCCCCACTGTACAGACAAAGAAACAGACCAGAGAGGGAAGGGTTGATCTATATTTGCCAGTCCTTTGTCCTCTGATACTTATTTCTCCCTGGCTCAGGATGCCCAAGACTGTGCCTGGACACTCCTACCTTCGCGATCTCTGTTATCTCTGTGGTTATTTCTTCTTTTCCTATTTCTAATGCCTCCTGGAACTCCTATTAGATGTATATTGACTCTTCTAGATCTACTTTGCATGTCATGGGTAGTCTTTCCCACTTTCTTTTTTTTTTTTTTTTTTTTTTTTTTTGAGACAGTTTCACTGTCAGCCAGGCTGAAGTGCAGTGGCAGCCTCCACTGCCTGAACAGCTGGGACGACAGGTGTGCACTACCATACTGCTAATTTTAAAAATGATTTGTGGCCAGGTGCGGTGGCTCACGCCTGTAATCCCAACACTTTGGGAGGCTGAGGCAGGTGGATCATGAGGTCAGGAGATCAAGACTATCCTGGCTAACATGGTGAAACCCGTCTCTACTAAAAATACAAAAATTAGCCGGGCATGGTGGCGGGCGCCTGTAGTCCCAGCTACTCGGGAGGCTGAGGCAGGAGAATGGCGTGAACCTGGGAGGTGGAGCTCGCAGTAAGCCGAGATGGCGCCACTGCACTCCAGCCTGGGCAACAGAGCCAGACTCCGTCTCAAAAAAAAAAAAAATTATTTGTAGAGACAGGGTCTCATTATGTTGCCTAGGCTGCTCTCAAACTCCTGGAATCCAGAGATCCTCCTGCCTCGGCCTTCCAAAGTGTTGGAATTACAGGCATGAGCCACCACACCTGGCCCTTTCCTACTTTCCATGTTTAAATATTCAAGAATCAATTGCTTTTTTTCATGGCAGCCTGTATGTGTTCAGTAGGCATAATACCTTAACAAATTTGAAGATACTAATACTTACTTTAAAGCTTTCTTTTGTCTTACATTAGCTCCACTGCTTCAGTGCCTAGTTCTGTATTTGTTTGGTCTGAAGCTTCTCTTAGATGCTACCGATTTCCCACAAATGTTTAGTGATTTTTGTTGTGTGTTCACATTATAAATGTGCTAGTAGTATCTCAGTCCATATGAAAATCACTGTACTCCTGCTGTGAATTCACATTTGTAACTAGCCCTATAATTCAATTTTACACTTATACCTAGTGCTTGTGTAGCATGACAATAACAATGTAAGTTCTTTGACTTGCAGTCCCGTGATTCTTCAATCCACTTTCAGTCATATCCTTTTGGTATTTCATTTCCTCTAAAAAACCACTAACTTGAGTAATACAGTTCTTAAGTAAATGTTATGCTAAACTTCAGAGTCAGATCCTCACCAGCTCTAACAGACTTGTCTAACAGTTAAACAAACAATGACAGTCCGACAGAAGACAGTCATAAATGTGCAATTCAAAGGGTAAATAATAACATGGTAATGAATGAATCACTTACGTCTTGAACTCATAATAGTTATGCTTTTTTAAAACCAACCTTGAATGTTATATTAGTTAAAATAACAAATTCTATTACATTAAAAAAAAGATGACTCCATGTTGGTTAAATTTTCTGCCTTTGGTTGGTAATGGTATGGTTGGTAATGACTCCATGTTGGTAATTTTCTGCTTATGCCATGACTCAGTCATTCTATAGCTGACAGAAATGCATACAGATGCTCACCAAGACATTTAATTTACAAGAATGTCCACAGTACTCTTTTTTTTTTCTTTTCTTTTTGAGACCGAGTCAGGCTCTGTCGTCCAGGCTGGAGTGCAGTGGCACGATCTCGGCTCACTGCAACCTCCACCTCCCGCCTCAGCCTCCCAAGTAGCTGGGCTTACAGGCGCCCGCCACCACGCCTGGCTAATTTTTGTATTTTTAGTAGAGATGCGGTTTCACCATGTTTGCCAGGCTGGTCTCGAACTCCTGACCAAGTGATCCACCTGCCTCGGCCTCCCCAAGCGCTGGGATAAAAGGCCTGAGCCACCACGCCAGGCCCACAGTATTCTTAATATCCAAAACACATCATATACAAAAATTGGGAACATAAATGTCCATCAACTGAAGAGTAGTCACATATTATTCAATAGACTATTACACAGTAATAATACAATACCATGAAATAGCATGGGTGTGTCCCACAAACAATATGCTGAGAATACTACGTGATTCCATTAACATGAAGCTCAAAACAGAGAAAACTAAAAGCAGATAAGAGAAGTTAGAATACAGATGGGAAAACAAGGATATAACTGACTTGGAAGAAGCACAGGAAAATAGGATGATGGAAATGTTCTATGGTTATAATTTGATATATCTGGTGGTTCCACAGGGTAATAAGTATGTAAAAATTCATTGAGCTGTACAATTAAGATTCGTGCTCTTATTGATTTCATATGTATTTTATGCCTCGACAAAAACAAAGAGAAAAATGCAGCTTCTAAACTGGTTGGAACTGTGTTTATTTAGGCCAAAATCCTCTGAGCCACAAATACTGGAAATCCATCTTTTTTCATTCTTTTAGTTACATGACAACTTTAAACAAATGGTACAAGAACAATAATACAAAATGAACGCTAACACTCAGTCCTAAAATACTTGGCTTCTTACTTCCAAGATCGAAGCTACTATTTTAATACAACATTCAAAAAACAACATTAATTACCAGACATGAAGGCCCTGCTCCCGCGAGCCTTGAATGACGGTGAAACGTCACGACATCCCATATCTATCTCAAAAGCACGCTAGAAAATACCTCCAAGTTTAACAAGCCAAGGACTCAGGAAGAGAAGCTTCAGATGTATAATCAAACTATCATACCGCCAATACCATCATCACAAACAGAAGTATCACTGTCGTGCTTCCTGCGTTGCTCAAGGGTAGAGTCATTTTTAAGGTGCATTCTCCGACAACGCCAGAGGCTCCCCATCTCCTCCGCCCCACTGAGCCCTCCACGACAGAGCATCTTTACCGGCGCTCGCTCTGCCATCTACAGATAAAGAGGGGCTGAGGGCAGAACTATTTTAACGCGATGACGAGGTCACCACTGATTAAAAAGTTTATCCACTGAGAGGAGCAGAGATGGTGATGAATAGGTAAAAACAAAACGAAACAAAACAAAACCCAACACTGACAAGCGAACCAATCGTCTCTGGCCGCGCTTTCCCTAAAACCGGTGCCGACTCCGGCAGGCTCATCCCTGAGAGACAGGGCCCCCCGCAGGACCGGTCCGCTAGGCGACCCCACCCGACCACACAGGAGCCCGCAGCCCCGGCGCCCGCACCGCCCGGGCCGGAGCCGGCGGGAGTCGCGGACCGGCGGGCGAGGCCGGGCCAGGTACTCACCGCGCTCGCCCGCTCTGCGCTCCACCGCCTCCTGCGCCGCGGGGACACCCGGGCGGCGCCTCACGCCTTGGGCCCGCCGCCGCCTCAGCCACCCACCCCCGGGCGCGCCGCCGCGCCTGAGAGGCCACTTCCGGCGCGCGCGAGGAAATGAAGCCGCCGCGCGCCCGCGGCCCCGCCCAGGAAGCTCCGCCACTGGCAGCTGGGTACCGATTCATCACCGACGTGTTTAAAGTATCCGTGTGTGTGCCTCCAAAAACCGTTTGTGGAGACAGCAGAGTGCCCGAGGCAGGAAACCGCTCCGGCCTGGAGGCGCCCCTGCCCGGACTCGTGGACTGCAGCGCTGTCCCGCTCGGAAGCCGATCCTGGGAGTCCGAGCGGGGCCGCGGGGCCTGCGTGGCAGCCGAGTCGAGGGCTTCGGGCCGCGGGGCTGTGGAGCGCCCCTTGGCGCTGGGCCGCCGGCAGCCGTGAGCGCATCACTGCATTTCCCTGGAGGAATTCCTCATCTGTTGAATGAGGGAGTTGAGGCGGACACGCTGGGAAATGGCTTCGAGCTCACACACTGATTTTCGTGAGTGGAAAGAGAAGCCCTTTCTTAGGCGTCTTCCATACCACTGCATGTTCCAGGGTCCTCCCTGGGCTCTCTGTCTCCCACGCCACCGCGAGCACGGCCTAAGCGGGCGAGCGAAGGCGCGACGGCGCCGAGAGCCGGCTGTGGTGGGTGCCGGGCGCGTCACCGCGGGCTGGCGGGGGAGGGGACGCTGGGAAGCTCTCCAGAAAGAGGAGCCGCCACCGAGCAAATTCCCATCTGCCACGCACCGCAGAGCCTCGCCCTCCGCCGCCAGCATTTTCTTTCTTTGTTCTCCTAGCCCTACAAACGCTGGGTTTCCTTTCTCATTCGTGGACTTTTTTCCCTGGATCCTTCTTACTGCTCCTACCCTGTGGCCGCACGTCTGGCAGATGCGCGGCGGGCGCTGCCTGAACCCCCGAATCCTCACAAGCCTCTGTGCAGCGGCCACGGCCCTCAGCTAGCGGCGGGGAGACTGAAGCCGCAGGGTCAGGGTTAGTTGCCACATGTTTTAAATTCCTATCCAAACTTCCATTATAATTGTTTTTATTTATTTATTCATCTATTTTTTGAGACAGGGTCCCGCTCTGTCGCCCAGGCTGGAGTGCAGTGGAGCGATCACGGTTCACTGCAGCCTCCCCACCTCCGACTCCAGCGATCCTCTCGCCTCAGCCTCCCGAGTAGCTGGGACCACAGGTGCATGCCACCATGCCCGGCTAATTGTTAATATTTTTTTTGGTAGAGATGGGGCCTCCCTCTGTTGCCTAGGCTGGCCTTGAACTCCTGGGCTCAAGCGATCTTCCAGCTTCGGCCTCCCAAAGTGCTGGCATTACAGGCGTGAGTCACCCCGCCTGGCAAGAATTGTTGTTTTGAAACTAACTGAGGTTCTCCCATCAATGGATTTAAATTGTTACTTTTTAATGATTTTTTTTTAAGTAGCCAAATACTAAATGTATGTAATTTGAATGTGGAGAGAAGATAATGCATGATTCAAATTATGTGGCTGATCATGGGTGATACACTGGGATATAGTTGTAAAATAAGTAGTTCTCCTAGGGAAAATATTAAAGTACAACTGTGTTGGGTTTAATATCAGAAAAATGTAATTAAAAACATTTCCTGCCAATAATTTCCAATCTGATACTTAAACAAAACAAAACAATAAAAGTTTCCCATCTCTTTCGGGCCTTTTAAATTTCTACCAAAAGTAAGTGATGCTGGCTGATTCCCCTGCTATAGCAAGTTGTGAATAAATAGCCTTTGCTGGTTTCCACAGTTTTCCTGGTGATCCCATGGTAAGTCTGTACTGCTTGTCCCTGAGGTCCCCAGGCTTCCACCCATTGTGCCACCCAGAGGCCCCTCATGCCTCCATGTTCTCGGCCTATCAGGTGCGCCGATGTGGTCAGCACTAGGGCTCACCTCACTCTGCGTGGAGGTCTCTGGCTATTTATTCTCAGTTTGGTACTCTGGTTTTGTTATTGATTCTCATTTGTCTGGCATCTCTAGTGGAATCAGGCCATTCTTTTTATCCCTTTTCACTGTATTTTGTGTTAGTGTTTAGTGTTGTGCTGTCAAAAAGTGCTGCTTGTCATAAGAAGGAAAACCGTAGGAAAGGACACAGGCATGGGGCTCATAAGCCTCTTGTTTGAGCCAGCCTCGCAGCTCATGATTTAGCAGTTCTCATCACACCGGCCTCTACTTGGAGAAACTTTGCTGTGGGTTTCCAGTAAAACTGAATGAGGTTCTCCTTCCGTCTCGCTTTCATGTCCTGAGAGACACAAACATTCCATTTCTCGCCAGCCTCACCAGCCAGCATTCATGGTGTTGTCTAAGTTTAAATCTCCTCCTCCAGAAAAAACTCCTGCTTCTTACATATACTCTCTAACAATTCTAATCCTTACGCCCATCTCTGAAAAGCATTAACTTCACCAAGGTTGATTTGGTGAAGATCTTATTTGGAGAACATCTAACTTGAACAAAATTGCTCATTTGAGAGATGCCTTAGAAACGAAAGAGAATAAGATTTCTTAGGCCCAATGAGCAGCCTTTTTTGATTGGTAGTCAGAGGTCTCCAAATGATATTCTGATTCAAAAAGTGCTTCCCTGAAAGACTCTGGCTAAAGCTGATGAGCGATTTGGCAAACTTAAGCAGCAACAACCTAGACTCATTTTCCTAGTAAATCCTTCTGCTTATCATCCATTTGCTTCCCTAATACAGCTCTCCCTCTTCTCCCCCTTATCCTTCTGATCTCTTCCCTTCCACACATCTGTCCACACTTCTCTTCCTCTTGTCCAGATCCCTGCCCTTTCACAACAACCCTCCTATGACCCCAGGATGCCAGCTGCCTCTCTGAAGGCCTATTCCTCCATGAGCCCCATATACAGACAACTGTGGAATTTAAACCTTAGACCCAAGCTAAATTAATAACCATAATTAAGGATTTCCCCAAACCCAGGCAAGATCAGCAACTATGCATAAAATAATTAAGAATACTTTGGTCAGGCACTATGGCTCACACCTGTAATCCCATCATTTTGGAAGGTGAATCAGTGAGGACTGCCTGAGCCTACAAGTTAGACCAGCATGAGCAACATAGTGAGATCTCCATCTCTATGGAAAAAAAAACCCAGGCATGGTGGTGTGTGCCTGTAGTCCTAGCTACTCAAGAGGCTAGATGGGAGGATCACTTGCGCCCAGGAGGTTGAGGCTGCAGTGAGCCATGATTGCACCACGGGCACTCTAGCCTTGGTGGCAGAGCAAGACCCTATCGCAAAGCGGCGGGGGGAAGCATGTGACCCAGTGTTACCTAACCCATATCAACTTGTACACATTGACCAGAACCTTGCATGCTAAATCCTGAATGGCAAAAGTTGACTAGACTCCCCCAAAAGGGATCCTAGGATCCCACTGTCCACAATAAAACTGAAGAGTTAACAAAGAGGCTCAAAACATAGGGCAAAGTCTTCTAAAAGCCATATCTCAAACATTCCCCCCACCAAAAAGATTAGACCATAATCCCTTGTCATGCAAAAACAAACAAACAAACAAAAGGACCTGCAGGAGTTTTTTTTGGGATAGGCTAGAAAATACATTGTATCATTTGGGAGTCTAGAAAGTGGCCCTTTCATTGCTTGTTGTCAAGGAGCTAAATCTGAAATCGGAGACCTAATCAAAAACAGAAATGAGAATGGGAAATAGCCCCTTAACCTGAACTACAACACCTGGCAGACATTTTAAAAGTGCTTTAGAACAAAAATAAGACAGGACCTAAAATTAACTTGTGGCCCTGCTGATCAAACAGCTGGGTAGCCCCTCCCCAACCAGTCAGCTACTGACAAGGGCACTTATAGATACTGTATACAGAAAGGACACTGAGAAAAAAAGATTGTTCAACTTAGAAAACAAAA
This sequence comes from Homo sapiens, assembly GCF_000001405.40. Lineage (NCBI taxonomy): Eukaryota > Metazoa > Chordata > Mammalia > Primates > Hominidae > Homo > Homo sapiens. The sequence goes on along the minus strand of NC_000010.11, from coordinate 43,134,594 downwards.
ATCAAGACAAAAAGAAAAATCCCTCACTTGAGATCAATGAGGTGCACTGGGGAAAGGAAAAGCACCAATATCCTGCAATACCTTTAAACACCTGCCATGCATTAACCATACATAGAAATGGTGCGTTGGTTTTCCTAGGGTTGCTGTAACGATTTACCACAAACCGGTTGGTGTAAAACTGCAAAAACCGTAACATCACCCTTGGTTATTCAGCACTCTAACTGGGGAGTTACTGACTCATTGTTTATGCAAACAATCAGAGCAATGTTCTCATCTGTGGGAATCCTGTTGTCATAAACTTATCATTAACCCTGGCAGAAGTCATTAGCAATGCCCCTTCTTCCCTAGATGGGGCACCTATCAGTCTCAACTCATTGGCATGAGTAGTGATGGACAGTCTCATTGCTGTAGATTTCTTGTTGGTTGGTGATGGCCTCTGCCACTGCTAATACTGCATCTGGATCAGTGAAACAAGAGAAGGTAGAACAGGTCACACATCACCTTGAGGCAAAAGCTATTTGGCTTTCTAAGGTTGATCCTCATGGCCTATATGGGATTTGCTCTTGGCCTGCATTGGTCAGCTGAGGTTTGCGTTCAAAGCGTCTCACAGGGACAGTTGCTCTTGTTTCTGTCATAGTGGTCCTGATGTTGTTCCACTGCATCCCATTCTTGTCAAATGAGCACTGTGATGCTATAACAACAGAAGGATCAAGATCTCACAATACGGTTGACCAGAGAGACAACTGAATAATCTCTGAGCAGTGAAGAGCTGGATCTCTAGACTTCCTTGAGTTGGCCAACCTTTTACAAACAAGAAAATGACCGACAAGGGGGACTAAGAGACTGAACATGCAAACAGACAATGGCCAGACCACATACGGCCAGAGGATTTGAATCAGATTCTCTGCAGAACTAGCCAGGAAGCCAAACCACAGCCTCTGTAACAATTATCCCAGAATGGTTAGGACTTGGTCAGGAACTGCAAGCTTCCCTATTTTTTGCCCACTGAACTAAACAGAGAAAGCCACCTGTGTCCCCCAAACCAATCACATAAGAGGCCCTCCTCCTGGTTAGCTGCCTCCAGCTTCCCCAGGCCAACAAGCCCCAATCACAGCATCCCTGAAGGCTTCTCCTCACCCTCCCCACCTTTTATTTTTTACTATAAGGCTTTCCCACTCCTCTGCCTGCTTTTGAGTGTCTGCCAAAAGTAAGTGATCCTGGCTGACTCTCTTGCTATAGCAAGTTCAGAACCAGTGGCTCCTGTGGGTTCTCATATGGGTAGCCTTTGCTTATTTCTACAAAGTTAAAGATTAGAGGTAATTGTGTGAATATCTCTTTAAAAATAGTGTCCAACCACACTTCCTCTACTTTTTCCAGTGACTGTCTTGTGAGACACTACAGCTCTTCCATCCTTGGTGTCATTCTTATTTTTAGAAATCATTTGCTATGATCTTACTTTTCTTCCCAGACACTGAAGTCCCCCAAACCCTCAGTGTGCTCCTTTACCATGGGGTTCTGAGCAATCTAAGAGCTTCAGGCCCTGTGGCCAGAGTCTCCAGGAAAATTCTCAAGCTCTTGAAAACTCCCAGAAGAAAGGCACAAAATATGGAGCAAGGCACACGCCCTAGGGAGAGGGGAGGCTCCAAGACATGGGTGCTGCCTGGCTCCCTGCAGTCCTCTGACCAAAGTCTCTTGCCCCTGGAGACCCCTTCTTCCATGGGAGAGTATAGAAAAGGATTGATGTGCAGGTGAGACAATCGAGCAGCCAAGAAACAGGTTGCTCTTCTGTTAATACATTGAGAAAAATACACAAAAACTTGAATGTTTTAAATGAATTTCATATTTTTATTCAAGAAATTGACAGTCTGCATGGTAAATATTGTCTGTGTATGAAATATCAAACTTGTTTCCTTCTCAGAAAATGAAAAATGATTTTTTTTAGCTTTAGAATTCACTTACCTTGCTTACCAGCACATTTTTAGCTTGAACTGCTCAGTGTCATCTGAGAGGATGCAGGTCTATGATCTCTCCCAGTGTGGTAGTCACAGTGGCTGGGGTAGTTTCAGACCGCAAGCTCCCTCCATGATGACCTTCACATTTCTGCAGCCCCCACAGTGAGATGTGCCCCCATAAAGGATCCCCTGCCCGGGGTCCAGCTGAGAGATCTTGCTTGGCCAGGTCCTGTGATTTAACACCTCAGAGACATCTGCAAAAATACCTGGTCACTTGACACAGCACTCAAATTTGTAGTTGCAAAGATAAACTGTGATTTCTCCAGGGTGTTCAGAGTGTTTGCCTCCTTAACTCCTGGGAGCAGCCTGCCCTTGCAGCCCTCAGACGGCCACTACCTGGCCTCAGCAGCAGGACACAGTAGTGGCCCCACGCTGAAAAGTTCTCTACATGCAGGTTCTTATGACCTCAGCTAAGATGATCCTTCCTGAGTCCCAGCTCCCTGAAGAGGTGGGAGACTCTACACAGTTTCGGTCAAGGCTGCTGCCATGGAGAAGGGACAGGGCCACAGCAGGAGCCCTGGCAGAGAGGGTGCTTTCCCTGCAGGCGCACAAGCCTAGGACTTGCACCTGGAGCATCTTCATGTGGAAGACGTGTGGGGCCACGCACACTGCTGCATGCACCCTGAAGACCCACCTTTCTGCTTTTTCAGGGCCACAGAGGTTAGGATTCCCTAGGACTTCCTAGAACCACCCCCCAGTTGTGAGGACCACTAAACACAGGCGAACCTCAGAGATACTGTTCCAGACCACTCCGGTAAAGCAAAGAAGATTGAAGATCCCAAATAAGTGAGCCACACAAGTCTCTTGGTTTCCCAGTGCATATAAAAGTTACACTTTACACTGTACTGGAGTCTGTTAAGTGTGTGACAGAACTATGTCTAAAAAACAATGTACATACCTTGGTTTAAAGATTCTTTACTGCTTAACAGTACTGATAGAGAGACATGAAGTGAGTGTGGGCTGTTGGAAGAATGGCCCTGATAGACTTTCTCGACGACTCAGCGTTGCCACAAAACTTCAATTTGTGAAAAACGCAATAAAGCAAAGAGCAATAAAACAAGGTGTGCCAGACACTATGCGTGAACGCACCCGAGGCAGAGAGAGGCACCGCTAACTGCTCCACCTGCCTGCGGGAGAGGCTTTCTTTATATGTTAGAAATTATGCTTTCCCTTCAAAATTTCTTTTGTGTATGAAGTATTTGTTCAAGCCCTGTTCTCAGGCACATTCAACTAGATTTCTGCCCACATAAGCTGGCCTCGTGGTGGGAAGAAATCCTTCGTGAAGGTTGGCAGAAAATGTGTTTTTAGGGGAAAATAAAACAGCAAACATACACACACAAATAGTCCTAATGTAGAGTCTACATTAGGGGTGGCTTTTAGCATTAACTTTTCTTGGCGTAGATTTCTACTTTCAGAGGTAAAGGCTACAGCAAACAGCTGGCTCTGGAGATTACGTTCACTTCCAGCCCGTGGTCCAGGCTGAAGGAGGAAGCCGTGAGCAGACACAGACACCCACGGCTGGGAAGCGGGGCCTCATGGGCCTGGGGCGGGCACTGGGCGAGGCGTGCCAAGGCCTGCATGTACACCACCTGGCGAGGCGTGCAAAGGCCCACGTATACACACGTGTATGTGTGTGACACAGGCCGTTGGCATCTGACACAATGCAATCGCAGATGAGACTGATGTTGACAACAACTCCCGTTTGCCCACTGACCCATCAGCTCCACGCCCGGCATGAGAAGCTCAGAGAATTCCTCGGGGAAGACATAAACAGAAGTAGTGAGTATGTCAGGCTTCATGGTGGTTCAGGACAGCATTTTCCCTCACACTTCTAATGGCCTTCCTCAGGACTTGGCATTTTGTATTCTGTCTCCCACAGCTCTAAGGCCAACTTCAAAAGATCAGCAACAAGCAAATTGCTAGAGAACTGTGAAGACCTAAACTTGACACTGGCTGCTGCTTTGTTCTAGGGATGGACACTTTTAAGGAAGGGATTCCTTGAACAGTGGAGTTAGCTGAGTTTTTCAGTTTCTATCAATGTGCCTATTCACACGCAAATGTACCAGATAAGCCAGCGATATCTCCAGAGCCCCTAGTCCTCGACCACTATTGATGCCTCAGTGGTTATCATGATAGAATTCTTTGTGATGTTTTAAATATTGTATGGAAACTACAAAATCAGAAATCTGTTGTTTCCAACTAGAATGTTAAAAAGAAAAAAAGTTTACACATTTTATGATACATGATTTTATTTACACAACTGATTTTCTTAGTCACCTTGATTACAAAAAAAGGAACATGATCTGGTTTAATGACCTTTCATAAATAGATTTTACAAATTTTAATAACTGACAGATTACTACTTAATACTCAGTAATACTTAATACTTAGTAACTTCTGCATTTACGTGTATGAAAATTCCAGTAGAGCTAATAAGGATGGGGACTTTTATAACTCAGGAATAGACAATTAGGTTATTGGTCAAGGATAAATTGGTCAAGGATAAATTCCCCATCACTGGGTCAGCTGTTTAGACCTGGAGTTCTTACCCTCCTGAGAACAAACCTGTTGCAGCAATTCACACTTACTGTGTAGGCATTTTTAATAATTTGAGAAAGTTTATTCTTATTTCTGCATTTAGTAAGACTATCATTAAGCATATCTGAAAACCAAAAGTTTACCATGTCTATAGATATTTGTAAAAGAACTTATCACAGTGTATCTGAAAAACAGCCCAAATTAGAGCCAGGTTACGTGTCCAATAAGCATTTTTCAAACTCTCCCTCTGGGTGTGTGCGCACACACCACAAGGCTCTATTACACACGCATCCAAGCCTTGGCCTCACAAAATGCCACAATTTTGCTGTTTTTGTGAAATGCCTATATAAAATACAGTATTTGAATGAGACTATTTTAAGTCCTATCAGTGCTTTAAGTCTGAAGAGCAGGCAGTGTTTTGGTAATCCGACTCTTTTCTGCGAAGTTACAGTGCTGACAACACAGCCAGAAGAGCTGCTGAGACTTCCCAAAAGCTGCCCCCACAAGACTGGAGGAGTGTTGTGCATCTGTGACCACAAACAAGCAATGAAGAATGACAAGAAGCTTATGAGTCATGGTCAGAATCTAAGAAACAGAAACATCTTGTAGCAGCATTAAATTACAAACACAGGAAGAGCTGATCCATGGGCCTTTCACACAGGCTCTATAAGAGCCAAACACCATCTTTTTCACATCAGAATTGTAATCAGAGGTGTAGCAGTCCTTGGTCATTGTCATTGCTACTTCTAACACAGCTAGCTAGCCTGTCCCTTTATGAGTAAGTTGATAAGATTCAAATTAAAGTGAGTACAAGCCCTACCTGCTCCTAACAGGTAGGATGAGCCACTGCTTTCGCCTCTACTTGGCTGTGGGGTGTGCTGCAGGCTGGTGGCAGGTGGGATTCACAGCAGCAAAGCCTCTGCTGTCAGCAATTCTGGGACTCCAACAGCCCCCTTTCTTCATACTGTTCTCATCAGGGGTAGTGGCTGCTCAGTACCGAACACGTGAGGATGATGTGGTGGGCCCGGGGGACAAATGTGTCTTGTGAGCCCTCTTCCCTGATACCACCATCCACATAGTAAAGATGGCATGGAATCTCTCCATTGTGCTAAATCTAGGAATCATCTTAATCATGATGAAAACCAAATGTCTTCCTAAGGAAAGGTTGCATGATTTAAAAAAAATCATTCTCAAGATCTCGAATGCTGAGCCCAGGCCCATCCTCGGGGCCCCTCTTCCCCTCCAGCCCTGGAGGGGCATTGACACTACCCCCAGGCCCCCCCCGCAGTCTCTCATTCTGAATAAGGACAGGTCATCAGGGCCAGCATTTTTCCTACTGCCTTTTTTGTGTGTGTGCTTCATGTTTAAATTTTTTTGCCTTGTTTGGCGGCAACTAGAAAAATCCAACAGTTCAGGTCCAATTTCATACACCAGGTAGTAAGTGTTGGACCCACACATGTGAACACAGAATGTTGGTGGTCACTGATGGACACAGACCAACACTGGGTGCTGCTGGGCACTGAAGAGAAAGGAATGCTTAACCACTAAGACTCAGAGCTCTTACCCGGTGTGGCATGTCTGCTAGGAGGGAAAATCACCGGCTATCAGAAGTAAAACCACCTTGGAAGTTAAAACAAACTACCAAAAACGAGTCTGCCACCTGGGAACTGAACACGGCTCGGCCAATGTGACGTTCACAAAGAAAGGGCCGGTAGACTTTCCATTCTCAGCATGTTTCTTCCCCTTGTGAGTCCATTACCTTTCACAAAGAAATGTTAACTATCAAACGTGTCCATTAATTTTGCCGCTGAGGGTGAAAGCATCCAGTTAGCATATACACTATCATTTGGATATCTTGGAAACCCAGTGTTAGTGCCATCAGCTCTCGTGAGTGGTACAGGACTCTCTCCAGGCCAGTTCGGGTCTGACATGCCTAAAAATGAAAACAGATCATTTGTTCTGCACTGAAGAACCAAAACTTCAAGTGCAGACAGTAAGGCCTTGGCAAAACTCCCTTTGATGTTCAAACCAAACTCGTGGTTTCTGTGCCAATTATATTAATGGTTTTGTGTTCCAGGTTTCCAAAAACACTGTTATAGTTAGGGGAAATATCATGTGCTCTCTTGGTAAATGTAACTTAACAGACACTACCAATTTTGACTTTTATGAACTTGAGACTCTCTAATCTGATGTATATTTGTCGAACTGCTTAACTCTTTTTCTAAGGCAGTGTAGGGCAACAGCACACTGCTGCACTCAATGGCTTACTGCAGCGGAAACGTTCTATAAAACATTCTCTAACGTAAAGGAGGCACTCGTCTGTTGTCTGAGCCTACAACGGAGAAGAGGACCTTCCAAATCGAGGGTGCACACGGGCCAGCCTCATAGCATCGTCAGCACAAATGGAGTGTGGCACTAGACACAAAGCCAGTGAGGAGTCAGTGAGTCAGGAGGCATGCAAAAGGAACCGTCTCAGCTTGAAAAAAATGCTTGAAACTCCAAGATTTCAAACAATCAATGATGAAGTTAGGAAACAGAAAAAATTTCTAGTATTTAATCAAAGACAAAAGAAGGAGTTTTGGCAAGAACCATATTTACTGTCCATTGTAAGACCACAGCACCACAGACCATGTTCTTTCAAAAAGCAACTGCTCCAGCTTTAGCACTGACTTCATAAGTGACAACCGTCCTGAAGGTGGGTAAGGGAAAGGATGTGAAAACAGCAGTGGGGGTGCGTCCTCCCAGGGCCAGCCAGCTCCTGCAACCTCGCTACCCCTGATGGAGGACATGTGGCTGGGACTGGGGCTGAGGCTTGGCCAGTGGCTGCTCGCCAGTGCCGGGTGGCCTCTGAGAGGCACCTGCCTGCCCAGGAGGGGTCTGGGGGAACCTGGCTGTGCTCCCAGTGCAGGCTGAGTGGTGCTGGTGGCTCCTTTCTCAACTGAATACCTCCCCAGATTTGTATATTTATCCACTTAGTTAAAGTAGAAGTACTATGACTTGATTCCCACCCCAGAAGCGCCTTATTCAACCTGTTCTTGGTCTCCCCTGAGAGTTCCGCCCTGATCTGTTTTTTCCTCTACCATCCTAAGTTGCTGGGCAATGTGGTAATTACACTTATTTTCACATCCTTTTAGAAAAACATAGTTGCAATAATGCCTAAATGTAAACTGGATGCAAAGTCAGACATTTACAAATAAAAAGGTTCAGAGCAGACTTTGGTTTTGTTCAGACCAGAAACATTTTTAAAAAGCATCACAGAGAGGAAGGATAGTGCAAAGGGGACAGCGGTGCTAGAATCTAGTAAATGCATGGGAAATTCTACCATAGAGTTTGTTTTCAATCCATGTGGAAGGGAGGGCTCGAGGGAGGGGGGCATTATTACAGTCCACCAGCGGTGTCTCCTCCTCTGAGAGGCCGTCGTCATAAATCAGGGAGTCAGATGGAGTGGACGCCGCAAGGTCCAAGTAGTCCTGGAAGACAGAGATGGCCGGTCACTCCAAGCCATGTGCCACAACTAGATACAACTCAGTATACAACAAGCCATCCTCAGGGCAGAGGCTCTGGCTGTGTCTCCACCTCGCACCAATCTCCTGACCTCTCCAAGAGACCAGGGCCAGGCTGCATAGAGCTCCCAGGACTCCTGGCTGGCCTGGTCCTGCTCTGAGGTCCCCATCACTCCCCTGGGTGTTGTCTATTCTGTCTCTTCCCCTGGAAAGTCACCTCCCTGGGGAAAGAAATGTGCTCCCTCAGCGTCTTATCTCCAGGGCCTGGAGGGCAGCCTTGGGGGACGCCTCATCTAGCTGCCCCTGGCCCAACCCGGAGATGGGCAGCACGGAACCAGCCCGCTGACAAACCCTTGGGCTCTGGGGGAGCCCACTGCAGCCACATGCCAGGACGCAGCCCCAGCCTGCAGGATGTTTTCCAGCTTTCCCCAAGGACCCCTGCCATCTAGAACGTCACGTCAGGGCTGAGTTCTGAAATCTGACAGCGCTGTCAGGGTGCACAGGACCCTGCTACAGGCACGGGCTCCCCAGCACGAGGGGCCACTGGCGTCTGCTCCTTTCAATGCCCAGCTTGAATGTGCACAGAGGGGCCCAGCGTTTTCCCGGCTGTTTCTCAGCACTGTTCTAGGAAGGCCAGCACCAGTGATCGCTTCTGTTTTGAACAACGCTGCATTCTCAGGACTTGAAGTTTTCATCCAAGCGAGACAGTGATGTGAAGTTTTCCTATGGGGTCCTAGGTCCTGCATCCCGCTATCCAAGTCGGAAGAAGTGACAACTCAGTAAATGTGCCAATGTTAAGACAAGGCCTGTGTGTAAACCCCGTGAGGGCAGGGCTGTGCTGGTCTTGTTTATCTGCATTCCCAGCCTCTGAGACATAGTATGGGTCCTAGCAGCTGCCTGATGAATATTGGTTGAAAATGTGTAGACCTCACAAACTGTACTTCCAGGCACACAGGCTGACTCTGGCCACCCCCCGATATGCTTTGTTTGGCCTGCGTTCGGCTCTGGGAAATTTAAATGAATTGTTAACAATAAAAACTGGGAGACAACATAAACCTCATAAAATTCAGAAGACCCAGCCCATTCCTGGCTCCTTTTTCTGCAGGCCACAGGTACTCCAGCAAGGAACCCTTTGGAGGGGGCTGGCTGTTTGCCACAGTCTCCACTGCTCCTTACTCACTGCCCTCCTCCAGCCGGACCCCCCTCTGGGCATCTGAATTTTGGGCACTTGCTTTAACTCAACTTTCTCATTTTCCATTATGGAAAACTATTTCTTTTTGGCTTTGGAATATTTTCCTCCCATGCCTGTCTGTAGAGAGCTTTTCCTAAATGTCAAGAATCTTGGTTTCTTCATGACTTGAAAAGAAGCCCAAGCGGCCTGGCCTGAGAAGGGTTCAATCTGCTGTCTGCATGCAGGGGAGAGCATGACTCTCTCTCTCTGCACAATCCCACTGTGGCCCCACACTGGGAACTCTGAGGGCTAAAACTACTGCCCTGGGGTGAGGCTGGAGTCTCCCCAAGCCACTTTCAGCTTGTGGGAATTGGACCCAGGCACTCACTCTCCTCTTAACCATCATCTTCTCCAGGTCTTTGCTGATGTCCGCAAACACCGGCCTTTTGTCCGGCTCCTGCTTCCAGCATTGCAGCATCAGGCGGTACCTGGTGGGAAGAGCAGACAGGCCAATATGATCCAAGCAGGGCCAGGTCTCAGAAGGACAGCCCACCACAGCCATCGCACCCTGCCCTGTACCCTGGGCCCAGTGTGCTCTGTCTCCAACTCCAAAGCTATTTCTGCATCGCTGACATCTCTGAGCCTCGTGGGACTGGGGCATGGCCTGTTGCAGGATCCCAGCCCGTGGGCCACTGTGCTCAGGTCTCTCAGAGCTGTGGTCCAGAATCCTACAAGCTTCCCTTCCCTCCAAGGGAGATTCATTTTTACTTCCCTTGCAAAGACACTGGTAAACAGCTCACTGGATACTATGCTTGCTCTGGCAGCTAAGTGAGAAGTGCCAGTCCTTAAAACTCTCAAGAAGAATGAATTGATTGAGGGCTTTTAGGTGTGGAGACAGACAAACAAGAACCTTTGGCAATCACACGTCTGTCCTGCACCGTCCTTGCTTGCCTGGGTGCCCAGGCAGACCACAGCGCTCCAGCTGGCCACCAGCTGGGGGCCCAGGGAGGTGGTACCTGGCTTCTCGGCCCAGCATGCCCCCTCCACGCCCCAGCAGTGTGCACACTCTGTGGAATGCATGTACCATGCATCTCTGCCTCTGGGCAGCCCTTTCTCATCTGTTCTCAGCCTGGTTTCTAAGACCATCTCCCCTGAGAGTGTAAAGGTTTCAACCTCTCAGGTTGCAGCCCAGGCTGCCCCTGCCTGGCTCTGCACCTCCACTCAGGCACCCCTTAACACGTGCCCCCTGGGCCATCTGGAATTACCTTCTCCTCCCTAAGTGTCCTGCTGGGACAGCTCTCAGCCCTTGAGCTTGCATTGCACCAGTCTCTGCTCTCACTCATTTTTATAAGACCCCCTAGGAAGCCCACCAGCCCTCAGTGGGGTAGGACCCCCAGCATCTACTGCCACACCCAAGGATGGCTCTCTAACCTCTGCCCTGCCCACTCCCCACCCCCCACTTCTCCTGGTTTCTCCTGGGGCTGCTCTGGATGGGGAGGGAATGCACACAGATGTCCCCTCCCTTCCCAAGTGAGGCTGGGCCAAAGCCAGTCCCCGCTCACATCTCCTCGCTGCAGTTGTCTGGCCTCTCCATCCGGTGGCCGGTCTTCAGAAGGTTGAAGAGCCGCTCAGGAGGAATCCCAGGATAGGGGTTTCCCCCTAGGGTCACGATCTCCCACAGCAGGACACCAAAAGACCATCTGCAGAGAGTGAAAGGACCAGTGAGTGGCTCCACCTGGCCCTCACAGAGCCCTCCGGGGGGCCCAGATATCCACCCCCACCACCAAGCACCTGCTGACCCTGTCGGCTTCAAGCACAGATGCTCACAGATGTCAGCCTGGGTCTGGCTGCTCAGATGGATGTAGCATGAAGGTGGGGAAGGGCTGCCTGCCTGCCTGGCCCCTACTCCATGAAGCTGAAGTCCTTGCCCAAGCCACTCCCATCAGAGCAGCCACACGCACAAGGGACACATGAGGCTTAAGATGAATTCATGATTAATGAATTAATGATACATTAATTAATATCATGAATTAATCTTAATAATTCTTAAGATTCTCACACTTAAAGCGGTGAGAATGCAGGCCACCAGACTCAGAGTGCCTTGTATAGTTCTTTTGCCATTTCTATGTGCTTGGAAAATTTCATAAAATCTTAGAAGGAAAAAAAGCTATAGAAAAACATTTTAACTGTGAAGGAAAACTCGCTTTGCAATGGGAACAAAATCATATCACAAAACAGCATCGCATGAGCCCATTTAGGGCAATAAAAAGCATACATGTGCACACCACGGAGCACACCAGAGGGCAGCCAGAGGTCACTGGGCGGTGTGGTCCAATGACATTCAGTCTCTTCTTTATGCTTTTCTCTGCCTTTTCCAACTAGCCTACAGTCAGCTTATATAATCGGAAAGCTGTTGTCCAATTGCTTATTCACAGCCCACAGTATTTAAGATGCACATGTTGGCCAGGCGTGGTGGCTCTCGCCTGTAATCCCAGCACTTTGGGAGGCTGAGGTGGGTGGATCATTTGAGGTCAGGATTCAAGACCAGTGTGACCAACATGGTGAAACCCTGTCCCTACCAAAAAATACAAAAAAATGAGCCAGGCGAAGTAGCACGTGCCTGTAATCCCAGCTACTCAGGAGGCTGAGGCACAGGAATCGCTTGAACCCAGGAGGTGGAGGTTGCAGTGAGCCAGGATTGCGCCACTGCACTCCAACCTGGGTGACAGAGTGAGACCCTATCCCCTCCCCCCACAAAAAAAGAGAGGCACATCACACCTCTGCTGACTGTAGAACACTTTAGAGGCAAGAATCCTGTGTTTTAAAAGTGATCAGCTCTTGTCATTGGACCTGGAAGAATGAGATTTTGGCTTCCACCTTTGAGCAGTTTGGGGCACACCAATCTATAAACTCACACAAGGCCATCTTCAGGTGGAGTCCCCAAGCTCCACTTGTGGGTGGGGGCAAGTCACTGGGTGCTCTGCCTGAGCCCAAAGCCCTACTCAGGACCACAGGAGGGTAACTGCTGGGCTGGGCCTGAGTCACCAAGGGACCCAGAGGGAGGCATGGGACTAGCAAGGGTGGGGGAGGCTGGGTTACTGGCCACCTGCTCGGCTCTCATGCTCTACCGGAGCTTTCAGAACTGCAGCCCGGCCTGGCCCAGCCATTTGCCTCACGAACACATCATGAAGGCCCCTCAGTGAGGGGGTCATTGCAGAGGGCTAGCACTGCAGACAGGTGCTCAGGGCCAGTGCAATTCCCTGGCCAAGCTGCACAGACGGGCGTCGTGGCCCCACTACATGTATAAGGGTGTTTCTGTAACCTCCACCCCAAGAGAGCAACACCCACACTTACACATCACTTTGCGTGGTGTAGATATGATCAAAAAGGGATTCAATTGCCATCCATTTAACTGGAATCCGACCCTAAAGAGAAGATGGAATAAAGACATTGAAGTTACTCTAACTCTCTAGGAAGGAGGGGTAAAGGAGAAGGCCAGGCCCTATCCCTGAGCTTTCAGTAACCAGAGGAGTGCTGTAGACACTCCTGGGCACAGAACTGGCCACACACATCTTTGAAGGGGCTGGAGCTCCAGCCTGAACCTCCTGTGGATTGCTGAGATGCTGGCGGGAGTCAGCTGCCCACCCACAGGCACACAGGGCCAGCTTGTCACATGCCACAGGCCTGCTGGTAGTGCAGAGCAGTGCTTCCCTATGCATGGGCCTGGAACTCCCCCTGCAAGATCTCCCCTGGGGTTCTGAGGGCCAATGTGTTTGGGAAACCAACATCTAGCATTTCCATGTTGGGCACTTTGCCAGCAGCTACCACACTGAAGGAGCCTTGAGGGAAGGGATTTGTCTGTGTGCCTTGGGGGAGGCTGTTTTTTCTCTCTTATTGTATTGCAGGGTGCTTTTAGCATCTCTGAATGAGTGCCCCCAGCCCCCTACATCCCTCATCAGTGCTGGGGTCTGACCTAACAAATCCTTTCCAGGGTGACTTGAGAAACAGCTTCTCCACAGACAAGCCTGAAGGTGCAAGTCCATTTTTAAAATGTGTGCCTTGGGTTGGAACACAATCTTACTGTCACTTCTTTTACTTAAACACATGAGGGATTTATGTCCTTAGTGCAGTGTGGCTGTCTTGGCAGCAGTGTGTGACAGTGTAGCCTGCACGTCTTGTATAAGAATGCCTTCAGCTTCTCTCCCTGGAGGACCAGTGCATCAACAGGAAGGCTCTGTCCACACCCTCCACAGGGCAGGGGCCAGCCCCTACCACTTCCCCCCACAGCAGTTCTGAGATCTGCTGTCACAAGGGAAACCCCAGAAGAAACGGAACAGCTCACAACCCCTGGCAACACAAATGGCTTCTCCAGACCCCTCAGAGCAAAGCTGAATCATAGGAAGTCGCCTTTTGTGGTTTTTTTTTTTCTTCTTCTTCTTTTTTGAGCAGGGTCTGCTCTGAACGTCTGGGCGGCATGGCCTTTGAGCAGCCCCTTGAACTTGCCCTGCCTGGGCTGCCACTGGGAGGCTGCAGGAGAGGGGCTGACATGGGCAGAAAAACTAAGAGGGCCAAGGCAGTTGTCCCGGGACTAGGACCATGGTAGGGAACCAGGTGTCCCCAAGGGTGCCCACTGCCTGTTTCATAGACTTGGACAAAGCTGGGCTGCGTTTCTGGATCCTGTCCAGGGGGTTCCTATGCCTCTAAACTCACCCAGCCCAGTGTCCAAGGCCCCTGTGCGGGAGAAGCCTCACTTGTAAAGCAGTTCATTCCTTTTTGCAAAGAATGACGATCCTGCTAATTTCATCCCACCCTTCTTTGAGAAAAGAGCTAAGGTCATATCAGAACGGTGACCTTTATTCTGCAGAAGAGGACTGTTAGTTCCGCAGCATGAGGTGGCCTCTGAAAAGTGCGGCAAGGGCCTCGGGTCAGTATGCTGCCAGGGAGGGGTGCCCTGGAGGCCCTGGAGGAGAAGGACATGGCAGAGGCTGAGCGGAGTTCTAATTGGGTCCTTGGGGACCCAGGGTCAGAAAGATTTGGGGTGAGGGCTATAAAAAGCTTAGAGCTCCACTAATCTTCGGTATCTTTCCTAGGCTTCCCAAGGGCACTGCCTGCCCCATGGTGCACCTGGGATCCCTGGGAGCCCCGCCTCATCCCCGGGACTGGGCACCTGGCTCCTCTTCACGTAGGAATCCTCTTCATAAACATCTCGGGACAAGCCGAAATCCGAAATCTTCATCTTCCGCCCCTCAGCTACCAGGATGTTTCTGGCTGCCAAGTCCCGATGAACGAGCTGTGAGGAAAAATAGCACGAGTCGTCAGGCCATGGCCAGGCAGCAGCGGTCACTGGCTCAGCCTGGTGTGACCAGCAGAGGGGTGGTGTGTGGCCCGGGTAGCGGCCTGGTGAGACCTGGGCCGGGGGTGTGGCATGGCAGGGGCGTGGTGGAGTCAGGGTGTGACATGGCAGGGGCGTGGTGAGCCATAGCATGGCATGCCATGGCAGGGGCATGGTGGGCTAGAGTGTGGCATGGTGGGGGAGTGGCAGGCCAGGGTGTGGGTGGCAGGGGCGTGGTGGGTCAGGGTGTGGCCTGGCCGGGGCTGGCTGGGTGCAGAGCCATATGCACGCACCTTCATCTCGGCCAGATACTGCATCCCCTGTGAGATCTGCCAGGCAAATGAGATGAGGTCGCCCATGGTGAGGGCCCGCTCATCCGGGTGGTCCAGGGAGCTGGAGTTGCGGCTGCCTCCACTGCCCAGGTAGCCAGGCCCCACTTTGCGGCTCTCGCGGAGGAAGCCCCGCAGGGAGCCGTATTTGGCGTACTCCACGATGAGGAGGAGCGGGCCTGGGGGCGGAGAGAGGGGGCCCTGGGCGTGCGGGTCAGGCAGCTTGGGTCTTCCAGGAGCCAGGGGTGGGAGGCCGCAGGGTCCCCAGGCCCGGCCACCCAATGAGTAAGGGGGTGGACACAGCCCTGCCTCAGGCAGCACTGCTGCAGCTCTGTGGAGAGCGCAGACCTTGAAGCCTCAGCTTTCTCTTGAACCACTTGCTCTCTGCCTCCTGCTGCTCGTGTGGGTGCCTCCTTCTCGAGGTGCCTGAGGCAGGCGACACTGCCCTGGGAGGCACCCCTCCCTGATGCTAGGACGCCAAGCCTTTTTGCCTCCTGGGTCCTGCCCCAGTGCAGGCTGGGGATGCTGATGGAGGCAGAGGCCTGCGCAGATGCAAGGGTTCCTGCCTGGCGCTGGGCTCTGCACACAGCCTGCTCCCTGTTCCCACCTGTCCTGTCCCAGGCCCAGCCTCCAACTCTACTGGTGCCGACCACAGTGCCTGCTGCGCACTCCCGGTGTTTGGGTTCCCTATCCCTCTCGCACACACCCACACACGCATGCTGGGAAGCCCCTGAGCAGCATGGTGGTTTGGAAAACCAACAAACCAGGCTGGTCTCCTGGGTCTTTATCTGAGAAATGGTGACAATGTTCCTGCCATGCAGGGCGGGGCTGGGGTCACCTGAGGTCACAGCACACCTGGTGCCCTGTGGTACCCAGGGTACCCTAGTACCCAGGATGCACTGTCCATTCCTAGAGCTCCCTGCCCCACGGGCCCAGCCCCGAACTGGGTGAGGACACATGGCAGTGTCACACCAGAGACCTCTGAGTAGCCCTGTGGGCCCAGGGAGTGCCGCTAGCGCGGGGCCCCTCTGATGGAAAGTGACCACTCAGCCCGTGGACTCAGCTAGACACAAGCTCCAGGCTGGGGCCTGAGCCAGGCTTCCAGAAAGAGGGAGAACAGGAAACAGGGCAGGAGCAGTAGGGAAAGGGAGAAAGAGGGAGAACAGGGCTGTATGGAGCCCCCAGCCTGGGTGCAGTGGCTGCCCACCTCACCCTGCAGCTGGCCTTACCATCCTGGCTGCAGGCCCCATACAATTTGATGACATGTGGGTGGTTGACCTGCTTCAGGACGTTGAACTCTGACAGCAGGTCTCGCAGCTCACTCGGGGAGGCGTTCTCTGAAATGCAGCACAGAGCAGGTTGCAAACGATCGCTCCTGGAAGCCCCTTCCATGACCATACCAGGTCAGGATGGACCTGCATCGCCTTGCCCAAGTTCAGACAGAGAGGCCTGCAAAGACGATGCTGCTTGAGGCTTCTCCCAGCCTTTGGGATCAGTGGACAGGGGCCTCATCCACCCTGAGGAAGAAGCACCCTGAGGAGCCAGCAACCACACATGCCGGATCTTTCCCCAGAGTGTCCCAGGGCTGGGCCACCTGTGTATGTGGCATTATGTTCCTGTAGTCATTGTCTTTAGAAGACAGTCGTCCACAGAAATTCCCCGCATTAATCATTCTGGAAAGGTGAGGGGTACCCACACACCCACTTGTCGGGAGAGGCCCTGGAGAAGGTGGAGAGCCATAAAGGAGGTCCACACACCGCGACCAGGCTCCCCATTTCCCGCTCCTGTCTGAGATGGCCAGCCTGGAGCCCAGGCATCTCCTGTGCTGCTGATGTATCCGTCACACACACGTCAGCAGCTCACACTCCGTTAGTTACCAAGAAGACCCACATTAGCACCTGAGATAAAGCAGTGTTACCAGTGCACTGCACACCTGACATTCTGGCTTATTCTTAATGAATAGCATGATTCCCCAGAGAGTCTAACTGTAGAGGCATGATGGAAACAGGACGAGGCACCACAGGGATCACCTGCCCAGCACATGCGTCCCGATGGTGGCCAGAGCTGTGCTGGAATGCCCAGCAGGTGCCTGGGCCTGAAGGTATTCCAAGAGTCAGAACACATGGCTAAGCCATCCCTCCCAGGTCAGCTGTCCCACTGCCCAGCTGTGCCGTGCCACCTCCTCTGTCCTGAAAGGTTGTCTGGAAGGGAGAGGACAGTTGGGAGTTGGGGCCCCAGGACCCCTTGGACCAGGTGTGGGCAGCCTGGGGCTGTGCATGGCTGCAATGGAAATCCAAGGGTCTCCCTGTGCCCCTGGAGAGTCCGGGGTTTTACTGGCTTGGAGGTGAACCCAGTCTGGGGCTGGGTAGGCATCTGGAAGCACCCTGTGCTGTGCAGCCCCCGACTACTGCAGATAATTGTTATGTACACCAACCACTCTCCCTCACCGCCATTCAGCCTGGCTGTTCACAGGGCTGGGGCCTGGCCACAGAAGAGGGGGCTACTCAGTGCAGTCGCATGCCTGTGTGGGTAGGTGCATGTGCCCATCGAGAGCCAAACTTGTGGCATGACTGGGCATGCAGGCCAGACAGGCCCATGGGGGTCTCTTGAGATTGAGGGCCAGTCCTTACTGGTGGTCTCTTCACCAAGACCCCAGGAGACACTGGGCTGAGAGGAATGAATGGGGCAGACTGGAGTGAAGACAGCTGTCAGCTCAAAATCAAAGGGCTTTTTAAATGTTTAAAGCTTAGATCTTCAGTGGCACTGGCACAGCAACACCTCTAGAGCCTTCCAGGGAGAGCAAAGTCCTCGCTCTGCTTCTCTAGGCCCAAGTGGCCCATGGTAGGGGTCCCCCAACTGCAGCCGCTCTAGAACAGCATTGGGGGCTCTTCAGGGTCCCATGCTGGGCAGGAGGGGCCTCACCCGCCCCCCGCCCCGGAGACTCCCCCAGGGGCACTGTGCCTGTGCCTGGCAGGTACCTTTCAGCATCTTCACGGCCACCGTGGTGTACCCTGCTCTGCCTTTCAGATGGAAGGCCGTTGCCTTGACCACTTTTCCAAATTCGCCTTCTCCTAGAGTTTTTCCAAGAACCAAGTTCTTCCGAGGGAATTCCCACTTTGGATCCTCCTATGTTGGAAATGAGGGAAGGGGGAGAAGAGGGGGGAAAAGTGTGAGGATGACAGGGGAGGAAGAAGGCAAGACCCTTAAAGGAGGCCCCATGGACAAGTTCCAATGTGCAGAGAACCGGCTGTCATCTGAGCCAGCGGCAACGCTGCCTGTCTCTGCCCTGGGCAGGACCCCACAGCCAGGCCCCTGAAAGCTGCTACATGACAGGTGTGGTCACAGCATGGCTTGGACTCAGTACTTCGACCCTCTCTGGTTCCTGGTCTACTGTCTCCCCTGACCCCTGCCCCAGGACTAAATGAGCACCAGGCCCAGCCCAGGACCTCTGACTACAGTGGAAGTGTCCAGGACAACTTCTCTACATAGCCACCCCTGCAAAGAAAGGCGCCACCATGTTCCGCCTCAGAGTGTGGAAGCACTGCTCCTCAAGGGCTGCCACTGGCCCTCACGCACCCGCTCACCCTGCCTGCTGGCACTACCACCCTGCCCTCCCACCAAAGTTCTATCCACACATTGGGCCCACTTGGGACTGCTCCGGATGCCTTCCCAGACCCCCACCCTGGCCCCCAGTACTTGAACTCTGACCAGGGAGGCCAAAGCCTGCCATGATCCAGGAACCCTCCCTTGATGTGCCAGCTCTGGGCATCCGTCACCCCAGGTCTCCTGCTCCTGGGCTGTCCTGGTCTGGCCCCACATTCCCTGGGAACCCACAGTCAAGGTCAGTGTCGACACTGCCATGGCTTCCCTGCCGCTGTCACCTCCACAGCTGGCACTGGAAACCTGTTTACCACACTCTAGAGACTGCAATAAGCACATGAGGGCGACATCAACCTGATCCTCTCAAATACTGAGGTTGAGTCATGGGTCCAAGACCTGGTGCTGATGAGTGTGACTCTGGAGCTGACTGGGGTTAGGGTGGTGGTCTCTGCCAGCAGCAGCCCAGACCAGTGCGGCCTTCCTGGGCAGCCTCACACAAACCCACTGGGTTTATGAAGGACTCTGGTGGCTCATCCTAGAGCCCTGCCATGAGGCTAAGCTGCAGCCAGGCCAGGATGGGGACCACCAATTAGGAAAGCTGGTGGGGAAGCGGCAGTGGCCACATCTGGGAAGGCCTCCTTGGCTCACACCCTTACCGAGGGCTGGGTGTTGCCTGAACGGAGGCTCCAGGGCCGAGGCCTCAGGCTGAGCTGCACTGTGGGATATGGCCCCTCCCAGGAATCCCAGGCCACCTCCCAGCCTGAGATGGGAACTGCCAGGGCCCTGTGGCCACTGGGTGCTCAGCTTCCTCCCTGGAGGCTCCTGCCGAGGAGCTATTCACGCCACCATAAGCTGCGTGGCTCACCGTTCACTCACACCCTTGGCTCTGAGCCTCTGTTACTTCCAGAACTGGGCTTGGCTTCCAGCGCCCTGGACAGTGCTAGTAGGAACACTGAAGGGGCAGGCCACCACCAGGAGAGGGCAGAGGCCTGCCTGGCCGGGACAAGGAGGCTCCAGGATACTCGGCACAGCCTGGAGGCTCTGAGTAGCACATGCAGACCTGCAGGCCAGGCTCCCCAGAAAGGCACCCCCTTCTGACTTCAGTGCCCCTCCATCCACACTGCTGCTCCCCTGCCCGATGCTGTGACCCTGACCACTGCCTCTCACCTAGATGGGAACGGCACCTCATCACAGTCCCACCCCACAGACTGTCCCCACACAGCGCCCTATGGAAATGGGGGCAGAACACAGGCCTCGTCTGCCCAGCGTTGGCAGCCCCTCACAGGATGGCCTCTGTCTCCCCAGCTGGCCTCCCTCCCTGGAAGGCAGCTGGGGAGGGCAGGGGATCTTCCCTGCCCCGCAGGGACCCTCACCAGGATCTTGAAGGCATCCACGGAGACCTGGTTCTCCATGGAGTCCAGCGAGGGCCGGCGGGCACCGGAAGAGGAGTAGCTGACCGGGAAGGCCTGGGCGGGCCTCCGGAAGGTCATCTCAGCTGAGGAGATGGGTGGCTTGTGGGCAAACTTGTGGTAGCAGTGGATGCAGAAGGCAGACAGCAGCACCGAGACGATGAAGGAGAAGAGGACAGCGGCTGCGATCACCGTGCGGCACAGCTCGTCGCACAGTGGATCTGTGGGTGGGGGTGGTGTGAGGCTTGGCACCGCCAGAGGCTCGGCACCACTGGGTACAGGCTGCGTATGCTCTGCCTCATGGCTCTCCAGCCTGCCGTGTCCGCGCCAGCTGGGAAGTGGCCATGGAGGTGTGGGAAGGCCTGAGAACACCCCATCGAGCATGGGTACTGCCATTTACTGCCCCCTCCTAGACCACTATTGCCCTCTTACAGATGGAGACAGAGGCTCAGAGAGGCTGAGCAGCCTGCCAAGGTCACACAGCAGAGGCTGTGCTCATTACACCAGCTGGCACTGGAGGGCTGGCAGGGGAGGTCAAAATTTTCCTCTGTTCCAAATGTCTTTGGCATTTTCTTTATGAAAATGCTAAGTGGCTAGGGACGTAGGGCTATATAATACCAGAAAACTCAATGACAGAAACGTGTCCCTATGCTCAGGCAGAACAGCACCCCTGAGTGTAGTCAGTGTGGCTGTGCAACCCACCATACCTGCTGACCTTGAAATGTGTTCCTGGGTGGGTCCCAGCTGCATGGTCACAGGGACAGTGACTTGTCAGGCTGACAAGTTGTTTGGTGGAAGAACTGCTTTTCTGGCCTGTCCATCATAGAACTTATGGCCAGAAGACACTTTACAGGGGCCCTGGCCCCTCTCCTGGGTGGAGTAACAGAGGCCCAGAGGGAGGGAGGGAAGTTTCATGGGGCCCACTCGCCTCCCAGCAATTTCCTCCCTTGTTGGGACCTCAGATGTGCTGTTGAGACCTCTGTGGGGCTGGGAGGTGGTGGTGGTCCCGGCCGCCACCCACTCACCCTGGATGTCTTCGGGCTCGCAGAAGCACTTCTCCTCCTCAGGGAAGCAGTTGCAGGTGCCATAGCCAGCTTTAATCCCCCGGGGCTCCCCAGGCTCGTGTCCCCCAACAATGCTGCCCCCTGAGGGCAGACGTAGCCCACTCAGCCTCCTGGGGCGCCTGACCACCCCAGGCGCCCATATTTCCAGGGCAGTGTCCCAAGGAGCCCCCTCCCCAACTGGTGTCGCAAGCATAGGCCCAGTGAGGCCAGGGGCCCAGCAGCTTGGCTTAGCCGGGCAGGGCTTGGTCACAGTGCCTTTCTGAAGCCATGGGTGAAGCCAGGCCCCCTCCTAACATTTCATCTGAACAAAGGACTCTGCCTCCAAAACTGGAGCCTGGTGGCCTGACCCGCACATTGCAGTGTCCCTCGTCTGGCTCAGGGCCGCACTTTCCCTGTCAGTGTCCCTACTGACCATTCTCTGCTTCTGAAATCTGTGTGTGCCGACTTCTGGGACCTCAGCAGGGGCCTGGACAGTCTGTGGGTCCCTGCCTTCCCCCTGTCCCTGACCCTGCCTGCTCCCTCCCCATGGCTAGGGTGATGCTGAAATGCACAGGAGGCTCAGCTTGATGCATAGAACTGACAGCCCTGGCAACTCTGGCTGAAGTGCCTGTGGGATCCAGGTTTCCCCTACTATCTCCTACCTGTTCCCATGCCCTGATTAAACCCTGCTTACGGAGGCAGTCCTGAGGGCAAATGTTGATGTCTTGGGTCTCCACAACATCGCAGTGGCCGTCGGGGCAGGTCTTGGTGCTGGGAGAGCAGGTGGAGAAGTTCCTGGTGATCCCTGCACAGGACACACAGCAGGCTGTCACCCATGTGGGAGCCCCGCCACACGCCCCCACCACCTCCTAGGCAGATCCTGCCCCTCTAGGGAGGAGCAACTGGAGGCCTGAGTAGGGAAACACCATATACAGAGCCTTGCCAGCGGAAGCATCCTGGGGAGCCATGGCTTATGGGAGAGGAGGTATGGGGGGTTCCTCACACAGGTGGCCCTTACAGCAAAGAGGCCGGGACCCTCTCAGGGCTGCATGGTGAGGGCCCCTCATGGTGGTGGGCACACCCAGGCTGGCCTCTGGCTGATGCAGACAATGAGTCCCCTGCCCACACCACATCCCCTGGCCGAGGACCTCCCAGAAAAACGCCATTCTGTCCCCAGCACATCCCAACTTTGGTTCAGACCTTCCCAAGTCCAGAGTGAATCCGGCCTGGGGACCATTCACTGTACTCACAAGCCCTCTCCCAAGCCCTGCACTGCTGCCCGCTATGCTGGCATCGAGAGCCACATGGGGGATGAGGTGCCAGAAGCAGACCTGGAGCAGGGAGAGCCACCCCAGGCTGGCAGGGCCCCAGGACCCCGTTTCCACCGGTGCCATCGCCCCTGCAGGCCTCCCTTGGGCGTTTCCAGGGCTTACCTTTGCCATCTCCTTGCCTCCACTCACACCTGCCTGTTGGGGAGCCCAGGCCGCCACACTCCTCACACTCCAGCCGTCTCTTGCTGACTGCACAGGACAGGGGGCAGCCCGCCTCCTCGGCCACATCTGCAGGTGGCAGACAAGCAGGGTCACAGGGGGCTGGCCTGGGCCCAGCGTCCAGCTAGTGCCCAAGGACAGGGAACAGCACCAGCTGAGCTGCCCACGGATGGAGCCCAAGGGGACCGGAGTGACAGACCCAGGGCAGCAAAGACAGTGCCAGGAGCACAGGGCGCAGGGCAGGGTACAGGACATCATGGTCACAAAGCAGGGGTCACCTGGGCTGGGGTAAGTACAGGAGGAAGGATGTGAGTGCAGCCAGATTCAGCCAACGACGCCCTGTGGGACCTACATTTCAGATACACAATGAATGGCATGAATGGCAGCTGTGTCAGCATGTTCCTAAGAGGGCATGGATGGACCTAGAGGTGTGTCTTTCGAGAAGCTGCAAAAGTTGCATGGAACACACCTATACCAAAAAACTGCTTGTTGTTTACCCAAAATTCAAATTTACCCAAGGTCCTGTATGTTATCTGGAAGGAGCAACCATTTACTGCTGGGTCACTCAGGGTGAAGCTGGTCCATGCCTTCCCCACTCCCCAGCTAAGCCTTGCAGCTGTACTGCTTTTCTCAAAGGGCAGGAGGCCCAGGCTCCAGAAGCCCCCAGGACCCCGACCCTCCCTCCCTGGAGCAGGCACTCACATGACCCCTCCACTGTTACAAGCAGCTGGGCCTGGGCCTGCCTAGAGGTCTGCTGGTCGGTGGCCACCACCATGTAGTGAAGTTCGGCACACTTGGGCCGCCGCAGGGCCTTGGTGTCATTCACAAACAGGATCCCCGAGGTGTCCTCGGCTGAGGTGACCACCCCTAGCGTGCTGCAGTTGGCACCAGAGGAATGCAGCTTGTACTGGACGTTGATGCCACTGAATGCCTGGCAGTTTTCCACACAGACTTTCCCGATCTAGGGGGGCACAGGGGAACACCTTAGCCAGGCAGCTGGACCGGCCTGTAATGGCCTGAGGGTAGAGATTCCCACACAGCCTAAGTCCTGGAACAGCCCCCAACTGGGCCTGGAGACAGCAGCCCCCCCGAGCACCCTGTCCTCCACCCCTCAGAGCCTTCATACCCACCCACCTGCCCCAGCCCTGCCCTGCCCCGTTCCACTCAGGCCACATGTTACCAGCTGCCCCTGTTCCTGGGAGCTGGAGGTCAAGGCAACCCAGGGCCTCGAGGTTCAGTTTGGTGGCAGGAAAAGCCCCAGGCAGGCCCTGACTCAACCCTTTACTCCCCTTTCCTCCCTCACTCAGACAACAAAGCCGCCGGAATGTCTCCCAGGCTCCTCCCTGGCTGCTCCCAGCTGCCCCAGCAGTGCTCTGGGGACCCCTCACTCCTCCCTCAGTGCACAGGGTTTAGAGGTCCACCCTGCCCTGGTGTCCCCTGGTCAGAGCACTGAACCCCAGCCACAAGACTCGGGAGCATGGTTGCCCCAGCCCATGCAGGACCAGGGGGCCTCCCTGGGACTTTGAGCAGAGCCTCTGGGAAAGAGGAGCCTCTTCTCCTGGGGATGCCAGGCTCTGGGACTTTGACCAGAGCCCCTGGGAAAGAGGGGCCTCTCCTGGGGATGCCAGGACCTGGAGTCAGGCAGCTGAATTCTTTCAACCTCTTGGCAACTCTTGCAGCTGCTTGAAACCAAAAGTTCCACAGATGGCGAGATGGGGGCGGGCCAGAGCAGGGCTGGGCTCTCCCAGGCCCACAAGTGACCACAGCAAAAACCAGCCTCCTGGGCCTCCTCACTTTCCCCTACAAAGCCCACTTCCAAATGCTCATGTGACTCTCAAAATTGTTCAGGGTTCCTGTCCCTAATTCACAGCTTTACAAACTGGGGAGAAAGGTGAGACCACAGTGAGGCTGAGGCTGGACTGGGATTCAGGCCCCCGTTGCTCCTGACAGAGGGCAGGTGACCCAACTTCAGCAATGCCTGCTCTTGCCCCGCCCCCCATGAGACCCCCCGGGGCCCTCTGTCTTGTCGCCCCTCTGTCTCTGATCCCACTCCCATTAAAGGCCAAGGAGGTGGTCGGGGAGCTTAGATATGTCCAAGGGTGGGCTCCCTCGTGGGCTGGACACGGGTGGCTGCCAGGAGCTGATGCGGGCACAGAACCACCCGAAAGAACTGGCAGATGGCCCCTGAAGAGGAGGCGCCACGGGCTGCTCTGCAAGGGAGAGCGGCATGCGAGAACATGCGTGCTGCAGTTTCAAGTCAACTTAATAAGTGCTTACGAGAAACATCCCAGAAAGAACACCACGATGTGCAACACTGGCGCCTATGGGTAGAAGGGATCACGCCTCATGCCTCATGCCTCATCTTCTTTAATGAATATTTATTACTTTTATGCCTTCTATTTCTAATCATTATTTTCCAAAGACAAATATAAATATACGCTTTCTAGCAAACCTAGTTACAAAAAGTAAAAAGTGGAAGCGTTTCCTGCCTCCCCCTGAGGGCACCACTGTGGACAGCACTGTGATCTCTGCACACTTGCAGATCCCTGTCAGGGAAGATCTGCTTTTGCACAAAGGGAGTCACGTGGGACCAACATCTCTGCAAGCCACTCTCACCAATCCACCAGGAAGATTCTTCCGAGTCACCATATGCAGATTTACCCAGTATTGCTCTTGCATTTTTGAAAATACATTTTAAAGATACCAAGAATGGAAAGGGGAAAAAAAGAGAGGCCCAAGGAGCCCCCAGCCCTGCCCACTGTGAGCTCTCCCAGGCCTCTTCTGTGCACACAGCTGTACCTCCTGGCCCTGGGCTCAGGACTCCACCCAGTCTACTCTGTGCTGGTTGGGCCAAGAGGCAGTGTCACCTGCCTCCCTGTGCCCCCATGTCCCTTGGCCTTTCAATCTTCCCCAGACAGGCAATAGGTATGGGCTCACCTGGGCAAATCGGCGAGCCCTCCTGCTCACGGAGAGGGAGTAGGTACTGGGCAGGTGCAGGCTGACCGGCAGCACCGACACGTTGAAGTGGAGCAAGAGGACGCCCGCTCCTGGGCCCTGGAAGTCTGAGTCATTGACCAGCACCGCCAGCTGCATGGTGCGGTTCTCCGAGATGGAGAGGTTCCGGTTGAGAACCAGCCCTGCAGGTAGGGGCACAACAATGACCACCAAGCTGCTCTGGCTGCTTCCTCATGTGTAGCACACCTCTTCCCAGACACAGCCCTGCACTCACACTGGTGCAAACACGCACTTTCACACATACAGTGCCATGCAACAGGCCTGGGGCTGGTCCTAAGTTAGCACCAATGTTCAAACGTTGGGATTTACTGAACTGAAAGTCCAAGGAACCCTTCTCAATTTGAGGCAGCCTGTGTGTGTGTGCATGTGTACGCATTGTATGGGGTGTCTGTGTGTATGATATGCTTGCATGGTATGCGTGTGTGTGGTATGTGTAAGTGTGTAGTATGCATTTGTGTGGTGTCTGTGCATAGGGTATTGGTGCCTGTGTGTATGGGGTGTTTGTGTATAGAGTTGTAAACTGAAACTAAAATCTTGAGTCCCCGGACCAACTGAATAGATCCCCTCTTGGCCAAGGGACACCAGAAAAACCTTAAAAACAGAATTCTGGGCCATGACAGGAAGGCAGGGTGGACTTGCCTTATTAGGCCCTCTTCCTGCTGGAGTTTGGACACAACTGACCGGCATTAACATTAAAACAGAGATCATAAGACTGACAGATCGGACTCTTTGTGGCAGTAAGATACCAAATTATAAACAGGACCTAAGGCCATGCCAGGCAAGGGTTAAGAAACACCCTACAAACCATAACATTGGTTTTCTTTTTTGAGACAGAGTCTTGCTCTGTTGCATCTCATTGCAGCCTTGACCTCCCAGGCTCCAGCCATCCTCCCACCTCAGCCTCCCAGGTTCCTGGAATCCAGGCATGTGCCACCACGCCTGGCTAATTTTTTGTATTTTTTTTTTTTTTGTAGAGACAGGGTTTCACCATGTTGCCTAGGCTGGTCTCGAACTCCTGGACTCAAACAATCCACCCGCCTCGGTCTCCCTAAAGTGCTGGGATTACAGGCGTGAGCCACTATGCCTGGTCCATAAAATCTTGTTAAAAACCTTTTTTTTTTAAGTTACCCAGGTATAACGTGGTTTACTTTCCCTCCTGACCCTGTATAGCATCAGGCGACACATAGCAGGCCTCCTTAACATTCCTTTGTACTGACCTGAAGTCTTTAGGCAAAGCTTAACTCTTTCAACCAACTGTAAATTAAAGAATCTCTGCATCTACCTCTAACCTGTAAGCCCCTGTTTTAAGATACCCTGCATTTTGGGGCCAAACCAATGTATACCTTCTGTGTGTTGATTTATGTCCTTGCTTGTAACTCCTGTCTCCCTAAAATGTATAAAAGCAAACTGTAACTCCACCACCTTGGACCTGGGGACCACTTACTCAAGGCTTCTTGGGTTTGTGTTTTCTCCAGGCTGTGGTCACTCATCCTGGCTCAGAATAAACCTCTTTAAAATGTTTTACAGAGTTTCGTTTTTTGGGTAACAGGGTGTGTGTGTGTGTGTGTGTGTGTGTGTGTGTGTGTGTGTGTGAGGCATGGGGGGTTAAAGGTCTACATTACCAAGGCCCTGGGAAGGACACACTAGAGCCCTCCAGACAGCTCCCCCAGAGCATGGCAGAACTACCCTCCACTGCAGGAACCTCCAGCAGACCCAATGACCCCGCAGGCCAAGCCCTGGAAGTCATGCCATCGGTGTACCTGCCGCGTGCTGCCACTGTGGATCTCATGTGGTGGAAACAATGATGGGAGGGGCACTCTGGCACACAGGGTGTTCAGTGCCAGGGCAAGGAGGCTGTCTCCCCTCTGACAAGTGGGGCCTCCATAGGCTTGGTGAGGTGGGGAGGACTGAGGAATGAACAGGACCAGGCCAGGCAGAAAGGGGTGAAGGACTCATGGCCTGGGGTTCCACCAGACACAGACCCCAAATGCAGGTGGTTTATTTGGAAGGCGATCCCAGGAGAAATCTGCAGGAGGTGGCGGAGGGAGGCAGGAAGCAAGGCCGCTGCTGAAAGGTGCCCTGCAAGCAGGTGAGCATGGTGGCATGTCAGCAGTCAGGCAGGATAATGGGCTCAGAAGCCCTGACCTGGCTCGGGGCTGCTTCTGTACACCAGCCTGTTTAGCAGAGAGCTGCTGAGGCTGGAGCAATAATCCGTAAGCACTTGGGACGCCTTAGGGGCAACGATGGAGTGCCAGGGGCTGGAGGAAAGCCTCAGGTGACATGTGTGTTTGCAGTCGGTGGTGAGCCCTGGTGAGGTCAGCAGGGGGGTGTGGTGGGGCCCTGCCAGGGTCGGCCATGGATCAGCTCAGGGAGAGAGGTCCCATGGTGAAAGCCCTGCTGGTGGCTGGAGGGCAGGCCTGGCAGAGACACAGGAAGTGCTGGGCAGAGGGTGGAGGGGAAGTGGCTTGGGCCACAGAGGGCCATGCCAGGTGTGCATGTGTGTAGGGTGCTGCTTGCCCATGAAGAGCGAGCACCTCATTTCCTGGGGGCCTAGCCAGGCCGTGCCACCAGCCCCTCTTACTATAGTCATGTACGGTCGCCCGCACGAAGCTGCCGTTGGCCTGGACCGAGGTCTCGTTGGGCCAGTGTTCCACCCGGAAGGTCTGCTGGGCCCAGGTGTCCCCGGGGAGCAGCGTGCTTGTGTACCGCCTCACCAGCTCCCCTGATGCAGGTACCACGTCTGCATCGAAGACACGCAGCGTGGCCACCACGGTGTCCTGCAGGATGCAGAGGGCGTTGGTCAGTGCAGGCGAGATGGGCCCCTCAGACCCCCCAAAACCAGAGACCTTAGAATGCTGCACGTCCCACACAGCCCATAGGTGGACCAGATGTGTGTTGTCAGAGCCAGGTCTGGGGACAGTCTGACCTGGGTTCAAGTTCCCACGGGGTCACTGGCCAGCCTGGCCGTCACCTTCCCTGAGCCACTGAGCCTCGCCTGTGTAACAGGTACAATGCAGACCTCTTATAAGGAGAATTACAGCCGATGCCCAGGCACCCTGCTGGCAGGTCCCATCCAGGTCCCCAGAGAGCAGGATGAGCACCTCCACTCTCCCCTGAGGAAGCTGGGCCCCACAGGGTGAAGGTCAGGTCAAGGTCACACAGGAACAGCCGGCAGAGCCGAGCTCCGAGGCCAGGTGTACATCAGAGCGCTCTGTTCCAAGCATCCTCCTACCCCAGGCTGGAGGGGGTTGTGAGGAAAGCCGCTGGGCACCTGGATGGCTCTGCCCACCAGGCCTCTGCTGTCACCCCAGGGAGGCCCACATAGCCTTTACTCACAAATTGTGCTTTCGACCAGACCCCCTTTCCCTGCCAAACCTGCACGTGGTGTGCCCAGAGAAGCGGAACAAGGCAACGTACTACCTACCTCAGTCCCCACGCCCACTCTCCCACGGCCCCTGCTGGGTGGGCCGGCTGCAGGAAGGCCGAGGCCCAGCAGGTGGCGGTCGCGCTCCACCAGCGCGAGCCGGAGAAGGGCGGGGCGGGCGGCGCCGGAGGTGATCCGCCTTCCCGTCCTTCTCCAATCCCCGGCTCTGCTCGTGGTCACTCAAGGGCCCTCCCGTTGGGGGCTAACTGCTGGTGGGAGGGAGTGCCCTCCCGGCAGATGCTCCCCGCCCGGGCAGCGCGCCGCGCCCGCCTGCAGCGGCACAAGTATGCCCCAGACGCGAGCCCTCGGGCCTCGTCCTGGTCCTTGCCTCCCGAGGCAAGGCCCAGCTGGGTGCTGGCAGGACTCCCCCTTCCCCTCCCCCTAGGACAGACGGCGCAGACGGAGGCGAAGGACAAATGAAAGCGCGAATGGTCGGCCACACGGTTGGGTGGCTACACGGACACTAAACCGACCGAGAAACGAACTGTGGCCGGAGACAGAC
Organism: Homo sapiens; assembly: GCF_000001405.40. NCBI lineage: Eukaryota > Metazoa > Chordata > Mammalia > Primates > Hominidae > Homo > Homo sapiens. The sequence goes on along the minus strand of NC_000010.11, from coordinate 43,105,226 downwards.
ACTGGGTAGACCACAGCACGCGCGGACAAGCACCTCCTTCCGCTTGAACTCCACCACGGCGCTGGCGGTGTCGACGCCCGCGGGGAAGGTGGGCGCCGAGTCGTCCTCGTCGTACACGGTCACCGGGAAGGGCACCATCACCACCTCCTCGCGCGCGCCGGCGTGCACGGTGCACACGGCCACCAGCTCGTACTTCTCCCGCTGCTCGCGGTCCAGGGCCCAGCGCGTGCTCACCTCCAGGCTGTCCGGGGCGCAGCGGAAGGGCAGACCCTCACCTGCGCACCAAGCAGACAGGGGCCCCGCGTGATCACCAGCCGGGACCGGGCCAGCCGCTTTCCTCGGGAAGGGGGCTCTGCGGTCAGAGCGGGGCGCACACCGCCGCGGCCCCAGGCCTCCCCTCCTCCGCTCCACAGGGGAGGGCAGCGCTCGGAGCACGAGTTTGCAGTTTGCAGCGATGACTGTGCTTACGAGTTTGCAGTTTGCAGCGATGACTGTGCTTACGTCCTGCTGCAGCTGCGTCCTCACTCGTGCTGGTTGGGAAGAGCCAGGACCAGGCACCCTGATCAACCAGTAGGGACTGGGACACCCCTCCGCCCACCTGGCCTTGATCAGGAGTGGCCTTGTGTGGGGAAGGGTGGCTTTGCCTCAGCCCAAGCTGCACTGCAGCCCTAGAGAGCCAGCTACTGGCCTTGGCTGCTTTTTTTTTGTTTTTGATGGAGTCTCGCTGTGTTGCCCAGGCTGGAGTGCAGTGGCGCGATCTTGGCTCACTGCAACCTCCAACTCCCGGGTTCAGGCGATTCTCCTGCCTCAGCCTCCCGAGTAGCTGGGACTACAGGCGCCCGCCACCATGCCCGGCTAATTTTTGTATTTTTAGTAGGGACGGCCTTTCACCATATTGGTGACCTTGGCTGCTTTTTAAAAACTGTTAGGTTTTTTTTTTTTTCAATTATGGAAGCAATATGTGTTCATTTTAGAGAACGTGAGAAAGCCACGATTCTACCACTTGAAAACAAACACAGTGGACATCTGGGGTATGATGTGACATTAACGCATAATGATTTCCGACCGCCTAGTGTGCATCCCCACTCTACACCTCCTTGTCCAGTGCGTCGCCAGGCTGGTCATCCTCTGAAGGCCGGATGTCGAGACAAAAGCGAATGCTCCGTGCCCTGCATGGCAGCTCGCGCTAGACTACATCGCCCCTGAAGCAGGGCCAGGAACCACAACACAGTCTTCAACGAGCCTGACCTCGGATTTGTCCTCCAGAAATAATCCAGAAAAGGGGGCATGCTGAAGGCGGAAGGTCACCGCTGAAGACCCCACAACCCACCCCAAGGAGGCGGGGGCAACTCCACAAGCCTCCCAGGCAGAACCATGCCTTGCGCATGAATTACGTATGTGGGAAATGCTTATCATATAATGCTTTCCTCTGTTGAGTGTGATTACAAAAAACCCCCCACTAAACTAAATTTAATCACATAATTTTTAGTGAAAAAGGGCAGCATGCAAAAAACCAAGTGCTCCATCAACCCTGCCCCAGAGAATGAAAGGAATCTGGGGAAGCATAAGTGATGGCTTGTCTTCCTTTACTGAGATTTTAATATTCTTGCCATGTTTGTGTGATAAAGTTAGTGTGAATTTAGGACACACTTGCCAGCGGTGCAGCCTCTGTGACCTGGTTGAGCCCCACTTCCTGACTTTCTGATGGTCAAATGGGGCCTCCCTGCACCTAGTCAGCTGCCTTCTCCCCTCTCCACTGGGATCCAGCTCATCCCACCCTCTGACTGGCTGCAGCTGCCTGCTTCTCGCCATGCCTCGGCTTCCACCCGTATCCCGGCATCACACCCCACATCCTCCTGTTCAGAGGTTTCTCCTGTAGCCTTCTGATTGTCTCCCAGCTTCGCCCCTGAACCTTCCCACCCCAAACCATTCCTAACACAGTAGTCTGACTAATCCTTTTAAAACTAAGTCAGGTCCTGCCAGCACTCCCTCCCTCCAAAGTCTTCCATAGCTCCCCATGTTCCTCCGGAGAAAGCCCTGCAAGCCACTCCCAGACCTGCCCCCTGCCCCAGGAACTATTCTGCCCCATCAGCCTCAGCTCTTCCCTGTCGCTCAGTGCACTCCAGGCACACGAGGGTCACACTGTGGTGCCCTCCAAGGGGCTAGGCCTGCCTACCCGGCACCCTCCCACCTTTGCTCTGCTAGCCCCCACCCTGACCACCCAATTTACGATAGAGGAATGGAGGTCTCCTCGTCTGTTCCCCTCCTCTTCAGCGTTTCCCTCTTCCCAGTTTCCTCCCCAGCTAGCTCCTTCCAGAAGCCACCTGATTTCCTTGGCATGCTCAGACGCTCTGTCTGCCCCACAAGAATGAAAGCTGCAGGCAGGCAAGATTCCAACCCGTTGTGTTCATTGTTATATCCTTAGCTCCTAGAACAGTACCTGGCCCCTGGCAGGCATGCAAGAGGTACTTCTGGAATATTGAATGAACTGATGGCATGAAGGTGAAGAATAAACCAGATGGCTTGTGTCAAGGGCTCGCAGAGCAAGACCAGCAGTAGCAGGCACTGTGGGGCGGCCCCACAAGGTCGGCACTCACCCTCCAGGAGCCTGTAGGCCACGCTGATGTTGGGGCACAAGAACTGCACAGGCAGCAGGCGGAACTGGTGGAAGGTGCCTGGGGGTCGGTTCTCCCGAATGCGGAAGGAGGGCCTTGTCTCTGGGAAGCAGAGCTCCCGGGGCTTGAGGGAGCTGCAGGCTGGAAAGGAGGTGTTGAAGAAGGAGAAGTATACGCGGGCACAGCCTGGCCACTGGCACTCGCCCTCACGAAGGGATGTGGGTGACAGGAAGACCTTGAGGTAGACGGTGAGCAGGGGAAAGCCGCGGTCTGCAGAGAGAAGTCAGGTCTGTGGGGGCATCGGCCACATCTGCCAGGCAGTCGGGAATGGGGAGGAGGCAGGAGCTCCAGGGCTGGTGTAAACCCTGGTCCCCACCAAGGTCCACAAGGCTCAGACTGGTGTTCCAGCTCTGCCTGCCACCTCCTTACCTCTGCTGCACAGCCCTGCTGCCCAGCACCAATGCCCCACAGGCCTAGCTCTCATCATTCAGTTCTTGGCTTAGAGGCCCCTTCCTCAGGGAGGTGTGTTGAGCACTGGGTCTAAGGCTCCCCAACTCTGATGGTGGCAACTTCTCCAGTAAGGGGTGACCAGCACCCCCCCTGCCACACCCTCCTCAGGAGGTTTGGAGTGGCCGCAGACATACTTCCCCAATGCCTAGAGGGGGCATTTCCGGCAAGTTCCATCACCGAAGCGCCATAGCCATTTCAGCTGGGCTGCGAGGGCTTTCCCAGCCTCCATCTCAGCCCTAGGTGGGCGGCTGCTCCTCAGAGCTGCTCTTCCCATATTCTCTGGCATTCTCTTTGCTTTTTGCTAGCCTGTCCCTCATTGCTCCAATCCCCTGTTGTAATTAATTCTTTACACAAACTCTCCCTGTTAAATTACCCTGTGGTTTCTTCCTCCACAGGAACTGGCTGTGCATGAAGCCTCTCCCCACCTTGGAGGGCTTAGGCCTCCTACGAAATGCAGGCCCAGGGCAAATTCCACACTGGCCCCCACCCAGGGACTCCCATTCCTCAAGCTCCACCCTGGAGGCTCAGGATGAAGAGGGCAGCAACTAAGTGCGTAGAACCACGACCAACCTCAGATGCTGCCTCCTCCAGGAACTGCCTGGGCTGCGCCGGAGGGAGTTGCCCACCCAAGTCTCCTCCCTCCCCTGCACCCTGGCTGTCCCTGGCAGATAGGCCTGGGTAGGGCAGGGATGCCTGCTCTGCATTCATAGCCTGAGGCTTGCCTCTCACCAGCAGACAGGGCTCAGGGTGGTTGTGAGGGCTGTGCAAGCTGTGGCCCTGGAGGGGTGCTAGGGATGGGAGCTACCAGGTGCAGCATCACCGTTTCCTGTCACAGGGGCTCTGCTTCCCCCCCACCCCTCCCATTACCAATGTCACATGTGGCCGTGACTCTGGCTCTGACTGCTCCTCTTTCCTCCCTGGACACCTGGGACAGGCCCAAGTCCCTGCCAGGTACAAGGGCAGCCAGCTGCTGATAAGAAGTCAGGCTTTCCTTGGGAACTGCCGCTTCTCCAGAGAGTTGCAGGTCATTTGCTAAATCAAAACCTTGGGATTTTTCCAGCCCCACTTACTCCCTCTCTCGAAACCTCCTAATCCTTTTTAGCCCCACTGGAAGAGGGATTCGGGTCTGGCAGAAGAGTGTACCCGGATGATTCCCGTGTGTCTCCAAACTCCTACAGCCTCACGCAGCCCTGAAGCTTGTCCTGGCTTCTCTCCAGGCTGGACACAGAGGCAGGCCAGCCTCACTTAACCCCTGACGCCTTCCACACCAGCGGTGGGGGGGAAGCCATGCCAAGCTTCAGTGTCAGCGGCTGTGATAAGGGCGGCTTGAGGAAGGGGTGGGGTGGGGCACGGGGTGGGTGTTGGGGCGGCTCCCTTACTGCGGACACTGAGCTTCTCCCAGGAGCTATGGTCCAGGCTCCGGTTAAGGTAGAGGAGGCCGGTGTCCTCCTGGATGCAGATCCAGTTGTTCTCATGCAGCCGTGTGCGGTACGTGCCGTAGAGATGCTGGCCCAGGCGGAAGCTGGGCACCTCCTCAGGGGCGTCCCGCAGGGCATGGACGTACAGCAAGGGCGTGCCGGCTGCCTGGTCCACATACAGCTTCTCCCAGTAAGCATCCCTCGAGAAGTAGAGGCCCAATGCCACTGTGGGAAGTAGGGAAGTGAGTGAGGGATGGTGAGAATAAGGCTTCTTCAAGGACAAAAAAAAAAAAAATCATTAATTTAAAATTCCGATCTTAGCAGGAGTTTTTCATCTCTGTTCCTGAGAACATGAACACTCAATTATTTGTATAGTTACACACGGGCTAGAAAAGAACTGCTTTAAAACAGAAAAAGAAAAGGAAACAGGGGAAGCAGTATCCTCAGTGACAAGCCTATTCTCAATCATCCAAGCCGGAAGGGCACCTGAACCATACAGACTTCTCAACAGGTCACCCAGAGCCAGAGTGTTCAAGGGCAGGAGACACTGCCACCCATGTGGGGCAGGCAACAGTTGCCAAAAAATGAAGAAAGCACTTTACAGGAAAGTCATAAATCTTTATCTAAACATACGCCTACCATATGACCCTGCAATTCCACTCCATTCATCCAAGAAAAGTGAAAACATACGTCTATCAAATGCCATAGTTGGAAATGGAAGGATGATTCACAGAAGTCAAGAGCCTAGAGGCCCTTCAGCAGGTGGATGGACAGGCACACCGTGGTCCAGCCATGCCACAGAATCCTGCCCAGCAATGGAAAAGGATGAACTATGGATACACGCAAACACCTGGATGGGTCACACACACAAACCATGCCAAGGTGAGGAAGCCAGGCAGAGAAGAGCGCACATGGCATGATTCTGGACGGATGTTAGGCAATGGATCAGACTGGCTGCCTGTGGCAGGCGGGGGTGTGGGGGAGGTGGACAGATTGGGAAGGGCCACAGGGCACTTTCTGGGGAATGTGAAGGTCCCATATCCTGAGAAGGGTGCAGATCACGTGGGCATATTCGTTTGTCAGTATTGTGCAGCTAAGGTCCGTGCATCTTATCTATGTAATTTTTATTTATTTATTTATTTATTTATTTATTTATTTATTTATTTATTTTTGAGATGGAGTTTTGCTCTTGTTGCCTAGGCTGGAATGCAATGGTGCAATCTTGGCTCACCACAACTTCCACCTCCCGGGTTCAAGCGATTCTCCTGCCTCAGCCTCCCCAGTAGCTGGGATTACAGGCATGCACCACCATGCCCAGCTAATTTTGTATTTTCTTAGTAGAGATGGGGTTTCTCCATGTTGGTCAGGCTGGTCTCGAACTCTCAACCTCCGGCGATCCGCCCGCCTCTGCCTCCCAAAGTGCTGGGATTACAGGTATGAGCCACCGTGCCCGGCCTATCTATGTAATTTTTACCTAAATAACTGAAAAATGAATCACTGAAGGCGCTGTGGACAGAGGCGTAGCTTCCTTGAAGAAGGCAGGATGCTAGCCTCGGCTGTGGCTGAGTGAGCCCAAGCAGGGGCACGGTGCACTATGCTGCTGACTGTGTGTGGCCAACATTTCCCACAGTGGAAAGCTTTTAAAATAGTTTTTGGAACTCATGTACATTGTCGGTGAAAATGGAAAATAATATACAGTTATCATGAAAAACAAGAAGGTAGTTCCCAAAAACTTAAAAATTGAATTACCATATGATCTACCAATCCCACTTCTGGGTACATACGCAAAAGAATTGAAAGCCAAGTCTCAAATAGATATTTACACACCCATGTTCACAACAGCACTATTCACGATAGACAAAAGGTGGAAGCAACCTCAGTGGCCATCAATGGATGAATGGATGAACAAAACATGGTCTATACATACAATGGAATATTCAGTCTTAGAAAGGAGGGAAATCTGGCCGGGCGCAGTGGCTCACGCCTGTAATCCTAATACTTTCGGAGGCCTAGGTGGGCAGATCACTTAAGGTCGGGAGTTTAAGATCAGCCTAGCCAACATGGTGAAACCCCGTCTCTACTAAAAATACAAAAATTAGCTGGGCATGAAGGCGGGCGCCTATAATCTCAGCTACTTGAGAGGCTAAGCCAGGAGAATGGCTTGAACCCACGAGGCGGAGGTTGTAGTGAGCCGAGATTGTGCCATTGCACTCCAGCCTGGACAACAGAACAAGACCTGTCTCAAAAAAAAAAAAAAAAAAAGGAGGAAAATCCTGACACAGGCTATAACACTGATAACCCTTGAGCACATTATGCTAAGTGAAATAAGCCCATTGCAAAAGGATGAACACTGCACGATTCCACTTATGTGAGATCCCTAGAGTAGTCAAATTCACAGACACAACATAGGATGGTGATTGCTAGGGCTTGGGGGAGACAGGATGGGGAGTTAGTGTTTGATAGGGACAGAGTTTAAGTTTGGGAAGATGAAAAGTTCAGGGACGGAGGTGGTGATGGCTGTACAACAATGTGAATGTACTTAATGTCCCTGAAATGTATACTTAAAAATAGTTACATTGTAAATCATTTTTGTGTATATTTTTCCACAATAAAAAATCGTATGAATTTTTAAAAAGATGGATAAATAGGCAAAAAATGCTTAAAATCCATTAAGAACCTGCAAATAGACTCTAGAATGCCCAAACAATACCAACATCCAAAGGACACATTAGGAATACTGCACTTGTATGTAATCGATCTCTCTTTTTGATCAGTTTGCTCCCACCCAGACGGTTGCTGCTTGAGGTCGCTGAGGGGTCTGGAGGGCGGGGCCTGCAGCAGCAGTTGAGAACGCCCCCAGGGCCGCTGGGCTCCTCCAGGACACACCTGGGGGAAACAATCAAGTGCCAAGGGGAGCCTGGAAGAGAACAGGTGAGACGTCTGGAGTCCCACAGTGGGAAAATAGAACAGGAGAAAGCTTCTCTTGAAGTGCTCACTGTACATCAGGAACACTGCTCCCATGACAGTGCCCTCGGGGTGGGAGGGGGTGCTGCATTTCTGGCGACAGAGGGTGAGAGATTGTAACTCATAGTGGCCTCACAGGGCGAGGAGGGTCCAGATGCCCTGGCCCCGATGAGCCCCCTCCCAATCCCATGTGGCATCCTATGTCTGGGCTATCCATGCAGGCAGTGGGGTCCATGTTCTTACCCCAGAGAGGATGCTAGGGGTTGGCTGAGCTCAGGTGGGGAGAGGCAATGCAGCTCAGCTGGGTCTAGTTTTCTCTGGGACACACACCTCTGGCCCTGGTCTTCCCAATAAGAACCATTTGCCCTTGGGTGGCCGTGGGGTGGCTCTGGTGATGCCCAGGCTGCAGAAGAGTGGGTAGGGCCCTGGCACCCCATCTGTCGCAGGAGCAGATCCAGTCTGGGAATCCCACAGGTGCTCCTCTGGGGCCTCCATGATGTGCAAGCACCTTTAGTGGTCCAGGGACTAGAGGTAGGACAGGCCTGGGCTTCCCAAAGCCCCCACCACAAAGCCCACATGTGCAGGGGAGAACGGGCCTTCCTGCTCCCATCTGGCAGAGCCCACCCCTACAGGATCGTGGGGGGCCCAATCCCAATTGGTCTCCCTGCTGCCAAAAGGGATTTGTGGGTCAGGCAATGATTGCGAGCAGAAACAGACTTAAATGCACTTAAAATGCCTCCCAGGTGGTCTCTGCAGCTGGGCACAGCTGTCTTAAGGTTCCCGCTTGTCACAGACACTTCTAGATGGAAAAACACATGGTCCAAGGTGGGAGAATGAAGGAGGTGGGTGCAGGACCTGCCTCAGCGGACTGCAGCCTGGGCAGTCCCAGTGGGCCCTGCTCAGAGGTCTCACGCTTGGTTTAATGCTCTTTGCTACAGTCTTGAAATTCTTCATAATTCTAGATCAAGGGGCCCACAAATGATGCAGCCAATCGTGGTGGGTCAGCCACAGGGGAGAGCTGGGGAACAGCTGCTGGCATCAGGAACCACCGGACTGTGCAGACTCTGCAGAACACTGGCCTCCTCTGGGCCTCAGTTTCCCCAGCTTCGAAGTGGGGGAGGCATGCTAAGGAGAGGAGGAACGGCCAGTGCAGGTGCAGCCAGGCGTGCACCTCTGCACAGGGGTGTATCATCATGAGGCTCTCACTGCAGACTCAGCCACTGGGTGCAGATCCCTTCACTGCCCATTTCACATATAAGAACAGCAAGGCTGGGTGGCGAGAAGCCTGACCAAGTGAAATAGCTGGACATGCTGTGAGGCTTTGTGTCTCGGGGGTTAGGATAACAGCTAAGAAAGTGATGGTGGAAGCCAGGCGCCAGCAGGTGCTGAGCCTGCCAGGAGGCCCAGTGCCCTGCTGGTTGGCTTCCCATCCTGCTGCCGCCTTTCTGCCTAGAAGGGCCGCCTGGCCTGTGGACCAAGGCCAGGCCCGTGGGTCGAGACCCACGTCTGGTGACAGACACTCCCACTCCTGGCACCATGGGAAGGTCACCAGCAGGACTTACAAAGCTTTTCCCACCCCATGCCTTCAAAGCCCAAATGCCACGTGGTGACAGAATCCTCCCTCAAACCTAGCACACAGGTGTCTGCCTGGACAGCTTTGGTTGCCAGGGCTGGGCCCACCCTGTACTTCTGCAGCACAGCGGTGGCCTGGCACACACCACACCCACCGACGGTGCAAATGGCAGTGTCGCTTGTCTGAGAAACTAAGAGGATTCCCACATCAACCCTCAATGACCCCCGCCACCGTGGTTCTGGTTCCTCAGGCTGGCTGTGCCCAGGCACCATGCAGGATGGGGTGGGGGAAGGTCCTGCTTGCTCACAGCACACTTGCCAAAGACCCAAGTTGCTGCTCACATTCAGAGAGACCTCAGAAACCTTCAAGGCCTATGTAGTGTGTGTCATGAGTGTGTGTATATGTATGCACGCACAGGGCATGCAGGAGACAGAAAAAGAGATGGAGGCATGCCCACCTAAGACCCCATCTGCTCCCACCCTGCCCAGCTCAGCAGGAAAGAGTCTGCCCTAGTGTTTGACAGAGTGAAGTGCTAGACTGTTTCCAATGTTCCACACGTGGCTGGGCTGTTTAAATTATTCATCTTTGGATGCAGAGGGGACCAGTCCTGAGCCCCCTCGTCCCACATGTGCGCGTGCACACACCTTGTCAATCCACACACTCCGTCCAGGTGTGCATGTTCTCATGCCCAGGCGGGCCTGGAGCAGGTTACTTTGCAGGCAGCACAAGGCCAAGCTTCATCGGTGGAGGGCTTTGGAGAGATGCTGGGACAGGCCAGGGGTTGCTCCTGTCTCCGGTTGTTACACCTGCCTTTTCTAGGTCCTGCTGCCCGGGCAGTCCACGAGACAGGGTGTGCTATGTGCTCCACCCTAGCACATACCCAAAGCATGCAATCCCTCGGCACTGATGCAGCCCATACCTGAGCCTAGCCATCAGCTTCCTGCAGCCCCCAGCCTCAGCTCCCGTGCCCTAAGGATAGTTCCTGCCAGACCTGAGCCTGCACAGCAGCCCCAGCCTAGCATCCAGCTCCTCCCTCAGGCTCTGACCCCAGCTGGGAAGGGGTTCCTTCCCTGGTGCCCACCTGCAGCTGAGGGTGCCCCACAGAGCTCTCCCCACCCCCATTCATCCCTCTTTCATCACAGCTTAGTGCCTCTGATGTTACTGCTCCTGTCTCAGGGACCACGTGGGGCTGTCTCCTGGTCAGACTCAGGCGGACACATTGCACACATGCATTCCTTCTCTCACACACACTCATTCTCTCAGACGCATACCATTACACACCACGGGGGCACACACTGTTATACACTTGTTCTCCCATATGCTCACACATTCTCACACTGCCAATAGGGCTCTAACAAGCACATGTATTTGCTCATACTGGTATATACCCGCTTTCACACACAAGCACACACATTTTCCTGCACCCTCGGTGCACACATACTAAGCGTGGCCTGGCCCTGTCTGTGGAGGCAGGGGCTCACCAGCTCTCCACTGGCTCCTGGCTGTGGCCCTTGGTCTCTCACTCCCCCACTGCCGACCACCCGGCAGCTCTGATGGGGCACTGTGAGGTCACCCTTGCCATGGCATGGTGACCCTGCCACAGAAACACAAATGGAGCTCCAGACCATGAAAAACTTCCCTAGGATGGCAGCACAAGGGCCGAAATTTGGGACTTCCAAAAAAGAAAACAATAACAACGATATGATCCAAAAACTGCATGAATTAGAAGCAGCGTAGGGCATGTGTGTAGAGCAGGCCCTTCCTGCAGAACCCCTCATGCGACACCAGCCCCACGCCTGCCCTTGATGGGTGGCAGACGATGCAGATGACAGCTTTATTATGGCCCAGCAGAATCTCCTTAAGAGACGATTTCCTAATGCAATCATCTTCCTGGGAATGGGAAACAGGCCCCAGGGCTCCTCCCTGGGGGCTGGGGGTGGAAAGAGGCGGTCCCCGCCTCCCCAGGCCAGCTGTCCCTATGGGGGTCCCTCCAGCCCCATGCTGAGCACTGTTATCCTCTCAGGATGTGACCTGTTACCCCACCCCCACCCCCCCACCGCTTCCCTCCCACTTCCCACTCACGTTTTCTCTTACTATAGTCAAATATTTGACATGTACAACGAATACATTTCACAGAACATTTATGCTGAACAAACACCCTGGAGCCCGTGGCCCTGCTGAACTGGATGCTTGGCCACACTGCTGCTCCTCCCGCCTCCCCACCTGCCACTGTGTCCCACCCCCACCAGCAGGAGCCTGCGCCTGGCCTTCTTCTTGCCTCATTTTTTGACGTCATTCATGGAAGGCCCATTTTTGCTGGGTGGAGAATTCCATGTGGACAGCTATTTTCCTCCACTCTACATAAGGTCTGGCTCCCGTCTTTCAGCCTCACTGCTGCTGCTGAGGGCCCATGCTCAGGCCGGCCCCTCCTGGGTAACCCACTTTCTCCCAGCTGCTCCCAGGACCTCCTCTGTCTTTGGTGCTGTCCAGCGTCGCTGGGATGCTACCGAGGCTGCTCACCCCCTCGGCTGGTTTCCTCCTCTGCACCCTGTCCTCCAGATGGTGGCAGTGGCTCACTCACCAGCCATATCCAGGCCCTGGGCTGTTAATCCTGTCTCTATGCTGGTGTGCAGCATGCTGATCAGCAGCCTGGGCATCTCCATGCCTTGCTCTCTCTACTCCTTTGCCTCAGTTTGGCCCCTCCTCACCCCAAATTGTCCCCAACTCTTCCCCATCTCATCACGGTATGGCCCCACCTCACTGCTCAGGTCACACACCTCAGTCCCCAGATCCCTTTCTCTTTCACCCCTCACCCCACCTCCCAAGTCCCCTCTGCCACCCCTGTCCAACCCTGGACCACATGCTGGGCAGGACAGGCAATCTCGCACAGAGGAGCCAGGGTCCACTGAATCATGGCACCCTCTGTGGAGCCCTGTGTTAACTGTCCGCTGCTTGCAGAATAAAACATAGCTCCTCATCAGGGCTCCCAGGGCCCCCTCTGCCCTCCAACTCACTTCCTCCTCACTCTTACAGGGTGCCTACCTTCCTGCCACATCTGCCAACTCACTTTCTGTGAGCTGAATGAATAAATTTATGAACCAATGAATGAATCAATGAATCAACGAGCCAGTACAATGGTTTCATAAACAGGAGTGTGAAAGGGCTGGGCACATTTGGGAAATGGTCAGAATTTGGGAAGGGGAAGGGAGTAAGAGGACGGGGAGATACTGTGACATGGTCTCACGGGCACTGGAGCCACGGGCAGGCTGTCAGTGGCAGGATAGAGCTGTGTGGATGCGCCCTGTGCACACGTGCAGTGCCCACTAGTGCACCAGCAACCTTGTGGGGCCAGCCACTGTGCTGAGCAAACAAGCCTGAGGCTGAGGACAAAACCACTCCTTTTCAGCTCAGGAAATGATCTATCAGTGCCTGAGGAGCCCTGGGCACCGGAGCTGCCAGCCAGACTCACTCGGGTAGGACCACCTGCAGCATGCTGCACAAACCTGGGTCCTCGGCTCTGTCCCAGCTGGAGGCTGCTTTTGCCTGGGACTATAATCTAACTTTGCATTTAGGGAAAAAACACGGATCAAGGGAGGCTCTACTGTAAATAACAAATTTGGAGGTGTATATAAAGAGAGATTCTAGTTTTAAAAAGTTATTTTAAATTGTGGTAAAATACACATGAACTTTATCATCTTAAAATTTTTAAGTGTACAATTCAGTGGCATTAAGTGCATTCACACTGCCATGCAAACCATCCTTCCACAGCACTCTTTTTATCCTGTAAAACTGAAATTCTGTACCCATGAGACAATTACTCCCCCTCCTCTCCTCTCCCAGTTCCTGGAATCCTCCATTCTACTGTCTCCACGAATTTGACGACTGCAGGGACCTCATGTAAGTGGAATCATACAGTGCTTGTCCTTCTGTGACATAATGCCCTCGAGGTTCAACCATGGCATAGGATGTGGCAAATTTTTTTTCCTTTTTAAAGCCAAGTAATATTCCATTGTATGTCTGTATTATATTTTGCTTATCCATTCATTGGTCAATGGACACTTGGGTAACTTCCTCTTTGTGGTTACTATGAATAATGCTGCTGAAAATGGGGACATACAAATATATCCTGACTGCTTCCTGCTTCCTTTCCTGTATGTATCCAGAGTGGAGGTGCTGGAGCCGAAGTCAGCTCTAGGTTTAACCTTTGAGGAGCCTTCCTGCTGTTCTCCACAGCAGCTACACTATTTACCTTCCAGCAGTGCGCAAGGGTTCAGTTTCTTCACATCCTTACCAACACTGGTTCTTTTTTTTTTTTTTTTTTTTTGATAGTAGACATCCAAATGGGTGTGAGATGGTATCACATGGTGATTTTGATTTGTATTTCTCTAATGAGTGGCAATGCTGAGAATCTTTTCATGTGCTTCTTGGGGCCATCTGTAAATCTTATTCGGAGAAATGTCCATCCAGGCCCTGTGCTCATTTTTTTTGTTGTTGTTGTTGGGTTTTTTTTTTTTTTTGTATGGAGTCTCACTCTGTCACCCAGGCTGGAGTGCAGTGGCACGATCTCGGCTAACTGCAACCTCTGTCTCCTGAGTTCAAGCGATTCTCCTGCCTCAGCCTCCCAAGTAGCTGGGATTACAGCCACCTGCCACCACGCCTGGCTAATTTTTTTGTATTTTTAGTAGAGACAAGGTTTCACCATGTTGGCTAGGCTGCTTTCGAACTCCTGACCTCAAGTGATCTGCCTGCGTGAGCCTCCCCAAGTGCTAGGATTACAGGAGTGAGCCACCGCACCTGGCCCCCTGTGCTCATTTTGGAATCAGGTTTTTTTGTTGCTGTTGTTGAGTGTGAGGAGTTCTCTACAGATTCTGGATTAACACTGATCAGATCTATGAATTACAAGTTTTTCTCCCATTCCATGGGCTGTGTTTTCACTCTTCTGATTGTGGCCTTGGTTCACAGAAGTTTTACATTTTGATGTAGCCCAATTCATCCATTCTTTCTTCGGCTGCCTGTGCATCTGGTTTTTATAGGGGGATCCCAGTTTTAAAGATGTGTACACAGCTAAATCTTCAGCTAGAACCAAGGTCAAACAGAAGCATGAAATTTTTGGCCCCATCTGGCATCACCCTGCTGCCCTGGTCACCTGCCTGGGGCAGGTACACACCTGGGCACGGCCAGTATCTGCTGCAGTTCCCACTTCAGCTGCTGTCCACTCATGAGACCACAGCATCCAGGCACGAGAGCGCCCTGACTGGCTAGGGAGCGCGCCATCTCTAGGCAGGTGTGAGGGCTCACAAGGGCTGGGCCGCTAGGGCCAGCCCTCGGTGCCAGGGTCCCAGGGGGCCAGGAGCCTGCAGAGGAGGAACCTCTGCTCCTGACCGGCACCACTGCTGCATGCGCCTGGGTGCGCAAAAAAGGTTTTTGTTTTAATTCATTTTAAAATCAAAAGGATGAAATAAATATAATAAGAAATAAATAATAATAAAGTGGCCTGGATTGTGTTTGTCTTATACCAACACAGTTGCAGAATATAATTTTGCTTTTGGATGTGGGAGGGGCCCATGGTGCACGCATGTGGCCCTGGCTTGAGAGTCACCTGGTTGTGCCTGAGCCCCCAGGAGGACAAGGCTTAGCATGGAGCACACAGCCCTGAGCAAGGCAGGGACCCATCTGAGGCCTCAGCAGAGGAGGCAGCGCCCAGAAGCGGCCCAGTCTCAACTGCCTTCTGTCACAGAGCCCTTCCCTTTGCCACGCCTCCTCCTCACACGAGCCCAGTGCCAACCCAAGAGGCTCCCGGGCAGCCACTACTGGACACTGGTTTCCAAGTGACGATTAAGTGCACCCTGCCTGGCGTCCTGCTCTCTTCCTAAATTCCCTGTGTCTTCCCTGCACCTGGGGGTGGCTCTCATCACCTCTGACTCAGGAGGTTCAGTGGGCTCTCAGCCTCACCCCTGCCCAGGGCAGCCACCAAACACAGCTGTTCACAGGTGTCTCTCTGAGCCATTTGCCAGGCCTGGGCCTACTCACACATGTCCAGTTTCCCTTTCATACACAGAGCCTGGTATGTGCAGCTGCCTGCATGCCCCTGCCATCAGCCCCTCACTCCGGGCCCTGGTGCTCGCTCGCTCAGCCTGGCCCAGGGCTCCCAGGTGCATGGCCATCCCTGTCCTCTCCACCTGTGGGAGTCCTGCCCACTGTCCTGAACAAGCTCCTGTCCCAGCCCCGATCTCTGCCCCAAGTCCTGACCTTGCTGGCCTTTGCCTCCCTTAACTCTCAGGGTTCTTGTCTGATGATAACAAGAGTATGAGGCTGACAGACAGTGCCCATACACTCAACCTGCTCTTGGCAGGGACGGCTTCCTCCAGATGCCCTGCCTATGAGCCAGAGGAGGGCCCCGATGGCCGGCCTGTTAGCAGGTGGGACAGGCCACATGTGCTCCACGCCTCCCTGTGTGTGGTGTGTCCTTGCATGTGGGGGCGGGCTCCCCGACACAATGCTGTCGGCCCTGGTACACAGCAGGAGCACCCTGGTTCTGCCTCTTGACAATGTCCCCTGGGGTCCTGAGGTGTGTCCTACAGAAAGAACGGACATGCACTTCCTACGCCACCTGCACGCCTTGGGAGAGGTGACAGTAACTGGGTCCTGAGTACTTCCTTGGGCAGCAAAAGGAACGGCTATCCTGGCAGCCCACCAGCCAGGCAGGACAGATGGACACGCATATGCTAATGGCTTGCTGGTCACCCATAGCCCTGGGCTCATGGGGAGGATGCCTGCTGGCCAAGAAAACAGGCAGCTTGTTAGCCCTTTCCCTGGCAAGGAATCCTTACTTTTGGAGAGATGAATGTGTTAGACCCTAAGGCTGGAGACCCTGGGACACCTGACCCCGGCAGGGACGTCAGGAGAGCTGACTGGGGGCACCCATGTGCACCCTCCCTGAGGTCAGCCGGCTGGGGAAGTCATCACACGCTTCTGCTGAGCGGACGCTGCCTGACCTGTTTAAAGGGCCCAGCACTGGATGGAGGAGAGTGCCTAGCCCAGGCTGAGGGGCCAAGGGGGCTGCCCCACGCTGCCCGTTCTGAAAAAATGCCTGACCAAGAGACAGCCACAGACAGGCAAGTGGAGGCTAAAGGGAAGGGACTGCTCTGGGCTGCAGCCACAAGCAGGAGCCAGTGCCCGGCAGGACGGGAGGGCTGGGGGCAGAGCCAGAGTGAAAGGAGGGGAAAAGCAGCAGGAGGTAGAGGCAGTTCAGATGAGCAGCAACAGCACAGGGCCGGAGGTGAATGCTGGTTGGAGACAGGAGGCCAGCTCCTCGGGCCATGAGGGCATGAACTTAGGAAGAAGAAGAAGGTTGGGCAAGCTTGTGGATTCCAGGCAAGGCTGTGGACTCCATCTGGGTGATGGAGAGAAAGTGTGTGTTGCAGTGGTAATGAGCCTGGAGCAAGGGACATATATTTGTATCTCAGTTTCTCCTCTGTACCCACTGAGACTCAGAGCTCCCACCACACAGGAGTGTTGGGAGCTAGAAGGAATTAATGCACATGAAGTTCACAGATCAGTGGCTGGCACCAAGCAAATGCTCACAGAAGATGGCTGCATCACGACCATCAACATCACCGTCACCTCTACCACTACCATTACCTCCACCTTCCCCGCCACTGCCTCACCACTACCACCAGCACCATCACCTCCACTACTACCACTGCCTCCACCACCACCATCCCCACCTTCACCATCATGACTTCCACCACCACCATCACCATCACCTCCACTAACACCACCGCCTCCATCACCACCATCACAACCACTGCCTCTACCACCACCATCCCCACCTTCACCATCATGACCTCCACCACCACCTTCACCATCACCTTCACTAATACCATGGCCTCCACCACCACCATCACCACCACCATTGCCTCCACCACCACCATTCCCACCACCGTCTTCACCATCACCACCACCATCACCGTTGCCTCCACCAGCACCATCACCACCACAACTGCCTCCACCACCATCACCACCTTCACCATTATGAGCTCCACCATCAATATCCCTATCACGTCCACCACCACCGTCTTCACCATCACCACCACCACCACCACAACCACCACTCACTATCATGACTTCCACCATCAACATTACCATCACCTCCACCACAACCATCATCACGACCTCCACTATCACCATCACCAATACCACCACTACCAACACCAACACCAACACCATGACCATCACTATCACCAGCACCACCCCCATCTCACCTCTATCCCTACCACTCTCATCACTTTGCTGGCATCCTGAGACTTCCAAATGAAAGCAGCTTTTTGCCAGGTTTAACCTACACTAACCATGGAAGGAAATTTGGGCTGTGAAGACCCACAGGGCCACCACTGGCTCATCCTGCCCGCTGTTGTATTTATAACCCTGCTTGATCCCTGGCATAAAGAGCAGGTGTGAAGGAAAATCCTGGGGCAGGCTCTGGTAACTGGAGTCCATAGAAGCCCCTCTTCGGGAGCACACTGCATCAGCCCCTGGTTCCTCGGCCTAATTGTACCCGCTAACAAGTCAATACCTCCTTTGAGAAAAATCTGACAGCCTGTCCCATTCTTAGTTCACTGGGTTTAAGCATCTCTCTGTAAAACCATCAAGAAAACACTGGTCTCTGCAGATGATGGACAGCTCAGTGCATATACCGGGCGCTCAGTAAACACCAAGGGCAGCTCCTTCCCTGGTGTCCTGGTGACACCAGTTATCATCATGGCAGTGCGGCCTCAGTACCAGACTTAAGAATTGGTTCTTCCAAAATGCTGGGCAGGAGACCCGGTGTGGAGTGCAGGATCTCCTCAGATACCTCTCCTCTTGGACCTCCAGCCAGGCAGGGTGGCCAGTAGCTGGAAGAGCAGCTGAGGAGGAGGAGAGATGGGGCCCGGCCCTGGCCTGGGAGGCACCACGATCCCTGCACGCACGAACATGGCCCTCCTTAACTGAGGCTCTTCTCACACATCCAGTCTGAGCCCCTGCTGTAGAACAGAGATATCATTCACCCCATCCCATGCCAGAAAACAGAAGCCCAGAATTCCCGCTGCACACCCATGGTAGAACTGCAACCAGGACATGAGCCTCCTGACACCCCTAAAAGCCATGCAGCCTTCTGCCGTGAGTGGGGAAGGGGTCCAGGCATGGCTGAGGTTTGGGAGAAGGAGGTCCGCAACTGGGCACTGGGGGACCTGGCAGCCCAAGGCTACCTTCTGCACACAGACCCAGCCTTCTGCTCTGAGGGGCCCAGGCCCTAAGCTGCACGATGGCCACCACCCACACTTCCATACCCAGACCAGCTGCAGCGGCCTGGCCAGGATGATGGGCGCTCCTGCCCAACTGCAATTTCCCAGCTGCTGCAGAGTTAATCACCAGCCTCACTGGCAGTTGCTTCCGGCTTCTATGCAAAGGAAACTGCCAATTAGGTTATAATTAATTTCTTTCCTAGGGCAAGGCCTGGCTGAACAGGACTGGCCACCCAAGTGGCCTGTGGATGACCATGTAAGGGTCACTGGCCCCCTTGGCTGCAGGGCTGTAGAGTCTGCCCCAGCTGATTACATTGTTCACTGGCCCTGGCCTGGGGCAACGGGGCCAGGGCATCACCACTGGCTTTGACCCTGGTGCCTCTGGCCTGGGCAACTGTCCCCATGCACTCAGCAAGGCAGTGACTCAGATCATGTCCATGTGCAAATTTAAGTCAATCTGTCAGCTCATGTTCCTCAAGCTGAGATGGTCTTGCCCATTTTCGCCCTACCCCAGCCCCTTCTCATCCCTGTTCAACATTAACCAGTAGGAATCCACGGTGTGCTCCTCATGAGCAGGTCTGCTCCGGGCGCTTCATCTGCATCACCCACTGCATCAAAACAACTGTCAGAGGTAGGGACCATGAGGATTCCCATCTCACACAGGAGGAAAATGAGGCAGCACTAGCTTAGGTACCCTGCTGGAGGCCACACAGAGGCTAGGAATTAAGCTGCAGTCTGGCCTGGGCTTCTCTGTTCAGTGACAGGCATGCAGAGAAGCCGAGGCACCGTGAGCTACCACCCCTTCTGCATTGGGCTGCAGAGTAGAAGCTGGGCTCTCCCTGGAGAGAGGACACAAAAAAGGCTTGAGGGTCTGCTCTTAAGAGCAGTGGAGAGCAGAGGGAGAGAGCCAGGAGCCTCTGAGACAGTAGGTTTCAGCCCAGCACAGACCTGGGGCCAGACAAGCTGACAATCCTGATGCCCCAGGTCACAGCCAGGCAGCCCGATGCGGGGGCACCACCTGCATCTGGATGCTGTTATCCAGGTCCTGGGAGCAAAGACCTCAACATCAAGGGTGAAGAAGAATCCAAACCCAAGGCTGGGGATGCCATGCAGGGAAGGGGATGCCCAGGGAAGTGGTGCCAAGTCTTCATCTGACACTACCCCCATGTGTGACAACTCACGCCTCCCTCAGGGCCTCGATTTCTCCCTGTGTAAAATGAGAGGTTTGCACTGATGTGTAAGCTCCTCTCAGCCGAGGTCCTCATGCCCTTTGAGTCCACGTGATGTCTATGCAGGAGTATCCACAGAATGAGCTCCTGACCAGGGGCCGAGGGGCAGACGGTGGCCGAGATGGAAATCAGGACAGGCTCTGGCCTAGGTGGCCCCTGGGGGGTGAGGGACATGGGGCCAAAACAGGATTAAGACTGCAAGTGTCCTCCCAGGCCACTGACGATGAGGCAAGAAGACAAAGGCCTAGTCCAAAGGAGAGAGTTCAGCAGCAGAAAGGAGAGAGTTCAGCAGCAGGAAGGAGCAGAAACGCAGGGCAGAGCGGCCCAGCCCATGCCCCTGTGCTTCCCCGCTGTTTGCCAGGGCTGGGCACTTGGCTTCCCTGGCTCTGTCCCTAGCTGCGAATGGGGACAGGAACTCCTCCTTGGGAGCACAGAGTGCCTGCCTATGGATGCCAGTGTTCCACCCCCACCAAGCAGATTTGCAGGAGCCCACAGAGGCTGCCTGCCACCCTCGGTTCAGGGCCCCCCAGCTCCATGCTGGCCTCCAGAGCTGCCTAGGTGCATCCACCGCTGTCCTGAGAAAACTGCCCCAGGGCCTGGCAGCATGACATCACACCACGGCAATGATGATAATCAACTTACAGCGGATCCGATTATCAGCCTGGTTATTTTTAGAGTCAGGGTTCAGGATGAGCGAGAGAGGGCGGCCCTGGTTCCCCTGCTGCTGAGTCTCGTCTTGTCAGTGGGGTGGGGGTCTGCTGGCTCCTTGCACCTTCCCCTTCCTCCATCCTTCACAGGGCGGTTCCTGAGAGGCCCCTTCTTATGCACAAGCAGTGACACCATGGTTTCCAGATGTTGGTGCTCAACGTGGCCTCAGAGTCCAGGTCTTCCGAGAATGTCCTCAAGGTCCTCGAGGGCAGTGGTGATTCAATGCCCATGTGAGGAATCAGACGAATCCACACTCTCCTCACAAGGGACCTGGGGCTCAATCACTGACAGTGACGGCCCTGGATAAAGCTGCTTCTCTGCAGCTCTTGATGCAGATGCAACAGCAAAGTCAGCTGTATGGCAAGACAGCCATCTAGTTAGACAACAGGCAGAGGGCTCGAAGAGATGCTTCTCCAAAGAGACATGCAACTGGCCAGCATGCACAGGAAAAGATGCCCAGCACGCCATCACCGGGGAAAGGCAAACCAAAGCCACAACGAGCTAGCACTGTGCACTGGCTGCACGGCCAGAGTGAGACATGAACCAGAGAATAACAGAGAATAATGCGTGGTGGTGAGAATGTGGATAGATTGTAACCCTTGGGAATGTAACACAATTCAACCACTGTGGAAAACAGTTTGGCGGCTCCACAAAATATAAAACAGAATTACCTAGCGATTTCATGTCCAGGTATGTACCCAAAAGAACTGAAAGCACGAACTCAGGTATTTATAACAGGAATGTCCCTGGCAGCATTTTTCATAACTGCCAAAAGGTGGAAAGCACCCACGTGTCCATCCCCAGATGAATGGGTGACGGCACACTATTTACCCCTCACAGGAAGGGGCTGATGTGTGCCACAGCCTAGAGGAACCCTGAAGACCTTATGCTGAGTGAAGCCAGACAACAGTCCATGCAGATGAAATGTTCCAGGACAGGCCAAGCCGCAGAGACAGAACGCAGGCTGGGGGTTGCCCGGGGACAGGAAGCAGCTGTTTAATGGGTATGGGGTTTCCTTTTGGGGTGATGCAAATTTTTTGGAACTAAGGCAATGCCTGTTCAATGCTGTAAATGTGCTAAATGCCACCAAATGGTTCACTTATAAATGGTTAAACTTATGTTACACAAATTTCACAATTAAAAAAGAGTAAACCATAATTATTTGCTACCCTGTTTCCCCCTCTGTCCCCCTCAGCTGCTGGGCCCGCCAGGAGCCCCTGCTATGTGGACCAGGACAAGGGATGGAGAGCTGGTAGGCAGAAGTGTGTGCAGGTACACCCCTGCGTGCCCCCATCCCCGCGTCCTCTGTACTTGAAGCCTCCTGGGGTGAGAACGACCATGTGACAGGATCCCACGGAACACAGGGAAAGTGACGGTGGCCCCCTCCCAGGCCTCAAAGCTCCTTAAGCCTCAGGCTTCTTGAAGCTCTGTGCCCTCCTGTGCACATAGCCAGGCACAAGGGCTGGGAGGTGTGGCCACCCAGTGGGTAAGGGCCATGCCAGGCTATGCCACAAGAAGGACATAGTAGATGGCGTTAAGCCCCTGAGACTGGGGGGCATTCCTGTCACCAAGTACAGTCTCACATGCCCCTGCATATACAGGTGGTGGGGAGGCTAGGGGAGCAAAGACAATTTGAGGCTTTCCCGGGTCACGAGTTTTCAAGGTGCTGTGGGGCATCCTGTATGTGACCTGCCAGAGGAGTCTCCTGCAGAGACAACCTGTGGGCTGCCCACCGGTGCTGGGTCCCATAGCCAGGCTGGCCCCTTACGATGGCAGAGCAATGTGCCCATGTCACCAAGCGCCCATGAGCCCCGTTGTTTCCCTGGGTGAGGAGGGCCAGGCCCAGAGCCCCACTTGGGCTAAGTGTTAGGCTTCCTGGGGCTGGCAGACGCCCTACAGGCAATGGTGGTGGAGCAGGAAGGGGAACAGAGCAAGAGGAAGCCCCTGGCCCCTAGCCCAGCAACAGCTGCCGGGTCTGTGCCAGTTGCACTGCCAAGTAGTATGAGGAAGAAACCCAATGAGCCCTCTCCCTCCCTCCAGAACTGCACCAGCTCATGCTGCACCTCCAGCTCACCCACCCTCGTCCCGGCACCCAGAGCACACATCTCCCCAGTCATTACTTAAATTCTAGGAAATACATGTTTCCTTTTTCCCTCTCAGGAACACAAGGGCGAGAATCCTCTGGAGTCACAGGCACACAAGGGAACTGGAAACAGCTTGGTGGCCACTGTCCTGCTCCTGCCCTGGGGCCACACTGCCCCTCAGGTGCTTCCTTGGAACCCTGGCTCCTGCAGGGCATGGAGAGCAGCAGCACAGAGGAGCAAGGGCCAGGAGTGGAAGCGCAGCTGCAGCACCCGAATCTGGGAGGGGGTCTAGAACCTGGGGCTGTAGGGCCACAGGTTCTCCCCTGAGCACAGAGCCCCAGCACCAGGCCCTCCAGGTATCCCTGATATCAGGGAGGAAAGCCTATGCCCGCTGGTCCACCAGGTAGGCGCACACCTGTCCAGGTGCAGCGGTGACCTTTCTGTGGTGGTGCCTGGGCTGCTACACTTTGTGGAGCCACTCCTTGAGGCAAAAGCAAACAGAGGTGTTTGCTTGGAGCTGGCCACCTGCTCCCTCCAGGGCCAGGTGCGACCTGAACTGCTGTCCTTAAGGTCCTGCTGGCACCATCTCCCTGCCCCAGGCTTTTCAGGGGCCAAGAGCCCAGCCAGGAGGAGCTGTGGGAACAAGGACAGCTTGCTGCCTGCTCTTGCCCAGCCCTGCCCTGCCTGCAGTCTCAGGGTGGACAGTTCAGGGACCCACAGGCTTCATGGCCTCTAGGCTTGGGGAATGGAGGGGAGCGGGGTCCCTGAGGCCCCCATGATCACACAGCTGCGGGACCAGAGCTCCATGGAGGTTCAGGCCTCATTGTCTCAGCGCCAATCCAAGTGCCCAGGCCTGGCCCCAGAGCTCAGAGAAGGGGGGAGAAAGCAGAGAGGTAAAGCAGGACCTCAGGGGCTGCCAAGTGTCCCAGAGCCTTGGTCAGGAGAAGGCCCGTCCTCCAAAGTTCTCCTATGAGAGGTACAGCCTGCCTCAGGGGACAAAGAATCAAGCACCAAGGCTTCGCCTCAATCCCTGAGCCGGCCCTGGCTGCTGTTCTAGTGGGGGAGCCAGAGGGGCTCTGGTGGGCCTGGGGCCTTCTCCCCTTCCAGCCCCAAGGGGTGCAGTGCCTGGGTCATGGACCCCAAGGGACCTCCCCATTTGACCTCATAGTCCCACTGACTGGCAGCCTCCCAGGGGCCATGGGGTGCTCCCCTACCCCATGGGGCACAGAAGACGGCTCTGGCAGGCCCAGGTGCAGACGGGCACGGAGAGACAGCCCTGGTGCCATCATCACCTTCTCTGTGACCATGACTGAGGTGTGCTCCCTGCCTGGTGGTCACTGCCCAGTCCCCGCCCCTTGCCACACACGCATGCGGAAGTCCCTACACAGGGTCTCCTTGACTACGGTCTCTCCCTGCCATGAGACAGCTCTGGAGAGTCCCCAGCCCTAGAGCAGCAGGGCAGGAGCCGAGGCTCCCTCAGGAGTGCTCCCAGCCTGCTGTTGTTACTATTATTGTTACTGTTATTGTTACTATTAAGTCACTCTGCTGAAAAATAATTGCAGAGGAGTGGGGAGATAGAGGGCACAGCAGAGAACGGGGAGGGAGCATAACCTGGCACCAGGAAGCAGCCTCCAAAGAAGGAAGGGGGGATGGGGGGGGCCCACTTCTGGGGGAGGGGCTCCTGAAGTGGAAAGGAAGTGCCTCTGCAGGAGGGGAGGAGGGCAGCAGGGAGCATGGGGGGCTGCACCCTGCTTTGCCCCTATTCCCTGGCTTTCTTCTCCCAGGCTGTCCTGGAGGATGGGAAAAATGAGGAGGAAGGCCCTGTCCTGCATGAGGAAACACAGCTGTACCCCCATCCCTGATGCCCAAACCCCATCCCTGCACCCTTGTCTTCAGAGCAGTAGCTTCCATCCGATGCCAGGGCCTCAGGCATATGTTGGCTGCAAGGGCCACAGCCTGGTGTCCCAGCCGAACATCTGCACCGCCACTGGCAGCAAGATGCCTTCCTGCCATCCACAGAGCACACACAGTCGGCCCTTCTGCTGGCACAGCCATGCCTGGTGCTCCTCCCCAGACCCATAGGACTCCCAGACATCAACTAAAGCTGACGAGACCCAGAGAGTATCTCAGCGTCTGTGCATGGTGCCACACATTACTCTGGGATCTGGGCTGGGATGTCCTGAGGGCACCTGGAGCCCGAGGTGGGGGGACTCACCAGTGGGTGGGCAGGCTCAGGGCAACCTCCCTGGAAGCCCTCCTTAGCCCCACCCTGGACCCACACCACTGGCCCAGAGAACGGGCTGGAGCAAGCCAGAGGGCCAGGGCTGGGGAGCTCCCGCATCCTCTCTACCGGTTCGAGTCCATAGGCTATGAGAACCTGTTTCCTCACCTGTGAAATGGGCCAAGACCATGACCCTTGCAGACTTGTTGGAAAAGATGAAGTGAGTAGGCACAGCACAGGGGCAGTGCACTGTGAGCCCCCATGGGGTGCTACTGCTGGTATTAGCCTTATCCAGTTAAGACGAGGGGACCTAGAGGGTCTTCGGCCAGGCTGCAGAGGGGGAAGGTCTCAGGGGAGATGGCAGCTTCCGGGCCTTCCCTTCCCCTTGGCACCCCAGGTTCCATTTTAACAGATATC
The DNA here is from genome assembly GCF_000001405.40 of Homo sapiens. Taxonomy (NCBI): domain Eukaryota; kingdom Metazoa; phylum Chordata; class Mammalia; order Primates; family Hominidae; genus Homo; species Homo sapiens. The sequence continues at coordinate 43,080,203 of NC_000010.11, read as the reverse complement.
ATAATTTTTAATTGGTTTTCTCCTCCACTGGCTAAAAGGCTATTAGCTCCCCGCTAGGTGATCGCATCCCATTTTCTTCACACCACCAAGGAAACAGTGATTTCCTCAGCCTGTCCCTAAAGTGATTCTGCAGAAGAAAGGCAATTTAGTGAATCAGCTCAATGCACTTCCCCATTTGCTCTCTGCTTGCAGGCCCCCAGCAGGCACAGCCCACCAGTGAGGGCTGCAGGCAGCTTCTGGAGGCCAGACAGGGTTAGTGAGCTGGAGTGGAGGAGGAAGCAAGCCAGGCCCAGGTGAACCTGGTGAAGCCTCTGGCCAGAGAAAGGGGAGAAGGAAAAGGATGAAGCAGGGGGAGCTGTACCCCTGGCCTGAGCTGCCCGCGCTGATACCTGGTGCTTCAGGCAGGGGTGGGCTGCCTAGGCCCTCTGCAGAGGGTGGTCTGGCAGCTTGGATCCGGGCCCTGCCAAGTCACAGTGCCCAGCTCTTCCATGCTGGGAACAGAAGGCCCCGGGGCCCAGGGGCAGAGAGGGAATGTCCTTCCTTGCTGCAAAACAGGACCCAAGAAGTCAGGCCAGGAAGACAAGAGACAAGAGGCTTGCTGAGGAGCTGTGGGAGGTTGAGGTGCAGGGTCAGCCTGGGACCTGGGGGGAACCCCAGAAGCTGAGACTCAGTTTCCTCATCCAAGCAACGGGGACAGCTGTATCTGTGTTGAGCAATGAAATGCCAGAAACCTTTAAGAGCAACTTTTAAATGAATGTAACTTTTAGATGGAGGTTCTCTCACTCTGGTTCCAGCATACCTGGGGCTGACAGGCTATGCCCTGCAGGTATGAGGAGTGTGTGTCCCTATATACACACGTGGCGTCCCTGTGTGTATGAGTGATGAGAGGGGCTGGGGTCCCTGTGTGGACGTGGGTGAGGCAGGGTGTGAAGGAACCACGCTGTGCATGTCCACAGCCTTGGCAGCAAGTGCTGTGAGAAGGGGCAGGAGTGTGTCTTGGTGATCCAGTGTGAGTGTGCATGTGTGAGCTGTGGAAGAACCCTCATCCTCTAGAGACCCAGTCTGTGCCTGTCATCAGGCCCAGCCACTAAAGTGCAGCGTCCGCAAGAGGGCGCTTGAGGCCGAGCTGTCCCCTTGGGGTGGTTGGGGAGCACCGAGGGGCTCACTGGGGCGGTCCTTGGCAGCTCCAAGAGTGCGGCTCGAACCTCCGGAGCTGTGGCTCCTGGGAAAGAGCTCTGCAGCCTCTTCAAAGGCCCCAGCTGTCTACTCCAGGGAGTGGGGCTGCCTCTTCACTCCCAGTGCCTCCAACTGTGGTGTCCGGGTTATCCCAGGGGCTAGGGGCTCACCATCTCTGGATTCGGGAAGCTGTCTGTGGGCCAGGGGTCTGGGCACGGAAAGCTACCTGCATGCCTGCTGAGTGCCACAAGCCGGCCCCCAGAGCCTGGCCCCCACAGCCTCACTGGCCACCCCAACTGAACGCAAGGCTGTGGAAGGGTGTGGGGAAGTCCTCTGCCCAGCACACCAGCAGCAGTTCACACCTGGCCCCCTGCCCACAACCTCAAAGCCAAAGCCACAGCCCAGAATCCCAAGACAGCGTCAGAGCGCCTTGTTTGCTTCTGCCCCGTGTCTTCCCCCTGCAGCACTGGGACCCCAAAGTCCTAACACTCAGAAAAGATAGAAAGGCAAGGGCTTCTCCCCTGTCCCTCGCTAGGTGGACTGGGGACCCGCTCTGGCCTCAGCATATGCTGAGCTGAGGCGCAGGTCACACAAATGAAGTCTCAGGCAGGCCTGGAAACTCAGTTTGTGCAGGGCCTGGGGCCAGAGACAGGGTGACTGACCATGGCTTCTTCTGTTCCCAAAGGCTGTGGGGAGAGAAAGCCCTTTGTAAGGAGTGAGGGAGGATGGCCAGGGCTCCTTCCCTCTTAGAGGGAAACTTGGTTCATACACAAGCGCTTGGAGGGGATCAAGTCAGGGCCAGTTTGAGGGACACTTAAACGCGTGCCAAGGGGTCAAAGATTCCACAGCCTTGCGGCTCACTCTGCCAGAGTTTGGGTGGGGTCGATGACCATCTTTGCAAGGCCACACCTAATGCTGGGATCCTAAGGCACCTGAGGTTTCACCAGGCCCAGCACCAACGCTGGCTGGCGGCGCAAACCCCTGCCCCACCCCAAGCCCTGGGCCTCCTATGGCCGCATCTTCAGCATCTCTGCCAGGCAGCGCCACACGACTCCAGGGCTGCCGGGTGGGACGCCTATCACGGCGGCCCCTCGGGGGGAGCCACCCCAGAAACCACGGTTTTTAGGTGTTTAAAGACAGGGCGGCAAAAACGCACGAGGGAAAAGCAATCTTTTCAAAAGAGCCTCCGAATCCCTCGGCTGGCCAGGACGGCAGAGCTGGGGGAGGAACGCACGGACGCTGAGCGGGAAAAGGAAACCAGGACGGAGCCGTCTCCTGCCGAAACAGAACTCTCCGCACGAATCGCGGGCTTTCGGGGCTCCCTGACCCGTCCGCCAGGTCGGCCCCGAAACGGCTGTCCCGTTTGCTCCAGGACGCGGCTTTGGCGCAGGGCGCGGCCAGATTGAGACCTGCGGCTATGGCTAGGGTTCTGAGCACCGACCCCCGCGGCCCGGCCCGCGCTCCGCTCCCGCCCGAGACCCGCCCAGCCCCGGCCCGAGGCGCCCGGCCCGAGGCGTCCTGCCCTTCGCCCGCCGCCCGCCGCAGCCACTGCGCTCCCAGCCGAGGCCGGGTGGCCGGCGACCGCACAGCCCGCTGCCCACGGCAAACAGAAAGGCGCTTCTGAACGCGCCCGCTCCGCTGCTCGGCGCCAACTTCGCCCTGGCCCCTGCGGGAGCCGGCGGCCGGCAGAACTCACCTTTGCCTAGCAGCGGCAGCAGCAGCAGCAACAGCAGACGCAGCCCCGCGGCACCGGACGTCGCCTTCGCCATCGCCCGTGCGCGCTGGGGCCACGGCTGGAGGGACTGCGGCTAGGGCCGGCGGGTCTGGATGGCGGGTGCGGCGCTCAGTCTGGCCGCCCCATCCCCGCCCGGGGCGCGGCGGACGCGACGGACACTGGGGGCGCGACGCACGTTCCGGGGCACTCAGCGCTGCTGCGCGCCCTGCTTCGGTCGCGGGACTGAAGCGAGGTAAGCGCCGGCTGCGCCGGAGGAGCGGGTAGGGGCGGGGCGGGGCGGGGGCGGTCCAGGGGTGGGCCAGGCGGGGCCGGAGGCGGGTGGGGTGCGGGAAGGGGCGGGGCTCCAGTGCTTGCTCTGGCTGCGCGGGGTGCGGCCGGGGCGCGGCGCGTGTAGGAGCTCAGTGCGGGACGCGCGGCTTGGGCCGGGTGGGGCTTGGGGAGGAGCGGGGTGCGGGAGCGGGGTGCGGCCGAAAAGGGCCCGGCAGGAGCCGGGTGCGGACCCCGAGGTGCGCGGCGGGGATGGAACCCAGGAGCCCGGGTCCGCGCACCTACGCAGAGCCGCTCTTCCTACCCGGTGCGCGCCCGCTTGCAGTCCCTGCCTTTTGCCCTTTCCGCTGCACAGAGAGGGCAGGGATGCTACGCGGGATGCAGGTCTGGCCGACTGGCTCGGGGTGCGACCCCGCGGACTCAGAGAAGGGCGCCCCGCCTCCAGGCTCTCCGCGGAGCGCTTGCTGCGCCATTTCTCAGAGGCGAGAGGCGCAGTGGGAGCGCGGCCTCTGCTGGGGCCGGAGGCAGGAGGCGGGGAAGAGCTGAGCAGGGGAAGAGAGGCAGAATAGCCTTTTTCAGCATCCTGGGGTAGTAGAGAGGGTAGGGTCCTGGAAGGGCAGTTTGTGATTCCCCCCTCCAGCACTGGTCCAACCCTTGGAAACCGGAAACTGGCTCCGGCGTCCTTTCAGAGACCTGGTGCTGGTGGCCCTTGCATCCCTTACACAGGAGAACTCTCAGGAGATGGGCTGGCAGAGTCGGAGAGCGAGTAGCGAGGAGGAGGAAAGAATCCAATTTTCCCCCAAAGAAATGATGGAAATGATGCGCATAAACACATTTACCCCTAATAGGGAGCAGCAACTGGACCTGAGAAGGGGTTCTGGGTGAGGTTGGATGTGGGCTCAGTGGGGAAGTCCTCTGTTCTCGCCCCATCCCCGGCTGCTTTTTGAGGTCTGGCCTGCACTTAGGCGCAGAGGGATGGAAGAAGGGAAGCCCATGGGCCCTTGAGGAGGAAAAGCCAGGGAACCTGGGCCCAGGGCACCCTTGAGCCAGCCGCTCCCTTGCTTGCTGTGTGCAGAACCCCGCCCTCTTGCCTGGCTGAGCTCAGGGCTGAATAAGTGATCTGCACATCACTGCAGATATGAAGTCAAAGTGAAGTCACCCTCACAGGCAGGAGGGGGAGCTGCCAAGACAGAGGCTGGCTTGCACTCAGCCAACCGTGATGTCCAGACCTGGCTTGCTGAGGGGCAGGTGGCCGGGGCACAGGCCTGCCAGCCCAGGAGAGACACTGTGGGCCACTGGACTCCGGCTGCCTGCCACACCCTTCCAGTTTATGGAGCTAGAGTTGGCCACAAGGGGCTCCCTTGGGTTCAGACAGGTTCCATCTCTGGTGCCAGTGGCTACCTAGGCTACACACTCAGGCCTGTGCCCAGGGAAGGGACCTGATAGGTAGGGAGGGGCTGGGGGCATCTTTTGGCTACAGACAAGCTCCTGTGATTGCCTCCTAGGTGAATGAAGAGAGAAGTGGGTAGGCTTAAATAGCCCCACCCCTGCACCTCCCGGGGACCACCCTGGCCAGCCCTTGGCTGACATTGATGTCTGGCTGGGCTCTGTGTGGCCATCTTAAGGGGCCATCTGGGGCTGTGCTCCTGCCTAGCCTACCTTAGGCCTTTCCACGCTCTCGCTCCACCCTCACCCTTGGGGGTCCTGAGTGAACACCTGACACTATGAGAGGGTGTCATTTACTCCTTGGAAAAAGGTCTGGGGGGCCCTCACATGGGTGTACCCTGTACACATGCATACATGCATACACCTGTGTTCCCATACGTGGACACACACGCACACAGATGCATACCTCCCTGCTACGTGCACGCCCAGGGATCTGACCAAAGGGTCGCTCAGCAGAGGACAGTTGTGAGGCCCAGAGCCTGCTGGCCTCAGGGACTGCGGGGAAAGGAGATTCAGCCCTGCCTGGGTGTAGGCTCAGTATCCAGAACATCAGGCAGCAGGAAGGAGCTCCTTGCCCAGCAGAGGGGAAGCGAGGCCACCCCCTGAGGTCTCACAAGGGGAGGTGGGGGCCAGGTGAAGTGCAAAGCAGACGTGCCGGTCTTTGGCTGCCCAGGAGTCCTGGCCCTGGCTTCTCTCAGTCCATGGGGTGGGGAGGGCCTGCAGGGGGCTCTGCCTCTCTTTCTTGACTCCCCTTAGTCATCTCTCTGAGCCTCAGTTTCCCCAGCTATAAACATCTCCCTTTCAGAAGAAGGGGTGAAACTAGAAAGAGGGGTGCATGTGAGGGTAGAGCCCAGTGCCCGACAAACAGGAAGCCCTTAATAAGTTGTAGCCATTGGGCCTTCCTGGGCCTGGGCTCGGGCACCCTGGCCACACTGCCCTGCTGAGGGTCGCGGGCTCTCTGGGAGCTGGAGGAGGGCACATCACAGTGTGGTCAGTGCTTCCTGTCCCTGCCCGCAGGTCCCCTTGGAGAATCTTCAGGGCAGCTTTTATGAAGACACACATCCTGGGTCCCCCACTCCCTAAAAATCCATGTTAAAAAAAAAGTTCAGGGGCCAGGCTAAGGGCTCACACCTGTAATCCCAGTACTTTGGGAGGCCAAGGCAAGAAGATCACTTGAGGCCAGGAGTTCGAGACCAGCCTGGGCAGCACAGTGAGACGCTATCTCTAAGAAAAAAAAAAAAATTCCCCAAGAGGTTCTGGTGCAGGCATCTGCTTGGAGTGATTAGACCTGAGTTTGAATTTTGCCATTCATAGTTGTGTGACATTGCATACATTACTCCTCAGCTTCAGTTTTGTCATCTCTCAAATGGGGACTGAAACAGTGTCCTTCCCTGGTGACTGTGAGGAGATGGTATTTTCAAGGCTCTGCCCCAGTGCAGGGTAAGATGCTCAGTGGGCAGGCGGCTCACACCATCTTCCTGTAGCATGTGAGAACTTGGAGGTCATTCATTGCTTCTGAGCAGGTGAAGATTACCTGGAGCACCTCAGGTCTGACCCCAAAGCACCAAAACGCAGCACAGGGAAGGGAGGGAGGAGGGAAACCCATCATGGACAGAGATCTGGGCCATGCCTGTGCAGGTTTGCCTGGCGGGAGGCGGGCGGGATGCTCTGTGTCCTCTGACCCAGGTGACATGGGGGTCTCTGCCTGCACTGAGAAGCATGGTTGGAGTGAGGCTGAGTGCAGTGACAGGAAACTCTGGCTCTGGGGGTGCCTCGTGACTTGCAGGTAGGGGGAAACACATTCAAGAGCGCAGCTCGGTCCTGGTGATACTGGAAGGCTGGGTGGCATTCCTGGAACTGCTGACCGAGGCCTCTCAGAGTGGGCGTGGGCAGGGGTCCAGGTCCCTCCCATGGGCAGTGTGACATGGTGGTTGGAAGCACAGACTCTGAGGCTGGCTGTGTGCACTGTTAGCAAAGTGGTCGGTGCCTCAGTTTCCCATCTGTCTGCCACTGCCCTCTGCTCCCCCATCGGGCTATTGAGGTGAGGGGCAGGTCTACTGCTCCCCACGGTTTGCCTCCCTGGCCTTGCTGTTGGTGCCCTCCAGGGCAGCTGCGAGGAGGAAGCCAGTGACCACCAGCTAGCTCTCAGGGCACTCAGAGGGGCTGCTCAGCCAGCCCACCCTATGCCAAATATGCTGCTTCCATGAGCATGCTCACAGAACACCTGGCCTGGGCCTGCAGGGTGTGGCTGTGCAGGACAGGCTTTACCTAACTGTGCAGGTCCTGCCTGCCTGTGGGCCTCAGGTGCCCTCAGGGGTGTTTGCAGAAGAGCCCTCAACCTGGCCTGGGAGAAGACCCCTTTTGCATCCTCCCTGGGGCCTGATTAGGAGCCGGGTGCCCGAACAAAAGCAACAGGGGCCTACATATCCATCAGAGACCCTGGGGGGTTCAGAGAAAGCCCACCTCCTCCCACCAGCCTGCCCACCTACTCCCACTAACCTATCATTATCACTTTGCCCACTTCAGTTTTCCATGTCCCCACACTTTGTTCTCTTGTGAATTTCCTTCCCTCGCCCTCCTTTCTTCTTTCCCCTCTGCCCGTCTTCTCCTCCCCTTCCCTTGGAGGAATCTCCATCCTTTTCGCTCAGCACCAGAGCCAGGCTAGCCACACCACTCAGCAGCTTCTGTGGTCCTCTCTGGGCCTCGGTGTCATCCTCTGTGACATGAGAGCAATAACATGGGCACTGCCTTGAGGGTAAAGCCCAATGATGCATCAGTGGGCTCAGCAGACAGTGGCAGTGTTTCCTGCCCCTCTGCCAGGGTTTTCTCTCCTACAGGGGGCTGTCTAGGTGTGGCCTGGGGCAGTAGCATGGTGGGAAGGCTGCAGGGGGCTCTGAGTGTGTCTGCGCTCTGTCTCTTGTCCCCATGTCCTTGGCGGGTTACCCAGAGTCTCCGTGCCTCAGTGGGAAGGCAGAGCTCCTTCTCCCCAAGTTCCCCGGGGATGCAGACAGTCAGTCTGCACAGAGTCCTTAGCCCAGGGACGCTGGCCATCAGCACGAGCTGCCGCTGTCATCAGCCTCTGTCCTGTCAGCTGTAGGAGCTGAGGCCATGAGGCCCAAGCAGTCACTGGATGGTGCTAGGGTGGCATAGAAAGCCAGGGGGCCCTGGACCCAAACAGTCCGGGCTTCCCACCTGCACAGGTGACAGCACGCACCTGTGTGCTGTGTGGGGCTGGTGGTCAACGAGACTGGCTTGCTAGAGCACACACCTGTCTTCTGCATCCTGGCTTGGCCACAGGCTTTGAGCCCTCCCCATGCAACCAGAAGCCTTCTCAGTGCTGGAGGGACCTGGGTCCCCAGAGTCCTATTTGCCGCAGAGGACCACTTATCTGACCTTGAATTACACATTCGGGAGTGGTGGGTTGATTAATGTCTGCGGCCACCCAGGCTCCTGGGGGATTGGCTCACATAAGGCAGCCCCAGCCCGAGGGGCTCAGAGGCCGGCTGGTCTGTGGACAGGACCTCAGGCCTGCCGGTGCCTTGCTTGGTGCATCCTCTGGAGAAGGCATCCTGGCTCCAAGCAACGTGGAGAGTGGAAGCTCGAGTCAGCTGTCCAGCAGATACAGGCTGAATGCTTTTTAGACAAAACATCTCCCAAGGCAGTTTCATAATCTGCCTTGTAATGCAGATTTAGACAACTTTTTACGAATGCGCTTTTTAAAATAGGCCTTAATGGATCTTTGCAGTAGTTACAGTCCATTGTGTAAATGCAAGCAGAAGGCTTTTTGAAAACATGTATTATTGATCAGAAAGGCAGCAGCAATTAGAAGCCAGTGTGTCGTATTGTTCAATACACACTTCCTATACAGCCCTGCCGTGCCCACTCATAACTTTCTGACAAATTATCTCGTCACTAGGAAGCCCTTTCTTTTCCTTTTTGCTTCTGTGAGTGAAAGAGCGCCCCCCGATTCGTTATTAGCTGGAGGTAAGGTCAATGAAAAATTAAGCTCACCATTGCCATTGCAAAACCTATTTACAACTTCTCCTTGGGCTTCTCAACTACAACCAGGTCTGAGCTGGAGGGGCTACAGAAGGGCCACAGAGGAGCCACTTCGAAGGAGGAACCCTGGCATCCAAGGCCACCATGAGCTGCCATTCAGCGGGGTTCCAGGGAGGAAGTGTGCCCCCGCCTGCTCCCAGTGTTCTCAGCATTTCTCCTCTTCAGTCGCCAAACCCAAAATGACCACTGAGGATTTGTTTTTTGCTCCAACACTGGTAGGAGAATCTCTCTTTCCCCCAGTCTGCACAATTGCCCTTCGTCCTTCTTGAAAAGCCCACTTATTTATTTGACAGATATCTCCTGGGCCCTTGCTATATTCCAGGCACCATTTTTGGAAACAGAGACGTTGCAGTGGAGAAAACCAAGTCCCTCCATTCCCCGTACATCTAGGGGACAGTCTCCCAAACTCAAGGCATGTGTGCAGGGGTCCAAGGCAGAAGAGATGTAGGTGATGGTTGTCAGGCCTGGGCGGCCCCGGGAGCTGACCTTGGGCAAAGAAGATGGTGCTGGGGGACAGTGCTGCCCTGGAGACACCGGGAGGTGGTGGGAGGCCAGCCAACCTTGGCTTCCCCGCAGTGCCCCAGCAGGAACAGGCAGGCATTCACCCTTCCCGGAGAGCATCCTCTCAGCAGCCTCTGGCTGGCCTCCCTGGAAGTTGCAGTGCGCCCTCCGTCCTCTGAGAGGTGTCCTGCCCGCAGGACCTTCAGAGGCTCACTTTGGCCCAGGAGGTCTTTTGGAGCCAAAAAACCCTGTGGTGCTTTGGGATGCTGACAAACAGGAAGCCAGTGACTGAATGCCCCAGTGGTGTCTGCAGGCTGCCATGGGCCCAGGATGGAGGTGGCTGTGGCTCTGGCAAGGTGTGTATCTGCCAGGGCCCTCCAGGCCTGTGGGTGCACAGGGGAGCCTGCCTTGCTCCACACTCGGGAGCTGCTGTGAGCTGCAGGGACAGGAGGGAACTGTAAGCTGCCTGCCGGCCACCTTCCTTTCCTCCCTCCTGCTTGCCCTTGGGTGTGGGGTGCAGGGTGCAGGTCGTGCGTGGTTTCCAGCCCCTGTGTCTACAGAGGGTCCAGGCACTTGGTACTTGCTCAGGTACTGCACTGGGCCCAGGCACTTGGTACCCCTTCCGGCTCTCCCGCAGGCCTTTGTTGCTTTGGAAGCCCTGGGGCTGGTTGCAGGCAGAGCCCTCAGGACTTCCCCTCCAGCCCCTGCACTACCCTGTGCTGCTACCTGAGCTGAGGCCTGCCCAGGGCTTCCCGCCATGCCTGGACCCCTCATACAAACCAGAGAGGCCCCTCCCTGCTTGCTCTGTCTGTCCAGGGGAAGGTTCTGCGACGATGACCATGTTGAACTTTGTGCTGCCTGAGCACTTAAAATGTGGCTAGTGTGACTGAGGAACTGAATGTTTAATTTTATTGAATTTAAGATAATGTAAAATTAAATATTCACATGTGGCCAGGATACTTATTGAGCAATGCAGCTCTAAAAAACATCTCCGTAGCCTCTCCTTGGGGGTGCCTGGGGAAGATGGGCTCCTGCCACCCACCTCCCTGCTGGAAGGAGAGCAGAGAAGCAGCCGGTTGAATTGTTCCAGGGAACTCTGCTCTTGCAGCATTCCCTCTGGGCCCTGGCTTCCAGGCAGCTTGAAAATGCACAGCCCTGAGGAGACGGGCGGCACTGCAGGGGTACACCCTGGGCACCCCCTATCTGGAGAGTCTTCTGCTTCCCTCCAGGCCCAGCCCCAGGACTTCCTTCCTACAGCAGGCATGGCTAGGAGCACAGACACAGCTCAGCCTTGGCAGAGCCCTGCCCTCAGGGGCCTCTTTGGAAAGGGGCTGATGAGCTACTGCGTATTAAGAGGCTGATGAAGAGCTGTCAGGGGACTCTGTATGCAGCCAGAGGCCCAGGCCTGATCACTAATGCTGGGACCTCAGCATCCAGCCCTCTCTCCTCTGCCCCAGACTCCCCATCCCTCAGACTCCCAGGTGTTCCCTGTCCTGGACCCCCACCTGCCTGGGAGGATCTTCCTGGCTCCTCCCAGCCCCTCTGTTGTCCAACTCCTACTCATCACTCAGAAGTCACCTCTTCCCACCCTGCTTAGATGCTTGGCACTGGCGCTGCATGGAGCCTAGCGCCCTAGCTGTGCTGCATTTCCCTGTGGCCTGAGGAAGGCCTTGCAATGTCTGTGGCCCCAGACTCCCTGCATCACTCTTCATTGTTGTCTGTTCCTGGTCTGTCTCATGTTCCCCGTCTGCCTGCGTGGGTTCAGGTGCGTTGACTGCTGAACTCCCAGCATCTAGGGCAGCTGGGGACCTGGTGAGGATTCCTAGCTGCTGTTCAAATGTCTGCCAGGAGAATGCCCTCTGGGCAGGGAGGACAGCCAGGAGTGTGCTCAGCCAGCAGGTGGGGAGTGCAGGGGTCTGCTGGGAGCATCTGTCCGCTGCCCCACTCTCTGCAGCCCCTTGATGCACGCTCACCTGCTCCTCCAAGCCCCTTCTTCCTGGCCGGCCTGGCTCTGAGCGGATGGAAGCCATCTATAAACATCAGGGGAAGGAGCGACGCAACCAGGGGCTTGAGCTGAAAACAACTCGCAGGGAGAGAACAAGGCGCCCAAATAAATCACCCGGGGCCCGACATTTGGAGCGTTTGCGTTGGAGACCAAACACAGATGCCCTTTAGATAAATACATTTTTGAGAAGCGTTCTGCAGGAGAACTTTATGACTTTAATAGATTTTTGGTGTCAGACAAGCATCAGGAAGTGTTTTGTGGAGAGAGTTTCTCTAAAAAGCACAGAAACATTCTTCTCCCTCTGGCCCTTTAAGCATAAGGGTACGATAATCCCAGCAAGGGGAGGGGCTTCCTTTTCCAGGTTCCCTTGGGATTTGCCCAGGGCTGGGAGTGCTCAGCTGAGAATGTTCTGGAAGGTTTGGAAGACCTCAGTGCTCCAGGCCAGCAGGGGGTGGGGGATCAGGGGTGGGGGTCTCTCTGGAACCTGATTTAGAAGCTTAGAAGCATCTTACTTACCCAGAGCAACTCCCCTTCCCTCCTAGCTGTGCCCCGCCCTGACCCCCAGAGGAGCCTGGGCCTGCGGTCCTAGGGGATAAGAAGGGCTCTGCATGGAGGACATTGGTCCTGCTGAGGCTTCCAGAGGTTGGCAATTTTCTGTAGATTGGATACTTTACAAAGTTCCCCAGGATGAAACCCAGGAGTGCGGAGCTGAGCTCACAGTGGGCCCTGAGCCAGAGAGAGGAGACGCTAGGAGAAGGTCAGATGCAATCATGTCTGGAAGCTTCTCCTTCCGGCTTAGAGATGGGCCCCCACCCTCCTGCCCACCCATCCGTCCTGGGCCCTGCCCAGGGTCCTGCAGCCGCCCTTTGCCCAGTTTAGGCCTGGATACCAAGCAGCCGCTGGTGGGGCTGGCTCCATCCTGCCTGAGTTGCTCTAGTCTCAGCCCAAGATGGGGCTGAGCTGTGAAGGTGTGGGTGCCCTCCTGGAATTGCAGCCCCAGTTGCAACTCATCTTCGAGTGAGGCTGGCATCTAAGCACTACACACCAGATCGTCCGTGCTGTGGCTTGGGGCCAGTTTGGGTGGGTGGTTCTAGGGCCAGGCTGAGCTGATTGCTCGCTTGTTTTCCAGGCCCGGCGGGACGGGTGTCTGCACTGTTTTCCAGGACCCCTCCTGAGGGCTGCAAAAAGCTTCCAGGCCTCCATGTTGATGGCAGAGCAGGCAAGGCAGCTCACCCTTCACCCTGCTGACTTCTGTGCACATTTGGGGCCACGTTTTCAACAGCTCCGGCACTGGAGCCAAGATAAAGTCAGCCTAAGGTTTCCACCTCTGTGGGTATCCTGCCTCCCTGGGCCTGGCCCTCAGGGCCTGCCTCAAACCCTCACCCACCCAGCCCTGCACTCATGGGGACCTAGGCACCCTCCTGGGTGGGAGGTGGTGCGCACGGGGTTGGGACGGGGTCAGGACAGGGTTGTGTGTGAACAGCCGCCCTGGTGGATTCATCCCAGGCTGTAAATGAGGGGTAGGTGTAGAAAGGCCCACACTGGGAAGGGAAATGTTTCCCCCCTCCTTCTTCTCCTAGGGGCCTGAACTCACCTCCTCAGCCCCTGAGACTCACCCAGAACCTCATCAGGAGACCAGCTAACAGAACGATGAGAACAGTTGGAGGATCTTCTAAAGCCTTTCTCTTGCCTCATAGTTTATTTCCTTGCAGAATCCAGCCCCTCAGATGCAGCTGATGTCTTAGCCACCACACACAGCAACCTTTTTTGTCTTCACAGTTGTCTCTGAAGCAGCTTCCAACTAAATAAAAGCAGCTTTGTAAAGGACACATCATTGAGGCTCTCGTGACCTGTGCCAGGTGGGAGGAAGTGACCTCTGCTCTATTTCCCAGCCCTGATACCCAGCCTGGCATCAGGCGGGGGGGGCTGTTGCCTGGTTACCCATTTGCATTTGTAATTTATCAGCGTTCTCCAAATCATAAAGGTTTGGGTTTTAGTTATGCATGTCTGGCCCCTGGAAGAAAGGCTGAATGAGATCCCTCAGGGAGGTAAAGCTTTGGTCCCTGAATCATCTCTTCTGGACAAAGAGGCAGCCCTCTTTTTTGGGGGGTGAGAACAGCTGGTGGAGATCCTCCCTACCATGTGGGCAAGTAGGCAGCCCAGGACTGGCCCCTCCAATTCACTCAGCTCACAGCATCCCCAGGTGGCAGCAACATCCCTATCTTACAGGTGAGCTAACTGAGGCTCCAGCTCAGGTGTTTCTTCTCTGGGGCCCTTGAGCCACCCTGCTCATGGTTCCCAAGCGCCAGTGGAGGCTGGTCACCAGGCCCCAGGGTGGGATGTGGGGTGTGGGCCGGGGTGTACACTTGCCATGAGCTCCCAGTGGCTGGGTTGCTGCTGGCTCCACATTTGGGCCTACACTTGGGATCCACTCCTCTCAACCCTGTAGGATGGGAGAGGGACAGGTGAGGGTCTCAGAGTGGAGGCACTCCCCCACCTACTGGCAGCATGTCCAGCTTGGCCAGGCATCCCCGGAGCTGCCGAGCCCCCCTTCCATCCTCCTCCCCATGTTCCTCTCTGTTCCCAGCCTCAGTGCCCTGGACTTATGCCCCTGGCCCTGGCCTTACTGGTCAGCGGGGAAGGACGCTCCTAGAACACACCACACCACACTCTGCAGAGACTTGGGTTTGCAGACAGCTCTCGGCCTTCTGACACCCGTTTTTTCAGCTGGACTCCTCATGCAAGGCCCGGAGCCCTTGGAAGCCACCCATCCAGTGCCTCTGCCACCCCATCAAAAAGGGTGGTCATTTCTGTGATCTAGGCCTGGATCCCACCCAAGATAATCCATGACCCTGTACAGTACTGAGTGTCAGGGAATCTATAGCAAGTGCATTGCCTTCACCTGCAAAATGGCTGCAGTGACAGTCCCACCTCACTCCGAGTCGGGGCACGGATTCTGTGAGATGTGGGAGGGGAGGCCCCAGCACAGAGCAAGGGCTGAGGAGCTGGGGGTGGTCACTTGCTGAAGGCTCACTCAGAGCCTGTGTGAGGCCAAAGCTGGGCCTGGGAGGCTGGGAGGAGAGGGAGGATGAGGGACGGCTAGGGGGCCCTGCCCCTTTAGTTGAGGCTCCCAGGCAGCTGCAGACCCCACTCCCAGGTGACGGCAGCACTGGCAGTGACACCAGCTGGCCTGCGCATTATTTCCAGACTGAGTCTTTGGAGCAAAGGAATTTTCCTTCTTTAATGAAAACCTTGCAGCCAGGGAAGCCCCCCACTAAATGACTGATACTCAACACATATGCACTTCTCAGAAATGTCTCCTAGTCAATGAAGAAGAGATAATAGTCAGTGGAATAAAAATTAATCTGGCCACTATAGGAATTAATATAAAAACATCAGATGCAGGACTTATAAGGGATGCCACCTCCACCTAACCCTTCCTAGGTTAAATACCCCAGGGATGCTGATTTACATTCTGTGCTGCAGGTCTCTGCCACCATAATCAATAGTAATGAGAAATGGGGCCAGCTGGGCCTGCCCGGCTAGGTGGGGTGGAGGGGAGTGTTCAGGGGGTGGGGAGGCTGCTGGGAGCAGGGGCCCATCTGGGCTATCCCATCCCCTCCCTCTTCCACCCTGGTGAGCTCTAGGCCTGCAGCAGAAGGATTTCCAGAGGCCTGGCCCAGGGCCCCTCTCATCAAGCTTCTCCAGGGAAGGAGAGGGCAGGTAAGGGTGGGGCAGGGTGGGGCTGGCTGGTCAGAAGCTGTCTGAGGCCCATGCAGTGGGGCCCCCTCCCGGGGCCTGGGCTTGGAGATGCTCATGGCATTGATAGTCCGGGATCAAGGCCTCTGAGGGCTGCCCACCTACTGAAGGTGCTAGGGAAGAGTGTGTTCCAGCCTCTCTTTGCTTGTAGACAGCTGTCCCCTCCCCATGTCTCTCCTCATGGTCTCCCCTTTGTGTGATCCACCACCACTGTGGCTCTGTGAGAATGATGGGCCCGCACTCCCCACTTCGGGGAAGCTCGCCTGAGCCACTGTTCACTCTGCCATCCCCAGTCTAGGTGCTGCTGATGCCCTCAAGGAGTTGTAAGTCTAAGCCCTTGCTGGCCATGCCTGAGCTGCCTCTCTGCTTTCCCCTGCTGGGAGCATCAAGCCTCCCCGCGGCTGCAGGGCTGTAAGAGCAGCAAGTTTCCTGCCCTCCTCTTTAGGAGCTGTGCTTGCTCAGCTCTGCCCCATCCTGTGCATACACCACATGGGGCAGAAGGGGGATGGCGGAGGGGTGGGGGCGGTTGAACTGTGCCACCCGTCCCTCCACCTGGAGGCCCTGGGGGAGACCAGCAAGGGGAGGACAGTGTGTTTATCCCCTGCCCCCTCCTGGCAAGGCCCCGGTGACCCCCACCCCCACACCCAAGTCCCTCTTTCTCAGCCAGGTTTGGAGGTCCAGTACCATCCCCTGAGCTCCTGCTGGGTCAGCCTCTCTCCAGGCCTGGGGGTTCCCCATACTGCCCACACCTCTGCCCCTACAGGAAACCCCAGTCCCTGCCCCCTTCGTGTGCCCTCTGCTTCTGCTGGACCCTGGTCTTACAGCTCCCAGCAAAATCCCCGCAGGGCTAGCTGGTGTTGGGGGGCTCAGTCCTTTGTCCCTGATGATGGGAGAACCAGCCCTTCCCAGTGCTTCTTTGCTGCTGCCTCCTTTGTGTGCCCTGCTCTGAGCAGCCTGGGCAACTCCCATACCCACTGCCCACCCTGGGCTGACTCAGGACAGGCCCCACTTCCCATGCTGGAGTGCTAAGCCCCAGGACCTTAAAATGCGACTGTATTTGGAGCTAAGGTTATTAAAGAGGTAATCAAGGTCAGATGAGGTCGTTAGGGTGGGCCCTGATCCAGTATGACTGGTATCCTTATAAAAGGGAAATTTGGACACCAATAGACACACAGAGGGGAGACCATGAGGAGAGACGTGGGGAGACACAGCTGTCTATGAGTAAGGAGAGGCTGGAATAGACCCTTCCCTAGCACCCTAAGGGGGCGGGTGGCCCTTGGAGGCCTTGATCCCAGACTTCCAGCCCTGGAACTGGGGGGCAGTAAACTTAACCACCTAGTCTATGGCCCTTCCTTACAGCAGCCCCAGCAACTCATGTACATTGCAAAGGAATTCACTTTAGGGAATGCAGAGCACCATTTGTTTTTTGTTTGTTTGTTTGGTTTGTTTGTTTTTCAGGGATGTTGGTGTCTTAGATAGGTTTTTTTGTTGTTTAGTTTGTTTTGTTATGGCTTCATGAATCAGAATTTATTTACTAACGAATAGAGGTTGAGAGGAAGCTGCTGACTGGTGGGAAGGTGGCCTGGTGCTGTCTTGGTGGTGGCCTTGGTAGAGGCTGGTCCAGTGGTTGCTGGGATAGAGGGGCATGGGCTGTGACCTAGGTGGGGAGCTGCAGCCCTCATCTCCAACTGAGGACCCCAAGGACCACGGCGTGGTGGGAGCTGCACTCTGCCTTCCCCCTGTTGCTGTCCTGGTGATGTTTTCTGTGCCCATGGATGGCAGGGTGGTTGATCAGGAAGCCTGTGGAGGCCCAGGGGGCAACACCCTCCAGCCAGAGACTGGGGCATGGGCTTGTCCTCCCACATGGTCACAGGTCAATACTGCCTTAATAAAAAGGGCATACATATTTTAATAAAACCAAAGACAACTCATCTAATGAAACCCATTGCAGAGGATCCTTAATGCCTGGGGACCCACGCTGCTTGGGGCCAGGCTCTGCTCTCGCATCGTCCTGTTATTGCTGCTTTTAGAGTGGAGATCTAGAAAGGGCCATTTCTCTACAGGACAGTGCACAGCTTGCCACAGATCTGCAGGAGGGATTCAGAGACCTCACAGCCTTTGGAAAAATGAGCAAATATCTAATTCTGAAGACTAATACTTTTTAGTACTATGAAAACTTTATCTCCCATTAAATAGATAACCCCAGACAGGGCTTCCAGCCTGTAGCGCTTTCCCTGTCACAGACCCTGGTGGCCACGGATCCATGACTCCTGCAGCCGTGAATGTGGCTCTGAGTCCTGCCCCCAGGCCCAAGGAGCTGTTCTCGACCCATCGGAGCCCGCCCAGTATGCAGAACCATCACTGCAGATGGGCTCTGGCCCTCTGCCTGCCTGGGATCTGCACCAGGGATCTGCAGACACAGAAGTCCCAGGGAAGGCCGGGGAATCACCTAGGGTGTGTTCTCCCTGTCTAGCGCTGAATGAGAAGCCACCCCCAAGCTGAGTGTCCTAAAGCAACACCATCATTTGCCTTGCTCCTGAGTCTGCAATCCGGGCAGCGCTCCGTGCAGTAGCTTGTCTCTGCTCAGCTCTGTCTCATTTAGGGCAGGCGGCTTGCGGGCTGGGGCTGGCAACACTGAGCTCCCCTCATGCAACTGGTGGCTGGTGGCTGTTGTTGACTGTCGGTTGACTAACAGCTCCCTTGCTGGAGCTGTGGGCCGGGACCGCTGGGCTTCCTTACAATGTGGTGGCCAGAGTCACGTTACTGTCTGTGACCCATCATCGGAAGTCACCTAAAACCCTCTCTCCTCTTCATCTCAGCAGTTGTGAAGGCACCCCTGGTTTCAAGGAGAGGAGAAATAGACTCTGCCTCTCAATGAGTGGTGGCCAGATCCTGGAGGAACACAGAAATATTGCTGTGGCTGTTTCTGGACAATGAGATCTGCAACCTGCTGTGCTGTGGGCTAGAGGTCAGACCCACCAGGGAGTCTGGGCCCAGGGATCAGGTTCCAAAGATGGTTCACCACCAGGAGTTAGGGACAAAGTCCAGAATGCCTCTTCACTACATGGATGTGATCATGTGGCACTGCCCCACAGGGACGTCAGTGTCCACTCTGGCCCTGGGGCCTCATTAGCACAGCGAGACTAGACCCAGACACATCTCAGGGGCCTCGGCTTCCACTGCCTGCAATGCCAGGATACGCTGATCTGTGAATCCTTGGAATCTCCTTCGGGAAATGACCCACTCAAAGGGAGGATTTGTCATCCTGGTGCATTGTATACATCTCATCCAACTTCCAGACAAGCCGTAATTCTGTGAGTAATGGCTTGGCGGTGTGAGGTGATGTCATCAGGGCAGACGCTTTGGTGGAGAGGGATGTGTGGCCTGGACACAGCCACCTCCCTCATGGAGCCCCCAGAGCTCACCTACCTCAGAGGAAAGTCAGGGCGGTCAGCCCCTTTCAGCCAGGATGTTCAGCTGGGAGCTGGAGGCAAGGGCATCCATTGAGTTTGGACTTCTATGCCTGTGACACCTGTGCAAGTGATGGACTCCCCGAGCCAGGGTCCCCTGTGCCCCCACGAGGAGGAGCCTGAGGGTGAAGGATGGCTGCTCAGCACACAGGGTGTGATGGAGAATTGCAGGCGCTGGGCCCTGGCCTTGTCCTCCCACTGCCTATTGTGGGCCACCCGAGGCCTCCACACTCCCCGTCACATGACAGCGCCCACCTTGCAGCAATGTACATGAAGGGCCCAGGGCCCCCTTTCCTCCTGTGAGGCCCAGCATGCTGCCAGACACATGCGAGGTCCTTGGTCAGCACCTCGGGGTCACAGGACCTGAGGCCTCTCTCTGGATTCTGACCATTCTCAGAATGGGGTCTGACCTGTGGCCAGGGCTCAGGAGCACCTGGTACCTGGAGCTGTCTGCACTGGGGCAGAGTAGGCCATCCGTGTCCAAGTGCTGGGCTGGGTTGCCAAGTGGACCCCAGTGAGGACGGAGATGGGGGGCTACTTTCCTGTGTCTGGGTGGAGGTCTACTCCAAATGCCCATGTCCTGTATCCGAGCCAGTAGATTTGAGTCTTGGAAGGGACTTCGGCAATCTCAAAGGTCTATGAAAGAAAAAGGCCAGGCATGGTGGCTCACTCCGGTAATCCCAGCACTCTGGGAGGCCGAGGCAGGTGGATCACCTGAGGTTGAGTTCCAGACCAGCCTGGCCAACAAGGTGAAACCCTGTCTCTACTAAAAATACAAAAATTAGCTGGGTGTGGTGGCACACACCTGTAATCCTAGCTACTCAGGAGGCTGAGGCAGGAGAATTGCTTGAACCTGGGAGGTGGAGGTTCCACTGAGCCAAGATCATGCCACTACACTCTAGCCTGGGTGACAGAGCGAGGCTCCAACTCAAAAAAAAAAAAAAAAAAAAGAAGGGAAAGACCAGATGATGGTTCATTCCACATAACATTTCCAGAAGCTGTGTGCGGAGCGTCTCAGAACGTGGAGGTCCTGGGCCCCTCAGAATATCTGTCTCCCCGACCTGCCCCACTCTGCTTCTCTAGGTCGGCCTCCCCACCCTGGGTCATGCAGCCTCCTCCCGGCCCCTGCCCTTGCCCTCACCCCTGCTGATCTGCTCCAGAGTGACACTGGCAGGCAGCAACGCCCTATCACACCAGGTGCATGGGGGCTGGTGTCTTATCAGCACCAGTTAGCCTGACCCTTGTCTGCAGCTGGCAACGAGTGGCCCAGGCTGCTCTGATAGGTGGGTGCCTGTGTTGTAACACAGATCAGTATGGAATGCCAGTGTGGCTGCCAGGTGCCACAGGATCCTCCTCACCCTGGCTCACCCCCACCTGCCCTGCCTGGCCATTCCTCCTGCCTGGGAGGGGCCGGCCCCAGCTTGCTGCAGCCTCTCCCTCACTGTGCCCTGGCATCTGCGCAGCCACCCGGATTGCTGTGTGAAACATGTTCCCAATCTCCCTGTCCTGCTCTGCCTTCCTTACACCCCTGTGATAGCTGCATTTGTCTGTGTGTTTGCATTCTTATTTGCATGTTGGCATTAACCCTGACATAAAGTTCCTGAAGGCAGCGATGCGGTTCCCTGCCTCCAGTGCTCGGAAGGTGCAGGCCCTATAGCTGTCTGCTGGTTACATAAAGAGGTAGATGGTGATGCACCCAGATGCGGCTCTGCCTGGGACTCCAGTGGCTGTGCAGTGTTCCACCGTGGGGCTGTGCTGTAATAATTCATCCACTCCTACTCGAGGACATCTAGCTTTTCTATTTGTTTGCTCCTATAGACAAAGCTGCACTGCACATCTCTGCATTCATGTGTGACTATAGAAAAAAATCAGTAATTCCAGGATCTGGACATACTGGTCAAGGAGTGTGTACCAAACGACTTCCCCAAAAGTATGTCTAACAATTTATGATTTTTTAAAGAGACAGGGTCTGTGTCACCTAAGCTGGAGCACAGTGGTGCAATCACAGCTCACTGTAGCCTCGAATTCCTGGACTCGAGATCCTCTCACCTGAGCCTCCCAGAGTGCTGGGACCATAAGCCTGAGCCACTATGCCTGGCCCAATTTATGACTTTTAGCAATATTTGAAAACATATGTAAAAGAATGAACCTAGCCCCACCCCCTTATGGGACCCCTGAGACCTCGAGGCCAGGCTCTGCGATGTGTCTCTCCTCTCAGATGTGGGGACAAGTCTGGGGAGGGTGTGATTTCCAGGCCGCTGGGCCGAGATAACCAGTATGGCCCCAGCTTCAGGGGCTCACACCCAGGCTTCCTCACTCCTGCAGAAACCAGCCTTCAGTGGGTCCTAGGATCAGGCTGTAACATAGGAAAATGCCAGCGAAGTCTCTGGGGAGGATGGCCATTTCTCCTCCTGTGCTGTGAGGGGCTTTCTGAAGTTCACGAGTGTTTATTCAGCACCTGCTGTGAGCTGTGCTGATGCTGTGACAGGGCAGGTGGTGGGGATGAAGCTTGGGACGACAGGGAGTGCCCTGCCCTCAAGAGCCTGCATTCTCCTTGAAGGAGACAGACAAAGAGCTGGGCACTGGAGCCGCCTACGTGGGGAGTGAGAAGCTCGCAGTGGGGAGGAGAGCTTCACGCCCACTGCTGGGGCCATACTCTTGAGCTGCCCTTCCCCAGAGGCTGCTTGGGCCAGGACTTACTTCTAATGGATGGAAAAGGCAGAAGGGATGGCTGCCACCCCCAAGGCCCCCGTCTGACAGAGGCCTGTGGGTTGTCTCACTGGTGCCTGCTCCCTCTCTTGCCTTGCTTGCTTCGATGTCCTCAGCAGCGCTCTGGGGGACCGTGTGCCAGGGACTTGGGGCAGCCCTTGCTACAATTTGAGAGGGAGCCCATTCCTGCCTTGTAAGGGAGCCTGAGGTGGACCCGGCCCTGAGATGACCCGATCCAGTGGACCCTGAGTGCAGCCTATGGGAGACCCTGGGCTGGGGGTGGGGGACGTGGCAGTGAGCCATGCCCAGGCTCCTGACCCGCAGAAGCTAAGACTGTAATGTTCTCAGAAGCCCCTAAGGTTTGGGCTGATTTGTTCCTCAGCACTGGCTAACCAACACCAGGGTGGGTGCGGTTTAAGATGGGATAGCAGGGCAGGAGTTATTTGAGAAATGAGTTGTAGAAGGAAGAGAGGGAATCATGGGACCTGGGGGCGGAATTGGATTTGGGGACATGTGTTTGAGGGTGCTCAGGAGACCAGGGCACTGGAGTACAGTGAGGGGGTGAGAGGAGGTGGGGACCAGGGCAGAGAGGAGAAGGGGCTGTGCTGGCATCTGGGCTTCAGCTTACCTTAGGGAAAGGGCGCCTTTAAGACCTCCAGCAGCTGCCATGTTCCCAGGTCCAGGTGGCTGTTGAGTGGTTTGGGTGGGGAGTGGGGTGGCAGTAGAGATGACCAGAGGTGTGAGGTTTATTTCCAAGGTAGACCACAGGTTGGGCGGTGGGGGTGTGAGGGAAGAGGGCTGTTTTTGTACCTGAGAAGGTGATGGTGAGCAGGTTTTGGGTAGACCTGGAGGCTGGGGTTCACGGGTACAGCCCGGAAGGTGTATCCATCCTTGAGGTGGAGGGTGCAGAGGTGGGGCCTGGTGTCACGCGGAGTCTGTAGAGTGTGAATAGAGACGAGCACTGGGTCCCCCCACGGGAAGATGGGGGGAGGTGTGGGGGATGGAGAAGGAGGGAGGGGCCTGGCAGAGGGGTCCTGGAACTCGGGAGGATGGTGTTTCAAGAGGAGGGCTGAGCCACTGAGTCACCACTGTTGCCAAGCTCTGCCTCAGTTTAGCGAGGTGAGGTTAGTGGTCAGGTGTCACAAAGTCTCTGTGGAGGGCTTCAGTGGGGCAACCCCAGATGGGGCCACATCTCTGGAGCAGTTTTACCATCAAGAGGAGCAAACAAACAAGCAAAGCAGTCAAACACACTGTCTTAAGGACAGGGAAGTAACAGTATTTTTGGATACAGACGGGGAGGATCTGGCTAGAGAGGAAACCCGCATGAGGCAGGAGCAAGGGATGGTGGCTTGGATAGTCCCCAGGGAGGCAGGAGCAAGGGATGGCGGCTGGGACAGTCCCCAGGGAGGCAGAGGGAAATGACTGGGCTGGTGCTGGTTGGAAAATCAGAGCGTCTGGTCT
This sequence comes from Homo sapiens, assembly GCF_000001405.40. Classification (NCBI taxonomy): domain Eukaryota; kingdom Metazoa; phylum Chordata; class Mammalia; order Primates; family Hominidae; genus Homo; species Homo sapiens. Next base: position 43,057,615 of record NC_000010.11, on the reverse strand, counting down.
TCAGGAAGTTCTAGAGGATGCAGGTGCCCCTGCAGCCTGCAATGGTCCCCTGCACACCCCGCTGCGACCTGGGGGCAGCATACGGGAGCCAGAGCTGAGCTGGGAGACTGCGCTTGGAATTTCCTGACCTGGGTGAGGTTCAGCTCCTAATCTCATATTGCATCTATCACATTATTTCATGTGGTCTGTGAGAAGCTGAAAGAGTGTGGGCTGAGAGGATTTGCAGAGGGGAGGAGAAGCCAACCCAGGACACTCTTCACTGACCCTCTGAGGTCTGGGTCGGGACCAACAATTTTGGTCACTGCCAGGGGTGCAGCCAGGTGGCAAGAGCTCTGGGCTGCAAGACCAGGCTCAGATCCAGGCAAGGGACAGCTTTTCTGAGCCTCAGTTTCCTCATCTGGAAAGTGGAGCAAGTGAGAGCCCAGCATCACAGGCTGCATGAGGCCACCATGGGCAGTGACTTCATCCAGATGAGGAGCAAGATGGGTGTGCACAGAGGGGCAACCAGGACCCACAATCACAGGTTGTACACAGAGATGGCAACCAGGACCCACAATCACAGGTTGTACACAGAGATGGCAACCAGGACCCACAGCCACTGGGTGTGCTCAGAGTGGGGCAACCAGGACCCACAGCCACTGGGTGTGCACAGAGTGGGGCAACCAGGACCCATGACCACTGAGTGTGCACAGAATGGGGCAACCAGGACACGTGACCACTGAGTGTGCACAGAGTGGGGCAACCAGGACCCATGGCCATCAGGTGTGCACGGAGTGGGGAACCAGGACCCACAGTCACCAGGTGTGCACAGAGGGGCAATGAGGACCCACATCAGGGGGTGTGCACGGAGAGGGCAACCAGGACCCACAGCTACCGGGTGTGCACAGAGGGGGTGACTAGAACCCACACCCACTGGGCTTGCACAGAGGGGGCAGCCAGGACTCACAACCACAGAGTGTGCACAGAGGGGCAACCAGGACCCACAGCCACCAGTTGTGCACAGAGGGGGCAGCCAGGAAGCATCCTACCCACCCTCTCGATTTCACCAGGAGGAACTGGGGCCCAGAGAAGGCAGTAAGTGGCTGTGGGCACCAGGCCCACTCTCTTCTCCACTGACCATGTCAGACCAGGCTGTTTCTGGGAAGCAGCAAGGGGTTTTCAGCCAGGACTTGGTATCCAGCCAGGAGTCTGGGTTTCAGCCAGGAGTTGGTATTTGTTAAAAGAGATGAAAAAGGTGAAGCTGTTATCAAGGGAAAGTATCTGGGATCTGAGTTCACTGCAGGGTCTCAGGAACTAGATACCATCAGCCAGGCCTGCATTGCGGATGTGAAGGGAAGCTGGGAGCTGTGTCTGTCACACATGGGAGCTCCCAAGCCCCCACCCCACTGCACTGCCCAGTGCTCCTGAGAGCCTGGAAGATGGAAACAGGTTGAACAATCCAGGAGGCACTGACCAGAGATGCCCTTGCTGTCAAAGCCTGGAGCTAGCAAACTGGCAGCCTCCAGCTTCCTCCAGCAACCTGGAGCTGGCAGTGGTGGCCATTTCGGCAGGGAGGTGGCTGGGGTTGGAAGCCCTGCATCCTGGTCTGCACAGGCTGTCAGGTTTGCTAAGTCCTGGAGCTCCCAGCTGCCCCCACAGATGAATTTCCCCTGCTGCTGCTTCATAATAGGTGGGACTCCATTTAATTGGACCCCTAGAGTAGGAGCGGGATAGAGACACTGGGATGGTCCCTCTGCTGAGAAAACATTTGGTGTATGCCACCAACCATTCCTCACTCAAACACATGTCACTCAAACATGGGCCATACGGATCTTCTTAATGGGATAAAGAAAATAGTGGCAAGCTCCATGAGGCTGTTTCCAACCGCCTTTCCCTTGAGATCTGCACTATTGAGGCTAAAAGTCTAAATATATTCCCAGCCTCTCTTGAACTAAGTGTGGTCAAATGACACAGTTCTGGTAAATGAGACCTAAGTGGCAGTCAGCTGGGATATTTTGAGAAGGTTTGTTTTCTTGTCAAAAGAGCCAAATGCAGCTCTTTTCTTTCCATTTCCTTTCTTCCTACATTGAAGATAGATGTGATGCCAGGCACTGGGGCAACCATATTGCAACCCTGAGGCAGAATGCATGAAAGATAGACAAAGCTCTGACGGGGTTGAACTGCTGAACCCAGGCCAGCAGCTGCCTACTGGCAGGCCTCTTGTAAATGGAGGCAAAACAAAACATTATTTGTTTAAGCTGCTATGTTTGGAACTGTTGCAGTTGAAAGCATTCCTAGCGAATACACACCACTATGGCAAACGATCAGGAATATCACACCTAAGAGTAAAACCCTGGCCTCATTCCTGTTACATTCTGAAAAAAGAGAAGGGTGTGCCCACTGTGACTTCTAGGAATAATATCACAAACAATCGTTTTGGAGAGTCTACTACATCCTAGCTACTGTCCTAGGCACTTGGCATATTTACTAATTTGACCTTTCCAACAACTGTATGGGGACATTTTACAGATGTTGAAACTGAGGCACAGAGAGGCACAGAGAGGTTGGGTAGGGGGGAAATTGCCATGTTCCAAGTTCCAAGTCAGTGAGCGGTGAGCCAGGGTGTGAATTCAGAAAGTCTGACTCCAGAATCCATCCTCCTGACCACGTGCGGATCCATCTATATGATCAGAAGTTGAGGAAGAGCAGTACAGCCCAGGTCAGGGACCTCTGGTCCTATGGCTGGTGCCACTACATCCTCTCCCCCTGTGGACCACTCAGGGGAAGCCAGTGGTGGGTAGGATCAGAGCTGGGGAGCTGGATGTTCCCAAGAGCCTGGGGATGTCCCCAAGAGCCTGCAGGGCCACTTCACAGAGAACCAAGATGGGCCAGGGCCCCACCTCTGCTCCAGGGCAGGTACAATAAACACTGCCAAGGTTTCCTCTTCCTTCTCTTCTTCCTCTGCTTCCAAGGCCGATTGATCCCACTTCTGGTGAGTACCTTTCTCTTTATTTTTAAAACTACTTTAGTATATTTCAACAGTGCTGGCCAGTTTTGTAGGCTAGAGAGCCGGCTGTCGTTTTTGGCCTATTGTCTTTTAACACTTTTAAAAAATATTACAGATAGAGGAACTATATGGCTGCTATAAAGTCTTCAAATAGTTCAGAAGTTTATGAAATAAAAACTATAATTTTCTGCTTGTATTACCAGCCTCCATACCTCTGCTCACTACCCTCTCTGAGCGATAACATTACTTGGGAGCTTGGACTTCGTCCTTCCAGAGTATTTCCTATACAAACACACTCATGTATATAAGATACATGCGCGCGCACACACACACACATTTTATTTTAAATGTATTTAAAAATCAGATTACATGTGCCACTCTATTAGTTGCTTCTTCTCCTTTAGTAATTCTTGAACTTGAACAAATCAGTCTTATTATTTTCAATGTACGCTGAGTGTCGTTTAGAAAGGGAGGGAGCTCAGTGTTTTTTTTTTTTTTTTAGCTGACCTTGATGGACACTCTGGTTGCTTCCACGGGTTGTTGTTATGCACTTGTGTGCTCCTCTTTGTCGAACAGATTCCTGCAAATGGTGTGTCTGTGTGCAGATGGGCACATGGCCACGTTTGACAAGGATGGCCAAATGCCCCTTAAACTGTTGCATCAGCTCTCTCCCCGAAGTGAGAATGAGAGCGCTCCATCCCCAGGCCTTCAGGAATTCTAGAGTAACGATGAGCACACCCAGCACTCACATCTTGGTTTCTAAATTCTGTCTCCACTAAAAGGAACCAGGGCTCCCTGGAGAAAAGTTTCCAGGGCTGGAGCAGAAAAAAAATGAGGTTAGAACATCTCACTGAAAGTAAGGAAGGACTCAGAGAACAAGGAAAGCATATTACAGGGCACAGGAACCAAGCAAAGGGGCTCCCATTGGCCCAGCTGGGACATTCTGGGCATCAGAATGAATGATAGGAATGAATTATGGCCCCTGAATAAAATAAGACTCCATGAGCTCATCATCCAATAACGATATGAAATAAAAAGATAAGGAAAAGCTTGTCCTTATAGTATAATAAAGCATCAGCTAGTAAAAGTAGGTGGAATTTAGAAAGATAATCATTTGACAATTAGAATAACTGATTCAGACAACAACCATCAGCAGATGCTAAATTTGAGGGTGAAAGTTTGTGCAGGAACACGGAATCACATAGACTCAAAGTATCTGCCCATAAAAGTCCTGGTTTGTTACAAAAGGAAAAATAATAACCTTTTAATTGAGAAGCCCAGTGAATACTGACTTCACCAAATAGTGAAAGTTGATATCATCATCAGTGATGGAATAAACTTCCACATTCATCCTGGTGTGGTGCGTCAAGGAGGGCATGGAAGTAGGTCTGCAGCATTCCTGCCAAAAATGCGTGACCTGAATCTAATCCTGAGGAGACAGTGGAAAAACCCAAATGGAGGCACAGTCTACAGCCTAAGTGGAAATCTCCCTTCCAAAATGTGAATGCTAGAGGAGAGGAAGGTGGAGGGTGTCCCAGTTTAAAGAGACCACTGGGACAGGATGATTGGATGCAAAGCGTGATCCTGGATGGAAAAAAATTATTGTCAAAGACAACATTGGGACAGCTGACAAAACTGGAATATGAATTTTGGTTAGATAACAGTATTGTATCAATGCTAACTTTCCTATTCAGTACTTGACAGATGTACCATGGCTAAGTAGGAACATGTCCTTGTCTACGGAAGATAAAGATTTAATATTTGGGAGCAAGGAGGCATGGTGAATAGAAGTAACATCGCCAAATGGTTCAAGAGAGAAATTGCATATACATGTGGAGAGAGTGGGGGAGGGACAGGGAAAAAAAAGAGAACACAGGAAGAAAAATGTGAACAGTGGTGAATCTGGGGAGATGAGGTATAGGAGTTCTTTGCACTATTCTTTAACTTTTCTCTAAGTTTGGAATTGTTTCAAACACAAGGTTTAAGGAGAAAAATAATTTTGCCAATGTGTTAGGAGCAAAAAAGGCAACTCACAGGTACTCGAATTTGCATTGGTCTCATCACTAGTGATGTTGAGCTTATTTTCACGTATTCGCAGCTTCCTGTTATTTTTTAAATGATCTGTAATCTTTGCTCATTTTTCTATTAGATCATTTTTGTTTTTACTAAATGAAATGCTTTTTGAATTTGTATTAAATTTCTTTTCTATTTTGTGTGTCTTGTAGTGAATTTTCACTACAAATGAATATTGACTTCACCAAATAGTGAAAGCTGATATCATCATCAGTGATGGAATAAACTTCCAAATTCATCCTGGTGTGGTGCATCAAGGAGGGCACGGAAGTAGGTCTGCAGCATTCCTGCCAAAAATGCGTGACCTGAATCTAATATCGAGGAGACAGTGGACAAACCCAAATAATAATAAACCATTCTGTGGTTTGTCTTTTGAAGTCTATAGGGCCTTTAGTCATGCAAACGTTTTGCATTTTTATCTAGTCAAATCCATCATCTTTTTCTCTAGGCATCTCAGTGTCTTATTTTCCGGAGGAATAACTCCCCATCCCCCACCACTGCAAGATTATTTTTACATAGTAAAATCTCTAGTACTTAATATTTTTATATAGCAAAATCTCTAGTAATTAAACAATATAGTCAGGACACAAGTCTGTTTCTAATCTTATCATCATATTTTTAAAATGAAAAATTCTATTTTGAGATAATTGTAGTTTGATATGCAGTTGTAATAAATAATACAGAAGATCCCTGAACTTTTTGCCTAGTTTCCCCCAGTGGTAACATCTTACAAAACTGTAATACAGTATCACAACCAGGATTTGACACTGATACAGTGGAGATACAGAATATCCCATCACCACAAGAATCACTAGTTGCCCTTTTATAGCCACATCCATTTCCCTCCCACCCCTTAATCCCTAGCAACCACTAATCAGTTATCCATTTCTATAATTTTGGCATTTCAATTAGAATTATATAATATGTAACCTTTTGGGGCTGGCTTTTATCATTCAGAGTAATTCTGGGGATTCATGCAGGTTTCTGATTGTATCAATAGTTTCTTCCAGCCGGGCACAGTGGCTCAGGACTGTAGTCCCAGCACTTTGGGAGGCTGAGGAGGAATGATCATTTGCGCCCAGGAGACCAGCCTGGGCAACATAGTGACATCTTGTCTCTACATAAAAATTTTTAAAAATTAGCCAGGTTTGGTGGTACCTGCCTGTGGTCCCAGTGACTTGGGAGGCTGAGGTGGAAGGATCATCTGAGCCTGGGAGGTTGAGGCTGCAGTGAGCCATGATTGTGTCACTGTATTCCACCTTATTGGACAGAGGAAGACCCTGTCTCAAACAACAAAAAAAAAGAAGTTTGTTCCTACTTGCTGCTGAGCAGTATTTCATGGTGTGGCTATTCCAGAGTGTGTTTCACCATTCATTTCATAAAGAACAGCTGGTTCTCTCCAGTTTTTGGATATTACAAATAAAGCTGCTATAAATTTTTGTGCACAGGTTTTTGTGTGAACATGTCTTCATTTCTCTGGGATAACAAAACCCTATTTTTATTTATCCATACTTTTGCTTGCTGCATTTTTTCTTCCTTACTGATGTTCCATGGTTCTTTCATTTATTACTTGCTTTCTGTCTGGACAGATTCTTCAGGCATTCTTTTAGCATAGGTCTGCTGGTGACAAATTTTCTTAGTTTCCCTTCATCTGAGAATGCGAATGAGAAGGATGACTTAACTAGGTAAAAGGGTCTGGGTTGACAGTTCTTTTCTTTCAGCTCTTGAAAAATATTATACCACTGCCTGCTAACCTCTGTGATTCTGATGACAAATCCACTGTCATCTGAACTGTCTTCCAAGATAGCTGTCTCTTGCTGTTTTCAAGACTTTTTTTTATGTTTCAGAAATTTAATTATGATGTGTTTTGGCATGGATTTGTCTGGTTTTATTCTGCTTGGGGTTTATGAAGCTTCTTGAACCTGCAGGCTTACATCTCTTGCCAAATTCAAGGAGTTTCCAGTCTTCGAGTATTTTTTCAGCCAATCCTCTTTCTCCTTTGCTCTGGGACTTGAATGACATGAAAGTTAGGTCTTGTATTATAGTCTCCTGGATTCCTCTTTTATTTTTTTCAGTCTATTTTTCTCTCTGTTATTTGACCAGGTGATTTCTATGCATTTTCCTATTCACTGATTCTTCCCTTTGTCCTCATTCTGTTAAGCCCATCCACTGATTTTTGTTACTGTAATTTTCAACTCTAAAATTCCCCTTTGGTTCTTCTTTGTACTGTATCTTCTCTTTCTTTGCCTAGACTTTCTATTTTACAATTTGTTTCAAGCATGTTCATATTTGCTTGTTGAGTCACTTTTTTGATGACTGCTTTAAGATCTTTGTCAGGTAATTCTAACATCTCTTTCATGTAGATGTCAGCATTTATTGACTGTTTCATTTAGTTTGAGATTCCCTGGGTTTTGGTATGACTAGAAATTCTCTTTAGAAACCTAGATATTCTCATATTTTGTTATGAGACCCTAGGTCTTTTTTTTTTTCTTTTGAGACAGAGTCTCACTCTGTTGCCCAGGCTGGAGTGCAGTGATGTGATCTCAGCTCACTGCAACCTCTGCCTCCCAGGTTCAAGCGATTCTCCTGCCTCAGCCTCCCAAGTAGCTGGGACTATAGGCGTGCGCCACCACGCCTGGCTAATTTTTGTATTTTTAGTAGAGATGGGGTTTCACCATATTGGCCAGGCTGGTCTCAAACTCCTGACCTTGTGATCCGTTTGCCTTGGCCTCCTAAATTGCTGGGATCACAGGCGTGAGCCACCACGCCCGGCTTCTGGGTCTTATTTAAGCCTCTGTTTCAGCTGGTACTTTCTGTCAGCCTCTGTCAGGGAAAGGGAGGCAGTACCTTCTCACTGCCAGGTAGAAGTAGAAGCTTGGGATTCTCACTCAGCCTCTGCTGACACCTGAGGTGCAGGTGGGGACTCCTCATTACAGCTGGGTGGGAATGGGAGTTCTGGCTTTCTGTGTGGTCTTCTCTGACACTGCTGCAGGTGGGGGAATCAGTACCAGCTAGTGAGGATCAAAGCTCCAACTCCCTTCTTGGTTTTCTCAGCAGGGATGTGGCTGGCAGTGGGCGGGGGAAACGGCAGGGTCACTCAGCTCCCAGGGTTTCCAATTGAGCAGGACAAAACTGCCTCCTGCTGTGGTGGGGAGGGCATCTAGGGGCAGGTTGCATGTTGGGGACAGATCAGGACACCTCGAGGTGCCTTTCAGAGGCTTGCAGCAATTGGCGTGGTGGCATCGGCTCCCAGCGGGTGCAAGCCACGCAGCATGAGATCACCAAGGACGGAGGGCCAGGCTTCTGGACATGCCCAGTCAGGGTGACAGACTGGAGCTGTCAGGCAGGCGAGACACTCTAGGGCCAGCTGGGTGGGCCTTCATGTCGCTAACCATCCACATGTTTCCCTGCCATGTCATTAGCTCTGTTCCAACCCTGCTGGTCTGAGGCCTCACATGAGGCTGAGAGCAGGTCACGGGCAAAGGAATCTGTTTTGAAAGCTCCGGGTGAGCCTGAGAAGCGTCCCATGGGGAGAACCAGACAGGCTGTGTGGCCTGGGGAGTCACTCAGTCCCTCTGTCTTCGAGGACTCAGTTCTGTGCATGGGGCTGGCATGAGGCACAGAGCCCTCACCCAGTCTGTGTGGATGAGCTGTGACACAGGGACAGCTCTGCCCCCATCACCTCTGCATTCCATTGTCATTCTGCACATCTGCAGTGACCCTCCTAAGGGAGCAGGCTCATCCTCCCCACAGCCCCAGGGCCCCACTCAGAAGGGCCATGTGGAGGCCACGGTAAGAATGTTCTTCATTTCTGTAGGGTTACTCAGCAAGCATTTGTAACTTGGTCTCAGAGCATCCACCATATCCTGGGTACTGCTCTGCTCGTAGGGCATGGAGCAGCCAACAAGAGATGAGGTCACAGTGAAATCAGTGGGTGACCATGACTGTGGAAGTAACAGGCAGAGGCAGTGGCAGGCCCAGTGTGGAGCTGGGGGCAACACCCCCTGTCCACTGTGTCCCCCTGGCTGAGACCCTCCAGCCAGGAGAGAAGGAGCATCCCATGGCTGTGGTGGGGACCCTGTACCCTGCCCCTCCTTCACCAAACATGCCCACCATCCCTTACCCTAATTGTCGCTGCCAAGCTCCCTGGCCCTACCAGCTGCCCAGAATCATCCTGTGCCCAGCATCATCCTGTGCCCAGCAGCTGCCCAGGGAAGACAACCTCAGTGTGTGCCACATGAAGAGGTCCCAGGATGGGCTGCCCTGGAGCCACTTACAAACACCTCTTTAAAGGTCACTGCAAGTGGAGGAACATGGCCACACCTGATCTACAGTAAGATGCCAATCTGGTAAAAGAAAAATGAAAACGGGAGGCCAGCACTTTGGGAGGCTGAGGCAGGAGGGTCAGTTTGAGGCCAGGAGTTGGAGACCAATCTGGGCCACATAGTGAGACCTTGTCTCTCCAGAAATATTTAAAAGTTAGTTGGGAGTGGTGGCACACACCTTTAGTACCACCTAATCAGGAGACTGAGGTGGGAGGATCGCTTAAGCCCAGGAGTTCAAGGCTGCAGTGAGCCATGATTGCACCACTGCCTGCCGCTTGGGCAACAGTGTGAGGCCCCGTCTCTAAAATAAATAAATAAATAAAAAGGAAAAGAAAAAGGAAAACAACAAAAAGCCCACTGATCTGTGAGCCCATGAGCAGTTTTCTGGGTGGTGGGTGGCTGTCCAGATTGTTTTTATGGTCATGGCTCTTTGGGGCCTTGGGCCCCTGGGAAACCGAAGTCAACCCTGCAGCTTCTTCTCACAGCTTCAGGTCACCTGCCCCATGCACCATGGGCCCCGTGCCAGGAAGCCCACTTTCATAGTTTTATGAGATTTGCCTTTCTTTTCCAAACTGTACACAATGAATGAGTTGCTTTTATAATTTCAAGCCCGATTCTTTTATTAAAATGCAGAGAAAAGTTTACAGTTCACCTTTAAAAATGATGGAAGCTGCTGGCGATTGGGTGGTATGTGTCCCCAGTCTGCCCACCCATGCCACAGGGCTCCTCTGGCCAGAGCCGAGCCACTGGGTGTTTGGTGGGCACATGGTGAAGGGGTTCTGATGATTATCATGGGTCTCTCAGTTTGGGCCTGTAATCTTCTTGGCCTCGGGGTCTTCCCTTGTCCCAGCCCCCTCCTATTTTTCTTCTTCCAAAATGACCAAAAGAAATACAACTTCCCACTTAAGTGAAAAAAAAATTCATCTAAGTAGCCTTTTAATAAAAACAAAGGCTCTCTCTGATCAAAAAAATCAATTAGTTGGTGGAGAATTTTATTAGTCAATCATGTAAGTAATTAAAAATATTGATTGATGGGGGCGTCTGTGGCTGAGAGCTGTGCTCCTGCAGCAGGGATGGCAGTGGCTGGCATGGGAGCTGCAGGGAGAACGTATGGAGTGGCGGCTTTAAATCAGTCCCCAGCGTGTCTCTTCCAAGGTCAAGCAGGGCGCATTAGACAAGGGACTCAGCCCATCCTGGAGCCTCAGATTCCTCCTACGAAAAACACCAGTCCTGACTGTGTGGGGTTCCCGGGTGCATGATCCTCTGAATGAGGCCGTTGAACAGTGCGTGTCTCAGCACTTGGCTCCTGGGGGGCAGGGCACTGTGTCCTGAGGGCCCAGGCATTCTGGATTCCAAGCCTAGCCTTGTCTGGGGCCTCGGGATGGGAGGCACAGAATGGTCACCAGGTCCTGTCTCCTGAAACAGGCTTTTCTGAGTGGGCCCCGTCCCCTGGCTAGAGTCTGACAGAGATGGGGGCGCTGCAGTCATGTTGTCACTCAGCCAGTGCACCAATGCTCCGTCATGCTGCTGCTTAACAAACCACCCCGCAGCACAGTGGCTTCACTGACAATATTAATTCTGCTCCCCAAACTGCACATTGGGCCCGGTGTGGTGGGGACAGTGTGTCTCTGCTCCACTTGTGTCAGCTGGGTTGGCTGGAGGCATCTGAGGGCTCCTGGTGCTCGGTCTGGCAGCGGAGGCTGCTGCTGGGCCCTCAGGTGGGACACCTGCATGTGGCCTTTCCAGGGACCTGGGCTTCCTCACAGCATGGGACCAGGCTCCAAGGGGAACCTCCCTAGAGAGGGAATCAGGCAGAAATGAGTCGCCCTATCTGCCCCAGTCTCTGATTTCACTCTGCATGGCCTCTGCGGGCCCTACCCACCACCTCTGCCCTGCACCCGGTCCAAGGAAGGGGAAACAGGTGTGCTCCTGGAGAGTAGCAAGGTTCTGAGAATGTGTGGGATTGGAGATACTCTTGTGGGCATTTTGAGAAAATGCCATCTGCCACCCAGAGGCCCAAGGATGGTGTCCTCTGCTAGGGGAGGGCCTGCCTGGGTGCCTCGTCAGAGGGACTGGGGAGGGACCGAGTGCTCAGTGCTGAGCCGTGCCCAGGCACCTCATCCTGTTCTCTCCTTCTGACACCGCATTGGCTAGAAACCACTTCCCTGTTCACAGGCGAGGAAATGGAGCTGGGATTCTAGCACAGCATACAGGACTCCAGAGCCCACTCCCTTCTTCCCAGGCGGTGCCCAGAGGCCCTGCCTTGGTGCAGAGCTGGCTGCTGGCTTCCATCTCTGCTCCTTGTGGACCTGCTCAGCCTTGGCCATCCCACCTGCTGTGGGCTCACCTTTTCCACCCGTGGCCACAGATGCAGGTGGCTGCATGGAGGCCCCAAGGGCTGGGACCACCCTCACTGCCACCCTGCAGGCATCTGCTGGCCTCCTGAGGAGCGTTGGCCTACCTGGCACAGCCCGAGCCCAGTGCCTGGAAGCCCAGCCTCACTCTCCTGCACTGGCCCAGGCAGGGTCAGCAATTCTTGCACGTGTGGCCCCTTCCCGGACACACCATTCACAGAGGCTGAACCCACATGGAGATCCACACCCTGAAAATCTTTCTTTGCTGGGGAGGCAGTCTGGGCCCTGCCCACGTTGCCCTGCACATGGATAGAGCTGGGTCTGTCTGCCCTGCCAAGGAAGAGCAGGGATGCCACGGCCCGCTGCTCAGGCAGTAGGATCACGGGAACACTTGACCCCCACACAGATGCAGGCCCTGGATGCTGCCGGGGGCTGTAACACGTATCTCACCCCTACCCCAACCCTGCCACCGCTGGGCCTGGGCCACATTTTGTCAGGCACGGGGTTGCAAGTTTCACCCCATTATTGGACTTCTCACCTCCCCCGGCCGACCTGGGGCCTCCCCAAGCAGGGGCCTCCCCTAACATGGAGCTTATGGACAAGGAGGAGGATGGGGCTGCAGAAGTGGCTCCTGCAGTGGGAGGGGAAGGAGGGTGTCCTGAGAAGCATGTGCTGTAGGCCTCCCACCCCCACCTCTGCGTGTGTCCCTGGGGCAGGCCCTTTCTGAGGGTCCTCAGGAGGGAGCCCTCATCTGAAGGCCCCAGGCTCCTCAGGGACCCTGGACAGCCACCCTGCACCCGGCTCAGGGCCTGCCCCTTCCTCCCAGGGGAACTCGCAGGCCCTGCCTCTTTGGGCTCAGTCACCACAACCCCCAGTGCTCGCCCCACCAGGAAGGGCTCCCACTGCCTTTCTGGCACACAATTTCCCAAAGCCACCCCGAAAAGCAGGCCCTGGAGGCTCTCCTATGCAGGCTGCTCGTCCTCTGAAAACCTTGGCTATTTGTTTAGACTAGCTGACATTTCCATGGTGTTTTATTAAAGGAAATATCCTGGGGAGAAGGCAGGATGTTTGCACAGAGCTTATGCCCTCTGCCTTGGGGCCCGTGGCACCCAGGGCGGGTAGGTGAGGAGCTAGTACTCAGCAGGAGCCGTCTAGACAGGGGTGCGGCCGCTCCCCTCCCCCTGTTCTGCAGAGGCCTAGGCCGCAGCCCTTGCAGGCACAGGGACCCTCCCGGACTCTGTTGGCCCTGTGCAGGGCTCTGAGGGGCTGCACAGATTGGGAGTGAGGCGACACCCTCCCCTTCCTCTATGGGACTGCAGTTCTTGTGGCTGGGCCTCAGATGCCTGTGCTGGCCCAGGGGCCCCCAGCTGTGCCTCACTGCTCTGCCTCCGGCTTTGCTGCACTGTGCCCCTTCCTCTCCTTTGTGTCTGTGTCAGCTTCCACCAGGGGCCCTGGCAGCAAGCAGGCTGAGGGGCTGGGGTGCCATTTTGCACAAACAATCAATATTGTTCACTGGGATCCGTCTCCATGGCCAGGCCCAGCTGAGACTGTGCTTCTCCCTCAGCCCTCACAGGGCACTTCTGAGGAGGGGTTGCCTGTCCTCACCTCCCTGGCCTCACAGGGCACTTCTGGGGAGGGGTGACTGTGTCAGGAAGTTGCTTCCCACCAGCCTCTGTGCAGCTGCTGGCCAGCTGGCATGAGGACTATGGTCTGCTGGGGCGTGCACCGTGCAGGTTTTCACCGCCCCCAATCCGGGAGCCCTGCAGGTGTCTCTGTCTCGCCACTGGGCCTGGAGTGTAGTCCGGGTAGGAGGTCCTGAAATGAGGCCTGGTAAGCAGGGGGAGTGTGGGGCATGTTTCAGAGGTGCCTGTGACCTTGGGGCTTTTGCAGAGAAGGAAGGAAGGGCCACTTACTCCTGCTGTCCAGGGAATTCCCGGCAGGGAGAGCCAGGGGTGGTGGCTGATCTGGCCTTAATGACATCCCTCTCCGGCCCCCTGGGACAGAAGTCTGTGCTGGGCAGTATCTTTGCATTTGGGTATAAACATACTCCCTCCACTTCAGCTCCCTGGCAGAGGGGGGAGCCCCCACAGGGTGGCATTTCCATCTTAATTGGCACGATGATCCTGCTGAGACCAACTGCTGACAGTCACCATCATATTCAGCAGGAAAGGCCACACGTTTGTGGATTAGGAGGGGCAACTGCACAGGCCATGCTGCCTCCTTCCCAAGGTGAAAGTGGGGTGCCCAGGGGCCTCGGTCATGTCCCTGGCAGGTAGGGGGGCTGGGAGCCCAGTTCCACCCCGCCTTTCCCTCTGGGGCTCTTTCCACAGGGACTCGGGGACCATGGGAGTCACAGTGGAGCAGTCTCATTGCGCCCTCGGGGGAGGGCTGGCGATGAGAAGCCATCCAGTGGCTGCAGCCCCTCCAACAGTGGACCATGCCTCACAGCAAGGTTGGGACACAGAGGCCTCTTCTTTGGGGTCTCGGCCCCCTGGGTCAGATCTGGGGACTCCCTGTAGCTGGAGGCTGAGAGCCAGGTGGAAGGAGATCCGCAGGCCTGCACCAGGGCCAGGCTCCAACCCAAGGTCACAGGCTCTTGGCCTGAGGGTGGAGACACTGATTGTTCTGGGCACACGTGGGGCAGAACTAGGACTCCAAGCAGAGGGGCAAAAGCACATCTGACGTGGGGAGGCCTTGCATAGTCAGGGCTCCCTGGAGGTGCTGAGCACCCCTGCCCACCCCATGGGCATGCGACTGATGCCCAGTGCAGCTCCTGATCAGGAATGGAGCCCATCAGGTCGTGGCAGGGCCCATAGAGGTCTGAGAGCTGAACTGATGGCACAGAGCTTTGCTTCTGGGCCCCATTTCCTCTTTGGGGTGCACTTATCGTCAGGGTTGTCAGCGGCAGGGCTGGGATTGTGAGAGCCAGGGATTGTGGCTGATCTGGCTTTAATGACATCCCTCCAGGGGCTGCGGCCACTGGTACCTGCTGTGGCCCCTGAGGACACCCAGGCCAGCCAGTCGGGGCACCTGTCCAGTGTGAAGCAGGCTGTGGGGAGGGCAGGAGGGAAGAATTGGGGGCCAGGTCCCTGACAGCTGGCTGACTCATGGCATGACAGCCCCCTCAGCGTGGCCACAGTCCCAAGAAGGGACTCCGTGCCTTGGCCCTGAGTGCCAGCAGGAGGCACCCTATGCCTACCCGGCCCAAACTTCCCTGAAGCCCAGAGGGAGGGGTGGCTGTGCCTGACCTCAAAGGTGAGTGCCCAGAGCC
This sequence comes from Homo sapiens, assembly GCF_000001405.40. NCBI lineage: Eukaryota > Metazoa > Chordata > Mammalia > Primates > Hominidae > Homo > Homo sapiens. The sequence goes on along the minus strand of NC_000010.11, from coordinate 43,042,606 downwards.
CACTGGGAGATGGGTGAGGGTCCCCTACCCTGGCTGCAGCCCCTCCTAAGTAGGGAGCAGAGACATGAATGAGGGAGTGTAGGCCATCTGTGTGACTTGGAGTGAACATGGGAGGTCTGCTTCAAATGCCCTCTTGGCCTTTAAGTATTGCATAGATGGAAGAAAAAAATGTAACTGTCCTCTCCTCCCAGGACAGGGAGCCACACCTGCAGATAGGTCCCATTTCTAAAAGTGACCCCTACTTTCCTGCCTGCACTTACTCTGGCTCTGCCCTGGGGAATGGTCCCATGGCCTGGCCCAAGGTTGAAGGACCCTGGGCTTCCCAGGCCCCCCAGGACTGTGGTCTTGGATAGCCACGCAGAGCCAGAAAACTGGAAGACCCCCATCTCTCCCTCACGGGGAAGGGCCTGCCATGAGGAGGCAGCCCCCAGAGGGGATGAGCTCATTCCTGGCTGGTCTCCAACCTGCCCATGTTCCCAAGGCTAGTATGGGGGCAGTCTCCTGGGGTGCTCCAGGGAGGGTGCAGGACCAGGAAGTGAGGAGGCAGAACTCCCTCTGTAACCTTTGAGGATCTTGGGTGATCTCCAGGCTGGCTGGGCACCTGGCTCAAGAGTACTCATGTGGGGATTCCTGCTGGGACAGCCAGAAGGTCCCCTTGGGTCCTCAGGCTGCGTGGACACAGCGGCTGGCTTCGGGGGAAGTCAGTGCTACACCCACAGGGTCCCTCTGGTGCCAGCAAAGCCTGGCATTGCCCCTGCCAGCTTTGAGCTTCGAGAAGCTGCCCCAGCTCTTGGGCCCTGATGGCTGAGACATTGAGAGGGGCTCCAGCTTTGGGAGGTGGGCTGAGTTGGGTGGGGGTGACCCAGGACGCAGCAGTCAGTCTGTCCCTCCTTCAGCACGCTCTTCTGGGACTGCTGTCTGCCTGGGAAAGTCCAGGGGCCGCCTCCCTACTGGCCTTTGCATGCCTGCCTTAGTGGAGCATGCCCAGGAGGAGGGAGGAGCAGCTGGTCACTGAAACAGGGACAGGGGAAAGGAAGAAAGGACTTCAGGCCAGCTCTCAGGTGAGGGATGCTGCTGGTGGGACTCAGCCTCAGCTGGTGGGGAGCTGGCCCAGGGCTGGCCTCTAATGTCCTGGAACTGCCCTGCTCCAGCACTAACCCATGACATGGCTCTAGGCCACCCACTGGCCCACTGCAGGGTTTTCAATGTGTGTTCCATGAGCCCATGAGGTCTCCAGGGAATGCTTCAGGGGTTATAGAGGGATGGGTTATAGTGAATGGCGGTTAGAGGTAAAATCTGGCCTCTCATTTTACTTCGGGAGATAGAAAACCACAGGATCCTTCTCCACTGAACTTTCTGAGGTTCTTTGATTCTGATTCTACCCCAGAACCTCTCTTCCCTTCCATGTCTACTTACAGCTTCCTGCACTAACCCAGCCTCCTCCTCACTCATGCCTGGACTTCATCCCCCACCACCACTACCTCTACCCTCCTCTCTCTGTCTTCTCCCCCTTCCCCCTCCTGAGCAGAGCAGGTCCTCTCAGCTCCCCCAGCATGGCAGGTCCTGTCAGCGCTCCCTCACAGCATGGCAGGTCCTGTCAGCCCAACCCCCCACAGCATGGCAGATCCTGTTAACCCCCACTGACAACATGGCAGGGCCTGTCAACTGCCCCCAAGAGCATGGCAGGTCCTGTCAGCCCCATCCCACAGCAATGGCAGGTCCTGTCAGCACCCCCGCCCCAACAGTATGGTAAATCCTGTCAGTGTCCCCCACACCATGGCAGGTCCTGTCAACCCCACCCCACAGCATGGCAGGTCCTGTCAGCGCCCCACTGCCCAACAGCATGGTAGGTCCTATCAGCTCCACCCGCCAACAGCATGGCAGGTCCTGTCAGCCCCTCCCCCCACAGCATAGCAGGTCCTGTCAGCCCCACCCCACAATACCCCACAGCATGGCAGGTCCTGTCAGCACCCCACCCCCACAGCATGGCAGGTCTTCTGTCCTTGGGACCCCTCGCATCTCCATCGTTACCATCACCCCCTGGAGCCACCACCATCCTGTGCCCTCCCCAATACTAGCCAGCATGAAATTTCCAAAAGGACTTGTGTGCATGTCACTGTCATGCACACCTTTTGGTAGCTTCCTGCTGTGAGTGGGATACAGCCCGCTTTCTTTCTGAAGGCCCAGCCCTTTGAGACCTGTCCCCTCCTTCTCCGGCCATGTTTCCTCCTGGGCCGCACTGCCCACCTCTCTGGCTGGAGCTTGCAGCCAGGGGCCCTTGCCGTTGTTTTCTCGGCCCCATGCCCTTTCTCCCTCCGATCTGACTCGCCCTCTCCCCTCAGCCTCAGCTCACATGTCTCTTTGGAGTGCCCTGCCTGAGCCCTCCAACCCTCTGTAGGAATTTTGGAGTCCCCAGCAGAATTCTGGTCCCATGGGCCATGGGCTCACTGGCAGTGTCACTTAAGAGAGTGGCACCCGTGTGTCCCAGGCCATGAGTGAGGATGGAGCCTCGGGCACGTGGGTCTCGTGTCCCTGAATGTGCCCCTTGTGGGCAGAGACAGTGTTTCTGTTGTCACAGACACTGTCCTTGTGCCTCTGCACCAGGTGTTGTGTGCCGCCTTTCTAGGCAGGGTCTCACATACCCTCCCTGAGGGCGACAGGACTAACGTTGTCCTGTTTTGGGGACAACATGCCCCAGGCCAGGACACCCAAGAAGGAAGCAGAGGAGGCTGCTTGGGCCCGAGGCCTCTCTCAGAACCACTCTAACCACCCTTGGCCTAGCAAGAAGGCCCTTCCCTGGCTGAGCTGCATGGAGCGCCTGGCTGCGCTCCAGCTGGGGGGACACCTGAGGCAGCTGGGCCTGGCCCAGAGCTCCACCACATGTGTTCTGTCTCGGCGCTCCACTGGGGACCATGATGATGTGAGACTCACACCGCAGTTTCCTGTGATGTAATTAGCTCCCCGGAGCCAGGGGAATGGCTGGCCTGCTGGCGGTGGGGGCGGGGGGGGGGGGGCTCCTGCAGGTGTGTGTGTGTGTATACATGTGTGTGCGTGTGTGTGTGCATGTGTGTGTATGTGTGCGTGGGCGTGTGTGTATGTGTGCGTGGGTGTGTGTGTATGTGGCTGTGCGGCAGCTCCTCTGGGACCTAGGGGTCTGTGCAGAGAGAGGAGGCAGGCTTTGCTCTGCCTTTTTAAAAAGACAGCATCAGGGGCTGCCTAAGCACTTTGGAAACTCAGAGGCCCAACTCCATGACCCTACCCTGTGGCTCGATCTCAGCAGTCTCAGTACATTCATCGATAAAACAGGGACAGGAACCATTTCACGTTCTCAGGCTCCCTCTGAAAATTAGAATGCACAGCAAATGCTCAGGGCAGCCCCACCCGGAGAGAGTGGGGGTGAAGCATGCATTCTATAGGGCACTAGGTGCGTGTCAGGGGACCCTGGAGTCCAGCTGCTGGACACCAGCTTGGGTAGGGAGCCTGGAGGAGCTCAGGGAGAAGCCAGCAAGAGCAGTGGTGAGAAAGCTTTCCTCCTGGGTGGAGAGCTCCCTGCAGCCAAGTGCAAAATACCCCCGGCCCTGGAGGTGCACTCAGCCAGGGACCTTGGGCAAGCTGCTAACCTCCCCTAGCTGACCTACTCCTTCCCAGCTCCCTCAATTCCTGTGATGTGACTTGGGCCCGAGAAGCCTGTCCTGTGGCAGGAGTTAGAGGGACTGTGGCTCCCATGACTGAGTCTGAGCTCTCTTTAGGCCTGAGTGAGCGACTGGGTGTGGGCCTCTCTGAGGGACCTGCCTTTTCACCCTGGAGCTTTTCTGGCCCTGAGTGACAGATACCACAGCCTCCAGGGATGCTGCAGGTTCTTTGGAAGCTGGAGAGGAGCAGGGGCTTCAGAGCCCTGCCGACAGCTGCAGAGAGTGCGCATCAGCCTCCATGGGACCCGCCCTCTGCATCCCACTGCATCCAGGGCAGAAGGGCATTGTGGGGCCATGGAGGACTGGCCAGGGGCATAGCTGGGGTCACACATGGTCCTCTTGTGCCCACAGGCAGGCTGCAGTTCACTTGCTGCCTCCTCCAGGAGGCTGTACCGTGCAATGCTGAGGGGGCTCAGGACCTGAAGCCTCTCCAGGTGCCCTTGGAGTGGGTTTGGGCCTTTGGGAAGCATCGGTGGCCAGAAAGGCTCTCCCACCTTGGGGAGTGCAGGTCCTTGGGTGGGAGTGGCCCCTGCCCTCCTCAGAGTGTGGATGCTTGGATGAGGACCCCGCCTCCCTCCACCCTCCCAGCCTCCTGGCCACAGCTGTTTCATTGGAGCAGCTTCAGCCCTGCCTGCCCAGGGAGCCACCCAAGTCCCAGTGGCAGTGCTGTATGGAAGGACTGAAGCGATAAAGCCTTAAACACAATAAGCACAGTGAGCTTGGGAGGTTATTGTGACCTCCACGTCCTGTCACCCTGTGGCTCGGGCTGGGCTCGGTGTCTCCGAGTAAGGAGGTGGCAGAACAATTTGCTCCCTGGTGAGCAGCGGCTCCACAGTCCATGCCCATGGACACTCCTAGGCCTCCAGCTGTGGGCTGCTGCCTCGGTTTCCCTTTCTTTGAAATGAGGCGCTGGTGGTGGATATGCTGGTGTCTGTTCCCTGTACTTTTCTATAGTTTTAAAACTTCAAGCATAAAAAACAAAAACAAAAACAAAAACAAAACTCACAAAGGAAAACCAAGGGAATTAGTTGGGGGAAAAAATATTTAACAAAAAAGGTGAGTGGAGTTGGAGAGGGTGGCAGTCTCTTCTGTATTAGGACAGTGTGGGCCCCTGGGCCTGCTGTGGGCCCCTGCCAGGCACGAGGTTGGGGTTCACATTCACAAACCCACCCCATCCCTTAGAGGACAGCCCAGTGGCGAGTGCTGGATTCTATCTAGCCTTGGTCTCTTCCCAGAGCCCACTTGCTCGGGCCCCGCAGGCCCTTGCCTCAGGTTTCCCTCTGGCCTCTGGGAACCCCCCTGGTCTCCAGCTCACCCTGGTCCAGGAAACCGCTTGGGGACCTTGCAGCTCTGGGCCCAGCCAGAGGTCAGCCTGGTCCACTCCCACCCATGCCCCACTCCAGCACCCAGGCCAGTTCTGAGCTCTATGCCGTTCTCCACACCCCATGTCTGGGTTGGATGAGAAGTCAGGTTTACATCAGAGCTATAAAAATAACAGCACACAGATATCACAGGCTTAGAATTCACCTGGCCATTCTCCGTCATCTTCTATTTACCGTTCCCACCACCCTCTGTGAGAATGGACAGCAGAAGACCTGCAGAGGGGCCGGGGACAGCCGCAGCTCCCACCTGACTCTCCTTCCCATTGCTGTGAGAGTGCAGCAGGAGTACAGACCAGGCAGGGCGTGCAGCCCAGACCCCAGCTCATCCCACCCCAAAAAGTAATTTGCATCCAGACCCCAGGCACTGCAGCCTCCATGAAGCCCCCTTCCCAAGGCCACACCTTTAGCTCCCGTGGGTGCCTAGAGATGGGGACCAGGAGGTACATGGCTTCAGGCTATCAGCACATATGTGCAGAGCTAGGAGTGGGTCAGTGAGGGGCGGTCAAGGGTGGAGGTGCCTTTGAGGGCCCCCTGCTCCTGGCCAAGGGCCCAGTGGTCCTCCATGAGCACTGGATCATCTGAGCACTTTGGCTCTTGGCACCAGCCAGGCTCACGCAGGCATGGGCAACATCAGGCAGGAGCACAGGGCCTAGGGGTGGGGGGCTCAGGAGCCATTCCAGTGACTCAGGCCAGGTGCCATAGGAGACAGCCCTCCTGGTAGGAGCCCACGTGTGCCAGGGACCTCTGCTCACCCTGGACCAGCCTCCAGGCCATTTTCTCCAGCTGTCCCAGAGCGGGCTGCAAACGCTGGTGGATGTTCTAGAAGGGTGCTCATCATAAACAACTCTGTCCTCAGCTTCCAGGCGGCGACCACCAGCCATGGTCTCCCTGGTCCCTAAAGCTCAGCTTGCTGTCTCAAGATGAGAGCCTCTGTTGCAACCTGACGCCTGTGCTTTCCTTCCAGATCATGCTGCTCCACCTCTGGCCTCAACCCCGGGGACATCAGTGGCCCACACAAGGGCCTCTCTTCTCGCTCTTGCACAGCTCTCCTTTTCTCTTGCATGGCTTTTATGTCTTGAAACCTTTTCCTGTGCAAATGTTCCACATCCCACATTGTTTTTCTTAAGTACTGATTCTGCACTTCACTGCTTGCAGCTTAGTATTGAACTCTGATGTAGCCTTCCTGACATATCCCATGTGTTGACTGGACCTCCTTGCCTCTAGAGAGCTGATAAGCTGGACCCAGATCCCAACCCAGAGCCCTCTATAGTTCCTGTGAGTTCCTTGCTTTCTTATACTTCTCTCTGTCCCCAATCCATGTCTCATTCCCACTCTCATCTGTCCTGGATATAAAGTTCAAATCCTTCACTTAAAACAACAACTGTATTATATAATTTGTATAATAAAATGCACCCTTTTTAAGTGGACAGTTTGATGCATTTTGGCAAATGTCTATACCCGTGTAACCACTGCCATCAAGATCTGGAATATTTCCAGCACCCAAGAAAGTTGCTTTGTACTCCTTTGCAGTCAAGCCTCCCGCCCCATCCCTAGGCAACCACTGATCTGCTTCCTGTTACTGTAGTTTTGACTCTTCTAGAATGTCAGATAATTGGCTGGCTTCGTTTGCCCAACATCATGTTTCTGAGCTTCGTCCTTCTTGTGTGGGTTAGCACCTTGGTTCTTTCTATTGCTAAGCAGTATTCTGTTGGGTGGGCATATCACAGTTTGTTTCTCCATTCTCCTGTTGTGATACTTCTGGATTCATTTCAGTTTTTTTGCTATTATGACTAAAGCTGCTATGAATATTCACGTACAAGGCTGTTTGATCATAAATTTTCACTTTTCTTGTGTAAATACTTAGAAGTGAAATTGCTGGATTATAGGGGTGAATATATTCAGCTTTAGTAGATCCTGTCAACTGGGTTTCTGTTATAGTTGTACCAACTTACACTTCCACTGGCACTGTCTGAGAGTCCCAGCTGCTCCACATCCCTGTTAACACTTGGCATTGTCACCGTTTTTAGTTTTAGCTGTTGTATGGCTAAATGACTAGTAGTGACTAGTAGCGGCATCTCCTTATGGATTTAGTTTCCATTTCCTCCAATAACTCATTATTCTGAGCTTCATTTTGCTACTTTTGTTCCAGGTTAATTTCAGCCTTTTGTCTCTCCTTTCTTTCCATGTAACCTCAGTGGTTGCATCCTTTCCAAAGTGTGAACCTCAACTGTGTGACCTGCCTCCTTGGGTGCAGATCCCCAGTGATACATCTCTGCTCCTTGCTCATTCTACTCCTCACCTAAGGAGGAGCTGTGCCTTCCCTAAGCCCCTTGGTATTCAGCAGAGAAAAGTCTTTTTGTTTCATTACAGTCGTTTCATCTTTTCCTTAGCTCAGCTGGTTTCCTCATCCGAGTCAGTCATCTAATTCATTTTTATCTTTTACTTCAAAAGCTGTTTAAAAAATTGTGGTAAATACACATAACATAAAATAACCATTTTGACTATTTGTAAGTGTACAGTTCAATGGCATTAAGTACATTATTCATATTGTTGTACAACCATCACCATCATTCAGCTCTGAATATTTTCATCTTCCCAAACTGATACTCTATACTCATTAAACAACAACTCCTCATTCTCCCCCCTGCCAGCCCCTGGCGACCACCATTCTATTTTCTCTCTGTGGATTTGACTACTCTAGGCACCTCATGTAAATGGAATTGTGCGATATTTGTCTTTTTGTGTCTTGCTTATTTCACTTAGCATAATGTCTTCAAGTTTTATCCTTGTTGTGGCATGTATCATAATTTACTTCTTTTTTAAGGCTGAATAATATTCCATCATACAGATATACCACACTTCGTGTATCCATTCATCTATTAGTGAACCCTACGGTTGCTTTCACCTTTTGATTATTGGGAATAACACTGATATGAGTATAGGTGTATAAAAACCTGATGAAGTCCTTGCTTTTAATTCTTTTGAGTATATACCCAGAAGCAGAATTGCTGGATCATATGGTAATTCTTGGAGAAGGTGGGGGGAATTGCTATATTGTTTTCTACAGCAGCTGTACCATTTTACATCCCAATCCAAATTCTTGACAACATTTTTTATTTTCATTTTTGCTTTTTAAATAGTAGCCAACCTAATGAGTATGAGATAGTATCTCACTGTGGTTTTTGATTTGCATTTTCCTAATGATTAGTGGTGTTGGGCATAGTAACCACAAATAAAATATCTATAGAATACATATAGAAGGAAATAAGAAGGTATTCAAAAGATGTCAATACAAAAAGTCAGCTATGCACAAAGGAAGGCAGGAAGGGAGGAAATGAAGGACAAAAAAGCTATAAGACATACAGAAAACAAACTACTAAACAGCAATAGTAAGTCCTTCTTTATTATTAATTACATTAATTAAATGTAAATGTATTAACTTCCCCCATTAAAAGACCTAGAATGGCAGAATGGATTAAAAGAAAAACTATGATCCAACTGTATACTGTCTACAATGCACTAGATTTAAGGGCACAGGACATGTGTGCAGGTTGACAGTAAAATAATGGGAAAAAATTGCATGCAAATATTAACTAAAAGGAGCAAGCGTGATTATATTAATGTCAGATAAGATATACTTTAAGCTTATAACTGTTACAAGAGACAAAGATGGGCATTACGTAATGATAGAAGGGTCAATTCAACAAAAAGATATAACAATTATAAATATATATGTGCCATACATCAGGGCTGCCTTCTCATTTTTTTTGTATGTATTCCATAGATATTTTCTTTACTATTACTATGTGAATTACATAAAACTCCTAAAGTTATTACAATCTACTTTAAACTGATAACAAATGAACTTCAATTGAATATAAAAGCTCTACAACCTTCTGGCTCTTCCCATTTTATGTTATTGAGGTATGTCGCAAATTACATCTTTATATATGTTCCCATTAACATAGATCCATAATTATTTTATATGCCTTTGTCTTATAAACTCTATAAAATAATAAAATGTGGCATTACAAACCAAAATGATAATAATACTGGTTTTTATATTTGTCTATGTATTTAGCTTTATTGCATAACTTTATATTTTTGTATGGCTTTGAGTTACTATTTAGCATCCTTTAATTTCAACTTAAATAATTCCTTTTAATATTTTTTGTAGGGTAAGTCTAGTGGTAACGAGCTCCCTCAGCTTTTGTTTATCTGAGAATATCTTAATTTCTTCCTCATTTTAAAAGGACAGTTGTGCTAGGTATAGAATGTTCAGTTGACAGCTTTTTCTTTCTTTCAGCACTTTAAATATATCACTGCATTGCTTTCTGGTCTGCAGGGCTTCTTCTAGGAAAATCATTGCTAATCTTACTGTGGCTCTCTTGTATTTGGTGAGTCACTTTTCTCTTGATGCTTTCAAGACTATCCCTTTGACATTGTCTTTCAAAGGTTTGATTATAATGTGGCTTGATTATAGTGTGTCTTTCTGTGGGCTTGTTTGGGCTTATCCTAATGGAATTTGTTGAACTTCTTGTATTTTTATATCAATTTCTTTGGATATAAAAGTTTGGCAAGTTTTTGGCTGTTACTTTTTCAAGTAAACTCTTTTACCCTTTTCCCTCTCTCCTCATTCTGAGACTCCTATTATGCATATATTGGTTGGCTTTATGGTGTCCTATAAATCTCTTAGGCTCTGTTTACTTTTCTTCGTTCTTTTTCCTTTTTGCTCCTCAGACTAGTGTTAAGTGACCTGTCTTCAAGTCCCTACCTGTTTAAGTTTGCTGTTGAACCCCTCTAGTGAATTTTCCAATTCATTATTGCATTTTTCAGCTCTAGAATTTCTGTTTGGTTCTTTATCATTTCTATCTTTTTGTTAATATTATCATTTTGATTCTATATAAATTTCTGGATTCTTTTCATTTCTTTATCTGTGTTTTCTTTAGCTCTTTGAGGATATTTATAGAATTGTTTTGAATTATTTGTCTAGTATGTGCAATGCCCATGTTTCTTCAGAGACAGTTTCTGCCATTTTATTTTGTTCCTTCGAATGAGCTATGTTTTCTTGTTTCTTTGTATGCCTTATAATTTTTTATTGTTGAAAATTGGGCATTTGGAAAGCAGTCACCTCTTTCTGTCTTTTCAGACTGACTCTTTACCAGGGCAATCATTTCCTGCTTTGCTGGGTGTGCTCTGAGACTTAAGATCAGCCAGATGTGAAAGTTTCTCAGGTATTTTTTAAGCATGCATCTTGCCTGTGCCTGTGTGTGTGCTTCTGCACCCCCACCCCCAATTTTGTCTATATACACAGTGGCTTTTGAATGTCTTAATTTTCCAAAGAGTCTCACCCTAGTTTTCCTTGGGACCTTAGATGTTCTATTGTATGTCTCCACCTGTAATCTTTTACCCCAGGTGTCTATGGGTCTGTAGTCCCCATGAAACCTTTATGGGCAATGCCCATTGTTTTTTCCCTGCTTGAGTCCTGAGTTTTGCCACTTTTCCCTGCCTGAGATGTGATTTAGGCATGGAAGAGAGCAGTTCTTCAGGCAGCCCCTACACAGGTTAGAACATTGCAACTAGGCCGGGCGTGGCGGCTCATGCCTGTAATCCCAGCACTTTGGAAGGCCAAAGCAGGCGGATCACAACGTCAGGACATTGAGACCATCCTGGCTAACACGGTGAAACCCCATCTCTACTAAAAATACAAAAAAAAAAAATTAGCTGGGCATGGTGGCGGGCGCCTGTAGTCCCAACTACTCGGGAGGCTGAGGCAGGAGGATGGCGTGAACCTGGGAGGTGGAGCTTGCCGTGAGCCGAGATTGCACCACTGCACTCCAGCCTGGGCTACAGAGAGAGACTCTGTTTCAAAAAAAAAAAAAAAAAAAAAAAGAACATCGCAACTAAGATCCGTTCTGCTCCCTCCAGTTTGATGGAGGAAACTGAGAATTGGGCTGTGGCCTCCTGCAGACCAAGGCTGTGCTGTGCCAAGAAGGGAGTGAGGCAAGAGTGTGTAAAAATGCCAGAAAACTTCCTACTCTTGTGAATATGGCTATTGTGGACCTTTTTCTGCTCTCCAAAGTGCCTATAAAGTTTTAAATACCCAGTTTCTGGCTGTTTTTTGGTGTTTCTATGGGGGAATGAAGGCTTGGAGCTTCCTACTCTGCCGTTTTGGCAATGTCACTACTCCTAAGAGCTATTTTTAAATTTATATTTTATTGGGAACGTCAAATGGATGGTTTCTGAGATTTATTTCTGCTGTGGTTTAAATGATTGTGTCCTCTCCACAATTCATATTAAAATTAAATCCCCAATGCCATAGTATTGGGAGGTGATTCAGTCATAAGGGCTCTGCCCTCATGAGTGGGATTAAATGCTCTTATAAGAGGGCTTGACAGACCAAAATAGTATAATTGGATTGTTTAAAACACAAAGGATAAATGCTTGAGGTGATGGATACTCTATTTACCCCTTGATATGATTATTACATATTGCATGCCTATATCAAAATATCTCATTGAACCCATAAATATATATAGCTACTATGTATATACACCTATTATGTACCTATAAAACTTAAAAATAAAAAAAAAGAGCTTGATGGAAGGATTTCACCCTTTTTGCTCTTCGGCCTTCTGCCATGTGAAGACACAGCACTCAAGAAGCCATCTTAGAAGCAGAGAACAGCCCTTACCAGACAGCCAAACCTGCTGATGCCTTGAGCTTGGACTTCCCAGCCTCCAGAACTGTGAAAAAATTCTGTTCTTTATAAATTACCCAGGCCATGATGTTGTTATAACAGCACAAATGGACTAAGACAATTTCTGTTTCCTTTGGTAAATCATTTTCATCACTCTTCATCTATCTTTTGAGAAGTGTGTGTTTTTATTTTTCTTTGCAAAGCCTTTCTCTTTCTCATATCTGCTGTTTCCATTGACCTAGCATTGAATTGCAAGGTCTCTATGAAAGACTGGCATTTGCCTCAAACAAGTATGGCATTTCTTTACATCATTGCTTCTCCTTGCTGTCCACACAAATAACAACAGAATCCTCTGCTAAGGGCCTAAGGGCCTCACAATCAACTCAGAGCCCAAGATGGAGGAGATGGTTCTGGTCAGTTCCAACAGGGTGTTTTTTCTCTGTACAGGGGAATTTCTTCCTTGAACCTATTTTTCTTATTAATTTTCTACTTGGACTGGTCCATCCCTTGTCTGTCTAGCCTGTTTCCTGGACTACTGCGCACCCCTCAGGAAAAGTATTGCCCTGGCCCCCCTGCCCTGGTCTGCTTTTGAGACATGCTGACCCTCAGTGCTAAGAGGTTCCATATGTCATGCCCTCATCATCTGCACCATCCTCTATAGCTGGGTTATTCCTGGGCCTTTCTCAGGCCCCTGCAGTTTCTTCCCCCATGCCTGTACTTGCTCAGCAAGGAGGGTTGCAAGTTTCCTTCAGGCTGTTTTTTGCCTGCACTGTAACTTATGGAAATGGCTCTGCGTGTGGCGTGTAAATGGTGCCCTGATGGATTTCCAAAATGGATACAGGTTTCTCCTTCCTTTTCTATTTCTGAAGTCATTTGGGCTAGCATTTGGGAGAGGCAGTTGGATGCCCATGCTCAAGTATTCTGTTACCTGAATGCCCATTAGATATTTCAGACTGAAGATTGCCATGATGCCACTTCTGTTTTGCACTTAAGTTGGGAGGAAATTGCAGAGGGTGAGACTGGAGGCAGGGAATCAATGTGAGGGCTCATGAGGGCCTAAACTGGGCAGCACAGTGAGGGGGCAGGAGGTGGGTGAAGAGCCTGCTCATTAGAGGGATTATGGGAGTAAAGTGAATGGGGCTTAATTGTATGGAGTGTGAGGGAGAGGGAGGGGTCAAGGAGCCCAACTCCAGCCTAGGCGGACACAGGGGTTAAGGCTGTGGTTTGTGCCATCACAACAGTGAGAAGGAGCTGCTCTCATAGCTTCTAGCAAGCACTCAACGTGGACAGAAAAAGGTTCCAGCGAACCAGCTTCAGGCTGCCCCCTCAAATGGGCTGTGACTCTGAATTTGAAGAATTCCAAGGAGCCCATTGACATCTGCAAGTCAGAGCTGCAGTGAAGAGTAGGCTGGGTTGAACTTTGTGGGGTCTGCATCCCTCACCCTCACCTCCACCCTGAGGAGCTGGCCATGGCGTCTGTCACAGTAGGCCCCAGGGAGTGAGGCTCAGCGTTGCCACTCCTGCTGGGGAAAGCTTGAAAGGATGGGAATGCAATCACTCCCACAGTCACAGACAGACAGCTTTCATCGTGAGATCATGTTCATGCCTTGTGACCCCAGCACGTGGCTGGATGGAGACTGCAGTGGATGCTACCAGAGTCCAACCCGGGCGGAGGCCCTGCTGGGTCTAGCTGCATCCAACTGTCCTGGCTTGGCCCCTGGCTGGCTCTGCCCCCTAGAACATTTCTTGGCTTACCCTCGCTCATTATTCCCTTCATACCCATGCTCCTGCAAGGTCCTCTGCACACTGTGCCTGTCCGGAGCCAGAGGCACTACCCATGACCACATCCTCCATGACGTCCTCTCCTCTGATGGCCTTGCAAGAAGTAAACTCTGATCTCAGACAGCGTCTCATCTACACTCCTGTGCATCTCAGAGCAGCGTCTTCAGACGTATACTTGAGAAGTATCTGTTAGTATATTCAAGTTCAGTAAGTAGTCATAATCACCTTCAGAAAAACAAAGTTGCCCTAATGAGGTAGGAAAAATAGACAGGTCAGTGGAGCACTAGCAGATGTGCTACCAGATAAAGCCAGCAGGCTGTGAGCTCTGGGAGAAGATGCATGTTACTGTCTCACACACCTAAGCAGCAAACCAACAGCCACGTGGGTTAGCACTGAGAAAGGCCTGAGTGAAGCCAGACAAGGTGTGGATGGTGCGCCTGATCCAGGGGAAGGTGGCACGGGAGGCTGCCTGGGGGTCAGACCCATGGAGTCTGGCTTGTCTGAATGTATAGACCCAAGCATTGGTGTTTGAGACTTCTGGGGCACTCAGACCCCACAGGTCATTGGAACAGCACTATGAGTGGATCCAAGCCCTGCACTCTTCCTGCAGGGCCTGTGACTTGAACTAGGCAGTGTCGCTGTGTCGGGCCATGCCTCCAACTGGCACCTTCTCTGTCCTTTCTGCTGCCAAGGAGGGTGCCAGGTCCTGGCCTTCCATGGCCCCAGGTGGCCTGTGAGTCGCTCTGTGCTAGGCCAGGCTCTGAGCCCTGGGGTTGTGGAGCCTGTAGATTTGGGGCTGCCTTCTGGGACCACTGCACATGCATGTGTGCATGCGTGCAGTACATGCAGGACTGCAGAGGAGTGTCTGCAGAGGAAGAGGTGGCGCTTGAACGAAAAACAAGAATCCTTTTGCCAGAGCCTGAGCTGATTCCTGGCCTCAGATGGCACCAAGGAGCAGTGGGGGCCTGAGTGCCCTGGGGACAGCACCCATAGGGTTCTGTGCTTCTCAAAAGGGAAGAAGGGATAGGGCAGTGCTGTACCACTAACCCATTCCAGGAAGGAAGGGCTTTCTGAGCATTTAGTGTTCATATAATAATGTTCTTCCCATTTTCCAGATAGAGAGAGTTGTGGCTTACAGAGCAGAGAAACTGCCTGAGGTCACACGGAGAGTCCCAGAGTCACTGAGCTCAGCCACTTTCCTGCTGTGCTGGCAGCTTCACATGCCTCCCGATAGGTCTGGGGGACTGCCCTCAGGCCCGGGCCTCAGCTCTAGAGGTGCCCCTGGAGCAGGTTTGGCCAGGACAAGCCAGCTGGGCACAAGGCCAGCCTGGATGGGCATAATTTGGCCCAGGGGACTGGGCCCTGACCCAGAGGGAGGCCACTCAGAGAAAGCCCAACACAGGCATTGTGGCAGCTTGGTGGGGTGCTGTGTGCAGAGAAGGTGATGGCCACAGGGCTGGGGAGGTACTGGAGGATGGCAGGGGACCTCGAGTGCCCGCTGTAGGCTGGATGTGTATGGACATGTGTGTGCACATATGTATGCATATGTATGTGTGCACATGCACGCGTGCATGTGTTGTATGTGCATGAACAGGCACGCGTGTGGGGAGCATGACAGCAGGGCACTGCGCCTGTCAGAATCATATGCTATGACTCTCTGAACTGTTCTGAATGAAGAGACAGTATAAGGAAATGAGATGTGTGATCTGGAGTCGGATCCTGCATTAGGGAAAAATAAGAGCTCTGAAGGACACACGGGGTTGGGACAATGATGAAATTTGAATATGGACTGAATATTAGAAAAGAGTACTGCATCATGGTTAAATTTCCTGATTTTGATTATGATGCTGTGTCCCGAAAGAGAAAGTCCTTGTCTTGTTAACAATGGGCGAACCTAAGTACAGGGCCCACGGGAATCCATTGTCCTGTTCTTGCAACTCCTCTGTAGGTGTGATGTTATTTTCAAATAAAAAGTTAGAAAGGCCAAGTGCCTGTTATAGTCCTTACAATGCCATTCGTGTCATTTACAGAGAGGAAAGGGAGAGGAGCGAGATTGGTGGTGGTGGCCTGGCCGAGGACTCCCTCGGGGAGGAAGCAGGGGCCCCGCGCCCAGCTGGCTTTCCTCCTTGCTCAGGAGGTGTGGAGGCCGCTGAGCGCTCTGAAGTGTAAAGTGGGAGGCGGAGGTCAATTGAAAATCGATAGTGCGGGAGGAGCAGGTTGGCTGCAGCGGCTCCCTCCTGCCTGGCAGACCCAGGCGGTGGGGGAGGGGTCGAGTAGCGCGGTCCAGAGCCCCTGCCCGCGGCGTCCCGGACCTGGATCCTGAGGTCCAGGGGCAAAAAAGCAGCCTTGTCCTGCGTCTGCCCCGGCAGCAGGTCTGACTCAGCCAGTCTCACCTGCTCGGCCTCCGCTTGCTCGTCAGCAAGCTGGGTCACCCTGAGGGCTCCGCGCACCTTGGGGATGGCAAGGTTAGAAGCTGCGCTGTCCTCAGCTGTATCTCTGCGCCCTCAGGGCGCCCTGCCAGTAGGTGCTCAGCAAATACTCAGTGGGTGAACAATGCGTTTATTCAGCAAATAGTTGTTGGGTGATGGTGCCAGGCCCCAAAACAGAACAACCGTGGTGACGGGGGAGGGGTTCCTTCCTCCTTCCAGTGACACAGGAACCAGCCAAGGTAGACAGTCAGAGGAGCAGGCATTGGGTTCAGTGCTGGGCTGCGGCTACGCTGGAATTCTTAACGGTTTCATGTCTGAACTTGTGCTAAATGAAGCCCTGGGCCCTCTGAGCAGAAGGGATGTGTGGATGAGTGTGAGCCCATCCCCATCAGGCCTCCCAAGGCCCCAGCACAGGGTTCCGGGTGGAGCTCAGCCAGCTGGTGAGCGTGGCCAACACGTGCTGCCCTGCCTGAGCACGGTGGGGCAGCGGGCTCCTAAGAAACACAGAGGAGCAGCCCTGGGCATCCTTGCCGGCTCTGTCACCTACCTGTACTGCACAAGCACCGACGCTGAGGATGACATGGAAGGAGAAGGAAAGACGGTGGCCTTCCTCCCTCCTGGTAGGCTGAAGTAGAGAGGGTTGGTACAATGCGCCTGCACCAGGAAGTGAAATTCAATCAGGTGAGTTAGTTCAGTGAAGTGTTTGCGCTTTTCTGAAAAGGACAACATATACATGCATGTACGAGTTACAGAAATTTTGGTGTTTCTGCATGAGTTAAATGCTCTTACACAGCAATTTATGTTTAAAATTGGCATTGAATGATATAAAGATGAATGGTAAATTTTATTTTACCATTAAAATTAAAATTTTAATTTTTTTCTATAATTTATAATTTCAACTTTTCTTGACTAGAATGCCATTAAATAGCAAACATAACCACCACAACACATCAAGAGAGACTGCAAAGGAAAGGGGAAGCTTTGCACTTCACTCCTTGAAACCACACATTGAACAAGCCTCTTCATTCTGCTGGGACTGCAGTGGGAGTGGTGGCAGGGCCACAGCAGGTGCCAGGGGCAGGTGGAGGAGGAGGGGTCAGAGGGGAGGCTGTGAGAAGCGTCGTCAGTGTGGTCTGGGCAGGATGGTGGCCGCCCACAGCTATGGTCACTGTAGGCAGGTTGGGGAGGGTGGAAGCGGACCATTCCAATATGCCATTTGGTGTCTTCCCAGGGTCAGCCTGGCAGAAAGGGAGAAAGCCCTTACCTGCTGTCAACCAGACCAACTTTTACTCATCAAGCTTCCATATAACGAAAGTTTTGAGGCCAAGAAGTGTGCAGGGGGTAACGCCTGGGTGGAGCAGTTCAGGACTGTTCCCCAGCCTTGCCAGCCTGCACCCAAGAGCTACGCAGAGAGTGGAGGTGCCCCTCCCCCAGGGTCTGCTGAGCTGTGGTTCTGGGAGATGATTTGATTTCCAGCTGTTGGCCCCAGTCCCGTCCATTAGCCCTGCTGTGCACCCCTAGTTGGAAGATGATGGCCCTGACCCGTCCAGTGTCTGGGGAGCTCTGCCTTCCACTTGAAAGTGAGGATGATTAAAGGCTAAGCTGGTGGTGATGGAAGAGGTTCCATTAGCTCGGAGGAAAACGGCTCTCAGCTTCCTGCCCTGTTCCCTTGCCCCAGCTTCCCGCCCTGTTCCCTTGCCCCAGGTCCTCCGCAAGGGCTCTGGGCAGGCTCCCGGGGGAGGCACCAATACCTGGAAATGTGTGAATGGGTCCAGGTGTGAGGGCCCCAAGGCATTGCCTTCAGGGTTTCCAGGGTCCCTCTGCAAACTTGAACATTGTGGGAAAGGAGCCCTGTCCCAGATTGGGACTAGAGAGCATCAAGCTGAAGAGCCAGGAAGTCAAACATAACCCCAGTTCCCAAGACTGGTCTTTCCAGCAGCAGCCATGCACTCACATTGTCCCTGAATAGGGTTGCCTGCACCCAGAGGGAAGACTCAGAGGGGCTGGGGGAGCCGTCCATCCCTCCATCCATCCATATCATCCATGTCAGGCCATCATCACAAAATATTACAGACTGGGTGGCTTAAACAATATACATTGAGTTTCTCACACTCAATCCAAGGTCAAGGTGCCAGCAGGGCTGGTTTCTGGTGAGGCCTCTCTTGCCAGCTTGTAGGAGGCTCCTCTCCTTGTGTCCTCACGGGGCCTTTCCTCTGTGCACACATGGAGAGAGAGCTCTCTAGTGTCTCTTCCTCTTCTTGTAAGGACACCAGTCCCATTGAATCAGGGCCCTACCCTTAGGACCTCCTTTAACCTTAATTGCCTTCCTAAAAGCTCTATCTCCAAATACAGCCACATTAGGTATTAGTGCTTCAGTATGAATTTGGGGGGACACAATTAAGTCCTTAACACCAACCATCCATCCATCATCCATCTGTCCATCTATTTTTGTATTTATCCATCTGTCCATCTGTGCATCTATTTTCCTTTTCTTCCATGTCTATTCATTCATCCATCCATCCATCCACCCATCCACCCATCCATCATCCATCCATTTATCCATTCATCCATTCATCCATCAATCCGTCTGTGATGGTTAATACTGAGTGTCAACTTGATTGGATTGAAGGATCCAAAGTATTGATCCTGGGTGTGTCTGTGAGGGTGTTGCCAAAGGAGATTAACATTTGGGTCAGTGGGCTGGGAAAGGCAGACCCACCCTTAATCTGGTTGGGTACCATCTGATCAGTTGCCAGCATGGCTAGAATATGAAAAGCTGCCAGAAAAGTGTGAAAAGAGGAGAAAGGTCTAGTCTCCCAGACTACATCTTTCTCCCATGCTGGATGCTTCCTGCCCTTGAACATCAGACTCCAATTTTTTTCAGTTTTGGGACTTGGACTGGCTCTCCTTACTCCTTAGCTTGCAGACAGCCTATTGTGGGACCTTGTGATCATGTGAGTTAATACTTAATAAACTCCCCTTTATATATATTAGTTCTGTCCCTCTAGAGAACCCTGACTAATACACCATCTATCCACCAATAATCCATCATCCATCCATTCATCCATTTATCCATCCATGCAATAAATATCAGTTGAGCCCCTGCCCTGTGCCAGCATTGTTCTAGGCACAAAGGATACTTCAGCAAGCCATTAATTCTATTTCAAGGATAAACAATAACTAAGCAAACAAACAAGAAAATGACAATACTGCTGTGCCACAATAAATAATGGATTCACATTGCCCCAGGACAGCACTACCCTGCCTGCACCATGATGTACATAAAATGATTCCTGAGAGGGCCCTGAGCTTCAGGGCCCACCTGGCAAGGGTTCCACTGGGCCCCATCCATCCCCACACTGGGATTCACATCCTGTCTACCTCCTGCTCAGGCTGGAGACCAGAAGTCCCTGGACTCTGTGCTTCCTCATGCACTTGCCGTGGCCTCAGCGAGTCCTGGGCAGGGGACATCATTTCATGCACCCAGTCTTCCCGCGTCTCTCCAGCCTGCCCCCTCCAACGCCTAGCCCATGTGGTCATCCCCACTTCAACCACAGCAAACCCCCCTAATGCCCCTTCTTTTCAACCTCCATTCAACATAGCAGCTGCCCACGTTTCTCAAGTGTGACCAGGGAACACAACTTTTGGGATTAAAACCTGCAACCAAAATAGAGCTGGAAGCTGCCACCAGACCCCATGAGGCCTGGCATGACCTGGCCCCTGGCGACCCTCCTCCACTTCTCTCCACCCCTTCTCACTCTCTAAGGCCCCTGAGGGGTTGCCATTCACTCTTGGGGTAGGTCAGCTCAGCCCCACCTCAGGGCCTGTGCTCTTGCTGCTGCTACTGCCAGGAACACTGTCCGCCTGATCCTAGCACAGCTCTCTCACCTCTTCATCTAGAGGAGCCAGCCCTGTCCCTCTCCTCTCCTCGGCCGGAAGAGCTGCCACCTGCTGTCTGGCTTCCCCCAGCCTCTGGGTCTTGGCAAACCAGAAACTCACCAGCGGCTGGGAAAATTGACTGTCCGGTGGGCTGAAGGTGGACAGAGCCTCGACTAAGGGAATAAGAATGTGTGGGCGATGTGAGAAAAACAGTTCCAGAAAATGCTCGGAAGCATTTAATTCGGGGGCAGTGGCAAGGTGGGGACAGACCGAGGCTGATGGCAGGAGGATGGGAATTGGGACCCAGTTGCGCCAAGGAGCCTGGATGCTGCATGACTTTTCCTGTCCTCATTCCTCATTGGGAGCCAGGGAGAAATTAGCTCCCATGCTTTCTCTCTCTGGCTCCCACTGACTCTGTCTGTCTGTCTATGTCTGTCTGTCTCTCTCACACACACAGATCCAAGACCTCCTGTGATACCAGTGGTGATTATGTGTAGCCAGTGAGTGGGAAGGAGGGCAGGACAGGACAGGGCAATGAGGGAACTGGAAACACAGAACGCAGGCTTCCTGTTCCGCGAGGCTGGTGGGGCTCTCTAAGTGTGTTTTCTTGTTAGATTCTCACAGGCACTCCCTAGATAATAACCACAGCAACTGCCATTTCCATCAACTGCATTTGGAATCTTCAAGGTTTCATCTCAGTTCTCCATGGAGCAAGGGGTGTGAGTGCAGCAGGGAGCACACAGGCCCTGAGGCAGTCTTCCCAGCCACTGCTGAATGCACTCCAGGCCCTGAGCTTTCCTCCCATGCGGTCTCACCTCCCGCCTCCCGAAAACTCCCCTCAGATAAATGCCCTCAGCTGATGGACACTGGGCAGTTTCCACTTTTGGGTGATTGTAAGCAGTGCTGCTGATGAACATCCATGGACAAGTGTTTATGTAGAAATATATTTCAGCTCTCTTAGATATGAATAGATACCTAGGGTGGGGCTTGGTGGCTCACACCTGTAATCCCAGAACTTAGGAAGGCTGAGGCAAGCAGATTATCTGAGGTCAGGGGTTCGAGACCAGCCTGACTAACATGGTGAAACCCTGTCTCTACTAAAAATACAAAAAGTAGCTGGGCGTGGTGGCATATGCCTGTAGTCCCAGCTACTTGGGAGGCTGAGGCAGGAGAATCGCTTGAACCTGGGAGGCGGAGGTTGCAGTTGCAGTGAGCTGAGATCATTCTACCGCACTCCAGCACTCCAGCACTTCAGCCTGGGTGACAGAGTAAGACTCCATCCCAAAAAAACAAACAAAAACGATACCTAGGATTGGAATTGGTGGATCACGTGGCACCTACGCTAACCTTCTGAGGAAATGCCATGCTCTTCTCCAAAGCAGTGGCCCCATCATCCATTCCCACCGTGAGAGGATTCGGATCCCTCCACACCTTTGCCAAGCCTTGTTGTTGGCTGCTTTTGATTCTAGCCATCTTCGTGAATGGGCAGCAGTATCTCCTATGCTTTAGCTTTGCATTTCCCTGGTGACAAATGATGGTGAGCATCTTTTCACATGCTTATCGTGTATATCTTCTTTGGAAAAATTTTGGAAAAATTTCTTTGAAAAAATGAGTCCTTTGCCCATTTCTAAATTGGATTATCTTTTTACTATTGAGTTTTGAGAGTTCTTTATCAGATATATGACTTGCAAATATTGTCCCCATCCTGTGGGGTTGTCTTTTCACTTTTTTGATGGTGTCCTTTGAACCCCCTGAAAATTTAATTTTGAGGAAATGAGAAAATCCAATTATCAATTATTTTTCCTTTTGTCACTTTTGCCTTAGATGTCATATTTAAGAAACCATTGCCTAATTCAACGCTGGGTGCAGTAACTCATGCCTGTAATCCCAGCACTTTGGGAGGCTGAGGCTGGTGGATGGCTTGAGGTCAGGAGTTTGAGACCAGCCTGGCCAAAATGGTGAAACCCCGTCTCTACTAAAAATACAAAAATTACCCGAGTGTGCTGGCACGGGCCTGTAATTTCAGCTACTCGGGACGGTAGGTGGAGGTTGCAGTGAGCCAAGATTGCGCCACTGCACTCCAGCCTGGGCAACAGAGAAAGACTTTATCAAAAAATAACAAAAAACAAAAAACAAAAAAACCAAAAAGCCACCAGTGCCTAATTCAAGATTATGAAGATTTACTCCCGTGTTTTTTAAAAAAGAGTTTTATAGGCCAGGTGCAGTGGCTCACTCCTATAATCCCAGCACTTTGGGGAGCCAAGGCAGGTGGATCACCTGAGGTCGGGAGTTCAAGACCAGCCTGACCAACATGGAGAAACCCTGTCTCTACTAAAAATACAAAAAAGATTAGCAGGGCGTAGTGGCACGTGTCTGTAATCCCAGCTACTCAGGAAGCTGAGGCTGGAGAATCACTTGTACCTGGGAGGCGGAGGTTGTGGTGAGCCGAGATCGTGTCATTGCACTCCAGCTGGGCAACAAGAATGAAACTCCATCTCAGAAAAAAAAAAAAAGAGTTTTGTAGTTTTAGCACTTACATTTAAGTTCGTGATCCATTTTGAGTTAATTTTTGTATATGGTTGATGTGAGGGAAAGATCTAAAATGTTACTTTTTTTTCCTCATTGAATCATCTTGGCACCCTTGTAGAAAACTTATTGACTATAAATGTAAGCACTTATTTCTGTGCTCTCAATTCTATTCTATTGAACTATTGACTTATCCTCATGCCAGTACCACAGTGTTTTGATTATTGTACCAAATATAACCAAATGTGGTAAGTTTTGAAATCAAGAAATACGAGTTCTCTAAGTTTGTTCTTTTTGTTCAAGATTGTTTTAGCTATTCTGAATCTCCTGTATTTTCATATGAATTTTAACATCAGATCAGCAAAAAAGTAAAAACAAACAAATTATAAAAATGAAAAACAAAAATCTGGTTTTATTTTTTAGGATATCAAATCTGTAGATTAATTTAGAGAGTATTGTCATCTTAGAAACATTAAATCTTCCAAGTCATAAATACGGGATGCCTTACTTTATTTAGATGCTCTCTAATTCCTTCCAGAAATGCTTTGTAGTTTTCAGTGAACAAGTCTTGCAAATTATTTGTTAAAATTTTAATACTATTGTAAATGGAATTTTTTCTTTTTCTTTTCTTTTTCCTTCCTTCCTTCCTTCCTTCCTTCCTTCCTTCCTTCCTTCCTTCCTTCCTACCTCCCTCCCTCCCTCCCCTCCCCTCCCCTCCCCTTCCTTCCTTCCTTTTCCTCCCTTTCCCTTTCCCTTTCTCTTTCCTTTATTTTGACAGAGTTTCACTCTGTTGCCCAGGCTGCAATGCAGTGGTGTGATCACAGCTCACTGTAGTCTTGATCTCCTGGGCTTAAGCGATGCTCCCATGTCAGCCTCCCGAATAGCTGGGACCACAGACATGCACCACCATGCCCGGCTTTTTTTTTTTTTTTTTTTTTTTTTTTGTAGAGAAGACGGAGTCTCCCTATGTTACCCAGGCTGGTGTTGAACTCGTGGGCTCAAGCGATCCTCCTGCTCTGGCCTCTCAAAGTGCTAGGATTGCAGGCACAAGCCACTGTGGCTGGCCTTTAATTTCATTTTCAAATTGTTCATTCAAAGTATTGAAATACTATGAATTTTTCTCTAATGATTTTGTATCCCACAACCTTGTTGAATGCATGTATTAGCTCTAATAATTTTCCTGTGGATTCCTTAGGATGTTCTGTATACAAGATTATGTCATCTGTAGAGATAGTTTTACTTCTGCCTTTCCAGTCTGCATGCCTTTTAATAGTTCCCTGGCTAGAACCTCCAGTATAGTGTTAAATAGAAGTGGTGAAAGCAGACATCTTTGTCTTATTCCTTATCTTAGTGGGAAAGTATTCAGTCTTTTACCACGTTATGGTGTTAGCTTTGGGTTTTTCACGGATGCCCTGTAGAAGGTTAAGGAAATTCTCTTCTATTTTAAGTTTGTTGAGTTTTTTTTTTTTTTTTAACAGAAAAAGGTGTTGTATTTTATCAGATGCTTTTTTTGTCTATTACAAAAAAAAATATTGTTTCACACTGATTATATTTGGATGTTATGCCAATCTTTTATTCCTGGATAAATCCACTTGCTTATGATATATAATCCTTTTTATACATTGCTTGATTTGGTTTGCTAGTATTTTTATGTCTATTTTATAAAACATATTGTCTCCAATGAACATTGAAGCAAAAATCCTCAATAAAATACTGGCAAACTGAATCCAGCAGCACATCAAAAAGCTTATCAACAACAATCAAGTCAGCTTCATCCCCGGGATTCAAGGCTAGTTCAATATATGCAAATCAATAAACATAATTCATCACATAAGCAGAACTAAAGATAAAAACCACATGGTTATCTGTGGGAAAGGGCTTCGATAAAATTCAACATCGCTTCATGTTAAAAACTCTCAATGAACTAGGTATTGATGGGACATACCTCAAAATAATAAGAGCCATTTATGACAAACCCACAGCCAGTATCATACTGAATGGGCAAAAGCTGGAAGCATTCCCTTGAAAACTGGCACAAGTCAAGGATGCCCTCTCTCACCATTTCCATTCAACACAGTATTGGAAGTTCTGGCCAGGGTAATCAGGCAAGATAAAGAAATAAAGGTATTCAAGTAGGAAGAGAGGAAGTCAAACTGGGTCTGTTTGCAGTTGACATGATCCCATATCTAGAAAATCCCATTGTCTCAGCCCAAAGCTTCTTAAGCTAAGTAGCTTCAGCAACAAAAAGTACCTTCAGCAAAATAAACATGCAAAAATAACAAGCATTCCTATATACCAACAATAAACAAGCAGAGTCAAATAGTGAATGAACTCACATTCACAATTGCTACAAAGAGAATAAAATACCTAGGAATACAGCTAACAAGGGAAGTGAAGGACCTCTTCAAGGAAAACTACAAACCACCCCTTAAGGAAATCAGAGAGGACACAAATGGAAAAGCATTCCATGCTCATGGATAGGAAGAATCAATATTGTTAAAATGGCCATAGTGCCCAAAATAATTTATAGATTCAATGCTATTCCCATTAAACTACCATTGACATTCTTCACAGAATTAGAAAAAAACTACTTTAAAATTCATATGGGACCAAAAAAGAGCCCGTATAGCCAAGACAATCCTAAGCAAAAAGAATGAACATGGAGGCATTATGCTACCCAACTTGAAACTATACTATAAGGCTACAGTAACCAAAAACAGCATGGTACTGGTACAAAAACAGACACATAGCCCAATGGAACAGAATAGAGACCTCAGAAATAAGACTGCACATCTACAACCATCTGATCCTTGATAAACCTGACAAAAACAAGCAATGGGAAAAGGATTCCCTATTTAATAAATGGTTCTGGGAAAACTGGCTGGCCATATGCAGAAAATTGAGACTGGAGCCCTTCTTTACACCTTATACAAAAATTAACTCAAGATGGCCTAAAGACTTAAATGTAAAACTCAAAACTATAAAAACCCTAGAAGAAAATCTAGGCCCATTCAAGACATAGGTATGAGCAAAGATTTCATGATGAAAATGTCAAAAGAAATTGCAACAAAAGCAAAAATTGACAAATGGGATCTAAAAGAAAGAGGAACTAACAGCAAAAGAAACTATCATCAGAATGAACAGACACCCTACAGAATGGGAGAAAATTTTTGCAATCTATCTATCTGACAAAGGTCTAATATCCAGAATCTACAAGGAACTTAAACAAATTTACAAGAAAAAATGAACACTCTCATTAAAAAGTGGGTGAAGGACATGAACAGACACTTCTCAAAAGAAGACATTTATTCAGCCAACAAATATATGAAAAAAAGCTCTACATCACTGATCATTACAGAAATGCAAATCAAAACCACAGTGGGATACCATCTCACACCAGTCAGAATGGTGATTATTAAAAAGTCAAGAAACAACAGATGCTGGCAAGGCTGTGGAGAAATAGGAATGCTTTTACACTGTTGGTGGGAATGTAAATTAGTTCAACCATTGTGGAAGATTCCTCAACGACCTAGAACCAGAAATACCATTTGACCCAGCAATCCTATTACTGGGTATATACCTAAAGGAATATAAGTAATAATTTAGGATAATATATAAATAATTCTTTATAATAATATAAAGATATATGCATGTTTATGTCTCTTTCATTTCTGATTTTAGTAATTTGAATCTTCTTTTTTCTTGGTCAGTCTAGCTAAAGGTTTGCAATTCTGATTATCTTTTAAATGAAACAATTTTTTGTTTTTGTACTGTATTAGTCTGTTTTCATGCTGCTGATAAAGACATACCCAAGACTGAGAAAAAAAGGAAGTTTAATTTGAGTTACAGTTCTCTATGGCTGGAGAGGTCTCATAGTCATGGCAGAGGGCAAAAGGCACTTCTTACACGGCGGCAGCAGGAAAGAGAATGCAGAGGAAGCAAAAGGGTAAACCCTGATAAAACCATCAGATCTCGTGAGACTTATTAACTATCACAAGAATAGCACAGGAAAGACCAGCCCCCGTTATTCAATTACCTCCCCCTGGGTCCCTCCCACAACATGTGGGAATTTTGGGAGATACAATTGAAGTTGAGATTTGAATGGAGACACAGCCAAACCATATCACATACTTTCTCATTTTCATTCATTGCAAAGTATTTGCTAATTTTTCTCTTGATTTGTTCTTTGACCCCTTGGTTGTTTTTAGAAGTGCATTGTTTATTTTCCACATATTTGTGAATTTTCCAGTTTTCCTTCTGTTATTAATTTCTAGTTCTATTGTGGTCAGAGAAGATACTTTATATGAGTTTAATCTTTAAAATTTTATTGAGATTTATTTTTTTATCTAATATATGATCTATCCTAGAGAATGTCCTATGTACACTTGAGAAGAATATGTATTCTGCTGTGGTACGGTGGAGTGTGCTATAGACGTTTGTTATGTCTAATGGTTTAGAGTGTTGTTCAAGTCTTTGGGTCCCCTGTTGGTCTTCTGTGTAGTTGTTCTATCCATTATTGAAAGTTGAGTATTTAAGTCTCCTGCTATTATGTTGAACTATTTCTTCCTCCTTTCTTTCACTTTTATCTTCATATATCTAGTAGCTCTGTTGTTAGATGGCAAGACATAACCACTTTGGTTATGTCTTTCTAATAGGTAGACTCTTTTATCATTATACAAGTATTTCTTTGTCTCTAGTAACAATTTTTGCCTTAAGGCCTATCTTGTATATTGGTGTAGCCACACCAGCTCTGTTTTGTTTACCGTATGCATGGCATATCCTTTCCGTCCTTTCATTTCAACCTATTTGTGTATTGGAATCTGAAGTATGTGTCTTGTTGAAGTATAGTTGAATCACACTCTTCAAATCCATTCTGCCAATCTCTGACTTTTGGTTGGAGTGTTTAATTCATTTAATGTAATTCCTGGGAAAAATGGATTTATGTCTGTTTTATATATATATATATATATATATATATATATATATATATATATATATGGTTATTTTCTTAGTGGGCCTCTGAGGGCTACAATAACATATTAATTAAAACAGTATAGTTGATATTAATATGAATTTTATTTCAATACTATACAAAGAACTTTGCTTCAATATAAATCTATTCCTTATCTCTTCTTTTTGCCATTGTCATGACATTACATCTTTATACATTTTAAACTCATCAACACAATTATTGCTTTGTGTAGTTGTCTTTTAAATCAGATAGGAGAAGAAAAGTGTCACAAAACAAATTGTCATTTTTATTTACATTGTAGATACCTTAATTGGTGACTTTTATTTCCTTATGTGAATCTAGTTATTGTCCGGTGTCCTTTCATTTCAGCTAAAGCACTCCCATTAGTATTTGTTTGAGCCATTATGTGAAAATCTGCTAATAATGAATTCTGCCAATTTTTGTTTATCCAGGAATGTCTTAATTTCTTGCTCTTTTTGAAAAACAGTTTGGCCAAATATAGAATTCTTAGTTAAAAGTCATTTTTTTTAGCACTTTGAATATGTCATTCCACTGCTTTCTGGCTCCCATGATATTTGATGAGAACTCAGCTATTAATCCTGTTGAGAATCCCTTGCACGTGATGAGTTGCTTGTCTCTTGCTACTTTCTTCTTTTTTCTGAGACAGGGTCTTGCTCTGTTGCCCAGGCTAGAGTGCGGTGGCATGATAATGGCTCACTGCAGCCTCAATCTCCTGGGCTTAAGCGATTCCCCCATATCAGCCTCCTGATAGCAGGGCTCACAGGCATGTACCACCACACCTGGCTAATTTTTGTAGAGACGGAGACTCATTATGTTGCCTAGGCTGGTCTCCAACTTCTGGGCTCAAGTAATCCTCCTGCCTCAGCCTCCCAAAGTGCTGAGATTATAGGCGTGAGCCACTGTGTCTAGCCTCTCTTGCTACTTTCAAGGCTCTTCTTGTCTTTGTCACTTTGACAATTTGATTATGAAGGATCTAGGTGTGGATCACTTTCAGTTTATCCTACTAGGAGTTCATTAAGCTTCTTAGATACATAGATTAATGTTTTCATAAAATTTGGCACATTTTCAGCCATTATTTCTCCATATATTCTCTCTGACCCCTTCTCTCTCCTATCCTCCTTAACTCACATTGTCTGTATGTTGGCACACTTGATGTTGTTCCACAGATTTCTGAGGCTTCTGTTCATTTATTTCATTAATTTTTTGTCCTATTCTACAAATGTATCATTTTATTTCATCTATTTTCCGGTTCACTGATGCTGTTTTATGTAAGTGAAAATCTTGTGTTGAGCCCCTCCAGTGATTTTTAATTTTAATTATGTACTTTTCAATTCTAGAATTTCTATTTGTTTTTATTGTAGTTTCTATGTTTTTATTTATATATCTACTTGGTGAGATGTCGTTGTCATACTTTCTTTTAATTATTTATACAAGATTTTCATTAGTTCTTTGCACATATTTACAATAGCTGATGTAAAGTCTTTGTCTAGTAAGTCCAACATCTCATCTGCTCTTCCTTAGGAACAGTTCTATTGACTGACTTTTTTCCTGTGTATGGGCCATACTTTCCTGTTTCTTTGCCTATCTCCTATGTTTTCTTGTTGAAAACTGAATATATTAAATAATATAATGTGGCGACATGGAAAATAAGATTCCCCTTCCTAACCAAGCTTTTTTGTTTGTTTATTGTTGTTGTTATTGTTGCTTCTGCTTGTTTGTTTGGTGGATTTCCTGGGTTAATTCTGTAAAGTCTGTATTCTTGGTTATGTGCAGCCACCGAAGTCTCTTCTTAGTTGGTATAGTGGTCAGCTAATGATTGGACAGAAATTTCCTTGAATGTCTTGGACCAATGAGTCTCCCAGTCTTTGCTGGGAACTCTGTGTATATGTTGGAGCACACTGTCAATGTTCAGGCCTGCAGTTTATACATCTGCCTTAACTTTCACTTCCTGCAAATGCAGAACCTCAAGTTAAGCTATAAGTGAGAGACTAGATCTTTATCAGGTTTTTTCCTGAGCATGTACACAGCCCTGCACTTGCATGTGGTGTTTAGATTTGTAGGAATATGTCATCACTTTTCTAAGCCCATTATGGATATCTCATTTTTCAGTTTTTCCTTTTGTTGATGAACATAAACTAACCTCTGTAAAATATTTAAAGAGGTTTATTCTGGGCTAATATGAGGGACCCTGGTCCAGGGAACAGTCTCAAGAGGTTCTGAGAAGTGTGCCTGAGGCAATCAGGTTTCATTTTGGTTTTATGCCTTTTAGGGATGCAGAAGTTACAGTAAAGACATAAATAAATACATGTAAAGTACCCATTGGTTCAGCCCGAAAAGCCGGGACATTTCAAAGTGAGGGCTTGCAAGTCCTAGGTGGGTTTTAAGGATTCTTTAGTTGACAATTGGTTGAGAGAGTTAAGCTGTTGTCTAAAGGCTTGAAATCAGAAAGGAATGCCTGAGTTAAGATAAGGAGGTTGTGAACAACAAGGTTTTTATTATGTAGATGAAGCCTCTTAGGTGGCAGCCCTCAGAGAGAATAGATAGTAAATGTTTCTTTTTAAACTTTTAAAGGTGTCAGACTCTCATTCTCTCCTAGATCTAGGAAAGGCCTAGAAAGGGAAGGCCTGGCTGCATTAATGGAGATTCTCTTCAGATGCAAATTTCCTCTACATCAATCTGCTGGCTTGTGGCAGCCATTTCAAAATATGTCAAAGAAATATATTTTGGGATAAAATATTTTTATTTCCTTCAGAGTCTGCTATCCGTCATGTGATACTATACCAAAGTCGGGTTGCAATTTGGTATCTTATTGCCACAAAGAGTCTGTTTGGTCAGTCTTATGATCTCAGTTTTAATGTTAATGCTGGTCACCTGTGCCTAAACTCCAAAAAGGCAGGAGTATAACGAGGCAAATCTAACCTCCCTTCCCGTCATGGCCTGGAATTTAGTTTTTCAGGTTTCTCTGTGTTCCCTTTGGCCAAGATGGGGTTCATTCAGTCAGTTGGGGGCTTAGGATTTTATCTTTGGTTTATACTTTAAAGGTTTTTAGTTAGCCTTTGTTAGCCACAGCTCTTATTGTTATCTCAGGCAGCTACAGTGTAGAAAAATTTCTCATTTTTTCAATAAACACCTTAGGTATAGAGCTGTTTATACACAGTGAGCTCTGAGTCAGGTCAAATAAAGGCAAGCCTTGAGCATGCAGCTTTTTAGGGAACTACCAGACAACACAAATAGTGATAATTCCTCTGGGATGGGGCATTTTGCGGAGATTAAAACCCACTCTACCCACCCAGTTAGTAGTAGGGTGAAATATTTAAGGTGTTGACAGAAAAAAAATTCCAACAACCTAGATTTCTATATCCAGTGAACTTATTGTTCAAGTGAAAGACAAAGACTTTCTCAGAAAAATAAAAACTAGGGGGCTTTATCACCAGCAGACCTGCTTTCTTAGTCCATTTCGGCTGCTGACAAAATACCATAGATTATGTAGTTTATAAACAACATAAACTTCTTTCTCCCAGTTTTGGAGGCTGTGAAGTCCAAAATCAAGTTGCCAGCAGAGTTGGTGTCAGGTGAAGAACCCTTTCCTGGTTCATAGATGGTGCCTTCTTGTGATGTCCTCACATGGTGGAAGGGACAGGGGGTCTCCCTCAGGCCTCTTTTATAGGGGGATTAATCCCATGTATGAGGGCTCCACTTTCATGACCTAATCACCCCAAAAGACCCCAATCCCAAATACCATCATTTCAGGGGTTAGGATTTCAACATATGAATTTGAGGGAGAAACAGACTGAAATAAAATATTTTCAAGACGTCTATCTGATAAATTGTCTGTATACAAAATATATATGCAAACCACAGCATTCCACCCTGGCCTTCCAAAATTCATGTCCTTCTTAGGTGTGAAATACATTAATCTCATCCCAACAGACCTGGAAGTCTTAACTCATTCTAGCATCAACTCGAAAGTCTCAAGACCAAAGTTTTATCTAAATGTCATCTAAATAGGATGTGGATGAGATTCAAGGTATGATTCATTTTAAGGCATTGTTCTCCAGCAATCCAAATTGAATATTTAAAATCAAACATGCTACTTGCTTCCAAAATACAATGGTGGGACAGTTACAGGACAGGCAGTCCCATCCCAAAAGGGAGAAATAAGAATAAAGAAAGGTATGAGAGGTCTCAACAAGTCCAAACTCTTAAGGCTCAAGAGAAATATTCCTTGACCTGATGCCACCCACTGGGGTGGAAGACAGCCTTCTGGACCTACTGGGATGGTGATCTCTCCTCCTCAGCTTTGTCTGCCCTCATGGCTTTGGACAGCCCCACCCCCATGGCTTTGCTGTGTACAGCCCATGCCACAGCTCTTATGGGTTGGAGTTGTGGACCTGTTGCTCTCCTGGGCCTGGAATTGCATGGTAGTGGCTCTACCAGTCTGAGGTCAAGCCCTCATTGCTCTCTGGATATTTTCCTAGTTGGGAGCTCTCTGCAGTGGCCCTGCCCCTGTGGTGGTTCTCTGCCTGGGCCCCAGTGCTCTCTAGGGCATCCTTTGAAATCCGGCTCTGCCCCCCACAGCTTTGCTTGGTGCAGTGCATGCTGCAATGGGGCCCACCAAAGCACACATGGGATGACTGGAGAGTGTGGTGATGGAGAGCAAAGAGCACAGCCTGCAGTGTGAGGCTGCTGGGTAGTGGTGGTCCCTCCTTTGAAGCCCTGTGATGGGAGGGGCAGCCCTGATGATCTCTGAAATGTCTTTGCGGGTATTCATCCATTGTCTTAGATTTTAGGTCCTGTTTTCTGTTTAGATGACTGATGAATCTCCCCATTATTTTGATGTATAGCATGAGGCTTCTGGTGAGATGCCTGATCCATAGTAATCTCTTTATCATAAGGTGTCTTGAACAGGCTTTTTTGTTATTTCCAATATGGATTGGCTGAGAATTTTCCAAATCTTTAAGTTCTGCTTCCCCTTTTGACAAACAATTTCATCTTTTAAATTATTTCTTCGTTTTGCATTTTACTTTAAGCAATTGAGAGGAACCAGCCTACCTTTTCACTACTTTGCTTAGTGATTTCCTCAGCCAAATACCCAGTTTCATTGCTTGCAAGTTCGACTTTCCACAAAACACGAGGGCATGAGCACAATTCAACCAGATTCTTTGCTACTTTATGATAAAATGGCCTCTCCTCCATTGTCCAACAATAACATGTTCCTCATTTCTGTCTGAAACTCATCAGAATGGCCTTTATTGTCCGTATTTCTACCAATATGCAGCTCATAACCACTTAGATATTCTCAGAAGATTGAGTCTGTCTCTGTAGCACTCCTCTTCTCCTGAGATTCCTCCTCAGAATTTCCGCTTATGAACCACTCACAGCAACGTAGGCTTTTTCTAGCATGTACCTTAAAATTCTTCCAGCCTCTACCCATTACCTGGCTCCAAAGCTGCATCCACATTTTAGGTATTTATTATGGCAGCCCCCTCCACTTCTCAGTACCAAGTCCTACCTTCATGACCTAATCACCTCCCAAAGGCCTATCAGTTCCTGATAGGAACTGGGCTGTGGACTGGTCCAAGGCCTGTTAGGAACTGGGCTGCACAGCAGGAGGTGAGCAGCGGGTGAGCAAGCATTACTGCCTGAACTCCACCTTCTATCAGGTCAGCGGTGGCATTAGATTCTTATAGGAGTTTGAAGCTTATTGTGAACTACAAATGCAAGGGATCTAGGTTGTGCACTCCTTATGAGAATCTAACTAAAGCCTGGTGATCTAAGGTGGAACAGTTTCATCCCCAAACCATCTCCCTCAACCCTTGGTCCATTGAAAAATTATCTTCCACAAAACCAGTTCCTGGTGCCAAAAAGGTTGGGTACTGCTGATCTAAACACACAATTAAAAGACAGAAATTTTCAGAGTGGATTAAAGAAGTAGAATGAACACCTAGCTTTTTGTTTTCTGTAAGAAACCCTTTAAATATATATATATATATATATATATTTTTTTTTTTTTTTTTTTGAGACAGAGTCTCACTCTGTTGCCCAGGCTGGAGGCTGGAGTGCAGTGGCGTGATCTCAGCTCACTGCAAACTCCTCCTCCCAGGTTCATGCCATTCTCCTGCCTCAGCCTCCTGAGTAGCTGGGACTACAGGCACCTGCCACCACGCCTCGCTAATTTTTTGTATTTTTAGTAGAGACAGGGTTTCACCATGTTAGCCAGGATGGTCTCGATCTCCTGACCTCGTGATCTGCCTCCCTCAGCCTCCCAAAGTGCTAGGATTACAGGTGTGAGCCACTGTGCCCGGCCCCCTTTAAATATTAAGACTCTGATGGGTTAAAAGCAAAGAAATAGAGAAAATATGCCATGCTAACACTAATTGAAAGAAAACTGGAGCAGTTATATTAATTTCAGACAAAGCAGATTTCAGAACAAGGAAACTTATGAGGGATAAATAAGAGCACTATGTAAAAATAATTGGCTCAATTCTCTAAGAAGACATAACAATATTAAACTTATATGCACCTAAATAAATATATGTGCAAAAATTAATAGAACTTAAAAATAGGCACATCCACCATTATAGTTGGAGACTTCAGCACCTGTCTATCAGTAGCTGATTGATGAAGCAGGTGTAAAATAAAGGCTAAAGTTAACCTGAATAGCAATTTCAATGAGCTTGATCTAATTGACATTTATAGAAGACTATGCAACAACAGCAAAATACAGGTTCTTCTCAAGCTTGTATGGAATATTCAACAAGATACATCAAATTCTGGGGCCATAAAACACACCTCAACAAATTTAAAAGAATAGATATTGTATAAAGTATGTTCTCAGACCACAGTTGAAATAAAGTAGAAATCAATAATGGAAAGATAGCTGGGAAATCCCCCAAGTATTTAATATGGAAATTAAACAAGACACTTCTAAATAACACATGAGCCAAAGATGAATTTTCTTTTTTCTTTTTTTTTTTTGAGATGGAGTCTCGCTCTGTCACCAGGCTGGAGTGCAGTGGCGCAATCTCGGTTCACTGCATCCTCCAACTCCTTGGTTCAATAGATTCTCCTGCCTCAGCCTCCTGAGTAGCTGGGATTACAGGCAGGTGCCACCACACCCAGCTAATTTTTGTATTATTAGTAGAGACGGGGTTTCACTATGTTGACCAGGATGATCTTGATCTCCTGACCTCGTGATCCACATACCTCGGCCTCCCAAAGTGCTGGGATTACAGGCATGAGCCACTGCACCCAGCCGAGTCAAAGAAGAATTTTCAAGAGAAATTTAAGCCAGGTGGGGTGGCATGCACCTGTAGTCCCAGTACTTTGGGAGGCTGAGACAGGAGGACTGCTTGAGCCCAGGAGGTCAAGGCTGCAGTGAGCTATGATCGCACCACTGTACTCCAGCCTGTGGAGTGTCAGAGCAAGACCCTGTCTAAAAAAATAAAATAAAATAAAATAAAATAAAATAAAATAATAGGAAAAAGAAATTTAAAAATATTTTGAACTAAAGGAAAATAAACTATAATTTATCACAATTTGTGGGATACAGTGAAAGGAGTGGTAAAGGGGAAATTTATGGCATTAAATGCATATATTAGAAATTCAAAGCTAGGCACGGTGGCTCACATATGTAATCTCAGCACTTTGGGAGGCCAAAGCAGGCAGATCATTTGAGGTCAGAAGTTTGAGACCAGCCTGGCCAACATGGCAAAACCCTGTCTCTGCTAAAAATACAAAAGAAATTACCTGGGCATGGTGATGCATGCCTGTAGTCACAGCTATTTAGGAGGCTAAGGCACAAGAATTGCTTAAACCTAGGAAGCGGAGGTTGCAGTGAGCTGAGATCGCGCCACTGCACTCCAGCCTGGGTGACAGAGTGAGACTCTGTCTCAAAAAAAAAACAGTAATAATAAATATGTAAAATTAATAACTTAGGAAACTAGATAAAGAGGTACAATTTAAGCATGAATCAAGAGGGAAAAATGAAATAATAAAACATAGAACATAAATCAATGAAATTGAAAAGATGAAAAAAACAAAACTATCTTTTATAGAAAAGATCAATCAAATTCGTAGGCCAAAAGCCAGGTTAGAGAAAAGACACAAATTACCAATATCAGAAATGAAAGAGGAGTTATCACTAGTGATTCCATAGACATTTAAATGATAATAAAGGAATACTATAAACAACTCTATGACCACAAATTTGATAACATTATTAAATGAACCAATGCTTTGAAAGACACAAGCTGCTAAGACTTACAGAAACAGAAATAGATCATTGGAATAGGCCTATACCTATTAAAGAAATTGAATCAATAATTAATAACATTCCACAAATACAAGAACCAGTGAATTCTACCAAACATTTAAGATATAAAATGGAAGAGGGACTATTTCCTAACTCATTCTATGAGGCCATGATTACCCTAATTCAAAAAAACAGATAAAAACATTACAGGAAAAGAAAACCACAGACCAGAAATTCTCATGAATATAGATTCAAAAATACTCATCCAAATATTGGCAAATATATCCATTAAAAATAGGTTCTGGCCAGGCATGGTGGCTCATGCCTGTAATCTCAACACTTAGGGAGGCAGAGGCAGGAGGATAGTTTGAGCCCAGGAGTTCGAGACCTGCCTGGGCAACATAGTGAGATCCTGTTCTCCACAAAATGGAAAAAAAAAAGACAAAAAAAAAAAGGTTCTGTTGGACAAGAGGTTGTTGGAAAAAAAAGAAAAAAATTGGTAAGTTGGACTTTTATTAATTAAACAATTCTGCTTTCCTAAAAGACACTTAAGAGAATAAAACAACAAGCCACAGACTAGAAGAAAACCTCCGCAGAACATCTATCGGATAAATTGCCTGTATACAAAATATACAAAACAACTCTTAAAACTTAACAATGAAAAAAACCCAGTTAAAAATCATCAAATGATATGAACAGACACCTCACTAAAGAAGACATACAGATCATAAAATAACATATAAAAGGATGTTCATCATCATTTGTCATTAGGAAATTGCAAATTAAAACAACAAAGAGATACTAATACACACCAATTAGAATACCTAAAATCTAAAAATGAACAATCCTAATGCTGGTGAGAATAGAGAGCAACAGGAGCTCGCGTTCATTGATGTTGAGAATGCAAAGTGGGCCAGTCACTTTGGAAGATAGTCTGGCAGCTTATTATAAAGTTAAACACAGGATTACCATATAATCCAGCAACCACACTCCTAGGTATTTACCAACTGAT
Source organism: Homo sapiens (assembly GCF_000001405.40). Taxonomy (NCBI): domain Eukaryota; kingdom Metazoa; phylum Chordata; class Mammalia; order Primates; family Hominidae; genus Homo; species Homo sapiens. The sequence goes on along the minus strand of NC_000010.11, from coordinate 43,005,957 downwards.
TGAAAACTTACGTCCACAAAAAATCTACGTGAATGTTTATAGTGGTTTTATTCACAATTGTCAAAAACTGAAAGCAACCAAAATGCCTTTCACAAGGGAATGGATAAACCAACTATGTTATATCCATGCAATAAAATGTTAATCAGCAATAAAAAAAGAACCATCAAGCCATGAAAAGAAATGAATAAATCTTTAATAAATGTATATTGTTAGTTTGAAAAAATTGCATACCATGTGATTCCAATGATATCTTCTGAAAAAGGCAAAACTGTAGAGATGGTAAACAGATTGGCGGGTGCCAGGGGATTGGGAGTAGGGCATTGAACAAGTGAAGCACAGGAAATAGCTTAAGGTGGTGAAACTATTCTGTATGATTTTGTGAAGGTGAATACAAGATATTAAACGTGTGTCAAAATACACAGAACTTGACACAAATGCATGTATATTTTTAACATGTAGGATGTTGGAGATCCCAGGATGGAATGCAGAATGTGACAAAATAATGTAACTGCATTACAAATGTATGAAATAATCTCATTTGAAGAGGGTGGGAGAAACGGTGCTGACCTAAGTAATTTTGGGAATTAGCGGATTTTTCTAAGACTAAAGACAAACAGAAAGGCACGTAAGCACTGTATTATTTTTGGCAAAGTTTTTCCCCACAGAAGTATGGGTTAACAATTCTGAAACCACTATACATGTGGATCAGACAATTTGATAAGTGTCTGGTGGATGGTGGGAACCAGCATCTCGCTGTTTGAGTGGGAGGTTACAGAAGAAGCAAGGGTGCTGGAAGGGGAGAATGATCCATGCGATAGTAGATTAGAGGGGGAGACATCATGTGGACTAACGTTTAGCTTAATATAGATATGTAGATATAGATAGAGACATAGATATGTGTTATACTAGAGTTCTCCAGAGAAACAAAACTAATTGTGTGTGTGTGTGCATGTAGACACACAGAAATTTTTAAGGATCTGACTCCTATCATGTGATTGTGGGACCTGGTAAATCTGAAATACATAGAGCAAGCCTGCAGGCTGGAAGTTAAGGCAAGAATGGATGTTTCAGTCTTGAGTCTGAAATTTGCAGGCTGGAAACTCAGGGTTTCTATGCTGCAGTCTGGAGGCACAATTGCTTCTTCAGGAAGCTTCAGTCTTTACTCTTAGGGCCTTCAAATGATTGGATGAGATGAGACCTACCGGTGTTGTAAAGGGTAGTTCCTATAAACAATACTATCACAGTAACAGCTAGACTAATGTTTGGCCAAAAAACTTGGCACCATAGCCTAGCCAAGCTGACATACAAAATTAACCATCACATGGATACACACATGGGTGAGCATCCATACAGATTTCCTTGCTCTGTCCACTGAGAGGGCCTAGAAGCAACAATGCCCCCAGTAGAAATGAGCATCCCCAGCACCCATATCTTGGTTTTTAATACCATTGTCTAGTGAAAGAAACCAGAGATCCTTGGAGAATGGTTGTTTCTAGGAATGTGGCAAGAAATATTGAAGTTGAGCCTAGAGCACTTTGTAGCACCAGAAAGCAAGAACATGATAAAACAAATAAACAAACAAAAAATCAACCCACAATGATAGGACTATGCAAAAGAGACACAGGAGTCAACTGAAAGAGCTCCCAACAGCCAAAACTGGAACAGTTTGAGCAACAAAATAAAGTAGTATCAGATTATAACCCAAGTTATACAATAAATATCCATATTGACATCAATAAATTACTGAATAAATAAATCAATGTGGGGGAGGAAAGACAAATATTCTGTGCAGGAGAATTCCAAACAAATTATGTTGATACCCCACCCTTAAGGTCAGGTAGCGAAACTCCCCACTCCCGAAGTGGAAGTTGTGCTTAATGACTTCCTTCCAAAGGGTGCAGTGTGGAAGAGTAATTGTAGCAGAGACACCTGACAAGCACCGCCCCAGCCAGGGGGTCAAGGTCAGCATCCACAGTGATAAGCCACAGCACCATTCCCAGTAGCAAACGTGGAATCAATCTATGTGCCCACTAACTGTGGACTGGATAAAGAAAATGTGGTTCATATGCACCACGGAATACTATGCAGCCATAAAAAGGAGTAAAATCACATCCTTTGCAGCAACATGGATGCAGCTAGGATGCAGGTCATTATCTTAAGTGAATTAATACAGGAACAGAAAGCCAAATACCACATGTTCTCACTTATATGTGGGAGTTAAGCAATGGGTATACACAGATATAAAGATGGAAACAATAGACACTAGGGACTCCAAAAGGGGAGGGGGGACAAGAGTTGAAAAACTCCCTGTTGTGTACTGTGTTCACTATTTGGGTGATGGGTTCAGTAGAAGCCCAAACCTCAGCATTATGCAGTATATCCACGTAACAAACCTGCACATGTACCCCCTGGATCTAAAATGTAAAAAAACAGTGAAAAATTATGTTAGTAGCAGATACCCTTGGTGTGACATGATGAGAGTGACACTTTGGCTGTGGTCTTCCTCCCCAAGACACACTATCTTCATCTTATCAGACATCAGCCAAATCCCAGTAAAAGGGCATTCTACAAAGCACCTGGCCAGCACTCTTTAGAACTCGCAAGGTCACCGAAAACAAGGAACATCTGAGAAACAGCCACAGCCATCAGGAGCCCAAGAGACATGACCAGCAAATGTCATGTGATGTCCTGGAACTGGAAAAGGGGACTAGGTCAAAACTAAAAACATCAGAATAAAAGATGCTATTTCGTTAATACCAACACATCAACATGGTTCATTAGTTGTGACAAATGCACCTTACTAATGTAAGATGTTAGTAACAGGGGAGCTGGGGTGGTGTGTGTCAGAACTCTCTGTGCTATCTTCACGATAGTTCTGTAAATCTAAAGCTCTTCTAAAACAAAAAGCTTATTTTTAAAAAATGGATTGGAAGCTTTCTTTAGGGAGATGTGATGGATGAGCCAGCATCTTAATTAAAGGTTCCCCTTCACTGTCTCTTCTCTGGGCCTGTTCAGTTTCCCTCGAGAAAAGTCCTCCCACTTCCAGTCTGAGGAGCCCATGACTGGCCACTGGTATCTGGGCTGCTGCCTCCTGGAGAACGGGAGGGGCTGTGTCTTTGCTTCCCAGACAAACGTTCACTCCCCTGTCCCCAACCTGGTGCCTCCCTCTTCTTGGGACGTACCTGATATGCCCAGAAGCAGGGCCTCTCTGGCTCACCCTTTCCTGGGAATGAGGCTGCACCTCCCACAGGCTGGGCTGGGGGCCTGCGTTCCAGCTCTGGGGGTTCAGTCACTTTGCTCCTCCAGTTCCCTCTGTGGCATTGAGGGCTGTTTCCTCGAAACCATCTGCCCTCCAGGCCCACAGAGTGTGCTTCAGCCTCCTAGGCTCTGACTGATTTCATTGTTCATTTGCTTGTATTTTTCTTTGTAGGGTTTGGAATTCTCTATTTACTAATGATCATTTGATAGGATTCTGGGAGAGAGTGAAAATCAATGAAGTGTTCAATCTGCCAAGTTTAGGTGGAAGTTTCATTGAGCCTTCCACCATGGTCAAATGTCTGCAGGAAATCCAAGGCATGGTTTTTCCTACCCTCAGATCCTGGGGGCTTAGCACGGTCCTGAGGCTCCTGACAGATATAAACTCATCAGAAAATGCACAGGAAAAACACGAGAACTGATCAAAGTCAGTCAAAGATCAAAGTCAGAATCCCAGTCTCCCCAGAGCCCTGGATTCCCCTAGAAACCCATGGCTCCATTACCTGGAAGGAGGGATGAGGACACATGGGAGCAGCTCTGAGCATCAACTGCTCCAGGCAGGAGGTGGCTCCCTACCCCCCATTCTGACCTTTTCAGGGCCTAAGGGAGCCTCATCACCCCCCTCACCATCAAGAAGTGGCCACCACCCCTCCTGCTCCCATTGCCCTTGATGGACCCCTGGAGCTCCTGGCGAGGCTCTCCAGGGTCACCTAGACAGTCCCTGACCCACTTTTTCCTGGCTTATGATACTTCACCCCCGGAGGAAATAGGAAAAGAAAGTCAATCCATGGGTTTCTCCTAACACAAAGAAAGCTAAATGCTGTCACTCAGGTGCAAAGTGGCCTGAACATGGGCTTGGAAGCTTTGAAGAAAAGCTTCCAAAGCCACAATGCCTCCTGGAGTCTTTGCTGCTCAGGGCTCTGTCCTTCCCTGGAGCCTGAAGGATGCTCTGTAGAATTCTACTGTCTGCTGCTGGCAGGTCAGGGCTGCCACCTCACTTTACCCAGAGTGACAACCTGGCCAGATGAGGCTGGCTTGGGACATGCCCACCATGCAGGAGCCTGTGGGAGGTGGCGTGGCCCCCTGGGGCGGGGCTGGGTGCCAGCCTGAAAGGCCCATCTTCCAGCAATGGCACCATCTCCTACTGTCAGAAATACAGAAAAACAGGGGTCCTCTGACAACCTTGCAGCTGGGCAGCTCTGCTGTCTCCTTCAGCCCCATGGGGTCCTTGGAGGTGGGCATGAACCACGCAGCTCTGCAGCCTTGCTGGGTGGGGCAGCAGGTACAGGTGTGGGCAGCCTACCAGGGGGTGCAGGGCACTGACGGCACCACGTAGAGACCCTTGCAGGGCTGGGTGTGCCCTGGGTGGTCTCCTGAGGAGCCCAGAGAGTCTGCTCAGGTCCTGACCTGCTCCCGGAGACCAGCAGAGCCTCCCCGTATCAGGGCCCTCTCCATGGAGTCCACTTGCCCTTCAGCACCCACCCCTCTGCCAGCTGCTCCATGCCCAAAGCCTGACTCTGTGACAGCAGCAGAGGCTCCAGTGCCTGGGTGGCCCCTCAGTTCATCCAGGGTGGTGTGCAGGGGGAGGGAAGGGGAGGTTTCCTGGCTGTACTCCTTGGCTGAGCCTGGCTCCTGTTGGACAGTTACCTCCCCTGTGTTAGGTCAGCCACCCCCACCGCCACCCCCACTGCCATCATGGAACTGTCGTTGCCACAGCCATGCTGTCATCCCCCTTGGAGCCTTCCTCCCCTGCTGGGGCCCCACCACGCTCCTGAAGGGCGCTGCACATTCTTCCTCTTGTCACTGTGTCCCTCCACTGACATTAGCCTTCCTGTGTCTGTAAGGCACTGCCCATGCTGGGAAGGACATGGGGGCGCTCCTGGAGGGCAGAGGGCCTCGAGGGGCAGGCCTGGGACCCTTGAAGGGAGGACTGTGAGGCCACGAGAGAAGGTCACGCGGCTGGGTGTCAGGGCCGGTGGCTACACCAGCACCAGCTCCCCAGCCCCGTCCCCTGCAAAATCCAGGCCAGGCGCAAGTTGGGGAGGGGTCTCAGGGTGGCCAACAGCCTGCTCTCTCCAGAAGAGGCTCTGTCTTCATGGATTTCTGGTGGCCTCTCTTGTCTTTTGTCAACCTGTGTTCTCTGTTTATCAATAATATCAATGACACAAATCCCAAGCCAGGGGCTGAATTGCAGCATCTGCTGGGAAACCCGTCCTTCTTCCACTTGCCCCTTCAATGAATGCCATCTGAAAGGAAGGAGCACAGGAGCCTGGGGATGTAGAGGGCCATCATGCTGCCTCCCATGGGCTCCTTCATGTCTGCACCCCCAAGTGGGTTGCAGGGATGCCTGACTGAAGGGGTGCACCACAGGTGTCCTCACACAAAGGGACGCCTGCTCGCAGAGCACTGGAAGGATGAGGGCTCAATGGCCTGGGAGGCCCAGGCTGGCTGTGGGACCCAGGCCCTGATGCCTCCACCAACCCCAAACCACCCCCACTGCCCCTGGCCCCATGGTGCAATCATGGCTGGCTTGGGTATGTATTGGGGATGTGCTGGGCTGGGCAGCCTGGACCCAGGCTCCCCCTAAAATCTAGACTAGAGAGGGGTGGGCGCTGAGCACTGCCCAGTGGAGGGGCCTGGGGGAGCTTCTAGGTGAGGCTCTAAGGCTACAGAGCCTAGGCAGGGGTTCTCAGGAGAGGGCCTGTGGCCAGTCTGAGGTGGGCTGGGCCACAGGTCCCAGGATGGACTCCAGGGAGCACTGCACCTGCCCAGGAGCCCCGCAGGTGAAGCAGCCTCCCAGGCCCTGTGTCTCCCAGGGACTGCCCTGGCCTGGGCTATGGCAAGTCCCGTATGTCTCCTGGAGACATCAGCTCCCGTCTGGGTGGCCAGGCGGACTCACGGGCATGGGCCAGCACAGGGTGTGGCAAGAGAGATCAGCTGGGAGAGGAGAATTGGGGACTGCAGGCCTTGGTGCCTGCTGACCTCCACCCCTCTGAAGAGAGCCTGGCTCAGGGCTTCTGGACTCAAAGGAGGGCAGGCAGGACTCCCCAGTTGTCCTGGGCCTGTGTGAAGGTCCCCCTGGAGCTCCTAGGGGTCACCAATGCATAGCCAGGCAGGTGGTGCACTGTGGCAGCTCCAGGGAGAAAGATGCACTGGACCATGAGGCCAGGCAGCAGGGCTGTGATCAGCAGGAGGGTAGGAGAACAGAGGGGCTCAGAGGTGGACGTCCTATGTGGTTGGCTTGCAGGATCCGGGGACACTTCTGACGCTAGGGGACATGCTGGGGCTGTGGACAAGGATCATGGAGTGGGCAGCCCTTGAAGGCATCTGAGACATGCTGATGACACGACGGGCGTTGGGGGCTGACAGTGCAAGGCAGCCATAGGCCTGTGGCCAGTTCTAGGGCAGCTGTCACGGACAGGCACAGATGTCCTGGCTGGGGTCCTGAGAAGCTCCCGAGAAAGGTTTCCATGGGCCTCAGAAGCCAGGCTGTGTCCCACAGCACAGATGCAGGCCCTGGGCATCTTACCCTCCTGGGTGACCCTGGAGGGGCCAATCACAGGTGGGGCCTGCAGAGACACTAAGGCTTCAAGGCCAGGGCCTCGCGGGCTGCATCCTCTGTATCCCCAGGGCTCCCTGGAGAGTCCTGCTTTCCCACTTCCAGGAGACACATCTGCTAGGCAGGTGTGGTGTTCTGGGCCAGGAGCCTCCCACTTGGCATGTGGTCCTGGGCTCTGGGCTCTTCACCTACAGGTCAAGCCTGGGACCTGTTGTCCATGGCCAGGACTGGCACAAATCTGATCCTTTTGTGGAGGTCAGCAGTCTGTCTTCCAGCTTTTCTGCCACCAGCTAATGCTTATCTGGTATGAGCTGTGCCCGGCATTTGCTGGGCTCTTTACACCCTGAGGAGACTGCTCTCACACCCCTGTTCTACAGGGGGAAACTGAGGCTCACTGGGGGTTTGTGGCATGCCCCCGGCCGCAGCAGCTTGAGTGTCTTAGTCAGGTTTACAACCCACTGGCTGGATCCACAGCTCAGGGAGCCTTTCTCCACAGTGACATAAACTGTGGGGTCACTCCCTCAGCTCATGGCTATGGACCTCACGGCCCCTAAGTGCTGGCTGAGGAAGTACGACCATCCCACCCCTCCATGAGGGTCCCTGCCTGGAAGCACAGGGAGCACAGATGCTTCCTGGGTGCAGCAGCCCTGAGCCATGCCCCACTCTCGGGCTCTGCATTAGTTAAGGTTTTCCCGAGAAACAGAAGTGATAGGATGCGTGTGTGTTTATTAAAGGAGATGGATGGCAAGGAATTGCTTCATGAGATAGTGGAGTCTGAGAAGTCCCCAGATCTGCTGCTGGCCAGCTGGAGCCCCAGGAGAGCTGATGGAGTTTGTCCCAGTCTGAAGGCCAGGGGCTTGACATGCATGAAGAGCCTGTACTTCGGTTCAGGTCTGAAGCCTGGAAAAGACCAAGCTCCCAGCTTAAGGCAGCCAGGCAGAATGAATTATCTCCTACTTGGCCTTTGTGTTCAGCTTAGGTCTGCGACAGGTTGGATGGGTCTACCCACACTGGGAGGCTGTCTGCTTTGCAGTCCATGGATTCAAGTGTTCATCTCACCCAGAGCCCCCCTGACACACACCCAGCATAATGTCTGGCCAAACATCCAGGCCCCCTGTGTGCCAGTCAAGCGGACGTGTGAAATTAACCAATGTGGGCTCTGAGATTCCAGGCCCAGGAGACCCACATCCTCCAGCTTCTGCTGATGTGCCCTGGGGTCCCTGGGGACAGGCTCTGGCTTGGTGCCTGGATGGGGTTGGGGCCACTCAGCAGCATGTCACCTGGGCACGTCCTTCACACCCCAAGCCACCCGCCTCCTCTGTAAGTGGGCTGTACTGCCTTAACTGATGACCCCTGCAGCTGCTCTGAAAACTGGTCCCAGTGGAAGTGACATGAAGACCACCTCCTCAGGTGTGTCCCTGTTAGCTAAGACCAGATGAGGATGCTGGGACTGGGCAGGGTCAGCTGACTGCCCAAGGTCCTGTGGCCAGTTAGAGGCACCGCTGGGATCTGAACCCATGTGGTCTAGCTCCAGAAGCCACGCTCCTACCCCCAGGCCATCCCACTGCCAGCTCCTCATGGCTGTTTCTGAAGGTGATGGAGGGACTCACCAGCCCAGGTTCCCAGGACTGTCTGGGCTTTGTGGCAGGAAACTGGGGCAGAGCAGGGGCCTCCGGGTGGGAAGGATGACCCTTTCCCAGCAAGACAGGACCTCGTCTCTTGCTAGAGCCCAGCTGGGGTTAGGTTTGGGATAGTGTGCTCAGGACATGTGATCAGAGGGAAGCTGGAAAGCTCTGAAGGGGGAAGGCTCCCCACACATGGATAATCCCTCATACAGAGACCCCAGACTCAGCATAGGATCCCAGACAGAATGGCCTTCACACGCTGCCTGGCTCCTTCCAAAATCAATACAGGCTCTTAAAATGCTGAAATAGTTCTGGTGCATGCTGAGATTTGTTGGACTGAGTTTAAAATCCTGGTGTGTGTGTGTGTGTGTGTGTGCGTGCGTGCGTGCACTGAGAGTGCTGGTGAGCTTGGAGAGGTTCCAGTCTTAAAAAGGACCCTGGCCCCGAGAGGCCACCTGACCACCAAGAACAGCCCGTGTAATTCTGGAAGGTGGATTTGGGATTCCTGCTTTCATGCCCTGAGGGCCCCTGAGGGCTCAGGACTGAGGGACAGAGGCTGCTGGGATGAAAAAGGTGCATCCCTGGCTGGGAAACTCCAGGCTTGGGTGGGCTTCTGCTGAGACCCAGCTCCATGCAGAGGTTCATACTGCCTGTGCCTCAGGGACCAGCATATCCACCTCCTGTCATCCAGTTGAGGCCTCAGGGCTCCCAGGGAAAGGAGCAGGGTCCCCCCAAGCCCAGGATACCAGGACCAGCCGGGCTCCAGCCCCACCCCTCCTTGTGCATTTCTGCCCTCCCAGGCTTCCCTGCGCCTTCATTACCAACCTTGTCCTCAGCAACCACGGCTTGTAAACCATATTCCACGTGCTTGGGTTTTCCCTCTGGACACACAGGCTCTGAGAAGATGGTTTAGGCAGTTCCCAACTTCACGATCACAGCAGGTCCTGCCAACCCACCCTGGACCGTCCCTAGCCTGGACCAGGGACACCCCACCCATGGGAGGATGGGTTGGAGCTGTCCTGGAGCTAGGCTGGACTGGGCCCTGCAGCCTCCAGGCAAATGCCTTTTCCTTTACAAAGCTGGTAAAGTGCTCTAGGTCACTCACCCTTGGAGGATCTCTCTGCTGCTTCATCATCTGGGAGTCGCTGTCTCCATTCCCAGGGATTCTCTGTGTCTTTAAGTCTAAGTTGGGGATTGGCCCGGCCACACCAACTTTCATCCCATCCGTATTTACACTCCACGGCTTTCCACACCCTCTTGCCTTCTACCTTTCTATACTTCACTGTGACCTCTGTAAGCAACGTCTGACACAAGACTTTGCTTTTGTGTCCAATCTGACAGTCTCTGTTCAGTACATTCATGGTTACTGTTTTCTCTGGATCTAGGAAAATTTATTTCCACCACTTATTTTTTTGTCCTGGCTTCTGGACTTCCATTTTCTCTCTCCTTTCCTAACTTCTATTAGAAATACTCAATTTTCTGTATTCTTTTTCTTCTTCCCAATTGCTTGGAAGTTATGGTAGGCTGATCATGACTCCCACAGATACACCCATGTCTAATCTGGAACCTGTGAATATCACCTGTATTGCAAAAGATGTGATCGAGTGAGGGACCTTGAGAGGAGGAGCATGTCCTGGGTCATCCAGGGCCCTAAATACCATGTATCCTATAAAAGAGAAGCAGAGGGAGTTTTGACCCAGACCTGCACAGGGGACAAGGCCCTGTAAACAGAGAGCAGGCATTGGAGAGACATGGCCCAGCTCAGGAATGATGCCAGCTGTGGGAAGCTGGAAGAGGCCAGGAAGGCTCCTCCCCCGAGCCTCAGAGGGAGCATGGCTCTGCCTCCTCCACACCTTGATTTCTGTCTCCTGGCCTCCAGGATTGCAAGAGAATACATTTTTGTTGTTATAAACTACCAGACTTGTGGTAACTTCTTATAGCAATCACAGGAAACTAACACAGAGATCATATTTTCTATTTCTTTAATAAATTGTCCTAAAGTTTTAATACCTGTGCTAGAAAGGCATGCTCCTTGTGTAGACACAGCCCGTGTCTCCCCCTGCTCTTTGCCCGGTACTGGGCATGCTAGGCTTTGCTGTTTGGAGTACTAGCCTCACCCTGTTTGTATGGCCATAAATTAATTATTACTTTTCTTTGAATTGTCAAGGCTTTATTGGATCTACCTACAGATTTACCAACTTTGCTCACCATTGCTTCTTTAAAAAATGGTTCTTTTTGTAGCAAAAGATATACATCACAAAAATGCCATTTTAACCATTTTAAGTGTATAATTCACATTAATTACATTCACGATGTTGTGCAACCATCACTGATATCTACTTCCAAAACTGGAACTCTTGTGCACTGCAAACTTTTTCACCATCCCAAACAGATAATCTGAACCCATTAAGCAATAACCTCCCATCCCCCACCCCTAGCCCTTGGTAACCTCTAATCTGCTTTGTCTCTATAAATTTGCCTAGTTTAGATCTGGAATCCTACAATATTTGTCCTTTTGTGTCTGGCTTATTCTACTCAGCATAATGTTTTCAAGGTTCATCTCTGTTGTCATGTGTGTCAGAACTTTGTTCCTTTGTGCGGATGAATCATATTCCGTGTGGTGGAGCACGCTGTATTTATCCATTCATCTGTCGGTTGACTTTTGCCTGGTTTCCATCTTTTGGCTTTTGTGGATGATGCTGCTATAAACTTTGGGACACAAGCATTTTTTGATTTCTTGTTTTCAATTCTGTTGAGTATATACCTAGGAATGGAATTATTGGGTCACAATTCCATGGTAACTATACATTTAGCTTTTTGAGGAATGACCACACTATTTTACACAACAGTTATACCACTTTCCATTTCCATCATCAATGCACAAGAGTTCCAGTTTCTCCACATCCTCACCAGCAGTTGTTACTTTTAGCTTTTCTGATTATAGCCATGCCAATAGGTGAAGTGATGGTGGCTTTAATTTACATTTCTCTAAAGATTAGTGATGTTGAGCATCTTTTCATGTGCTTATTGGCATTTGTGCATCTTCTTCAGAGAAACATCTATTCAAATCCTTTGCCCATTTTTATTTTATTTTATTTTTATTTTTATTTATTTTTTGAGACAGGGTCTCATTCTGTCTCCTAGTCTGGAGGGCAGTGGCATGATCTCACTGCAACCTCTGATTCCCAGCCTCAAGTCATCCTCCAGCCTTAGCCTCCAGAGTAGCTGGGATTACAGGCATAAGCCACCATGCCTGGCTAATTTTTGTATTTTTTGTAGAGATGGAGTATCACTATGTTGCCCAGGCTGGTCTCAAACTCCTGAGCTCAAATGGACCCGCCTGCCTTGGCCTCCTAATGTGCTGGGATTACAAGCATGAGCTACATGCCCAGCCTGCCCATTTTTAAATTTGGTTGTTTTGTTCTTTTGTTTTCGAGTTTTAGAAGTTCTTTATATATTCTGGATATTAAACTATTATTAGATATATGATTTGCAGGTGTTTTCTCCCATTCTGTGGTTGTCTTTTCACTTTCTTGATAATGTTGTTTGGTGCACAAAAGTTTTAAATTTGATGAAGTCTAATTTATCTGTTTTTTGTTGTTATTGTTATTCTTACTTGAGATTTTGATATCATATCTAAGAATCCATTGCCATATCCAAGGTCATGAAGATCTACCACTATGCTTTCTTCTAAGAGTTTTGCAGCTTTTGCTCTTATATTTAGGGTATTGATCCATTTTGAGTTAATTTTTGCCTATAGTGTGAGGTAGGGGTCCAACCTCATCTTTTGCATGCAGAAATCAAGTTGTCCCAGTAACATTTGTAGAAAAGACTGTTCTTTCCCCATTGAATGAGCTTGGCATCCATGACAAAAATTAACTGGCCTTAAACGACTCTGAATTTTATTCTATTGATTTATATGTCTATCCCTATGCCAGTTTTACACTGTTTTAACAGCTGTAGCTTTGTAGTAAATTTGAAATCAGAAAGTGTAACTCCTCTGACTTTGTTCTTCTTTTTGAAGGTTGTTTTTGCTACTTGAGGCCCCTTGCAATTCCGCATTGATCTTGCTCACCCACTTGGGCTGCCCAGTTGTGGTTGCCTGCAGTACTGTGTTGAGAGAGATCCTGAGGACGTGTCTGAGTTTGGAGGGGCAGGGGTTGCCGGTGACTTCCAAGGCCTGCCATAGGTGGAGGGGAGGGTGCCATGGTGTAAGCGCCAGCTTTGCTGCCCACCCCATGTACACAGAGTGGGGAGATGGAAGTACAGGGAAAAGGACAGGGCCTGCAGGCTCTGCCTCCCGTCCCAGGCCACTTCTACATAGCAGCAGATTCCGGATTCCGGATTCCGGGGCGGGGGCTCTGTCTACCCTGAGAGTGCAGGTTAATGTGGTGTTACATATTGCATGAGGCTGCCTGCTGATGAAGCACACTGGCGAATCTTGCTTACAGGCAACCTCGCCTCTGAACTCAATGCCCAGAGGAGCCCATTAGCTGGGTTCAGCAGGTCGATAGGCACCTCGGGAAGGCCTGGGGGTGCTGGCGCAGGCTGAGGCTGCACTGCCACCCTGAAGTCTCTGTGGGAATGTAGCTCAGAGGCACAGCCTTGTCTGAGACCACCTTGGCCATCCGTTCTGGGAAGTAAAGCACAGCTGTGTCCTGGCCGGGCACACTTGGGGCCTCACAGCCCCCACCCTGTCCAGGCCTGCATCCCTTCTGGTGCCTCCCGCTAGTCTGGGTCTCGTTGCCCCAGTCACCCGCTGAGCCTCACCTCTGCCTGAGCGAGGTCAGATAACATGCCCAGGACCCTCCTGGGGGTGGCTGACATGCTGACACTTGGGACTGATCTCACCTGGGCAGGAGGAGAGTTGCATAGGTGTGTCAGTCTGCAGCCTTTGTCTCATCCAGAACCAGCCAGGTGGGTCTCTGTGGCCCCCAAGAGCAGCACAAGCTCTCACGCTCCCTGACTGGCCACATTTCTTGGGGATGTAATTGCCTTTTTCCTGGACCTGTTTGGATGAAGGGATAGGTGCAGGCTTATTGGGTGGTGCCATGGGCAGTTCTCAGGTCCCTGTCCATCTCGTGTCCCCCAGGCCTGCCCTCTTTCAGCTCCCTGGAGGAGCCCCAAGGTGGTGTCCCCAGGAGCACACCCCATACAGGCTGGTGAGACATCCGCAGGGCTGCAGAGCAGACCCATGGTGGGGACGCCTCACCTTCTGCTTGTAGATGCTCCACCATGCACCAGGTCTGGGCTGGCTACGGTAAGGGGTGACGGGCTGGAGCCTGGCAGACAGCATGACCAGGAATGGGGTCTCCTTCTTCCTCTTGGACTTGTGACTGCAACTAAGGTCCTACTGAGACTGCAGTTTTGGGGTTCATCTATCAGGCAGGGGTCTCTGGGCTGCTAGTGCAGAGGAAGTGAGGTTGGCCTCTGAATCCTATGGGGCTGGCCCTGGGGCACAGAGCACACAACAGTGTGAGCTGGAGATGCAGGGAGAAAGCCTGCAGCTCAGCAGGGCCACTCTGGTGCTGCAGGTGGTGGGAGGCAGCTCCTCCAAGGGCTGAGTGGCACCCATGGCCTCCACCCCACAGCTCTGGGTAGCTGCTCCCCATCACCTTGCATATCCCCTGACTTCTCCACCTCTCAGCTTGGTCTGAGCATCAGTGCAGGGTGCAGCCCACCCCTCTGCCCCGGGCCCGAGCCTTCTGTCAGGCCAGTGCAGGGGCCTGTGGGCCTCCTGCCCCAGACTGCCTGGAATCAGGAGACCCAGAGGCAGCCTCTGCCCTGCCCCACCCCCCCTCCCAGCAACGCGAAATGAGTGCACATCCGCGAACATAACCATGCAGGCTTTTCTCGGAGCTCTGTGAAAGCAGATACCAGCCCTGGTCTGGCCATCACTGTCCCCAGGCTCCAGATAGGATCATCGCCAATAAAAGTGTTGCCATATTTCACTAAAATGAATTATGGAGGCCATCTGGCTGGAGGCTGCAAAGTGAGACATGAACCTCCCCCAGGAGGCCTCCGGCCCTGAGGGTAGAGCCTGGCCTGGCGGGGAGGGAGACCCCAGGGAAAAAGGACGAGGGCTCCACAGGGCAGATGCAGCAGGGTGGGATCAGGCTGCAACCCTCACGCCCTGGATGGGAGGTTGACCTCTCGGGAAGGGCTTGCTCAAGCCGGCGGCTGGGGCTGGGCCAGGCTGAGGACCCAAGTCAGGCCAGCTGTCTCTTTGCTGCCTGGCCTGGGGTCCACACCTGGTCAGGGGTGCACCTTCATTGGGGATGAGTGTGTGTGTGTCACAGGGCCGTGAGTGCCTGCAAGCAGGCAGGGAAGCTCTCCAGCTCCCTGGGCCTACGGGCAGTTGGGGGTGGGGTGTAGGTGACCCCCTGAGGCTGGGCTGAGCACCCCAACCCTGCACAGGCCACGAGGAGACCAGGTTCTAGTCTGGAAACTGCCATTAGCTGGTTCTTCGAGGGGCAATGACAGTGCTCTGGCCTCAGAAAAGCACTGTGGGCCCTTCCCCACTGACACGGGCTGGAGACCACACGGACAGCATCTGTGACCACCCTGTGGCTCGGTACTAGCACACGGGTGCTGTCACCAGGAGCCGTGTGCGGGGAGCACTCAGCACAGAGCGGCAGTCAAGTCAGGGCTGGTGGGGCTCAGAGAGGACCTCACCCTTCCCCAGTATGCCCCATGTCTCCCCATGCAGGAGGGCTCTAAGACTGGTGTCTGGAGGGCCGCAGGAGGGCAGGCCTATCGCTGAATCTTCCCTAGACCTCCCACCCCTGTCTCCTTCCTCTGGGCTCAGATCTGAGGCTCCCATCTTCCCCTGGCTGCCTCCCCTCCCAGCCCCTGTGCTAATGGGGAGAGCGTGCATTAAGGCTGGTGACAGGAACCGCCGAGGAGACACCTTTTGATCTCCGGGTGGCAGGAAGCAGAGGGGTCAGGAAAGGGGCGACCTCTTCTGACACCAGCACTGATGGGCTCTGAGTCTCCCAGCCTGGGGGTGGCAGGTGGGATCAGGCCCCTGGACCTGCATGGGCTATCTGCAGAGGAGGGTACCCCAAGCATGCTCAGTAGGCCCCAATATTCCTTGACCAGTCACAAGGAGGGCAGGTGCCACTCATTTTCTAGAGTTCCCCTGGAATTCTCGCTGCCCCTGCAACAGATACGTCTTCGGGAGACCGCCCTAGTGAACGGGCTGCCTCCAGCCCGTGCCTAGTGAACGTGGCGCTTCCAGAGGCCCCCTCTGAGTTAGAGGCCATGACCTTGGGCTGTCCTGCCTGTGGGACCCCCGCCAGTTCCTCAGAGGCCCCCTCCTCGGCTTCTTTCTAGTGAGAGCTGAGGCCCTGCCCCTTGTCTGTGGCCTGCATGCCCTCCTGAGGCAGTGCGTGTTGGCAGAGGCCCTCAAGGTGGCCTGGAGGAGCTTGGGGACCTAGACTCCAGGCTATAGGGCCCCGAGGCATGGACCGCATGGACCCCAAGTTCCTGGGGTGCTCCTCTTCCCAGGGGTGCAATGCCACATGCAAGCATCCCTCTCTGTTCTCTCACCAAGGCTTTGTGTGAGTGTGAGGACAGCACCTCTCCCAGCTGGTCGGCAGCTGGATGGAGGGGGTGGCAGCCTGCAGCCCTCTGGTGGTCCCCATCACCCCTCACCTGACCTGACCTGTCCTGGCCATTGGCAGCCAGGAGCAGGTTGGAGGAAGGTGGGGAAGGGATGCTGTGAGGTGGGGCACCCTTGGAGTCCTCTGGTGTCCCTCAAATCATGGCCAGCACAGAGGTCTCCTCCTCCCCACTGCCGGCCCCAAGATGTGGCTCATGGTAGGGCAACCAGCAAGACCTGCAGGGCCAGGAGGGACTGCTGTGCACCTGCTCTGAGAAGAGCTTGCCCCCACAGCCTCCATCCCCCTGGAGGAGTGAGTGTTCTCAAGGGGAGCCTTCTCCAAGTTGCCAGGCAGGGCCCAGCACCCGGACCTCCTCTTGAGACCTGGGCATGAGCCTCACCCACCCTGATCCAGGGAATGCTGGACATGAGTGGTCGTGGGGGTGGCCAGAAAGACAACCAGAACGTCAGGATTAACAGAGAAAGATCAGAAAGAGACAAAGAGAAAGGGAAAACAGGGGCCAGCAGAGAAGAAAATAGAAACAAAGAAACTGACAGAGAAGGAGGCAAAGACAAGAAGAATGAGACAGAGAGGAGGAGGTACAAGGCAGGAGCCACGGCAGAGAGAGGCATGTGGAGTGAGCTTGCATCCAGTGCAGAGGCGTGGGAGGGTGCAGGGCAGACGACATGATCAGCGGGGGCGGACGCCACCACAGCCACTTCCCAGTGTGTTGGAGGCTCTGTTCCTGTTAGGCACTGTGCATTTCTGAGGGGCTGGCCTGTGACGTGGGGTCTGTGGTTTGGACTCTCTGACCCTGTTCTGCTGCTATGCATAAAGTCAGGGCTGTAGGGGCCTTAGAGGCCAAGGCCAGAGCTCATTTCACAAAGGCAGCCATGGTGGCCAGAGAGGAAGGGGGTTCTGGACCCCCTAGATGCTAGCCCTGGACGAGGCCCAACCCAGAGACCCCAACTCCTGCCACTGCACTCACTGCCTCAGTTGTCGGCATCCCCCACCCCATCTGCAGAGCCACCCCATCTCATCCACCAGCCCATCCCTGCCCCATCTGCAAGTGGCCCCACAGAGGTCACAGGGTTCAGGCCTCTGCTCCTAGAGCTGGGCAGCCGAGGAGAACCCTGAGCAGCTGGCAGTGAGCTCAGAGTCCTGCTTCAAGATAGGACTGACTCTCCCATGGGACCCTGACACTACCCAGCAGACAGGACAGGGTCCCAGGCCAGATGCACAGCCACAGGCTCAGAGTAACTGGCAGGCTGGGCCCAGGGTGGATGGGAAGGCTCCAAGGGCAAAGCCATCTTGCTGGATGCCAGGGCTGGTGGGTGCTCTGGCAGAGCCTGCTGACTCACTGGCCTCCTCGGGTACCTGGACAAGATCCCATTAGGGAGAGCCCACGGCCTCAGTGGCAGTGGGTCCAGCTTGCTACATTGTGGGTGATGCCAGCCCCAACTCACATATCTGAGAAGGAAAGCGCTCAGCCATTGGCTGGAAGGCTGGCCCCAGCCCCCAGCATCTGGGTGACCCTGCAAGGTGAAGCAAGAATGCCCATTTGGGAGGGTGAACAAGAGGGTGCACACCGAGTACCCCAGCTTCTGCTCCATGAAAAGCAGGGTGACCAAGGGTCTCTAGGGCAGGCCTGAGCCTGGGGTGTTAGGCCCAGGGTGGCTGCAGAGCCCCAACCAAGAGCACCTCCCCAGTACTCTCTCCAGTCGATACGCTGGACTCCAGGAAAAGGGAGGATCAGCAAAACTGGGCAGCTCAGTCCCTGTGGAGAGGCAGCAGAAGCGTCCCAGGAGGAAGCGCCCAGCCATAAATGGAGAGAGGAGATTCGGTAAGACCAAGTAATGGTCCTTCAGTGGGAGAGGCAGTCAGCTGGAATTCACAGGCCAGCTTCCAGATCGATACTTCTGTGCTGATTTGCTGAAGAGGCTTTTATGAAGTTTAAGCAGAGTTCATTGTTAAATACTCTTATGTACAAAGGATGTGGGCGGCCATATTAATTCCTTTTCTTTTACAGATCAATAATTACATTGCTGATTTGCTTAAAAGGCTCAGGTCGAGGCAGGGGCGAGGACAGCCCGCCTCACTGCTCCAGGGAGCTGAAGGCTGACATGACAGAGGCTGCAGTGACAGGGGACGATGGTTGGCATGTGGCAGGCATGTGGCTAGTCCTCTGCGGCAGCCAGGTAGGGTCACCTCCAGCCCCAGGGCTTCCCTTTGAACTCAGTCCTCCCTGTCTCTGAAGCTCTTCTCTCTGAGCTGAGCAGACAGTAACGTGACTTCAGGGAGCTCTCCCAGCCTCCTCTGCTCTTCTCTACACACCCAGCCTGCAGCCCAGCTCAGAGGAGCTGGGAGAGGAGACCTCGTAGGAGCTCTGAGCAAGAGGCCTGCTAGGGGAGAAGGGAGTGGAGAGGCCCAGGTGGCCTGAGGCCAGCGCCAATACTGCTCCCAAGACAGGAACAACAGGGAGTCTGGGACTCTGTACCCCGAGAAGGTGTCACCGTCAGGCCAGTGACCAGACCCCTCACAGGGACCAAGGTGGCGGTTGTGCACAGCTCTTTTCAGCTGTGGCTGTCAGCCTTGATGCTTCCTCTTTGATATTGTGACAGGATGGAGCATGACTGGTGTGTGGGTGTGTGGTGGATCGGGCAGGGCCCCGGGTCTTCCCATGATCGCCTGTGTGCTGCTGCCTGCTAGCAATCCCTGCCTTTGTCCAGCAAGGTGCTTTCATGCCTAGGAGCTCAGGAGGCTGACACAATAGACCTCCTGTGAGGTGGGAGCTTGGCAGGTTTGGGGTGCTCATTCCTGACTGTGGAGTAGGATCATGGGCTGTGCCCACTGAAGCAGCCTGCAGGAGGCTCAGCGGGGGGATCCTGGTCACCTCATATTACCCCTGCTCAGAGGCCACCGTACACATAAAAAAAAGGAGAAACAACAGTGTGGTGAGCAGCATCAATTAATGTCTCTCATCTGGATGGTCAGGAGGTTTCCTTGCCCCGGCCAGGACATGTATCATGTGTGATGGCTGTGGAAGGAGCTACATCTGAGCTCAGTGGTGAAGAGTGCCTGTAATTGATTAATAATGTCTACCACGGACAGGGCAAGGGCAGTGGTGACTCGTGAGTCATATATTTTCAGCCTCACACAGACCATAGAGTATGTTTGGCACTAAAAGCCCCATATGGATTGAGATTTGCAGAATCTCTTGGAAAAAAAGATACATCCTGGCTGAGCAGATCCTAGGGTCTCTTGACTGACCCTGCACATGTACACAGGTGCACAGATGCTGCCAGGAGGCCATTATGAATTCTATTTTATCTAATAGCCTGGTCAGGAAATGGAAGGGTATATTACAGATCATTAAGTGGGTGAAGGAATTTGACAACCTTTGATCCGACTCAGTAAAATAGATGGCATGAATTAATTCCCTGGCTTGTGGAGAGAAGAAAAGTCATCCTTCAACAGTGGTGACAGGCAGGGAGTTCACCCCCTGTGGGACAGATTCTAGGGAAGGCATGCAGCAGCTTCCCTGGGAGTGAAGGGCTGAGATGCATGGGGTGGGGAGCAGGAACCTGAGGGCCCCAGGCTGCCCCTCCAAGCCCCTGCTCCAGCCAAGGTATCATGAGAGGCACTAGTGTGTCCCTCACTTCCCCTTGGCCAGGGGACAGCTCTCAGGGAATGTTCTCCAAGACCAGGGGACAGCCCTTGAGGGCAACATGGGCACCAGTTACCCCTGAGGGCCAGGCCTGGGTCCCTAGGACTGACCCCTGTGCTCGTGCCTCACTGACCCTGCAAGGGGGCCGGGGATGGGGGCTCAGGGCAGGAACCTCAGGTCAGGCTCACAATGTCCAGTTACAAACAAGTCCACCTGGACATCCAGTAGGTATTCAAAAGGCACTTGTCCCCATTTCCTTCCCCATAGGCCTGCCCTCGCCCCACTCCAGCTGATGATAGCCCTGCACTCCCAGTTTCTCAGGCCACAGGTCCTGGCGTCTCCCTGGGTGCTGGCTTCTCTCATTTCCTTCACCCCACGCACCAGCAGTTCCCGTGGTCCCAGAATCTGACCCCTCACCTCCTGCCCACCTGCTGCATCTCTGCAGTGGCCCATTCTGCACTTTCCTGTCCACCAGCACTGCAGCCTGTCCTCCTGTTCTCTGCCCGAGACAACAGGATTCTCCTGAGATGTAAGTCAGAACCCACTGTGCCACTGCTCCAGCCATGTGCTGCTCTCTTGGGCACCTCACTGATCCACCAGGGACCCCTAGCCAGGGCCTCGATACTGGCGTCCCCCATGCCTGGCATGATCTCCCCCAGGTGTCCACATGGCTCAGCATCACCTCGGCAAGTTCTGTCCTCAGTGGGTATGTGGGCCCTCGGGGACATAGGTTTTGTCTTTTTGTCACTGCTGTGTCCCAGTGCCCACTCTAGGCTGATTATCTGTGACCCCCATTCATATGTGAAAGCCCAAACCCCAGCGTGATGGCAGTGGGTGTGAGGGCTGTGGGAGGGAATTAGGTCATGGGCGTGGAGACTCCATGAATGGGATTAGTGCACCTATAAGGAGGGATGCAAGGGGCATGATCTCACTCCACCATGGGAAGATGTCATGAGAGGACAGCCGGCCGCAAACCAGGAAGAGAGGCCTCACCACCACTGACCCTGCTGGAACCCAGTCCAGAGGCCGGCCTCCAGAACTGTTAGAAATGACTGTTTGCTCAAGCCGGTGTAACCTATCTTGTTATGGCAGCCCACAGCAGGGCCTGACAGGCAGTGGGACCTCAATGGGTATGTGCTGAATGAATGAAGGAGAAAGCTGGGCAGGCCAGGCCCTGTGGCCCCACAGGCTGCCGGAGGCTGCACTCTCTCCAGCGTTGGAGAAGCCTCTCCCCTCCGCTCAGATGAGGAGCAGACCCAGGAGCAGGACCTTGCGTGGACGTGGCAGGTTCTGTGGCAGGCCCAGGCTCGGGGAGTGACATTGACGGGGAAGAGGTGCTCAGGCAGAATCCTCCTGAATGGGCGAGTGGCTGTCACCTAGATAGGACACGAGGGGTGGGGGGAGCCTTTCCCTCATGGGGGTGGCACTTGCCAAGGCTAAGTGTGAAGTCCCCAGGCCAGAACAGGACCCTGCAGGGGGTGCAGTATGGCTGGGCCAGGGCCGCCTGCCAGGTATGATTGGCCAGGAGATGGGTCCAAGGTAGAGGGGGCTTGTCTTGGTGGCGCGTGCCCATGCACTGGCATCCCAGAGCTCCAGCGTCTTCTGTAGGCCTTGGAAACATGGTGAAGAATTTTGTGGGAAGGTGTGGCATCATCATTTTTGCATTTACAGTTATGTTGGCAGCGGGTGCAGCACCACGAGCAGGCAGAAAGTGGGAAACTGAGTCAGCAGAGGGTGAGCAGAAGTGGGGGAGCACGGGAGCAATGTTCTGGAGGGTTTCCAGCTCCCCCTCACCAGCTGTGTGGATACGGACATCCTCCTTTTTTCTCTTATTCTCAGTGTCTTCACCTGTAAGATGGACTGATAATGGAAATGGCACCAGGGCAGGCTGATGTTATGCCAGGTGGGTGTACAGAACACCTGCCAGAGCCCGAGTTCCCCAGGCAGAACTTCTGCCCTGTCTGCCAGTGCCCAAAGGAGCCCAGTGCACAGAGCACCTCTGAGTCTGCACCTCCCCTCAAGCTCATGTCCTCAGCCTGGCTGCTAATAGCTCAGTGAGGGCAGAGCCTTGATGGGGAACAAGACCTTTCTCGAAAAACACCCTGTGCTTGGCTGAAATGCGTCCTTAGTATGCAAGGATGCTGGGTCCATTAACATCGAGTGCACCATCATACCACAGGAGTGATTGTTTCTCAAATAGAATTACTTCCTCTGATTATCCTCTAAAGAGACAGGCCAGGGGATATGGGCGTGAGGTGCTGGGAGGCCAGAGCTAAATCCAATCAGGGACCTGGCTCTTGGGAGATGGGTCTGCACTGGGGTCCGTGTGGCATGTAAGTGGGGACCCTTGGGACCCTCAACAAGGCCTCTTCTGTTGCTCCCCCAGCCCCCACTCCACAGAGAGCCTGAGCCCCAGCCAAAAAAGGCGTGGGCCAGGCAGAGCACAGGGACCATGCGTGAGGGAAGATGGCAGGCGGGCTATTTGGGGGGCCTCTGTCTCAGTGCCCTGGAGAGATTTTGCTCCAAGCAGAGCTGGGTGTCCGTGGCCTTATGACCCTGTGCCATCTGCCCTTCCTGATGGCATCATCCCAAGCAGGTTACACAGCTCTCCACGAAGGGAGTGAAGAACCATCACACCCAGCATGTCCTAAAGACCTGGGTGCATCCCTCACTGAGCCCTGGGAGTGGGCACAATGATCCCCCATCTTACAGATGAGCAGGCTGAGGCACAGAGAGCCATCCAGCTGGTGTGGCTGTGGCACTGGGTGCCTCAGAGGCCCTGCTGTGGGTGTGGCATGTGTAACGGTGGATGAGACCGAATGGAGCAGCTGGTGTGGGGCAAGGGGCACGTACACAAGCACGAGAATTGACTCAGGGTAAGTGCGTTACAGAGAGGAACTCTAGGCAGGAGTTGCTGCAGCTGGGCCAGAGGGAGGGCCCCAGGGACAAGGTCTGCATGGAGGAAGGAAGGTGACCAAAAGGAATGCAGGATAAATGCTTCTAAACAGAAGGCACAGTGCGTGCAGAGGCCCGGAGATAGGGTGAATGTAAGGAACCTGGTGAGGCGGCAAGAGCTGCATGTGGGGAGCATGTGACAGGTGAGAGAGGAGATGAGACTGTAGGGTAAGCAGGTGCCGGCCAGGGGTGTTTAGAGGAGGGAGGAGGGTGGGTTTGGCCTGGCTGCCATGGTGGATGGCAGCAAGACCAAGCTGGCAAGCAGCGGGACCCAGTGCACACTCCAGAAACTTCTGCTGCTGCGGGAAGGGGCAGGGCAGGGCTAGGAGACACGGGGGAAGTTGTCTCCAGAGAGCTGTGGAGGATGACAGCTGAGGGGATGGTGCCAGGGAGAGAGCTGGGTGAGAATGTGTCCAGGTGAGGAAGGGTCAGGTGGGGGTGCATGCAGTTGAGGAAGGAATGCAGGTGAGGGTTGCCTGCATTCTGAAGATGGGCAATAGGGCATCCTTGGGTTAGGTGGGGGATGAGGGAATGATGGTGTGGGGGTCTCGAAGGGTTTTATTTATTTATTTATTTAGAGACAAGGTCTTGCTCTGTTGCCCAGGCTGGAGTCAAGTGGCACGACCTTGGCTCACTGCAGCCTTGACCTCCTGGGCTCATGCAATCTTCCTGCCCCAGTCTCCCAAATAGCTAGGACTACCAGTGCACGCCACTATGCCTGTCTAAATTTTTTAGTTTTTATGGAGATGAGGTCTCACTTTGTTGCCTAGGCTGGCCTCAAACTCCTGAGCTCGAGTGACCCTCCCACCTCAGCCTCCTGAATAGCTGGGATTACAGGCATGAGCCACCATACCTGGCTCATTTTTTAGTTTTTTTTTTTTTTTGATAGAGATGACATCTTGCCATGTTCTCCAGAGTAGTCTCCAATTCCTGGGCTCAAGCGATCCGCCCACTTCGGTCTTCCAAAGTGCTGGGATTACAGGCATGTGCCACCATGCCCAGCTCTCAAAGGGTTTTAGACCCAAGTAGCAGGAATAAGCCAGTTTAAACAGGGAGGAGATCAGGGTTGGGTCTTGGAACAGTTCTGGCCCCCAGGGTACCAGGTGCCACAGGCCTCAAGCAGGCTTAGAGTGTGTGGTTGGCTCGTGGGTGGAGGGTGTCGCGGTCACCGGCCCATGGTGGCACTGGCCATGCAGGGGCTGGATGACAGCACATAATTGGCACGGGACAGAGTCGGGATACCCTGACTTTCCTGGTGAGGGAGAGGGGAGGCATCTGCAGAGGAGCAGGTGGGAAGGCTCCAGGCAGGGGCCATCTGCAGCAAGTGCTGGTCAGGGCCTTGCTCCCCATGGCTCAGTGGGGCCTGGGGTTTCCTCCAGGCAGCTGCACATACCCCCCTGCCCTTCCCTGCCCAGTGGATTCAAGGACATACATCCCCTTAGCCTTCTGACCCCACCAGGGCGAGGCCCTGTGCCTGCTGTCAGACCAGAACATGCTGGCCCCCTGTCTCCTTCGTCTCTGGGCTCCCCAGCACTTAGCAAATCAAGGTTGCTGGGAGCGACGGTTGCATTAAATTGAATCACCCAGGGCATGTTCTTATCTCGTTCCTGCTCAGGCTTGGCTCCTCTCGCGTCTGAACCCATAAGTCGGCATGCTGTGTTCTGTGGGGCTGAGAGGCCCAGCTCACCCGATTAGAATCACGGTCAATATCTGCTTTATTGTCCTTCCACACCAGCATGGGCCACGTGATAGATCGCCCTCCCCGCGGCTGATAAGGAGGCTCTCTGAGGTCAGACGGGCCCTTGGGCTCCCGGGCAGGAGCACCCGGCCTCCCAGCTCCAGAAGCTGCGCCTCCTCCAGCTCGCCTGCCCCCACGCTGCCCAGTGACTCTCAGGAGGAGAGGAGCTGATGTTCCTGCACCCATGGTGAGTATGGTTGGTGGAGATACTGATCTGGGGGCCTGTATGGGAATGAGGTGGCCCTGGTCACAGCACAGAATACCAGAGCATGACACTGTCTACCACCCCAGGGGGGCTTCCCAAGCAGAGCTGAGTGAATGGCACCTGGTGCCACTTGCTCTCATGTGTCACTTGTCACCTTTGGGCTCACGCCTCAGCATACCCCCCAGAATGGCCCAGCCTCCACTCACAAGTCATCCTTCCTGAGCATTGTGGGGTCAAAACCTGGATGTCCTGGGGCGCCCCCAAAGGTGTGTCCTGCCCTGGCAGGGTGAGGAAAGGTGGGTGCGCTCATGGTGGAGGGGAGAGCGGGGTGAGCCATCACGTCCCTGCTGCACGTGGTGCTGTGGCTCAGAAGACCGGGCCCCAGCACTGGCAGTTGCAGGGCCCCGCAGCCCACAAGTGCTGTAGTGTGAAGATGTACTAGTGCTGTAGTGTGAGGACGCACAACTGTTCCATGTTTTCTATTTCACTCGAGTTTGGTTTTCTGCTTCACCCCACACCCCAACCTGCTCCTGGCTGGTCAGACCTGCCCTCCTCCAGGAGCGGGGAGCCAAGTCCTCTGGCTGTTTGTCCTGCTCTTTCAGAGCCCACCCTTGCCCTGTGGCCCTGGGTGCAGACAGCAGCTGACTGGCGAGGGCCCCTGCCCCCCATGGCTCCTCAAGGCACACCCACACCACTAGCATAGCCGCAGAGGATGTTGGACCCACCATGCGGTTTCTGTCAGTCCTCAGAGTGACTCTGAGAGAAGGATGCTTTCATTCCCGTTTCACAGATGAGGAAATCAAGACTCGGAATGTCCTGGTCCCTTTCCACAAGGCCTCGCCTTATCCGCTCCCACAAAGGGCTTACCTCTTCAGGAGGATCTGGCCCCATGGTCAGAGAAGTGAGTGAATATCAGCTGTGGGGCACCCAGAGCAGTTGCCATCTTCTGCTCTGTCTAGCCTGGGAGTCCTGGAAGGAGACTGCAGCCTGAGTGCCTCCCGAGCCAGCTCCTCTCCAGGACATCACCTTGGCCCCTGGGTGTCCCAACAGACAGTCAGCACACAAAGGCAGGTGACATGCGGACGTCCCTTTACCTGGCCCCTGTGTGGGAGGGGAGGTGAGGGGCATTTATTTGACATTTACCCGGGGTCTGCCTTGGCCCGCCGCACAGCTGCCCTGTTCAGAGGCGGGGCCCCAGTACACTCCAGGGTGAATGGCTGCTGAGTCTCGCCCTCTGCTCTGTACTGGACCATTGAGCCCAGATGGCACTGGCCATGACAACCTTGGCCCAGGCACTTAGAGACACGACTCTTCCAGCCACAGGGATGGCAACAAAGAGGCAAGACCTCCCTGGAGCTCACGGAGAGGCCTGGTCTTTCCACCTCACAGCTCTGTCCTCCTGCAGAGGCCCCTCTTCCCACTCCTGTCCCCTCCTCATGCTGCTTCTCACACTGGAACAATCTTGTCCATTAGTTGTCATAGCAACTGAGGCAGGGCGAAGTCATCCTCTAGAAGGGGCCCTGTGCAAATTATGGCATTACACCAACTTATTGCCAATCTTTTTAATTAAAACATTTTGCTTTCAACTCGGCTAATGGCAGAGATCAGTAAACAGGGGGAGATTGAATTACCGATATTGAAGCTCCCCCAGCTCTTAAAAGGCTTAATTACTGGTGGGACCACAGAGAGGCAAGGAGGGGCTGCCAGCGAGCAGGTGGGCCTGACCCACCAGGGCCGCGTGAAGGTGATCAAATGGAGCTCCGGCATTAAAAAATTTTAAACTCTTGAAGGACAGAATGAGCTACTAGAATTGTGGCTACAGTTCTGTTTCCAGGAACTATGACGTCATGTTGCTGGCTGCTGAATTTCTGTTTAATTAAATTGCCTATTTGACACCTGGAGGCAGAACTGGGTGTTCATGGTGTGGCTGACTGATAAGCCAGGACTCCACTTGCCCCAGAGACCCAGCCTCTTACCCAGGAGGGGAGAAGTAGGGGGAATGCTGCCCCCACCCAGGCAGTTCACATCCTCCTGACAGGAGCCCAGGGATCCCTTCCCCTCAGGGTGTCTGGTAGCTTCACAGCAGGAGGTGCCCTCAGGTGATCCCCATTTAGGGAGGAAAACAAAGGCTCCCAAGAGATGAGTCTCGCCCAGCCAGGGTCACAAAAGGACTCGAATCCAGTCCTTGCCAAGGCTTCTTTTCGAATCATGAATTTCGCTAATTACAGTCCTCTCCTTCCTCTCTTCCAGGTTACCTGATGCCCAGGTAGGAACTGCAGCTATTTTTAAACTGAGATTTCCTACAAATTAAAATTGCTTTGAGTATGTGTGAATACATGGATGTGAGTGTATATGTAGTTGAGTGTGTTGTGTGTATAAGTGTGTATTTGTGAGTGTATATGTGTGAATGTATGTTGTATGTATAAGTGTGCATGTGTGTGATGTATGTCATGCGTATATGTGTTCATATGTGTGTATATTGTATGTGTATATGCATGAGTGTATAAGTGTGTATGTGTACATGAGTGTGCAAGTGTATGAATGTATGTTGTGTGCATAAATATGTATGTGTGTGAGTGCATGTCATGTGTATATGTGTTTTTGTGGGTTGTGGTATAAGTGTATATGTGTGAGTATATATGTGTTTGTGGGTGTGTATGTGTGAGTATGAATGTATGTCATGTGTACATGTGTGAGCGTGTAAGTGTATATGTGAGTGTGTATATGTGTGAGTGTAAGAACTGTGTGAGGTGTGTGTGGGCACGTGTGTATATTACATGGACATGAGCATAGATACTTCTAGGCTCTCTGTTCCTAAGGGTTGGGGATCAGCTAGGGTCCCTGTAACAGAGCAGAATTTGATTCCTCATGAATGAAATTGACATTACAGAAGCACCTAAACCAAATTATAGCAAAAGGCAAAGGGATAAAAGACATACCCAGAAAATACGAGACCAAAACATTAGAAAAGCTGACATGGGATTACTAACAACGGACACAGAATGAAGGCAGGAAGCACTCATGAGGATGAAGAGGGACACTACAATGCATTTACCAGTAGGACTCACTAACCATGAACTTGTGCGCACTTAATAACATAATCTTGCTGCAAAGAGAAACTGACAAATTTGCCACCTCAGTGTAAGCTTTAAAACATTTTCTTATCAGAAATGGATAGCTCAGGGCTGGGCGTAGTAGCTCACGCCTGTAATCCCAGCACTTTGGGAGGCTGAGGCAGGTTGATCACTTGAAGTCGAGACCAGCCTGACCACATGGTGAAACCCCGTCTCTACTAAAAATACAAAATTAGCTGGGAGTGGTGGCACACGCCTGTAATCCCAGCTACTCGGGAGGCTGAGGCAGGAGAATTGCTTGAACCCAGGAGACAGAGGTTGCAGTGAGCCAAGATCGCACCCATTGCACTCCAGCCTGGGCGACCAGAGCGAAATGCCATCTCAGAAAAAAAAAAAAAAAAAAAAAAAGTAATGGATGGTTCAATGAGATTAAAAAATTAGGAAAATCAGGAAGTAAAAGGAAAGGAAGTCCCACGAAATTTTAAAAAATGATATCATATAGTACACACTCTCTGACTGTGTAATAAATTGAAAATAAGCAATTAAGAAATACGTATATAAAAATATGCTTGGAAATTTACAAATATCCTCCTAAATGACTGAAATCAAGATGGAAATTTCAAATCATTCAGCATTGTAGGATAGGAAATTACAGCAAAACCTGTGGAATGTAGCTAAAGCAGTATTTACAGGAAAACATATCACCTTTCAATGTATACATTAATTAAACAACAAGAAAGACTTAAGTGTATTTAAATTGAAAAGCAAAAAGCAGGTAAAGAAGTACTAAAGAGTAGATATTAATAAAACAATTTAAAAAAACCAGGAGCATAAATAAGGCCCAAGCCTATTTCTCTTTTTTTAATGCTAACAAAATAGGTTAAGTGAAGAAAGGATTCTGCTCTGAGAATGAGAGCATCCCTGTCTCCCTTCCTCTACTAGACCTGGTCTCTGACCATGAGGCCAGGTACTCCCCTCTGGTGCTCATGGCACCTGGATGCTCTCTACGGCCCTTGCAGTTGGGCAGCCTGTGCTCTGTACAACGGCGACAGCAATCCTGCCTGCCTGTGCCCAGCATTCCTCAGCTATACGGGACAAGCAAGGAGAGTGAAGGATGACAAGTGCTTGGTCAACCACGAAGCTCTGCAAGATGTACAAGATTCAATACACAGTAGCATGTGAGAAGTTCAGTGAAGCTCAGTGCCAGTGAGCATTTGCCCAGCTCTCTATTCACTCAGCATGAATGAGCACCTACCATATGCTGTACCAGAAAATGGGAGAGGGAGGTGGAACCTGGGTTTTGCAGTCCTGCCCTCTGAAATGTGCAGAAGAGTCCTCATGGTGGGGGAGTGTTCTGCCCCACAAGATAAAGGGCTCTGTGAGTGCAGAGGCTCTTTGGACACATGGCTCAAGTGTCCCACTGTGGCCCCCAATCATATCACTTCCTTTCCTGACCCCAGAATCCACTTGGGCACTCCAGCTCTGGAGATCTGCTCAGCCACCTGCCCTCTGGGGTCTTCTGAGGAGCAGAGCCCAACACCCACAGCCACAGTACTCCTTCCCTCAGGCCACCTAATCACAAGCGCACCGTCTCTGTGCCACATGTGCAAGCTCCTCACCACGCTGTTCTCAGGCACATGGGTTTCCTCCTCACATACAATCACCCCTGTCTCATGGACGACAGAGTGAAGACTCAGAGAGGATAAATAACATGGATGGAGTCAGGGTTTTACCTGGGCATTCCAATGCCAGCATCCACCCCAGGCGCCACCCCTGCCTTCCCTGGGGGCAGCCTGGCTGTCTGCCGACCCAGATAGAAAGGCAGCCCCTGCCCCTTGGTGGGGACAGGCAGTCACCCACATGCCCCCTCAAACCTCTCCACCAGCTCTGTTTCTCGGGGCACATCCCTGCTGCCTCAATCTTACCTGCCAGGAGGAGCGGGGCTGGCAGTGATTTACAAAACAGCCCCTCCCAGAGGAGCTGGGGCTGAGGGGGGCTACATTACCCCGCATCTGTTTCTGCCTGGAGTTCTCCTGTGCTTTAGGGCCTCAGGAGGGTGGTCACAGGGACAGTCACAACCTCCATCAACCGCCCTTCAGCGGTGGCTGTCGGCAGGGAGGCTGGGCAGGCAGTCGGCGTGGGGAATCCGTCTTCCTCTCCTTGATATATGGGTAATGGAGACCCTGACCATCAAGCTGTCGGGAATTTCTCATCTGCCCGCGATGCGTCCCCAAAGGGAATGTTAATCCATAGATCCAATCCTCCACCCCATCCTTACAGGCAGCCTGGTAAAAATGGCCTCACTGCACTCCCAGGGAGGGTTGTATTCATGGAGCTGTTGTTTAAGATGGGATGGTCCTTCTTGAAAGCAGGGGTCATCAGGCTGTGGTCCACTCTGAACGAGAATCGCTACCTCTAACAGGCGAACAGGCATCCCTGGCCAGCAGGTGGCTTGCCAGCTCCCACCCACTTGGAGTCGCTGCTGTGCTCACACTGGGCCCTGCGGGTGCTGACGTGGCTTGACAGTAACTCTGCATGTGGCCCCAGGGGTGGGTGAGCCATGTGGCATCTTCCGTCCTGCCCTGCGGGTGCACCCTGGCTCAAATCCTGCTCAGGGTCCTCAGCAATGCTCCAACCTGTTTCTGCACCAGGAAAATGATGCAGAGCACCCCCTCACCCTAGGCGTGAGTCTCTCCTGCTCCTGACCCTGTAGTCTCTTCTCTGGACCTCAAAAGGACCTAGGGGCTAGCCAGTCTGTCACATGCCAGCCCTGGTGTTTCCAACCCCCTCCTAGGGTAACTGTGATGGAGCGGTAGGTTGTGTGGCTGCAGCGTGGGGCCTGGGAGGCCTGGAGAAGACTGCACCTCATCCAGGCTGAGTCGGCTCAGGCATGGTGTGGTGGCTGTCAGAGGTGCAGGGCCTCAGGGAGGAAGTGGCTCTGGAGTGCAGGGCTCCCAGGGTGATGCTGCCTGCAGGGGAGGCTGGAGGGGGTGGGCTCTCAGGGTTGGGTGACTGATGGCCCATTTGGTGGCTGAGGGCTGTGCTCAGTTCAGCTCTGGGCCTGTACTGTCAGGAAATCCCAGGGGGCTTTTCAAATTGCCTGGGGCCAGCTAGAGCAGCCTGGAGGGAGGCTGGAGCCCTGGCTGGAGAGGACACCCTCCCCTGCCACTGGGCACAGGCCTGGCCTCCTGTGGGAGGGTCCAGAGCCCTGGCAGGCAGCCCCAGCGGGGGTGCAGCATCAGCCCCTCACCCAGGCATGCAGAGCTCAGCAAGGAGGGGCTGGCACTGTGTGCAGGGCATTCTCCCCTCTCCCACTGGACCTGAGGCTCTTCTGTAACCTGGATGAGAACAGGGGTGCCTCTGGGTGAACAATCCTGACACCCTGGCCCCTTCACGAGCTCTGAGCCTCTCCCAGGTCATTCGTGGAGCCCCAGTGGACTGGCCCCAAGCTTGAGCCCCTCTGCTCCTCTCTCTCACCTCAGGCCCTCCATTTCAGCCGCAGCCTACCAGGAGCTGCTTTGGACAGCTCAGGGGTCCAGGCCTGGGGTGGGGTGAGGGCCTCCCCAACTCCACATCACTTGTGGACTCCAAAGT
Source organism: Homo sapiens (assembly GCF_000001405.40). Lineage (NCBI taxonomy): Eukaryota > Metazoa > Chordata > Mammalia > Primates > Hominidae > Homo > Homo sapiens. Next base: position 42,974,681 of record NC_000010.11, on the reverse strand, counting down.
CGCTCTGCTGGACCCAATATCTTTCCAGGTCCCTCTGAACAGCCCAGTCTCCCTGCTGCTGCCTCCAGCCCCTTCCCCAGGGACCCAGGGGGACCTTAGCCCTCCCACTGCTGCCCTGCCTGGCTCTACCCCCTCCCTGCTGAGAAGCCCCTGCCTTTGCCAGTGACAAAGTCTCCATGAACATAGACGTGTGGTGTGTCTGTGCCAACAGAACCCCACAGACACCTAGAGTTCAGGCCACAGGGCCAGGGACTGGCCTCTCGTTAGTCAGCACCAACTTCCATGTCCCCAGCCAGCCTCCCCACCTTATCCTCAGGGCTGTAACAGGGGCATATGCCACTAGGTTTTTGGGGGAGCTGCTTCAGAGGACCCACACACTGCCTGCCAGAGTATGCTGGTCATCCCCACCCTCATGGGCCCAGGGGTCTCCAACTGCCACCCAACTCTTGTCCCCCAGGATCCAAGTGGACGGTAAGATGTTCCTCAGCACATCCCCTGCCAGGAGTACCCCCAGCTCCTTCCCCAAACTGAGGCCATTCTAGCATCCCTGCTCCTGGGGATGAAGAATGAGCCAGCACCCACCACGGCCACGGGCCCCTTCATCAGCAGAGAAACCACTGGGCTCCCAAGCCTGAATGGCACCGCGCTGGAGTCTGACAACACCAGACAGGCACAGACCCCCAGCAGCCCTCCTGGGGGACAGAGCCAGACAGGAGAGTGACTGTTGCCTTCCAACAAAGAGATGGGCACTCCTACCATGGAGTAAGAAAAGCGGAGTGGCAGTGGGGAGTGAGAGAAAAGCAGAAATGAGTAAGGAGAAAGAACCACAGAGGCAAAGAAATGGAAAAGATGCATCAGGGCCTGCTTTGCAAACTGCTGGACAGAAAATTTGGATACTTAGGTAAAAATGATGATTTTCTAGAGCTATGTAAATGACTAAAATTAACCCCTGAAGAATAAAAAACGTAAAGTTTAACAAACGTTGCAAAGGTGTTTGGCAGTTCAGTAGCCATTAACCCTGATGAGACAGAGAAGAGGGAGGTGCGTACAAGCGGACATCAGCCCAAAGGCTGCAGCCCCCACAGCCAGGGAGCATGGCAGGAGTCTGATCGTGAGCTGCTGATGTCTTGGAGACAGGGACACAGGAGAAGAGAGGAAGGGAAGATGGAGTCACACACAGGTACAGGGCTGGCCAATGAAACCCAAAGACTTGGCTGAAAATAAGAGCATTCTGCAGAGTTGCTACTAACAAAAATAACATGCAAAGATCGAGGGCTTTCCCATGCATAAACCATGACTAAATAAAGAGGTAATGGAATAAAAGATTACATTCACAAAAGCAATACATAAAATAAAAATATATAGAAGTAATCTTAACAAGTGTGTGGAATCTACATGAAGACAACTCAGAACTGCTACAGGAGGACGTTAAAAGGCTGGCACAGCGATAGTGAAATGGACTGTGTTATACAACCACAGTTAAGACGGTTTGATATTGCATAAGAAATTTACAAGGCAGAGTCCAAATATAGATGTCACAATGGAAATTTCACAGGCAATGGGGTGGCCTTAGACTAATGGGAACAATGAGGGACCATTCGATAAATAATGACGTGACTCGAGACCCCCCACAAGGAAAAAATAAGGCTACTTTTGATAAAGTTATTTGATGCCAAATCAATTCCAGACTAAAGTATTAAGCCATAAAATTACTGGAAGTAAACATGATTTTTTAAAAAAATAAAGACCTTTCTGAGCAACCCAAACCAAATGAATTTTAAAATGATCAATACGTTTGTTTACACACTGTAAGACTTTGGTATGATAAAATAAACAAACAAATAAATTGGGGGGAAATATTTGCAGCACATATGACAGCTAAGGGCCCTATTTCCTAAACGGACTAAGTGCTCTCAGGCACCAATAAGAAAAGGTACCCTAATGGAGAAATGGACAAAAATGTAAAAAAGAGTACTTGACTTCACTCATAACTAAATAAACACAAAATAGAATGACATTCTTTTTTCATTGGAAAGTGGTGATAACATCATACCCTGTTGAAAGATGTGGAAATCTTTTTGAAAACAATTTGACAAGATCCGTTTAAAAATTTCCTTGCACAGATGTTTTGGCCCAGGTTGTTTTTAGCTCATTGTTTTGGGTTGTACTACCAGAAATTTATCCTAAGAACACACTTGCAGAATTTTCCAAGTAAAATTTGAACAAGTAAAATTTCCTGGAGCGTTGTCTGCAGGGGCCAACAGCAGGGCACTGGTCAGCCATGGCCCACACACACATCCACACGTGGGCATCCATTCCATTACACCTAAAAAAAGGCGTCACAGACACAGCATGCCTCAGAAGCATGGGCAGCATCACGCTGTTTGCGCACATGCTGAATTTGCATAAGTGTTTTTCTGAGAGTATGCACAAGAAACGGTCAAGAGCAGTTATCTGGGAGAGAGGAAATATTGGGAGTAGGCTTTTACATTTCATTGTGCACATTTCATATAATTTAATACTGTTCGAGATGTATGGTGTGCAGGTATTACTTTTAATAAAAACCTAATCAACAACAGCAATAAAACAACTCGCAGGCAAAGCAAAAATAAATAAACAACACAACTTACTGCTTTAACAGAAGGTGCCAAAGGTATGGACCTATTTATCCTGAGATGTCTGTACATATTACATCATTTCGAGAGTGATGGAGTGAGTGAGCTAAGAGCAGAGAGACCGTGGCCCAGTGGTGTCCTAGTGCACTGGGGCAGACCCCTACCAGTGATGCCATGCCTTCTTTCCAGAATGTGCCTCGGAAATTCAGTGGGACTGAGTGAGTTACAGGGAAAACACCCTCACTCAAATGATCTATAAAATGGGTATTGGCCAGGCCTGGTGTCTCATGTCTATAATCCCAGCACCTTGTGAGGCTGAGACAGAAGGATTGTTTGAGGCCAGGAGTTCGAGACTAGCTTCAGCAACATAGTGAGACCCTGTCTCTACAAAAAATAAAAAAATTAGCCAGGCGTGGTGGTGCACGCCTGTGGTCCCAGCTACTGGGGAGACTGATGTGGGAGGATCACTTGAGCCCAGGAGATAGAGGCTGAAGTAAGCCTTGATCACGTGTATCAAGCAGTTAAAAAAAATTACAACGCCTTGTCCTTAATAAGTCATAATTGGCTCATGTCTCTGAGCCTCCTGTCGCAGCTGGACTTAAGCCCCTTGGCAGGGCCTCACATCCCAGCATTGGATGGGTAGGTTTGGGCTTGGTCTCTGTAATCCCTTTGAGTGAACCTGGAGGTGCCAGGCCTCTACGGGTCTAAGACTTGAGCTCAGTTAAGGAACCCATCCAGGCTGGGTGTTGAGGGACACACAGGATGTTTGGGACACAGCTGTGGGCTGGGACCCCATGAGGGAGGCCATATAGCTACTCTTTTCCATCCCTTCCCTCAACAGGCTCTGCTGAGGCCTGAGCCCAGGCATGCAGAGTCCCTCCTGCACTCTTGCCTGCAAAAGCCCCGTGGCTGATTTCCATCTGCCCCTCCACCTGCCCTGGGGCATTGTTCAGAGCAAGAGCACCCCGGGGAAGGAACGAGCTTCTACAAGACCTGGAAAGCAGCTGTGGGCCTTCCTTTGGGATGACAGGCCTGGACGGGCTGTGGCACTTCCCCTACCCCTCAATGGCCACAAGTTTCCTTCCCTCTAGGGCAGAAGCCCTGAGGAAGGGAGCTTGCTGGGGGAGGCCTGGTGCCAGCAGCACGGCTCTGGGAGCTCCTGGTGGTGGGTATGGCTGGGGCCTGACTTGGGTCTGTGCTGAGTGAGCAAAATGCCTGGGTGATGCTGGCAGCCGGGCTGCAGAGCAAGGCCTTCATTGGATTTGGGAGAGCCTCTGCCGGCCCAGGCCTGGGTGGCTGCTATTGAATTAGTCAGCTAAGCAGAGCAGGAAGGAGCTGTTCCCCTAATTGGACTTGATGGATCTCTTAGTCCTATGCAGATGCCAGACGCAAGATAGCTGCCTGACCTCTGCTATGGGGTGGACCAGGAGCTGCCCCTCCCCAGGAAGCCTCTGCAGCTGCGGGGCTGGGAGCTGAGGGCCGGACTGGGGTCGGGGCTGCAGAGGGCTGGAGGGCAGGCTCTGCCACAGCAGGATGGGGAGGAGATGTGGAGGTGGGGCGTGGGCCGAGCTGTGTCCCCGACTAACAGGGGTGAAGGCTCCTTGTCTGCGCAATTGTCCCTCGTCTAATTTCGGTGACTGAGTGCACCTTCCAATGTGCCTTCAGACCCCGATGACATCTTCAGAAGGATGGCCTCCCTCTTCACAGGCACCCAGCTCCAGAGTCTCTCTCTGCCTCCTTCCCACCCAACCCCCACCCTGCCTGCCTCGAGCACAGTTGAGGTGAAGGCCCAGGTGGGAAACAGAGGCTGGATGGAGCTCTCTGCCCCTGGGCCGGAGCCGAGGGGCTCTCCAGGGTCCTGCAGTGCCATGGAGCCACCACCCAAAGGGTGACAATTCCTTTTGTCTGGGAACCCTGCTGAGCACTAGCAGGAGGCCTCTCCAAGGGTCTCACCCACCTGCAGAGTAAGGGGTCACCCATGGTCAGCGCCTAGGTGAGGCTTATCTTCCCTTCCACAGGGAGAAAGGGGGACTTCGCAGGGTGCAAGGTGGGGGACCCCTTGGTACCTCTCCGCATCCTCCTCATCTCCTCCCCCTCAGGAGACCCTGGGCCTCCTGTGCAATCCAGCAAATGCAGAGGGCTGGAGGGACTTTCCTAGGGGTGCCGGGGGCACACCCTACCTAGTGAGAAAATGGGATCCCCCACCCCTAACCCCCAAGTGCCTTCCAGAGCAATTGAGTTCCAGTGTTAGCAAAGAAACCATAAGATGCTGAATGGGGGGGTGGAAAAGACTTTCCAATCAGGAAAGCACAGTGAAAGCAAACAAACACAGGAGGCTTCAACTCGCTTTAAAATTAAAAAGCAAAGCAATGCACAGGCACAGCTCGCAGGCAAAGTTCAAGAGCAAATAACGCCTCCCTCGGGGAACCGCTGCCACACACACTACAACTGGAGGACCACTGTCCTTCCTGTACAAAGAGCTCTTATCAATCACGAAAGAGCAGGAGAACAGGGAGACACACAGGAGGAAAAACCTGTGAACCCAGGAGACTGGCTGTGCAGCAAGGTGATTTCTGAGTTGCTGAATGTATGTTGTTTTCGTTTTGCCCTCTCTGGAAGTGAGAAGAGCCCAGAGGCAGGCCCTCCCTTAAAAGCCCAGTGCCCTGAATGGAGGATACTGGTGTCCTGGGGTGGCCAGGGAGAACATCTGAGATTCAGATGGGGCTGGGGCCTTGCAGAGCCCGGGAGGGCTGCCAGGGGCTGGGGCTGCACCTGTGACTCCAGGCGGTGGGTGCTGCAGTTAGGGGTGGGAGGGCCTTATGGCCAAGGAGGGAATGGGAACATCAAAGACTGCAAACCTGAAGGGCCCATTTTTATAGTTTCTGGTCTGCAGACCAGAGCCACAGGGTCTCAGCAGTAGCCAGGGCCAGTGGTCACTGAGCCTAGAAAGTCTCCATAAAAGATCCCAGAAAAAAGACCACAGAAAAGGTCCAAGGAAGGGATAGGGGCTTGGAATTGTCCAGAAAGAGAGAAACAAGATTGTTCTTTACATCTGTGATTGGACATTGAGAGTTACACTTGCTTTACTAGCATGGAATGCAAGTTAAAACAATAAAATATAATATTTCATTCACAATAAAGGCAAATACAATATTTAAAAAATAATTGAATACTCCACATAGAGGAAGGTTGGCCATACTTCCAGGTGGAGTAGATTTGGGGACACATTTTCTAGACAGTAATCTTAAAAATGATCATAGTCTTTGACACAAAAATTCCCCTCCTAAGAATCTGTCTTAAGGAAAAAAATCAGAGACATGCCCAAAGATGTATGAATTTGTTCACACAATTCAACTCATAATGACAAAAATTAAAGCTTAAATATATATCAGCTGTGGAATTATGACATATCCACATATGTTAAAATCATATTTTAGAAAAATATTTGATAACCCAAAGATATGATTGAGATACTGCTAAGTGAAGTGAGATACTGTTAAGTGTTTGAACACTTCAAATACACATGCACTTCATAAAAACAAAAATTTAGGACTTAAACCTAAGACCTGAAACTATGAAAATTCTAGAAGATAATATTGGAAAAACCCTTCTGGACACTGGCTTAGGCAAGGATTTCATGACAAAGAACCCAAAAGCAAATGCAATAAAAACAAAGATAAATAGCTGGGACTTAATTAACCTAAAGAGCTTTTGCATGGCAAAAGGAACAGTCAGCAGAGAAACAGACAATGCACAGAGTAGGAGAAAACCTTCACAATCTATACATCTGACAGAGGACTAATATCCAGAATCTACAGCGAACTCAAACAAATCAGTAAGAAATAAACAAACAATGCCATCAAAAAGTGGGCTAAGGACATGAATAGACAGTTCTCAAAAGAAGATACACAAATGGCCAACAAACATACGAAAAAATGCTCAACATCACTAGTGATCAGGGAAATGCAAACCAAAACCACAATGTGACACCACCTTACTCCTGCAAGAATGGCCATAACCAAAAAATCAAAAAACAGTAGATGTTGGCGTGGATGTGGTGATGAGGGAATGCTCCTACACTGCTGGTGGGAATGTAAATTAGTACAGCCACTATGGAAAACACTGTGGAAATTTCTTAAAGAACTAAAAGTAGAGCTACCATTTGATCCAGCAATCCCACTATTGGGTATCTACCAGAGGAAAATAAGTCATTATTCAAAAAAGATACTTTCACACACGTTTATAGCAGCACAGTTCACAATATCAAAATCGTGGAACCAACCCAAATGCCCATCAATCAATGAGTGCATAAGGAAACTCTGATACATATATTATATATCTATATATAAAATATATATTACATATATCTATATATTTTATATATAGATATATAATATATAACTGTATATTTATATATAAATATTTATATATATTTCATGTATATATAAATATTTATACATATTTCATATATATTTATATAGAGATATATAAATAAATATATAAATATATTTATTTATATATACATATATAAATATATTTATTTATATATACATAAATATTTATTTGTATATAGATATTTATATATCTATATATAAATATATTTCATATATAGATACATATAAATAAATATATATGAAATATATATATATTTGTATCATTCTTATGCCTTTGCATTCTCATAGCTTAGCTCCCACACATCAGTGAGAACATACGATGTTTGGTTTTCCATTCCTGAGTTACTTCACTTAGAATAATAGTCTCCAATCTCATCCAGGTCACTGCAAATGCTGTTAATTCATTCCTTTGTATGATTGAGTAGTATTCCATATATATATATGTGTATATATATATATATATATATATATATATATATACATATATATATAGAATACTACTATATGGAATACTATATATATATATATATATGCACACTACTGAGTAGTATTCCATATATATGATTATATATATATGATGGAATACTACTCAGCCATACAAAGGAATGAATTAACAGCATTTGCAGTGACCTGAATGAGATTGGAGACTATTATTCTAAGTGAAGTAACTCAGGAATGGAAAACCAAACATCGTATGTTCTCACTGATATGTGAGAGCTAAGCTATGAGAATGCAAAGGCATAAGAAGGATACAATGGACTTTGGGGACTTGAGAGGAAGAGTGGGAGGGGACGAGGGATAAAAGATTGCAAATACGGTGCAATGTATACTGCTCTGGTGATGGGTGCACCAAAATTTCACTAATCACCACTAAAGAACTTACTCATGTAACAAAATACCACCCGTACCCCAATAACTTATGGAAAAACAAATTCACGTCAAAGAAGTCAGGAGGGTGCTTGCCAAAGTGAGCAGAGGTCCAGGCGGGGTGGAGTGGCAAGGTTTGCAGATAGATTATTTTCTCGATAGCTTTTTGTGTTTTCCAAATTTTCTTCCATGAAAATATATTTATTTTGTAATCGTGTAAAATAAATGTTATTTTAAAGTTAATCACAGAATCAAACTGCTGGAGCAGGAAAGAAAGGAGCGAGAGGAAAGGCTGTTTGCTGAGGGTCGGCTCTGAGCAGGGGCCTTAGTCTTCCCAGAAACCCATAGCCTTGTGCACGGCAGCCGGGTTCTGGATTAGGAACCCCTGGGAGTTGAAATAACCAACCCAGGGAGCAGGCTGAGAGGCGGCAGAGCCCATTCTCAAGCACGCCTGTCTTCTCTATTCCGCGTGCCGATGCAAACCTTCCACTTTCAAATGAAAAAACCCTGAAAAAGCCTGAAACAGAAATGTACAGCACTGAAAGCTTACATTAGAAAAGAGGAAAAGTCTCAGATCAGTCATCGAAATTACTAACCCAAGAAACACGAGAAAGAAAAGCAAAATAAACCCAGAGCAAGGCAGAGCAAAGGAAATAATAAAGAGCAGCAGTCGATGAAACTGACAACAGGAAAACAATAGAGAAAAACAAGGAAACAAAAATCTAGTTCTTCAAAAAATAAACCTCTGGCAAGATTCACAAAGATAAAACAAGAGAAGACTCAAATCACCAATATCAGGAATAAAACAGAGATATTACAGATCTTTCAGCCATTTTAAAGACAACAAAGGAACGCTACAGTTTTACCCTCATAAATTCAACAGTGTGGAAGAAATGAACCAATTCCTCAAAAACCACAAATGGCCAAAACTCAACCAATATGAAACATGCAACTTGAATAGTCTTATAACAATTAAACACACTGAATGTGAAATTTAAAAGAAATCTTCAGGCCCAGATGGCTTCGTTGGAGAATTCTACCACACATTTATGAAGAATTAACACCTATTTTACAAAATCCGTCTTAAAAAATAGAAGAGGAAAGAACACTTTTATTAGGCTAGGCCCGATACCAAAACCAGACAAAGACAACATGTGATAATAAAAGTACAGACCAACATTTCTCATGAACTTCAGCACAAGGATTGTTGACAAAATATCAGCAAATCAAATTCAGCAACATTTAAAAGGAATTATACACCATGAGCAGTTGGGATTTATCCCAGGTATGCAGGGTTGGTTCAGAATTACAAGACCAACCAATGTAATACACCTACCAACAGGCTACAGAGGAAAAGTCATGTGATTCTATCAGTTGACGCAGGAAAAGCATTTGACAAAATCCAACACCTAGTCATGATAAAAACTCTCAGCAAACTTGGAGCAAAGGAGAATTTTCTTAACTTCATAAAGAGCATCTGTAAAAACCTATAGCTAACATACTTAATGGTAAAAGACTGAATATTTTCCTTCTACGATTTGGTACAAGGAAAAGTGTCCATTCTCACCTCTCTTATGCAGTAGACTACTGCAAGCTCTACCAACTACAATATGTCAAGAAAAAGAAATAAAAGACATGCAGATTGGAATGAAAGAAATTAACTGTCTGTATTTGCAGATGACATGACAGTCTCTGTAGAAAATCCCAAGGAATCTGCAAAAGAACTAATAAGTGAGTGTAGCAAGTTGCAGTATGTAAGATCAACACACAAAAATCAATCCATTTCTATACATTAAAAAAGAAGGTGTGAAAACAAATTAAAAATATAATATCATTTACAGTCATTTCAAAAACAATGAAATACTTCATTATAAACTTAAAAAAACATGTACAGTACTCAACATATAAGGATGTCAATTTTTCCAAAATTCTACAGGTTTAATGTAGTTACTGTCAAAATTTTAGCAAGTATTTTTGTGGATATAGACAAGCTTATTTTTCCATAAAATTTATGTGGAAACACACAGGACCTAGAACAGCAAAACCCATCTTGAGAAGGAAGAATAAGTGGAAGGAATCACTATTTGAAATTAAAGCTTACTAATCAAGACAGTAGGGTATTGGCAGATGGACAGACACACATAGATCAACGGACCCCAGAAATAGACTCACACAAATATGCCCACCTAATATTCCGCAAAAGTATGAAGCCATTCATCAGAGGAGGGACAGCTTTTCCAATAAATGATGCGGGAACAACTGGACATCACAGCAAAAATAATGAATTCACACTTTATACAAAAACTAACTCAAAATGGATTAGGTGTAAATGTAAAGCTATAAAGCTTTTTTTTCTTAATAGCAGAAAATTTTCGGGATCTAGAACTAGCCACGTTGTTAGAATTGACGTAAAAAACAATTGGACTTTCTTAAAATTAGAAGCTTTTGTTCTGTGAAAGAGCCTGTTAAGGGAATGAAAAGACAAGCTACAGACTGGGAGAAAATATTTGCAAACTATGTATCCGATGAAGGCTTTTAACATCTAGAATAAACAACTCTCAAAATGCAGTAGTAAACAAACAAGCGAATTAGGAAACTGGCAAAAGATATGAAGAGTTATTCCATATAAGAGCATACCCAGATGGCAAATAAACCCATGAAAACACGTTTGTCATCATTACTCATTAGGGAAATACAAGTTAAAATTGCATGGAGATACCATTATATACACATCAACATAGCTAAAATAAAAAACAGTGAGAACCCCACATGCTGGTAAGGATGTGGAGAAACTGCATCACCTATACATGATGCTGGTGGGAATGTAAAATGTTAAAGCCACTCCAGAAAACAGTTTCTTAGTTTCTTATAAAACTAAACATGCAACTGACATGTGACCCAGCAATTGCACTCCCAGGCATTTATCTCAGAGAAATGAAGACTTGTAGTCATACAAAAACCTGTACACAAAAGCTCATAGTAGCTTTGTTCACAGTAGCCCAAAACCGAGAGCTCTGCAAAGAGCCTTCAATGGGTGAATGGTCAAGCCATAGTGCATCCACTCCATGGAATCCTACTCAACATTAGAAAGCAATCAACTGCTGGTACATGGGACAACTTGGATGGATCTACAGGGATCTGGGCCGAGTGAAAAAAAAAGCCAATGCCGGGAGGTTACATAATGTAACGATTCCATTTATATAACAATCTTGAAATGACAAAACTGTAGAAATGGAGAAGTGGTGAGTGGCTGCCAGGGGTTATGGAGGGGCTGGGGAGGGAGGGAGGGAAGTGGGTGTGGCTGCGGATGGCCCCTGGTGGTAAGGGAATACTCTGTAACTTGACTCTACGGATGTCAGTATCCTGGCTGTGATACCGTACTGTAGTTTTGCAAGATGTTATCACTGAAGGAAATTGGGTAAAGGGTACTTCAGACCTCTCTGTATCGTTTCTTATAAGTGCATGCATGAATTGTATGCTCATTCTACAATTCTCTCAAAATAAATTTTTTTTTTTAAAAAAAGGCCCAGATAGGCGACATGACTAGGGGCCCATGGTCTGCAAACCAGGTGGCGTGGGGCTTGGAGACACCCATGGGGGTGGCGTAGCCCTCCTGGGAGTTCCACGACAACCCTGAGGCAACTTCTTCCTCATCCACCTGTGGCCAATGCATTATGGAGACCCTATGATCCCATCAGAAGGCACGTCCTGAGTCCCTCTGCCCCTTTCCAGCCCACCACCAACCAACCGCACAGCTGGCTTCTGTCCCTTCTAGTTGGATAGCCCAACCCCAGCTTCCAAGGTGCTGCCCCAGGCTGGGCGGTGGACTCCTCTTGTCTCTACAGTTCCTGTCTTCTCTCCCTCTGGTCAGCTCTGGGGGCCACTCCCTGCCTGCTTGCTTTCAGGGTGGGCAGGTGTGCCTGAGATCTTCTGGTGGGTGGAGGGGCCGGTGTCTGCCCGACACCAATGGCAAGTGCCAGCCAAGGCCCCCTCCAGGCTGTATCACCAAGGGCCCCTGGTTCTTCCTCTGCTTGCTCTGAGGCCCCACTTCCGTGCCGGGATGGGTTTTGGGGAGGTGGTCACTGTGCTGCCAGACAGGCAGGAAGGGAGCACAGAGCAGAGAGGGAGCACAGAGCAGAGAGGGAGCACAGAGCTCCCCTCCTGGCAGGGGTGAGTCCAGGCCTCCAGTGAGAGAGGGCTGGCCAGGGATGCAGCCCGGGTCGCAGTGGGCCCCTTGCCAGCAGGCTCCCTGGGCAGGAGGCCGCAGCAGCACAATGTCAGTGATCCCCAGCCTCAGAGCCTGTGAGCCAGCACACCAGCCCCTGGCCTCAGCTGCTGTCCCCAGGAAACCTCTGCTCTCCCTCCATGTGCTTTTGGACATGGAGCCTGCAGCTGGGGCAAGACAAGGACGCCACATGTGCAGAGCGTCAGCACTGGGACTCCCTGCTGCGCTCTGGACTCGACCTTGGGGACTCCTGGCCCCTCCTGATGCAGCAGCTGCGGCTGCAGTGGCCCTCCCTTCCCTCCCACCCTCTGAGGCCAAGCCTGTCCCAGGAGGAAGGACACAGAGGCCCTGACAAAGAGTGAGATCTGCCACACGGAGAGCCACGCCTGCCTGGAGCACAGGAGGCCGGGGGTGGGCAGGCTGGGACAATTCTTCAGGCTGCAGGAGACTCTCTGGTCCCAGTCACACCGCTGGGGCTGACAGGAAGCAGCCATGCTCCCACCCAAGTGGAGAGTGAGCTCTGGATTCAGGCACTCAGGCTGATCCAGTGCTGATCGGGAAATCGGGCCAGCAGAGGATGGTGCAGAGGACTCGCCTGAACTGGCCTCCTTCACCCCAGCTCCTACCAGCTGGGGTGAGAGCCTGCAGCCAGGCCCACAGTGGAGGCCGAGCCAAGGTGCAGCCTTTATGGGAGGGCCGATGGTGGTGTGTGTAACCCCTGAGGGTCCCAGGGAGCTGGAGAACTCACTCCTCTCCCAGGCACGTGGAGGTTTGGGGAAATCCTAGGAACGATGATCTGACATAAACATGATCATTATTATGAGCTGGAGGGATCATTTCCTTCCATTCCAGACAAGAAAATGGAGGCCCACAGAGAGTCAGCTGGAGCAAGCTGGACTCACGTGGGGCCCACTCCGGGCCCAGGATCCCCAGGCTATCCCATTCTCCTCGAGGTGGGGCTCCATGGGGGCTGTGTCAGGACTGCTCTGAGGTGCCCAGGCAGCAGCCATGCTAGCATCATCCTCAGAGCACAGACCATCTCTGAGTAAGTCTAGTATGGGAGAATGCTGTATTGTCAAGACGATTTTTGATTACACAATCACAAAGTGAATACTCCATGAACAGAAAGGCATGCTGGAAGGAGGCTTACGGGGCCTCAGGACAGAAGCCCTGTGCTGTGGAGCTGAGCCTGTGCGCTGTGGGCCTTGTCCCTCCTATGTGTGGGGCTGGCTGAGCCCCAAGGACAGCTGAGTGTGCTTTGGAGACAGTTAGCAACTGCTATTAGTCCTGAGAAAATTCTAGCAGTTGCTTCTCGGAGTGTCTTCTTTGGGAGAGGCCGGTGGGCAGGTGGTCAAGGGTGGCTGTTTTCCTGGCAGTGAGGCATGGCAGGAACAGGATGAGGCACTGCAGAAGCCCCACTGGCTGGTCCTGGGCTGCAGTCCCTGACCTGGTCCCGTCTGCTCCTCTGGCACCTGTGAGCACTCATGGTGCCCAAGCACATGTGGCTGCTTTCACTCCCAGTTCCCTGTCTCTATTTCTGGAGTCCCAGAGATAGAAGGCCCCCAAGTGATCTCATCAAGGCTGAGAGGGCCTCGCAGGGCAGAAAGGAGGCCCCCACTTGAACAGCTGTGGCCTGCAGTCCCCTCCGCGCCTGCTGGACTTGATGCCAGGCATGACTGCCTGCACTGGCAAGAGAGGCCCTGGCCTGAGAAGCTCCTATCCTGGCAAAAAGTGTGCCTAAGCTGGGAAGGACCCAGGTGCTGACCTGACCATCTCGCCACTGCCAAGGACAATGCTCTGGATGGCTTGCAGGTCCAGATGTCCGCCAGAGACTTCACTACTTGGCCACAGTCTCTGCTGAGGCTCAGAGGAGCCTGGGAGGAGGTAGGGGCCAGGGCTGGGCCACTTCTGACTCTGCATCAGTAGCCCTTAGTCATGCCCTTGGTATGTGACACAGGCACAGCAGGTTCGCTGCAGAACACCCACAGCTGAGCAGGCTGGCCTGTGCTAGCCCCTGCTGCCTCCTGTCCTGCCAGCAGCAAACACAGGGAAGTGCTATAGAGAGGCGTGGGGTGGGGGGTCTTAGAATTAGGGGATCCCACTGCAAGGGATCCACAGGCCCCCTGAAGGTGTATCCAACAGAAACTGTGTCTGCTGTGTGTGTTCTGTACGCCCTTGTCTAGCTTTCATCAGAATTTTTTTTGTTTTGTTTTGGAGACAGAATCTCACTCTGTAGCCTAGGCTGGAATGCAGTGGTGCAGTCATGGCTCACTGCAGCCTCAACCTCCTGGGCTCAAGTGATCCTCCTACCTCAGCATCCTGAATAGCTGGGATCATAGGCCCATGCCACCATACCTGGCTAATTTTAAAAAAAAGTTTTTGTAGAGACAGGGTCTCCCTATGTTGCCCAGGCTGGTCTCAAACTCCTAGGCTCAAGTGATCCTCCCACCTCAGCCTCCCAAAGTGCTGGAGTTATAGGTGTGAGCCACTGCAGCCGGCCTCATCAGATTCTTAAAGAGGCTCTTGACTCAAATAAAGTCAGAACTGGGGTCTGGGACACGGAGGGCTCCAGGACTCCCTGCCCCTGCAGAGGCCACTGTGGAAGTGAAGTGAACCCCACTCCAGCACCAGCAGGTCACACGTTATGTATGTTAAAGTACCTGCTACAGGTGGACTCAGGTAACAGGGGCAAGAGTTGGAAGGAAGGGACATTAGTTACCTCTCAGGATAAGACAGAACTCTCAGATCTTTCAAAATCCTAAAGACAAAACACACTTCATAATTTTAAAATTATACAATTTAAAAACTTAAAAATTGGGTTGTACTGGACACTTGGATAACATGGTGAGCTAGGTACCTGGATCAGCTCTTGCACTGAAAACCTGGACAAAATTTTATAAATAGTCTTTTAAAAACGTATTAAAGATTTAGCCAAAAGCAAGAACTTCTCAAGTCAAAACATTTGTAGAATACAGACACCCAAAAGGCAAGCCAAATTCCTGAGGGAATTTGCCAGCAACGGGAAGTTGAACTTCCAGTTTCGTGACTTCCTGGTGGGCAGAGGGCAGAAGTCAAAGCCCATGGCAGGCCCAGATTTCTGTGGGAAATCCCCACAGAGCTGAGACCCCAATCAGCTGTCTGCTCAAAGTGAGGGTCAACTGGAAATAAATCTGCCTTTCTCAAGGGTATAACAAAGAAAACCAGCCATTTTGAACCTCAGTGCCGAGAGGAAAGAGGTGAAAATCCCTGCTGAGAATTTATCAACAGAAGCCAGTGGTCTTCATGTAGATTTTTCAGCCTGAATTCATAAGATTTAGGTGGTCTGAAAACCTCAAGCTGGCAGTTCAATTTTCAACGAGACAGAGTGGTGGTGTCCCAGGTACTGGAAAGATGGAAGACAAATCGTCCCTGGAGGAACCCACAAATAATACTCCAAGGTAAAATGAAATGCTTGCAGACAAAAATAACTAACTACACATGTAAGCCAAGGAATAGAATTCAGAGCCCAGAAACAAACCCCACAATCTGTATACTTCACGTGTGCGTGATCAGTGAGGAACAGGCTGATTTTTCAATCAACGGTCCTTAGGAGACTGCAAATCCATGTGGAAAAAACTAAAACTATATCCCTACTTCATACCATTTACAAAAATCAATTCTAAGGATGAAATATCTACATGTAAAAGAAATATAAAGTTTTTAGAAGAGAATATGTACAATTATCTTCAGGACCTACAAGTGCCTCAGAAACAAAACCATAAACCATTTTGATAATGTCCTGGGGCATGCATTTTTCTAGTCTGATAAAATTAATTTTAGACAGAGATAATATTTGGATTCTTTTCTGGTCCCAGCAGGGCTCTTTTCTTGGTTCTTCCTGGTAAACTCACTGGCCTACAGTTGGCTTGTTGCCCACAGAGTGATCAGCCTGCTCTTTGCCTGCTAATAAAATCTCCACTGTTTTTGAGATAGCCCTTAGACTTGAATTTACCCACACTATTTCAAATAACCTCAGTCTTCAAGAGACACCTTTGGAGTTTGGAGCTTTGTGTTCTCCTGAGTAGCCTCTACCCCTGAGAAAAATGTCTACAACACTCCTCTTGTCACTGGGTGGGGGTGGAAGCCTCTGATCTTTTTCACTTGACTTGACTGGTGTGGAACCTATACCCTGTGAGTGAGCTGGGTGAGAGTAGTCAGCGCCTCCATGTTCTCAGCCCCCCGAACCTGGAGTAGAGCCTCCACTCATGATTCAGGAGGCAGAAGAAAGGAGCCCTAACTTCTCAGCAGCACTGTCTGGACTTTATGACACAGAGTTGGAGGGGATGATGAGACTTGGTGGCCTGCCCCTCCCAGGGTGATACAATGCATTCATTTCTGTGGCTAGTGTAAGAAAAATCACACACTTGGTGTCTTAAAACAACAGAAATTTATCTTGCCATAGTTCTGGGGGCCAGAAGTCTGCAATCAGCATCATGGGGCTGAAATTGGGGTGCTGGCAGGGCCACAGTCCCCCTGGGTGCTCTGGGGCAGGATCCATTGCTTGCCTCTTCTGCCTTCTGGTGGCTGCTCACCTCTGGTTTTCATGTTCTTTTTCCTCTTTTTCTGTCTTCCTTTTGCATTAATCAAGTATTCGTGATTACATTTTAGCTCTCTTTTTTTTTGACTCGTTAGCTATAACTCTTTGTTTGTTATTTTAGTGTTTGCTTTAAGCTTTATAGTGTGAGTCTTTAACTGATCACAATCCCTTCAAGCGATCTTGGCATCACAGGACTTTAGCATAGTCTGAGATTTTTATAGTGAGATACTTCTCCCCACCCTTATTCTATTGTTGTCAATGCTATTGGTGTCACGCTTCACTTTTACCTATCACAGACCCCACTATATATTATTTTTTGAAAGAATCAATTTTCTTTTAAAGAGACCTAAATAATAAATGTACCTGTGTAGTTCTCACCTGTAGTGATTTTCATTCCTGTTTGTAAGTGCAGATCTTCATCCAGTATCACTTTGCCTGATGGACTTCTTTTAACATTTCTTGCAGACAAGATCTGCTGATGATTTCAGCTTCTGTATGTCTGAAGAAGCCTCAACTTCACCTTCATGTTTGAAAGGCATTTTTGCTGGGTATGCAATCCTCCAATGACAGTTTTGTACAGACAGTGCTTTAATGATGTCTCTCCACTGACTTCTTGCCTGCATTGTTTCTGGTGAAAAATCTCTTATCTTCATGCTCTTTGGTCCTCTTGATGAAACGTGTCCTTGTTTTCCCGGCTGCTTTGATGATGTTTTCTTTGTTACTGGTTTTAAGCAATTTGATCATGATTGCACCTTGGTTAGTTTTCTCCTTGCTTCTTGTTCTTGCGCTTGTGGTTGGCTATGCTTGCACTAGAGTTTAAAGTGTTCATCCAGTTTGGACACTCTTCAACCACTATTTCTTCAAATATTTTTTTTCTGTTCCCACACTTCTTTGGTCACTACAATTCCAACATATATTAGGCTACTTGCGGATTTCTCCCTAGTTTGCTGATGCCCTTTACATTCATTTGTATTCCTAATTTTTTGTGTGGCTCATTTTGGGTAGTCTTTATGGCAATGTCTCTAGTCCACTAAGCTACTTTGTAATGTCTAATCTGCCGCTCATGCCATCGAGTGTACTATTTATCTCAGACATTGTAATGTTCATCTCTAGAAGTACAATTCAGGCACTTCTTAGACTTTTTGTGTCTCTCCTTAACTTATTTTTAATTTTGTGTTTTGAAATAATAGATTCACAGAAAGTTGCTGAAAAAAAATGTGGGAAAGTAGGACTAGGGTTAATGACTAGAAGCCAAGGGAAGCCCATTTTAGCTCAAAATAAGGATGTGGTTCCTGTCAGAGAAGCCTCCAGAAGGAATGGGCTGCCTGACATGTGATGAGTTTCCTTTCAACAGGGATCTAGCAGGGCCTGGATGCCTGATTGTCAGAAAGGCTGTGGTAAGATTTGTGTATTTAACACAGAACCAGCTTGGAAGGTCCCCTCAGTGAGTTACAGATCTGCTCCAGGGAACGACACCTACCAATTATTTATCAGAGATGGAAATGTGGGCCCCTGGTTGGGGGGAAGGCAGAGCCTCTCCTCGCAGACTTTGCCCCTCCCCAGATCACAAGGATGAAGTTTTCTCCTGTGGAAAACATTCTCCCAACCTCTTCTTGCCTTCAGCACCTGCTTTAGTTTGGGGTTGCAATGTGCTCAGCTTCAGAGGCTGCAATTCTGTTTGTTCCAGTCCAGTTATAGCAGCTGGGCTCTCCCTTGTCAGGCACTGGCTTCACTGGACACTCTAGCAGTTAGTAGTGGCCATGTGACCACCGTGGGCACAGTTCAGTCAAGACAAGGAGAAGCTATTGGCAAGAGGGCTTTGGCTTTCTGAAAAACGAGGGAGGAGGAAGAAGATATTTTGCTGGTGCCATCTCTTCCCTTTGTGATACGTGTGATGCTTGGGGCTGCAGCAGCCATCTTTGAAGCATGAAGGAAGGTGAGGGGACTGTAGAGACAGGAGCCAGGCTTCATGGGGTTTAACTGCAACAGGCACCTGGAGCCGCCCACCTCCTCATTCTCTGGAGGTTAGATTGTTAGTGCCTTTATTGTTTAAACCTGGGGTTAACAGATTTTGTCCCCAGGCAGGTGTGCCCTCTGCAAGCCACACTCAGTCCAAATCCCTGCCACACCACCCTGGGCCTGAGACTCAGGGCTGGATGGGGCTGCAGGGAGCCCCCACTTGCTCCATCCATGCACCTGGGCTTGCTTAGGAGAAGGCAGTGCCCATCCTGGCTGTGCCCCCACCTTTCTGTGTCCATCCAGAGGGGCCAAGCTCTCTGGGCCTGAGCCACCCACCTGGGACCAGAGAGAAGGGCCCGGAAATGTGCTCCAGGGCTCCACTGGGCCAGGAGGGAGTGGAGGCACTAAGGGTTCATCATCTACCCCAGAGATGGGATAGAAGGTGCACAGACAGGCCAGGTGGACGGGGTCCTCTCCTGAGACCAAGGCAGAGCCTCCGAAGCAGGAGATGGTGGCCCCCATTTAAGGACACCAAAAGGGAAGAGGAGAAGGGCAAGATGGTAAGTTCTTGACCCCTGTGACTAACCCACCCAGGGAGAACTGTGTGCCAGAGCAGGGTGGTTGCTTCTGTGTGCTAAAGCCTGGAAGATACAGGTGCTCCATGTCCCTGCTCATGTCTGTCCCCACCAGCCACAGGACATGTAGCCAGTCAGCCAAGCCCTATGCAGGGATGGGACCAGGTGCACGGGCCTCAGCCGCAGCAATGCTCAGTTTAGGGGCTCTAGGGCAGGGCCAGTGTCTTCTTCCAGCATCCCTTACTCCCCTGCACAGGTCAGCAGGGAGTTCTGCCTGTGCAGGGTCCCACCCAGCTCAGCACTGGTCCTTTGCAGGCCTTCCCTGATGGCTCACCAGGGTGAGGAAGCCCTTTCCAGGACCTCACCCCACGAGGTCTGTGCCTCCTCTGTGGCACTGCCCCAGCCCCCGTGAAGTCAGGCTGGCATGCATCCTGTATGCACACAGGAGCCTCCCAGGCAGCCCCAGCAGCCTCTGACCTACTGTAGGCATTGGGAGCCTGTGGGAACTGGCAATGCCAGGGACAGTCTTGATACCCCAGCTCACCTTGCCCTGGTGGGAAGCAGTGCCTGGCCAGCCCTCTGCCTCTGCATTCCAGACTCTCCAAGAAACTGAGTTGCAGCTAGGGATGGCTGGGGGTGGCCCAAGCAGGAGGCTTCCCTGGGCAACTGTGGAGGAGATATTTTTAGGTTCTGCTGTGTTTTTCATAAGAAAATATTTTTAGACCAAATTCAACCTGAGCAACATGTGGCTTCTAGCTAATTATACAATTAATCATCAGGGCTGGAATGGTGTGGGCGAGCAGGTGAGGAGCGTGCCAATGCCACTCCACCGATGGGGACACACGCAGGAAGGCCACAGCCACCGAGAGCATGGAGCACACTGCATCTGGGGCACCTGCCACCTTCCGCACTCAGGCTAGCTTGGCCCGGAGCCTCCAGGAAACCCGAGCAGTCTAGTGAGGGCTGGGGGTCTGCCCCACAGCTGCAGATCCTCCCACAGAAAAAGAAAGGTGCCCTCTCCTGGGAGGTGGGGTGCCCAGCAAAAGTCTGGGCCCTCCCGCCCCTTTTCTCTGAGGCCACCTGCACAGTGCTCCTGGCCATGTTGAAGTCACAAGGCTGGGAGCCAGTGCTTGCTTGGTAACCCCATGGGACCCAAAGGTTCAGGGGCACAGCACGCAGGTATGGGGGTCATGCCCTGTGAGAGGGGGGCTGTGATCCCTCCAGGGACCACCCCCAGTCCTGGACCCCGGTGTACCCTGATTCAGTGTCACCGTCTGTTTCCAGTTCATACAAAGGCTCATTGAGGGTGCTGACAGTTCAAGATCGTTCCTGACCAGCCCTGCTGAGCCTGTGCGTGTTGGGCGAAGCTGCACCTGGGACAAATGGTGTAGGCTCCTCACCCAGAATTCTCCCCCAAGACCCCTGCACACCTGAAATCAACCGGGTTTCCCTCCTGCATTAATCCCTACAAGGCACTCCAGAAAAGGCAGTGAGGAGACAAAACTCCTGGCCTAGCTTCAGGCTGCTTTGGCCACAGCAGAGAAATCCCCCTGAAATTGAGACGGACCCTAATCTCAGGCCTTCATAGCCCCTATAGGAACTGGATGCTGGAGCCCGGCCCAGGTCAGTACCCCTTGGGGCCCTTCTCTCCAATTTCTCTTTCTTTCATTAGACTCAGAAAGCTCAAGTCTCCGCCACCAGAGCCCCTCACGGCACCCTCTACAGCTTGCCCCATCCCTGATGGCCTCACCATCCTCTATTTTGTGCCCCTGGAAAGCCTCAAGTCATCTTTGACTCTTCCTCACCCTTAGGCCCATGGGTCCCACCAACCTTCCTCGCTGACCTGCCCACACACAGCATCCTCTCTCCATCCCTGTGCCTACAGTCTGTGGCCATTCAGGCCCTCAGGAGGCCTCCTGCCTTGGATCCCTCCTCCAGTCTTTTGAATCAGTCGGCACTCTCAGTATGTCCCCAGCATGGAGGGCCCTTCCCAGGGAAGTGACAGCCCTCCCTGGGCCTGGCAGTAAGTGAGGTCAGGGTTTCCAGGCATGACAGCTGGGGGCTGACTCCCAGGCCTAGTCCTGGTGATTGGCTGCGGGGCCGTGCCATGGGACCCTCAGTACCTCGTTTTCCCTTGATTGTGACAGAGGGACAGCAGAACCTTGCTGGAAGGGGTGCTTGAGCTTTAGGGGAGGGAACAGGAGTATTCGCCCACCCACTGCCCTCAGCCTGGCCGAGCACAGCAGGTGCTGAACAGAGCTGCAGACTAGCACCGCGACGGGTCCAGAGGGGTCTGCGGAAATGGTAGAGCAGGCCTCAGCCTGAGTGTGTGCTGTGGGCCTAGTGTGTATCTGAAATCCACAGGTTGAAGCCCTCCCCCACATGGTGATGGCATTAAGACATGGGACATTTGGGAGGTGATGAGGCCACAGGGGCGGTGCCCTGGTGAATGGGATTGGTGCCCCTACACAAGGACCTCAGAGAGCTGCTTTGCCCACCACGTGAGGACACAGGAGAAGGCACCAGGGATGAGCCAGAAGGAGAGGCCTCACCGCACAGTGGATCTGCCAGCGCCTTGCCTGGCCCTCCAGCTTTCAGAACTGTTAGACGTGTTTGTTGTTTAAGTCCCCAGTCTATGGTACTTTTTAATAGCAGCCTGGGGACTAGGACAGTTGGGGACTTCCTGCCTATAGATATTCTTCCTCCTTGTTCAAAAGAAAAACAAACAAGCAACAACAACAAAAACAAAAAAAACCGCGAGTAAACAAGACCAGACTCTCTTCTGAGTTTTAAGGGATACACATGTTAGAGCAAAACGACCCATGAGTCAAAAAGTACCTGGCAGTGCTCAACAGACGGCAGTTCCTCGCGACTGAGCTTCGGGCTGGGCGGGGCTTTCCCTCCACAGGGGTTCCCGCTGGGAGGCGCATCCCTAGCCTGGGGACAGCAGCAGGCTCTGAGAGCAAGCCCGGCTCAGGACAGGGAGGAGGGTGGTGCCTGCAGCTGGGCCTGCCCCGCCTGTGGGCCCATGTGGCTCTGCTGGTTTCTGCAGTCGGGAGGGGAGACTGGAATAGGTCATTGGTGTCGATTCTATTTTTCCCTTTTGCTTCCCTCACCTAAGAAGGGGACATTTAGACTTTTTTCAAAAGGTCTCTGTTCAGAGTGCTTCATTCAGTCGCAAGGGTGGGGGTTGCTGAGACAGAGAAGGTAGAACTGGCCGGGAGAGGGGGTGGGCCTCCTGGGATGGGGCGCAAGGCCCCAGAGTAGCTGTTAGGGTTCCACGGAGCAGGGGAAATCTCCGGCTTGCAAGGCGCGGGCCAGTGGGAGCTGGGGAAATCCGATCTCCCTGACCTGCTGCCCCGCCCCTGGCTGGTGGCCACCTCCCAGCCTGGCCTCTGTGTCCTCGGTGAGCCTCCCTCCTCCCTAAATAGTCCCAGAGCCTCCTGCCTTTGGTCGTGCCTCTGCCCAGCGCCACTCAGCCTGGAAGGCCTGGGCCACTGACCCCTCCTGGCGAATCCCTCCCCAGATCCCAGCCCGCCCTGAGACGCTGCCCTCTGATGTGCGCGGTTCCTCCGCCCGCAGTCCGAGACACCTGTCCCCTCCCCAGCCTGAGCCCGCTGAAGCCCGTGTTACCTGGGACCTGATTTCCTGCTCAGGCCACTCTCCCTGGTTCCAGGGGTCCCCCTGCCGCCCAGAGGCTGGCGGCCCCTGGCGCAGCCTGGGTGGGCCTGGCCTGGCACTGTGCCCGGCCCAACTGGGGGAGGTAGGCGCCGCCACTCACGCCCACTCGCTGACGCAGCGGTCCTCGCAGCCTGACCCAAAATAGCCTGGGCTGAGAAACCAGAGCGGTGACAAGGACGAGGCGGCCCAGCTGTTGGGAAAGCAGCATCCTCACCTCCTCCCCGCGTGTTCAAATCCAGCTGGAGCCTCATTTCCCTGGGGAGGTCTCTGTGCCGCCTCCACCCTCCACGTGTGCTCCCGAGTGTTTGCGCCCATGAGGCGGAGGGTGGGGGGAGGACGAGGGCAACGCTGCGGGTAGAACGGAACAGATGAGAGGTGCTGGCTTCAGAGTGGAAAAAGCTGAAACTTAGCTGAAGCCAAGGGGTGGTGACGGCATTAATAAGAGAAGCGAGTGACGCCCCGTGGCAGTGGGGCCCCGGGTGGCAAGAAGGGACTCAGCTGGACTCCCCCCAACCATATCAGCCCCTTCACCTGGGCCTCGGGACAGCGAGCTCACTCCCAGGACTTTGGGCTTCTGCCGTCCTGCTTGGATGAGCTCTTCCTCTAGGAGCCCGCAAGTCCCCTCTTCTCCCCTCAGCCCCTGGCAGGGTCTTCTCCTCAGGCCTCCCTAGGGCACCCCTGCTCATGGCACCCCGTCCGGGGCTCCTCCTTGGTGCTTATCTCCGGAAAAAATATGCCTGAACTTGTTTCTTATTGGTCTCCCAATCCTCAAAAATGGAAGCTTCTCCAGGACAGGACCCTGTTTGCTTTTCCAGTGCTGTGTCCCCAGCACCTGCAACAGTGCCCGGCAAACATTGGGTGCCAATAACCATTTATTGCATGAATATACGATACGGATGGCTAGAAAACGGTCGGACTCAGCTGTGAAGGGTATTTACTTAGCCAAGTGTTAAAAATAAAACATTAATTTGACCCAATATCATGATCTAACTCCATTGGAAGGAAGTGGAGAGGGAAGGATGTGTGTGTGGGGTGGGGGCGGTTGGAGGGGATGTGTAAGGGAACAGGACTGTTATTTACCCTGGGAAGAAGTCCATCATTCGGTTAACACTAAAATGGAAAAACCAAGAACCGGCAGCCTAAGCATTTTACTTAGAATCATAAAAGTAAACGTGAGAAGGAACAGCCAACAGACTCACATGGAATGCTTCTAGGGATGGGGATTAGGGCAGGGGACTGCCACTTTTCTTTATAAACCTTGTAATATGTTGAAATATTTTAGGCAATGTCTACATATTGCTTGGATGAAGTTTAACAATTAAGCAATAAAGTTGGATGCTTTATGTCATTAAATTCACAGATTGGTTTAATTTTGTTAAATCTTCTAGGCAACTTTTTTTAGTGATTTTTTTATTTAATTAAACTTTTTATTTTGAATAATTGTAAATTCACATACGGTTCTACGAAATAAAACAGAGAGATCTTGTGTACTTTTTACCTAATTTCCTCCAGAGGTAACATCTTATAAAACTATACTACAGTGTTGGCCAGGCATGGTGGCTCATGCCTGTAATCCCAGCACTTTGGGAGGTCAAGGCGGGTGGATCACCTGAGGTAGGGAGTTTGAGACCAGCCTGACCAACACGGAGAAACGCTCTTTCTACTAAAAATACAAAATTAGCTGAGCATGGTGGCGCGCGCCTGTAATCCCAGCTACTCGGGAGGCTGAGGCAGGAGAATCGCTTGAACCTGAGAGGCGGAGGTTGTGGTGAGCCGAGATCGTGCCACTGCACTCCAGCCTGGGCAACAAGTGTGAGAGTCCATTTTAAAAAAAAAAAACCACACACACACACACACACACACACACACACACACACAAACTATACTACAATGTCACAATCAGGATGCTGACATTGATACTGTGGAGAGACAGAACATCCCCTCCCCACCAGGATCCCTCACGTTTCTCTTTTATAGCCACACCCACTTCCCTCCCAGCTCCCTCAAGGAGAGGAATTCCCTGCCCCTAACCCCATCCTGCCCTTAACCCCTGGGAGCCATTAAGCTAACCTAGTCTGCATTTCTATTAAACCTTAGTTACTTTTGCACCATTTTAATGTAATGTTGTCATTTCAAGAATGTTATATAAATGGAATCATACAGTGTGTAACAATTTGGCACTGGCGATTTCACAGAGCATGATTCTCTGCAGGCTCACCCAGGTTGATGCGTGTAACAAGAGTTTGGTCCTTTTTTCCACTGAGCAGTATTCCATGGTATGGATGTACCATAGTGTGTTTAAACCATTCACCCAATAAAGGACATCTGGGGTGTTCCCAGTTTTCAACTACTATCTAAAAAAGCTGCTGTGAACTTTTATGTACAGATTTTTGAGTAAGCATAAGTCTTCATTTCTCTGATATAAATTGCCAGGAATGCAGTTACTGGGTCATATGGTAGTGGCATACTTAGTTTTTAAAGAAACTGACAAACTGTTTTCTGGAGTGCCTTTATCATTTTACATTCTTACCAGCAATGCATGAATGATCCAGTTTCTCTGTATCCTTGCCAGCATTTGCTGGTGTCACTATTTTTTTATTTTTATTTTAGCCATTCTGATAAGGGTGTAGTGGTTTTAGTTTACACATTGCTGACAGTCAGTTTTATGTGCTTATTTGCCATTTCTTTGGTAAAAGATCGCTTTACGTCTGCCTGTTTGCTAATTGGATTTTTTGTTGTTTTGTTCTGAGAATTCTTTGCATATTTTAGACTATTTCTTTGTCAGATATGTGGTTTGCAAATATTTTCTCCCAGTCTGTAGATTGTCTTTTCATCCTCTTAATAGGATCTTTTGCAGAGCAAAAGGTTTTCATTCTGATGAATCCAACTTATCAATTTTTCTTTTTATGGATTTTGCTTCTGGCATCAAATCTAAGAACACTGCCTAGTTCTAAATCCTGAAAAGTTTCTATTATTTTTTGCTAAAAGTTTTATAGTTTTACATTTTATGTTTAAATCCATTATCCTTTTTAAGTTAATTTTAAAAAATCAGATGTGAGATTTAGGTGAAGGTTCAGGTTTCTGTTTGGTTGGTTTTGGCCTACAACTGTCTGATTTCTCCAGCATCATCTTTGCTCCATTGAATTATTTTTGCACCTTTGTCTAAAATCAGCTGGACCTATTGCTGTGGGTTTATTTCTGGGTTCTCTACTCTGTTCCATTAATCTATGTAACTAACTCTCCACCAATGCTACACAGTCTTGATAAATGTAGCTAAATAATATATTAAAATCACATAGATTGATTCCTCCCACTTTATCCTTTTTCAAAATTGTTTTAGCTATTCCAGTTCCTTTGCATTTCCATGTAAATTTTAGAATGACGTCTATATCTTCAAAAAATCTTGCTGAGATTTTGATAGAAATTGTGTTAAACCTGAAAACCAACTTAGAGAGAGTTGATATCTTCCTATGTTGAGACTTCCAATCCATGAACACAGTAAGTCTCTCCATTTATCTAGATTTTTAAAAAATTTCTCTAAATTTGTTTCATCAGCATTTTGTAGTTTTTGGCATATAAGTCTTGAACATGTTTTGTTAGAATTATACCTAAGTATTTCATCAATTTTAGTTACTGTAATTTTTAATTCCAGTGTCCCTGTGTTCATGCTAGTGTATAGAAATTCACCGGTTTCTTTGTATGTTTACCTCATATCCCAAGACTTTGCTGAACTTATTTATTAGTGATGGTTTTGTTTTGGTTTTGGTTTTTTGCTTTTTTGGCTTTTTTTTTTTTTTTTGGTAAATTTCTTAGAATTTCCTATATAGACAATCATGTCATTAGCAAACAGGGGAAGTTTTATTTCTTCCTCCCCAGCCTGAATGCCTTTTATTTCTTTTTCTTGCTTTATTGCACTGTCTAGAAAGTCTAGGATGCTGCTGAACAGAAGTGGCAAGAGAAGCACCCTTGCCTTTCTCCTGATCTTTGAGGAAATTATCCAGTCTTTCACCAGTAGGTATAATGTTAAATGTTAGGTTTTTGTCAATGTTCTTTATTGAGTTGAGGACATTCCCCTCAGTTCTTATTTTTCTGAGTTTCTTTATGAATAGGTATTGAATTTAATTTTTTGTTTTCATAAAATACACGTAACTTAAAATTTACCATTCTAAGCAGTATAAACTGTACATTCAGTAACATTTAGGACATTTACAATGTTGTGCAACTATCACCGCTGTCTAGCTCCAGAATATTTTTACCACCCCAGAGGGAAGCCCAGACTGTTAAACAGCCAGTCATTCCCCATACCCCCATCCCTCAAGGGTGCTGAATTTTGTCAAATACATTTTCTTCCTCAATTAATATGATTATGTGATTTTTCTTCTTTAGCCTGTTTATCAAGTGGATTACACTTATTGATTTTCACATATTGGAACTGCTTTTGCATCCCTGGAATAAACCCTACTTGATCATGGCATATAATTATTTTTATATATTGCTGAGTTTTATTTGCCAATATTTTGTTAGGAATATTTATATCTATATTTATGAGGAATATTGGCCTATGGTTTTCTTTTTTAACACTCTCTTAGTCTGTTACAGATGAATCATGTCATTAGCAAACAGGGGCAGCTATTACTTCCTTCCCAGTCTGAATTCCTTTTATTTCTTAGTCGGTTACAGACTAAGACAGAATTAGTTTTGTGTCAGGGTAATACTACCAATAGTATTGGGAAGCATTTGCTCCTGTTCTATTTTCTGGAAAAGACTGTGTAGAATTGGTGTTAATTCTTCTTTAAACATTTGGTACAATTTTCCAGTGATACTATCTCGACCTGAAGATTTCTTTTTGAGGAGGTTTTAAATTATGAATTCAATTTTACTAATGGCTATAGGCTATTTATTTCACATTCAGTGAATTGTAGTTGGTTTTGGAGGGACTCATCCATTTTATGTAAGTTGTCAAATTTATGTGTGCAGAGTTGTTCATAGTATTCTCTTGATTTCCTTCAGTCTTCAGGGTCTGCAGTCATATCCTGTTTCATTCACGATATTAATGATTTGTGTTTTCTCTTTTTTCTTTGTCAGTCTTGCTAAAGGTTTATCAATTTTATTGATCTTTTAAAAGAATCTGCTTTTTTGTTTCATTTATTTTATCTATAGTTTCTCTGTTTAAAATTTCATAAATTTCATTCTGCCTTTATTTTTATTATTCCCTCCTGCTTGCTTTGGGTTTATTTTGCTCTTCTTTTCTAGATTTTTGAGGTGTAAAAATAGATTAATGACTTAAGATGTTCCCTCTTCTGTGATGTAGGCATTTAGTGCTATCCACCATCTTCTCAGCACTATTTTAGCTGTATCCTACTAATTTTGGTATATTGCATTTTCATTTTTCTTTTCATTTAGTCTAACGTTGTTTATATATCCCTTGAGATTTCCTATGAGTCATGGATTATTTAGAAATGTGTTGTTTTGTTTTCAATTGTTTAGAGATTTTCTTATTATCCTTCCACTGTTGGTTTCTAGTTGAATTCCATTACAGTCAGAGAACATGCTCTACAAAATTTCAATTGTTTTAAAAATTTTGAGGTTTATTTTAAGGCCTACATACAGTCTATTTTGGAATATGTTCCACGGGCATTTGAAAAGAATGTGTATTTGGCCAGGCACAGTGGCTCACGCCTGTAATCCCAGCACTTTGGGAGGCCGAAGTGGGCAGATCACGAAGTCAGGAGATGGAGACCATCCTGGCTAACACAGTGAAACCCCATCTCTACTAAAAATACAAAAAAATTAGCCAGATGTGGCGGTGTGCGCCTGTAGTCCCAGCTGCTGGGGAGGCTGAGGCAGGAGAATGGCATGAACCCGGGAGGCAGAGCTTGCAGTGAGCCAAGATCATGCCACTGCACTCCAGCCTGAGCGACACAGCAAGTCTCTATCTCAAAAAAAAAAAAAAAAGAAAAGAAAAGAAAAGAAAAGAATATGTATTCTTCTTTTGCTGCATGGAGTTTTCTCCATCTGTTGAATAGATAACGTTCTTTGATGGTGTTGCTGAGTTCTATATCCTTACTAATTTTCTGTTAGTAGTTCTGTGAATTATTGAAAGTAGTTCTATGTTGGAATAGTAGTTCTATGAATTGTTGAAAGAAGTGTAGATTTATATATTTCTCATTTTAGTTTGATCAGATTTTGCTTCACATATTTTTTGGCTCTTTTGTTAGGTACATACATGTTTAGAATTGCTATGACTTCTTGGTGGGTGACCCATTCATCCTTATATAATGACCCTTTCTGTCTCCAGCAATTTTCTTTGCTCTAAAATATACTTTATCTGGTATTAATATACTTATTCCTGCTTTCTTTTTTTTGATTGATGTTTGTGTAAGGTATCTTTTCCCGTCATTTTACTTCCAGCCTACACATATCATTATATTTGAAGTGAGTTTCTTATAGACAGCATATAGGTGGGTCATATTTTTAGTGTATTCTGTCCATCTCTGTCTTTTAATTGGTATATTTAGACCATTTGCATTTTCACATAATTATTGACATGTTAGGGCTTAAGTTGTCCATTTTATGTTTTGTTTTGGTTTTCTGTTTGTTCTCACTATTTTTAGTATATCTGAGCTTTTTTCCCTTTCCTATGGGTTATTTAAAGTTTTTTAGAATTCCAGCTTGATTTGTCTATAGTGTTTTTTTTTTTATTTTTCTCACTCTGTCACCCAGGCTGGAGTGCAGTGGTGCGATCTCCGCTCACTGCAAGCTCTGCCTCCCAGGTTCACGCTATTCTCCTGCCTCAGTCTCCCGAGTAGCTGGGACTACAGGTGCCCGACACCACGCCCAGCTAATTTTTTTTCTATTTTTAGTAGAGACAGGGTTTCACCATGTTAGCCAGGATGGTCTCGATCTCCTGACCTCGTGATCCGCCCACCTCGGCCTCCCAAAGGGCTGGGATTACAGGTATGAGCCACCATGCCCAGCCTATAGTGTGTTTTGAGTGTGTCTTTTTGTATAGCTTTTAAAACGGCTATTTGATGTATTACATTATATATACATAATTTAGTGTACTGATGTTAATATTTTACCAGTTTAAGTAGAGTACAGAAAACTCATGCCCCTTCAAGCTACTTTACCCTCCTATATTTGTAATACAATTGTCTTAAATATTTTCTCGACATGCATTCAGAAATACATCAGACAATATAATTTTTGTGAAAACGGTCAAATATAATTTAGAAAACCAAAAATGAGAAGGAAATGTTTACCAATATTTTTTACTCCTACTGTTTTTCTCTTCCTTTCTGATGCTTCAAGATTCCTTATTTTTAATATTTTCTTTCTGTTTAGAGAACTTCCTTTAATCATTCTAGGGTAGGTCAGCTATTGTCAAATTCTGTTACTTTTCTTTCATTTGAGAATATCTTAATTTCCTTTGTTCCTGAAGAATATTTTACTGGAAATAGAATTCTGAGTTGATAGTTATTTTCTTTCAGCACTTGAAAAATGTGCCACTTTTGACCTCTGTGCTTTCTAATGAGAAATCTGTCGTCGTTCTTATTTTTTTTCCCTATAGGTAGGAAGGGGTCTTTTCTCTCCCAACTACTTTTAAGATTTTTTCTTTGTTTTTATTTTTCAGGAGTTTAACCGTGATGTGTCGTGGTGTGGATTTTTTTGGTTTATCCTATTTGAGTAACTCAGCTTCTTGAATTCGTAAGTGTGTGTCTTTTGCCAGATTTAGGGAGTTTCAACCATTGTATCTTTGAGTCCTTTTTAAGGCCCACCTCTTTCTCCTCTCCTTCTGAGACTCAATAACATGAATTAGATGTTTTGTTACAGTCTCACAGGTTCCTGAGGGATTGTTCTTTTTGTTTTCATTTTCAATCTATTGTAGCTTTGTTGTTCAGATTAAATAATTTCTATAGTTTCTCTTGGAGTTCATGGATGTGTTCCTTTGTCCCCCCATGCTGCTGCTGAGCTCCTGTATTGTGTTATTTGTGCAGTATGTTATGAAATTCTGAATGTGAGTTGAAACCTTCTGGTTTAGCTGGCGGCTTCTGACACCACTCTGGCAGGCACAGTGTGGAAGGTGGGAGTAGGAGTCCAGGTTCCCCCGAAGGCTCCTGCTCCCTGTGCAGCCTCCACTGACACCACGGGGTGGAAGGGGCTGGTTACTGCCTGGTGGGGATGAAGGTCCTGGCCCCTCACTGAGCCCTCTCTGATACCACTCATCAGGGAGACAGGGAGATTGGGCAACTCATTACAGCCTGGCCAGGGTGGAAGTCCAGGCTCCCCACTCGGCCTTTGATGGTGTGAGTGGGAACAAGCCACCATTTTTTATATGGTGTTTGGCTGGAGTAGCTGGTTATTGTCTAAAATTTTATGTCTATTTTGCAGAGAACAAAACAGAATTTGAGAGGGTGACTCTGTCCCAAGTCTCACGGCTGGGAGGAGCGGAGCTGTCTTGATGGCGCCCAGCACCCGCACAGCTCCCGGAGAAGGGGCTGGCTCCCACAGCTGGAGAGTGACCTGCCAGCTCCCTGCTGAAAAGCCTCTTTGGTCCTCCTTTCTCCTCCAGAAGGAAGTCCCACCTCCTCAGCCTGGCATCCAGGGCCCCTCTCAGACTGACTCTTCTGAAAGTATCAACCATGCCAACCCTTGCTTCAAATCCCAGTTTCCTGCACTGGGAATGGAACCCATGCCCCAGGCTGCAGGCTTCTCTGGCCTTTTCACTTTGCTGGCTCACTTGGCTCCATCATGCTGGCCTTTCTCCTGCCTGGAACACAGCAAATCCATTCCTGCCACAGGGCCTTTGCTCTGCTGCTCTCCGCCCTAGACAGCTGTCAGCACATCTGGCTTCTCCTTGTTGGCTACCTTGGCAGACAGACTTCTCCAGCACCCCACTACATTTGCATGATGTCCCCATCCCACCAGCCCTGCTTTATATTCTTCATATATATGCATCCAGAATGGATCATCTTGTCTCCGCCCAGGCCCAGTAAGTAGCTGCTGCAAGAATAAATGGACATGTGCTGAGGGCTGGCTGGCTCCAGCTGCTTGGATATCTCTGCTGGGCTATCTGGAGCAGCTCAGGCTGGTTAGCCATGGCCTCTGCCCTGGGAGAGTGTCCACACGGGGCCAGGGGCCATGCTTGTTGGCAGAAGGACCCAGTGAAGCCCAAGAACTAAGGAAGCTGCTAAAACCCCCTGCTGAATAGATGACATCTGTCCCTCCCTGATGCAGTGTTGACTAGAGCCTTGTCCCTCCTGAGAAAAAACAGCCTGGGCCCTCCGTGCACAGATGAGTCCCACCCCTGGCCCACGGACTCCTTGTCTGTAGTAGGTGGACCTGGGCCTCCGAGTGCAGGGTGGGAGCAAGGCCCGGTTCCTCATCCTGCTCCTGTGCATCCCTGGCCATGTATCTTGCCCTCTCTGGCCTCCATTTGCTGCCCTGTAAAGTGAGGCACGAAGTCTCAATGTTCTTACAGTTCTCCATGCATGTGCCTCACCTGGTGGCTGGATTCAGGCTGCCCAGAGGCTGCAGCCTGGACAGAGTGGGCCCATAGCAGCTGAAAAAGGACAGCAGCTGCTCATTAAAATGGAGCTGCATGTTTTGGGTGCCCCATACTGGGAAAGAAGTGAGGACATCTGGGCTCTTCTGCCTGGGGCCTTTGCACCCAGGCCAGGCCGGCCTCTTCTAGGCCTCCAGGTTCATCTCTGTGTAGCTGAGTGAGCTCTGTTGGTCAGTACCCTCAGAGTCTGGGCAGTCGCAGAGTCAGGAACTGGCTAGGGAGGTTCTTCATGAGTGTCCCTCCCTCACTGTCATCTCCCCAGGAGACAGGAGCCCCAGAGTGACGTCCTGCCTGCATCCTCCAAAGCTGGAGTGGAGCCTGCGGGTGACACGTGTGTGAACACTTGTCAGTCATGCATTGGGATGGATGGAGCAACAAATGGGTACAGATATGCTGGTGAGGGGCTCCTGGTCATTACTTAAGGGTTTATTGAGGATCATTTAAGAGTTGATTGATTATTGGAAGTTGCATATCTGCAGCCATCTTGCTGTCACACATATGCTTGGGAGATGCAGAGAGTACAGGAATGCAGCACCCTCAAGGAGCGGGTGCGGTTTGAAGCCCCTGCATTATGGAGGGACCCAGAGGGTGATCGATAATGCAGACGGCGTTTATGAGAGCAAATGAGGGAGCGAGAGTGCCGGGCACGGCCAGAGCACAGCAAAGGCTGCACGCCCCACCACTGCCCCTGGGCCCAGCCCTGGATGTGCACAGCCTGAGGCTGCCCACATCCCGCGCCTCCAGCTTGGAGTTTCCCGGGCCAAGGGGAACGTGGGGGTGGGAAAATGTCACTTCTCATTTCCTTTGACCAGCTCTAGACGAAACAGAGCTTGCTTTTCTGAGAGGCTCCTAATTAAATGATAAAAATGTTTACCTTCACGGTGACTTTGCCAACTCCCATCCACCTCTCCCTGGCCCGGCTCCTGGCTCTCTGCAGAGCCTGGAGGACGCAGAATGACAAGTCGTCTCCAGGGGCAAGCAGCGCACCTCCAGAGCAATGAGATTGTGCACCCTCATTTTGGGGAGATTTATGGCTGGCTCCTGGGGCATTCCAGCTCAGAACTCTGTGGCCCAGATTCGTCTGCTGGGGAAGTTCCTGTAAGCGGAGCCTCCATACGAATTCCAGTTACAGTCAGATGAGATCCCATTCATAAGGGCTGCCTTCGACAGGCTGCTCTTCTTCTGCCCTGGCCTGTCCTTGAGCTGCCAAAGCTGCCGCCAGCCTTTGAGAGAAAGGAAATCACGTCGGGCTGGGCCACGGTTTCCTGGCAAGCGGGGGAGGCGAGGACAGGGGCTGTGCCTGGAGCTGAGGGGCGCTGGGGCCCGCGTGGAGCAGGAATGTGCAGGCTGTGACAGTCCTGCAGCTCTAGTCTGGGACCATCCTCTGTACCCCCCGCAGACTCTTCTGAAAGGGTGGGGATGTGTGGGGTGGGGACGTGCGGACACTGCCATGGTCTGAGGTCTGAGGTCTGGGGTCTCCTGACCTTGTTTCTGAAATAACCCCTAGTGTTCTGGAACCAGAGCCCAAGGCCTTGATGGACCAGGAGGCTTCGCAACCGCAGCCTGCAGAGATCCCTGGATGCACCAGGGCCTGGGTCTCCGGTGCTGTGGCAGCACCTGCTCTGACCACAGGCCACAGCTCCTGGGGGTCCTGGGTGAGCGGTCCGTGGGCGACCTCCACACAGCCATTAGTGCATCTGCAGATGGATGTTCCCCCCAGCCCAAGACCCCAAGGACTAAATATAAACCCAAGGAAGCAATTATCCAAGTATTGATTATGGATTAGGCTAACGACATTACCAATCACATCTAAAGATGCGCCAGCCTGTTAATGGTGTGCATGAGGGATTAAGGCTGCTAATTAGGAAATACAGTAGGTTATCCCCAGCTTTAATTACAGAGTCCAAGGAGAAGGGAGATGGCTTCCTGAAGACCCCGTGGCAGGGGCCTGGTGGGCTGCATCCATCACCCGCAGCCTGGAATTAGGAAATTCTTATTGTCTCCAGACCCACTGAAGTCTGGAGGGGGCCCAGAAGGGGAGAAGGGGCTGAAAGGCCGCAGAGCACCGGGAAGGAGGCTGAGGCCTGTGCCAAGTGGGGCCATGGCAGTCATGAGAAAGGGATGCTCTGGGGATTGTAGACAACCTAGGAAGCCCCAAGTCCCTTCCTGAGAGGAACAGGGGTTCCTGTAAAGGTCCTGCTCCAGATTCCATCCCTCACAGATGCACAGGGGTGGAAGTTCTGGCCGCACGCGCTGGGCCAGGCCTTTGTTGCCTTGGTGGTCAGGGCCTGGGCCTCTCCATCCAGGGCAGGAGGCAGGGCACGTTGGTTTCCTCCATCTCTGGGGTTTTCCTGCGCTCCCCCTCGGCTGGGACCACCTCTCTCCTTCCCGTGCCACCCCTGCCTGTGTCTTGCCTGCCTATTGGTTTCTGCTCAGCGTCACCCGGGAAGTCTCCCCTGCCTTTCCCGATGAGAAGCCCCTCTCTATGCTCAAGGAGGGCCCTCTGGGTGGCCGTGGTGGAGGGCTGAAGCCCAGTTTCCCGCCCCAGATCATACCTCAGTAAACAGCGACTGAGCAGGAGAATCTTTTCCTCATTATATTTTCATTTACTGTACAGGTGCTCCTCAACTTTGAGGGGGTTACATCCTGATAAACTCATCATATGTTGAAAATAAGGTGAGTTGAGAGTGCATTTAATCCACCCAATCTAGCAAGCATCACAGCTGAGCCCAGCCCGCTTAAGCGCGCTTGGAGCACTCACTTTCACCTACAGTTGGGCAGAATCAGCCAGCGCCACAGCGTCCTGGAGTAGCAGCTGTTTGGCCTGCAGTCATATGTTGGCCGAGAGCTGTGCTCACGCCACTGCCCAGCATCTGAAGGGATCATTGTATTGCATATCACCAAATCTGAAGTTCGTGTTCTACCGAGTGCATATTGCGGTCACACCAGTGTAAAGGTGAAAAATCACAAGTCCTAAGAATCCGAAGTCATTAATACATTTTTTGTTAAAAATACAGACCTTGATTAAAATTGTTTCCACTTTGCCACCGTCCATGAGGCCAGAGGAGGCATGGGCGGAGATGAGTGTCAGTGCCTCTAGAGCCTCCTGAGCGCATGAGCCCACAGGTCGTGCCCACAGAAACACAGAGTGCTGCTTTCTTTTTCTTTCATTTTCTTTTTTTGAGGAGTCTCACTCTGTCACCAGGCTGGAGTGCAGTAGCGCGATCTCGGCTCACTGCAACCTCCGCCTCCCAGATTCAAGCGATTCTCCTGCCTCAGCCTCCCGAGTGGCTGGGATTACAGGCACGTGCCACCATGCCCAGCTAATTTTTGTATTTTTAGTGGGTTTCACCATGTTGACCAAGATGGACTTGATCTCTTGACTTTGTGATCTGACTGCCTCGGCCTCCCAAAGTGCTGAGATTACAGGCGTGAGCCACCCCCTGCCCCCAGCCCAGAGCACCGCTTTCTGTGCCTCTCATTTACACGACACCGAATCTATGTGCCACCACTTAGCCGTCTAGCTGATGTTCATGCAGGTTCACCACCTCCCAGGTGCCAGCTAGGAGAGCATGCTGTGCGAGCAGCATGTGATCAGACAGGGCCCCTGGGCACCTGTCTCACCTCAGCGAGGAGCATGGTGCACATTGAGGGGCAGTGGTTAGCAAAGGCTGCTTTGGGAAGCGGCCTCAGGGCCGGCTCCAGTGGGGAGAACAGAGTGAAGGATGCGTGGCAGCCTTGAGGTGGATGAGAGGTCAGAGA
Source organism: Homo sapiens (assembly GCF_000001405.40). Taxonomy (NCBI): domain Eukaryota; kingdom Metazoa; phylum Chordata; class Mammalia; order Primates; family Hominidae; genus Homo; species Homo sapiens. The sequence goes on along the minus strand of NC_000010.11, from coordinate 42,938,462 downwards.
AAGGCCATAGGAGAGCAGAGGGCCCAGGAGCTGGGCTGGGGGCAAGGGCAGGCAGTGAAGGAGGGGCCAGGGAGGGCCTGGAAGGCAGGGAGTGGGTTTATCTTGATTCCAAGAGCAGTGGGTCTGGTGTGCACGGAACATTTTCACTGACCTTGGAGATCATCCTGTGTCTACCTCATTGTAGACGTTGTCTACCTCATTGTAGACGTTGTCCACCTCATTGCAGCATTGTATTCCATGGCATGGGCGTACACACATGGATGCACACACACAAACGCACACATGCACGTGCGCAAACATAGGCACATAGTTTCCTTTTACCATTTTCTTACAAATGGTATTTTCATTTGCTTCTAGACCTTTCAGTTTTCACGCAGGGTCCCAGGCAGTGCTGCTGGGCATCTGTGTACCTGCTCTCATGTATACTGGGGGAGCCTTGGGGGAGTCTGAGGATGGAAGTGCCAGCTCCTGGGTGCATGAGTGGCACATCAGTAAGCACTGCCTGGAAGCCCCAGGGCAGCTCCACCCCTTTACAATCCCTGGCAATGAAGAAAACACCTGCTCCCCACTCCTGCACCCTTCCCAGGTGTTATGAACTCAAAACATTTGCCAGCTGATGGAAACTTAGTGCTGACCTGGGCGTGGCTCAGGATCCCTCAGTGGCCATGGCCATGGCCGTGGTGAGCTTGCCCACCTCCCACCTTGTGTTTGCGCTTGCCCTTGTTCTTCTTGGCCTGTGCCTCACGCTGCATTGTTAGTCTTTTCCTACTGGTTGGTAGGACTTGTTTGTATTTTCTGGCCACTTGTACGCATGGCAAATTATTTCTCCATTTGGTAGAAAGACTTCAAGCTTGTTTGTGGAATCTTTTATCATACGGAAAATTTTCATTTTGGTGAAGTCAAGTTTATCACTATTTTCATTTATTGATTTTTGTGTGCTAATTAAGAAGATTCTTAACCTAAGTTTATAAACTTATCCTCTTGTTTTTGACTCTAAGACTTAGATAAAGGCAACTGTGGATGTTGCATGTGAGAATTAGTCCACCCAAAATGTATTTTGTGAAGGGTATAAGATAGAGATGCAACTGAATGTTTTCCGGGGCGGGGGGATGGACATTTGGCGATGCTTGTGGGTTAGGAAGCCAGTGTGGAGCTGGTGGTTCCTGCAGGGGTGGGCTGATGGGGTTCTCCAAGCCTGGCAGGAGGAAGTCCAGGCTCAGGACAGGGGTCCGAGTAACAGCCCTAATAGCACCACTTACTAGGTACAGTCAATTATGTCCTCTCCGCAGGACACAGATTTCCATCTATAAAATGGGAACGATTGCTGTCCCTATTCCTGAGTACAGACAAGGCTGGTGTAAGCAGCAGGGGGTGATATGAGTGTGCTCTGCCAATGGGGCCAACGGCTGTGATGGTGCACCCTGCCCTCACCACGGGCCTGGGGGGCAGCAACAGTAGCCTCACTAGCACCCACTTCCCTATGGTCTCCCAGGTGTCCCAGGGTACAGGTCGGGTGGAATTGTGGAAAACCCAGCACCTCCCCCAGGTTTGTATAGTCCTTGAGGGGCACGTATTCTCCTGGTCACCTGTGATCTGAAGCTCCTATTGCTGCCAGCTGAGTTCATGGAGTCGTTTCACTGTGGACGTCTCTGTGTTCCCCAAATCCCACCGTGGAGCTCCAAGGCCGAGTGTGAGGCAGCCTTCGGGGAAGGGTGCATGTTGCACTTTGGCAAACACCTGAAGGTGCTCAGTGGACAGTGGCCTCCTGCTCCTGCTGAGGCTGCCGCTCTGTGCTGTTCCTTCCTGCACCTTCCTGCAGTGTTCCAAGAGATGCCCGATGTTCCCATACTTCTTTCCAGACAGGTCCACTCTTTTCAGCCCCGCTCTTGCCTCTACTTCCAACCTACCACTGCATGTCCGCATTCATCAAGCTACTTGTCCAAATGAAAACAGACACCCGTAGAGACCTTAGGGCTCCTTTCCATGGGTGCTGGTCTCTCCTGAAGGCAGCAGTGACTCCTGAAGGCATCTCTCCCTATTTACATAGTGGTCACAGTCATTTTCCTGTCTTTTGAGGGGGTCCACTGGACAGGAAGGATACAATGGGAAGGGTATCAAGAATGACAGCCAGCCCTGTGTGTGTCCCTGGGCTGTGTGAGGATGGCCCAGGTGGTCAAGGGTAGGGATTTATAGATGGAAAGAGAGAGCACAGAAGAATTAAAACTGCCCCCACCCAACTCTTTTCTGCAAAGTGCAAGGTGTGCAAGGAAATATTGGGTATTTACTTGTTCATTCACTTGCTGAATTCATTCATTCAGCAGGTGGGGGTGTGGGGTGGGGTGCAGGGGACCTAGGTAGGGGGAGCAGACACAGCACCCCCTAGGACAGTGTGCTCTAGTGCGGGAGAGTGAGTTTAGACAAAGGATGGCAGAGCTGAAGGGGCTGTTGACACAAAGATGGGGAAGCTGAGCCTCCTGCTTGTTCTCTCTCCCCGAGCCCCTCAGGGTGGGGCACACCTCCTTATCTCCGTAGGTGTTCTCTGGAAAAAGATATCGACGGGAGTGGAATTTATCAGCTAAAACTTACTCTTAAAAAGAAATCGAACGTTTCCAACCACTGGAAGCACCTCCTCTCCCCTCACTGACTCTGTGCTGAAGACTTGGTGCTTCTCCCCTTCCCCCTAAGTCTGGGCATGGACACAAAGCCAGGACAGTCACTGAAGGATGTCTTGCAGCAGCGGCTTTCCATGGCCAGTAGGACCAGCATGGGTGGAGGGCAAGCTGAACGACACGGAGGTGAAGATGAGATGAGAGCCCAGTCACAGGGGGCGTGCCGGGAGCCTCGGTGCCCAGGAGAAGCAGCTGGGTGCATCCAGGCCTGGAGACCCCCAGGAGACCTCACAGGCCTCTGAGTCCAAGAGATGGTTTGGTCTTTGGGGCCAAGGGGGAAAGGAGAGTGTAGGAGGGAGGAGTGACAGGGACCAAGAGAAGCCTCTTTGCTCTCGGCCTGTCCACCACTGGGGGCTTTGACTGAACCACCTAGGTGACCTCCACCAGGGAGGGAGACCCCATACCTTATGGGGCCTGATTTGTCCGAGGGGACTCAAAACATGTTGGTGGAGAAGAGGTAGAGCTGGCCAGCCTCTAGTTCCTGCTTCGCTCCTCTGTGTGTGTGTGTGTGTGTGTGTGTGTCTGTGTGTCTCCCATGTATGTGTGTCTGCATGTTGCCTGTGAGTGTGTCTCCTGTGTGCAGAAGCAGAGCATGACAGAAACAGCAGGAAGACAATCTGGTGCCCTCAAGGGTGGCTTTCTTGGCCATCTTGTTAAAAAATGGGTAATGACAGTGCTAGACCATCATTAAATATAATGTGGACCGGACGTGTCCTCAGCTGACATTGCTGATTAGGGACTATTGCACAACATGGCCAAGAGTTACCATTTTTTTTCGTTTTGGGACATGAATTGGGGTACTGGGGATCACATGGGGCCCTAAATCTCCCCACCACTTCCTCCTCCCCACTGCTTTTGCCCTGGCCTCTCACAGGCCAGGACCCAAGTCATACTCCTCCTGTCCTGGCACCTAAACAGGCCTAGTGTACACAACAGGTGCTCAATGCATGCTTGTCAAAGACTAGAATGAATTCAAGGAGAGCAAACACCCACCAGCTGCACCAGCCAGGACCCCAACACTGACCTGGGGCATCGGTAGAGTCTGTTTAGAGGCGTAAGTGGGGCTTAGGAGACTGGAAAGGACAGGGAAACGTGACCTCTTTGAGGCCTGATGGGACAACAGCAGGTGTGGCTGTCGCCTTAGAGACGGCCCTGGCAGGAGCAAGGAGCAGGCTTTGGTAGAGAAGGCCACCCCCACGGCTGCCGCGGGGGTACCTGGGGAGAGAGCTGCTCCCAGATGGGGTGGGACCTGGAGAGTGAGCTGCTTCCAGGTGGCTCTGAACCCTGCTGGTGCTCCCACTGTCCAAGCCCAGTGGGAGCTGAGGCCAGAGAGCCTGCTGGGTGACAGAAGTGTGTGGAGTGTGGCCTCCACCCTCCTTGGAGCCAGCCATGGCAGGCAGCAGGAGAACAGGCTAGGCCCCTGACCTGCCCCCAGCCCTGGACCCTGCCAGGTTTGGGGGCCTGGCTCAGAGCTTCTCCCGGCCCCGAGACTGGGTGACATCAGGATTTACAGGCTCCCCATTCGATCTCAGTGGGGCTGGTGGGCAGCCATAAGGAGGCAGCAGTAGGGAGTGGGTGCATATCTGGGCATTTGGCCAGGTGCCGGGAGAGGAAAACGGAAACCTGCTCCTATTCCTCTACAGCTGTTGACGTCAGCCGGTGACATAACCCGGCCCTGCAGGTGGAGGGCGTGAGAAGTTCAAATAGCTTAAGGGGGGGTAGGGGAGTGAATGGAGTCAGCAGTGGGGTCTGTGCCAGGAGCGCTGATGCTGAGCTCTGGACGGCCGCTGAAAAGGCCGGGGGAGGAATAGACTTGCGCAGCTGTCGGGGGCTGTGACCCCTGCGCTGCGCTCAGGGAGGATCCGGCTGCAGCTGGGCTACCTTTGCTTGTGTTGGGGAGGAAGTGCCTGGGCACGGCGTGCGGGGTGCAGGGAAGCCGCAGGTGCAGGCCCGCTTCCTCCACAGGGGCTCCTCTCAGTAAGGCTGAGACCCTTCCCTTTCTTAGCGAGGGAAGACCCGGTTCCCGTTGTCCCGTACAACCGCGGCCCTGCTCCTCCTCGCCTGTTTCCAGCCTCTCCCCGCTAGGCCGCCCTCCACGCGGGATTTCCGAACAAAAGTCCAGGCGCATCACTCCATTCAGACCTTCCTGGCTCCCGGGGCCTGGGAAGGCCGGCGGAGCCAGGAGCAGAGGCCCGTCCCGCGCTTGGCGGGTTCTGCGGACGCCTGTGCCCTGCCGCGTCGCTTCGGACAGACAGGACTGGGCGGAGGAGCGTGGTCTCCATAGCCCAGCGCCCCGCCCCAGGGCCTGCCCTCGGCTCTTCCGCCCCGGGCGGGCATCCTGCCCTCCTGCAGGGCTGTGCTCCCCTGCCTACCCCAGCTCCCCTTCGTAGCCCAGCCTCTCCCTTTTTCCCGAGACCCTATTCCCCTGAGATGTCCCTGGGCCCCGACTTCCCTTTGCCTCAGGTGTCCACAGGTGTCTGTCCCAGGCCAGACTGGACAGAGAGGCAGAGAGGCTTACGCCCGTCGGGGTCTTAGGGAGCTGCCCGCAGCGCGCTGGCCCTGCCCGGAGCGCGTGATTCTTAATGGAAAGGCCCATATGCAAACGGTGGTGGCAGGAGGGACGAGCGCAGCGGGGACACCAAGACCCAGCCACATCTGGACACGGCGACCCCGGGGCAGCATGTGGGCACGGATGGTAACTGTGCAGGACGCATGGTGACCAGGAGCAAAGACGGGGCGAGCGCAGGCAGGGCGTGCTGCCAGCCAGAGCGCAGCATTCCCCCAGGGTGCCGGACTAAGCCGGAACCCGCTGAGACTGGGGGCGCGGGAGCACAGGGCTGGGGAGCAGGAGGCACCGGCTTTCCTCAGCAGGGCCCTCAGACCCCGCCCCGCCCCGCCCACAGCCCCCGACCCTACACTCAGGCCACGCCCTCCGCAGGAGGCCCCGCCCTCTCCACGGGAGCCCCGCCCCGGCCCCATGCACTCCCTCTTCACAAACGCAGTTCTTCAGCCTTAGGTGATAGAGAATTGGCAGGCTGCGGAGGGCGTTAGAAAGCCCAAAATCCCGGGCGCCGGGAGGCAATAAGAGCAGAAGATGAAGGGCTTGGAGCCAGGGATGAGCCTGAGGTTTTAGGGGAGGACAGAAAATCAGAGAATGAGAGTCGAGTAGGCTCCTTTAGCCTCTTGCAGACAAGCGGGTCGAGATTAGGATGGAGCTGGTGGGGGCCTTTCTTCTTTTGGTGCAGGGGTTTGCCCAGGAGACCAGGGCTAGGAGCCGACAAGAGTCAACGCCCAGCAGGCTACCCCGAGTGCCGCCAGGTCAGTCAGGCCCCTGGAAGGAAGGAGCCCGCTATGTCCGAGGTAGGACAATCTGCTGCTGCTTCTCCCTCCCGGGAAAGGCCAGGGATACCCAGAACCAAAGGACAGGGCCACAGTGAGGCCTCGGCCAGGTTTGCCCACCTAGTGCTCTGCAAGCCCTGGGGGAGCGCAGGTCCCTCCCACAGCTCATGGCCTCCGGGCCTCCTTGTCCTGCCTTACTTCAAGGTGCCCTGGCCCGCCCTGATCACGGTGACCACGCAGGGCCCAGGCCTTATCCAAGGGAGAACCCTGTCCTGACCACTGGCCACCCACCTCCCACATCCTCACAGCCACTGTCCTGGGTTCCACCCCAATGACCACCTTTCCTCCAGGCCCTTCCAGGCCACCCTTCAGCTGTCCTTGAGTGATGGCCATGCAGGCAGAGTTTACAGGAGAGGGGTCAATGGATCAATGACCCACAAAGTCCTTTCCTCGTGTCGCCTCCCAGCTCCCTTTACTCACTGCCAACTTTTCCTCTCAATTCTGATGAAAATGAACAGAGAGGCTCTGAGAGGCTCTGCAACAGATGAACACATTTAACTGGGGGCGAGCAGTACTTCTTAGCCTATTTGAACCCAGACCCTTTCTCGTCTAACACATTGTAAGGAATGCTAACTAAAGTCCAGAGCCCACCATTTATTCCTTCAGCATTTGAGTGCCTCCTTGGGCCTTTCTTGGTCTCCAGTCCGATGACTCCCTCCTGCTGGGCGTTGCTCCTTCATTACTTGCTCCCTGCCTCCTGCCAGGGACTCCGAAGATTAGCCCTCAGGAGAGTGCTGGGCCTCGTTGGCTCTGTATCCCTCCCCACTCCCACCCGTCTGCATAACATTTCTATCAACAGCCATCAAGAGATGCTGGTGAAGCCACTTTTCCTGCTCCTCCCACCTGCTCTAGGAAGCACCCCAGGAGGCCTGGGAGAACACACAGTGGGGGTTTCCTTCTTGGGAACTTCCAGGATTATTGCATCCATGTGTACAGGCTGCCAGAGGTGGGTGAATGTGGTAGCCCCTGATCCAGTCTGGGGGCTCCTTAGAAGCAGGAATTTAATGGAGAGGGGAGTTCAGCCCTGAGACAGGACTGCTCATCTGAGGAATGAATGAGGCTGGAGGAAGGTCAGTGAGCCCCCAGTATTGAGGGCCGACACAGCATCCTCCATGAGAAACAGAGACAGGAAGGAAAGAAAAGACAGTGAAATAAATGCATCCACGGAGGAGAGAGGAGTGGCTGAGGACTCTCAATGTGTTCTTCAGTTTTTTCAGACATTTTTGGAACTCACAGGAAAGCATGTAGAATAATTCAGCTTGAGCCTCACCAGGTCTTCCCAATGGTGCAGGCTGTACATGCTCCACCCTGGTCAGGTCTGCAGGGTAGTGGCTGCTCTGAGAAGGGCAAGTGCAGCAGGAGGCCCCTGGAGTGGGCGGCTAGGACTAGGCGGCAGGTGCTGATAGCAGGCTGATCCCTAGGCTGACAGGGGCCATGTGGGAGACGCGGTGGGAACAGGTGACAACTACACAGTGGGGTGACAAAGGTGAAGGAGGCAGAGGGCTGGGTAGGTATGGGGTACACTGTGACCCATGCCTTCCCCTGCGCTCCCCACCCCCTCCCCACTATAAGCACTGGTTGCAGGGCCCAGCTTGTCCCAAACCATAGCTGGTGGCACCTCCCCTTTCCTGGGTGGGACCTTCTGAAAATGAGGGTGCGGGGGCAGGGGGTGGTATTCATGGGCAAAGGTGTAAGAAGGCTGAGCTCAGGCACGGATGCAACCAGCCAGCACGAGCCCCCCACACCCATGCTGGGCTCCTCGAGGTGCGGACCTCCCCACACCCTACCTACACAAGTTGGCCCTAAACCCTGACGGAAGGTCAGTACTCAGCAAAAAATAAAGCAAGTGAAATCAGGCCACTGGACTCAGCACTTTCTTGGGTCTTTAAAACTTTGGTCACCCTTGATCATGGGAAACCATACACCATATTCAGGCACCATGCTGGCAACTCTACTCCCAGGATATGGGCTTCAGAACCAAGTCAGATGGGAACCCATCCCCAGCCTCTGGATCCTCCTTGCTCAACTGGAAGAAAGAGCAGGGCTTAGTCTATGCTTTGCCTGGGGGGAGAAGATCTTGCTTATTTCAGAGCTTCGAAGACCTTGGCCTGCCACATGTAATCCACACTCTGAGAGCCACAAGCGTCATTCGCTCTCACCATCGCCTGTGGGGTTGTCACCCGAGGGCCAGCTTCAGAGACAGCTGCTCTCCTCTGCAGGTGCAGCATCCACCTGACGTCACTGGAACTGGGGAAAGACACTTTTCTGGACAGCCAGGGACGAGGGCAGTGGCCTTCCAGCAGAGCCACCTGCCGCAGCCTGACAGATTGATGTAAGGAAGGTGGAAACAGTCTGTTCCTGGCCTTGTCCTACCAGGGGAGGAGGATTGAGAAATGTGTCTGGTGTTGGTGCTACAGGAGAATGCATAAGTAGCCAATTCACTTACTGGAAAAGAAATGACCTAATCTGCCAAGCGGCCTGCATCCTAATGGGCAGACCATGCGGCAGAGTGGGAGGGCAAGCAAGGGGCCTGGCCCATGCCCTGGGTGGGGTCTGGGGGACCGAAGGCCCTTGGGCCTTCAGTCTCCACCCTGTCTGGCAGGAGCAGAGCCCCTTTGAAAGCAGCAGTGATTCTGAAAGTGCCACTCTTCAAGCCAAGAGCCCCCCATACCAGAGTCAAATGCACCCAAGAAGGAGCGGGACTTAAAGTGAACTCAGTGAGGGCGTCCCAGACAGGAAAGAGCCAGGAAAGCTTCCATGACAATGAAGCCCACTGTGTGTTTTTCAGAGTGTGTCCATCTTTCTTTTTTCTTTATTATGTCAGTAACATACAGTTGCCACAAATAAATAAGCAAAAAGGGGAAATAATAGACTCCTAGTAGCCCCACACACAGATGTGATGTTTGTGTGGGTGCCGCAACCCAGCGTTGGGACCTCTCTGCATGGGAATCACCTGAGGTTGTGCTGGGCTGCAGTTCTGTGATTCTGACAAGCTCCCAATGATGCAGAAACAGCTGGTCCGGGGACCACACTTTGAGTAGCAAGACCCTCACAGATGTTTAAAAATGTGTAGCATATACATTTTTGTTCTAAAATGTTTCCATTAAGTACATACTATTTTATAACATGACTCAATTCAGTAACTTATTACGACTTTTTTCCCACACCCGAAATATACTTCAATAACATAATTTTTAGTGGCTACTCAGAATTCCATTGTATCTAAGTTCCAGAACTTAGTTAACCAATCTCCTGTTATTGGACACAGGTTGTTTTCAACTTTATTATAAATAGCCCTTGCAAAGATCAACCTTCCACTAAATCTTACACACATCCTTAATTATTTCTTTAGAATTTCAGTAAGTAAAATTAAAGGCATTGCATAATTTTAGAACTTTCCATATGGATTACTAAACTGTCCTCTGAAAAGGTTTACCAACTAACACAGCCACTTGCAGTGTCCTGGTCACTCTCGTGTTAAACATTCCTGCAGGTAAGTAAAATGGAGTGACATTGCTCCATCAGAGAAGTCATACTTTCCCTGATGAAAAGCCTTGCTTCTCGCTCACTTATGACACATATATTCACCACCTGCTGTGCCGTGTGGCATCCTGATAAGCACTCGAGGGGCATGAAGATACCCAAAAGAGTCCAAGAAAAAACAGAGGCCTGATACAAACCATCCAAGCTCCCAAATTTTCTCCGAAGATGCTTAGATCTCTAAAGAGTTGCTCTCTGGGAAGGGCCTTCTGGGAGCCTCTATCTGTTGCCTTTGACTTACCAATGAGGCACCTGAAGGCAAGCAGCATGGTGAGCTGCGCGTCTTGGATCTCTAGGACACCAACCCGGATGTCTACCCTCCCATCCTTTCCCATTTCCCCGACACGTCGTCAATGCCCTTCACAGGCAGCACTCAGCTCCTCTGATGCCCCACACATATATTGGCAAATCCCAGAGTCCCAGGCTGTCCTGGAAAGGAAGAGGCAGCTATCCAGGGGGCCAAGAAAGGAGGTCCTGCGAGGTAAGAGGAGGGCAGCACGGGGCAGGCTACAGGGGCTGAGACATGGTATTGGCTCGAGAGGACCCACAGCTGTGTGTGGTGCTGGTCCCCAGGTCCTGAGGACCTGAAAGGCGCCTGCATGGAATGACCTGAGTCGGACTGCGCTGGCCTCTGGTGCCACCGGCCCTCCTGAGTCCCCGGCGGGCTGCTTGAGCCAAGGGGGGATGCTGACAGCAGCCCTGGAAGATGAACTCTCCAGGGCCTGTGAGGACCAAGGATGTCCAGCTGGTGGAAGCAGTAAGGGAGCTGGTGGCCACAAATCCAGATCAGGGCTGCAGGGGACAGTCACAATGGCAGACCCAGGAGACAGGCTCAGGAGAGCTCAGGAGACCTGTGCCTGACAAGGAGGGGTGGGAGAGTCAGCTGTCATGGGACATTTTCTCTTGGGCATTTATTATAGGGAACAGAAAAGGCAAGTTTTAGGGCAGACATGAAGAGAATAATCCAGGATGCTGAATTTGAAGTGCCTCTGGGACAGGCTGGTGGAGATGTTTGGGAGGAACTTGAACAAATTGGTCTAGAAAAGTAGGTCACTTAACCTCTCTGAATCCCAACATCCTCTTCCGTAAACCAGGGACCAGAGAGAAGACAGGCTGGGAGGCCTTGGTTTCTGAGGGCCTGAGGCAGCAGGAAGGGCAAATGCCCAGATCAGCAGCATGGGGGAGGGCTCAGCAGCAGCTCTGCCAGGGTTTCAGGTGTTCCCTGGGTAGGTGGGAAGGGCTGGGGAGGAGAGGTTGCCAAGGCAGAGATGGGGGAGAAAAGTAGACACAAAGCAAGGAGCTGTCGCTGGAGCTGAAGGAGGAACACTTCCCCAAGAGACACCCATCCTGGCTGCAAATGCAGTTTCCCTCTGACCCACAATTCCATCTCCAGGAATCTGTGCTTCAGAACCATTTACACAAATGCTTGAATATGCTTTAAAAATATTCCGATCTTCTGTAAGAGAGAAAAGTTGGAGACAGCCCCAGTGCTTAAAGCAGTACTTGGCATACAGTAGCACTTCATAAACCATGTGTCTAATGAATGAATGAGCTCAATCTCACTAATAGGGCTATTAATCAATTCCAGGGGGAGCTCTGCTGCCATAAGAAAGTGAAGTAGACTCACATTCAGAGGTGGCCATGGGGTGCTGTCATGTGAAGAAAGACACCACCCTCTGCTTCAGTGAGCAGGAGCTCCTCTCTGAGAACAGCTACGTGTGCCTATGCATACCTATTACACAGGCCTATGTGCAAGAGATTTGCTGAGAAAGTGCTCTCAGGGGAAGCTTAGAAGGGCAGGGGAGAAGCCGGGCAAGGGATCCAGTGGAAGCCTCAGCCTGGTCCCAGGGGAGCTCTGGAATGCGAAAGCTACCACAGAGCGGCCCCACCTCCAAGCAAGGGGGCGGGGATTTTGTGCCTGTATTACTCAGTGGCTGACTAGGGGCTGCTCTACGGGCTGGGTACCACTTCCAGACATTTCTGGATGAGACAGATTGCTTCTGCCCTGGTTGAGTCTCCAGAGTAGGGTGCAGCTGGGAAGGATGCACCAGCCAGATGAAGAAAATCTACACAGCACCAAGAGTCTACTACAGAAGTACAGGGGTATGTGTGAACACGTGTGTGAGGGATGTGTGTGTGTGTGTGTCTTTGCAGATGCACACAAAACAATCTGGAAGCACATATCTCAAGCTGTCCATAAAGAGTGGTCACCTCTGAAATGGACCTTGGTGTTGGAGGCAGGCAGTGAAAGCACAATTTATATTTTACTTAATATATTTATGTGTTACTTGCATTTTCTTGCAACCAGCCTGTATGACATTTGTGGTAAAACAAACAAACAAACAAAAAAAAGCCAGGCGCGATGGCTCACGCCTGTAATCCCAGCACTTTGGGAGGCCGACGCAGGTGTATCATGAGGTCAGGAGATCGATACCATCCTGGCTAACATGGTGAAACCCCGTCTCTACTAAAAATACAAAAAATTAGCCGGGCGAGGTGGTGGGCGCCTGTAGTCCCAGCTATTCGGGAGGCTGAGGCAGGAGAATGGTGTGAACCCAGGAGGCAGAGCTTGCAATGAGCCGAGATCGTGCCACTGCACTCCAGGCAAGAGAGCAAGACTCCATCTCAAAAAAAAAAAAAAAGAAAAGAAAAAAAAATTGCTGGCTAGCAGAGTTAAAAGCTGCAGCAGGGTTGAGCCACCTAAAAATGGAAAAGCCCTGCGGGGTGTGTCAGGAGCTGTTGTACTGTGGGGTGGTTGAGGGTCTCAGGGTGCAGGAACATCAGGGAGCACTAAAAACACAGCTGGAATCAGGCGAAGGGGGTCAGAGAGCAGGGGGCAACCTGGGGAAGGAAGGATGGAGAAGACCAGGGGACCCTTGGCCAGGTCACTTCCTGGGTCTGAAGAATCCCCATCATACCACACTCCCAGCACTCACCTGGAAACAAAGGGTTTTTCCTTTCTCTTGAAATGAATTAGCAGATTGGGAGTCTTAAGAAAGTTATGCCAAAGGCTGGGCGTTCCTTCCCGGAAGATAAATTGTGCATCTTGTCATGAGGGAAGGAAATGGGCACTTGTCAGGAATTACTCTTGTTGCTTGAGATTTCTATCAGGAAATAGACCCTGGGCCCTTGGCCCACTCAGAGGTGGGCTGGTGGGGAGGGGGTGTGGTGTGCAGCAGCCCCACAGAGACTGGCCTGTATGGACACCCAGAACAATCTGAATGAATCTCAAAGGCACTGTGCTTGTGAGAGTAGTGGTCTCCAAAGTTTATATACGGGATGATTCTATTAGCATGAGATTGCCCAAAAGACAAAACTACAGTGGGGGAGAACAGAATGACAGCAAAGGAGATCAGTGGGGGATGGGGCCGGGACCGGGCAAGCGTGTCAACAGCACACGAAGTTTTCTTGTTTGGGGGTTTTCTTTTTAGGTCATAGAACAACTGTGTACCGTGGTGATGGCAGTAGTCACATGAATGTATATATGTTATAATTCATGGACTTTACCTTCAAAGAGTAAAAAATGTCAATTTTACTGTATAATTATTTTAAAATAAGTACATTTAGTCATTTAAAGAAAAATAAACTGAAAGAAAGCATAAAGGAAGCATTAACAAAGAAAAATATAAATCAGTGATTTGGGGAAAAAACAGTACAATTGAGAAATAAATACAAAAGTTCATGGTTGGGGGATGGGGTGGGGTGGAATGTGTAAACTGCTAAATAATATAAGCAAAATAGCTTTTTAAACACCACAAAGAAAAAACAATAAGGGAGAAATAACCAGAAACAAAAATTAAAAATTAATTATTTATTTTTGCAGAGGAAAAAGCAACAGAAAATAAAATCATAAAGATTAACTTGATCCATTTTATTCAGCTATATTTGAAAACATTTAACAAATGGATAGTTTCTTAGAAAAATATAACTTATCACAACGAGCTCCAAAAGAGTTAGGAAGTTTAAATAGAGTGAAGACATGGATAAGGTTGTTGTTCTGGGTTGAATTGTATGCCCCCGAATTCCTGCGTTGAAGTCCTAAGCCCCAGTCCCTCAGATTGTGACCTCATTTGGAAACAGGGTCATTGCAGATGTTAGTTAAGTTAGAATGAGGTCACACTGGAGCCAGGTGGGCTGTCATTCAACACAGCTGGTGTCCTTCTGAAAAGGGGAAGTCTGGACACAGACCCAGGCACACAGGGAGGATGCCACATGCTGATTGGAGTGATGCTGCCACATGCCAAGGAACCACCAGAAGCGGAGAGAGTCCTGGACAGATCCTTCCCCAGCATTCTCCGCAGAGCACAGCCCTGCTGACACCTTGATCTCAACTTCCGGCCTCCAGAACTGTAAGACAATAAATTTCTGTTGTTTAAGCCACTTAGTTTGTGATACTTTGTTATGACAACCCCAGCAGACTAATATAGTTGTCAATAAGCTAGTCTCCAGAATAGCCTTTGATAATGTTATAAGGGAATTTACATTGTCTTTAATAAATAACAGACATTTTCTGTGTTTTTTAAACTGCTACAAAACATTGAAAAATGAGAAAAACTTCTAAATGTTTTCTGTGACATAAAAGTAACATTGAAATTTGGCAGGGAGTATAGACACAGAAAAGGAAGATACACACCAATTTTGCTTATTAATTCCAATTTAAAAATCTTAAATAAAATATTAGGAAACAGAATATAACAATGCCTTAGAATAAGAATGTGTTCCTTATGACTATGCAGAATTTATTCCAGGAATAATAGGATGACTGAATGTCAGGAAATTAATATAATTCACAAAATCATTGGCTCTAAAGAGATAAGTCATATGATCAGTTCCATAGACCATAGAAAACTTAAATCTAGTCTGATTTTAATATCTTAAATAAGCCAATATAGACTAATACTTCATAGCATTATCAATATAAATCTATTCCAGTCCGCAAATTCACATCATTAGAAGGATTCCTGAGAGTGTCAGAAACAAAACGAGAATGTCTCCTGTAACCATTGTTATTTAACATTGCATTAGAGGTACCAGCCAACACGAGTATTATAGACAAGAGAAACAGCAGTAAAGAGGAGCTAGCCTATTTGCAGATAACATGATTGCATGCCTGAAAAATCCAACACAGTGAAAAAGTACAACAAATAATAAGAAAATTTACTACAGTAGCAATGAACAAAATTAATATTGAGACCCACAGCTTTTCACGTATAAAAGCAACAATTAAGTAGAAAATATGAATTAACAACCCAATAACAAAATGACAACTCAATGTTTTTAATGGGCAAAGGACTCGAATAGATATCACCAAAGAAGATATGCAGATGGTCAATAAACACGTGAAACAATGTTCAACACAATTCATCATTAGGAAAATGTAAAAGAAACCACACTCTTACACATTGCTGGGTGGAGTGTAATTCGGTCCACCACTGTGGAGAAAAATTTACCTATCAGAAATTAGAAATTCAGATGTCCTTTGACTCACAATTCAAATTTTGGGCATTTATCCTATAGAGATCCTTTCACATGTGCAGGTTATTCACTGCAGTGCTATGTGTGATGGTAAAAGTTAGAAAACCACGGACAGGTCTATTGACATGGGCCTTCTAGAGTGAGCCAGAGCTGAGAAGCAGGTTAGGGAATTGAGAGTGAAGGCTGAGAACACTTCAGAGGGCAGGAAAGAATAAAGAGATTAAAACTGTGAAATAAGATAAAAGATATGGAAGATAGATATAGAAGTGCCAATATCCAAAGGGTAGGGGTAAATGGAGTCTCAAAAGAAAAAGAGAAAGAGGGAGAAAAAGAAATATTTGAATAAAAGCAAAGATGAATGTCCCAGAAATAAAGACAAATAGGGCTCAAACAGAAAACATAAAGAAAAAGACACACCCAGATACATTACAGTGAATTTAAAACATTTAGGAGACAGGGAAAATTCTAAATGCTTGCAGAGAGCACTTACAAAGGAATAAGAATCAAATTGGCATCAAACTTCTCAAACACAACATTGGAAGCAATAGAACAACTGAGAAATATTTTAAAGTATTGAAAATAAAAATTTTGAAACTGAAATTTTTATCTCCAATTTTTCATTAAAACCTAAGTATATATTTAAAATGTGCTCAGGCATTTAGAGTATCAGGCTTGCCACACAAAGATCAACAAAGACTCACATTTAAAATATTTTCAAGGAAAGTACATAAAAAAGAGGAGCTACAGATTCAGAAGGATAATACGGGAGGTATGGGCAATAAGCATCCTCAGATGAATCAGCAAGTGTTACCCTTGCCTTAGGAGGGAAGAAAAGTACAAACGCCCTCACTCTAAGACCAAAGAAAAGAAAAAAACATATATGGCAACCAAGAACTAAAATTTTAAATAATATCAATATGACAGGGATTGAGAGAGCAAGAAAGAGAGGCCAAGGGTATAATAAGCATCAAAAATACTTTTATTGTTAAGGGAAAAATGTATATATTAATATTTGCTTAAGAAAATAAAAGAAGCAAATAAACATATATTTGGATATTAAATTAAGGCAACTGTCATAGAACATAAATTATAGTTATAACTTTTAAATCAATAAAAGAATATAATGGGAAAAAGTAAATGTAAATATGAAGTTGGAAGAAATAATCACTAATATAACAGAAATTACAAAATATAAATGGGTTAAATCCAACAATTAAAAGGCTGAGACTCTCAGAATTTGAAACAAAAACATATCCAACAGTATGTGGTCTCCAGAAGAAACTTAAAGAGACGGTAGAATTAAAAATAAAACTCTAGCCTGTAATCCCAGCACTTTGGGAGGTGAAGGCAGGTGGATCACTTGAGACCAGACTAGCAAACATGGTGAAACCCTGTCTCTATTAAAAATACAAAAATTAGCCGGACATGATGGTGGGTACCTGTAGTCCCAGCTACACAGGAGGCTGAGGCAAGAGAATCATTTGAACCTGGGAGACAGAGGTTGCAGTGAGCCGAGATTGTGCCACTGCACTCTAGCCTGGGTGACAGAGTGAGACTTTGTCTAAAAAAATTAAAGTAAAATTAAATTAAAAATTCTGGAAATAGATAGCCCTAATATATAAAAGGAAAACAAACTTTTCCAAATCAGAATATAATTCTTTTGAATTACTTTTTCACTCACAGTCAGTTACCCAAGCTTTTGAGCATACTCAAATGCCCTCTGTGATAATGATAGAATTTGTGATGAAGCACTGTTTAAGAGTGCTTCAATGTTGTCTGAGATTTTTTTTTCTTTCAAGACATGGATGCCATTTTTAAGTTGATGCCAGTGCTTTAGTGATCTTACCAGAACTTGCAATCAGTGCAAGGTTTTCAGACAACAAACAGAAATCGTGTTCCTTCTTCAAATAAGTGTTAAATGGTTTGCTGATGGAATCTTCAAGGAGTCATACATTATGGAACAACCACCAACCTAATTCACTTCTTAGTGAACTTATTCTTTAGCTGATCAGATACATCAAAACAAATATGCTTAGTTACTTAGTCTCCTAGACATCCATTCCAGATTCTTTGAGTTTTTTTTCTTTTTTTTTTTGAGACAGAGTCTCACTCTCTTGCCCAGAAAGCAATGGTGCGATCTTGGCTCACTGCAACCTCTGCTTCTTAGGTTCAAGTGATTCTCCTGCCTCAGCCTCCTGAGTAGCTGGGATTATAGGCACCCACCACCATGCCCAGCTATTGTTTGTATTTTTCGTAGACTCAGGGTTTCACCATGTTGGCCAGGCTGGTCTGTAACTCCTGACCTCAGGTGATCTACCTGCCTCGGCCTCCCAAAGTGCTGGGATTATAGGCTTGAGCCACCGCGCCCAGCCTCTTTTAATTATTCTGTCATCAGTTTATCTAATGCCTTTTTCTTCTTTTTAGTGCAAGCACAATAAGATATTTTGGGAAATAACTTACATTTTGTTATTGTTTGTGGTTTAAAATTAAATATGGTAACAACATTTGACCTTTGGTGATTATGCATAGCATCAGAGTGATGTAATATTTTTCTAACCTGTGTTCATAATAAGCACCTTTAGCAATTGTTCTGTAAAAACTCAGTTTTATTAGTATTTCATTTTTTATTTCATTCATAGCTTCATTTTTTTCCTCAGTGGAATCATATGTTCTTAGAAGTTAAATAGCTTCAGATCAAAGTCAGCAGCAAGTTTCTGACAAATCGATATTTGATACCTTGACTATAGTCCTGCATGACATATAAATAGGTCACACTAGCCTCTTATAGTTAATTTTCTGCTTACGATATAACTTTTCACTTCAATGCCAAATCATCATGTAAGCTTTTAAATAAATTATAAACAGCAATTAAATTCAGCACATCTAGTGCCAAAAATGCACAGAACTCAATTGAAGTAATGACAAAAAGAACAGTTATCATTATGTTCACATAAACACAGGCAATAACACCTAGGTCACATCTACTGCCTCCCAGACAGCAGGTAAAAGAAACAACTCAATTTTACTTTGAAATTTTATTTTATTATGATAAGAACACTTAACATGAAATATACCATCTTAACACATTTTAAAGTGTACAATACAATGTTGTTGTTGTAGTTATTGTTGGTTTTTAGAGACAGGGTCTTGCTCTGTGGGCCAGGCTGGAGTACAGTGGCTGGATTATGGCTCAATAGGGTATAGTTAAAGATAGGTTACAATGTTGTATAGCAGATCTCTAGAACTTATTCATTTTGTTTAACTAGAACTTTATCCTCATTAATTAGCAACTCAGCAACTCAGTTTTAGAGATGCCAGAATTTGTAAAAATCTTGACTTAGAAACAATGAAGTATGTTTCTAATAAAATTTAGGATAAAATTTCCAGAATAATGATATTTAAACTACTTAAAAGAAATACAAAATATACACATCAACATCATGAAATTGTGTCCCCACAATTATAGCAACAAAATATGTAAGGTAACAACTGAAAAAATTATAGATATAAATAGAAGAATCAATAATTATAGTAGGATATTTTAACATACTGCTTTAGAAACTTATGGATAAAACAGACCAAAAAATTAGCATGCGTATCAAGGTCTGATCACTATAATTAATAGATATATAAAGAACTCTAAACCCCCCAAAATAGGTAATACACATTAAATTAGGGCAATCAAGGAACATGTACAAAAATTGACCATGCATTAGAACATAGGGAAAGCTCTCTTAAATTCCAAAGGATGAATTTCACACAAAGCATGTTTCCTAAATATAATACAACTAAAACAACAAAAGAGTTTTTTTGTTTTGTTTTGTTTTTGAGATGGAGTCTCACTCTGTCACCAGGCTGGAGTGCAGTGGTGCAATCTCAGCTCACTGCAACCTCCGCCTCCCGGGTTCAAGCAATTCTCCTGCCTCAGCCTCCCGAGTAGCTGGGACTACAAGCATGTGCCACCATGCCCAGCTAATTTTTATATTTTTAGTAGAGATGGGCTTTCGCCATGTTGGCCAGGATGGGCTCAATCTCTTGACCTCATGATCCACCTGCCTTGGCCTCCCAAAGTGCTGCCACTGTGCCTGGCCCAAAAGAGATTTTTAATCCAATTTTTTTTTTTGGAAATAAATAGCATTTTACAAAATCACTCTTGGATTTAAAAGGAAGTTGCGGAATATTTAAAACTAAATGATAATAAAAACACAGACTGCCAATAAAGCAATTGTTAGAAGGAGAATTATAGCTTTAAGACCATTTTTCAGAAAATACAATTTTTAAAAACAAACTAGCATTCAACTCAAGAGTTGGAATAAGAGCAACAAAGTAAAACCAAAAAAAAAAAAAAAACCACACAAAAGGAGATAATAACCATCAGGGCACACATCAATCAAAACAATGGAGAAGATTAACGAAGGCAGAAATAAAGTCATTGAAAAAATTAACAAGACAGACACATCTCACAAGACTCACCAAGGAAAAAAGATGATCATAAAAGTAAACTATGAGAGGAAATACAGAACAAAAAGAGATAATAACTGCAAACACAGTGGAGATTTTTAAAAATTGTAAAGGAGAATTTTATTGTAAATGAAAAATTGAAGCCCTCAATTCAATGAATAAAATCTTATAAAAATATAGAAAACCAAAACTGCATAAGAAGAAAAAAATTGGAACAGGTAAACCAGGAAACATTAATACAGTTGTAATAGTCCAAGCTCTGCCTTCCGTCAACCCCTCAAACAAACAACCCCAGGCCAAAATGGTTTTGAAGGTAAATTTTACAAAATTTTCAAATTATATACAAATGTTCAAGTTAAGCAAGTTGTTCCAAAATATACCAAAAGAGATAACGTCTTCAAGTTCATTCTAAAAAGTGAACATTGTTTTGATTCCAAAACCAGTTAAGAACAACATCAGAAGTGATAATTACAGACATTTTATTTATAAACCTGAATGAAATATTAGTCGAATCCACCAATTCACAACTAATACAGTTTATTGCAAGAATGTAAGGATGGTTCTACATCATAAAATCTATTAATGTAACTTAACCCAATAAATTGAAGGAGAAATATGATGTGATTATGTTACCAAAACACCAGGGGTCCACTGAGGTCCTGCTGCTTGCTGCACAGCCAATCACTGAGGTAGCCAAGGAAATGAGAGTTCAGTCTCAAATCCTTCTGCCTGACCCACCAAAATTAAAGGTTTATATACCTGGGAAGAAATGTAATAATGTATAAGAAAACAGGAATTAGAGAGGTTAAGGAAGCAATCATGATGAATGAGGGGTCTGGCATCTCATTATCAGGATGTGGTGATTTTGTGAGTTTCAGTTCTTTGATACTTTCGTTGACAGGCCTGAGGGTCCTTTCCTGAGGAAGGAATTCAGATAAAACAAACATAAGTTTGAAGCTCTAAGACCGGAAGAGTACTGTGGTGTTGGTTAGAATTTGAGGGAACAGGATAGATTTAAAAAGCAAACAAATGAAAAACTCATATATTTTCTACTTCTGTTCTGAAAGAGCCAGAAGCATGGTGCTCCAGGAGCAATGAGCACAGCTAGAGACTGGATCTGGGGTTCTAAATTCCCTATCACCACTAGGCCAAATCAAAGACCAGGGCAGGAAAAGTACACAGTGATGGCTAATTTTATGTGTCAACTTGACTGGCCTAAAACATGCCCTGATGGCTGGTAACACATTATTTCTGAGTGTGTCTGTGAGAGTTCTTCTAGAAGAGATTGGCATTTGAAGTGGTGGACTGAGTAAAGATCTACCCTCACCAATGTGGATGGGCATCTTCCCATCTGTTGAGGACCTGATAGAACAAAAAGGTGGGAGAAGGGCAAATTCTCTTCCTCCTTCCCTCCCCTGGGACATCCCTCTTCTTCCACCCTTGAACATGGGAGTGCAAAGAGATTTTTCTTTTATATTTTATTTTTATAAGAGACTATAGTCTATGTAAAATATGTTCTACTTTATGTTTTATAAGATATTTATCATCCATGGTTTCAAATAAGAAATCCACTCTTATTCAAATGACACTTGTAGGTTAAGATGTCATTTCTTCTGGCTGTTTTCAATTTTTTTTGTCTTTAGTTTTATTAAGTTAATGATGATGTGTCTTGGTATGGATTTCTTTGGGTTTATCTTGTTTGTGATTATCATAGTTTCTTGAATCTGTAGATTTATATCTTTCATCAAAATGGGAATTATTTCTTCAAATATTCTTTCAACTCTTTCTTCTCTTCTTATTAGGCTCTGATAGTATGGAAGTCAGATTTTTTTTTTTACTCTAACAAGGTCCCTGAGGCTCTGTTCATTTTTTTCAGATGATTTTTTTTCTGTTATTCTTAATGATGTTATTCACATGATGAGCAAGTGCTATTGATCTGTTCTCATATTCACAGATTTTATGCTTTGTCACTTCCATTCTACCATTGAGCTCATCCAGCAAGTTTTTAATTTATTTTATTGTATTTTTACAATAAAATAAATGATGGTTCTACATCATAAAATCTATTAATGTAATTTAACCCAACAAATTTGTAACTTCTACTTTTTGCTGATATTTTCTATTTTTTCATTTGTAATTAATTTTTTTTTTTTGAGATGAAGTTTCCCTCTTGTCACCCAGGCTGGAGTGCAGTGGCATGATCTCTGCTCACTGCAACCTCTGCCTCCTGGGTTCAAGAGGTTCTCCCGCCTCACCCTCCTGAGTAGCTGAGATTACAGGCACCTGCCACCATGCCAGGCTAATTTTTGCATTTTCAGTAGAGATGGGGTTTCACCACATTGGCCAGGCTGGTCTCGAACTCCTGACCTCAGGTGATCCGCCTGCCTCGGCCTCCCAAAGTTCTGGGATTACAGGTGTGAGCCACCTGCCCGGCCCCTGTAATTAATTTTTGAAGCATTTTTATGATGGTTCCTGTAAAGTCCTAGCCAGAATATTTCAATACCTAATTCGTCTCCATGTTGATATTATTCGATTGTCTTTTCTCATTCAAGTTGTTGCTTTCCTGTTTCTTGGTATGTTATTGTATTCTGGACATTTTGTTTCTTCTGTTAGGAGACTGATTTCTATTTAAATTTTCTATTGTAGCAAGGCAATCACCCTGTTAAGGCTTAGTATGTGAGTAATGACCTACTTTTGTGGGCCATGGTTCCAATAACAGTTTAATTTTCAGAAACTTTGTGGTGTCATTTTCACCTGTTTGGTTTAGCTGGTGCTGCTAGGCTCTTCACTGGTCCCTGCTGTTGCTGCCCAGAGGGCTGAAGGTATTTCCCTAGGTTTGTTGGCCTGGTGTCACTCAGTGGGGTGGGAAGACCCAGGCCCACACAAAAACAGAGGCTTTCCAAGCTGGGCCCTTGTGACAGGATCTCTTCTGCTTATAGGGCACAGAGAGTCTTCCCAGAGGAGGTACTTATGACAGGATGCCCTCTGCCAGTGCCTTCTCCACCTGGCCTGCTGTTTCTTGATGGGAGAGGGGAGTTTCAGGCTGCAGAGGAGGTGAGGACTTCTCTTGCCCACTTATTGATGGTGGGATCCTGGTATATCTCCCTTGCAGGTGGCACTGAACTCTATGAAAGATCCTTAGATGAGTCTCTTATCCAATGGTGTGAATCCCTGTGACAAACATGGGAGACTCACAAGGCTCTTGAGGATGTTATACCAACAGAAACACTGCTAGCTTGGAAAGAAAAGTACAGAGAGAAAGCAAAATGAAAAAGGGCTGTTAGACCGCCCCCGCCACTCTCAAATTCTACAGGCAAAAAATGTGATGATAAAACTACTCAGCTGTAAACATGTGATACCCTTCAAGAAAAAGGAAGGATGACTCCAAAGGCAGAGCCACTAGCTCAGGGGGGTCTGAGTCTTGAGCCACAGAGAATTATTCTCAGGCCTTGAAACAAAATGGAATGTGCCTGGCTTGATTTTGAAATTGATTGGGACTGGCAACTCCTTTTTCTTCCTCTTCTCTTTTTGAATGGAAATATCTATCACTGTTATCCCATGCCTGTCTCACCTTTGTATTTTGGGAGTAGATAACTTGTTTCTTGAATTTCCCAGGTTCACAGATGAAGAAGAATTGTGCCCCAGGATGGATCACTCCCAGAGCCTCGGATGATGCATTTTGGCACTTTGGAGCTAATCTGAAAGTTAGATGAGATTTTGGACTTTGAGTTGTTACTTTAATGGGTTGATAAGGCTGGGAATCTTGGAGTGGAATGCATTTTGCATATGGGATAGATGTGTATCTTTGGGGGCCAGAGGGCAGTCTGTGGTAAGCAGACTAATGCCTCCATAAAAATGTCTACCCCTTATCCCAGAACCCATGAATATGTTATGGTAATGACAAAGATTGCAAATAGAATTAAGGTGTTAATTAGTTGACCTTGAGATGGGGAGGTCATCTTGGATTCTGTAGTGTAACCACAAACATACAATGTAATCACAAGAGTTCTTGTTAATGGAAGGTGAAGGCAGTAGAGAGAAAATAAGAGATGGAAGAATGAGCAGGACTCAACATGATGTGGCTGGCTTGGAGATGGAGGAAGGGGCCACTAGCCAAGGAGTGTGGGCAGCCTCTAAAGCTGGAAATGACAAGGGAATGGATCCCCCCCTAGAGCTCCAAAGGGAATACAGCCCTGAAGACCTTGAGTTTTTCCCAGTGAGACCAGTTTGAGACCTCTGACCTCCACAACTGGAAAATAATAAATGTGTAGTTACTTAAGCCACTAAGTTTGTGGTAATTTTGTTATAGCAACAACAGAAGATGAATACACCTGGTGCTGTAGGAGGGACTCCTGTAGTTCCAGGACAGGAATGAGGATTCCTTGGCTGCCTTCTGTCACTGTGTTGGGGATGGGAAACACTGGACCTGGGTCACTGTCCTCCATCTGGTAAGGGGAAATAAGATTCCCTGCAGCTGCACTTCATCCATCCCTGAGGCCCAAACCAGTTCACTTTCCTGTTAACACCTATGAGAGTTCTCCTTTGGTTGCCTCTTACATTATTCTAGGGTTTATAGCTGTGTGTAGAGGGAAGGTGCAAGGAAAACTAGTCTAAGCCATCTTTTTCCAGCTGGAAATTTCCAACTTACTTTTATACATTCAGAACTATTACGTTTATTATTACTGATGGATTCAGCTAAAGCTTTCTAGAAATACCATATATTTCCAGTGTTCTTCTATACCATTACTTCTTGCACCTCAGTTCCTTCTGTGTTCAATTTCCTTCTTCTTGAAATATAGTACATCTGTTAGTAGTTCTTTCAGCACATGTCTATTAATGGTACATTCTCACTACCTTTTTTTTTTTCTGTTTTGTTTTGTTTTGTTTTTAATACAGACAGGATTTCACCAAGTTGCCCAGGCTGGTCTCAAACTCCTGGGCTCAAGCAATCCTCCTGCTTTGGCCTCCCAAAATGCTGGGATTAAAGGCACGAGCCACCGTGCCTGGCCAATTCTCACTGTCTTGCTCTGAAATGTTTTTCTCTTTCCCTTCCTCTTAAATGATCATTTGCATAATGTAGGATGCTATGCTCACACTGGTTTCTCTCATTACTTTGCAAATATAATTTTCCATCTTCTGTTGCCTGTTACTGTTGTGGATAAGTCTGCTATAGACAAATTGCATTCTTTCATAATCCGTCTGCTGTTTCTCCATTGTCGATTTTATGATTTTCTGTTGGCAAGGAAGACAGCAGGACATCCATAGGAAGAGACTACTCATTATACCCAAATATTGACTTCTTCTGTTTTTCTTTTAATAACAGATACCTCTACATTTTAGCTGGGCATGGGGCTGCCTAGCCAAGGACTGCTTTTTTTCCCAGCCTACGTGGTGTGGCCACATGACTATGTTTTGGCCAAAAGAAGGTGATTTAAATCACATGTAGAACTCTGGGTCATGCCTTCCACAGAGCCTATCTGTCCTTTCCTCCACATTCCCCCTTCCTGCTGCCCAGGCCATGGTCCTCCAGCTGCAACTGTGTGGAGCTGAGATGCACTGACAGAATGGCACAGTGATGAGACAGGTAGGACTCTGGAAACTTTGACCTCTGGCCTTTCTACTAATCCAAGACTTTAACGAGAGGGAGAACCAAACTTCTTTATTGTTAAGTCACTGTTATTTTGATCTTTGCTAAAGCAGCCAAATCAATATCTTAGCTTATAGAGCAGCAACCCTGCCTACCACACACCAGTGAAGGAGGTAGGTGGCCATCGCTCCTTTCCCTAGAACACATACACATGCACACATACACACACATGTGCACACACATACACACACACAGATTTTATGTTTTAGAATGCAATCATGCAATTCATAATGTTTTTCAACTTGCTTTTTTACTCAACAATATATCTTAGTAGTTATTACATTTAGAAAATATTGATGCATTTCATTCCTTTTAATAACTGCCTATTTTACAAAATGTATGCATTACAATTTATGTAACCATTTTCCATTAATTAGTGTTCAGGTTTTCTCTAAAAAAATGTTATCTCATGTAATGATAGGATGACAATCCTTCTGTATTTATTTTTGAACTTGTATGATTATTTCTATAGATTAGACATCTAGAAATGATACTATCTAGCAAAGATATGCATTTTTAAAAAATTTAGTGTTAGTTTAGATAGATTACCCTCTCCAAAACAAGTGTGCTCATTGATGCTTCTCCCAAAGGCACAGCGTTCCCTTCATCCTTATCAAGACTCAATACTATCAATGTGAGTGAAAAACACTGTGACATTTCTGTTTTCTTAATAACTTATGACATTTGTCTCTCATAAATTCATAAATCATTTGTATTTGGTGTGCTTTTTCTGTTCAACTCCTTTGCCCATTTTTCTATTTTTCTATTTTATTGTGTTTGCCTTTTTCTCATTAATTTGTAGAAGCCTTGGAATATTAGAGTTATTAATTTTTTTTTTTTGAGATGGAGTCTTGCTCTGTTGCCCAGGCTGGAGTGTAGTGGCACAATCTCGGCTTTCCGCAACCTCCACCTCCGGGGTTCAAGTGATTCAGCTGCCTCGGCCTCCCAAAGTGCTGGGATTATAGGCATGAGCCACCACGCCCAGCCAAGAGTTATTAAATTTTGTAAATGCATATGTTGCAAGTATTTTCTCCAGTCTGTCTCTATCATTTCTCTTAGAAATGTATGGTCTCTTTCACCACACAAAACACTCACATTTTTAGAAACTGGAATAGTTTCCTTCCTGTTGATTTCCTCAGGATTGACAATCCTTTCTGTAAAGAGCTAGAGGGTAAATATTTCAGGCTTTGCTACCACATGGTCTCTGTCACAACAACTCATCCCTGCTGTTACAGCGTGAAGGCAGGTGTGGACAACAGTTTCATCAATGTGCACTGCCTTGATCAATAACATTGTATTCACAAACACAGGGTGTGGGAGGACTTGGCCTGAGGGCTGATCATCCACTCGTTGATTGACAACCCATGGTCCAAGTTGGGCACCATGCCCAGTGTTGTGGAAGGAAGGGGTGGTGTTGTCAGCACAAACATGGAATCCCAAAAAATGTTAAGGCGGCTCTTCAGGTTCAAGGGATATAATCCAAC
This sequence comes from Homo sapiens, assembly GCF_000001405.40. NCBI lineage: Eukaryota > Metazoa > Chordata > Mammalia > Primates > Hominidae > Homo > Homo sapiens. The sequence goes on along the minus strand of NC_000010.11, from coordinate 42,911,787 downwards.
CTGTGCAGAGTCCACATGGCGGGAGATGCAGGAGGCCACCCCATGGTGCAGAGCCTTGGTCTTGGCTCTCAGGCCCCTGCAGGCACCCTTTAGGTGGTGGAGTCTGCACCTCCCCTGCAGCTACTCTGTCTTCACAACCTCTTGGCTCCTCTCCTATGCCCTAAGCTCCAGCCTCCTGCCTGGGCCCCTCAGGTGTACACTGTTCCTTCAGGGCCAGCTGCTTGATAGGGTTGGGGAGGGCACTGTGTCTTGGTGGGAGAGCAGGGGGTTCTGCCCCAGGGCAGCGTTGCCTAAGGCCCCCTGACATTCCATGTACCAATTTTCCCCCTGTTAATTTTTATTTATTTATTTATTGTACATGAATAAGTTCTTTAGTGGTGATTTCTAAAATTTTGGTGCACCCATCACCCGGGCAGTGTACACTGTACCCAGTGTGTAGAGTTTTATCCCCCACCCCCACCACCCTTTTCCTTGATCTCCAAAGTCCATTGTATCATTCTTATGCCTTTGCATCCTCATAGCTTAGCTCCCACTTATGAGTGAGAATATATGATGTTTGGTTTTCCATTCCTGAGTTACTTCACTTATGATAATGGTCTCCAACTCCATCCAGGTTGTTGCGAATGCCATTATTTTGTTCCTTTTTATGGCTGAGTCGTATTCCATGGTATATATACATATATACCACATTTTCTTTATCCACTCATTGATTGATGGACATTTGAGCTGGTTCCATGTTTTGTAATTGCAAATTATACTGCTATAAACATGCATGTGTCGTATGTTTATTGCGGCATTATTCACAATAGCAAAGACTTGGAACCAACCCAAATGCCCAACAATGATAGACTGGATTAAGAAAATGTGGCACATATACACCATGGAATACTATGCAGCCATAAAAAATGATGAGTTCATGTCCTTTGTAAGGACATGGATGAAATTGGAAATCATCATTCTCAGTAAACTATCACAAGAACAAAAAACCAAACATCGCATATTCTCTCTCATAGGTGGGAATTGAACAATGAGAACACATGGACACTGGAAGGGGAACATCACGCTCTGGGGACTGTTGTGGGGTGGGGGGAGGGGGGAGGGATAGCATTGGGAGATATACCTAATGCTAGATGACGAGTTAGTGGGTGCAGCGCACCAGCATGGCACATGTATACATATGTAACTAACCTGCACATTGTGCACATATACCCTAAAACTTAAAGTATAATAATAAATAAATAAATAAATAAATAAAGAGATAGTGGGAGATAAATTTTAAAAAAAAAGCACTGTAGCTATGTAAAATTTCTCTGGTCTTGTATTTCTATAAGAAAATCTTCTTGTTCTCAGTAAATATGTGTAAATATATACCAAAATACTAGCAGTGCAGTTTCATGATGTCTGCAACATACTTTCAAATATTTCAGAGAAAAACTGTGTGTGTTTGTGTGTATATGTGAAAAGACAGAGAAAGCAAATGTAGCAAAATGTTAATAATTAGTGAACGTAGGTAAAGGGTATATGGTTGTACTATTTTTTTCAAATTCTTATTGAAGTTAACATTTTTCAAAATAAAAGGCTGGGAGACAAAAGAACGTTAAGAGAAAACAAAGGATACAATAGATTTTTAAAAAATGATCATTTTCTTTTCAGTTTTCAGGAAGTGATAATATTTTCCCCAAATGTATTAGCTCATTCTCTTCCTGAGGAAACACTAATAGTAAAATGGATTTTCCCAGCTCAGCTGAGGAATCTAGGACCTATTCTTAATTCCTCTCCTTCCCTTACCATATCAAATCCATCTTCAAAGAATATCCAGAACCTGATTCCACTCCACTGCCACCATTCTGGCTCAATCCACCATCATTTGTCACTTGATGCTACAATAGCCTCCTTGCTGGTCTCTTTGCTTTCTCTCTCCACCAAGTAGCTTTTTAATTCATGATTTTATCATCCTAAATAAGATCATGAGACTTTTCCAAACTTTCCCATGCTTTCACATCACATTTAAATAAAATGAAAATCCTATAGATCAGTGGTCCCTAATATTTTTGGCCCCAGGGACTGGTTTCAAGGAAGACAATTTTTCTGTGGGAAGGGACAGTGTGGGGATAGTTTGGGGATTAAACTGTTCCACCTCAGATCATCAGGCATTAGATTATCATAAGGAGAGTGCAACCTAGATCCCTTGCATGAGCAGTTCACAATAGGGTTCCTGTCCTATGAGAATCTAATGCCACCACTGATCTGACAGGAGGCGGAGCTCAGGAGGTAATGCTCGCTAGCCCGCTGCTCACCTCCTGCTGTGCCACCCAGTTTTTAATATGCCACAGACCGGTACTGGTATCCGTCCAAGGCCCAGGGGTTAGGGACCCCCAGGTATAGGTAACCTGTAAGACCTGTACAACATGGCCTTTCCTCATCTCCCTAACATTATCTCCAACCACTCTTTCTCTCAAATGCATAAAACATTTTGCCATATCAAGATCTTTATATTCTCTGTTTATTACTCCTGCCTATTCCCAAGTCTTTTTATGTCCAAAATCTTCATTTTGCCTCACATCAGTATTCTGCCCAGATTTGCCTCCCCAAGGAGAATTGTCTTAACCAGTCTATCTAAAATAACCAAAATTCTTTCTACCAGTCATTCTCTATTTCCCTAATGTGATTTATTTTCCCCATAGATTAATGAGAGTATGGAATTATATCTGTTTACATGCTTATTGTCTGTTTGTCATAGGCTTCCGGCATTTACACATTAGAATGTAAACTCCATAAGGGAAAATATTATTTTACTCATTCATTGTCATATTGTCATATAACCATATATTTGCTGAATGTATGCTCATTAAATTCATTTATTCAATGCTTATTTATTGAATACCTACTATACGAGAGGCGCTGCTATGGTTACTTGATCCACATTAGTGAATAAAACAAAAACACATGCCCTCATAGAGCTTACATTCCTATCAAGGAAGAACATTCTAAAGTATGTGGAAGGAAAAGGGTCATGGGAAGGATGAGTGCATGCCTATAATATTAGATAAGTGTCAAAGTGACTTTCCAAAACACTTAGTAGACAACACATACCCATTACAGCTCAATTAATGATTAACCTCAGTATTGAAAATGTGGAAGTTGTTTAAAATTGGATGGGGGTTGCAACTGAAAAGGAGATTTGTGGACAGAGAGGGGGGTTAGGAGGCCCAGAGAAAACACTATTGGGATTGGAAAGCATGAGAGATTACGTTTTCTGGCAATGTCAAGAACGACAAGAATATAAAGGAATTAGCTGATGTTAGAATTCCAGCTGGGCCACTGGTGTGATGTGGGGCCTGACTGGTGAGGGATAGGGGTTGTGGCAGTTCTGAATAAGAAAGGATATAAGCTCTGTCTCCCCGAGATCTCCTGACTTCTTCCTGTCCTGGGGAGATGAATTCAGATTGAAGCTGCTCAAGACTAGTGTACAATAAACTGTTGGCTGTTAAAAGACAAAAAAAAAAAAAACAAAAAAAAACATGCGTGTGCAAGTATCTTTTTCATATAATGACTTATTTTCCTCTGGATGGATACCCAGGAATGGGATTGCTGGATCAAACGGTAGATCTACTTTCAGTTCTTTAAGGAATCTCCACACTGTTTTCCATAGTGGTTGTACTAGTTTACATTCCCACCAACAGTGTAAAAGTGTTCCCTTTTCACCACATTCACGCCAACATCTATTTTTTGATTATGGCCATTATTGCAGGAGTAAGGCGGTATTGCATTGTGGTTTTTATTCACACTTCCCTGATAATAGTGATATTGAGCATTTTTCATATGTTTTTTGGCCATTTGTATATCTTCTTTTGAGAATTGTCTATTCATGTCCTTTGCCCAATTCTGGGGTGTTTGTTTGTTTGTTTGTTTTTTCCTGCTGATTTGTTTGAGTTCCTTGCAGATTCTGGTTATCAGTCTTTTGTCAGAAGTATAGATTGTGAATATTTTCTCCCACTCTGTGTGTTGTCTGTTTATTTTGCTGGCTATTTCTTCTGCTGTGCAGAAGCTTTTTAGTTTAATTCAGTTTCATCTATTTATCTTTGGTTTTGTTCCATTTGCTTTTGGGTTCTTGGTCATGAAGTCTATATCTAAGCCAATGTCTACAAGGGTTTTTCCAATGTTATCTTCTAGAATTTTTATGGTTTCTGGTCTTAGATTTAAGTCTTTGATCCATCTTGAGTTGATTTTTGTGTAAGGTGAGAGATGAGGATCCAGTTTCATTCAGCTTCATATGGCTTGCCAATTATCCCAGCAGCATTTGTTGAATAGGGTGTCCTTTCCCCACTTTATGTTTTTGTTTGCTTTGTCAAAGATCAGTTGACTGTAATTATTTGGCTGTATTTCTGGGTTCTCTATTCTGTTCCATTGGTTTATGTGCCTATTTTTATACTAGTACCATATTGTTTTGGTAACTATAGTTTTGCAGTATAGTTTGAAGTTGGGTAATGTGATTCCTCCAGATTTTGTTGTTGTTGTTGTTTAGTCTTGCTTTGGCTCTCTATGGTCTTTTTTGGTTTCATTCGAATTTTAGGATTTTTTCCTAGTTCTGTGAAGAATGATGATGATATTCTGAGGGGAATTGCATTGAATCTATAGATTGCTTTTGACAGTATGGTCATTTTCACAATATTGATTCTACTCATTCATGAGTAGGGGATGTGTTTCCATTTGTGTGTCATCTATGATTTCTTTCAGCAGTGTTTTGTAGTTTTCCTCGTAGAGGTCTTTCATCTCCTTGGTTAGGTATAGCCCTAGGTATTTTATTTTTATTTTTTGCACCTATTGTAAAAGGGATTGAGTTCTTGATTTGATTTTCAGCTTGGTCGCTGTTGGCGTATAGCAGAGCTATTCATTTCTGTACATTAATTTTGTATCCTGGAATTTTGCTGAATTCATTTGCCAGTTCTAGGAGCGTTTTGGATGAGCCCTTATGGTTTTCTAGGTATATGATCATGTCATCAGCATACAGTGACAGTTTGACATCCTCTTTACTGATTTGGATGCCCTTTATTCTTCTCTCTTGTCTGAATATTCTGGGCAGAACTTCCAATACTATGTTGAATAGATTGGTAAGAGTGGGCATCCTTGTTTTGTTCCAGTTCTCAGAGGGAATCCTATCAACTTTTTCCCATTCAGTATTATGTTTGCTGTGGATTTGTCATAGATGGCTTTTATTACAGTGATAATATTTTATTTTATTACAGTGAGGTATGTCCTTTGTATGCGAATTTTGCTGAGGGTTTTAATCATTTGAGCATTTAATCAGATGCTGGATTTTGTCAAATGTTTTTTCTGTGTGTATTGAGATGATCATGTGGTTTTTGTTTTTAATTCTGTTTATGTGGTGTATCACATTTATTGACTTGCATATATTAAACCATCCCTACATCCCTAGTATGAAACCCACTTGATCATGGTGGATTATCTTTTTGATATGCTGTTGGATTCTGTTAGCTAGTATTTTGTTGAGGATTTTCGCATCTATGTTCATCAGGGATATTGATCTGTAGTTTTCTTTTTTTTGTTATTTCCTTTCCTGGTTTTGGTATTAGGGTGATACTGGATTCATGGAATGATTTAGGAAGGATTCCCTCTTTCTCTGTCTTTTGGAATAGTGTCAATAGGATTGGTACCAATTCTTCTTGGAATGTCTGATATATATTCAGTTGTGAATTCGTCTGGTCGTAGACCTTTTTTTTTTGTTGGTAACTTTTTAGATACCATTTCAATCTCACTCCTTGTTATTGGTCTGTTCAGAGTTTCTGTTTCTTCCTGGTTTAATCAAGGAGGGTTGTGTATTTCCAGGAATGTATTCATCTCATCTAGGTTTTCTAGTTTATGCGTGTAAAGGTGTTCATAGTACCCTTGAAGGATCTTTTATATTTCTGTGGTATCAGTGGTAATATCTCCTGTTTCGTTTCTGATTGAGCTTATTTAGATCTTCTCTCTTCTTTTGTTGGTTAATCTCACTAATGGTCTATCAATTTTATTTATCTTTTGAACCAGCTTTTTGTTCCATTTATCTTCTGTATTTTTTCTGTTGTTGTTGTTTCAATTTCATTTAGTACTGCTCTTATCTTGGTTATTTCTTTTCTTCTGCTGGGTTGGGGTTTGGTTTGTTCTTATTTCTCTAGTTCCTCGAGGTGTGACCTTAGATTGTCTATTTGTGCCTTTTCGGAATTTTTGATGTAGGCATTTAACACTCTGAACTTCTGACCTTTCCTCTTAGCACTGCGTTTGCTGTATCCCAGAAGTTTTGATAGGTTGTTTCACTATTATTGTTGAGTTCAATGAATTTGTTAATTTTCATCTTGATTTCATTGTTGACCCAAAGATCATTCAGGAGCAGGTTAATTTCTGTGTATTTGCATGGTTTTGAGGGTTCCTTTTAGAGTTGATTTCCAATTTTATTCCACTGTGGTCTGAGAGAGTATTTGATATAATCTCTATTTTCTTAAATTTGTTGAGACTTGTTTTGTGGCCTATCATATGGTCTGTCTTGGAGTACGTTCCCTGTGCTGATGCATTGAATCTATATTCTGCAGTTGTTGGGTAGAATCTTCTGTAAATATCTGTTAAGTCCATTTGTTCTAGGGTATAGTTTAAGTCTATTGTTTCTTTGTTGACCTTATGTCTTGATGACCTGACTAGTGCTGTCTGTGGAGTATTGAAGTCCCCCACTATTATTGTGTTGCTGTCTATCTCATTTCTTAGGTCTAGTAGTAATTGTTTTATAAATCTGGGAGCTCCTGTGTTAGGTGAATATATATTTAGTATTGTGATATTTTCCTGTTGGGCTAGTCTGTTCATCATTATATAATGTCTCTCTTTGTCTTTTTTAACTGCCGCTGCTTTAAAGTTTGTTTTGTCTGATGTAAGAATAGCTACTAGTGCTTGCTTTGTTAAGTGACAAAATATAAGAATAATTGATATTCCTGAGGAAGAAAAGAAATCTAAAAGTTTAAAAAACATATTTGAGGGAATAATCAAGGAAAACTTCCCTGGCCTTTCTAGAGACCTAGACATCCAAATACAAGAAGCTCAAAGAAAACCTTGGAAATTCATCACAAAAAGATCATTACCTTGGCACATATTCATCACATTATCTAGTCAAGATGAAGGAAAGAATCTTAAGAGTTATGAGGCAAAAGTATCAGGTAACGTATGAAGGAAAACCTGTCATATATCCTATATCTTATATGATATATCCTATATCATTTTTTATGATGTTTATCACATATCCTATATCATTTTTTAAAATTTCTTTAAGTAGGACTTCACCTTTCTCTGGTGCCTCCTTGATTAGCTTAACAATTGACCTTCTGAATTCTTTTTCTGGCAGTTCAGGGATTTCATTTTGGTTTGGATCCATTGCTGGTAAGTTAGCGTGATTTTTTGAGGGTGTTAAAGAACATTGTTTTGTTGTATTACCAGAATTGTTTTTCTAGTTCCTTCTCATTTGTGTGGGCTATGTCAGAGGGAAGATCTGGGACTCAAGGGCTGCTGTTTAGATTCCTTTGTCCCACAGGGTTCTCCCTTGATGTGGTGCTCTCCCCCACACCCTTGGAATAGGACTTCCTGAGAGCCAAATTGCAGTGATTGGTATTTCTCTTCTAGATCTAGCCACCCAGAAGAGCTACCAGCCTCTGGGCTGGTACTGAGGAGTGTCTGCAAAGAGTCCTGTGATGTGATCCGTCTTTAGGTCTCTCAGCTGTGGATACCAGCGCCTGGACTCTGTGAGGGTCCTTGGTTGTATTTTTATTAAGTGTGCTAGTTTTGGTTGGGTGTGGTGGCTCACACCTGTAATCCCAGGACTTCAGGAGGCCGAGGCGGGTGGATCACCTGAGGTCAGGCGTTCAAGACCAGCCTGGCCAACATGGTGAAACCCCGTCTCAACTAAAAATACAAAAAAATTAGCTGGGCACGTTGGTGGGCACCTGTAATCCCAGCTACTTTGGGAGGCTGAGGCAGGAGAATAGCTTGAACCTGAGAGGCAGAGGTTGCAGTGAGCTGAGATCATGCCATTGCACTCCAGTCTGGGCAACAAGAGGGAAACTCTGTCTCAACAACAATGACAACAACAAAAGGTGCTAGTTTTGTTTTGGTTGGCCTCCAGCCAGGAGGTGGTGCTTTTAAGAGCACATCAGCTGCAGTAGTATAGGGAGGATACAAGCTTGCCCTAAGGTCAGGTGGTAGGCAGGGCCATAGAGTTCCCAAGAGATTATGTCCTTTGTCTTCTGTTACCAGGGCAGGTAGAGAAAGACCATCAGGTCTGGTCAGGGTTAGGCATGTCTGAGCTCAGACTCTCCTTGTGCGGGGCCTGCCACTGCTGCTTTAGGGGGTGGAGGTGTGGTTCCCAGGCCAATGGAGTTATGTTACCAAGGGGATTATAGCTGCTTCTGCTGCATCACACAGGTTGCCAGGGAAGGGGGGGAAAGCTGGCAGCCACAGGCGTCACCCAGCTGCCATGCAGCCCACAGCCCAAAAGGCTGATCTCACTCCCACTGTGGTCCCCCAACAGCACTCAGTTTATTTCCAGGCAGCCAGTGAGCAGGGCTGAGAACTTGCCCCAGGCTACAAGCCTTCCAGGTGAGAAAGCAAACAGACTGGCAGTTTCCTCAGCTGTCCCATGGAGCCTGCAGTGGCAATCCACCTCCTTCAAGGGGTCTGTGGATTCTCTCAGGTTTCCTGGTATGTTCTTGAGGTAGTTCATGATGTGAATCTCCACGTGCTGCTCTGTCTGAGTAGGAGCTGCTAGTCCTGCCTCCTATCCACCATTTTGACCTCAAATTGACAAGCCAATTTTTCCTTTTCATAGCAAGTATATAGGATTCACAGGGACTACTGTCTGAATCCTAAACAAGGTACCCCAAGATCTTTGTGTCCTATTCTGAGATAGGCTGGCCATCTGCAAATCCCCTATTAGAAGCCCCTTGCTGTTTGATGCTGTGTTTGCTTCTGTAAAAGATCAAGGAGAAAACCACCCATTAGTGTCTCACGTAAGGTAAAAAGAAGGATACAATTAGATGTCGCCTCAGTAACATGATAAAGGAATGCAAATATTTGTTTCCCATGGGATGGTCACTCAGCTGTCCCTGTAAAGGAATTGTCACCTTGTGACATCCAGTATGTTAGGGGCAAACCTATTGCTATGCAACAAAACATTCCAAAATTTAGTGGTTTAAGACAACAATTTATTGTTTCTCACAATTCTGTGGGTTGAGAGTTTGGGCAGGGCATGGCTGGGCAGCTCTTCTGCTCCACCTCATGGCATGGACTACATATATGGAGCTGAGCTAGGCTAGAGGGTCCAATAAGTCTCCACCCACAAGTCTAGAACCTCAGTGCTCCCTTATGTTGTCTCTCTCTCCATATGGATAACTTGGGCTTCCTCACAGCATGGCTGTCTCAGTACAGTTTAACACCTTACCTTGTCTGGACTCTAGAAGAGGAGAAGCAGAAGCTAACAATTCTCTAAAGACTGGAATTGTAAGCCCCAAAACATCACTTCCAGCATTTTCTGTTGATGAAGGCAAGTCACATACCACTATTTGCTGCCTGGGGTCTGGATTTCTCAACCTCCAATTCCTTGTAATAAATCTGTATATATAGACAGATATAGAGATATGGAAATATTGATACCTTAGTGGTTCTGTTTCTCTGGAGAATGTGAATACATCTGCTTTTACACAGAAGGCTGGAAACTGTAGGTAATACTGGCCTCTAATTTTTAAATGCATTTTTATTTGTTAATTTTTTTGAATAGACAAAGTATGAACACAGCAAAAAGTTTGAAAGTGAAAGTTAAATCTCCTCCAACCCTTCTCCCACAGTCATCCCATTTTCTTTCCCTGGAAGGAACACTATGAGCAACCTCTTTTATATCCTTACACAATGCTTTTTAGTGTTTTACATTAGTGGTAGGTGTACCCACAGTTCTGCACCTTGCATTTCCTTTAATAATATTTCTTAGAGATCTCTGCATATTAGTTCATATAAAGACACTCATTTTTTTCATGGCTACTCATGGTTCTGTGAATGCATCACTATCTCACCCATCTCTTATTTATGGAGATGTAGATTGGTTTCATATTCGCTACTGGAAACCACGTTGCAGTGCACATTCTCACTGGCAGGCCATTTCATATGCAAGCAAGTCCGTAGGACAAAGGAGCAGAATTGCTTTGTTAAAGAGTGTGTGAACTGTTACCTTTGGAAGGTAAACTGCCTGCCATGCCATCTCCCCAGGGGGCATAAGGAGAGTAATGAGTGACCGCGCAGACCCCACAGCCTCCCAGACACGAGCCACTCTCCTCATTTTTGAACTTGGCCTATCTGAGACTGTAAAATAGTATCTTGTAGTTTTAAAGTATAGTTTTCTTATTACCAGTGTGGTAGAGCATCTTTTATATGCTGAAGATCCAGCTGGATTTCCTGTCTGTCCATATCCTTTGCCAAGTTTTCTTTTTTTTTTTTTTAATTGATCATTCTTGGGTGTTTCTCCCAGAAGGGGATTTGGCAGGGTCATAGGACAATAGTGGAGGGAAGGTCAGCAGATAAGTGAACAAAGGTCTCTGGTTTTCCTAGGCAGAGGACCCTGCGGCCTTCTGCAGTGTTTGTGTCCCTGGGTACTTGAGATTAGGGAGTGGTGATGACTCTTAACGAGCATGCTGCCTTCAAGCATCTGTTTAACAAAGCACATCTTGCACTGCCCTTAATCCATTTAACCCTGAGTTGACACAGCACATGTTTCAGAGAGCACAGGGTTGGGAGCAAGGTCATAGATCAACAGCATCCCAAGGCAGAAGAATCTTTCTTAGTACAGAACAAAATGGAGTCTCCTATGTCTACTTCTTTCTACACAGACACAGCAACAATCTGATTTCCCTATCTTTTCCCACATTTCCCCCTTTTCTATTCCACAAAACCACCATCATCATCATGGCCCGTTCTCAATGAGCTGTTGGGTACACCTCCCAGACAGGGTGGCGGCCGGGCAGAGGGGCTCCTCACTTCCCAGAAGGGGCAGCCGGGCAGAGGCGCCCCCCACCTCCCTCCCGGACAGGGCAGCTGGCCGGGCAGGGGCTGGCCCCCAACTCCCTCCCGGACGGGGAGGCTGGCCGGGAGGGGTCTGCCCCCCACCTCCCTCCCGGACGGGGCGGCTGCCAGGCGGAGACGCTCCTCACTTCTCAGATGGGGCAGCTGCCGGGCGGAGGGGCTCCTCACTTCTCAGATGGGGCGGCTGCTGGGCGGAGGGGCTCCTCGCTTCTCAGACGGGGCTGCTGGGCAGAGACACTCCTCACCTCCCAGACGGGGTCGCAGCCGGGCAGAGGCACTCCTCACATCCCAGATGGGGCAGAGGCGCTCCCTACATCTCAGACGATGGGCGGCCAGGCAGAGACGCTCCTCACTTCCTAGTTGGGATGGCGCCCGGGAAGAGGCGCTCCTCACTTCCCAGACTGGGCAGCCGGGCAGAGGGGCTCCTCACATCCCAGACGATGGGCGGCCAGGCAGAGATGCTCCTCACTTCCCAGACGGGGTGGCGGCAGGGCAGAGGCTGCAATCTCGGCACTTTGGGAGGCCAAGGCAGGTGGCTGGGAGGTGGAGGTTGTAGCTAGCCGAGATCATGCCACTGCACTCCAGCTTGGGCAACATTGAGCACTGAGTGAACGAGACTCCATCTGCAATCCCCGCACCTTGGGAGGCCGAGGCTGGCAGATCACTCGCAGTTAGGAGCTGGAGACCAGCCCGGCCAACACAGCGAAACCCCGTCTCCACCAAGTTTTCTTACATATAAAGAAAAAAATCCAGCCTGGGCCCGTGGCGAAACCCTGGTCTCTACAAAAAAATACAAAAATTACCCAGGTGTGGTGGTGCATGCCATAGTCCCAGCTACTCAGAAGGCTGAGGTGGGAGAATTGCTTAAGCCTGGGAGTTCAAGGCTGCAGTGAGCCAAGATCACACCGCTGCACCCTAGCCTGGTCACAGAGTGAGACCTTGTCTAAAAAAAAAAAGACATTTGACAGTCCGTGATACGTGTTACATATTTTTTTTCTAGTTGGTCATTTTTCTTCTGAATTGTAATAAATAGGCCATAAACAGAAAATGAAACCCTTTGACTAGTGTTTCTTGGTGACCTAAAATTTTCATGTGTTGCAATTAAGAAAAAAATAAATTGAGTCCTGCTCAGAGAAGATTGGCTTCAATGTAGCAGGTCCCACACTTTAGCAGATAACCCTACATGTTCTACCAGTAGAAGGCGAGCCACCTAGAAGCCTGTCTCTAGCTAAGGGGGTGCGTCCCTGCCACCTTACAAAAGAGCTTCTCCTTTTTCGTTGGCCTGGCCAGGTGTCCAGTTCAGGAGGACGTGTGTGTGCTGCAGAAGGAAGGACACATTTAAATCATTTAAAAGGTATCCCCACCATGGTCTCTTTATTGCAGTGCGGCAGACGGTCTGAAGTCTAAGTTCGCGAGCTGCCGACGGTGGCGCGGAAGTCTTTGGTCTCAGTCTGGAGAGGCGCGGGCATGCAGGCCGCTAAGGACCCCGTTCACAGCTAGAGCAGAGAAGCAGTCCCTTGGTAACCACATTTTACTAATTTCTCATCTGGTGGCAGGTGTCCAAATCAGTACAGTTTAGAACTAGCCGTGGCTCACAAGAAACAGCCCCATGGCCGCTGTGCTCCGGCCCAGCATGTTTATCAGGAATGAAAGGAGAGGCATTGCCAGCCCACCTAAGCCAGAGGCCCCAAAACCAGGAAAGCCCTGACTGCTCCCATCGTGACAGGTGTCTCCGAATTCTGCCCCGAAGACCCTGCGATGAAACGTGGGGGACTCGGCGCCTCCTTTCACTCCCTACAAATACAGACGTCGTCTCCCGACGGCAGTGGTTCTCCTGGCAGTGGGGCTTCTCCGCGAAGGAGGCGCTGCCGCGCTGCCATGGAGCCCCGAGGGCCCGGGTGTGGCTCCAGGTCCTGCCGTGGGGAACGCCCGCGGCCGCCTGAGTCAGGGTCACTGGCGACTCGGGCTGTGTTTGCGTTTTAGGTGGAGGTAGGCAAGCGGTTGCGGCTCGGCGCCCTCGTTTTTCCCTCCTTTTCCCATCATTAGTTGGACTGAGTAATGCTGTGGAGAAGCCTTTCAACGCTGCTACCTTGGAGAGGGAAATGAATGTCCCTCTTTCTTGGTAAGGAGCTCTCACCGGGGCTGCACCTGCGCAGGTATCCCCACACAGGCTGCCGCCCTCGGTCCGCGAAGGAAGGGCCCCTCTTCCCTCCGCGGGCTGGGGGTGGCTGGCCCCCAAGGGGACGTCCTAGGGCATAGGAAACTGGGGGCAAGACCTAAGGCCCAGCCGCGCTTTGCAAACCGCAGCTCCGGCGTAGGGCTGGGATTTCGGAGCTGTCCCGGGAGGGTGGAAGGAGCCTGTGCTGGGGTCTGTCCCGGACTGCGCCCCCTCCCTGCGGAGCCCACCGCCCTCCGTCCCACGGTTCTGCTCCGCAGGGAGGCTCGGCCCCATCTCTCTGGACGCAGCGGTCGGCCGTGCAGACCTGGGGTCGCCCCGGCCCCGCGGTAGAGGCGGGAGGCGGAGGCGGCTCGGAAGTCGCGCCCCCGCTGGGTCGCTAGAGGCTGAAGCGCAGGCCAAGCAGCGGAGCGAACGCGGGATCCAACCCGAAACCCCCGACGGCTGTGGGGACGGCCACGTTCTGCCGCGAAGACCCTTGCGATGAAAGGTGAAAATCTCAAGCTGAAATAGAGGCACGACCAGAGGAAAGGCTAATGCCCATTTGTGTGTGTGTGTGTGTGTGTGTGTGTGTGTGTGTGTGTGTTTTACTAGGAGGAAGGAAGATGAAGAAGGAAGACTGGCTAAGTTCTGGCCGCTTCTTCGTCCGCCTCTGATATGCGGGCCATGTATGCAGGGGTTGGCGAGGGGGCAGGCAGCAGGTGTGACAGAGAACTGGACAGGAGGAGTCCGCGCCGCATCAGGGTGGCCGCGGGGCTGCTTCTCTGCCTGGAGGGCGCCGTGCTGCCCCTTCCCGGCCTAAGTCCCTCTGTGATTCGCAACTCGGTTTGTAGCCTGGACGTTTCTCCCGCAACCACCCCACCTCCAGGTGACAACATGTGCCCCTCTCTCTGTCCCCTGCTGCTGGGGCTTTCCTCAGCTGTCACACTTAATACACTGCTTTGTCACTCCCCCACAAGCCTTGTGATGAAGCCAAATTTGAAATACACACGTGGAAGAATCTATCCAATGCAAGCGTATGTCTCAGCAGCAACAATGCAGTGAGCACCTCCACACTCACACCCAGTTTGAGAACGAACTATTTCCAGTCGCATGGATTAGCCCCTCTTCCTGCCCCACGCTCAGATCATACCCCTCTTGCTCTCCTGCCCCTCTCTCCAACCACCAAATTGAGTTTGCTGATAAACACCCCTGTCTTTGTTAGTATAGATAAGGAACTTTATAGTATTGCAGTTATGTGACGTTTATTCTTTTGTGATTCTCTCTCTCTCCATGAAGTTCTTGGGATTTGTCCATATTGATACCTGTAGCCACAATTCATTAGTTTTACTGCTGTGAAATTGTATTCCATCATATACAGAGATTATAGTTTATTTTGTTGCTGATGGGCACATGGGTTGTTTTCATTTTTTCCCATTGCTAATGGTCCTCCCGCGAACCCTGTGTGTCCTGCGGGGTGCATGGGCAAGAGTTTCCCTAGGGCACGTTTACATTTACAGGAATGAAAGTGCTGGTTGTAGGGTGTGCACAGTCACCTCTTCTAGGAAATGCCAAACTGCTTCTCACAGTGGTTTGTACTAGCACAGGCTCCGCCAGCCGTGGGTGAGAGCTTCCACAGCTCCGAATCACCAACCCCAAACTGACAAACTTTTTAACTTCTGTCAATCTGGAGGGTGTGAAATGTATCTGATTGTGGCTTTAATTTGCATTTCCCTCATCAGTTACAAGATTGAGCATCTTTTCAGGTTTTTATTGTCCATTTAGGTTTTCTTTTATGCCCCTGCTATAGTTTGATATTGTCTGTTTTTCTCCTCCAAATCTCATGTTGAAATTTGATTCCCAGTGTTGGAGGTGGGGCCTAATGGGAGGTGTTTGGGTCATGGGGGCGGATCCCTCATGAATACTTTAATGCCCTCCATGGGGAAGGAGTGTGAGTTCTCACTCTATTCGTTCCTGCTTGTTAGAGAGAGCCTGGCACCTCCTTGCCTTTCTCTCTTGCCGAGTGATCTCCACACATGGGCTCCCTTGCCCTTCTGCCATGAGTGGAAGCAGCGTGAGGCCCTTGCCTAATGCCAGCTCCATGCTTCTTGCACAGCCTACAGAACGTTGAGCCAAATACAACTCTTTTCCTTATAAACCACCCACACTCAAGTATCTCTTCACAGCAACACAAATGAACTAAGACAGCCCTCATAAAAGCCTTCTGAAGTCTTTTGCACTTTTCCTATTGGTTTTTTTTTCCCTCAGAGTTTTGCTCTTGTCACCCAGGCTGGAGTGCAATGGCGTGATCTCGGCTCACCACAACCTCTGCCTCCCAGGCTCAAGCGATTCTCCTTCCTCAGCCTCCCAAGTAGCTGGGACTACAGGCATGCACCATCACGCTGGCTAATTTTGTATTTTTAGTAGAGATGAGGTTTCTCCATGTTGGTCAGGCTAGTCTCAAGCTCCGGACCTCAGGTGATCCACCCGCCTCGGCCTCCCAAAGTGCTGGGATTATAGGCTTGAGCCACTGTGCCTGGCCCCCATTGGGTTGTTTTGTTTTTCATGTTGACTTTTGTGCTGCAGCCTTTATACCTGCCTTGTGAGAGCCAACTGCGACCATCTATCCCCAAGGCCCTGCTTGGTGACCTTACCTTAGTGGCTTGAAATTGGCCACATGGAAGTGTTTATATCCTGGAAACAAGCAAATGCTAAAAATAAGGACTTTTAGGGCCTGAGAGTCAGTTGTTAAACATCTTCCAGCACAACACTGTTTACAGGAGTTCTTTATGTACCCAGGTTCTAGTCACTTGTTGGTTACATGTGCTACAAATATTTTATCTCATATCATGACTTTTAAAAACATTCCCTTTGAGGTAACTTTTGATTAACAAAAATCATCAATTTCAATATGGCTAGATTTGAAAATGCGTCCTATATAGATAGTGCATTTTGTGTCTTTTTAAAGAATTTTTTCTACTCTAAGGATATTAAGAGATTCCCCCACCCCCATTTAATTTTGAAAGCTTTGAAATTTTGCTTTTTACCTCTGGGTCTTTGATATATCTGAAATTGATTTTTGTGAACTGTTGGATGGCAGTCCAGTTTCTTTCTTTTTAAAAAATTTAGATCTCTTATAAATCCTCAGAGACATAGAAGGGTGCATCATACTGATAGCCATGCTGAACTGAGTGAGGTATGGCAAATAATTCAACAACTGGGTTAGAATCAACTGTGGTAAGGAGATGGCCACGCATTTCATTATTTTATGTCTGTCATTTCACATTTCATTATTTTATGTCTGTCATTTGGATGAACTGTCCCAAAACACTTATCTACGTGATTCCCAATCATAGAGGATTCATGCAGAAATTGGCCCAATTTTTCATATATCACTCTCGCCATTCGTTTAAGTAGGGCCCTCCCAAAATGATGTTGGGCTTGATGCTGTGACATGCTTTGGCCAGCAGGATGGGATCAGAGGCTTGGAAAAGCACATGTGCATTTTCACTCATTTCTTGGACCTCTGGCACTGCCATAAGAACAAGCCCAGCTTAGCCTGCTGAAGGGATGTGCAGGACATGGGAAGGAGGGCTGAAGTCATCTGAGATGAGCCAGGCCCAGCCAATCCACTGGCTGATCACTGATGAGCCAGTTAAGATCAGCCACATCCAGCCCAGAGTAGCAGAAGTGCCCCATCGTCCTGTGGACTCATGAGAAATAATAAAAGGTTACTATTTTAGGCCCCTAAAATAGGCTCCCATCTTCAGTGGGAGAAAGGAAATTTCCAGCTGGGTAACTTCTAAGTTTTGAAGTGGTTTGTTACAGAGCAACATCTAACTAATACGCCAGTTATCTGAGAGTACTCCAGACCCTTGAGGCTCTCAGTGGCATTGTTTTATTTATTCAAGCTATAATATTTATTGAGTACCTTCTATGTGTGATTCCTTAAGGGTACTACTTGAAAACTTCAGTCGAATTTTCCCTTTAGTTTTAATGGGAAGGTCAAGGTTATGTTTCTGTTATCTCTACCAAGGTGGAGTATTTCACATACCTGCCCAGGTACTCATTGCAGCAGGCTAAGACTTTAGCAGCACTTTGGAAGAACCAAGATATAAGCATAATGGTTCATGAAACTCTCTCTTTTAAATTTTAAGGCCATTTAAAACTATGAATGTACTACTGAGCATAGCTTAGGCATTCTTCTTTTGGTTCCAAAATATTTTGTTTTTATCTTCTGTTATTTTACTCCCAATTTACTCTTTGACGCAAAAACTATTCATCAAAGAGTGTCAGGCAGTGTATTGGTCTGTTTTCACACTGCTGATAAAGACATACCTGGGACTGGGAAGAAAAAGAGGTTTAATTGGACTTGCACTTCCACATGGCTGGGGAGTCCTCAGAATCATGGTGGGAGGTGAAAGGTACTTCTTACGTGGTGGTGGCAAGAGAAAATGAGGAAGAAGCAAAAGTGGAAACCCCTGATAAACCCATCAGATCTCATGAGACTTATTCACTATCATGGGAAAGACCAGCCCCCATGATTCAATTACCTTCCCCTCGGTCCCCCCTACAACAAGTGGGAATTCTGGGAGACACAATCCAAGTTGAGATTTGGGTGGGGATACAGCCAAACCGTATCAGGCAGTCTGTCTATTTTCATGGTAGTTGAAGAAAAATGGTGCCAGGTTCTGCATTCCCCAGGGTCTCCTTGTTCTTTTGTCTTTGCAAGCAGGATCAGTTCCCTACTCCCTCCTTCCATTTCTGTACTGCCCACCCAGCTGGCTCAGTTCCTTTCCAGGTAGAAAATACTGGTGGGACTAAAACCCAATGTTTTACCATCATTCCGAAATTAAGAAAGACTCATTTTCTGTACGAGGACTTACCCAAATTCTTTTAAATAGTAACAGATGGAAGTTTCAGACCATTAAGAGACAGAAAGTTGAAGGATCTTCTTTGCTGCCTGTCCAATTACTACTAATAGTAAATACAATAATTAGCATTTATTCATCGTTACTGTGTGCCAGGCACCCTTATAAGCATTATAGATATTACCGACTCATGTTAATCTTCAAAGCAATCTTAGAACACAGCGACTATTCTCATACTGTTTTACAGATGAGGGAACTGAAGCCTAAAGAAGTCAATGAACTTGACCAAGATCACACAAATTGGGGGTGTAATAGAGATTCAACCATCCAGCTCCAGAGTCTGCATTTTTAAACCAAGATAGCAGTCAGCTGTGTTCAGGCATCACCTGCACTGTTTACAGCCCTCTGATGAGTGTGTGTTTGTTTCAAAAATCCAAGCAGCCCAGAATCCCTGAGCTGGCAGAACACACTTGGTTTTAGGAGTAACACAGTCCACCTCCAAAAACACTTTGCCTGGAGTCATCAGGTAACATTTTTGTCCTGCCTATGCTCTATTGTGCGCGCGCTCTCTCTCTCTTTGTAACATTTAAGAATACCTTGCAGATATCACAACCATTTCCAAACATTTCAGCCTGTGTCTCAAAACAAGGACATTCTCTTATATAACCATAATATAATTATCTAATTTAACATTGATTTTTGACATCGTTGAAGAGTGCAGGCCACTGTTCCGTACAATGTGTTTTACTTGAGTTTGATGTTCCTTTGTGATTAGATTTGGGCCATGCATTTCTGGCAGGAATGGTGCTGTATTCTTCTCAGGACATCAACATGATGCTGGTTTGTCTTGTTACTCATGTTACTAACCTTCATTCAATATCATGGTAGTATCTGCCAGATTTTCCCATTGTAATGGTATCTTTTTTTCCCCTTTAAAATTAAAAAGTAATTCATATAAATAAATCTATTTCTCATTTAACTTCCATCTAATGATTTGAACATCCATTGATGTTTTCTGCCTGAATCAATTATTCCAATGGTGGCTACAAAATGGTGGTTTTCTAATTCCACACCATTCCTTGTAAAAAAGAATGTTCATTCATTCATTTTATAACTTAAAATGATAGCATGTATCCTGTTCTTAGTCACCGGGTTACAATCCTGTCATTATTCATTTTTATGCTCAGATTATCTCAGATCTGGCCAGTGGGAGCCTCATCAAGCTGGATCCTGGGTCCTTTGTTTTGCCCTAATCAGTTTTCTAGGACTCCTATACTTTCTGGCACAACAAAATATTCTAGGCTCATAGACCATGTAAGAGTCAGGGTTCTCCAGAGAAACAGGGCCAACAGGTCATCTATACATATGTAATAATGAAGACACATCATAATTGAGCTTATTAAAACTAAAGACAATAATATTGAAAACAACCAGAAAAAAAAATGTCATTTTACCTACAAGTGCCATTTGAATGACAGTGGATTTCTTTTTTTTCTTTTTCTTTTTTTTTACTCTTTCTTTTTATTATTATTATTATTATACTTTAAGTTTTAGGGTACATGTGCACAATGTGCAGGTTAGTTACATATGTATACATGTGCCATGCTGGTGTGCTGCACCCACTAACTCATCATCTAGAATTAGGTATATCTCCCAATGCTATCCCTCCCTCCTCCCCCCACCCCACAACAGTCCCCAGAGTGTGATGTTCCCCTTCCTGTGTCCATGTGTTCTCATTGTTCAATTCCCACCTGTGAGTGAGAATATGCGGTGTTTGGTTTGACAGTGGATTTCTTATTTGAAACCATGGGTGATATAACCTCTTATAAAAGATATATTGTCATAATAAATCTTTTTTATATTTAAGGCCAGAAGGAACTGGTACAACATTTTTCAGGTGCTGAAAGAAAAGAACTGTCAACCACAATCTCTATCTGGCAAGACTATTTTACCAAAATGAAGGGGCACTAAAGACATTCTCAGATGAAGGAAAGCTAGAAGAATTTGTTAATTTCAGACCTATCCTTAAAAATTGACTAAAGGAAGACCTTCAGCAGGAAGGAAATAATAAAAGAAGGAGCCATGGAGCATAAGAAAGAACAACATAAAAACGAAGCATATGAGTACAAACCATAGACCATTGTTTCTCATGTGAGTTTTATTTTAAGAATCTGAAGATCAAAACAAAAATTATAGCATTATTTGATGCTCAAGATAACATTGTGAAAGGGGCCAGGCACGGTGGCTCATGCCTGTAATCCCAGCACTCTGGGAGGGCGAGGCAGGTGGATCACCTGAGGTCAGGAGTTCAAGACCAGCCTGGCCAACATAGTGAAATACCATCTCTACTAAAAATACAAAAAGTTAGCTGGGGGTAGTAGCGAATGCCTGTAATTCCAGCTACTCGGGAGGCTGAGGCAGGAGAATTGTTTGAACCTAGGATGCGGAAGTTCGCTTCATTGCACTGCAGCCTGGGCGACAGAGTGAGACTCTGTCTCAAAAAAAAAAAAAAAAAAAAGGAAGAAAGAAAGAAAGATAAGGGACCTAAATGGAAGAAAGGTTTCCACATGTCCTTCAAGGTGGCAAAACATTGATACCAGCAGACTGCGATAAGTCACATATGTCTATTGAAATAACCAAAATAAAAACTCTATGAAGAAATACACTCAAAAACACTATAAATAAGTCAAAATGAAATACTAAGAAGTATTCAAGTAACAATAAAAGAGAAAAAGGAATGATAACCAGAGGAAACAAACAGAAAACAAATAACAAAATGGTAGTCTTAAGCTCTAACATACCCATAATTAAATCCACCAGGAAGTCATAACAATTCTAAAGGCATATGCACCAAAAGCAGTGCCTCAAAATACATGAAACAAACATTGACAGAGCTGAAAGGAGAGACAAATTCATAATTATAGTTGGAGACTTCAACATCTCCCTCTCAGCAACTGTTAGAACTAGTAGACAGAAAATAATTAAGAATATGGAGGACCTGAACTAGGACTTACCCAAAGAAGGGCAATGTATAAAGAAAAGGAATTTAATTATTACAGTTATGGAGTCTGAGAAGTCCAAAGTCAAGGGGTCACATCTGATGAGAGCTTTCCTGCTGGTGGGGACTCTGTGCAGAGTCCCAAGGTGGCTCAAGGTGTCACATGGCAAGGGGGCTGAGCATGCTAGTGTGCTAGCTCAGATCTCTCTTCCTCTTCTTATAAAGCCACCTGTTTGCCTCTCATGATAATGTATTAATTCACTAACCCATTAATCCATGAATGAATTAGGAGCAGAGCCCTCATGATGCAATCACCTCTTAAAGGCCCCCACCTCTCAATACTGCCACATTGGGGATTAAGTTTCCACATGAGTTTTAGAGGGGACATTCAAACCATAGCAGCAGGGAATTCATACACACATACAAAATTGTTTAACCACATTAGTAGTCAGGAAAATGTAAATTCACACCTCTTTGAGCCGCCATTATACATCTGCCAAATGGCTAAAACTTTAAAAACTGACAATAGTAAGCATTGGCAAGACTGGAGGAGAAGTAGGTACTCACACACTGCTGGAGAAAGTGCATGTTGTACAAATAATTTGGAAAACAGTTGGCATCATGGAATAGAATTTAACATAAGCATATCCTATGCCCCAGAGATTTCATTCCTAGATACATAATCAACATGAATGTATGGACATGTACCTCAAGAGTTGTGTACAAGGATGGTCACAGCAGCATTATTCATAATATCCAAAGATTGGAAACAAGCCAGATATCCACAAACAGAGAGATGGAAAAATGGTGACATATTCATTTATGAAAGATTATGTATAATATCTGAGAATAAATAAATTATGGCTACATGTAACATCTCACAAACAAAATATTGAGTGCAAAAAGTGAGACACATAAGACTTCATACTATGCAACTGCTTGTAACTCAACACTGATAAAATAATACATATCAAAAATTGAGGGCTGCCACTAGAACACCCTACAGGAATTTATAATCTTTACCTATTAAGAAAGGCTATTCGGAGCCCAGATGAAGACATTAATAAAAGTTTAGAAATAAGCTTGCAGATAGAAATGCACAAGATTTGAGCAAAAATTAATGAAATGGAAAAATAAAGATAAAACAGAAAGGGTCAAGGGAGAGCAGAGCAAGATGGCTGAATAGAAATTTCACCTATCGCCCCCACTGCAGGAACACCAAATTTAACTACTATCTACATACACAAAAAAAAGCCTTCATAAGAGCCAACAATCAGGTGAGCAACCACAGTACCTGGTTTTAACTTCCTATCGCTGAAAGAGGCACCGAGGAAGGTAGAAAACACAGTCTTGAATCCCTGAAGCCACCCCTCCTCCACTCCCCAGTAGTGGTCCTGTGGCATGGAAAATCTGTGCACTGGAGGAAGGAGAGTGCAGTGATTATGGGACCCTGCATTGAACTCTGTGCTGCTCTGTCAGAGCAGAAAGAAAAACCAGGCTAAACTTGCTTGACACCCACCCACAGAGGAAGCATTTAGACCAGCCCTAGACAGAGGGGCATCATCATCCATCCCAATGGTTGGAACATAAGTTTTTGCAAGCCCCACCACTGTGGGCTCAAAGGCTCTGGGGTCCTAAATAGACTTGAAAGTCAATCTAGGCCACAAGGACTGCAATTCCCAGGCAAGTCCTAGTGCCGTGCTGGGCTCAGAGCCAGTGGATGTGGGAGGCATGTGACCTAGTGAGGCACCAGCTGGGCTGGCTGAGGGCATGCTTGTGCTATTTTTCCCTCAGCCCTAGGCAGCACAGCTCACAGCAACGAAAGCGACTTCTTTCCTCCACTTAAGGAGGGGAGAGGGAACTAAAGAGAACTTTGTCTTGTGTCTTGGATACCAGCTCAGCCACAGAATAGGGCACTGTTCAGGGTCATAAGGCCCTCATTTTGAGCCCTAGCTCTTGGATGACATTTCTAGACACACCTTGGGCCAGAAAGGAACCCACTGCCTTGAAGGGAAGGACCGAGTCCTGGCAGGATTCATCACCTGCTGACTAAAGAGCCCTTGGGTCCTGAAGAACCAGTAGTGATATCCAGGTAGTATGCCATGTGCCTTGGGTGAGACTCTGAGACATGCTGGCTTCAGGGGAGAACCAGCACATTCCCAGCTATGGTGGTTATGGTAAGAGACTGCTTCTGCTTGAGAAAAGCAGAGGGGAAAGTAAAGGGGACTTAGTCTTGCACCTTATGTACCAGCTCAGTTCAGTGGAGCAGAGCACCAAGCAGGCTCCTGGGATCCCTGATTCCAAAGGCCTTGGCTCTTGGATGACATTTCTGGACCTGCCTTGGGCCAGAGGGGAGCCCACTGCCCTGAAGGGTGACTACCAGGCCTGGCAGCATTGACCATAAGCTGACTGAAGGGCGCTTGGGCTTAAAGTGAACATTGGTGGTAGCCTGGCAGTATCCCATGTAGGCCTGTGGTGGCCATGACCATGGGAGAGGCTCCTCTTTCTGTGGAAAGCAGAGAGAAAAGTGAGGACTTTGTCTTGTGATTTGAGTGCTGGCTTACCTGCAGTAGAATAAAGCATCAAGCAGATTTCTAAGGTTCTTGACTCCAGTCACTGGCTCCCAGACAGTGTATCTAGACCTGTCCAGGGCTTGGGGGAACTTGCCATCCTGAAGGGAAGGACACAAGCCTGGCTGGCTTCACCCCTACTGATTGCAGAGCTCTAGGGCCTTAAGCAAACATAGGTAATAGCCAGGTAGTGGTTACAATGGGCCCTGGGTGAGACCCAGTGCTGTGCTGGTTTCAGGTTTGGCCCAGCACAATCCTAGTGGTGGCAGCCACAGGGGTGCTTGTGTCATCCCACCTCCAGCTCCAGGTGTCTCAGCATAGATTTGAATAGGCATTTCTCAAAAGAAGACATACAAATGGCAAAACAGCATATGAAAAGGAGTCAACATCATTGATCTCAGAGAAATTCAAATCAAAGCTACAACGAGATATCATCTCACCCCAGTTAAAATGGCTTTTATCCAAAAGACAGGCAATAACAAATGCTGGCAAGAATGTGAAGAAAACAGAACCCTTGTCTACTTTTGATGGGAATATAAATTAGTACAATCACTATAGAGAACAGTTTGGAGGTTCCTCAAAAAACTAAAAATAGAGTTACCATACAATCCAGGAATCCCACTGCTAGGTATATACCCAAAAGAAAGAAAATTAGTATATCAAAAGAGATAGCCGCATTCCTGTGTTTTCAGCACTGTTCACAATAGCCAAGATTTGGAAGCAACCTAAGTGTCCGTCAACAGATGAATGGATAAAGCAAATGTAGTACATGTACACAATGGAGTACTGTTCAGCCATAAAAAAGAATGAGATCCTGTCATTTGCAACAACATGGATGGAACTGGAGGTCATTATGTTAAGTGAAGTAAGCCAGGCACAGAAAGACAAACTTCACATGTTCTCACTTATTTGTGGAAGCTGAAAATTAAAACACTTGAACTTATTGAGGAAGAGAGTAGAAGGATGGTCACCAGAGTCTGGGAAGGGTAGTAGGGGAGTAAGAGAAATGATGAAGATAAATAGGTACAAACAAAGTAGTTAGAAAGAATGAATAAGACCTACTATTTAGTACAACAGGGTGACTGTAGTCAATAGTAATTCAATTGTATATTTAAAAATAACTAAGAGTATAATTGGATTGTTTATAACACAAAGGATAAATGCTTGAGGGGATGAATAACCCATTCACCCTGATGTGATTTTATTTTTATTTTTTAGATGGAGTCTCGCACTGTTGCCCAGGTTGGAGTGCAGTGGCACAATCTCGGCTCACTGCAACCTCTGCCTCCTGGGTTCAAGTGATTCTCCTGCCTCAGCCTCCCAAGTAGCTGGGATTACAGGTGCCCACCACCATGCCCAGCTAATTTTTTGTATTTTTAGTAGAGACGGTGTTTCACCATGTTGACCAAGCTGGTCTCAAACTCCTGACTTTGTGATCCACCTGCCTCGACCTCCCAAAGTGCTGGGATTACAAGCGTGAACCACCACACCCAGCCGATGTGATTATTGTGTACTGCATGCCTGTATCAAAATATCTCACATACCCCATAAATATATACACCTACTAAAATGTACCCACGAAAATTAAAAATTAAAAAAAGAAAGGGTCAACAAAATTAAAATGGTGATTCTTTGAAAATACTAATAAAAGTAAACCAACCTCTAGAATAATTGACCAAGAAAATGAAAAGAGGGATGGCACAGCATATAACACAATAAATCAAATGGAGACATAACTTTAAATATAACAGACATTTTACAAATTACTATACAACATTATTCTGCCAATAACTGACAAAACAGACAGTAACCTGAAGAGACCAAACTTGGAACGTGTCTGAAAAAGACATAGAAAACCCAAAAATGCCTATGAACCTTAAGACAATCTAGTGGGGATTCAAAATCTCCTCGCAGAACCAGCAACCACGGGATCGGGCCTGAGGGCCTCATGCTGTGCTCCACTGGGGTGTGGGGTGCAGGACACGGGTCTCGCAGAGCTGGGCACTGGCCCCATCCTAGAGAAGGGGAGGCTGCCTCCCTCACACGGGCCCCTGGCCCAACTGCAATGCCTGGGCCTCCCCAGCCAGGCCTGCTTGGCCGCCCCCTCCCTGGGCCAGGGCCTTTCCAAAGCCCCTTCTCCCTGCTGAGGTTGGGGTGAACTTGGCACCAAGGACCCCCTACCCCACCAGTCCTGGTGCCCCCAGCACATCCAGTGACCTGTCCTTGGCTTTGAGTTTCTCAAAAGCAGAGGCACCTGCAGGGAGGAAGAGGTGACCAGAAGGACCCTGAGGCCCTGCCACAAGGCCCAGCAGGTCCAGCCTCCTACATACAGGGCCAGGCAGCACATCTGGCACCAAGGAAAGAGGTGCCCAGAGCCACAGCCACACTGCCCACTGTGTACAGCTGCAGGCATGAGCTCAACATCCCAGCATCTGTCCCAGTAGACCTCCCATGGTGACATCAACCCTGAGTCCCAAATATCACCATCCTCTTTCAGTGGGAGAAAGGAAATTCCAGCTGGGTAACTTCAACCTGAGGACTTTGTGCCTCTTCCCTCTGAACTGCAGCTGTCCTGACTGTAGGAGGTGACTACCTCCACCTTCCCAAAGTCCTGGGCTGAGACAGGAAGCTTCCTAGAAAGCTAGAGAGGCATGGATGTGTCCCTGATGGGCAGCCCAAGTGCCCTCTGCCCTCTGCAGGGTCCAGGGTAAGAACTGGTGTAAAGTTGGTCCTCAGCAAGGGAGAGTGCTGCACGCTTCCTGGAGGAGGCAGCTGGGAACTGAATCTTTTTTAATTTTATTTTTTATTGACAAATAATAATTGTATACATTTATGGGATACAAGGTGATGCTTTGATATGTTTACAATGTAGAATGATTGAATCAGGCTAATCAACAATCCATTTCCTCACATGCTTCTGAAGGAAAAATCAAACATTGGTGGTCAGTGGGGATGGGTGAACTGGGCACAGGGACTGCTAGTGGGACATGAAGTCATGAGATGCTGGGTCCTTTGAGGGTGGAGACATCTAGCATGGAGCTGGGGACCGAGAGTGTCTCACCAACAAGCCTGGCCTTGATTGGACACATTAGGGTGCTCTGAAGACCTCTGCATGAAGGAGCAGAGGGAGAGACCAGGACAGCTCAGCCCCTGGACAAGCAGAGCAGGCAGAGGAGGCCATGGGCATTAGCCTTGGGCCTCCAGATGCCATGCTTTCAGGCCCAGTGCTCAGACACACCGCTGGTTTCAAGGGAGGAGGGGCAGGCCAGGTGTGGGGTGACCCTGCTCACCTCACTCCCAGCACCTGAGGGCCGTGCTCCTGCACCACCCTCCGCAGAGTCCCCAGGGCACCAGGCTCTGGGGCCTCCATCAGGATTCAGAAGCTGGATGAGCTTGTCAGTCTCAACCCTGCTGTGCTTGGGTATAACCACCACCACCAGCCACCCTGGTCCCCACCCAGCCCTAACCCATCCCTCTCCCTGCCCCCTGGGGACTCAGAGAAACAGGTGCCCCATGACCCCTCCACTCAACTTGCACGGACATCTCACCTTAAACAAAACCTGGCTTTCACTGATATCCACTTCCCCTGAGCAGCCCGCTCCCTTTCCCCAAGGCTTTTGTTCCCTTAAATCCCAGCTCTCCCCTGTAAGCAGACGGAACCCACAGTCTTGCAGGCTCATTAGGTCTGAGTGGTCTCTCCACACCACTGCCATGGCCCATAGTAATCCAGGACTCTGGCGTGGATTCACTTGGCTCTACCTCCAGTCTTGCCAAATTCTGGGGGGCCTGATGTCTATCTTGATGGTTCATCCACACAGCACAGCCCATCCTCAAATGCTGAATCCAGCATCCCTGACCCACTCCCCACACTCCCAACAGGACTCCATCCTTGACCCACGGCCCCAGGCCCCTTCCCCAGGCCACTGCTCTTAGCCTCCCTGAGCTCTCCTTCTCCAGCCCGGCTCTGCCTTCGGCCTCTTCCCTGAGCCTGTTCTGTGCCTCTTTTCCTAACATCTGCTGTTGAACGCAGAGCTCATTAATTTGCCTTCTATCTTGTTCTCTAACACAGCACTTAAGGTTATAAATTTCCCTCTAGTGCCATTTTACCTGCATCCCATGAGAGTCAATATATGCTGCTTCTATCATTGCTTGGTTTATATCTTTTGTATTTTCCATTACCGTTTTTCCTCGGGCCCGTGAGTTATTGTGTTTTCCAGATGTAACTGGGCTCAAGGCAGTCTTCCTGTGATTGACTTCTAACATTATTGCATTGTGATTAGAGAGCATGTCCTGCTTATCATCTCTGCTATTTGTTGAAGCCTCCTTTGTGGCCACCTTCATGGTCAGTATTATAAATGTTCCATCTGTGCTGGAAAAAATGTTAATGCCCGGCGCATGGGGTACAGGATTCTGTATCTGCCCAGCAGCCCAAACTTAAAATCTGTATTTCAGATCTATTTATTTTCATGATTTTTATTCTGTTTGATGCAAATTTTAGAGTGAGGTATGTTCAAAGTTCCCACCATGCCTGGGGACATGCTAGGTTTGCTGTTGTCTCACTGAGGCTGGTGGCTGCATCTTCCAGGTGCATGACCTCCTTCCAAGTTACCTGGTACTGCCCTCCACCCCACCCCATGCACCTCTCCCTGCCTTACTGGTCGCTTCCCACACCCACTTCCTTTCTGTTAACACTTCATAGCAGATAGCTTGCTTTAAAAACAAAACAAAACAAAACAAAAATGTAAAAAAACACAGCCTGAGAATCCATGTTTCGAATAGATGAGTTTAATCTTATTGAATCCATCCCTATACGTTTTATAAAATTAATTAGGAAAGAAGGGAGGGAGAGAAAGGAAAATAAACCAAGCTTGCAGTGTCCTGAGTGTTGGCTTCTAGGCCAGCTTGCTCTCTGACCCTTCCTCACTACCATTCCATGCATACTGCCTCAGAATCACCTTGTAATCCGTTACAAGGCCCCAGTTCCCCTAAGTTCAGATAGATAACAACTATCCTCTATAGATAGCAACTTGAACATTGTGAAGTGTTAAGTTGTCCACTTGAGATATCCTTCTAGGTCCTGCATACCAATCAAACAGCTGATTCCATCTGGTCTGAGGGACCCCACAAGCAGCTGACTCACCAGAACATACAGTGTCCACACCCCGATGATTGCATCCTCTTTAGCCCCACCAATCAGTGGCCCCAATTTTCCACCCCTTGACCTCCACGATCCTTTAAAAACTCCAGCCCAAAACTCCTCAGAGAGATGAAGTGAGGGTCCCTCCTGCCTCCTCACTCAGCTGCCCTGAGATCAGGAAACTCTTTCTCTGCTGCAAAGCCTGCTGTCTTGGTGCATTGGTCTGTAACTGCGCAGCAGGTGTAGGAACCTGGTGGTCCTGTAACATCATTACATTTTACTGTCTTAAGGATATTTTGAATGACTTTTACCATCTTATTTTCTTTCCACCACTTTTTTCTTGGTCCCCAGTGGACTGTGTTTCCTTATTTCCTTTCCCTCCCTACAGGTCTAGAGGTGATAAAATTTCCCTGTTTTCAGTGGCTTTCAGATGCACAAAGCTATGTGGTCCCCAGTTGGCAGGGTGCCTCCCTTCCCCCTCCTTTTCATCTGTCTGTGAGGGCCCCACTTCAGCCCCTGATACTGTTGTGTTGGTCTAACCCCTTCTCCCGTGTCCCTATCTCCTTCCTCACACACTTAACATCAGCAGCCTCCCCATATATGTGGTACCTCTCCAGGCCACATGCCACTTACTTACTTACAGCTGACCCTTGAACAACATGGGTTTGAACCACACACATCCAGTTACACACAGATTTTCTTCTGCCTCTGACACCCCTGAGAAAGCAAGACCAACCCCTTCCCTTCCTCCTCCTCCTCCTCAGCCTGCTTAAGATGAGGATGAAGACCTTTACAATGCTCCACTTCCACTTAATGAGTAAATAAATTTCTCTGGCTTATTATTTTCTCAATACCACTTTCTTTTCTCTAGCCTACTTCATTGAAGAATATAGCATGTGATACATCTGTGTAGTGTGGGTAAACAACAAAAAATAAAATAAAAAAGAATACAGAATATAATACATATAACCTACAAAACATGTGTTCATTGACTGTATGTGTTATTAGTAAGGTTTCAGTGAACAGTAGACTATTAATAGTTACGTTTTGAGGAGGTCAAAAGTTATATGCAAATTTTCAACTGTGAGGGGGTTCAGTGCCCCTAGCCCCCACATTGTTTAAGGGTCAGCTGTATTTCCATGTATTTGTAGATAAGAAAAATACAAAGCATCATTTATGTGGGTGTTAGTGGTGTACACTAATGGTATATTGGGCTGAAATTCCAATTCGATCCTTCTCGTTATTTAGCTATGCCCACTTCACACCTCCTGTCCATGCTCCCCACTGACCTGGTGACTTGGTCTCCTGCCTTCTGTCGGGCCTTGAGAACTCTGAGGTCAGACTCACTCTTGTATCTCTGTAACTGTTTTTCCCTCTGTGATTCTAATTTTTCTGGTGTGTGTGCTTGCCACTCTGTGAACACTTCCATCTAAAGTCTTGTGTCTGTATTTAGTTCTTGGAAATTCTCTGCCAACCCTTCTTCAAATATATTCTCCTACCCGGTATTCTTCCTTTCTTCCCAGGACTCCTTGGAGACGGGCAGGGGCCGTCTTGTTCCACCTTCCTCACCTCTCAACCTGCCTCCCACCTCCTTATACCCTCCTGATGCTTTCTGGGGAGTCCCTTGGTAAAATCTTCTAGCCCCTTTCAACAATTATATTTATTTAGAATTATATTACAGTTTCATACATTATATTAATGAATTCTATTCTATCTATAAATTATGTTTTTTACACCCAACATCCCCAACTGGTTTGTCATGACAGCCGCTTCTTTTGAGCTCATGTTCATTGCATGCTCCCTTACGACGAAGTCCTCTGAGGACTTTGGTCACTTGTTCTAAGTCCTGCTCTGTCTGTCTTCTATGGCACAGGTGTGTTCTTTAGGAGCTGGGCGCAACTGGGAGCTGCTCCTGCAGGCATGTTTGGGTTTTGTGTTGGGTCTGAACTGCCTGCTCTGATACCTGCTGTAGCCAGGGGCAGAGCGGCCACTGCCAGCTCAGAGGTTGCGTGCCCCTTGGGCTGGCTCAGCCCAGGGAGCAGGAGGGGGCCAGCACCACGTGGAGGCTTCCAGCTGTCCTCCACCTGTGCCATGGCCTCCCCAGCAACCTGAACCTGACCCTGTCTGTGCTCCAGGCATCCCTGTGGGTCTATATTTGCTCTGAGTCTCTCTCTTCCAGCATTTCCTGGGCTGGTTTAGGGGGAGGCTGCCAGCAGCCCTTGATGGCTCACCATTTCCTCCACCAACAGAATACGCAAAATGCAAAGGCCTCTCTTCTCTCTACCTCACCACCCTGCCTGGAGCGCCCCTCACCACCCCTCATTCTTCTGCTGACCCCCAGCGGGGTCTCCAACCTGAGTCAACCCAACCACCTGCTCCTGGGCGCCTTCACTGCCCTGGGCTTCTGCGGGCAGTGGGCGGCCCTGACCAAGGGGCCCTCACCCTTGCCTCGTCCAGCCCCCACCTCTCACTGCGCCAGCCCCCACCTGTACTCCCTACCACACACGCGTGTACCCAGACTCGCACACTCACCCTCGCACACCCACACGCACATGCATGCCTGGACACTCCCACTCGCACACCCAGGGAGGCGGTGGGGCCAGGGTCTCACTCCTCCGTACACTCCGGGACCCTCTCCTCCAGCTCCTTTAATCCATTTCCTTCCCTGCCCGTCTCTAGCACTCATGACTCTGCTTCTATCTCTTCTCTCTTCAGAAAAGGTCGGGGGATAAAAGCCTCCTCAGTCCCGCACTCCTCTCCACTCGGCTCTGGCCTCCCTGTCCCCCGCTGTGGCTGCTCCTCCCGCGGGGCCCAGCACCTGCATTCCCCGCCCTTGCAGGAGCCCGTGGTGGGCCCTGAGGGGAGCGGTTGTGAGGAATTCAGCTTTGTCACGCCTACTAATCTCAGTGCCGTTTCTCACGTGACACCCCACACAGCCCACCGCGTGCCCTGAGGAAGCCTTGGAGAACCACCGGCCATGCCCACCGTCTTGCTGGCTCACGCTTGTCTCCTCATGGAACGCTGACTGGCAAATCTGAAGGACCCTGGCCCCCCTTGTCCCTTCCTGGCCCTGATGGTGCCCTGCCCTGTGCCCCCCTCCCTTCTTGGCGTCTGAGCCCTGACCCACTTCTTGGGCCCTCCTCCAGCAGTCCTGGACCTGGCCCTTTTAGCCCTGAGCACTGAGGGGCACTCTTTGCTTTCGATGACCCCTCACTGGGGGCCCTCCAATCGGGGAGTCTCCAGCCTGGGCCCCCTGCACTTCAGCCCTGCCCTGTTCTGGACACCTCCTGTCCGCCAGCCCGGCACAGAGATGGTCAGCTTCCCATGAGGAGCAGTTGCCCACCTACAGCCACCTACCCAGATGCAGAGCCGGGACCTGGGCCAAGCCTTGCCTCACCCCAACACCATCCAGCGCCGAGTCCCTGATCCTGCCCCCTCCACACCTTTCAGGGTGTGTACTCCCCGGAAGCCCGGCTCCGACTCTGTGCCTGCATCAAAGAAGCCCCTGATGGACCCCATCTCCCCTGCCCATCGTCCTTCCAGGCATAGCCCAGGCCTGGAGCCCCCAACCTTTCCTTGGTCCACACCCCATAGGTCCAAGTCTAAGCTCCAGGTGGCTTGTCGCCATCTGAGCATCTCCCCTTAGTCCCACACCCTGCCTCCCACCAGGGGAGTAGCCGTCCCATTTGGGCTGGGATGGGCACTTTCCCAGGTAGGTTCCGGGCAGAGGGACGAGCTGGTCACCTGCAGCCTGCTCTATGCCCAGGCTGGTCTGTGGCCCCTTCAGCCTCTTCCCCTCCAGGCTGCCCATCCTACCCCAGGGCTCACTCGGGGAGCCTGCTGGGCCCTCCCAGGTGGGCCGGGGGCTCGTGTGCTCCCCTGGCTTTATCCCTTCTCTGCACAACTGTGGGCTCTGGCCCCTGCAGAGAAGGGACCATGGGCTTTATCTCTGCATCCTCATCTCATAAGTGCCTGCAGCCCCAGTGGTCTCCACTCAGAGCCCATCTGATTATCATGAAAGGGGGGCTGGCTATGGCTACACTCAACCCCCAGTCTCTCTGGGGGAGTGAGAAGGACAGAAGAGAAGCCCAATACCTTCAGGACCTGCCCTGAGTCCCCAGGCATTGTGTGGGGCTGCGTAACCAATGCAGAAAGCAGATGGGTCACCTGCCTCTCCAAAGAGCAGTAAGCACTCATTCACCCAAGCCCCAGGAGGGTGCGCCATGATGCAGCGGCCTCCCCTCTCTCCGGGACGGGAAAAGGGTGTGCATCGAAGGGCCCTGTCCTCTCCCTCCCACCCCTGGCTGGGCTGAGGATGGGGCTGCATCGGGGGCTCCTGTTCCACTGCAGTGAGTGAGCAGGGCCCCAGCAGGCCCGCAGTCAGCCCTCCAGCCATCGGCCACCGACTTTATCCATAGGAGGATGCCTCTGGCCATCCCAAGGACACTGCTCCTCTGTCCCTGCCATTGGACCACCCACCAACACCCCAGAAGCCCAAGGAGCATGTCCAGGCACTGTCACTCCTGAGCAGTGACAGAGACACAGCCCCAGGGAAGGAAGGCAGAACCTGCCCCAGGAATCTGCTCAGGATCCCGGGGTCAAGCATGGGCTGGGGGCAGGGCAGCCCCACTTGACATCCACTCAGGTGGCCACAGGGGATGCTCAGACTCCCACTGGGCAAGGCTATGAATTGCTCACCAAGCTCTCAGTGCGGTTGATACTCCTGACATAGCTCCAGGCAGGCCTCAGGTGACACTGCTGGGGGACCAGAAGATGGTGAGGGAAGCTAATATCATGTGAAGAGACAGGAAGGCACTCCGGGGTGGGTGGGCAGGAGGGCCATGCTCCGGGCCCTAGGCCCTGAGAAAAGCTTGGGCCCTCCTCACCCTGCCCTGCATGATCTCTGCCTCTGTGTCTCCCGTAAGAAGGCAATAAGACTGAAGATGAGTCTATCAGCCCAGCCATGGCTGCTCTGTGCACTGAGGCTTCCTGGCAGAGGCTGGCACCTCTCCAACCCCCTTCTGTTATGTGGTCTTGCTGAGCTCTCCTCACTGGGTCCCTTCCACAGGGAGAGGGTGGCAGCCACATGGCTCTGGACCCACCCAGGTGCCCATGCTGGGGGGCACCCTATGCAGGGGAGCACCCTATGCAGTTGAGAGCCGTATGCAGCCAAGCATCCTATGCAGCTGAGCACCCCATGCAGGCGAGCACTGTATGCAGGGGAGCACCCTATGCAGAGGAGCACCCTATGCAGCTGAGTGCCCTAGACAGGGGAGCACCATCCAGCCCCCAGGCATGGCCCTGCAGTTGGCCTCTGAGCATCTCTATTCATCCCCCAAGAACGCAAGCACCGCCCCTGGACTGAGCTGGGCAGGGCAGGGGATCCATCAGTGATCCTTGGACACAGGGCTGGTGCAGGGGGGTGCTCAGCCACAGTTTCTAGGATGAGCAAAAGGAGGAGATTAGTGCTTGGAAAGTCTTCTATTTAATTCCAACAGAGACCTCTTATCTGTCTGTCTTGTTTGTTTTTCACAACTGGCTGGGCTGTGTCCACCACCTTCATGTGTGTGTTGGGGTCTTCCAGAGGAACAGAACCTGTAGGAGACACCCAGGTCCATGGCACAGATTTGTCATGGGAACTGTCTCACAGAACTGTGGAGGCCAAGAAGTCCCAGGACCCGCTGTCTGCATGCTGGAGCCTGGGGAGCCATTGTTTGGCTTCAGTCTGAGTCCGAGGGCCTGAGAACCAGGGGAGCCCATGGTGTGAACCCCAGTCCAGGGACAGGAGAGGACCCATGCCCCAGCTCAAAGGGCAGGTGTCCTCCTTCCTTGGCCTTTCTGTTCTCTCCAGGCCGTGAGCAGAGTGGATGCTCCCCAACCGCATGGGAAGGGTCTGCATTACTCAGGCAGCTGATTCCGACACTAATCTCATCCAGAAATGTCCTCACAGACACCCGGAATCATATCTGACCTGGGCACCCCAGGGCCCCATCAGGTTGACACATAAATTAACCAGCATAACATCTTAGTTATGCCCACCTCATGCCCCATGCCTGCTGTCATGCTGGGACCTATGGGCTGTCCTGCTGAGTCAGGCACCTGAGCAGCAGGCACACGAATGACCAAAAGGACCCTCACACATCAATCTAAATGCCAGATGCAGCACCACATGTTTCAGGCTCACACAGCCCTGAAGGTTGAGGACAGCTGGCCACACAGGTCACTAGTGGGGAGCTGGGACCTGAACCCAGGCCCAGCTGGCATCCCAGCTAAAGCTCCCCACCACTGTGCAGTGACCCAAGGGATGCGCCAGCCCCAGGCGCCTTATGGCTTCCCACTGTCTCATGACAGGAGCGAGGACGCCACCGTGCCAGGCGCTGCATGGCACTGCGGTGACAGAGACCACCCCCACCCCCCATACCCCACCCCCCAAGGACTCTAACCAGCTTTCCAGCATCCTGTAGCTGGCGGGTTATATTTATTTCTGCCCTTATTTATCTGAATGAATTGGTAGCAGCTCGCAACATAACACAAATACAAGAAAACTGAAACCATCATGGCTAGACAACAGTTGTGTGTGTTTATGTAACCATATCACACAGATAACAATTTGTAGGCACATGAGCGTGTATTACACACACACGCACATACACATACACACACGAGGTCTGCCCAAATTTCCAAAAAGAATGGTGCTGGTGCAGCATCTGAACAGCTGGACAGGGGCCATCTGCATGCGATGGGAAGGCCAGGAAAGAAAACAGCAGCATGAGCCTTCAATGATTTCTTAAGGACGTGTCTCTAAATGATTTAATCCCTTCCTGAGACACTGCCCATGAATTGATGACCTCTGCTTTTCCTTTCTCTCGTCTGATGAGCAGTGACTCTTTGTGACAGGCCAGTAAATTTCTCTCATTGCTTCTGCTAAGAAATTTTTTTTGAGATGATGAGGGGAAAGTGCTTTCTTGCAAGCACTCTGCACCCCACCCCCTTCCTCTCCACAGTGGAAGGAAGGACGAGCCAGTGGCAGAGCTCCGGGGATGAGCCAAGTCCTGTTAAATTAAAACAAATGCCGGCGACTTCCCAATGGTGACTCATACACAAGGAGGCCGGAGACAGGGGACACACAGCTGGCTGCCTTCCGAACTGTGCCCAAGCCCGCCATGAAGTGGCCATGAGCGGAGCACCCCCCAGCCTCCTGCCACACCCAGAGAACCCCAAATTTCAACACTCATCTCTGAAGGGGAGAGGGGATGCTAGAAGGACCCATAAGGAACCTCAGTCCACCTCCCAGAGTCAGTGTTACAACCATCCAACAAATGCATGCCTACCGTGCATTTCTGCAGGCCAGGCACACAGCAAGCTTGTGCCTGCCAGACACCTCTACCGGGAAGTCCTCCAGGATGCACCACCAGGAAGTGCTGTGCAGAGCCCTAGAGACTGACTACAGCAGCCAGCCAGGGAAGGCTGGAGGAAGAGGGGACGGGTGCAGGATCAGGAACATCATGACAGACGAGGAAGGCACCCCGAAGGAGGGTGCAGTGGGCAGGGGGCTGAGCCCACACTGATCTGGGTACCCTGTGGGGTGGTCTGGAGACCCCAGAAGCACAGGGAGGGGACTGGGTGAGCACAGCCTCCAGTCGGGTTAGCAGCCCAGCCTCCTGTCTCTGCCTGGGTGCTGGGAAGCTGTGTCACGAAGACCCTTCCCATTGCCATCAGGGTTCAACCCACACATCCCGCCGCCTGCTCTGCCTGCCTGCGGAGAGAAGCGGGAGCCGAGGTCTCAGGTGTGGGCAGGATCTGGGACAGCCTGGATGCCTTCGGTGAGGATTCAGGGGTGGCCATCCCCTGGGGCTGAGCTGGGAACTCCCTACTGTGGCCCCTCCAGCCTGGGAGACTGGTGCAGTGCCCCCAGCCCTTCTCCAGGTGTCCGGCCACCCCCAGCTACCAAGCCTGCTGCGGAGGGGCCCTGAGTGGGAATGAAGCAAAATGCCAGTGTCCAGGCACAGACCCCCCAGTGCCCAAGACCTGTCCCGGGGAACACGTGCAGCCAGAGCAGCTCCTGAGCCTCTGGACTCGGGTGGGGGTGTGGCACTCTCCCAGGGAGGCCAGCCGGGGACTCAAGGGACATTCCCCTCCTTAGTGGAACCAGGGCCGTGACTGACTAGAAAACAGTCTGAACTTATGAGTGGATGAAAAAGAAACAAAAGTAAGATGGAAACAGGCCAGAAAGATGCTTGTATCAAATATGACAGACCAATTGCTAACATTATTATATATTAAAAATTCCCTTGCATTTTAACGAATTCAAATTCTGGATAGATAGATGCGTGATGGGTATGAATAGATCTTTCATGGGTGAAATACTAAAAGCAACGAAACCAAGACCAAAACCCAAAGTAGGGCGAACTGCTCAACCACCACAGCAGTCAAGGAAACTCAGACAGAAGGAGACGGTGCAGTTTTATACCAAACTAGTGTTACCATGGCAAAGCCAACAGCAATGAGTCTGGGTGCAGGAGCCAGGCCGGAGCAGTGTCCTGGGAGCCCATGGCCCACAGTTCACTGTATTCACAATCTGACTGGAGTGGTCATTCTACACTCAGGGGTTCGCCCATGGAAATGATTGGGAAAGAGAAGAGCTGTGTGCACTGCTAGGCTCACCATGGCACTGTCTTCATCAGTAAAAATCAGAACAGTCTATGGGAGCCCCAGCAAGAGATATAGAGGAAACCTCGAGACAGGACAAACTGTCAAGCCTCTTTCTGGCACAAGGTTAGGGGCAGAGCCCTTGAACAGAGAGACGCGTCTGATGTTGCCTGAGTGATGGGTCAAGATGGCCATAGAGCGTGACAGCAGTGGCGAGTAAGGAAGTCTTCCCCCATACACAGAAGGCTTCGCCACATCCTGTTTATTCCAGTGTCCAAGACATGGGCAGTGGCCGTGATAACACCGCAGGTGTGTGCTCCCCAGAATGTGCTCCTGGTTGCCCCCTGAGGTGCAGGGTCCTCCTCCTCCTTCCCAGCCCACACCTCGTAGCCCACATCCTTGGTAGTGGGCCCTGTCACAGCCCATCATCATCCACTCACTCTATGCCCCATCTCCTTCAGGAAAGGGTGTCCAGCCGTCAGCACCAGCGGACAAAATGTACAGAAACCAAGCGGGCTCATGCGATAAAGAAAGGAGAGACCAAGGGCTGCACCTGAGGACCAGTCCAAGGATAGTAGGCCTGGGTGGAGCATAAAACTTGGCACTGAGCTTCCTGGAAGCCAAGGTAAAAGGGGGAAAAGATCCACAACAACCCTCCTCAACCAGGACAAAAAGCCACGCTTATTTCTTGGGAAAGACCTTATCATGTGTTTGCTTAGATAAAGGTCCTGAGGACATCCCAGAGTCTCCAGCTGTTTCCCACCTAACTTGAGAACGTTCTTCTGTGACCTGATCTCACCTCAACCTCATCCAAATGCCCTTAAGTTCTGGTTCTGTGACACATTTCCATGGAGAAGTTCGTGATGTCATCAAGGCAGGCCACTCTGAACTATTCCGAATGTGGATATCGTCTGGAGTGGGTGGCTGTCATGGCCACAGCCCCTGGCTCCAATACCACCTTGGGTTTCGTCCCGTGATGAGCCTTAGCATGAAGGAGTGGGGCACCTGCTGCTCACTTGTGGGTCCTAGTCGCCTCTGGGACACAGGAGACCTTGCTGCCATGTGCCTGAATACATCCAAGGACTCACCAGCAGGAGGGAGGGGCGGTTGTCAGCCCAAGCAGCTGCCACCGTGAGCAGTGGACACAGGACCAGCTTCCGGGGATGGTCCTGTCCTCCTAGCACAGCCCCATGCATGGACAGGGCATCCACGCTATCCGTGTCACCCAGGGCAGGTCACTGAGCCTCCCGCAGCCCCATTTCCCCGAGTCGCCCAGGCGTGGTGGAGCATACGCAGCACAATTGTTTTAGGAATTGGATGACTCACGAAGCTCCTGGCAAGTAGTAGGTCCGGCACGTGGTTGTGGCACTTTTTTCTAACTGCCTGGGTTCCATCTCAACTCCCAGAGAGTGAACATCCCGCCTCTCATCTCAGGACTGGTGCTCTCCGAAGCATTAAGTAGGAAATTGAGAGTAGCAGCAAGTGAGACTTAGGGGGCGGGTGGGCAGAAATCAGTGATGGCATAGCCGTGCCACCATGACCACCCTGGCCATTGTCTCCTGTGTCTCCTGCTCCTCCAGGTCTCCAAAGTCTCATGCCTTGTTCTCCAGCAGCTGCTCTCTGTGATGGGAGGGTGGGCACAGGGTGGGTTTGTGGGTGATTCTGCTGAAGCCAGGGAGATGACGTCTGTTCAAGGACCCTCAGCCTAGAGCCCAGGCTCCAGGAAGCTCTGCGGGGGACAGCTGGCGTCACTGGGCATCTCCTTTCTGTCTGCTCTGCTCACAGAAACCTGCAGGACACTGCCCATAAGGTGAAGTGAGCAAAGAGGCCAGGCCAGTCCTTCCCAGCCCCACGAAGCCAGTTCAGCAGGACCCCATGTGGATGGGCTTCTGCAACCGTGAGCAAAGGGTTGTGCCCAGCCTGTGCCCAGCCCCTAGGACACACACGGGAAGGGCTTCTTCCTAATACCTGCCGCCTGCTGCCTCTGCACAGCCATGATGTGCACCCTGCTGCAGGGAGCAGGCACCCTCATCCCTGTGGCCCATCTCCCCCTTCTTGTCCTCACTCTGAGGCCATAGAAAACTGGCCTGCAGCATCCTCACCCTCAACCTTGCCCTGCTGGGAAAACTTAGACCCTCAACTAAACTGGGGCCCCTGGACGCACTCGCTCAGCCGCAGTTCTCAATCTTCCCTCTGCCTGGAAGGCCCAGTCCTGTGTTTCACACTTGCTAAGCAGAGTTCCCTCTGAACTCAGCCCCCTGGATCCAGCCCAGCCCTCCTGGATCCACTTGCCAGAGTGCCCCTGACCCCGCCAGCCCCTCCCACTGACTCCAGTGCAGGTCGGTGAAGGTGACTGTGGCAGCTCTGGTAATCCTGGGAGAACCCCCGGGATTGAGTACAGCTCTCAGGCTCTGATTACAGCTGATTACCATAATGGAGAGAATATCTGGATTCTCCCCTAATTTCCTCTCCTCTTAAAATTTTCAATTAAGAGCCTAATCTTGATGGAAAATGGCTGCTTTCTGGAGTATTCTCTGCAGTGCTGATTCCTCATTGCTAAGCGCTTTTTCTAGACAGATAGAGGCTCTCGATGATTCCAAATAAAATCAGAGCAAAGGAGCTTACCCCAAGAAGGGAGGAGAGCAGAGCAGCAATAGGCTGTGCCCCGGACCCCTCCCTGCTGCTGGAGACACCGGGTGGGTGAAGGGTCTCTTGGGCCCTTCCAGCCTGCAGAGCTGCTGAGAGCCAGGCCTGGCTGCCAACAAAGCAGCTGAAGTCTTGAGAAAACTTCCTGATTGCATTAGCGAGGTCGCACCACCAGGACATAATCAAATCTCCCTGGAGGACATGGCTTCCGGAAGGGCTGCTACAAGCCAGTGGCAGAACAAGGGCAACCAGGGTCAGACACAGCGGAAGGAGGGAAGTCCCAGAGCCGGGCGTGGGTGGGCATCAGAGGGGTGTGGGCTGCACCATCTGGGTGCAGGGGCCAGCAGGCAGTGCGGATCCACCCAGCCCAGGGCCAGCCTTTCCCAGTGGTCACGTGCAGAAACCTGGCACACGTCATGGGGCAGCGGTCCCATATCATAGGCCCTCCTGGTGTTAGCAGTCAGGAGGGTGCCTAGAAAAGCCCCACGGCCACAGGGACTGCAGGATCTGAGCCTGACCTCCACACCAGGAGCCTGCCCAGCACCGTAGGCAGGGCCCAGGTGCCCTGCTCAGGAATGAGCTCTGGTTCCAGCTCGGCCATCCTAGTTTCACCCTGTCTGTAACTTAGCTGACCAGGAAGATGGCTGTGACAACCACAGAAAATCCCAACACAGAGCTGGCATGAAGGAGCTGTGCCCATGGGAGCTTCGGAGTCCTCAGGCCAGGCCGGCCCTGGCTCTGCCACCTCCTGGCTGGAAGACCTTCAGGCACCTACTGAGCCTCTCAGGGGCTCAGCATCTCGTCTGTGGGACAGGGATAATAATAGGGTTGTTTTGAGAGTAAAAGCACAAAACACAGAGCCTGGCTGAAGAAAGCACAGGTAGCTGAGGTCAGCCAAGGCTGAGTTAAGTGTTCTTCTTAGAAGAGCAGACAGGTCATTCCCTGAAGGCATCAGTGTGGGCAGGAGGGAACCTGTACTTTGCAGTCCCAACACCTCAGGACACAATTCCTGCTAACCTGACCCACAAAAGACCAAAGGACACACCCAAGATCCTGGACCAACATCCCACAACGATGCCTCCTGGTTTCTTCTCTAAGAATACTTCTTAAAAAGTTCCCCAGGAAGCTAACTCTATGTTCCTAATGTATGGACCATGGAAAGAAAACAAGTGTCTCAGTAGGTGTGTTCAACAAATGTGCAAATGCAGGGATGAACGAAGATGCCCAAAGTCAAGAAGCACCTCAGTCGCCTCCAACGTGCTCGGGGGCCACATCCACCTCCAACCTCTGCCCTGTTCACGTTTTCCTCCACCCAGATTCCCCTCTTGCCCTGGCACTCCAGGAATTGTTTGATGTCCTGGAAGCTTCCTTTCTCTGTTCCACAGCCCCTGAGCCTGGCGCCTCCCTGCATGCCTGTCCACCTCACCCACCAAGTTCCAGGAGCAGGCATCTGTCCTGCTCACCCCGACTCAGCAGGGAGGGCTGAACTCTGGAGGCTGAGTGGACCTAGACCTGCCCCGTGGCCTCCTGTGCCTCCGTGTCCTCCTCACCCTCGACTCACCAAGGAGCCCTGAGGACATGAGAACTGGAACATGCCCAAGACCCATGTCGGGGCCTGGCACACATGAAGCGCCCAGTGAATGCTCGATGACTGAGGACAGCATCGCTTCTTCTAAGAGGGGAAAAAAAAGAAAGTCAACCAGAGACAATTTGTAAAAGATGGCTTTTGACTGAGCCCTTGAAGGATGGGCAAGGATGGGCAAGGGGAGGGGGGACTCAAAGTGAAGGATGAGAAGGCTCTAGGTGCATGAGTGCCTGTACATGTGAGCATGCATGTGCATGTGTGTGCATGTGCATGTGTGTGCATGTGTGTGCATGTGTGTGTGTGCATGAGCCTTGCAGCCTTGCATGTGTGTGCATATGCATATGTGTGTGCATATGTGCATATGCATATGTGTGTGCGTATGTGCATATGCATATGTGTGTGCGTATGTGCATATGCATATGTGTGTGCGTATGTGCATATGCATATGTGTGTGCGTATGTGCATATGCATATATGAGCATGCATGTGTGTGTGCCCTAGTCCAGACAGGGCTCTGAATGCACTGTGGGGGACAGATGATTTCAGACTCCACCATGCGTCTGAAATCAGTGGGACAGATGACCTTGAACAAGGCCTTATGGCTCACTTAGTGTGAGCCAGACTCCTTAGAGACAGTGACGGCAGGACACACACGTGGGGGTCCACCTTCCCAGAGCTGGAGCCCACATAGCTCCAGGACCTCAAGGGAAGCCCAGGGGCTGAAGGGCCCAGGAGGTCCATCCATGTGATGGACCCAAGGAGACTTTGGTGGCTTCTCTGTTAAGATTTGAAGGGGGCCAGGTGTGGTGGCTCATGCCTGTAATCCCAGCACTTTGGGAGGCTGTGGCAGGGGGATCATGAGGTCAGGAGTTCAAGACCAGCCTGGCCAACATAGTGAAACCCCGTCTCTACTAAAATACAAAAAAAAAAAAAAAAAATTAGCCGGGTGTGGTGGTGGGTGCCTGTAGTCCCAGCTACTTGTGAGGCTGAGGCAGGAGAATCGCTTGAACCCGGGAGGCGGAGATTGCAGTGAGCTGAGATCACGCCACTGCACTCCAGGCTGGGAGACAGAGCAGGACTCCATCTCAAAAAAAAAAAAAAAAAAAAAGATTTGAAGGGATCCCAGGGGGCAGGGCTGGGTGGGCACAGGATGGAGACAGCGACACCTTTGGTCTTGGGTAGCCCCTGCCAGCCCCAGCATATCCTCAGCAGATAGGGTGACAACAGTGCCACTACCTCTAGTGGGAGGCTCAAGAGAAATTCACGTGACGCACCTGCCTGGGCTTGGTGAGTGAAAAGCTCCCCACTGACTCGAGCGCTGGTGGTGAGGATGGAAAGGGAGGTAGAGATGGAGGCGACAGCGTGGGCAGAGCAAGAGCACAGCCATGGAAGGGAGGTCCTCCCAGCTAGCCTTCAGGAGGCCCATGGCCAGCCTCAGGGCAGGAGGAAAGAATGTGGACCAAAAGCGGAACGTCCAGCCAGGGGAGGCCCCAGCAATGGCTGTATCAGGGCTGAGTGTGATCACAGGAAAAGCCACCCAAGGATTGAAATCGAGTGGAGTCAAGACTACGTGGAAGCCTACCTCTCCATGATGGCAACTTTGGAAGAACGTGTGACCTTGCGGAAGTGCACAGAAGGCACTGCTGGCCTGAATGGGTCCTTGGGCCCTGGTCTCGGGGCCGGCTTTTCTCCCTTCCCCAGACCTGCTGTGGCTCCATCCCCTCTCTCCTGCATCCTGGGATTGCCCCCAATTAACTACCTGCTTACAAGCCTTTTCTTTATTTTCTTTTTGCCTTTTCTTCTTTACATGTAAAGCATGAGTCCATCTGGAGCTTATTTTAAAGCATAGAATGAGGACTGACATTGACCTGTTTTTTTAAATGAAATAACTAGTTGTCCCAACCCTGCTTGTTGGATAATACTGCGGTTTCAGGAGTACCCCCACTGTCATACACCCGTGGGTCCATACCCCTGGGCTCTCCATCTGGGCACTCCCCTACCTGTGGCACCTCCTTCCTGAGGGCCGGCCTCACCCAGGGCCCAGCTGCCCTCTCCGTGGCCTGTGTCTTCCTTTCCTGATGCCTCAGATTCCCCCCATTCTCTGGCACTCTCTCCATCCTCCTGACCTCACTCTGCACCTCCCATGAGGTGCAGGACTGCCCTGCTCCAGCCCCCAGCTTCCTCAATCCCGAAGCCTTGTGCCACTGAAGCAGGAGCCCCAGAGTGCACCTGGATGGCAGCTTCTCTCCTGGCCAACAAACACCTGGTGCTGGCTGCCCTCCCAGCATCTCCCCTCAACAACTCAGCTCCACCCCAGGGCCTTAACACACACATGCACAGCACACACACGTACAAACATATGCACACACAGACATGCACACAAATGTACATACGGACTTACACAGCCACATACAGATGTGCACACACTCGTGCATACACAGATGTGTTCATGCAAACACACACGCGTATGCTCA
Source organism: Homo sapiens (assembly GCF_000001405.40). Taxonomy (NCBI): domain Eukaryota; kingdom Metazoa; phylum Chordata; class Mammalia; order Primates; family Hominidae; genus Homo; species Homo sapiens. Next base: position 42,867,603 of record NC_000010.11, on the reverse strand, counting down.
CGGGCGCGTACACATGTGTATGTTATGCTAAGAAATCCATTTTGTGTAGAAGACACTCAGGCTCAAATATGTGTCCAAAGTCACACAGCTATGGAGCGGCAGAACTCAGGTCTCTAGTGCACACAGCCCCGACTTAACCGCAGTTCCACTTAACAGTTTTCAACTTTATAGTGATGCAAAAGCCATCCACAGTCAGCAGAAACCCTCGTTTGAGTCCCACACGGCAACTCGGTTTTTCACTTTCAGTACAGTAGTCAATGATTACATGAGGTATCCGACACTTGACTACAAAACAGGCTTCGTGTTGATGCTTCTGCCCACCGCAGGCTCAGGGCAGTGTTCTCAGCAGGCCAAGGTAGGCCCCCACGCTGTGCTATTCGGTAGTCAGGTGGACTCAGTCATTTTCCACTCTCAGCGGCCTTATCGGGCCGCAGCCAGGGGTAAGTTGAGCAGTGTCTGTACTTTTAGCTCCACCCTGGGTATTTTAAGCGGCAGATTTACAAAACAAAAACAAAAACAAAAACAAAAACAGGGTTCCAAACAGTAGGGACATAAAAGGAGAGAATGCACGTTGCGGTCAGCCCATGCCTGGGAGCATAAGCACTTCAGGGGCATCAGCAGGCGTGACTGGCGATTGTTCCTGCTTTTCCTGGCAGCAGCGGCCTGGGCCTGAGACTGACCGCCCTGGCCACAGCCCTAGGCGAGGCTGCTGGGAGCCGGGAGCCGCCGCGCTCCGCGGTAGCGAGTCTGCGGTGCCACCTCGTGGCTACTGCGTGGAACTCCTCGTGGTGCGGGCCGGGAAGGCCGGGTCCCCACAAAGCCGGAGCCCGAGCACAGCGGTGCGCGCTCGCCTCAGGGGATCCCGCAGCACCCGGATACGGGGGCTGGTCCCCCAAAACCCTCAGGGGTGAGAGGAAGGAGGTCCCCAGCCTGCTGAGAGCTGTCCTCTGAGCACGCACTCGCGCACACTCACACGTGCGTGTGTGCATCCTCGGGTACCCTGACGCGTTCACACGCACGCACACGCGTGTGCACAAGCACCGTCTTTCACAAGCGTATGACGCGTTCACACAAGAGTGTGACGCGTTCACACGCACGCACACTCCCTCTCCCTCGAGCCTGGAAGGCGCACTGGGCTCATGGTGGAAACCTCTACCGCGGCAGAGGCACCGCGCCAGGGCCAGGATGCGCGCTTTTATTTCAGACGCGAAAACCGAGGCCCGAAAGAGACAGCCGGTGTCCAAACCTGTCCAACGACTCTGCTGATCGCGCCTCCTGTGTGCGGCCGGGGCGGGTGTGAGGGCAGCGGGCCCACCCTACGCCTGACCCGCCCCGGGGCCTCGAGCCACTTCCTCAGGAGCTCCTGGCAGCTGCAGCGACGGCGCGCCCAGTGCCTGAGGGTCCTGTGGAGCCAGGCTTCCCGGCACACAGGCGCGGTGGAGCCTCGGGGCGGGCATACACCCCGCGAGCTCGCGGCGGCCGGGCACTGCGGGTCCTCGGGTGGGGACTCTGGAGTTCAGTCTTGAAGGACAAGGTCACTGAGGATCAGGGAACCAGGAGGGCAGGGAGGGTGGGGAGGGGTGCCTAGGCCTAGTGGGAGAAGCATGTGAAAGTTCCCTAAGAGGGCTGCGGGTGAACAAGCGCTTGGCCTGGCCTCTCCCGGTAGACTGCTGTGGCGCCCCGGAGCCTCCCTTCTCCAAGGCCCCATGGACGCCCCCTGAAGGGTGACGCCCTCGCCCACGCTGAGCTCTGAGTGCTGCACGAGAACTCCCAGAGCCGTGTGCACACGCGCTCGCCGTGTTACATGCAGGACTGAGGCACCAGGAGGCCCAGGAACTGGCTCAAGCTCGTAGAACTTCATGGCAGGATCTGAAACAGGCAGATCAGCTCCAAAATCCAAGCTCTTTTCAAATTTTTTAATTGTGGTGAAAATATACCTAACATAAAATGCACAGTTGTACCATCTTTTAGTGTGGGTTAACTGGCATTAAGTGCACTCACATTTTCGCATATCCCCTACCACCGTCCATCTCCAGAACCTTTTCATCTTCCCAAAAGGAAACCATACCCATTGAACACCACTGAGCATTGAACCCATTGAACACCAGCTCCCTCCTTTTGTTACCATTGCTCTTTCTGTCTCTGAATTTGCCCATTCTGGGCCCCTCATGTAAGTGAAATCGCAATGTATCTGTCCTTTTGTGGTTGGCTTATTCCATCTAGCACAATGTCCTCAAGGCTCATGCGTGTTGGCATGCCTCTCAGAATTTCCCTCCTGGCCGGGTGATATTATAGGCTCATGCCTATTATCCCAGCTGTTAGGGAGGCAGAGGTGGGAAGATAGCTTGAACCCAGGAGTTCGAGACCTGCCTGGGCAATATAGCGAGACCCCATTCTCCACAAAAAGAAAGAAAAAAAAAGAATCTCCTTCCTGCTAAAGGTTCAGTAACAGTCTACTGTATGCATAACCACATTTCGCTTGTCCATCCACTCACCCATAGACCCTCAGAATGCTTCTACCTTTTGACTCTTGTGAATCATGCTGCTTTGAACATGGGTGTGCAAATATCTGTGAGAGTCCCTGCTCTCAAAAAAATCCACATTCTTGGCACAATGAAGAATCACCTCTCACAGACACCAGGGAAAAGCAGGTCTGTCTGAGAGCAGAGGGTGAGGAGTGGAAAGCCGGGCTGTGGACCACAGTGGGCGGAGGAAAGCCCACCCGCGTGTTCCCATGTGTGGGAGGAGAGAGGAGAGATGCCCTCTAGTGAAGGAACTCTTGTAGCAGCCAGCTCCATTCCTGCTTGGCCTGCAGAGGGCCAACTCAGGAGCCCAGACCAGGAAGAAGTCAAACGACTGACAAGATCCATCAGGAAGCAGAAGTGCGCCCGTGTCTCATCTGCAACAACAAACAGTTAGGACCAGCCACCCACCCCCCAACCCAGGGGGAAGTGCATCCACCACACAACTACCACCACTGAGCTCATGACACTCTCAGAGACAGGCACGGGAGCTCCTGGCAAGGCACAACCAGGGCAAGTGACAGTTTGCCAGTCCTGGGCAAGCAGACACCTGTCCTCTATCCAGTCCCCCATCCCACCAGCCTGCACAAGCAGAGAAACATCCTGCATAAATTAAAAGATTATCCAGATCATCAAAAGATCTGAGCAAACAAAACAAGTGAGACAAAAAACAAAACAAAACAAACAAAAACCAAAACAATAACAACAGAAGAACACTCATTTTTACAGAGAGATTTGAGCCCATCCCAACAGAGTACAATGCTCTTTCCAAGCTCATGGACAGCGTTTGGGAAAATTAGCTGTGCTAAAGGAGCAGGAAGCTTCAGCCCCTTTCCCAGAATTGCTGTTATACAAATCACATTCTCTCACCAGGGAGCAACAAAATTAGAAACATGCAGTAACAAAGACCATGTTAAAAGTGCATTTTGGGGCCAGGCATGGTGGCTCATGCCTGTAATCCCAGCACTTTGAGAGGCTGAAGCAGGTGGATCACCCAAGGTCAGGAGATCAAGACCAGCCTGGGCAACATGACGAAACCCTGTCTCTACTAAAAATACAAAAAATTAGCCAGGCATAGTGGCAAGAGCCTGTAAACCCAGCTACTAGGGAGGCTGAGGCAACAAAATCACCTAAACTTAGGAGGCAGAGGTTGCAGCGAGCTGAGATTGTGCTATTGCACTCCATCCTGAGCGACAGAGTGAGACTCTGTCTCAAAAAAAAGAAAAAGTGTGTTTTGGAAACAAAGTTAGTTTTCACAATGAAAATTATAAAATGCCTGGAACTCAATAGCAATAGGGTATTACATATTAAAATTATGAAACTCAACAAAATTGACATTTAGGGAGAGATTTATATCCTTAGATTAATTTGTCAGAAACAGGATAAAAGGAGAAAGCGCATGATAATTTGAATAAAAGAGAAAATAAAAACTAAAATGAAAAACTTTTCAGAAACAAACTACAATAAGTGTGTGACTTATCAAAATCTTTGGATATGTCCAAAGCAGTTCCCAGGGGAAATGTTATAGCTGCAAGTGTTTGTTAATATGCTTCAACAAAAGACATATAAAATTATATAAACTAAGTAAACATACAAGAAGCTTTTTTAAGGGAAACAAGAAATAAATATATTTAATTTTAAAACAGCCATAATAAAAGTAGACTTGATAAATAAAACCCAAAACCACTTCTTTGAAAAGACGGTTAAAAAAACCTCTGGGAAGTCAAGCAAAAGAGAAAGGAAAGGCACAAATTTTAAAACGTTAGATTTAGAAAAATGGCATAATAACCAATGTGGAGAAGCTGCTTCAAATCAAGGAGACGGGAGGCCAGCTTCATTCCAGTAGGTTCTGTTTCACCTGGATGAAATGGAAGATTTTCTTGGAATGTATAAATTGGCTTAGCAGGAGGCAGAAAACCTGAACAAACAGAACAAAGAGAAATGGTAAGCAGAAGTGCTCGAGGGGCTCCATCAGCCTCCAGGGATGGGCTGCTGTGTTAGGGAGGGCCAGAGCACAGGGGAAGTGGAGCGTAATTCTTTCTACAAGATTAGCAAGCTGAACTTGAATCTCACATACGCACACACATCACAGTGACATGGAAAGAACCCACAGGACACTTATGAGAGGTAAAAATAGAAAGTTTCTGCACAAAACAATCGTGTGTGTTTAAAAGATACCACATGGCAGAAAATAGTGATCTATGTATGCCAGCGTCTAGGAAGAAACCTGAAAGGCGCAGGCCAGACTGGTGGCTGGGATGGCTAGGGAGGAGATGAGGGGGTGGGAGCAGCTAAGGACGACACACACTCTTTTAACTCTGTTCCCGTGTTGCCGGGACATTTACAAACTGAAGATATATATTTTTAATTAATTAATTTTTTTAAAAATTTACTTTAAGTTCTGGGATACATGTGCAGAACATGTAGGTTTATTACATAGGTATACATGTGCTGCACCTATCAACTTGTCATCTAGGTTTTAAGCCCTGCATGCATTAGGTATTTGTCCTGATGCTCTCCTTTCCCTTGCACCCAGCCCCCGGATAGACTCTGATGTGTGATGTTCCCCTCCCTGTGTCTATGTGTTCTCATTGTTCAACTCCCACTTATGAGTGAGAACATGCGGTACAAACTGAAGATATTTATACATTACTTTAAAGTAATTAAGTTAAACTAAACTAAATGTAAGCCAACTACATGTAAATAAATAAAACCAATAATTAATAACAAGATAAAAGTAATTAATACTTTAATCATTACTAATTTATTTCTCAGCTAAAAATTAAAAATTTAGAAAATGTGGAAATATGTTTCATAATAGGAGGATATTATAAATGAAAGGGCATTTCTGTAGTCAAAGGGGTAGGAAAGACTCACCCAAACAAGACACAACCTCAAAACCAAAAGGAAAACTACCAGGTTTGATTATACGAGTATTGAAAACCTCTGAATACAGAAAGGCCTCATGGACACGTCAAAAGGTAAGCATCATACCAGGGAAAAGTCTTTTATAACATTTATAAGCAGCCACGGGATTTAAATGGAGAATATATAAAGAGCTTTTACAAAATCAATATGTGAAAGGCAACCAACCCAACAGAAAAATGGGCAGAGGATTGGCACAAATTGCAGGAGACAGGAGAATGGCCAATAAACACTTGAAGAGATGCTAAAACCCTCCTGCTGTCTAATAAAAATGCAAATGTAAACAATAATGAAAAGCGCCTTGTGCTCACCAGACTGGCAAGATGAAAAGCCCTGAGCCCCTTCACCACCAGTGGAGTCAGGAGATGGGCACTTCCTGCCCTGTGGGAGGACATGGGATCTGGTACAACCGTTTAGGAACACGAAGTGACTTGCAAATGTGGAGGGGAAATGTACCTACTCCCTGACTGATGATTCCAATCCTGCTTCAAATAATCTACTCCAGAAAAGTGGTCACCAGCGTGTGCTGGGATGTGCCCCACTGAAACAGTGAAGGGTTTAACACTTATCACCATTATAAAGATTAGCAAATGGAGGCTGGGAAAGATTAAATGCCTGGTCCAAGTCACAGGACTGGCAAATACATTCATCCCTAGGATTCTGTAGGGGATTGGTTCCAGGACCCCTGAAGATATGAAAATCCACCGAAGCTCAAGTCCTTGTGCATGACATAGTATCTGTATGTAACCTGCGCACATCCTCCTGTAGAGCTGAAACCATCTCTAAGTTACCTGTAATACCTCGTATACTGTAAATGCTATGGAAACAGGTGTTATACTGTTAGGGACTAACAGGAAGGAAAAAAGTCTGTACATGTTCAGTACAGACAGAACCATCCACTTCTTTTTCTGAATATTTTCAACTGATGGTTGGTTGAATCCATGAATTGGAACCCATAGGTAGGGAGGGCCCACTATAGTAGAAACACATTTTGAGTTTAAGCAGTGGAACTCCCTTTCTTTCAACCTCTACACTGCACAAAAGCCATCGCCACTGGGCATGGGGGAAAAGTGAAAACAACCAAAATAGACTCCTTAAATAAATGATGGTCTAAGCACTCCATGTAATTTTTGCAGCTATTAAAACTGATAACCCAGTGACATGCAGTGGTCTCTGAAGCATATTTTTATCAGAGGACATTAAAGGAAAAAGAATTAAGTTTATCTGAAAGAATAAACACAAAAGAACAGGCAGAGAAAAACCCAAAATGAAGAGAAATTTGCCCTGCAAATGTTAAAATGCCAGATACACCAAATCATGCAAACACAACATCAAAACACAGCTTGGTGGAGATGGAGGGACAGATGGGGAGGGAGAGAGTGTGGAAAGGCTGGAAAACAGTCCCAAACGGACACACGTCTCCATGTGATACTTTTTTTTTTTTTAGGCAGGTTTTTGCTCTGTTGCCCAGGCTGGAGTGCAGTGGCGTGATCTCCGCTCACTGCAACATACCACCTCCCAGGTTCAAGCGATTCTCCTGCCTCAGCCTCCCGAGTAGCTGGGACTACAGGCATGTGCCACCATGCCAGGCTAATTTTTGTATTTTTAGTAGACACGGGGTTTCCCCATGTTGGTCAGGCTGGTCTCTAACTCCTAGCCTCAAGTGATCCGCCCGCCTCCGCCTTCCAAAGTGCTGGGATTACAGGCGCCTGCCACCACGCCCAGCTAAGTTTTGTATTTTTAGTAGAGACGGGGTTTTACCAGGTTGGCCAGGCTGGTCTCGAACTCCTGACCTCAAGTGATCCACCTGCCTGAGCCTCTCAAGGTGCTGGGATTACAGCGTGAGCCACGGCTCCCGGCCAGAACACATTTCCTTTTAATGGAAACAGTAATTCTCTGTGGCCACCCAGCCAGCCCACATTCCTCCACCAGGCCACCACCGCCTCTGAGGAAGCTGGACTGTGCGGCACACGCGTAGGTCATTGCTTACTTAGATGGCAGTGAACCATTCACGCTCGGGAAGCACCACTCCTCCCCAGACCTGGCAGCATTCTCCCTGGCTCCTTTTTCTTGCTGAAATATTTCTCCAAGAGTGTTTTTGGGGTTGACTCTCAAGGGGGCTGATAGGACTGAGGATGGCTTCCTGCGTGCCCATATTTCATGGCGGTGAGCAGGACGCAGCCCTGGGTTCCAGGGTCCTTTCCTCTCGCGTCTGAAGCTGTCACCCCCTTTCTTTTTGCATCCGTTGTCTGTGCTGCAATTCTAATGTCAGCACCACTCGCGTTCCTGTGAGGGTTACCTGCTTTTTCTCTTTGGAAGTTTTTAGCAATTTTGACTCAAAATGTAGATGCTTTTCTTTGAAATTACACAGAACATTTTAACTTTAAAATGTAATTAACGCTCTGCAGGCCTTTTCAGTTTGAGGATGTGCGTCTTTTCTTAATTGGGGGAAGTTCCTAGTCATTTTTCAGATACCTCCTCTTATCTATTCATTTTTCCTCTTCTAAGCACTGAATATTTCTCCTCCCTCACCTCTGCCTCCTCAATCCCTTCAGATCCTTCTAAAAGAGCTCAGAGCCTGACTTGTCTCACTCGTTCATTTTCTGCTCTCCAAACTTCCCACCAAGTTCATCACTTAAGCGCCCGCATGTTCCAGTCCAGTAACCTGGCCTGCGTTTTCTGCATAACTGCTGATTCCAGCCGCGCTCCCTGCGTCCTGAGGGTATGTGACGGATTTGCCGGTCTTACCCGCTCATCTGCTCCCTCCTCCAAGGAAAAACCTTGCGGTTTTTCCCTCCCAGAGTTCACTCCCCTGGCTGTCTCGTTTCCTCAGGCCGCTCTCTGTTCCCTGGGGACGGTCAGCTGCCTTCGTCCTAGGCCCCAGTTGACACCTTCCTGGTGGGTTTCAGGGAGGCAGGCAGGGGCTCCTCGGGGCAGAGCCTCTGGCAGGATGACTGGGGCCCTCTTTGCTCATCCCCGGGGGCTGCTCTGGTCTGCAGGGAATGCCCCGTCCTTCTAGCTGGTGCTGTCTGTCCAGGGCTGCCCTGTGCTGTAATTGGCTGTCCTTGGGCTGGGGAGGAGGGCTGCCCAGGGGCTACCAGCCAGCTTGACCAGGTGTCATGGCCATCACTCCAGGAGGCTCCTGAGGTGCTCTGGCCTTGCCTGGATTCCTGGGGCTGGTATGGGTGGGATCTTCTACAGGAAAGCAGGGCCGGCAGATGACAGCCCCAGGTGGGCCCCGGAGCAGAGAGCTGCAGACTGGCCCGGGCTGTGCTGTGTGGCCTCCTCCACTCAGACTGTGGTTCCCCTCCTGCCCCAGACTCCACCACATTTGCCCAGCCTCTGCGAGGCTCTCAGGGGTTTCCTCTTAGGTTCTGGGCTCCATCAACTGTCATCCCTTTGATGGCATCTCCAAGGTTTGGATTCATGGGAAGGAGCCAGCAGCCTGTATTAATTAATCACCTCATAAAGGAACCAAAAGCCAAATTTTCAAACAAAAATCATAGCATTAGATGCTGTCAGGGGCAGAGGAAATGGAGACGTGGAAACGCTGCTGGTGGGCGTGTGAACTGTCACACCCTTCCGAGGACCTCGTGGCAACTCTTTCCAAATGCCTGGAGAGTGGACCCTGGTGTTCTATGACGAGGTGGCATCTGCCCTCTAAATACAACTAGACACCCTGGAAATAATTTAACAGACGTAAGAGGACTCTAGGAGATGGAGAGGAAGAAAGGCTGTCCAGGAACCTTGGGACTTTGGGGGTGACGCTGTACCAGGCCCTGAGTTTTCTTTTTCTCTCTCATCTCCTGGATGGGCCCAGAGAACCCTGCAACCTGTAACTGCCAAAACCTGCAGGGGGAAAAAAGAAAAGAAAAAGAGCCTGTTCTCTCTGGTGAAAGGACTGAAAAGGGCATCTCACTGGAGACCCAGCGAGGAGATTCCCCCTGATCCATGTCACAGCAGCTCCGTTCAGGCCTGGCCCTCAGCATCACACCCAGGCCACAACAGGCTCTGCTGACCGTGGCTCAGAGACCACACCCAGCACCCAGCGTTTCCTTAACCTACCCCCACCGCACAGGGCAACCCCGGCAACATGCGCAGGGATTGAACCAGAGGCCCAGCAGATCCAGAAGAACAAACCCGACCAGAATAGCACGGGGAGGGCTTTGAAAACCAAATTGTCATTGACTCTACATTTCCCCTAAAGCAGGCTGGGGCCTATATGGTAAACCAAATAAGGGTACCATGGACTGAACTGGAATGTTCAAATAGGATAAAAAGTTTCCTTACATAATAACCGAAATCTCCAGAATATATTTGAAATTATTTGTCACATCAGGAAACATAAAAAGCAACTTGAAGCCAGGTGAGGGGGCTCCCACCTGTAATCCCAGCACTTTGGAAGGTCAATCAGGAGGATGGCTTGAGTCCAGGAGTTTGAGATCAGCCTGGGCAACACAGCATGATCCTGTCTCTACAAACAATTTAAAAGTTAGCCAGCTGTGGTGGCACACACCTGTGGTGCCAGCTACTTAGGAGGCTGAAGCAGGAGGACCGCTTGAGCCCGGCAGTTTGAGGCTGCAGTGAGCTGAGATCATGCTACTGCACACCAGTCTGAGCATCAGAGTAAGACTCTGTCTCAAAAACATAACAGAACAAAACAAAAAACAACTTAAATAGCAAAATAAGATTAATCAAGATAAATCAGATATTAGAACTTTAAAGCAGCCATCATAAAAATGCTTCAGAAAACAATGGTGAATTTTCTTGAAACAAGAACAAAATGAAAATCATACAACTGAAAAATACAATAACTAAATGAAAAAATGTGCAGTTGGGTTCAATAGCAGAGTGGAGGCGACAGAGAACAGAGTCTGTTGATTCAAAGACAATTAATAGAGCTGGCCCATAGGAACAACGGAGAGATAGGAGACTGAGAAATGAATGCCTCCTTGGGGATGGGTGGGACAGTGACAAAAGGCCCAGCGTTCCTGTCACCAGAGTCCCAGGAGGAGAGGAAGGAATGTGTGGTGAAAAAGTATTCAAAGGCACAGTGGTTGAAGACGTCCCAAATTTGGTGAAAGAAATAAACCTGCAGATTCAAGAATCTGAGCAAACCCCAAATAGGATAAACACATCATAATGGAACTTCAGGAAAGGAAAGACAAAGAAAAAAATTTTTTAAACCACCAGAGAAAAATGATGCATTAAGATACACTGGTTCTGAGGATGGTGGGCTTCTCTAAAACCACGAGGTAGAGGGGGGCAACACACCATCGCCAGGTGCTGAGAAAAACTGTCTGCCCAGAACCCTATTCAGTGAACGTATCCTTCAGGGATGAGGGGGAAATAAAGACATTCTAAGAGGAAGGACAACTAGGATAATTTGTTACCAGAAAACCCACCCTTAATAAATGGCTGAAGGAAGCTCTCCTAACAAAAAGGAAATAAGGAAATCAGAAATAGCAACAACAGAAGGGGTAATCATGTGGTAAATATAATAGACTATGATGAGTTTCTTAAATTGTATTTTATGGTTGAAGCAAAAAATAATAACATCATCTGCTGCGGTGCTCTACATCTGAAGAGGAAATATTTATGATAATTACATGTTTAAGTGGGGGAGGAAAAGGGGAAATAAAAGTAAGCTTTTGATATTTCTCATGAAATGGTGAAACATTGATGCCAGCAGGCTGTGATAAGTTACATGTGTATATTATAATCAATCCTAGAGCAGCCACTTAGAAAACGATACAAAGCAATGCACCCAAAAGAATAAATAATTCAAAATGAAATGCTAAAAACTGTTCAACTAATCCATGACAAGTGAAACAAAACAGGATAAAGGAAACATAAGAAACATGCAGAAAGCAAATAAAAATGGCACATTTGAGTCCTAAATATAATTTCTGTGTGGTAAAGAATTTGGCCTAGCCCAAAGAGAGGTCTAGCCTTTGTCCTGGCTCCTGGTAAGTAGTCCTGAAGCCCATGTGACAGAAGGGTCTTTGCTATTCATAGTGGGCCCCTCAGACCATACCTGAAGTTTATGCTACCAGCTGGCTCATGGTGGGCCCCCCTAGGAATGTGCTGTCAGCCCCAGATTCCGGGAAAGGGAGAGGTGAAGACAGAGTTCCAACCAGTCTCCAACAGATCTGTCAATTATGGCTGCACAATGCACTTCCAGGAAACACTCTGGACACCAAGGCTTGGGTGAGGTTCCTAGGTTGGCAGTGCTTCATGGTATTGTCACACGTGGATGCTGGGAGAGTAATGCACCTGAGGACAACAGAGGCTTCACAGACCCTCCTAGCCCTGCCCTCTGTGCTGGTTCTGATTTGTATCATTTCCCTGCAGTAAACAGTAACCACATGTAGAGCAGTTTTCAATGAGTCCTTCCAGCAAATGATTGAAACTTAAGGTGCTTTGGAAACCTCCAAAACTTGCTGTTGGTGTCAGGAATGAGGGAAATTTTAGGAACCATGCCCTCAGACTTTGCAGTTTGGTTAAATCTGGGAAAAACACAGAAATAGCAGAGTAAATGCAAAAATATGACCCATTATAGGATGTCCATAAGATATTCAGTTCTAATACCATGGCATAGGTATTTAACAGATTGGAAGTGAAAGAACAGAAAAAAAAATATTTCATGCAAACAAACAGGAACTTTCAAAAAAGCAGGAGATGCTATAATAATATCAGATAGAGTTCATGGCAAAAAGAATTTCTAGGACAAAAGAGGAATATTACATAATAACAAAAGAGCAAGAGTATATCTTGATCCTAAATATATGTGCACCAAACAACACAGCTTCAAAACACATGAAGCAAAACCTGATAGAGCTTAAAAAAGAAATAGAAAAATCCATAATTATAGTTGGGATATGTCAACATCTCACTTTCAGAATTTGTAAAATTACTAGACAAAAAAATCAGCAAGAATATAGGATAACTGAACAATATTATTAGCCAATAGGGTATAATTAACATTTATGGAAAACTCTATCCATCAACAGCAAAATACGCATTATTTTCAAGCTCTTATAGAACAGACTCTAGATCTTAAAACAAACCTTAATAAATTTTTAAAAACCGAAATCATACAAAGAGTGTCCTCTGACCACAATGGAATCAAACTAGAAATAAATTGCAGAAAGACAGGAGAAAAATCTGCAAACACTTGGAAATTAAGCAGTAAACATTTATATACAATGTGGACAAGAAGAAGTCTCAAAGGGAATTTTTAAAACGCAAGTAACACAATGAAAATATGGCATATCAAAATTTGTGGATGCGGCTGGGTGCAATGGCTTACTCCTATAATCCCAGTACTTTGGGAGGCTGTGGCGGGTGGATCACTTCTTCAGCCCAGGAGTTCAAGACTAGCCTGGGCAACATGGTGAAATCCCTATCTCTGCAAAAAATTAGCCAGGTGTGGTGGCATGCACCTGTAGTCCCAGTTACTTGGGAGGCTGAGATGGGGGGATTGCTTGAGCCCAGAAGGTTGAGGCTGCAGTAAGTGGAGATTGTGCTACTGCAGTCCAGCTTCGGTGACAGAATGAGACCCTGTCTTAAAAAAAAAATTGAGGGATTCAGCTATAGCAGAGCTGAGAGAGAAATTTATAGCACTAAATCCTTATATTATTTCCTTAGTAATATGGAAAGTTCTCAAACCAGTAGTCAAAAAACTAAAAGAGGAATAGTAAAATAAAGTTAAGGCAAATAGGACGGAAAGTGAAGAGCAGAAATTGATGAAATTAAAAACAGGAAAGCAATGCAGAACATTAAGGAAATAAAAAACAGGTTCTTAAAAAAATTAATAAAACTGATAATCCTCTAGCATGATCAACAAAGATGAAAGGAGATAACACACAAATCACCAATATCAGGAATGAAACAAGAAATATCACAAAAGAGGCTGCATCTATGAAAAATGCTATAAAAATTTTATGCTCATACATTTGACAGCCTAGGAAAAAATGGATCAATTCCTTGAAAATCACAAATTACCACAACTCAGAAAAGATGAAATATATAAAAGCCTGAATAGTCCTATAACCATTATATAAATTGGATTTGTAACTAAAAAGCTCCTGAACACAATGTATCCAGACCCAAATGGTTTCACTGGAGTATTTACCAAATATTTAAAGAAGAATCAACACCAGTTTTACACAATCTCTTCCAGAAAATAGAAGAGAAAGGACTATGATATCATTATTTTGATATCAAAACAAAACAAAGACAGCACAAAGGAAGGAAGGGAGGGAGGAAGGAGGAAGGGACAGAGGAAAGAACACTGCAGGCTGATTTGGCTCATAAGCTTAGATGGAAAAATCCTCAAGACAATGTTAGCAAATCAAATTTAGTAATGCATAAAAAGAGTAGTAGACCACAATCAAGAGGAATTTCACTCAAGTTATGCAAGACTGTTTTAATATTTGAAAAGCCAATCAACATATTCTGCCTTGTAAACTGAAGAAGAAAAATCATATGATCTTATCAATTGACATAGGAAAAGGTTTTGACAAAATTCAAAACCCATTTATGATATAAACTCTTAGCAAACTTGGAATAGAGGGTAATTTCCTCCAACTTCATAAACAGCATTTGCAAAAATCTACAGTTAACATCACACTTAATGGTGAAAGAATGAATGCTTTCCCCTTAAGAGCAGGAACAAGGCAGGAATGTTCCCTTTCACCATTTTAATTCAAGATAGTACTAGAAGTTCTAGCCAGTGTAATAAGACCAGAAAAAGAAATAAAAAGTACACAGATTGAAAAGAAAGAAAGAAAATTATCACTACTTGCACGTGGCATAATCATCTACATAAACAGTCCCACGGAATAAACAAAACATCCTTGATATAAAGAGTGAGAATATCAAGGCTGCAATACACAAGAATAACACACGTACACAAATTGCATCTCTCTATGGTAACAATAAACAAGTGGAAACCAAAATAAAAACTGCAATACCATTTACAACTGCTCGAAATACATGAAGTATTAATATGTAGGTATAAATCTAATAAAACATATACAGGAGAATATAGTGCAAATTACAAAATTCTGCTGAAAGAAATCAAATATCTACATAAATGGAGAGTCATGCCATATTTAGGGATGGGAAGTCTCAACATAGATGTCAGCTTCCCCCAAATTGCAGGTTTAATACAATTCTAAATCTTGGCATTGTTTTTTGTATACATATGCAAACTTATTGTAAACTTTATATTAAAAGGGAGTGGCCCTAGGTTAGCTGAAACAATTTTGAAAAAGAATAATTAAATGGAAGAAATCACTGTACCAAGTATTAAAGCTTACTCTATAACTACAGTGATCAACTCAGTATGGTGCTGGTGGAGGGATAGACACATTAATTACTGGTGCAGAACAGAGACCCCCCACCCAGAAATATGCTTAATTAATTTTTGAGAAAAATGCAACAGCAGTTTAGTAGAGGAGTGATAGCCCTTTCAACAAGTGCTGCAGGAACAATCAGACATCCATAGGCAAAGAGATGAGGCTTGGCCCGACCTTCACATTTTATACAAAACATAACACAAGGATCATGGGCTTAATGTCAAACTGTAATATTTTCAGGAAAAAAATAGAAGAAAATCTTCAGGACCAGGAACTAGGCAGAGCTCTTAGACTTGACATCAAAATACAATTCATAAAAGAAAAAAAATGGATAAATTGGACCTCATCAAAATTAAATTTTTTTTGCTCTGCAAAAGACCCTGTTGGGATGATGGAAAGATAAGTTACAGAATGAGAGAAAATATTTGCAAATCACATATCTGACAAAGAACTTGTGTCAAGAATAAAGAACTCTCAGAACTCAACATAAAATAAATAAGTAATCAAATTAAAAATGTGCAAATGACATGAACAGATATTTGACCAAAGAAAATATTCTTTGTAAATGAAAGGATGGTCAGCAACATTAGCCATCAGGAAAGTTCAAATTAAAACCACAATGAGACATCACTACATATTAGAATGGCTTTTTAAAAAGTGATTAGCACTAGGCTGGGTGCAGTAGCTCAGGCTTGTAATCCCAGAATTTTGGGAGGCCGAGGCGAGTGGATCATTTGAGATCAGGAGTTTGAGACCAGCATGGCCAACAGGGTGAAACCCCATCTCTACTAAAAATACAAAAGTTAGCCGGCCGTGGTGGTATGAGCCTGTAACCAACTACTTGGGAGGCTGAGGCAGGAGAATTGCTTGAAACCAGGAGGTGGAGGTTGCAGTGAACTGAGATCACACCACTGCACTTCAGCCTGGGCGATGGAGACTCCAACAACAACAACAACAACAACAACAACAACAACAACAACAACAACAACAGAATAACAGCAAATCCTGGCAAGGAAGCAGAGAAACCAGAGCACCCACACTTGCTGGTGAAAATGTAAAATGGTACAGCCACTCTGGAAAAAGTTTGGCAGTTCCTTATAAAACTGAAAATGTACTTACCATAGGACCAAGAAAATGCAAACATGGGCATTTCTAGTACAGAAATAAAAACTTGTTTTTAGACAGAATTTTATATTCAAATGTTCATAGCAGCTTTATTTGTAATAACCCCAAACTGAAAACTACCCAGATGTCCTTTAATGGTGAATGATTGGATACATTGTGGTACATCCATATTATGGAATATTACCCAGCATTACAAAGAACAAACTACTGATACATGTAACAACTTGAATGAACCTCAAATAAATTATCAATCTTAAAAAGTAAGTCAGTTTTAAAAAGGTACATACTATATGATTCCACGTATATAGCATTTGTGAAATAACATAATTACTGAGATGAAGAGAAGATTAATAGTTGCCAGGGGTTAGGGATGGAGTGAAGGACGTGTGGATGTGTGCCTCTAAAGTGGTACCATAAGGAAGCCTGTGGTGCAGAGGTATGCATCCTGATTGTGATGATAGGTACAAGTACATACTTGATAACATTACAGACAGCTATATGCACGCATACCCAAGTGAGCACATCACTACCTCGTTGAATATTAGTAAGCTCTGTGGATCGTACCAATGTCAGTTTCCTGTTTTGATATTGTAGTTATGTCAGATGCTAGCCCTGGGGCAGTTGGGTAAAGGGCACAAGGAACCTTCCTGTACACTCCTGCACAACTGCCTGTGAATCTATAATTATTTCAAAACAATGAGCATTAAAAAAAATTCATATGTTTGTAGGAATTCATTTTTAGTTTCAAAAAAATTAAGGGAATTTCAGTTTTGGGGAAAATGGAGTAAGCACGTTTCACTGTGTCCCTCCCACTAAATCAGAGAGAATACATAAAGAAGCTATTTGAAGAGTTTTAAAACCAAATAACCCCAGGAGAATTGGGAAACAAAACAAAACAAAACACCATAATTCAAAGTAACACTGATCTGGCATTGAGTTTTACCATTTCCCTTCTTTGGTGTCTCTTAGTCTGTCTTCAAGGACGCCTGAACTTGGAAGTGGACTTGGGTGCAAACAGAGAGGGCTCAGGAGAAGCCTTCCTGATCTGGCTGAGGAGCAGGAAACAGTCTCCTAACATGCAGAGAGAGTGCAAGAAACTCTTTTCTCTTTACTCCATTTTCTTATGCCCCAGTCCCCTGCAGCCCACTGGCACCTCACTTCCTGATAACTAGAGAGATGGTCTAAGCAGGTGGGTGCACTCCATTGCTTTTTTACTCTTTCTGTCCTTTTATTGCTTGACGCTGGATGTGGGCATGGTCATGACAAGCAAGGTGCAGAGTGAAGTAAATAATACCCTTGCTCAGCTGGAGCGCTGAAAAGGAGAGCTCCTAGGAGCTGGAAAGTACCAGGGAAATCATAGCATGTGAGGAGTTCAGGACAGTGACTTCAAAAAGGTGTTTATGAGCTTCTGGCTCATCTCTGTGATAGTTAATTTTTTCCTTTTAGTTTTAGTTGACATGTAATAATTCTATATGTTTATGGGATACAGAGTGATATTTCCATATGAGCATACAATGTGTAAATGATCAAATGAGGATAATTAACATATCCATCACCTCAGACATTTTCATTTGTTTTGTGAACATTCAAAATCCTCTCTCCTAGCTTTTTGAAAATATGCAATAAATTATTGTTAACCACATTCACCCTACAGTGTTGCTGAACAGAACTCATTCCTCCTATCTAACTGTAATTTGGTATGGTACCCAGCCTCCCCCAGCCTTCTCTCCTCTCTACCCTTTCTAGCCTCTAATACCCACAATTCTACTCTCTACTTTCATGAGTTCAAAATGTTTCTAGCTCCCACATATGAATGAGAACATCTTTCCGTGTCTGACTTATTTTGCTTAACATAAGGTCCTCCAGGCTCATCCACATTGCCTAAATGACAGCATGTCATTTTTATGGTTAAATAATATTCCATTGTGTATATTTTATATATATGTATACACACACACACACACACACACACACACACTCACACACTTTCTTTATTCATTCGTTATAGACATTTAGGTTAATTCCACAACAGCTGTGATTGTTAATTTTATGTGTCAACTTGACTGGGCTACAGGGTGCCCAGATATTTGGCTAAACATTTTCTGGGTTTGTCTGTGGGGTGTTTCTCCTTGAGATGAGTATTTGGATTGGTGAACTGAGTAAAGTAGATTGTTCTGTCCAATGTGGGCAGGATAATTCAACCAAGTGAAGACCTGAATACAACAAAAAGCCTGAGCAAGAGGGGACTCCTCTTGTCTGACTGCTTGAGAGGGGACATTGGTCTTTTCCTGTCTTTGGACTTAAACTGAAACATAGGCTATTCTTGGATCTTGAGCCTGCTGACTTTTGGACTGGAACTCAACCATCAGTTCTCCTGGTTCTCAAGCCTTCCAACACAGACTAGAACTACATCATTGGTTCTCCCAAGTCTCCAGGCTGCCAACTGGACTTCTCAGCCTCCATAATTGTGTGAGCCCATTATATATCATATTGGTTCTGTTTTTCTCAAAAACTCTGACTAATACAGATTTTGGTACAGATAATGGTTCTAGAGGAACAGAATTTTGAGAATGAGTGTTCTGGGTTTGTTCTGGGGTTTCTGGAATTGGTTCTCTAAACAGATTTCATTTAAAGTTGTTAATAACTCTATTTCCAATAATAGAGCACTGATAGTTCATGGCATAATCTGGCAATAGAGATACACAAATATCACCATTGGAGACTCCTATCAACCACTTTATAAGAAGCTAGGATCTGGGTGACTGTGTATAGGGCATTTCAAACATTTTCAGCAAACTAATGAATACTAGATGGTTGCTTCTATTGTCACTAGACAAAGGGGAAATAAAAGAATGAGCTCAGGGATTCCAATTCCCAACTCAAGTATCACATAAATGACCTGAAAACTCCTTTGTGTGCCCTCAAGTAAACCCTTAGCCCAGGTAGCCCCTCAGCTGAGATTGCTGAAAATCAAACTCAGAATCTCATCCTGTGGCTAGCTGAATTATAATGCAAGTTGAACTATTTGGAGTTTTGATGAAGCATATTCCTCATTTGGGTGTGTTGCTCCAGCTCATGTAACAAGTGACCTGAAAGGCTGCTGGTGTTGAGAACAAGAGAAGGCCGTGCAGCAGGTCCAGGTGTCCGTGCATGCTACTCTGCCACAGGGACCATGTGACCCAGCAGATCCAATATTGCTCGAAGCATCAGTGGCAGATAAGTTTGGAGCCTTTGGCAGGCGCCTATAGGTGAGTCGCAGCACAGGCCCTTAAGATTTTGGTGCACAGCCCTGCCATCCTCAGCAGATAACTATTTTCCTTTTTATTTATTTATTTATTTATTTTATTGATCATTCTTGGGTGTTTCTCACAGAGGGGGATATGGCAGGGTCATAGGACAATAGTGGAGGGAAGGTCAGCAGATAAACAAGTGAACAAAGGTCTCTGGTTTTCCTAGGCAGAGGACCCTGCGGCCTTCCGCAGTGTTTGTGTCCCTGGGTATTTGAGATTAGGGAGTGGTGATGACTCTTAATGAGCATGCTGCCTTCAAGCATCTGTTTAACAAAGCACATCTTGCACCGCCCTTAATCCATTTAACCCTGAGTGGACACAGCACATGTTTCAGAGAGCACAGGGTTGGGGGTAAGGTCACAGATCAACAGGATAAGAATTTTTCTTAGTACAGAACAAAATGAAAAGACTCCCATGTCTACCTCTTTCTACACAGACACGGCAACCATCCGATTTCTCAATGTTTTCCCCACCTTTCCCCCCTTTCTATTCCACAAAACCGCCATTGTCATCATGGCCCGTTCTCAAAGAGCTGTTGGGTACACCTCCCAGACGGGGTGGTGGCCGGGCAGAGGGGCTCCTCACTTCCCAGTAGGGGTGGCCGGGCAGAGGCGCCCCTCACCTCCCGGGCGGGGCGGCTGGCCGGGCGGGGGGCTGACCCCCCCACCTCCCTCCCGGTCGGGGCGGCTGGCTGGGCAGAGGGGCTCCTCACTTCCCAGTAGGGGTGGCCGGGCAGAGGCGCCCCTCACCTCCCGGACGGGGTGGCTGGCTGGGCGGGGGGCTGATCCCCCCACCTCCCTCCCGGACGGGGTGGCTGCCGGGCGGGGGGCTGACCCCCCCACCTCCCTCCCGGACAGGGCGGCCGGCCTGGCAGGGGCTGACCCCCACCTCCCTCCCGGACGGGGTGGCTGCCGGGCGGAGACGCTCCTCACTTCCCAGATGGGGTGGCTGCCGGGCGGAGGGGCTCCTCACTTCTCAGATGGGGCGGTTGCCAGGCGGAGGGTCTCCTCACTTCTCAGACTGGGCGGCTGGGCAGAGATGCTCCTCACCTCCCAGACGGGGTCGCGGTGGGGTAGAGGCGCTCCTCACATCCCAGATGGGGCGGCGGGGCAGAGGCGCTCCCCACATCTCAGACGATGGGCGGCCGGGCAGAGACGCTCCTCACTTTCCAGACTGGGCAGCCGGGCAGAGGGGCTCCTCACGTCCCAGATGATGGGCGGCCAGGCAGAGACGCTCCTCACTTCCCAGACGGGGTGGCGGCTGGGCAGAGGCTGCAATCTCGGCACTTTGGGAGGCCAAGGCAGGCGGCTGGGTGGTGGAGGTTGTAGCGAGCCGAGATCACGCCACTGCACTCCAGCCCGGGCACCATTGAGCACTGAGTGAGCCAGACTCCGTCTGCAATCCCGGCACCTCGGGAGGCTGAGGCTGGCGGATCACTCGCGGTTAGGAGCTGGAGACCAGCCCGGCCAACACAGCGAAACCCTGTCTCCACCAAAAAAATAGGAAAACCAGTCAGGCTTGGCGGCGCTCGCCTGCAATCGCAGGCACTCGGCAGGCTGAGGCAGGAGAATCAGGCAGGGAGGTTGCAGTGAACCGAGATGGCAGCAGTACAGTCCAGCTTCTGCTCAGCATCAGAGGGAGAGTGTGGAAAGAGGGAGAGGGAGAGGGAGACCGTGGGGAGACGGAGACGGAGAGGGAAGGGAGAGGGAGAGGGAGAGGGAGAGGGAGAACTATTTTCCTTTTGAGAAACATCTGTTCATCTGCCACTAGGCTGAACGCTTAACTGGGGATCACCAAGTTCCCATGTGACCTGAGCTGACCAACATGAACTGAGTTTTATCTGACCCATGAAGCATGAGGTGGGCATGCATGGCAGCGCTCCATCATCAGAGGAAAGGGGTCTGTGTGTGAACAGGCCCCAGCAGGCCCTGAAGGCATAAGTCGGCTGCATAAGTGGCCCAAATGCCCATGGTCCCCACCCCTAGTACACTGCCTTCTCTCTCCCAGCCTGCACCAATGGCCTCATGGGGAGTTCTCTAGGATCAGATGACAGAGGGAGAGAAGGCTCAGGCCTTCTCTTGGCCCTTACAGATGGTTCTGTGTGATACCCAGGTACCACCTGAAAGCAGACAGCTGCAGCATGACAGCCCCCTTCTAGGATATCCCTAAAGGACAAAGGTGAAGAGTAACCCTCCCCATGGGCAGAGCTTGGGGCAGTGTACCTGATTGTGCAGTTTGCTTGGAAGGAGAAATGGCCAGACGTGAGATTATATATACCAATTCATGGGTTGTGGCCAATAATTTGGCTGGCTGGTTAGGGACTTGCAGGGAACATGATAGGTAGATGTGTGACAGACAAGCCTGGGGAAGAGGTATGTGGATAGACCTCACTGAAGGGGCAGAAAATGTGATGATATGTGTGCCTATGTGAATGCTCACTGAAGGGTGACCTCAGCAGAGCAGGACGTTAATAACAGGTAAATAAGATGACCCATTCTGTAGATGTCAGTCTCTTTCCCCAGCCACCCCTGTCATCACCCCAGGGTCTCAGAAACAAAGTGGCCATGGTGGCAGGGATGAGGTTATGCATGGGCTCAGGATTGTGGACTCACACTCACCAAGGCCGAACTCTCTACAGCCACCAATATGTCCAGTCTACCAGCAGCAGAGACCAACACTGAGTCCCCAGTATGACACCATCTCCCAGAGTGATCAGCCAGCCACTTAGTGACAGGTTGATTACCTACGACCTTTTCCACCATGGAACGGGCAGTATTTGTTCTAAGTGGAATACACACTTTGCATATGGATTTGCCCTCCCTGAGTACAGTGCTTCTGCTGAAACTACCACCTGTGGGTTTACGGAACGCCTTCTCCACTGTCATGGTATCCACACAGCATTTCTTCTGGTTAAGGAACTCACATCACAGCAAAAGAAATGCCGCGATGGCCCAATGTTCATGGAATTCACTGGCCTTCCAGGCTCCCACTGTCCTGAGGCAGCTGGCTTGACAGATGGTGGAATAATGGCCTTTGGAGGACTCAGTGACAGTGCAGCTCGGTGGCAGTGCCTTTCAAGGCTGGGGCAAGGCTCTCAGAAGGCTGGATATGCTCGGAATCAGTGTCCAATACATGGTGCTATTCCTCCCATAGCCAAGACTCCTAGCATAGCACTACTCACCATCACCCCTAGTGACCCACTAGCAAAAGTTTTGCTCCTTGTCCCCACCACCTTATGCTCTGCTGGCCTAGAGATCTTAGTTCCAGAGGGAGGAATGCTGCCCCCAAGAGACACAGGGATGATCCATTGCGCTGGAAGTTTAGGCTGCCACCTGATGGCGCCAAGCTCTTCATGCCTCTGGATCAACAGGTAAAGAAGGAGTTAACTACGCTGGTGGGGGTGGCTGGTCCAGACCACCAAGGAGAAACTGCCCTGCTGCTTCACAATGGACTGGGGAAGAGCATGTCTGGGGTATAGGAGGGCCCTCGTGGCATGCGCTGTGATTAAGATCAATAGAAAAGCACAACAGCCCAATCTAGGCAGGATTAATAATTGTCCAGAACCTTTGGGAATGAAGGTTCCCCACCAGGTTAAAAACCACAACCAGCAGAGGCTTCCTGAAGGCAAAGGGAATACAGACTGGGGAGTGGAAGAAGGTAGTTATAGGACCACGTGACCAGCTACAGAAACCAGAATTGCAATTGTCATGAATGTTTCCTCCGTATTTGCTGAGAGAGAGAGAGAGTGTTTAAAGTTTTGGAAGAAAACATAGGAAGAAGTCTTCATTACTTGAGGTTAGGGAAATTGTTCTTAGACATGATGCCAAATGCATGTAAAAGCAAAAATCCATCAATTAGACTTGATCAAAATAAAAAATATAACTTTGCAAAAGAGACTATTAAAAGATGCTGAAAAGACAGCTATAGGCTGGGAGAGAATATCTACAAACCACATATCCAACAAAGAAAGTAGTCCGACATATATGAAGAACTCTCAAAATCAACAGTTAGAAAACCATCCAAACAAAAGTGGGTAAAAGACTTGGACCCTCACCGAAGAGGACGCTGTATGTGGAAGACAGCAAGCCTATGAGAGACCATCAACACTAGTCATTAGGGAAATGCAAATCAAAACCATAGTGAGGTGCCACTGGAAAGCACTCTGACAGTTGTGTTAAACCACATGGCCCAGCAGTCCCATAACGATTTTCCCTGGAGTAAGGAAAAATTGTGTTCACATGAAAACCTCTGCACAAATGTTTACAGCAACTCTATCCATAATCGCCTAAATCTGGACACAACCGCACGTCCTCCCATGGATGAAGAGGTAACTACCTGTGTCTCCCTGTGCAGGCAAACACCATTCCACAATTGAAAGGAACATGCCACTGACACACAGAGCATTGGGGTGGATCTGAAAAACATGATGCTTAGCGAAAGCAGCCAGTTACAAAGATCCCATGCTGTGTGTCTCCACTCACACAACCTTCCCGAGACAACGGTGTGACAGGGATGGAAGGCGCATCAGCAGTCAGCAGGGTTGGGTGGGGAGGGCTGGACTCCAGCAAGAGGGGTGCAGCTTCTTGGCATCCTGACTGTGGAACCTTGTACGTGTGAAAATTCTCAGACCTAAACACCTCTTTTAAATGGGACCAGATGGGGAAATAAAACTATCATTTTTTGGTCATCTGTTTCGTATCAGTCACCACAGATACAATTGTGACCCTTGAACAACACAAGTCTGAACTACATGGATCCACCTACATACAGATTTTTTCTTAAAAAATTTTTTTTTAAATTAAATCTTCTTAAACAGACACGGGGTTGGCCAGGTGTGATGGCTCATGCCTGTAATCCCAGCACTTTGGGAGGCCGAGATGGGCAGATCACAAGGTCAGGAGATTGAGAACAACTTGGCCAACATGGTGAAACCTCGTCTCTACTAAAAATACAAAAAAAAAAAAAAAAAAAAAAGCTGGGAGTGGTGGCACGTGCCTGTGGTCCCAGCTACTCAGAAGTCTGAGGCAGGAGAATCACTTGAACCCGGGAGGTGGAGGTTGCAGTGAGCCGAGATCATGCCACTGCACTCCAGTCTGAGCAACAAGAGTGAAACTCTGTCTCAAAAAAAAAAAAAAAAAAAAAGAGACACGGGGTCTCGCTATGTTGCTCAGGCTGGTCTCGAACTCCAGGACTCAAGTAACCCTCCCAACCTTGGCCTCCCAAATTGCTGGGATCACAGACATGAACCACCACACCTGGCCCAGTTTTTTTTTTCAGTAAATATATTGGAAAAATGTATTGGAAAATTTCACATCAGCCATGCCAGCAGACGTGAAACCTTGCTCTTTTGGCCAAATACCTTTTTACCTGGTCTTGGAAATGCAGCTTTTGGACAGATGTAGTAGCTCATGCTTGTAATCCCAGCACTTTGGGAGGCTGAGGCAGGAGGATCACTTGAGCCTAGGAGATGGAGGTTGCAGTAAGCATTGCAACCATTTGAAGAAACTTGCAGATGAACCTTGTAGCCTAGAAATATTGAAAAAGTTAAGAAAAAGGTGTGTCATGAATGCATAAAATACTAGCATATTTTTATCATTTACCACCATAAAACATACATAAATCAACTATAAACAGTTAAAATTTATCAAAAGTTATGCACACAAACACAGTACATGGTGCCATTCAGTCAAGAGAAATGTAAACAAATGTAAAGATGCAGTATTAAGTCATAATTGCATAAATTAATGGGAGCCCACTGTACTACTGTAGTAATTCTGTCGCCCCTCCTGCTACTATTGCAGTGAGCTCAGGTGTCGAGTGTCCACTTAAAATGCCATGTGACACTAGCCATCTCCGTGTGAGCACTTGTCTCTCCTGTAGATTGTGTATCACAGTGAAAAGTAATCTCTCGTGGTTCTCATGTATTTTTCATGTTTAGTGCAATACCATAAATCTGAAGAAGACATCGAGACGCGTACGAAGCGCCACTAGTGATTCTGGAAGTGCTGCCAAAAAGCAGAGAAAAGTCTTGACAGTACAAGAAAAAGGTGGATTGATTGATATGTACTGTAGACTGAGGTCTGCAGCTGCGGTTGCCCACCATTTCAAGATAAATTAATCCAGTGTAAGAACCATTGTAAAAAAAGAAAAGGAAATTCACAGTGTCATCACTGCAGCCATGCTAGCAGACATGAAACTTTGCTCTTTTTGCCAAATACCTTTTTGTCTAGTCTTGAAAATGTAGCTTTTGGCTGAATGTAGTGGCTCATGCCTTTAATCCCAGCACTTTGGGAGACCGAGGCAGGAGAATCACTTGAGCCCAGGAGGTGGAGGCTGAAGTAAGCCTAAGATCACACAACTGCACTCCAGCCTGGAAGCGAGGCTCTGTAGGGGGGTGGGGGGGAAAGAAGAAGAAGAAAGAAGGAAGGAAGGAAGGACAGAGAAATAGAGAAAATGCAGCTTTTATGTGGGTGCAGGATATCTATAAGAAAAGCATATCTATAGATTCTAATATGATTCAAGAAAAACTGATATCATTATACAACAACTTAAAACGAAAGACTGGTGGAGGATGGTGACTTAAAATTATGAGATCTACAAATTTGGAGAGGCTAAAGTACAGTGGCACAATCATGACTAACTGCAGCCTCAACCTCCCAGGCTCAAGCAATCCCCCACCTCAGCCTCCCAAGTAGCTGGAACTACAGGTGTGTGCCACCATGCCTGGCTAATTTTCAAACTTGTTTTTGTAGAGACAGGGGTCCCACTATCTTGCCCAGCTGGTCTCGAACTCTTGAGCTCAAGCAATCCTCCCACCTCGACCTTCTAAAGTGCTGAGATTACAGGCATGAGCCACTGTGCCAGGCCAAGAGCCTTATTTTCTTTCTTTCTTTCTTTCTTTCTTTCTTTCTTTCTTTCTTTCTTTCTTTCTTTCTTTCTTTCTTTCTTTCTCTTTCTTTCTTTCTTCTTTCTTTCTTTCTTTCTCTCTTTTTTTTTTTTTTGTCTGACAGAGTCTAGCTCTATCATCCAGGCTGGAGTGCAGTGGTGCAATCTCAGTTCACTGCAACCTCTGCCTCGCAGGTTCAAGCAATTCTCCTGCCTCAGCCACCCGTTTAGCTGGGAAGACAGGCACATGCCACTACACCTGGCTAATTTTTGTATTTTTTTCTAGGTAGAGATGGGGTTTCACCATGTTGGCCAGGCTGGGCTCGAACTCCTGGTCTCAAGTGATCCACCCAACTCAGCCTCCCAAAGTGCTGGGATTACAGGCATGAGCCACTGGGCCAGCCCAAAAGCGTTATTTCTTAGAAAGGTTGCAGCCTGCAGCCTGGCTGTCTTGACAGGCTGGGAAGTCTAGCCTCCAGCAAAGACCAAAAGTAGGCACTTCCAGGGACAGAAAGGTGAGACAGGAAGTTATGCTGAAAGGGTTGGCTAAATGTACATATTCAACAGGTTATAGAAGGCTCTATGAATATTCATGAAGGGGGTGAGACACACCTATTTCACACATTACAGACGTCCCATGTTCATTTCAGAGTGGAGGCAACATTTAAATGCATTAAAATTGGGCCCTAAATGTCAAAAGGTGAAGCAGAAGGTTCGAAGGCTCTCAGTGCCCAGCCTTCCTACTGGAGAAAACTGTGTCCAGATTTACAATAGGGCCAATCAAGGAAATCATGAAAGAGAGTGTGCCTGTGGCAAAAAAGGTGGGGAATGTAGGCTTTCAGGATATGGATCTTGGAGAAATTCAAGAGTGAATAGACATCACACCAGAGGAATTAACAGAAGACCACTTGATGGAGATGAGTGCTTTCGAATCAGTGCCAGATGATGAAGAAGTGGATGTAGACGCAGTACCAGAAAATAAGTTGACATTCGACAATCTGGCAGAGGGGTTCCGATTATTCAAGACTGCTTGTGACTTCTTTTACCATATGGACCTTTCTATGGTACGGGCACCAAAACTAAAGCAAATGGTGGAAGGAGGATTGGTATCACAAAGAAACATATTTAGAGAAATGAAAAAGCAAAAATGTCAGACAGAAATAACGATGAATTTCTCAGCATGTGTGCGTCTCCTGCCTTCCTTCCCATCTCCCCCACCTTTTCTGCCTCTGCCATTCCTGAGATGGCAGGACCAACCTCTTCTCTTCTTCAGCCTACTCAATGTGAAGATGATATGGATGAAAACCTTTATGATGATCCACTTCCATTTAGTGATAGTGAATACATTCTCTTCCTTATGATTTTATTAGTACTTTTTCTTTTCTGTAGCTTACTTCATTGTAAGAATACAGTATACAATACAAATCACATACAAAATATGTGTTGAGTGTTTATGTTATTGGTAAGGCTTCTGGCCAACAGTAGGCTATTAACAAAAGTTGTGGTGAGTTGAAAGTTATATATGGATTTTTTTTTTTTTTTTGAGACGGAGTCTTACTCTGTCCCTCAGGCTGGAGTGCAGTGGTGAGATCTCAGCTCACTGCAACCTCCATCTCCTGGGTACAAGCAATTCTTCTGCCTCAGCCTCCTGAGTAGCTGGGATTACAGGTGCGCACCACCACGCCTGACTAATTTTTGTATTTTTAGTAGAGACGGGGTTTCACCATGTTGATCAGGCTGGTCTCAAACTCCCGAACTCATGATCTGCCCGCCTCAGCCTCCCAAAGTGCTGGGATTACAGGCGTGAGCCACCACACCCGGCCTATATGTGGATTTTTGACTGTGTGGGAAGGTCAGCACCCCATCCCCTTCATGGGAACTGTAGTCTCATTAAATCCTCACATGCTGCAAGATTGGTTTATTATCCCCATCTAAGAAACTTAAAACCCAAGAGATTTTGTACATTGCCCAGAGTCACATCACTGGTGAGTGGCAGAAACTGGAGCCCCCACCCAGACCATCCCTGACCTGAGCACAGTTTGCCAAGTGTGCCTGCAGCAGTCAGAGACACTGGGAGATGGTGACTGCCCTCCATATTGAGGACACTTATATATCTGGCTTCTGTGAAACAGCCTTGCTTAGCTCCACCGCTCAGTTTTGGTCAAATGAACCACAGCAGGATCATGTGGACTTCCTGAGCACTGGTTTGCATGTATGAGTTGGACTTGGTGATCTCTTTGAGGTATGTGGAGATACTAAGCTAGTGGAAAAAGTGCTGAACAGACTGGGACCAGTGGCTCACGCCTGTAATCCCAGCCCTTTGGGAGGCCAAGGCAGGAGGATCTCTTGAGGCCAGCCTGGGCAACAAAATGAGACCTTGTCTCTACAAAAAAAAATGAAAATTTTTTAAAATGCTGAACAAAAACCCACCTGTGTTCAACCTTGGCTCCTCCCTGGATAATGCACCCACTCCCAAGTGTAGGTGTTGGTAACTCTTGGGAGTACATCTTAAGCCCAGGTAGCACATCAACCGGAGTTCCAGACAGTTCCCCAGCTGCCGCCTCAGATGTCTCTGCCTGGCTGTCCCACAGGTGCCCATCACTCCACCTGGCATCCCAGCCAGACACCTGGGGGCCCTGGGGTACTCCCTGAAAACCCCTTGTTCCTCACAACCCCCAGACCTACTACCCCTCCAATGTTACCTCTCAGAGCTCTAGCACCCACCACTTCTCCCTCTCTGTGCCTCCTTCCCCTAAACTTCCTGCAAACTATCTCCACCCAGTAGCAAAGGGGCTTTTTGAAAAATGGAAATCTAACCACGCTGTCCCAGCTAAATGTTCTCCCAGGGCTTCCTGGTGTCTCGGGATGAAGATAGCCTCTTAAGGCGGCCTCATCCCCTGCCTCTCTATTTTCCTCTCCAGCTCCTAGGACTCTCTGCTGCTGTCCTGGCTCCAGCTACGCTGGCTTGCAGGCGTCATGCTGCCCTGTGTCACAGGCCTTTCCACATAACATTCCTGTGCTTGACACACTCTTCTGCTTCCCCAACTCCCAGCCTTTGCCAAGTTAACCAACTTCTAGTCATGGCTCAACCGTCACTTGCTTCCCTAAGGAAGCCTTCTCCAACTTCCTACACCATGTCTAGAGCTGTGCCGTCCTCTACGGGA
Organism: Homo sapiens; assembly: GCF_000001405.40. Lineage (NCBI taxonomy): Eukaryota > Metazoa > Chordata > Mammalia > Primates > Hominidae > Homo > Homo sapiens. The sequence continues at coordinate 42,838,327 of NC_000010.11, read as the reverse complement.
CCACTGCCACATGGGGCCATTGAGCCCTTGAAATGTGTAACTGGTGCCGAGAACTGGAAATTTTTAATTTTAATTAATTTGAATTTCAAACAAGTGACTAGGTTCAGTTACATTTGAAACAAGGGGATATACATCTATTTTTTCAACTGTGAATACTGTGAAATCTAAATATAGATTATTTCCCACAAAATTTAGATCTGAATTGAGAGGTGCTATAAGAGTACAACACACTGGGCTGGGCACGGTGGCTCATGCCTGTGGTCCCAGCACTTTGGGAGGTCGAGGTGGGCGGATCACCTGAGGTCAGGGGTTTGAGACCAGCCTGGCCAACATCACGAAACCCTGTCTCTACTAAAAACACAAAAAAATTAGCCCGGCGTGGTCGCGGGCGCCTGTAATCCCAGCTACTCCAGAGGCTGAGGCAGGAAAATTGCTTGAACCTGGGAGGCTGAGGTTTCAGTGAGCTGAGATCGTGCCATTGCACTCCAGCCCGGACAACAAGAGCGAAACTCTGTCTCAAAAAACAAAACAAAACAAAACAAAACGCCACACCAAATTTCAAAGACTTAGCACAAAACAGGAATGTCAAGTAGTTCAATAATCATTTTTATGCTGATTCCATGTTGTGATGGTATTTTAGGTACACTGGCTTTATTTATTAATGGACAGGGTCTCGCTCTGTCGCCCAGGCTGGAGACCTACTGAACTCAGGTCATCCTCCTGCCTCAGCCTCCCGAGTTGCTGGGACCACAGGTGCGCGCCACCACTCTCGGCTTTTTTTTTTTTTTTTTTGTAGAGATAGGGTCTTGTCATGTTGCCCAGGGTGCTCTGGAACTCCTGGGCTCAATCGGATCTTCCTGCCTCGGACTCCCAGGTAGCTGGGATTACAGGTGTGAGCCACTGTGCCCAGCCAATATACTGGCTTTAAATGATAAAAATGTTCTGAACATTCACCTTCCGGTGTTGGCGCGCGGGGCGTGGCGCGGAGTGACCAGCCCTGCCCGGGCTCCTTTCAGCAGCAGGTGAAGTAGCTGCAGCGCGTTCTTTAACTTTCCCAGAACGACCGACAGTTTGTAAAGCGCGCGATCTCGTACATGCCCCGGCCCGCCCAGCAGCCGGGGGTGCAGGGCCACGTCCAGCCCGGGACGCTGCAGGGGCTTCGCTCCGGGGTCCCACCTCCTGTGCGTCCCCGGGCGCGGCGCGACAGTCCCGGGTCCTGCACGCCGTGGGGAGCCGCGCTGGGGGCGCCTCGGAAGGACGCGGTTCTCCAGCCCTTTCCGTGCCTAAACAGGACCGAGGCTGAGTTTCTTCGTGTGGGTGGAAACTAAAGCCGGGTCGGGGACGGGGCGCGGGCCATGGGTGCGGTTCCAGCGGCGGGCGCGGGTCCGAGGGAGGTGGGGGGGCCTCAGGCACAGCAGGGGGTAGAGGGCGCAGAGCTGGGAGAGCGGATCCCAGGGGCCCTCACAGCACTAGGTGATGGAGGTTTGCAGCAGCGCCACGAAGCGTTCCACAGGGCACACATGCAGCAAAACAGCACGCTGTGAGCAGTAAAGATATGCAAGTTTGTCAATTACACCTTCATAAAGCTGGGGGAAACAGAAGAAAAGGAACCATAACAACAAAAAATAAAGCCGAGAAACATTTAGGAGACTTATTAGTTTGTTTTAAAATAACAGAAGCAAGCCCATTACATGGTAACATAAGTCGCATATTTTCTTGAGAAATGTTTTCCAAAGCAAAAAAAAAAAAAAAAAATTGTGGGAAAGTGGCGGTGCTTCAGTTGTGCGAGCTGTCACGTCCTAACACAGCCGCATCCTCAGCCCGCTGCCCCCCCGCAAGACGCTCCCACTTCCAGTGAAAAGAGGTCAATAACATCTCCTTATTGTCATGAAACATTCTTGACCTCACCCAGCCGCCGACAGGGGTCGTGAAAATCCCAGGGGTCCCTGGACAGCACAACTGAGTGCCACTGGTTTATTGGAGAAAAGTTTGGAGGAGTACTGGGGAGTTCGGAGAGGGTCCAGGGAAGGCCGCACCGACCAGTGGTCTCAGGGCCAGCCTCAGAAGGAGCAGCGAGGAGGTGGAGGCCGGGAGGGGGCGGAGGAGCTGCCGCATTCCAGGCAGAGGGAACTGCATGTGTTGAGGACCCCAGGCAAGTGCACCGACGAATGAAAGGCCACTGTGGCCAGAGCTGGAGGCAGCAGAAGAGAGGCCCTAGAGGAGGGCAGGGGCCAGAGCAGCAGCAAGGACAAGGGCTGCGGCCTAGAAGCAAAGGGAAGCCATGGAAGGAGCCTCGGAAAGTGACATCAAATTTGCATGTTTAAAAGCCACCCTCAAGAAGTGCCGTCAATCATTAGAGACAGGTATCAGCCAAATAATCGCATAAATACTTTTAAAAAACTAAACAATAATTTGGTTATTTCTTGGCTATGACACTAAAAGCACAGGCAACAAAAGAAAAAATAAATTGGACTTCAAAATTAAAAAACCTTTGCCCATCAAAGGACACTATCAGAGTGAAAAGACATCCCAAAGAATGAGAGAAAATATTTGTGAATGGTTTATCTGATAACGGTTGAATATCCAGAATATAAAAAGAACTCCTACAATTCAACAACAAAAAAATCTGATTCAAAGGACTTGAATAGACATTTCTCCAAAGAAGGTCTATAGATAGCCAATAAGCACACAGAAAGATGCTCAACATCACTAGTCATTCCCAACATACAGATCACAACGAGATGCAACTTCACACTAGGATGCCTGTTTTTTAAGAAACCAATCAACCAACCAACAAAAAAACAGAGTAATGAGGGTGGTCTAGGCTGTGGAGAAATTGAAACCCTTGTACATATTGCTAGAAGAAATGTAAGGAATCCACAGCAACTGTGGATACAGTGTGGCAGTTCCTCACACAATTAAACACAGAATGACATTTGACCCAGCAATTCCACTTTTACACACAGAACTGAAAGCAGAGACTCACACAGATATTTACACACCAATGTTCAAGCAACATTATTCCCAACAGCCCACACATCCATCAGCAGATGAATGGATAAGCAACGTGTGGTAAAGACATTCACTGGGAATATTATTCAGCCTTAAAAGGGAAGGAAATTCTGACACATGCTGCAACTGGACACACCTTGAAGACAGTATGCTAAGTGAAATAAACAAGACACAAAAAGACAAATATTGTATGATTCCATTTGCAAAAGTATCTAGAGTAGTCAGAGACAGAAAACAAAATGGTGGTTGCAGGGGCTGGGGGAAGGAGGGAATGAGAAGATGTAGTTTAGTGGGTACAAAGTTTCAGTTTAGGATGATGGAAAGGCTCTGAAGATGGCTGCAACAGCACTGTGAAGGTAATGCCACTGACTCATACAATTAAAAATTGATAAAATAAGTTTTATTATGCATATTTTATCACAAAACAAAAATTGGAAAAAACCGAAACACAGAAAAAAACAAGCCCACCCCTCCCCTCAAAAAAATTTACAGGACAGGCCACCTGGTCTAAATGTATGACACATCCTTTTCTCTCTACATGCCAGTTGGCAACCTTATTTTAGAGTGTCCAAACTTTGCTTAAGAAAAGACTTAAAAGATTCCTCCAAATACCCATCCAACCAAAGTTTATCTGATTTTCGATAAGGTACCATCCCCAAATATGAAATGCTAAGTCTCATAATAAAACACCTTTGGCATTTAAATGTCCAACATCTCAACCTTTTGTCTTGTTAAAGGATTATAAAAATGTACAATACTTTAAAACCATGAAATAAACTAGGTAAAACTAAGGAGACACAAGTAAAATACAATGTCCTTGCTGAAGACTCTGAATAATGGCTTTAAGAAATACCTGAGTCTGGCAAAATACTAGATACTAGAAGTCGGTACCAAGGGCAATTAAATCGATGCTCTTTTTCCCATCAGCGAGGTAAGCTCTGGAGCCTCCAGAGAGCTGAATCAGACCCGGTGGCTTTCCTCTTTGCTCAAACATTTATTTCTGAAATGGCGGGCATGTCACCAAATGATAATACTTAAAGCAAGTTCACAGGTTTTGTTAAAAAAAGAAAACAATCTAGTACATCCACAAATAGGAAACCAAACACACCTGAACACATCTATGATTAAATAAGAATATTTAATGGCATGGAATGATATGTACACTGTAGGTTCAATATGTTTTCAAAACATACCTAGCACCTATGGCTGCCTGTGCCTAGTAAATAGAAAAGGTATAACAGAATAATTTTTACAATTTACAAAGTTTAATACAATTGAGAAAGGTTTCTATAAACATTGTTAAAATATTTCAGAGGGCAAATGCTTACTTTGCATAGCAATGCTTCAGTTACCTGGAATGCCCTCCCTTCTTTCTTCCAAGCAATTTTATGCAGCACGAAGCTCAGTGGCTCTACTCCAAGTGCCAACAAGGTGAACAACCCAGTTCCTGCTCTCATGGAACTCACATTCTGGTGGAATTTGTTTTTGCAACATACTTGCTGACAATATCAAATTAATAAGCCATTAGTATTGAAAAGTAATTTACACACTCTCCAGTCTGGTCCTTATTTTGATATATGTCTTCCTATGAGATGGATGCAAACTCACAGCAAAAACTATGTGTATACATACAGCCACATGCCGCATGATGTTCAGTCAAGGATGGACCACGTATATGGCAGTGGTTCCACAATACTGTATTTTTGCTACGCCTTTTCTATGTTTCGATACACAAATGTTTACCACTGTGTTACAACTGCCTACAGTAGTCAGTACAGTCACATGCTGCCCAGGTTTGTAGCCTAGGAGCAACAGGCCATACCATAGAGCCCAGGTGCACAGTAGGCTGTACCATCTAGGTTTGTGTGTCACTCTATGATGTTTACACAATGACAAAATTGCCTAATGATACATTTCTCAGAATATATCCCCATCCTTAACTGATGTGTGACTGTATTTTACTAACCTGGCCAGGTGGAACCTTCACCAATAAAAATTCTACATGAAAAATGCTATTTATTGTTTCTTTCAGACATTAGAGATTCCTTAACTTTAGTTTAAATAATCTTAATATGCAAACTTTTTATTTCCCTTGTTCTCCAAATATGATAAACCAAGATTTTTAATATTAACAGGTATGAGTTCTGCCTACATACATTGTCTTTGGAAAAGGCAATTATCTGCAACTGTAATTAAACATTCTTTTATTTCCCCCATTGCTAAAGGATTCCACTCTTCTGGCTAAAATATAAAACTATACAATTATAAATACTTATTTGCAATGCTTCTCTTTGAACAAATTTGCTTGTTGTATAAGACACTTGCTGATCACCTTGTAAGCTACTTAAAACATGGTATGACTTGAGTGCCTTGTATATTTTAGTTGAATTATAGTTTTGCATTTTAAAATATATCAATTATGCTATATAACAAATTAGTTTTAAATTATAATTGTTATGGGCTTACTATGTGTCAGTCCCCAGGCCTATCAGCATAATGGATGATGAAATTCATAATAGCTCTTGAGGAACAGAGGAAAATGTACACCCAGAGTTGCCCAGAGAGGTCTGGGAGTGTTCCAATTGTCACTTCCCAGGTGGACCTAGCCCTGACAGGATCCTCACATCCTCTTCCCTTCTTATGGAGATACAAAGCTGAGCACCTGCCTACAGACTTTAGGCTTTTAGAGAGCCTCTCAGACTAGGCCAACTGCTCATAATCCTGCCAACCCTCTTTGGCCCCTATGATGTTGTAAAGGCAATGTGGCACTCATATCAGCAGCACACATACTATAACTGGCACAACACAGAGGTCAGCATGGGCCCCATGCACAGATGACACACAAATTCATGAAGTGTTCTACATACATATATGTATAATTTTTTTTTTTTGAAACAGGGTCTTGCCCTGTCGCCCAGGCTGGAGTGCAGTGGTGCTATCATGGCTCACTGCAGCCTCAACCTCCCAAGCTCAAGTGATCCTCCTACCTCAGCCTCCCAAGCAGCTGGAACTACAGGTGTGCACCCACCACACCTGGCGAATTTTTTATTTTTTGTAGCGATGAGGTTTTGCCATGTTGCCCAAGTTGGTCTCAAATTCCTGGGCTCAAGTGATCCTCCTGCCTTAGCATCCCAAAGTGCTGGGATTACAGGCGTGAGTCACTGTGCCCAGCTGCGTTCCATATTTCTACACACCCATGCATACATGGAGGAGTATACGTTGGGGAAAGTAAAGCTGGGGAAATGTGAATAAAATCAGCGGGCTGTATTGATGTCAACATCCTGATTGTTATATGTGTGAAACATTACCACTGAGAGAAATTGGGCAAAATATACAACTATATGTGAATCTATGATTACATCGTATAGGAATAGATTCCCCATAACTATATCAACATACAATCATAAAATACATACATCGCCTATGTAATAGTATGATTACTTCAACATAATGTTTAATTTAAAAAAAGGCAATGTAGCTAGGCAGGTATAACGCATGAGCATAATACGGGAAGCCTATCTCACTGATACATACGATTTCCTTGGTCTCTGCACCTGAGACAATAATCTCCTAAGTCTAAAGCTTTAAAAAAGTACTTACTGTTACCTTGTCACTATACTAATGTGCAGAACATATGAAATAAGATAGAAAATGTCCACAAGGGCCAGTGATCAAAGGAGCCCATAGATCCTGGGTGCACAGTAGGCTGTACCATCTAGGTTTGTGTGTCACTCAAACAAAAAACAAAACAAAAACACTACACACTATTCTCTAAAATCTTCCATGGGAGCTCAGAGTTCAAGTGAATATTTCTTTCTCTTCTGGAAGACTCCTCATGAAGGTGGTAGTATAAATAATTATCCACAAAGAATTGTCAGGCATTCATCCCTAATGAAAACTACTAAGCCAAAAGTAACAAAAAAATATTTTAATGATATTTCTGTAGGACAAAATAATTAAACTGAGGCAGGCAGAGGAAAGTAAGAGAATCCACATAACCACAGCTTACATCACTTTAAATCTCGACAGCCCCAAGTCATGAGAATGAACCCAGTCCCAGCAGCCCAGGCTTCTCTGTTCCTCCTCCTGCAGGCACAGTTTGAGTAGAGACATCTCTTGAGCTCTTTCCCACTGACTTGTCATTCACAGGCATTCAAACTGTGATGTTTGAAACTGTCTACCTCCGCAGATCCAGGGACAGTCCCTCCAGTCCAAAGGCTCACTGCAATTGGCCCTCAGCCCCCTTCAAACTGGACTTCTGGTTTCTTCTTTCCTTCTGCCCCTGAATTCTGAAGAGCTTCTTCCTGAGGTCCTTCTGCCGCTTCAGCTTCTCCTCCTCCTCCTTCTGCTTGGCTCTGAAGTGCTCTTTATTGTGCAGGTGCCGCTGCTCCTTGGCCTTCTTCATCTTCTGACTATGCACCGTACTCAGAGCATCCAGCAGTGCAAGGATCTGACAAGGACAAAAGCCGGTGAGTATCAGAATGCTCTCAGACACCACACACTCGCATCCTAAGCACTAAGACTAGAGGCAACCCACGATCCAAATGAATATTAACTGCATGAAAATGCATCCTGTGCTAGGAAGTCATTGTTGGCATGGAGACACAGGTGTGATCCCATTTTACCTTTACCACCTCTGTTCATCATTCTGTGGACACTGTGTGCAGCTAACCGAGACAGAAGGGTTCCCCAGCCATGTACCTGTTATCCCCCATGAAAAGCACAGGGCAGAGCAGGACCAGGCAAAGAAAGGGAAATGGACTCTGGCTCTTCCTCTGACTTTAGTTCCAGTGCCCTGAATAACTGAGACTACAGTAGAAACAGGAAGTGTGCTATTGAGAGTGTTCTTTTCCTATCTAAACGCAGCGTGCAGTACAGCATGGGCAACAGTACCTTTCTTTCATGAGGCTCGCGTATGACGGCCGGTCTCCGCCTGTCCTTTGGCACCTTGCCTGCCTTTGCTTGGGTCTTGGGCTTGTTCTTAAATGGCAGGGCCTTCTGCAAGGCTTTTGGAATGTGCAGTGAATTAAAATGTTTCTTTTGCCTCAGGATTGGCTGAAAAGAAAAACAAAGACTGTGACATATTCAAATTATGATCAATGTGCATTTAAAACTTCTGCATAAAATCTTCTCAATGGGTTGACTTTTCCACAAGATTAGTAACACCAGAGTCTGCCGGCCCTGAGAAATCAGGACTCAATCATCTGCCAAATATGAACTGCCTCAGTGGACACCCACAATTCTCAGTAAACAGAGGAACAGACAGCTTACACTTACAACTCTCCCCCCAAAACCCACTGTGCCCATTTCTATGGTATGGAACTATGGGGTCTCAACAGAACAGATGAATAGATCCCAGTTTCTTTTCATGGAAATTTCAGGCCTTGTCTTTGGGCCACTGAGGTGCTTATTTCCCAGACTAACAAAAATAATCTAGCTTTTTGTCTTGACTATCAACCACTCTGGATGTTTTTTTTGTTTTGTTTTGTTTTTTTGAGATGGAGTCTTGCCTTGACGCCCAGGCTAGAGAGCAGTGCCGTGATCTCGGCTCATGCAACCTCCACCTCCTGGGTTCAAGCAATTCTCCTGTCTCAGCCTCCCAAGTATCTGGGACTACAGGCACACACCACCACGCCCGGCTAATTTTTGTATTTTCAGTAGAGATGGGGTTTCACCATGTTGGTCATGCTGGTCTTGAAATCTTGAACTCCTGACCTCAGGTGATCCACCTGCCTTGGCCTCCCAAAGTGCTAGGATTACAGGCATGAGCCACCACAACTGGCCCACTCTGGATTTAAGGACAGTTCTTCCTTCAATCAGCAGCCAAAGAGTCCTGATTCCTGATTCTAATTAAGAAGTTTAACTTGGTATTCTATTTCTGATGGAAGGATGGCTAAAAGAAGGGAGACTCAAACAACAGATGAAGGCAAAATACTCTGCACTGAATTTTCAAGGTAATCTTAAATTCTATATTTAATTGAGATGACCCAAATTCTTTTTTTTTTGAGATGGAGTCTCGCTCTGTCGCCCAGGCTAGAGTGCAGTGGCATGATCTCGGCTCACTGCAACCTCTGCCCCTGGGTTCACGCCATTCTCTTGCCTCAGCCTCCCGAGTAGCTGGGACTACAGGCGCCCGCCACCACGCCTGGCTAATTTTTTGTATTTTTAGTGGAGACGGAGGATGACCCAAATTCTTAACTGCCTCATAAATACTGTTAATAAATTGAAAGTTTTGCCCTAGGCTTTTGTTAAAGTCAACTATATAGAACAAGTTTCTCCTATCTTGAAATGTATTATTAAAGACATCATCCCCAATAATATTCCATATTCTTTGTTTAGGAACCCCGATTGTTTTTGAATTCAAGAATTCAGAGAAATCTACTTGTTACAAAAGAGTAGAATGGATAATGGGCACCACATCCTGAAGTGTATTTTAATAAAAATTCATGTAAGACGGTTCAAAATTTCATTAACTACTTTATATAAAAAGAAATGCCTGGGAGACTTCTGTTTCTAGCAGAGTGGCAGACTGATGCCTTGAACAACCCTCTTATTACAAAACTGAACACTCCACATGAAAACAAATCTTTTCAAATGCATTGTTAAGCTGTGAAGAGAATAACAACAGTTCTAAGAAACCAAAATCTAAATGAAAACACAAGTCCAGGCAGGCATTGAAAACCTAAAATAAAAAAAAAAAAACTGAAGAGGCCAATTGTCAGCAAGCACGTGGAACAGCAGGAACTCTTTAAGCTGCTGCTGGTGGTGGAGGCCAAGCCGCTGTGCTCCCAGAACACGACACAGAAGCCTCCACACTGAAGCAGAGCACAGGTGCCCTGGAGTCTCCACCCTACCCAGGGATCCTCCAGCAGAAGTGTGTGTGCCCCTCCGTACCTGCAAGTCCCATATCCAGACCTTAGTGTTAAGGGCCGTGGGATAACGGCCAAAAATAGGAAATCATTTTACCCATCAATGGATAAATGGTGACACAGTCATATACTGGAACTCAACAATGACAATAAATCAATGTCTGCCATAGACAAGAACATGGATGTGTTCTGTAATACTCAACCAAAGAAGCCAGGCTAAATAGAATGTGCTGTATTTTATAAAAGTCAAAACCAGGCAGAACAAATCTACGTCAGGAACTGGCAAAGTAGCTATTTTGTGGGTTGGGGAGGCAGTGCCTGGGAGAGGCCACAGGGCGAGGCTACTGCTTGGTCCAGGGCGTGGCAGCTGGTGTGCTACAGTTCATCTAGCTGCACACTTATGATTTGGGCACTCTTCTGTATGTACATTAACATTTCAATAAAAAGCTTATTAAAACATTAAAACTTTCAGAAAAATCCACATTGCTTTAATAGAAATTAGCACATTAATGTTTTAAAAATACATGTATATGGTGGGGAAAAAAATAGTTCAAAAGAGTACCCAGTGAAAAGTTTAAGAGGGAGTGATGCCAGCAAGGGGCCGATCAATAGCCCCTTGCGCTCATCCCCTGACAAAGACAGCCAAAGCAGCAAACAACTATATTTTGATGAAAGTCACTAAAGGAGAGCCCCAGAGTGCATCAAGGAGTAGCAGAAATCTAGTAGAGCACAGAAAACTAGGATGGTCACATAAAGGAGAGAAGGAAATATCTGCCCCCCACCACCCATCCCCCAGAGGGATCAGCCTGAAGCAGAGGGGATGTCTCCCTGTGGGGATAAGGAAGCAAGAGGGGCCCAGCAGCCCCAGCACTCCCCTCAGAGAAGGAACTGACGTTGTGCCCCACCCCCATGGACCAGCTGCTGCTGCAACGTGCCCTCCTGGACCTGGAATCACTTCGGGAGCATGTCCCACCCAGGGTGAGCAGCCACCACACCCTTCTTCCATCCTCAGGCTTTGTTGCTCTATATCACCCCCACCTAGTGGCCGGTGGGCCACTGTTACACTGAGCTGCTGTTACACTGTCTCAGGCCATTTAGTGTGGCTGTAACAGAATACCTGAGACTCGGTAACTTATTTTATAAAAAAGGTTTATTTGGCTCACCCTGCTTGTGTCTGAAAAGTCTGAGATCAGGCAGCACATCTGGCGAGGGTCTTGTGCTGCTTCACCTCATGGGGAAAGTGGAAGGGGAAACAGGTGTATGCAAGGGGCTCACATGGCAAGAGAGGAAACACGAGAGTCTAGGAAGCTGAACTCACTCTGGTAACAATCCACTCCTGGTAACTAATCCAGTCCCATGAAAAGGCATTAATCTATTCATAAAGGATCTGCCCTGTGACCCAAATACCTCCCACTAGGCCCCACCTCCCACACCACCACATTTGGAATCAAATTTCAACATGAGTGCTGGTGGGAACAAACGATGTCCACATCACAGCATGCACCCCACCCTGCGGGGCCACGCTGCCGTGCCCCTCCCCTCCCAGCTGCCATTGCGCCCTGCCCCTTGGAGCCTGAGTTGACTTGGTGCCCTGCTTTCCAGGGAATCAGTGCCTTGGCCAGTCTGAGCAGTCACACTCCCCACTGCACAAGAGCTGAAGCACTGTCCTGCTTCACAGGGAATCAGTGTCTTGGCTGAGCTGAGCAGCCACACCTGCCAGGGATGAGCCAACATGGCACCCCCACGTCCCAGGAAAATGGCATTGGTTGAACTGGGGTACCTTGCCCTTCAGGACAAACAACTGTAGAACCCTGCTTCCTTGGAACTGGACTAGCCCTGGAGAATCTGAGTTGCCCAGGCACCTGCCTCCCCAGGGAGAGAAGTAGTTGCTGCACTGGTCCCTGCCCCCGAGGGCCCAAGCCACAGTAGTGCTCCATCATTCTGGGGTCCTTGCTGATGCTGCGCCTGGCCTCGTAGAGACTGAGATGCTGCTGTGTCCCACCACTGTAGGGTCCAGAGTCACTATTATGTCACTCCCATGTCCAGAGTCACTCCCATCCCCTGGGAGTTTACTTCTTAAACTCTTCGCAAAAATAGAGCAAGAGGAAATAATTCCAAACACATTTTACCAGGCCAGTATCACCTTAATACCTAAGCCAAACCAAAACACACACACACACACACACACACACACACACACACACACACAACAAACAAAAACTACAGGTCAACTTCTCCAATAAATTAAGCACTGATGCAAACATCCTAAAAAAATTTTAGCAAATAGAATTCAACAACACATCAAAAACTTTATACATCGTGTTTAAGTGGGATTTATCCCTGGCATGCAAGGCTGGTTTAACATATGTAAATCAATCAATGTGATATATCACATTAACAAAATGAAAGATAAAACGACATGTTCACCTCAATTGATGCAGAAAAAGCATTTAACAAAGTTTAGCAACCTTTCTTGATAAAACCTCTTAACAGTTTATGTATAGAAGGAAAGTTCCTCAACGTAATAAAGCCCATTTATGAAAAACCCACAGTCTACATAATAGTTAGTGGGGAACAACTAAAAGCTTTTCCACTAAGATTGAATACAAGATAGGGATGGCCAGCTTCATCACTTTTATTCAATAGAGTACTTGCAAGAGCAATCAGATGAGAAAAAAAAGGCAACTAAATTAAAGAAGTAAAATTATCTCTATTTGCAGATGACAAGATCCTTTACATAAAAAACTCCAAAGATTCCACAAAAAAGTGTGAGAACTACTAAATCAATTCAGTTAAGCTGCAAGGTATAAACTCAATATATAAAAATCAGTTGCATTTCTGTATGCAAATAACCTAGGTGACAAATCAAGAAAATAATCTAATTTACAATAGCAGCAAAGAAAAACAAAAACTTAGGAATAAACTTAACCAAGAAGGTGAGAGATGTGTACACTTGAAAACCATAAAACATTGATGAAAGAAATTTAGACATGAACAAATGGAAAGACATCCTATGTTTATGGATCAGAAGAATTAATATTGTTAAAATGTTCACGCTACCCAAAGCAAATATACAGATTTAACACAATCCTCATCAAAGTTCTGTTGGCATTCTTCACAGAACAGAATAAAACAATCCTGGCCAGGCGCAGTGGCTCATGCCTGTAATTCCAGCACTTTGAGAGACCACAGCGGGCAGATCACAAGGTCAGGAGTTGGAGACCAGCCCAGCAAACATAGTGAAACCCTGTCTCTACTAAAACCACAAAAATTGGCTGGGCATAGTGGCACGTGCCTGTAGTCCCAGCTACTTGGGAGGCTGAGGCAGGAGAATTGCTTGAATCCAGGAGGCAGAGGTTTCAGTGAGCCGAGATTATGCCACTGCACTACAGCTTGGGCGACAGAGTGAGACTTTGCCTCAAAAAAAAAGAAAATAAAAGAAAAAACAATCCTGAAACTCATATGGAACCACAAAAAACCCCAAACAGCCAAGAGATTACTGTGAAAGAAAAAGTTGGAGGCATCGCACCTCTTGATTTAAAATTGTATTACAAAGCTATAGTAATCAAAACAGTATGGTGCTGGCATAAAAACAAAAAAATAGACCAATGGAACAGAACAGAGACCTTTGAAATAAATCCAAACATATACTGTCAACTAATTTTTGATAAGGGCAAACAAGACAACACAATGGTAAAAAAGACAGTCTCTTCAATAATAGTGCTGGGAAAACTGGATTTTCACATGCAAAAGAATAAAATTGGACCCTGATCATACACCATACACAAAAATCAACTCAAAATAGATACAAGACCCAAGACCCAAATAAGACCTGAAACCATAAAACTCCTAGAAGAAAACATAGGGAGAAAGCCTCTTGACGTTGGCCTTAGCAATAATTTTTTGGATATCGCACCACAAGCCAGGCTACAAATGTAAACATAAACAAGGAGGACTGCATCAAACTAAAAAGCTCCTGCACAGCAAAGGAACAACCAACAAAATGAAAAGGGAACCTATAGACTGGGAGAAATATTTGCAAACCACATATCTGATAAAGTGTTAATATCCAAAAATCAGTAAAGAACTCTTACAACTTAATAGCAGAAAAACAACCCAGTTGAAAAATGGGCCAAATAGGAAATGACCAATAGGAAATGGGGAGATGTATATTAAAACAATACAAAGTAGCAGACATGTAGGATGAACAAGTTAGAGATCTAGTGTATATCATGAGGGCTATAGTTAATAAAAATGTATTGTCTTTGGGATTTTTGTTAAGTAAGTAGATTTTAGCTGTTCCTGTTACACACAAAAAAATCTAACTGTGTGAAATGGTAGCTATGTTAATTTGCTTCACGATAGTAACCAGTTTACTATCTATATGTATCCTTTAAGATCATGTGGTCAACCTCAAATATATAAAATAAAATTTATTTTAAAAAAGAAAAGTTTGTCTTCAATCCAGAAAGAACCACTATTATCATTTTTTGGTGTTCCATTCCAAAATATTCCACAAATATACAACTGTTCAATCAAATTTAACGTTAGACTTTATACTTGAACATTCAAAGCATGTAAGAAATTATAGAAAAGTGTCTGTGTGACTCCCTGTCTGTAGAGCACAGGCTTCATCTCCACTAACACACACGCGACCAGTACCTTATACAGAGAGTCCTTGTTCGCCTTTAGTCTGACGCCATGGGCGAGCCTGAGTTGGCCCGTGGTCCGCATTCCTGACCAGGTGTCTTTCTCACCCACTGGTTTCAACAAAGATGTTACTGGGTTATAGAACGCTGGGATGGAAACAGGATACCAAGTTCGCATGAAGACAATATCTGAAAAGAGAGGTAATTTACTTTAACATTTTCAAAAGAAGATTCATATCCATATTGCGAAGAAACAAAGAATAAAACCTTCACTCCAAACTTCTCTACCTGGCTGCAAAGTATTTGAAGGAAAAGCTCGCTAAGGAAACTATTCTCATAGATCACAGAACTGTTACTGGGTGTGGCCAGGGGACTGCAGACACAAAGCGAATGGGCACACCCATAAGACTGGGAGATCTAAGGCTGGAGCTGCTCAACTCTCTAGAGACCTGACTCCAGCCTCTCGTCACACTGGCTAGAAGTCAAGCATGAATGGTAACACCCTGCCCTGAACACTACTCAAGACACTCACCGCTCATCAGCAGCTTATCCTCAAAGCTGGCCCTGAAAGCTCCTTCTGGAGCTCGGAGTGCTTTCTTGATCTGCCCCCTTATCCCACTGACTGTTCGAATCACAGCACCTTCAAATTTGGCCACTTCCAAGGCAGAATTAAACATTCCCTACAGGTATAGCAAGATAAAAACACACACACACAAAATCATATACTTTATGCTTTACTTCTTACTTCAAACATACATCCTTGATTAAAGAACAAAAACAACTCACTGAAGGGTGATAAAATAAACAAAATGTATTCGCCCCTGAAAGTGGAATTACTATCTCAAAAAGAATACAAGTCTTTCATTTTCCCCAAAATAATCATGTCAGTTCATGGGCATGCTCATCACCGCTGTCTGTGTGGAAGAGAAGATCGAAGAGGGATTTACTGGACTGAACTGGCCTAGGCAGCCTTTCCTGGCATCTCTCAGACTGGACTGCAGCCCAGATGCTTTTACTCAGGTGCATGCACTTAGAACATGAAAACAGTAAGATAAACGCTGGTGGTATTATTACCTTATATTGCAAGAACATTTTATGACTTTCTAACTCTGTGTTTTCAATAGAAACATCCCCACTAATGAAATTCTCAATAAATGCTGCTCAAACCAACCTCCCCAAATACTGAAAAACAGTATATCCGTTTCTCTGTAACCTTGCCAAGTTGTCTGCAAATGCTTTGTCGATTTTTCTACTGAATGGTTAGACAAACTTGTGATTTTTTTCCCTTTCTTAACACAAATAAAAAAAGTAGGAAACAAAACCCAGTGGATAAAATGACATATTTTCAATATGAGTTCAATATGAGTTCAATATGTGGCAGTCTCACATGGAAGTTATGAATAACAGCCTCAATTCCTAAATAGCTGTTTTACCACTGCTTTTTAGAGCATATTTAAGTAACACAGAATATAAAGGAGCAAACAAAATATGAAGTTTATAAAAGATTTCAAACACTTTTATAAAAATATGAGGCCCATATTTTAAAGGTATTTCATTCCTTTTCTCAAACAATATGGACATTTATAAATATGAGAATATATAGATATACAGACCTTAATAAATGAAGTGTTCTTGAAAATTTTATATGGAAAACCAGTTAGCTTTAATTTCTTCACAATTTTTATGGATTTATCCAGATCAAGGACAACTCCTGTAGCAGCTATCCGAAAATCAGGCTAACAGGAACCCCAAAATTTGAAAATAGGAATAATATCAGCAAGAGAAAAACTTCAATTCTATGTGACACAATAAATTACCAAAGTGAATTTTACTTACAATTAGCTAAGAAAAACAAGAGAGACCATGTGAACTTGCAACCCAGTGGTTTGACAAAAGCAATCCAAAACTTTAAAGTTGGTAAGCCAAACTAACAAGGGTGACTTGAGGCCGAGCACAGTGGCTCATACCTGTAATCCCAGCACTTTGGGAGGCCAAGGCGGGTGGATCACCTGAGGTCAGAAGTTCAAGACCAGTCTGGCCAACATGGCAAAATCCCATCTCTACTAAAAATACAAAAATTAGCTCAGCATGATGGTGCACACCTGTAATCCCAGCTACTCAGGAAGCTAAGGCAGGAGAACCGCTTAAACCCAGGAGGCAGAGGTTGCAGTGAGCCAAGATCGTGCCACTGCACTCCAGCCTGGATGACAGAGTGAGACTCTGTCTCAAAAAAAAAAAAAAAAAAAAAAAAAAAAGGCGCCTTGAGTACTTTCCTGAGAGTGATTTCAGAGGAATGTAATTTCACTATAATGATTTATTTGGAATGAAATGGAAAAGAAAAATACAGTTGCAATGTTTAGGAAATTAAAATTTGGAACTCCAGGGCAGATTCCATCTGCTCATTATTCTGCTTTCTTCTCTGTTAAATGGGACCAATAAACCCTGCCCTGCCTGACTGGTCAAATGAAAATGGACTCCCTGCACGGCTGCAGGGAGTCTCTGATGGCTCCTCACAACCTCATATAGTGCTTAGCACATGGTGAGCACTGCTTAAGTACTTGCTTAGATAAATAAATGCAAAAGATGCACAAAAATAGGAAATGTACCATTATAATTCTTCCACCTCCCCTCCTCTAATCCCACACCCTACTGAAAACGATGTAGGAAGATTAAAAGCAAAGGGAAATTTACTTTGTATTAATAAAAATGAGTAATTTTCAACTTAAAGTCTCATGTACATAATAACCCACACCCAGGATATATTTCTCAAACCAATCTGTAAAAGAAATCATCCAAGATAGTTACCATTATGCCACTGACAGACTGTATTGCCAAGAAACCAGTTCCCTGTGGAGTGATAGGGCCTTAAAGGAAAAGGAAAAAAAGAAATATAGCGAACCACAAATTTTAGATTCTAGTTTAACATACTGGATATGGACATTTAGATTTGGATATAGATTTACATATATACTCCAAACCACCTCCCCGCTCCCAGAAAAGAGAAAAATCTTAGGAGTGGAATTTTATGAAAGAAAAGCACAAAGCTATAATAACGCAGCCTGTAAGGTTTAATCTTGGCAACAGGCAAGTTATTGTAATCATATTTTACCCCAAAAGGCTGCTCCGCAATGCATGTGCTGTGGGGTATACTTTAGAAGCCTTTGTCTTCCATTGTGGTCTTCGATATAATACAGTGGGATGGTCTGAAACCTCCTCCACCCTACAGAAAATATGATTGGATCTCGGGACTTGAGGATTTTCTTATACCAGCGATGTTTCTTCAGACGCATCTGAGGGGACGAGAGGGTAAGATGATTGATGGAGGGGAAATCCACAGAGCCTCAGGCACCAAATATGTAGCAAAGGGACCCACCTGCACGTAGCCAACATTTCCCTCACTGTTGCCCAAGCCACCCAGGATAATGGGGTAATGGGGGTCAAAGTTCTGCACAAATTCACAGGGAACATTTTCAATCTCAATGCGGACGTACATCCCAGGTCGAAAACCCTCATACTGAACTCTGGCTTCATCATCTTGATCTTCAAATTCTGCGCGATTCAGCTGTACATGATGGGGAATAAAAAAACCTGTATGCTGTTATCTGTAATAAACATAAGATTAACATGAACAAATGAGCAATTTCTAAGTAAAGGAACTGTGGACAGAATTATGTAGGCTTTACCCTATTAAAAATACTACACATTTGGCCAGGTACAGTGGCTCACGCCTGTAATCCCAGCACTTTGGGAGGCCGAGGTGGGCAGATCACATGAGGTCAGGAGTTTGAAACCAGCCTCGCCAACATGGTGAAACCCCGTCTCTACTAAAAATACCAAAATCAGCTGGGCGTGGTGGTGCGTGCCTGTAGTCCCAGCTACTCAGGAGGCAGAGGTGAGAGAATTGCTTGAACCCGGGAGACGGAGGTTGCAGTGAGTCGAGATCGTGCCACTGCACTCCAGCCTGGGCAATAGAGCGAGATTCCATCTCAAAAAACAAAAAACCAAAAAAAAAGACCTACATATTTTACCTCTACAGTCTGCTCAGAATATGTCCCAACCGTTTTCTTCTCTCCTGCTCCAAGGGACAGCAAATGTAGATAACTGTGGAGCCCTGCATGCCCGAACACTGGAAACGTCCCCAGTCCACATCTTCTTTCTTTCCTTTCTGAACAATTCTTTCACACTTTTCCCTTGTCTTCAAACACCCACCACCACCCTCACCTTCACTCAGCTGATGGCTGTTTCCTGATTCACTCCAAAACCAAAAGAACCTCCACGGTCAGCCCTCTACCAGGGTTTCCTCCCATATCCAGCCTTATCAGAGCTCTGACCTGGCCCATAGGGGAGCTATGAGTGGCTATTTACATTAAAATTAATTACAATTACATAATATTTAAAATGCAGTTCCTCAATCACACTAGTCACACTGGAAGTGGTCCATATCAACCTGCGGCCAGTGTTACAATATTGGGAAGCACTGACGTGCATCTCGATGATCACAGAAAGTTCTACAGGCAGCTCAGGCACAGAATATTTGTCCATGCCTCTACTCAGGGCCACACATCACTTGCTCACTAGACACCATCCACTCTTCCTGGACTTTATTCCAACAGCTCTTCCCTCTGTTCTCTCTCTTATCTCAAAACCTTTTGATTCCACTTCTTCCACCAACAACGGCTTCATTTCTCTGCTTCTCTCTGCAGCAAAACCCCACAAAAGTTTTCTGCAGTTGCAGCCTCCAGTTCCTCTGCTCCCATTCTCCTACATCCATGAAAATTGGTGCTTGCCAAGATTGCTGAAGGCCTCCACGCTGAAGGACTCCTCCAGTGGTGAACTCTGCCTTCACCGTAGTTAACATGGCAGCAGGATCTGAACAATGCTTCGCCTCCATGTACAACTGGCCTCCTGTGTGCCTGCATGCTCACACTGCTTCTCCCTCCTAGGCACTGCTCAGGACTCACGGCCACAATCGCCCCATCTCGCCCATGCCAGTCTTGCTCCTCCCACTCACTCTGCACTCACTCCCGGCCACCTCACAGCGTTAAGTGGCATCTACATGCTGAGGGCATCTACATCTAAGTCCCTGGCCAGACCTCTCTCCAGACCTGACATTTCACTTGTCTGCATGATACCCAGCCGAACCAAACATCATCTTCCCAAAACTGCATCTGCAGAGGGTTTCCTATCTAACTTACAACAACCCGTCCTTCCAGGAACTTCCAGTCGACATCCTCATTTCCTCTCACACACCCCACATTCAGTCCACCAGGAAATCCTACTGACCCAGCTTCCAAATAAAGTCTATCCGGGTTTGACTCTTTCTCTCATCTCCACTGCCAGCCTTCTGGTTTGTGCCACCCGACTGATCTCTTGGCAGAGTGATCTGATTACCTCTCCTCTGCTCAAAACCCTCCAAGGACTCCCATTTCAGAGTGAAACATTCAGTCTTTTCCAATGGCCCACAAGGCTCTAGGTAATTTTAAATTGTAAATGGTGTGAAGCAAAAACTTCAGAGTTAGCCTAGTCATGCCTTTCAAAGGTCAACACAGACTAGCAACCACTAAGCTAATGCCTAATCAGGAAATAGTCCTTTGACTAGATGAAGACCTAGGATGAAACTCCGTTTCACAAATCATATACCTAATCTGTTCCAGCTTACACAGGCACTCCTGGCCTCACTAACAAGACGCAACTCAGATGCTCACCATCAACTGTACACACGTTTCTGTGTCTGTCTCCTTCAGAGTGAGATCACCGCCTCCAGCAACCTGCTCAGCATCCCCAGGCAGGAGGGCCACACCATCTCCCTTTATTTCTGCATCTGACCTTATACTCCACATGTCCTTCTGAACTCTGACCAGGATGAGTTTTCAGAGCACTTCCCCTGGGAGCTCTGGTGTGTCTATAAGCCACAGGGGCCACTGATCACCTGCCATTCAAATCAGGGAGCAGCGATTGGAATAGGCCGCCAATGCTTGCACTGAAATGAACACACTGTCTCAGATCACTACATTGTAAGACCATGTCTCAAAAGTAGAGACCATGTCTCAGTCATTTCTGTTTCCTAATTCTTGTTACAAAATAGGTATGGATCTTTTTCTGGTGACCCTCTGACTGCAGAAACAATGAGCTCACTGCATGAATAAACACACTCACATGCATCTCTACCCAGGAGTCCGAATGAAAGGCACAGAAGCAGGATACACAGAAGCAGGATAGGACGTAGGGACCCAAACAAAGTCAGGGATTCCTGCGCTATATGATAGTCTTGACAAGGGGCTGAGAGGAACTGAGGTTTCTCACCTGTGCTTGTTTCTGCATTTCTCCTTTAAGATCATCAAAATATGTGCTTTCTCCTTCATCATATTCTGCATCAAACATCTCCTTCAATTTTCTCTTCTTATCCAAATGCTTTTTCTTGGCACTTTCTTCTTCGTCGGGGTCAATTTCTTCCTTAACTTCTTTCTCTATATCTTCATTCTTAAATTTCCAGAAGAAAAAATTTTGTGTATGTTTATGAAGGTCTTTTCTTTAAACATTAGCTTTTTTAAAGTTCTATTTAAACAAGAATCTTAGCAAAAATCTGTTATCATTATCAATAAAACAAAAGAAAACACAACACAACCTTTGTCTCTGAATAACATGGTACTGCTACAGGAAATGGTTACATCTGCATTACAATTAGCTGCTAATCCTTAAGCTGGCTGGGAACACAAACTAGAATAAAAATAACAGACGTGTCCCTCACCCAGATGCTCCCAGACCCTGTTCTAAAGAAATACTAGGGAGAACAGGGACTTCATTCTTTTAAATGACACTTAAATTTAAAAAAAGGAGAATGATGCCAATGGTTGAATGTAAGTCCAAGAAGCTAAGACTTCCGTGAGTGAAAAATCACAGTGGACTTGGCAAATGACTATGGCAAGAAACGGTAGTAACTGTCATCCAAAACTTAACAAGTAAACAAGAAAGCTTCTCTTTGGTCCCCACATCCCCACCCTTTAGGAAGGAATCTATCTATCCAGTCTGCAATCTTCACACATCACAAGTAAGATTTGCATTTCTCAATGTGGGCCTCTCTCAGAACACAATGACCAAGAACAGCCAGCTACGACAAAGTCATACCTGAGTATTGGGGCCTGATTTTCCCTTGTGCACGTCCCCTGTTTCCAAGTCTTCAAAGTCACCGTAGAGCTCCTCTGGGAAAAGAACACCCAAAGGCTGCTCTGTGAGCCAGGTATGCATGTGCTGCTGGCCCCACCTACCACAGGCCCACAGTGTGCTCTGCGTTCCAAGCCTCATTCTCACTGTTCCTGTCACTACACACACAGGCAAAACTTTGCACTAGGGAATGCTTTGTAAAACAGTTAGTATTTCATCATCTGTTTAGGTAAACTAAATGGACCCAATCCACATTTCCGCACTTCACATCAAAATCCCAATCTCAATTTTTCCAGTATACACAATGGACACTCTTTTGTTTTTGTTTTTTATTTTTGGAGACAGAGTCTCACTCTGTCACCCAAGCTGGAGTGCA
Organism: Homo sapiens; assembly: GCF_000001405.40. NCBI lineage: Eukaryota > Metazoa > Chordata > Mammalia > Primates > Hominidae > Homo > Homo sapiens. Next base: position 42,816,260 of record NC_000010.11, on the reverse strand, counting down.
GTGGCATGATCTCAGCTCACTGCAACCTCCGCCTCCCGGGTTCAAGCAATTCTACTGCCTCAGTCTCCCGAGTAGCTGGGATTATAGGCACCCGCCACCAAGCCTGGCTAATTTTTGTATTTTTAGTAAAGATGGGATTTCACCAATTGGCCAGGCTGGTCTCGAACTCCTGACCTCGTGATCTGCCCTCCTCAGCCTCCCAAAGTGCTGGGATTACAGCCATGAGCCACTGCACCTGGCCAATGGACACTCTTTATGAAAGACACAGAGGTCTATGTGTGTCCCCCAAACGAATAGTTCAAGGAATGAATAGAAAAGCTCCACGCTGATACCAGCACATGTGAAAAGGAGTCTCAATGTAAGTTCAACACAACACAATCGTGTAACACACCTAGGGGAAATTTTAGGTTATATAAAACATAGCATTTAGATTAAGAGTAGAGCCCCAAACCACACCAAACCCATGGGAAGAGCTTATTCACTCATTCATTCCTTCATTTGTTTTTGGAGCTCTGGGCTCAATTATAGTTCCCACTCTTAAAAGAAACAGACAAGTAAGGCTGGGTGCAGTGGCTCACGCCTGTAAACCCAGCACTTTGGGGGCCCGGGAGGCAGACGTTGCAGTGAGCCATAATTGCATCACTGAACTCCAGCCTGGGTGACAGAGTGAGACCCTGTCTCAAAAAAAGGAAAATAAAAGAAATAGGCAAGTTAAAACTCATTTGGGAGAGCAATGTTTAGAAGGCTATTAAAACATTTTCACATAAGGGCCAAAGAACCAGGTAGAAGTTATAATAGATAGGAAGCTCCTATTTGTAATAAAAGCAAAAAAGGATAAAATAGGAATAAACCTAACAAGAAATGCACCAGAACTTTATTTTTTTAAAAAAGAAGAAAAGCTTTAATATGCTACCAAAGGACAAAAGGAATAGCATCACCACCAACACTCATCGGTGCTCTCCACACCAGGCACTGTGTTAAGTACTTTCCTTGCCTTAACCACATTCTTCAACCCAAGGAAGTAGGTGTTGTAAATATTATCTACTGAATAATGATATGTCCTCATTTGAAAAGAAAGACTCAACATCAAAAATACGCCAATTCTCCCTTTAGCACAGTTACAACCTGAAACCACCATTAAGGATTTCTGGTCTAGAGAAGATAACACATTATACCCTCCTAAGAAATAATAGACAGGAGATGATCAAAGGAGAATTCTGAAAGGTGGAAAGAAAAAGGCTGCTGAGGGACTCTAGGACTAGGGAATGCATAGTGGCCAGGTGTCTCCCTGGACCTCATCCAATAGGAAGTTGACCAGGCCCAGAGTTTCCCAACTCCCAACGTAGCAATAGAAGGCAACCCAGGCAGACTCAGTCCCCCCAGATCAAAGGAAATCTTCCCCATAACAAGAAAACCAGCTCCACACACCAAGACAACCACCACTCCCCACCCACCTAGCTGCAGCAGGTGGCCCAGCCTGGGGCAGCTCCCCTGTTCCCTCAGGTGGGCAACAGCAGGGACTGGTGGGAGAATCCCAGTGATACATATAAGCCAAACAGACCAAAATAACACCATGAAGGCTCTGAAATTAAATTGCCATTGGAATCACAGCCCACAAAGTAGACCAGGACCTACAGACTAAACCCAAATAGGAGGACTGCCTGCAAAAATAAAAAAATTACATAGGCAGATGTTGGAACCATCTGACTCATCACTTATAACAGTCAGCATAAATATGCTTCAACAAGCAACTACAAATCCTATGGCAACAAACAAAGAACTGAAAACGTCAGCAAAGAAACTGAAGAAGAATCAAATGGAAATTACAGAAATATAAAATACAGTAACAGAAATTAAAAAAAAATCTATCTAGATGGGCTCTATTGAGTAAAAGTGGAGACGACAGAGGAGAGAATCAGAGAAGCTGAAACCTGTATCAACAGAATTCACCCAGTCTAAACAATAGAGAGAAAATAACCTGAAAACAAATGAACAGAGCTGCACGGACCTGTGGGACAATAACAAAAGACCCCGCATTTATGTTATCTGAGTCCCACAGGAGACCAGAGCTGCAAAAGCATGCAAATAACTAATTCCTGACGCTTCCCACATTTAGTGAAAGATATAAACTTACAGATTCAAGAAGCTGAGCAAACCTCAAAGTATAACAAAAGAAAGCAACACTGATTAAACTTTCAAAACTAAAAACAAAGACCAAAAATGGCAGAATGCCTGTAGGGACATGCCAACTCAAATGCCATGGAGGCCAGAAGGAAGTGGCACAACATTTTCAAGTGCTTAAAAAAAACCAACCAAAGAAACAAACAAAAAAACCAAACCAACAAACAAAAAAACTGTTGGTTGCAAATTCTATATCCCATGAAACTACCCTTCAGAAATGAAGAGAGAAATAAAGACATTATCAGAGGAAGAGAATATAGGAATTTGTCTCTGGTAAATTTAGAAATGCTAAAAAGTGGCTACAGAAATATGTTCTGTCATTTCCACAATACAAAAAATTAAAACAAAAAAATCAAAATAAAAAAATGGCTACAGAAAGTTCTTATGCAGAAGGGATGAATATGGGACTATGGGAGGAGGGACAAAGGAAAGACCAGAAATGTGGATACATACACGAGACAATCCGCAGTTCTTAAAATCACACTTGACAACTGAAACAAAAACTATACCACCACCTAATACTCAAGCCAGTGATTCATACAAGCGGAAAAGGTAAAGAGACATAAATGCAAGGCAGGTTTCCACACTTTGAAGTGGTAAATACTGGTACCAGTAGACTACTATATTACAATATGCATATTGTAACATCCAGAGCAAACACTTCAAGACTATACAAAGAGATACACGCAACAACATTATACAGAAATAGATCAAGATGGAGGGAAAGAAAAAGGAAACAAAAAAGCAAATAATAAAAACATCAGACATAAGCAATTATGTAACAATAAGCACCTTAAATGTAAATGGTCTAAATAAACCAAAAGACGGATGGATGGAGAGCCTATAATAAACACATGGCCCAACTAAATACTGTTCATAAGAAACTTCAAACTCACTTAAGGACCTAAGTAGGCTGAAAGTAAAAGAATGGAGAAAGATATCCTATGTAATCATTAATTTTTTAAGGAAGCAGGAGTGAATATATTAATATCTCATGAAGTAGACTTCAAGCAAAATAATTTACCAGAGCTGGAGAGGGTCTTCGCTGAATTTTAAGATCTAAAATTTCCTATGCTGCCTGGACATCTTTGAGCCTCACAGGGCCCCAAAGGCCTAGCCGTGGGTTTTCCTGTTTCTACCAGACACCCCCTACCCCGCCACCCAGCAGCAAAGGCTCCCCACCTGGCTAGTTCTTTTATCAGCCAGAACGGTTGCACCTCAGCCTAAGAAGTTTCACTTCACCTGTCTGCCAGCCCATGAATTTATTCAAACAAGCCAATTGCATTCCCCCTCAGGAACCATTGGTCATTGTGTGCTCTTGTTACTACCAAGCCTGCCTCCTTCCTCAGCCCCCAGCCCTCACTCCACTACAGAGTATGGTGCCCATCTGACCCTGCGTGGCATGCAGTGTCCTCCTCTGAGCTGTGGGTATATGTGACTAAAACACTGCTGTCAGTCTCATCCATCCACGCCAGGTGTCGTGTTCAGCCATCTCCTACACTTTAGGGCAGGGACCCCTCCTTCACCAATGGGGTGAAAAGGAAGTGACCGTAACATCTGCTTAATGACAAAAGGATTAACCCACCAAGAAGACATCTACTTCAACACCCTCCTCTCAGCAACTGTTAAAACTAGGCGGAGGCCGGGCACAGTGGCTCATGCCTGTAATCCCAGCACTCTGGGAGGCAAAGACAAAGGATAGCTTGAGGCCAGGAGTTCCAGCCTGGGCAACATAGCAAGGCTTTGTCTCTCCAAAAAATTTTGAATTTAGCCAAGTGTGGCGGCACACACCTATAGTACCAGCTATTCAGGAGGTTAAGCCAGGATAACTGCTTGAGCCTAGGAGGTCAAGGCTGCAGTGAGTCATGTTCATGCCACCGCACTCTAGCGTAAGTGACAGAGTGAAACTAGGCAGAAAAGGAGCAAGGATTTACAAAAGATCTGAACAGTGAGCCAGCAAAATCTGACATCCGTATAACACCCTACTCTCCAACAGCAAAATACACACATTTTTAAAGTCAATAGAAATCTACCAAGATGAAGTACATTTGGGGCAATAAAAGAAATCACAGCAAATCTAAAATAATTCAACTCATAAGAATATGTTCTCAGAACATAATATAATCAAGCTAGAAATCTATAACAGAAAAACAGGAAACTCTCTAAATACTTGATAATTAAAACAACATATTTATAAATAATGCATGGGCCAAAAAGAAGTCCCAAAGGAAATATGAATGAAAATACAACACGTGAGGCCGGGCGCGGTGGCTCACGCCTGTAATCCCAGCACTTTGGGAGGCCGAGGCGGGCGGATCACGAGGTCAGGAGATCGAGACCATCCCGGCTAAAACGGTGAAACCCCGTCTCTACTAAAAATACAAAAAATTAGCCGGGCGTAGTGGCGGGCGCCTGTAGTCCCAGCTACTTGGGAGGCTGAGGCAGGAGAATGGCGTGAACCCAGGAGGCGGAGCTTGCAGTGAGCCGAGATCCCGCCACTGCACTCCAGCCTGGGCGACAGAGCGAGACTCCGTCTCAAAAAAAAAAAAAAAAGAAAAAGAAAATACAACACGTGAACATTTGTGGGGTACAGCTCAGCAGTACTGAGAAGGAAATTTAAACACTAAATGCTCACATTAGAAATGAGAAAAGATAAACCAATAACCTAAGAAATTTCAAAAAGAACAAAATAAACCCCAAACAAGCAGAAGAATAGAAATAATAAGGGGCAGAAATTGGCCGGATGTGGTGGCTCATGCCTGTATTCCCAGCACTTTGGGAGGCCAAGGCAGGTGGATCAACTGAGGTTGGGAGCTTGAGAACAGCCTGACCAACAGGGAGAAACCCTGTCTCTACTAAAAATACAAAAAATTAGCTGTGCGTGGGGGTGCATGCCTGTAATCCCAGCTACTTGGGAAGCTGAGGCAGGAGAATCACTTGAACCCGGAGGTGGAGGTTGCGGGGAGCCAAGAACGTGCCACTGCACTCCAGCCTGGGCAAGAAGAGTGAAACTCAGTCTCAAAAAAAAAATAATAATAATAAATAAAGGGCAGAAATCAATAACATTGAAAGCAGAAAAACAGAGAAAATCAATGAAACAAAAAGCTGGTCATTTGAATAGAATCAACAAAATTAATAAATTTTACGACAAAGATAAAAACAGAGAAGACACAAACCAACAACATCACGAATAAAACAGGGGTTATCAAAAAGGCTCCTGCAGCCGTTAAAGAGTATTAAGCAAATACTCTAAACATCACCCTCAGACTACCCAAGCTGGTCTCTTCAAGAAGGCACTCAGTGCAACTTCCACTTCCCTAACAAGACTTGAAACACCTTGAAAATCATAAACTACCAAAATTCAGGCAAGATGAAATAGATAATCTGAATCGTCCTATAACCATTAAAGAAATAAAATTTGTAATTAAGAGCTTCTGGAATAAGAAATCTCCAGGCCCAGATGATTTCACTGGAGAATTACACCAAATATTTAAAGAATTCATCCCAATTCTATACAAACTCTTCCAGAAAACAGAATAGGGGACACTTTGCAACTCATTTTATGAGGCTAGTATTATCCCAATGCCAAAACCAGATGAAGACAGTACCACCACAAAAAGAAAAAACAAAACAAAACAAAAAAACTCACAGACCAGTATCTCTCATGAATGCAAAAAGTCCTCAACAAAGTACTATAAATGGAATCCAACAACACATAAAAAGATTTGTATAAAAATTTTCACATGGTGATCTTTTCGTAGTTCATAAGTGTGATGACTGGGTATTCATGCATGTATGTGGGATATGCCACCCTTGACCCTTGTTACAACATTAGCACATTAACCATCTGACATGAAAGGAAAAAACAAAACAAAAAAACACACACATTTCCATATGTTGTATTTTCATTTTCATTCATGATCAAGTGAGAGTTATTCCAGGTATGCAAGTCTGCTTCAACATTCAAAAAATGAATCAGGCCAGGTGCGGTGGCTCCTGCCTGTAAACCTAACGCTTGGGAGGCTGAAGTGGGAGGATCCCTTGAAGCCAAGAGTTCCCTTGAAGCCAAGACCAGCCTGGGCAACACAGTAAGACCTGGCTCTACAAAAAAAAAAAAAAAAAAAAAATTAGCCAGACATGATAGCACACACTTGTAGTCCCAGCTACGTGGGAGGTGGAGGCAGGAGGATCACTGGAGCATAGGAGGTCGATGCTGTGGTGAGCCATGATCGCACCACTGCACTCCAGCCTGGGTGACAGAGGAAGACCATGTCTCAAAAAATAAAAGGATCAGTGTAATCTATATCAAAAGAGTAAAGAATGAAACCCATATCCAGATGATCATATCAACTGACACCAAAAGGCATTAGACAAAATTCAACATCCAATCATGTTAGTAAATAAATAACAGTGACAAGATTGGGAACAACATAGGAAGTCCACTCTCAGCACTCTTACTCCACATTGTACTAAAAGTCTAGTCACTGAATTAAGGCAGAAAATTTTAAAACAGAAAGAAGGCCAGGCATGGTCGCTCACGCCTATAATCCCAGCACTCTGGGAGGCTGAGGCAGGCAGATCACTGGCATTCAGGAGTTTGAGACCAGCCTGAGCAACATAGTGAGACCCCATCACTACCCCTAAAAAATTTAATTAAAAAAAAAAGAAGGAAAAGCCATACAGGTTGAAAAGAAAGAAATAACACTGTCTCTATGTTTTCTACACAACTGTCTGTGTAGACAATCCCAGGCAATCTACAAAGACAAAACAAAACAAAACCCTCCTACAACTAATAAGTGAGTTTAGCAGGACAAAAGAGAAACAAATGAAAATCAATCAAAATCAAATACTTAGGTCTAAACTTATCAAAACATATTCCCAACTGGTATGCTGAAAATCATAATACTGATGAAAGAAATAAAAACTAAAATAAATAAATATACTGTGTTCATCTATTTTAATACTCAAAATAGAAAAAGATTATCCCCCCAAACTGATCTATAGGTTTAATGCAATCCCTACCAAAATCCCAGGTAAGTTGTTGTAGACATAAACAAGTTTATTCTAAAATTTATAGGGAAAGTCACAAGCCTTGGGATAGCTTAACCAATCTTGAAAAACAAGAATAAAGTAAGAGGAGTCACTCTACTCAACATTAACACTCACTATAAAGCTACAGGAACGTAGACAGCAAGGGTGGTACTGGCCAAGGGATTGACATGTGAAGTCAATAGAACACAAGAGAACCCAGAAACAGATTCACAGAAAGATGCTCAACTAATGTTTTACAAAAGTCAAAAGCAATTCAATAAAATAAGTGGTGCTAGAAAAATTATACAATTGCAGGCGAAAATATAAACCTTGAGCTAAGCCTCATATCTCATAAAATGAAAAAATCAAAATAGATCATGGGTGTAAAGAGAAAACAAAAAATACTATAAAAAACTGGTAAATCGGATTTCATCAAAAATAAAAACTTTTGGCCCGACACGGTGGCTCACGCCTGTAATCCCAGCACTTTGGGAGGCCAAGTAAGGCGGATCACGAGGTCAGGAGATGGAGACCATCCTGGCAAACACTGTGAAACCCCGTCTCTACTAAAAATACAAAAAAATTAGCCGGATGTGGTGGTGGGCGCCTGTAGTCCCAGCTACTCGGGAGGCTGAGGCAGGAGAATGGCATGAACCCGGGGGACAGAGCTTGCAGTGAGTGGAGATCGCGCCACTGCACTCCAGCCTGGGCAACAGAGAGAGACTCTGTCTCAAAAAACAAATAATAATAATAATAAATAAATAAATAAATAAATAAAAAATAAAAACTTCTGCTCTGTGAAAGGCCCCGTTAAGAAAATGAAAACTACAGATTAGGAGAAAGTATCTGCAAATCACACATCCGACGATGGAGTTAAACATATAATGAACTCACAGTACCCAACCCAACCCAATTTTTAAAAGTGCAAAAAAAAGACATCCCCAGACATTTTTTATCTGTATAGAAGATATAAAAATGCAAATAAACACATGAAAAAATGCTCACCATTATTAGCCACTGGGGAAGTATATCTTAAAACCACAATGAAATATCACATACCTATTAGAATAGCTAGAATAAACAACAGTGAGAACACCACACATTGTCAAGGATGTAAAGAAACTGGATCACTCACATAATTGCTAGTAGAAACATCAAATGGCCCAACTACTCTGGCAGTCTCCTATGAAACTGTGCAATTACCATATGACCCAGCAATTGCATTATTGGGCATTTATTTCCCAGAAAAATGGGAAGTGCATATTTACACAAAAACTTCTATACAAGTGTTCATAGTAGCTCAATTCTAATAGTCAAAAATTGAAAACAGGCCAGGAGTTCAAGATCAGCCTGAGCAACACAGCAAGATCCTGTCTCTACAAAACAAACAAACAAACAAATAAAAAAATATTAGCCAGGCACGGTGGTGCATGCCTGTAGTCCCAGCTCCTTGGGGGTGCTGATGTGGGAAGATCACTTGAGCCTAGGAGGTCGAGGCTGCAGTGAGCCAATATCACACCACTGCACCCCAGACTGGGCATCAGAGCAAGACCCTGTCTGAAAACAAAACAAAACAAAACAAACTGTAAACAACCCAGCTTGATCTTGGATGAATGGTTAAACAAACCGGTACATCCATACAATGGAGCACTACTCAGCAATAAAAAGGAATGACCTATGGTATATGCACCAACTTGAATGGATCTCCAGGAAATTATGCTGAGTGAAAAAAGCCCCTCACAAAAGTTTATAGACTGTATGATTCTGTTTATTTAACATTCTTGAAGATGACAAAATTGTAGAAACAGAAAACACATTATGGTTCACAAGGGAAGGAACTGGGGGCTGGGGAACAGCAGGGACGTGGGTGTGTTTATAAAACAGCAATACAAGCAATCCTTGTGATGGAACTGCTCCGTATCTTAACTGTTGGTAGACACACAAACCTACACATGTGATAAAAGAGCACAGAAGTATAGACACACACACACGTAAAACACACACACACACACATAAGTGAAACTGGAGAAATCTACATAGGATCAACAGATTGTATCAATGTTGGCATCCAGGCTGTGACCTTGTATTACAGTACACATAGTATACATAGTACATATATACACAGATACTGCTATAGTACAAGATACAGGAGATCTCTCTGTATTCGTTCTTTTTTTTTCTCTGTATTTGTTCTTACACGTGCATGTCAATCTACAATTACCTCAAACTTAAAAGTTTAATTAGGAAAAAACACACCACAAACTTTTCTTTTGGAAATAGAAAAGGTGATTTTTTTTTTTTTTTTTTTTTTCCTGAGACGGAGTCTCGTGCTGTCGCCCAGGCTGGAGTACAGTGGCGCGATCTCAGCTTACTGCAACCTCTGCCTTCCGGGTTCAAGCAATTCTCCTGCCTCAGCCTCCTGAGTAGCTAGGATTACGGGCGTGTGCCACCACGCTTGGCTAATTTTTGTATTTTTAGTAGAGACGGGGTTTCACCATGTTGGCCAGGCTGGTCTCAAACTCCTGACCTCGTGATCCGCCCGCCTCAGCCTCCCAAAGTGCTAGGATTATAGGCGTCAGCCACTGTGCCCAGCCAGAAAGGTGATTCTTAAGTTCACTTGGAAAATAAGCAAAATCAGGACAAAGCAAGGTTGTTTACTTTGACTTCTAATCCACACTGTCCTGGAAGTTTAAACCAGGGCAGTAAGGCAAGAAAAATTAAGTCATCCAGATAGGAAAGAAAGAAAGTAAAACCACTGGGATCTATCTCAGCCTTTCTGTAGATAGTTTCCTGCTTGGCTCCCAGAACCATCCTGCACAGAAACTGGGGGAACCATATGAGATTGGACCAAGGTGAAAGGTCAAAGCAGAATTGGAAGCCCAGGCTTTATTGTGCAGAACAGGAGAAAAAGCAGCATAAAAGAAAAAGAATCCTTGGGATAGTAAGAAGTATTTACTTAGAAAACCATGAATACTGTTTAGTCAAAGTTTACCCCTCCCCTCCAAACACACACTTGAGGTCAGGAGTTTGAGACTAGCCTGGCCAACCTGGTGAAACCCCATTTCTACTAAAAATAAAAAAACTAGCCAGGCGTGATAATGGCTGCCTGTAATCTCAGCTACTCACGAGGCTGGGGCATGAGAATTGCTTGAACCTGGAAGGCAGAGGCTGCAGTGAGCTGAGATCAAGCCACTGCACTCCAGCCTGGGTGACAGAGCGAGACTCTGTCTCAAAAACAGAACTAACAAGTAATTTAGCAAGATTGCAGGATATAAGATCAATTAAAAAAAAAATCAACTGCATTTCTTATATATTAGCCATACATAAATACAAGTTGATATGAAAATAAACTGTTGAGAGTTGTATAAGACCTGTATCCTGAAAACCTTGCTGAGAGAAATTAAAGAACAAGATAAATGGAGAGTTACTATGTTCATAGATCAGAAAACTCAATGTGGTTAAGATGGCAATTTTCCCAAATTGTTTACAAGTTCCATGAAATCCCAATCAAAATTGCAGTGGGCTTTTTTATAGCAATTGACATGCTCATCTTAAAATTTATATGAAAATGCAAAGAACCTAGATTAACCAAAACAACTTTGAAAAGGAGACTAAAGTTTGAAAAACTACCTAAAGTTAAAAACTACTTAATTCCAAGACTAATTATAAAGCTGTAAGTAACAGAGACAGTGTTGGTATTGGTACAAAAATAAACAAATATATCAATGGAACAGAACAGAGAGCCCAGAAATATTCACCCATATATGGCCAACCAATACAGGGCAATTCAACGGGGAAAAAAATAGATTTTCAGCAGATGGTGCAGGGAAAAGTAGATATCAATATGTCAAAAGGAACCTAAATCCATACCCAACACTCTATAAAAAATTAACTCAAAAAGAATTATAGACCTAAACGTAAAACCTGAAACTGTAAGACTTACAGAATATATGAGACAATTTGTGACATTGGGTGAGGCAAAGATTTCTTACATGCACTATGAAAAGCACAGTCCATAAGAGAAAATTTTGGGCAGGGCACAGTGGCTCATGCCTGTAATCCCAGCACTTTGGGAGGCTGAGGCGGATGGATCACCTGAGGTCAGGAGTTCAAGACCAGCCTGACCAACATGGCGAAACCCCATCTCTACTAAAAACACAAAAATTAGGCAGGCGTGGTGGCGGGCGCCTGTAATCCCAGTTACTCAGGAGGCTGAGGCAGGAGAATGGCTTGAACCCAGGGGGCAGGGGTTGCAGTGAGCCGAGATCACATCGCACTCTGGGAGACAGAGCAAGACTCCATCCCAAAAAAAAAAAAATTTTTTTTTGATAAATTGACCTACACCAGAACTAAATACTTTGCTCTGTGAAAAACACTATTAAAAATAGAAAAGACAAGGCACACGCTAGGCAAAAATAATTGGATAACACATGTGATACAGAATTTGTATCAAAAATACACAAAATTTCTTAGAATTCAACAAAATTAAAATAATGTACAAAAGATTTGGACAGATATTTCATCAAAGAAGACACAGACGGCAAATAAGCACATGAAAAAATGTTCGATACCATTAGTCACTAAAACTACAAGATACCACTCTATGCCTAAAAGAAGGCCTACAATTTAAAAAGACTGATACTATCAGGTACTGGGAAAGATGTAGAGTGAAGCAACCGGAAGTTGCATAAAGTTATGGTGGCAATGGAAAATGGTATAAACACTTTGGAAAACAGTTGGGTAATTTCTTAAAAAATTAAATGTGTACCTATCATATGACCCATTTAGTCCATTCTGAACTACTTATTTACCCAAAAGAAATAAAAGCGGTGGTTCACATAAAGACTTCTAAAAAACATTCATAGCAGCTTTACTCATAATAGCCAAAACCTGGAAATAATTGTTTATCAACAGGTTAACAGATAAATAAATTGCTATACATCATACAATGGACTACCCACTAGCCAACAAAAAGAAATGAAGATGCAACAGCATGGATGAATCTTGAAATAATCATGCTGAGTAAAAGAAGTTAGACAGAAAAGAGTACATATTGTAGGATCCCATTTCAATTAAATTCTAAAGGGCACAACCTACTGAATAGTGACACAAGGCAGCTGAATGTACCTGGTGATGGAAGAGGACAAGATGGAGAGTTACAAAGTGGTGTAAGAAAACTGTGGGGGTGACAAATGTGTTCATTATTTTGATTGTGGTGATGGTATATTCACATATCAAAGCTTATCAAATTGTATACTTTAAATACTGTAGTTTACCATCAATTATACCTCACTGAAGTGATTAAAAAAGAAACCCACCACACTTTCTTTTGAAAACAGAAAAGCCGATTCTTAAGTTCCTATGGAAAAAACAATAAGCAAGTGAGAAGGTGAGAATAGTCAGGAGAATCCTAAAAGAAGCCCCCCAGCAGAACAAAAAGGGAAACTGTTGAGACACGGTTTTAATAACTGGTATCTTAGTAACGTGATAAAGCTGCATAGAGTACTAAATTATAGTAATAATAAATGAACCAACAGAGATCAGTGATATTAACTAGAAGGCCCAGAAAAAAAAATTATATATATATAAAGAATACATTCACATACTACAGACTAGGCACAGTGGCTCATGCCTGTAATCCCAGCACTTTGGAAGGCTAAGGCGGGAAGATTGCTTAAGCCCAGGAATTCAAGGCCAGCTAGGCAACATGGCAAGACCCCCATCTGTACAAAATATTTAAAAATTAGCCAGGCATGGTGGTATACATTTGTGGTTCAAGCTACTCAGGAGGCTGAGGCAGGAGTATCTCTTAAGCCTAGGAGTTTGAGACCAGCCTGGGAAACATAAAAAGACTGTCTGTACAAAAAAATTTTAAAATTAGCTGGGTGTAGTGATGCAAGCCTGTGGTCCTAGCTACTCGGGAGGCTTCAGTCTGCGAGGTTGAGGCTGCAGTGGGCCATGACCACACCATAGCACTCCAGTCTGGGTAACAGAGCGACATCCTGTCTCAAGACAAAACAAAAAGAATGACCTTCCAAAAAACCATGTGGCAGTTGCAATCCATAAAAATGACTCAATTCTAACACTTATGAATCTGTCTTATGAAAATAAAAAAGTGTGAGCCAAGAATTATTTCAAAGTTGTTCAGTGTGGAGTTCTTTATAAAATGAACAAAGTATAAAACTACTTAGATATTGAAAAAATTGTGACTTCAATAATGGTATGATAATAATAAATAATATTTTATTTATTTTAAATAAAATATTTTTTAATTTTAAATAATAAAAATGAAATATTTGAAAAAATTTAATGACAAAATTTATAAAAAGTACATCACTTAAGCAATCCTCCTGCCAAAAATTATATAAAGTACAACTAAAAAGGTTTAAACACACAATTTTTAAATGACTAGAAGGAAACAGTTGAAGAAGCTAACAAAGGTTTTTTTATGGGTTGGTAGAATTCTGGTATGTTATGTACTTTTCATTCGAAATTTTCCACAATGCATACTACCTTTATTATGAAAAAAATATAAATGTTATTTGTATATATTTTTCACATCACACAAAATCTATTTTTAACAAACACATGATTAAAATTTATGGAAAGTTTCTCACTTTTAAAGTCCATACGCAGTAAATCAGCCAACTGAGAAAATAAGATCATCATAAAAGGAAAACCCAGAATATTACCTGGTTCATTACTCCTGTCTGAATTCCCAAAGCATTTGACAAGTGACTATTATTTTCAATTTGACTATTGTCTAAGATACTGAAGAAAATAAAGTTTAGAGAAGCCAGTCTTCCTGAAGAACCCAGCTCTTTACTTACCATCTTCTGCTAAGACCTTGGCTGCATCTTTATCATCTTCCCACTTTCCAGTCACGAAGCAATCTCTGATACTGTTCATAACCTTACGCAGAAAAGTCAGCACTTAGGTGAGGTGTTCCAATCACTCAGCAAAACAACTCTAAGAAATGGCAGTAGGTGACAACTTGCCTTTAAATATTTCCCACTTTCATGGATATTCTCATTCCAAATGAGCCCAGAAAATAACTTTACCTTTGATGGAGACAGTATAACCACAGAGATAAAACACATTAAGCAGCAGACAGGGAAAGTATTAAATACTACTACTCTACTGACCTCATAAGTAAACAAACAGATAATTACTAATTCAACTGATTTTCAATTTTATTAAGGTTTCTAAGGCAATGCAATGAGACAGTAGTTTACAAAGTTGGTCTTGCTATTTGTTAATCTAAACCTGTTTGAAAACTGAATTCCTATAACATGGGAGAAGATATCTGCAAATTATGTACCTGATAAGGGACTTATATCCAGAATATATAAACAACGCATACAACTAAGTAATCCAATTTTTGAAATGGGCAAACAATATGAAGAATATGTACAAATAGCCAATAAGCACATGAAAAGATGTTCAACATCATTATCTATCAGGGAATGCAAGTCAATGCTACAATGAGATACAACTTCACCCCCTCTAGGATGGCTATAATCACAAAGACAGATAATAGCAAGTGCTGGTGAAGAACTGGTGAAACTGGAACCCACCTACAGTGCCAGTGGGTAAGTAAAATGGCACAGTCACTTTTGAAAAGAGAAATGAGACAGTATATAAGGGAAAAAAATCTTTAACTGTTTTCAGTAGTCATATTATTCTGACACTATTTTGTGTGTAATATGGGATAAAGCAAATGAGTAATTATGTGATTCTCTAATTTCATCATCTGCTGATTCAACCAAGGAATAATTCTCCAGTGGAAGAATGAGTAAGATGTAGTCCTGTATGTGAACTGGAAATATCTATATGAGCTCTCCTGGTTCAGGTCACTGAGAAGGCCTAGAAGTAATGACCAACTCATGGCAGTAGCATTCCTATGCCTAGGCTGTCACGTTGAAATACCATTTCCTACTAAAAGAAATCAGGATTTCTTATGGGTGATTCCAAGCGCTCTCTCATATCATAGAGCAAGAATTGATAAAGAATGACTATGATTGTAACATAAGGACTCAGGAGCTGGTGTGCACAGACTCTTACAGGCCACAGGTGGGATAAAGAGGAGCTTCAATAAGGGATAACAGGTGCAGGAGCACAAGGCACATCAACTACATTTATATCCATGACATCACAGTGAAACTTACAAACAAGTATCCTTTGGAGAATCACTCCACAAACTGATTAAAAAATCAAGCATGGGCTGGGTGCAGTGGCTCACACCTGTAATCCCAGCACTTTGGGAGGCCGAGGCACGTGGCTCAGGAGGTCAGGAGTTCGAGACCAGCCTGACCAACGTGGTGAAACCCCATCTCTACTAAAAATGCAAAAAAATTAGCTGGGCCTAGTGGTGGGCGCCTGTAATACCAGCTACTCGGGAGGCTGAGGCAGGAGAATGGCATGAACCCGGGAGGCAGAGCTTGCAGTGAGCTGAGATTGTGCCACTGCACTCCAGCCTGGGCGACAGAGCGAAACTCCATCTCAAAAAAAAAAAAAAAAAAATCAAGCATTTACCCTATATATATGGCAGTGGATAACCGAATAGAAGAGGAAAAGTTTCTCTTTAAAGAAGTGTTACAGCTAATACATAAAGAGAAATGATTGAATGGAACATCACCACTCTACATTCTTAAGAAATTGGTATGGTTCTAGGCATTGAGCACCAACAACTGATAACATCTAACAGCATTAAAAGGACACAACCAGTCTTTATGCGCCTCCTAATGAGAAAACACCATCACCTGGGAAGCAGTTTCGCCGAAAAATAAAAATCAAATTTAAATCCCATCCAACTGCTAGATGTTTTGTCTACAGGGTAACTAGAAATATGTGACTATTTAAATTAATCTTAATTAAGATTAAATAACATTTAAAATTTAGTTCTCCAGTCTCATTAGCCACATTTAAAGAGCTCAGTAGCCACAAGTAGCCACAACCCACAGCTCAGATATACATTCCTTTCATTACAGAAGTTCTATTGGTATTGCTCCATACCCATTCACAGGAAATACAGGAGGGCCTGGGAAACTCCAGAGGGATGCAAAGCAATCCACAAAATCCAGAATACAAGAAACTCTACAGACCAAAGACTTGGTTTATTAAATAAAATGTAACCAAAGAAAGAAATGGGAAGGAAAGACTGTTGACTAAAAATGTTAAAAGATAGACTGAAAAACAGTAATGAAGACCAAGTAAAAGTAAACTATGATGCTTATGGAAGCATGGAGGAGGAAACCAGGAAGAAAAGGAAAGCATCACCTTAAGAGGCTGGACTACACCTCCTTCTACAGGGAGGAAGGGGACTGTGGCTGGTGTCACAATTGAGCAGCAAAGCTTGATTTCCCAGCCTGAGTGCTGAGTACAGGGATATTCACCTTCTGGCAACCCATTAGGCTGAACAATTGTTTTTACGTGGTTTTATATATCTGTATTAAATTTCACCATAAAAAAATGGTTAAATAAAATCTCATAAAGTACATTAAGTGTTATCTGGCGAATTACAATAGACAGTATGATAGCAATTGGGCCTCTGTGAGAAGTGACATCTAAGCCAAACTGAATTGACAAAAAGAAAGCAGCCTTTGGAAAATCAGAACATTCCAGAAGAGAATAGAGAGAAAGGGGCTGGCGCGATGGCTCACTCCTGTAATCCCAGCACTCTGGGAAGTTCCAAGGCAGGAAGATCATTCGAACCCAGAGTTCGAAACTAGCTCAACATGGTGAAACATTATCTCTACAAAAAATGCAAAAATTAGCCAGGCCTGGTGGCTCGTGCCTATAGTCCCAGCTACTCTGGAGGCTGAGGTGGGAGGATCCCTTGAGCCCAGGAGGTCGTGGCTGCATTGAGCCATACACTTGTGCCAC
Organism: Homo sapiens; assembly: GCF_000001405.40. Taxonomy (NCBI): domain Eukaryota; kingdom Metazoa; phylum Chordata; class Mammalia; order Primates; family Hominidae; genus Homo; species Homo sapiens. The sequence continues at coordinate 42,799,163 of NC_000010.11, read as the reverse complement.
TACACTCCAGCCTGGGCTGCAGAGAAAGACCATATCTTAAAGAGAGAGAGAGAGAAAGAGAAGAGGTCTAAGAGGAGGGTAAGCTGTGGTGAGTTTGAGTACTGAATGAATTCCAGTGTGACTACAAAATGGTAAGCTGCAGGAAGAACATATACAGGTATCACAGATTTCTCTATGCTTACAAATAGCAGAAACTATAAATGTTAACTCAGGGATGCTACATATATCCTAGTGATAAGACACAAAATACATCTGATGTATAAAAACTTATGTGTGATGTTTCAAAATAAAGATGCACACTACTGTCCACACTGAAAGCTGAACCTGTCCTCTGTGGGCCATGTACATGGTCTAACTAAACTCAGAACATGTTACTGCTTAGGATGCATGAAGCGCCCACTACAATATCTGGGAGAATGACCTGTAATCCTGTAAAAATAAGAAGCCAACAACAGGTAAGCAATATTGACATCAGATAATCTTATTCTAGAACAATTCGCTAATTCTCTAATAAATCAAATGTACTACCCAGACTTACCTCCTCTAAATCCCAGTCATGGGGGGCCTCCACAAGAAATCTGGAGCAGTCCAAAGAGTCAGCCTTGTGCTTACACTCTCTGTCAGGCTGGTTGACACGAAACAACCCTCCAAGCTCTTCTAGAGTATCATCATCTTCTTCTTCATTATCTTCTGTCACTAAAGAGCACACCATGGCAGAAAAGTGAGAACAAAAATTACAGCCCTAGAGGACTCATCATTTTCAACCAGTTAGGCCATGAGTCTTTGAACTCAGGAACTGAGGGACTCTGTCTGTGGTGGGTATGGCAATGGCCACATAAGAGTTAGGCATTGAGAGGGCAGGGCAGCCACAGATGAAGAGAGCCAGGAAGCTATTGCTCTACATGTGTGGGGCTCCTGTGCTCCTGCACGGGAGCAGCTAAGAGGCCGAGGAGTGAGAATATTAGCGGTGAAGGGAGGGAAGGGAATTTAAAGGCAGAGCTTTAGATTATTAAAGAAGAGCTCTAAAGAGTGTTGAGCCTCTCATCACTAAGAGTACCTAGACAAAACCTGAATGAAAATCAGTATACAACAACCTTCCCAATTCAGTGGGCTGAGCCCAAATGTCTCACCATGTGGCCTTGATCTCACCATGCAGTAACCAGGGAGCACAATGTAAAGTTCACCACTATATATTTATTTTTGCATTAATTCTACCAGAAAGAACATATTGGTAAGTTTAGTAAAGCATAAAATCAGAGGACAAGGGCAAAAGGGAGAACAAAATGTGTTATACAGGGTTCTCATTCTCAGAAAGGAAAAAAATAAATATTTTTATGGGCAGGAATATTTTTCTGGCACTAATCTACAAAAAAATTCTCATGAAGGACTTTTAAATAGGGGACATAACATGATGCAATGGACGGTATTTGCATCAAGTTTTACAGCAAACCCATAAGTCTACTTTATAAGACCAATGTGTGGTCCTCATAAGCTGATGATTAGAGACATCTGTCAAATATGAAATGTGATGGACAGCAATTATGGATGTCAACAATACCAGCCGAATCCTCCAACCAATTCCCTCATCTAAATAATCAGAGAAACTAAAACATTTCTAGTTCTGAACCAGAATTCTTTACCTGTCCCATAAATAAGCTTTCGGAGGTTTGGAGCTGCTTGCTGCTGCCTCAGAAAGGCCTCAGCTGCCTTTCTGGAAAGGTCTTCCTTCCACTTGAGGGCACCTGAAACGACCAATGCCAACCTCCAGTTAGGCTTATTCATGTGTCTCCCCTCCCTTGAGATCCATCCACAATGCAGCTTTTCAACAGTTAACAAAATCACAGAATCAACAGACCCCTAAATGTAGACATTCCTTTGGTTACCATTTCGAGAGCCAAGTTCATAGCAGCAACCAACTACATTTAAGCTTACCTGACGTTTCTTTGGAATCATTATTTTCTTCCTTGTAATCTTCTTCCTCTTTGAGTAAATTTTCTATATCACTGGTCTCATCAATGAAGTTCTGTGGCCCCAGTTTCTGACCACTGCTCACTTGAGAAGGCTTTGAAAGCTTTTTTCTAATAGCCTCTTCATTTTCTGAGTCTTCTTCCTCTGCACTGAGTGAGGAGCTTTCTTCAGATTCATCTTCAGATGCAAACACCTCTTCAGCTGTGCAATGCCCAGAATCGAAAGTGGGGAGAGCTGCTTTCTTCATCAGCAAAGACTTCTCCAGATTCACACGGTCACTCTGGCAATTAGCTGGTGACAGCCCTGCTTTACTACCTTCTCCAGCAGCCTTTGATCCTGAAATGCCCTTCTCTCCTGCAGTGCAGTCCTCTTCTTCACTGCTTTCATCAGCTTCCTCCGCTTCCCCTTCTTCCGCTGAGCTCCTCTCAAGGTCATCGTCACTGTCAGCAAATGCTGGCAAATCCATTTCACTGTCTTCTTCCAACTCAAGTTTCCGTCGTTTGATGCCCTTAACAGCCATATACTGATCAGTCATCTCAGCATTTTCCTCCTCTTCTGCTTCCTCATCACTAGAGCCGTTTTCCAACCCGTCATCTTCAGACATTTCATCATCTTCTTCATCATCACTATCTCCAGATTCATCTTCATCTCCGAAAATGGCTTTCCGACGCATTCGACCAGTGTTCAAGTCCATTTGTTTTTCCTCCTTTGGCATCATTAGCCTGTATTACCAAGGAAATACAAAATAATTCAATTTGTACATTAATCAGCTAATCTAGAAATGGCAATATAGTCAATGAAAATACAAAGAAATAGAAAATGTCAAGGAATTGTTTAAGATGACATAGCATAGGGAAAATATGATTTGATAAACATTGGAAGAGTTAAGAAGCAAACTCGGGCATGGTTCCCTAACACCACACTTCAAAAGAACTTATAGAGAGAATAAAGGAATAACCCTTAAAAAACAAAAATCTAATTTTAGAAAAAAATTGCTCAAAAGAGAAGTTACTGTTTTGTAGATCTTTTGGAAAGCTGATTAATTTCTAAGCTAAAAACACATGATCCTTAAGAGAAATGGGTAAGTCCAGGCCCAAAGCAGAAAGAAGGCAAAATGAGCCTGGATCCTCTTGTTCTGTCAGAAAGTGAGAAATGCTCAAAGACTAACAGAGACAGTTGAAAGGACACAGGAGACAGGCTGAAGGCTCCTGCAGCCAAATCTGGGCCAGCATAGGCATCAGGAAGAATAATGATAGTGATGGAAAATAACCCATGGAACAAAACACAAGTGCATTAGTCAGCAGTGATACCGAAATAAAGGGGAGAAGAGAAAGCTCTTTGTTAAAAATGCCAGCTAACAAACGTAGGAGGAATGACAGAGGAAGAACATCCATTTTAAGTCACCAGTGCTATAACTGATACAGAAGAATCATCAGGAAGCTAAAATCACAGGATAAAAGAAAACTGTATGAAGCTATTTAATGTAGCAAGATATATAAAATTAAGAAAACATAAATTTGAAAAAACTGAAAATCATACCATAAGAGACGGGTAAGTTAGAATACAGCAATAATAGGCCAGGGGTAGTGGCTCACATCTGTAATCCCAGAACTTTGGGAGGCCAAGGCAGGAGGATTGCTTGAGCCCAGGAGTTTGAGACCAGCCTGGGCAACATGGTGAGACCTAATCTCTAGAAAAAAAAAAAAAAATTAGCTAGGAGTGGTGGCGCACTCCTGTAGTCCCAGCTACTTGGGGGGCTGAAGCAGGAGGACCACTTGAGCCTGGGAGTTCAAGGCTGAAGTGAGCCAAGATCATACCACTGCACTCCAGCCTGGGAGACAAAGCAAGATCTTGTCACAAAAAAAAAAGAATACACCAATAATAACAAAATGATGACTACATAAAGACTGTATAGAAGAAGGAAATGACAAAGGACTATAAATCATGCTGCTATAAAGACACATGCAAACGTATGTTTATTGCCGCACTATTCACAATAGCAAAGACTTGGAACCAACCCAAATGTCCAACAATGATAGACTGGATTAAGAAAATGTGGCACATATACACCATGGAATACTATGCAGCCATAAAAAAGGATGAGTTCATGTCCTTTGTAGGGACATGGATGAAATTGGAAATCATCATTCTCAGTAAACTATCACAAGAACAAAAAACCAAACACCGCATATTCTCACTCATAGGTGGGAATTGAACAATGAGAACACATGGACACAGGAAGGGGAACATCACACTCTGGGGACTGTTGTGGGGTGGGCAGAGCGGGGAGGGATAGCATTGGGAGATATACCTAATGCTAGATGACAAGTTAGTGGGTGCAGCGCACCAGCATGGCACATGTATACATATGTAACTAACCTGCACATTGTGCACATGTACCCTAAAACTTAAAGTATAATAAAAAAAAAAAGAAGGAAATGATAATATAGAAATAAAATTATGTATTTTAACTGTAACTATATTAGAGGAGAGTATTCTTGTAGACAAAGATGACTAGAAGGATATGCAAAAGTGAAAATAGCTAGTAATCCCATTATAAAGGAGTGATCTTTCGGCGAACACTTCGTACCTGTCAGGCATTCTGCTAGGTAGTTTATGCACATTGTACCAAATTACATACTAGATAATCTCAAAATTTTCAGATAAATTTTACTGGGAGTCATAAATCAATACAACAAAACCAATGTTTTGCAAACATCCACTGCATATAAAGGTATACAAATCCCCAACCCAGACTGGAAAATAATTCACATGAGCCATACATCCACGGAAACCTACCCAGAGGAGATAATACAACACAATCTAAATAAAACTTTCAGAGACAAGGCATGTGGCTTCTGGACAGCCACAAACTCCCTGACTTTGCTCTAGTGTTTTGGCCACCAAAAGAAAGCCAAGTGGCTTCAGGTCTCTTAAAAAACAAAAGGCAACCTATGGAAGATGGCATGGTATTTGAGGAATATTTGGGGTCTGTTGAAAAATGCATCCTGCAATTTATTTCAAGAAAAGACTCCCTTGTAATGTCAGGTAAGTGAAGAGCCCTCAGAGACACATGCACACACAAAGAAAAACAAAACAACATAGAATGAATCCCACCGAAATGTGTTATGATGGCTGAATTATGGGTGATATGATCTTTTGTAATACATCTTTTTATTAAAAATAGAAAAAAAGCAGACTTACCCTTGATTATCTATATCCTCTGACCCAAGTGGCTTGGAATCAGAAAACAGCGTCACTCGACTTGAAGCCATCTTGGCATCAATGGTGGAGTGGGTAGAGATGAGACTCTGGACCAGCTCATGGGTGGGCCCCACTTCATCCTGTCAAGACCACCAAGAAAGGGCACGTGAGGAAAGCACAAAGATCCTGGAGAGACACGAGCTTCACTCAGTTTCTCAAAATTATCTTAGACACATTTCCTAAGAACCTTTCTTAATGCCTCAAAAAGCAGAGAAGAAAATCCTTACAACAAAGCTTGAAATGGATCCCCATCTCCATTAAACTTTTCCAAAGTTCAGGGAGTATATAACCTGATAACCTAAACAACCTAGCTAGAAAAACCTCAGCTCCAAAGCTACAACAATGCTAGCTTTTCTAATATTTTAAAATAAGCCGATTTTAACCCAATAAAATTCCACTTCAGAACAAAGAAATAAATATTTGAAATCCACTTTAAAATACAGCATGAGGAGACCATTGTGAATGAGAAAAAGACCAATGAAAGCTGGAAAGCACACTGATTTTGTAGAAACGGGGATGGGCCGTGCAGGCGCCACACAGCAGCAATGCCTGTGCTGGGGCCATGGATCAAGGAGGAATGAAGGAGAGGACTCTTCTGCTTGGTACAATGAAAAAAAAAGTATTATTTTTATCCTATATATTTACAATATGCATTTGGGCCTTTATTATAAGTACAAGAGAAAAATCTTCAATAAATAAAAGCTGAGTACATTACTTTTTGTGATTAAAAAATAGATTCAGAAAGAATACTGAAAGTTCAGAGAAATGACTCCCGTCTCACCGATACCTGAAAAACGTGGCTGCCACCAAGGTCAACATAGACAGCGTCTTTGTCATACAGCACACCCCCAACTCCAGAAAGAGGCGCATAAACCAGCTTCTCCTTCTCATTTAAACAGCGCTTCTTTTGTTGTTCAGGAAGAGCGCAAGGGTCTGGGAGGAAACTGATGTCACTCACGGCAAAATCTCCTACCCCTGGAAGACAGAACCCAAAAGCCAGCTTCAGCTGACAAGAAGTCAGAAGCATCTACCATTGACTAGGGGGTTAAATATGATCCACAGTCCAAGGGCTTAACCCATAACACTAAAGAAGGGCATTGTGCCACACTGGAACAGTGGCCCCCTAGCTACAAGACAAGAGGTCAGAGAAGAGGGGATTCAGTAACACCTTTGCAGGCCTACACATAGGTGGCTTACTTTTAAAACCTCCAGCAAGGCCATCTTCCCTTGTTTGGTCATTTTTCAGTTTTCCTGAGAAATGAAGCCATCCCAAGAATCCTATGTGTAATTCTAGTATGTTCTACAACAAGAGAATACCTGGCATGTGAATTTGGCTTTTATTTTTCAAGTGTGCTCCTCTTAAATAACCATAAAGTGACACCTTCCGGTCACATTTGATGTTTGTTCGGATATCCTCTGGGTTTGTCAAATCTTCCATCCTAGAAAAATAAATTCAATCACAGCAGAAATGAATGCCAAAAGTTCCTATACCTCCTTTCATGTGTCAATGATTCATCACACTCTTGTCCATTAAGCACGTCATTTAGAAAACTAGAAAATGCAGAAATAAGGAGGCACCATTCACCATCCACCAGAGGAAAAGGGGCAGACACACAACTGTGTCTCTAGGCTGAAAGTGATATTCATTCCATAAGACACCAGACAGGGAGATGACGTCCACCTGGGGTCGGGGAAGAGTGAAGAACATATTCAGAAAATCCCTTTCTGGAAGAGGGCGAGCCTGTGCTCTGGGATTTTTACTGTGGCTTGGATTCTGGCAGGTGGAAAAAGGGAATTCCAGGCTGAGAAAACCACACGAGGAAGAGCACAAAGGAAGGAAACAGAAGGCACACACGAAGGACTCAAGCACCCGGGCATGAAGGCAGCATCACTGAAAACTGAGGCTGAACGTAGGATGGGGCCACATCCTGTAGCCTTAAATACTTCCAAGTTCTCCCATTTTCCTTAACATCTCATAATTAATTTACTCCCAAAGGCACGGCATCTTTGAGCAATGATATAAGTAGACATTTTCCATCAACTACACTTCTATCCCCCCTATTCAAATCGGCACAAAATAAATCCTATCACTGTTCTTTTTCTAGCCTTTTTAGCTTTGAAATATATGGCCCAGGAAGAAAAAGCTTAAAATCATATTTTACCTGTCTGCCAGGATATAAGGGTGAGAAGTTTGCCATGTGAGAGGCCTAAACTTCATAACTGTAATAAAACGGCCCAGATTGTGGATTTCTTGGTTTTGATATTCTCCATGCACCATTCCAGAAAGGTAGAACAGCTTGGCACCCTAAACATTAGAGGAAAATTAAAAATTAAATTTCAATTAAATTATCATCAATACTGCAACAAAATAAAAGCTCTAAACAAGAAGCAATCCTAAGAAGGGAGACTTCCAGCAAAGCCACTGTCCTGAGGCTTCCAGAGCCTTGCTGGCTTCTTTCAGGATTTATTAGAACCCCACAGAGGCAGACTGCTCTGCAGCCGAGCCGGGGCATCCATCTAAGTATGGTGAGGAGAGGGAGGTGAGGCGTCTGAGCACAGAAACGGTTCTGTGGCCAATGGTCCAGAGCAGTATAGAAAGGAAGGGGCAGTGCCTGGTCCTGTAACTGGGAGAAACTTCCGAGGTACTCTATTAAGTCCTGACCCCAAAACAGCCAGACACTGCCTGGTGCAGCAGGTACAGAGAGAGACAAATGAGATACACCAAGAGGCCCCAAACAAGCACTCTTTTGAGGGAAACCTTCCAGAAAACTGAACACACACACAAAGGAATTCAGCAGGCCAAAGACTGAACACATACACAAAGGGAATTCAGCAGGCCAGAGACTGTGAACACACACACAAAGGAATTCAGCAGGCCAGAGACTGTGAACACACACACAAAAGAATTCAGCAGGCCAGAGGCTGAACACATACACAAAGGAATTCAGCAGTCCATAGACTGTGAACACACACACAAAGGAATTCAGGAGGCCAGGGACTGTGAATACACACACAAAGGAAATTCAGGAGGCGAATCCTAGAGAGACGTTTAGTAATGTCTCTTTAGTATTTTTTTTTTTTGAGACAAGCGTCTCACTGTGTCACCCAGGCTGGAGTGCAGTGGCGTGATCTCAGCTCACTGCACCCTCTGCCTCCTAGGTTCAAGCAATTCTCACTTCTCAGCCTCCTGAGTAGCTGGGATTACAGGCGCACGCCACCACACCGGACTAATTTTTGCATTTTTAGTACAGATGGGGTTTGGTCATGTTGCCCTGAGCTCAAAACTCTAGGCTCAAGTGATCCGACCGCCTCTGCCTTGCAAAGTGCTGGGATTACAGGTGTTAGCCACTGCACCCGGCCTCTTCAGTCTATTTTAAAAGGATTATACTGTTAGTATCCAACAATTATTTCTCTTCGTACCGGGTAAACTTCCGTCCAGAACCTGTGTTTTAATCGCTTCTTTGTCTTCTTCAGTTGCTTATTATGCTTGAAGGAGTCGAGGTGGGTGAGAACTCCCATAATTTTAGGAAAGCCATGTACTTGACAGATGTTTAGAAACTCAAACGTTTCCATTTCAAACCCAAAGCTGGCATCTATAAGCATCAGTACCTAAAAGCAGAACACATAATTTCTCAAAGAAACTACCAAAACAGACCACCTACACTAAGGGTTGGCAACTGGCCACGGGCAAAATCCAGCCCATCACCTGTGTTTGTAACTAAAGTTTTATTGGAACATAGCCACATTAATTCATTTACATATTGTCTATGGCTGCCTGTGCACTACAACTGCAGAGCTAAGTAGCTGCAGAAGATATGATCCACAAAGCCAAAAATATCTACTACCTGGCCCTGGACGGAAAAGTTGCACTCCAGACTAAATCAAATGACTACACAGGCATCACCCAGACAGAGAAACCACCACCCTCTGACTTGCTCTAAAAGCCAACCCATAAGACAATGTCCACTAGGATATAAACTTCCATTATAAGAATTTTAATGTATGAGAAGTAACTCAGAAAAGGCTGGGTCTAACCTGGCCCTTACCTAAGAAATCCTAATTTAAAGAAATCAAGTTTTCTGTAAGGTATTTTTAAGCCAAATAACAGGTCTCTGGCATCCAAAGAATGGGAAGAGAGTCATAATCAATGAAATACATTAAATATGTACAGAAAACCAACCTCTTCTTTCAATCGCCTCATAGAAAAAAAAACCACAATCTGTTTTTTGTTGAGAAGTATGCAGTGGAAACCTCTATCTTATATGTTAATTTGGATAACTCAATTGCTCAGAAATTTTTTTTAAATAGCTACCAGTTTAGAATTAGGTAAAAAAAAAAACAGTAAGATTACGATGAATGGTAGTCTATAAGAAAATATAAGCAGATGAGACCAATTTTTAAAATTTAAGATGCTTCAAAGATGCAAAATAATTTCAGAATTGATTCCTGGAAATTTCTAGTTTAAGTATTAAAAACATTTCTGTTCTTATCTTTGCATAGATAACTAAAAATAACAAAAAAAATGGAAACAGAAATGCCCATCTTTGATTAAACTAGGAAACATTCAAAATCCGAAACCACAGAATATATGAAGGTGGGCTTGTGAGAAAGCACAGCTGCTACTGTGGACTGAGGCAGCAAGCACAGCTTTTCAGCAACACTGGACCAGCTCAAAGGACAGGCGGAATATCCTCACACTACATTTGATGCCACAGAGTGCCAGGGGGCAAGCAGCTGATTGTAGGGTCAGGAAGAACAGGGAGCAAACAGTCCCTCAGCTGCCAGTCTTTGTCATCTAAGCCAGTGTTATTCCCCTAATCTACACACGCCTGTACACACCCAAATCCACGTACTGTGTGTGCCTTTGCTGTACACAGGAGGCTTTGGCAACCCACAGCAGAGCAGTCAACATAAGCTAGGCTAAATAAATTATGGTGCCTCCATAGAATGGAATATTATATTAAAAAGGAGACAGAGCTGCAGTACTTACTGATTATATACCTCCAAAATACATTATATGAAAAAAGCAAAGCATAGAACAGTGTGTAAAATAAGCTACCATTTGTTTTTAAAGGGTGGCATGTGTGTTTATATGTATCTAAAAGGATACTGCTCTGCAGGGATCTGAGAGACCAGCGGTTATACTAAGGAAAAAGAAAATGCACATTGTGTGCACCCTGCATTACAGTTAGAGTACTTTACCAAATGTGTGTGTTCCTTTTGAAAAATCTTTAAAAGATTTACATAATGGGCATCTCTCTCAATGATGGTTAAGAGGCTGGGAAGGGGAGCAGGGAGGGAGGGACAAAGAGGGAAAGGTTAACAGGTACAAAAATACAGTTAGAATAAATTCTGGTGTTCAACAGCACAATAGGGTGACTATAATTTATTATATAATTCAGAATAACTATAAGAATGAAATTGAAATGTTCCTAACACAAAAAAATGATAAATGTTTGAGGTGATGGATATCCTAATTACCCTGATTTGATCATCACACATTGTATGCTTCTGTCAAAATACCACATGTACCCCATAAATATGTATAACTATTATGTATCCATAATAATTAAAAATAAAAAAAAGTAAAGGTATCTCTTAATATGTATGTCTTTAAAATTAGAAGCTTGCTACATTTTAAATAAAAGAGAAACAAATGACTTCTATGAACTATTTCAATCATTTCAAGTATACAAGATTTAGTAAGCTTACACTACGTTAATAATAACACTTATTTTTACTAATATTAACATTACATGTTCAAAATTTGAATGTTATTTAGTTTTCTGACATTACAATGGCACAACTTTAAAATCTGTATTACTTTTTACTTTATATTTTAGGAGTCTTCCTGGGCCAAAGTATAAAATCTGTAGCTCTTTGTCACCAAACAGGTGTCTAGAAAAAACTAAATAAAAATGAAAAAATCAAGGTGTCTGTCACCCCACACTTCCTAATCAATATGGCTTATTTTTTTGCTAATTTGTATTTTATTTTTGCTAATTTAAAAGATAGTTAATAGACTATCAGAATAGTGAACACTATCATTTCCATAAATGCAAGAGCATTTACATTTTCCATACACTGAGGACTGTCTAGACTTTTTATTGATAAACTGACCACTTCTTCAGGGCAATTCATGTACTTACTTCAGCATTATCATTAAGGATGAAGGTTCTGGAACCATCAGGAACAAGGGTCCCAACTTCACACAAGTTACTTAACTGCTGGCAGGCTCTATTTCATCTTATGTAAACTACAGATAATACCTACTCACCTCAAGGGTGTATCAAGGGTTTATGTAAGCTAAATTTGTAGAAAGCAGTTAGCACAGTGCCAGGAAGAGTCCAAGAAGAAATGGTACTTACTATGATATATTTGTACGTATATATGTATACATATTAATGAGCTCTTATTAGTTGTGTTCATTAAAGGTTTTCTCCATCCTGTGATTTGCTTTTAGATTTTGGAACACATTTCATTGTGCACATTCCATTTTTATTATTAACATAACAACATTTATTACCATAATTATCATCAATTCAATCATATCTACCGTATCACTGATGATGACCATGATTCTTTTAATAATTATAAGACTCTCTTCCCTTCATCACGGGGTAAATAACCTATCACAATGCTGTAAGTCTCCATCAGCACCCCAGGCTGCCCCTGCTCACTTACCAGATCTGCTACTTTAGCCAGATCAATCATCATGTTAATGTCACACCCACATTCAATAATGGTGAGTCTGCGCTTTTTACCTATAAGTGAAAAGATGAAAATTTTACTTTAAAAAGACCCTGAAAAAACTCTAACCATCAACTCTTAATTTTCATTTTTTAACTGCATCCAGTAAAACATCATATACATTTACAGGAGCATACAAGAAGTTCATTTTTACAGGCAAAAACTGATAAAATAAAATAAATTCCATTCTGTTTTTCTTGCTGTGTTCTAAATTTAAATAACATCAAAAGTCTACCCAGATGAATAAAAGTGCTCAAAAAGGGAAAATTCTGACTGCACAGACTCCATGATAACCATGATCCTGCTGTTCAGCTGCAGGCCCAATGTCTTTGCCTCTATCAAAACTTCCCGTATTCCCACTAGAGCTACAAACATCCTCAAACATAATGCAACAGAATATTCATAACAATAATTACTTCTAAATTAAGGTAAAAATAAAACAGTCAAGAAAATATGGGCTGGGCACAGTAGCTCTCGCCTGTAGTCCCAGCAACTTGGGAGGCCAAGGCAGGCGGATCCCTTGAGCCCAGGAGTTTTGAGACCAGCCTGGGCCATATGGGGAAACCCCATCTCTACAGAAAAAAAAAAAAAAGGAAAAAAAAGAAAAATTAGCCAGGCGTGGTGGCATACACTACTCAGGAGGCTAAGGTAGGAGGAATGCTTGAACCTGGGAGGTAGAGGCTGCAGTGAGCCGTAATCACACCACTGCACTCCAGCCTGTACCACAGAGTAAGACTCTGTCTCAAAAAAGGGAAAAGAAAATATGGATGCTCCAAAGATAAAGAAAAGCCTCAATCCAACTATATTATTGCAATAACAAGAGATTTCAGAGTGTACATTGCCATTCTACCACTGGAAGTTTGTTTCATTTTCCCTCAAACTCGGAAAGGTCACCATCTCCCAAAGCAGACAATTCTCACAGGAAAAAGAGAAAACTCGCACTTCCACCAGAATGTGGCTTCATAAGGCAAGCATATGCACCTGGCACATAGGAGGTGCGTGCTATCTGTTAAATGATGTGTTCACGGTGACTAGGCCTGCTAGGCCCTTCCAAGGAACATGTTTGGCAAAGCCAAAGAGCAGTCAGGATAAGACATAGTGAACATTATCATTTCTCATACAAAAAATGGAGGAGGAAACCAGGAAGAAAAGGAAAGCATCACCTTAAGAGGCTGGACCACACATCCTTCTACACGGAGGAAGAGGACTGTGGCTGGTGTCGCAATCGAGCAGCAAAGCTTGATTTTCCAGCCCGAGTGCTGGGTTCGAGTATCTTCCTGCCTTGGAACCTCCCAGAGTGCTGGGAGGAAATGTGAACATTATCACATCCTTATCTCTGGGAACTTACCCTTTTCTGAAGCTATAGCCAACTTAGTAATACTAAGTATAAGAGAAGTCCCATGATATGACAATATTTAACATGTTCCACTCAAGAAAACAACAAACGCATGCATGTCCCTCAGATGACAACAGCCACGCCAACTCTGTGTCTGTGGTGGCATCTCCTACCTGACACAATCGTCACAGGGCCTCTGATCTCAGTCAACTTCTGCCGGGTAAAGTTCCGAATGAGGCATTGTATCAAAGTGCTCTTTCCAACTTTTGGAGGTCCCATCACCACTACCACTATTGGTGGGGGCTCTAGTGGAGTTCGATCAACCACTGGAATATGATGCTTTTTTGTCTTCAAATCCTGAGTCCTATTCATTAAAAAATAAACAAATAAATAAATAGTAAACTCATTTTCAAAATAGAGTAAAAGGTATCAACCTTATAAGTAGACTTTTTTGGTACACTTATAGCTATGAGTACTTTAGCACATTTTATAGAGAGTACAACAGACAATATATAAATATAATTAACTTGTCAATTATTAACTTGCTAACTTCTGGCCCCATCCAAATAATTGCTGTTCAATAAAGATGTAACAAGATGACTTCAATACTATAGAGAGCGAAAATTAAACACTCCTTAAATCTGACTGTTTTAAGAGTGATTTTAATAGTTTTTTAAAAAACCAAAAGGTAAATAGCGAGGCAGTACATCATAGCAGATAAGAGCAGAGGCGCTGGAGTTACATTTAGCTCTCCTACTTACTGGTTATATGATTGGAGGTAACTTGTTTTCTTGATCTCAGTTTTCTTACCCATAAAATGAGGGCAAGAATGATTCCTACTCTGGTAAGGCTGCTGGAAGGATTTAGTTGAATAATGTTTAAAGTACACTGCTAGGCATATCACAAGGGCTCACTAAATAAAGCTATGTTAGTATTAAATATTGTAATTTTTGTATTTTATATTACAACTATGTAAAACATACCTGGGGGGAAAAAGCACACTTATCACCATAGAAACAGTTTAAAATTTAGGAACAAACAAAGTCTATAAATTCTTGTATCCTGGGCAATAAACACTAACCAGTATGCAGATGCTGGAGGCAAGGCAGCTTCTATGGGAAAAGCTTCTCACGTTTTAGTGAAAGCCACACACCATGAATCTCCATGTCCTTTGGAGCTGGACTAGACTCGTGAATCCAAATGTCACCTGTGAGAGGCTCCTACTATTTAAAAAAAGAATCAATGGAAGAATGACCAGACCGTAGCCTAACATACCTGTGAAAGGATCGAGCCATCCGCACAGCAGACTGAACTGCAAAAGCTTTGGGATTTCTCTTCCGGGCATCTTCTTCGTCTCCTAGCTGGAGATCCTGCAGAAGCCGCTTCTTTTTCTTTGCAGCTTTGGGTCCACTGTTTTTCTTTCTGTGTTTCTTCTGGTCCTTAGCCTCCATAGTGGCTATTTACCAATAACAAGTAACTCTAACCTACAAGGAAGAAGGTTGGGGTAAGGAGATGGGAGAAGCATTTTACAATCCAGGCAATACCCAGGGAAAAACAGTAAATTTCATTTATTTCTTTATGAAGAGATGATGTATTTGTTCACTGAACAAGGGTAGAAACTGCTTAACCATCCCCAATTTCATTTCTCTCTGTTATGCTATAAATTAGATGAGTTACCTCTCTTAAGATTACATTTTATGGTTAAGTTACTTTTTATTCATCTTAAGTGTCAACATCAGCAGTATCTATTTCTGCAAGGATAGAAATATACTATATCTGTACTTTTCAGCCATTTAGCCATTAGCCACATGTGGTTACTTACAATATACTTAGGGAAACTGAAAAAATGAGTTTTTAATTAATTTCATTCTAACTCCAAATAGTCACATGTGGCTACCATACTGGACAGCTCAGACCCAGGTATCAACTGGACTGATGAAGTGGTTTCCTAACTTAAACTAAAACTTAAATTTTAATAAAAAAATGTGAAACGTTTTTATGAACCTCCAATATGATCGCAGTATTACTTTTAGTACCTGTTGACTCTGTAAAACTCCTAAATTACAACTTATCTACATACATTTGAAAAATAGAAATAGCTGTACGTGTGAGATAGGACTGGTTCTAGATGACACCTGGAGACCCCATGAACTTACAGAGACCCTTCCAGTGATTTCTGAGTTACCTGGGAATCTGTGGCTAATAAATTGGCAATCACTGAATTAGTGAGTTATTTTAGGAAATCGGGCTGCATAAAATCTGACAGCTTGATTAAAAAAAAAAAGCGGAGCAGGATGCCATTTCATTCAATTAAGGTACTGTATTCATTCCGTTGAATAAATATTTGTGTCTGTCTACGATGTGCTAGGCACTGTGCCAGTAAGTGGATACAGCTATTATCTGACTTGCAGAGGAAATCCAAACTATTATCTTCCGCGCCACGCAATAAGGGCGACATTGGAAGGCTGCACAGGGTGCTACTGGAGCACGGAGGTGAGTCAGAGGCTTCCCACAGACACACACCAGCGGAAACAAAGTCTTTATGTATTACCATAATGTCAAGAACACTGGCCAGGAGTTAGGAGAGCTGGGCGCTAGGAACGCTTTGAAACCGAATAGCTGTGTGATTTCAGAGATTATGTTTCTTCTCTGCTATATTTTAGTTCAGCACTTGTACTAATGTTTCTCTCCCTGTCTTTCTTCTTGGTGGGAAAAGCACAATTTGGGGTCAACAGATCCAGCTCAGGTCTAAGTCTCCTACCGGGACCACGTCGCCAGGAAACGACGTCGCCCAGCCACCTTCCCTCCCCGTCTGGGCTCTCTGCAGGGATTCATCACGTCACTCACCCAACTACCCCAGGACACCTCCGCCAGATGAGAAATATGCCGCTCCTCGGGAGCAAAGATGACCCGGAGGACCGGGGGAGGACCTTCCCACACGCACGACTCGCGATCTTCCCAGTGCCCCAGAACCAGGGACCCCACCGCCGCCTACCCCAACCCGCAGCACCGAACCTGCTCGCAGCCGCGACTCCTCAGGTCAGCATGGACACCGCCGGAAACGGAAATTCACAGTCGCGCTGACTCGCCGGAGGGAAACAAGAAGGCAGAAAAAAGAGACCGGCATGGGGACGGCTTTCAGGGGAGAGCCTGAAGAAAGAGGGCTGAACAGCTGAGTGCGGACGCAGGCGCCGTCCGCGCAGTGCGTTCCACCGGGTCCAGGTCCTTCCAGATTCCTCTCCACCCCGCCCTCGGAATCCGCGGCCTCAACTTCCGCGGTGGGACTCCGGAGCAGCGTGCGCCGCGCTCGCCTGAGTTCTCGCCGAAGGCCAGGGCGGCTCTGCGGCCTGGCGCCGGTTAGTTAGTGTGGTGCAAAAGCCGGAAGGAGACACATTTGGTCCTGGCCTCCCGGCAGTCACCGTGCCAAGGACGAATGGACTATCGCTTGATTTGGAGTACACTTCCTCCTCTTTAAAGATTACAGATGAGGGGGATCTCGCGTTCTGGGGTGCCCTAAAGCCCTCTTTTGGCAGGGCGCAGTGGCTCACGCCTGTAATCCCTACACTTTGGGAAGCCGAGGAGGGAGGATTGCTTGAGCCCAGGAATTCAAGACAAGCCTGGGCAACATAGGGAGCCTACCTCTCTCTCTTAAAAAAAAAAAAAAAAAAAATTAGCCGGCATCGTGCCGGGCGCCTGTGGTGCTTGTGGTCCCAGCTACTCTGGAGGCTGAGGTGGGAGGATCGCTTGATCCCAGGAGGCGGAGTCTGCAGTGAACTGAGATGAGCCACTGGACTTCAGCCTGGGCAACAGAGCAAGACACTGTCTCTAAGAAAAATAAATAACATAAGGCCCTCTTTTGCCAGGACCAACAAACCGTGAGGGCAGGGACAAACTGACCCAGCCTAAACTGCCTCGCCCTCCCTAAACCCGGGAAAGGGGCTTTACCTGAGTGAACGTAGCATCTTGCCGTTTTCTTACTGCACAGCTTTACCTTCCCAGGGATCCGCCCATTGCCACCTGAGGAAATGCCTTGGAGTCCATCTAATCCCCAGCCCAGCTACTTGGGAGCCTACAGAGCGTACATTGTCAGAGGATGCATCTTCCTTTAGTCTTGGAGGGTTTCTTTTCAATATGATCCCGCTGGTGCATTCAAGGCTCAATTCTACACCAAAAACTAGGCCCACTCCTGTCACGAGAACCCCAGGCGTCAGGTCTTCTCACAGGCACCTTGTTCTTGCCCTCAGCAGCCCCCAGGTATTCACTCTGCATATTCTAGATACTGGGTGCTGGACTTGGGAGGCTACCCACGTGGCACATGCTTCCCTTATCCCTGAAGAGCTTAGAGTGTTGTAACTTCTTCACACTACACCTCTTACTTCTTGAAGATTTCAGTATCCAGGTAGATAATCCTTCCAACATCCTTTTGGTCTCATGAAGCCCACTCCTGTCCTCTGCCCTACCTCAGCTTCCCCCTCCCTCCATGATCAGACCTTAGACCTTGTCAGGTCCAAGGACTGCAACCCCCACAGTATCCCACTCTGACCAGGTCTATCTATCCTCCTATCTGTCCAGGTCACTCCCTATACTGCCCTGAAACAAAACTCCTGCAACCTTACCAGCACCTCCAATCAAGATCTTACTACTTGTTCACTGTTTCTTCCTTTATGACCCTCTCTAGTGAGCCAGCTTAAACTCAATGGCCAACCATTCTCATTGATCCCTTGCACACCTCCTCAACTCATGCACCTCCCTGTCATCTCCTATCTGCTTGGTAAGATGGGAGCCCTGGATAAACCCAGCTCTCCATCTATTCCATGCCACGACGATGCAACTAAACATGGCTGGAGGAAAACAGGACCATGCCAGCCGTCCTCACTTTAATCATTCTTTGCCTGGTCTATTCAATCTCCCATTGTTCCAAGTGAGTATTTCGCACTTCCTCCTCTCTGTTCAATCCTTCCCACTGCCTCTCCCTTCCTTGCCTCCTGCTTTGCTAAGAGAATAGAAGTGGTAAAAGTCTTCCACAGACTCCCACGTCCACCTCCACCCATCCGCCTCTTATTGCCTCCCTGTGACTGTGGATGAACAACTGCTAGGTCCACCCAAAGAATCCTGCACTGGACTGCTGGATCCCATCATCTCTTACTGCTCCAGGGTGTCACTCCAGCCAGCCTATCCTCTCTGCAACATCAGCAATATTTTCCTTTCTACTGGACTCTTCTCATCGTCACATAACATGCAGCTATTTCTCTCATCTTCAAAACAAAGAAATTACTCGACCCTATTTCCTATACCAGGACCTGCACCTTTTCTATGTTCCCCTTTGCAGCAAAACTTCACAAAAGAACAGTCAATACATACTCTGGCCCCTCTCCTATTCACTTTGATTCACTTGTCTCACAGGACTCCACCTGCAGCCCTGGATGCTCTTTCTCAGCTGCTTTTGCTGGTTCCCCTGCTCTCACCTGTTTAAATTAGAGTGAGGCCATAGGTTTCGGGCTTCAGTTTTCTTTTCTTCTGTGTCTATACTTATTCCCTGGATGATCTAATTCTGTCTCAGTTTTATATGCCATCTGTATCAGTTATTGATATGTTTTGGGTCTGTCCCTGCCCAAATTTCGTGTGGAATTGTAATCCCCAATGTTGGAGGTGGGGCCTGGTGGGAGGTGATTGGATCATGGGAGCAGAGTCTTCATGAAAGGTTTAGCACCATTCATCTAGTGCTGTTCTCATGATAGAGTTCTCACAAGATCTGGTTGTTAAAAAGTGTGTAGCACCTCCCCCCACCACCTTTTCCTGCTCCAGCCATGTAAGACATGCCTGCTTCTCCTTCACCTTCCACCATGATTGAAAGTTTCCTGAGGCCTCCGCAGAAGCTGTCATGCTTCCTGTACAGCCTGCAGAATCGTGAGCCAATTAAACCTCTTTTCTTATAAATTGCCTAGTCTCAGGTACTTCTTCATAGCAGTGAGAGAACGGACTAATACAGTTATCAATTTATTGCATCTCTGCTACAAACTCATTCTTCATTGCCTGCTCTGCAAAAATGGAACTGGGCCATTTAAATATTTTCCTCTGACATTATGTTAGGTTTTGTCAGTAGAGAGCAATGGAGAGACTTTGTGGGCGAAAGCAGTCTTTGTTCCTGGTTCTCCTATGCTCCCTGGCCTGGCTCCTGCAGGTGGGTGACTTCTCCAGAAACACAGTGGCCAGTGCCCAGCAGGTCCCACTCCCCTCACCAGCTCCAGGCAGTTTTGTTATAGAGTAACTCTTTTGAGACACCGCTCCTTTCCCCAGCACCTAAAGAAGTATTTCTAGTAAGTTCCAGTGGTATAGCACCAGTGACTCTCCTGACATGCAGAGGGCCATAGCTGGGTTCCTCTGATGAGGTGTAGGGGCAGTGCACTAGGAGGAGAGGACTCTCCTGGGCTCTCTACCTCAGCCCTAGGCTAGTGGTTGCTCCTCCTATACTTCCTACTAGTCTGTGCCTGGTTACTCCACTTCCCTGTTGCAATTAACACTTCTTTATATACATGTTTCCTGTTCAAATGACTGTGTAGCTTCTCTTTCCTAATTAGACTCTGACCAATACACTATCATTTGCCAACAACTCCCAAAGTTTTATCAATGACTCAGACCTCTAACCTGAACTCCAGCTGCCTCCATGACATATCCATTTGGATATTTAATAGACATTTCCAAAGTGATGTGCCAAACAGAACTCAGGATCTTCCCTCTCAAACCAACTGCTCAGCAGTCTTTTTTTTTTTTTTTTTTTTTTTTTTTTTTTTTTTTTTTTTGAGACGGAGTCTCGCTCTGTCGCCCAGGCTGGAGTGCAGTGGCGCGATCTCGGCTCACTGCAAGCTCCGCCTCCCGGGTTCACACCATTCTCCTGCCTCAGCCTCCCTAGTAGCTGGGACTACAGGCGCCCGCCACTACGCCCGGCTAATTTTTTGTATTTTTAGTAGAGACGGGGTTTCACCGTTTTAGCCGGGATGGTCTCGATCTCCTGACCTCGTGATCCGCCCGCCTCGGCCTCCCAAAGTGCTGGGACTACAGGCGTGAGCCACCGCGCCCGGCCATCAGCAGTCTTATAATCTCAGTTGATGGCAATTCCATCCATAAAGATGATTAGTCAAAATGCCTCCCACACACCTTTGTCTATTCGCTTTTTCTATCCTCCATTTCCAATCCATCAGAAAATTCCTGTTGACTCTACCTTTGAAGTACAACCAGAATCCAACCACTTGTCACTACTTCCACTGCTACCCCTTTGGGCTGTGCCCCATGCAGTCACACATGGATGACTGCGAAACCTTTCCCTTGGCCTCCCTGCTCCCACCTTTGCCCTTAAACAGTCAGTTTTCAATGAAGCAGCCAGAGGGCTCCTGTTAAAACATAAGGCACCATTGGTAATCTAAATTGGTAGAAATGCTTTGGAAATGGTTCAGCATGTCTATTATTACTGAGCATGCACTTACCTATGAGCCAGCAACAGAAGTAGATACAGAAAGGCACATAGGAATGTTTGGCTGGGCGTGGTGGCTCACGCCTGTAATCCCAGCACTTTGGGTGGCCAAGGAGGGCAGATCACGAGGTCAAGAGATCGAGACCATCCTGGCCAACATGATGAAACCCCATCTCTACTAAAAATACAAAAAATTAGCTGGGCTTGGTAGCACACACCTGTAGTCCCAGCTACTCGAGAGGCCAAGGCAGGAGGATCGCTTGAACCTGGGAGGCAGAGGTTGCAGTGAGCCGAGATTGCGCCACCGCACTACAGCCTGGCAACAGAACAAGACTCCGTCTAAAAATAAAAAAGGAATGTTCATAGCATTATCCAAACCGGGAAAAACCCAGACATCCACCAGCAAAAACCTAAAGACAAAACTGTAATATATATTTGCAATGGAAGGATATAGAACAATGAAAATAACCACCACATGCACCAACACAGAGGATACTTAGCGAAAGAAGCCAGACACAAAGAAGAACATACCAGATGATCCATTCAAAGCTTGAACCCAGGCAAAATTAACGTGTGGCAACAGAAGTGAAGATAATTGTGACTTTTGTGGAGGAGGGAATGTACGACTGGGTGAGGGCTGTTCTGTTGCTTGTGCTAGCTGATGAGTGTGTTTACTTTGTAACAATTTACTGAGCTTTAATGTGGCAAACTGTGCTCCTAGCTATTTAGCCAACTGATTTGAAACTTTTGTCCATACAAAAATATGTATAGCAGCTTTATTCATAACTACCCCAAAGTGAAGTCACTAAGATATCTTTAAGCAGATGAATGGATGAACACACTGTGGTATCCATACAATGAAAATCATTTGGCAATAAAAGGAAGTGAGCTATTGATTCACACTATAACATGGATGGATTTTAAATGCATTTTGCTAGTGAAAAGCCATCCCCAAAGGTTCTGTTTATATTACATTCCAGAAAATGAAAAACTGTAGGGATGGAAAACAGATTGGCAGTTGCCAGGGGCTGAGGAAAAGGACAGATTAACTACATAGAGGATGCACGAGAGAATTTTAAGGAGATGGAACTGTTCTGTATCATACTGAGGAAGTGCTTACATGACTGTATCCTGATCAAACCCATAGAACCATACATGAGGAAGGGGGATCTTTAATGTATGAGAAATTTAAAAATTAACCAAGATGTCTGGAGAATCCCAGGATGGAATGCAGCTTGTAACAAATGACCTAACTGAACTATAAATGTATGACATAATGTCACTGGAGCATGTGGAGAAAAAACAAACTGGCCTAAGTAACTTTGGAAAGTGATATTATGACTAGAAACTGAAAGGCTAAGGATAAAAGGAATTGTCCACAAACATTGTACTATAGTTGGTAAATTTGTTTCTCCAAGGGATATGCACTAACAAGTCAGAGATGGCTTTACCTGCATATTAAGGTTGAATAAATGAGTCATGGATAGTGAGAGCCAGATTTCTCACTGTTGGAGAGAGAAGTCACAGTGAGCAAGCTAGAATGAACATTGTGGTACTGGATTAGAGTCAAAATTGTGTGTGTGTGTGTGTGTGTGTCTTAGCTCTGTTTGCCTAGTATGCCCAAAAGCAATGACATCCTAGCATTAGTGTGCACACTGAGCTCCCAGATCTCGGTTTCTAAAACCATTCCCCAATAAAAGGAACCAAAGCTCCTTGGAGAAATGGCTGAGTCTAGGGCTAGGGTAGGAAATATGTAAGAGGAGCCTGAAGCATCTTGCAGTGCCAGAAAGTAAGGAATTGCTACAAACTGAAGGATATTGGTGTGTCAAAAAGGCCAGAAGCCAACTGAATGAGCTCCCAGTGGCTGAGCTCCCACCAGGGTGAGCTGGTGGGAGGCAGGGTCTGGGTGAGAGGTCTGGTGGGAGCTGAGGGCATCACGTAACTAACCAGGGAAATCCTTGGAATGGGAATGAGGCTGGCAGAAACAAGAAATTGGCAGAATGTTTAGGAGAAGCATGCATTGGGTGGACATTCGTGTTGAGAAAAAGAATGACAGGGCAAGGGTATTAATCAGACGTGGCAGAAATGGAGGCAGAGGATGGAAGGTTTTCTGACAGCAGGTTGTAGGGGGCAGAGCATCAGGGAGAAGTAGCCCGTGGAAACCAGGTCCGAGCAACGGTCCCTGAAGGGGAGTTTGGTAGCAGGTGGGGTTTGTGAGAGATCAAGAAAGGAGATTGCTGGGCAACGTGTAGGGGTTCCCATGGTCTCTGGGAGTTAGAAAGGACGAAGGGATCTTAGAAAAGGGAACTTTGGTTAGTGAGTGAATGTGGGGCCCTTTGGCCATAGGTAGGAGCTCTGTATAGCAGCGGTGGCACTGGCACACTGCTCAGGGGGCTCTGTCGAGACCCATCAAAGGCCCTGTTCTCCTGCTGTTTGGTTTTGAAAGGAAAGGGTTCATCAGAGCCAGGTCAGGGATTTCTGCAGGGAGGGAGCCTCACTTGGGGGCTGATTGGAGGTGTCAGGTAAAATGCCCTCCTTGAGGAGGGATTGATTCAAGTGGGAGGGGCAGGAGCCCTCATCCAAAGGCAGTGTCTGGAGGTAGGTGAACCCAAACTCCACCTACCTTGTCTCTTATTCCATTGGGGCTGCTCTAACAAAATACCATAAATTTCTGTGGCTTATAAACAACAGACATTTATTTCTCACATTTCTGGAGGCTGGAAGTCCAAGATCAAGGCACTGGCAGATTCCACATCTCCTGAGGGCTGCTTCCTTATAGATGGCAGCTTCTAGATTTTTCCTCCCATGGTAGATGAGGAAGCCCTTTTCTCTTCAGCCCATTATGAGGGTACTAATCCCATTCATGAAGGCTCTACCCTTATGACCTAATCACCTCCCACAGGCCCCACCTCCTAATTCCATCTCATTAAGCTTTAGCATATGTATAGGTTGGGGGTGGTTTACAAACAGTCCAGAGTACCTTGTGACATCCTAAAGGCCAGAGTCAGGGTGAGAGGGCCCCTTCCCTCTTCCTCTTGGAAAGTGAAGCAGGGAATATGAAGGGAAATCAGAGTCTGTTTCAAAGGATACTGCGCATTAGTCAAACACCCATATTACAGATAGAAAGCCTGATGCGAAGAGAGCAGGGAGAATGGGCCAAGGCCATACAGCAATCCAGTGGTAAAGGGGCCAGCTCATATCTCTGCATCAGGAAATAGAAACTTTGAAAGCACCTGGCAATGACTATAATGATACAAGTGACCACTACTACATGCATTCTTCCATTTCTCACAACCACCTGTGAGGTCAGTTTTGTGTAGCCCGTTTGACAATGAGGTCCGAGAGGAACGCAGTGTGTTGTGACTTTATTAAAGTCAAAACACCTGCCATCAGTGCAGCCACTGGCTAAATTTCAGGTGTGCACACAAGGATTTTGTTAAACTTCACGAGTGGTTCTCGGAACCAGACCAGGCACTGAGGAGTGAGGCAGCTTTGAGGAGGAAGTGGCACTGATGCTGGAAACTTAGGTTCTGATGGGGACAGACCTAGAAGAAGGATCACTAAGAGTGACAGGTGGGAGACAGAATGAAATCATTCAGAGGAGGGAGAGGCAGCTTTCCTCTGAAGGCTGAGGGGGTGGAAGTGAACTTCACAGATGAAAGGGGGCTCAGAGTCTAAACATCTCCGAGAGCTGAGAAGCTATTTATCTGGCCTCTGGATGTGTATCTAAATGTATATATATATATTTGGTCAAAATGAAGTCACTTACAGACTGTATTTAAGTGAAAAGATTCTGCAATTTACCACCTGCTGGCTCTAACCCAGGATGGCCCAGCCCTTCCTTAGTTTGCACTTTTTTCCTCATGAAGTTGAATTGTTTTCATGTTTTTAAGTTATGCATTTTGTAGTCAGTGAGTTGTCATTTTACATTTTTTGCCCACATCTCCTTCCCTTAATAATTATGGATTGTTATCTCCCATTTACATCCAGGAAACTTCAAGAGGTTGCTAAGGGTCTCCTTCAAGAAAGGGTTTGTAGCTTATCTGAACTTGTAGATTTCTTGGATAATTTGATGCATGTTCAGAAAAATGAATTTTTTTTTTGCTTTCGCTCACATCAGTATTAGTCTGTTCTCACACTGCGAATAAAAACATACCTGAGACTGGGTAATTATAAAGGAAAGAGGCTTAATTGACTCACAGTTCCACATGGCTGCAGAAGCCTCACAATCATGGCAGAAGGCAAGGAGGAGCAAGTCACATCTTACATGATGGCAGGGAAGAAAGAATGAGAGCCAAGCAAAAGAGGTTTCCCCTTATAAAACCATCAGAACTTGTGAAACTTATTCACTACCATAAGAACTGTATGGGGGGAACCACCCCCATGATTCAATTATCTCCCACCAGGTCCCTCCTACAACACATGGGAATTATGGGAGCTACAATTCAAGATGAGATTTGGGAGGGGACACAGCCAAACCATATCAGATCCAATTTCACATATTTTTGGACCCAGGAAACCCCACTAAGGCCAAGATTACATATGCTTTTCCAGAGTCTGCTTTTGAAGTCTTCAGGAGGCTCCTGTGGAGAAAGGAGCTGCTGTCCAAGCCAGAGGGCCTGTGGGTGGGATGGGCAGCTTCCTCCACATTCCCTGTTTTCCAGGCTCAGGGGGGCAGCCACTGGGAAATGGGATGCAGTCAGGTCACTTGCAGGCCATTCGCCCAGCAGAGAAGCCACCAGGGTGGGAAGTGGCTCACTAGGATGAGTGCTGGGCCAGGTCTGGTCAGTGTGACCACCTTGTCCTGAGCTTATGATGATGAAGCTGCAGTCGGTCAGGGGCACGCAGAACAGAGTGCAGCAGTCTGTGTGGTCTCACCCCCTGCAGCGGCATCTAGATGCTCTGCATGAAGGACAGGAGTGTCTCCATATCCCAGGGCTTCCACAGCAGGAAAAGAACTGACGAGGAGCAGTTCCAGGGATGGGAGAAGACAGAAGGACAAGCCTTGCTGTAAACTCAGGACAAGCCTCTTGGAAACAGTTTCAGAAACAGGCTGGAGGTGGATATGAGGAGGCAAGAGTAGAGGGGCTGATGGCCCCAGTCAATCAGTGGATGGCACTCCCAAGGCTCAGGAAAGCTGCCCAGGGTGTCTAGGCACCCCTTTAGGTCTCAAACGCTGGTATGCATCGATTCTGGAAGGCTCGTTAAAACATAGATTGCCAGCTCCACTCAGGTTTCTGATTCAGAGTGCTTGGCTTGGTGCTGGGAATTTGTATTTCAACAAGTTCCCCAGTGAGGCTGTTGCTCCTGGTCCTGGGACCCCTCACTGAGAACCAATAATGTTTCAGGATCCTTGGGGTTTCACTTTTCTGGCCAGAAACCTCTGTGGAGGGTGGAGCCATTGCCCAATATTTGTTCAGGACCAATGGGCTTGTTCCACTCACTCAGCTCATTCCACTCACTTGGCCTGGCAGGCTGCACTCAGCTCACGCCACCAGCCTGGATCCCAGGCCTGCCAAGGGTAAGCCAGGCATGGAGTAGTGAGGGGTGTGTGAGCAAGTGAGCATGGGGTCTGGTCACTGCACAGTCAAGCATGCCGGCTGCTGCAGTGGGATGGGCAGTTCCAAGTGCCGGCATGGGCACCAGCTCTCTGTGAAGCTGTGGCTGAACTAGGGACACTGCAAGCAGCTTCCACAGCTGCCACCAGGGAACACAGTGGTGCCCAGAAGCTTGAAGATTCCAGGAACCACAAGGCCCCAAAGAGGGAGTCAAAGCCCTGGCCTGGGGAGCTCCCAGGTCTGGGCTCCCTGAAGGGCTGCAGCTCTTCTCTCCTTCCCTTCATCTGCAACATGGGGAGCAAGGGACATGTATCAGCACTGTTTGTGTTATAACTCTTTCAGCCCTGCTATTCAGCAAGTCCTGAGTTCTTGTCCCGCATCCAGGAAGAATGAGGTACACAGACAAGTGAAGAATGAGCAAGGTGAAGAGGTGCTTTATTGAGTGACAGAATAGCTCAGAGGAAGCACCGGAATGGGTAGCTCCTCCCTGCAGCTGGTCATCATGTTGAGTGTTCAGCAGACAGGAGGCCCTGAAGTGGGTGGCTCCTCTCTGTAGCTAGTTGTCCTGATGTCTACTCAGCTCTGGCTGAGCCTGGGGCTTTTATGGGCCTCAGAGGAGAGGAAATGCCACCCTGATTGGTCCATGGACCGCCACAGGTGGGCTGGAAAAGACATCACAATTTCCCACTATGGTCCATGGGACTGCCGTCCTGGCCACCAGCCTTCAGGACATCCCTGACCTGAAGGTGGGGCCTCACCAGGGACCTGCCCGCCCCCCCACCCTATAACCTGTCTGCCTCCTGCTGCTTCTCATGGCGCCAAGGCTGTAGGTGCCAAGGGGTGCCTGCAGGTCAGCGCCAAGCTGCCCTCAGGCCCCCATCAGCTTCCCTCCTATGCTCATCAGTGCCTAAAGTCTGGAGGGTGCTGAGGTGGCAGCGGGCTGGTGTGTCAGTACTGCCCCAAGCAGGTGCACACCCAGCTAGGCTGTGACAGCACCCAGGCTTAGCTGGACTTTGCTCTGAGATTGGAGGGGGTGCCAACAGCAAGGAGAAGCCAGGCAGTGGGAGCAGGCATTTTCAAGCCCGCAAGGGGGGGCCTTCCCTGGCCCCCAAGGGTGCAAGGATGCCTGGGTCTGCAGCCACAACTTGGGCAGCTACAGCTGTGCCCAGAGTGGGTGTGGCTCCTTCTTGCTCCATGGAGCAGGAGGGCTGGGTCCATAGCCAAGAGTTGGGTGGCTGCGGCTGCATCCAGGGAGCTCCCACCCCACCAACTCTGAATGAGTGGGGCTCCCATTTGTCTCCAGCTGCTGCTGGTTCCACAGAATGTGCAGCCCTGGCTGCACCTCCTTGCCACAGCCAGTGTGATGGCAGCAGCCACTTCAGACAGGCCACCACTGCCATCAATAAGAGGTCTACAAGTTCCTGGTTTCCAGTGTCCTGGCTGCTATGAACATGGTACCCATGTGGTTCATCCTGGAGACATGGCTTTTGCCTATAACTGTGGCTCACCAAATCCTGCTGCATGACACAGACCATGACCAAGAGCCGATAAGAGCCACTCCTTGGATGTAACAGAAACCAGCTTAATGCTGCTTGCAGGACAGTTCTTTGGGTGGCTTGGGCCAATGCAGTTCTCCCCACCTTTTTTTCTTTTTTTTCGTTTTGAATGGAATCTCACTCTGTTGCCCAGGCTGGAGTGCAGTGGTGTGATCTCGGCTCACTGCAACCTCCGCCCCCAGGGTTCTAGCAATTCTCCTTCCTCAGCCTCCACAGTAGCTGGGATTACAGGCACCTGCCACCACGTCTGGTTAATTTTTTTGTATTTGTAGTAGAGATGGGGTTTAGCCATGTTGGCCAGGTTGGCCTCAAACTCCTGACCTCATGTGATCCACCTGCCTCAGCCTCCCAAAATGCTGGGATTACAGGCGTGAGCCACCATGCTCGGCCCCCACTTTTTTACTTATAGTTCTCGAGAATAACTATAGAATGTGCTGAAAATGCAACATCCTGAGATAAGGAGGAACTGACCAAAACAGCCCAGGCTCTGTTCTTGTTCCCTCTAGAAACAGAGTGTTCTCCAATGCTTTAGCCCAGCAATTCCCACTACCCTTGAGTATAACACCCAGCGCCAGCTGCTCTGCAGGGTCTCTTAGTTGTGGTACAAGTGGAGCAAACAGATGAGAGTCCATCCACTCTGGACAGCTTTCCTGAGGCTTGGAGGACTGGCTTGTCCTGAAACCTAGGCTTCTATTGTCCCTCACAGCCAATCTGTAAGTAATAAACCCACTTCAGGTCACATGTTTATGGAGTGGGCAGTGTGTGAGGCCCTGGGGTGATTCAGTGAATCACATCAGGTGAGCATGAGGGGCTTCCTGGGAGAGGGGAAAGCCCATGTCAGGAAGGAAGGCCAGGAGAGGGGACCTGGTGTGGCAGAGGGCACTGTCCCTGGGGGAGTGGTGAGAGCCCTTAAGAGAGGAGGTTTGGATCCTGAAATCAGCAGGGAAGCCTGGAAAGATTAGCTGCGGAGAAGCAGACAGGGGTTTCAGCCTAATGCCTTGCTGGATGAAGAACTGCTTGGGTCAAATTTGCCTTTGAATCCCGGAACGTGGTGCCTGGTTTTCCCTCTGCATGTTGCCCTGTTTCTCAGCCACCTGTGTGTGTGGGTCCTGAGGTGGGGCCATCATGGTACACTTGAGGAGGGGCTCCATGTGGGACTCCAGGGATCCACAGTTCAGAGCTGGTTCCTCAGGGAGTAACGAAAGGGGTGGGGAGGAACCCAATCCTGGGCCTGGGAATGGGTACAGCAGAAAGTGAAAGTCAAAAGTGCAAGCAATGAAGAAAACAGTAAAACAGCGCCAACACTGCGCATGTTCAGTGGAAGGCAAGGCACGCCTTGCATTTGCAGTCACTAAGTCACACCACCTCCTCAAAAACCCTGGGGAGTTGGTGCTGACTTCCCAAGGCCACGGAGCCAGCAGTTGCAGAGCAGGATTTGTGCTTTCCTCAGCCAGGCTGTGCTGCCCTGCCACGCCCGCGCCAGGAGGCCACGCCCCCAGTGGAAGGCCATGCCCCCACGGCTTGCAAGGCTGGACTGCAGGCGGGTGAAGGACTCGGTGTCCTGTCTTGTAATTTGTCTCTTAAGTGTGACACAAACACACACACACACACCACGTTTGAAATTTGCTCCATGACACTCAAGTTCAGAAATCTCATGTAACTTTAATATTCAAAATCCATGTCAACCCCAATCATGTTTGTGGGGTTCTATGGGGTCTCGAATGAGGAATAGCTAGCTGGATTCCAGTCCACAATGGGCACCCTCACTGTTCGGCAGCATCCTGGGCCACAGTCCTCACGACTGGCTGGGCCAAAGAGACCCAGGACGCTGCAGGTTAAAGGCCAAGGCACTGGCCAGCCCTACGCCCACCAGCTGGACCCAGCCCAGTCCTTGTTCGTCCTCAGCTCCTCCTCCGCCTCAGGGAAGTCGCGTCCTGGTCAGGAGGACCTGCAACAGCCCACACTGTGTCCTTAGGGCGAGGGGGCTGTAAGAGTTAAAGAAAGGAAAGAAACATGAAAAGTGGCTCAACAGTCAAAGACAGGTTTATTTTGGAGAATAAACCTGAGGGGCTTCTAGCCTATTTCTGTCAGGAGCATTCTGTCTTACAGACTAGGAGTGTTTTAGGGTGAGAGAGCTTATCACAGATTTGAAGTGTTTCTGTGTGGGGGAGAAGTTTATGGCAGGGTTGGAATGTCTCCCGCGGGAGGGGATGTTATCTCAGGGCTGGCATGTCTCTGGTCGGAGAGGGGTTTATCTTAGGGTTGCAATGTTTCTGGTCAGAGATGTCATTTGTGGTTTATGGTCATGCTGACCGTAGCCATCAGGCTGATGACCTTTAGATTTAGGCAGTTTTTGATCAAGGGGAACTTTAAGATGGCGGTGCTTGTACAAGATGGAGATGCCCCTGCTCTGTCAGGGGCGAGGAGAGGCAACTCTGGGTGAGACCGCAGCAACAACAGCAGCAGAAAGGACCAACCTGCAGCTGGGCGCAGACCAGTCGGCAGGTCCTCCTGACCAGGACGCGACTTTCCTGAGGCGGGGAAGGAGCTGAGGACTAACAAGGACTGGGCCGGGTCCAGCTCGCGGGCGTAAGGCTGGCCAGTGCCTTGGCCTTGAACCTGCAGCGTCCTGTAATCCCAGCACTTTGGGAGGCGGAGGTGGGTGGATCATGAGGTCAAGAGATCGAGACCATCTTGGCCAACATGGCGAAACCACGTCTCTACTGAAAATACAAAAAATTAGCCAGGTACGGTGGCGGGCGCCTGTAGTCCCAGCTACTTGGGAGGCTGAGGCAGGAGAATCGCTTGAACCTGGGAGGCGGAGGTTGCAGTGAGCTGAGATCGCGCCACTGCACTCCAGCCTGGCGACAGAACAAGACTCCACCTAAAAAAAAAAAAAAAAAAAAAAAAAAAAAAAAAAAAAAAAAAAGTACCAACCTGCTTGTTTTTGGTGCATTGCTATAAATAACTCTTCCGTTAAATAAATGTACGGGCTAACGCTGCTGCTTTTGCTGTGAGGCTCTCATCTCAGCTTTGGAGGACGGAGACCAGTTGCTGGTAGCGTTCACTCACTCAAGCAGAGAGGGACTTCTGTGGTCCCCACAGCACGCGATTGGCCGGCAAAGGGCCTCGCAGAGGATGGACGCCCGCAGGCGGCCCTGCTGGGAGACGCCTGCCTGGGCAGCGCCTCTTCCCCACCGCCTGTCCTGGGCTGGCCCGCCTTCTTGGTTTAGGAAGCCAGATTCTCTGGTCCCGGCCGACTGTGCTTAGCCATTGTTTGTTGTTTTTTTCTTTTTTTTCCCTTTGAGATAGGATCTCGCTCTGCTGCCCAGGCTGGAGTGCAGTAATGAGATCTCGGCTCACTGCAGCTTCAAACTCCTGGGCTCAAGTGATTCTCCCACTTAAGCCTCCTGAGTAGTTTGGACCACAGGTGCGGTCCACCACCGCCCAGCTAATTTTCTTTTTTCTTAATAGTAGAGATGGGGTCTTGCTACATCGCCCAGGCTGGTCTTGAACTCCTGGGCTCCAGCAATCCTCCCTCCTCGGCCTCCCAAAGTGCTGGGATTACCGGCATGAGCCACCACCCGGCCTGCTTAGCCACTCTTAAGAGAGCGTTTGTTAGCGACAAATTCTCTTAGTTTTCCTTCATCTGAGAATGCCCATTTGTCCATTCTTGCAGGGCATTTTTGTTTGATGGGGTTTTTTTTCTTTCAATAAGGGGAAAAATGTGCCACTTCCTTCTGGCCTTCAGAGTTCCATATGAGAAATCTATTGTCACTTGTGATGTTTTCCCTTTATAGATGAGGTGTCATTTCTTTCTCACAGCTTTCAAGACTTTTTATTTGCCTTTAAGTTTACAGAAGTTCAACTATGATGTCCCTTGGAATGTCTTTGTGTTCATCCTGTTTGGTGGTCACTAAGCTAAGCTTCTTAAGTCTATAGCTTTGTCTTTTGCCAGAGTTGGTAAGTTTTTGGTCATGATTTCTTCAAATATGTTTCGAGGACCACCTCTTTGTACTCTCCTTCTGTGACTGCAATGGCAGGAATGTCAGGTATTCCATGTGGATCCCACAGGTCCTGAAGTTCGTTTTTACAGCCTGTTTTCTCTCCATTGTTCATATTGCTCTATCTTCGAGTTTACCAATTCTTTTCTTGTTACCTCCATTCTATTGTTGAGCTCATCAGCTGAGTATTTTAAGCAGTCAAATGCTTCATATTTTAGTCCAGTTTTAGATTTACAGACCAGTCCAGCATGTGGTACAGAATTCCATCTGCTCACCCCACTTCCCTGCCTGTTTCCTCTATTGTTAACGTCTTGGATTGTGGTGGTACATATGTTAAAATGAATGAACCATTATTGACACATTATAAATAACTATCGTCTATACTTCACATTAAGGTTCACTCTGTTGTACAATTCTCTGAGTTTTGACAAATGCATAAAGGTATCCGCCTTTACAATTTCATATAGAATAATCTTGCCACCCTAAAAATCCCCTGTACTTCACTCATCTATCCCCCTCCCCCAAAATTTCTGGCAACCCCTGATCTTTCTACCATCTCTATAGTTTTGCCTTTTCCAGAATGTTATATAGTTGGATCTGTACTATATATAACCTTTTCAGACTGGCTTCTTTCCCCTAGCAATATGCATTTGGATATCCTCTATGTCTTTTCATTGTTTGATAGCTCATTTCTCTTTTTTTTCTTTTTTTTTTTTTTGAGACCAGTTCTCATTCTGTCACCCAGTGGTGCAATCAAGGCTCCCTTGCAGCCTCAAACTCCCAGGCTCAAGCGACCGTCCTAGTTCAGCCCAAGTAGCTCTTCCCTTCTCTTCTCTTCTCTTCTCTTCTCTTCTCTTCTCTTCTCTTCTCTTCTCTTCTCTTCTCTTCTCTTCTCTTCTCTTCTCTTCTCTCTCTCTCTCTCTCTCTCTCTTTCTTTCTTTCTTTCTTTCTTTCTTTCTTTCTTCTTTTTTTTTTTGATGGAGTCTCACTATGTTGACCAGGCTGGACTGCAGTGGTGCGATCTGCAACCTCTGCCTCCTGGGTTCAAGCAATTCTTCTGCCTCAGCCTCCCAAGTAGCTGGGATGACAGGCATGCCCCACCATGCCTGGCTAATTTTTGTATTTTTAGTAGAGATGGGGTTTCACCATATTGGCCAGGCTGGTCTCGAACTCCTGACCTTGTGATCTGCCCACCTCAGTCTCCCAAAGTGCTGGGATTACAGGCGTGAGCTACCGCGCCCGGCCTCTTTTGGTATTTTTTAATCATGTTGCTCATTTTCTTATTGTTGAGTTTTAAAAGACTTGTATATTTTGGATACAAGTCCTTTATTAAATATGTATTTTGGAAATATTTTCCCCATCTCTTGCTCCCATCTTCATTCTCATAACAGTTTTTAACTTTAATAAAGTCCAACTTACCAATTTTTTTCTTTCATGCATTGTGCTTTTGGTTGTGTCTTATTTATTTATTTAGAGATGGAGTCTCACTCTGTCACACAGGCTAGAGTGCCATGGCACAATCTCAGCTCACTGCAACCTCTGCCTCCCAGGCTCAAGCAATGCTCCCCCATTAGCCTCCCAAGTAGCTGGCACCACAGATGCGTACCACCACACCTGCTAATTTTTTGTATTTTTGGTAGAGATGAGGTTTCACCATGTTGCCCAGGCTGGCCTCAAACTCCTGAGTTCTAGCTATCTGCCCGCCTCGGCTTCCCAAAGTGCTGGGATTACAGGTGTAAGCCACTGCACCTGCCCTTAGCTGTATCTGAAAACACATCACCAAACCCAAGGCCACCTGGATTTTCTCCTTTGATCTTCTAGATTTTTTTAAATTATTATTATACTTTAAGTTCTAGGGTACATGTGCACAATGTGCAGGTTTGTTACATATGTATACATGTGCCATGTTGGTTTGCTGCACCCATTAACTCGTCATTTACATTAGGCATCTCTGCTAATGCTATCTCTCCCCCATCCCCCCACCCCATGACAGGCCCCGGTGTGTGATGTTCCCCGTCCCTGGTGTCCAAGCGTTCTCATTGTTCAATTCCCACCTATGAGTGAGAACATGCGGTGTTTGGTTTTCTGTCCTTTGTGATTCTGCATTCTACATTTAGATCTTTGATCCATTTTGAGTTTTAATTTTTGAGAAGGGTGTAAAGTCTGAGCTTAGATTCTTTTTTTTTTTGTACATGGATGTTCAGTTTTTAAGCACCACTTGTTGAAGAGACTATATTCCTTCATTTAATTGCCTTTGCTTCTTTGTCAAAGCTCAGCTGACTATATTTGCCTAGGTCAATTTCTGGGCTCACTCTTTGGAACCACTGATCAATCTGCCTGTTCTTTCACTAATGCCATGTTATCTCAATTATTTAGCTGGATAGTAAGTCTTAAAGTTGGGTAGTGTCAGTCCTCTGAGTTGTCATTCTTCAGCATTTTGACTACTCTGAGTCTTTTGCCTCTTCATGTAAGCTTTAGAATAAATGTGTTGATATCCACAAAATAACCTGCTAGAATTTTGATTGGAATTGTGTTGAATCTATAGATCAAGAAGGGGAGTATTAACGTCTTAACAATACTGAGTCTTGCTATCCTTGCACATGAAATATCTATCGATTTATTTAGGTTTTCTTTGATTTCTTTCATCAAAGTTTTGAAGTTTTCCTCATATAGATCTTGTACATATTTTGTTTACTTTATGCCTACATATTTCATTTTGGGGGTACTCATGTAAATAGCATTGCATTTGAAATTTCAAATTCCAATTTTTTTCATTGCTAGCATATAGGAAAGCAAATAATTTTTAATATTAACCTTATGAAAATGGTGTAGATTTGTGTCCCCACTCAAATCTCATGTTTAATTGTAATCCCCAGTGTAGGAGGAGGGTCTTGGGGGAGGTGATAGGATCATGGTGGAGTATTTCTCCCTTGCCATTCTTGTGATAGTGAGTTCTCACCAGATCTGATTGTTTAAAAGTATGTAGCACCTCCCCCCTTTTGCTCTCTCTTCCTCCTGCTCCAGCCATGTAAGACGTGCCACCTCCCTCTTCACCTTCTGCCATGATTGTAAGTTTCCTGAGGCTTCCTCAGCCATGCTTCTTGTGCAGCCTGAAGAATTGTGAGCCAATTAAACCTCTTTTCTTTATAAATTACCCAGTCTCAGGTAGTTCTTTATAGCGGTGCAAGAACAGACTAATACAGAAAATTGGTACTGGGAAGTAGAGCATTACTATAAAGATACCTGAAAATGTGGAAGCAGCTTTGGAAGTGGGTAATGGGCAGAGGTTGGAACAGTTTGGAGAGCTTAGAAGAAGACAGGAAGGGCCAGGCGCAGTGGCTTATGCCTGTAATCCCAGCACTCTGGGAGGCTGAGGCAGGCGGATCACAAGGTCAGGAGATTGAGACCATTCTGGCTAACACGGTAAAACCCGATCTCTACTAAAAATACACACACACACACAAATTAGTCAGGTGTGGTGGCATGTGCCTGTAGTCCCAGCTACTTGGGAGGGGCTGAGGCAGGAGAATCACTTGAACTCAGGAGGCAGAGTGGTGAAAGTGGGCATCTCTTGTTCCAGATCTTAGAGTAAAGGCTTTCAGTTTTTTTCCCATTCAGTAAGAAACTACTTGTGGGTGTGTCTTACATGGCTTTTATTGTGTTGAGGTATGTTTCTTCTATACCCTGTTTTTTTAAGGGTTTTTACAATAAAATGTTGAATTTTATCAAATGCTTTACAGCATCAATTCACATTATTATGAATTTTGTCCTTCATTTGTTGATATGATGATCACATTGATTTGTGTTATGTTGAACCATCCTTCCATTCTTGGCATAAATTCCACTTGGTCATTATGAATAATTTTCAATATGTTGTGGACTTTGTTTTGCCTGTAAATTTTCTTGAGGATTTTTGCATCAATTTTCCTTAGGGATATTGGCCTGTAGTTTTCTTTTTTAATGTGTCTTTGATTTAAGTATCAGGCATTGAAATATTTCTCCCTCCTCTATTTTTTGGAATAGTTTGAATAGGATTGGTATTAGTTCTTCTGTAAATATTTGGTAAAATACAGCAGTGAAGCTATTGCTTCCAGGATTTTCTTTGTTAATACTTTTTATTAAGGCTTTGATCTCATTATTTGTTATTGGTTGGTTCAGGTTTTGAATTTCTTCATGGTTCAATCTTGGTAGGTTGAACTACTACAAGAAAACACTGGGGAAATTCTCCAGGACATTAGACTGGGGAAAGATTTCTTAAGCAATACTCCACAAGCACAGGCAACCAAAGCAAAAGAGGACAAATGGGATCTCATTAAGTTAAAAAGCTTCTGCACAGCAAAAGAGACAATCAACAAAGAGAAAATCCACAAAATGGGGAAACATATTTGCAAACTGTCCATTTGACAAGGGATTAATAACCACAATATATAAAAAGCTAAAACAACTGTATAGAGAAAAATCTAATAATCTGATTTTAAAATGGGCAAAAGGTCTTAATAGACATTTCTCAGAGAAGAAATACAAAAAGCTAATAGACTTAGGAAAAGGTGACCAACATCACTGATTATCAGAGAAATGCAAATCAGAGCTATGAGGATATATCATCTCACCCCAGTTAAAATGGGTTTTATTCAAAAGACAGGCAATAACAAATGCTGGTGAGGATATGGAAAAATGTGAACCCTTGCATACTGTTGGTGGGAATGTAAATTAGTGCAACCACTATGGAGAACAATTTGGAGGTTCCTCAAAAAACTAAAAATAGAGCTACCATATGATCCAACCATCTCATTGCTAGATATATACACAAAAAAGAAAATAAATATATCGAAGAGATAGCTGCACTCCTATGTTTATTGCATTACTATTCACAATATCCAAGATGTGGAAGCAACCTAAGTGTCCACCAACAGATGAATGGATAAAGAAAATGTGCATATATACAATGGAGTACTATTCAGCCATAACAAAGAATGAGATTTTGTCATTAGTGACAACATGGACTGGTGCCGGACGACATTATTTTAAGTGAAATAAGCCAGCCACAGAAAGAAAAGCTTTGCACATTCACACTCATTTTGGGGAGCTAAACATTAAAACAATTAAACTCATGAAGATACAGTAGAATGGTTGTTACTTGAGGCTGGGAAGTGCAGTCGGTGGGGGGAAGTGGGGATAGTTAATAGGTACAAAATACAGTTACAATGAATAAGATCTATTATTTGATAGCACAACAGGGTAACTACAATAGTTTTTTTGTACATTTTAAAATAACTGCGTATAACTGAATTGTTTATAATACAAAGAAATGATAAATGTTTGAGATGATGGATATCCCATTTACCCTGATGTCATTATTATGCATTGTATGTTTGTATCAAAATATCTCATGTACCCCATAAATATATATGCCTACTATGTACCCATAAAAACTGAAAAAGACCCATAGACGGTGACATCTGGGGATTCCCCTAATACAATAGCGGGTTCTGGCTGATCATCCCACAGGGAAGCCACTCAGCAGCCACACAGTTCCCCTTACGCACACACCCCTAGTAATCAGCTCTGTTAGTGTATAAACATTAAAATATGTGCAGACAATATCACAAGTCATACGGGAAATGGAAAGCAAGACCACAGTGAGGTACAGCTTCATACCCATTAAAATGGCTATTATAATGCAAACAAAAAAAGATGGAAAATAACCATCTGGTACGCAGATTATGTTACCTCTGGTCATATGCACTAAAGAAGAGGGAGAGAACTCAAGGCCTCAGAACAAGAGAGAAGTCCAGGCCAGGCTCTGGGCAGTAACTAGTCATGTGGACTCTGAACAATTACCTCATCCTTCATGGCCTCAATTTCCACATCTGTGAAATAAAGGGTCTGGCCAGGAGACACATAACAGCATTCTACATGTAACTGAAGAAATAGTGCCATGGATAGGTGAGGGAGGGTAATTAATGGAATTGCCTCTAGAGGGCAAATAAGTAACAGAATTGCCCCCAGTTTCTCCACGGCTTTCTAAAGAGGGGTAAAGACTTGCTGGATGCCAGATGTCTTCCAGGGATCCCAGAGAATTGGTCTAGGGAGGCAGTGCTTTACTGTATTATAGAAGAGGAATTAATCACACTAATTGCTTACTCTGTACTTTTGCTTAACGATACAATATAAACAAAT
Source organism: Homo sapiens (assembly GCF_000001405.40). Lineage (NCBI taxonomy): Eukaryota > Metazoa > Chordata > Mammalia > Primates > Hominidae > Homo > Homo sapiens. The sequence continues at coordinate 42,761,079 of NC_000010.11, read as the reverse complement.
ACAATGAGAAATAATTTTAAAGCAATCAAAGCGCCTTCAAGTTATTAAAGCTCCTGAAGAATCAAACATTACATCCATATATAGAATTATTATACGAGGCACAATTAATGATTTGATTTATAGATATTTTTATATAGGTTTGATATGCAACAAGTCTAGGGGTAAAAAATCAATAAAATCTGCCTTCTAATAAGCAGGGGTTTCTGCCTTTTTCTTAAAAAATAAACTATTATATCAAAATGGTAAAAATGAACATTTTAAAATAAAAATTATCAACATATATTATCATTCTGCCTACTGAATTTTAATTTATCCTCAAAGTTCAAAAAAAAAAAACTTCTTTCTCATGCAGTTTCCCCATATCCCTAATTAGGATGAATTATTGAAGCATCCTGGGTGATTCCTGAACACTTTCGATCCTTCAGTTATTCAGGTCCAGTTTAATGGCACCTGAGAACAATTATATACCGAGAACTGTGCTAAACTGACAAAGGCGACCAAAGAGCTTATACAGGGACATACCTGTACCCTCACATCAGCTCCCAAGTCTCCAGAGGGAAACGGAGAGGACATGATGAATCAGCTCTCTTTTTACTGTATTATGCTTGGAAAGATTGTTATGGAGACACAGAAGACAGATAAATCAACCTTGCCTGGAAAACTGGAAAAAGGTTCAAACAGGAGGCAAATTTAGACCAATATGTATCAAGAACTCGTTGATTCTTACAGGAGGAGGATATTACCAGACAGACAAGTGAAATGACAAAGCCATTCTAGAAATAGAAAAGGTAAGGAAAAGAATCAAGAAGTGGAAGTTAAAGGCCAGCTCTGGGTGCTTTGTGACCAGAGCCCAGTTGGCAGTGGGAAGATTTATGTTCTATACTAAGGACGTTCTCTGTAATGACAATCCACCCTGTTGCACTAATAATTTAAGAGCATTTATATGAATATATACAATTCAGGGAAAGATAAAGAGAAAAAATTGCTATCAACTCTGTGCAGATTTGGAAACTGGTATCAAAGGAACAGTTTCAGCTGCATTTCTTTGTCTAGAAAGTTTCATTTAAAAATGTAGTCTACTAACTTGAGCCTCAATTTTTGGCAATAAACTAAAAAACGCTACACAAACCATCACAGAATTCACTTTGTCCTTGCAGGAAAGAAAAAAGAAGAAAACAAACCTCCATGTGAGAGGGGGTCTAAAAGAACTCTCCAAACCTCCATGATTTTGCAAGAGACAAGACAAGGGTAATTACCTGCAGCACCTGGACCCATCTAGATTAACTAAATTTAATGAGGCTCCAGAGGAAGGTCTTCAAGACTCAGACCTTAGTTATGATTAGAAATTAATCACCTGTGTCTTCAGATAGCCCCCGTTCCATGTTTAGAGAGAGATCTTTGAGCACCCATCTTCATTCATTTGAGAACAGGGTCACTGAGAGGGAGTCTCTGAGGTCACAGAGTGTATTAGTTCACTTTCACACTGCCGTGAAGAAACACCCAAGACTGGGTGATTTATAAAGGAAAGAAGTTTAATTGAGTCACAGTTCCACATGGCTGGGGAGGCCTCAGGAAATTTACAATCACGGTGGAAGGGGAAGCAAACATGTCCTTCTTCATGTGGCAGCAGGAGAGAGAAGTGCAAAACGAAGAGGGGAAAGGTCACTTATAAAACCATCAGATCTCGTGAGAACTCATTCACTTTCACGAGACGAGCACGTGGGAACCACTCCCATGAAGTAATCACCTCCCATGAGGTCTCTCCCCCAAAACGAGGGGATTACAATTCAAAATGACATTTGGGTGCAGACACAGAGCCAGACCATATTACAGAGCCAGAAGAGCTGAGCAGTGGGCACTTAGTAAATGTTCATTAAACGAAACCCCTAAACAAGGCTGGCTTCATAGAGGTGCCACCTGTGCAATGGCAAAAGCCCCACATTCAGAGGGGACCTGAACTTGGTTTAATGCTATGTTGTCACTGCCTTCAAATTCTTAACATTTTTTGAACAAATGACTCCATTTTCAGTTCACACCGGGTCCTGCAAATTATGTACCCAGTCCTGCCCCTGAAACAAAGATATGGTTTGTTCATGAAGGGGCTCCCTCGACCCTTCCCTGTGCATCTCACTCCAAGATGCCCTAAGTAAAAGGGAACAAAGAGCTAGGAGAAGGTAGTAGTTGATGATGATCTTGGAGGTCCCACCTGATCATGGCTGGCGATGCATATGTGTGGGTGGGAGAATTTGGTTGCTCTCTCCTGGCAGCCTCCATCCCATGCAGAAGGCCTGCACTTTGCCTGTCTGTCCCCCTATGTCCTCTACCTGACTCAGGAGTGTGGATGGGGGAGGGGAGGCATTGGGCCCAGTGCTCCTGGTCCCAGCTGGAGTTCTCTGTTGATCTGGGAGATTTGGCTCCTCTGACTACTCCTACCCCATCGCCATTAGGACAGGAGTTGGTGAAGGGGACAGGGTGGGAGGCTTAATTAGCAGCCAGGGCCAGGCAGCAGGCAGTGGGGCAAAGATCAGGCTGACTTTTCCTGCTACAGATCTGCTCTCTGGAAGAGGCATTCATGGACTGGCTTAAGCTGTGGCTTGGCTATTTTAGGAATATTCTTAACCCTTCCTGAGTCACTGCTGTCATCAGACTTCTCTCCCAGGGCGCAGAGCACCAGACTGTTCCCTCTCCCTGTCCCCTTCTCCCCAGTCCCTGCTTTCCTCCCTGGCAGCTGAGAAGGTCAGAGTTTTCTCAGGGGTGGGGCAAGTTGACTTCTGCCAAGGAAAACTCCCGGGTCCCTGAGTCCCCTTCTTTGTCCTGCCCTGTGACTTTTCCCTCTTCATCACAGCTCTGGACTCAGCCAAGTGGCACAATGGGCATCACCTCAGCCCTTCTCATCTTATAAAATTGGAACCTCAGACTCTCTCATCTGAAAACAGCTGATTTGTATCCCAAGAGTAAGATGGGAAGCTGTAGTCCTGACTTCAAACCTCTGGCAGAGCAGGAGCCCCTGCGTGCCTGGCTTTGATGCCCCATTAGGGGCAAGTTTCCACAGCCAGAACCCCTCATGGGGTTCCCTCTGCCTGTTTTTTCCTCCACTCCAGGTCCTTCCCAGAGTCTGGCTTCTTGGAAAAGCCCAGGCCAGGATATAGGCATTACCTATGTAAGGCCAAGGGGAGTCCCACTGCCGGCCAGAAGGGCTCAACATCAATATATCTGAAATTCAAGCCATACAGGGGGAAGAGATATTGGCTCAGTGTCAAGGGTTTCTGTGTCCACGCTAGGCTTGCCTGAGCTGGGAGGCCCAGGACATCTGGGCTTTGTGATGCCTTCTGACACTAGGAGTTGGAGTTTGCCACCAACTGCTATTGGGAAAGCTTGACTTGGTGATACAGGCGTAATGCTGATGATGCCACACAAATGCCCAAGGGCCTATAGTGTGCCTGACACTGTCCTGGGCAATGGGTATAGAGGATCAATAATCATTCTCTTCCTGAGAAAGGAAGCTCTCCTGGGCTGGTTAACCAGGCATCTGGCCACAAGCCTGGTCTAGTGTTGATGGGCTCCAGCAAGTGAGTCATCCCAACTAATTCCCCCTCTTCCAGGTTATCACAACAAGCCCAGCTCCAGAAGTGAAAGAGCTGGCTGCAGATGGGGGTGAGGCCAGATGAAAATGCTTTCGCTCCCCTCAACGGCTGCAGAGGGGGCTCTTGCAAAGGGGGTCATTGAACTGCAGTTTCTTCTGTCTCCAATCCAGAAAGAGCCTGATGGATTGATAAAGGTGTCCTGGGAAAGATTTTCAGTTCAAAGAGACAATCCCCTCCAGGAACTCCAGAAGAATTTTGTCTGGCGTTTAAAGAGTAAGAAGCTGCTGGGTGTGGCAGCTCACACCTGTAATTGTTGTGCTTTGGGAGCTACAGGCAGGAGGATCACTTGAGGCTAGGAGTTAGAGAACAGCCTGGGCAATACAGTGAGACGCTCCCCACTACAAAAAAAGCAAGAATACCCCTCTCTTTACCCCTACTTGAGAGACGTGACTAGAAGGCAGAAAGCTGGCTGTTGACGGGGGAGTCTCTCTCTTCAGGCAGAGGTAGGGCTGCTTCCTGGGACAGAGGCATAGATGGTATTTCTGGCTCTGCAGTTCCTGATGAAGACATACTGGGGCACCCAGGCTAACCTTTGGCAAAACTAGGAGCGGAACTCAGGAGTCCCTGATGCCAGCCTCGCTGATGCGATCCCCCCTCCCCTCCCCCATGTGTCTTGCTCCCTAGCTCCCTCCCCACCAGCTTCCAGGCCAGGACCCCCAGCTGGCTGGTGGAGGATGTCTTCCTCCTCAGCAGCTAGGATTTTTAAGTATTTATAGGAACATGGAACAGATCAGTGGCTGACAGGCCCAAGGAGCGTGCAGGCCCCTTCCCAGAGGTCAGCAGCTTCACTCCCCCTTCCTGCACCCCATCCTGATTTGACGGAACCCAGGATGACAAAGAGGGAGTAGGTGAGCAAGGTATGGGGTGGCAGCCTCCATAGGAGCTCAAAGGATGTATTTGTCCATCTGCCCTGGGCTCAGCTTCCACACTCCGAGTCACTCACATCCCTCCACCCTAGCCGGAGCTCACCTGTGTGCCCACATGACCAAGACCACACTGACCCCAAATGTACAGTTTCAACTCTCAACAATTCACTGTCACACTCACGTGTGTACACACATGCTTTCTAAATTCCACAGCCACATGGATGCTCACAGGCTCACACCTTTGCACACACACAGGCTCACTCACAGACCTACGGGGGGCCCAGATCCCGGTCATTCCCCACAGGTCTTTATAAGGGTTCTGGGAGGGAAACTTGTTTCCTGTCTAAGGTAGGGTGGGAGTGTGTGTGTGGGGGGGGAACGAGAGTGAATGTGAGAGTGCATGTATGTTAGTGTGGGTGTGTATGTGTGTAAGGAGCAGGAGTGACTGGGTCCTGAGTTTAGGGAGTGGGGAAGAGAAAGGAGAGATGGAGACAAGCGTGGACCAAGAGACACTCAGAGCTGACATCCTGGAAGGGAAGCCAGGCTGAGATAAGAGCAAGGCAAAGAAATAGACACCGACAAGGATCAAGCCAGGGCGGGGTAGGGACTGGGGACAGATCCCGCCCCCATGAGAAGCTGTCACATTGTTGCTCAGGTGGCCTGTGACAGCAGCGCCATCTCCAGCTGGAGCCTCCCCTCTCTGGATCTTGTCATTGTAACTTTGCTTTGCTACTTGGGCAGCCAGGAGTGGTGACAGGCAGGGAATATGGTGCCCAGGGCAGTTAGCCATGCCACTCCAGTCCGGCTGCCAACCCACCTGTCACTGCCCATCTCAACACCTGTGGGGGTGGGGGTGGGTACAGATGAAACCGGCGATCAGCTTGGCTACCCTTGCCTCCTAGTGCCACAGTGGAGGCTAGGGGAGCAACCGGCCTTCCTCCCCAAAAGGTGGTCAGGGTTAACCGCACTTTGCCCAGGTCACTGAAGCCTGCAGCTGAGCTTGGGGAGAATGGGCCGTCTCTGCTCCCAGGCACCCAGGAACTACTGGAGAGAGACAGGAACCAGCCTATGAGACAGGGGCTTAAGGAGGAGGTTGGAGAAGACACGCGTTTGGCATAAACCGGGGGCCCCTCTCTGCGCTCACCGAGCCGGCGGCCTGGGCGGTGCTGAGCCTGCCCCTGGCGGCGTTCGCCTGGGACAGCGCCTGAGCGGTGGCCGATCCCACCTGGATGTCCCGGGTCGGCTCCCACCCCACGCCGTCCCCGGCCGCAGTGGGGAGATGCTCGCGCTGGTCCTTGCCATACTTGGCTGCTGCCGGGCTCGGGGTCCCGCGTCGTACACGCCCCATCAGCCCTGGCCACCGCTCCTGAGGGAACGCCCCGGGGAGCCCTTCCGGGCCCCGACGGCTGCGGGCCCCGGAGCCAAGAGAAGAAGCAGGTCCCAGGGCCGACTCCGCAGCAGCATCTCCAGCTTTGTCCGGGAAGCAGAGGCCGCCGCCGGCCACAGTCGTGGGTGAGAAGAAGGGCGCGAGGCGGCCGGGGCTCCTGCCGGGCACCCCAAGTACGCGCCGGGCTTCTCCATGACAGCTGCGGCCCGGGCTGCCTGGGGCCTGGGACTCCGGCGCGGTCCGGCCGCGAGAAAGGCAGGCGCTGCCCCAGTGGGGAAGGGGCAAGGCTGCGGCTCCGGCCACCGGGCGGGGGCACAGAAACGACCCCGGCGCCGTCTGAGCGCCCAGCTCCGTTCCTGCCGCGGCCAAAAGACACCCGAGAGCGCCGGCGGCTGGGGGACCACAGGGCCCTGGAACTCACCAGGCGGCCTCGCGGCGCAAAAGCGGGCGGAGCCAGAGAAGGGGCTCGGCTAGGCGGCCACGCTCCCTCCCCGGAGGGCGGCGGGACTCGGATTTCGCCTCTGGTTTAAAAATTGTGCCTGCGGAGCCCAGGACGCTGGGAGGAGCGTTCTGCGCTCCTCCGGTCGCGGTCTCCGCACTAAACCGACTTCCAGAGCCGCCTCTGCTCCCTGTAGTGGCGGAGGGGCGGGCACCGAAGTCCCACCAAGTCGCAGGTCCTCAGCCTGGGGCATGCTTGCTATGCTCCGGATGCAGGGGGGTACTCTGCCTCTCTGCTCCCTGGGGGCCAAGGCGTGCGCTGCAGGCTGGAGCTGCGGCTCCGAGGCTTCCAGGAGCCCCGGCCCCGCCGTCGGTGGAGAAACGCTGGGGGCTTCGAGGTCGCGGCTTCCGGAAATCCGGTTACTGAGCGGAGTTGGGGGTCAGGTTCCAAAGGGATAGCGCCCCGGGTTGTAATCACCATCTGGCCCGCCGCTCCTGCCGCCGCGAGTCTACAGCGGAGCTATTGGGTGGACCAAGCGGGTGAGGCGCGGGCAGGCAGCGGCTCCGCCTCGTAATCCTCCTCCGACCGGTGCCCAGGGGCTGGCCCCACCTTTCCCTCGGTCACCCACCAACGCCGCTCCCTCGATCCCCAGCACCCCTCCAGGCCCAGTTCGCTTCAGAGGCGCGAGACCCGGAAAACAAGGAAGAAGCGAGCTCAGCCTCAATCCCCGTCCCCACCCCACTTTCGGGGCCGCTGCGCTGGAGAATTGAAGGGGGCGGACCCCGGATTAAAGCCGCTCCCTTCCCAGCCTCGCTCCTCTTTCCTTCTGTCCGTGATGATTTCTTTATTGTCAGGCGAGAGCCAGGCTCCCCGCGCTCACGGGACCGGGCGGTTGGGAGCGGGTTCTGGAGCTCACGCCTGGCGTCGGCGGAGGTGACCCCAGCGCCCTCGCCCGTGCAGGGGAAACAGCTGGTTCCCGCCCGGATGGGGAAACCTGGACTGCGTGGGCTCGGGCGCCTGGCAGGCATGCGGGGCCTCTAAGGCTTGGCCACTGTCACGGGTCCTGTGGTTGTTGCTTCTCCCCTCGCCACGCCCTTCTCCTGGGACGGAGATTCATTCCCTGGCGGGTGTCGGGGACCTGGGCGCAGATTCATTCCCTGGTGGGTGTCGGGGACCTGGCGCTCTTGCAGGGACGCCCCCCGGAGTCTGATACGTGGACTTTAAGATCAGACGCTTCGGGGCCGGGCTGGGAAAAACTGGCGGAAAATATTACAACTCTACTCTCAATGCCAGGCTGTTGTAGAAGCTCCTGGGACAAGCCGTGAAGTCTCCGCAGGAGGCTTCAGAGATATACTAGGCGGCTGCTCAGTTCGCCAAGGACTTTTCCATTGACTCACAAGCGCCGCCTGGAGGAGGAGGCCGCGCTGGACGCGCCGGCGGCGCCTTTGCCTGGGGGAGCGCAGCCCGGAGCTGTGGCGTGGCCGCGCTGGGAGCGGCGTGTCAGAGGCTGGGCCTGGGGACCCGAGGTTGGGCGGGGCGCAGGAGGTGGGCTCAGGGCTCTCCAGAGCACTCCCCTGAGCTGACCCGCAGGACTGCCGGGCCAGTAGGCACGGGGCCCGCGCGGTGACCTGCGGCCTCGAGGCTGGAGCAGCCACTGCAAACGCCGCGCTGGCCCCAAACACTGCGTCCTTGAAATGTTTTAATTAAGAATAATTAATAGGGCCGGGAGTGGAGGCTCAAGCCTGAATCCCCAGCACCTGGCGAGGCCGAGGAGGGAGGATCCCTTGAGCCCAGAGGTTCAAGACTAGCCTGGGCAACACAGTCAGACTCCATCCCTACAAAACAAACAAACGAAAATAAAACAAACGAAACGAAATGAAATTAGCCCGGCGTGGTGGCGCGGGCCTGTGGTCCCAGCTCCTCGGGAGGCTGAAGCAGGAAGATGGCTTGCGACCGCACCACTGCGCTCCAGCCTGGGAGACAGAGCAAGACCCTGTCTCGAAAAATGTGTATGTCTGGGTAAATGTATAGATTTTAAAACTATTTTGAAGGCGGCCTTTTTAACTCTAAACTGACCACTCTGGAGGAGACGCCTGACCCAGAGCGCTTTCCCTAAAGTTCGGTGCCCAAAGTGCACCTTCCCATGGTTGGGGTCTCTGCCTTTCGCCAAGCCTTGCCTCTTGCAGAGGTGGGCTCCATAGTGTCTCCCGCTCCGCCCCAACTGGAGAACAGTGTAAATTGTCGGCCGGGCGCGGGACCTCATGCCTGTAATACCAGCACTTTGGGTGGCTGAGGCGGGCAGATCGCTTGAGGTCAGGAGGTCGACACCAACCTGCCTAAACATGGTGAAACCCCGTCTCTACTAAAACTACAAAAATTAGCCGGGCGTGGTGGCGGGCGCCTGTAATCCCAGCTACTCAGGAGTCTGAGGCAGCAGAATTGCTTGAATCCGGGAGGCGGAGGTTGTAGTGAGCCGAGATCGCGCCACCGCACTCCAGCCTGGGCAACAAGAGTGAGACCGCGTCTTAAAAAAAAAAAAAAAAAAAAAAGAATTGTCAACCAGAGGGAGCGGCAATTCAGAAGCACGCTGAAGCCAAGTCCTCAAGACTAGAAAGCATGAAGCAGGGGAGGCGTTTTGAAAGCTTAAGGACAAAAGACCATGGGCCTGGATGGCTGATTCCGGGATCGGCATCGTAATTTGTTGAGAAGGAGGCCGTGCTGTGCTGCCAGTTATTAATGGGTTTAATCGGTTGATACACAGCCCTACTGGCCTAACCAGTAGCCCAGGGCCCGAGAGGATTTGCAGGTCGTGTCAGAATTTGATTGAAGTTCCTTCCACTTGGCATAAGGAGACACCATCAGCCTGATTGAGAGGGTCATGGTGAGATGGAGCCCGCCAAGGTGGCAGCGCTGAGCTGACCACGCCACGGACCATAGAGTGGGAGCCTTTCCTGCCCCCTTAACCGCAGCTAACATCAAAAGCACTGGTATGGGCTGTCTAACTGGAACCTGAGTTGGTCTTTGTAATTACGATTCTTTTGGGTTTATTTTGCCAGTTCATTATCCACCCCCCTGAAATCAGGCCTCCCAAATTTAGCAGGTGCTGGGGAGGACCCCAGGGAGTGGCTTGTGGGGGCTAGCTGGTGAAACTACCCTTTCCTTTCTGTTCTATGAGTGTGATGGTGTTTGAGAAATATGGGGCTATGGTTCAGGCGCACTTCACATGTGCAAAGATGGAGAAAGCACTCACCTGCACATTTAGGCTCAGAATATTGATTGAAACATTTTGAAATATCAAAAATAAAATGTTATTTTTAAAGTTTCTCTGAGATTTCGCTTAAGTTTTGGTAGATATTCTTAAATTTTAGTGACCTCAGTTTGGGAATTCAGTAAGCCAAATATTGTATCCTTATTATTAGTTATATAGAACTATGCCTTAGACTTTGTTAGAAACTTCTGCTTCAGCTTGACTGACTCATTTTCCATTTCTGGTTGTACAAAATGAACTGACACTTTAATGCTGTGGCCACCTTTAAATAAAGTACAATGTGACAAAAAAATACAAATGTTTTCAGAGATAAATGCATTCTTTGACATCTGAGGTTACAGCAAATCTATTCTTCGCCTGCTTGCTTGTTCAGAGTTGTAATATTTGCTTTGGTGTAGAGCTGAAGACACAAATTGGTAACCAGTGGAATTATATGGCCTCAGACTTATTTATTCTCATCATTTGTTTCGCTCATATGCAAATTTATTCTGTACCAGGAAATGTCAATTTAATTATATTCTACAGTACACAGTGAATCATGTAAAGTTAGTCAAGTTGTAAATACGCTAGAACCATATAAGCTCACAAAAATATATCAGCGCATGATGGGTAAGTGACCTTCCCCTGAGAAAGCATATCTGTTTAACTTGCATGATCTCACCCTTTAGTGTTTACTTCTTTAGTCTACATTTGTTTCTCAGTTTTAAGTATAATCATGATATGAAGAGACAAGTGAAATCACCACAATTTTGTTTCCAAAATGTGAGACCATGCAAATACTGAAATGAGATTGAATATCCAAAATATCAAACCACAATTATGGCTTTGCTTTACTTTTTGCCTGTTTAAGTGACATGTGGCCTACAATAGTTGGTAGGTATTCCTACCACAACCTTGCTTAGAATAGTGGTTGGCTAAATATAAACTTTAGAGATGAAGGTGGTTCTATACCCAGATTTCAGAGTGACTGCTATGTCCACTTTACTTTCTTTAAAATACATATTTTTTTCATTTTCATTTTCATTTTCTTCTTGGTTGACTTACTTTGGCTTAGGGATTTTTTTTTTCCCTTATGATCTCAAGAAATTTTTCTCATTTAAAAAGACATAATCGTGCCAGGTGTGGTGGCTCACGCTTGTAATCCCAGCACTTTGGGAGGCTGAGGTGGGTGGATCACCTGAGGTCAGCAGTTTGAGACCAGCCCGGCCAAAATGATGAAACCTCGTGTCTACTAAAAATACAAAAAATAGCTGGGCGTGGTGGCAGGTGCCTGTAATCCCAGCTACTCAGGAGGCTGAGGCAGGAGAATCGCTTGAACCCAGGAGGCAGAGGTTGCAGTGAGCTGAGATCACGCCATTGGACTCCAGCTGGGTGACAAGAGCGAAACTCTGTCTCAAAAAAAAAAAATTGTAACTTTTCCCATATAAAAAAAAAAAACACAAGATCTGGAATACAGAGAGAAGCATAAAGCTTTGCAGGTCATAGATGTAATCTTCCAGGAAAAATTTCTTTCAGATGTGACCAGAATTGGAAACATATTCCCTGCCGTCAGATAGCACTGGCTTAGGAGATGAATGAGGAGGAGTCTGCAGGCTACCTCGAGGATAAGAAGGAGGCAAAAGGCAAGCACAGGGGCAGCATGCACTCAGACTAGGGCTGCTCCTTCCTGGGCAAGTTTCAGAAACTCACTGACAGAGCTAGAAGCTCCCATAGAGATGAATGCCCACATTTTCCAGATGGGAGAACTGACGCTTAGAAAGGCTGAATGACTTGTCTAAGACTTTGGGGCCAGAACAGGGATCTTATTCCAGTATTTCTTGCATGAAACCATTCTACTTTCCACGTTTCTAATTTATAACTTTTTAAAGGTCATTTTAAAAAGGAAATAACATAAACATCAAGTCTGGAGGCTAGTGGTGGGATTATTCGCATTTATTTTTCCACTTGACTTGACATTTCAGGGCAATAGTGATGCTTAAGTAAAACCAAAATTATCCTGGGAATATAAAAAATAATATATCTGTTTACATTTTGGTGTGGGATGAGTAGAATCTTGTTTTCAAATTCCTTGTTTGAAAGGCTATTAAGAAGAATACATCCTCACTTAACAGTTTTCTAATTCCTTGGTGGTATCCTCTGTCCCTTGGTAACATGTGAAAGTAGAGCACACTTTTCTATTTTTGTTCCTGCTGCACCCCTCATAAGGTGAAGCACGCATAGAGCACTCCCAGGGTCAGTGTGAGCCCAGTACCAGCTCAGGCTGCCGATGATCCAGAGTCGGATTCCACCTTCCACTCAAATGGCAGCCACAGGTAGACGTGCCCATCACAACCAACTCCGTGCGGTAATAATCTCTGTTTATTCTACAAGTGGTTTCCACACGAAAAATGGCACAATGTTTCTCCGAGGATAACTACATAAAAATCAGCATACTTAAATTCACAGCAAATATTCAGACAATTGATGAAAACACTTACCCAAACAGTAATTGTAGACTATGCCTTCTGAATATATTTTTCATAAACTTGCAGTAAGGAATCCTCACAGGCACTGAACAATTCAAAAAACGCAAAGCTGTTTGTTAGAATACTGGTGATTTCAGGTAGAAACTCATGCATATCCTGGTAAGGGTTGAAGTTGCACAGGTGTTTTCATTTGTCAAAGCCCAGAAAACCATAAGCTTTAGATTTGTAAATTATGTTGTATTATATGCAACCTTTCTTTTTAAAAATGAGCTGTAAGTGGTCTCCCAGACAGTAGCTCAGCCTCCAGGACTCTCTTCCATCATGGCCAAAGACACCTCTTCACACAAGATGGTAGCAGCAAATCATAGGTGCAATCACACCAAATTCACAGAAGATCAATTGAAAATCCTCATCAATACCTCCAATCAAAAATCTTACCCAGGTTATGCTATGAAACAAAAACTTGCTTTAGAAATCAATACAGAAGAGTCCAGAAGGCTTGTTTAATGCTTCTAAGACTTTTCAGTGGGTTAGTCTAAATGATAAGTGTATTTTTAAAATTTTTAATAAAAATGTATAATTTTTAAGTAAACCTTTCTGTTAACAGTCTTGATTAGAGGATTTTAATTATGCTTAGAGATAATACATCTGTATCTTCTTCTATTTCATTTGAAAAGTACCACTTTTCAATGTCACACCCATAATGAGGCAGAGTCTAGCTCTGTTGCCCAGGCTGGAGTGCAGTGGCATGATCTCAGCTCACTGCAATCTCCAACTCCCAGGTTCAAGCAATTCCCTACCTCAGCCTCCGGAGTAGCTGGGATTACAGGCACACACCACCACACCTGGCTATTTTTTTGTATTTTTAGTAGAGATGGAGTTTCACCATCTTGGCCAGGCTGGTCTTGAACTCCTGACCTCATGATCCACCCACCTCCATCTCCATCTTCCAAAGTGCTGGGATTACAGGCATGAGCCACCGCGCCTGGCCTTTTTTTTTTTTTTTTTTTTTTTTTTTTTGAGACAGAGTCTCGCTCTGTCACCCAGAATTGAAGAGCTAGGCACAGATTCCAGAAAAGACCAGAACCTGACTTTAGATTCAAGCCACAGCCATGGGCAAGATCAACCTGGTGTGGAATTTCAAAGTAGAGAAGCCAGACAGTGTCATACCACCTATAGCGCCTCTCAATTACACACTCTCATCAAGGCATTTATGATAAACCCATACCCTGGGATTGATTCCAGAGAACAACTTGCTGAAGAAATTGGTGCTCCAGAGTCAAGAGTCCAAATTTGGTTCCAAAATCAAAGATCTATATTTCATCTCCACAGAAAAAGAGAAACTGTTGTGTTCTTAGAACAAGAAGACCAGGGGCAAGATTTCTGAGGGACTTCAAGGTACAGAAAACACACAAAATGACACCAACCTCACTAGCACTCTCATTTCTCTAGAGCCATAACATGGTGAACACAGTCAAGTTCAGTGTATTTGGTATTATCAACTTAGGCCCCAACTCTCTCTCACAGTCTTCCTGGGAATCTATCCTTTTGCTGAAAGTGCAAGTTAAGCCTTCTGAAGATGGTAAAGAACTTGGCCGGGTGTGGTGGCTCACGCTTGTAATCTCAGCACTTTGGGAGACTGAGGCAAGAAGATTGCTTGAGCCCAGGAGTTTGAAACCAGTCTGGGCAGCATAGTAAGACCCTGTCTCTATAATAAAAAACAAAATAAATAAAAAGGACTGTAGGAGGCCGAGACAGGTATAGGAGGCACCACACTACCCTATTGACACAGCCTGGATCCAGAGTTTGGCAGAACTTGAGACAATGAAAATAAACTTAGTAATAATCATTTTTCAATCATCGCAGTAATTATTGATTTGGACAAAAATCAGTTGACAGCAAAACCTTAAAGTGACGCTGCTCTGCCTATGGAGTAGCCTTTCTTTTATTCCTTTAGTTTCTTAATAAATTTTCTTTCACTTAAAAAAAACCTTATAGTTTGACAAAGAATGAGATATATACCTCATCTCAAAGAATTTTCTCACACACAGTTATTAATTACAAAAGGAAAATGCGTAATTTTGCAGTGGAGAAATATGGCCAACTCCATCTTAACCAAGTGGCTGGTAGTCACCGCACCAGTAACGGCACAAACCAATGTGAGATGCTTCCTGATACAATACACTAAAAAGGGCACAGTCTTTTCTGCATGTTGCTGACAAAAAGTGGGTAAGCTGAAACTGAAACTAATAATTAGGCAATGTCAAGCAAACACGAATTCAGGTTGACAGTCTGCAAAGTAACATCCATGTACTCTTCAGCAATGGATTGATCCTAGCTACTCAGGAATCTGAGGCGGGAGGATTGTTTGAGGCCAGGAGTTCCAGATCAGCTTGGGCAACATGATGAGACCCCATCTCTACAAACGTCTTTTTAAAAATGAGCCGGGCAGGGAGCGGCGGCTCACGCCTGTAATCCCAGCACTTTGGGAGGCCGAGGTGGGCGGATTACGAGGTCAGGAGCTCAAGACTGTCCTGGTTAACACGATGAAACGCCGTCTCTACTAAAAATACAAAAAATTGGCCGGGCATGGTGGCGGGCGCCTGTAGTCCCAGCTACTCGGGAGGCTGAGGCAGGAGAATGGCGTGAACCCAGGAGGCGGAGCTTGCAGTGAGCCGAGATCGCGCCACTGCACTCCAGCCTGGGCGACAGAGCGAGACTCTGTCTCAAAAACAAAACAAAACAAAACAAAACAAAAACCAGGTGTGGTAGCGTGCATCTGTAGCCTCAGCTACTCAGAAGCCTGAGGCAAGAGGATAGTTTGGACACAGGAGATCGAGGCGGCAGTGAGCTATGATCGTACTACGGCACTCCAGCCTGGGCGACACAGCACTTTTCTGTTTCCAGACAACAACAAGAAAACAAAAAGATGGATAGAATAATGGCAATAAAATGGAGAAAAAGTAGGCTGACTCAGGAAATGCTTAGAAAGTGCAGCCATACCTCAAAGATATTGTGGATTTGGTTCCAGACCATCACAATAAAGCAAATATTGCTATAAAGCGAGTCAAACAAATTGTTTTGTTTCCTTGTGAATATAAAGTTATATTGACTGGGTGTGATGGCTCATGCCTATAATCCCAGTACTTTAGGAGATGGAGGCGGGAGGATCACTTGAGATGGAGGTTGCAGTGAGCCGAGATCACGCGACTGCCCTCCAGCCTGGGCAACGGAGTGAGATTCAGTCTCAAAAAAAAAAAAAAAAAAAGAAAATTAGCCAGGCGTGGTGGTAAGCACCTGTAATTCCATTTACTAAGGAGGCTGAGGCAGAGAATTGCTTCAACCTGGGAGGCAGAGGTTGCAGTGAGCCGAGATCAGGCCACTGCACTCCAGCCTGGGCAACAGAGCGAGACTGGGTCTTAAAAAAAAAAAAAAAAGGCCGGGCGCAGTGGCTCATGCCCGTAATCCCAGCACTTTGGGAGACCGAGGCAGGTGGATCACAAGGTCAGGAGTTCAAGACCAGCCTGGCCAAGATGGTGAAACTCCATCTCTACTAAACATACAAAAAATAGCCAGGTGTGGTGGCATGTGCCTGTAATCCCAGCTACTCTGGAAGCTGAGGTAGGGAATTGCTTGAACCTGGGAGTTGGAGGTTGCAGTGAGCTGAGATCACACCACTGCACTCCAGCCTGGGCGACAGAGCTAGACTCTGACTCATTATGGGTGTGACATTGAAAACTGGTGCTTTTCAAATGAAATAGAAGAAGATACAGATGTATTATCTCTAAGCATAATTAAAATCCTCTAATCAAGACTGTTAACAGAAAGGTTTACTTAAAAATTATAATTTTTTATTAAAAAATGCACTTATCTTTTAGACTAATCCACTGAAAAGTCCTAGAAGCATTAAACAAAACAGAAGCAGAAAGCTCCTTGGTGCCATAACTTTGGATTCTCCATATCATCACTCACTAAAAGGAACCAAAGCTTTTTGGAGAAATGGCTGCTTTCTGGCTGCAGGCAGGCAATGTGCAAAATCAGTCTAGAGCATCTTGTCATACTGGAAAGCAAGGGCACGTTTATACCCCCCAGGATCATGTCCATAGGATCTGAGAGGCAACTTGAAGGAGGTCCCACTATCCAAACATGAACTAATATAAGCATCAATAATAATGATGACCACAAGCCAGCCATGGTGGTTCACACCTGTAAGCCCAACACTTTGGGAAGCTAAAACAGATGGATTGCTTTAGCCCAGATGTTCAAGACAAGGCTGGGCAACATGGTAAAACCCTCTGTCTGCCAAAAATAGAAAACAAAAAAATTAGGCAGGCATGGTAGCATGTGCCTGTAGTCTCAGCTACTTGAGAGGCTGAGGTGGCAGGGTCACCTAAGCCCAGGAGTCTGAGGCTGCAGTGAGCTTTGATCATGCCACTGCAGTCCAGCCTGGGCCATAAAGCAAGATTCATCTCAAAAAAACCCAAACAAACAAAAATAATGATGATGATGATGATGATGATGATGATGACTGCAATGAGCAGGTGCACACCTGATGTTTAAATCATCAAGCTTATAATGATATTAAAGCATGCAGTCAATAGAATAAATACATCATCCAGATATTGGAATTAGCATTAAAAGACTGCAGTACTCCCCCTTTACCTGTGGGGCGTACTTTGGAAGACCTCCGTGGATCTCTTAAACCATGGATAATACCAAACCCTACCTTAGCACTTACCACACACTGTGGCTGTAGCTTTTGCAGTTTGAGGTACAAAAGCAAAACTAGCAATAATTTATTTTTCCTTTTCCACAATTTTACAAATAAAAGATTAATTCTTACCCTAGTTGTTAGCGACCTCAGCATATTTTTTTTCCTCACTAAGTGGAAAACTTTCTGCTTTTCAGTTACTGAAAGCATTTTCAGGTTTCTCTTTTGCATATCTGAATTGCCAGCATCACTACTCTTGCATATTGGGACCATTACTAAATAAAATAAGGGTTACTTGAACACAAACACTGCTACACTAAGCTAGGTCCATCTGATAACTTAGATGGCTGCAAATGTCTAATGAGCAGGAAGCAGGAAGTGTGGATCTGCCCAGCAAAGGGATATGTCGCATCCTGAACCGGATACAGCAGAATGGCGGGAGGTTGCATCACATTTCTCAGAACAATGCATGACTTAAAACTTATAAACTGTTTACTTCTGGAGTTTTATATTTAATATTTTTTGACTGTGGGTGACTGAAAGTGAGGAAAGTAAAGCCACAAATAAGGGGATACTACTATATTATAGATATGCTCAAGGACTGAAATAATAATAATATTGAGTAAACATGTGTGAAATCTCAGTAGAGATAAAAACTTAAAAAAATTAAAATTCGAGTACTTAAAAATGCAATATCTTACAGAAAAATTTCATTAGACTGAGAAGAGGCAGGAGAATAATTCCCAACATTTATTTTTGAAAAATCAACCCATTTTTGGCCAGGCATGGTGGCTCACACCTATAATCCTAGCATTTTGGGAGGCAAAGGCAGGCAGATCATGAGGTCAGGAGATCGAGACCATCCTACCTAACACGATGAAACCCCATCTCTACTAAAAATACAAAAAAATTAGCTGAGCATGGTGGTGGGTGCCTGTAGTCCCAGCTACTTGGGAGGCTGAGGCAGGATAATGGTGTGAATCTGGGAGATGGAGCTTGCAGTGAGCTGAGATCTTGCCACTGCACTCCAGCCTGGGCGACAGAGCAAGACTCTCTCTCAAAAAAGAAAAAAAAATCAACCCATTTTTAATTTCTTCAAGTGCTTTCTAGGATTTTAGGAAAGCAGAATACTACTTAGAAAACTGGTAAATAAAAAAGTAACTGATAAATAGAAAATGGTAAATAAAGGGAAAGAATCCCATATTTATTCTACCTTTTCTCTACAAGCAGTACCTCAGGGTAACCAAAGAAATAATGAAGAAAAACTATCTACAAAAGTTTTCTATTTAATATATGAAAGAAGAATAATAGAATTAAAATGGCTCAATTTCTTGACCTCTAATTTAATCAGTTTTGGAAGTTATCATCCCTGCTGCTCTTGGTTTGGTTCAGCCAGGAAAACAGCCAATTAAGTATTATAGAAATAAACAGTTTAATATAAGAATTAGTGCCTACATTCTTGTGCATCTAAGCAGAAAAAAAAATGAAGGTTTGGCAGGTTGCCTACAGAAAGTCAGAAACACAATCACAAATGGCCTCAGCTGAAAACACTGATATAGGAGGGAAAGCAACAGCTCATGAAGAGTCCAGGAAACTTCTGTATTCACCAGGATTATGAAGTACATGCTCATGCGAGGTCTATGATGGGGCTATATCTGGATGCTAGAATTGCTGAGAAGAAACTTGTTAAAAGCTGTGAAAGTCTCCATGCCTGGCTGCCAAAAATTGCTCACAGTGACTTCGGCTTTACTTTTGTCTTTGGAATTGTGTGTGAATTTTCTCTATTTGCAAATTTTATGAGGATTCATTTAGGGAAGAGAGTTCTAGAATACAGGCTTCTTAGTTTTAGAAAACTGTAGTGGTTGCTGCCAAGTTGGCAAAATAATTCAAAACAGCTGCTAATATCACAAAAAGAAAGACAACTAGAAATAATGTTTGGGTAGAAAAACATAATGTTGTCTATGAAATATTCTTGAAAAAAATCTAAACAGTTCCTTAAACTTTCATTTTTTTCTAAAAAACACTTAGTTATAAGGGTTAATGGAAGACATCCTAAAACTCTTCTGTTGTGGGAACTCAGGGACCCCGAACGGAGGGACCAGCTGGAGTTGTGGCAGAGGAACATAAATTGTGAAGATTTCATTTTAATATGGACATTTATCAGTTCCCATATAATACTTTTATAATTTCTTATGCCTGTCTTTAATCTCTTAATCCTGTTATCTTCGTAAGCTGAGGATGTACGTCACCTCAGGACCACTGTGATAATTGTGTTAACTGTACAAATTGATTGTAAAACATGTGTGGTTGAAGAGTATGAAATCAGTGCACCTTGAAAAAGAACAGAATAACAGCGATTTTTAGGGAACAAGGGAAGACAACCATAAGGTCTGACTGCCTGCGGGGTTGGGCAAAAAGAGCCATATTTTTCTTCTTGCAAAGAGCCTATAAATGGATGTGCAAGTAGGGAAGATATCGCTAAATTCTTTTCCTAGCAAGGAATATTATTATTAATACTCTGGGAAAGGAATGCATTCCTGGGGGGAGGTCTATAAATGGCTGCTCTGGGAATGTCTGTCTTATGCTGTTGAGATAAGGACTGAGATACGCCCTGGTCTCCTGCAGTACCCTCAGGCTTACTAGGGTGGGGAAAATCTCCGCCCTGGTAAATTTGTGGTCTGACCGGTTCTCTGCTCTTGAACCCTGTTTTCTGTTGTTTAAGATGTTTATCAAGACAATACGTGCACCGCTGAACATAGACCCTTATCAGTGGTTCTGCTGTTGCCTTTTGTCCTGTTCCCTCAAAAGCATGTGATCTTTGTTAGACCCTATTAGTAATTCTGCTTTTTGCCCTTTGAAGCATGTGATCTTTGTACCTACTCCCTGTTCTTACACCCCCTCCCCTTTTGAAACCCTTAATAAAAACTTGCTGGTCTGAGACTCAGGTGGGCATCACAGTCCTACCGATATGTGATGTCACCCCCGGTGGCCCAGCTGTAAAATTCCTCTCTTTATACTGTCTCTCTTTATTTCTCAGCCAGCCGACACTTATGGAAAATAGAAAGAACCTACGTTGAAATATTGGGGGCGGGTTTCACCAATACAGATTCTCATATTCTGGTGATTAAGATGGGAGCATCTGTGGGGGTGTCCATTTCACACAGAGTAAAAGCCCAAGTTCTGACAATGTCCTACTAGTTCCCATGTGAACCAGACCCCACTTCCTGTATAAGCTCATTGGTTACAACTCTTTCCCCTTCACTCACTCTGTTCCAGGTACCCGGCCTTGCTCTTCCTCAGCACAAGCCCATCCAGGACATTTGCACTTACCGTTCTCTCTGTCAGGAGACCTCCCTCCTTCCTTTAAGTCTCTGCATAAAGGGAACCACCCTATGAGTGAGGGTTTCTCTGATTACCCCTTCCCCAGCTGGACACTCCCTTCCATGCTCAATTTTTTCCCAGAGCTCTTAATATCACACGTCTGTCATTCATATTCTTTCTTTCTCTCTCTCTTTCTTTCTTCTGTCCTCTCCCACTAGAACATCATCAATAACGGGTGTTCTGTCTCTTGTCATAATCCTTAGCAAATACCAGGGGCTCAACAAACAGTTGTTGAATAAGTGAATCTTACTTTAATGGAAAAGCAATTTCCTTGGACTCAAAGATCTGCCCTAAAGTAGGAACTTAACCTGAATAAATAAATGAATGAATGGGTACAGGAGAGACTCAACTTACATCTCATTTTTGATAGGTATAAAGACTAATATGAAAGCAGTGCTTTACTACTTAGAAATCAGACATAACGGTTTAAGTGGCTTATTCAAGGACACACAATAAAGGGAAAGTAATACAGTCACATATTAAAACTCCAGCTAAGCCCCTGACTTTATTTTGCTGTGTCCCTGCATGTTCTCAGACCTGACAAATCAGAACTTATCTAGATTCTCTTGCTTGGCTGAAATATTAGTACCAAAAAGGTTACAAGTTAATAAACTCTGGATTTATTATGAAAGGAAATTTCACAGAAATCTCAAAAGCATTTATCTTGTATATTCAGATACATAAAAAATATACAGGGAGATATCATCATCCATGCTTTAAAACACCCCCAGAAGCAAACCTGCAGCATAAACTTCATGTGCATCATCAGTGCCCGGCACTGCCCATCAGCCAGCCCAGAGCAGCATCCATATGGTCACCTCAGGTGTTGGGGACACAAAGAAACAAAAAAGACGTTCCCATCGGGGGTCATGTTTGTTGAGGGGAAAGAGACATGGGGACAATGCAACTGACTTGGAATGGGGCAGCAATTTGTCTTCCAGAGGCCATCTCAGCTGCATTTTGCAAAGTGTTATGCTAGCCTTGCTCACACACCAGCAAAGCCCATGCCAACTCACCATCCAGCAACATCTCTCTGCCTGCTTTTTTTGGGGGGGTGTGCCAGGGTTGTGTTTTGTTCAAACTTGAAAACTGCATTTCTAGGAATCCTTTTACCAGCATATGGGTGGGAAAGAGGACCACACCGTGATGAGGAAGCTGGACCCAGAGGAGGGACTGTCAGGTTCAAATCTCACCTCTGTGACTCACTAGCTGTGTCCCCCACAGACATGTCACCAACCAACCCTCTCTACACCTCAACGTCCTCACCTCTAAAAAGTCTGCTTATAATTCTTATGATAATTGTAGGCGACATTGCAGGAAAAACACTTATCTTAGTGCCTTGCAATTCCAGGCCTTAATACACACTACCTATTATTATAATAGCTGTTACTATATTAGTATTATATTAATGTTGACTTTTAAAAAAAATCACCATTCAAAAATAAATAGTACATTTGTCTTCATCTTGAGTTTAGCTCGTGACAGTGACTTCTAAAGGTTTATCATTTACTTACAACTAAGTGTTTGCCTATAATCAGGAAAACCTGCTATCAGGCAAATGTTAAGATTAAGCTTTTCTACATATGGCTGGCAAAAATAAAGTCATTTAAAGCCTTCCCCCTCAATTCTACACCTGAATAAAAATATACATGAGTTGTTAATGGAAAGCTTAACAGAAATGTTGAACAAAGATGACCTCATATAGTATTTAAATAAGATAAGCAAAATGAGTAACATTTTAAAATATATACATAGGCACGTGTAGGTTCAACTAGACATTTTTCTGGCAAATTACTGTCTGATAAAATAATTGTTTAATCTAATATCCTACATTGCCTCACTGCTTGAAAAATGAAATAAGATCAAATGACATCAAAATATACATTTATTTTTCTGTTTCTACTAACCACGCTAACCAAGGACACATGTCAGAGGCATTAAGTGAGCTTTACACCAAGTTACACAAGAATTCACCTCACACATGGAGATCCTGATTTAGTAGGCTGGGGAGGAAGCAAGTGTTTGAGTTCTGTAGAAGCTCCCCAGCTGTTACTAATGATAACACCTGTGGTTATTAACCACTGTGCAAGATCTCTCTTTTTTTTTTCCCCCTTTCAACACGGTCTTGTTCTGTCACCCAGGCTGGAGTGCAGTGGCACAATCATGGCTCACCGCAGCTTTGACCTCCCAGGCTTAGGTGATCCTCTCACCTCAGCCTCCTGAGTAGCTGGGACTACAGGCATGCACCACAATGCCCAGCTAATTTTTTGTACTTTTTGTAGAGATGGGGTTTCACCATGTTGCCCAGGCTGGTCTCAAACTCCTGGGCTCAAGCAACCCACCCGCTTCGGCCTCCCAAAGTGCTGAGATTACAAGTGTGAGCCACCGTGTCCAGCCCAAGATCTCTCCTTTGACAAGAAGCTTTTTGCCTTGAAATTGTTCGCAAAAAGTGTTTCTTGATTCTGTAACCCTGCTCCCAAAACAAAACTTGACTGCTTGCAACTCAATAAAGAGAAATGTTGAGTTGCTCCTCAGCCCTTAAAAATAATTAAATAAACCTCTGGTCTTTTAACACTAACAAGAGAGTTAAGGGAAATGGGAAGGGAGGAGGCGGGACTTTCCATCTGTTCCATGAAATCATGTGACTGCCTTCCCTTTAGACTAATAAGGCTGCCAACAGAACTCTCAGTGCTGATGGGTGTGCTCTGTGTCTCAGTCTTCCTATGCGTAACCATTAGCCCCATCGGCCTGCTCATAACCTTCCTAACCTCTTGCCATCCAAGGTCCTTGCTTCTTTCATTCATTCAGTCAATGTTTTCTGAGCAAGTACTGCACCCCAGGGAACAAATGCGAAAATGCCTCTGCCCTCCTGGTGCTTGCATTCTAATTTCTAACAAATGGCCTCTTCAAACTGCCAGACTTGTTTAAAGAACTGCTTCCTTAATGTGTTTCTTAAAAATGATGGTATTTTGGGGCAGAAAAGCAAATAACCGCAGTTTGAGAAAACAATGTGGTTCAAAGGATTAAAGAAATTAGAGGCTATTGAGGGTCTGCACAGGAAAAGATAAGGGAACTTGGGAACCTTTTGCAGTGGAATGAAGCAGTAACAGAATGACTGGCTTGGAGGTTACTTCTGGCGGGGGACATAAACCCACTCCGGAAATAGGAATGACTTGTTAGAGGATTAGGATTCAGTGGCCAGAAGTAGGACCCATTCCCAGCAAGAACATATTTAACAATTCCTACTAGAAATGGGATCAGGAGAGAGGCAAATTCACGACCAGGAGAGGTATCAACATCTTCAAGTAGCCATAACAACTACTTTAATTCTTTGCTAAAAGTTTTTCTAGGTCAATAAAAAAGTAAGGGGTTAAAAAGTAAGAGTGATACTTCGATAAAGTTATCAATAACAACCAAGACCCAGAAAGCTTACCCAGCTAGTCAACGAGGAGCCATGCATAAGGCTCTTACTACTAACCCCATGCTTTTTCCACTACATCATGCAGGGAGCTGAGCAGGGTCATCTTTCATCAGCAGTTTCTAAGACACGGGAGACTACAGCTGCAGAACACAGCATCGGGGAAGGTCAAACCTATAGCAGCTGAACTCTGGTCAATGACAAATGGTTCTCAAATGATCAGAACTGGGTGTCTAGGTGGAGAGCAGTTGCCAAGAAGAGGAGAGAGGTTGTTCAGAATTGCTACATTAGGATAATTGTTACTCATGAAACCCAGAACTAAGTTCATTCATCAGCAAACTTACCTAATTCTGGGGGTAGAACAGTGAGGCGGTTCCCCTGAATGTGGAGCTCTTTAAGCTGGGTAAGCACCCTGATTTCCTTAGGCAGTGAGATCAGGTTGTTATCCCTATTGCTGAGCTAAACAGAAGAAAACAGGGAGTTGTCAACACATTTTCACATTAAAAGGTGCTCCACAGAAACTCTCATCTTCCTCCATGTCCTCTCTTCTACCACAGCTCAGTCCTTTCCATTTATTTACAAGCGCCGGCAGATAATCAAGAAACACTATCAGAAGCAGTGGTTTATTCCTGCAAAACAAACCTGACTCCTTCTCAGATTGACTTGATTCTACCCCTACAAGGCTGCAGCAGTGAATTGATTCTCTAAGAATTTAGATAACTTACTTACTATCTGCAACTTTGTGAGCTTCCCAATATCTGGCGGCAGGATTTCAAAATCGTTGTCACTTAGATAGAGTGCACACAGGGTGGCTGCAAATTAAACAGCAATATATAAACAGGGTGGCATGGAACCCAACCATTTGAGGTCTGATCAATACGAGGGAGTCAGCTTTGATTAATAACCCTGGCTTGGTGAAAAGCCTTTGACATACCTAGGGCTCCCAATAATAACAAGCAGGTCAAACTTACATTTACTGGCTTATTGTTGTGGAGCTGGTGTGTCCAGGAAAACATCTATATCCAAGAGGACTGATACAATTAACAACGTAGGCACTAGCATTTTGGGGCACAGAGTTTCAACACATTTTCAAAAAAGATTGCTATTTTTCTCACAGATTACTTTTGATTCACATTTATTTCTCCATTTGCATCCAAAGTAAAACAAAGAAAACTACTGTGCCACTTTTGTGGATACCTAGGGCAAAAAGGTTCTTTCAAGGGAATGCAACTATGTTAAAATAGACTTTTTCCTATGTAAATAGCATTGTGTTAAAAATTAATGAAAGGCTTTCTGGTGATGGAGGCTATAACTACAGCTCATCAGTCCATAATCTGACTAATTATTACTACTTGTTTCTACAGCCTTAAGGACAAAAGTAAATGAAGACAAAGGGACTAAAATAATGGCATGAAGTTAACAGAGTAAATCCTAACTTAAGCAGAATATCAGTAGTCAGAAATTTGTTCACAATTACTACACAATGATAATATGATTCCAAACTATTGAAGGCTAAAATTCTAAAGCATCTGTTTATCCTCAACCAAAAAAGCTGAGTATAATTAGAGGTATGTTTTGTTTATCAGTATTTATTTATTTTTTAGAGACAGAGTCTCGTTCTGTCACCCAGACTGGAGTGCAGTGGGTCACTGCAGCCTCAAATTCCTGGCCTCAAGCAATCTTCCTACCTCAGCCTCCCAATTAGCTAAGATTACAGGCACATGCTACTATGCCTGGTTAATTTTTTAATTTTTGTTTCTAGAGACAGGGTCTCTCTATGTCGCCCAGGCTGGTCTTAAACTCCTAGCCTCAAGTGATCTTTGGAGCTCAGACTCCAGAACTGTATGTTAATATAACATAATAAAAACAGGGGCTTCACCACCCAAGAAAATATTTTACAGTTGGTTTCATGTGCTTGAGAAAGTCACAGAGAGAGAACGTACATAAGGCAAAAAGTGAAATTTTAGAGACCAGCTCAGAAAATTCAGATTTTCTGAATGCCATATAAGTTACTAATTGAAGAAATAGAACACTCATTTAAGAGAAACAAACCTTGTCTGAAATAGTGCATGAGTTCCCAGAAGAAATCATTTTTTAATTTTCAAAAGCATCTTCAGCAAGAAATTTGTTGGCATATAAAAGAATAAGGTGTGTTCACCTGTGGCCAATAATTTCTTAATGCCTGTGTACTGGATAAATAGGTCAATAAGAGTACTTTTTAAAAGGCTGAAAATAAGAATCCTGGCTGGAAAATTTAAAAATTCCATTAGTGGTTTATTAATAAATATTTTTATAATTAATTGATTGGGACATCCTGGAAAATATCGTACAAAGAATTAATACCAACATGGGAGGATATCTTTTTTTGGCACGCTATTTAAAAAGAAAGTCAAGTCTCTTAGCTAAATGTGAGGTTTGATCTCATTTAGGTATATCATCTCTCTCAGAATGTTAATATGACTTTACTAAGTCCACTTCAGCCCAATGGTGTCACATAACGATATATCAAATGCACATACGCTGAGCTATGAAGGAATATTCAAAAGGAGTCTCTAAAGAAAAAGTTATCTCTGTCCAATAATTTCTCTTGGAGTTTAAGTCCTGGCAAATAAATTTCACTCTTAGAATGCAAAGTATAATGTTGAGGAGATTCATAGAACTGAAAGTTTCTTACTCAGGTAGAAGAAGTTTCCAGGAAGATAATTTTCATTCAAGTTGTTGTAAGTCAAGTCCAGAACCTCAAGAGCTGGCAGGGAGCCAAAGCCTTGTGGCGAAATGTTCAGCCTGTTCATGCTGTTGCAGGGGGACAAAAATCTACATCAGGACACCAAAGACACATTTATAGAGACTATCAAGGGCACCTCAGTTTCACAGGCTGAAAGTGTAAGAGAGTGCCATGATCCTAGAGTCACTTTATACTTTATTTTTATTTTTATTTTTTTTGAGATAGGGCCTTGCTCTGTTGCCCAGGCTGGAGTGCAGTGGCACGATCTTGGGTCACTGCAGCCTTGACCTCCATGGGCTCAAGCGATCCTTCCACTTCAGCCTCCCAAGTAGCTGGGACCACAGGTGCACACCATCATACCCCACCAATGTTTGTATTTTTTGCAGAGATTGGTTTTTGCCGTGTTGCCCGGGCTGGTCTCAAACTCCTGAGCTCGAGCCATCCTCCCACTTTGGCCTCCCAGAATGCTGGGATCATAGGTGTGAGTCAACACATCCATCCTATTTTTTTTTTAATTATAAAAATCATTTATGTAAAATTTATATTGACAAATGAAGATTGTACATACCTATGGTGTACAACATGATACTTCTGATATATGTATAATCCATCATGGAATGGCTTAAATCACACTGTTTAATATACGCATTGCCTCATATCATATGCTTGTCATTTTTTTGTCTTTTGTGGTGAGAATGCTTAAAATTCACTCTCTTAGCAATTTTCAAATATGCTACATATTGTTATTGACTGCAGTCACCATGATATACAATCCATCTCTTGAACTTACTTCTCCTGTCTAACTAAAATTTCGTGTCCTTTGGCAATTTCCCTCTCCCTCCAGCCTCTGGTAACCATTTTATTCCCTGTTTCGATGAGGTTTACTTTTTTACATTCCACATATAAGTGAGATGATGTGGTATGTTGTCTTATTTAAACTAATAATTTTAGAGAACTTATATATTCCTGAAACATTTGGAAATTTCTTAGTTGTCATTTTTCTCCAATGGTGAAATTGAATCACTGTTTTACACAAAAATTCAAACCATCACAAAATATCTGTCCTTGTAAAGAAAAACGTCCTTATGAATGTAGTGATAATATCTGAAACTATACACATGAAGCTTTGTAGTTTTCAGACTTTTGCTTTATTTCATTTCATTTATTCCCTTTAGGAGGGAAAATCATGGTTTTTTTTTTTTTCTACAACTGTTAAAATTCAAAGTTATCTTCAATTAGAATGGTGATGGCCAGGGGCTGGAGGGAGGGGCAATGGAGAGATGTTATTCAATGGGTGTAGGATTCAGGTTTGCAAGATGAGAAAATTCTGCAGATTGGCTAAACAACAATATGAATACGCTTAACACCATTGAACTGTATACTACAAAGACAGTAATTTTTTTTTTTTTGAGACGGAGTCTCGCTGTGTTGCCCAGGCTGGAGTGCAGTGGTGAGATCTCAGCTCACTGCAAACTCCACCTCCCCAGTTCAAGCGATTCTCTTGCCTCAGCCTCCTGAGTAGTTGGGACTATAGGCACGTGCCACCATGCCCGGCTAATTTTTGCATTTTTAGTAGAGAAAGGTTTCACCATGTTGGCCAGGATGGTCTCGATCTCTTGACCTCGTGATCCACCTGCCTCAGCCTCCCAAAGTGCTGGGATTACAGGTGTGAGCCACTGTGCCCAGCCAGACAGTACATTTTATGTGTATTTTATTGCAACTTAAAATTTTTTTAAATCGTACAATTGGCTCTTGAGCAACATGGGTTTGAACTGCCTGGGTCCAATGACACATGGATATTTTTCTTCTGCCTCTGCTACCCCTGAGACAAGAAGACCAACCCTCCTCTTCCTCCTTAGCCCACTCAACATGAAGAAGAGGATGAAGACCTTTAAGATGACCCACTTCCACTTGAAGAACAGTAAATGCACTTTGTTTTCCTTATGACTTTCCTAATAACATTTTCTATTGCTTAGCTTACTTTATTGTAAGAATGCAGAATAGAATACATATAACACACAAAATATGTGTTAATTGGCATTTATGTTTTGGTAAGGCTTCCGGTCAACTGTAGGCTATTAGTACTTAAGTTTATTCAGAGTCAAAAGTTATGTGTGGATTTTCGACTGCATGGGGGGTCAGTGTGGTGCTCCCTCCACCCATGTGTTGCTGAAGGATCAATTGTGTGTGGGTGTGTGCAGGGGTGTGTGGTGTGTGTGGGTGTGTATGTGGTGTTGTGTGTAGTGTTATGTGTGTGTGTACGGGGGTGTTATGTGTGGTGTGGGGGGTGTGGTGTGTGTGTGGTATGGTGGTGTAGGGGTGTGCTGTGTGTGTGGTGTGTGGAGGGGTTGTCGTGTGTGTGTGGTGTGTGTGGGTGGGCATGGGGTGTGTGTGTGGTGGGGTGGTGTGTGTTGTATGTGTGTGGTGTGTGTGTGGGGTTATGGATATGGTATGGTGTGGTATGTGTATGGGGTGTGTATGGGGGTGTGGTGGTGTGTGTGTTTACGCAGTATGTGTTTGTGTCTGTGTGTGTGTGTGTGTCTCCGATGAATTCTAAGGGAATTTTTTTCTTTTTTTTTAATTATACTTTAAGTTCTAGGGTACATGTGCACAACATGCAGGTTTGTTACATAGGTATACATGTGTCATGTTGGTTTGCTGCACCCATCAACTCGTCATTTACATTAGGCATTTCTCCTAATACTATCCCTCCCCCAGCCCCCCACCCCCTGACAGGCCCCGGTGTGTGATGTTAAGGGAATTTTTTTCTACACTATCTTTTATCCTTTTCTTTAAGCCCCTTATTTTTCTTAAAGCCGTTCCCTTTGAGCATACTTAAAAGCCAATTAAAAAAAAACTTTAATAAAAGTTGACAGATATTGAAAGATGGAAGGAAGTATGACAATAAAAATCATTCTAGTCATCGATGCTTCTTATAACAGATCCAGCTCGGTCCAGTCCTACCAAGCAGGCCTCACCAGAAACAGCAGACAGCAGAGGGAGAAACCAAAATGGAAACGTGGGTTCCCGCTCTCAGGCAGAAAACGACCCAGACAGACTACACCCAGCAAAACTACCTCCACGACTATCTACTGCCATGACAGCAACAACAAATATTCTCCATGAAGTCACAATTTGTGAAGCACATTATGGCAAGTACTTGGCTTGTTGTATTACCTTGTAACACAGGCAAGATGGAGCTTGTAATTAGTGCTATCTTGAGATGAAAAAACAGCCTAAGAGAGAGTAAGGAGAAAAGACTTCAGAAGTGACTGATGAAGGTGACATGTGTCTGGAAGCACCCTGTACCTCACAGAGGCCAAAGCCGTTCCAGACCCTTGGGCTCCCATGCAAGGATTCTGAGAAGAATTGCAAGTCAGAGACAGAAAGGAAGGTAGAGAAGCATACACTAGGTGCTTCTGTCTTTAAACACTGCTTTAAGTTATCCGTTTTTGAAAACTGCTGATTCCTTAACATTTTTCTCTGCAAATAAAGAAATGCACTTTTGCAATATTAGGTATAGGAAATCCACGGTTAGACAGGCTTAGAGGGAAGAGGCATCTCACCTGAGAGAGAACTCCCATTCAATCTCCAGCCCAGAGCAAGCCTGGAGCCCCTCCACCTCTTGGTGGCAAGAATCTACTTAATTGAAGGTTCCTTTTTCCTTTGAGTGACAAACCAATACCTACAACGTGTAAGGAACACAGCAGAGTCCCATGTGGAGCTGACAGCAGTATGTAACAGTAGTAGGCACACCACCATGGTGGGGCAGAAAGGAAGCCCTTAAACAAATGCTGAAACTTCAGAAGAACTCCTAGCAACGGCCCCAGCTACAAAGGGGGCAAGGAACTGCAGAGACTTCTGGCCACCTCTTCGGAGGCCAGACCATGTGCATGGTGACCTGGTGGCATCTCTCTCTGCAGAATGAAGGCTGGAACATGCTGGCTGTCCCCCTTCCCCCCAGCAGGTGCTAACATCCATCTCCATCCATCCACATTTCCACTTGTAGGAATTCCATGCTTAGGGCCCCACTCTGACACTGCTAGCAATCAAGGTTTCCATGAGAGGTTACAGTGGGAGTAGGAAAAGAATGGAGCTTTAAGATAGGAGACAGCTAGGTGAGGAATCTGGCTCCAGCACTTGCTAGCTGCGTGACCTTGACCAAGTTACTCAGCTTCTCTGAGACTGAATTTCCTCGACTATAAAATAAGGCTGACAACATCTTCAGGGCAGGATCACTGGGAGGATGAGAGAGAAAATATGTGAAGCACCCAACACCTGATCCATGGCTCAGATGTGACTTCTCAGGAAATGAGAGCTGTTGCTAGAATTATTTTTCAAAAGGTTTGAGAGAAAATTTTGAATCAGCCCTAAGCGAGCAAGCTCACCTCATGACAAGCCACTTTGGATAGTCCGAACTATTAACTGTGGTTTTACTATTTGTGCCACACTTGCTTAATCTCAGGTGACTTCAGGTGTTGAAACATAAAGCTTTGCAGGTCTCAGCTATGCCAAGTGCTATCAATTCTTTGTTTGCATGGGAAGATTTTTCAAATGCATGTTGGAAGTGGGCAAATGTCTGCATATGATGGAGAAATTTATAAAACCAGGGGGTCTAAGTCTATTCAGCATCTTTTTTCCTTTTCTTCTAAAGCCCCAGAAAGGTCTGTAATAATGACTCCTTTTCAGAGCAGTTTCTTCTCTGCAGGTGGTCCTGAGCACCTCCAGCTTCAATAAAACCTTCTTGGCTAAAGGCACTAATTTTTCTCACCTCCACAGTGACCTACTCACACAGTTATCAAAAATAAAAGTTAAAAAAAAAATCCAGGCTGAGCCCGGTGGCTCACGTCTGTAATCCCAGCACTTTGGGAGGCCTACACAGGCAGATTGCTTGAGCTCAGGAGCCCGAGACCAGCCTGGGCAACATGGCAAAACCCCATCTCTACAGAAAAAACTACAAAAATTAGCCAGGTGTGGTGGCACGTACCTGTGGTTACAGCTACTCAGGAGGCTGAGGTGGGAGGATCACTTGAGCCCAGGAGGCATAGGTTGCAGTGGGCAGAGATTGCACCACTGCACTGCACTCCAGCCTGGGAGACAGAGCGAGACCCTGTCTCAATAAATAAATAAATAAATAATTCAAATCCGTAAATAACCAATATGGAACTTAATAAAAACTTCTATGTGTTCATGAGACTAGCTCTTGCAAGAAACAAGGTCAAACGTTATTCCCGAATAGTTGGGCACAGTGGTCCTGCAGTGAAGTTATCCTAGAAATAATCATCAACATGGTAACCTATGTGGCTTCACATTTTTTGGAAAATAACTCTATGAAATAAACTGCATTTAAGGAATTAAGAACAGAACTTAACTTTCTTTAATTTGTTCCGGTGGCCTAAAATTCTCTCATGTCTTACAATCAACAGAATAAACTGCAAGTACTATATAAAACTTTGAAAGCAAATTCTTATTGAGGGTGCCTTTTGGATTATGCATACACGTGGCTTCCCTGCTCCGTTTTGTGATCTCCCGTGTGTATGCTTTCAGCCCGGCTCCTTAGAATAAGGAGTCCTCCCTATAACTTGCCTCACTGTGTGGTATAATTCTTTATACCATTTGAGGACAGAGGTATCCTTTAGTGAAACCCATCTTAGCTCCTTTCCCAAAGAATTGGGAGGTTTTCTTCAAACTTTGACAACTCCATCTATGTTGCTGTGTAATTAAGTACAAAAAGCTTTACACAATCAATAAAGCGCCAACAGCCCAAAATGCAAACAACTCCAAAGAGAACAAGAAGGCAACTACATGCATTCATTGAAAAAGAAAAGTTTAGGGCTGAGTGCGGTGGCTTACACCTGTAATCCCAGCACTTTGGGAGGCTGAGGCAGGTGGATCACCTGAGGTCAGGAGTTCGAGATCAGCCTGACCAACATGGTAAAATGGCATCTCTACTAAAAATACAAAAGTAGCTGGGTGTGGTGGCACATGCCTGTAATCCCAGCTACTCGGGAGGCTGAGGCAGAAGAATCGCTTGAACCCGGGAGGTGGAGGTTGCCGTGAGCCGAGATTGTGCCATTGCACTAGAGCCTGGGCAACAAGAGCAAAACTCTGTCTAAAAAAAAAAAGGAAAAGGAGAAGAAAAGTTTACGGCTCTGTCCTATGGTGCCTCAAACCAAACAACAAAACCTGAGCTTATTATTTTCTTCCCAAACCTGTCTCCATCGGTTCTATTTTTCAGCTGTCCAACAGAAATGTAGGTATCATTCCATCCCATCAGTTACTGTCTGTCAACGTTACCACCTGTATATTTTTCATATAAAATCCCTCCCTGTCTCCACTGTCACTCTCCTAGTTCACATGGGACATGAAGCTTATGTTCTTACTGGTCTTCTAACCTCTAGTTTCCCTCCCTCCACCCTCTTCTCCACACTGATCTTTCATATCTCATATCCACTACTCGGCTATGCAAATTTCTCGATGGTCAGCATGATAAAATTGGAGCTCATTAATTTATTTATGTATGTGTTTATTTTTGAGATGGAATATCACTCTGTCACGTAGCTGGAGTGCAGTTGTACGATCTCAGCTCACTGAAACCTCTGCTTCCTGGGTTCAAATGTCTCTCCTGCCTCAGCCCCCTGGGCAGAATAGCTGGGATCATAGGTGCATGCCACGACACTTAGCTAATTTTTGTATTTTTAGTAGAGATGAGGTTTTGCCATCTTGACAAGGCTGTTCTTGAACTCCTGGCCTCAGCTGACCCTCCAGCCTCAGCCTCCCAAAGTGCTGAGACTACAGGCGTGAGCCACCATGCCCAGGAGGAGCTTGTTTATTTAGCACAGAGGCCTTTCATTAGCACTTTTGACTCCTTGCCATTATTATAAACATTTATTTGTTTACAGTTGGTTTCCTCAACTGTAATGGAAGCTCCATCAGGGCTAGATGGCCAGCAGCTGTAACAATGCCTAGTACACGATTGGGAACTTGGTAGATCCTCATTCACTGAACAGCGGATATCCAGGATTCCCTGTCTAGCCTGACCTCTGACCTTACAGCCACCTGCCTCACACTTTATACTCAACAGTACCAAAGAACTGACAACTCCCAGGCCCCAGGCAGGCAGTGCTGTGAGTGTTTAAATATGTCGTTCGTGGCTGGGCGCGGTGGCTCACACCTATAATCCCAGCACTTTGGGAGGCCGAGGTGGGTGGATCACGAGGTCAAGAGATCGATCGAGACCATCCTGGCCAACATGGTAAAACCCTGTCTGTACTAAAAATACAAAAATTAGCTGGGTGTGGTGGTGTGCACCTGTAGTCCTAGCTACTTGGGAGGCTGAGACAGGACAATCGCTGGAACTTGGGAGGCAGAGGTTGCAGTGAGCTGAGATCGCATCACTGCACTCCAGCCTGGTGACAAAGCAAGACTCCGTCTCAAAAATAAAAATTAAAAAAAATTGGCAAATATCTGGCCAGCATCCATTGCCACTCCACGTCAATCACTAACTTAACCAGAGCATTTAGTGGCTACAATTTAATGAGTATACGACTTTGCACAGAGACTGAAGCATGAGTGGGCAGTTTCATCTAATAGCTGTGCCAATGAAGATGGAATTCTGATGTTGCAGTTCCAGTTGGGGTCTATGGATGTATTCGTCTGTTCTCCCATTGCTATAAAGGAACGCCTGAGGCTAGGTAACTTACAAGAAAAGAGGTTTAACTGACTCATGGTTCTACCGGCTGTATAAGAAGCATGGCAGCTGCTGCTTGCGGGGAAGCCTCAGGAAGCTTTTACTCGTGGTGGAAGGCAATGCAGGAGCATGTGTATTACATGGCAGGAGAAGGAGAGCACAAGGGGTCTTGCAATAACTCACTCACTATCATAAGGACAGTACCAAGAGGGGATGGTGCTAAACCATTCATGAGAGCTCCGCCCCCAGATCTAATCACCTCCCACCAGGCCCCACCTCCAGCAATGGGGATTACAATTCCACATGAGATTTGGTGGGGACACAGATCCAGACCATATCAATGGAGTCTGATGGAGCCTTTAGACCCAGAACCATGGGGTTCTCTTCCCAGCTTGGCCACTAACCTCAGGGGTGACCAGGACCCAGTCCCTTAGCCCCTTTGAAAAGGCTTGGCTTCCTCTGTATAAAATGAAAGCACTAAAACCTGCCTTTCCTACCTCACAAATGTTGACAGGATCAAGTGCTACAAAGCAATACACGAAGACAGGTTATCATTATTATTATTTACTGCTCCCTGGTTCTGCAACCTCAGTTGAAACAAAACTCATATCTTTACCTTTGCATAAAGAAAGACAGAGAATTGTCACCTCTCAACTACAGAGAAGAATTGCAAAAATGAATGAAGCAGCATTAGGGAATATATTCTTCCCTCCATGGCACAAAGGTCCTTTATAAACTATTCTTATTTAACACAGAGAGAAAAAAGTCAACCATATTACAAC
This sequence comes from Homo sapiens, assembly GCF_000001405.40. Lineage (NCBI taxonomy): Eukaryota > Metazoa > Chordata > Mammalia > Primates > Hominidae > Homo > Homo sapiens. Next base: position 42,726,303 of record NC_000010.11, on the reverse strand, counting down.
TTGTCTGCCAGTTCATGCTATGCAAATAAGTCCCTTCTTGGTCAACAGAGCTGAGATAAAATTTTACTGGACACAAAATACAGTAAAAATTTATCTTCCTTATTGTGCCAACTATTAGCTTCTCAATTAGCTCTCAAATCTTCACTAATGTAGGCCACCGAAAGGATATATTAAAACAATAAAACTTTTTTTAAAACACAAAACACAAAAAGAAATTAGAAATCCACTTCTGTGCAATGATATAAATGGAATCCCTCCCCTGGCCCTACCCAGCACGCCCCTTCCACTCTCTTCCTCTCCATCCTTTCACCTCCACTGATACTCACCCAAGGTTCAGGTGTTTGAGTTTTTGAAGCCTGCTGATCTGTGTTGGCAGCTTCTCGATCTGGTTATTTAAAAAGTTGAGCACTTCCAAATTCTTCAGTTCTGCTATGTTTGGTGGTACCACCATGGAAACATAAATGCTGAGTGTGAATCTGGGAATGGAACTCCTAGCAAGGGATGGCAGCAGCACATTTTGTTTTTATTCAAAGCTAAGAAACATATAACTCCAAAAGGACCATCGAATTCACCTATCAGTCTTACTTATTTTTCACAAGTTTTTCATAAGCAGTCACTCACTTCTGAGTGGCTGCTGAAATGCTTCTTCGTATATCATTAGCTAAGTGCTTGGCATAGTTTGTTTCGGAGGGACAACGAGGAGGGAAACAGAGCAAAAATGCACAAAAGAGAATTTCTGTACCATAGCAGCCTATAAAAGTGAATATTACAAAGCATATACACTTATAGCTGTCATATAGGATCTTTTAAGTGCAATTGTTTTTTTCTTTCGGTTTTCTTGCATTGCCACCAGAAGAAAGACAGCAACCTCCAAATCCCTTCCTGGGTGACATACATTGAAGCTGTTTAACCCAGTATCTGAACAGCTGTCCTCTTAACATTGCATTATATTAGCTCAACTTTAAATAACGAAATATTCAATATCCCTAGTTTCTGATTTTGGCCTCTGGAGTAATGTATCTTGATCAATACCACACATACATACAGACACACACCCATACATACACATACACACACACACAAAGGTTACATCAGATTTGCAACACATCGATATATTGTTATTATATAGAAATAAAAAAGTCAACTCAGTAACATGCTATGAACACTAGTATGCAGATCAAAGGTGAAAATCAACCACTGGGGACCCAAAAGGTTCCTCCTTCCCTAGCATATATATACTTGAAAATACAAATGTAAAAGCCAAAGGCATCTTTATCTCAAAAGGACAAACTATAAATTGGCAGCAGAAGGACTTTCCATAGGCTGTAATTCATCTATTCCATTTGCTATTCAATCATTCTACAAACATTTGTATGGGTGATAAGCTTGGCCATGGTTCATGTAAACTCTGATACCAAGACTATCCAGGTAACTAAAAACATGAACAGGTGCCTGGAGCCCAGCCCAAAAAAGTGTGATGTCTCATATCCGTCAGGTTTACTTCCCATCCCATCTGCTTCCTCCAGGGGTGCCCCAGGAGGCCAGAAAACCAACCTGCTTGCCTGCAGTCAGACCTAAACTCAGACCCAAGAGCACTTGTGATTAGAACCAGTACAAAGGTGTGTGTAAAACGCCAAACATACATCTAAAATATTTAAGCAGCTAGCCATTTCAAGGACACCAATTGATAACTCCAAGGGGAATAAAATTAAAGGGACAGGAACATGACTAATTATAGTTTTGAGTCATCATTTTCAGCTTTCTGAAATGTCTACAGTATCGCTGACCTGATTTCTTTTAGAGTGAATGCTTGGTGAAAGGTAAAAGAAACGCTTTCACTGGAAGAAGGGACTGTGAAGAATACGGATTACTCTGAACTAGGGCACATGGGCAGGGAGCAGTGGTCTAGTGAGCAGCCCCTGGGTGAGCTCCTGAAGTGGCTGTTGATAAAAGAACAGGTTTTCATGGGGTAATCTAGACAGCTGGAAGTTCCTCCAGAACCCTCCCTCTTGGATACCTGCAAGAATTCAAAGGAATCCTACCTGTAAAATATGGATGCAAATGCACATTCTTAGGTGCACAGTCCATGGGACACTTCCATGGAAATGAATGGTATTCATCTTGTGTAAGTGATTATCAAGAAAATCACCGGGGCCAGGAGTGGTGCCTCACGCCTATAATCCTATAACCCCAGCACTTTGGGAGGCCTAGGCAGGTGGATTACCTGAGGTCAGGAGTTCGAGACTAGCCTGACCAACATGGTGAAACCCTGACTCTACTCAAAATACAAAAATTAGCTGGGCATGGTGGCAGGTGCCCATAATCCCAGCTACTCGGGAGGCTGAGGCAGGAAAACTGCTTGAACCCAGGAGGTGGAGGTTGCAGTGAGCCAAGATCACGCTGTTGCACTCCAGCCTGGGTGACAAGAGTGAAACTCTATCTCAAAGGAAAAGAAAATCACCAAGCTATGTCTTCTAAGTCACTGGATGTCATCTTCTCCCCCCAGATCATAAAGTATATACAGTGCAGCTGCCCACAGACCTCATCCCTCCCCTGTCCACCCTCCAGCTACCACTAAGCCTTCATCTGAGTAGTTTGAAGAGCACATTCATCTGATGAGTTCGAAGAGCAATAATGAAAGTTAGTGAAATCAGGAGAAATTTATGATCTCAATTTAGCCACAAACCTAGAATAATGCAGGCAGAATTACTGTCGTCTTCCTGAAGTTACTCTGCCAGTGGAATTAAATACTCTCTAAAGATATCACCTTTTTGACAGGATGAGAGATTATTTCACTCTCCTTGCTAAATCAGTCCAATTTAAAACCACAAATTATGCTAAATGTGATTTAGGGCTTTGTCTTGTGGACGCAAACGATAGCCTCATATTCAATTTACAAAACCTCTCCCAGCCTTTTGGTGAGCATGTGAATTTTTTGCTTAAGACTCCATTCAAGCTAGATGAGAAAAAAAATTACGCAGCTAATATTCTCCCTAAATATACAGAATTTTTTTAACCCCCAGCCATAGTGAAAATCTAAAGAAATTAACATGCAGACCCGTCTGGATGGGATGGTATTCACTCTTTGAACCAACACTTAGAGAATGCTGATTAGGTGCTCAGTGCCATACTTTTCACACATAGCATCTCAATACTTTGGGGGTAAAGTAGGAGGGGCATGTTATTTAAGGAAAGTAAGTTACAAAAGACAGGGTATCAAAGTCAATAAACTGAAACAGGCCTAGTGCTTGGAAAATAAACTACTCCCAGCCAAACTAGTTGTCCAGAAAAAATAACCAGTTAGCAATATGAATTGTGTCACGACTAAATCATATACATATGTGGCAGGAACAATTTTAGCTATTTCAAAAAGGCCACTGCAATATCTTACCACTCAAAATATTTTATTGGAATTTTCCAGATATCTATAGGATGCATGAGCAAGAAGCATTTTAAAACCTAATAGCGTGCATCAGTATATTTCTTATCATGTCTTTGAAATGTTCCTTTTTCATCAATCTGTCCAGCTTCTGACCTATGACCCCAGCTGACCTATGACACCGAAGAAACTGAAGAGCAATGTGGTCCTTGACCCTACAGTGCTGTGTGTGCCCTTACTCAACTCATAACCTCTCTGGGTGTCTATAAAATAAGAAGGCTGGATTATGACCGTTTCCAAGGTCTCTTCCACCTCGTTTTAACATTCTAGGATTCTAACAGGAGATGGATTATGAAAATCAATGATAGGGCTTCAAATAATTCAAAAAATGGGGCCCTCAATTAGGAAGCTTAGTGATGTAGAACTTTGCTTCTGACAAAGAATTGAGTACCATTTTCTGCGTAGCCAAAGACAGTTGCTTTAAGTTTGAGACTTCAGTTGCTGGGTTTGGGGGAACCGTCCCAAAGGACTCAGACATTCCCTGGCTCCTCGATGTCACATTTTGCTCTAGCTGCAGGATCACAGGACTGCTGGGGATGCTTTCTTCCTACAGCGTCTGCTGGTGTTTTGGAAAGGTGACAAGGATGTGGTCACATCACCCCAGAGACAAATCTCAAAGTTTCTTCTGGGCTTTGTAGCAGTTCCACCTAACAAACCTGGCATGACCTTTTTTCCTTCAAGTTCTCCTAAACTGAAGAAACTGAATGTGATTCAAGAGTTTTGTCCATCTGACGTGCCAGCCCTAGACTTGGCAATTCAGCACCCCCGTCTCCCGCAGCACAGTTTCTGGAAGGTTCCACAAGCAGCCCAAAGTGCCTGAAGGGCTCCTTAACTTCTCTTTGGCCGGAAGCACCTCCACTTTGCTGGACAGGCTGGAGAAACCAGAGTCCATCTGTGCGAAACACTGGCACAGCCCCTTCCTGAGCAACAGCTTTACTCCTAAAAGGACATGTATCTACTGCCATTGGTTATATCTGCAACAGGCATGAGCCACCCGGCACTGCACAGTTGGTGCACATTCACAAAATCAACAATCAATCAGCTCAAGAATAGGCTTTCCCTAACCAGCCAGCAGCCCACAAACTATCTCCCCTGCACACAAAGAATCAAAATCAACTACTGTTATAACAATTGCAGTTTCAATTCTGTTGAATTGAGTAAGGAAGATTCTGTTCTATGATCTAAAATTAATAATTCCACAACCAACATCTTAAAGCATTTTAGGAGTTTACCAATAATAATTAGCAGGGTGTGTTCTGGGGCTGGGCTATCTGATGGACAGCCACTAGCTATATGCAGCTATTTGAATTTAAACCTACATTAATCAAAATTAAATAAAATGATGAATGCTATTGTTGGTCACAGCAGCCACATTTCAAGAACTCGACCGCCACATGTGGTGTCTAGTGGCTCCACTACTGCATGGCAGGGATACTGACCGTTTCATCACCACAGAACGTTCTATTAGACAGCCCTGCTCTATGGCAGTGGGTCTCAAACCACGGAGACATCAGAATCACCAGAGGCCTTGCTAAAACACAGATGGAGGAGTGTCCTGGAGTTTCTGATTTAGTAGATTTGGGGTAAAGCCTGAGAATCTGAATTTCCAGCAACTTCTCAGGGGATGCTGATGTTGCTGCTCTGGGAACCCCATTTTGGCTTAGAAAACTTTGAATTCATTGGCAGCATCATGATTATCAATCCAACACATATGTCCCTTACCCCATGCAATAATGCAATGAGTATAATAATCAATCTTATCCAAATGAAGACGCCTACTGAGCCTGGGGATTGATGAAAAGTGAAACAAATGATACTCTAGATAGCTAACACATTCAACGTGGGTGCCACAATCAAACCCTTTCTAGTCAACTTCTGCTTCCCCACACAGGATTTTATGGCGAGATCAGTATTGCTTAAGATGGACAACGTTCCAGAGGAGAAAAGCCTTGAATTCCCTAGCACACTGAATTAAGTCACTCAGTGGCAAATTCATCATGACCAAGGGTGGCCATACAAAGAGATGTCACCTGCTATACTGCCCAGCTTCAAAACACTGAGCCTTAACGGCAGGATGCTGGGTGGTAGTGATGGCACTGACAGACCGGCTTGGGTGCAGCTGATCTGGGGGCTTTTTGAGCAAAAGCATCTTGTGGCCCTTGAGGCAAAGAAACAAAGCTGTAAGGAGCGACAGACTCTGGGAGCAGCAGGCACAATGTGAAAACATAAGGACAAGTGCTCTGCTTGGGTGCAGCCCACGGAAGGGTCAGGGGGTCACACTTTGGTCTTTAGAGTCATATGGTTACCAGCGACAGCCAGGTTCTCTTCAGCTCCAGAAGGACAGCACTAGACCCTGCACCATGCTAACGCACACCTACGGCTGCCAGGAAGCCAGAAGCTGCTCTGAACACATGGCGCTTTCCATCCACAGCACGGGCATGAAATCTGGAGGTGACCTCCACCCACCATCTCCACCAAACTTCTGGGGACTTGGGGGCTGCACTACACCCAACTGTTTTTGCAGAAGCACCAAAGGATGTTTTTAGAACTAGTGATTCCTGAGCTAGGGCTGGCCCAGAGCATGAAAGCCAGGGGACCAAGCCTCTTTGAAAAAAGTGAACTGATGGCTGAACCTCTGCTTCCAGTGAAGGATGGTGAGTTACAGCAAGGGAATGAAGAGGAGGACTTAGGGCAGGCAACTGCTTACAGCCAGGGCTAGGACAGCAGGTGGCACAGGGGCATGCCACCCTTGTGCTGCAATGGTGGTAACACTACTGTATTGTGCCCGCCTCCAGGATGCAAAAATGCCACCAACCCTCAGGCCAAAGAGTCCCCAAAGAAAACACATGGAATGAGTCACAGCAAAATGAAGCCGAGTAGCATTGCTTCTAAAAACCTGACATATTGCTATTTTTTAAAAAAGGAGGTTTTTGTCTGCTGCCATAACAAAGGAAAATGCCTGCTCAGATGTTCACAATGTCATATATTTCTACAGCTTTTTAAAATAAAGCACAGAAGGATAGAGGATGGTAGAGGATATTAAAATTAGCTTGTCACTTAGATAATTTAGTATATTACATTACTACAATTAAGTTACTAGAAAAATCACTAAAAACCTGAGAATAGATGAAAATGAGTGAGATTATTCATTATAGGTATGGGAGAGGGAAGGACCATTTATGAGAAAATGGTGAAAGTAAACATTTCCTTGCCCCAGCATTTGATGAATATGATACTGAAAAACAAGTGCCCCTCTTTGGCCTGAATGAAGCAAGGGAGAAAAAAACCAAATTAGCAGAAACGAGATGAAATATGACTTGGGGCATCCGTGGTCAAAGTGAAAGCACAGGCTTTTTAATCTCTAGCCATAATAACTGGAGAACATTAGTCCATTCACAGCACAAAGGTGGTGTCTAGACTAATTATAGACGTGCCAATTCTTTCAGCAAATCATAGTTCTCGATGCCATTTTAATGATTATACATAAAGAAGAATCTTCTCAGTCTCGCATAGGAATAATTAAACTATTTAGCACTTTATATGCAAAAAAGGTCATTTGTAGTTATAGTGATTAATTACTTTCAAGTCCTCCTAAGCACTTTATATGCAAAAAAAAAAAGGTCATTTGTAGTTATAGTTTTGGCCAGAAAACAAAGGTTTTCTGGCCAAAAACACAAGGTGGATAATTAACTTATTACATATTACCATAAGAGTTTGAAGTTCAAAAGTATACTAATGAAAACTGGCTTCACAGATTTTATGGGATTTCACCCAAAGCAGGTATTAAAGCAGTGAATTACAGTAGTTCTGGGTTACTTAAAAACATAAAGTTTATGAAACAGTGAAACAAATTATCATTTAAAAGGTTCTACATGTTCCTCAAGGTAAACATAAAATAGCAAAATATCTAAGGATCTACCCCAAGAAAGGCCAACAAATATTATTAGCTTTATAAATAACAAAGTTCTCCAAATATTATTAGTTTTATAAATAACAAAGGTAATGCTACTTTCAGTTAATAAACAACAAGTATTTACTGAGAACCTGTGTCCCGAAAGCACATGCTCACTCTATCCTATTATGAGCCGCCTCAGGATTCTATAGCCTAAGTCATTTTAGTAAACAAAAATGTCCCTTGCTTAACTCACTGCAACACAATGGTCCTACTCTTTCAGCAGCAATGTGAAAACGAATTGCATGAAAATTACAGGAAAAAAGGTATAAGCAAGTAATAGGGTAGATTTGAGAGTATAAAGCCAAACATGCAAAAATATATGTTCCTGAGCTATAAAAAGGTGTATGCATAACCAAACAAATCTCCTAAAAAACTGATAAGCATAGATTTCTTCTCCTCTGAGGATATAAAAATTAGTTAATTTCTGAATCTTGTGTTAACTTCCAAAGCATCTTCAGGAGGACATATGAATTCTGAATTCTTGCAGGAACACCGCTTCTAAATTGCACTCCAGTTCTGATGTGCTACCCCTCCAGCAAAGCCATACATCAATAAAGGGCTTTAACTGGGGAGCTGGGAGGGAGAAGCAGCGCTGAGAGGAAAGGAAATGGCATTCAATGGCATTCAATGGCATTCAGTGGCCGGGGGAGGAGGTGACATCCAGCGAAGGGTAAGAAAAGGAAGGGTAGGAAAAATGCCCAGGAAATTCCAAAACACTGGGAAGAGAGAGAAGGAGAATATGAAAAAAAACTTCAACCCATCAATGGAGAATAACAAGCTCAGTGTTATAAAAGGAGTGATCTAGGCTCTTTTATATGAGTACATGTCTTTATTATGTATAATATATTTGAATGTATATCTACATGTAAACCTCGATTATTAACATTATGAGGTAGACAGTAAGCAAGTCATATTCTATCTTGCACTCTCTTACACGTACACATAAAAAGCATGTTTTGCCATTAGTTTCTGTCTTCTTTTACAATTAAGAATTAATCTAGGCTGGGTGCAGTGGCTCACACTTGTAATCCCAGCACTTTGGGAAGCTGAGGTGGGTGGGTTGCTTGAGCCCAGGAGTTTCAGACCAGCCTGGGTGACAGGACAAAACTCTACCTCTACAAAAAATTAGCTGGCATGGTGGTGAATGCCTGTAGTCCCACCTACTCAGGAGCCTAAGGTGGAAAGATCACTTGAACCTGGAGGTTAAGGCTGCAGTGAGCCGAGATTGCACCACTGCACTCCAGCCTGGGAAACAAAGTAAGACCCTGTCTCAAAAAAAAAAAAAAAAAAAAAAGGAATTAATCCAGCAAGAGGCCAAAACTGGACTGCTTCTCTTCCTACTGGACCTTATCTTTAGGGTCACTGCATGAGGAAGGCAGGAAGGGGAGGGAAAGGAAGAGGCCCAAGGCTAGGAAAATCCACCAAATCCACATGGGAGCTTTGATCTTTCCCTTTGAACTAACACAACTATGGCTTTTAACTTTAGGAATTGTCCCTGTTCTTCCGTTGGAACGAGTAAGGATCCAGAGCCACAGGAACACTTCGCCCATGGCGCTCCTAGATTGACCTGATGGGGCATCTCAAGTGCACACACACATCACTTGCAGAGACAGCAGGGTACATGGTGGAGCAGCCACTTGGAAGCCGTGCAGAAAGCTCTGTCGTTCCCTCATTCTCGTCACTTAACTACACCTGTCTCCTCCACGTGATATAGAGTGGGGGTTCAACAAGTTTGCTCTTGTCACTTTCATCTCCTGCTGAAGTTATTACATAGGTGTTGTTCTTGATGGTCCTGCAGGCTGTGGGGTGTCTTGTATTTCTTTCCACAAATTGCTGGTTCAGTTGGATGAAAAGGAGGGCTTCACAGAGAAAGATGAGCATTCATCTCAACTTTCTGAAGGATAAGCAAAATCCAGAGAGAGGGGTAGGAACTTCAGATTTTAGAAAAATTCAGGTAACTAGAACAAAGAATATGTAGGCAGGGGAAAAAAAGCTAAAGAAATAGCAAAAAATTAGACAAAAGAGGGTTCAGACTGAAAACAGCAAAATGCAAGGTCAATGAGTTTGTTAACTGGTTATCAGTTGTATTTGAGTGGTTTTGGCCTATGAGGCTGACTGACGAAGAAAATGAAAAATGGAAATGGGAAAGGTATTCCATTAAAAAAAATCTGCATGTGCCCACACTCATGTTCCATTCAAGCCTGGGAGCTATGGGATTACAAATTCTTATTTAACCAAATGTAAATTTAAGCAGATAAATAAGGTGGCACTTATCAACATTTTTTAAGAAGCCATCAAGAATGAGTTCTGTGATGCATTAAAAATCGTCTAAAGTTTTATACAAATTTCCAAGAAGCATCTCCTTTAAGAAATAGCATCACTAGGCCAAGGCAGATAGATAGCTTGAGGCCGGGAGTTCAAGACCAGCCTGGCCAATATGGTGAAAGCCATCTCTACTAAAAACAAAAACTAGCTGGGCATGGTGATGCACGCCTGTAGTCCCAGCTACTAGGGAGGCTGAGGCAGAAGAATCGCTTGAACCTGGGAGAGGGAGGTTGCAGTGAGCCGAAATCATGCCACTGCATTCCAACCTGGATGACAGAGTAAGACCCTATCTCAAAAAGAAAAAAAATAGCATCACTATGTCCACATACATGCAAACATACTAGTGTTATCTTCACCCAACTCTGGAGTTTCTAAATCTGAGCTATGTGGACCTCTAAAGAATTCATGGATGAACACAATGGGATCCATAGGCCTGCTGAAATTAGAACCATCACATGCACTTCTCTACGGATCAGGGTTGTAGTTTTCACTCTACTATTTAAAACAGTCAGTGACTTAAGAAAAGTTAAGAAGGCCAGGCACAGTGGCTCACAGTGGCCTGTAATTCCAGTACTTTGGGAGGCCAAGGAAGGAGGATCTCTTGAGCCGAGGAGATCAAGTCCAGCCTGGGCAAATTAGCCAGGCGTGGTGGTGCACATCCATTTGGGAGGCTTGTTTGAGCCCAGGAGTTTCAGGTTACAGTGGGCTAGGATCATGCCACTGTACTCCAGCCTGGGTGATAAAGACACTATCTCTAAAAAATAGAAACATAAAAAAGAGAACAGATGCTCTAGAAGAATGTATGCACCTAAGTATCGCACTTCTTAGTGTATCTCCTCTAACATCCTGCACATATACTCACATGTACACACACACCAAGTTATTTAGGAAAGAGTGCATCAACTGAAAATCTATGTATAATATTTTGCTATTACATCAATTCTGTTTGATAGACATTCTATCATCAATAGCAAAAGAAACCTTTTTCAGGATCAGCCGCACACATGGGCTAATTATGAGTTGGAAAGTGACAGACTTACACTCCCCCGTCTTATTTTCTCCACAGCCTGCCACCGTTCTGAAGTTCTCATGATTGGGGTGGTTCCATTTAAAAATATACTGTGGAGGAATTAGCATGTTAGCTAGCTTCCGCTTAGCACAGAACAGGACCTCAAGAAAAAGGATTCTGGAACAGGTACATTTTGGTTGGAGGGGCTGACGACAAAGAGAATGGGGGCAGGGGGGTAGCCACAGTCTACAAGCTGAGGATAGATAAGATGCTATCGGGCGGACACTTCTTCGACTTCACCTGCTGGCCTTGGGTTGCCCTGGTTCTGGGTCTCTGAGTCAACAGATCCTCCCATGGGACAATCTCAGGAGCTCACTCACTAAAGCCAAAAAGAGCAACACATGCCCAGTGGCCAGTGATTTCTGCTCCTCTCCCTTCTGCCACCCTCTACCCTATCAAATGAAAAGAACATTCCATGCTCATAGATATGAAGAATCAATATTACTAAAATGGCCATACTTCTCCCCCAAATTTACAGATTCAGTGCTATTCAATGCATTGAATGTTAAAACCCAGATTTTAACTGTGTGTAATATGTCAGTGGCCAGTGTGGAAGAACTCAGATGTGCTCCTTAAAAAATACTGAGGTCTGAGAGCAGGCACAGTGGCTCATGTCTGGAATCCCAGCACTTTGGGAGTCTGAGGTGGGTGCTCTGGAGTTCGAGACCAGCCTGGGCAAGCTGGGTAACAGAGGGAGACTCCATCTCATAAAATAAAAAAAAAAGGCAGGGTGATAAAGAAAAGGGCAGGCAGCACCATTGCAAGCTGGAGCCAGAATGATATCACCCCTGAGGGGTCCTTCTTTTTGAGAATCCCATTATCTCCTGTGAATCCTGATGTTCTGAAAAAAATGTGTGAGATGCTTCGGCTAAGTTGCAAATGATGATAGAGCAGATTCTCAAGACTGTATTTTCATGCTGTTTCCTTTCTTTCAATGTAGGAGAAAATGACTTGGCCCAGAAGCTAGCAGTTCTCTGTGGCAGAGAGATCCCTGGGCCCATCCGGTCTACTGAGAGTACACGGTCATCCGCTTCACCTTGGACTCCAGTGTAACCAGGGCAGGCTTCAGTGCATCCTTTCACAAGAGTAATGAGTTTAAATATTTTTTTAATCCCATGTTATCCCATCTCCTCTGCTTTCCTCTCTCTTTCTCTCTTCCTAATATAGCTTTCTGGGCACGAGGACACAAGCCACGTCAGAGGACATGGGTCTCTGCCCAGGTTCTGGATGGCTGGCTCCCCTTATGTCAATGCTGATTCCTGATCCAAAGCACTGTGGCCAAGTCGTACAAAAGTGTCCTGCTTCAGGCCTCTGGGTGGGGCATCTTCACTCCAGAGGAGGTGTCTCCATGAAATGCATGAGAGAGAGCTTTAAAGCAATTTTTCAGCCTAGCTGAGGGCTGGAACTAGAGCACAGCTCATATCCGTAACTCATCGACGGAGCAAAACGTCATCATTTATCCTTATGAATTACTTGGTTAAAGTCATCCATTTGAGGGTTGGCAGGAAGGGTTTGTTGCTCTTGAAATATGAACTTGATGAGTCAAAAACAGGCACCATATATGGGATGCCATCATGCACAGTATGATTGAGACTTTTCAAACTTGACATGTGAAGTCCATTAACAGCCTTAAATCCAAACTAAATGAAAGGTAATAAAGTAGTCCATGGAAGAGTGAAAGACTCCCATGTTTTTAACTGAAAAACATAATTTTAAAGTAGATTCTCAATCTAACATTAAAAATTAATCTAATATTTCCTCCATGCTTATATATACCTTTTATAAAGTAGGGAGCAACTGACGATAAATTGTGTTCCTCACACTCAAGAGAGGCAGGCTGCATAGTGGCTTAAGAGCATGGGCTTTGGAATTAGACCTAAGATAAATTTTCTTTTTTAATTATACTTTAAGTTCTAGGGTACATGTGCACAATGTGCAGGTTTGTTACACATGTATACATGTGCCATGTTGGTGTGCTGCACCCATTAACTCATCATTTACATTAGGTATATCTCCTAATGCTATCCATCCTCCCTCCCCCCACCCCACCCCACGACAGGCCCCGGTGTGTGATGTTCCCCTTCCTGTGTCCAAGTGTTCTCATTGTTCAATTCCCACCTATGAGTGAGGACATGCGGTGTTTGCTATTTATGACAAACCCACAGCCAATATCGTACTGAATGGGCAAAAACTGGAAGCATTCCCTTTGAAAACTTGCACAAGACAGGGATGCCCTCTCTCACCACTCCTATTCAACATAGTGTTGGAAGTTCTGGCCAGGGCAATCAGGCAGGAGAAAGAAATAAAGGGTATTCAATTAGGAAAAGAGGAAATCAAATTGTCCCTGTTTGCAGATGACATGATTGTATATTTAGAAAACCCCATCATCTCAGCCCAAAATCTCCTTAACCTGATAAGCAACTTCAGCAAAGTCTCAGGATACAAAATCAATGTGCAAAAATCACAAGCATTCTTATACACCAATAACAGACAGAGAGCCAAATCATGAGTGAACTCCCGTTCACAATTGCTTCAAAGAGAATAAAATACCTAGGAATCCAACTTACAAGGGATAAATTTTCACCTCTGCAATTTAACTAGCTGTGTGAGCTGTCTACCCTTCCTTGCTGATGAGCTTCTAGTCCCTGACCACTGGAGAATTAATGCCTGCTCCTTTCATTCTCTTCCTTCACCTCCTGCCCTCTCACTGTCATGTATACATTAATATGTATGGCAGCTCATTATACATACATACATGTATACATATGAATGTATATAGTGAGGGTAGAACCATTGTAATTGATTTATATGTGTGTGTGTATATATGTGTGCGTATATATGTATATAATATATATAAATATGTGTATCTATAAGTGTGTTTGTGTATATATATGTGTGTGTGTGCATATATATATACTTGGCAGCTCATGGTCTAGAATATATTTCAAATTTAACCTGTGATATAATGGACTTTGGAGACTCATAAGCAGGGAGGATGGGTGGGGTATGAGGGATAAAAAACTACATATTGGGTGTAATGTATACTAGCCAGGTAACAAGTGCACTAAAATCTCAGACTTCACCAGTATGCAATTCATCCATTTAACCAAAAACCACTTGTACCACAATTAGATAGATAGATAACCAATAACAAAAAATGTAACCTTTGAAAACTGAACACTTTATTCCCACCCTTTTCCATGCCACCACCGCCCCCAATTCTACACTCCTCACAATGTTAGCAAATGGAAAGTACATTTTTCTCATTATTTAAGTCAAAAATCTTGATGTTATTTTTGACTTTTCTGTTTGTCTCACACTTAACCATCAACAAATCACACTGGCTCTACCCTCACAATGTATCTAGATTTCAACCACGCCTCTCCATTTCTGTTGCTACCAGCCTAGCCCATGCACCTATCATCTCTCCTTGGCCTCAGGCAGTCCCCTTTTTATTGGACACTCTGCTCCTGCCCTTCCCTGCCCTCCACTCCTTACAGTCTAAGGACTGCACATAGAGTGATATTTTCAAATGTAAGTGAGATCATGCCATTCTGATGCCCAAAACCCTTCGTCTTCCTCTTCTTATTCAGAATAAGTCTTTTCAGTTTCCTGCATGACCTAGACATGCTGCTACCTTTGGAATCTCTCATTCTGCCTCATCCATTCTGACTTCCATGATGTACCTCTGCCACATCAAGCCTTTACATTAACTGTTTTCTGAACTGGAATGCTTTCTCCCACATAAACATCTGGCTTGATTCTTTATTTCATTAATGTCTCTGCTAAGATGTTACTCCAATGACGTGGCTTTTCCAACTTAACTCTGACAATAAAGTACCCTTCTCCCTCCTCCCATCCATTTTTCTTTATAGAATTTATCACTATCTCACATATTATGTATTGTTTATTTTATGTCTTCCCCATCTATAAAGAAATCTTTATGAAAGTAGGTAATTTGTCTTCATTACTTACCTCTATATCCCATATCTCAACAACCACCACAAACGGAGTAGCCAATAGCATGTGCTCAATACATGCTTGTTATGCTAATCATTTCCTACACTCTGGCTTTATTTTCAAGCATTTTTATTGCCTACACTGTGAAAACCCCCCAAGAAAACTAAGAAAGCATAAAAATCCAGTTGCCAATTCTATTGAAATAACCTACCTTTGTTTCTTTGTGGGGAGGCTCTGGTGGATATTTGCATGCAGACAAGGGATCATCATGTTCCCCAGGTATCCAGAGACCTACCCATCCAACCTCAACTGTTCCTGGCACGTCCTGGTCCAAAGTGGCCTGACCATTGCTGTCCATTTTGAACAGCCTTTCCAGATTCCAAATGGTGATTCTTCTTGCAACCAGGGGGATTACTTGGTGGTAGGTCTTGCTTGCTACCCTTTCTAATTATGTTTTCCACAGACTTCATTCAGAAAACAAAATGATAATTTTTCTTTCCTGGGACATAAATGGATAAGAATTACGTACTCCTTCTTTTGCAATGTAAAGGAGTTGATGCAATTTTAATTTGTCTTTCCAGCTAGGAAATGGCCCTGATATCTATTCTCCACCCTTCGGACCCTGTGGAGGAAATGTTCATTTTTGTGGCAGTCGTGCTTCATCGACTGTGTTCACCTCGGATAATCAAATGTTTGTTCAGTTTATTTCTGATTATAGTAATGAAGGGCAAGGATTTAAGATCAAATATGAGGCAAAGAGTTAAGGTAAGTATTTTCACTGAGAATTATATCTACTTTTCCTGCAATTGCTTGGTCTTCTTTGATTAAGTAGATTTGAGAAAAAAACATATAAAGTTTTCTTTTCTGAACTAACAGTAATAGAATTAATAAGAATGCCTACTCTCAAGTACTTATTATGTTTGATACATTCAATATCTCATTGTGACTACTTTTCAAGTAAAGTACCATTATTTCGGTTTTAAAGATAAGTAAAACGAGGCTTGGACTTTTCCAAGGCCACATATCTAATTAGTGACCAAAGTGAAATTTTCCATGAGTATAAGATACACTATTCTTCTTGATCCCTGAAACTCCTTAGACCTTTCCATTATAAGATGTCTAATTGTAAGTTAAATCTAGTTATAGAAACATTATAAGAATTACATTTGCCTTATTTTGTAATAATGTGTATGCTGTTTTTAAAAGAACATATAATCTTTTGATTCTATTATTACTGATTTAATTATATATTACCTAAGATCTTTCCTTAATTCCTTGTACTTAATTGCACTTGATTATAATTGCATTTAATTCTACTGTAATGATTTGATTTTGGTGACATTTACTTTTCAGTAATGTTTAATTGAATAAATAAATTAAATAAATAAATAGGCATCACTTCCAAAAAACGGAGTAATGTCAGTAGAAAGTAATATAATAATAAATTTTTGCTTTGTCACACCAGAAGTTAGATAATATAGATTTCAAAATGATCCTATGACTTGTATCCCAGATTCCTAAATGTATTTATATATAAATAAATATCAATGAAATCATATGTTTTATTGCACATTGTATGAGATTTAAAGTCAACATCATTTCTTCATTTTGGTAAAAGAAATGAGTAAGAGTGTTTACCAACCGACACACAAAAATAATCGAATAGCTGGAGTAAGGTCCAAAACACCAGGGAAGGGGCTTTGGTCACTTCCCAGTGCACAGAGCTCTGGCACAAGGAGGGAGCTTTAATGCAGCTCTGTGGGCACCTGCACTATGGCTTTCTAGGCTGGGACCTTCTCACCCCTCCCTCTCTCCATGTTGAGCTTTGCAACTGAGTCAGGAATGGGCGGGTTTTCACCTGGTACCAAAGCATTTTGAGAGTAGCAGTGTCTTGAGTCTAGTGAGTAGATGTCAGCCCACATGACAGAATTCTACTTTTCTATTTTTATTTAAGATCGACTCAGTCTTTTTTTCTTTCTTGAGACAGGGTCTTGCTCTGTCACCCAGGCTGGAGTGCAGTGGTGTGATCTCAGTTTAAGGCAATCTCCACCGCCCAGGTTCAAGTGATTCTCCTTACTCAACCTCCCTAGAAGCTGGGATTACAGGTATGTATCATCACGCCCACCTAATTTTTGTATTTTTGGTAGAGATGGGATTTCACCATGTTGCCCAGGCTAGTTTTGAACTCCTGAGCTCAGGTGAGCCACCTGCTTTAGCCTCCCAAAGTGCTGGGATTACTGGAGTGAGCCACTGTGCCCAGCCAATAGACTCAGTCTTGATTTAAGTTTTTAAAGTCAACATTTAATGGTAATTCAGATACACTAAGAGATACACTAAGGGTATATTTGACACTGCACCTCTTCTATTTCTTTGTGGACTCACTGTTCATGCAAGTATGGCTATGGCCATTGCTTTCTCCCTGTCTTTCATGAAGCTTGTTATTACTGCCATTAACATCAGACTTAAACAAAAGTCTTTTGATTTCACAACCTATTTTTGGCAACCTGAAACAATAGCATCACTCTTATTTCTCTCTACTTACCAACTCAACCATGTTCCATAACTATAGCCAGGCTTCTACTTCCCATATCTATCTGGCTATCTTCCCACCATATCTACTTCCATGCTACTCCTATTTCTCAGCCTTTAACATAGGTCCCTTTGTGAACGTCTTTCGACATTGAAGGAAAGACATGAAGCAAGGGAGTTGGACGTCATCAAAGAGATTTGCAATTTACAGTTTCAGAAATGGGGGAGTTGGAGGTATTGACAGAATTCAGGATGTGACTGTAAGTGGATGAGTGACAGTGGACATAAATGTTGCTAGAGTTGAGCAGATCAAGTATCTGTGTGGCTAAGTGATTGGACAGGTTAATTTCATTGGCATTGGCATTGTAAGTACATTTATTCCTGTCTGGTTTGTTTGTTGAAAATGCCAAAGAATATTTATTGACAATAGAAAAGTATTTTTCCATAATACTTTTTTTTTTTTTTAGAAAAGAAGTATTAAAAAGCTCCGTTATCATCTAGCAAAACATGGCTTATAAATTGTCTCATGCCATTGACCTTGTTTCTCAAATGCATCTAAATCCTGAAGAAATGTGATGAATGAATGCCCCCAGAGTTGTGCAAAGATACATCTGCTTAGTCTTTTAAGTATACCAAGATCATAGCTCTGCATCATTCTGCTGTACTGAACGCTCAGTGGGAAGCTGTAACTGCTAGCATACTTACATGCTTATCGAAGTGCTGGATATTTATTCGTGCTTCTGTGATGTTCTGCCCCATGCACAATGTGCCATAATCATTTGGTTGGCTTTAAGAAAGAATGAAATTTCCAATGAGAATAGATAGATGATCTGGCAAATTAAAAAGTGTCACACCTGGTAGCTGCCTCGATAGCAAATTGAGAATTCGTTTGCTGGAAAAGAAAATGAGGATCATAACAGATGAAAGGAAATTGAGACAAATTACAGAGAAGTTGACTTTAAAAGATGATTTTTGTCCATTGAATGCATCTCCTTCACCAGAGCGTAGATTGATTTAACTGTGTTTGCTGACAGCCTGTGGGGGCAACATCTACATCCATAAAGCTGATTCTGCTGGGTATGTGACCTCCCCCACCCACCCTGATAATTATCCCCTGCACGCTGATTGCATTTGGATCTTAGCGGCTCCACCGGAAACATGCATACGGCTGCAATTTGAAGATCAATTTGATATTGAAATAACACCCAAGTATGTCACTTCCATTTTCACTTTTTTCCTACCCGAAGTTAGTATTTTTTAACTGTCATGTCTCAGAACAATTCATTTCTTTCAGTAGCACATACTGCAAGCAAATCTAGGGAAAAAGGGAAATGCTTAATAACTCAGGCATGAAAACACAGTCTGCCAGCAACTCTCCCATCAGCTGAGTAGGTTATGTACATGGATACTGTCCCTTGTGACCCTAGACACTTCCTGCAAGGGACGTTGAGGATGGCTACTTGAGATTGATGTTTATCCATTCTTCCTCCCGCAGGAAATATGTCATGTTTCTGAGAGATGAATATTTATTTGCCCAGCCTCTTATTCAGTGTCACAAATGATAAAATGTCTGTTTAACAAATGGGAATTTGTGTGGTGTGTCACCAGGGGTCACTAGTGTCAGAACAGTACTAAAGCACGTACAGTATAATTTCTCAGTCTTTATTTAATAAGAGTTCTGAAAGTATTACAAAACAGAGAGTAAGTCTTACTATGTTGAAGAGAAAGTAAAAATATATAGATTGTAAAAAACCGTTTTCCTCTTTCCTTTAACAAAAGTGTGTATACATTTGCATGAATGCAGCTGTGGTGCAAAACTAAGATATAAGAGCTTTTGTTGCTATTTCTGACACTGGATTTAATACTACTCTTCCACTCATGGAGCATTAATTAGCTGATGTAAGTTCCTCAAGAAACGCTAGATACATGCTTGTCTACTCTTATGGACACAGAAAATTCCAGTTGGGACTCTCTGTTAGTCCCAATTACAGAGCTGTTAGAGAATTTATCTTTATCATGTGAAATGTACCAAATCATTGTGTGGAACAAAATACTTGTTTTTTTTTGAAATTCATAGGGATTAATTTGAAAACAACATTTATATTTGTAAAACCAATACAGAATATGGAAGGGAAGTAAATATTCTTCAATGTAGAACATGTAAAACCTGTCTTTCTGAGCTGCTAATGAAAGAATGTATTATTAGGAAAAATATCATACAGCATTTTAATGTGACACATGGCTTACGCTGATTCTATCATAGTCTTTTATGCTAAGAAATGATGATTTAATAATATCTTCAAAGAAAGTAAGTGAAGTTGTCATTATCAAAATAAGTCAAGGCAATTGACCATGTAAATTTAACATAATTTTGTTTCCACTTTAGCTGTCCTTCTAACTACCCCTAGTTGTGGGATGGAGTGGATTCAGATGCACCAATACTTTCCAAATTTTGTGGGACATCTTTGCCCAGCAGTCAGTGGTCGTCAGGAGAGGTTATGTATTTGAGATTTCATTCTGACAACAGCCCCACTCATGTGGGATTCAAGGCCAAGTATTCTATAGGTAATATATATTTTTTAACTTTTATTTTAGGTTCAGGGTTACATGTGCAGGTTTGTTATATAGGTAAACTCGTGCCATGGGGGTCATTATAAAGATTATTTCATCACTCAGGTACTAAGCCTAGTATCTAATAGCTATTTTTTCTGCCCCTCTCCCTTCTCCCACCCTCCACCCTATCAAATGAAAAAAAATTCCATGCTCATAGATAGGAAGAATCAGTATTATTAAAGTGGTCATACTGCTTCCCCAAATTTACATATTCAATGCTATTCCTATCAAACTACCATGACATTCTTCACAGTACTAGAAAAAACTATTTTAAAACTCATATGGACCCCAGAAAGAACCCAAATAACCAAGGCAATCCTAAACTAAAAGAACAAAGCTGGAGGCATCACAATACCTGACTTGAAACTATACTACAGGGGTACAGTAACCAAAACAGCATGGTACTGGTACAAAAATAGACACATAGACCAATAAAATGGAATAGAGAGCTTAGAAATAGGGCCTCACACTTACAGGCATCTGATCTTCAACAAAGCTGACAAAAGCAAGCAATGGGGAAAAGACTCCCTATCCAATAAATGATGCTGGGAGAACTGGCTAGCAATATGCGGAAGATTGAAACTGGACCCCTTCCTTATACCATATACAAAAATCAATTCAAGATAGATTGAAGACTTAACTGTAAAACACAAAACTATAAAAACCCTGGAAAACATTTTTATATTAAATAAAAGAGTTATTACAGGATGAATATGTTAAAACTTTTTTTAAAACCATGACTTTTTAAAAAGAAGTCATTCTATCTGCATAATTTTAAAAATATTTTAATGCTATAAATAAGTAAGGAGTGTAAATGTTTAAAACCACAGTCATCAACTTTAATTTCTCTTTTAATTTTTATTTTAAAATGTAATCTTAGTAAACTTGAATATTTTATATTTTTTCTAACTTATTTGTGAAGAAATATGTGTAGTTAAATCAAACTCCTGTTTCTTCTGCTTACTATGAAATTCAGTAGTTCTCTCTTATCCATGGTTTCATGTTCCATGGTTTCAATGCACTTGGTAAACAGAGGCCCAAAAAATAGGTGAGTACAGTACACCAAGATATTTTGAGAGACCACATTTACATAACTTTTCTTACAGTATATTGTTATGATTGTTCTATTTTATTATTAGTTAATCTCTTACTACGTTTAATTGATAAAGCAAGCTTTATCATAGGTACATATATGTAGAAAAAAATTGTCTATATGTCTATATAGGGTTTGGTACTATCCAAGGTTTTAGGCACTCACTGGGGGGACTTGGAATGTATCCGCCAAGGAAAAGGAAGAACTACAGTATGTTTATTACTTTAAGTAATACAACTATTTAAGAACCAGATAACTATATTTAGAACAATGTCTTTGAATTCCTCATCATATATAAAATGATTAAGCTTTTTTTTTTTCTCTGAGTCTCTAGTGCCAAATCAGTCACTGGATAAAAAGCAAATATGTCTCTTCAGGATTTTGATTTCCTTACTTAAAAATTGAGCAGTAACTTTGCTTGTTGAAGATTCACTATAGTATGGTCACAATAGCACACAATTTAGTATCTGATAGGTCTAGACACAAACCAAACAAATATTTAATATAGCAAAAGTTCAGAAAGGCTAGTTGTAACAGTATTTAACTACACCATAGATCATATTATATCCCGGGTCAAGCTGCATATAATTCAATTAGCTACCACATCCAGCTAATAAGACATAATTGAATAGTAATTTTCAAGGCCCTGAGATATCAGTTACAGTAGTGAAAGTTTAGTTGATAGTAAAACTAGATATAGCAGGTGTCCCCCCTTCCAGGTGAGCTTGGGTTCAGTCTTTAGAATCAACACAAGGTTCTAGGCAGGTCAGATGAGTCTACCAGTTTGTTCTTGAGATGAAACTTGCTTGCAACTGATAGCTCTTACATAGTGTCCCAAAAGAATTAATGTGACATTACAGAATGTGCCATTTGGTCGTCATCTTGTTTCCCATTATTGGATTGGACTTGTGGTATCACTTCTGTTTACATCAACCCTAGAATTCAAATAATGAGGAAAGCACTAAGCATTTTCAGAATTTTAAAAACTTCAATTCATAGTCACTTGGCACCTAAAAGTTTTCACATGTGCTGGTGAAATGAAAAAAACACAGTTTGTAATAGAATCCTTTCTTTCTTTTCTTTCTTTCTTTCTTTTTTTTTTCAGCTCAGTGTGGGGGAAGAGTAACAGGGCAAAGTGGTGTTGTTGAAAGCATTGGCCATCTAATGCTTCCATATAGAGACAACTTATTCTGTGATTGGCATCTCCAGGGGCTCTCCAGACACTATCTCACCATCTCTTTTGAAGATTTTAACCTTCAGAATTCCTCTGGCTGTGAAAAAGACTTTGTGGAGACCTGGGACTATCATACTTCTGGTTAGTGAAATATATCTGCTCTCTTTGGGGTGTTTATTTTCGCATGTACTTATTCAGCCTCTGAAGTTTCTTCACTTCCAAGAAAGGCAAAGCATGTCTATACTCTGCAAAGAAGTGCAGATTAATGGGCTTTGGGCAGTACCAGTGATTCTCTACCTCAATTCTACCATTAACAATGGATGTCCAGAGCCCAGGTGTCATATAGCCTACCCTGGAGGCCACCTGGGGAGAGCAACGGTAGTGGGAAGGCAACCTGTTGCTGCTGAGACATCCCATTGCCAGATGCCGTTATTTGAGGGGTGTTCTATAGCTTGAGGCAGAAAGAGGGTCATGCATGTCTCCTGGCAGTAGCATAAGGCAGATATTTGTCACTCTGTTGTCTCAAACCACTTTTTCAACCAAAAAACTGGCCTTCCTCATTATCCTGAGATATCCTTCCCCTAACTGGTTGCATTTTTTTCACTTCTTCATATATTTGAATATGTTAATTTTCATTCATGTTTTCCTGTTTTCTTGAGAGAGATTAATATTTCTTCATGGGCAAGGTCTTGTTTTTTATTATTTTCTTTGTACACGCAGGACACCTTGAATAGAGGTTAAAAGAAATCAATCACCTGGACATATATATTTAATTATTTGTCTCTCACAGGAAACATCTTGGGAAGATACTGTGCAAACACCATTCCTGACAGCATAGAGACTTCTAGCAATACTGCCATGGTCAGGTTTGTCATAGATGGCTCTCTGACTGCCTCAGGATTCAGACTGCGATTTGAATCCAGCATAGACGGTGATTTCATTGATTCATTCAAAACAACATTGAGCACCTGCATTGGACAGACACTATGCTAGGCACTGGTGTTACAATAGTTTGAAAAACAAAACAAAACATGACCCCTATCTTCTTGGACCTTAATCAAAAAGTCACACTGATAAACAAAAAGTTACAGCTGTGATCAGTGCTATAAGGGAAAATAACTAGTATCACGAGAGATACAATAAGAGGATGAGAGTTATACTGCAATGCCTGCCTTAAGAAAGTCCTGTAGTTACTCAGAATTTGCCTCACTGCAAATCCAACAAACTCAGATGAAATAAAGATCTTGTTTGGAAAAACTGGATACCTACATTAACCTTCTGATTTTCCTGATTTTTTTTTTTTTGTAAAGATGGGGTCTTGCCTTGGCCTCCCAAAGTGTTGGGGTTACAGGCGTGAGCCACCACTCCTGGCTGATTTCCCTGATTCTTTCTTTTTTTGAGATGGAATCTCACTCTGTCACCCAGGCTGGAGTGCAATGGAGCGATGTTGGCTCACTGCAACCTCTGCCTCCTGGGTTCAAGCAATTCTCCTGCCTCAGCTTCCTGAGTAGCTGGTATTACAGGTGCCCAACACCACGCCCGGCTAATTTTTGTATTTTTAGTAGAGTCAGGGTTTTACCATGTTGGTCAGGCTGGTCTTGAACTCCTGACCTTGTGATCTGCCCGCCTTGGGCTCCCAAAGTGCTGGGATTACAGGCGTGAACCACCACACCCGACCTGATTTTCGTGATTCTTAAGTTCATTATATTCATTGATCTCTCATATTTCTTGGGCCATGATGATAATTAAATTGCTGTCTGTGGACTATCATCCATGGAAGCCAGGGTTAAATATTAATAGAGATAGGAAATCAATGTATATGTTCACTGAAATCCTCACGCACATAAATACGGTGAATAATTTTGTCTAGAAGGATAATTTTTAAATACCTGAATTTTGAGAGCTTTCCTGATGGAAGGAGACATTTTGATTTGATTGGAAGTTTTCTTGGCTTTCTTCCCCCACATCAGAGTGTGGTGGGGATCTTCAGGGCTCTGCTGGAACATCTACTTCTCCCAACTACCCGAACCTAAATCCTCATGGCCGGATCTACAAGTGGAGAATCACCGCCCCAGAAGGAAGGCAGATCACCCTAACATTTAGCAACCTGAGGCTGGCCACGCATCCGTCCTGCAACAGTGAGCATGTGATAGTAAGTGTTCCCTGTGGCCTGAGATGTTATATTCCATCATTTAAGGAGTTTACTGACCCATAAATCATAGTCAGAAAACTAGGTCAGGAAAATTGCCGTCTATGCAACTATAACTCAGACAAATTCTAAGTATTGTTGAGAGAACAAAACACGGTAAACTGTCAAAATAATTGTAAACGTTGTTTTAAGAGACTATCAGCTATCACTCTGTGCATCAGGGTCATAGATAGAATAAATATTAAGAGTAAATGATAATGACAAATGGCAAAGCTGGGGAGGCTGTGGGAAGCTAAGCCTACAGCAGCACATAGATGAATGGGAACAGAGTCACACCACAAGTCGCCACTGAAAGTTCTGAGCAGATGGGTTGTCCTGCATAATGACTGCTCTCTCCAGGGGTGCAGAGGGACTCCTGGTGGGAGAGCACTACTACCTGACCTCCACGTCGCCAACCTCCAGTGGTTTCAGATGTGCCCTCAGCACTCTCAGCTTCCTGCAGTGAAAGAAAGCAAATGAGATCCCTGAGTGTGAATAACAAATAGATTGTTAACTGTGAAGTGCTACACATACATATGTGTGTGTAGATAGGTAGATTGGATTAATATTAGTACATTTCTCCACCCAACTTGCCCCTTCTGCAGTATATGCTATCTCAGTAAATAATTCCAAACTTCTGGTGGCTAAGGTCAAAAATCTTGATGTCTGTTTTGGAATACTTCCTCTCACACCCTATATGGCATCTATAAGCAAGTCCTGTTGGGTGTCTCTTTAAAAATATCCACAAAAAGAAGAGTTCATGTCCTTTGTAGGGACATGGATGAAACTGGAAACCATCATTCTCAGCAAACTATTGCAAGGACAAAAAACCAAACACCGCATGTTCTCACTCATAGGTGGGAATTGAACAATGAGAACTCTTGGACACAGGAAGGGGAACATCACACTTCGGGGACTGTTGTGGGGTGGAGGGAGGAGGGAGGGATAGCATTAGGAGATATACCTAATGCTAAATGACGAGTTAATGGGTGCAGTACACCAACATGGCACATGTATACATATGTAACAAACCTGCACATAGTGCACATGTACCCTAAAACTTAAAGTATAATAGTAATAAAATAAAAAAAATCCACAATCAAACTACTTATTATATCTACTACTACCACCCCCACCGTTCACTTAGATTATTTTAGTAAGTTCCACCTGGTCCCACTGCCTCCATTCTCAACTCCTTACATTCTCAACACAGCAGCATGTGATGGTTTTAAGCCTCAATCAGATCATGTTGCTCCCTTTGAAAATCCTCTAATGGCTTCTCATCTCACTCAGAGGAAAATCCCAAATTGCACCTGTGGCCCACCTGGCCAACATTATCTGCTGCCCCTCCCTCTTCTACCTATCTGCCTTATCTCAAACTCCCCTATTCTCTGCTCGCTGGGGTCCAGCCACCTGGCCTCCGTTCCGTTCCTTGAATGTGCTGAGATGCTCCCTGTCCAGCTGTTGCCTTCATCTGGAATGCCCCTTCTCAGATGGCAGCCTGCTCCACACCCTCACTTCATTCAGGTCTCTGCTTGAATGCCTTTTAATCCATACGGTGTAAGTACCTTATATTAGAGACCCCACCCTGGCCTGCCACTTCTCTGCCATGTTGTTTTACAGCACTTTACACCTGCTGCCACACATCATTTTGATTTGTTCATCAGTTTATTGTCCGCTTCCCCCACTAGAATGTAAGCTCCCTGAGGTCAAGCCATAGTTTCATTCACTGCTGGAGACTCACTGAATCCCCAATGCCTGTATATAATAGAGATAAATAGTTGTTGAATGAATGGATGGTAGAGGTACTATCATTATCCCTTTAATAAGAAGCCACTTCTGTTTTCAGTTTAATTGTCTTCTGTTGGGTAGTCAATTTCAAAAATATGAAATATATTTGTATCTTATGACCACTTTGTATCGCCCTAAAATGATCTCCTTCAACCTTCAGATTTTATTTCCAAGTTCTAATATCTGAAGGACTGAACAGTTGTCTTTCAGATCTTGAAAATAAGAAACCAAGTGTGTTTTCTTTTATTTGAGAGACAGGAAATTTTGGACTAAGGTTGTTTATTATAAAGAAACTTTGTTTCCTATTATTGATTGAATATATATAAACAGAGATGAAGTAGAAAAAATACTAACCAGTCCCACTATATCATATTTTGATGCATTTTCTCATCTCTTCTTGGCAAAGCATATTTTATGTACTGTAATTATATGATATAAATCCACTTGAATTCTAATTTTAGTCTATTTTTCTGGTAATAAATATAATGGATGCTTATTGAGCAATATTTGGAGAGTTCAGAAAATAAAAAATATAAAGATATTTTTAATTCTACTCATCTATTACTAAAATTTTGATGTATATGCGAGCAGTTGTTTTTTACCTTTGAAATTATTTTCATAGTTTAAATCATACTGAATATAATGATTATTAGGAATTTTATAAGCAGAGTATTCACATGTCCTTTAGGAAACAGAATATGAACAGTCATAGTTTTAGAACTCAAATAAAGATAAAAGTTATAGCCACAACCACAAATTCCAAAGCAGATCTTAGTTGTCATCTCCCTATCCCTTAATTATCAACTTATAACTCTTGCAGCTACTGCCGGTGGGTTTTATGTCATTATTTCTATATAATATTCCTATTCTACTACTCCTTGCTTTTTTTGGACATTATCTATCCACATCCTACTCTGGAAGATGAGAATTAGCCCTCTGCCACCACAAATGCACATGGGGTATGCACAGTTTATATACTTTCCCAAATGTCTCCCAAAATACATATGTCACAGCTTTTGCTTAAATTGTCATTTAGTTGACATTACCATGATTACATAAACACCATTCACAACTGAGCCAAGTAGTGTACTGTGGCAACATTTGTTTTTGTTTTCCCAAGGAATAATAATAATTGTGTCCTCTTTACATTTTCTTGGGTTTTAAGCACTGATCACTAATTCTTCCACACCCTTTCCACCCTGGGTGTTCATCTTCACCTTCTGTAGTAAAACATATCAGTTCCATTTCTTTTCCTCAGTAATATCCTTCCTTGAGCCTTTGTCCACAGCTGCAAGCCTGATGCTAGCTGTCATTTCAGAATTTCCCTTTGCCAGCAGATTTGCAAGTTCTTTCATTCTGCTCTTGGGCTAGAAAGCTGGCTTTGTGATGCTATGCACGTCCCTTTCTTGGTTAATTTCCTCTTTTGGTGAGGCATACCCTCTTGTAGCTCCCCAAGGAAATGGGCAAGGGCAATACATTTTTAAAGAAATGATATACCTGAAATTATCTTTATTTTACCATCGTTCTTTGAAAAATATATATTTAAATATTTTACATGTTTACTATATTAATATATACAAGAATATATTAATAGTAATTTTGAAGTTTTGTGTTGCTTATTTGGGGTCAGTTTTCTTCATGTTCCTATCTCCCGTTTACTCATATTGGTCTCTGCCTTTTACATTAGTCAGTTCCCTAAATGTCTGCTGATCCTTGGCTGTTCATTCATATTTAAGAATGAATTGCCAAAAGGATGACTGGCATCTCTGTATGCATGAGGGTGCCCTGACTCTTTAAATAAGGAAACCTACAAATCTACAAATGTCATATCCACAGGACTTTTCTCTTGGGGAGGTTAAAACTCCAGCAAGGAATCACTTTCGGAATTAATTTTTTTTCTGAATCTTTAGTATAATGTCCACATTCCTTTTTCTGAAATATATTTTTATATGTTCAATGTTTATTTTGGTTCCTCTTTACTCTGCTCCAAACAAGGGCATGTGGGTCTGCCTTTGCTGCCACTCTACTTGATTGACAACTTGCCAAAAAGAGGAAGAAGACGAAAGAGGCAGAAGAAGGAGAAGGAGGATGAGAAGGAGGAGGAGAAGAGGGAGAAGAAGAAGGGGGAGAAGAAGAAGGGGGAGAAGAAGAAGGGGGAGAAGAAGAAGAGGGAGAAGGAGAGGGAGAAAGAGACAGAGGGAGAAGGGAAGGAGAAAAAAGAAGAAGGAGAAAAGAGGAAAAGGATAAGAAGAAGAAGGAGAAAGAGAAGAAGGAGGAGATTGAGAAGGAGAGGGAGAAAGAGAAAAGAAGAAGGAGAAGAAAAAAAAAGAGTAAAGAAGAAAGAAGATCTGCTGGTGCAGAGGCAGCTTTAACTTTCATTGCACTGCTTCGTGGCTAATGCCTTATCCAGCTGGTCTGAGCCTAAAATTTCTCCAAACCCACTTGCCTATCTGACTCTCTGTACAGACAGAGAAAATGAAAAGCTATGCCACCCGGTGTGTCCTACAATATGACCTGTATCTGATTTTGTCCCTGTTCATAGCAAATGTTATAGCCTGTCCTAAATCTCACGTGCCTACTTCCCATCCATTTGTATTCTGAGAGTTGTAGTTTCTGAGTACAAAAGGGATTAGAGCACAATGATGAGAATTGCATTCTGGTTGCTTCTAACAGCAGAAGTCCATGTGATAAATGGATGACTATAACATGTTCAGTCATTGTGATTCTACGCCAAAGGCAGACTCAGAGGCAGGATAACAGCCATTGATCATGGTTTCCAACATGTCCCATTAACCTTACAGTTGGTTCTAATCCCTTTTGATTTTGGCAATGTGATGCCCATTCCTGTTTTCAGCATTATAGAAATATTTGTCCTCATCTATTTCTTTATACACTGCTTCATGGTTTGGAATCAGAGGGATTGTCTGAATCCCAGTTCTATTATTAGTAATTATTTGAACTTCAGCAAATTACATCATCATTCTGAATTCTGGTATCTTAATCTGGAAAACAGGGATACTGTTATCTGCTTGGGAGGGTGTTGTGCTGATTGGATAAGACAGACTAAGTAGATGATGAGCAAGACTGGCATTTTTGTCTGCTCGGTAAATGATAGCAAACTCTTCTTCTGGTCGCGTGAGCTGGAAGACACTTTAGACCAGAAGTCCCCAGAGAGCTAAATTTAATTAATTATAGTAAATTTTAAAAACTGACATGTTTTGTTGTGGAGTGCATTCTCCTACTGCGTAACTTTTAGTGCCATAGTCTGAGTCATTATTTCTAATCTTGAGTCATTCAAATCCTTTTAAACACTGGAATATCAATCACTCAATCAATGAATTATTGTTTAGTTATTTCATCTAAATTTTTTTTATTTTGTACAGCATTGGAACAATTTGCCAATTATTGTAACTATGTGAATGACTACAGTTATTATTTAATATTTTGGAGTCAATAATAATCCATTCTTAAAAATTCAAATGAGAAAATTGAAGCTTTGAATCCATAACTAATGAGGAAAGAACTATTATGTTTAATTGCATATGGAGATTGATTTTTCAAATTACTTTTCAAGGTATTTAAAAATATCTGCTTGCTGGGCATGGTGGCTTACACCTGTAATCCCAGCACTTTGGGAGGCCGAGGCAGGTGGATCACCTGAGGTCAGGAGTTCGAGACCAGCCTGACCAACATGGTGAAACCCCGTCTCTACTAAAAATACAAAATTAGCTGGGCACAGTGGTGCATGCCTGTAATCCCAGCTACTTGGGAGGGTGAGGCAGGAGAATCGCTTGAACCTGGGAGGCAGAAGTTGCAGTGAGCTGAGCTGAGATCATGCCATTGTACTCCAGCCAGGGCAACAAGAGCAAAACCGCATCTCAATAAATAAATAAATAAATAAATATTAAAATAAAAATATCTGCTTTATTATATATATCAAATCATCAGAAACTAACCTTTAAGCTTCCTTTACAAATAGCAAAAGTCCTGATGCATTGTTAAGAAAAACTGCCCACCAGTGAGCTCTGCACAACATATTGTAAGCATGATGGCTTATCTCCTTTATATTGGGAGCTCAGTTTCCAGTTCCAAAGTGTATAGCAGCTTTTAATCTGTCAC
Source organism: Homo sapiens (assembly GCF_000001405.40). Lineage (NCBI taxonomy): Eukaryota > Metazoa > Chordata > Mammalia > Primates > Hominidae > Homo > Homo sapiens. The sequence continues at coordinate 42,696,048 of NC_000010.11, read as the reverse complement.
CACATGGCAGGAAGGCATTACTGCAATACTTTCATTCTAGTGAAATCACCCTGAGGTCACAAAATGTGTTCAGGGTAACATAGTGGCTTGTGGCACTGGGTTAGAAACCTGCATTGTTAGGTCATTCATTTTAGGGCAGGGTTCCCATAGAAGGAAGTGGGTCTGGGCTAGGAATATCACCTCCTAGGAAATATGCAGTAAGATGGATTGTGTGTCTAAAGGTTAAACTCTTTTTCCAATAGGTATTCAATAGCATTAGAAGTAACTTACCCCAGCTAGAGAAACTGTGTAGTAGTGTGAATGTAAGCAGTGAGATTAAATCTTCAGGAAACACAATGAAAGTCATTTTTTTCACGGATGGATCTAGGCCATATGGAGGCTTCACTGCTTCTTATACCTCCGGTGAAGATGCAGATAATGTAGGATATTGTAAATGTACTTCATTTTAATCAGGTGCACTGCAGATGCCCCCCAGCTACTGCCAATGTCAGCAGAGCCATCCATTTTCCCTTTAGTGATCAAAGTTCACTTGGAATATTTGACATAAGACAAACACATATAAGCAGATCAAAAACTTACTGCAGACAGAAAAAAGCTTTCTGATTTCAGGAAGAAACTGCTGTGGTAAACTTTTAATGCCATTAGATGAGCTTCTTGCACAGTTTCAGTCATGTTACCCAAAGGATTGGTGACCTGTTCCGTAGTCCTTGGTCAATTATTTGGTGCTGAAAGAAACCATCTACCTCCTAGAAGGTAACTTAGTCTCGGAGAGTAATTAATTTTGCTTGGGACAGAACAGGCTTTACTGTTTCTGGTCATCTATTCACACACATATTTCCAGCGAAAATAAATGGGAGGTTTGATTTGATATAGAATATTCCAAAATTAAGCAAGATATGGCCTCTAATTGTAAATATCCTCCTATTTCCTGGATTGGTGCTATTATCTAAGGGTTTTAAAATTTAGAAGTGGGAGTGAATATTAAAAAAAAACACTAAGTTATTTCATTGGTACAAGAAGCATCTGTTCCTTTATTAAAAGGGGGCAAATTCATTGGTAGGTCAATGTCTTATTATCTGTTTGATTTAAATTAAATTATTAGATCAAGTGGAGAATTGCTATCAAGCCATTAGGACCTGCCACCATTATATTTGGGTATTCCTTTAAATTAAATATTAATGAGCAGTAGGCTTCAATATTTGGACATATTGATACAGAGCCAAACCCCAGCCACCTAATCTACACCAACAGGAAAATAGAGAAGTTGTCGACTTTTGCACATGTTTCCTCTATAAACGTGCAGAAACTTCCATAATTTGCATGCCTTTTACCCATAATCCTGATTGCATCTAGAAAAACAAATCAAAGCAGTAATGTTGATGTTTTAGTTACTGTTCCTCTATTGTTTATCTCTTCTGTTGTGGCCTGAATCTTACTACTACTTTCTGCTGCCTTCTGTTTTCTTAGTATGTGGTGGGTCTCTTCCAAATACTCCTGAAGGAAACTTTACTTCTCCTGGCTATGACGGAGTCAGGAATTACTCGAGAAACCTAAACTGTGAATGGACTCTCAGCAATCCAAATCAGGGAAATTCATCTATTTATATTCATTTTGAAGATTTTTACCTAGAAAGTCACCAAGACTATCAATTTGATGTCCTTGAGTTTCGAGTGGGTGAGTTCTAAGAACACATTCTCCCATTTATCTACAATATTCTTTTTATCTTTTTGTTGTTGAGGCTATTGTTGTTGTTTTGAGACAGGAGCTCACTCTCTTGCCCAGACTGGAGTGCAGTGGTGTGATCATAGCTCACTGCAGCCTCAACCTCCCAGGCTCAGGTGATCCTCCTGCCTCAGTCTCCCAAGTAGCTTGGACTGCAGGCATGCACCACCATGTACAATTAATTTTTTAAATTTTTTGTAGAGATGGGGTCTCCCTATGTTGTCCAGGCTGGCCTCGAACTCGTGGCCTCAAGTGATCCTTCCTCTTTGGCCTCCCAAAGTGCTGAGTTTGCAGGCATGAGCCACCATGCCTGGCCTACAATATTCTTCTTATGCTTGGAGACCACCAATAATGAAGGGAGTCAAATGGCTCTAACATAGGTACATATGGTCCAAAAGAACTCTGTTCAAACAAAGCCATAATTCTGTGTGTGCCCAGCTGAGGAAAACGAACCCAAGGAACAGTGAGTGAGGCAGATCACCGTACAACTAGACCCTGTGTTACAGTCGCTTGGTTTCCTGCCATGTGAGACTTCCCTAAGGGAGAGTCCACTACTATCAAGACTCCTTTCCAAGGACACTGGGAATTAGCATGCTCAGCACGTGTTGGCACTTTCCTGAACTTCCAGGATTTATAAAGGGGCTGTGAAATTCTCCTGAGGCCTTAGGAGTTAAAAGAAGTTTTGCAGTGTACCAGATGGAGAAACACATGGAAGCTATTTGGGGAAATAACCCCAAAGCAGTCATTTGTCTTTGTTTTTGTAACAGAAAAGGATTGCGGCATACTCAATAAGCCATAATTCTCTTAAGAATTTTTAAAACTCTGTATTCAAGAAGGATGAATCAATTTTAATTTTCTTATAATCAAGGTGTAGTTTATTCATTAGGTTGCTTCCGTGATTATGCTGACACCTTTTTCTCAGTAAATAAACAAGTAGATAGAGGAAGACAATAATATTGTAAATAGTATGTAATCATCCATACTGTCAAAGTGTTGCTGAGTTCTGTGTTATCCGAAAATTTAAAGAAAAGCAGGCTGGGCTTGGTGCTGTGGCTCATGCCTAGAATCCCAGCACTTTGGAAGGCCAAGACGGGTGGATCATGAGGTCAGGAGATCGAGACCATCCTGGCTAACACGGTGAAACCCCATCTCTACTAAAAATACAAAACATTAGCTGAGCGAGGTGATGGGCGCCTGTAGTCCCAGCTACTAGGGAGGCTGAGGCAGGAGAATGGCATGAACCTGGGAGGCAGAGCTTGCAGTGAGCCTAGATCATGCCACTGCACTCCAGCCTTGATGACAGAGCGAGACTCTGTCTCAAAAAAAAAAAAAAAAAAGTGTGCTCTTAAGATAGATAACTTGATTTTCTCTAACCTCTATAGTCTGGAATATTGTCTATTTGGCTCTTCTGTAAATGCTATATAGACCAGTAATATTCTTAACTTTAATTTTGAATTTCTTCACTCATGAGTTCTAATTCCATATACCCAACCTAGCTAGTCCTCTCACCTGATACCCCAGATGATAAATCTTTTTTTTTTTTTTTGAGACGGAGTCTCCCTCTGTTGCCCGGGCTGGAGTGCAGTGGCTCGATCTCTGCTCACTGCAACCTCCACCTACTGGGTTCAAGTGATTCTCCTGCCTCAGCCTCCTGAGTAGCTGGGATTACAGGCGTGCGCCAGCACTCCTGGCTAATTTTTTTTTGTATTTTTAGTAGAGACGGGGTTTCAGCACGTTGGTCAGGCTGGTCTCAAACTCCTGACCTCGTGATCTGCCCGCCTTGGCTTCCCAAAGTGCTGGGATTAACAGGCCTGAGCCACTGCAACTGGCCCCCTAGATGATAAATCTTATTGCTTGGTGGATAAAGAAAATGTAGCACATATGCACCATGGACTACTATTCAGCCATAATAAAGAATGAGTTCATGTCCTTTGCAGGGACATGGATGAAGCTGGAAATCATCCAGATCCTACCGCTCCTGCCATGCTGCATCACTGCCACTCACTGCAGCAAGCCCAGCTGTGGAGCTGCAGGCTACAGCCTCCAGCATGCAGCAGGTGGCTCTTCCTTTCCCCCTTCCTTTTTTTTTTTTTTTTTTTTTTAGATGGATTCTTGCTTTGTCACCTAGGCTAGAGTGCAGTGGCACGATCTTGGCTTACTGCAACCTCTGCCTCCTGGGTTTAAGCGATTGTCCTGCCTCAGCCTCTCAAGTAGCTGGAACTACAGGAGCACCACGCCTGGCTAATTTTTGCATGTTTAGCAGAGACGGGGGTTTCACCATCTTGCCCAGGCTAGTCTCAAACTCGACCTCGTGATCCACCCGCCTCAGAATTACAGGTGAGTCACCATGCCCAGCCCCTTCCCCCCTTCTAAGCCTGGCACACACCAGCTTAGCAGACAGAAGCAGAAGAGTCTGGAATGGCCTGACTCCCCCTTAGCATGCTTTATATACCGAGGTTCCTGGGTTACATGTTCTGATTGGATGAGAGTAAGCCTTAGGCTAACCAATCAGAACATGATAATAAAGTCCAATCAGAATAAGCCTAGAGGTTTTCTCTCATCCAATTAGAACATTGGCTGCGACGACAGCGACTGAAGCGCAGCTGGAGTGGTAAGATGGCGGACGAGCAGCTGCAGCAGCTCCGTGCGGTGCTACAGGGGGAGGGGAAGGTGGTTTCTCCTGACACAAGCTGGAGGCCGGAGCCTGTGGCACCCTGGCTTGCCTCACTGAAGCTGGTGGCTGTGACAGGGACTGCACGGCTGCTGGAGTGGTAGAAAGGCAGCCCAGGTAGGTGAGTATTCTCAACTGCACTGCCCACGGTGGGGAGCGGCTTGGGGGCGCTATTCCGGGCATCACTGCCTGCAGCCAGGAGCGGGTTGGGGTGCTATCCAGGGCTGCACTGCCCGGGGATGGAGTGGGGCTTGGGGCACTGTTACGGGCGTTATTTCTCCCAGTGTGGGGGCGGGTTGGGGTCTCTATTGGGTGCTGCAGTGTTCGAGGTGGGGACGGGTTGGGGGCGCTATCAGGGGTTACACTCCCTGGGAGTGGGGGGTGGTGTTTGGGACACTATCGGGGGCTACACTGTCAGCGGCGGGTTAGGGGCGCAATCGGGGCTGCACTGCTGGTAGTGGCAGAGGTGGCCGCCACAGCGGTGGCCTCCAAGGAAGGAGCCAGGCTCCAGACTCTAGAAGGAGACCTCCTACTGCTCAGCGGGCACACAGTGTTTCCATGGGAATCATGGGCATGGCAGGGCCTGTCATGGTTCCTGGGTCTGCGTCCTCTTACTCTGTGTTGAGACAACCTGGGATTCCTGAGCACAGTCATGGGGTAGACATGGGGCACAGGCGTCATGGGGGGACAGGGCCCTGTGGGTGGAGACGTTAGGAATGGAAACCGGCACTCGGGGTGGGGGCGCAGGAGGGGCCGGGGGTTGGGCGGGGTAGTAGTGGCTGGGTCTGAGTTCTGCTGTTCCTGCTCTCCAAGGAGCCGCAGCCCCAGTGGGCCCAACGGTTCCTGTGGGTGGGGAGCCAGCCACCTTGGAGTCTCCAGTTCACTGAAACCTGTCACTGCCACCCAGTGGCCACCATGACAAGGTGAGGCTCTAACGTTACCACTCCCTGCATCATGTTCTAGGCTTTTCTGACTTTACTGGCCCAGCTGCTCTGTGCCAGAAGGAGGAGCAACCTGCCACACGCTGGAGGGTGGAGGCTGGAGCCTGGAGCCTGGGACGTGGCGGCTGGCGTCACTGCGGTGGGTGGCACTTTGGAGCAGTAGGTAGGAGGGCAGCCAGCTGTGGCCACCTGTGGCAGGGCTGTGGCTGTGGCCAGCTAGTAGGGGCCTTGTAGGGAGTGCCGGTGCATCGAGGGTGACAGCAGCAGTGGTTGTATTGGCATTGGCCTTAGTGGTGGCAGCAGCAGCAAGTCTGGGGGTCCTGGGAAGTGGGAGTAGGAGCACTGCGGAGCCACCTGGCCTGGCGTGGGTAGGAAGCTGTGGGTGCTGTACCGTCGGCCTCGGTGGCAGCAGTGGAGGTGCCGCCAGGGCAAGGAGGAGTCCTCCCCCTTCTCCTGCAGAATCTGGAGGGTCCCATCCTTCTGCTGGCACCTGAGCCAGGTGTGAGTGGAGCATTATCGCAATCTTAACAAAATTTAGGGGTGACTGTGTATCTTTTTGCTCTTTATTGTTGTTGTTGTTGTTGTTGTTGTGAAAAAGTCTTGAACTTTTTCAAATTTCATGAATCAAGGAGGGGAAAAAAGGTATCATAATAGGCCTTCCGATTCCCTCACGTGTTGTTTTTCCTTTCTTCCAGTCTTTTATTCTCATCATCATCTTCTTGTTCTTCTTTATTTGCTTATGCTGCTGCCTCTATTTCTTGTTTCTCCTTCACCACCTCCTGCTTTTGTTTGCTTTTTCCCAAGCAATGGCATTAACAACAAACCAAGACTGAGTTAAAAATAAAGTACTTGTCAGTGTGTTGTACTTTAAAAATAATTGGTCCATTACTATGTCTTAGAGATTTGCATAATTATTTAGTACTTGAATAGATATGCTTTCCTGTTCCTGTTAACGCATTGTAAGCAGTTATTCAAGGAATAAAAAAAAGAAGCATCAAATAAAATATTGGTAGCAAACAGCTGTTTCATCTGTCTTACATATTAGTCTGGAGATATGCAAGAGGCATGGGGGTAATAAGTTCCAATTTAGGAGGTCATTAGGTAAACTATATTCCCTTCATGTTATTTCCCTCCCACTATTTTCAAGATTATTATCTGCGTGACCAAACCTGGTTTGTCACCACATCTTTACAACAGGAAAAGGAAGCGGGGATCATGCAAATAATGTTTTAAGGCCAAGATTCACAACCAAAAACAAGGCTTTATTAACTTTTGTCTTTAAGAACCTGCAGTATTGAGCCCTCTTTCCTAGTATTACAACCTTTGGTATGAACTCTTTTTTTAGTGATTGCACTAGAAGTTTATGCATTTTATTGAATAAAGAAACAAATGTATATTTTATCATTTTTCAAGCCCACAGAAATGGATTAAGGCCTATAATTTTGACACTTTTAAAATTATTTTTAAGTTTATGACATGTAAAATACTGTTGATACATGTGGGAATATGGATAAGTACCACCAGATAGCTTATTTTGAAGAGACAGTGTCTAAATTTTTGTCGACAGCGTCTAAATTTTTGTCGACAGTAGATTGGTTGCAGTTTCTTAGGTGTGTTTCTCAGTACATTGCCTCAGCGTTTTAAAGCGTATAGAAATTTGGATTCTGTTTACCCTCATATGGTCCTTTGTTTATAGGTTGTTTAATGTTTCTAGGGACTGAAGACATCACAGCCCCCTTTAAGATGCAGTAATATTAATAAGATTTGTTATGTATAGGGTTAGAATCCAACAAACTCGAGAGGAAAATTGTTAAATTATATAGCTGTAGAGCAGGAAATGAAACCTAGGTTCTAAGCTCTAAGGGGGCCATGAGCTACCATACAGGTGCATCAGTGACCGGGCATAGCATAGAGTGGGTAGAATACAGGATGGTTAAGAGAGTGAACTGTGGAGCCTAACTCTACGTGAACATGACTTTTTTTTTTTTTTTAACAGATTCTCTCTCTGTCTCCCAGGCTGGGGTGCAGTGGTGCAATCTTGGGTTACTGCAACCTCTGCCTTTCAGGTTCAAGGGATTCTTTTGCTTCAGCCTCCCGAGTAGCTGAGACTAGATAGGTGCATGTCGCTACATTTAGCTAATTTTTGTATTTTTTGGTAGAGATGGGGTATCACCCCGTTGGCCAGGTCTGTCTCGAACTCCAGACCTCAACTGATCTGCCTGTCTTGGCCTCCCAAAGTGCTGAGGCATAAGTCACTGCCTCTGGCCTGGGGGGTTACTGTTGAAGTATTATCTTTGTATCTCAAAGCAGGCCCTTCTGAAACTGATGACATGCAAAACTTGTCCTGAAGTCTTTGCAAGGTGTAATCTTTTTACCTCCACTTTCCTACATACTGTTTGTATTTAATGGTTTCTTGTATTCCACAGACTGTGTTTTAGTATTTATAACTATAGTATTAAGAATTACTTTTCTATATTGAAAAGGAAAAATTGTATTGGCCTTTTCTTAACGTATAAATGAACTTCACAAGCAACAATTTTTCAAATCAGTTTTCCCTTTTGTGAATCTCGATGTGGGTATATGACACACTTTCCCATTTAAGGTAAAGGTACACATTTATACCTTATCTCAGAATAGTCATAAGTCAGGTTCTTATTGTGTGGTTAGTAATGCAAATATTAATAAGGTCATGTACTTAGTATTTAGAAGAATTCTGAAATAGCACTTGTTAATCTGTAACTTTTATGCATTTATTACTTTTTTGTAATTTTTTGTAGTGTTCCCAAACTTGACACTCATAGGCTATTTAGTAGTAGGTTTTACTCCTATCTCTTCTGGCCTCGAGTACATAAGATGTATTTTCCTTTGGTTTAGCATATAATATAAATTTAATTGTTCAGATTTTGAACAAAAAGGACCTATAGAATTATTGCTTACATTGACACCAGCCCAATTGTCCCATGGATGGGGTTTTGTTTGGATCAACATAAGAGTTGACCCTGCTGTTAAACCTTGAAACTTGTATCTGTTTTATCTGAGTTGTCTCCTCAAAAAAAGACCTTCAGGAAGTATCAAATAACTGAAACATACCAGATCACCGCACTAGATGCCTCCTGCCAGCCCCTAATTTCTGTTCTCTTATACATTATTGTATTTCTTTCCTGACCCTAGTTTAAGTGAGTCAAGGAGATAAATTTGAGACTGAGACCCCATCTCCTGGGCTGCAGCACCAGGTTAAAGCTTTCTTCCTTGGTAATACTTGTCGCCTCAGTGACTAGTTTCTGTCTGGTGAGCAGCAGGACCTGGACCAAACCCTTGGTGTTTGGGTAATAACATGAACAACCATCTTAACTGTTACTCTTTACTGAAATTTTACGTTTTAATTACTGGCCTCTTCTTTATTATCTATCATTCCTTTGACCTCACATCTCTTTTTTCTTTGACTTTGCAGTCAAAGAACTTAATGCTCCCTGAATCCAAATATTAAGGTTAAGAAAAGAAAGGAAATGTTTGCAGAGAAAGTATGTTTTACAAGTGAATTAAAGATGGATTCATAGAGGTTTATAGATTTACCTAGAGTTTTGAGTTCAGGTGAGTTTTCACAATATGCAGTAAGTTGAAAAGAATCCCAAGATAATTATTACATAATAAAGCTAGATACTGGAAACCAAAAAGATTTCACCTCAGTATGGCACTTTTAATTCAAGAATAGTAGCCAACAAATGAATTTTTCAGACGGTAATCATTACTCTTTAAAAATTAAGAGAAAGTTTATTTATAACTTTTATTTAACTTTTAGTACAGCTTCTGAATTTATCAATAGACAGGACAAAATAGATGAGCATCTGCTTCCCTTCCCCCTAAGCGATGTATTCTTACCAAAATGCAATACTTTTTTATTTATACTTGAAGGCAGTGTTTTTCAGTCTTTTCCATGTTAGTAGCTCAGATCTTCAAGGACAGAAGATGTATATTGGGGGCAGCTTGTGGTCTTAATCCTTACTGGAGCTCCGATATCTTAGATTCTTTCTTTCCTATTTGTGAATAAACTTCTGCTCCAGTAGGATAAGCCTGTTTACCATGTGACTGCCTAACAGATCTGTTGCTTTATGTCCCAGTTTTTAGAAGCAAGCAGATTATATTACCTGGATTAAAATGTTTTTTGATACTAAAGGTAGTATCTTTAATTTTTACTTACGAGTTACTTTAAGTACAACTTTGATTAAATTATGGGAATCGAGTTTCTGTAGCTTTTACCATAGTGAAAATGGAAAGCAGGGAGCATTCCACAGCAAACCCTAAACTTATTTATAGAGAGTTAATTAAGTGTCTGAGCAAAGCAAGCATTCACAATGGTGTGTCTGTGTGTGTGTCAGTGACAGATGAACATGGTACTTGAAACATAATTGTGCTTCTTCAGGTTCCAATATCCAGTAATTTTGCCATACAGTTACAGTAACTAATATTAAATCCACAAACCTACTTTGGTCTACTCTGTATTTGTATTTTAAAATAATAATTTTTAGCTGCCTAATAGAAGTGTTATTTTTTTTCTGAATTAGAAAGTATTGTTTCCATTGAGTTAAAAGAATCTTTTTTTATGTTTATTATATCTTAAAAGTGATTGCATTGTTATCTAGATTCTCTTTTTTCAGTGTGAGTTTTTATTGGTTTATTACATGTTTATTTTCTTTTTAGGAAGCCATCATTCTGTAGAAGGCAGTGACGGAACAGTACCAGCAGAAATTGAAGGACCAGCAGAAGGTTAGGAGAAAAAGAGATTTTGTGTGTTACTGTATTTGTTGTATATATATTTTCTTTTCCTTGAGATGGAGTCTTGCTCTGTCGCCAGGCTGTAGTGCAGTGGTGTGATTTCAGCTCACTGCAACCTCTGACTCCCTGGTTCAAGCAATTCTTCTGCCTCAGCCTCCCGAGTAGCTGGGATTACAGGCAAGAGCCACCACACCTAGCTAATTTTTGTATTTTTAGTAGAGACAGGGTTTTGCCATGTTGGTCAGGATGGTCTTGATCTCCTGACCTTGTGATTTCACTCACCTTGGCCTCCGAAAGTGCTGGGATTACAGGGGTGAGCCACCATGCCTGGTCTGTTGTATGTTTATTCTATTTTATAGATTATATTATTCTTAAAACACCTCACTTGGAAATAAAAGATGATTCTTTTGGTATGCTTTCCTAGGCGACAAGTTGTTTTAAGTTATAAGAGGTAATATACCTCTTTACAATATTGATCAATAAAGCCCATGAGGATGAAGACTAAGTGGTAACTGAAGGTCTTCATGATGCAAAGTACTGTTTTTCTGATCGTGGTTGTTATTATAAGTTGTAACTTCCTAAGTATGTATGCTTCATTACTTGATGTCTAAATCTGGCCTAGTAGTCAATGCACATGGTAACAGATGGTAAAGCTAGGTGACAACCTTTAATAATAGGAAAATAGAACATTCTCTTTAATGAAGATTTACTGACATTTTTAGGTACAACAGTTTCCTGCTGACAGCTCTTCAAGTGCTTGTCCATCTTCTCTGGAATACTGGGGCTTTAGTTAAGGGATACTCGAGTGTTGTCAGTAAATTGGTTTATGTACATAGATATGTTTTTACAGTTCCTCTTCCTGCATCTAGTGTTTAATTTTTCAGTTATGCTTCCAATTAAGTTTATTTAATTATTTAAGCTCTCTCTAAAAGTAGAATTAATTCAACTAAATTAAAGGGGCTAATTTTTAATAGGCATTTAATTCATATGCTATTTACAGAAAAACTCTCTGGGTTTTAAAAAGTTGCTTTAGATTTTGCCATCTTAGTATGTCCTTATGTGGTGTCTTGTTTTATTTTTTATTTTTTTATTTTGGTAAAAATATACATAATATAAAATAACACTTTTAACCATTTTTAAGTGCACAGAGGTCCCTGGTGTTAAGCACATCCGCATTGTTAGCTATCACCACTCTCCATCTCCAGAGCTTTGTCATCATTGTAAACTGCAGCTCTGTACTCCATAAACAATAGCTCCCCATTGAACCGTCCTCCTGGCCCCTGGCAATTACTATTCTATTTTCTATGAATTTGTTTATTCTAGATACCTTATATAAGTGGACTTGTACAATATTTGTCCTTTTCTGTCTGGTTTATTTCACTTAGCATAATGCTATCAAGGCTCATTGATAACACTGTCAGAATTTCCTTTTTTTAAAAAATTTTTATTTGTAGAAGCGAGGTCTTGCCATGTTGCCCAGCCTGGTCTCAAAATTCTGTGCTTAAGCGACCTGCCCGCCTTGACCTCCCAAAGTGCTGGAATTACAGGTGTAAGCTGCTGAACCTGGCGAGATTTTTTTTTATCGCTGTATAGTATTCTGTGTATGTGTGTATTACATTTTCTTTACCCATTCACCTACCGATGGGCATAGGGCTGGTTCTACCTTTTGGCCACTGTGAATAATGCTACTGTTAAACGGGTGTACAAATACCTGTTTGAGTCCCTGATCTTAGTTCTTTTGGATATAGCGCTTAAAGGGTGTTGTTGGATCATATAATTCTGTGCTTAATATTTTAAGGAACTGCCAAACCATTTTCCACAGTGGGCTGTACCATTTTACATTCCAAAAAGCCATCCATAAAGGTTACAATTTATCGATATCATTGTTGACAGTTAATATTTTCTGTTTATGTATTGTATTTTTATGGTGTTTGAAATTCATCTGAGGGTTTTCTTGATACCAAAATATTAGAAAACGTTTTCAAAAAAATGCCTTATTATAGAGACTTTTACATGTTACTTGATGCCCTGTGATCTATTTTCTCACTAAGAAGAGGAACTTCTCTTCACCCAGCCTCATTCCACTGCACCCACTCTTTTTTGTGTTGGGTTGTGCAGGGGAGAAAGGGAGGTTGGCACCTCTTTCCTGTGTTGTGGTAGCCCGTCGCTGGGTTGTAAAGCGCCTTGCCTCCTATTTTACTTGGGAGAAATGCATTGATGCTGGGTGCCATATGGATTTATTTTGGGAGTGATACTGTTCTAATTTTATGGAAATAATGCCAGATAGAAAGTTAGCGGATGGATTCTGTATCTGATGAGAGTTTTGGACAAATCGAATATCTAGTTTCTGAGCCTTAATTTTCCTCTGATGCAAGACAAGTGTAAATTAGCCAGCTGGTAAAAAAAACTCTCACAGCTCTGGATATGGGTTTAAGACACTGGATTTCTACCACTCACTTTCTTACTACTTTTCTTGCGCAGGGATCATGGCCAAAGTTGCAGTGTCCCCCCGCTCGTTGAAGATGAGGAGTTCTCAGAGAGCGGGATGTTTGTGACATTCCTCATGTCAGCTCTCGAGTCCATGGTGAGACCTTTTGTTCTAACAGTCTATATTTGAGTAGGACTGGGCTGTAGTTAAGGTTGATTTGTTTTTTGTAGAACATATAATTTTATGGTTTTTTCTTTATAATGAGTAGTTCTTTTTCCTGAATAGTAGCTGTGGTCAAATACATCCAACCAAATGCAGAGATTCTACACCAGTTTTCGGACAATCTGGATACCAACTGGGTATCTCACAGTTCCATTCTCACACTAACTGGAGTTAGTGCAGACCCCTCAGGATAGGGGCTCAGTCCCACAAGACTATCCTCACTTCACATGCCAGTTGCAAACCCTAGGTTGTTACATGTACTTTTGACCAACCAGTTAGAAACTGGGGTCTCATGACCTCCTTCTTTGGTTGAATCATTTGCTAAAACAGTTTGCAGAACTCAGAAAAACAGGTTATTTTCTTTTTTTTTTTTCTGAGATACATAGTCTCACTCTGTTGCCAGGCTGGAATTCAGCAATGTGATCAAAGCTACTGTAGCCTCGAACTCCTGGGCTCAAGTGATCCTCCTGCCTCAGCCTCCCAATGAGACTACAGGCCTACACCACCATATCTGGCTATATTCTTTTATTTTTTGTAGAGATGGGGTCTTGTTATGTTGCCCAGGCTGGTCTCAAATTTCTGGGCTCACATTATCCTCCCATCTCAACCTCCAAAGTGCTGGGATTATGGGCGTGAGCCACTGGGTCTCACCAATTTACTTTCTATTACTGGTTCATTGTAAAGGATATATCTCAGAAACAGCCAGTGAAAGAGGTGTACATGCTGGGCTCATGCCTGTAATCTCAGCACTTTGGGAGACTGTGGCGGGAGCATCGCTTAAGCTCAAGAGTTTAAGACCAGGCTGGGCAACATGGTGAAACCTCATCTTTACAAAAAAAATTTTATAAAAATTAGCCTGGTGCAGTGACATGTGCCTACAATTCTAGTTACTCAGGAGGTTGAGGTGAAAGGATGGCTTGAGCTAGGGAGGCATAGGTTGCAGTGATCCACGATTGTGCCACTGTAGCCTGGGAGACAGAGCCAGACCCTGTCTCAAAAAAAAAAAAAAAAGAAAGAAAAAAGATGCACAGGGCAAGGTATGTGGAGAGGGGCACAGAGCTTCCATGCCGTCTATTGGGCATGTTACCCTCCCAGTATCCCCCTTGTGTTCAGGAACCCAGACACTCTCCAAACCCTGTTGTTTAGGGTGTTTCTGAAGGCTTCATTACACAGGCATGATTGATAAAATCATTGACCATTGGTGATTAAGTCAATCTTCAGCCACTATTTCTTCCTGGAGCTCAGTGGGTGAGGCTGCAAGTTTCAAGCCTCTAATCACATGGTTTGTTCTGGCAACCAGCCCTCCTCCTGAAGCTGTCTGGGAGCTTTCAGTCACCCAGTCATCTCAGTAGCATCATCAAATGCATTCTTACTATGGTGGAGATCCCAAAGGTCTTAGAGGGTCTTGTGTTAGAAACCTGGGACTAAGACCAAATATTGAAACAAAAGATGCTCCTATCAACTTTATCACTGAGAACTTTATGAGAACTTTAGAAGCTTTGTGCCAGGACCAGGGGCAGAAACCAGATGTGTATTTCTTTTCTTTTTCTTTTGGACACAGAGTCTCTTTCTTTCACCCATACTGGAGTGCAGTGATGCAGCCTCAACCACCTGGGCTCAAACAATTCTCCTGCGTCAGCCTTCTAAGTATGTGGGACTACAGGTGCACACCATCCATGCTCAGCTAATTTTTGTATTTTTTTTTAGAGATGGGATCTTGTTACGTTGCCGAGGCTGGTCTTGAACTCCTGGGCTAAAGCAACCCTTTCACCTCAGCCTCTCAAGTAGCTGAAACTACAGATGCATACCACCATGCCCAGCCAATTTTTTCTTTTCTTATTTCTTTTGGTTTTTGTTGTTTAGTTGGGGATCTCACTATGTTTTCCAGGTTGGTGTCGAGCTCCTGGCCTCAGGTGTTTCCCCGCTTTGACCTCCTAAACTGTTGGGATTACAGGTGTGAGCCACGACCACTGTGTCCAGCAGTCACAAGGGTTTTTATAAGAGAAAGAGGGAGGCAAGAGACTCAGAATTGGAGGAGATGTGATGATGGAAGCAGAGGTCAGAGAGGGAGATTTGAATATGCTTCGCTTCTGGCTTTGAAGATGCAGTTAGGGGCCATGAGCCAAGAAATGGGGGTGGCTTTTAGAAGCTGAGAAAGGCAAGGGAACCCATCCTCTCTGGAGCCTCCAGAAGGAATGCAGTCCTGCTGACACGTTGACTTTAGCCTTAATTGACCTATTTTGGACTCTGGCTCCCAGAACTGTTAGGTAGTAGATTTGTCGTGTATTAAGGCACTCAATGTAGGGCAGTTTGTAACAGCAGCAAGAAGAAATGAACATGAACCCAGGGCTGGTGGCCCACACCTATAATTCCAGGTATTTAGGAGGCCGAGGCAGGAGGATCGCTTTGGCCCAGGAGTTCAAGACAAGCCTGGGGAGCATAGTGATGCTCCATATATTTTTTAAAAAATTAGCAGGTGTGGTGGCATGCACCTGTAGTCTTTAGCTACTAGAGAGGCTGAGGCAGGACGATTGCTTCACCAGTGAGTTCGAGGTCTCAGTCGTGATTGTGCCATGGCACCCCAGCCTGAGTGGCACAGCGAGATTTTGTGGAAAAAAAAGAGCATGGCAGGAATGGGGACAGATGGCAATATTAAATAGAGTGGCCAGGGTTGCCCTAAGTGAAAATTTATCAAAGACTTGAAGTGGGGGAAGCAACTGGCCAAGGTGCTGAGGTGAGAGCATTGTAGGCAGAAACAACAGGATAAAGATGCTAGGAGGGAACTCCATGGTGTGTCTGATCAGTAAAGATTGTGTAATCTCTGGGAGGCTCTTGCTGGGGCTTTGGCTTTTACTCTGACTGAGATCGGAACTGTGGGAGGGTTCTGAGCAGAGAGGCAACATGATCTGTCTCCTGATTTAAAAGCATCCCTTGGCTGCTGAGTTGAGAAAGATTGTGGGAAGATTTGGGTAGAAGCAGGGAGGCCAAGCTGTGGCAACATCCAGATGGGAGATAAGTGTTTTTGACCAGGGTCATGGCAATGGTGAGAGATGGCTGATTCTTTTTTTTTCTTTTTTCTTTTCTTTTTTGAGACGGAGTCTCGCTCTGTTGCCCAGGCTGGAGTGCAGTGGGGAGATCTCAGCTCACTGCAACCTACACCTCCCAGGTTCAAGAGAGTCTTCCGCCTCGGCCTCCTGAGTAGCTGGGACTACAGGCACCTGCTACCACGCCTGGCTAATTTTTGCATTTTTTTGTAGAGACGGGGTTTCACCATATTGACCAGGCTGTTCTCGAACTCCTGACCTTTTGATCCACCCACCTTGGCCTCCCAAAGTGCTGGGATTACAGGCGTGAGCCACCGTGCCTGGCCCTGAGAGATGGTTGATTCTTGTTGAAATACTAAGTAATTAAAAAAAAAAAAACAGTACTGCCTTTCCCAATTATATGAAGTATGGGTTGCTAGATTAAGGAAACCTTAAGTCAGGCTGGTGCAGTGGCTTATGCCTGTAGTGCCAGCACTTTGGGAGGCAGAGATGGGGGGATTGTTTTAAGTCCAGGAGTTTGAGACCACCCTTGGCAACATAGCAAGATCTCCTCTCTACACAAATAAATAATAATAAAATATAATTATCCAGACACGGTGGCATGTGTCTGTAGAATCAGTTACTCTGGTTGTCGAGGTGGGAAGATCTCTTGAGGGTGGGAGTTTTGAGGCCAGCTTGGGCACATAGCAAGGCTTCTGTCTCCACAAAAAAAAAAAAAAAAAAAAAAGTAGCTGGGAGTTGTGATGCTCACTTGTAGTCCTGGCTATGGTGACTGCATGACTGATCCCTAGAGCTGTAATTTTACTAATTAATTTTTCAGATACTACTCAGCCAGCAACTGAGCCTAACCAGGAACACACCCTCAACCATTCAGTGGTCCTTTTTTTTGTTTTTCTAGTCCTCCTGAAAGTCGATTACTCTCAGAAGGTGACGAAAACTTGCATTACTTTTGTTTTTCTTCCTAGAGACAAGCTCTTGCTCTGTCACCAGGCTGCAGTGCAGTGGCTTGATTATGTCTCAATGCAGCCTGAAACCCCTGGGCTGAAACAATCCTCCAACCTCAGCCTCCCAAGTAGCTGGGACTACAGACGTTTGCCCCCGTGCCTAGCTAACTTCTTTATTTTTTATTGTTGAGATGGGATCTTGCTATGTTGCCCAGGATGGTGTCAAACTCCTGGCCTCAAGTGATCTCTCTGTCTCAGCTTCCCAAAGTGCTGGAATTATGCACAGGCCTGAGCCACCTGTGCTCAACCCCCATTTTCTTTTTTTTTTTTTTTTGAGATGGAGTCTAGCTCAGTTGTCCAGGCTGGAGTACAGTGGTGCCATCTCGGCTCACTGCAACCTCCACCTCCCTGTTTCAAGCAATTCCCCTGCCTCAGCCTCCCGAGTAGCTGGGATTACAGGCGCATGCCACCATACCTGGCTAATTTTTGCTCTATTTTTAGTAGAGATGTGGTTTCACCATGTTGGCCAGACTGGTCTTGAACTCCTGACCTCAGGCAGTTGGCCCACCTTGGCCGCCCAAAGTGCCGGGATTACAGGTGTGAGCCACTGCATCTGGCCCTTTTTATAATAATAATTTAATTGAAATATGATTAACATCTCACACAATTCATTTATCAAAGTGTGCAATTCAGGCTGGGTGTATTGGCTAATTCCTATAACGCTAAGACTTTGGGAGGCTGAGGTAGGTGGATTGCTTGAGTTCAGGAGTTCGAGACTAGCCTGGGCAACATGGCAAAACAGCATCTCTAGAAAAAATACAAAAATTAGCTGGATATGGTGGCTCATGCCTGTAGTCTTAGCTACTTGAGGACATGATGCTGGAAGATCACTTAAGCCCAGAAGGCATATAGGTTGCAGTGAGACCAGATGGCGGTACTGCACTAGTGTGGGTGACAGAAGGAGACCATGTCGAGAAAGAGAGAGAGTGAGAGAGGAAAGAAGTAAAGAGAGACGGAGAGAGAGAGAAAGGAAAGAAAGAGAGAAATTCAGTAGTTTTTAGAATATTCATGAAGCTGTGCATCCATCACCACAGTCACTTTTAGAAGCGATTACCCATTTATGAGTTACCCACTTAAGAGTGAGAAACCCTCACCTCTTAGCTGCTACCTCCTACTTCCCCCACGTTCCTGTGTCTTCATAGGCAACCACTGATTTATTTTCTTTTATTGTAGTTTTGCCTAATCTGGACCTTTAATAGAAATAGAATTGTACAGTATGTGATCTTTTGTAGTTTGCTTTTTTTTCTCTTAGCACAATGTTTTCAAATTTCTTTCATGTTATAGTGTGCATCAGTATTTCTTACCTTTTGTTGCTGAATAATAGTTTATGTTTAGCCATTCATCAGTTGATGGACATTTGTGCTGTTTCTGCATATAAACCGTCATGAGTAATGGTGCTATGAACACTCACATGCAAGTTTTTGTGTGAACATATATTTCTGCTTCTCTTGGATTTACACCCAGAAATGAAATTGTTGCATTATGTGATAACTATACATTTAGCCTTGGAGAAACTGCCACGTTGTTTTTCAAAGTGGTTACACCAGTCAGGCATGGTGGCTCATGCCTTTAATCTCAGCTATTTGGGAGGCTGAGTTTGGAGGACTGCTTTAGCCCAGGACTTCAGGACCAGCCTGGGCAACATAGGGAGACAATATCTTGATTTTTAAAAAAATCAATTGACCAGAAAAGAAACACCCAAACTGATGACACCATTTTATGTTCCCACCAGTAATGTGTGTGGGTTCCAGTTCTTCCACATTGTCACCAACTGTTTTTTTTTTTTTTTTTTTTGAGACAAAATCTTGCTCTGTTGCCCGGGGTGGAGTACAGTGGCATGAACATGGCCAGTGTAGCCATGACTTCCCAGGCACAAGTGATCCTCTCACCTCAGCCTCCCAAGTAGCTGGGACTTACAGGTACTTGTCATCATGTGTGGCTGATTTTTACATTTTTTGGTAGAGATAGGGTTTTGCCATGTAGCCTAGGTCAAACTTCTGAGCTCAAGTGATTGCCCGCTTCTGCCTCCAGAAGTGCTGGGATTACAGGTGT
Organism: Homo sapiens; assembly: GCF_000001405.40. Taxonomy (NCBI): domain Eukaryota; kingdom Metazoa; phylum Chordata; class Mammalia; order Primates; family Hominidae; genus Homo; species Homo sapiens. Next base: position 42,677,191 of record NC_000010.11, on the reverse strand, counting down.
GTGCCACCACACCCGACTGGTATAACCACTTTGGAAAACAGCCACTGAGTCCAGCCTTCACCAATATACCAATATTTGTTAATATCTTTTTTGTACTTACTATTTCTTCATTTTAAAAAATTATTTTGTAGCTGTCTTATTAGTTATAATAAACAGCAAATAATTTTGTAGTAGCGCTGAGACCCCCCAAAAATTACTTGTCATTTAATTGAAATACAGTTTTTTTTAACCTGGATATATGTTTTTTCATTCTCATTTTTAGTTATTTTTAAAAACTATTGATAAATTTTTGTATTTTAATAGGTGTTTGGGAAACAGGTAGTGTTTGCTTCCATGAGTAAGTTATTTAGTGTTGATTTCTGAAAATTTGTAGCACCCCTTATTACTCATTGTATATTAAGTCATGAAATCATTAATAAACCAAAGACTTCAGTGAAATGGAAATTTTATTTTAACTTGTAACCTGAGAAATAACTGTCAAAAAAATTAGAGAAATTACCACATTAAAGCTTTAAAATCTTGAACCTAAAAATGAAAACCCTGTTGCACCTAAGAACCACAAGCCCACTGGTCAAGGTGAACAAAACTAAATATAAAGCAGAATGCAACCAAGAAAACCAAACTCAGGATTATTCAGTGTTCTGTAATGCTATTTTATCTTGGGACTCACAGAAAATTGTTATTATTATTATTATTACTACTTTTATATGGAATCTCACTGTCACCCACGCTGGAGTGCAGTGGCACGATCTCGGCTCACTGCAACCTCTGCCTCTGGGGTTCAAGTGATTCTCCTGCCTTAGCCTCCGGAGTAGTTGGGATAACAGGCACGCTCCACCAAGCCTGGCTAACTTTTGTATTTTTAGTAGAGATGGGGTTTCACCATGTTGGCCAGACTGGTCTCAAACTCCTGACCTCATGCAGTCGACCTGCCTCGGCCTCCCAAAGTGCTGGAATTACAGGCATGAGCCACTGGACTCAGCTGAAAATAGTTAATTTTATGTATATTCTAAGTCAAAATACATTTTGTTTTTAAATATTTGATGACTTTACAATACTATATTAACTCTTAAATGAATTAATACAAGTTTAGATATAAGGAGTATGTTTATGTTGACTAAAAATTATTTTTTACATATATGAAAGTAATGTCATACAATAGTTTTTATACTTGTAGAATACTTTGAAATATATATTAGCTAATATTTTATATTCATTTTGGATTTTTGCATTATTGTTAGATCCACAGAAAACTAATATTTTGTGAATACCCAAATCAAAAGCATTTTGATGGATGCATTCATAAATAGCATTTTATTTAAAAAGAACACTAATTAAAGCTTCACACCATTTTATGATTCATCAAACACAGTAACTGAATACTGGCATATAGCAACATTACAGAGGTTAGCCTTAGATAAAACTCAGCACATTTTAAAAAGGGTAAAAGGAAGAAAAGGAAAAAGGATACAAGGCTGTGTAAAGATTTTAAAAACAAACATCATATGTCTGGACCACAACTATTCATGCCATTGACTTTGGAGACTCATATTTTGTGAAAAGCGTTTTGTAAGTAGAGGACTCATAAGTGGTATAAGGCACCTAGTACACTACAATGGCACAGACATGACAGATATTCAATAAAATGATTTTAACTTTTACTGATACATGTTATCTTTGTTGTTCATTTATTAAACTAGTGCAAATCAGCCAGTAGATGGAGTGGCATTGACCTGTAAAACTTCTAAGATCCCATCCAAGCTTAGTATCCTGTGAAGTTCTCCATAATTTATTGTCTATTCCAATCAACATTTAGCATAAGCTACACGCTTATTTTGTTAATCATCCTTCTATGTTTATGTGTTGACTTGAAATGGGCCTATGTGGCCTTTATCTTCACAACCCTAATATGTACATAATTTAATAACTTTGTTATAAACCTGATGTTTCATAAAATTATGTCTTATCAAATATTTTCTGGTAGAATAATTACACATTTTTGCTTAAACTTTCCTGACTCTCCATTGCCTGCTGAATACAGTTAAGTTCTCACTTAGTGTGAGGATTTAATACATTCTTGAAAACTGTGACCTACAATTAAGCCAACCTTACCATAGTCTAATTGATAGAAATAGTTAAGTTTCTATGGCATATTTCTGGTCACAAGAACATCACCAAACTTAGAAAGGCCTAAAACACTTCCAGTATTAAATACTGAAATAAATGTGAGCTCTACATACATTTAAGAAAAATGTGAGCTCTACATACATTAGGCCAGGCGTGTTGGCTCACGCCTGTAATCCCAGCACTTTGGGAGGCCAAGGTGGGAGGATCACTTGAGGTCAGGAGTGTGATACCAGCCTGGCCAACATGGCGAAACCTTGTCTCTACTAAAAATGCAAAAAATCACCCGGGCATGGTGCTACGTGCCTGTAATCCCAGCTACTTGGGAGGCTGAGGCGGGAGAATCACCTGAATCTGGGAGGTGGAGGTTGCAGTGAACTGAAGTCGTGCCACTGCATTCCAGCCTGGGTGACAGAGCAAGACTCCATCTCCCCACCGCCCCCCCCCCCCAAAAAAGATAAAGAAAAATTAATAAAAATGTTACCAGGGCCACCCTGATGAAATAACTGGGAAAGATCTATTTATTACTGTGTTTCTTTAGTTTCTTTATTTGTAGGCATAGCTGCATAAAGAAACCAGTTGGCCCACCAGCACCAGGGCTTCTCCACCCCTGACCACATACCAGGAGATAAGATCCCCAACCAGCACAAACTCGAACAGGTGAGCCCTAGTTGCTTTTAGATAACTTTTTTTTTTTTTCTTTTTGACAGACTCTCACTCGGTCGTCCAGGCTGGAGTGCAGTGGCACCATCTTGGCTCATTGCAACATCTGGCTCCCAGGTTCAATCGATTCTTCTGCCTCAGCCTTCTGAGTAGCTGGAATTAACAGGTGTATGCCAACTTATCTGGCTAATTTTGTTGTGTATTTTTCTTTCAGTACAGACTGGGTTTCACCATGTTGGCCATGCTGGTCTTGAGCTCCTCACCTCAGGTGATCCACATGCCTCAGCCTCCTAAAGTGCTGGGATTATAGGCGTCAGCCACCGCTTCTGGCCTAGATCATTAACATATCACTATGATACTAAAATTCCCTCTGCCAAAGAAAATCTTGCCATTTTGTGACATGAGTTGTATAAAGATGTATGTTTATATGCACTGAACCTGTGCACCTAGAGTTCCACCCTGCTCATGCTAACGTTGTTCTCCCTCCCCGTACCTAGTTCTTAAAAACTCCATGCCTTCCATTTTTCAGGGAAAGGGTGTCTTTAGAGCAAGAACTCTTTTCTTCTCCATCCCAGGCAGGGAAAAAACCCACTTGGCCTTGTTTCTGATTGGGTTTTCTTGCTTTGCGACTAATACAAAGCAGGAAAAAACTCCCTTTATCAGTGATAAAAACAAGTAAGATTATTATTTACCCACCTATTCTAGCTAGGGGTCATGGGTGGCCGGAGTCTCTCCTAGCAACTCAGGGCGCTAGGCAGAACCAGCCCTGGATCTGGAATAGGGTGCCATCATATGGCAGAGTGTACATACACACACACACACACACACACACACACACACACACAGAGCTCAAATGGGGACTATTTAGAAATGATAGTTCACATAATGGGCACATCTTTGAGATGTGGGAGGAAACTGGGAGTACCCAGTGAAAACCCATGTGGACCTGGGGAGAATGTGTAAAGGACACACAGGAAGTGGCCAGCTGGGAGTTGATTGTTTTTTCTTATCAACATTACAATGAAATGATACTGAACGAAATGACATTATTCAAGTACCTGCTGTAATAGTCAGACTCCTTCATATAAAATTCAAAGCCCTCTACACTCGGGCACTACATTGGACTTCCATCCTACACCTACATTCTAGCCACTGTACTACACATCATTTACCAAAGGCGCTGTATACTTCTGTGCTACCAAACATTTGCCAGTCTGGTTCCCTCTGCATTTCAAGATTACACACCCCTCATAATCCTGCAAAGCCTTTCGTATCAATTTTTCTGTGAAGCTTTTCAGAATCCACCACCACTCCCACCATCACCCCAACTCCCTGAGAGGGCAGATCTCTCTCTCCGTTTGGCAGCCACTTTTAATAAAGCATTTTTCACTGATACTATGAGTCTGCCTTCTCCTTTGGGAAACTTTCTCAGACTCCCATACCCAGAGTTAGGCACTCCATATTTGCCCACCTTGGTCCCTGGTATGTAATTCTACTCCAGCATAGAACAGAGAAGCCAGAATCATCTTTCTGTAAAATTCTATCTTCTGTTAGACCCTGTGTCCCTTGAGGATATCATTCATCATTGTTTCCCCAGGGCCTTGCACACCTTACTCTGGGCCTCCAGCTTAGCCTGTTTCTATGCAGGCTGCCCATGGCTGATGCCAACCAGTCCTGTCCCTCTATATCCAAGCACCAGACTTCCTTACTGATCCTTTGCAATTTCAGACCCTCCATCACCCTCCTGTATCCTGCTGGAGATTTTGGAGCATCTCAGCATCTCTGGGGCAGCTCGCGGACATCAGGGAGGGGCAGGCAACAAAGCCCACGTAGACCCTTACAGGTATCTCAGGATCTCCGAATGGGATCCTCTTTTCCCCAGCCCATTCCTTAAAACTCTGCTGACTTCCCTACTTCTTCCTCCAGCTCAGCACTTAGCTGGAGTTGCCCCAAAGGTGATCACAGAGGAATTTTCACAAGGGACTGTCCCAGACTGTCCTGAGATGAAGGGGGTTAGGATTCCAAAGAAGTAAACTCTAAACCCTGGTATGATGAGCCCAAAGCATTTCTTAAGGGATGTACACACAGTGAGGGCTGCAGCTCATCTTATTGGGAGGAAAGGAGACCAAGGATGCTTTGTCTAGGTATCTTTGCAGTGAGGAGTCTGGTTATGCAGTTTATAGGAGCGTTTAAGGAATCTCCCAGGACCAGGGATACTTTCTTTTAGTGTTTTGAATTACAACCTAAACACAACACCTTTACTTATGTCTGCGAATGTTCAGAGCCCTGGCTTGGGTTCAAGTCTGCAGGGGAAAGCATGCAGGTATCCGGGCCACAGAATAACAGAGAAGTCAAGCGTCTGTGTATTCTTGGTCAGAACAGATGGAAAATGTGAAGAAACTGCGGAATTGTACTCTATCCTTTCTAGTAAGACTTGCTATTAGGAAGTATAAGTCATTTGATTCTGTTTTTCTTTTTAAAAATTGTTTTGTGCAATTTGATTTTCTGTACATACATATTGATTTAAGGGAGTGAGAGACTTTCTAATTTCTAAAAAAATACACTTGGAAATTTGAAGGGATTATATTGAATCTGCAAATCAATTTATAGGGTATTGTTATCCTAAGAATAATAAGTATTTAAAAAATTATTGTAGGTATACGTATGTATGGGGTATATGGGATGTTTTGATATAGGCATACAATGCATAATAATCACTCATATCCTGGAGGGTAGGGTATCCATCCCCTCAAACATGTAACCTTTGCCTTACAAACAGTCCATCCTTGAACATAAAATGACTTCCAGTTATTTTTCAGTTTATCTTTGATTTCTTTCAGTGTTACAAATTGTGTAAAATTCCTGTATCTGTCTTGAATTTTTTTCTCTTAATGTTTTTTATTGATGCCATTATAAGTGGAATTGTTTTCTTTATTTTATTTTTAATTGTTGGTTGCTTTTATATAAACCATAATCTACTTTGGCATGCCAGTTTTCTGTCTTGTAACACGGATAAATTTGTGTATTAGTTCTACTGATAGTGAATCTCTTTTTTTTTTTGCTTTATAAAAACAGCAAAAGAAGCTTATTCAAGTAGTTTTCCTCTTTTTTTAAATTATACTTTAAGTTTTAGGGTACATGTGCACAACGTGCAGGTTTGTTACATATGTATACATGTGCCATGTTGGTGTGCTGCACCCGTTAACTCGTCATTTAACATTAAGTATATCTCCTAACGCTATCCCTCCCCCTTGCCCCCACCCCACAACAGGCCCCGGTGAGTGATGTTCCCCTTCCTGTGTCCATGTGTTCTCATTGTTCAGTTCCCACCTATGAGTGAGAACATGCGGTGTTTGGTTTTCTGTCCTTGTGATAGTTTGCTGAGAATGATGGTTTCCAGCTTCATCCATGTCCCTACAAAGGACATGAACTCTTCATTTTTTATGGCTGCATAGTATTCCATGGTGTATATGTGCCACATTTTCTTAATCCACTCTATCATTGTTGGACATTTGGGTTGGTTCCAAGTCTTTGCTATTGTGAATAGTGCCACAATAAACATAACATGTGCATGTGTCTTTAAAGCAGCATGATTTATAATCCTTTGGGTATATACCCAGTAATGGGATGGCTGGGTCACATGGTATTTCTAGTTCTGGATCCCTGAGGAATCACCACACTGACTTCCACAATGGTTGAACTAGTTTACAGTCCCACCAACAGTGTAAAAATGTTCCTATTTCTCCACATCCTCTCCAGCACCTGTTGTTTCCTGACTTTTTAATGATTGCCATTCTAACTGGTGTGAGATGGTCTCTCATTGTGGTTTTGATTTGCATTTCTCTGATGGCCAGTGATGATGAGCATTTTTTCATGTGTTTTTTGGCTGCATAAATGTCTTCTTTTGAGAAGTGTCTGTTCATGTCCTTCGCCCACTTGTTGATGGGGTTGTTTGTTTTTTTCTTGTAAATCTGTTTGAGTTCATTGTAGATTCTGGATATTAACCCTTTGTCAGATGAGTAGGTTGTGAAAATTTTCTCCCATTTTGTAGGTTGCCTGTTCACTCTGATGGTAGTTTCTTTTGCTGTGCAGAAGCTCTTTAGTTTAATTAGATCCCATTTGTCAATTTTGGCTTTTGTTGCCATTGCTTTTGGTGTTGTAGACATGAAGTCCTTGCCCATGCCTATGTCCTGAATGGTAATGCCTAGGTTTTCTTCTAGGGTTTTTATGGTTTTAGGTCTAACGTTTAAGTCTTTAATCCATCTTGAATTAATTTTTGTATAAGGTGTAAGGAAGGGATCCAGTTTCAGCTTTCTACATATGGCTAGCCAGTTTTCCCAGCACCATTTATTAAATAGGGAATCCTTTCCCCATTGCTTGTTTTTCTCAGGTTTGTCAAAGATCAGATAGTTGTAGATATGCAGCGTTATTTCTGAGGGCTCTGTTCTGTTCCATTGATCTATATCTCTGTTTTGGTACCAATACCATGCTGTTTTGGTTACTGTAGCCTTGTAGTATAGTTTGAAGTCAGGTAGCTTGATGCCTCCGGCTTTGTTCTTTTGGCTTAGGATTGACTTGGCGATCCGGGCTCTTTTTTGGTTCCATATGAACTTTAAAGTAGTTTTTTCCAATTCTGTGAAGAAAGTCATTGGTAGCTTGATGGGGATGGCATTGAATCTATAAATGACCTAGGGCAGTATGGCCATTTTCACGATATTGATTCTTCCTACCCATGAGCATAGAATATTCTTCCATTTGTTTGTATCCTCTTTTATTTCATTGAGCAGTGGTTTGTAGTTCTCCTTGAAGAGGTCCTTCACATCCCTTGTAAGTTGGATTCCTAGGTATTTTATTCTCTTTGAAGCAATTGTGAATGGGAGTTCACTCATGATTTGGCTCTCTGTTTGTCTGTTATTGGTGTATAGGAATGCTTGTGACTTTTGTACATTGATTTTGTATCCTGAGACTTGGCTGAAGTTGCTTATCAGCTTAAGGAGATTTTGGGCTGAGACAGTGGGGTTTTCTAGATATACAATCATGTCATCTGCAAACAGGGACAATTTGACTTCCTCTTTTCCTAATTGAATACACTTTATTTCCTTCTCCTGCCTAATTGCCCTGGCCAGAACTTCCAACACTATGTTGAATAGGAGTGGTGAGAGAGGGCATCCCTGTGTTGTGCCAGTTTTCAAAGGGAATGCTTCCAGTTTTTGCCCATTCAGTATGATATTGGCTGTGGGTTTGTCATAGATAGCTCTTATTATTTTGAGATATGTCCCATCAATACCTAATTTATTGAGAGTTTTTAGCATGAAGGGTTGTTGAATTTTGTCAGAGGCCTTTTCTGCATCTATTGAGATAATCATGTGGTTTTTGTCTTTGGTTCTGTTTATATGATGGATTACATTTATTGATTTGCATATGTTGAACCAGCCTTGCATCCCAGGGATGAAGCCTGCTTGATCATGGTGGATCAGCTTTTTGATGTGCTGCTGGATTCGGTTTGCCAGTATTTTACTGAGGATTTTTGCATCAATGTTCATCAAGGATATTGGTCTAAAATTCTCTTTTTTGGTTGTGTCTCTGCCCGGCTTTGGTATCAGGATGATGCTGGCCTCATAAAATGAGTTAGGAAGGATTCCCTCTTTTTCTATTAATTGGAATAGTTTCAGAAGGAGTGATACCAGCTCCTCCTTGTACCTCTGGTAGAATTCGGCTGTGAATCCATCTGGTCCTGGACTTTTTTTGGTTGGTAAGCTATTGATTATTGCCACAATTTCAGAGCCTGTTATTGGTCTATTCAGAGATTCAACTTCTTCCTGGTTTAGTCTTGGGAGGGTGGATGTGTCGAGGAATTTATCCATTTCTTCTAGATTTTCTAGTTTATTTGCGTAGAGGTGTTTGTAGTATTCTCTGATGGTAGTTTGTATTTCTGTGGGATCGCTGGTGATATCCCCTTTATCATTTTTTATTGCGTCTATTTGATTCTTCTCTCTTCTCTTCTTTATTAGTCTTGCTAGCAGTCTATCGATTTTGTTGATCTTTTCAAAAAACCAGTTCCTGGATTCATTAATTTTTTGAAGGGTTTTTTTGGTCTCTATTTCCTTCAGTTCTGCTCTGATTTTAGTTATTTCTTGCCTTCTGCTAGCTTTTGAATGTGTTTGCTCTTGCTTTTCTAGTTCTTTTAATTGTGACATTAGGGTGTCAATTTTGGATCTTTCCTGCTTTCTCTTGTGGGCATGTAGTGCTATAAATTTCCCTCTACACACTGCTTTGAATGTGTCCCAGAGATTCTGGTATGTTGTGTCTTTGTTCTCATTGGTTTCAAAGAACATCTTCATTTTTGCCTTCATTTCGTTATGTACCCAGTAGTCATTCAGGAGCAGGTTGTTCAGTTTCCATGTAGTTGAGCGGTTTTGAGTGAGTTTCTTAGTCCTGAGTTCTAGTTTGATTGCGCTGTGGTCTGAGAGACAGTTTGTTACAATTTCTGTTCTTTTTCATTTGCTGAGGAGTGCTTTACTTCCAACTATGTGGTCAGTTTTGGAATAGGTGTGGTGTGGTGCTGAAAAGAATGTATATTCTGTTTATTTGGGGTGGAGAGTTCTGTAGATGTCTATTAGGTCTGCTTGGTGCAGAGCTGAGTTCAATTCCTGGGTATCCTTGTTGACTTTCTGTCTCGTCCATCTGTCTAATGTTGACAGTGGGGTGTTAAAATCTCCCATTATTAATGTGTGGGAGTCTAAGTCTCTTTGCAGGTCACTAAGGGCTTGCTTTATGAATCTGGGTGCTCCTGTATTGGGTGCATATATATTTAGGATAGTTGGCTCTTCTTGTTGAATTGATCCCTTTACCATTATGTAATGGCCTTCTTTGTCTCTTTTGATCTTTGTTGGTTTAAAGTCTGTTTTATCAGAGACTAGGATTGCAACCTCTGCCTTTTTTTGTTTTCCATTTGCTTGGTAGATCTTCCTCCATCCCTTTATTTTGAGCCTATGTGTGTCTCTGCACATGAGATGGGTTTCCCGAATACAGCACACTGATGGGTCTTGACTCTTTATCCAATTTGCCAGTCTGTGTCTTTTAATGGGAGCATTTTGCCCATTTACATTTAAAGTTAATACTGTTATGTGTGTACTTGGTCCTGTCATTATGATGTTAGCTGGTTATTTTGCTCACTAGTTGATGCAGTTTCTTCCTAGCCTTAATGGTCTTTACATTTTGGCATGTTTTTGCGGTGGCTGGTACTGGTTGTTCCTTTCCATGTTTAGTGCTTCCTTCAGGAGCTCTTGTAGGGCAGGCCTGGTGGTGACAGAATCTCTCAGCATTTGCTTGTCTGTAAAGTGTTTTATTTCTCCTTCACTTATGAAGCTTAGTTTGGCTGGATATGAAATTCTGGGTTGAAAATTCTTTTCTTTAAGAATGTTGAATATTGGCCCCCACTTTCTTCTGGTTTGTAGAGTTTCTGCCAAGAGATCCGCTCTTAGTCTGATGGGCCTCCCTTTGTGGATAACCCGACCTTTCTCTCTGGCTGCCCTTAACATTTTTTCCTTCATTTCAACTTTGGTAAATCTGACAATTATGTGTCTTGGAGTTGCTCTTCTCGAGGAGTATCTTTGTGGCGTTCTCTGTATTTCCTGAATCTGAATGTTGGCCTGCCTTGCTAGATTGGGGAAGTTCTCCTGGATAATATCCTGCAGAGTGTTTTCCAACTTGGTTCCATTCTCCCTGTCACTTTCAGGTACACCAATCAGACGTAGATTTGGTCTTTTCACATAGTCCCATATTTCTTGGAGGCTTTGTTTATTTCTTTTTATTCTTTTTTCTCTAAACTTCCCTTCTAGCTTCATTTCATTCATTTCGTCTTCCATCACTGATACCCTTTCTTCCAGTTGATCGCATCGGCTCCTGAGGCTTCTGCACTCTTCACGTAGTTCTCGAGCCTTGGCTTTCAGCTCCATCAGCTCCTTTAAGGACTTCTCTGTGTTGGTTATTCTAGTTATCCATTCGTCTAATTTTTTTTCACAGTTTTTTACTTCTTTGCCATTAGTTTGAATTTCCTCCTGTAGCTCGGAGTAGTTTGATTGTCTGAAGCCTTCTTCTCTCAGCTCGTCAAAGTCATTCTCTGTCTAGCTTTGTTCCGTTGCGGGTGAGGTGCTGCGTTCTTTTGGAGGAGGAGAGGCGCTCTGCTTTTTAGAGTTTCCGGTTTTTCTGCTCTGTTTTTTCCCCATCTTTGTGGTTTTATCTGCTTTTGGTGTTTGACGATGGTGACGTACAGAAGAGTTTTTCGTGTGGATGTCCTTGTCCTTTCTGTTTGTTTGTTTTCCTTCTAACAGACAGGACCCTCAGCTGCAGGGCTGTTGGAGTTTGCTAGAGGTCCACTCCAGACCCTGTTTGCCTGGGTATCAGCAGCGGTGGCTGCAGAACAGCAGTGGCTGTAGAACAGCGGATCTTGGTGAACTGCAAATGCTGCTGCCTGATCGTTCTCTGGAAGTTTTGTCTCAGAGGAGTACCCGGCCGTGTGAGGTGTCAGTCTGCCCCTACTGGGGGGTGCCTCCCAGTTAGGCTGCTCCGGGGTCAAGGACCCACTTGAGGAGGCAGTCTGCCCGTTCTCAGATCTCCAGCTGCGTGCTGGGAGAACCACTGCTCTCTTCAAAGCTGTCAGACAGGGACATTTAAGTCTGCAGAGGTTACTCTTGTCTTTTTGTTTGTCTGTGCCCTGCCCCCAGAGGTGGAACCTGCAGAGGCAGGCAGGCCTCCTTGAGCTGTGGTGGGCTCCACCCAGTTCGAGCTTCCTGGCTGCTTTGTTTACCTAATCAAGCCTGGGCAATGGCAGGTGCCCCTCCCCCAGCATCGCTGCTGCCTTGCAGTTTGATCTCAGACTGCTGTGCTCGCAATGAGCGAGACTCCGTGGGCGTAGGACCTTCCAGCCAGGTGCGAGATATAATCTCCTGGTGTGCCATTTTTTAAGCCCGTTGGAAAAGCGTAGTAATAGGGTGGTAGTGACCCGACTTTCCAGGTGCCGTCTGTCACCCCTTTCTTTGACTAGGAAAGGGAACTCCCTGACCCTTTGCACTTCCTGAATGAGGCAATGCCTCGCCCTGCTTTGGCTCGTGCACAGTCCGCTGCACCCACTGTCCCACACCCACTGTCTGGCACTCCCTAGTGAGATGAACCCGGTACCTCAGATGGAAATGCAGAAATCAGCCGTCTTCTGCATCGCTCATGCTGGAAGCTATAGACCGGAGCTGTTCCTATTCAGCCATCTTGACTTCACCCAATAATGTTTACATTTATTGTGTGAGGAAAATAAGGTAGTGATTCTAAAGGAAATTAGTAAAACTACCATTTAACTTTGGATTTTCTCAAGAGGGCAGACAAAGTAGACTTTCTAATTTTTTTGATAATTATATAAGACATGAACACAGTTTTTAATTAGAACAAACATAATATGCCATTTGAAGAATAGTATCAAGATGATAGTTTGATTAATTTGATTAGTACTTGCTTACTACATACAAATATGTTGGGCAAGATTGTAAGCCATTAAACACACACACAAATATATAGACATCATACATAATTGTTTAAAATAAGGAAACCGCAGATTCATGAGCAGTGAAAAATTGACATTTTCAATCTTAGTAACTTTGAAACTATCATAAAAATTTACTATTTTGATTTATAATAACTAAATGTACATAAAACTATTAGAGAACTTTATTAGAAAGTTTGACTAGGCATGGAGATAAATGTGTTTCACAATTGAAAAGTAAACAAAGACACACCTTATTATCAAGTACCAAACAAAAGCATTTAAAAAAAGATTAAGACTAAAAGATGCCATGGAATTTGTCACAGCAAAAATACAACAGAGCACACTTTTAGGCTCTGTGATAGATTAATAGAAACTGTCAATTAATGTGTAAACACAGGCCAGTGTGCTCATCATGACATGAAAAAAATTTAGAACTGGTAAACTAAGGAACTTTGCGGGATACTATATCAATGTAAAGAAAATCAATTGCATTTTTATACTCCAACAACAAATATCTGGGAAAAAGCAAGAAGACAGTTACATTTACTGTAACATGAGAAAGAATAAAGTATTGGATTGGTAATGGCAAAAACCACAATTACATTTGCAGCAACCTAATACTTAGGAATAAATATAATAAGGTAAAAGATTTGTATAATGAAAACTGTAAAATATTAATGGGGGCAATTATAGAAAAGATAAATTTAAAAATACTTAGTGTTCATGGATCAGAAAAATTATTACTAAAACATTCATACTAAAATTGATGTATTATTTAAAGCAATCTCTATCAGAATTCCAATTGCATTTTCAACAAAAATTTTAAAAATCTACTGTTTGTATGGAATTATAAAAGACTCAAATAAAGCAATTTTGAGCAAGAGGGACAAAGCTATTACACTGCCTGATTTCAAGCTATATAGCAAAGTTGTAGTCATCAAAACTGCAAAATATTGGCATAAACACAAAGACATAGACCACTGGAACAGAATAGAGAGCTCATATATATATGTATTTATATATATATATATCGATATATATATATATATCAGATGTCTCCATCTGTATACAGTCAATGAATTTTCAACAATGGCATAAAGATACACAATGGAAAAAGAAAAAAACTGCTCAGTAAATGGTGATGGGAAAATGCGATATCCACATGCAAAAACAAATTGCACCCAGCCTTTACAGCATACATAAAGTTAATTTAAAATACATTAAAGACGTAGACACTGGACTTGAAACGAAAAATCTTGTAGAAGACAACACTGAGGAAAATGCTTTGGCATTGGTCCTAGCCATAATTTTTTTGTATTTGACGCCAAAAGCACAGGGAAAAAAGTGGGACTTCATCAAACTAAAAAGTCTACTGCATAGCAAAAGACAGTTCAGTGTCTTTAAAAGGCTATTTACAGAATTGGAGAAAAATACTTGTACGCCAAATATCAGATAAAGGATTAGTATTCGAAATCTGCCAGAAACTCATAAAACTTAACACCCCGAAATAAAAGTAACAATAAAAAGTGATACATTTTTTTAAAAAGTAGCCAAAAACTAATAGGTTATTTATTTAAAGAAGCCATTAGTAATTAGGAGAAAAATGCAAATCAAAACCACAATGAGATCGCATTCAAACAAAGATTAAGGTGATATTTATCAAAAATTCAAAAGAAAGCAAGTGTTGTCAAGAATGTAGAGAAAAGGGACCTTTGTACACTATCACTGGGAATGTAAATGGTAAAGCGATTATGGAAAACGGCATGGAGGTTCATCGAGTAATTAAAAATAGAACTGTCATATGAGTCATCAATCTTACATCTAAGTAAATATCCAAGGAACATAAAATAGCTATCTTGAAGAGATATTTTCACTCCTATGTTTATTGAAGCATTATTAACAATAGATAAGATATGAAAACAACCTAAATGTCCATTAACACAGAAGTAAGTAAAATATTATATAGCTGAGCATGGTGGCTTAAGCCTGTAATCTCAGTGCTTTGGGATACTGAGGGAGTAGGATTACTTGAGGCCAGGAGTTCAAGATCAGCCTGGGTAACATAGCAAGACCATGTCTTTACAAATTAGCTAGGCATGGTGGTGTACCCCTGTGGTCCTTGCTACTTTGGAGGCTGAGGTGGAAGAATAATTTGAACCCAGAATTCAGAGGTTACAGTGAGCTATAATCATGCCACTGCCCTCCAGCCTGTTGTATCTAACAACAACAACAACAACAACAAGGAAATTATATATATATATATATATATATATATATATATGTATGTGTATAGGTATAGGTATGTGCGTGTGTGCACGTGTGTGTGTCACAGTTCAGGTCTTGAAAAAAACCTTGCCATTTGCAACCACATGGATCATCTTGAGGTCTTTAGGCTAAGTGAAATAAACCAGGCACAGAAAGATGAACACTGCATTATTTCAATCATATGTGGAGTCTAAAAAAGTGTTTGAATTACAGTTACAGACAATAGAATGCAAGTGACCAAGGGCTGTGTCTTGGGGGAATCAGATATTGGTCAAATGGTACAAACCTGTTTTATAATATGAATAAGGACTGGAGACCTAATGTACAGCATGGAGGCTATAGTTAATGTATAAGTAAATTTCATTAATAAAGAAGAACAACTATTTACATGTAAATTTTATTTTAATCCCTTTAAAATAAATTATAGATTAAATGTAAAATCCAAATTGACATATTATTTCCAGTCAGGGAAGTTCTAATGAACAAGCTTAGTATAAAAGCTAAAATTGATATTTAGCTAAAGTGTCTTTCATAAATAAGAGTAAATTAAATTTTTTCAGAAGTAAAAACTTTGAGAGATTTGATTACCGATAGAAGATTGTTAAGAGTATACTTCGAGAGAAACATTTTCTGCTACCAAGATAAAATGAAAATAAAAGTGTAAGAGACTTGATATGGAAATGTCTACCCATGGTAGACATTGAACTAAAGAAATTACATAGTTCTTGGATGCATCAGTTTTGAAAGCATATAAATATTAATAAAAGTGTGATTCCATGCAATTTATTAAATAAGATAAAAAGAATTCCAAGGCTACTTGAACAATTTATAGGATAAGACTGTTCTTTTAGAAATGTTTTCCATTGCTAACTCGTTAAATCTTTATAGCACTTTGCATATTTTGGAGAATGTCAGCTATCCTTTTATCAGCTGATTCGTACCAGTGGAACAACAGTGGCAGAGACATTGCCCACAAGGTTCTGCACACTCAGGATGACTGTGTTATATGTCCACAGCAGGGTTGAAGAGCATGATATGATGAGGTCCACCCAGCACCCAAAGTAGCTCACTAACAGCAGGATGGTCTGAATGGCCCTTTTCTCTGGGAAGGCTCTTGGAGAGATCCTGGTGCTGTGAAGGTGCTGGGATTGCCTCTGATGCTGGGACAAAAAGATCACCATGTGTGTGATTGAATGCAGTGTAATTCCTATAATGAAGACATCCCCGGATAATGTCAGAGTAAAAAAAGGACTTCATGGGAGAAAGGGAACAGTATTTGCTGACCTTAAGTAGACTGGTATGCATCACATTGGAAGAAGCCACAGTGAAGAATATTATATCACTACTGAAAGACAAACTGACCAAAAAATAAAAATAAAAAAATAAAAAGAGATGACAGTGATAATGTTATTTGTGAATTTCTGTTTAAACCTTGCCAACTGGCAGTTGCTGGGGCTGATGGTGCTGGCTGGGTGTACACTCAGGAGACAGGTGTTACAGATACATAGGCCATCCTCACTCTGTTTATGTAGAACAAGGACTTAAGTTTGAACTCATTCTCTAAGTGCAGTGATTCAAGCATACCTGGAGACCAACCATCCACCACAGTGAGGAATATTAATGAAGGCCAAGTGATAGCTGATCAGGCCATGGTGCTTAGATCTGTGATCCTAAAGGAATGTGAAGATGTTGAAGAAAAAAAAAGGTGTTGGGTCAAAGTCCAGTGGAAGCTTGGGGAAAAAAAGAGGCATTTTTAAGCATAACAGAAGAGGAAAGCGTGTTAGTCTTAATAACAAACGTATTTCTTGTATCTGGGAAAAACAATAGATCTCACATTATCAGTGTTCTTTAGTGTTCCAAATGATTACCATCTTCATATTAATTTTACCCACTTCGTGGTTAACTCTGATTATCTCATATACATTCTGGGTAATCCAGCCTCCTCACTCATTGCCACATCAAATAACATATATAATATATATATATATTATATATATAATAACACATTCACAGTCATGCTGTAGAGAGTATACAATTTTGAAACTTTTGTTGTACCATCTGGATTTCAGACATTTTAATGTCAAAGCTCATTTTTCTATGTAGCTTCTGCCTAGTGGATTGTATATTCTCAGAAGTTGTCAACAAAGTATAACTCCCAATGATACAGCCTTCAAAATTAGTACAACCCAGTGTCACATTTCCTAATGTGTCCCTGTGAGTTCCGTACGGGTGATTTGTGGTGTTCTTTGTATATGTTCCTTAGTGGATTTTAGTTTTCAGAATGGAACTAGATCAAAATTACTTTGGGAGTCAGAAAAATCTTACTTCTTTTAAAGAAACATAGGAGAACTGCTCTGTCCTCCAGAGCACACATCTGTTGACACAGAACATGAGATACAGGGAGGAAAATGTAGGTTGCTTATTACCTCTGCTCCCATCAGTTTGTCCAAGTACATTTATTGAGAACAGATGGATATGTTCATTCCAACCACTGTGAGTGTTGTGTCTTTTAGCGAGTCTGTGCCTGTGTTGTTATCTTAGAAAATGCTTCACATTTCCCATCCTCTTAGGTCTAACAGGAAGGCTAGAGAGAATGGGAGTTGGGTATGTCCCTTTGCTCACATGAAGGGCTCAAGTGGTCTGAAATTGAATATTTCTCTTCTTCCCAACTGAATACTGCAGCAGTTTGGTGATGGGTATTTCCCTTACCTCAGGTCATATAAACTCAGACAAAACCCCAGTAAGTCAGGCTTTGCTAAAATAGTTTAATGATGGCAGAGCTTGGTAAGAAGAACAGAATGCCCTGAGTGGCTTTTAGAAGGGTACATTTCCCTTCCCTATGCCAGAAAGAAAAGATTTTTCTATTTCTACTGTGAGAATCTGGTAAGGCTTCTGAAAATAAAACTCTCAAAAGTGAGGAGGAACTAAGACTGGCCTCCATGGAGATTTTAACTCTCAAACTTTTCCACTCTTAGGCTTCAGCAACTCCTCAATTACGGTGTAGGTTTTCTACCATAGTACTAATTGCTACTGAAGTTTTTTCTTACAGGTTTTTCTTCTGGTGAGTTGTCATTATCTTTATTTGTATGTCTTTCCATACAATCTGGGGACAGATGGTTAGTTTATGACCTCATTTTTTCCTTCTATAATTTTTTTTGAGATGGAGTCTCTATCACCCAGTCTGGCGTGCAGTGGCATGATCATGGCTCACTGCAACCTCTGCCTCCCAGGTTTAAGCAGTTCTCATGCCTCAGCCTCCCAAGTAGCTGGGATTACAGACGCCTGCCACCATGCCCGGCTAATTTTTGAATTTTTAGTAGAGATGGGGTTTCACCATGTTGGCCAGACAGGTCTCAAACACCCGGCCTCAGGTGATCTTCCCGCCTAAGTCTCCCAAATTGCTGGGATTACAGGCATGAGTCACCGCGCCTGGCCTTTAATTTTGTTTTTAATTGACACAGTAATTTTACATACAGATGGAGCATAATGTGAGCATTAGATATGTGTATATATATGTAATAAATTATGGGATTTATCATGTTTGACATCTCATGTTATTTCTTTGTGGTGAGAACATTCAAAATTCTCTTTTCTAGCCGTTTGAAATATTTAATACAAAATTGTTCACCATTGTCACCCTACTGTGCACTTGAATATATTCCTGCTATGTAACTGTAACTTATTGCCCATTGACCATTTTCTCCCCGTTTTGCACTCTCTTACACACTCTAGTTTCTAGTAACCACCATTCTACTCTCTACTTCAATGATACCAACTTTATTAGATTCTATAGATTAGAATGTGTAGTGTTTTTTTTTTTTATGCCTGGTGTGTTTCACTTAATGTCCTCCAGGTTCATCCCTGTTGCTGCAAAGGACAGAATTTTATCTTTTTTAGTGACTGAATACCATTTCATTGTGTGTGTGTGTGTGTGTGTATACATATATATCACATTTGTAAAATCCATTTATCTATTGAAGGACATCAGATGATTCCATGTCTTTGCTATTGTAAATAGTACTGTGATGAACATAAGTATGCATGTGTCTTTATAGTTGAATGATTTCTATCTTTGGGGTATATACCAAAAAATTGGATTGCTGGGTCTGATGAAAGTTTGGTTTTAAATTCTTTGAGAAATCTTCAGACTGCTTTCCACAGTGGCAGGAAAAATTTACATTCCCACTGGCAGTGTATAAGCTTTTACTATTCACTACCCACCAGCATCTATTATTCTTTGCCTTTTTAATATGGCTGTTGTGACTGATGTGAGATGGTATCTCATGACTTTGATTTGCATTTTTTAAATAATTACTGATATTGAGTATTTTTATATGCTTGTCGGATACATGTGTGTCTTTTGAGAAGTGTATGTTAATGTTCTTTTTTCATTTTTAAATAAGGTTGTGTGTTTTTTGCTTGTTGAGTTACCTTTTTTTATAGATTGTAGCTATTATACCTTTGCTGGATACATAAGTTTTTTCTCTCATTCTGTAGGTTGCGTGTTTACTGTTTGTAGTTTCTCTTGCTGTGCAGAAGCTCTTTAGCTTAATTAGGTCTCACTTGTCAATTTTGTGGTGGTGGTGTTTCAATTGCTTTTAGAGTCTTTGTCATGAATTCTTTGCCAGGGCCAATGTACAGCATGATATTTCCTGGGTTTTCTTCTAGGGTTTTTTACACTTTTAAATATTACATTTAAGTCTTTAATCCATCTTGAGTTAATTTTTGTATATGGTATAATGAAGTGGTCCAGCTTCAATCTTCTGCATATGACTAGCCAGTTATCCCAGCACTATTTGTTGAATAGGGAGTCCTTTCCTTATTGTTTGTTATTGTTGACTTTGTGAAAGATCAGATGGTTTTAGATGTGTGGCTTTATTTCTGGGTTCTCTAGTGTGTTCCATTGGTGTATATGTCTATTTTTGTACCAGTACCCATGCTCCTTTAGGTATTGTAGCCTTATAGTATAGTTTGAAATTGAGTAGTACGATCACTCCAGCTTTGTTCCTTTGCATAGAAAGCTTTGAATATTCAGCCTCTTTTTTGTTTGTTTCAAATAAGATTTTTCATTTTTAAAAAATTCTGTTAAAAGCGTTGTTGGTAGTTTGATAGGAATAACATTGAATTAAAAAGTAAATTTCTTTTGGTAGTATGGCCATTTTAGCAACATTGATCCTTCATATCCATGAATGTAGAATGTTTTTCTGTTTGTTTTGGAAATAATAGACAACTGTGGACTCCAAAAGGGGGGAGGGTGGGAAGGGGGTGAGGGCTCACTATTTGGATAATGTTGACTATTTAGGTAATGGGGTACACTAGAAGTCCAATCCCCACTAGTTCACAATACGCCCATGTAGCAAACATGCACATCTACCCCCAAATCTAAAATCAAACAAAGTTAAAAACATAAAAAGTTCAATTATGCTAAAAATAACTCCCCCCCCAAAGAAAAACAGCAAAAGCCCCCACTAAAACAAGAGAAAACAAAACTGGTAGGCTGAGTAGACTGTCTTCCTGATGTGAGTGGGCCTCATCTGGTCAGTTGAAGGATTGAGTAAAACAAGCCTTCTTACTGACACATTAGCTTTTTCCTGCCTTTGGACTTGAACTGAAACATCTGCTCTTCCTGCATCTCAAGCTTGCAGGCCTTCAGCCTGGAACTACACAATTGGCTGTCCTGGGTCCCCAAACATGGACTCATCATCCTTCAGATCTGGAGAGTTGTCAACCTCCATAATTGCAAGATTGCATAAGTCAATTCCTTATAATAAATCTCTCCCATATATATATGTGTGTGTGTGTGTGTGTGTACACATACACACATAAATATATACACAAACATATATGCAAGTGTACAAACACATGCACACACACAAACTTAGTTTCTCTGGAGAACTCTGATACAATACTTAAGCACATTTAATGAGGAATTACAATATTCTAGGTAGGCCTTGGGCTAGGAGCTCCTACATTTTATTTTCAGAACCCTGGGTGGTAGAGTAGATTGACCCAGTTTGAAGATGGCAAGAGTGAAAACCAGAGAGGGGAAGTTCCCATGCCATAGAGAAAGAGCCATGTTAGGTTGTCCCCTCTCCTGCTGTCCCAAATGTGAGTGTATGTATCAGGTTTGTGTTGTCTATTCTTTAAAATTATTAATTTACACTGTCACAGGTAATAGTAACATGCATTGCCTTTTCATGTAAGTACAAAAGCTCTTTTGACCAGCGTTCCCAGTGTTGCCTCTTCCACAAAGATAATGACTGCTATCAGTTTTGTGAGGCTCTTTTCAACTTTTACCTTGTATTTTATCCATTATACATGAGCCTATAGAAAACATATATTCTCTCATATTTCAAAAGAATTTAAATTGTCATACTTTAAGGGAATTCTAAATCATGTTTGCAAATAAATTCTCATGTTATGCTCAAAAGTTGAAATAGTTCAATTCCCTCAACATTTTTGAAAGAGTCTTAGGAATTACAGAATTTCACAGTGTCAACAGTGGTTTGTGACCCATGTTTATGTGAAAGCTAAGTGGTGGTGCCCTTAACTTCATTTATGTCAAGGGCCTACAAATAAGGCATAGGCTTGTCTTATGTGCTTTGGAATCTTTTTTGGGTGAGCTAATGAAGCATTGTATTTTTAACATTTAATATCATTCTATTTTTTTTTTTTTGAGACAGAGTTTCGCTCTTGTTGCCTAGGCTAGAGTACAATGGTGTGATCTTGGCTCACCGCAACCTCTGCCTCCCGGGTTCAAGTGATTGTCCTGCCTCAGCCTCCCAAGTAGCTGGGATTATAGGCATGCGCCACCACATGTGGCTAATTTTGTATTTTTAGTAGAGATGGGATTTCTCCATGTTGGTCAGGCTGGTCTCGAACTCCTGACCTCAGGTGATCCAACCACCTCAACCTCCAAAAGTGCTGGGATTACAGGTGTGAGCCACCATGCCCAGACTAATTTTTATTTTTTTGAAGCAGAGTTTTGCTGTGTTGCCCAGGTTAGAGTGCAGTGGTGCACATCTCTGCTCATTGAGGCCTCTGCCTCCCAGGTTCAAGCAATTCTCCCACCTCAGCTGCCTGAGTAGCTGGAATTCGAGGCACCTGCGACCATGCCCGGTTAATTTTTGTATTTTTAGTAGAGATGGGGTTTCACCATGTTGGCCAGGTTTGTCTCAAACACCTGACCCCAAGTGGTCTGCCCACCTCGGCCTCCCACAGTGCTGAGATTACAGGCATGAGCCACCGCACCTGGCCTAATTTTAAATTTTTATAATGATGACTGTAGGAAGGATAACAGATTAAGGAATTTCCTCCTCCTTCCTGTCTGCAGTATGCTCTTGTTAATCTCACCCCAGCAGTAGCCCTTTACTTTATCCATTAGTTCTAGTCTCCAGCTTCTTCTTTTAAAAAAGTATTTGGGCTGGGCGCAGTGGCTCATGCCTGTAATCCCACCACTTTGGGAGGCCAAGGTGGGCGGATCACGAGGTCAGGAGATCGAGGCCATGCTGGCCAACATGGTGAAACCTCGTCTCTACTAAAAATACAGAAATTAGCTGGATGTGGCAGTGCTTGCCTGTAATCCCTGCTACTCCGGAGGCTGAGGCAGGAGATTCACTTGAACCTGAGAGGTGGTGTTGTGGGACAATCAGAGATGGGAGAGACCGAATAGAGTTCAGGAAAGCCTTTATTAAGGTGACCGTCTGGCTCAAGTAGGACTAGCATCAAGGAAATTCTGAGCTCCAGACAAAGAAACAGCCACATTTTAAGCAATCAGTGG
Organism: Homo sapiens; assembly: GCF_000001405.40. Classification (NCBI taxonomy): domain Eukaryota; kingdom Metazoa; phylum Chordata; class Mammalia; order Primates; family Hominidae; genus Homo; species Homo sapiens. The sequence goes on along the minus strand of NC_000010.11, from coordinate 42,654,824 downwards.
CCGGGAGCTACATGATGTAGGAAGTGTACTTACAGAAGCGAGAACAAAGGCAGTTGATCAGTCTTTTACACTTATCTATACTACATGTTCCACATCCTTGGGAAACTATGTTTCTATAACATATGCGTATCAACCTTGTAACTTTGCAGCTGTGCTGGTGAGGTGAAGCAGGAACTCGCTGAGCTTCAAGGAATATGAAACCGGTGAGTACAGATAAGGCTTGCTGAGCGCAGAAGGAAAAACAGGCAGTTAGTATTCTTCTCTAACTTGGACTACGGGACAGGGAGTGGGGGCTACACTACACTTAGCTTTTGAGGGAAAAAGTGAAAATTTCTTGGTCTTTGATTATACTTGTAAAATTCATGAATTCCTTCTTCATCCCCCACCTTTGGTGCTCACCATAAATGTAGATTAATAAAGAGCACCACAATCATTTATCTCTTCCTGTGTAGGCTCATATTCTTCCTGGGGGACAGGTTGGTATTTTTGTAATGCCATTATTTTGGTGGTAGTTTTTCGGTCCACTATTGCTTCCATAGTAGACTGGATGCTTCTGTTGAGGAGAGGTAAAAGACAAGGCAGTATTAGACATCTTCCTACTATAGTTACAAAACCAATTATCAAGGTTTTAAAGCCTCCAAACCATGAGAACCAACCTCTAAAATGTGAGTTTGGGCTCCACCCAGACCAAGTCTGGACTGGGACATGGGCTAACTTCCATATTCTAGCAGTAATTTCCGTAACAGCTCTTCCATTATCACAGATTTGTAAGCAACAGTTGGTCAAATTAAACCTGCCACAGACTCCTCCTTCTGAGGCTAGGAGGTGGTCTAATGCTAGCCTATTTTGATATGTAGCATCTCTCATTTGAGTAGCCTGTATGGCTAACAGATCCAAGGCTCAGGCTGTTTCATTGACTATGATTTCTAGTACTGCTTGCAATCTTATAATTTGGTTTAACATGTAAATAGGGGTGTGGTAGCCCCATGATCTGTCTTGGGCCCATGTAGCTGGCCCATAGTATTTGATAATTCTTTCAGGAAGCCATTCTTTATCTTTCCAGCTACCTATCTCAATGTCCTTCTTTATGTTTGTGCTTATGTTTTCTACAGTACTTATCTGAGTAAAGACATTTCTTTTGTTCTTTCTTCATTATAGACTGGGTAACTAAAATCTTCCCCTTGTTTCAGTGGGAGCAAGAAGAAGGACGGCCTTATTGTCCCTAAAATACAGGCTCCGGTCCACTTCTCTGGCAATAGTTAATAGGCTTTTGTCCCATAGATCCAATGTAGTCCTGCCGGTGCTTTCCAAACATTTGGAGTGTCTAGTTGATACTACGACTGATTTAGCACTGGAAACTGAGAGAGAGAGTTAAAATATGGTAGAGAAATTGTCTATAAAGCTTCTCCACTGTGTCTTGTTCTTAGACTCTTCAAAATACTGCTGACCTAAACAAGTCATATTTCTAAACAAGTCATATCTCCTACTTGGGTTTGAAAGTCTTTTCCCCATTGTGCTATGCAGTATCTTCCAATGATAGGGGTTTTTAATAGCCAGACACCTGGGTTTCAATTGAACTTTGTAACAAATTCTGGTATGGTAAAGTTATCTTGTGGTATTATTTCTCTAGCCTCCCAGGGCCGTTGGTCACCTACACTGGTACCTCCACATATATAACATGAGATGACTCCAAGATTAGTAGCAATACTTTCAGCTAGCTGAGTGAATAGGTTCTTGGCTAACATTGGTGGAATCTGAACTTTTGGCTCCTTGGGGTTAAAATGTTTATTGAAGGATTTGAGAAATCTGAACTGTGACATTGGACTGACTTGAGCTTTAGCTCACTGTGTCTTTTTAATAATGATTAACAGAACACCCAGATTTGCTCCTTCTCGAGCACAGCTTAGCTCTCCTTGGTGTTCTTTAGTCCAAAAAGGCATGTTTGGCTTTAATATGGTCAGATTAAGGGGGTTGCATATTTTAGTCGCACAACCAATCTTTGCTTCTTGGCTGGTTAGCAGAGCTACTCTTCCTGCATAAAGGCATTGGCTGAACTCATGTGTGGTCCTTTGAATGTTACAATCAGGACATTCTTCTTCTGGTTCTCCTGTTATGATCTTAGCAGCCTTGCTGCTGAGTCTTTCTTGTCCTAAGTTCTTGCAGACTACTCCTAGATTGTTTAGGTTGCTGAGGTGTGCAGCCTGACAGGCATCAAAATATATAGAAACAGATCCTTTATGTAAATAAGGGAATACCTGTGTTTTGCTTATGAGTTTCCCAGTTCTAACATCTTTAGGATTGGCATATGAGGGTAATAAAGGTTTCCCTATTTTAATTTCAAACCAGAAGCCACAGGGTAGGAGGCCTGAATTGTAACATACTTGAGGTTGCCTATTTCCTGGGTTATAGATGGAGTAGCTGGTTTGATTATAAACACATGTCCCCAGGGGAGTTCCTGTACACTCATAATAAGTTTGATATAACAGGGTTTTAGTTATACCTTTACCAGACCAACTTTCTATCATACAATGACAGTTATCTTGATTTCCTCCCATGCCTGTTAACATTATTGTCATTAGTGTGATTAAGTTTATACTATGCACAGGCATCCTCCCGGGCAACAAGTTTGATAGCAATTGCAAAGATAGCATGACAGCAAGACAATCAGTATAAGCAATAGTATAACTACACTTGCAAATTCAATCTACATTTACTTATCTAGTGCTGGCTTCCTCAGGCTTTGGCCGTGCATAGGCTAGTCAGCTTACAGTTGTGTGACTAGAGCAGGACTTGACTTTTCCTTAAGCTTCAGCCATGCGTAGACTAGTCACCTTCCAGCTGTGTGACTAGAGCAGGGCTTGACGTTTCCTTAAGCTTCAGCTGTGCATTGACAGACCAGCTTCTGGTGTGGTCGGAGCAGGGTGGTCGTCTTTTCCTACTGCGCCTTGGTTCCTCTGCAAGATCAGTTGAGTTGGATGATCTGGATCTTGCTGACTCGTCCACATGTCTTGAACTGAGGCTGCAGGTTTCAGTCAGCTGTGATGGATCTAAGGTGTAATACCTGCAACTTTAACAGCAGTAGGGGTAGACATGGTCACAATATGGGGGCCATCTCATAAGGGCCCAAGGGTGGTAGGATTCCAGCATTTAACCCATACGAAGTCCCCAGGTTGAAAGGAATGTATTGCATCTGTAAGGCTAACAGGTATTCTTTCTCTTACTCACCCTTGTACTTCTTGCATTACCTCACCTAATACCTGCATTTGTCTTCCTAGGGTCAGTTCTCCAATTTCCTTTAAATCTCCTTTTACTTGAGATATGAGTGGGGGTGGTGGGCCATGCACTATCTCATAGGTGAACACCCAGTTAATTTTGTAGGGGTACACCTGACTCAGAGAAGGACCATGGGCAATACCTGGTCCCACCTTAAATGAGTCTCTTGGCAAAACTTCTTCAACAGTTGTTTCAGTGTCCAGTTCATCCTTACAACCTTTCTAGATCTTTGTGGATGTTAGGCTGTATGCAGTTTCCATTTAATTTTTAACATCTGAGTTAGTTGCTGTACTACTTCTGCCACAAAATCTGGTCCATTTTCTGAGCCTAAGGTTAGAGGCAGTCCAAATCTGGGAATAATGTCTTTTAATAATATCCTGGTTACTTCTCGTGCCTTTTCTGTCCTGATGGGGAATGCCTCAACTCACCTTGAAAAGGTGCAGACAAACACTAACATGTACCGATAGCCTCCAGCCTGAGGCAGTTCGGTAAAGTCTACAAGTAGGTTTTCACATGGCACTGCTCCTGTTTCCTGAATTCCTTGAGGCCAAGTAGGCCCTTGCCTTGGGTTATTCTGGGCACAAGTAACACACTGCTCGTAGATGGCTCGAGTCATGGCAGTTAGGCATGGCACAATGAAATACCGCCCTATGAGAATCTTTAAATCTGTCTTCCCCATGTGTGTTCCTTGGTGAAACTGCTTTATAAATTGGGGGGCAATGGCTTCTGGAATGGTAAGTCTCCCATCTGAAAACTTCCACCAGCCTTCTTTCTGATAACTCCCGTTTTCCTGCACAAACGATGCCTTCTCATTGGACGAGTAATTAGGAGTGTCTGCAAGGGGAGGCTCTAATAAGGGCATGGCATAAGTCTCTTCTTTCTTTGTTTTTTCTGTCATTGCAGTCTTTCTTGCTTCCTTGTCTGCTTTGCTGTTTCCTGTAGCCTTATCACTTCTTCCTGTTTGCTGTCCTTTACAATGGATGACTGCTACTTCCTTTGGAGCCCACACAGCCTCTAGGAGCTGCTCTATTTCCTTTTTGTTCTTTATTTCTTTTCCTTCAGTAGTTAACAGTCCTCTTTCATCGTAAATGGCTCCATGAGCATGCAAGGTGGCAAAAGCATATTTTGAGTCAGCATAGATATTCACTGACTTTCCCTTCACTAGAAATAGTGCTCTTGTGAGAGCTATTAGTTCTACCTTCTGCGCTGAGGTTCCTACTGGTAGGGGGCAGGCTTCAGCCACCGAGCTTAATGTGACTACGGCATATCTGGCCTTTTTGATACCCTCAGATATGAAGCTGCTTCCATCAGTAAAATATTCAACATCTGGGTTTCTTAAGGGTTGATCCTTTAAGTCTTCCCAGCTTGAAAATACTTCATCCACTGTTTCTACACAGCAGTGGTACCCTGGGGCACATAACAGGGACTTTCCATGTTCTGCACATTCTATTGGTAACAGTGTGGCCAGATTTAGGGTATTCACAGCCTCTAAGGTGATGTATGGATTCTCACATAGGAGTCCTTGGTATCTTAGCATCCTACGGTTAGAGAGCCAACAATGTCCTCTCTGTTCCATCAAGGTGACAATTGTGTGGGGCACCTGAATTATCAGCTGCTGCCCAAATGTGAGCTTGTTAGCATCTTTGGCTAACAAGGCAGTGGCGGCCAGCACCTTGAAACAGGGTGGCAATCCCATAGCCACCAAGTCTAGTTGCTTGGACAAATATGCTATAGGCTGATACTACGATGCTAGCATTGGCACTTAGACTCCTGTAGCCGTTTGTTTTCTTTCATGAACATACAGGTAAAAGGGCTTTGTCATGTCTGGCAGTCCTAGTGCTGGGGCCTGGATTGAAGCTTTCTTGATTTCCTTGAAAGCCATGTCCTGTTCTTTTCCCCAAAGGAGGGGCTCCTTTTCCCCTCCTTTGGTTGCCTCATATAAAGGCTTTGCTAGGAGCCAGTAGTCAGGAATCCATAATTGGCAAAAACCAGCTGCCCCTAGGAATTCCTGCACTTGCTGCCTTCTGTCTGGCTGAGGAATGCTACAGACAATCTCTTTTCGCTCCTGTCCAAGCTCACACCGTCCTTGGGAGAAGTAAAATCCAAGATACTGAACTCCTCAGCCACAGATCTGTGCCTTTTTCTTAGACACTTTATAGCCAGCTTCCCACAGCACTTGAAGGAGACTCTCTGTTCCTTGGATACATTATTTTCTTGTGGGTTTGGCTAACAGCAGATCATCTATATATTGCAGTAAGACAAGCGATCACTTGGTGGTGTGAAAGCCTTTAAGTCTGAGGCTAGTGCTTCTCCAAAGATAGTTGAGGAGTTTTTAAATCTTTGGGGAAGTCTAGTCCAGGTATACTGAGATGGGCCCCACTCAAAGGCAAAAATGTCTTGGCTTATAGGGGCTAATCAGATGCAGAAGAACACATCTTTAATGTCCAAGCATATGAACCAAAAATGTCTTGGCTTATAGGGGCTAATCAGATGCAGAAGAACACATCTTTAATGTCCAAGCATATGAACCAAGCAGCACTAGCAGGTATTTGTCCAAGCATAGTGTACAGGTTAGGCACAATAGCATGCAGTGTACTGGCTACCTTGTTGACTGTCCTTAAATCTTGTACAGGCTGGTAGTTGCCAGAAGGTTTTAACACCAGCAGTAGGGGAGTATTCCGTGAGGAGACACATCTCTCTATTATTCCAAATTCAGGGAGTCATTTTAAGTGTTTTGCAATCCCTTGGTGAGCCTCTATGGGAATGGGATACTGATGGATCCACACTGGGTAGATTCCTCGTAGTAGCTCTACTATGACAGGTGCTTGATTTACTGCTAACCCTGGGGGATTGTCCTCCACCCAGACTCCTGGTAACTTAGGGAGTAAGTCTGTGAACAGTTTTTCTTTCTCAGCTGTACTCCTTTCCACACTCCTGACAACTACTTTCATAAAGTCTCCACTCCTCTGCCTTGGGTACTGTAAGAGTTAGTACCATAGCCTTCTTTTGCCCTAGGCTCAAGGTATATCTGCATTCAGTGTGAAGGAGATTTGAGCCTGCAGCTTCTGCAACAAGTCTCTCCCAACAACGGCACTGGGCAGTTTGGCAAGTATAAGAACTTGTGTTGGACTTCTTGGTTTCCAATTATACCTCTCTTTGATGTGAAAAAAGGTGTTTTTTCTGTGATACCTGTGGCCCCAATAATATTAGCATAGAGTTTTGATAACACCCTAATTGTTTGAGTCACAGCTGAGTGTTCAGCACCTGTGTCTACCATAAGGTCTATTTTTCGGCCCCCTACTACCATTGAGACCATGGGCTCCTCAGGGCCTAATGAGATGTAGCCCAGTCTGTCTCAGTCTTCAAGGTAGTCACTGACTCCTGCCAGCCCAATTAGATCCACATCGCATCCTACTATGCCCTGCCCAGCAGCAGAAGGAGGCCTTGTCCAGCCATTCTGTCCCTGCTTGTAGCCTTTATTCTTTTCTTTCTCTGGACATTCATCTTTCCAATGCCCTCTTTGCTTGCATCTCGCACATTGATTTCTCTCTAGTCTAGGCCAACCTTCCTGACCTGTCCTGGTCTCCTGACCTGGCCTAGCCCTAGCTTGTCCTTTACCATGACTGCATCCACGACCATGTCCATGTCCTCTTGCAAATCCAGCCTCTCTTTCAATCAGGGCTGCAGCCAAGAACTCTGCCTTTTCCTTCACTCTATGCTTGGCCTCCCACTTTGCTTCTTCATCTTGATTTACAAACACTTTAGTTGCCACTTGGATAAGCTGGGAAATGTTCATAACTTCAAACCCCTCCAGCTTCTGCAACTTTCACTTAATGTCATTTTGTGCCTGACTCACAAATGCCGCATTAACCATGCACTGATTCCCTGCCACTTCTGGGTCAAAAGGTGTGTAGAGCCGGTAAGCCTCACAAAGCTTCTCATAGAACTCACTGGTACTTTCATCTGGTTTCTGATGGACCTCTGAAACCTTTCCAGTGTTTGTTGCCTTTTTCCCTCCAGCTTTTATTCCTTGTATCAGAGCCCCTTGGTATCTCAGCAAGTTCAGCAGCCCTTAGGCCTGATTTGGGTCCCAGCCTGGGTCAGTTTCTATTGGCAAAGCCTGCTGAGCATACTTTCTGACATCTCCTGTGCCTACTGGAGCATTGCTTTCTAGTCACTGATAAGCCACTTGTATTACTCTGCAGTGTTTTTCTGTATTGAACAGTGACAGAAGGAACTGCTTGCAGTCAGCCCAGGTTGGGTTGTGAGTTAAGAAGATGGACTGCATCAGGTCGATAAGAGCCTGGGGTTTTTCTGTATAGGAGGGAGTATGCTGTTTCCAGTTGAAAATATCTGTAGTAGAGAAGGGCTGATAAACATAAAGCCGTTCTCCTCCTTGAACCTCATTTTGTGCATCTAAATAGATCTGTCCCCTAGGTTCTCTGAATGGCATCTGCAAAGCTCGGGCGTGTCCTGACCGGAGATGGCCGTCATACTGGAGTTCCTCCTTTGAATTATCGGGCAGTGACCCTGGCTCTTCCCTATGTGGTGAAGTTTGAAGGGTACTCTCCTCTGAGTCTGACCCTCCACAGGCAGCTGCTGGAGTGACTTCCTGCCTAAGCCTTGCCAGAGGCGGATAAATTGGAACATAAGGGGATGGAGTCTCTAGCTCTTCTAGTGGGGCCTGTAGGACAGGTTTTTCCTGTTTTCCTTGCTGTTCTTTCTCCTGGGCCTACACTTTGTGGGTCTTTTCTATGGTTCCTTGTTTTGTACGAGCCACCAGAGTCTTACAATAATTTTCAAAACAGGCCTGTAGCCATTTCAGATGGGTTTGAATCACGCTCAGCTAGGAGTCTATGTATGGGAACTGATCAGGTTGTCCAGGCTGTTCTCCAACCCCAGTGACCACCCTAAATACTCGGCCAATTATTTCCCTATCTATGGTTCCCTTGGCCGCCCTCCCTATGTTGAAGGAGAGGCAGTCAATTTCACAAAGTGTTCTTAGCCTCTGCGGTGTTAACTTCATTCCATAATCACCATCAGAGCCTTTCTTAAAGTTCTTCAACATATGTTCTAATGGAGTTGGCTTCAATACTTTTCCTCCTATTGCCTCCCTCGTGGCACACTTTCACTCTCACTTTCACTCTTGGATGCACCAGACAGGGTCCTATTACAGGAGGTTTGGATGCTGCTTGGCCAGGTCACAGCCAACTACTGCTGTGAAGCTACCATGAAGTGAATCTTGTCGGTCTTATGCAGTGACCTAGGTCTGGCTTGTCCCACACTCACCTTGAGGGACACAGTCTGCACTAAGATCTGCAACTCCCCACATCACTCCCCGTGTTGGCTTCTCCGAGACCACCTCTTTCACACACTTTCACACACCTCCCCTGCCCCAGGACTCCTCATCGGATGAAACAAGCCTCTCTCATGTCCCGAGTGAGCTTAGTTAGGCTTCCACATTCACACACATACACAAACCACTCCTACCCCAGGACTGATCAGATGAAAGAAGCCTTCTTTATGTCCCGAGTAGGTTCACACACACCAAAACACTCCCAGTTTCTGTCTCCAGATCCAGTGAACCACTTTTGCTTGTGTGGGGACACGAGATTCATCCAAATTGGCAGGCCACTCCTGCTGCCCCCAGCCACTCTGGGTTGGATAAGTGATCGTTCCGGGGAAGGTAATCAAGCTCCCCTTCTGTCCTTATGGGATGGGCTTTTCCAGGGCCCAACCTTATGGCGGTTCAGTAGTCTGCCAGCGCACTGCTCCTGTGACTGTCCTGCAACTCCTGAGTCGGTTCCGTTTGCGCTGTCAGGGCGAGGCTCCAATACATGGGAGCCGTTCTCCTTCTGGGCTAAGTCTTCCCCAGTGGCACCAAAGTTCCCAAATCTCCCGCGTCCTGTGGCTTTAGCCCACAGGCAAAGGAGACAGAAACCTGCCATCTCCAATCCCAGACAGGCCCCCAGAAATGTTATGGGACAATCAGAGACGGGAGAGACTGAAGAGAGTTCAGGAAAGCCTTTATTAAGGGGATCACCTGGCTCAGTAGGACTAGCGTCCAGGAAAGTCTGAGCCCTGGAGAAAGAATGCAGCCACCTTTTAAGCAGTCAGTGGCCGGGAGCTATGTGATTCATGAAGTCTACTTACACAAGCGAGAACAAAGGCAGTTGATCAGTCTTTTACATTTATCTATACTACATGTTCCACATCCTTGGGAAACTATGTTTCTGTAACATATGCATATCAACCTTGTAACTTTGCAGCTGTGCTAGGGAGGTGCGCAGGAACTCACTGAGCCTCAAGGAATGTGAAACTGGTGAGAACAGATAAGGCTCACAACACAGAAAGAAAAACAGGCAGTTAGTATTCTTCTGTAACTTAGACTATGGGCAGGGGGTGCTACACTACACTTAGCTTTTGAAGGAAAAAGTAAAAATTTCTTGGTGGTCTTTGATTATACTTGTAAAATTCATGAATTCCTTCTTCAGTGGAGGTTGCAGTGAGTCGAGATCATGCCACTGTGCTCCAGCCTGGTGACAGAGCTAGACTCCGTCTAAAAAAAAAAAAAAGTATTTGTAACATTGGCATACAATTTACATACAAAATTTACTCCTTTAAAAGTGTGTAATTCAATAATTATAGTCACAAAGTTACACAACCATCACCACTATCTAATTCCAGAACATGTTGATCACCCTCCAGCTTCTTTTAGCTCTCCCAGAACTCTCCACATTGATCCCACTCTGGCTACTAGCACCAGCTGGACAGTAACGACTTTCAGAGGTGAACACAATGTGCTTCAACATGCCTTCCTGAAAGTTCAGTTAGCAACTGGACAGCATCTGAATTCCAGTTCTGCAAAGCTCTTCTCTGAATACCTGAGGTACCAGCATGATCCTGGCACTGCCCCTGCCTCCGCTGTCTTGTCTAATTCTAGCTCTCTGGGGCCACTCTTGTGAGTTTCTAGGTTCCGAGAACCTTAATCTTTTCCATTGTTTCCCAGCCCTAGACAGGTAGCTGCTACCTGATGTTGTCATCCTGTGTTAGCTCAGTGTTCATTTTTACCATTAAAACACCTGCTTTAAATAATCTTCATCAAATTCTCTCAGTTGTAATACTTGAGTGATCTCTCTGTTACCATTTGAACTCTGATTGATTTAAATATACTTGCACATATATCAACAATAATTTATTATTACAAAGTCATATAAGTGGAATTATAATATTATAAGTCCTTTAACGTTTAATTAAAATGCCAAGAACGTACATTGTGTAAAGGGCCACCTGTTCAATAAATTGTGCTGGGAAAACTGGATATCCATATGCAGAAGGACAAAACTTGATCCCTACCTGTCACCGTATACAAAAATCAACTCAAAATGGATTAAAGACTTAAACATAAGACCAAAACTGTAAACATACTAGAAGAAAACCTAGAGCAAACTCTTCAGGGCATTGGCCTAGGCAAAAGTTTTATGACTAAGACTTAGAAAGCACAGACAGGGCCAGGCATGGTGATGCACTCCTAGTACTTTGGGAGGCCAAGGTGGGTGGATCACAAGGTCAGGAGATTGAGGCCAACATGGTGAAAACCCATCTCTACTAAAAATACACACACACACACAAATTAGCTGGGTGTGGTGGTGCACACTTGTAATCCCAGCTACTTGGGAGGCTGAGGCAGGAGAATTGCTTGAACCCAGGAGGCAGAGATTGCAGTGAGCCAGGTTGAAGCCAATGCACTCCAGCCTGGCAACACAGTGAGACTCCATCTCAAAAAAAAAAAAAAAAAAAAAAAAAAAGCACAGACAGGCCAGGCATAGTGGTGTACACCTGTAATCCTAGCACTTTGGGAGGGTGAGGTGGGCAGATTCTTGAGCACAGGAGTTCGAGACCAGCCTGGGCAACATGGTGAATCCCCATCTCTACTACAAATACAGAATTTAGCCAGGCATGCTGGTGGGCACCTGTAATCCCAGCTGCTCGGGAGGCTGAGGCAGGAGGATCACTTGAGCCCAGGAGGTAGAGGCTACAGTGAGCTATAATCACACCACTGCACTCCAGCCTGTGCAACAGGGTGAGACTCTGTCTCAAAATAAACAAACAAACAAAAGCACAGACAACAACAACAAAAAGAAGTGGGACTGTATTAAACTAAAAAGCTGCACAGCAAAGGAAACAATTATGGAAGTGAAGAGACAACTTGTAGAATGGTAGGGAATACTTGCAAACTATTTATCCAAAAGGGACAAATATCCTGAATATACAAATAACTCAAACAACTCGATGGCAAAAACAAAAACAAAAGTAATCTGATTAAAATGCAGGCAAAGGATCTGAATAATTATTTCTTAAAAGAAGACATACAAATGGCTAACAAATGTATGAAAAATGTCCAGCATCACTAATCATCAGGGAAATGCCAATCAAAATCACAATGAGGCATCATCTCACCCTAGTTAGAATGTCTATTATAAGAAAAATAAATAAGTGCTGGTAAGGATGCATAGAAAAGGGAACTCTTAGACACTGTTGGTGGGAATGTAAATTGGTACAACCACTATATAAAACAGTGTGGAGGTTTCTTAAAAAATAAAACGGAACTACCATACAATCCAACAATCACACTGCTGGGCACATATCCAAAGGAAGGGAAATCCATATATCAAAGGGATACCTGCACTCCTGTGTTTATAGCAACACTATTCACAATAGCCAAAATATAATATCAACCTAAACGTCCACCAACACATCAATGGAAAAAGAAAATCTGGTATATAAACACAGTGGAATATTACTCTGCTATAAAAATGAAATCCTGTCATTTGCCACAACATGGATAGGCCTGGATGTCATTAAGTGAAATAAGTCAGACACAGAAAGATAATTACTGCACATTTTCACTTATATTTGGGAGCTAAAAAAATTGGGGCTCATAGAAGTAGTGAGTAGAATTATGGGCATTAGAGGGTGAGGGGGTAGTGGGGAGGGCAGGATGGGGAAAGGTTGGTATATGAATACAAAATTACAGCTAGATAGAAGAAATGAGCTCTGGTGTTCCACAGCCCTGTAGGATAAATATAATTGACTGTAATTTATTGTGTATTTTCAAAAAGCTAGAAGAGAGGATTTTGAATGCTTACAACACACACACAAATGTCTGAGGTGAGGGATATGCTAATTAACCTGATTTGATCATTATACATTTTATACACATGTCAAAATATCAGTCTATATCCCCTAAATATGCACAATTATTAGGTGTCAACGAAATGTAAAAGGGAAAAAGGTACAAAAACCGAAGAAGAAATGAGAGGAAAAAATGAGCCTCCAGAGTTAATCAAATTCACCGTAAAAATGAATAGCTGTGGCCAGGTGTGGTGGCTCAGGCCTGTAATCTCAGCACTTTGGGAGGCCGAGACTGGTGGATCACCTGAGGTCGGGAGTTCGAGACCAGCCTGAACAACATGGAGAAACCCCGTCTTTAGGAAAAATACAAAAAATTAGCCAGGCACGGTAGCACATGCCTGTAATCCCAGCTACTTGAGAGACTCACTTGAACCCGGGAGGCAGAGGTTTCAGTGAGCCAAGATCATGCCATTGCACTGCAGCCTGGGCAACAAGAGCAAAACTCTGTCTCTGTCTCAAAAAAAAAAAAAAAAAAAAAAAAAAATAGAATAGCTGTGATGGTTAATGGTTAATTTTATGTGTAAACTTGACTTGGTCACAGGGTGTCTGGATTAAACATTACTTATGGGTGCATCTGTGAGGGTGTGTACAGATGAGATTAGCATTTGAATCAGTAGACTCAGTAAAGCAGATTGCCCTCCGTATGTGTATGGACATCATTCAATCCCCTAAGGGCCTGGATAGAACACAAGGCAGAGAGGAGGAATTCACCCATATTTTCTGCCTCATTGTTGAGTTGGGACATTTCATCTTATCCTTTCCTGTCCTTGCACTGGGATTTACACCATTGGCTTCCGTGGTTCTCAAGCCTTTGGACTCATACCAGAATTACACCACCAGCATTCTTGGATTTCCAGCTTGCAAATGACAGATTGTTGGACTTCTTAGCCTCCATAGACATGTGAACCAATTTCTCATCATCAATGTCTCTTTCTCCCTTACTCCCTCCTATTGGTTCTGTTTCTCTGGAGAATCCTGATTAATACACTGGGAATAAACATTTCCCCAAGCCCATACCATAGGTGTATATTAGTGTTTTTTACAATCTTTTCAAATCTTAAACTTAAAAATATTTTATTTATTTACAATTTCTCCCAATTGGAAACAACTTGCATATCCCTGGACTGGGGAATGGACAAGGAAGCTGGTAAATCCATACCAAGAAATAGGAGTCAGCAATGTCAGAGTTGACAAATTACTCTTCAGAAAGCTTTAGTTCCCTGTTGTTTGTTGCTCAAGACCAACTTCCTTGTACTTCCTTGTCTCCAAGCTACCTGTTCTGTAAACAACCTTCCCGCCTTTGCCATGCCCAGACAAGTCCGGATATGCCTTCCCGCTTAGTAATGGACAGTCCCCCTTCCTTCCCGCCTAATAGACCCTGTCAATTTTAAACCTTAGCCAATCGAGTTAGCTTTGATTGTGAGGTCTAATCCCAGCCAATGGGGAAGGGACACAGAAGTGCTAGGAACTGCATCAGGGATAAAAACCCCTGCCCTGCCCTTCTCGGTGTTCTCTTGTGATCATGACTGGCATAACCTGCACCCTTCTGCAGAAGTAAATTTCTCTTGCTGAGGAATTTTCTGCCTTTGTGCTGGTTTTCTCTGCGGCACCAGGCACTTGTTTCTAACAGCAAGAAAAACAGAAGTATTGGTACACAAAACAACACGGAAGGATCTCAATTGCATTGTGTTAAGTAAAAGATACCAGATTCAAAGACTGCATATTGTATGATTCCATTTATATAATATTCTAAAAAAGGCAAACATACAGGCCCAAAGACTAGATAGTGGCTGCAAGAGGCTAAGAGTGGTTAGAGAATCTGACTTTCAAAAGGTAGCATGGAGGAATTTTATTGACAGGTGAAATAATTTTGTATCTTGCTTGTGGTGGTGGTTACACAAATCTGTGCGTTTGTCAAAACTCATAAAATTATGCAACAAATAAAGTGAACTTTTCAGTATATAAAGCATAAATTTAAAAATGTAAATTTCAATATGTTTCACATATTTTTACTCAAATATTTGCATTTCCTTTTTTCTTTTTTTCTTTTTTGAGATGCAGTCTCACTCTGTCACCAGGCTGGAGTGTAGTAGTGCGATCTTGGCTCACTGCAACCTCCACCTCCCGGGTTCAAGCGATTCTCCTGCCTCAGCCTCCTGACTAGCTGGGACTACAGGTGCGCACCACCACGTCCAGCTAATTTTTGTATTTTTAGTACAGAAGGGGTTTCACCATTTTGGGCAGGATGTTCTCAATGTCTTGACCTCATGATCTGCCCGCCTCAGCCTCCCAAAATGCTGGGACTACAGGCGTGAGCTGCCATGCCCGGCCATATTTGCATTTCTTTCAATTCTCATAATGGACTTAAAAAGTTTTGCTGGAATGGAGCTGCTTATTTTTCTCTATTATAAAATGTAACTGATATTAAATTTATAGTTTCTGTCTTTGGTATCACATCCCTTTTTGGTTTTTTTTGAGACAAAGTCTCACTTTGTCACCCAGGCTGGAGTGCAGTGGTGCCATGATGGCTTACTGCAACCTGGGGCTCAAGTGATCGTCCAACCTCAGCCTCCTGAGTAGCTGGGATCACAGGCGCCTGCCTACATGCCCAGCTAATTGTTATTTTTAATTTTTTGTAGAGACAGGGGTCCCACTATAACGCCCAGGCTGGTCTTGGACTCTAAGGATCAAGTGGTCCTCCTGCCTCCACCTCCCAAACTGCTGGGATTACAGGTGTGGGCCACTGTGCCTGGCCCACATGTCAATTTTCAAAAATTTATACTCGTTTAAATGTTTCAATACTGTATACATGTGAATTTTATCACGTGTGATCTATATATATCTCTATATTCCAAATTGTTAGGAATGACATGCTCTTTGGAATACTCCATTCTTTCCCTCACTGTTTTGAAATGCTGTATTTACTACACATTAAAGAATACTCTCAATCATGGTGTCTTATTTCCATGGAGCAGGTGCCAAACTACTTTGAATAGAGCAATATTATATATATAGATAGATATAGATATTTCTCAGGCATTTTTTCAAGCTTTTTAAAACGTATAATGGCTGTTCATTTAGTTTTTTACTTACTCTGGATAAAGTTGACAATGCTTTTGTAAAGTACACAATACACTAAAGATCAAAGAGAAAAAATACATAAAAAAATTTGTTGATATTCTTTTAGGAATTTTGTCTTCCTAAGAAAGGTACAGATAGACTAAATGTATTTCCATTTAGTCAAGCAATTTTAATGTCACAGGGGAAATCATGTGACATTTATTTTCTTCTTTCGGATTATGTCTATTTTCTGACTTTTCAATTTCCGTTTATTGCGTTAACGATTTTGATGAAGTAGCTTTCCTGTGGCACCTCCCCCATCCCCCCCATCCCTGCTCTCAAAGAATCGCTGATAGTGTCAAAGTCTTTTAAACTGTATCAATAAGATCTACTTCCTAACATTTAAAGTGAAACTGACACACAGCTGTCCTTTCCTTGAGGCGTCTGTGTCTAACCTGCACACTTGCTGCACACAGACCTCCCCTGCAGTGCATCCCTTTGGGTCGCCCCGGGAGAGCCAGGGCTGCGGGCAGTTCCCACACCAACTCAGACCGCATCTGTCCACTGCCTAGCGGGGCACCTCTCTGCCAATCCCGAAGGGCTGCTCTCGCGTCCTCACGGGAAAGGTAGTTTCCAGGTTGGGCGCCAACAGCGCCAGGCTTTGAGCGTGGGCTCTGCGCATGCCTCATCCACTGGCTACCTCTGCGTTTCTGCGTTTCCGCCTTTCCTTTTGTTTGTCTCACGTTTTGCGTGGGAGGCGGTCCCGGGATTTCAGGGGTCTACCGGCTCTCTTATGGCGAATGCAACCCGAAGAGAGAGTGAGGTAAGCCTCCGCGGGTTGGGCAGGGACGGAGAGGGGGCCCCGCGCGACTCCAGGAGCAGGCAGCCGGGGGCCAGTGCCAGGTGGTGGCGAGGAGTCCCGGGGACCTCACGGAGAAGCCGGGGACGGCGGGGCTGCAGCATGTCTACCAGGACGCTACGCCAGTTCCTCTAAGGCGCAGCCTCTGTAGGGAGCGGGCTACGCCCTGTGCGTTGCCCTGTTTGTAGGGGCCGCGGAGGAGGGCATGTGCGCTTGCGCGGTCCGAGCGCTGAGCCTTGCGGGAGGGGCAGTTCTCTGGTTGAGCGTGTTTACGCCCATGTGCTAGGGCGCGGCCCTACCTGGGTAGGAAAGGGCGGGTGCAGTCGCCCGCCCGACATACGGACTCTGTTGCCCGTTCTGCGTTCATCCTCTTTAGGTTTCGAACTGCCCTCCAGTCATGTCCATCACCCCATCTTGTTATTTGCTGTTCCTCTGTCCTAACTTGATCTTGCACTCAGGAAGGATCTTCAAGAATTACATAATTTTGGCCTAGCGCGGTGGCTCTCTCCTGTAATCCTGCACTTTGGGAGGCCGAGGAGGGTGGATCACCTGAGGTCAGGAATTCGAGACCAGCCTGACCAACATGGCAAATCCCCGTCTCTACTAAAAATACTAAAAGTAGCCATGCGTGGTGGCCTATGACTGTAATCCCAGCTACTGAGGCAGAGAAATGCTTGAACCCGGGAGGCGGAGGTTGCAGGTAGCTGAGATTGCACCATTGCACTCCAGACTGGGCAACAAGAACGAAACTCCGTCTCAAAAACAAACAAACAAACAAAAAACCAGAATTACCTAATTTTGCCTCATTTGTTAGAAGAAAAAATAATTTTTTTGTTTTTTGTTTGTCAAGGTTACTGACTTGTTCAGGATCAAAGTTTGTTAGTAGGGAGAACTAAAAGTCACTTCTCCTGACCCCTAAGCCAGTACTACTTTTCTACACACATCAAAGCAAGTTTAAAACATCCTTTTGAGAAATAGCAACAAAGTTAGATGAAGAAATTAAAACGGATTTTTTCTTTGAAGCACTGACGCTTATGGTTTTCTGTGGACTAACTCATCAGAGGTTAAGTAACATTACTGGGAAAATCGATAGCCTAGTCCTATTCTTTACAATGGTTTTAGTGTTAATGTTTTTTCATTAAATGTATTGTTAACTTGTTTGGCCAATATTGTCATTATACATTTTTTGTGAAGACTGAGGGAGATTGAAATCCTTAGGAAGCAAATATTTACTTTCACCTGATGAAAAATCTTGTGCCCAAGAGCTACATGGTTATGTTGGAGTTGTATTAGGGTGTTCTTTCACCATTTCTACCCCCTATTCCGAAGTGTCAGAGGACATTGATATTCTCCCAGACGGAGCATTTTACCTAGTGGGTGTGTATGGCTTCTTAGGGCAGAAGAATCCGGGAGTTGCCAGGCAGGCCAAATCTTTCATGACCCCATTCCTCTTTTTCCAACTCAGCTGTATCTTCAGAGTTGTCTCCGTCTTTCCAAGAACAGAACAAAATGAACAAGGTAAGTTGTTTATTAATTCCCTACTTTATTTTGCGGTGGACTTTGTGAGATTTGTAAGAGTCAGTATGGTTTTTTTGTTTTGTTTTGTTTGTGACATGGAGTCTCGCTCTGTCGCCCAGGCTGGAGCGCAGTGTCTCCATCTCTGTTCACTGCAACCTTGCAACCTCTGCCTCCTGGGTTCAAGCAATTCACCTGCCTCAGCCTCCCGATTGGCTGGGACTACAGGCGCAGGCCGCCACGCCTGGCTAATTTTTTGCATTTTAATAGAGATGTGTTCACCGTGTTGCCCTGGCTGGTCGCAAACTCCTGAGCTCAGGCAATCCGCCCGCCTCGGCCTCCCAAAGTGTTGGGATTACAAGTGTGAGCCACCGTGCCTGGCCAAGAGTCAATATGTTAAGATGAGAAATTAGTAATAGATAAAAATTGAACTTCCCAGAAAATATAAAGTAACAGATCAATAGCAGGGCCAAGTTAGAGTCAATAAGTTGAGCTTCATGTGTTTCTTATGTTTCCAACAACCATGGCAGAAAGGAAGACACTGGATATGGATACAGACAAACTGACTCCTCTGAAGACACAAAGACTTCCTGGCAGATACCTTTTTTGGTTATAACATAGGGACCCATAGTGAATAACCTTCCAGTGTTAGCCCTGAAATGAGTGCAGCCTATTGAGTCAAACTGCTTTTTTAATTTTTATTTTATACAGGTTCCAATTTTCTTTTGGATGTACTGTTTGATCAGTAAGTTAAAATGTATTTTAATTTTAAATTTTTTATTTTTTTATTTTTTTGAGACAGAGTCTCGCTCTGTTGCCTGGCTGGAGTACAGTGGCACGATCTTGGCTCACTGAAACTTCTGCCTCCTGGGTTCAAGCAATTCTCTTGCCTCAGCCTCCCGAGTAGCTGGGACTACAGGCGTGCACCACCATACCTGGCTAATTTTTGTAGATTTAGTAGAGACGGGGTTTCACCATGTTGGCCAGGATGATCTCGATATCTTGACGTCGTGATCTGCCCTCCTCGGCCTCCCAAAGTGCTGGGATTACAGGCGTGAGCCACTGTGCCCGGCCAATAAATTAAAGTGTATTTTAATTTTTTTTTTTTTTTTTGGATACAGAGTCTTGCTCTGTCGCCAGGCTGTAGCACAGTGATGCAATCTCGGCTCACTGCAACCTCCGATTCCCTGGTTCAAGTGATTCTCCTGCCTCAGCCTCCCAAGTAGCTGGAATTATAGGCATGCGCCACCATGCCCAGCTAATTTTTGTATTTTTAGTAGAGACAGGGTTTCACCATGTTGGCCAGGCTGGTCTCAGTCTCCTGACTTCATGATCTGCCTGCCTCGGCCTCCCAAAGTGCTGGGATTACATATTTTAATTTTTAATGAATCTTATTTCTACATGTGTAGCAGATAGATGGAAAAACCCCTACATTTTAAATATAGAACTTAATGAATTATTACAAATCCATGGCGCAAATAATGAATACATACGTCAAAAAAAACATTGCCAGCCCTCCTGCAGCTGCCGTCTTGTCCCCCTCACAATCCTGACACCTCCCTGCTCATTCACTCATTTACATTTAATCTGTGGCTTCAGTGGCAGAGTTGACTAATTGTGACAGGAACCTTTTGGCCTGCAAAGCCCCAAATATAATGATGTCTGATTTTTTTTTTTTTTTTTGGAGAATGTCTCACTCTGTCACTCAGGCTAGAGTGCAGTGGTGCGATCTTGGCTCACTGCAGCCTCTGCCTTCAGGGCTCCAGGGATTCTCCTGGCTAAGCCTCCCCAGTAGCTGAAATTACAGGCACATGCCATCACACCTGGCTAATTTTGTATTTTAATAGAGATGGGGTTTCACTTGGCCAGGCTGGTCTCAAACTCCTGGCCTCAAGTGATTCGCCTGCCTTGGCTTCCCAAAATGCTGGGATTACAGGTGTGAGCCACCATGCCTGGCTAAATATTTAATGTCTGATTTTTTACAGAAAAAGTTTACCAATCCCTAGATTAGTTTATTAAGTTTATTTGTTGATGGTGTGTGCTATTTTAGATGACTTTACCTACTTTGAGGTCATGAAGATAATCTCTTTTGTTATCTTTTAAAATATTTATTGTTTTGGCATTCACATTTACCTCTCTTTCATTGGAATGGGTGTCTACTTTTGTATGAGGTGGATGTCAGATTCCTGTTTTTCATACAGTTAGTGTAGAATTATTTTTGAAAACACCATCCTTTCCCCAGTTTTACATTGTGATATTTTCATCAATTATGTGTACATATATGTCTGTGTGTTTTTTTGGACTGTGTTCTGTTGGTTGGTTGTGCCAGTACCTCACTTGGTGAAACATCTTAGTGTCTAGTAGTGGGTTTAACACATTTTTTCTTCAGCAAATCCTGGCTCTTCCTAGTTCCTTGCATTTCCATACAAATATTGTTAGTATTCTTAAAATAACTTGCTGAGACTTTCTTTGGGGTTGAATTGAACCTATATATAAATTTGGGAGGAATTTCTTACCTTTTTTTTTGAGACAGAGTTGCCCAGGCTGCAGTGCAGTGGTGCGATCTTAGCTCACTGCAACCTCCACCTCCTGGGTTCGAGTGATTCTCCTGTCTCAGCCTCTCCAGCAACTGGGATTACAGGCACCTGCCCCCACGCCTGGCTAATTTTTTTGTATTTTTAGTAGAGACAGGGCTTCTCCATGTTGGCCAGGCTAGTCTTGAACTCCTGACCTCAAGTGAGCTGCCTGCCTTTACCTCCCAAAGTACTAGGATTACAGATGTGAGCCACTGTGCTTAGCCTCTGATTCCATTCTTGATTATTTTCTTTCCCCAGTTTTCTGACATCCTTCTGATTTTCTCTTGATGGCTTTGAGCACCACTGTATTATAAATGTCTCTGTAGTCCTTGTTTCATTCTTGATCTTCATATTATGCTTCATTTTTTTTTTTTTTGAGATGGAGTTTTGCTCTTGTTACCCAGGCTGGAGTGCAGTGGTGCCGACCTCGGCTGACTGCAATGTCTGCCTCCCAGGTTAAAGGGATTCTCCTGTCTCAGCCTCCTGAGTAGCTGGGATTACAGGTGCCTGCCACCACGCCTGGCTAATTTTTTGTATTTTTAGTAGAGATGAGGTTTCACCATTTTGGTCAGGCTGGTCTCGAACTCCTGTCCTCAGGTGATCCACCCGCCTCGGCCTCCCAAAGTGCTGAGATTACAGGCGTGAGGCACTGCACCCAGCCTGTGCTTCAAATTTAATATATTTAGGACATTTCTTGCTAGAATACCGTGTCCAACCTATTTTGCCCTAACTTTCCTGGTTTACATTGTGGCCCTAGTATCTGAGCAGCTGTTCATGGGGATAGCCAGAGGAAACATTTTTTTTCTTAATGAATTAGTGACCACATTTTGATGCTCTGTCTCCTATTATTCATGCCCTATTTGCATCCTGGTTTCTTCTACAGTAGTTTATGTAAATGTTGTTTTGTCCTTTGCTGTTCTCAATAGAATTGGTTCTGTAAACAAAACCTGGTCACATAATTGCAGTATATGCTCACATCTCATCTTTGGCTCTCCCTTTTTCACAGCAGTGATCCCTAAAAGATGTGCCCTAGAGGATATCCAGAACAATCCAACTGGATGTCTTCTCCTATGTACTCCACAGAGGTTTCAAGTATAATAGTTCCAAGATCTTTCCATTTTCTACACATCCCTATTATTGTCTTTGAATTAAAGGATTAGAACCCAGAATATGTACTGCGATGAAGAAAATGTCAGGCTTTCTACATTTTTAAATCTAAATGAGAATTAAATTAGAATTCATAATAAATGTACTGACAATTTATTTCTGTGATTTGTAAATATAAATCTGTAGTTCTCAGTAATATTCTTGAAAATGGTAAATGATCAAATACTTTAGAGACCATTGGTGTAAAATTACTCTGTAACCCATTTCCTTGGCTTTTCTTCTCAAGACAGCAGCAGGCCATTTCCTGTGCTGTCTGCCCTTTTGTTGATGTCTGCAGTGTGTTGGAGGCCCTCACCTTTGCTTGTATCATGGCCCCGTGCTTATGAAGGACGTAATAGAGTGTTCTTCATAATTCAACCAACAGCTATACTTCCTCAGTGAAACTCAAAGCAGAGCTAACTTTGCTCCTAACGTTAGTCTGTTGGGTTTGTACTTTCACCTTAGTACTTGCAACATGTTACCATGTATATTTTCTTACCACTCTGTGTGTTCTTTGAACACAGGAAGATTTTTATTAATCTTAGTGTTGCCAGGAGTGATGATAGTTCCAGGTACATTGTGGGAACTTGATAATTTTTTTGCATGAATTAATATCTTAATGCATTAATGGCAGAATATTTCTGTTATGATTTCTTTTTTCCCTAAAAGTATAAAGCAAAACAAATATTCTGTGAATAATAATCATGGTAAGGATTAGCCCATACTTCTTTTTTCATGCCACCTAATTCTGAACATTTCAGGTAGATCAGAAGTTCCAGGGGTCAGTATCATTTAAAGATGTGACTGTGGGCTTCACCCAGGAGGAGTGGCAGCACCTGGACCCTAGTCAGAGGGCTCTGTATAGAGATGTGATGCTGGAGAACTACAGCAACCTTGTCTCAGTGGGTAAGGTCTGTTCACTGTATCATTCTAAATAGCATTCGTTTATTTTGATTATAAAACATATAGGCAGTCTGTCTAGTTTAATGACATTATTTAGGCTTAGGTTAGGCTTCAGGAGTCAGTGTTGATTGAGCACCAGAAGATACTTGTGTTCACCTCTCCAGTGAAAATGTTCCACTGGCAACTTGAAGCAGCCCCAGAAGCTTCTTCCTGCTTCAAAGGCCTGAAGTCTAGACTGCTTGGTCCAAATCCTAAATTATTTCCTGTTAACAGGGTATTGTGCTCACAAACCAGAGGTGATCTTCAGGCTGGAACAAGGAGAAGAACCATGGAGACTGGAGGAAGAATTCCCAAGCCAGAGCTTTCCAGGTGGGTTAATATGTACTGCACAGATTCACATCAGGGGATTTGTTGTTTCCCAGTAGTTAATTCAGGGTTTGGCAACTTTGGAACATTTTTCAAGAACATCTCCATAGGGGTCCTAACCTCTGGAAGTGATGGAGAATACTGATTGCTAAATCAAACCTCCAGATACTACTCACAAAAAATTTTTCCTTTTAGAATCATTTTTTGAAGGTTTACCATTCTTACACCTGCCAATAGTTCAGTCTTTGCCCACCTCAACTTTACTGTTGTTTTTCTTGGTTATTTTTCTCAAAGCACTTTCAGTGTCCCACCTTAACCTCCATTGTTTTGTGTTTATTCTTCTGTCAGAATTTTTTATTCACTCATTTTTAAACTCAGCAAATAATTTTTGAGCACTTGGTGTGTGCTGAGGATATGATAATGAAAAAAATTAGGCCAGGCATGGTAGCTCACACCTGTAATCCCAGCACAGGTCGAGGTGAGCAGATCACTTGAGGTCAGGAGTTTGAGAACAGCCTAGCCAACATGGTGAAACTCCATCTGTACTAAAAATACAAAATTAGCTGGGCGTGGTGGCAGGTGCCTGTAATCCCAGCTACTTGGGAGGCTGAGGCAGGAGAATCACTTGAACCCAGAAGGCAGAGGTTGCAGTGAGCTGAGATTGCACCACTGCACTCTAGCCTGGGCGACAGAGCGAGACTCTGTCTCAAAAATAAGTAAATAAATATAAAAAAAAAACAAAATTATGTCTCTAAGTATATTATGTATACTTATGTTTATGTATATTAAGTGTTCTGTGGTTTTAAAGACTATGAAAGAAATTAAAGCAAGTTTAGATTACTTTAAGGAACAGTCAGGGGAAACCTTACTGAGGTCAACATTAGAGTAGAAATTTGAATGAAATGACTGTGTGAGCCATGAGGATTCTGCCTCTTTTCAGCAGGGGTAATAGCAGCTGCTAGCCTTGGACAGGAATGTGCTTGGTGGTTTTCAGGAATGACCAAAAAGTCACAGTGGCTGAAGGGAGGGCTTGATTGGAGGAAGGGCAGGAGGTGAGGTGAGGGAGGCAGCTAGAGTCCAAAGGTGAGCCTATCATAAGCCTTATTTGGTTAAAATCTGTTTAGTGGTAGATTTTCAGCAGATGAGCAACATCTGATTTATATCTCTGTAAGATCTTTCTCACCTCTGTAGAGAAAATATTGGGCAGGGCATAGGGCATAGAGAGCTCATTAAAGTCCTGTGGTAGTTTTCCTTATGAGTGATTGTGGTAGCTTAGACAAAGCCGGAAGGCAGGAGGGAATGGGATGAGGTTTGATTCTTTCAGTATTTGGAAAGTGGGGCAATAACAAAAGAACTAACATTTGTAACATCAGAAGGAAGTGAAGGAGGTGTTTAAAGTATATGAAGAAGTAATGGCTGGTCCTTCTCAAATTTAGCAAAAGATATAAAACTGCACATTCCCGAGTCTGAAGTAACATCCAATAAGTTAAGTCCATGGCAAACTCACACTATAATTAAATTTTTGAAAACTAAAGACAAAAAAAATTTCAAAGTAGCCAGAGAGAAACAACACATTCCCTGCAGGGAATGACTGTGGGTTTCTCTTCTGAAACTGTGGTGGCAGGCAGGAAGTAGTATATTTTCTCAAGTACTGAGGGGAAAGCACTATTAAATAAAAATTCTGTATCTTTTGAAACTATATTCATGAATAAAGGGGAACTAAAGGCATTATTAGATAGGGAAGCTAAGAGAAAATGTTGCTAGCAAACCTACCTTTAAAAATTGACTAAAAGTTCTCTAAATAGAAAGGAAATAACAAGAAGGCTTGGGATGCAGGAAAGAAAGAAGATTGGAGGTTGGCAAAAATGGGGATAAATATATTTTTCTCGTGAGTTTCTAGAATCATTTTTGATGGTTGGAGCAAAATGCTCTGTATGTAGGGGAAACACTTAAGACAATTATATTTTAAAAGTGGGGAGGGTAAAGGGGCCTAAGTGGAATGAAACTTGGTACATTTCACTTGAAGTGGTAAAATGCTTGATAGACTGTGATAACTTACATATGTACATTTTAATACCTAGAACAACTACTGAGAAAACTATAAAATGTGGTACACTTAGAAACACTATAAATAAACCCAGATGGAATCTAAAATAATATTTAGGTAACTAATCAGAAAATAAGAAAAAAGGAACAGATGAATAGAAAACAGAAAAGAAAACAAATAGCAGCCTAACAGAGCAATATTTACCTTAAATGTAAATAATCAAAGTACACTAATTAAAATATAAATTGGCAGAGTGGAAAAAACATAAAACATGATCTAAAATTTTTAATTTTTGTGAGTACATAGTAGGTGTATTTATTTTTGGGGTACAGGAGATGTTTTGATACAGGCACACAACGTGTAATAATCACATTAGGGTAAATTGGGTATCTATTCCCTCAAGTATTTATCTTTTGTGTTATAAACAATCCAGTTACACTCTTTTAGTCACTTTAAAATGTACAATTAAATTATTTTTGACTGTAGTCACCCTGTTGGGCTAGCAAATATTAGGTCTTATTCATTCTTTCTAACTATTTTTTTGTACCCTTTAACCATCCTCACCTTCCCCCAACCCCACCCCACCACCTTTCCCAGCCTCTAGTTACTGTCCTTTTACTTTCTACCTCATCTCCATGAGTTCAGTTGTTTTAATTTTTACCTTTCACAAATAAGTGAGAACATGCAAAATTTTAACATTCTGTGCCTCCATTTCTGTCTAGGTTGTTGCATATGACAGGATCTCTCATTCTTTTTTATGGGTGAATGGTACTCCATTGTGTATATGTACCACATTTTCTTTATCTATTTATCTGTGAATGGACACTTCAGTTGATTCCAAATCTTAGCTCTTGTGAACAGTGCTGCAGTAAACATGGGAGCAGAGATATCTCATTGATGTTCTGATTTCTTTTCTTTTGGGTATATATCTAGGAGTGGGATTGCTGGATTATATGATAGCTCTACTTTTAGTTTTTTCAGGAACTTCCAAACTGTTCTCTTTCAGCCATATGAAGTGAAAACCATGCTCTGTAAGTGCTCACCTGACTTTTGGTTCCTGTGAAACTGCTTATTTTGTGTAGATAGTTGCCAATGTTAGTCTTCCTGCGGGGGAGTGTGTATGATCGGTGGCGTTCTCTATTCCACCATCTTGCTCCACCCATCCTAAAAATGTTTTCTTAGGAAACTCATAGTGAACAACATAGGTTGATAAAGTATATAAAAAGATAAACTGTACAAACATTAATCAAAAACAAAATACAGTAGACTCTAGAGCAAAGAGCAAAGAAAACTATTAGACAAAAAGAACATTATATAATGATAAAAGGATCAATCCAACAAAAATGCAATGATCCTAAATGTGTCTCTAGCAAACCTCAAAGTACACAAAACAAAACTGATTGAGTTGAAAAGAGAAAAGCACATTTTAATTGTAGTTGGAAAATTCATCACTTCCCTCTTAGCAATTGATAGAATTACTAGCCATATGATTACTAGCAGATATAGAAGAACAGGACAGCAACATCAGCCAACAGGACTGAAGCATCATTATAGAATAGTGCTCAACAAGGCCAGGTGCGGTGTCTCACGCCTGTAATTCCAGCACTTTGAGAAGCCGAGGCGGGCAGATTGCTTGAGGTCAGGAGTTCAAGAGTAGCCTGGATAATATGGTGAAATCCTGTCTCTACTAAAAATACAAAAATTAGCCAGGCATGGTGGCGCATGCCTGTAGTCCCACCTACTTAGGAAACTGAGGCAGGAGAATCTCTTGAACTGGGAGGCAAAGGTTCCAGTGAGCCAAGATTGTGCTACTACACTGTAACTTGGGTTACAGAGTGAGATTCTGTCTCAAAAAAAAGGAAAAAGAATAGTGCCCAACAACAGCAAAATACAATTTTTTTCTCAAGTGTCCATGGAATATTCAGAAAGATAGACCATATCCTGGGCCATAAATAAGCCTTGGCAGATTTAAAAGAATTGAAATCATTCTGAGTATGTATGTTTTCTGGCCATAATGAAACCAAACTACAAATCAGTAATAGAATGACAATAGGGAAATATATAATAATTTAGAAATTAAACATCAGACTTCTAAATAACATCTGGAGTGAAGAAGGGGCCTCAAATTTAATAGTAGAAATGCATAGACTTAATGAAAATGAGACCATACCATATCAATATATGTGGGAGGTAGCTAAAGCAGTGCTGATAGAGAAATTTATAGTGCCAAATGCTAACATTAGAGAAGATGATAGGTTGCAAACCCATAATTGACTTTCTACCTTAAGAAACTAGCAAAGAGCAAAATAAAACCTCTGTTAAGTAGAAGGAAGAAAATAACACTGGAAGCAGAAATCAGTAAAATTGAAAATAGGAAAAAGTAGAGAAAACTAATGAAACATAGGGTTCTGTGGAAAAGAATAAAATTGGTAAACATCTAGCAATATTGATTAAAAATATAAAATGAGATGACAAATCATCAATATCTGGAATGAAACAGGGAATATCACTCCACCATCCATTTAACAGTATAATAAGGGAATCTTGTCAACAACTTTATGTTCATAAATATGACAACATAGGCCAGGTGTGGTGGCTCATGCCTGTTATCCCAGGGCTTTGGGAGGCCAAGGCAGGCGGATCACCTGAGGTCAAGAGTTTGCAACCACCCTGGCCAACATGGTGAAACTCCGTCTCTTCTAAAAATACAAAAATTAGCCTGGTGTGGTGGTGCACGCCTGTAATCCCAGCTACTCAGGAGGCTGAGGCAGGAGAATGGCTTGAACCCAGGGAGTGGGAGGTTGCAGTGAGCTGAGATTGCACCATTGCATTCTAGCCTGGGCAACAGAGCAAAACTCTGTCTCCAAAAAAAAAAAGAAAAATGACAACATAGAAGAAATGTAGCAGTTTTTCAGAAACCAAAAACTATTACAACTCAATTAGGGTGATATAGATAATTTGAATGACCCATAGGTTTTCATAAAAGTTGACTTAATTTGAATCAAATACTTTAAATTTTAAATAAAAAACCTCCAAAAAACCAATTTCTGTGTACTAGAGAGTTGTTCTCACTAGAGAATTCTACCAAACATTTACACAAGAATTAATGATGATTTTACACAATGTCCTCAAAAAATAGAAGCAGGAACATTTCTTTATTTTATTTATTTATTTATTTATTTATTTATTTATTTATTTAGATGGAGTCTTGTTTTGTCACCCAGGCTGGAGTGCAGTGGTGCAATCTCGGCTCACTGCAACCTCTGCCTCCCAGGTTCAAGTGATTATCCTGCTTCAGCTTCCTGAGTAGCTGTGACTACAGGCGCATGCGACCATGCTCGGCTAATTTTTGTATTTTTAGTAAAGACGGTGTTTCACCTTATTGGCCAGGCTGGTTTCAAACTCCTGACCTTGTGGTCCGCCCACCTCAGCCTCCCGAAGTGCTGGGATTACAGGCATGAGCCACTGCGCCTGGCCAAGAGGGAACATTTCTTAACACATTTAAAAAATTATTTTGATGTCAAAACCATACAGACAGTACAAAAATAATAAAACTACAGACCTATACTCCCCATACATTTAGTAGCAAAAATCTTTACCAAAACACTAGCAAATAGAAAATAGTCATGTAAAAAGTATACACTATAAACAAGTGGGATTTACTTGAGTTATACAAGCAAGCCTGGTTCAACATTCAGAAATCAATCAATGTAATTAACCCACCATAGGCTAAAGAAGAAAAATGATATAACATCAGTTAATATAGAGAAAGCATTTGACAAAATGCAGTATGCATCCATGATAAAAAATCTCTATACAAGACATTAAGAGGATCTTCCTCAGTTTGATAAATGAACATGCACAAAATATCTATAGCAGATATATTTGCTGGTAAGATGAAATGTTTTCTCTGTAAAACTGGGAACAAGGCAAGGATGTTTGCTCTCACCACTCTTATTCATTGTAGTACTGTAACTTCTTTCAAGCACAATGAGGCAAGAAAATGAAAGAGAAGGCATACACATAGAGAAGAAATAAAACTGTTTACATTTACACATGACATGACTGTATATGTAGAATATTACAAGGAATCTTAGAAAATAAAAACCTCAGGCCAGGCCTGGTGGCTCATGCCTATAATCCCAGTACTTTGGGAGGCCGTGGCGAGTGGATCACCTGAGGTCAGGAGTTTAAGAGCAGCCTGACCAATATGGAGAAACCCCATCTCTACTAAAAATACAAAATTAGCTGGGTGTGGTGGCGCATGCCAGTAATCCCAGCTACTTGGGAGGCAGGAGAATTGCTTGAACCCAGGAGGCGGAGATTGTGATGAGCCGAGCTCACACCATTGCACGCCAGCCTGGGCAACAAGAGTGAAACTCCGTCTCAAAAACAAAAAAAAAGAAAAGAAAACAAAATGAAAACCTCCCAGAATGAATGAATGATTTCCAAAAAGTTTCAGGATCCAAGATGAACACATATAATCAATTTCTTTCCACTAACAATGAACATATACAAATCTAAATTAAAAACATAATACCACTTATTCCATAGAAAATTAAATACTTTGTTATAAATTGAACAAAATATGTATAGGACCTTTGTGCTGAAAATTACAAAATTCTGATGAAAGAAATAAAAGAACACTGAAATAAATGAAGATACGTGGTCTCTTGATAGATTGGGAAACTCAACTTTGTAAGTAGGCCAGTTCTCTCCAAATTGACCTACAGTTTAATGGCATTCCTGTCAAGATTCCAGTAAGGTTTTTCTCAGCTTTAAATAAGCTTATTCCAAAATTTCCATAAATGGTCAAAGGAACCATATATATATATATATATATATAAAATATGAAACAATTTTGAGAAATTTTTTCTCAGAAGTTTTGAGAAAAAGAATAGTAGGAGGAATTATTGTATCCAGTGTTAAGGCTTATTACATTAGTCTCCCCTTTTCTGTGGTTTTGCTTTCTGCAGTTTCTGTTACCTGAGGTCAACTGTGGTTCAAAAATATTAAATAGGAAACTTCAGAAATAAGTAATGCCTAAGTTTTAAATTGCACACTGTTGTGAGTAGCATGATGAAATTTTGCACTGTCCTGTTCCAGGACATGAATCAACCCTGTGTCCAGCATACCCAGGCTGTATATGCTACCCATGAGTTAATTACTTAGTAATTGTCTTGATTATTTACTGTCACTATATGTGTCCAAGTAACCCTTATTTTACTTAATAATGGCCCTAAAGTGCAAGAGTAGCGATGCCAGCATATTGTTATAACTTTTCTATTTTATGATGTTGTTAATCTCTCCCTGTCCCTAAGTTATAAATTAAACTTTATCTTAGGTTTGTATATTTAGGAAAAAACAGTATTTATAGGGCTCAATACTATCTGAGGCTTCAGGCTTCCACTGGGCGTCTTGGAATGTATCGCCCTTGGATAAGGAGTGACTACTGTATGTATATATTAATAGCTATAATAATCAAGAGGACAGGATGTTGGTTGAATATACACATTGATAGAACATACACATAGAACAATGGAAAAGAATAGAAAACTTCAACATTGATTATGCTGTTATAGACTGTATGTTCATGTCTCCCCAAAATTCATATGTTGGAGCCCTCAACCCTAGTGTGGTGGTGTTTGGAGATGTGGAGCCCTTGGGAGGTAATTAGGGTTAGATTAGGTCATGAGGGTGGGGCCCTCACGATGAGGTTAGTGCCTTACAGGAAGAGGAAGTGAGAGCTTCCTCACTCTCCATGTGCGTAGAGGAAAGGCGATGTGAACATGCAGTGGCCAACTGCAAGCTGGGAAGAGGCCCTCACCAGGCCCTGGCCATGCTGGCATCCTGATCTCAGACTTCCAGCATTTGGAACCGTGAGGAAATAAACTTCTGTTGTTTAAGCCATACTGTCTGGTATTTTGTTATGGCAGCTGAAGCTAAGACATTTGACAAACTGTTGACAAAAATGCAAAAGAAATTCAGTCAGGTATTCAGCAAATGATGCTGGAGCATTTTGACAATATATTGTTTTGTGTGTAGTAAAATATATATAACATGAAATTTGCCATTTTAACAGTTTTTAAGTGTACAGTCTAGTGGCATTACACTCACAATGTTGTATAGCCATAACCACAATTTCTAAAACATTTGCATTATTTCAAACAGAAACTGTATTGCCATTAAGCAGTAACTACTCATTCCCCCCTCCCAACAGCCTATGGTAACCTCTTATCTAGTTTGTCTCTGTGAGTTTTGAATGTTGTGAATATTTCATGTCAGTAGTGTGACAACATTTGGCCTTTTGTGTCTGCCTTATTTCACTTAGCATGATGCTTTCAGCTTTCATCTGTATTGTAACAAGTATCAAGACTTTCTTTTCTGGCTGTTTAATCCATTCATCTGTTGATGTACACTTGGGTCGTACACCTTTTGGCTGTTGTGAATAATGCTTCAGTGAACACTGGTATATCATTATCTGCTCAAAGTTCCTGTTTTCATTTCTTTTGGATATAAACCTAGGAGTAGAATTGTTTTATCAAAGTGTATTTCTTTTAGCTTTTTGGGGTACCACTGAATTATTTTTAATGTGTATATATACACAGATATTTGTTTTTGAGACAGAGTCTCACCGTCACCCAGGCCAGAGTGCAGTGGCACGATCTCGGCTCACCACAGCCTCTGCCTCCTGTGTTCAAGTGATTCTCCTGCCTCAGCTTCCCGAGTAGCTGGGACTACAGGCGCATGCCACAGTGCCCAGCTAATTTTTGTGGCTTTAGTAGAGACGGGGTTTCACCATGTTGGCCAGGCTTGTCTTGAACTCCTGACCTCAGGTGATCACCCACCTTGACCTCCCAAAGTGCTGGGATTACAGGCGTGAGCCACCGCACCCGGCCGTACCTACTCTTTCTTTTGTTGCTTATCCATTTTATGTCATAGTTAAGAATCCATCACCAAACCCAAAGTTTTCCTTATGTTTTCTTCTGAACATTTCTTCTAAACATTTTATTGTTTTAGCTCTTATTTTCAGTTCATTTTTGTGTATAGTCAAAGTAGGGATCTAACTTTATTTTCTAACTTTATTTTCATGTGGAAATCCAGTTAACCCAGCATCATTTTTTTGGTCATTTGTCATCATTTCAAACAGAAACTCTATCACCATTAAGCAGTAACTACTCATTCCCATTCCCACCAGCCTGTGGTAACCTCTAATCTATTTTGTCTGTGAGTATGACTGTTGTATCTCATGTCAGTAGCGTGACAATATTTGGCCTGCATTAACTGAAAGAAAAGGCTTTTCTTTCTCCCAGTGAATAGAATTGACGCCCTTGTCAAAAATCAGTTGACCATAGGCAGTGTATTTTTGGGCTCTCACTTGTATTCCGTTTGTCTGTATGTCTACACCTATGACATGACCCACTGTTTGGATTATTGTAGCTTTCTAATAAGTTGTGAAATTGGACGTTTTGAGTCCTCTGACTTTGTTCTTCTTTTTAAAAATTGTTTTCGCTATTCAGGGCCCTTATAATTCCACGTGACTTTAAGGATCAGCTTTTTATTTTGGTAAAAATGCTGATGGAATTTTGATAGGGATTGTGTTAAATCTGTAGATCATTTTGGATGGTATTAGCCTTTTAAAAATATGACATCTCTCAAACTGTGAACATGAGATACTGTTTCCTTTATTTATGCCTTCTTTAATATTTTTCATCAGTATTTTGTAGTTTTTAGTATACAAGTCTTGCACCTTCTTGGTTAACTTTATTTCTAGATAGTATTTTATTCTTTTAGATGGTGCTATAGGTAGAATTGTTTTCTTAATTTTCTTTTCAGATTGTTCTTTGCAGGTGTGTAGCAACACAACGGATTTTTGTGTGTTGATGTATCCTGCAACTTTGCAGAATTCATTCATTAGCTATAGTATCTTTCTTGTAGTTTCTTTATGATCTATCTTTAGGATTATGTCACCTGTGAGTAGGCATAGTTTTATGTCTTCCTTTGCAATGGATGCCTCTCTTTCTTTTTCTTGTTTGGCTGGAACTTCTACTGCAGTGTTAAATAGCACTGGCAAAAGTGGGTATTTTTGTCTTCTTCCTGATGTTAAGAGGAAAGCTTTCTTTCATCAGTGAATATGATGTAAAGCTGTGAATTTTCTATATGTGCCCTTTATCATGTTGAAGAAGTTCTATTCTGTTTTGTGTTTTCTGAATGTATTTGTCCTGAAAGGGGTTGGATTTTGTCAACTGCCTTTACTGCATCAACTGAGATGATCGTGTCCTTTTTTTACTTGTTTTATTAATGAAGTGTATTACATTCATTTTCTTTTCTTTTTTTTTTTAAAAACATTGATTTTCTTATGTTGAACCACACAGGCATTTCCAGGATAAGTCCCCCTTGGTCACTTGGTCATGGTGTATACTCCTCTTAATATACCATTAAATATATTTTACTGGTATTTGTGTGTGTGTGTATGTGTTTGTGTAGCTTTGTATCTGTATTCATACGCATCATTCATTCATTCATTTATTCATTTGCATTTGTATTTTTTTTTTAAAAGAGTCTCACTCTGTTGCCCAGACTGGAGTGCAGTGGCACAATTATGGCTCACTGTAGCCTCGAACTCCCAGGCTCAAGTGATCCTCCCCACTCATCCTCCTGAGGGGGCTATAGCTGTATACCACCATGCCCACTATGCCCAGCTATCTTTTTTTTTTTTTTTTTTGGTGGAAACAGGGTCTCACTATGTTGCTCATGCTGGTCTTGGACTCCTGGCATCAAGTGATCCACCTTGGCTTCCCAAACCTCTGGGATTACAGGTGCTATCTACCATGCCCAGCCTCAGTCTAAAACTATTAACTGTAAGAACTGTCAGTTTCTCCCTTGCATTCTGTGTTTGCTTTACATGTTTCAGGATGCTGCTTGGTACATATATAGTTATAATTTTTATATCTTATTGATGGAACGACCCTTTATTCATATATAGTATCCTTCTTTGTCTCTTGTAACAGCTTATGACTTAATC
Source organism: Homo sapiens (assembly GCF_000001405.40). Lineage (NCBI taxonomy): Eukaryota > Metazoa > Chordata > Mammalia > Primates > Hominidae > Homo > Homo sapiens. Next base: position 42,620,859 of record NC_000010.11, on the reverse strand, counting down.
TATTTTGAGTGAAATTAGTATAGCCACCCCAGTTCTCTTTTGGTGGCTATTTTCATGGAATATCTTTTATCAGCCTTTCAGTTTTAATTTATTTGTGTCTTTGGATTTTAAGTCAGTTTGTTTTAGACAATGTGTAGTTTGATCATATTTTAAAAAAATCTATTCTGAAGCTGGGTGGTTGACACCTGTAATCCCAGCACTTTGGGAGGATCTCTTGAGCCCAGGCCTTGGAGACCAGCCTGGTCTACAAAGTGAGACTCCGTTTCTACAAAAAAAATTAAAAAAAAAAAAATAGTTGGGTGTGGTGGTGTGCGCTGTGGTTCCAGCTACTTGGGAGGCTGAGGCAGGAGGATCCCTTGAGCCCAGGAAGTCAAGGGTGCATTGAGTCCTGTTTGTGTCACTGCACTCCAGCCTGGGTGACAGAGCAAGACCCTGTCTAAAAAATAAATAAATCAATCAAATCCATTCTGCCAGCCTCTGTCTTCTGATTGGTGAGTTCAAGCAATTATCATTTAAAGTAATCACCAACAAGGAAACACTTCTGCCATATTGCATTTTGTTTTCTGTATATTGTATACCTTCTTTGGTCCCATATTCCCTTTATTACTGCCTTCTTTGTGTTTCATTTTTTTTTTTTTTTTTCAAGACCAAAGTCTTGCTCTGTTGCCCAGGCCAGAGTGTAGTGGTATGATCTTGGTTCACTGCAACCTCCTCCTCCTGGGTTCAAGCAATTCTCATGCCGCAGCCTCCCAAGTAGCTGGGACTACAGGCACGTGCCACCACACCCAGCTAATTTTTGTGTCTTTAGTAGAGATGGTGTTTTGCCATGTTGGCCAGGCTCGTCTTGAACTCCTGGCTTCAAGTGATCCACCCATTTCGGCCTCCCAAAGTGCTTGAGATTACAGGCATGAGCCGACCACACCTGGCCTGATTTTTATATTTTTATTATTTTATATTATATATTATTCCCTTCTCATTTCCTTCTGTGTACATTTTTAAGATATTGTCTTTGTAATTAAACATGAGGATTACTTTCACTTTCTAAATTCATGACAATCTAGTTTAAATTGATTCCCTCATAACTTCAATATCATATGAAAACCTTGCTTCTACCTAGCACCTTACTCATCCCCTTTATGTTGTCACAGATTATGTCTTTATACATTGTGTGCCCATAATGTAAATTTATATTTAGTTCTTATCCATTTGTCTTTTAAGTCCTGCAGGAAGTAAAAAAATGGAGTTACAAAGCAAACATAATGACCCTGGCTTTTATATTTGTCTATATAGTTAACTTTATTGGAAGTCTTTATTTTTTCCTCCAGATTTGAGTCTAGTTTCTTTTTATTTCATCTTGAAAGACACCTTTTAGTGTTCCCTGTATAGCAGGCCTAGTAGTAACAAACTCAGCATTTGTTTATCTGGGATTATCTTCATTTCTCTTTCATTTTGAAGGACAGTTTTACCAGCTAGAGAATTCTCAGATGATAGTGTTTTTCTTTCAGGAATTTATATATGTCATCCATCTGTCTTCAGGCCTTCAATTGATTTCTGCGGAGATATGAGCTCCTGATATTAATGAGGGTCTCTTGTAAAGTAAAAATGCCACAAAACTTTCCCACCATTTGAAGTCGCCTTTTTCCTGATTTAGCATTCACTTGGTTACTGTAAACCTTTAATTATTTTCCAGAGTTCTAACAAGGTTGGTTTTTATAGTTCTTTTTTTTTTTTTGGTGTTTCTGTGTGGGGACAGTTGGGAGCTGTGTACTCCACCATTTGATTATGTCACTCAACACTGTTAAGTGAATGGACCAGTTGTCCATTCGAGAACAACAACAAAATGAGATATGCAAAGAAACAGGAAAAATGTGACCCATGCACAGGACTATCAATAGGCAACACAATAATAACTGCCATTTTAGTTGGCAGAAACTGGGTTGTCTGGTGCAGATCAATGTATATTGTGTAATTTGAGGAAGAGCCAGTAAAATAATGAAAAATGAACAAAACCTTGGGAAACGGATATCATTAGGTGCACCAGCATACACAAACGGGAGTATCAATATGAGAGAATAGAAAGGGAAAGAAAAATTTTTTGAAGAATTCGCAGAAACGCCCATAATTTGTTGAAGAAAACTAATATATTCATCCAAGAAGCTCAGCAAACTCATAGGAGGATAAATGCAAAGAGACTTATACCCAGACACGTCATAATGAAAGATGTTTTTATCATGCTCTTATTTGACCTGCCTTATAAAAGTGATAATACAAGTGCTGGTGAAGATTTAGAGAAACTGAATTATTCATACATTTTTGATGGTAAGTAAAATGCTACAGTCATTCTAGAAAATAGTTTGTCAGTTCCATTTAAAACTAAAAACAAACTTAGCATGTGAACCACTAGTTACACTGTTAGACATTTATCCTTGAGAAATAAAAACTTAATGTTCCATCAAAAAAATTTTATAGCAGTTTTATGGGTCATAGCCCAAACCCGAATAATCCAGATGTTCTTGAATGGATAAATAATGTGTAGTGTGTCCATACCATGAAGTGTTACCCAGTATTAAAATGGAATGAATGACTAATACATGTAACATTATGGATGAATCTCAAGAGATTAAGCTGAGTTTTAAAAAACCCAATCTCAAAAATTTACATGTTTGTTCTGGTCCACCCCATAGAGTTGGGATGAACCCTCCTGCCCCCTACGCTTGGTTTAGGTATCAAAACTGGTAATGATATCAAGAGTGTAAAAAAGAGTTTATTACTTATACACACAGGTTTCTAGGGAGACCAGAGAAGGCTCCTAAGCAGGTCTAAATGTGGATTGAGAAAGAAGGGAGAAGAATGGCTGCTTGTCATTAGGAATTTGGGGTAGGGTGAGCACACACAAAAAGGATGGAGTTTGTGTGGTTTCAGTTTCCTACTGGCATTGAGGGAGGGACCACCTAGGCTTTATTATTGGCTTGCCCAAATGTAGGGTAAGAGGGGAGATGGGTGGGATTTGAAATCTATTAGCCAATTATCACAAATGCAGTTAGGCTGTTTATCATAATACCTCATGATCTGTTATTTGTGTAACAGTTTTGAAATGACAGCATAGAGATGGAGAACAGATTCGTGGTTGCCAGCGTTAGGAAGGCAGAGAGGGTGGGAGATGGCTGTAGTTACCATGTGTGGGATCCTGGTGATGGGACTGTTCTGTATCCCCAGTGTTGTGATTTTCACAAAAATCTATACCTGTGGCAAAATTTATAGAACTAAATATACACAACTAATGCATGTGAAACTTGTGAAATCTGAATAAGATTGATTGAATGAATCAATGTCAGTTTTTGGTTGATATTGGACTGTAGTTCTGCAAATTGTTACCATGGAGAAAACTGGGTGAGGGGTATACAGAATCTTCTCATTATTTCTTCCAGCTGCATGTCAATTCAAGAATTGCCTCCAGGCTGGGTGCGGTGGCAAATGCCTGTAATTTCAACACTTTGGGAGGCCAAGGTGGGTGGATCACTTGAGCTCAGGAGTTTGAGACCAACCTGGGCAACATGGTGAAACCCCATCTCTACAAAAAGTAAAGACATTAGCCAGGTGTGGTGGTGCGTGCCTGTGGTCCCAGCTACTTGGGAAGCTGAGGTGGGAGGATCGCTTAAGCCCAGGAGGTCAAGGCTGCAGTAAGCTGTGATGGCACCATTTGACTCCAGCCTGGGTGACAGAGTGAGACCTTGCCTCAAAAAAAAAAAAAAAAAAAAAAAAAAAAAGAGAAAAAATGAACAATTTTCTTCAAATAAAAAGTTTTGTAAATTGCTTACCAACTATAAATAATTCAGCTTCTTAATCTTTAATAAAGATAATAGACAGGCTGGGTGCGTTGGTTCATGCCTGTAATCCCAGCACTTTGGGAGGCTGAGGTGTGCAGATCACGAGGTCAGGAGATGGAGACCATCCTGGCCAACATGGTGAAACCCCGTCTCTACTAAAATACAAAAAATTAGCCGGGCATGATGGTGCGCACCTGTAGTCCCAGCTACTCAGGAGGCTGAGGCAGGAGAATTGCTTGAATCCGGGAGGCGGAGGTTGCAGTGAGCCGAAATGGTGCCACGACACTCCAGCCTGGCGACAGAGCGAGACTCCATCTCAAAAAATAAAATAAATGTAATGGACAAAAACATATTGTACACTATTTGTTGAAAAATCATAGCACACTTTCTATATGAGAGATGCTGGATCTCTTGTATCACCAGTTTTACAGAATCACATAGAGGATCTACTGTCCATTACACAGACAAGAAAAAAATAATAAAACATAAAGGTTGGGAAGTCAAATTTTCATTTTGTGTGCAGACGATTTGATTATCTGTACAAGCAAAAGTAAATGTTACATAGAAGTGATTTAAATTACTAAAAAAATTAGTGAGGTGGTTGGCTGTAAGAACAATGCATATCAGTTGTGTTATTTATACACCACAAAACAGGTATATAAGAAACAATTTTCTGGAGAATTATATGAGATATAATTCACATACTGTACTCTTCACCAATTTTATGTGTATAAATCAATCACTGTTAGTGTATTTGCAGGATTGTGCAACCTTCCTGACAAATTTTTTTATTTTTTTTTAATATGGAGTTTCACTCTGTCACCCAGGCTGGAGTGCAGTGGCATGGTCTCAGCTCACTGCAACCTCTGCCTCCCGGATTCAAGCCAATTCTCCTGCCTTAGTCTCCTGAGTAGCTGGGATTACACAGCCTCCTGAGTAGCTGGGATTACAGTTGCATGCCCCCACACCCAGCTGATTTTATATTTTCACCATGTTGGCCAGGCTGGTCTCAAAACTCCTGACCTCAGATTATCCACGCACCTCAGCCTCCCAAAGTGCTGAGATTACAGGCGTAAGCCACCGCACCCAGCCGACAATTGTTTTTTTGAGGCAGAATCTTACTCTTGTCTCTCAGGCTGGAGTGCAGTGGCGTGATCTCGGCTCACTGCAGCTTCCACCTCCTGGGTTCAAGCGATTCTCCTGCCACAGCCTCCCGAGTAGCTGGGATTGCAGGCATGCACCACTATGCCCAGATAATTTTTTGTATTTTTAGTAGAGACAGGGTTTCACTGTGTTGGCCAGGCTGGTCTGGAACTCCTGACCTCAAGTGATCTGCCTGCATAGGCCTCTCAAAGTGCCAGGATTATAGGCGTGAGGCACTGCACCCAGCCGACAATGTTTCTTAGAACATTGTCATCATCCCTGAAACAAAGCCAATATCCATTAGCAATTACTTTCTCTTTCCCCTTTCCTGTAGCCCTTGGCAACCAAAATTGAATTTTCTGTCTGTGTGGATTTGCCTAATCTGGATGTTTCATAAAAATGGGACTGCATGTGACCTTTTCTGCCTGGCTGCTTTTTCTTAGCATAACATATTCAAGGTTCATCCATGTTGTAGCATGTATCAATATTTCACTTGTTTTTTATTACCATATAACATGGTATATAGGTATACTACATTTTATGTATCCATTTGTCAGTGGATGGACATTTGGTTTTAGTTCTACTTCTTGACTATTATGAATAATTCTGCTGTAATTGTTCATGTATAAGTTTTCACATGGACATGTATTTTCAGTCATTTCAGATATATACTTAGAAGTAGAATGCTGGTTATATGGTGTCTCTGTGTTTAACTTTCTTGGGAACTGCCTGATTGTTTCTCATAGTAGCCACAGTACTTTACAGTCCTGCCAGCAATGCATGAATTTTCCAGTTTCTCCAGTTTGCCAACACTTTTTATTAATATTATTGTTATTATTTATTATACCAATCCAGTAGTTGTAAAGAGGTATCTCATTGTGGTTTTTTGCATTTCCTAATGGCTAATGATGTTGAATGTCTTTTTTTTTTTCTTTTTGAGATGGAATCTCGCTCTGTTGCCCAGGCTGGGGTACAGTGGCACGATCTCAGCTCACTGCAGCCTCTGTCTCCTGGGTTCAAGCAATTCTCTGCCTCAGCCTCCTGAGTAGCTGGGATTACAGGTGCCCACCACCACGCCTGGCTAATTTTTGTATTTTTTGTGGAGATGGGGTTTCACCATGTTGGCCAGGCTGGTCTTGAACTCCTGACCTCATGATCCACCCGCCTTGGCCTCCTAAAGTGCTGGGATTACAGGTGTGAGCCACTGCTCCCGGACTGATGTTGAACATCTTTTTATGCACCTGTTGGCTATTTATGTATCTCCTTTGTCTATTTAAAACATTCACTTTATTTCATGACTTACAGAAAAATTGGGGAGGTAGTAGAGAGAATTGCCATTAACCCAGTTTCTGCTGTTATTAACATATTAGGGTGGTATGTTTGCAACAGCTGTTGAACCAACATTGGTACATGATTATTGACTAAAGTCCATATTTTTATTTAGTGTCTGCTGATTTTTACCTAATGTCCTTCTTTGTTCCAGGATCCCTTCCAGGGCACCATATTACATTTAGTTGTTATGTCTCTTTAGGCTCCTCTTGGCTATGGTGGTTTCCCAGACTTTCCTTGTTTTGGATGACCTTGACAGTTTGGAGGAATCCTGGTGAGGTATATATAAATTCCACTTATTGGAATGTATCTAATGTTTTTCTCAAGATAAGACTGGAATTATAGATTTTGGGGAAAAAGGCCACAGTAGTAAAGTACCTTTTTTGTCACATTATATCAAGCATGCATACTGTCACCATGTTTTATGACTTTTGATGTTGGCCTTAAATGTCTTGGCAAACATACAGTTTGTCCACTATAAAGTTACATCTTCTTCCTATTTTCCATATTGTACACATCGGAACAATGTTACTCTGCACAACTCACACGTAAGAAGTGGAGATTTATGAATTTTGTTGCTGTTGTTTTTTAGAGCACTTTCTTTCTGTCACTGCAAGATGGTCCAGGCTTATCTTATATATTTCCTTTCTGAAATCAGTCACCATTTCTTCAGGTAACCCTGTTTCCTTTTATTTGAGAATGGTATTAGAAACCAAGATAGGGGCTAATGGTGTGCTTACAGCAGTAGGGTGTGGCTGTCTCAGCTGACAGAACAGGGAAACACACATGTGCATAAACCATGTAATATACTTACTTATATAGTTCTACATGTAACCATCTGTATCTCTCTTAAGCTAAACATGTGTTTATACTTAAACCTTCAACTCTTTATTACCACATGGATCATTTTAGCTTTCTTCCCTTGCTTCAGTGTAAATTGCCATACCCAACAGTAAGAAATCTGGCTCTAACTATCCATCATCTATTTAGTTTCTTTCCTTTTTTTTTTTTTTGAGAGAGAGTCTCGCTCTGTCACCCAGGTTGGAGTGCAGTGGTGTGATCTTGGCTCATGGCAACTTCTGCCTCCTGGGTTCAGGTATTTCTCCTGCTTCAGCTTCCCAAGTAGCTGGGGCTACAGGTGCTTACCACCATGCCCAGCCAATTTTTGTGTTTTTAGTAGAGATGGGATTTTGCCATGTTGTACAGGCTGGTCACGAACTCCTGATCTTTTAGGTAGTCCACCCACCTCGGCCTCCCAAAGTGCTGGGATTAAAGGTGAGAGCCACCATGCCTGGCCTTCCATTTACCTTCATTATTCTTTCCCTGTATACATGTATAGCACTGCCAGAATTGTTAATCATACCCATGTGGAAAATAATTTTATAATTTTATCAACTAAAATATAGTACTTATGTGCAGACCTGCCTTTAGTCTCACAGACTTCTATCTCTTTCCAAAGCAATTAAGGTCAAGACTTCCTCCTGCATTGAAGGGGGTCCTTCATTGATACTATTTTTTGCATTTGTAATGCAATTAGATGGTTTTGGTACAGGATGCCTTTATTCCTGGCTTCTTCTTAACCCATGACTTAGGTGAAATGGGTAATTCCTTGAAATACACAAACTGCCAAGACTTACACAGAAGAAATAAACCATTCAAATGGACCAATATCAGTTAAATAAATTGAATCCATAAAGCTTTCAGAAAAGAAAGAAAGAAAATAAATTATCAGACTCTTTTGGTTTCATTGGTGATTTCTGTGCAATATTTAAGGAAGAAATATACCAGTTCTCTACAGTGTCTTTCAGAAAAGAGATGCAAAGGGAACCTTCCTAACACTTTTTTAAAAGGCTATTTTTTCTCTAATCCTAAAAGCATATGAAGACCTTGTGAAGAAGAAAAACCGCACACTAATATCCCTTATGAATGTAGATGCAAAAATCCAAGTAGAATACAACATCTTATAAAAATAATTAGATGCCATGACCACTCAAGGCTGGTCAGAGTTTGAAAATCAATTAATCTGGCTGGGTGCAGTGGATTACGCCTGTAATCCCAGCACTTTGGGATGCTGAGGTGAATGGATCACCTGATGTGAGGAGTTCGAGACCAGCCTGGCCAACGTGGTAAAACCCTGTCTCTATTAAAAATACCAAATAAGCTGGGCGTGGTGAAGCACGCCTGTATTCCCAGCTCCTCTGAAGGCTGAGGCAGGAGAATCGCTTAGAACCTGGAACGCAGAGGTTGCAGTGAGCTGAGATTGCATCACTGCACTTCAGACTTGGTGACAGAGCAAGACTCTGTCTCAAAAAAAAAAAAAAAAAAAATCAACTTCTGTAACCTGCCACGTCAACAGGCTACAGAAGAAAACTGTATCATGTCAATTGATGGACAAGAAGCATTCAACACCCATTCATGATAAAACTCAGCAAACTAGGAATAGAGAAGAACTTCCTCAACTTGATAAAAAAAAAAAATCTGCAGGAAACCTACTGCTAAGATCATACTTAGTGGTGAGACACTGGATACTTTCTCCCTAAGATAAGGAAACAAGATGTCCTGTCTCTTCACTCTTACTCAACATCTCATTGGAAATTGTAGGTAATGCCATAAGACAACAAAATAAGAGGCATACAGATGGGAAAGGAAGAAATAAAACTTTCTGTGTTTGTACAGGCATGATTGCCTAAGGAGAAAATTCTAAAGAACTCCCAAAACTGTTAAGTCTTTATAGCCAAGTTGGAGGATAGAAGCTTAATAGAGAAAAATCAATTCCTTTTTTCATTATGTAGTTGTGTTATGTGTCCTTTTATTGTTGAGTTGTAAGAGTGTTTTACATATTCTGTGTACAAGTTGCTAATTACATATATTATTAGCCAGTATTTTTCTCCCATTTGTGGGTTGGCATTTTGTTGTCTTTACTTTGTACTTGGTAGCAAAAGAGTTTTTCATTCCATGAAGTCTAATTTGTTTTTTCTTTTGTTGCTTGTATTTTTGGTACTTTATCTAAAAGGGCTTTGTCTATCCCTAGGGCATGAAGATCCACTCCTATATTTTCTTTAAGTAATGGCTTTTAAATGTAGACCTGTGATCCATTTTCAGTTAGTTTTTGTATATGGTGTGAGGAAAGGAATAATTTTGGTTGTTTTTCATACAAATATTCAGTTGTCTCAGCATCATTTCTTGAAAAGGTGATTTTTCTTTTTTCTCTTTTTTTTTTGAGACGGAGTCTCACTCCGTCACCCAGGCTGGAGTGCAGTGGCATGATCTTGGCTCACTGCAACTTCTGCCCCCCAGGTTCAAGCATTTCTCCTGCCTCAGCCTCCCAAGTAGCTAGGATTACAGGCATGTGCCACCACACTTGGCTAATTTTTTTTGTATTTTTAGTAGAGATGGGATTTCACCATATTGGCCAGGCTCGAACTCCTGACCTTGTGATCTGCCTGCCTCAGCCTCCCAAATTGCTAGGATTACAGGCGTGAGCTACCACGACCAGCCAAAAAGGGGATTTTTCAGCATTAAGTTTTCTTGGCATCATTGTTGAAAATTAACTGAACATAATATATTGTAGTGTTTATTTATGAATTCTCAATTTTATTTCACATGTTTACCTCTATGCCACTATCATGCCATCTTGATTATTGTAATTTTGTAGCAAATTTTCAAATTGAGAAGTGTATGTCTTCTAACTTTCTACTTCTTTTTAAAGATTGTTTTGATTATATTCAGCTCCCTAAATTTCCACATGAAATTTTAGACCAGCTTGTTAGTTTCCTCAAAAAGGCAGATGGGATTTTGGTAAGGATTGTGTTGAATTTAGATATTAATTTGGCAGTTATTGCCATCTTAACCATATGAATGCAATTCAGTGCCTTTCCATTTATTTAGGCTGTCTTTAATTACTTCCATCATTGTTTTGTGGTTTTCAGACTACAAGCTCTGTATTTCCTTGATTAAAGTTACAAGTATTTTATTCTTTTTGATGCTATTGTAAATGGAATTTACTTATTTATTTATTTATTGAAACAGAGTTTTGCTCTTATTGCCCAGGGTGGAGTGCAATGGCGCGATCTTGGCTCACTGCAACCTCTGCTTCTGGGATTCAAGCGATTCTGCTGTCTCAGCCTCCCAAGTAGCTAGGACTACAGGCACATGCCATCATGCCTGGCTAACTTTTTTGTATTTTTAGTAGAGACAGGGTTTCACCATGTTGGCCGGGCTGGTCTCAACCTCCTGACATCAGGTGATCCAGCCACCTCGGCATTCCAAAGTGCTGGGATTACAGGCTTGAGCCATTATGCCTGGCCGGAATTCTTTTTAAAATTTCATTTATGATTTGTTTGTTGTTAGTGAACTTGCACCCTACAACATTGTTGAACTCTTTTATTAGTTTTAATAGTGTTTTAGTAGATTCTTTAAGATTCTCTATATGCATGAGCAGTCAACTGCAAATACATATAGTTCCACTTTTTTTTTTCAATCTGAATTCCCCTTCCCCTTGCTTGTGTTGACTACAATCTGCTGTGTGATGTGTAACTGGCAAGAAGGCATTCTTATCTTGTTTTTGTTCTTAGAGTAAAATCATTGTACCTTTCATTATTTAGTATGATGTTAGTGGTGGACTTTTTGTAGATGCCTTTAATCAGGCTCAGGAAGTTTAACTGTATTCCTGGTTTGTTGATTGTTTTTATAGAGAAGATGGGCATTGGATTGTGTTAAATGCTTTTTCTCTGTATACTGAGATGATCATGTGGTTATTGTTTCTTTTCTGCTTATGTGATGTATTAGTTGATTTTCAAATGATAAACCAAACTTGCCTTACTAGTATAAATCCCCTTTGATCATTGTATGTAATCCTTTTTATATACTACTAGATGAAATTTGCTAGTATTTTGTTGAGGATTTATAGGTCTGTAATCATGACACATGCATTTGTAGTTTTTTCATGTCTGATTTTGGTACCAGGGTAGTAATGGGATCATAGAATGAGCTGGCAAGTGTTTCTTCTTATTTTCTTGGAGTTTTTGAGTAATTGATACTTCTTTTTAAATGTTTGATAAAATTCTCCAGTGAACCATATGGACCTGGGTTTTGTTTTTGTTTTTGTAATGGGAAGTTTTCTTGTTTGTTTTTTGTCTTTTTTGAGACAGAGCCTCACTATATTGCCCAGGCTGGAGTGCAGTGGTGCAGTCATGGCTCACTGCAGCCTGACTTCCCAGGCTCAGGCAATTTTCCCACCTCAGCCTCCCAAGTAGCTGGGACTACAGGCATATGCCACCACATGCAGCTAATTTTTTGTAATTTTTTTATAGAGAGGGGGTTTCACCATGTTGCCTGGGCTGGTCTCAAACTCCTGAGTTCAAGTGATCTGCCTGCCTTGGCCTCCCAAAGTTGTAGGATTACAGGCATGAGCCACTGCATCCCACCTGTAATGGCGAGTTTTAAATTTACAACTTCAATCTTTTTACTTGTGTAGGTCATTTCAGATTTTTCTTTTTCTTCTTGAGTTGGTTTTAGTCGTTTTTGTTTTATGGATTTTTCCATTTTGTTGAAGTTAAATAATTTGTTGACATACATTGTTCATACCATTCTTTGTAATTATTTTTATTTCTGTAAGAGTACTAGTAATACATCGTTAATCCCTACATTTAGTAATTTGAATCTTCTTTTTTTTTTTTTCCATTGTCAGTCTAATTAGAGGTTTGTATATTTTGTTGATCTTTTCCAGGAATCTGCTATTTTTCTGTTCTCTAGTTCACTAATTTTTACTCTATAATCTTTCTGCTTTCCTTCCTGCCTTCTTCTTGCTTTGAGTTTGTATTGCTGCTCCTGTCCAGTGTTTTAAGGTGGAAAATTAGTTTATTGATTTGAGATCTTTTTTAATATGGTTATTACAGCTACAAATCTCTCTCTAAGCATTGCTTTATCTGTGTTCCATAAGTTTGAGTATGTCTTCATTTTTACCTCATAGCATTTTTTCTAATTTGCCTTCTTATTGCTTCTTTGACTTTTTTTTTAACTTTGGAATGTATTATATAATTTGTGCATGTTTGTGCATTCTCAAAATTCCTTTGTCTTACTGATTTGTAATTTCCACTGTGGTCAGAGAATCGTTTTAAATTTATTCTGGGGAATGTTTCATGTGTACTTTTAAAGAATACCTGTTCCACTGTTTTCAAGTGGAATGTTCTGTCTATATCTCTTAGATCTGGTTGCTTTAGAGTGTCATCTATATCTTCTGTTTCCATGTTTATATTGTGCCCAGTTGTCCTAACCATTATTGAAAATGGGTTATTACAGTTTGCAATTAGTATCATAGACTTGTGTATTTTTTCTTTTAATTCTGTCAGTTTTTGCTACGCGTACTTTGAGGCTCTGTTAGTAGTATATATGCTTAGAATTGTTATGTCTCCTTTATCGATTGACCCTTTTATTGTTATATTAATAAAATTCCCCTCTTTATCCTTAGTAAAATTTTTGTGTTAAAGTGTATTTTGTGTGATATTAGGATAGCTACTCCAGCCTTATTGGTGCCATGTGCCTGATATATCTTTTTCTGTTTTCAAATTTTCAACCTGTTTGTATCTATCTCTTATAGATAGCACATGTTTGGACTTTCACACTTTCAACAACCTGAGAATTGTTGCTTTTTGATTGGATTTTCAAATCATTCCCTTTTTCCTGTCGTTATTGCTATACAGATGGTTCCTGACTTACAATGGTTTGACTTATGATTTTTTAACTTTTCAATGGGTTTATTGGGTTTGAAACCCCTTTGTATTTTCAGGATTTACAAAGGTTCAACTTAACTATTTTTTCTGACTTTACTAGAATGTGTTCCCATTTTAAGTGGAAAAACAATATTTTCAACTAATTTGACTATTATCAGGATGTAACTTGATCATAAGTCAAGGAGCATCTGTAGTTGGATTTACCTCTGCCATTTTTGTTTTCGGTCTCGTGCTTTTTTGATACTCTATTCCTTTTATTTCTGCTTTCTTTTACATGACATGAATATATTTTATTATTTTTATAGGTTTTGAGGGTACAAGTGCAGTTTTGTTACCCAGACATATCACATAGAGATGAAGTCTGGGCTTTTAGTGTGGCCATCAGCATAATAGTATACATTGCACCCATCAGGTAATTTCTTATCCTTCACCCACCTCCCCACCCCTCCAAGTCTCCAGTGTCTCTCATTCCACTCTCTATGTTTGTTTATGTGTACACAACGTGAAATGAATATATTTTAGTATAACGTTTTAATTTTTAAAATTACTATGTCTCTTTGAAAATTTATTTACCTAGTGGTTGCTCTAGAACTTACCTAATAAATCTTACCTTATCAAAATCTACTTCAGATTTCTACTACCTTAACTCTAGTAAAATACAGAAACATTACCTATATATAGCTCTATTTCCTCTTCTCCATTTGTTATTTTTATATATATTGCATATATATTTAAAACCCAACAATACATTGTTATACAGGCTGAGCATCCCAAATCTGAAAATCTCAAATGCTCCAAAATCTGAAACTGAGTGCCAACATGCTCAACATGCTCAAAGGAAATGCTTGTTGGAGCATTTCAGATTTTAGATTTCTGGATTTGGGAAGCTCAACCAGTAAGTATAATGTAAATATTCCAAAATTTGGAAAAAACTCTAAAGTCAGAAACACTTTTGATGCCAAGCATTTCAGATAAGAGATACTCAACCTGTAATTGTAACTTTATGTCATTTGATGTCTTTTTTTTTTTTTTTTACTTTAAGTTCTGTGATACATGTGCAGAACATGGAGGTTTGTTACATAGGTATATGTGTGCCATGGTGGTTGACCCATCCTCTTAAGTTTCTTCCCCTTGCCCCCAACCCCTCAATAGGCCCCAGTGTGTGTTGTTCCCCTCCCTGTGTTCATGTGTTGATGTCTTTTAAAGAAGCTGAAAGAAAGATAGGAAGTATCTATTTGTAGAGTTTGGTATACTAACCTTATTCTTCATTTCTGCTTTAATTCATTTGTTTGTGTGGATTCAGACTTAACATCTAGTGTAATTTCCTTACTCCAGTACAGATCTGTACCTATTTTTTTTCCCCCTGAGATGGAGTCTCGCTTTGTTGCCCAGGCTGGAGTGCAGTGGCACGATCTGGGCTCACTGTAACCCCTGTCTCCTGGGTTCAAGTGATTCTTCTGTCTCAGCCTCCCGAGTTGCTAGGATTACAGGCATGCGCCACCACACCCAGCTAATTTTTGTGTTTTTAGTAGAGATGGGGTTTCATCATGTTAGCTAGGCTGGTCACGAACCCCTGACCACAGATGATCTGCCCGCCTTGGCCTCCCGAAGTGCTGGGATTACAGGCATGAGCCACCACACCCAGCTGCTCTGCTTATTTTTTTTGCTTTATTCTTTTTTTTTTTTTGCTTTATTATTTGTTTCCTTGTTTATCAATGTATTTCTTTTTTTTGAAACAGGGTCTCTCTGAGTCCTTGAGGCTGGAGTGCAGTGGTAGAATCGCAGCTCATTGCAGCCTCAACCTCCTGGACTCAAACAATACTCCCACCTCAGCCTCCTGAGTAGCTGAGACTATAGGTGTGTGCCACTATGCCCGGGTAATTAAACACATTTTTTTTTAGAGATAGGGTCTCAGTATGTTGCCTAAGCTGATCTTGAACTCCTGGGTTTAAGTGATTCTCCTGCTTCAGCCTCCCAAAGTGTTGGGATTACTGGCGTGAGCCACCATGCCTAGCCTGCCTTATTGTTAAATATATTGCATTTCTATATGTTATAGGTCCAACAATACAATTATAAACATTGACTTATACATATTTGCTTATTAAATTGGGTAGGAAAAGAAAGGAGAAAAAGTGTGCCTTTTTTACTCTCTCGTATCATTGCCTTTACCCACAATAATTGTGGATTTGATCTAGTGTTTGGAGTCACTTGTTTTCACCCTAAAGAACTTCTTTTCTTTCTTTTATTGTTAGTCTACTAGCAATGGATTCTCAAGTTTTTTTGGTTTCTATTTGTTTTTTAATTTGAGGATTTTAAATTTTCACCCTCTGTTTTGCAAATAGTTCTGCTATTTTAGGTGACAAGTTATTAACAAAAATTTTTTTTCAGTACACTGAATATGTCATCCTGCCTCCTTCTGGCCTCTACTGTCTCTGAAGAGAAGTCATATGTTAATCTTAGGACATTCCCTTCATGTGAGGAGTTGTATTTCTCTTGATGCTTTCAGGATTTTCTCTTCGTCAACAGATTTGCAAGTTTTTGGCCTCTTTTTTTTTTTTTTTTTTTAAATTTAATGCAGCACTTCATGAACTTCTCTGTCTTTCTTGTGTAGCTACTGTGCTAATCTTCTTGGTATTGTTCCAGTTTTAGTGTATGTGTTGCAAGGTGAGCATAGCCATTCGTTTGAATATTTTTTCTGCTACTTGATATTTTTCCCCTCCTTCTGGTACTTCTATTATGAATATATTGGTGTAGTTAATGGTATTCCTCATTTTTTGAGGGTTTCTTCATTTTTCCTCACTCTTATTTCTCTCTGTTCTTCAGATTACTTAATCTCTATTGATCCATCTTCAAGTTTACTGATTATTTTGCCAGCTACAACCTCTCTTTTCTTTCTTTTTTTTTTTTTGAGATGAAATTTCACTCTTGTTGCCCAAGCTGGAGTGCAGTGGCACTATCTCATCTCGCTGCAACCTCTGCCTCATGGGGTCAAGCGATTCTCCTGCCTCAGCCTCCAGAGTAGCTGGGATTATAGGTATGTGCACTACCACACTCAGCTAACTTTTTTGTATTTTTAGTAGAGACCCCGGGGTTTCACCATGTTGGTCAGGCTGGTCTCGAACTCCTAGACGTCAGGTGATTTGCTTGCCTTGGCCTCCCAGAGTGCTGGGATTACAGGCGTGAGCCACCCCACCTGGCCAAGTCTTTTGTTGAGTCATTCTAGTGAGTTTTCCATTGCAGTTATAATTTTTGAATCCAGAATTTTCATTGTATTCTTTTCTGTCTTCTTACTAATATTTTTCTGTTTGATGAGACATCATCATACCTCCCTTTTCTAAATAGTGTTTCCTTATGAACATATTTATTTTTATTTTTATTTTTAATTTTGATACAGTCTTGCTGTGTCACCCAGGCTGGAGTTCAGAGGCATGATGTCAGCTCACTGCAACCTCTGCCTCCCAGGTTCAAGCCATTCTCTTGCCTCAGCCTCCAGAGTAGCTGGGATTACAAGTGCTGGCCACCACACCCAGCTAATTTTTGTATTTTTAGTAGAGACAGGGTTTTACCATGTTGGCCAGGTTGGTCTTGAACTCCTGACCTCAGGTGATCCACCTGCCTCAACCTCCCAAAGTATTGGGATTACAGGCGTGAGCCACTGCACCTGGCCTGAACATATTTAAAATAAGTGCTTTGAGGTCAGCTAAGTCTGATATCTGGATCTTCTCAAGGGCAGTTGCTGTTGCCTGCCATTTTTCCTGTATATAGATGACAGTCTCCTGTTTCTTTGTATGTGTTGTAATTTTTTTGTTGAAGAATAGACATTGTAGAGAATACTTTGTACTTTCTCTAGATACTGATTCCTCTATTCTCTCTAGGGCTTGTTGTTGTTTCTTATTTATTTAGGCAACTTGACTACTATTTGAGAGAAGCTTTTTCACTCCCATTGGGTTCTCACTGATGATGCTTGTCAGAGGGCCCTGCCTTAGAAATGCACACTATCTTTAGCATGGCAGTGGTGTTAACAGTGCTCTCTTTGAGTGAATCTTTCTGTGATTGCTGTGTTAGCCTGTCTGCCTCTGTTGCTGTTACACTTTGCTGATAGCCGCTACTGATTGCTGACATATTGCTCTATTGTTTTCAACACTGTCCTGGACCATATGTTGCTCTTAGTTTGCTCTTGTTAAATTTGGGTTCCTTCTAGAGGGCTGTCTTTGAGGCTTTGAGTTTGCTTTTTATGTTGCCATTCTGAAAGTCACCTCCTAGAAAACATAAATTTAAAAATCATGACTGTGGAAAATCTGTGTATGTATTTGTATGAGTGTTTCTGGTAGATAGGAAGACATCTAATTGCCCTGGATGTCTCTTCTTAGGCATCTCTTTCCCTTGCTCTCTCCAGTAAACTTTCAGTTGGTCTGTGGTTTAGCTTGTTGCTGTCATAGAACTGCTACCCTCTTCTTAATTGGTTATCATTGAATTTCCATTCTTTTTGAGGGTGATCTTAGGCTTGCACTCACCCAAACTCTGTTCTGAACAAAGTGAGTTTTCTGGAGGAGAGTTTTGGAACTCTCTGTCCTTACAGCTGGCCCTAGGTGAGAGTCCTGCTCCATTATTCGGGATCTGGAGGCTACAGCAGTGTTTTGCTTTTCTCTGGGTGGGTGATACTGTGCTTTATGATCAGGGATCTGGATTGGGGCAGTAGTCTCTGGTCTTCTTGGTTTCTTTTGGAATCTCTTCTCAATGACCTAGGTAGGCATTGTACTCCACTATTCTCAGACTGCCATGACTGGGCTGGATATTTTAATTGGGGTGGTGGAGGAAGCTGGCTCAAGGCCTTTTGGCAGTTCTTTCCTAGAATTTGAAGCTGTGGGGGTTGAGGAGCACTGGTGGCTTGCAGGAGATAGATGCACACAGAGAGAGGCCTGGAGATCTGTAAAGGGGCCTCCATGAATGTTCAGCAAAGTACTAATCAGCTCATGTATATGAGGAAATGAGTGAAATAACTTTTGAAAAGAATCAGAGGGAACAGTACACAGTACTCACATAGGGCCTGGAGAAGGACTGATCCTGCCAGCCAGCGTGGAAAAACTCATAATTCAGAGTATTGGGTAGAGTGTTCAGAAAGGTCTTTTCTCCGTGGTGAGGAGTAATGTGCCCCAAACTGAGCACTGCTCCAGATTTGCCTAAGAAATCATAAAAGCAAGACCTGAAAGTGTCACATTGTTTCCAAGTGACTTAAGTGCATCCTAGAACAAAGCACAAAAATACTTATAGGAAGCCAAAAGTACCCAGCATCCAACCAAGTAAAACTCTCAGTCTTCCATCCATTGAAATATTTCCAGACTTACAGACATATGGGAAAACATGAGCTTTCTCAAAGAGACTAACCAGGAAATTGAAATGGACTCAGAATTGCCATAGATATTAGAATTAACTGACAGGTTCATTGAAAACAGTGCTATAATTTGGTTCCATATGTTCTAAAACTTAAGTAGAGACACAGAAGATTAAAAAAAAAAAAACAAATCAAAATTCAGTGTAACAGAAAAGATAGAAATCAGATTTCCAGAAATGAAAACTATAATGCTTGAGATGAAAAATACATGGCCAGTCATTGGTGTCTCACACCTGTAATGCCAGCACTTTGGGAGGCCAAGGCAGGTGGATCTCCTGAGCTCAGGAGTTCGAGACCAGCCTGGGCAACATGATGAAACCTCATCTGTACCAAAAATGAAACAACAAAAAAATTAGCTGGGTGTGGTGGTGCATGCCTGTTGTCCTAGCTACTTGGGAGGCTGAGGTGGGAGGATCACTTGAGCCTTGGGAGGTGGGTGTTTCAGTGAGCCAAGATTGCACCTCTGCACTGCAGCCTGGGTGATGGAGTGAGACCCTGTCTCCCCCCAAAAAAAAAAAAAAAAAAAAAAGAATATCACATAGAGCAAGAATTAATGGCAGTTCAAAGATTGCAGAAGAATAAGATTATTGAACTTAAAAACACAGTAATAGAAGCCATACAAATGAAACAGAGAAAAAGCATATTTGAAAAATAAGCAAGCCCTTGGGCCAGTTGCAGTGGCTCATGCCTGTAATCCCAGCACTTTGAGAAGCCAAGGTGGGTGGATCACGAGATCAAGGGATCCAGACTATCTTGGCGAACGTGGCAAAACCCTGTCTCTACTAAAAATACAAAAATTAGCCGGGTGTGGTGGCAGGCACCTGTAGTCCCAGCTACTCAGGAGGCTGAGGCAGGAGAATCACCTGAACATGGGAGGCAGAAGTTGCAGTGAGGCTGAGATTGCACCACTGCACTCCAGCCTGGTGACAGTGAGACTGTGTCTCAAAAAAAAAAAAAAAAAAAAAAAAACAAGCCCATGTGAGCTTTAGGAGAACTTCAGGACTTCAGGTAGTCTCTTAACACACATGGAATTGGAGTCTCTAAAAGGAAAGTGGGAAAAGAACAGAAAACAGTATTTTGAGAATAATGAAAAAATTTCCAAATGTGTTGGGAACCTACCGATCTAAGAAGCTCGTCAAACCCTGAGCACAAGAGGCATGAAGAAAACTACACCAAGCCACATGAATCATAACCAGAATGCTCTAAATCAGTGTTAAAATGAAGTCCTCAAAGCAGCCAGAGATAAAGGACATGTTTTATGGAGGAACAAAGGCAAGGATGATAACAGATTTCTCCTTAAATGAGGCAACAGAGAAAATAGTAGAACATTATTTTTGGTTTTAAAAGCAAAAATCTCAATGTAGAGTTATATACTTGGTAAAAATAGCTATAAGAAACAGTGAAGAAATAAGGACATTCCAGTTAAACAAAGCTGAAAGATTTCCTCTCCAGCAGACCTGCATCACAAGACATGTTCTGATGTCTGATGGAAATCTGGATCTACTCAGGGGGATGAAGAACAGGAAATGTTGACTACTTGGATATGTATACAAGATATTTTTCTTTATGTAAGTCTCTAAAAAGGATATTGACTTTATACAAAAATAACATCAAATGTATTGTGGGGTTTATAACATATATTGAAAATACATGACAATCACAGCCTGAAAAGGCTATGAAAAAGAAGTAAAGTATATACTATTGGAAGATTCATATATATACTGTTACTGAAAAGTACACTGATTAAAGCTTTTATAAACATTGATGATCACAGAAAATATAAATGGTATATAACACCCCATTTAAAGGCAGAGATTTCTGGATAAGATAAATAAAAATAAGATCCAATCATGCTGCCTATAAAGGAAACATGTTAGATTCAAAGACAAATAGATAAACAAAAAGAATGGGAAAAGATGTAGAATGGTAAAATTATTCACAAGGCTGCAGTGCTGTGACAGCCAGATGAAGTAGCTTTCAGAGCCAGGAATACCAGTGATAAAGATTTTTTTTCATATTGATAGAGATCATTTCATCAAGAGGATTTAACAATCCTAAACTTAGTAACAGATTTGCAAAATATTTGAAGCAAAATCTGATAGATCTGGAAGGAGAAATAGATCCACAGTTATAATCAGAGGCTTTAGCATCCTTTTAATAATTAATAAAACAGGAAATGGAAAAGGAGCAAAGATATAATAGACTTAACCCTAAATAACTTAATTGACATTTATAAAATATTCTTCTGCACACTCCTCCCCAAATAAAACAGTGGAATATACATTCTTTTCAAGGGCAGATGAACGAATATATTAACAAAGGTAAATCACATCCTGATTGTAAAGCAAATCTTAATAAATATAAAAGGATTGAAGTCATATAGAGTATTTTCTCCCACCATAAGGGGTTTAAATTTAGTTAAATTAAACATCAATAACAGAAGTATCTATTAAATCCCTAATAGTTGGAAACTGAATATAAGTCTATGTAATGGATGCTTCAAAGAAGAATTCGAAGAGGAAATTAGAAAGTGTTTTGAACTTTGGGTTAATGAAAATGGAATTTATGGGAAATTTACATATAGGAAATTCATAGGAAATATAAAATACATACAATACTCATTGATTTCATTGTTTTCCATTTTGATCCTTAGTCCTTTTTGCTACTTACTTTTGGGTTTAATTTGCTTTTTTGTAGCTTTTTAAGGTAGAAGCACCTGAGGTCATTGATTTGAGATCTTTCTTATGCGACACAAATAAGCATTGTGTGTGTTTGTATTGTGTGCATATATATCCACCATATGTAAATGCATATATGAAGTTTCCACAATATGTAAATGCATATATGACGTTTGTCATATATGGGATATAATGTATTATGTGTAATATATATTAAATATATAATGTGTAAATTTCACATAGAGGGAATTTCATGTGTATGCATTTATACATATGTATATATGTAATATACATATGTATATATGTAATATACACATGTATGAAGTTTAACTTGTGTTGGATAAGAAGAAAGGTCTAAATCAATGGTCTTAGCTAATTCCACTTTGAGAATGTAGAAAAGAAGACAAATCCATATAATAGTAGAAGAAAGGAAATAATAAAAAACAAAATGGAGAACAATATAATCTGTAGAACCAGAAAAACAGTTGAGAAAATCGGTGAAACCAAAAGCTGTTTCATTGAGAAGATCGATAAAATGGATAAACTTCTAGGTGGAACAGATTATCAATATCAAAAATAAGAATGATGTATCACTGAAGATTCTATAGATATTATGAAGGAAGTGAGGGAATACTATACCTGTAAATTATCAGTTTGACGATTTTGATGAAATGAACAGTTTCATTCAAATAAACAGCTATTACGGCTTGCTCCAAAACAAATAGATAACCTTTCCACAAAGAAAACCCCAGGTCCCTAGATGCTTCAGTAGTGAATTCCAGCAAACAATTAATAGTACCAATTTATAAAGACTTTTCCAGAAAATTCAAGAAGAGGGAATACTTCCTAAATCATTCTTTGAGTCCAGCATTGCCCTAATAACAAAACCAGACAGAGACATTGCAAGGAAAGAAAGCTGTAGACCAGTGTCCTTCATGAACATAAATTCAAAAACACTAGTGATTAGAAACCAGTGGTATATAACAAGGTTATTAATACCTCATGACCAAGTGTGGTTAATCCCTGGCAGGCTTTTTCAACATTTGAAAAGCAGTCAGTGTAATTCCCTGTATCTCGGCCAACTTCATGGCTAGGTGACCTGTGCAGTCACACGTTGCTACACTCTTGTAAGAAGGGATCCTGTACTTCACTTAATGCCCTGCTGTTGCCATCTTGAAGTTCTTCACAGTTTTATCTTTGAACTCGTGATTTGTATGTGAAGTCTGATGGACACTGGACTATGTGTGCAAGTAGACAGGATACTTGAGAGGCAGTGCCCTACTAAGCTGTTGGTCTGTGTAGTATGGCCTGGGAGTGTTCTGGAATTGTGTGTGGGTGGCCAAGGCCATGACCTTTGTCTGCATTGGTTGCAGCAGCAGCAAACTCATGAACATTTGCAACCCAGAGAGGACCCACAGCGTGAGGCTGGTTTGTCTCTCCCCTAAGTCTGTCCCTCTGCCATTCTTAGGAAATACTAATTTTCTGGGCTGAGTACTGGGACAGTAACCTCCAGCTTTCAGGCAGTCATCATGGTCAGTAAAGTATTAGAAAATAAAAGCATACTTGTGGACATTGTGTTAAGGCACACTAGGCAGTTACTAGAATTCTTTGGAGTGTAGATTCTCTGGTGTTAAGAACTGCTGCAACATTGCAAAGCAAATATCCACAGGCTTAGAAATAGGAATTTCATTTGATGGGAGAGAACATTATTTTCATTTAAAATTTTGGATGAATCAAGTATTAACAAAGAAGTCAACTTTAAAAATAGGGTTTTTTTTGCATTTGAAAATACAGCAATATACTGCATAAACAGGTGTTTCCAATTATATGCAAATCATGAAGCCATTTTTGGTTTCTTGTACAAGATGTAGGAAATGTCAGAGGAAACATTAAAATGCCATTGTATAAATTTATATGTAAAATTGAATTCAGTTTTGTACAAAACTAACATTCATGAAGAATTAATTGCAGAGAAGTGCTACTCCAGTCTTTGTCTATATATACCAAAACTTGTATTTTTTTAACTTTTATTGTGCAGTAATATATCAGAAATCAGAAATTTAGCCCATATTGTCACAATGTATAAAGAACCAACAGGTCCCTAATGATTGCATCAGCTGAAAAATCAACCTTCTCAAAATTAAAAATTAGCAAAAATTACTTATCTTGCATTTGCCAAGAATACATGTTACTTTCAATTATATATTGAAAATGAAGTTGCTAAAAATATAAATTTCGATGACTTAATAAATGAATTTGCAAAAAGAGTGCCAGAAAATCTTATGATCAATCAAGGTATCATATTAACAAACTATTAGTAATTATTGTATTATTTAAAGTTTATTACAACAAAACTGTTTTTTGTGATTTGTAAATTTATGTTGTTTTATGTTACTATTATACCTATTACATTTTACAAGTAGTAAAATATGTTAAAGGAAAAAAGCATAATTTATTTTACTTTTTACTATACTTCTTTTTATACATTCTGAGTAACTGACCTCACATTTTTATTTTGCACTGGCCCCATCAATTATGTAGTCATCTCTGCCCTGTATTAAAATGAAAAAAAGAGAAAAAAAGTCAAACCCGTATGACCATTTCAACATATGCGAGAAAGCATTTGACAAAATTTAGCATCCATTTCTGATTAAAACTCTCAAATGAAGAATAGAAGATAACTTTCTTTAATAAAAGTCATCTATAGAAAATGTACAATTGACATTGTATATAATTGTGAAAAATGGAATGATTTCTTTCCAATATCAGAAACATGACAAGGATGTACACTCATACCTGATAGTATAATATATGCTATCTAGTATAACCAAGGAAGAAAAAGAAAGGAGACTAGAGTGGAAAAGAAGTAGAAATGTCTTTATTCACAAAAGATATGATTATCTACGTAGGAAATCTAATGGAGTCTCCCAAGATATGGGAAAAAGAATGACTAGAATTATTAAGTGTAGCTAGGTGACAGGAGAAAAATATGTAAAAATGAATCTTCTATAAGAAATGATCAATTGGAAATTGCAATTTTTAAAAGTTCTATTTGCAATAGTATCAAAAATTTTTTTTTACAGCTATGTCTGGCAAAAGATGTGAAAGACCACACTAGAAACAATAATCCACTGCAGAGAGAAATTGAAGACCTAAACAAGTGGAACTCCCTGCTTATGTCAGAAAGCTCAATATTGCTGACATGTTTTGTCATTAAAATGACTTATAGATTTAAAATAATATAATTCCATGTAGTAATTAGCAGGATTTCTTGTAGTAATTGAGTATGTAATTCTAAACCTTATGTGGAAATACACAGGAACTACAATAACTAAAACTTTGAAAAATAAAAGCTGAGTCATATGTATAACATTACCTGATTTCAAGACTCATTATCAAAGTAAAAGTTTGCTGAGACTTGGTCTTTTTGTCCAGAGTACTTTTTCTTCAATTTTAACATCTAGTAGTTTTATTAAGATATGTTTTAGAGAAAACTGTTGCTGAACAGTTTTCCCAGGTTCATGATGGTTCTTTTGAATAGGAACCATCATGGATCAGGTCTTTTAGTTTTGGACAGTTTTCTTAGATTATACTTTCTAATATTAGATTTATTCCATTGTTTTCTTTTTTCTTCTTTAAGGACTGCAATAACATATATACTATATTATAATTTTATTTATTTAATTGTAGACCAGCTTTATCCAGAACTTTCTTTCTGATCCAATTTTCTTTTTTCTTACTCTTTTAAAATTATTGTTTCTTCTCTTTTTTCTGTTTCATTCTCCTTTACAATGCTGTTTATTCAAGTTTCAGTCAAGTGTAGTTTCCCCTTTGGCTCTTTTTTACTTTACTCAGGCTGCTGTAACAAAATTCAACAGACTGGGTAGCTTAAATAAATTTTCTCACAATTGTGGAAGCTGTAATTCTAAAGTCAAGGTGACAACAGCGTTGGTTTCTGGTGAGTTCTCACTCCTTGGTTTGCAGATGGCATTTTCTTCTGGTGTCCTTACACAGCCTTTTCTCTGTGCATATGACCAGTGGTCGGGTGTGGTGGGCAGGGGGAGAAAGAGAGTTCATGCATGTGCTTTCCAGTCTCCTCCTCTTCTTATAAGGACATGAATGCCATTGTATTAGTCTTACCCTTATGACCCCATTAAACCTTAGTTAATCTCCTTAAAGTCCCCATCTTCAAATACAGTCACACTGGAGGTTGGGGTTTTAACATACACATTTTTGGGGGGCACAGTTTAGTCCATGACAGATTCCTTAATAAGGAATGTCTTTAATAAGTCTTTAATAAGACTTGAATTACAAGTCTTATTTTCTGTGATTACTCTGTCCTCTTTACAACTTCATTCCTGAGTTTGATTACCCTTTGCCTCTTTAGTTTACATACAATCCAAGTCTCTTCTCTTGGATTTCCCAGTAGCCTGAGCTTTAATCTATGTGAATTCAGACATCTTCTGAGCATTTTCTCACTCATAGTAAAACTTTCCCTTTCTGGGAGTAGTTTTGTGTTTCATCCTCTCTGGGCTGTCTGTCTCCTCTATTCCATGTGATCACCACAGTCTCTGGCTGACTCTCTTTGTAGGCATGGGCTGTCACTTTTTGCTGTATTTGAATATCTATTGCATAGTGGTGATTTGAAATGAGTAATATTCTCCATCTCCTAGTTATGCTAAAGTCATGGGTTGTTATAGATAATATTATTTGCTCCACTTATGCTGACCTTTATAGTTCTTGGGGAGATGCATGGGGAAATGCAGATGTAAGCAGTTGCTATTATTCTTCTTACATTAGAAACCAAGTGTGTGCATTCAGATAGTTAATTTCCTCTCTGTTTTTCCACTAGCCTAGGCCTTTTGTTTCTGGTTTTTGTTTTTGTTTTTTCACTCCAAACTCATGAAATACAAAAAAATATGCACTTGCAATTATGTTCATCTCTGGAAATTGGCCAAAAAACCAGAGTCAGCTACAACATAGGGCATTTGTGTAGAGATTTCATTCCCTAAGAGATGTTTTGGTATTTATATGGTAAGATTAATTTTGTTTGTTTGTAGAAGTCTGGACAGCTGATCACCTGAAAGAGAGGAGCCAAGAAAATCAATCTAAACATTTGTGGGAAGTTGTATTCATCAATAATGAAATGCTGACTAAGGAACAAGGTAATGTAATAGGAATACCATTTAACATGGACGTAAGTTCTTTTCCTTCCAGAAAAATGTTCTGTCAGTATGACTCACGTGGAATGAGTTTCAACACTGTTTCAGAATTGGTTATCAGTAAGATAAACTATTTAGGAAAAAAGTCTGACGAATTTAATGCATGTGGGAAATTGTTACTCAATATTAAGCATGATGAAACTCATACTCGAGAGAAAAATGAAGTTTTGAAAAATAGGAACACTCTGAGTCATCGTGAGAACACTTTGCAGCATGAGAAGATTCAAACTTTAGACCACAATTTTGAATACAGTATATGTCAGGAAACCCTCCTTGAAAAGGCAGTATTCAATACACGGAAGAGAGAGAATGCAGAAGAGAATAACTGTGACTATAATGAATTTGGGAGAACTTTCTGTGATAGTTCATCCCTCTTGTTCCATCAGATACCTCCATCAAAGGACAGTCACTATGAATTTAGTGATTGTGAGAAGTTCTTATGTGTGAAGTCCACCCTTTCTAAACATGATGGGGTACCTGTGAAACACTATGATTGTGGTGAAAGTGGGAATAATTTCAGGAGGAAATTGTGTCTGTCACAGCTTCAGAAAGGTGATAAAGGAGAGAAACACTTTGAATGTAATGAATGTGGGAAAGCTTTCTGGGAGAAGTCACATCTCACTCGACATCAGAGGGTGCACACAGGAGAGAAACACTTTCAATGTAATCAATGTGGAAAAACTTTCTGGGAGAAGTCAAACCTCACTAAACATCAGAGATCACACACAGGGGAGAAACCTTTTGAATGCAATGAATGTGGGAAAGCCTTTAGCCATAAGTCAGCCCTCACATTACACCAGAGAACACATACAGGGGAGAAACCCTATCAGTGTAATGCATGTGGGAAAACTTTTTACCAGAAATCTGACCTCACTAAACATCAGAGAACACACACAGGGCAGAAACCCTATGAATGTTATGAATGTGGAAAATCCTTCTGTATGAATTCACACCTTACAGTACACCAGAGAACTCACACAGGTGAGAAACCTTTTGAATGTCTTGAGTGTGGGAAATCCTTTTGTCAAAAGTCACATCTTACACAGCATCAGAGAACTCACATAGGAGATAAACCTTATGAATGTAATGCATGTGGGAAAACTTTCTACCACAAGTCAGTACTCACCAGGCATCAGATAATTCATACAGGGTTGAAACCTTATGAATGTTATGAATGTGGGAAAACCTTCTGCTTGAAGTCAGACCTCACAATACATCAGAGAACGCACACAGGGGAGAAACCCTTTGCATGTCCTGAATGTGGGAAATTCTTTAGCCATAAGTCAACCCTCTCTCAACATTATAGAACACACACGGGGGAGAAACCCTATGAATGTCATGAATGTGGAAAAATCTTTTACAATAAATCATACCTAACAAAACATAATAGAACACATACAGGGGAGAAACCCTATGAATGTAATGAATGTGGAAAAACCTTCTGCCAGAAGTCACAACTCACTCAGCATCAGAGAATTCACATAGGGGAGAAACCCTATGAATGTAATGAGTGTGGAAAAGCTTTCTGCCATAAGTCAGCTCTAATTGTACATCAGAGAACCCATACACAAGAAAAGCCTTATAAATGTAACGAATGTGGAAAATCTTTCTGTGTGAAGTCAGGACTTATTTTACATGAGAGAAAGCACACGGGGGAGAAACCCTATGAATGCAATGAATGTGGGAAATCCTTCAGTCACAAATCATCACTCACAGTACATCACAGGGCTCACACAGGAGAGAAATCTTGTCAGTGTAATGAATGTGGAAAAATCTTTTACCGTAAATCAGACCTTGCTAAACATCAGAGATCACATACAGGGGAAAAGCCCTATGAATGTAACACATGCAGGAAAACCTTCTCTCAAAAGTCAAATCTCATTGTACATCAGAGAACACACATAGGAGAAAAACCTTATGAATGAATTGGATATTAGAAATTTCCAGCCACAAGTCAGCCTCCATAATGCCTCAGAGTCTTCACACTGTGGAGAAGGGCCTGTTGACATCCTGAATGTTCAATAACTATCCACAAACTCGCCTTATGTTACTCCAAAGTAACAGTAGGGGATAAACCCATAGACTACAACAACTATAGGATGGCTTTTGTTAGGAAGTGATATTCTGTTGAATATCAGATGGTTAATACTGGCATAAAACCTCACAGATTTTTTTGAATTTGTGAAAGTTTTTGGCAAAACTACAAATAGGATTATGTTAGCATTTACACTGAGGAGAAAATTGTCAATTTAAGAAATCTAAAGTGAAAATTTTGCTTAGAAATAAAATATGACAAGTTCTGTTTTGAGTTTGATGCCATAATAGTTTTTAAGGTATCTAACAATAATTTATAGATGTACATTGTGGAATGTAAAGCTTTAAGAATTTTTTAAGAAGTAATAATTAAAATAACCTCACAAGAAGTTGTAATGAGTACAGAGAATTCCCGTGTACCCTTCACCAAGCTTCCTCTAAGGATAATATATAATCATAGTATATGGTCAAGTCCAAGAAATCGATGTTACCTTGCTAGTAGATGCAGACTTACTCAGATTTTGCTATGGTTTGCGTGCACTCTGTGTGTGTACGTGTATGTGTGTGTGTGTGGTTATAACAAACTGGTACTTTTACATTTGAGTAACCATCAACACAATTAGTTTACAGAATGGAAAAGGAGTCTGAGATCTGTACTGTTTCAGGATTACAAAGGAATCAGGATTTAGCCTCAAGTAGTTCCCTTGTTGTATTAATAACCACACCCTTTCTGCATCCCTGTCCCTGGCATCCACTTGACTATGAAGCTTTTTGTAAAGCATAGATAAATTGAATAATCAGGGCAACAGCATTAAGCACATCTGTGAATTATCCCTGAAGTTCATAGGACTTACATATGTACAAGTGGTATGTGATATAAATCGTGTGTTTCATATGCATAATGGTATTTAACGTAATTGTGAATAGGAAGTAGGTATCCTAATTTAGTAGTGGTTACTTCATCAGGCCCATCCCAGGTGTTTGTCGTGTCCTGAAACAATTTAAATAGAGACCCACAGAGCTAATGTTTATCCATTTAAAAGTTATAAATCAAAATAACAGATTATCTGAAAAAAAATCTATCCTGTACGTGTGAAGATCTAGGCCTGCCTCCATGTTACTCCCTTTCTCTTACTACCTGTGGCTCATCCCATGCCATGAACTGCCTGGGGTACATATGTGAACACTCCAGCCTTCAGCGTAAGTGATAGTCCAAATTTTCTTTAAGCAGCTGCTCTCCAAGACAGGGCCCTGGAAAGAGGCCCACACATACAGCCCAGTTGCTGCCCAGGGCTGTTGGACTGTCATTTCATTGCTCATTGTACCCAGACAGGGATCTGGGCCTTCAGAGACTTTTGAGAATATGAAGAGGAGGGTTGAGGCTGGAGAAGAGCCAGAATCAAGCTGGCATGGGGCTTTTATTGACAGTGTGAAGATTGTACACTACATTACATGATCAGATCATACAAATAATCTAAGATTTTACAGTCTGGTGACCCTAGATTACACAAGTAATCTAAGCTTCCACTTTGGAAAACTAGAAAAAGAAGAGCAAATTAAATCCAAAGTAACCTGGAAAAAAATTAGAGTAAAAATCAGTGAAATTGAAAAGAGAAAATCAATAAAACCCAAAACTGTTCTTTGAAAAGGTGGGTAAAATTGATAAACCTCTAGCTAGATTAAGAAAAAACAGAAGACAAATACTGCTAATACCAAAAGTGAAAGAGGCCATCATAGCTGATCCTATGGTCACCAAAAGGATTAGAAAGAAATATGGACAACTCTGTCCATAAATTTGATAACTTAGCTAAAATGGATCAATTCCTTGCAAGATGCATTCTCTCAAAGCTCATAAAAGGTAGATCTCAGTAGGCATATATATCTATTAAATAAATTGAAGCAGTAATTAATAACCTTCCAAGACCAGGCGCGGTGGCTAAAAATACAAAAAGTTAGCCGGGCGTGGTGGCATGCGTGTATAGTCCAAGCTACTCAGGAGGCTGAGGCAGAAGAATCACTTGAACCTGGGAGGTGGAGGTTGCAGTGAGCCAAGATTGTGCCACTGTACTCCAGCCTGGGTGACAGAGTGAGACTCCATCTCAATAAAATTAATAATAATAAAACCTTCCAAAAAAAGTGCCGGGACCAAATGGATTCACTGATGTGCATTTTTCGAGATACTTAAGGTAGAAATGATACCAAGTCTGTACTGTCTCTTTCAGAAAATAAAAGCAGGGATAACACTTCCCAAATCATTTTGTGAGGCCAGGATTACCCTAATACCAAAGCCAGGCAAAAACATTACAAGAAAGGAAAACTACAGATCAATATTTCCAGTGAACACAGATGCAGAAATCCTTAAAATGTTAGCAAATCAGGAATGCAAGCCTTGTTCAACATTTGATATTCAGTGCAATCCATTGCATGCATTAGCAGTTCAAAGATTAAATATGATCATATCAATAGGTACAGAAAAAGCATTTGACAAAATCCAATATCCATTCATGATAAAACCTCTCAACACAGAAGGAATACAGGAGAACTTACTCAATTTGATAAAGAACTACTACAAAAAACCCTACATCTAGCATCATCCTTGATGTTTCCAACTAAATGCTTTCCTACTAAGATCAGGAACATGGCAAGGAACACCACTGCTTTTCAGCATTGTACTGGAAGTGCTATCTAATGCAGTGATACCAAAAAAAAAGGAAATAAAATGCACATAAATTTGGAAGGAGGAAATACAACTGTCTTTGTTCTCAAATAACATGATTGTCTTTGTAGAAAATTCTAAATAACAAAAACCTGCTGACATTAATAAGCAATTATAGCAGGGTTGTAGAATGTAGTCCTCAGGTATATGATAAAAAAGAATTAGACATCAAGTCATTAAAAGACATATAGGAACCCTAAATGCTTATTGTTAAGTGAAAACCAATCTGAAAAGGCTTTCTATGTTGTATGATTGCAATTATATGACATTCTGGGAGAGGCAAAACTATCGAGCGAGTCAAAGGACCAGTGGTTGCTGAGAGTTGAGGGGAAAGGAGGGATGGCAGGTAGGTGATTTTTAGGACAGTGAAAGTACTCTGTAGGGTACTGTAATTTGTCAAAATGCAGAGAATGGAAAACAGTGAACGGAAAACACAGAGTAAACCCTAGTGTCAACTCTGGACTTCAGTTAATAACAGTGTACCACTATTGGCTCATCAATTGTAACAAATGAACCATAATGATGCAAGATGTTAATAATTGGGGAGCCTGTGGAGGATGGGAGGGTTAAAGGTTTATATGAGAATTCTCTGTACTTTTTGCTCAATTTTTCTGTAACCCTAAAGCTGCTCTAAAAAATGAAGTGTATTAAGTAAATAAATAAGTAAATAACCAACCAACCCTGAGGAACATCTTGTTTCTGTACTAAGGTGTTCTTTTGTTAGTCGTGTGTTTCTGACTGAACCTGTAAATCACCGTTAATGAACATTTGAATTGCTTTTATACATCCTTGATATATTTTAAATTATGGTAACTGTGACCTGAAATTAAGGACTAGTATTCTTGGTTCTCTTGACATCTGAAGCCAAAAGGACCTCAAATGACCTAAACTCGTTTCCATCCCCACTCTGCTTCCACAGGTGAGGTACCTTAGCAGACAGTCCTCCCTGTCAGGGGGGCCAGGCACAGTTCCTGCTTATTCCTAAGCAGTAAGATCTGCTTCCCTACCAGCTCTTGGAATTATTCACCAAACCCCTCACATCCTCCCACAGCAAACAGTGGTCACTGTACTCTCTGGATAGTACAGCTGCTCACTACAACCCCTTCTTTTCCACTTTGCTCCCAAGTGGAACCCTTTGTGGCTCTGCCCGGCATGTGGTGTCCTCCTCACCTTTCTGAGAGTTGGTGTGACTGACAAACTCACCTAGATCTTATCTGTCCAGTGTCGGGTATTCAGTGTTCAACCTTTCTATAGCATCAGAGTGGGGAATCCCATCTTCACCATCAGGGTGAAAAGGAAGCAGTTACAACCACTGGCATAAACAGGATGGCCCATCCAAAGCCAGGGTCGTCTAGTCCAATTTTAACTAACTGCTCTTGGCTAACTGACAGGTTCCATATTATGGCAAAGGCTTCTTGGACAGAACCACCAGTTGCTGGCAGGTTTGCACTTGGCCTGTGCTGTAATGCACTTTTCTTAGGGGAGGTGAGTGTCACATCTCTTCCCATCCTAAAATGCTCTTGTGTGCAGGACAAGAGTGCTCTCCCATTGGCTGTATCCCTGCATGACTTGACTTGGGCTCAGCCTGTTTGGCAGGTGGTCTCTGAGGCTCCCACCTGTAAAGGTAGTGACCACACTGCACACAAACTGATCAGCACTTGAGCCCCACTTTCCAAAGGACTGGCTGGAGCTCTCTGATTATCACTGGCTGCATGGAACATCCCTATAGACTATTGTTTGTTATTGCACACCCCTGGGTTGTGCATGCAGATGGCCTATTGTGAGGTTTGTGGAAAGGCAGGAGACAACTGAGAGAGGTGAGTGTGGCACTCCAGTTGCCTAAGGAGGCATTCAGGAGGGGTAGTACCTGCACCCTGTGCTGCGCCTTCACTTGCTGCCACTACACATGATTTCCTGACCCCTAAGAATGTCAAGATGCACATGCATGGTGGCCCATGGTCCAGGTGCTGATGAGAAGAGAAAAAGGTACCAGTTCTCCCCAGATTACCAGAGGAAGTAACTCTTCTGCTCTCCCAATACAAAACCCTCGCCAGTGTGCCTGAGCATGGCCTGGCACTGATACTTGCCAACATGCCACAGGGTGAATTTTGGAATCACGGGGCCTGATGGCCTGCACCTGAGCCACAGAATATATGACATTACCATTATCATAGGGAGAGTGACTGTGACATCCACTGTGCTTTGAGTGTTTGTGTCCCCTCCAAAAGTCATGTTGAGGCCAGGTGCAGTGGCTCAACAAATCGCAGCACTTTGAGAAGCCAAGAACAAATCCCAGCACTTTGGGAGGCCAAGCACAAGTCCCAGCATTTTGGGAGGCTGGGGCGGGAGGATCACTTGAGGTCAGGAGTTCAAGATCAGCCTGGCCAATATGGTGAAACCCCGTCTCTACTAAAAATACAAAAATTAGCTGGGTGTTGTGGGCACCTGTAATCCCAGCTACTCAGGAGGCTAAGGCAGGAGAATCACTTGAATCCAGGAGGCGGATGTTGCAGTGAGCCAAGTTGGCGCCACTGCACTCCAGCTTGGGCAAGAGAGCAAGACTCCATCTCAAAACAAAACAAAACAAAAAGCAAGTCATGTTGAAACTGAATCCTCAGTGCAACAGCTTGCAAAGGTTTGGCCTTTGGGAGGTGGTAAGGTCATGAGAACTCCACCTCATGAATGATTAGTGATCTTAGGAGCCAGCTGGAGAGAACACACTAGGCCCTTTTTGCCCCTCTCCTTTCTGACATGTGAGGGCCCAGTGTCACTCCCCTCAAGAGGAAACAGCAAGGAGGGGCTGCCTTGGAAGCCGAGACCTTGTCCCTACTGGATACTCACCTTTCATCTTGGCACTTTCATCTTGGACTTCCCTGCCTCCAGAGATGTGAGAGGTAAATTTCTATTGCTTATAAACGACCTAGTCTCAGGTGGTTTGTTATAGTACATGGTTCACACAAATGGATGAAGACAAAATGTCTCTTGGAAATTTGGCATTTGGCCATGCTACACTCTCATCTCTGCACATGAGGAATATGTTGGGAGGCTACTGAAAAAATCAAACTCAACACCTAATGGCATGGTCCCAATGCTGCTTAAGACATTTGTCAGATTATTTTCAGGGGAAACTGTGAGACTATTATGACTGTGTGTGTGTGTTTGCATGCAGCCTATGTGTATGTGAGGTGGGGCTGGGAGAGAGATTTATAATACCCCAGTTAATAGTTAATCTGAAGGTTGGATTGAGCCCGGGAATTCAAGGCTGCAGTGAGCTACGGTGGTGCCACTGCACTCCAGCCTGGGTGACAGAGTGAGACTTCGTCTCTTTGAAAAACAAAAGGCTGGGTGCTGTGGCTCATGCCTGTAATCCCAGCACTCTGGGAGGATGAGGCAGGCAGATCATGAGGTCAGGAGATCGAGACCATCCTGGCTAACACGGTGAAACCCCGTCTCTACTAAAAATACAAAAAGCCAGGCGTGGTGGCAGGCACCTGTAGCCCGAGCTACTCGGGAGGCTGAGGCAGGAGAATGGCGTGAACCTGGGAGGCGGAGCTTGCAGTGAGCTGAGATGGTGCCACTGCACTCCAGCCTGGATGACAGAGCGAGACTCCGTCTCAAAAAAAAAAAAAAAAAAAAATCTGAGGAAAATTATCCTGTGCCGATCATCTGGAAGTAAACAGTGGGTTTGGAGTATGCACACCCTAGAGAAACCGTAAAGCAAAATGCATCTGTGTCTGTGTGTAGTAATAACAGACTGGCATCTGCAGATTCAAGCTATGAACTAGAGCAAGGCATCCTGACTCTGGTCCCACAGGTTCACATGGAAAGAGACAGCACAAATGAATGAAATAATTGTGGGAAAGACAGCCATCTTGATAAATCACATTTCCTTTTTAAGGATAGTTTTAAGGCACCAATGGAAGCAGACATAGCTTGGTAATCCATGGGTACCACTTGAATGGAAGAGAGGAGACACAGACAAAGACAACCAAGAGGCTTAAACTTGCCAAAAAATTTATTTATAACAAAAAGGGCAGCAAGGTACATGTAAATATATACATAATGCTAACAGTGTCAGAAGATGAATATCCTGCTTTGTTCAGTGATTTCATGGAGTTGCTGTTTTGCATTTCCTTGTCATGTTCTCTGTCTACATGTTTAAAGGGAGGATTACATGTGAACACTATTCATTATCAGTATTATGCATCTAAGCTGGTGTTATCAATCATTGGTAGATAGATAGTGAGATAACTTCTAGTTCCCATCTCCTCCAGTAAGAACTAAGATGCAAACCCTTTGTGGTGAACCGACATCAAGATGAAATATAGCACCCCCATTTTCTCTGCATTAGCCTGTCT
Organism: Homo sapiens; assembly: GCF_000001405.40. Classification (NCBI taxonomy): domain Eukaryota; kingdom Metazoa; phylum Chordata; class Mammalia; order Primates; family Hominidae; genus Homo; species Homo sapiens. Next base: position 42,585,429 of record NC_000010.11, on the reverse strand, counting down.
TCAGGCTCACCCTGTGAACTCATCAAAGGTAGTGAAGTGTGGATGTGTCTCTTTTACCTATTTTCACCTTGGTTCAGTTCTAGTTTGTGCATTGTCCAGACTGCCCAGGATGTGACGATCACAGGAAGGAGGTCGTGTTCATTATAAAAACACTTTGGCTCCTTAGGATTCAGCAAAGGTATCCACTGCCTGGTGTCCGTGGTGCCTGCAGGACAGTGTGGAGCTTAGAAACAATCACGTAGGCCATGAAGTGAGGCCAGAGACTAAAGTGGTGTCCACAAGGCAGAGAAAAGATGCTCCTTTTGGGTTTCCAAGTGGTCAGTTTCCTCTTGCATTAGTCTTGTCCCAGGACATGGTGTCTCCCCTTGTTTATCCTCCTGTGGGTCACACTACTACTTCATCGTGAGGAGGAGCCAGATGGGATGGTGAGAAAGACTCCTTCTCCCTCCTAAACCCGAAGCCCTAGTGAGCTCTGCAGGGCATCGAGCAGAGCCTGAAACTCTTCCTGGCTGCAGGCCATGGAGGGTTCTCCTGTCCTAATCCTAACTGATGATGGTGATTTCTGAAACTCTGAGGTTGTCAGGAGTTCATCTAAAAGGGATGAGGTGAGGCCAGGCACAATGGCTCACGCCTGTAGTCCCAGCACTTTGGGAGGCCAAGGTGGGTGGATCGCCTGAGGTCAGGAGTTTGAGACCAGCTTGGCCAACATGGTAAAACCCTGTCTCTACTAAAAATACAAAATTTAGCAGGACATGGTGGTGGGTGCCTGTAATCCCAGCTACTCGGGAGGCTGAGGCAGGAGAATCAGTTGAACCCAGGAGGTGGAGGTTGCAGTGAGCCGAGATGGTGCCATTGCACTCCAGCCTGGGAGAAAGAGCGAAACTCTGTCTCAAAAAAAAAAAAAGCTCAAAGGAAAGGGGTGGCCCCTTGCTTGGCCATGCCCTAGGCTGCTGCAGGTGTGTCCATGTGAGCACGTTGTGGAGCAGCACCCTGTCCCCAGGTGGCAATTTGACCACCACACCCTGGGGCTGCTCATGGCCACCATTGCCTAAGGTGGGCTGTGTCTTGCAGACCTTGTTGTTGCGATCCTTGCTCAGGATGACCAGAAGGAGGCTGAGTAGTGTCCTTGAAGGGCAGAACTCCCAGGCTAGTGCTGTCACTGTCCTTGTCATTCTGGCAATTTCCTTGGTACACATTCCAGAAACGAGACTAAGTGGGTGAGAGTACCCCTCCAAGAGTTGGTCCTGTTGACACATGGGTCCTGAGAGGAGAGATCTCCTGGCACAACTCAGGTGGACTGGTGCAGGATGGCCCTTGGTGCCTGGCTCACACAGCCTCCACAGACCTGCTTAGTGGAGGAAGGGCTGGTACAGATGACCAATGGCTGCTGGGGGAGTTGGAGGGAGGCCTGTGCGCAGAGCTGCTTGCGCAATGCACAGGTTGCTGTGCTGCAGCTGAGCAGTAGGGTGAGTTCTGTGGCTGGGGCTGCCAGGGAATTCACGGGGCTGCCTCTGCTCTGGCCTGGGGGCTGAGCTCTTCAGTTCTGAGCCCACATCTAAGAGAAAGGGAAACAAGGATGTCAGAAGACGTAAGAGGTTCCAGCTTCATTCCCTCATCTGTGAGGCAGAAGTGACATCTGTTGGGCTTTATCTCGGTGATTCTGTCTGTACATTTAGTCTGCAAAATATGGACGAGTTAAGGGAAGTATTGCACTGGCCCGTGAATGGATGCCACATTGATTTGCTAGAATGGCAAGATTTTCCCACAAAAGTGGAGACCATAGACTATTAGATTATCACACCTGGGGGTTAGTTGAGGGGCAAGGTCTATACTGGTGTCTAGTGCCTAGAAGCCTGGGATGGAGATAAAGGTCACATAAGACATAAGGCACATATGACATAAGACGAATAAGACACATGACAGCACCCTCATAACAAAGAACTCTCAACTTCTTTGAAGATACCAGCTCCCATTTATCTAGTACCATCTCAGCGGGCAATACCACTTCCAAATTTATGGGACAAATTGTGCACCACAGACAGAAAACTTACCTAGATTCTGGATTCTGGAATGCCTGTTTGTTTTGCCAGCTCTTCCTTGATGGCAGTTCCAGGGAATCGGTTCCTCTGAAAAGCTTGAAGGAGGACACCTGTCTGTGGTTTAGTGATGGCATCACTTTTGTCTCCCTCCTTTGGTTAAGCATTCTGTAGGAAAACACAAGAAAAGAGGGCTTTCAGGCCATCTTCACATCAACCCTAAGACAGACATTTTCAAATATTGTTCTCACCATGCTTACTCCCTCCCAGGCCCCTGAGGTGTTCATGCACTGATCCTGGACCTTGGATTAAACCCTTGCAGTGCTGGAAGAAGAGGACTCTGCACTGCCTGCCACACCAGGACTGGAAGATCAATGGCCTTCCCTTCTTCCAAACTACCTTCCCATGAGGTGGGGATGGTGGTCACATCTCCAACACTGGCGTGCTGTGGAAGAGACATCAGCATTCTCTGCAACAAATTTGGAAACAGCCTAAAGAGACGTTTCTACTTCAAAGAGATGCACTGAGGAAGTGCACTGGCACTGCTGGGGACTCACCTGGGGCCCAGGGCTGAGGCTTCTCGTGTCCTTGGAGCTGCTGTCCTCCCGAGGAGCGTCCACACTGCAGCCAGCTCAGCCTCAGGTGTCCTATCTGGTTTTGAAACCAAATCTAAGTGGGAAAAGAAGATTCAAGTTTTATCCGATTTAGTCTACATAATTTTAAGTATCTATTTGAGCTCAACACCAAGAATCACTTCCTTCTCTGTCCCATCTGTGGTCTCCAAAGGAAAGGTCCCTGGGTTAGGAGACACTGGCTAGCATCCTAAAGCCAGAGCTGGCCGATGGGTGTGTGTCCACTCTTCCTTCACCTCTTCCCCACCCTACAGTTGTTTTTGTCTCATGCTCACTTGCTCTTTCTGCCTCCCTCTCACTCTTTAGGTCTCACAAAGGCTTTGGTCAAGGACTGACTGACTTTCCTTGGCTCTCTGTCATCTCCCCATAATCAAAGGCATTTCATAACACACAATCCATGTGAAGGGACCTCTGATCAAAATTCACTTAAAGAGGAGCTCACTAATTACCAGTACTTACTGCTGAGCCTGGAATCATTCGTATATACCCCAGAGTTCATTCATTCCAGACACAGTACTAGATAAGGAGACTCCTATGAGCCAAAAACCTAACTCTGAATAGACTGTGACTGTCATAATCAAACCCTGTGGCTGCCTCCTTCTTACTGGAGGGCATAGAGGAATGCAGATTTTTGTTTGTTTGTTTTGAGACAGAGTGTCGCTGCAATGCCCAGGCTGAAGTACAATGGTGCGGTCTCGGCTCACTGCAACCTCTGCCTCCCGGGTTCAAGCAATTCTCCTGCCTTAGCCTCCTGAGTAGCTGGGATTACAGGCATGCACCATCATGCCCTGGCTAATTTTTGTATTTTGTGTAGAGACGGGGTTTCACCATGTTGGCCAGGCTGGTCTTGAACTCCTGACCTTGGGTGATCCACCTGCCTCGGCCTCCTAAAGTGCTGAGATTACAGGCGTGAGCCACCATGCTCAGCCAGGAATGTGCTTTTAATCATTTCTTAGTGTTTCATGTGGGGACTTGATAACTCACAATAAGGATTCTATCCTAAAAGACAAGCAATACCTGTTGACCTGCTCTTATGTCCCAGGCAGTTTGTAAAACTGTTTCATCTATTCTCTCAATATGTCACTTCAAATATGATCAGGAAAGAAGTCTTAAACATGGCTGGAAATGTGGGGGCAACAAATACATTAGTGAACACCCTGGCGGATCCAACCTCATTCTACATGGTTTCTTGTGCTTTCCTTCGGCACCATCAATTCCAGTGGGCTGGTTGCCAGTGCTCCAGCCAATCTCCATGTCTTCCCGTGGACACACTTTTTTTTTTTTTTTTTTTTTTTTTGAGACAGATTTTCACTCTTATTGCCCAGGCTGGAGTGCAATGGTGCGATCTGGGCTCACTGCAACCTCCACCTCCTGGGTTCAAGTGATTCTCCTGTCTCAGCCTCCCGAGTAGTTGGGATTACAGGCAGATACCACCACGCCTGGCTAATTTTTGTATTTTTAGTAACGAGGTTTCACCATGTTGGCCAGGCTGGTCTCGAACTCCTGCCTCAACCTCCAAAAGCGCTGGGATTACCAACATGAACCACTGCCCCCAGCCCGGGCCACACTTTCATTCTTGGATTTGATGTAGCACTCTGACACCTGGACTGGGTGCATAAAGAAAAGGAAATACGTCTTCACTTGGCCTGCCTGAAACTCAGATCCCTGTATCCCAGGGCTTACTCAGGATTATAGCATTTGATATAAAACCCTGACCGTAGGCTTTTCTTCAACAGAGTCCCTTTTACTTAGTTGTTGACAGTCTGGATACACTTCTCCTGGTGTGATTGTGATCTTTCCAGCTATTTCTTAACTGGAGAAACAGAATGGTTTTATTTTATTTTATTATTTATTTATTTATTTATTTATTGAGACAGTCTCGCTCTGTTACCCAGGCTGGAGTGCAGTGGCGCGATCTTAGCTCACTGCAACCTCTGCCTCCTGGGTTCAAGCAATTCTCTGCCACAGGGTCCCACTACCATACCTGGGTAATTTTTGTGTTTTTAGTAGAGACGGGGTCTCACCATCTTGGCCAGGCTGGTCTTGAACTCCTGGCCTCATGATCCACCCACCTCAGCCTCCCAAAGTGCTGGGATTACAGGCATGAGCCACCGCTCCCAGACACTTTTATTTTTATATCCATTTTTCCACTCAAAATATTCCAAAATGGGATCAGGCACTAAACTCTCCAGTGTGTAAAGCCCACATAAAAACACTTAGTAGAGGCGAGGCACAGTGGCTCACTCCTGTAACCCCAGCACTTTGGGAGGCCAAGGTGGGGGGATCACTTGAGGCCAGGAGTTCAAGACCAGCCTGGCCAACATGGCAAAACCCCATCTCTACTAAAAATACAAAAATTAGCCAGATGTGGCACATACCTGTAATCCCAGCTACTTGGGAGGGTAGGGGATGAGAATGGCTTGAACCTGGGAGGTGGAGGTTGCAGTGAGCTGAGATTGCATCACTGCACTCCAGCCTGGGTGACAGAGTGAGACTCTGTCTCAAAACAAAACAGTAGAAAAGAAACAAAAACCATGGGATGAGAAACGGGACTTTATGGCAGCCCTGACCTCACCGTCCTCAATATTACCTATTATCTGAGCATTCTATAATATTGGTGCCAGGTATCAATGACAACTTATCATGATCATGGTGACCATATTACCTATATTCTCTAGAGCATGCAAATATGATTTAATTTCCTCCTACCAGGAGAAAGGCCCAATTTAACTTCCTTCCTCCATCAGTGAATACACCAGACCACATTTTCCACGATTGGTAAAAGGCAGAGATAGGGGTCTTAGTTTTCAGTTCATTCTTAACATGGTATGATTGGAGACTGCTTAGTCCAGCTTGTCTTTTTTCTTTGACTCCAAGGAAATGAAATGGAAATACAAGCCCACCTGTATCCTAGACTCCAGACTGCCGATTTCTTTGGCCAGTTGCTCTCTGGTTGGTATGCCAGGGTAGGAGTTCTGCTTAAACAATGCTTGAAGGGCATCTTTTTGACTTGAGTTCAAAACAATTCTTTGTTGAAATTCTCTTGGGAGAGAGCCTGGTATAGAGAAATGGGTCAAAGCCATGGGAAGGATTTGTTGTGGATTCACATCTGTGATGCAGATACAGACCTTCTATTGATACCAGGTTGAAGGTGTTGAGTCCCAGTGGTCACTCTGTGTTTGTACTTTTTGGATGCACACTCCATGATTAACTGGGCACAGGGCATTGCACAGATTAGAAAGGGTGATAGCCTTCATCCAGAGATCCACACCAAAAACCGAATCTCATGCCATTCATAACATTACACACAAACAACTCAGAAACCAGTTGCAAAAGGGGACATTGAATGAAACATTAGTTTCAAAATGTGAAAACCAAATTTGGACTTTCTGGGTTAAACATACATAGGGCAAGGGTTGAAAAACTACCTGTTGCGCTCTATGCTCACTACATGAATAACAGAATCAATCGTTCCCCAAGCCTCAGCATCACACAGTATACCCACATAACAAAACTGCACATGTACCCCCTGAATCTTAAGATAAAAATAGAAATTGTTTTTAAAATTGTCAAAAAAAGATAAAGGTGTTATCTTCAAAGGGTGGTCATTAGGATGAACCATGATGTGGTAGGAGGGTGGCATGTAGCTGAGTCCCAGTGTTTATATCTGAAGAGGAGAGTGAATGGCCTTGCATCCCCCGTGCAGAGACAATGACCAGCAGGGGTGTCAAGATCTGTTGTAATATTTGCAGCATTACTGAAGATCTGTGTAGCAAACTGGTTCCCAGGGAACTCTTGGCAGGAATCAGAATGCATCTATGTCACTCCTTGTAAAATTGAAAAGGAAACAACAGGAACAACAAAAAATCCGCCAACATTTCCTAGAATTTATGACACCAGACATTTTCTGAGAGCTGTGTGGCAGCCTTCGTAGTGGAGAAAACAGTTTTTGTCCCACATCTCCATTCATCTGGGTCACTGTGCTTCATTCACATGGCATTGCAGTGCTGTGAGATACACCACAGATACAGTCAGCTTTGTCCTGGGACTGGATGTTAGAGGTGGTTAAGGAGTGGTCAGCCTCAGACCTGGAGCCTGAGTAGTGATCAGGGATCCCGTCCCTCTTGCCATGGTTTCCATCACTCTTAAGCCACATCACACACCAAGGGGCTTCCCTGTCCATGCTACCATGCAGTGGTGTAGGTCCTATGCTTACTGCTCAGTGTGCAGGTGAGCTTGGCTGAGACTCCCTGGCTGGGAGAGGGAACCTGAAAACAAACTCATTACATCCTGGAGGAAGGAGAAGAGGGGACAGTTGCATCATGAGTGAGCCAGGGATCAGGATGCCGAGGACCATGTTGGCCTGTCCCATGAAGGAGGAGGATGAAGAGGAGGAGTAGGGTGTATGCCACTGTCCAGATACCCCAGTGCTGTGCCGAGGCAGCCATGCTGCAGGCCTCTTATCCACCCTCCAGACCGTGGAGAAACAGGAGCCCTTCATGCAAATTTTTGGCCAACCAAAGCCTCGCTGGGTCTTTCCTGCAGCCCTGTGGCTGGGTGTCATTTCTGGGAGGCGTGGGCCTGTGCTCAGCCTGGCTTGAGGCTCTGCAGGGTCCCAGGGAGGACTCAGCTGCTAGCCCAATGAGTCCTGAGCGGAGGCCAGGATCAGTGTCTGTTTCCTCATTTCCCCAGCTGAGAGCCCCAGAGGTCCCCTCAGGGCAGGCCCACCGGCTATCCTCTCTGTGACTAGAGGAGGGGTGGTTTTCACAGAGGCTCCTGCTTCCACCTAGGCCAGGACCCCTGCCCACTCACTGCCTAATGACACAGTGAGGTTCTCCCTCAGGGCAGCCGCCTGATGTCTCAGTCTTTAGTTTTCTATGTAGGCCTCCTCAGTGGGAACAGGGTGCACAATTCTCACTTTATAGGGAGTTCTTAAGGGAAGGGTTATCTCATATACAAATTGCAGCTGAAATAAGCATACATTATCTACAAGCAGGGGCGATTCAGCCCTGAATCCACTTGCCAGGATACTCATGAAGCCAGGTTTCTCTCTCCCCACTTGGTTGCTCAGGAGATCAGCACATAGTAAGCAGTCTGGTGAGTGCTGGGGAGGACAAATTCACCTGATTGATAGATCCACTGAATTCTCTGTCAAGTGAGGAGAACCCCGGGAGTAGAAGGAGAAAGTACTGGAGAATCAGAAGCCTTGGGGCTTTTTCTGAAGTGAAGGGTTAGAGAGATTCACTAAAGGAAGGGGATGCAAGTGACAACTTACAAGATCTGAAAAACTTCCCATGGCTGTTTGGACATAGAGAACTTGCTGACTAAGTGAGGAGGTCACAGGGGAGAAGGAGACGGTAGGAAAGAGAGACTGGAGAATCAAGATGGGAAATTGTGAATCAGAGATAAGGAATGGGAGAGGGTGAGGATGTTCCACACTCTGTCAAAGACTGGAGGAGGCACCAGTGGGGAGATTGAACAGGAGTCAGAGGGGAGGTCGAGGTTTGGGGTGTGTTTACTTTCATTTCTGGTTTGTTTCTTAAAGTGGCACCTCTGTCAGCATCTCAGCTGTCCTCTCTAGCCATCTTCCAGCCTGGACTGGGAATTTTTTTTTTTTTTTTTTTTTTTTGAGATGGAGTCTTGCTCCGTCACCCAGACTGGAGTGCAATGGCACGATCTCAGCTCACTGCAACCACCACCTCCCGGGTTCAAGCAATTCTCCTGTCTCAGCCTCCTGAGTAGCTAGGACTACAGGCGCCTGCCACCACAGCTGGCTAGTTTTTGTATTCTTAGTAGAGACAGGGTTTCATCTTGTTGGTCAGGCTGGTCTCAAACTCCTAACCTCAGGTGATCCAGCCGCCTTGGCCTCCCAAAGTGCTGGGATTATAGGCATGAGCCACGGCGCCCGGCCCTGGACTGGGAAATTTTTAAGTCAAAAGTCTTTAGTTCTCTCTGCAAGAGATTACTCTTTGGTTTCTGTCTGCTCATAGCTTTCCTTCTTGTTTTCCACCATTCTTATGAATTTGAGGATATTAAAATATGTATGGGAAAAATTGGGGGAAAGGACCCCTTAGAAATGCAAAGTCAGGTCCTATTCCAGACCCACGGAATCAGAATTCACACTTTACAGGATCTCAGATGATGGGTGCGCACAGTAACATCTGAAAAGCTCTGGTCTGACTCAGGCATGAAAGCACTGGTGGGTGTGGGTGACAGATTGTTTCTCATGCCTCAGTCTAGTCTCCCTCCTGCAAACATGCCCAGCAAGCTCCCTGCCTGCACTCTATCTTGAGCAGGAGATGCCAGGCATGTTGCACCTGAGGCTTCCCACTGCACACGGAGGCATCTCCCCTGAGCTCACAGATCCATAGAGCTTCAATAACAAGATCTGCATATTTTTATTGATATTAATAAGCAATTCGAATTAGCTAAAAATCAATATGTATTAGTACCTATGATAAAAATAATATTGTGGCCGGGCGCAGTGGCTCACACCTGTAATCTCAGCATTTTGGGAGGCTGAGGCGGGCAGATCGCCTGAGCTCAGGAGTTCGAGACCACCCTGGGAAACATGGTGAAACCCTGTCTCTACTAAAATACAAAAAATTATTGGGAGGCCAAGGCGGGCGGATCACGTGAGGTCAGGAGTTCGAGACCAGCCTGGCCAACATGGTGAAACCCTGTCTCTACTAAAAATACAAAAATTAGCTGGGCATGGTGGCAGGCACCTGTAATCCCAGCTACTCAGAAGGCTGAGGCAGGAGAATTGCTTGAACCCGGAGGCGGAAGTTGCATGAGCTGAGATCCTGTCATTGCACTCCAGTCTGGGGGACAAGAGCGAGACTTCATCTCAAAAAAAAAAAAATTAGCCAGGCGTGGTGGCGCTTGTCTGTAGTCCCAGCTACTGGGGAGGCTGAGGCACGAGAATCGCTTGAGCCCTGAAGCAGATGTCGTGGTGAGCTGAGATTGCTCTAGTGCACTCCAGCTTGGGCTACACAGTGAGACTCTGTCTCAAAAAAAAAAAATATATATGTATATATATATATATATTATTATGCAGTCATTATAAACTTATAATGTCTTCACGACCAGGGAAATTAAATTAACATAAAATGACACTAGTGGTATATAAAATATAGAAAGATAAACACAAAAATCATCATAATTGTGGAAATATTAGGGGCATACATGAAAGAAATGAATGCAAATTCAAAATAGAGGTATATTGATTTGTCTTAGTGTATTAGCTTCCTAGGCCTGAAATCACATGGACCATAAACTGGGGGGTTAAAAAAACAGAAATGTCTCAGTTCTCGGAGCTAGTAGTGCAAAATCCATAGGCAGGGCCAGGTTCCCTCTGATGCTTCTAGGGGAAACCTGTCCTTCTTCCAGGCTCCTGGTGGTTTCTCATTTCTTTCCTGCTGCTCCTCTTTGCCATCCTTCCTCCACCCTGGAGGATGGCCCTGTGTCAACTCAGTCCATGCATGTGAACCAACCACCTCCACGCGCCACATTAAGCACAGCTCCCTGAGTGATCCATAATCACCAACCTCCAGGGCACTGATAGTCACTCTGTGTCGTCCTAGCTTTTGGAGAAACTTTTGGACAAGTCATCTCCAAATAAAGAAGACCTTGTCAATGTAAGACCACGCTTCTTTCTTATACAGAAATTTTGCTTTCCTGGTTTATTTCTTTACCAGTGAAATTTAGAGATAAAAATCTGAAAATGTACATTATGGGAGACATGTAATACCCTTGGTTGAGGTGGTATTAGGTGGGCATCTCTTACCAACTGACAGTTTCCATGATAAACTGTAATGTAGAGGCATCTCCCTCAGCACCACTTTTCCCTTTTGAATTAAGGACTGTGCCACTGCTAATCTAAATCAATTTGAAAGATAAATGTGGCAGGAAAAGGTGTTATCTTTTCCACAGGTATCCTCTGTGCTAGTTTTGGGGAACTTTGATTTTTGACGTAACCACTGTACCCCTTCTAGGTTCCTAAAGTCAAGAGAAAAAACAGACCTGTGTGAAGTGCACAGCATAATATAATCCTCACAGTGCTTTTAAAATATGATTGCAGATGTCATCAGCCTCAGGAGAGAGTGGTATGTACCTTGAAATAACTCACCGAGACACAAACTTGCTGACTTCTTGTCCTCCATCTCAGAGAAGATATGGAAGATATGAAGGATGGAGAAAAAGAGGAAGAGGAAATGTGATGGTGGAGTGGGTAACATAAAAAAGGGAAGGCAAATAAGTGTATGTGTTTTCAGCGGCTTCTCACTTTCTTTTGGCCCATCAAGGAAACCAACACATCCGAGGAGAGTGCTGATAGGCTGCTCTTAGCCGGGACCACACTTGTGCTTTGAAAACAACCCCCAAAATCCCTGCAGGCAATTGAAGGATGTCCCGAGAACATCCTCCCAGGGAGCAGATACCCATTCTGTAGAAGCTCTAAGCCTGCTGGGCTAAGCCCTCCATAGGCCACTTTAATGAGGAGGAGAGGCTGTAGGTGGTGGTAGGACCACCATGTTGCATGACTTTTCTGTGTGCCCCGTCTTTTGACTCTGTCTCAAAAAAAAAAAAAAAAAAAGTGCGTTGCTTTGAAACACAAGTGCAGATGCTTAGCAGCAGCCTTTGCCTTTGTGGGAGTTGTAAACTAAAAATAAAATTCTAACCCGCCACTGACTGAACAGGCCCTCCCTTGGTCAAAGAGACCCCAGAAATACCTTAAAACTGAGTTTCTGGCCATGATGAGATGGGAGGAGGTTCAGACACATCTCATTATACTCCCTCATGTTTATGGTTTAGACACAACTGCCCAGCATTACTGTGAAATTAGCGATCATAAGACTGACATAATGGACTATTTGTGGCAATGAGATACCGAATTATAAACAGGACTGAAGGCCACAACAGGTAAGGGTTAAGTCACGCACCCTAAACTTAAAGAATAAACTGTGTTCTAACTGCCACAAGTTAATTTTTCTCTAGCAGCTAAATAAGCACTGACCCTCAAGCAATATTAAAATAATTGTAGCTCAACACCAGATACTGACTAACCTCCAACCCCTGTTCCACAAACCATAACTGCAGCTTTGATTGGACAAGAGACTGATTTCAGTAACTTTCTCCCGATAAGAAGACCACCTACGGTTTGTCAAGCTCCTGTAGGGCCAACATAACCATGGCAACCCTCAGTAGTATGTGAATGGTTGCAGGCCCCTTGCTGGTCTGTGAGAAGTCTAATTTCAAGTACAACAAGAAATGAAGCCAGCATCTAATGGAGAAGTAATGTCGCCTACACTAACATACGATACAAATATTGATAAAACTGTTGCCCTCCTACCAAATGGGAAATTAATTACTGGATACATACAGCTATGAAAAAACTGGACATCAAGATTGTCCATCTCTACCTCTGTGCCAAACTCTAGACTTTCATTAATAAGAATGTATCAATATTATTTCAGTCATTGTAACATTTACCACACTCATGTAAGATGTGATTACAAAAAGGATGCTGAGGTGGGGGAAGGGTGTATGAGAACTTTCTGTACTACTTCATCAGTTTTTATGTTAATTCAAAACAGTTTCATATAATGTCCATTAATTTAAAAAATATGGCAGCATTGTTCAGGAAGTGTTTCATTTTAGTTAATGTTTAACAAGCAGCTAAATATCTAAATACTACATTGAGATATTCTATGCTATTAAAACTGAAACAATTTTGAAGTTGTAAATGTATCTTCTGTAGTTGTAGCACTAGTGATTGACTTAATAAACTTAAATTTGCACACATGAAATAATATGGCATAGCAATTTTAGAGTTGTCTGAAATATGGGACGCTGAATAATCTAGAATTGTTATCCTTGAATGAACTTAACAATTTAATTTCCACAGTACTTTCAGTTGACTGCTTTCCGGGGTGCGCCTAGTTATGAGGCCAGTGGCAGAGTATTCTCTTCCTCAGCTTGGTGTGGACAGTAGATTCCCTTGATCCCTGAAGATCTACTGTCATACCCTGGAGGCAAGATGCTGGGAAATGTACTATGAAAAAGACAGTTTTTGACATCTTCCTGCCAAAGACCATAGAGAAATGAGTAATCATTTATTGACAGTTTAAATGTTTGACCCATTGTTCACCATCTGCATAGCGAAACCCCCTGAATCTCAGTTGGATTTTAACAAGAACCTGCAGTGTGAGTTGCACTCATAACCAACAGACTGACTATGTAGGCAAATACCTGTATTGAGATGAGACAATATAGAAATATTGGAGTGACCAAGAACACTGGGCCTGGTGCATAAAGATGGGGGTTCAAGTCCTACTTAGAAGATGCACAAACCTGACAAAGTTATAGAGACCTCTCTGTGCCTCAGTTCCCTGTTCTGAGGTATTGAAATGTTAATATGGCGTATGTTATAAGGCTAAAAATGGTGAAATGGAGGTAAAGCCTTTAGAAGACTGGCAATTCATAAGTGACCTAAAGTGTTCAATCATTATATGTCTAGAAGAATATGCCAGAACCTTGGTAGTTGTTGAATACAGAGAAGAAACGTGGGTGGCTCCAGGGGAGTGGAGGATGGGATTTTCTTCTTTTTTTCCATAGGTATGATGCTTTACAGCTCATGGAGAATATCTGTTATTTCTTGTGATGCTTACATCAGCCTGGAGGAATGCGCAGAGCAGGGGCTACAACCCATATTTGACAGCTCAGGGAAGTGAAATGGAGAGATTTGAAGTGGTCTGCCCAGAGTCACAGCACTGATGAGTGATGGATCTGGCACAAGAAGGTAATTGGTTTTCTGGGGACTGAGGTCTCTGAAGACCCAAGACCTTGAAATAATTCCCTGAACCCTGAACAAAGGGCTATTTTCACTTGCTTTCTCAACTGCTCCTACCCCAAAGTTGCTTCAGGAATCTGATGCCCTGGAAGAGGTGGCTAAGTCAAAAGAAGAGCTGAAACAGTAATAAAAAAAGAATCTTTCAACCTCTAGGTTTTAATCCCTGACCTCACCTTGCAGTATAAGCCACCTTATAATCAGTTGACCATCCTAAGGGACCATGGTCTGCTTGGCCCCGTATTAGTCCATCCTTGCATTGATATAAAGAAATACTTGAAACTGGGTAATTCATAAAGAAAAGAGGTTTAATTGGTTCATCATTCTGCAGGATGTAGAGGAAGCATAGTGGCATCTGCTTCTTGGGAGACTTCCAGAATCTTCCAATCATGGTGGAATGTGAAGGGGAAATAGGCATCCCATATAGCAGCAGCAGAAGCAAGAGAGAGTGAGAGCAAGATGCCCCACACTTTTATGCAACCAGATCTCATGAGAACTCACTTTTGCAAGGACAGCACCAAGGGGATGGTGCTAAACCATTCATGAGAAAACTACCCCCATGAGCCAATCACCTCCCATCAGGCCCCACCTCCAATGCTGGGGATGACAATTTAACATGAGATTTGGGAAGGGACACATATCCAAACTATATTATTCCACCCCTTGCCACTCCCAAATCTCATGTCCTTCTCACATTTCAGAATACAGTTATGCCTTCCCAACAGTCTCCCAAAGTCTTAGCCCATTCCAGCATTGTCTTAAAAGTCTGAAGTCCAAAGTCTCATCTGAGACAAGGTAAATCTCTTCCACCTGTAAAATAAAAAACAAGTTAGAGTTACTTCCAAAATACAATGGAAGTACAAGCATTGGGTTACAAACCCCATTCCAAAAGGGATAAATAGGCCAAAAAAAGGGGGCTACGGGCTCCACACATATTCAAAACTCAGCAGTGCAATCATTAAATCTTAAAGCTCAATAATAATTTTCTTTGACTCCATGTCCCACATCCAGGCCATTGGTGCAAGCAATGGGCTCCTGAGGTCTTGGGCAGCTCTGCCTCTGTGGCTTTGCAAGCTTCAGCCCCCAAAGCTGTTCTCATGGGCTGGAGTTTAGTGCTTGCAGTTTTTCCATGTGCAGGGTGCAAGCTGCCAGTAGATCTTCCATTTTGGGGTCTGGAGGATGGTGGCTCCACTAGCAAATGCCCCAGTACAGACTCTATGTGGGGGCTCCAACCCCACAGTTTTCCTCTACACCACCCTAGTAGAGGTTCTCTGTGAGGGCTCCACCCCTGCAGCAAGCTTCTGACTGGACACCCAAGCTTTTCCACACATCCTCTGAAATCTAGGTAGAGGTGCCAAGCCTCATTCACTCTTGCATTCTGTGCACCAGCAGACTTAACACCATGTGGAAGCCACCAAGGCTTATGACTTACACTTGTCAGAGCAGCAGCCCAAGCTACCCCTGGCCCCTTTAAGCCACAGCTGGATCTGGAGTTGCCAAGAGGCAGGGAGCAGTGTCCTGAGGATGTGCAGGACAGTGTAGGCCTGGGCCTGGCCTCCAAAACCATTCTTCCCTGGGCCTCTGATCCTGTGTTTGGATAGGCTGCCTCTGAGATCTCTAAAATGCCTTCAAGGCTTTTTATTGTCTGGGCTATCAGCACTTGCCTTCTTTTTAGTTATCAAATTTCTCTAGCAGGTGGTTACTCAGCAGCCCACTTGAATTCTTCTGACGATGGGCTTTGGGTTTTTGGTTTTTTTTTTTTTTTTTCCTACTGCATGGCCAGGCTCCAGGATGCAAATTTTCCAAACTTTTATTTGCTGGTTACCTTTTAAATAGAAGTTCCAACTTATTTCTTTGCTTCCACATCCCAGCATAGGCTGTTAGAAGCAGTCACACCAGTTTTTGTTTGTTTGTTTTGTTTTGTTTGTTTTGTTTTGTTTTTGAGACAAGGTCTCACTCTGTCACCCAGGCTGAAGTGCCATGGCATAAACATGGATCACTGCACCCTGGACTTCCCAGGCTTAGGTAATTGTCCCATCTCAGCCTCCTGAGTAGCTGGGACTATGGGCTCATGCCACTAGGCCAGGTATTTTTTTTTATATTTTTAGTCAGAGATGGGATTTTGCCATGTTTCCCAGGCTGGTCTTGAACTCTTGGGCTCAAGCTATCTGCCTGCCTTGGCCTCTCAAAGTGCTAGGATTACTGGCATGAGCCACCATGCTTGGCCCATGCCACTTCTTGAACACTTTGTTGCTTAGAAATTTTTTTTTGCCAGATACTCTAGGACATCACTCTCAAGTTTAAACTTCCATAGATCCCTAGGACTTGGATGGAATCCAGCCAAGCTCTTTGCTAAGGCATAACATGCGTGACCTTTGCTCTAGTTTCCAATAAGTTCCTCATTTCCATCTGAGACCTCATCAGCCTGGACTTCACTTTCTATATCACTATCAGCATTTTGGTCACAACCATTTAACCAATTTCTAAGAAGTTCTAAACTTTCCCTCATCTTCCTGTCTTCTTCCAAGTTCTCCAGACTCTTTCAACCTCTGCCCATTACCCAGTTCCAAAGGTGCTTCCTCATTTTCAGGTACCTTTATACTAATGCCCCACTCCTTAGTACTAATTTTCTGTATTCGGCCATTCTCACATTGCTGTAAAGAAATTCCTGGCTGGGCACGGTGGCTCACGCCTGTAATCCCAGCACTTTGGGAAGCCAAGGTGGGCAGATCACGAGGTCAAAAGTTTGAGACCAGCCTGACCAACATAGTGAAACCCTGTCTCTACTAAAAATACAAAAATTAGCTGGGCATGGTGGCATGCGTCTGTAATCCCAGCTACTCAGGAGGCCAAGGCAGGAGAATCGCTTGAACTCAGAAGATGGAGGTTGCAGTGAGCCGAGATCATGCCACTGCACTCCAGCCTGGGTGAGAGTGAGACTCTGTCTCAAAACAAACAAAAAACCCCCCAAATAAAACAACAACAACAAATTCCTGAGACTGGGTAATTTATATAGAAAAGAGATTTAATTGGCTCAGCGTTCTGAAAGCTTTACAGGAAGCATGATACGGACATCTGCGTGGCTTCTGGGGAGGCCTCAGGAAACTTAGAATCATAACAGAAGGCTAAGTGGGAGCATGCACATCACAAGGCCAGAGTAGGAGCAAGGTAGGAGGAGGTGTCACACACTTTTAAACAACCAAATCTCACTGTTGCAAGAGCAGCAACAAGGGGATGATGCTAAACCATTTATGAGACATACACTCTCATGACCCAGTCACCTCTCAACCAGTTGTCTCCAATATTGAGGATTACAATCCACCATAAGATTTGGGCAGGGACGCATATCCAAAC
The DNA here is from genome assembly GCF_000001405.40 of Homo sapiens. Lineage (NCBI taxonomy): Eukaryota > Metazoa > Chordata > Mammalia > Primates > Hominidae > Homo > Homo sapiens. Next base: position 42,568,558 of record NC_000010.11, on the reverse strand, counting down.
TGTATCAGCCCCCAGGCTGGCTCAGAACTCAGGACATTTTAAACCAATTGCCACTTGAAGGCTGTGCCAAGAATCAACTTCCATTCAACTGGCCAACCCTTCATGAGCAGCTAATTGAAATTAACTGAAAATATGGCTATCTGGGCTGATGCTTTAGTGGCTTAATGAATTAAATCTGTGACCCCAATCATCTCACTGGCTTAATCTGAGCAACTATCTGAACAACCTGGACTAAGGCATACTTGAGAATGGGAAGTGCCTAAGTAAAGTCGGTTTAAATAACTTGGAAGTCAAACCTGATGAAAAAGATACTTGAATTTAATTAGACACAGGCACAATGTATTCAAGGTCATGAGTGAACATTGTATTATAGAAGAATGTAAACATGAAAGCTAGCACCTTGAGCAGGTGGATATATGGCTCCTAGTATTAGGTTGGTGCGGTAATTGCAGTTTTTGCCATTGAAAGTAATGGCAAAAACCACAATTACTTGTGCACCAACCTAATAGCATGGGAAGTTTCCTGATTACATGCAACAATTCAGACATATCAAAAAGTTAAGAGTAAAAAATCATGTTACCCCTGAGAAAGAATTTATTTTTACCTTTGGGATCAATATTTTGGTATTATAACAGCAGAAATAGAATATGAGGGAAAAGTTAAAAGAGCTGATGGAAAAGTTGAAGTACAAAGTTACCATTCTAGCCAAGTAAAAAGATTTACCTTTTGAAGGAGAAAAGAAACAAAGGGTAATGATGTGTGATCTGTAAATAATGTGTAAAAAAATATAGTAAAGGTTGAACTTCTGAGATACAAATCTCAGAAGTTTTAAAAAGAAACAGATTTGAGAATTAAAAATTATTACTGTGTGTAATCTCATTGAGAACAAATCTTTTTTTTTTTTTTCTGGCTCCAAAGATCCTTTACTGATATCCACTTGAAACACGTCGGTCCTTAACTTGTTAACTGAGTAGACAGGCTGATGGCTGATCTAGGTAAAGGTTTCACGGTAGCAAAAACACTTCCTGCCTGTAATATATCAAAACAGGTTCCTAAATAATGTGTGTGAATGTCATCAGGGTCTCTGTCCCATCTTCTTCAGGGTTCGATTAAGCTCCTCCAATTTTTGGATCCGACGGATGAAGAAATCCCCATAGCGCCTGGAGACCTTGGTGTCCGCGATGTGGATCATGTCCTTATCAATGTAGAAGTCAACCTCTGAGGCTGACTGAAATTCACCATCCAGGATTGAGATGCCGCTGGTCCACACCAGGTTCTTCATCTTGTGTTTGAAGACAAGAAGCTGGATCCTGAACTCCTGCTCTGTGAGGTCCAGGAAGCCAGCCAGCTTGGCCACAGGCATGGTGGTGTAGAGCTTGAGGAAGCTGTGGATGGTTGAAAGCTGGGCCTGCTGCTGTACTTCATCAGAAAACACCTTCAGCTGCTGCAGGAAGGGCTCTTTGTGGTAGTTGGGGTGCACATTATCATAGTTGGGCACTACAGGCGACAGGAACTTGGGGCAGAAGTAACTGAAAAGTTCTTCATAGACTTGTGGGTCACCTTTCTGCATGCGCAGCATCTTGTCCCTGTGTTTCTTCTGCAGCTGGAGGTGAATGCTCTCATCGATACTCATGGGGTACACCGTGAGGGCAATGGCCAGCAGTGCATGCATCTGCTCATTCTGCTTGTTAATCATCTCATACTTGTATGTGGTCCTCTGGAACATGCTCTTGGTCCTCTGGATGTAGAGGAGGCTGTTGGCAAAGACCCGGATGGCATCCTGGTAGCGACACATCATCAAATATGCAAACCCAACATAATAGTATGTGGTGATCTGGCACTCTGGCACACGGGAATACATACTCTTTTTGTTAAGTTCGATGGGGAAAAAATCTTACGCTTATTTTTTTAAAAAAAATTTAGTTGGATATTAATGTATTTTTAATATTTTTATTTATTTATTTATTTATTTATTTTTATTTTTTTGAGACAGAGTCTTGCTCTGTTGCTCAGGCTGGAATGCAGTAACGCAATCTCGGCTCACTGCAAGCTCCGCCTCCCGGGTTCACGCCATTCTCCTGCCTCAGCCTCCCAAGTAGCTGGGACTACAGGCGCCCGCCACCATGCCCGGCTAATGTTTATATTTTTAGTAGAGACGGGGTTTCACTTTGTTAGCCAGGATGGTCTCTTTCTCCTGACCTGGTGATCTGCCTGCCTCAGCCTCCCAAAGTGCTGGGATTACAGGCGTGAGCCACCGCACCCAGCCGTATTTTTAATATTATGGCTAATTTTAATAAGACCTTATAAACAAATCTAATCCCAGTCAATCTTGACAGCAAAAGAATTTTGTAACCTTTTATAATATTTTTATAACCTTTTATAATATTTTTACAATTTTATATTAATATATGAATATATTTTTATTTTAATTTTTATAACTTTATATTTTTATTTTATAACTTTTATATCCATTTAATGTTATTTATCTTTTAAATTTTTCTTTAAAACAATCCCTCAAAACCTCTAAGCTAAGCAAAATTATGTTTCCCACCATGAAATTTCAGTTTCTTTTCCTAAAAATCTCCAGATTTAGACCACTCTAATATTTGGTTTCAGATTTTGACTTTTATACTCAGAAGACTTTGGTCTATAATTTCCCTTTCATGGAATGTCTCATACTGTATTTGGTATCAAGATTCTCCTCATCTGATGAAGACAGTGTGGTTGTGTTTTTTCTGTATCCTATGAAACATTGTGTACAAAAGTGTTTAGAAACAGTACATTTTTCTAAAAATAGGAAAATATTTAAGACAAAACGCTTGGTGGAAGAATCAAAAGTACAAATCAGTAATAATACTATAAAATATGTTCATAAATCCATAGACGAATTGGAGTGGGGGAAACAAAAAAATGAGGAAGAGATTTTGAGTACAAGTGAACTGGCCTATTTGAAGAAACCATGATCGGAAGATGAAAGTGAACATATCTCAGCAACAGTACATAAAATTCCCCATATTTGAGCGTTCTTTGTATGACATTCCGAAATTGACAAATGCTGTCAAACTTGAACCTCGAAGCTCACAGAGTGACAGTTAGAATGGAAGGCAAGATATGCTTCATCACATGATCACAGTGATAGGTCACTGTAGAATTTTCAAATGAATACATGCCACATTATGGGGTCCAACTGCTGCTATTTTGACATGGGTAAAAGGGTCACTTAGAGTATATGTTGCATTTCAAAAACTGAATCTCAGACCCACAGTATTATTCTCTGTGTATGAAATAAATGTTAAATGAGGAAAAAAGACCTCTCAATTATATTTGATAGTGAACATTTTAGAGTGAAGAGGGAAAAAGCTAATGTGTTGAGAATAAAAGGAGTTCCTTGCTTGAGTTGAAATGCTCTCCTCACCCATTTCTACTGTTCCTGAATCACTGGACATTTCTAGATTAAATAATTTAAAATTTGTTCCAGATTTAGTTTAAAAAGCACTATTATAAATTTAGTTTGAAAAAGTAATTATATAAAACCTTCTTTTATCACTTATGTATATTACCTATTTTTTCTCTCTATGCAACTAAGTTTATGTACTTATTTCTGAATCTCTGAATTTGTTGAGAGATCCTCTATTCATGTATGCATAAAAGGCTGGCTATTCACTGAGACATTAAGAGAAATGAAGCACTATATGTTCAACAGTGGGTTGTTTGAAAGCATATGATACTTTTTTAAATGGAGACTTCTGATAACCCTAAATTCCAGGATTAAAGATGTGTTGTGGCACATCAACCAGCCTGATCACACACATTCTTATGATCTGGTCATGAGAATTAGGAAAGGGAAGGGAATTGACAAGCCCTTTAAACATGCAACAATGGAAAATTCTAAAACATGAGAGAGTTGTCATGTCTAAAACAAAGTAGATACCCTTTTAGATATGAAATAGTTCAGTACAAATTTCCATCACTGCTGGTTCATTACAAGTTTCTAGAACTATTTTATCAAATGGGTCATTGATGAGATATAAAAACCGCATTAATATAGATGTTGCCATTTTTTCAGGGATTATTTAATTGACAGGGTAGTTGACAGGGTTTGGGAAGGAACGTGTAATGTTTCCTCACTCTGAGTATAGAGTTTTAATGGTTAATCGCTAGATAGAAAAATGTGTATGTGTAAGGCACCATCATAAACATACATATATATGTCCAGTGACAGGAATTTCATCACTGTCTGTCTCATATGAAATTTAAGATTTAGTGGTGAAACGTAAGAAAAACTAGAAAACAGAGTCACATCTCTGAATGCTCAATTAGGGGAGAAAATAAAAAGACTTGGTAATATATGAAGAAAATAGAATTATCTGATTGAAGGAACAGCATTCAAAGAGCAGATCAAACTTTCATTTGGTTGAGCAAAACACTTTCCTTCCTGCTGCCACCTGAGTGTCCGCAGTGAGTGAAGAGTAAGTGAATAAATATAAGCAAAGCCCTTAAAAAGCTTCCTCACAGTGTCAGTGCTATATGATTGTTTAATTAATAAATCTGGAAAGATGTGCAGAAACTTAACCATTATTACTTCCAGAGGCAGAACCTGATAGGCTGTGGAAGAAGGAAAGAAGGAAACCTAGATTTCAATGTATGTTATTTTGTGCCTTGTGAATGTCCTACAAGTGTGTTATTCTTGGCGCTTTTACCGTGAATTTTTTTAAAAGAAAGAACCACCACCGTAAAATAATGCATGAAACAACCATTTTATTTTGTTCATGGTTCACAGGGCTAGGAAGAAACAGAAAAGATGGCTTATTGCTGTTTATTGGTGTTTGGGGACTGCAGAGAAGACTCATTGGCCGGAGTTGAATCCACAGCAAAGGGTTGGCATCATCTGGAGGTGACTTCACTCACATGTCTGCAGAGGACATGGGGCTTGGCTTCAGGACCTATAGGAGACCTCCCAGTTACCCTGGGATTCCAGGTAGCAGAGCACTCTCAGGACATTCAGAGCTTTGACTTGGTGATCAAGGGCACCATAGGTGAGTGACCTGAGTGAACCAGGCAGATGCTCATGGCCTTTTTAAACATAACTTTGGAAGTTACACAGCATCACTTTCATGTCATGTGTCAGTGACAAGTGAGCACTAGTGTCCAGTCTGGTAAGGGTGGGCATAGACCCCCATATCTCAAAGGGAGAATAGCAAAAAAATTGCAAACATCTTTAAAAAGCCACATGGATATTCTAGTTTAAAACTACTCAGGTTTTTTTCTCTCCTGGGCTTCTCACCACAGCTCTGGGGTGATCTTAGGGCTTATGTTTCCTCCCCAACTTGGAGGCAGCAGAAAAAGGGACTTTGGTAGTGGTTGTGGCCAAGGGTCTTTTACTTATGTCCTGTTAGATCCACCCAAGAGTGATGCAGGTCAGCAATCGCCCAGTCTCACTTATAAGTGGGAGCTAAATAATGAGAACCCATGGACACAAAGGGGAACAGCAGACACTGGGCCTACATGAGGGTGGAGTAGGAGGAGGGAGAGGACCAGAAAAAATAATTATTGGGTACTAGGCCTAGTACCTGGGTGATGAAATAATCTGTACAACAAACCCCTGTGATACGAGTTTACCTACATAACAAACCTGCACATATCCCCCTGAACCTAAAATAAAAGGTTAAAAAAAAAGTTCTTGGTAGCTGAGATGCCTCTCAAATATGTGATAAAAGATTTGTTACTTTGTCACACAGGCCAGGGGTAAGGTAATTGTGGGTTTTACTTCTGCCTCAGTCCCTGTGAGTTGATTGACAAGTAAATGCAAATATTCAGGGAAACTTACTGAAGCGTTATGGGGCAATAAAAGCTAATGTCTGCCTTAAATGTTTCTCTATCAAGGAACCATTTAATTGACTCTGTTGAATTTAAAAATCACAAGATTTAGGCCAGGTGCGGTGGCTCACAGCTGTAATCCCAGCACTTTGGGAGGCAGAGACAGGTGGATCACCTGAAGTCAGGATTTTGAGACCAGCCTGGCCAACATGATGAAACCCCACCTCTACTAAAAATACAAAAATTAGCCAGGCATGGTGGCAGGTGCTTGTATTCCCAGCTACTCAGGAGACTGAGGCAAGAGAATCGCTTGAACCTGGGAGGCAGAAGTTGCAGTGACACAAGATCGTGCCATTGCATTCCAGCCTGGGTGACAAGAGTGAAACTCCATCTCAAAACAAAACAAAACAAAACAAAACAAAACAAAACAAAACAAAAACAATTCACAAGATTTAACTATTTGGAATGGAGAGGAGGCTTTATTTCTTATAAGGGGTTACAGCCTGCAACAGGCTGAGAAGAATGCCTCTGGCTAAGACCAGGGACTAGGGACAGGCACTTTGAAGGAATATAGGTTGGGGTAGGAGCATTATGCTGGACAAGTTAGCTAAACATACATCTTCAACAGGTTATAGGAGGAGCTATGAATATGCATGAAGGTGGTCCTGAGGCACATGTATTGAACCAACATGCATGTAATACATGACCCATGTTCACTTTGGGGTGGAGTCCTAACACTTGAATGTATTATAATTAGGCCCTATCAGTCAAAAGGTCTTTACAGGACACGAAGGCACTCAAGTGTGCAATCTCTGTAAAACCAGCCAGAACCAGTTCATGGTGGGTGGTCTTCTTATCAGGAGAAAGTTACTGAAATCAGTCTCTTGTCTAATCAAAGCTGTAGTTATGGTGCTTGGGACAGGAGTTGGGAGCCAATTAGTGTCTGGTGATGAGCTACAATTGTTTTTATTTTGCTTATGTCAAGGCCAGTGTTTATTTAGCTGCTAGAGAAAAAAGAAAAACCTTGTGGCAGTTAGACCATAGTTAATCTTTAAGTTTAGAGTGCTTGACCTAACCCTTGCCTGGCATGGCCTTAGGTCTTGTTTATAATTGATATCTCATTGCCACAAAAAGTCTGTTCTGCCAGTCTTATGATCTCTATTTTAACATTAATGCTGGTCAGTCGCTGTGTCTAAACCACAAACATGAGGGGGTATAATGAGACATGTCTGACCTCCCATCCCATCATGGCCAGGAACTCAATTGTAAGATTTTTCTGGGGTCCCCTTGGCTAAGGGGAGTGTCCTTCAGTTGGTGGGGGCTTAGGATTTCATTTTTAGTTTACAATTTCTGCAAAGGGAAAGGCTGCTGATAAACCTTAAACTTCCTGCACTTGTGTTTCAAAGCAATAAATCAGACCTCTTAAGTACTAATGGAGTTGTATACAATTTGTATGGTGGCCAGTTTCCCTTCTAGCCTGAAAGCCCTGTGAAGACAGAGTTCTTGGCTTTTTTATTCCTTAACAGTTTTCTTACTCCCAAATTAGCATGTAGCAGCAGGTACACAGATGAGAATCTCTTTCTTTGTTCCCCACAGTTTCTACCTTGAACAATTCTCCCTGCCAACATGCAGCATCATCCTGTAGCCTTATAGTTTCCCCAACATCTAATATATGTTCTTCCAGTAACTGGAGACTGAGATGCTGCAGGGCCAGACAGCTGTGTTCTTAGCCAAGTGACAAGCAAGGCTTTGTTGGGCTCTTTTTACATTATTCACCTTAGAGTCCAAGCTGAGCAACTCAAAACTATACACATGGGGCCAGAAAATCATCAGCCTCTGAGGGTCAGCTATATGATCTTACAAGAGCTCATTAGAGATGAAAAACTGCCTTGTAAATTCCAAAGCGTATCTCTAGCTCAAGATTGCCTCTCTTCATATTGTCTCCTTTTTTCCAGTGGCTCCAATAGACAAAAACTGTAGCAAAAATTGTTAATTTTGGGGACTTGTTCTGTTTCCAGTATTGAGAATTTAAATTCCAAGCTGCCCACTAGCTGCAAAAAGCAAGGAAGTTGTATCACCTTCACTTTCCGCTGCAGCTTTTCCTGATAAGTGTGTTCCCTCTAGAATTTATGAAATTGAAAGCATTTAACATTTTATATCAATTTTATCATATTAATACATCTAGATGTAATAGCCACAAAACACAAAGCCATTAAATTTTTTTTTCTGTTGCAAACTAAATCCATAGCAGTAAATCCAGCATTTGCAGTTAGGTTAGCATTACTGCTGTGGGAAAGATTCAGGTTGGAAAGCAGATGGGGGAGGGTACAGGGGGTGGTAAAGAAGGAGGCAGCTCTTGCAACAGGGCAGCAGCTGGGCTGAAGAAGAGGCTGGATGGAGTCTTGGTGCCCTCCCCACCCTCCCACCCTCCCACCCTCCCACCCCAGCTTTGCTCCAGCCCTGAGAACTTCTAACATTTTTGGGGCCACCTAACACTCACCTTTATAATTTGTCACTGTTGTTTTTTTACCCTCCCACCTGGAGAAGAGAATAAAAAACAAAGCCAATCCCCAGATGTATACTTTCCCCCTCACTTCATCCAGCACAGCTCAAAGAAGCCAGGGTTGGATCCATTTCTAACCCCAAAGGTCACTGTGGCTTCTAACAGCAGATGGCAGTTCAGCTGCTGCTCTCAAACCATGGAGGGCTCGATAGACACCAAGGCTTATCACCATTCCCCTTCATTCTTCCTTTTCCCAAACAGTGATGGAGCCAAATCTTAGTGAATCAGGACTGTTCTAGCAAATTCCACTTCTGGGCCAGGTGCAATGACTCACACCTGTAATCTCAGCACTTAGAGAGGCTGAGGCAGGAGGATCACTTAAGGCCAGGAGCTCAAGATAAACCTGGGCAACATAGCAGGACCCCATCTTTACAGAAAAAAAAAAAAAGAGCCCGGGATGGTGGCACGTGCTTGTAGTCCCAGCTATTCAGGAGGATACATACCTGTAGTCCCAGCTGAGGCAGGAGGATCACTTGTGCCCAGGAGCTCAAGGCTGCAGTGAGCTATGATTGTGCCACTGCACTCCAGCCTGGGTGACAGAGTCAGAAGTAAAAAAAAATTTGCTTCTGATGCCAACTGTATTGGGGATTCCCAAGAACACTTCTGGGCTAAACAAATTGCTAGGAGGACTGACAGGACTTGGCATATAGTCACAGTATGGCTACAACTTATTACAGCAAGGTCAGCAAAGGGGAGAGGTCACAGGGCCATGTCCAGAGGAAACCTGGTACCAGCTTCCAAGCATCCTCTCCTAGTGGAGCCACATAGGATGTGCTGAATTCCTCCAGCAACATGCTGTGACAACAAATGCAAAATGTTGTCACAGAAGCTCCTTAGAGACTCAGTGCCTGGGCTTTTTATTGGGGGGCTGCTCGTGTAGACACTGTCTATTGTGCAGAAATCAAGATTCCAGATTCCCAGAAAAAAAGCAGGTGTTCCGCAGAAACCATATTGTTTAGGTACAGTGAGCCATTTGATCAGTGAGGGAGGAGGGAACCCTTCTGAAATCCAGGTTCCCAAACCTTCCCAAAATTCACATTCCCAGATACCAGACAAGGATAGGATAGCCGTCTCAGGCCACTTCAAAGGCAACTCTACTTCAATTGATTTTTTTTCTTTTCTTTTTTTTTTTTTTTGAGAAGGAATCTCACTCTATCACCAGGCTGGAGTGTAGTGGCGCAATTTTGGCTCACTGCAACCTCTAACTCTCGGGTTCAAGCGATTCTCATGCCTCAGCCTCCGGAGTAGCTAGGGTTACAAGCATGTGCCACCACATCCAGCTAATTTTTATATTTTTTTTAGTACAGACAGAGTGTCACCGTGTTGGCCAGGATGGTCTCAATCTCCTGACCTTGTGATCCACCAGCCTCAGCCTTCCAAAGTGCTGGGATTACAGGTGTGAGCCACCATGCCTGGCCACTTCAATTGATTATTAGTTTGCAAGTTTGTAATGCTTTCAATGGTTCAACCCCTGTTTGATGTTAGTCCTGAGTTCAGACTTATGAGTGACAGACACGCTAAGGCAGCTGTGAGATTATCAAATTCACTCAGCTCAATTTTTGTCATGGTTGCTATTACCTATTTTTATTTGTGTATATTTGAATGCCAAATACCAAAATTCAAGCATATACTTTGCGATGAATTGTTTGAAAAGTGGAGATTTATTAAATGAGGAAAGATTCCTTTTGAAGCTTTTTGTGCAGTATGCAAAAATAGAGAAAGGCACCAGCACATAGTAACAGCTAAACATGGAAGATGTATGATTTCCTCAACTAATACTATATAAAGTGGTAAACAAATTTTTTTATTAAAAAGAATTCAAGACCGAGTGCGGTGACACACACTTGTAATCCTTGCACTTTGGGAGGCCTAGGTGGGTGGATTGCCTGAGCTCAGTAGTTCAAGACCAGCCTAGGCAACATGGTGAAACCTTGTCTCTACTAAAATTACAAAAAATTAGCGTGGCATGGTGGTGAGCACCTGTAATTCCAGCTACTCGGGAGGCTGAGGAAAGAGAATTGCTTGAACTTGGGAGGTGGAGGTTGCAGTGAGCTGAGATTGCACCACTGTATGATGGTGTCAACTGGGCAACAGAGCGAGACTGCCTCAAAAAAAATAAAAAATAAAAAGAATTCAGATTGAGATATAGTAATTGCAGTGGAAGTTGTAACTATCTGCCACACTATATAACAGGAGCAGTCTTTCAGCTCAAATGACAATTTGAAAGTACTACTGCTAGAAGTATTTTCTGATTTCAAAGATGCAATCAAATTTTGAAGAGCCAGGATGAAATCTACTGCAACAACAACAAAAGTAATAGCTTCACTATGATCACAGAGATGATCAATGATCTAAATGCCTCACCTATTTACAGCAGAGCCATGGATACAAGTAAGCACAAGGCAGAAGATATTTTCCCTTTGCTTCTGAACTGCTTTTGGTGGCGATAACACAAATACAAATTGTGGTTGATGTTTGCATAAAGGCACAGACATGCTTGGTCCAAGCTGAAGTACAGCATGAATGATTCCAACTTGTGGGCCGTCCGACCCACATTCTGCATCATGAGGTCCAAATAGCATCTGATGTTCTTTGCATTTTCATTGAAGTAACTGTCATAAAATTGTTCTCTTACTTCAGCATTTACACGATTAGAATTGAGTGATTAAAGGATTGTTTGATTTTTTTTGGCATTCAATATTCTTCATTTCCTTTGTAGTTAGAAACTCATTGGCTCCTGTAACTAACACAGTTGAGAAAGTTGTTTATGTAAAGTCTTGAAATATTTTAATTCTCAAGAAAAGATTCCAAAATTTTTGTTTACTTTAAAAATAATCCATTGATTGAAGTTTACTTGTTTTTTGTTCATGTTTTTTTTTTTTTTTTCACTAGGAAACAAATATTTTATTCCTTTTTTCTGTTGTTCAGACAGATCGTGATACAGAAAACAGCAGTCTGGCACAGAGGCTCGGTTGGTTGATTTCCACAGGCACATGGAGGACAGGAAGGGCGGGATCTTGTTTGAGCTCCCGCTGTCATTATGACCTTTGGCCTCTTCCTGTACCCTCTGCAGCAGTGCTGCATGGAGCCTACTGGGTCTCTAACCTACCTCACTCACCTCTCTGACCACTGACAGGCAGAGCAAAGGATGCAGGAGTTCTCTGCTGACCAAGGGGACATGGGCGGAGAAGCAAAGGCCCCTTACTCTCCCTCTGTCCATTCCAGTGTGCTGGCAGCAACAGAATGGGAATCCTTCAGTCATCACCTGCTGGAGACTCAACTTCAAGGACGGAAGCCTGTGTCCACAAAAACTCGGCTGTAGGTTGAAGTCTTAGAAGCAGGAAGGTTGGAGATGGGTGGGATACCAGAGCCCCTGTGGTTATTGCTGATAAGATATGTAAGGGCTACATTCCCCAAGGGCAGATTAGAAGCCCTGGGCCTGGGCTGGGCATGGTGGCTGACACCTGTAATCCCAGAATTTTGGGAGGCCAAGGTAGGTGGATTGCTTGAGGCCAGGAAAAACCACATCTCTACTAAAAATACAAAAATTAGCTGAGTGTGGTGCTGCCTGCCTATAATCCCAGCTACTCGGGAGACCCAGGCATGAGAATCCCTTGAACCCAGGTTGCAGTGAGCTGAGATCGTGCCACTGCATTCTGGTTTGGGTGACAGAGTGGGACTCTGGAAAAAAAAAGAAAAAAAGCAGCAGCCCCGGACCTGGAATCCCTGGGTGCTATGTGAAGGGCAGGGCAGATGGAGCCCCCTGGGGCTTCCCCAGGGAGAAAAATAACCGTGGAAGGGTATAGTAGCCTCCTGAAGGCAATGCTGGGCTTACAAACTCCTTGCTTTGCTTTGTATCTCTAATTGCTGATCTTCAGAACAGACTGAGGTTGGAGTGGGATAAGGAAGCGAGGTTCTTGTAAAAGGAGTGAAGAGACTCCATAAAGAAAGATGATGAAAGTGATGCAAACCTTCCCAGGTCCCAAGACAACTGGAGACTCCTGCCCATGCTCTAAAGGGAAGGAGCTAGACTCTCCAGGGAAAAAAGCAGACCCCCAGGAGTGAGAGGTGATGGGGGGCAGATAGGAGCAGATGGCCGCATGGCTCAGCCTCTGCCCAGGAAAGTGAGTCCACAGTTCACTAACTATAATAACCATGAACAAGTAGCCATGAACATTACAGTCAGCAAACACACACACAGACACATCACAGGAGTTGGAGGAGCCTGCAGGCTGCAGTGGTGAGGCAAGAGATTAGTTGGATCATCAGGTGGAGGAATGGTGTTAGAAGGGACAGGGAAGGGCATGGGGGGACACACAAGTTATTGGCTTCTCTTGGGGAAAGATTTGTTGCTGAAGTGGCTGTTTTCTTAAGCATCAACATTTGCATCTAAAAGTTCAAGCAGCTGCCTTCAGGTTCCAGAGGCTTCCCACTGGAAGGCTGCACTTCATTCAGCTCTCTGCTTTCTGGAGCTTTGTTGCATTTGCAGTGATGAGGTTCTCCACCTGGGCTTCCTCCTCTCCTGGGGTCCTGGGCTTCTGATTGAAACTGCACTTGCATCTGCAACCTAGGATAAGGAGGATCCCAATGGAGAAGAGGACCACAGCACATACCAACCCCCTAATCCTCAGGGTCTGGTAGTCATAATGAAAAGGGTCAATTTGCTTCTCCCTCTCAACTGCATCGGCCAGGACAATGTGGGCCAACAGGCTGCATAGAAAGATCAGCACCACCTCCATGGTGCCGGCACAGTCAGTCCCATCTGAGATGATCCCAGGAGGATGTGTCAAGTCCCAAGGAGGCTGGGAGTGGCATGTTCATAGTTTTCAATCTCTTTAGGGATAGGATTATACAAATTGAAAGAGCAAACAATGTTACTGAAATAATCCATGGCATAATGGAACCTGAACCATTAAAGAAATAATGGAGGCTGGGTGAGGTGGCTCACACCTGTAATCCCAGCACTTTGGGAGGCTGAGGCGGGTGGATCACTTGAGGTCAGGAATTCGAGACCAGCCTGGTCAATATGGTGAAAACTTGTCTCTACTGAAAATATGAAAAATTAGCCAGACATGGTGGCATGTGCCTGTAATCCCAGCTACTGGGGAGGCTGAGGCAGGAGAATCACTTGAATCTTGGAGGCGGCAGTTGCAGTGACCCGAGATCATGCCACTGCACTCCAGCCTGGGAGACAGAATGAGACCCAGTCTGAAAAAAAAAAAAATGGAATATTCACAAGTGTCAAGACTGTTCTTAAAATGGAAAAACATTAGGCCGGGTGCCGTGGCTCATGCCTGTAATCCCAGCACTTTGGGAGGCCAAGGCGGGCAGATCACAAGGTCAGGAGTTCAAAACCAGCCTGGCCAACATAGTGAAGCCCTGTCTCTACTAAAATTACAAAAATTAGCCAGGTGTGGTGGTACAAGCCTGTAGTACCAGCTACTTGGGACGCTGAGGCAGGAGAATCGCTTGAACCCAGGAGGCGGAGGTTGCAGTGAGCCAAGATCATGCTACTGCACTCCAGCCTGGGTGACAGTGAGACTCCCTCAAAAAAAAAAAAAAAAAAAGAAAAAGAAAAAAAATCATGAGCAGGAAAATAAATTGTGACTTGAAATGATAATCATTACTGTACTTGCCATGATGTCTTCTGAAATACATCTCATCCCTTGAATAAACTGACTCTTTTACGTGGATGGTACTAAATGCTTTTCCAGCATGGGAACAAGTGGGATTATCATCAGTGGTGGTAAAGAAGGGAATAGAAGCCGGGCGCGGTGGCTCACTCCTGTAATCCCAGCACTTTGGGAGGCTGAGGCGGGCGGATCACGAGGTCAAGAGATCGAGACCATCCTGGCCAACATGGTGAAACCCCGTTTCTACTAAAAATACAAAAAAATTAGCCAGGCTTGGTGGTGCACGTCTGTAGTCCCAGGTACTCGGGAGACTGAGGCAGGAGATTCGCTTGAACCCAGGAGGCAGAGGTTGCAGGGAGTTGAGATTGCGCCACTGCACTCCAGCCTGGGTAACAGAGTGAGACTCCGTCTCAAAAAAAAAAAAAAAGGAATAGAAATGGAGAAAAATGCTTCTGTTTTGGTCAGTGGACATTTATTTTTTATTTTTAACTTAAACTTCAATAGCTGTTGGAGTACAATTGGTTTTTGGTTATGGATGAATTATAAAATGGTGAATTTTGAGATCTTAGTGCACCTGTCACCCGAGTAGTGTACACTGTACCTAATGTGTAGTTTTTTGTTTTGTTTTGTTTTTTGAAACTGAGTTTCACTCTTGTTGCCCAGGCCGGAGTGCAATGACGCGATTTCGGCTCACTGCAACCTCCACCTCTCGGGTTCAAGCAATTCCCCTGCCTCAGCCTCCCAAATAGCTGAGACTGCAAATGTGTGCCACCACGCCCAGCTAATTTTGTATTTTTAGTAGAGACGTGGTTTCACCATGTTGGCTAGGCTTGTCTTGAACTCCTGACTCCCGCCTCCGCCTCCCAAAGTGCTGAGATTACAGGCATGAGCCACTGCGCCTGGCCATGTGTAGTTTTTTAAATCTCCGGCCTCCTTCCCACCAGCCCCCTTCTGAGTCTCTAAAGTCCATTGTATCACTCTGTATGCCTCTGCGTACTCATAGCTTAGCTCCCACTTATAAGTGAGAACGTACGTTTTTTAGTTATCCACTCCTGTGTTACCTCTGTCAGTGAACATTTTAAAAAGTTATTTTGATCAAGAGATCCAACATACTCCTGAAGAATGGAAAATGCAGGTTTGTCATAAAAGATGGTATTACGTGGTTTAACAAATAAAATTTGAAGAGCAATTCCGAGTTATCTTTACAACAGTGTACAGGCTGGTAATGCTCATGTCCAGCGTGTTTTCTCAGGGTGAGCGTCCAGTGGACCAGAACCAAGCAAGTGGAGCCACAGGCGCAAGTGGAGGTGGTGCCGCCGCGGCGCAGCGGGGCCACAGGAACCGACCGTGTCTGGAGAAATTCCACTCCTGAATTCTGCCAAACGAGGAAGTGTTGAGGACAGCCAAATCATCAGGGAGATGTAATTCATAAGAAACCTGTGTAATTTAAATACTCATAATTTATTTCAGCTAACGAATAAAATTGCAGTATTGCACTCGGTGCATCTGGGAACTAACTACCGAACGGCGCTGAAACCTCAGGCCGTTTCTAAAGGAGCGGCGCGAGGACTTCTGGGAAATGTAGTCTTCACTTTCTCAGGGAGCGGCGCGAGGGCTTGTGGGAAATGTAGCGTGTACTTTCTAAGGGAGCGGCGCGAGGACTTGTGGGAAATGTAGTGTGCACTTTTTGGCCCCGGTCGCGGGAGCCGCTTTGGGCTTTCTGCGCATGTGCGCGGTGTGGCTCCAGGTTTGTTTTTCTCCGGTACAGCCTGGTAGGGAGGGCTCCCGGCATCTCCCTGCTTCGGGGCAGAGGATGCCGGGGGTAGAGTACGGGAGGGCTGGAGCGAGGGTGGACTGGAGGTGCCGCTTGTCCTGGAGGTGGGAGAGAGGGAGCGGCTTTGCCGCCTGGCCTGCGTCCTAATCCTGTCCTGGTTCTTCTGCTCCCGAAGGGAACGTAGGTCCCGCGCCTGTGATAAGTAAGGTTGGATTTTCTCTTCCCTGAGGTGAAGGATGCCCGGAGGCCTCGGCAGGACCGTGCGGAAACGGGCCTTCTGCCCAAAAGATGCTGCTTCTCTCCTTATTCTTTCCCCTCAGAATCTCGCTGTCTCCTTCCAACCACCTGTGGTCGGCATCCCCGCGTTGTCACTGCGACGCAGAGGCGAGCGAGGTGGCGGGAAGCACCCGCGGGGCGGGGAGGGACCCTGCGGGCGCGGACTCCACACCAAGCCTCTGCTCAGCGTCACCCCGCTTGCTGTGTCCTCGCAGGTCGCAGCTTCATGGCCTGATGCCTTCAGGAAGTATTTTGAAGTCATCGTGGCTGTGGATTGGGGGATTTCTTGTTTCCACTGACCTGTGAGGCCGCGCACGTGGAGGGAGGCACCCCGGGTCCTCCGGCACTGTCCGGCCTCGCCTGTGTCCCTAGTAGCAGTGGGCATTTCCAGACGGTGCAGCTTGTGGCTAAAGTGACAGGAAGATGTAGGAGCTTTCAGTCTTGGATGAGGATTCGAACTGAAGGGCTTAGGCCCAGCTGTCTTGGAGCAAAACATCTGTTGTGGGGTGAGAAGGGAAAGGAGGGGTGAGGGTGCAGGGGCCCTCCTAGGAGGACATCGGACCTGTTGGGCCGAGACCTCATTAGAGATCTAGAGCACGGATGGGAGGAGCAGAGGCTCGATTTGTGTCCTGTTCAGACTCCCACAGGCTGGGTGATGGTGGGAGATTTGTGCCCATTCAGATGTGGCGGCAGAGGAGGGCAAGGCCGAAGGAGCAGACAGCACCGCTTCTTGGGGAGTTGTGAAGGCATCATGCGGAGGGCCGAGCTTAGCAGCCAAGTGGAGGACAGCACCCTCCATGCCTGGATTCGTTACTCGCTCGTTCTCGATGTTGAGCTGCTGGCATATTGCAGCACAACTAGAGATGTACGGATGCCCCCATCTTGATCTTACAGAATCAGAGGTGCAGCCGCAAGAAAGGTCTGTAAGTTATCTATTTCGGCTTTATTTAAAAGATGGGATGGGGTGGGGTGGACAGGAAACAAGCTTAACATGTTAAGTGACTGTTGACATTGACACATTTTGTTGTGGCAGAGTCAAGAACAGACACTGAGTCGCTTGAGGACTCAGGCAGGTGTTTGCTGCATTGACAACAGAGTAAGAAAAAATCCGTTTGCTTTTTAAAATCCAAAGATGGTTTTGAGAACCTGAAACCAAGTTAGAGCAAGTTCGTTTTCCTTCCAAAAAAACTGGGCTCTGCCGGGCGCAGTGGCTCACGCCTGTAATCACAGCACTTTGGGAGGCTGAGGCCGGCAGATCACGAGGTCAGGAGTTCGAGACCAGCCTGACCAACATGGTGAAACCCCGTCTTTACTAAAAATACAAAAAATTAGCCCGACGTGGTGGTGCGCACCTGTAGTCCCAGCTACTTGGGAGGCTGAGGCAGGAGAATCACCTGAACCCAGGAGGCAGAGGTTACAGTGAGCCAAGACTGTGCCATTGCACTCCAGCCTGGGTGACAGGGCAGGACTCTGTCTCAAAAAAGCAAACAAAAAAAAACTGGGCTGAAAAATACCACATCACTTTTTTCAAAACCTTGTTGGGATTCTCTGGTTTATAATAAAGATTAAAACCTGAATATTTTTGTTTAGCATCAGTTTTAATGAAAGTATTATGTTCCATTCTTTGGCTTTTCCTAACTTGCTTAATTAGTTTAATATATTGGTTTGCATACTCTGTTAGAGTACAGCATAAGTTGTTTATAAGTCAGTAGAAAACCAAACGTTTTCACATTTGAAAACTAATGTGTCCAAGCAGTACATAACCATGCCAGAGTCATGCATGGACGTGTGAGTATCTCCCTTTTAGAGATGTTTTGCCAGCTGGGAGGTGGACATTTTTAGGCAAGTGACATTTCTCATGTTCTTTTCTTGTTTGTAAGCTACACCCTCTCGGTTTTCTCTGCTCTGCCAACACTAGTGGAATATGATCACATCCCAGGTAAGTTGTTTATTTTTTCACAGTTTTGCTTAAAACTAATTATTGAGGTTTAAAAAATGTCTATACATTCATATGAAAGTAGAAATAACATCCTGGAAAATATAGAGGAGAGGTCACATTACAGTTCATGGGTCAAATGCAGCCTACTGTCTGTTTTTTTATGGTCCACAAATGAAGGATGGTTTTTATACTTTTAGGTGGCTGAGGGAAAAAAACCAAGAGTATTATTTTGCTTGGAAATTGTATGAAATTCAGACTTCATTGTCTATGAATTTTTATTGGGACTCAGCTATACTCATGTATTTATGTATTGCCTGTTGGTACTTTCACACTACAAAGGCAGAGTTGACTGGTTGCAGCAGAGACTGTAATGGCCTACAAGCCTAAAATATTTACTGTGTGACTCTTTACAGAAAATGTTTGCTGATTTCTGATAGAGAGTTGATGAAGAGTAAGACAAAAATGTCATATAGGTGAATGCAGATCTTGTGATCTTACAGTTGTGAAACTGGAACATAAAACAGTTTGTCGGTGGGCTTTATTAGGTGACATTGTGAAACTTCTGATGACAGTCTTGCAGGTACTTAAAAAAGTAGTACAACAAAGTGAGTAATTCATGTGCAGTCCAGGGGAAAACTTAACAGATAGCAAAAGAAAGTATATGATTAAAAAATTCAAATAGGCCGGGCACATTGGCTCACGCCTGTAATCCCAGCACTTTGGAAGGCTAAGGCGGGTGGATCATGAGGTCAGGAGTTCGAGACCAGCCTGACCAACATGGTGAAACCCTGTCTCTACTAAAATTACAAAAATTAGCTGGGCATGGTGGTGCGTGCCTGTAATCCCAGCTAGTCAGGAGGCTGAGGCAGGAGTATCACTTGAACCCAGGAGGTGGAGGTTGCAGTGAGCCGAGATTGTGCCACTGCGCTCCAGCCTGGGCAACAGAGTGAGACTCCGTCTCAGGAAAAAAAAAAAAAAAAAAAAAAATCCAATGAATTGTGTAGCATTAGGACTCATGGTTGTTTAAAGAAACAGTCCTGGTAGGCTAGGGTGATCATGGGTTGTTAGGATGTGGCAGGCTTTGTGACAGCCTTAGAGACTGGGCAGAACTGGAATATTTGCAATAACTTTCGAGGGATTCTACCTAAAAAAAAAATTGTGGTAAAACACACATCACATGAAATTCACAAGCCATTTTAAAGTATAGAATTCAGTGACTTTAGTACATTCACAATGTTGTACAACCATAACCACCATTTATTTCTGGAATATTTTCATCACACCAAAAGGAAACACATCACCCTTAATAAGCAGTATTGTAACTTAATAAGCAGTTGCTCCCTTTTCCCCGCTGTGCTCCCAGCCCCTAACAACCAATAATCTCCTTTCTGTCTTTATAGATTTGCCTATTTTGGATATGGCATATGAATGGAATCATACAATTTGTGTCTGATCTCTCACTTAGAATAATGTTTTCAAGACCCATTTATGTTGTAGTTGTATATCAGTACTTTGTCCCTTTTTATGACTGAACAATATTCTATTATATGGATATATCACCTTTTGTTTATCCATTCATCTGTTGATGGACATTGGGGGTCATCCTGTGTTTCGCTATTGTGGAGAGTGCTCCTATGAGCATTCATGTACAAATATTTGTTTGAATACATGCTTTCAATTGTTTTGGGTATATACGTACAAGTGAAATTGCTGGGTGATATGGTAATTTTACATTTAATTTATTGTGAAACCGACAGTTTTCCACAGCAGGGTGCTTTGCAATCCATAGGAATTTTTAGTTAGCTTTTCTATTTCTGCAAAAAAGTATGTTGAGTTTTTGATAAGTATTGGATTGGGTAAGTATTAGAGTGGGTGATAACACTTTGGGGAGTGTTATCTTAATATTAAATCTTATAATCAATGAACATAAGATTTTTTTTCCCTAGGTCTTCTTTCCTTCATTAATATTTTGTAGTTTTCAGTGTACAAGTGTTGCATATCCTTGCTTAAATTTATTAAATAGTTTTTCATTTAAATGCTATCGTAAATTATATGAAATTCAGACTTCAGTGTCTATAAAGTTTTATCGGGACTCAGCCATACTCATGTATTTATGTATAGCCTGTGAGTACTTTCACACTACGAGGGCAGAGTTGACTGGTTGCAGTAGAGACTGTGATGGCCCACAAGCCTAAAATTTCTTTTGTTTAAATGCTATTGTAAGTGGAATTGTTAATTTGCTTTTTGACTGCTCATTGTAATGAGTACACAAATAATTTTTGAGTGTTGATCTTGTATCTTGTAATTTTGCTGAATTTGTTTCCTACTTCTAGTAGTTTCTTTGTGGATTCTTTAGTATTTTCTGCATATAAGATCATGTCATCTGCAAACAAAACTATTTCATTTCTTTCTTTCTAATTTGGGTTTATTTATTTATTTACTTAGCCTAATTCCTCTGGCTGAAATTTTTAGTACAATGTTGAATATATGTGGCCAAAGCAGGCATCTTTATTTATTGTTAGTTTTTTGCTTTAGCAATCTTAACTATTTTTGGATGTACAGTTCAGAAGCAGTGTTAAGTATATTCATATTGTACATCTAATCACCAGAATTTTTTCATCTTGGGAAATTGAAATTCTCTACCCATTAAACAATAACTCCCCATTTTCCCCTCCTCCTTGCCCCTGGCAACCACCATCCTACTTTCTGTTTCTATGAGTTTCACTATTTTTGCTATATCTCATATAAGTGAAATCATACAGTATTTGTCTTATTGTGACTGGCTTATTTCACCTAGCGTAATGTCCTCAAGCTTCCTCAGTGTTGTAGCATGTGTCAGAATTTATCTCCTTTCTGATGTTGAATGATATTTCATTGTACCCATGTTTTGTTTATTCATTCATCTGTCAGTGGACATTTGGGTTCCTTCCTCCTTTTAACTGTTGTGAATAATGCTACTGTGAACATGGGGTACAACTATTCTTTGAGATCCTTCTTTCAGTTCTTTTGGTTATATACTCAGAAGTGGTATGGCTGGAACCTATGGTAATTCTATTTTTAATTCCTTGAGGAAACACCGACCTGTTTTCTACAGAAGGTGCACCATTTTACAGTCCCATCCTCAGTGTACAGGATTCTGATTTCTCCATATCCTTGCCAACACTCGTTATTTTCTTTTGTTGTTTTGATAGCAGCCATTGTAATGGGTGTATGGTAATTTTTCACTGTGGTTTTGATTTGTATTTCCCTAATGATCAGTGATGTTGAGCATATTTTCATAAGCTTGCTGACCATTTATATATCTTTAATGGAGAAATGTCTGTTCAAATCCTTTGTCCATCTTTGAATCAGGTTATTTTGTTTGTTTTGAGTTGTAGGGGTTCTTTATATATTTTTTATATTAATTCCTCATCAGATACATGAATTGCAAATATTTCCTCCTGTTGTGTTGGTTGTCTTTTCATTCAGTTAACTGTGTCCTTTGATGCACAATTTTTAAGTTTGATGTGGTCCAATTTATTTTTATTTCTGTTGCCTGTGGTTTTTGGTATTATATCCAAGAAAACATTGCCACACGAATCCATTCTCCTATGTGTTCTGCCATGAGTTTTGTACCTTTAGTTCTTAGATTTAGGTCTTTGATTCATTTTGAGTTAATTTTTTTGTTTTTGTTTTGTTTTGCATGTGGCTATCCAGTTTTACCAACACTATTTGTTAGAAAAATTGTCCTTTCCCTATTGACTGTTCTTGACAACTTTGTTGAAAATCATTTTACCATACATGCATGGGTTTTCAAGATTATTTTGGCTAGTTGAGATCCCTTGAAATTCTATGTAAACTTCAGGATGATTTATTTCTATTTCTGTTACTATGTCTTCTTTGTAGACTTAGTTTTTTTTTTTTTTTAATCAATATGTAGTGTTTTTCTCTTGTAACAATTTTTGATTTAAAGTCTCTTTTGTCTCAGTATAGCCACCCTGGCATTCTTTAGGTTACTATCCTCTTCTGTCATTTCAATTTCAACCTATTGTGTTGTGTGTTTGTATCTAAAGAGAGTGTCTTGTAGACAATATATACCTGGATCATATATTTTTATTTATTTTGCCAATTTATTTTTATTTTTATTATTTATTTTATTTTATTTTTTTTTTGAGACAGAGTCTTACTGCATCACCCAGGCTGGAGTGCAGTGGTGCGATCTTGACTCTCTGCAACCTCTGCCTCCAGCGTTCAAGCAGTTCTTCTGCCTCAGCCTCCCGAGTAGCTGGGATTACAGGTGTACACCACTACACCTGGCTAATTTTTGTATTTTTTTTTTTTTTTTAGTAGAGATGGGGTTTCACTGTATTGGTCAGGCTGGTCTCAAACTCCTGACCTCGTGATCCGCCCACCTCAGCCTCCCAAAGTGCTGGGATTACAGGTGTAAGCCACCATGCCCAGCCTATTTTGCCAATTTCTGTCTTTTAGTTGGGAGTTTAGTTTATTTACATTTAGAGTAAATTATAAACTGATAAAGGACTTATACCATTTTGCTATTTGTTTTCCATACGTATTACATCTTTTTTGTTTTCAGTTTTTCTGTGTATGCCTTCTTTTGTGTTTGTTTTTTTCTAATGTGCCATTTTAATTCCTTTTGTATTTGTTTGTAGTCATTATTTACCTAGTGTTAATACTTGGAATTGCAATTAGCATCTTGAATTTATAACAATCTAGCTTGCATTAATACTAACTAAGCCTTAATATTATATAAAAACTCTCCTCCTATACGGCTTTGTCCCTGTCCTTTGTCTTCTTATTGTCTCATTTTATGCCTTCATAAATAGCGTGCACATTACCATAGATTTATAATTATTGTTTTATGTATTTGTCTTTTAAATCATATAGAAAAAAGAGAGAACATAAAAGCCAAGAATACAATAAGACTGGCTTTTGCATTTACTTACAGTAGTTACTTTTACCATTTGAATTTTTTGTGTGTTTCGATTGGAGTTACTGTCTAATGTCCTTTTGTTTCAACCTTAAGGACTTCCTTTTGCATTTCTTGTAGGACAGATCTAGTACTAATAAATTCTCTCAGATTCTGTTGATCTAGGAATGTTTTAATTTCTCTTTCATTTTTGAAAGGCAGTTTTGCCAAATGTAGAATTTTTGATATATATTTTTTTTCTTTTGGCACTTGAAAGGTGCCATTATCCTACTGCCTCTGGCCTTCATGGTTCCTAATAAAAGTCTGGCTGTTAATCTTATTTCAGATCCTTTGTACATGGTTAGTCCCTTATCTCTTGCTACTTTTGAGATTCTTTGTCTTGTGACAATTTATTATTTCTCTCAGTTTGAAGTTCTTTGAGCTTATCCTAATTATAGTTTCTTGAGAGTCTTGGGCATAGAGATTCATGTCTTTCATCAGTTTAGAAGGTCTTCAGACATTATTTCTTCAGATATTTTTGGTTCCCTTTTCTCCTCTTCATTAGCAACTCTTGTTATTAACTTGTTGGTATGCTTGATGTTGTCTCATAGATCTCTTAGGCACTGTCCATTTTTCACCATTCTTTTTCTCTGCTCCACAGAATGAGTAATCTCCATCAGTGTCTTCAATTTTGCTGATTCTTTGTTCTCTTTGAGCTCCAATCTTTTATTAAATCCTTTGACTGATTTTAAAAAAATTTAGTTTTTGTACTTGTCAGCTCCAGACATTCCTAATTACATTTTTGTAATTTTGTTCTGTATATTAATATTTTATATTTGGCAGGGCATCGCTCACCTGCTTTCTGTTAGTTGTCTGGTTTCATTTAGCTTTTTGTGCACATTTAGAACAGTTGATTTAAATTCTTTATCTAGTAAGACCAATAACAAAGGTGTCTTTGAGGACAGGTTTTATTCATTTCTTTTTTCTGTGTGTCTGTGGGTCATATTATCTTCTTTGCATTCCTCATAATTTTTTATTGAAAACTGAACATTTTGAATATTAAAATGTGTTAATTCTAGAAATCAGATTCTTTTCCCCAGAATTTGTTGTTGCTGTTTATTTTGCATTGTTTGTTTATTTTGTGACTTTTCAAAACTATTTTTGTAAAGTTCTTTGTTGTACATGGTCACAGAAACCTCTGTTCCCTTAGTTTAGTGGTCAGTTTGTGATCTGACAGAGATTTCTTTAAATGCCCAAAGCCAAAACAAAACAAAAAACTATTCTGGTCTTTGCATATTTGCCCTGTTTTAGGGCGCTCTTGTAATGGTTTGCCAGGCCATTTACATCTCTGTGTAAAGCTTTACTTCCTGCTTACACTGAGCCTGAAGGTCAACCAGACTGAAAGCTTAGGTTCCTCTCAGGTTTTTTGTGAGCGTGCATATTGCCCTGGCCTTGCACATGACCTCAATTCCCTGGTTTATGCAGGAGCTTTTCAAACCCCTTATCCCCACCCCGGCCCCCATGTATTTCCTTCCCAGTTTTTCCACTCCCAGTTTTATCAGTCCATCTGCTGCTTTTCTCATCTGGCTGCTGAGGCCAGATAATTGCCTTTAAATGCTTTCAACTAGCACTTCCTGGAAGACTAGCCCTGAGAAAGTTCCAAGGCAGGCAAAACAAAGACAAGCCTGTGAGCCACTTCTTCAGAGAGCCCGCATAGACAGATCAAAACACACAACTACAGTTCTCTGAAAACAAAGTGCATACTGTCCACTTTGGCACAGGCATCAGCAAGCCACGCCAGAAATGTTCTGGGCTTACTAGGTTTTTAATTAGATTGGAGAATTCTGAAAAGCTTGATGCTGAGAGGGTTTTTTTTGTTTTTCCAGCTTAATTGTTGCTTTAGTTTGGGATGGAATTTTGGAATTACCTATTCCATTTTCAGCCTGCTTCCCACATCAATTTTTGAGTAATTACTCTGTGGCACAACAGATATGCCTGGCCCATCTTGTCCTTTTCCTGCACTACCTTTGCCATCAGCCATTTCTCCAAAGGACATTGTTCTTTCTAGTGGAGGATGGAATTTAAAAACCAAGATCTGGGTGCTCATTGCTAGAGGCTGTCACTGCCTCAGACCCTCTCAATTGACAGAGATAGGAAATACATGTATGTATGTGTACATACACATACACAGAAATACACATGTGTACACTTATTTTTGTATTGGTCTGTCTATACATATTTTTTAAACAATGAGTTTACATAGACATTTCCCAGTTTCAATCTTAACCCCATAGCCTTTCTGTTTTCCATCTTTGTAACTTCTTTCTCCAATAGTGAGAAACCAGGCTATATCATTATCCACAATATTTATTTGCTCCTTCTCCCTGTTTGTATC
Source organism: Homo sapiens (assembly GCF_000001405.40). Classification (NCBI taxonomy): domain Eukaryota; kingdom Metazoa; phylum Chordata; class Mammalia; order Primates; family Hominidae; genus Homo; species Homo sapiens. The sequence continues at coordinate 42,543,255 of NC_000010.11, read as the reverse complement.
CAATCTTTTTTTTTTTTTTTTGAGATGGAGTTTCACTCTTGGTGCCCAGGCCAGAGTGCAATGGCATGATCTCAGCTCACTGCAACCTCCACCTTCTGGGTTCAAGCGATTCTCCTACCTCAGCCTCTGAAGTAGCTGGGATTAGAGGCATGTGCCACCATGACTGGATACTTTCGTATTTTTAGTAGAGACGGGGTTTCTCCATGTTGGTCAGGCTGTTCTCGAACTCCCAACCTTAGGTGATCTGCCCGCCTTGGCCTCCCAAAGTGTTGGGATTACAGGCATGAGCCACTGCGCCCAGCCTGTATCTAATCTCTTAAACCTGCCAGTGCTACCTGTCTCCTCAGCTCTGGTTTGATCCCTTAGATCACCATCTTCCTGGAATTATCCATACTTGCTATATTAAATATTCAAATCAGATTTGATGTATTAAAAAATTTTAGAAGTTAAAAGGGGCCATTTGACAAAGTCTTATTTTTGGAAAAACATTATTACTTTATGTAAGCTTATCAAAAATAAAATTTCTGCTTATTGGCAGCACAGTATCTAAACCTGTCTCTCCAGGTTGTGAAGCCACTACTTTGTCCATTAAGTTATAAGGACACTTATCTCATTCATGAAGGAAGGCAGAGCTTCCTAATCACCTCCTAAAGGCCATGCCTCTTCATACTATTGCAATGGTATTAGATTTCAACATATGAAGTTGTGAAGGGCACAAACATTCAGACCATAACACTTAAGTATTTTATTCTACTGGATACTATCATAAATGGGATTATTTTCTGAATTTCCTTTTGGATAGTTCATTGTTGGAGTTTTTTTTTTTACAGAAAACCTAATTGTTATGTGTTGATTTTGTACTCTGCAACTTCGCCGAAACCATTTGTTAGCTCATAGTTTTTTTGTGGATTATTTGCTAAATAATGTTATCTGCAAATAGAGTAGTTTTACTTCTGCCTTTCAATTTGAATGTCTTTTATTTCTTTTTCTTGCCTATTTGCTCTGGCTAGAACTTTTAATACAGTGTTGAATTGCAGTGGTGAAAGCACTATGCTTTGCCTGTTCATGATCTTAGAGGGGATGTTTCAGTCTTTCACTATGGAGTATGTTACCTGTGAGTTTTTTATATATGCACTTTATTATGTTGAAGAACTTTGCTTCCTTTCCTCTGTTTTCTGACTTTTATTATCCTTGAATGGTATTGGGTTTTGTATTTTTTTCTGCCTCATTGATATGATCACGTGTTTATTCATTTGTTTTATTAATGTGGTGTCTTACACTGATTAATTTTCTTATATTGAACCACTCTTGCATTCCTGGGATAGATCCAACTTGGTCATAGTATGTAATGTTTTTAATATGCTGCCAAATTTTGTTTGCTAGTATTTTATAATTTTTTACATCTGTATTCATAAGGGATATTAGCCTGTAATTTTATTTTCCTGTGAAGTCTTTTTTTGGCTTTGGTATCAAGATAATGCTGGCCAGCATTATAAAACTCATGGGAATTAGTTAGGAAGTATTCCCTTCTAATTTTTGGAAATGTTTGAGGAAGATTAGTATTACTTCTTTAATTTGATAGAATTGACCAGTGAAGCCATCTTACGCTGGATTTTTTTCCCTTGGGCAGTTTTTTAAAAAATTACTGATACATCTCTTTACTTGTTATAAGTATGTTGAGATTTTCTGTTTCTTCTTGAGTCAGTTTTAGTAATGTGTGTGCTTCTAGGAAATGTGTCTATTTCATTGAGTTACTTAATTTATTAGTGTACAGTTGTTCATAGTATTCTCTTATAACCCATTTTTTTTTGTAATGTCACTTTCATTGCTGATTTTAGTCCTTTGAATTTTTTTTCTTTAGTCAATCTAGCTAAAAGCTTATGAATTTTGTTCTATTTAAGGAATCAGCTTTTGGATTTTTTGGTTCTCTGTAGTTTTCTATTTTCTGTTCACTTATCTTTGCTGTAATATGTATTATATCCTTCCTTCTGCTAGCTTTGGGTTTAGTTTGATCCTTCTTTGCTAGTTGCTGAAAGTGTAAAGTTATTGATTTCTTTCTTTTTGAAAATAGGCATTTATTGCTATAAATCTCCTTATAGGCATATTCTTGGCTGCATCCCATAAGTTGTGATACAGTCTCTTTACTTTTTCACCTGTTTCTAAGTATTTTTAAATTTCCTTTGTGCTTTCTTATTTGATCATTAAACTTTAATATCCACGTTAAAAATTTTTTTCTATTACTGATTTCTAGCTTTATCCTATTATGGTCAGAAAATATATATATATTTTTATTATTTCAGTCTTTTTAAATTTACTGAGATTTATTTTGTGCCCTAATCTGTGGGCTTCCCTGTACAATGTTTCTTGTGCACTTGAGAATAATGCATATTTTGCTATTGGTAGGTAGAGTATTCCACATACTTCTCTTAGGCCTACTTGGTTTATACCATTATTCAAATACTCTGTTTTCTTACTGATCTTCTGTCTGGATATTCTATCCATTAATGAAAGCAGAGCAATGAAGTGTCCAACTATTATTACCGAACTCTGCATTTCTTCATTTAAATCTGTCAGTGTTTGCTTTATATGTTTGGTTCTATTTTCTTTGATCTACGTATGTTTGCAATTGATTTTTTTTATTAACACTTTTCCAGTTGTATAATGTCCTTCTTTGTCTCTTATAACAGTTTTTTACTTAAAGTCTGTTTTTTTTTGTTGTTGTTTTTTGTTTTTCTAGTATTAGTGTAGCTACCCAGCACTCTTTTGGTTATTATTTGCATAAATATCTTTCTTCACCCTTTCGCATTCAGCTTACTGGCTTTGGATCTACTATGAGTTTCTTGGAGACAGCTTATGGTTAGATCTTTTTCTTTTGTTCCCCTTATTTTCTGTTTATAATTTTTATGGATACATAGTGAGTATATATATTTATGTGATTTATATACATGAGATATTTTGATATAGGCCTACAATGTGTAAAATCACATCAGAGTGAGTGGGGTATCCATCAACTACAGCACTTATCCTTTCTTTGTGTTACAATCAAATTATACTCTTATTTTAAAATGTACAATAAATTATTTTGGGGATTTGTGTCAAGATGGCCAAATAGGAACAGCTCTGGTCTGCAGCTCCCAGAGAGATTGACGCAGAATGCGGGTGATTTCTGCATTTTCAACTGAGGTACTTGGGTCATCTCACTGGGACCAGTGGGACAGTCAGTGCAGCCCATGGAGGGTGAGCCGAAGCAGGATGGGGCGTCGTCTCACCCAGGAAGTGCAATGGGTCTGGGAACTCCCTCTCCTAGCCAAGGGAAGCCATTAGGGACTGAGCCATGAGGAATGGTGCACTCTGGCCCAGATACTGCACTTTTCACACACTCTTCACAACCTGCAGACCAGGAGATTCTCTCTGGTGCCTATGCCACCAGGGCCTGGGTTTCAAGCACAAAACTGGGCAGCCGTTTGGGCAGACACCAAGCTAGCTGCAGGAGCTTTTTTTTCATACCCCAGTGGTGCCTGGAACACCAGTGAGACAGAACCATTCACTCCCCTGGAAAGGGGGCTGAAGCCAGGAGCCAGTGGCCTGGCTCGGCAGGTCCTACCCCCACGGAGCCCAGCAAGCTAAGATCCACTGGCTTGAAATTCTCACTGCCAGCCCAGCAGTCTGAGCTCAACCTGGGATACTCGAACCTGGTGGGAGGAGGGCCATCTGCCATGGCTGAGGCTTGAGTAGGCAGTTTTACCCTCACAGTGTAAACAAAGCTGCCTGGAAGATTGAACTGGGTGGAACACACCACAGCTCAGCAAGGCTGAGACTGCCTCTCTAGATTCCTCCTCTCTGGGCAGGGCATCTCTGACAAAAAAGGCAGCATCCCCAGTCAGGGGCTTATAGATAAAAGCCCCATCTCCCTGGGATAGAGCACCTGGGGGAAGGGGCGGCTGTGGGCACAGTTTCAGCAGACTTAAAGGTTGCTTCCTGATGGCTCTGAAGAGAGCAGCAGATCTCCCAGCACAGCGTTCAAGCTCTGCTAAAGGTCAGACTGCCTCCTCAAATGGGTCACTGACCCCCATGTCTCCTGACTGGGAGACACCTTCCAGTAGGGGCCAACAGACACCTCATACAGGAGAGCTCCAGCTGGCCTCTGGCAGGTGACCCTCTGGGACAAAGCTTCCAGAGGAAGGAACAGGCAGCAATCTTTGCTGTTTGGCAGCCTCTGCTGGTGATACCCAGGCAAAGAGGGTCTGGAGTGGAACTCCAGCAAACTCCAGCAGACTTGCAGCAGAGGGGCCTGACTGTTAGAAGGAAAACTAACAAACAGAAAGGAATAACATCAACATCAACAAAAAGGACATCCACTCAGAGACCCCATCTGAAGGTCACCAACATCAAACACCAAAGGTAAGGAAATCCATGAAGATGGGGAGAAACCAGTGCAAAAGGCAGAAAATTCCAAAAACCAGAATGCCTATTCTCCTCCAAAGGATCACAACTCCTTGCCAGCAAGGGAAGAAAACTGGATGGAGAATGAGTTTGACAAATTGACAGAAGTAGGCTTCAGAAGGTAGGTAATAACTAACTACTCCACGCTAAAGGAGCATGTTCTATCCCAATGCAAGGAAGCTAAGAACATTGAAAAAAGATTAGACGTATTGCTAACTAGAATAACCAGTTTAGAGAAGAACATAAATCACCTGATGGAGCTGAAAAACACAGCACGAGAACTTCATGAAGCATACACAAGTATCAATAGCTGACTCAATCAAGCAGAAGAAAGGATATAAGAGATTGAAGATCAGATTAATGAAATAAAGTGAGAAGACAAGATTACAGAAAAAAGAACAAAAAGGAATGAACAAAGCTTCCAAGAAATATGGAACTATGTGAAAAGACCAAATCTATGTTTGATTGGTGTACCTGAAAGTGACGGGGAGAATTGAACCAAGTTGGAAAACACCCTTCAGGATATTATCCAGGAGAACTTTCCCAACCTAGCAAGAGAGGTCAACATTCAAATTCAGGAAATACAGAGAATACCACAAAGATACTCCTTGAAGAGAGCAACCCCAAGACACATAATCATCAGATTCAGCAAGGTTGAAATGAAGGAAAAAATTTTAAGGGCAGCAAGAGAGAAAGGTCAGGTCACCCACAAAGGGAAGCCCATCAGACTAACAGCAGATCTCCCTGCAGAAACCCTACAAGCCAGAAAAGAGTGGGTGCCAATATTCAACATTCTTAAAAGAATTTTCAACCCAGAATTTCATATCCAGCCAAACTAAGCTTCATAAGCGAAGGAGAAATAAAATCCTTTACAGACAAGCAAATTCTGAGAGATTTTGTCACCACCAGGCCTGCCTTACAAGAGTTCCTGAAGGAAGCACTAACCGTGAAAAGGAACAACCAGTACCAGCCACTGCAACAACATACCAAATTGTAAAGACCATTGACACTATGAAAAACCTGCATCTACTAATGGGCAAAATAACCAGCTAGCATCATAATGACAGGATCAAATTCACATATAACAATATTAACCTTAAATGTAAATGGGCTAAATGCCCCAATTAAAAGACACAGACTGGCAAATTGGATAAAGAGTCAACACCCATCAGTGTGCTGTATTCAGGAGACCCATCTCATGTGCAAAGACACACATCAAAATAAAGGGATGGAGGAATATTTACCAAGCAAATGGAAAGCAAAAAAAACAGAGGTTACAATCTTAGTCTCTGATAAAACAGGCTTTAAAACAATGAAGATCAAAAGAGACAAAGAAGGGCATTACATAATGGTAAAGGGATCAATGCAACAAGAAGAGCTAACTATCCTAAATATATATGCACTCAATACAGGAGCACCCAGATTCATAAAGCAAGTTCTTAGAGACCTACAAAGACACTTAGACTCCCACACAATAATAGTGGGAGACTTTAACAGCCCAGTCTCAATATTAGACAGTTCAACAAGACAGAAAATTAACAAGGATATTCAGAATGTTAACTCAGCTCTGGACCAAGCAGACCTAAGACACATCTACAGAACTCTCCCACCCAAATCAACAGAATATATATTATTCTCAGCACCACAACATATTTATTCTAAAATTGACCACATAATTGGAAGTAAAACACTCCTCAGCAAATGCAAAAGAATGGAAATCTTAACAGTCTCTCAGAACACAGTGCAATCAAATTAGAAATCAGGATTAAGAATCTCACTCAAAACTGCACAATTACATGAAAACTGAACTACCTGCTCCTGAATGACTGCTGGGTAAATAATGAAATTAAGGCAGAAATAAAGAAGTTATTTGAAACCAATGAGAACAAAGACACAACGTACCAGAATCTCTGGGACACATTTAAAGTAGCGTCTAGAGGGAAATTTTTAGCACTAAATGCCCACAACAGAAAGCAGGAAAGACGTAAAATAGACACCCTAACATCATAATTAAAAGAACTAGAGAAGCAAGAGCAAACAAATTCGAAAGCTAGCAGAAGACAGGAAATAACTAAGATCAGAGCAGAACTGATGGAGATAGAGATACGAAAAACCCTTCAAAAAATCAATGAATCCAGGAGCTGGTTTTTTGAAAAGATCAACAAAATAGAATAGCCAGAAGAATAAAGAAGAAAAGAGAGAAGAATCAAATAGATGCAATAAAAAATGATAAAGGGGCTATCACTACTGATCCCACAGAAATACAAACTACCATCAGATAATACTATAAACACCTCTATGCAAATAAACTAGAAAATCTAGAAGAAATGGATAGATTCTTGGACACATACACCCTCCCAAGTCTAAAGCAGGAAGAAGTCAAATCCCTGAATAGACCAATAACAAATTCTGAAATTGAGGCAGTAATAGCCTACCAACCAAAAAAGGTCTAGGACCAGACGGATTCACAGCCAGATACTACCAGAGGTACAAAGAGGAGCTGATACCATTCCCTCTGAAACTATTCCAAGTAATAGAAAAAGAGGGAATCCTCTCTAACACATTTTATGAGGCCAGCATCGTCCTGATACCAAAACCTTGCAGGGACACAACAAAAAAAGAAAATTTCAGGCCAATATCCCTGAAGAACATCTATGCAAAAATCCTCAATAAAATACTGTCAAACCAAATCCAGCAGCACATCAAAAAGCTTATCCACCACAATCAAGTTGGCTTCATCCCTGGGATGCAAGGCTGGTTCAATATAGGCAAATCAATAAACATAATCCATCACATACACAGAACCAATGAAAAAAACCACATGAATATCTCAATAGGTGCAGAAAAGGCCTTTGACAAAATTAAACACCGCTTCATGCTAAAAACTCTCAAAAAAACTAGGTATTGATGGAATGTATCTCAAAATAATAAGAGCTATTTATGACAAACTCACAGCCAATATACTGAATGGGCAAAAACTGGAAGCATTCCCTTTGAAAATCAGCACAAGACAAGGATGCCCTCTCTTACCACTCCTATTCAACATGATATTGGAAGTTCTGGCCAGGGCATTCAGGCAACAGAAAGAAATAAAGGGTGTTCAGATAGGAAAAGAGGAAGTCAAATTGTCTCTGTTTGCAGATGACATGATTGTATATATAGAAAACTCCATCGTATCAGCCCAAAATCTCCTAAAGCTGATAAGCAACTTCAGAAAAGTCTCAGGATACAAAATCATTGTGCAAAAATCACAACCATTCCTATACACCAATAATAGACAAACAGAGAGCCAAATCATGAGTGAACTCCCATTCACAATTTCTACAAACAAAATTAAATACCTTGAAATACAGCTTACACAGGATGTGAAGGACCTCTTCAAGGAGAACTACAAAACACTGCTCAAGGAAATAAGAGAGGACACACACAAATGGAAAAACATTCCATGCTTATGGATAGGAAGAATCAGTATCATGAAAATGGGCATACTGCAAAGTAATTTATAGATTCAATGCTATCCCCATCAAGTTACCATTAACATCCTTCACAGAATTAGAAAAAACTACTTTAAATTTCATATGGAACCAAAAAAGAGCCCAGATAGCCAAGACAATTCTAAGCAAAAAGAACAAAGCTGGAGGCATCACACTACCTGACTTCAAACTATACTACAATGCTACAGTAACCAAAACAGCATAGTACTGGTACCAAAACAGATATATAGATCAATGGAATAGAACAGAGGCCTCAGAAATAACACCACACGTCTACAACCATCTGATCTTTGGCAGACCTGACAAAAACAAGCAATGGGAAATTGATTCCCTATTTAATAAATGGTGTTGGGAAAACTGGCTAGCCATATGCAGAAAACTGAAACTGGACCCTCTCCTTACACCGTATACAAAAATTAATTCAAGATGGATTAAAGACTTAAATGTAAGACCTAAAACCATAAAAACCCTAGAAGAAAACCTAGACAATACCATTGAGGACATAGGCGTGGGCAAAGACTTCATGACTAAAACACCAAAAGCAATGGCAACAAGAGCCAAAATTGACAAATGGGATCTAATTAAACTAAAGAGCTTCTGCACAGCAAAAGAAACTATCATCAGAGTGAACAGGTAACCTACAGAATGAGATAAAATTTTTGCAATCTATCCATCTGACATAGGTTTAATATCCAGAATCTACAAAGAACTTAAACAAATTTACAAGAAAAAAACAACCCCATCAAAAAGTGGGTGAAGGATATGAACAGACGCTTCTCAAAAGAAGACATTTATGTGGCCAACAAACATACGAAAAAAAGCTCATCATCGCTGGTCATTAGAGAAATGCAAATCAAAACCACAATGAGATACCACCTCCCACCATTTAGAATGGCGAGCATTAAAAAGTCAGGAAACAACAGATGCTGGAGAGGATGTGGAGAAATAAGAACGATTTTATACTGTTGGCGGGAGTGTAAATTGGTTCAACCATTGTGGAAGACAGTGTGGTGATTCCTCAAGAATCTAGAACCAGAAATACCATTTGACCCAGCAATCCCATTACTAGGAATATACCCAAAGGATTATAAATCATTCTACTATAAGGACACTTGCATATGTATGTTTTTTGTGGCACTATTCACAATAGCAAAGACTTGGAATGAACCTAAATGCCCATCAATGATAGACTGGATAAGGAAAATGTGGTACATATACACCATGGAATACTATGCAGCCATAAAAAAGGATGAGTTCATGTCCTTTGCTGGGACATGGATGATGGTGGAAACCATCATTCTCAGCAAACTAACACAAGAACAGAAAACCAAACATTGCATGTTCTCACTCATAAGTGGGACAGTGAGAACACATGGACACAGGGAAGGGAACATCTCACACCAGGGCCTGTTGGAGGGTGGTGGGGTAGGGGAGAGATAACATTAGCAGAAATACCTTATGTAGATGATGGGTTGATGGGTGCAGCAAACCACCATGGCACATGTATACCTATGTAACAAACCTGCATGTTCTGCAAGTGTACCCCAGAACTTAAAGTATAATAAAAAAAATTGTTGACTATAGTCACCCTGTTGTACTATCAAATACTCGATCTTATTCATTCTAATTACATTTTTGTATGCATTATTTGAAGAAATTTGTCCACTCTGCCAATCTCTGCCATTTTTCTTATTTATTTAATCCTAATTTCTCTTTTAAGACCAAATCCAGATGAAAACTTGGCTTATAATCTTTTAACAGTTCCCTTGTTTGTTGTGAATCACATTTCAACCCAAAGGATTCCCTTTAGCATTCCTTGCAGAGTAGATCTAGTAAAAACATACTCCCTTAGCTTGTGTTCATCTGGGAATGTCCTCATTATTGACAGGCATGTTTCCCATGCATAGAATTCTCAGCTGACAGCTTTTTCTTTCAGCACTTTGAATATATCAATCCAGTGCCTTCTAACCTCCAAGGTTTCTGCTGATGATCTTTTTGAGGTTCTTTTGTATATGACAAATTGCTTCTCCTTTGCATTTGATTCTCTGTCATTTTTTTTTTCTGACTGTTTGCTTATAACATGACTTGGTGGATGTATTTGAGTTTATTTTGAGTTTATTGTGCTTCCTGGATGTGTAGATTTGTGTCTTTCACCAAATTTAGGGAGTTTAATTTTGGCTTTTCGGCAAATACTCTATTTCCTTGTCTCTCTTGTATTCTTCTACATTTCCCATAATGTTTTTGCTGGTCAGCTTGATGGTGTCCCATAGGTCCTTTGGGTTCCATTTATTTTTCTTAATTCTTTTTTGCTCTGATTCTCAAACTTGATAATTTCAATAGTCTTATACTTAAATTCACAGATTATTTTTGGCATTCCCAAATCTGCTGTTGAACTCCTCTGGTGAATTCATTATTTCAATTATGGTACTTTTTAGTTTTAGAATGTCTATTTGGTGCTTTTTTATAATTTCAATCTCTTTATTGATATTTGGTTTATAAGTTGTTTCATGGTTCTCTCTGGTGCTCGTATGTTTTCTTTTAGCTTTTGAGCATATTTAAGACAGTTGATTTAAAGTCTTTGTTTAAGAAGTGTTATGTTTGGTTTGCCTCTGGGATATATCTGTCAATTTCTATTTTTCCTTTGATTGGACAACACTTCCAGTTTCTTTGTATGCTTTGTGATTTTCTTGTTCCTGTTGAAACTGGGTATTTTAATATTATAATTTAGTAACTTTAGAAATCACTTTCTCATTCTTCTCTAGACTTTGCTGTTCTTAATTACTGAAGTCTTCAGTATCCATTTGTTTTTATGAATTTTTCAAACTTTTTTTTGCAGTCTTATGTGTGGTCACTGAATTCTCTCTCTTTAGCTTGTGTTTAGGTAGTGTTTTAACAGGCATTTTTCCTGGAAGGCCAGGTTTCAAACAACCACCACCAAACAAAAAAGAAAAAGGAAAAGAAAAAGAAAAAACAAAAAACTAAAACAAAAATACAACAAAACCCCTTTCTTATTATTTGCAAATTGGCTCTGTCCTGGGGCACTTTTTAAGCACTTAGCCTGGTCCATTTAGAACTTCATCTTAGTCAACTGGACTGAGGGGAGGAGCCAAGATGGCTGAATAGGAACAGCTCCGGTCTACAGCTCCCAGTGTGAGCAAGGCAGAAGATGGGTGATTTCTGCATTTCCATCTGAGGTACCGGGTTCATCTCACTAGGGAGTGCCAGACAGTGGGCTCAGGTCAGTGGGTGCATACACCGTGCGTGAGCCGAAGCAGGGCGAGGCATTGCCTCACTTGGGAAGCACAAGGGGTCAGGGAGTTCCCTTTCCTAGTCAAAGAAAGGGGTGGCAGATGGCACCTGGAAAATCGGGTCACTCCCAACCGAATACTGCGCTTTTCCGACGGGCTTAAAACACTGAGCACCAGGAGACTGTATCCCACGCCTGGCTCGGAGGGTCCTATGCCCACGGAGTCTCACTGATTGCTAGCACAGCGGTCTGAGATCAAACTGCAAGGTGGCAGCGAGGCTGGGGGAGGGGTGCCCACCATTTCCCAGGCTTGCTTAGGTAAACAAAGCAGCTGGGAAGCTCTAACTGGGTGGAGCCCACCACAGCTCAAGGAGGCCTGCCTGCCTCTGTAGGCTTCACCTCTGGGGCAGGGCACAGACAAAAAGACAGCAGTAACATCTGCAGACTTAAATGTCCCTGTCTGACAGCTTTGAAGAGAGCAGTGGTTCTCCCAGCATGCAGCTGGAGATCTGAGAACGGGCAGACTGCCTCCTCAAGTGGGTCCCTGACCCCTGAGCAGCCTAACTGGGAGGCACCCCCCAGCAGGGGCAGACTGACACCTCACACGGCCAGGTACTCCAACAGACCTGCAGATGAGGGTCCTGTCTGTTAGAAGAAAAACTAACAAACAGAAAGGACATCCACACCAAAAACCCATCTGTACATCACCATCATCAAAGACCAAAAGTAGATAAAACCACAAAGATGGGGAAAAAACAGAGCAGAAAAACTGGAAACTCTAAAAAGCAGAGCGCCTCTCCTCCTCCAAAGGAATGCAGTTCCTCACCAGCAATGGAACAAAGCTGGACGGAGAATGACTTTGACGAGCTGAGAGAAGAAGGCTTCACACGATCAAATTACTCCAAGCTATGGGAGGACATTCAAACCAAAGGCAAAGAAGTTGAAAACTTTTAAAAAATTAAGAAGAATGTATAACTAGAATAACCAATACAGAGAAGTGCTTAAAGGAGCTGATGGAGCTGGAAACCAAGCCTGGAGAACTACGTGAAGAATGCAGAAGCCTCAGGAGCCGATGCGATCAACTGGAAGAAAGCGTATCAGCAATGGAAGATGAAATGAATGAAATGAAGCGAGAAGGGAAGTTTAGAGAAAAAAGAATAAAAAGAAATGAGCAAAGCCTCCAAGAAATATGGGACTATGTGAAAAGACCAAATCTACGTCTGACTGGTGTACCTGAAAGTGATGGGGAGAATGGAACCAAGTTGGAAAACACTCTGCAGGATATTATCCAGGAGAACTTCCCCAATCTAGCAAGGCAGGCCAACATTCAGATTCAGGAAATACAGAGAACGCCACAAAGATACTCCTCGAGAAGAGCAACTCCAAGACACATAATTGTCAGATTCACCAAAGTTGAAATGAAGGAAAAAATGTTAAGGGCAGCCAGAGAGAAAGGTCAGGTTACCCTCAAAGGGAAGCCCATCAGACTAACAGCGGATCTCTCGGCAGAAACCCTACAAGCTAGAAGAGAGTGGGGGCCAATATTCAACATTCTTAAAGAAAATAATTTTCAACCCAGAATTTCATATCCAGCCAAACTAAACTTCATAAGTGAAGGAGAAATAAAATACTTTACAGACAAGCAAATGCTCAGAGATTTTGTCACCACCAGGCCTGCCCTAAAAGAGCTCCTGAAGGAAGTGCTAAACATGGAAAGGAACAACCGGTACCAGCCACTGCAAAATCATGCCAAAATGTAAAGACCATTGAGACTAAGAAGAAACTGCATCAACTAACGAGCAAAATAACCAGCTAACATCATAATGACAGGATCAAATTCACACATAACAATATTAACTTTAAATGTAAATGGACTAAATGCTCCAATTAAAAGACACAGACTGGCAAATTGGATAAAGAGTCAAGACCCATCAGTGTGCTGTATTCAGGAAACCCATCTCACATGCAGAGACACACATAGGCTCAAAATAAAAGGATGGAGGAAGATCTACCAAGCAAATGAAAAGCAAAAAAAGACGGGTTGCAATCCTAGTCTCGGATCAAACAGACTTTAAACCAACAAAGATCAAAAGAGACAAAGAAGGCCATTACATAATGGTAAAGGGATCAATTCAACAAGAAGAGCTAACTATCCTAAATATATATGCACCCAATACAGGAGCACCCAGATTCATAAAGCAAGTCCTGATTGACCTACAAAGAGACTTAGACTCCCAAACATTAATAATGGGAGACTTTAACACCCCACTGTCAACATTAGACAGATCAACGAGACAGAAAGTCAACAAGGATACCCAGGAATTGAACTCAGCTCTGCACCAAGTGGACCTAATACACATCTACAGAACTCTCCACCCCAAATCAACAGAATATACATTTTTTTCAGCACCACACCACACCTATTCCAAAATTGACCACATACTTGGAAGTAAAGCTCTCCTCAGCAAGCGTAAAAGAACAGAAATTATAACAGACTATCTCTCAGACCACAGTGCAATCAAACTAGAACTCAGGGTTAAGAATCCCACTCAAAACCGCTCAACTACATGGAAACTGAACAACCTGCCCCTGAATGATTACTGGGTACATAACAAAATGAAGGCAGAAAGAAAGATGTTCTTTGAAACCAATGAGAACAAAGACACAACATACCAGAATCTCTGGGATGCATTCAAAGCAGTGTGTAGAGGGAAATTTATAGCACTACATGCCCACAAGAGAAAGCAGGAAAGATCCAAAATTGACACCCTAACATCACAATTAAAAGAACTAGGAAAGCAAGAGCAAACACATTCAAAAGCTAGCAGAAGGCAAGAAATAACTAAAATCAGAGCAGAACTGAAGGAAATAGAGACACAAAAAACCCTTCAAAAAATTAATGAATCCAGGAACTGGTTTTTTGAAAGGATCAACAAAATTGATAGACCGCTAGCAAGACTAATAAAGAAAAAAAGAGAGAAGAATCAAATAGATGCAATAAAAAATGATAAAGGGGATATCACCACCAATCCCACAGAAATACAAACTACCATCAGAGAATACTACAAACACCTCTACGCAAATAAACTAGAAAATCTAGAAGAAATGGATAAATTCCTCTACACATACACCCTCCCAAGACTAAACCAGGAAGAAGTTGAATCTCTGAATAGGCCAATAACGAGCTGAAATTGCGGCAATAATTAATACCTTACCAACCAAAAAGAGTCCAGGACCAGGTGGACTCACAGCTGAATTCTACCAGGGGTACAAGGAAGAACTGTTACCATTCCTTCTGAAACTATTCCAATCAATAGAAAAAGAGGGAATCCTCCCTAACTCACTTTATGAGGCCAGCATCATCCTGATACCAAAGCCGGGCAGAGACACAACCAAAAAAGAGAATTTTAGACCAATATCCTTGATGAACATTGATGCAAAAATCCTCAATAAAATACTGGCAAAACGAATCCAGCAGCACATCAAAAAGCTTATCCACCATGATCAAGTGGGCTTCATCCCTGGGATGCAAGGCTGGTTCAATATATGCAAATCAATAAATGTAATCCAGCATATAAACAGAACCAAAGACAAAAACCACATGATTATCTCAATAGATGCAGAAAAGGCCTTTGACGAAATTCAACAATGCTTCATGCTAAAAACTCTCAATAAATTAGGTATTGATGGAACATATCTCAAAATAATAAGAGCTATCTATGACAAACCCACAGCCAATATCATACTGAATGGGCAAAAACTGGAAGCATTCCCTTTGAAAATCAGCACAAGACAAGGATGCCCTCTCTCACCACTCCTATTCAACATAGTGTTGGAAGTTCTGGCCAGGGCAATTAGGCAGGAGAAGGAAATAAAGTGTATTCAATTAGGAAAAGAGGAAGTCAAATTGTCCCTGTTTGCAGATGACATGATTGTATATCCAGAAAACCCGATCGTCGCAGCCCAAAATCTTAAGCTGATAAGCAACTTCAGCAAAGTCTCAGGATACAAAATCAATGTACAAAAATCACAAGCATTCTTATACATCAACAACAGACAAACAGAGAGCCAAATCATGAGTGAACTCCCATTCACAATTGCTTCAAAGAGAACAAAATACCTAGGAATCCAACTTACAAGGGATGTGAAGGACCTCTTCAAGGAGAACTACAAACCACTGCTCAGTGAAATAAAACAGGATACAAACAAATGGAAGAACATTCCATGCTCATGGGTAGGAAGAATCAATATCATGAAAATGGCCATACTGCCCAAGGTAATTTACAGATTCAATGCCATCCCCATCAAGCTACCAATGACTTTCTTCACAGAATTGGAAAAACTACTTTAAAGTTCATATGGAACCAAAAAAGAGCCCGCATCGCCAAGTCAATCCTAAGCCAAAAGAACAAAGCTGGAGGCATCACACTACCTGACTTCAAACTATACTACAAGGCTACAGTAACCAAAACAGCATGGTACTGGTACCAAAACAGAGATATAGATCAACGGAACAGAACAGAGCTCTCAGGAATATCGCTGCATATCTACAACTATCTGATCTTTGAAAAACCTGAGAAAAATAAGCAATGGGGAAAGGATTCCCTATTTAATAAATGGTGCTGGGAAAACTGGCTAGCCGTATGTAGTAAGCTGAAACTGGATCCCTTCCTTACACCTTATACAAAAATCAATTCAAGATGGATTAAAGACTTAAACGTTAGACCTAAAACCATAAAAACCCTAGAAGAAAACCTAGGCATTACCATTCAGGACATAGGCATGGGCAAGGACTTCATGTCTAAAACACCAAAAGCAATGGCAACAAAAGCCAAAATTGACAAATGGGATCTAATTAAACTAAAGAGTTTCTGCACAGCAAAAGAAACTACCATCAGAGTGAACAGGCAACCTGCAAAATGGGAGAAAATTTTCGCAACCTAGTTATCTGACAAAGGGTTAATATCCAGATTCTACAATGAACTCAAACAAATTTACAAGAAAAAAAACAAACAACCCTATCAAAATGTGGGTGAAGGACATGAACAGACACTTCTCAAAAGAAGACATTTATGCAGCCAAAAAACACATGAAAAAATGCTCACCATCAGTGGCCATCAGAGAAATGCAAATCAAAACCACAGTGAGTTACCATCTCACACCAGTTAGAATGGCAATCATTAAAAAGTCAGGAAACGACAGGTGCTGGAGAGGATGTGGAGAAATAGGAACACTTTTATATTGTTGGTGGGACTGTAAACTAGTTCAACCATTGTGGAAGTCAGTGTGGCAATTCCTCAGGGATCTACAACTAGAAATACCATTTGACCCAGCCATCCCATTACTGGGTATATACCAAAAGGATTATAAATCATGCTGCTATAAAGACACATGCACACGTATGTTTATTGCGGCATTATTCACAATAGCAAAGACTTGGAACCAACCCAAATGTCCAACAATGATAGACTGCATTAAGAAAATGTGGCCCATATACACCATGGAATACTATGCAGCCATAAAAAATAATGAGTTCATGTCCTTTGTAGGGACATGGATGAAATTGGAAATCATCATTCTCAGTAAACTATCGCAAGAACAAAAAACCAAACACCGCATATTCTCACTCATAGGTGGGAATTGAACAATGAGAACACATGGACACAGGAAGGGGAACATCACACTCTGGGGCCTGTTGTGGGTTGGGGGGAGGGTTGAGGGATAGCATTGGGAGATATACCTAATGCTAGATGATGAGTTAGTGGGTGCAGTGCACCAGCATGGCACATGTATACATATGTAACTAATCTGCACATTGTGCACATGTTCCCTAAACTTAAAGTATAATAATAATAATAATAATAATAATAAAAAGAACTTCATCTTAGTCTTCACTACTTGCTTGAACCGAGCATAGAGATTAGCCAGAAGTAAAACCTTAGGGTCTTTTCAGGTCTTTGCCAAGCTTCTCCTGTCCTGGGTTTGTGCTTGCCATTCTGAATTCCCTAACCCATTTATACCTAGTGTTCCATTATTGGAACGCTAAGCCTGTGGGGGTTATTTATATCTTACTGCTTAAGGTCATTTCAAGGTCTGATTGCAAAAATTAATAAAATTGTAACCTCAGGCATAAATGGGCTATAACGTACACAGTGCTCTTGATTGCCCTCATTCCCCCCCCCAAAAGTCTCTCTTTAGCTTTTTTTTCTTCTAGAATTCATTGTAGAATGGAATTTATCTCCTAGATTTATTTATATTTTACAAACTATTATTAACTCTTCTTCAAGTTTTTATTTTATGATAATTTGTGCAATTTTATACATTTAGATTTGTACAATTCTGCATTTTACATCCATTTTGTATTCTTTCTTTCTTTCTTTTTCTTTTTCTTTTTTCTTTTTTTTTTGACAGAGTTTCACTCTTTTTGCCCAGGCTGGAGTACAGTGGTGCGATCTTGGCTCACTGCAACATCTGCCTCCTGGATTTTCAAGTGATTCTCCTGTCTTAGCCTCCTGAGTAGCTGGGATTACAGGTACCTGCCAGCACGCCTGGCTAATTTTTGTATTTTTAGTAAAGAAGGGGTTTCACCATGTTGACCAGGCTGGTCTTGAACTCCTAACCTCGTGAGCCTCCCGCCTTGGCCTACCAAAGGGCTGGGATTACAGGTGTGAGCCACCACACCTGGCCTATTTTATTTTCTAGTAGTGTTCACAGAGTATTTTTTTTGTTTTCACAGTTAGGCAAATATTAACATTGATTTTGGAACGCTGTTTTTTTCTTCTCTGACATATATATATTTTTGAGATGGAGTCTCACCCTGTTACCCAGGCTGGAGTTCAGTGGTACGATCTTGGCTCACTGCAACCTCCACCTCCCGGATTCAAGAGGTTCTCCTGCCTCAGCCTCCTGAGTAGCTGGGATTACAGGCATCCACTGCCATGCATGGCTATTTTTTGTATTTTTAGTAGAGACGGGGTTTCACCATGTTGGCCAGGCTGGTCTTGAACTCCAGACCTTAGGTCTCTCCCAAGCTTCAGAATCATCTCTGTAACCTTCCACTGGACATGCTCACTTCCATGACATGAAGACATTCCAAGAGCTGCATGGCCTGCATGTGTCTTATTGTCACTCTGTACTCTCACCTCCCCCAACACCCAACCTCCTGGTTCTAATTTCCAGACCTTCTAAGGCCCCTATACAGGCCCTCTGGAAGTAGCCCTTCTTCTCTTCCTTTGCTTAGTGAATTCCCTCTTCCACATCTCCACTGCTGCCCCGTAATATAGACAATCTACCTCTAACGCTGCTCTCCAGCACAGTCTCCACTGTACTTTGGTGGCATTGCTTCCTGAGTGAAAACTGAATTATGTTACAGGGATTCAGGTGTGTATTTTCAGTTCACCATCAACTTCTGCTATTTGCATCAATGACTTGGAGTTGGGAGAGCAGGGAGCCTATGGCCTAAAGGAAGTGTGCAAGATTATTGTGTTTATGTCATATACTGCCAGTCCTTTAGGGCATGGGAGGAAACTATCAGCATGCCTATTTATATTTTTATCTAAAAAATGAAAACAAAATTAAGCTTTCCTTATATGTAGATTGTATTTTATTTACTTTATAAATATAAACTAAACTAGTAGTTGCTAAACATTTTTATGGATTAGAAGAGTGATAAATATTTGGAGAACACTAACAGGATTAAAGCCAAAAGTATTTCCTAGTCTCCCTCATCTCCCATGCCTCTGCAACCTTTATCTCATCACAGGTAAGACATGCTGTTATCCTGTTAAGCAATTCCATTGACTTGCCACATATTTTTTCAGGTTTTTAACGTTTTCTTAAGTTTTTGTTATATGTTTGCAAAGGAACTAAAGTTTTATCACTTCAGTGAAGTCTAATATGTTGACACACTCTCACATGAATTTGCCCAGAACACTTTTATGATCCATCTGTGTTGCACATATCTGTGGTGTGAGTCCTTTAAGTCCTGTGGTAGATATGTCTCTGTATGTATGTTTCCTTATGAGAAGGTATGTTCCTCTCTTGTAAGGAAGACTCTTGTATTCAAATTGGAATACTCAGAAACTAAGAAAGCTCTAGGCACATGTAGGTACTAAATACTTTTGCATTAAGTAATTAATTCACCAACAGGATATTTCTGCTATGATCTTTTACCCACAATGTGTAACATAAAACAACATATATCATGGAGGCCCTTTATAACATTTTCTATTTAATTTTCAACAACAAAAATTGTAAGAATTAGTCCCTAAACATCTTGTCTCACATCAGCTGATTCTTATTGCATCAGACTGAGCAGAACTGTGATTTTCCAGGGATCAGTGTCATTTAGGGATGTGACTATGGGCTTCACTCAAGAGGAGTGGCATCATCTGGACCCTGCTCAGAGGACCCTGTAGAGGAATGTGATGCTGGAGAACTACAGCCACCTTGTCTCAGTAGGTAGGTAGGAATTGTTTCCCATGTAGAAGGCCAGAATGCATGTCCTTTCTTATCGATAGAAACTTGTGGAAATTTTGTAAAATATAACATTTAGCTTTGAAATTTAGAGGTCAGAGACAATGTATCCCTTTTGGATACCAGAAAGAATATTTTCCTCTGCCCCACGACAGGATTAAATGAGGTGTGTGTGTGTGTGTGTGTGTGTGTGTACTGTTTGGGGTATACTGTCTTCCTCCTTCAGGGAAACCCACCCAGTTTGTCAGAAGTAATATAATTCTCATTCACAGGGTATTGCATCATTCACAGGGTATTGCATTCCTAAACCAGAAGTGATCCTCAAATTGGAGACAGGCAAGGAGCCATGGATATTAGAGGAAAAATTTCGAAGCCAGAGTCATCTGGGTGAGTTAGTGCCAGATGGAATTTAAAGGTAGGCAGATCACAAAGGGTAAGTTCAGATAATAAGACCATTGAAATGTTCTTCAGGAATCATATTTTAGAGGCTCTAGACCTTTGGAAGTAACATGTTGACATGACCCAAATATCCAGTGGCTCTTAATCACCCAGCATCTCCCAGTATCACTTCCATACACACATCTTTTTTTTTAATTGTGATATAAATTATATAGTTAAGTCACAGCTTAATAAAATTAAATATATATGTGTGTATATATATATATGAGACACTCATGTATCCATCATTGAGATGAATATATAGAGTGTTTTTCAGCACCCCTGGAAAGCTCCCTCGTGTGGTCTTCCCATTCAAGAGCATCCCTCCTTCTATAAAATATTAAATATATTTTTCTATACATGCTTTTTTGAGTTGCTCATTCGTTAGCATTCTACCATATTCACATTTTTTTACAGAATTATTTTAAAATAGCCTGGGCCCAGTGGTTCATGCCTGTAATCCCAGCAATTTGGGAGGCTGAGGTGGGAGAATCTCTTGAGCCCAGGAATTTGAGACCAGCTTGGTCAACACGGGGAGACCCTATCTCTATCAAAACTTAAAAAATTAGCCAGGCATGGTGGCACACACATGCGGTCCCATGCCTGGCTGATTTTTGTGATCTCAGCTACTGGGGAGCTGAGCTGAGAGTCTTGCTTTAACCCAGGAAGAGGCTGCAGTGAGCTGTGTTTGTGCCATTGCACTGCAGCCTGGGTGACAGAGCAAGATTCTGTCTCTAAAATATAAAAAGCATTTAAAATTAAAATTAAACATTCAAACAGTAATGATTTCAGCGTGAAGCCTGAAAAAATTTGTGTTTGAAAATGCTCTCTGGGTAATTCTGATAAACATTATTTATTAGGTACCATGATATAAATATCTATGTAGGGCACTGAGAGAAAATCATAGGTAAAGTAATGGCTGCCAGGAACATAGTTGGTGAACGAAAACAGAACTGCATGAAATATTTTAAAATTCAGTGTTTAACAAAGAATATTGTTATAGCAATCCAGCTGATGTTTGTGCTTAAATGAATTATACAAATGGTCCTTTCATGTTTTTTAGTAAATGAATCTGGAAGTGGTGGGAAAATTTGGGAAGGCAACTTTTTAAAAACATTGTTAGACTGTAAGCTGACAATGAAAAAAAAATCAGTATAAAATTATGATGGGAATGAGCAATTTATGAGGGACAAACAGATGAACTTACCTAGAGTGAATTACATTCATTATAGACTTGTAAAAGAATGGCTTGGTTCTAATCTGAATCTAAACGTAAAGATATGTCTACTTCAGTGATACCTTGTTAAAAAAAAAGTGTTTGTTCTTGGAACATTGGACTCAGTATAATATAGTACAGTTGATGGAATAAAGGGCAAATCCCATAGCCGGAATAGAACCATAAGCCTGATCCTGTGGCAACGATGACTTGTTCACTCATTGATTTCACTCTTATTGTTGCATACTTTTATTCCTAGTGAATCAGAGCTAGAAAAACAATTAAGCCAGATGCAGTGGCTCATGTCTGTAATCCTAGCCCTTTTGAAGGCCAATGTGGGTGAATTGCTTGAGGCCAGGAGTTTGAGACCAGCCTGGTTAACATTGCAAAATCCTGTCTCTACTAAAAACATAAAAACTAGCTGAGCATGGTGGTGCATGCCTGTAGTCCCAGCTACTTGGGAGGTTGAGGCATGAGAATCGCTTGAACCCAGGAAGCGGAGATTGCAGAGAGCTGAGATCATGCCACTACACTCCAGCCTGGGTGACAGAGGAAGACTCTGTCTCAAAAACAACAACAACACACACAATTGGAGCCTGGATTATAGGACTATCTATGAATTAGAACTTTTAGAAATTTGATTTGTTGCTGCTGTGTTGAGTTGAAAAGAGGTATAAGACTGGAAGTGTGCACATTGTTGTCATAATGTAGGTGTGAGGAGATAATGGCTTAAACTGAGCCTTCAAACATAATGCTAACTTCAGTTCTCTTACATATCCTTGTCAACTAATCTTTCTTGTCACTCTGTATTTCAGAATTAATTAATACCAGTAGAAACTATTCAAGAATGAAGTTCAATGAGTTTAACAAAGGTGGAAAATGTTTCTGTGATGAAAGCATGAAATAATTCATTTTGAAGAGGAACCTTCTGAATATAATAACAATGGGAACAGCTTCTGGCTGAATGAAGACCTCATTTGGCATCAGAAGATTAAAAATTGGGAGCAACCTTTTGAATACAATGAATGTGGGAAAGCTTTCCCTGAGAATTCACTCTTCCTTGTACATAAGAGAGCTTACACAGGACAGAAAACATGCAAATATACTGAACATGGGAAAACCTGTTATATGTCATTTTTTATTACTCATCAGCAAACACATCCAAGAGAGAACCACTATGAATGTAATGAATGTGGAGAAAGTATCTTTGAGGAATCCATTCTCTTTGAACATCAGAATGTTTACCCATTCAGCCAGAATTTAAATCCCACTCTAATTCAGAGAACCCACTCAATTAGCAATATTATTGAATATAATGAATGTGGAACCTTTTTCAGTGAAAAATTAGCCCTTCATTTACAACAGAGAACACATCCAGGGGAAAAACCTTATGAATGTCATGAATGTGGAAAAACCTTCACCCAGAAGTCAGCCCACACAAGACATCAGAGAACACACACAGGGAAAACCCTATGAATGTCACGGATGTGGGAAGACCTTCTATAAGAATTCAGACCTCATTAGAAATCAAAGAATTCACACAGGGGAGAGACCTTACAGATGTCATGAATGGAGAAATCCTTCAGTGAAAAGTCATCCCTTACTCAAAATCAGAGAACACACGTGGGGAGAAATCATGAATGTCATGAATGTGGGAAAACCTCGTTTAAGTCAGTTCTAACTGTGCATCAGAAAACACACAGGGGAGAAGCCCTATGAATGCTATGCATGTGGCAACACCTTTCTCAGAAAATCCGACCTCATTAAACATCAGAGAATTCACACAGGAGAAAAACCTTATGAATGTAATGAATGTGGGAAGTCATTCTCCGAGAAGTCAACCCTTACTAAACATCTAAGAACACACAGATGGGAAATCTTATGCATGTATTCAATGTGGAAAATTTTTCTGCTGCTACTACAGTTTCACAGAACATCTGAGAAGACACACAGGGGAGAAACCTTTTGGATGTAATGAATGTGGGAAAACCTTCCATCAGAAGTTGGCCCTAATTGTTCACCAGAGAACTCATATAAGACAGAAACCCTATGGATGTAATGAATGTGGAAAATCATTCTGTGTGAAGTCAAAACTCATTGCACATCATAGAACATACACAGGGGAGAAACCCTATGAATGTAATGTTTGTGGAAAATTATTATTAAGTCAAAACTAACTGTACATCACAGAACACACTTGAGGTGAAACCCTATAAATGTAGTAAGTGAGGGAAATTACTCTGGGTGAAGTCAGAACTTTGTAGAGCAGAGAACATAAAGGGTGAGAGAAATCTGTTAATATAATGATAATGAGAACACCTTTGCCCTGAAGTCAGTTCTCACAGTAGAGAAGAGAACTTAAAGAGGGAAAAAACAATATGAAGATATGGAATGCAGGAAAACATTATTCTGGGATTTGGGCCATAGATTATGTTTAAGAACTAAAAGTGAAAAACACTTATTGGTGAATGAATATAGGAAACATTTTGCTCAATGCCACACCTCAGTAAACATCAGAGAGTTCACACAGGGTGAAACCTGGCTCAACATCCGTAAGTTGAGAAGGGATGCATTTTTTTGCTACTACTACAGTTTCACAGAATATCTGAGAAGACACACGGGAGAAACTTTTTGGGTGTAATGAATGTGGGAAAACCTTTCACCAGAAGTGGGCCCTAATTGTTCACCACAGAACTCATATAAGACAGAAACCCTATGGATGTAATGAATGTGGAAAATCATTCTGTGTGAAGTCAAGAGGCCACAGAAAATGCACAAACTATAGGAAAGCATTTACTATGAGGTTATATTTTATAGAGTATATGTAATAAGAAGTACCTTCTTAGTGAACATCAGATAGTGAGAAAGTATTTTTAACTGTATCCAATGTGTGGACACTTTAGGTTAAAATCTAAATTTAATATAGACCAGAGGTGTTGAATTGCAGGATATCTAGCAATTTAAGAACATGTAGAGAAAAGGTTTTCTTTTTTTTTTTTTTTTTTTTTTTTGAGACAGAGTCTCGCTCTGCCACCCAGGCTGGAATGCAGTGGCATGATCTCGGCTCACTGCAAGCTCTGCCTCCTGGGTTCATACCATTCTCCTTCCTCAGCCTCCCAAGTAGCTGGGACTACAGGCGCCTGCCACCACACCTGACTAATTTTTTGTATTTTTAGTGGAGACAGGGTTTCACCATGGTCTCGATCTCCTGACGTCGTGATCTGCCCGCCTCGGCCTCCTAAAGTGCTGGGATTACAGGTGTGAGCCACCACGCAAAAAAAGGTTTTTATTGAGAAATAGCATTTTACTTTGCTTATATCCAGTTCAGTTCATTGTCAAGACTGCTGTTTTCTGACACTTGAAAAGATGCCACGCTGGAGCCAATGACTATAACTAGGTCAAAGATGTATTGCTTAGCCATATGTAAAATAAGGGAAGAGTTTTTAGCAAAGGGAACCATAAGCAAGAGTGCTTTTGTATGTCCAGGAAGAAAGAGACCCTTAATCTGGGGCCATAGGACAGGAGCCCACCAGCAGGATTTTTGAATAATCCTGGGGCAGACTAATTTTGGGTGACCCGTCTCAGAATGGTGGATCAAGGGGGCAAGTCAACTTGCCTTGTATGCAGCTTAAGAGGATTAGTAGAAGAGAGTGGGTCCAGATTTCTGGTGGTTTCTGCCCTAGCAGATGTCCAACACATAAGCCAGGACATTCTGCTGTGAGTGACTTATTGTACCCAACTCTATTTCTCTCCAAAGTGAAATACATTTTTCATAGGTGATATAACTTTTTAAAATGTATATAGAGATATAACTTAAATATGGGGCTTTGAAAAAGCACAAATAGGCTGAGCATGGTGGCTTGCACCTGTAATCCCAGTACTTTGGGAGGTTGAGGTGGGCAAGACCTGAGGTCAGGAGTTCCAGACCAGCCTGGCCAACATGATGAAACCCTGTCTCTACTAAAAATACAAAAATTAGCCAGGCATGATTGCGCACATCTGTAGTCCCGGCTACTAGAGAGGCTGAGGTGGGAGGATCACTTGAACCTGGGAGTTGGAGGTTTCATTGAGCTGAGATCATGCCACTGCACTCCAGCCTGAGTGACAGACACTTTAAAAAAAAAATAGATTTTGCTATTGGGTAAGGTATAGTAGTCGGCAGCAGAATGGACTGATTGAGGACAACTATAAAATTACAAAAAATATTTAAATGCAACTTATTGCTATAGAAGCAAAGAGAACTAAAGGAGCAAAATTCTAGAGAGTGGTAAATCCCAGAAAGCACATGCACAGAATGCAGCTCTTTGCTCTGGGGACCCTTTCCACTTCTGGCTATAGGGAAGAACCTGAATACTGAACTTGGTTCAGGCAGAGGGCCATACCCTGGGGGTCAGGGGAAGGCATGGGGGGGACCAGAAACCAGGAGAACAATCAAGACTGCAATTAAAAAAAAATGGATACATTAGGGGCTTCAAACACATAATTTCTCAAGAAATTTCCAGATATCTCATGCTGCATAGGGCAGGAGGCTGAAAAGCTAATTTGAGAAGAAAACAAGTAGGATTTTTGTTTTGTTTTGCATTTTGCAATATGGAGGAGAAATGATTAGACCTTAGGAAGTGCCAGTGGGTTGGTCCTTTCATGAACATGCCATCAGTAAAAGCCCTGGAAACAAGGTCATACCAGAGATTCATTGTACCTTGTCACAACTGCAAACAATATCTGAGTGGAATATTCAAAAACTTGCTTAGAAAGAAAACTCTAGGACAGATGGCTCCACTGAAGTTATTCCAAATATTTAATAAATAAAGCATACCAGGCTTTTATAAACTCTTCTAGAAGAAAAAAGTTGGAACTTTTCCAATTCAGTTTTTCAGGCCAGTGCAACCTTGATACCAAAACCAATAAAACAAACAAACAAACAAAAAACATAAAGCTATAGACCAAAGTCTCATAGATTTAGATGCAAAATCCTAAAATTGAAAAAAAAAGTCTAGTCATATCCATAAACTGTATCATCACCAAGAGATGTTTATTAGGGCAATCAAAAGATGATTTATTATTTTTTAAAAAATCAATGTGGCCTTCCCTTCCTCTTTCTTTTGATTCCCCTCTTTGAGTTTTTATGTGTCTCTTTTGCCTTCCCTTCCCAGAGTGGAGGAGTTAGACCTGCATTGTGGGATGAGAGGAGTTGTGGCTATGTGTCTGCTGGCACCAAGAGGGCTGAGGGTGAGGTGTGGAAGGGACAGGGGGAGGAGATGGGCAGCATTGTTAAGAGATTGGTACCACTGAGCAAATATGTTGAGAATGATGATGGCAAGGTTTCTCCCTGTTAGAGAAGGTATTTGTAGAAATAGGAATGAGGAGAGCTAGAAAACCTGGAGTGTGGGATTAGAATAGAACTCATATCTTTTAAATACATAGGAACAATAGAGAAATTGTTGGGTGTGCCCATATACATATATTTTGTGATTCATTCTACCGAGAGGACATAAATGCAGTCACAGCTCAGTAACAGTAAACACACCAACTGCCAAGTTATTATTTCCTAAATACTATCCACAAAAAAGGGGACCAGGGATGATTCCTAGTCGGAGATTGGGAGAAAAAGAAGATGAGCCTGAATCATTTCATGTACCTAACAGAAAGAAAATACTCTGGCTGGGCTCAGTGGCTCATGTTTGTAATTCTAGCATGTTAGGAGGTCGAGGTGGGTGTGTTGCTTGAGCCCAGGAGTTTGAGACCAGCCCAGGCAACATGGCAAAACTGTCTCTACAAAAAATATAAAAATTAGCCAGGCGTGGTGGCATGCACCTGTCATCCGAGATACTCAGGAGGCAGAGAGGTGGGAGGATCACTTGAGCCTGGGAGATTGAGACTGCATCGAGCTGTGATCATGCCACTGCACTCCAGCCTGGAAGACAGAGTGAGACCCTGTCTCAGGAAAAAAGAAAAAAAAAAGATGTTGCTCAGCAAGTTAATGGACAAACTGTGCAATATCCAGAAAACTTTAACATTCTTCAAAGAAATAGAAAACACAATCCTAAAATTTATATGGAAACCACAAAAGACCTAGAATAGTCAGAGTTATCCTGAGCAAAAGGAATCAAACTGGAGGGATCATATTACCTGACTTCAAATTATTCTACAGAGCTACAGTAACCAAAACAGCATGATACTGGCATAAAAACAGACACATAGGAACAGAATAGACAACCCAGAAACAAATTCATACATCTACAGTGAACTCACTTTTGACAAAGTTATGAAGAACATACATTGGGGTAAAGATAGTGTCTTTAATAACTGGTGCTGGGAAAGCTGGATATCCGTATGCAGAAGAATGAAACTAGACCCCTATCTCTTAACATATACAAAAATCAAAATTAATTAAAAAGTTAAATCTAAGACCTCAAACTATGAAACAGCTAAAATAAAACATTGGGGAATCTCTCCAGGACATTGGAGTGGGCAAAGATTTTTTGTGTAATACCTGACAAACAGGCAACCAAAGCAAAAATGGACAAGTGGGATCACATCAAGTTAAAAATCTGTATTGCAAAGGAAACAACAAAGTGAAGAGACAACCCATAGAATGGGAAAGAATATTTGCAAACTATCCATCTGTATTAGGCCATTCTTGAAGTACTATAAAGAAATACGTGAGACTGGGTAATTTATAAAGAAGAGGTTTAATTGGCTCACAGTTTTGCAGGCTGTACAGGAAGCATGGTGCTAACATCTGATCAGCTTGTAGGGAGGCGTCAGGAAGCTTCCAACCATTGTGGAAGGCAAAAGGGGAATAAGTATCTCACATGGCAGGAGCAAGGGCAAAGAGAGGGGGAGGGAGGTGCCACACACTTAACCAGATCTTGTGAGTACTCAGGTCTTGTGAGGGTTGCTTGAGGTCAGGGATACCCCATTTACCCTGATGTGTTCATATACATTTCATGACTGTATCAAAATATCTCATGTACCCCCATAAACATATACACCTATTTGTACCCACAAAAATTTAAAAATAATTTCAATGTTTGAAGACTCATTATTAAAATAATAGCAGTTTCTATAAATTTAATATTTCAATAAAACTCCCAATATTTATTCTTAACACTGGAAAAACTTTTCCAAAATGCATATGGCAGAAATATGGGCGTTGATGAAAGGACAGCATCAATTAATGAGGGATCCTCCCCCTTGACGAAAATACCTTCCACCAAGACCCACCTTTAATGCTGAGGATTACATCTCAAAATGAGATTTGGGCAGGGACAAATATCCAAACTATATCACTAGCTATATCAGGAGCTGTAACTATAACTATATCAGGAACTATAACAATTCTATAGAAAAAAAATTAATCTGAAAACTGGACAAAAATCTGAATAGGCATTTCTCGAAAGAAGACATACAAATGGCAAACAGGCATATGAAAATGTACTCAACATCATTGATCCATTAGAGAAATGCAAATCAAAACTACAATGAGATATCATCTCACCCCAGTTAAAATATCTTCTGTCCAAAAGACAGGTAACAACAAATGCTGAAGAGGATGTGGAGAAAAGGGAACCCTCGTGCACTGTGGAAGTGTATATTAGTACAACCACTATGGAGAACAGTTTGTAGGTACCTCAAAAACTAAAAATAGAGTTACCATACAATCCAGCAATTCCACTGGTAGGTATATACCCCAAAGAAAGGAAATCAGTATATTGAAGATAAATCTGCACCATGTTTACTGTAGCACTACTCGCAATAGCCAAGATTTGGAAGCAATCCAAGTGTCCATCAGCAGATGAATGGATAAATAAAATATGGTACGTATACACAACGGAGTACTATTCAGCCATAAAAAAGAATGAGATCCTGTCATTTGCAACATTATAGATGGAACTACAGATCATTAAGTGAAATAAGCCAGGCACAGCAAGACAGACATCACATGTTCTGACTTATTTATTGGAGCTAAAGATGAAAACAACTGAACTTCTAGAGATAGAGTAGAAGAATGTTTACCAGAGGCTGGGAAAGGTAGTGGGGGCATGATGAGGGGGAATTGGGGAATGTTAATGGGCACAAAAAGGTAGAATGACTAAGACCTAGTATTTGATAGCACAACAAGGTTACTACAGTCAATAATAATTGTACATTTTTAAGGTATAATTGAATTGTTTGTAACACAAAGGATAAATGCTTGAGGTTATGGATATCCCATTTACCCTGATGTGATTATTAGACATTGCAAACCTGTATCAATATATCATGTACCCCATAGATGTATACACCTAGTATGTACCCAAAAAAATTAAAAATAAAGTAAAAATTTCAATGATTAGGAAGACCATTATTAATATGTTTTCTTTAAATGTTTCTGTAAATTTGATACAATTTCAATAAAGCTTCCAATATTTATTCTTAGTACTGGAAAAAGTTTTCCAAAATGTGTATGGCAGAAATAGGGCCAAAATAGGCAAGAAAACTATTTTTGAGATGTCAGTTTTCCTCAAATTGTTCTATTAATTAAACACCACCTGAATTAAAATTTGACAGTGGATTATAAATTTATGTGAATATTCAAAACAATTGTGAATACATGAGTCCAGAACCACAGCCATACCCCATGAGGTGCTTGGGACATTTTCAGCAAATGTGCCAATGAAATCCAAGGGGAAAGACACATCTTCAAAATGTGGTGTTAACTTTGACTCCCCAAAGCATATATAAGGCCTCAACTCATCATAGATCTAAATACAAGAGCTCAAAGTTAAAACTTATAGAAGAAAAACTGAGAAAATTTTTGTAGGTTTCAGTTAGGTGATGATTTCTCTATGGACAATACAAATATGGAATATACACAAATTTAATGCACTTAAAGTAATAAAAACGATGTACTCACTTTAAACTTTGATAAATTAGATTTTGTTAAATTCAAAACTTGTGTTCTTAAAGCACACAATTAAGGAAATGGAAAGGTGAGTTATGGACTGAAAAAAGTACTTGTAAAACAGCTTTGGATAAGAATAGAAGAAAAATCCCAAAAAGAAAATTGGTGAAAGATTGGTATGAAAATTTCACTACAGAAAAAATACGAATGGCAAATAAGCCTGATTTGGGGGAGTGTTTTCAATACCAATGCTAATTTTTGGAATGTCCTGTGTTTAATTTTTTGGAGTGTGTGATTTGCAACATGCCCCTGCTGCATGGAGGAAGAGGAGATGGTAAAATGAACAGAAGTAATAATTGTAAACATAAAGTTTCAACCACTATTAATATGGGCCAAATTTTTGATCTTGAAACCAGCTCAATTTTCCTATGCAGTTGATGTTTATGGAGGCCTTTTGTGAGGGGAATAAACATAGAAATTGACTGTCAAACCATTCTTGCATTGCTGTAAAGAAATACCTGAGACTGGGTAATATAAAGTAAAGAGGTTATAAAGGAAAGAAGTTTAATTGGCTCAGGTTCTACAGGCTTTGCAGGAAGCATGGTGCTGGCATCTACTCGGCTTCTGGTGAAGCCTCAACTTTCAGTCATAGCAGAAGGCAAAGCAGGAGCAAGAGAGAGGGAGTTGGGGAATGTGCCAGATTCTTTTAGATGACCAGATCTTGGGAGAATTCAGTATCAGGAAGACAGCACTAAGCCATATGAGGGTTCCATCCCCATGATCACCTCCCACCAGGACCTACCTCCAGCCCTGGGAATTACAATGCAACATCAGATTTAAGCAGGCAAAAATATCCAAAGTATAGGATTGACCTCCAAGTCTTAAAGGTTGAGAAATTTAACATTTGTCATCTGAGTTTCTTTCTCAATAAACTGATCATTAGGACTCCCACATAGTTTCATGGAACTGAAACTTTACAGATCACCACAACTGGACAAGGAGAGCTGTTGCCAGTTGACTCCTCTTCCTTCTCTCCCGTTCCTGTTTTCCCACAGGTGGTTACAATGAGATGCTAGACCTCTCATCTAACCACCTGCTGCCTGTTGATCATATTCCTTACTCCCCTTAATTCCTGTCTATATAAACTCCTAACTTTAGTTGGGAGAGAGACGGATTTGACGGTTAGACTGACAGCATCCACAATAAATCTCTTCTTCCCTGGCAATACTCGTCTTAGTGACTGGCTTTCTGTGCAGTGAGCAACCACACCTAGGCCAAACCCCTGGTGTTCAGCAACAATGCATTTGTTCTACTTGATCCTCTCAGCTAATATCTTTGTCTTGTAAAAACTTGCCTCACAGCCTCTCAGATCAGGGGATGCTCAATGAGGAAGAAAACATTAAGAACTATGTTATCCAGTTTTGTCTAAGGCTGCTGTGATCAGGCAGTTCACTGTGCAGTGAAAAACCTCCAGAGCAACATGCAGCAGCCCTGTCATCACCCTGTGATCACCCAGATGACAGTTCGCACACCTGTGAAGCCAACTATAACCATAACTGGAGCCCAGGCCGAAGCTTTTTGCTGATAACGAATGAGCTGGAAAGGTGGGGTTGGCCCATGTCTCTTTGCATTGTATCTAAGCAATGTAGTTTGGGCCCTAGAAAAGAGTTCTACCTGACAATGAGCCATTCTGCCAAACAGTCAACTGGGGATTTCAAAACTTGGACTTGAAGGGATTTTCGGTATTCTCTAATAAAGATGCACTCTATGTCTATATCTTTTTGTATTTTCAAGTGCAAAAAGTAAACATTTTTGCTCAAATATTCCAATTTCCAAAGAATTCATATAACGGTATTGGATTGACCCCCAAATAAATGTAAGCTGAGAAATTGGGCAAGGCTGATAATGTTCATCTCCTCTCATGTTCATGGAATAGGGGATGTATCTAGTGAGATTTATAGTTGTATGGGTCCTGCTGTTGGCTTTTTTTGGACTAGTTTGAGACATTCAAGCCCTAGAATCCTTTAAAAATCAATAAGATCGATTGAGGACACTCAGAATGTCTGCTCTTTTCATCTTTTCAATTACGCCAATCACTTTCTTCACTGATGACAAGCACTCAAATTGTATTTCTCTCTTTAATGCTAATATACGAATATTAGAAATGAAAAACAGAAAACAAAGTGTGTATATAATGTGTCTGATACTTGGTTTTAAGTGAAACCAGTAATGTTCCAACTAAAGATGTGCTTTCCTAGTGTTACACAGCTCATTCAGGTGGTGCATTTCTCTAAGTGCACTGCTGGTATATGATGGGTGTTGGGAACAGGCCCCCCAAAATCTGGCCATAAACTGGCCACAAAACTGGCCATAAACAAAATCTCTGCAGCACTGTGACATGTTCATGATGGCCATAATGCCCACGCTGGAAGTTTGTGGGTTTACCGGAATGAGGGCAAGGAACACCTGGCCCGCCCAGGGTGGAAAACTGCTTAAAGGCAGTCTTAAGCCACAAACAATAGCATGAGTGATCTGTACCTTAAGGACATGCTCCTGCTGTAGTTAACTAGCCCAACCTATTCCTTTAATTTGGCCCATCCCTTTGTTTCCCATAAGGGATACTTTTAGTTAATTTAACATCTATAGAAACAATGCTAATGACTGGTTTGCTGTTAATAAATATGTGAGTAAATCTCTGTTCGGGGCTCTCAGCTCTGAAGGCTGAGAAACCCCTGATTTCCCACTTGACACCTCTATATTTCTGTGTGTGTGTCTTTAATTGCTCTAGTGCTGCTGGGTTAGGGTCTCCCCAATTGAGCTGGTCTTGGCAAGTGGTGTCCATCGTGGGGGCTCGAATCCAGGTTGAAGGATTGCTGGAGCGATGGTTGGAGAACGTGGAATTAAGCAATCCCTGTGGTGAGTAAGAAGGGGAGCTCAGAAGCATCAGGGTACCAATGGGAAAAGTGTGGGGTCTGGTTCATTCCACCTTGGAACTTTTTCACACTGATGTGGAGGAGGAAGGAGAGTATAACGAAGTAACAGAAGAGGTTACAAAGCATGTTTATTTACCAGCTAAAGCTAAAGCGGCAAAGGAGGGAGAGGTTCATCCCTACCATTCTGCACCCCCTCATTATTATTTTGAAGAAAATGACCCTCCAGATCTTTCTTTTCTGGAGGACACTGGGTAAAAAGTAGTTGCCCCAGTGACTGAGCAGCGCCTCAAGTGACCGCTTTTAGTTCTATTCAGGGAGAAATTCAGCAAGCTAGACGAGAGGGTGATTTAGAGGCTTGGCAGTTCCCTGTTAGAATACACTCCCTAGTTCAACAGGGAAATATTATAGCTACATTTGAGCTTTTTCTTTTTAAATTACTCAAAGAATTTAAACAAGCTATTCATACTAAAAAAGAATGGAGAAATAATCAGCAAATCAGGCCACCAGATAGGGGAAAAAAGAAAACTGCTAGTCTGAAATATGTCCAAAATGTAAAAAAGGAAAACATTGGGCTAATCAGTGTCACTCTAAGTTTGATAAAGATGGGAACCTGATTTGAGGAAATGCCATGAGGGGCCCATCCTGGGCCTCATTCTAAACTGGGGCATTTCCAGCTCAGGCCATTCCCTCACCCCTGTGCAATGTCTGTCACCCACCACAGCTGGTAGTGCCGCAGTAGATTTATGCTGCACAAAAGCTGTGAGCCTTCTGCCTGGGGAACCCCCGCAAAAGGTCCCAACAGGATTCTGTGTACCCTTGCCAGCAGGGACAATAGGATTACTTTTAGAAAGGTCTAAGTTTAAAAGGGATACAAATACATACGGGAGTCATTGATTCAGATTACAATGGGGAAATTCACATTGTTATATCTACTTTTGTTCCCTGGAAAGCAGAGCCAGGAGAGCACATAGCACAGCTCCTGATTGTGCTATATGTGGGAATGAGAAAAAGTGAAATTAAATGAACAGGAGGATTTGGAAGCACAAATAAACAACGCAAAGCAGTTTATTGTGTAAATAAAATCACTGATAAACGTCCTACCTGTGAAATAACCATTCAGGGAAAGAAATTTAAAGGTTTGGTAGATACAGCAGTGGACATTTCAATCATTTCTCTACAGCACTGGCTGTCCGCGTGACCAATTCAACCCACTAAATTTAACATAGTTGGAGTTGGTAAAGCCCCTGAAGTATATCAAAGTAGTTATATTTTGCACTGTGAAGGGCCCAATGGACAACGTGGGACTATTCAACCAATTATAACTTCTGTACCTATAAATGTATGTGGGAGAGATTTATTAGAACAATGGGGAGCACAAGTTCTAATTCCAGAACAATTATATAGCCCTCAAAGTCAACATACAATGCATGAAATGGGGTATGTCCCTGGCATAGGACTAGAAAAAAATTTGCAAGATTTGAAAGAACTGCTTCAAGTGGAAAGACAAAGATCCCATCAAAGATTAGGATATCATTCTTGCTGGTGGCCATTGTTAAGCCTCCAGAACCTATACCCTTAAAATGGTTAACAGATAAGCCAATTTGGATAGAACAGTAGCCACTAAGTTAAGAGAAACTGGAGGTTTTGGAGAAATGAGTTACTGAACAATTAGAAAATGGGCACACAGCTCCAAAATTTTCCCCTTGGAATTCTCCAGTTTTTGTAATTAAGAAAAAATCAGGTAAATGGAGAATGTTAACTGACTTAAGAGCCATCAGTTCAGTTCTTTACTATCCCTTTAGCTGAGCAAGCCTGTAAGCGGTTTGCATGTATAATTCCTGCAGTAAACAACCTGCAGCCTGCTAAGTGTTTTCATTGTTTCACAGATGGGTCTAGTAATAGTAAAGCTTCTTATTCTGGCTCAAAAAAGTAAAGTTATTCAGATGCCCTATAAAAAGCAAAGCTTGTAGCTGTAATCGAGATATTGGCTGCTTTTGTTATGCCTATTAATGTGATTTCTGATTCATCATACATGGTTCATTCCACAGAGTTAATTGAAAATGCTCAGTTATGATATCATACAGATAAACAACTGATGACAAAAACAAAAAAGAGGGAGAAATAGGGATTACAGGACAGTCCATACACAATTGAATCTAGCATTATTAACTTTAAATTTTTTGAGCCTGCCCAAAGGCCAGATGTTATCAGGAGCTGAACAGCATCTACAGAAACCAGCTGCAAAGACAGGAGCAGAACAACTGATTTGGTGGAGAGATTCAATAACAAAAAGTTGGGAAACAGGTAAAATAATAACTTGGGGTAGAGGTTATCCTTCTGTTTCTCCAGGCCAAATTCAACAGCTGATTTAGGTACCATCAAAATACCTGAAACCTTATCATAAGCCAGATGCCAAGGAAGAGATTCCAGGAGGATCCCGAGGACCACCCCCCCCATTGCAGCCAGGTTGATACTGATGCTGAGGAGGACTTCAACTGTCATGAGCAATACCAGTCAAACTCTGCCACCCACCTGGGGACAGATCAAGAAGCTGTCACTGATGATAAAAGAAAACCTGAGGAAAGTGGAACAACCAGTCACAATGAGTAATTTAATGGTAGCTATGATAGTGATGATCACCACTGCCATGAGTATTCCTTCAGTAAGGGCTGACACAGGGAACAATCATACTTATTGGGCATATTTATCAATCTTGGCTGGCAATAATGCCTGGATATAATCACTCTATGACACAGTTACACATGCTTTCTGATCTCTGGATTTACCATAATAAATCTGCTCCTATAATTGAGGTATACCGCCCTAAAAAACCTATTTGTAAACAAAATTGAACCTGGCCAGAAAAAATGAATGTACTTGTTTAGGAAGATTGCATTGCAGAACAGACAGAGGTGCTGCACAATGATTCCTATGGAATCATTATTGATTGATCCCCTAAGGGGATATTTAGCATAAATTGCACCTCTCAGTCTGTGTGCCAAGGCCACACTATGTTCAGCTGATCTGAACAAAATGGTCAGATGGTAGACATAATAAGAAGTACAGCAAGAGTTATTATTATATGGAACCATGGCAGTATAGTGGCACCTCAACCTCAAATGATATGGCCTGCTGTAGGAGCTAAACATTAAGGATTTGTGGAAACTATTAATAGCTCTTAATAAGATCAAAATTGGGGGAAGAATAAAAAAGCATCTAAAAGGACACTCTACAAACTTGTTTTTGGATATTGCAAAATTAAAAGAACAAATATTTAAAGCATCCCAGGCACGCCTGGCCTTAATGCCAAGAACTGGAGGGCTGAAAGGAGCTGCAGACAGATTAGCAGCTATTAACCCATTAAAATGGATAAAAACACTGGGAAGCTCTGTAATTTTTATGATGATTGTGCTTTTAATCTGTGTCATTTGTCTTTGTATAGTCTGCAGATGTAGATCCTGACTCCTGTGAGAAGTAGCTCACCATGACGCAGCTGCCTTTGCTTTTATTGATTTGCAAATCAAAGAAGGGAGACATGTTGGGAACAGGCCACCCCCCCAAAATCTGGCCATAAACTGGCCCCAAAACTGACCATAAACAAAATCTGTGCAGCACTGTAACATGTTCATAATGGCCATAACGCCCACGCTGGAAGGTGGTGGGTTTGCTGGAATGAGGGCAAGGAACATCTGGCCCACCCAGGGCAGAAAACCACTTAAAGGCATTCTTAAGTCACAAACAATAGCATGAGCGATCTGTACCTTAAGGACATGCTCCTGTTTCAGTTAACTAGCCCAACATATTCCTTTAATGTGGCCCATCCCTTCGTTTCCCATAAGGGATACTTTTAGTTAATTTAATATCTATAGAAACAATGCTAATAACTGGCTTGCTGTTAATAAATACCTGAGTAAATATTTGTTCAGGACTCTCAGCTCTGAAGGCTGTGAGACCCCTGATTTCCCACTTGGCACCTCTATATTTCTGTGTGTGTGTCTCTAATTCCTCTAGTGCTGCTGGGTTAGGGTCTCACCGGCTGCTGCTCTCAGCAAGGTAATGTTTTTTTTAATTCCAGTTTGGTTTATCTATACTGTTTTAGAATGTATGGGTTTCTCTAGACCCTTCATTACTTCAGGTGTGACATTTTATGCACGTCACTTGTTGCAGCCCACTGGTGTCCACATTCTGCCATGTGATGTGCAGGATCTTCACCTCCATATAGGCCCATTTCTCCTTCTCAATTTACAACATAATTTACATGCATGAAGAACTATATCAGACCGTGGAGAAATTTTTGCTTCAATCATCAGACACAGTTTAGAAAAACTCAAGAAGGCTAGCCTATCATATTTATCCATGCTTTTATTATTTCTATTTTTCTTCATCCCTGATGTTGTTTCCTTCTTTTATCATTTTGTTTCTGAATCAGGAATTTCCTTTAGCCACATCTTTAAAAAGGTTGCTGTGTCCTTCCTTGAGTCCCAGGTCCCCCTGGCAGCCGGCACTGTGGATCTAGGATACACAGGGTGGGCATGGGCTGTAGGAGGTCTTGAAATTGTGGCAGGGGGTCTGCACTTGACCTAAAAGATAAGGCACCAGCACTTCTGAAACCAGACAGAATTGGATGGAAGCCATTATTTCAAGGTGATGGTCTGTATTTATGAGGATTAATCTTTTGGATAATCTGGAAGGCCTGGGGGACTCACTGGAAAGATATGGTAATCATTTCAATAAATATTTAAGGGCTAAACCAAGTTGAGACTAGTAGGACCAGGGAGAAACAGCTCCACACTACATATTGAGATCATCTAAAGACAGGAAATTGATGTTTTATATGAGGTTGATTTTGAAGAGTAAGGAGGCATATCTGGTCCCCAGTGTCATCTCTGGAAAGAACTGCACCTGACCCAACCCACCCTAATTATCTGTTCTCTCCTGATTGTGAAGTCTATGAAACGAAACACACAGGTCATTTTCAGAAAACGAAGACATGGTGTTAGTAGCAAAATCTCACTGTGGTATGAAGGAACATTTATGAACTGTCAGGAAGGAGCCCTTCATTGCTCTGTTGTCCAGTCAAGAATGGGAGACACTAAGAGCTTGGCCAGGGCTTCAACTTAAGCTCCATGTGAATACCCTTGGCCTATGCTCC
Organism: Homo sapiens; assembly: GCF_000001405.40. Lineage (NCBI taxonomy): Eukaryota > Metazoa > Chordata > Mammalia > Primates > Hominidae > Homo > Homo sapiens. The sequence goes on along the minus strand of NC_000010.11, from coordinate 42,504,970 downwards.
CTGGACATGCAGTTTACCATCTGCAGAGTATGGCCAGTTTGCCTGATGGGAGGAATCACATGCACTGCGAGCCACCCCTTGCAGCAAGAAGTCCACAAACAGGGCCTTTCCCTGGCAACAGTAAGTGAGGTCAGCTGGGGTCTGGAGCTGCCCAAGACTGGCCGCACGCTCCAAGGATGGGAATTGTAGTGCCCTAGAGGGAGCCTCTACCTGTGACTGCCTTAGGGCTGCCGTGAGAACCATGGTCCATATGGCGCCTGTGAGCAGAGATAGGGGAAAGAGGAGACACAGAGGTCAACAGGGATATGGAAGTGTCTTTTATTGCAATTAAGTTTTCTAGTCATCAAACCTCTTTGAGCTATAGAATCAGCTCTGAAATTGTCAGTGTTTTGATCACAGTATTCAGAGATTTATTTTTTAACTGAGATTTGCATTACTATGTATTTGCAGTAATGTTTTTGTTAAAAGTTGTATCATAATGTATTTAGCAAGAACTCAGCGTCTGTGAGAAACAAATGATACTAGAACTTCTTACTACCTTCTGTGATATAAAGTTTAAAATTATATGATGTAACCAGTGACTTTCCCATTTTAAAAAATCACGTAATCAAAAAATAAACTTATAGTCTGTTTCTTATTGTTTTAATCAGTATATACTCATCCATGGGTACATTAATTTCTCTCACAGTCAAATACAATTATAAAATACATATTTTGGAATAATGTGACCCACAGATTCATGACACAATATAGTATGCATTAATTCTTTTTCATTATAGTTGTCTAATGCTGTGCCAGCTTCTCAACAAGGGGTCAAGCCCCAAAGGACCTAATGAATACACATGGCTTGAGTATCCAGCACAGCCCACATGGGTGGCAACCCTGGACAACTGAATGTCTGCTGACCTAATTTCTGAAATGTTTCTGCACATCAATTACCTATGTCTGCTTGGATGAAGTTGAAAAAATTCAAAAATCGCATAGTAGAATCTTAAATTCTTTAATGTTTCCAGCAGTGAACCCAATGCCATGGGTGTGGTTTAAAGCACCCCCCATGGTTTAAACCAAGTCTTGTATGCAGCACCAACCAGCTGAATACCAGACTCAAGAATCAGAGGTAAGAAGGTGGCTGGAAGTTGTCCAGATTCTACAACATATGTAGTGCTGGGTCAGTTCAGTTCTAAAACAATGCATTTAGTAAAATGATGGATTTATACAGGAATTTTCCAAATGGGAGGTGTGGGAAATAGCATATGAAGATTTGACAGCAGATACATGGAAAGTTAAAAAGAAAGGCAGAAATGCAAATCCCTTCTCACTCCTTCACACCTGGGGCAGTTTTGAGCGGCTTGGATGCTAAACGTACAGGAGACAAATTCAACAGCTTTATTGACTTTCACACACTCCCCATTTCCAAAACAAAAAGAACAACAATAAAAGCAGATCCAGGGGAAAAAAGGATCGGAATGCCACAAATTTTAACAGAAGGTATGGAAATAATTCTGGCTCACACTGCCTGTGACTATTATAATAAAATCAGTCACTAATATCATTTGAAATTTAGGAAGGAAACAAATTGTTTGTTAGGGTATCTAGCTCACCGTACCGACTAAGAGAGGCTGTAAGTGCTCCGAGAGTGATTTGAATTCCACAAGTGTCATTTCCCTTTAAACATTTTCTTGCCAGGCATTTTATACTTTAAAATTTGTGTGGGAAATTTTTAACAATGGACCTGTTATTATTTTTTTCACATTATCTCTACATTTTTCATATTATCTCTACATTCTCACTAGGGATCTTTTCTATCACATGAATGGAGTATAAAACTTTTGGAGTACTAGATTAGGCTTTCAAATTCGTCACTCAGGCACAATTTTCACCCTTTGGTTCATGGGACACTGCACAGTGGAAAACAGTGGATGTGCCTATACAGTTCATATTGGCTGGGGGCTCAGTCACTGTAGCAGATTTACTGTGGTAAAAACTAATACCAGAAATGTTCCTCAAGAAATGAGAAAGGATCAGCTGAGTGAGAATATATCTATAAAACTGTTTTTCTCAAGGGGAGACTAAAACTGAGCTGGGCGAGCGGTGGCTCACGCCTGTAACCACAGCAATTTGGGAGGCTGCGGTGGGGAGATCACCTGAAGTCAGGAGCTCAAGACCAGCCTGGCCAACTATGGTGAAAACTCGTCTCTACTAAAAGTACAAAAATTAGCCAGGCGTGGTAGCGGGCACCTGTAATCCCAGCTACTCGGGAGGCTGAGGCAGGAGAATCGCTTGAACCTCGGAAGCAGAGGTTGCAGTGAGCCAAGATCATACCATTGCACTCCAGCCTGGGTGACAGAGTGAGATTCCGTCTCAAAAAAAAAAAAAAAAAAGAAAAAGAAAGAAAGAAACAAAATAGACTGTGAGATAGTTTTCTTTCATTGAAATCACTGCCTCTTATCTTGGCATAATTGGAACAACCCAAGCAGGGAGAAGCCAGAGCCAGGCACATTTCCCTAAGACTTCACAACAGGTGTTTATTTATTTATTTATTTATTTATTTATTTATTTATTTGAAACAGAGTTCACTCTTGTTGCCCAGGCTGGAGTGCAGTGGCACAATCTCAACTCACCACCTCAGCCCCCCAAAGTGCTGGGATTACAGGCACGACCACCATGCACAACCCACAACAGGTGTTTTAGTAGTTTATGAGGATATAAATAAACAGCTAGATTGGACTTAGGGATAAATTAAGCCCTTGCCAAGACCAGCTCGGTCAGGGAGACCCTAACCCAGCAGCACTAGAGGAATTAAAGACAGGCACACAGAAATATAGAGGTGCCAAGTGGGAAATCAGGGGTCTCACAGCCTTCAGAGCTGAGAGCCCTGAACAGAGAATTACCCATGTATTTATTAACAGTAAACCAGTCATTAGCATTGTTTCTATAGATATTAAATTAACTAAAAGTATCCCTTATGGGAAATGAAGGGATGGGCCAAATTAAAGGAATATGTTAGGCTAGTTAACTGCAGCAGGAGCATGTCCTTAAGGCACAGATCACTCATGCTACTGTCAGTGGCTTAAGAATGCCTTTAAGCGGTTTTCTGCCCTCAGCGGGCCAGGTATTCCTTGCCCTCATTCCTGTAAACCCACCACCTTCCAGTGTGGGCCTAAAGGCCATTATGAACATGTTACAATGCTGCAGAGATTTTGTTTGTGGCCAGTTTTGGGGCCAGTTTATGGCCAGATTTTGGGGGGCCTGCTCCCAACATGTCCCCCTTCTCTGAGTTGCAAATTGATAAAAGCAAGGGCAGCTTTGTCACGGTGAGCTACTTCTAGCAGGAGTCAGGATCTACATCTGCTGACTATACAAAGACAAACAACACAGATTAAAAGCACAATCATCATTGAAATCACAGCACTTCCAAGTGTTTTTATCCATTTTAATGGGTTACTAGCTGCTAATTTGTCTGTAACTCCTTCAAGCACTCCAGTTCCTGTCATTAAGGTCAGGTGTGCCTGGGATGCTTTAAATATTTGTCTTTAATTTTGCAATATCCAAAGACAAGTTTGTAGAGTGTCTTTCTGGATGCTTTTTTATTTTTTCCCAAGTTTTGATCTTATTAAGAGCTATTAATAGTTTCCACACATCCCTATGTTTAGCTTCTAGAGCGGGCCATATCATTTGAGGTTGAGATGCCACTATCCCACCATGGTTCCAGATAATAGGAACTTTTGCCATACTTCTTATCATTTCTATCATCTGAGCATACTGTGGCAGTGGCACACAGACTCAGAGATGCAATTCAAGCTAAACATCCTCTTAGGAGACCAATCAATAATGATTCCATAGGAATCATTGTGCAGCACCTCTGCCTGTTCTGCAATGCTATCTTCCTTAACAAGTATGTTCATTATTTCTGGTGAGGTTCCATTTTGTTTACAAATAGGTTTTTGAAGGTGGTATGCCTCATTTATAGGAGCAGATTTATTATGGTAAATATTGAGATCAGAAAGCGTGTGTAACTGTGTCAGAGTGATTGCATCCAGGCAATATTGCCAGCCAAGATTGATAAATATGCCCAGTAAGTATAACTGTTCTCTTTGTCAGCCCTTATTGAAAGAATACTCATGGCAGTGGTGATCATCACTATCACAGCTACCACTAAATTACTCATTGTTACTGGTTGTCCTGCTTTCCTCAGGTTTTCTTCCACCATCTGTGACAGCTTCTTGATCTGCCCCCAGGTGGGTGGCTGTGCTCGACAGGTGTTGCTCATGACAGTTGGGATCCTCCTTAGCATCAGCCTCGACATGGCCGCAATGGCGGGGGGGGGGGGGGTCCTCGGGATCCTCCTGGAATCTCTTCCTTGGGATCTGGCTCATGATAAGGTTTCAAGTGTCTTGATGGTATCCAAATCAGCTGTTGATTTTGGCCTGGAGAAATACAAGCATAACCTCTACCTCAAGTTATTATTTTACCTATTTCCCAACTTTTTGTTATTGGATCTCTCCACCAAATCAGTTGTTCTGTTTCTGTGTTTGCAGCTGGTTTCTGTAGATGCTATTCAGCTGCTGATAACATCTGGCCTTTGGACAGCTTCAAAAAATTTAAAGTTAATAATCCTAGGTTCAGTTGCATCTGTAGGGTTCCATATTTTCTGTTTCCCCCTTTCTGCTTTTGCGACTGCTGTTTTAGGGAGAGATTCATTCTTTCCACTATGGCTTGTCCTTGAGAATTGTATGGGATGCCAGTAATGTGTTTAATATCCCACATAGAGAAAAATGTAGCTAGAGTTTGGCTAGTATAGCCTGCGGCATTATCTGTTTTAATGGAAGCTGGAATGCCCATCACTGCAAAACACTGCAAAGGTGACATTTAACACAGGCAGAAGACTCTCCTGTTTGGCATGTAGCCCAGACAAAGTGAGAAAAGGTGTCCACACATACATGTACATAAGCTAGTCTCCCAAACGAGGGAACATGTGTGACATCCATTTGCCAAAAGAGTTAGGTTCCAGTCCTCTAGGATTAACTCCTCCTGTAAAAGATGAGGAATGTACCACTTGGCAAGTTGGGCATCGCTGGATAATAGCTTTAGCTTCTTTCCAGGTAATGCTGTATCTGTGTTTGAGACCAGAGGCATTAACATGGGTTAAACTGTGAAAGTGTCTAGCATTAGATACTGCAGTAGCAACTAGGCGATCAGCCATTTGATTCCCTTCAGTCAAAGATCCTGGAAGATGTGTATGAGCCCTTATGTGAGTGATGTAAAATCGGTGCATTCTACTTCTAACTGCTGTTTGCAATTGGGTAAATAAAGTCATCAGTTTTTCTTCTGTATGAAATCGTAACTGAGCATTTTCAATTAACTGTGTGGAATGAACCACGTATGAAGAATCAGAAATCACATTAATAGGCATATCAAAAGCAGTCAATACCTCAATTACAGCTACAAGCTCTGCTTTTTGAGCTGAAGTATAGAGCGTCTGAAAAACTTTACATTTTGATCCAAAATAAGAAGCTTTACCATTACTAGACCCTTCTGTAAAAACATTCTCAGCACTTTTAATTGGTTTAAATTTAGTTATTTTGGGGAGAATCCAATTAGTTAATTTCAAAAACTGAAACAGCTTCATTTTAGGAAAATGATTATTGAGAACACCCACAAAGTCAGCTAAATGGGTTTGCCAAGTAAGACTATTTATAAAAGCTTGCTTTATTTGTGCCTTCATGAGAGGGACAATAATTTTTCCAGGATCATATTCATGTAATTTAACAATCTGAGTTCTCCCAATCCCTATCATAGTAGTGATTTGATCTAAATAAGGAGTTAGAGTCCATGAATTAGTATGTGGAAGAAAAAGCCACTCTACTAAGTCCTGTTCTCAGACAATAACACCAGTAGGTGAATGCAGAGTTGAAAAAATTAGCAAATCTAGAGTCTTCTCTGGATCTATTCAATTTATTTGAGCTTTATGGACTTGCTTCTCAATCAGTTGTAACTCTGCCTCAGCCTCCATCATTAATTGCCGAGGGCTAGTGAGACTAGGATTTCCTCTAAGGATAGAAAACAGGTTACTCATGGCATGGGTAGGAATGCCTAGAGCAGGTCGTATCCAATTAATGTCCCCTAGTAATTTTTGAAAGTCATTTAATGTTTTTAGTTGATCCCTATGAATGGTTACTTTCTGTGACACAGTGGTAGTGTCATTTACTAAGGTCTCCAAGTAGGATTAAGAAGTAGTAGTCTGAATTTTGTCAGGAGCTATAATTAAACCAGTGCAAGAAATCGATTTTTGCAAGTGATCATAACATTGAAGTAATATTTCTCCAGTGGGGGCAGCACAAAGTATACCATCCATATAGTGAATAACGTAACACTGTGAAAATTTTTTACGAGTAGGTTCAATTGCTTGCCCCACAGGCAAATTGTGGGACTGTTTAGCATGCCCTGTGGCAACACTTTGCAATGATAACACTTAGCAGGCTGCAGGTTGTTTACTGCAGGAATTGTAAATGCAAACCGTTCACAGTCTTGCTCAGCTAAAGGGATAGTAAAGAAACAGTCTTTTAAATCTATGACTATTAAAGGGCAATTTTTTGGAATTATAGCAGAAGGCGGCAATCCTGTCTGTAATGCTCCCACAGGTTGTATAACTGAATTGATGGCTCTTAAGTCAGTTAACATTCTCCATTTACCTGATTTTTTCTTAATTATGAAACAAACAAACAAACAAACAAACAAAAAACCCTGGTGAATTCCCATGGGAAAATGTTGGAGCTCTGTGCCCATTTTCTAATTGTTCAGTAACTAATTTCTCTAAAGCCTCCAGTTTCTCTTTACTTAGCAGCCATTGTTCTATCCAAATTGGCTTATCTGTTAACCATTTTAAAGGTATAGGTTCTGGAGGCTTAACAATGGCCACCAGCAAAAATGATATCCTAATCTTTGGTGGAAACTTTTCAAACCTTGCAAATTTTTTTCTAGTCCCATACCAGGGACATACGCCATTTCATGCATCATATGTTGACTTTGAAGTCTATATAACTGTTCTGGAATTAGAACTTGTGCTCCTCATTGATGTAATAAATCTTTTCCCCATAAATTTATAGGTACAGAAGTTATAATTTGTTGAATAGTCCCATGTTTTTCATCAGGCCCTTCACAATGCAAAATATAACTACTCTGATATACTTCAGGGGCTTTACCGTTTCCAACTATGTTAAATTTAGTGGGTTGAATTGGCCACACGGATGGCCACTGCTGTAGAGAAATGATTGAAATGTCCGCTCCTGTATCTGCCAAACCTTTAAATTTCTTTCCCTGAATAGTTATGTCACAGGTAGGACGTTTATCAGTAATTTGATTTACCCAATAAGCTGCTTTGCCTTGTTCATTCGTGCTTCCAAATCCTCCTGTTCATTTAATTTCACTTTTTCCCATTACCACATACAGCACAATCAGGAGCTGTACTATGCCCTCTCCTAGCTCTGCTTTCCAGCGAACAGAAGTAGATATAACAATGTGGATTTCCCCATTGTAATCTGAATCAATGACTCCTGTATGTATTTGTGCCCCCCCCCTTTTTTTTTTGAGACGGAGTCTCGGTCTGTCACCCAGGCTGGAGTGCAGTGGCGCAATCTCAGCTCACTGCAAGCTCCACCTCCCTGGTTCATGCCATTCTCCTGCCTCAGCCTCCCAAGTAGCTGGGACCACATGCACCCGCCAAGACGCCTGGTTAATTTTTTGTATTTTTTAGTAGAGACGGGGTTTCACTGTGTTAGCCAGGATGGTCTCGATCTCCTGACCTTGTGATCCGCCCGCCTCGGCCTCCCAAAGTGCTGGGATTACAGGCGTGAGCCACTGCGCCTGGCCTTGTGCCTCTTTTAAACTTAAACTAGACTTTCCTAAAAGTAATCCTATTGTCCCCGCTGGCAAGAGTCTACAGACTTCTGTTGGGATCTTTTGTGGGGGTTCCCCAGGCAGAAGGCTCACAGCTTTTGTGCAATATAAATCTACTGCGGCACTACCAGCGGTGGTGGGTGACAGACATTGTACAGGGGTGAGGGAATGGCCTGAGCTGGAAATGCCCCGGTTTAGAATGGGGCCCGGGAAGGGCCCCTCATGGTATTTCCCAAAATCGGGTTTCCTACTTTATCAAACTTAAGAGTGACAATGATTAACCCAATGTTTTCCTTTTTTACATTTTGGACATATTTCAGACTCAGCAGTTTTCTTTTTTCCCCTATCTGGCAGCCTGGCTCGCTGATTTTTTCTACATTCTTTTTTAGTATGACCATGCTTCCCATAGTTAAAACAAGCTCCAGGAAATGGAGTATTTCCTTTGTCCACTCTCAGTCCTGCCATTGCCTGTGCCAACAAAGTAGCTTTATGCAGATTACCTGTGATACCATCACAGGCCTTGATATAATCAACTAAATGTGCTTTCCCTCTGACAGGTTGCAGAGCAGCCTGGCAATTGGGATTAGCATTGTTGAAATATAATAACTGCAACACTATATTCTGAGCAGCCGAATCTGCATCATCTTTTTAAGAAGACTCCTGTAACCGAGCTATAAAATCAAGGTATAGTTCTCCTGGTCCCTGTTTTATAGCACTAAAGGAAGGGTATTGTTCTACACCTATAGTGATTTTTTTCCCAAGCTTTAATGCACACTCTGTTAAGCTGCTCTGTGGCATCATCCTGCATGACCCCTTGGACATCTAAACTAGCCCAGTTGCCAACCCCCAAAAGTTGGTCTGCAGTTATACTAATTTGAGGTTGGGCCTGGGCATTGCAAGCAGCCTGAATGGCAGTTTCATCTGCCCACGAAGTTTTAAATTTTAAGAACTGAGCAGGAGTTAGACAAGCTCGAGTAAGAGCATCCCAGTCAGTAGGAATCATCCAACTGGAAACAGCAACATTCTTTAACAGTCCCATTACAAAAGGAGAACCTGGTCCATACTGATTTATAGCTTGTTTAAATTCTTTGAGTAATTTAAAAGGAAAAGGCTCAAATGTAGCTATAATATTTCCCTGTTGATCTGGGGGTGGTGTATTCTAACAGGGAACTGCCAAGCCTCTAAATCACCCTCTCATCTAGCTTGCTGAATTCCTGCGTGAATAGAACTAAGAGCAGTCGCTTGAGGTGCTGCTCAAACAGTCACTGGGGCAACTACTTTTCGCCCAGTGTCCTCTGGAAAAGAAAGATCTTGAAAGTCATTTTCTTCAAAATAATCATGAGGGGGTGCAGAAGGGTAAGGATGAATCTCTCCCTCCTTTGCTGCTTTAGCTTTAGCTGGTAAATAAATGTGCTCTGTACTCTCTTCTGTTACTTCATTAAACTCTCCTTCCTCCTCATCATCCGTGTGAAAAAGTTCCAAGGTGAAACAAACCAGACCCCAAACGTGTCCCATTGTTACCCTGACGCTTCCGAGCGCCCCTTCTTACTCACCAAGGAGATTGCTTTAAGAGTATTCACATGTCCTTCAGCTAGTTTTCCTTTCCAAATGTTGCTCCGGTGACCCTTCAACCTGGATTTGAGCCCCCACAATGGACTCCACTTGCTGAGACCAGCTCGGTCAGGGAGACCCTAACCCAGCAGTGCTAGAGGAATTAAAGACACACACACAGAAATATAGAGGTGTCAAGTGGGAAATCAGGGGTCTCACAGCCTTCAGAGTTGAGAGCCCCAAACAGAGATTTACCCACGTATTTATTAACAGCAAACCAGTCATTAGCATTCTTTCTATAGATATTAAATTAACTAAAAGTATCCCTTATGGGAAACGAAGGGATGGACTGAATTAAAGGAATATGTTGGGCTAGTTAACTGCAGCAGGAGCATGTTCTTAAGGCACAGATCACTCATGCTATTGTTTGTGGCTTAAGAATGCCTTTAAGTGGTTTTCCACCCTGGGCAGGCCAGGTGTTCCTTGCCCTCATTCCTGTAAATCCACAACCTTCCAACTTGGGCGTTATGGCCATTATGAACATGTTATAGTGCTGCAGAGATTTTGTTTATGGCCAGTTTTGGGGACAGTTTATGGCCAGATTTGGGGGGGCCTGCTCCCAACAGCCCTCATATTTTATTGGTGAAAAGGCAGATCCCAAGAGACAATGAAAAAGATACTTGATTTCTACTGTAGGGTTGATCCTGGAACAATCTGGGCCTGAACTGTGCAGGTCCACTTACAGAGGATTTTTAAAAACAAATGCAGTAGGTCCGTATGGGCAGTTTCCACATTTGAAACCAAACGTGGTAGGAAAATACAGTATTGGTCAGGTTCCAGGCCTACATGCACAGAGGGTTGACTTTTCCTACCCACAGGCTCCACAAGGCTGATTTCAGGACCTGGGCATACATGCATATGTGCCGAGACCAGCTTGGTCAAGGAGACCCCAACCCAGTGGTGCTAGAGGAATGAAGACAAACACACAGAAATAAAGTGCAAAGTGGGAATCAGGGGGAAAACAGCCTTGAGAGCTGAGAGCCACAAACAGAGTTTGACCCACATGTTTATTGACAGCAAGCCAGTGATAAGCATTGTTTCTATAGGTTACAGATTAGCTAAAAGCATTCCTTACGAAAAACAAAGCATACTTAGAGAGGAGTAGAGAAACAGTCTCTGGCCGATTATCTGCAGCAAAAACATGTTGTTAAGGCTCAGGCCACTCATGCTGTTGTTTGTGGTTTGAGCAGTTTTCCGCTCCGGGTGGGCCAGGTGTTCCCTACCCTGCTCCAGTAAACTAACAACTTCTAGCAGTGGGCGTCATAGCCATCAGGAGCACGTCACATTCGTGCAGAAATCCTGTTCATGGTCAGTTTAAGGCCTGTTTATGACAGGCTTAGGGCCTGTTCCCAGCATGTCCCCTTTTCTGTTTTTGCAAAGCGATAAAAGCAAAGGCAGCTTCGTCATGGTGGGCTACTTCTCGCAGGATTCGGGATCCACATCTGCAGACTACACAAAGACAAACAATACAGATTAAAGGCACAATCATCATTGAAATCACAAAGTCTCCAAGTGTCTTGATCCACTTGTATGGGTGAATAGCTGCTAATCCATCTGCAGCTCCTTCAAGCACTTTAGTTCCTGTCATTAATGTCAGATGTGCCTGAGAGGCTTGAAATATGTGTTCCTTCAGTTTTGCAATATCCAAAGATAAATTTCCAGTATGATCCTTTAAATGTCTCTTAACTCTTTCCCACTCATGCTCTGTTTCATTATACAGGTGAGGAGTAATGCAAAAATCAGAAGTATTTCAATCACATTGTTAACTGCATTCTATATTTTAAACTAACTACATGATCTCCCAACCATACGATAGTTTGTCGGAGATCATTAATCTGATTGGTTAATTTCTGGTGTATATTAGTTTGGGAATTCCACAGCAAAGTAGAATTTTTCTGCCAATTATTTACATAATCTGCTGTTTGTACTGTGTTGGTAAAGCAACTCCAGCTACCGTGGCAGTAGCTGTGACAGCAATCAATCCCATAATGATTAAAGTAGCAATGAAACCCTGAGAGTGCCTCAAAATCTTTTGAAGAATTTCAGTAATAATATGCACAGAAGGAGAGGCTTCTCAAGGACGGGAAAGCTTTACAGGTATCCATACTCCTTCTCGGGCTCTTACCACTAAGATAGAATGATCAGTATTATACAAGGAAGAATTCACACAAGAAAACAATCTACATTCTTGACAGTCACATGATGATTAGGGAGATCAAGTTTTAAATCACTCACTACAAGCAGAAAGGGAGGACAGACACAACTATGTATCCAGACTGAATCATTGTGAGCCAATTCTAACATGTAATTAGGATTATATTGGGATGGCTTAGTATATTTCCCTTCCCAAATCTTTTATCTTTTTCAGTGCCATTAATATTTTCCACAATTCCTTATGTTTAGCTCCTACAGCAGGTCGTATCATTTGGGGTCGAGGTTCCACCATATCACCATATGTCCAAATAATAGGAACTTTTGTTGTATTTTTTATAGTGTCTACCATCTGATCATTTTCTTTAGATGCAGGGTGACCATTACCTACAGATTGAGAAGTGAGCCTTATAAATGCCCCTTTAGGGGACCAATCAATAGTGACTCCATATGAATCATTACACAACACCTTTGCTTGCCCTGCAATACAATCTTCCCAAGTAAATATCTTCATTTTTTTCTGAACATGTTCAATCCACTATACAGATAGGTTTTTGAGGGCGGTAAACTTTGGTTACAGGGGCATAATCATTGTAATAAATACTAAGGTCAGAAAGCATATGTAATTGTGCCACAGAGATGTTACCTTCAGGCACTATTGCCAGCCAAGATTGATGACTGGGAGGTAAGCACCTGTTGGCTTTTCCCAAGCAAGTAGTTAAATGCTCAAATCCCAACGAAATATTCATAATTGTTCCCTCCTTTTGGGGGTGAGATGGGCCTCTATCATCTGTAGAACCAGGTATCCAAAAGCTATCATTAGTGTATACCTCCACTGGGGGGTCTAACCATGTCACTGGCCATGAAACTGGTGGAAAAGGAATATATGCCCAATAAGTATAATGTTTTTTGTTTCAGCAGGTGCTGGGGGAATACTCATGGCAATGGTGAGCACAGCCATCATAGCTACCATTAGATTACTCATTGTAGCTGGTCATCCGCTTTCTTCAGATTTTCTTCCGCCATCTGTGTCAACTTCTTGATCTGGCCCCACATGGGTGGCTGTGCCCGATGAATGTTGCTTGCTGGGACTGATGTCTTCCTTATTGTCAGTCTTGACATGGCTGCAACTGGGGGGTCCTTGGGTTCTTCCCAAAATCTCTTCCTCAGTATCTGGCTCATGACAAGATTTCAGGTGTCTTGATGGTATCCAAATCAGTTGCTGGTTTTGGCCTGGAGAAACACAAGCATAACCTCTACCCATGTTATTTTTACCTATTTCCCAACTTTCTGTTATCGGATCTCTCCACCAAACCAGTTGCTCTGCTTCTGTCTGCAGCCGGTTTCTGTAGATGCTGTTCAGCTGCTGATTGCATCTGGCCTTTAGGCAGGCTCAAAAAATTTAAAGACAATAATGCTAGATTCAATTGCATATGTGGAGTCCCGTAGTCATTGTCTCCCTCTTTCTGTTTATTCAATTGTCATTTTAGGGAGATATTCATTCATTTCACAATGGCTTGTCCTTGTGAATTATACGGGATGCCAGTGATATGTTTAATATTCCATTGACAGAAAAATGTAGCCATAGTTTGACTAGTATATCCTGGGGCATTGTCCATTTTAACCAAAGCTGGAATACCCATGACTGTGAAGCATTGCAGAAGATGCAATTTAACACAGGCAGAAGATTCCCATTTGACAGATAGGCCAAACAAAGTGAGAAATTGTTACCTACACATACATGCACATAGGCCAATTTACTAAAAGAAGGAACATGAGTGACATCCATTTGTCAAAGACAGTTTGGTTGCAATCCACAGGGGTTAACACCCCCAGTAAAGGACAGAGAATGAATCATTTGACAGGTTGGGCATTGTTGAATAATGGCTTTAGCCTCTTTCCAAGTAATATTATATCTTTGTGTAAGACCAGAGGCATTTACATGAGTCAAAGTGTGAAAGTGTTTAGCATTAGATAATGCCGTGGCAACTAAGTGGTTAGCCACTGGATTCCCTGTAGTTAAAGGTCCTGGAAGGGGTGTATAAGCTCTAATATGAGTAATGTAAAAAGGGTGCATTATATTCCTAACTGCAGTTTGTAACTGGGTAAATAAAGTCATCAGTTGTTCATCTGTATGAAATCATAACTGAGCATTTCAATTAATTGTGTGGAATGAGCCATGTATGCAGAATCAGAAATTACATTGACAGGCATCTCAAAAGCAGTCAGCACCTCAATTACAGCTACAAGCTCCGCTTTTTGAGCTGAAGTATAGGATGTCTGGAAAACTTTATTTTTTGATCTGGAATAAGAAGCTTTACCATTACTAGACCTACCTGTAAAAACATTTTCAGAACATTCAATTGGTTTAAATTTAGTTATTCTAGGGAGAATCCAATTAGTTAATTTCAAAAATTGAAATAACTTTGTTTTCGGAAAGTGATTATGAAGAACACCCATGAAATCAGCTAAATGGGTTTGCCAATTAAGAGTATTTATAAAGGCCTGTTGTATTTGTGCCTTTGTAAGAGGGACAATAATTTTTCCAGGGTCATATCCATGCAATTTAACAATTTGAGTTCTCCCATTTCCTATCAGAGTAGCAATTTGATCTAAATAAGGAGTTAGAGTCCATGAATTACTATGTGGAAGAAAAAGCCATTCTACCAAGTCCTGCTCTTGGACAACACCACCAGTAGGTGAATGCTGAGTTGGAAAAATCAATAAGTCTAAAGTCTTTTCTGGATCTATTCTATTTATTTGAGCCTTATGCACTTGCTTCTCAATCAGCTGTATCTCTGCCTCAGTCTCTGTTGTTAATTGCTGAGGGCTAGTGAGACTAGGATTTCCTGTAAGGATAGAAAATAGATTACTCATGGCATAGATAGGAATGCCTAGAGCAGGTCGTGTCCAATTAATGTCCCCTAGTAATTTTTGAAAGTCACTCAAAGTTTTCAATTGAGGCCTACGTATGGTTACTTTCTGTGGCACAATGGTAGTGTCATTTACTAAGGTCCCTAAGTAGAAGTAAGGAGTAGTAGTCTGAATTTTGTCAGGAGCTACAATTAAACTGGCAGGAGAAATCGGGTTTTGCAAGTGATCATAACATTGGAGTAATATTTCCCGAGTGGGGGCAGCACAAAGAATATTGTCCATATAATGAATAATTTAACACTGTGACAAATCTTTTATGAGTAAGTTCAATTGCTTGTCCTACATAAGTCTGACAAATTGTTGGACTGTTTAACATGCCTTGTGGCAACACTTTCCAGTGAAAATGCTTAGCAGGCTGCGTGTTGTTTACTGCAGGAATTATAAATGCAAACCATTCACAGTCTTGCTCAGCTAAGGAGTTAGTAATGAAACAGTCTTTTAAATCTATGACTATTAAAGGCCAATTTTTTGGAATCATAGCAGGAGAAGGCAACCTGGGCTGCAATGCCCCAGTAGGTTGTATAACTGAATTAACGGCTCTAAGATCTGCCAACATTCTCCATTTATGTGATTTTTTCTTAATAACAAGGACTGGAGAATTCCAGGGGGAAAATGTTGGAACTATGTGTCCTTTTTCTAATTGTTCAGTAACTAAGTCCTCTAAAGCCTCCAGTTTTTCTTTACTCAGAGGCCATTTTTCTAACCAAGCTGGCTTATCTGTTAACCATTTTAAAGGCATAGGTTCTGGAGGCTTAACAATGGCCTCCATCAAAAATGATATCCTAACTCTGATGAGAATTCTGTCCTTTCACTTGAAGGGGTTTCTTTAACCCTTGTAAATTTTTTCTTAATCCCATGCCAGGCACATACACCATCTCTTGCATCATATGCTGACTCTGAGAGCTATATAATTGTTCTGGAATTAACATTTGTGCTCCCCATTGCTGTAATAAATCTCTTCCCCATAAATTTACAGGTACAGAAGTTACAATTGGTTGAATAGTCCCAGATTGTCCATCGAGTCCTTCATGATGCAAAATATCACTGCTTTGATATACTTCAGAGGCTTTACCAACTTCAACTGTGTTAAATCGAGTGGGTTGAATTGGCCATGTAGACGGCCAGTGCTGTAGAGAAATGATTGAAATGTCTGATCGTGTATCTAACAATCCTTTAAATTTTTTGCCCTGAATAGTTATTTCACAGGTAGGATGTTTACCAGTAATTTGATTCACCCAATAAGCTGCTTTGGTTTATTTATTTGTGCTTCAAAATCCTCCTGTACATTTAGTTTCACTTTTCCCCACTTCCACATACAGCACAACCAGGAGCTGTGCTATATGCTCTCCTGGCTCTGCTTTCCAGAGAACAGAAGTAGATATAACAATTTGTATTTCCCCATTGTAACCTGAATTAATGACTCCTGTATGTACTTGCACTCCTTTTAAATTTAAACTAGAACTACCTAGAAGTAATCCTACCGTCCCTGCTGGCAAGGGTCCACAGACTCCTGTTGGCACTTTTTGTGGGGGTTCCCCATGCAGAAGGCTCACAGCTTTTGTGCAGCATAAATCTACTGTGGCACTACTGGCTGTGGCGGGGGACAGGCATTGTACGGGGTGAGGGAGTGGCCTGAGCTGGAAATTCCCTGGTTTGGAATGGGGCCTGGGACAGGCACCTCATGGCATTTCCCAAAATCAGGTTCCCATCTGTCTCAAACTTAGACTGACACTGATTAGCCCAGTGTTTTCGTTTTTTGCATTTTCGACATATTTCAGGCTCAGCAGTTTTCTATTTTCCCCCAACTGGCAGTCTGACTCACTGATTTTTTTCTACATTCTTTCTTAGTATGACCATGCTTCCCACAACAAACTCCAGGAAATGGAGTATTTCCTTTGCCCACTCTCATTCTTGCCATTGCCTGGGCCAGCAGAGTAGCTTTATGCAGATTACCTACGATACCATCACAAGCTTTAATATAGTCAACCAAATGTGCTTTTCCTCTAATAGGTCACAGAGCAGCTTGGCACTCAGGATTGGCATTGTCGAAAGCTAATAACCAAAACACTATATCCTTAGCAGGCGAATCTGTAATTACCTTTTTAAGAGATTTCTGTAACCTGGCTATAAAATCTGCATAAGGTTCTTTAGGCCCCTGCTTGACAGCACTAAAAGAAGGGTATTGTTCTCCTCCTGAAGTGATTTTTTTCCCAACCTCTAATGCACACTCCTCTAAGCTGCTCTATGGCATCATCCTGCATGGCCACTTGTGCATCTATCTAAACAAGCCCAGCCACAAACCCCCAAAAGTTGGTCTGCAGTTATATTAATTTGAGGTTGGGCCTTGGTGTTGCGAGCAGACTGAATGGAAGCTTCATCTGCCCACCAAGTTTTAAATTGTAAGAACTGAGCCAGAGTCAGACTAGCTCGAGTAAAAGCATCCCAGTCAGTAGGAATCATCTGACTAGAGACAGCAACATTCCTTAACAGTCCCATTACAAAAGGAGAACCTGGTCCATATTGATTAATAGCATGTTTAAATTATTTAAGTATTTTAAAAGGAAAAGCCTCAAACATAGCTATAATATTCCCCTGTTGATCAGGTGGGTGTATTCTAACAGGGAACTGCCAAGCATCCATATCACCCTCTCATCCAGCTTGCTGGATCCATGCCTGAATAGAACTGAGAGTGGTCGCTTGAGGTGCTGCTTGAACAGTCACTGAGGCAACTACTTTTCGCCCAGCGTCCTCCAGAAAAGAAAGATTCGGAGGGTCAGGCCACTCTTTTTCTTCAAAATGATGAGGGGGTACAGAGGGGGAGGGACAAACCTCCCTCCTTTGCTGCTTTAGCTGGCAAGCAAAACTGCTCTGTCACCTCTTTTGTTACTTCATTATACTCTCCTTCTTCCTCTGATTCCTCCTCATCATGATCTGTGTGGAAAGGCTCCAAGGTGGGATGAACCAGAGCCCACACTGACCAGATATTTATAGGAATATCCTCAGCACCATCCCTATATGCCTTTTTCAGTGCTCTGGCTACCTTTTCCCAGATCTCTATATTCATAGTTCCTTGGTCCAGAAACCAGGGGCAATATTTCTCTACCACACTACAAAGCTGCATAAGTCGGCTAGTACTAACCTTCCTTCCCCCTTTTCTGAGGAGCTGCCAAAACAGACTCAAATAAGACTCATGCCTGCTCGACCCTTGTCCCATTGTTACCCTGATGCTTCCAAGCTCCCCGTCTTACTTACCAAGGGATTGCTTAAGAGTACTCTGGTGTCCTCCAGTGTAGTTCCACGTTCTCCGTCGCTCCAGCAACCCCTCAACCCGGGTTTGAGCCCCTTGTTGGACGCCACTTGATGAGACCAGCTCGGTCGTGGAGACCCCAACCCAGTAGTGCTAGAGGAATGAAGACAAACACACAGAAATAAAGTGCAAAGTGGGAATCAGGGGGATAACAGCCTTCAGAGCTGAGAGCCACGAACAGAGTTTGACCCACATATTTATTGACAATAAGCCAGTGATAAGCATTGTTTCTATAGGTTATAGATTAGCTAAAAGCATTCTTTACAGGAAACAAACATTCTTAGTGAGGAGCAGAGAAACAGTCCCTGGATGATCATCTGCAGCAAAAACATGTTGTTATGGAACAGGCCGCTCATGCTGTTGTTTGTGGTTTGAGCAGTTTTCCACTCTGGGTAGGCCAGGTGTTCCTTGCCCTGCTCCAATAAACCAATATCTTCTAGCAGTGTGTGTCATAGCCATCATGAGCACGTCACATTACTGCAGAAATCCTGTTTATGGCCAGTTTCTTTAAGGCCTGTTTATGACAGGCTTAGGGCCTGTTCCCAGCAGATTTGGGTGTCCAAAGTGGGTCCTGGAACCAATCCTCTGGATACCAAGGGACAACTGTGTTTGAACCATGGTTTGAGTTTGGAGAGATTAATGACAACAGTGGCTAAGCATGGGAAGGATTTCTATGGTGGGACTGCATTGGACCACCTCTGAATGTGTGTATTATGACTCACTGGAGCCTGTTGTGTTAGCCCATAAGGAGGGTAATTATTGTTGACACTTGCTCATCCTCTACAGTTTAGTCAATTGAATGTGCAGTTTAGTAAATTAAACAATTCTAAATTATTATTTGATTGGGGTTAGCAGGATGCAAATAATAAGATTAACTCAGAGTATCCTAAAAATTCCCCCA
The DNA here is from genome assembly GCF_000001405.40 of Homo sapiens. Classification (NCBI taxonomy): domain Eukaryota; kingdom Metazoa; phylum Chordata; class Mammalia; order Primates; family Hominidae; genus Homo; species Homo sapiens. The sequence goes on along the minus strand of NC_000010.11, from coordinate 42,486,170 downwards.
GTTGTATTTAGTTTTGTGGAATTATGTCCTCTTTCCAATTTTGCAACATTTCCTTGCATGTTAAAACATTCTTCCCTGAACCCACAATGAGTCTTTTACAACTCTTCTCTGATACAAGAAAAAAAGATATTTCAATGAAAAACAGAGCTTGATTTTGTACATAAGCTAAAAACAAACAAAACAAACCCAGAGGTGTACCTGCTCTGCTCATTCCCTTGTGCCCAAGAGAAAAAAAAGAACACACCATCACGGAAACTGATGCCTTAGGAAATCTTTTATTCATCACTTGGAAACTTATAACCAGCACACTGAGGGCAGTAGCCATTTCTCTCAGCTGCTTGTAGATAATTCACATCTTTGCCAAAAGACTCTCCTTCAAAAAATGTGGAAAACTGATTTCAATGAGTTAAGGAAATACAAGTGATGAGGAATGGAGAAAAAAATAACACAGAGATAATCTGTCTTGTCACATTTTATGCCTAGATATTGAGAGTATCAAGGAGATGTGTGCCTGGTGATGAATAAAGACAACCAGCTGATCTTTGAGGCATGGAATTGGGACTTGGAACTGCACCCCCCAGCTCAGATTTTCTGTTATTGACCTTCTGGAGAGACAGGCATATTGGCGTCCTTGGTTTACCTACACTAAACTTCTTGCATACAGATGAGCAAACTGAGAGCTAGCAAAATGAACTGGCCCAAATTTACAGAATTAAGTGACTTTGTCACATGAGTCAGTGAAGAGCCTCAAAGATTAGTGAAGTCTATAAGATTGTGGGAGAGTCATCAACTAAGTTATGCAAGCTGTCCCATCCCTTCCCAGATTTCACATGGAAAATTTCAGTGGGAACAGAGGCAAATGAAGGGAGTTGGGTACACATATGAGGGCTGGTGTGGCCATTGAGATGCCTGAGCATTTACCAAGGGAGTTTTTATTTTTAGAAGGAAATATCTGCAGCATCTTACCAAACGCTTTGCCCGGGATCTCAGAGGCTCTGAGAACACTAAGCTCTGCCTGTGTTCCTACATTACGAAAAACCAAGAGGGATGTCGCCCTTGTGCTTGTGTTTTACTGAGAGGGAGGCTCATGGTCCCATCCAGACAACCTCCACACCCCGCCTTTGATCCCAGAGGCTGATGGAGAATGTCTTAGCCAGCTGCAGCCCTAGGTATGGTTCTAACACATGGAGGATCCTCTGAGAAATCTATAGGGCTTCATTAGGGCCATTAATAGGGTTGTTTGTCTTGCCACATTTCTGGGACTTTCAAATTTTTTTAATGGGTAGCTTTAATATTATTATTATTTTTTTTAATGGAGTCTTGCTCTGTCACCCAGGCTGGAGTGCAATGGCACAATCCCAGCTCACTGCAGCCTCTGCCGCCTGGGTTCAAGCAATTCTCTTGCCTCAGCCTCCTCAGTAGCTTGGATTACAGGCACTCACCAACAAAACTGGCTAATTTTTGTACTTTTAGTAGAGACGGGATTCCACCCTATTGGCCAGGCTGATCTCGAACTCCTGACCTCAAGTGATCCACCCTCCTTGGCCTCCCAAAGTGCTGGGATTACAGGTGTGAGCCACCACACCAAGCCATATTTGCTTCAATATTTTAACACAAAATGATACTTTAACTTATCATCCAGTGTTCCCACTATTCAATAGGATGCAACTGCTGTGCTTTTTTTGAAATAACTATTTTTGAAAATAATTATTTCAAAATGTAGTCCTCCCACAAAGTCCTATTTCTATTGGGATTTTAAAGGATTACACAAAATAGCCATCACATTTCACTTAATGTGCCCTATGTAATGCAGCACCCAGCCTGCTACAGCCACTTGGGCGGCTTTTGCCCACTTTCTCCTCCAGGATCTCTCACATGAATCAAGGCTGTGATCAAATAGAACATTCTCACTCCATCCCCTCCTAACCCCCAATTCAGATTGTAGCCCACCCCTCAGCAGTCCCTATCCCCTTTCCTTCATTTTGTTCCATAACTTTTGACACCTTCCCACATTGTATGGTTGTGCTTTTCTATTTTTTTTTTTTTTTTTTTGGACGAAGTCTCACTCTGTCGCCCAGGCTGGAGTGCAGTATTGTGATCTCGGCTCACTGCAAGCTCTGCCTCCCAGATTCACGCCGTTCTCCTGCCTCAGCCTCCTGAGTAGCTGGGACTACATGTGCCCGCCACCACGCCCAGCTAATTTTTTTGTATTTTTTAGTAGAGACGGGGTTTCACCATGGTAGCCAGGATGGTCTTGATCTACTGACCTCATGATTCACCCAATTCAGCCTCCCTAAGTGCTGGGATTACAGGTGTGAGCCACCATGCATGGCCAGTTGTGCTTAGTTCTTTAGTGAACTATTTGCTCTTCTGCACAAAATTGCAAGTTCCACAGGGACATATTTTTTTTTATGGCTTTATTATTTGCGGTATGTCCAGTGCCTAGAAAAGTACCTGGCAAGTGTTGTGAAGTATCTCCTGAATAGAGGCTGAATGTTGTGGTAAGTTTCACTGTGATTCCTCATCTTGTGCCTGCACTTGCAAGTTTCTTCTTGTCTGCCCGGGGAGGTGCACTCAGCACTCTCAGCCCCCCACCACTCAAGGTCCCTGTCTGCATCAGTGTAATTGCCATCGAGTGTCAACAGCACAATCCCTTCCCCCACTCTCATTCAGAAGCTCCTCATCTGCTCTGGGATGGGACAAACTCACTCTTGTGTCATCATTCTTCCAAGTTTATTAAAATTCAAAATGTGAGTGTCTACTCTTTTCTTTCTCTTTGTCCTTTTGTTAAAACTTCCCCTTTGAAAGAGGAGATGCCAAGGTTTAGACTAAATGGGAGAGAAATAGTGGGAAACTGGAGAACAAGGGAGGAAAACCACATTGGTTAATCTATCAAATCATTATATTTCTATATGATTAAGCATAAAATAAAATGTCTTTGAAGAAGTTATGCAGTCCAAGGGGTCTCTAACTAATAAGCAGGTCCTGAAGGACATGGTAAAGCCCATATCAAAGCTGAGTTAATTAGCATTATATCCTGATGAATCTGTGGGGACAAGCAGTTCAGCTAAACTTTCATGAAACAAGGACAGCATTTGGGGGGGTCTGTGTCTGACCTTGTCATAGGTGGGACATCCTTTGAGGGGGATCCGTGAGTCTTAGCTAAGTCAACGGGGAAGGGGAATTCTTTGCGGTAAGGCAGGAACACAAGGTGGGGATTTCTTTAACCATCACAGTTTCCCAGTGCCTCAGGGCTCAAGTAGAATTCAACAGTGTCGCTATCAGTACCTGAGCATATATCATGAAAGAAATAGCTTAAGGCTCCAAATACATATTTACTGTGGAACTGCCAAACAACCATGTTCATGGATTTTGAAAATATCATGGCATGCTGCATCTTGCCATCTGGGACATGTTCCAGACTCAAATGAATCCCATGGACATAAGATTAGCCACAGACAGAATTGTGAAGAACAACAAAACTCCTTAAACTACATGGGTAATTCAGAACCTCAGTGAAAAAAAAAGAAAACTGGAAGGCATGGGGCCACTCTGTGAGTTATGAGGTGCATGATTCAGGCCATTCCTTTCAACCACAACCACAGATGCAAAAGACGGTGGAACTGAGTAACTTGCAGCCTTGTGATGAGCACCAGAATCAAGAAGATTGATAAATACCTGTTTCTCTATGGAATCAATCATTCTTTTCTTTTTTCTTTTCTTTCTCTCTTTTTCTTTTCTTTTCTTTCTCTCTGTCTCTCTCTCTCTTTCTCTCTAATTTTGAGATAGAGTTTAGCTCTTGTCACCCAGCCTGGAGTGCAGTGGCGCAATCTCTGCTCTCTGCAACCTCCGCATCCTGGGTTCAAGTGATTCTCCTGCCTCAGTCTCCTGAGTAGCTGGGATTACAGGCACCCGCCACTACACCTGGCTAATTTTTTGTATTTTTAATAGAGACGGGGCTTCACCATGTTGGCCAGGCTGGTCACGAACGCCTGACCTTGGGTGATCCACCCACCCTGGCCTCCCAAAGTGCTGGGAATACAGGTGTGAGCCACCATGCCCGGCTCTCTATGTAATTTTCTAATCTTCAATTTTGTAATATTTAATTTTCTTCTATAGAAGACTGAAGATTTTCTATAGAAATTAAAGATTTTCTGTAAGCGTCTCACTCTGTTGCCCAGGCTGGAGTGTGGTGGCACAATCTCAGCTCACTGCTACCTCTGCTCTTGGGTTCAAGCGATTCTCCCACCTCAGCCTCCTGAATAGCTGGGATTATAGGTGTGCACCATGACGCTCAGCTAATTTTTGTATTTTTAGTAGAGACGGGTTTCGCCATGTTGTCCAGGATGGTGTTGAGCTCCTCAGCTCAAGTGATCTGTCCCCCTTGACCTCCCGAAGTGTTGGGATTACAAGTGTGAGCCACCATGTCCCGCCTTATGTTGTTAGTTTTTAATCTAAAAGAATGCCTCTGTCTTCGTAGAGTTTTGCTCAGTGTTAATGACAAAATCCTTGCCAAAGTCCCACCAGGTGCCCCATGTGCAGTGGCAATGCCCTGAGCTCCCGCATGTTGCAGGCTGCTTCACTGGATGCTGAGACTTGGTTATTGCAGAAATGCTGAGACTGCTAATTAAGGAAGGAGGAGATTATAAGTAAATAATCTTCCTGAGGATTTTTTTTTTTTTTTTTTGAGATGGAGTTTCACTTTTGTTGCCCAGGCTGGAGCGCAGTAACGCGATCTTGGCTCACCGCAACTTCCGCCTGCCAGATTCAAGCGATTCTCATGCCTCAGCCTCCTGAGTAGCTGGGATTACAGGCATGTGCCACGACGCCCAACTAATTGTTTGTATTTTTAGTGGAGACGGGGTTTCTCCACATTGATCAGGCTGGTCTTGAACTCCCAACCTCAGGTGATCTGCTCGCTTCAGCCTCCCAAAGTGCTGGGATTACAGGCATGAGTCATCATGCCCAGCCTTTTTTTTTCTTTTCTTTTCTTTTTTTTTTTTAAGATAGAGTTTCGCTGTTGTTGCCCAGGCTTGTGTGCAATGGTGCGATCTCAGCTCACTGCAACCTCTGCCTCCCAGGTTCAAGCAATTCTCCTGCCTCTGCCTCCCAAGTAGCTGGGATTCCAGGCATGTGCCACTATGCCTGGTTAATTTTTGTATTTTTAGTAGAGATGGGGTTTCTCCATGTTGGTCAAGCTGGTCTCGAACTGACCTCAGGTGATCTGCCTGCCTCAGCCTCCCAAAGTGCTGAGATTACAGGCGTGAGCCACTGTGCCTGGCCTTCATAAGGATTTTTTAAAGCTATTCACAAACTTCGATCACAAATCTACCCACAGAAGTTGTTTTCTCTGGGAAACTACATTCCCATTTGTGCATAACACAGTGTGGACATGGTGGCTGCAGCTCTCCTAGGGCCTACTGTGGAAGCTTCTTCCTCAACAGAGCCTCAGGATTTATCAAAGTAAAAAAAAATAAAAAATTCATATGGTATCTGACTGCTGCCACTGCTGAAGGAATGTGTTATTTCTCAACCACTAATAAAACACAGAAACAGTTTCATTAAAGATGAGTTGTTGCTTTTCTTTTGAGTAAGAATATCATTATTCTAAGACTTCTATAGTTGTTGATCTGATCAAGTAAATATAGTGAAAGTTTTTTTGTTTCAGGTTATGAAGCAAAGCATTTTATTAGATGCACCACAAAGGGCATATTAATAGTAAATGGCAACACAATTTTAGATTATTAGCACTAAACTACATTTTAAAGATAATGTATAATACTTCTACACAAGGCCTGGCACGGTGGCTCAAGCCCGGAATTCTAGCACTTTGGGAGGCTGAGGTGGAAGGATTGCTTGAGCCCAGGAGGTGGAGGCTGTAATGAGCCGAGTTTGCACCACTGCACTCTAGCCTGGGCCACAAAGTGAGACCTTGTCTCAAACAAACAACAAAAACCAAAAACAAAAACTTGCCACGGTCCACGGGGAAAGTGGCCATGGCCATGTCAACAGGACACTTCAAACCCATGGTGTTTGTAGGTTTGAGGCAGCCACAACATCAGATGTGTTTTCTGGGCTCTGCTGCAGGAACGGAGGAGCTGTGCTGGGCCCCTCGCCCCACTCTGAAGTTTGGCCATGGGCTGGATGTGCTTTTGCTTAAGGAAGATGCCACAGGCTCCTTCCTCCTTCCCAGAGACAGACACAGGTCCCCAAAGCCTCCCGTACCTGGCTGAGGAAGCCAGGCAGACATGTTCCCTGTCCAGAAGGAAGGCCCCAGAGCTCCTCAGGATCTGGAAGCTGAGGAGGAATGCAGAATGGTGTCCCTGGTCAACCCCACTGACCTTGGGGTCATCTGATTTGCAGAGCTGATACCCTGGCTTGTGGGGGAAGAAACATTATGTGTATTTTGAGATTTGTGTTTGTTAACACGTATTATTATCAAGGCCAAGGAAGTCTACTGAGAAGGAAGGAGGAGGACACTGAATACCAGCCCAGGCTGCAGTGAGGCCTCCAGTAGCCTGCTGTATGACTTAATAAATGCTGAGTCAATGCAGAGTTGCGCTTGAAATCATCTCCCAAATCACTCCATTTAAATGGATCTTCCTGAGTCTGAGCTTTCTGCTTTTGGGAGGGTTGTTAATAATTTGCCCACATATATTCATAATGAATTTCTTCATAATGAATGAATTCATGTGGTGTGTTACTCCCCTTCATGCCAAATATTTTCTTATGCCACATACCAACTGCAGAGCTATCAGATTAATTTTGAAGACTTCAGTATGTTTCAAAGACAAGGTATCTGACCAATTCTTATGCAATTGTTTTTTTGTTTTTAGATCTCAAGTTATAGTGTTAAACGCATAACATTTTTTCACTAGATTCAAATTACACAAAGCTTTTGGCTCAGAAAATGCTTAATCAGCATTTGATTGCAGAAAGTTAATAAGCTAATATACAGAAAGTTAATAAGGTAACATACAGAAAGTTCAGTTGCTAACTTATCCCATTGCCAGGCCTTTAATTTGGATGGCCACAGTTGACACTCATGAAAGTCACCACTGATGTGGTGCTGGCTGTGTCCTTCCTGCCAATGTTTTGTGGGTATCATCCATGTGGAGACCTCGATTTTCGGTGGAGTGGCTCCTGGCTTTCTCCCCACTGGACATATCCAGCTCAGCTCCCTTCATCTCCTCTTCCAAGATAACAAGTGTGTTGTTTCACCTCTTTCTCCCTACAAAGCCAGACAGCTTACAAAGCAGGGGCTGTTCCATGTACATCTGACTTTCTCACCCAGGTCTGTGTGTGCACATCTGCATGTGCCTGTAAATATGTGTGCACATATGTGCATTCATGTGTATATGTGTGCCTGTATGTGTGTCTGCACATGTATGCCTGTGTACCAAGAACCCTGAGGTCAGTGGCTGAGTATGAGGAACTTGAAGCTCTTACAAGTACTTTGAATACGGAAAGACACATTTGTGCCACATAGGTGCATTAGTCCTTTGCAGTTGCCTAACAGTCCATTTTATTTTAATGCTAATGTTTGTGATTGTGCGGTGGATTCACAGAATGACAGAGTCGGTGCCTCCCCAGCATCATTGCTCTACATGCATGACCATTATCCAGTGTGTGCACATGTGGGCTGCTAGAGTATTTAGAGTAAACTGGGAGTTCATGGAAACCTGGCTGCTCCCAGAAGCACTCAGCACAGCCTAACATGACATAAAGTGTTACAATTAATAAATAAATTAAGCAAAGCTACTGCATACAAGATCATTATCAACCAGATTACTATATACAACTATGAACACAAAGAAATGAAACAACAAAAATCAAACTAGAGAACAAGAACCTATGACAAAAATAAGCCAATAAAGGGCTAACTTACAGATTTTAACAATAAGTCCTTCAATTTAACATAAGGAAAAAAATCCCTAAAGATAAATCAACAAAATAAGAAGAGTATATGAAGAAAAGTAAGGCACAGAGGCCAATAAATATTTTCTAAACTCTACCTCACATGAAACAGGTTACAGCAAGAGGATCTCTGCAGGGCAGGAGTCCAGAAACACTGAAAATCAATCACCTCAACTTCTTTTTTTTTTCTTGAGAAGAAGTTTTGTTCGGTTGCCCAGGCTGGAGTGCAATGGGGCGATCTCGGCTCACTGCAACCTCTACCTCCCAGGTTCAAGCGATTCTCATGCCTCAGCCTCCCGAGTAGCTGGGATTACAGGTGTCTGCCACCACGCCCTGCTAATTTTTGTATTTTTAGTATAGATGGGGGTTTCACTATGTTGGCCAGGCTGGTCTGGAACTCCTGACCACCCACCTTGGCATCCCAAAGTGTTGGGATTACAGGCGTAAGCCAACGTGCCCGGCACCTCAACTTTTTTCTCAAGAATCAAGAAAGAAAAATCAAGTGCAAAGAATACAGGATGAAGGCAATAATAAAGATAACAAACATCAATGAAATGGAAAAAAAAACATAACACAAATAAACCAAGGCTAAAAGTTGTTTTTATAAACAACATAGTTAATAAACCACTAGCAAAACTGATTAAGGAAAAAAGATTAAAGAACACAAGAGACCAGTATCAGAATCAAAACAACAGCCTACGTAACAGTATTATAACAAGATAATCAGAGAATTTTGTGAAATTCTCCCCGGGAGGCCGAGACTCCTGCTTGTCCTTCCTCCGCTGCCGGCACCCCAGACTCCCGGACTCACCCTCGGCTGGGTTGCCGTCTTCTCCTTTCAGAGATGGATGCCACAGGTTCCGGGCTTCTTGGGCTCTGGGAGGACGCGCAGCGGAAGGCGAGGTCGCTATATGAGGCCGCTCCAAAGTCGCCTCGCGCTGTTGCTGCGTCACTGCCTCCAGCCTCCAGCATCCAGGGAGAGTGCAGGCAAAACTGATTAAGGAAAAAAGATGAAAGAACACAAGTGACCAGTATCAGAATCAAAACAACAACTCTACATAACAGTATTATAACAAGATAATCAGAGAATTTTGTGAAATACATATGATCAAAAGTCTGACAACAGAGATCGCAACAGATGCTGAACCCAACTTACTAAAACTGGCACAAAAATAGCATAAAATAAGAACACTCCTATATATATTAAACAAAATTAACTAACTAATTTTAAAAATCCAACAAATCAACAATAATGCTCCACAAGGAAAACACCAGGATCAGACTTTGAAAATGTTCCAAATATTTAAGGAAGAAAAAAATATTGACACTGCTCACTCTCTCTCAAAGAGAAAGACGAAAGGGATGGTTTTTCAATTTGTTTCGAGAAGCCAGCATTACATTAATACACAATCTGATCAGACAATAAAAAACCCAGAAATAATAGATGTTCTGTTTCACAAACACAGATACAAATATTCTAAGAAAAATATTGTTACATGAACTAAACCAAGCAAGAAATTAAAACTGAAATTAAACAACAAAGACCAGAGTAGGAAACAACAACCTACAATAGAAATGAACCAATAAAGGACTAATCTCTAAAGTGTCTTTAAAAATGCTTCACATCAATGTAGGAAAAACACAAATGATCCAAGACAAAAAGAACACTATGAAGGAAAAAAAAGGGGGGTGCATGGGCGAATAAATATTTGCTAAGCCGTACTATGAAGAGGGTTATTTCCAGTTCCAGATGAGAGATACCCACAGGCAGCCCGGGGGGTGGGACCCCAGGGGACAGGACCCCCAGAAGGTGACAGAGATCCTGGCAGTGGGGGACCTGGGGCAGAAGGTGACCCCATCCTCTTCCCGGGCTGCCGCTCAAGGCTCCTGCCGCTCCCGGGCTCCAGCGCCCTCTCACCGGGTCCTGATCAGGGCTCCCTTTCTCACCCCGGGTCAGGCAGAAGGCCCCGGACCCCAGTCCCAAAAGAAACGGAGGCTGCAGGGCTTCCACGCAGGAGAGAAGGGGAGGGCTCCTCTCCGACCCGGGCTCCTTCAGCGCCCACCCCAGCGGACTCTGAGAGGGCGAGGAGGAGGTCGGGGGCTAGGTTCAAGCCGCACTGGGCCCCGGATTCAAGAAAGAAACGGGCTCCTGAGACGCCTGTGCATCAGAGGGGTCCTGGCTCGGCCTGGGATGGGGCTCGGGGAGAGTCAGACGATCTGCCAGGCTCCCAGCCTGAGGCCGCCCTCCCCGGCGCGCAACCCCCGCCCCCACCGCTGGGGCCCTCCTGCCTTTCCCGGCACGTCGCTCCCCGAGAGGCCGAGACTCCTGCCTGTCCTTCCTCTGCCGCCGGTATCCCAGACTCCCGGACTCACGCGCGGCTGGGTTGCCGTCTCCTCCTTTCAGGGCTGGACGCCACAGGTTCCAGGCTTCTTGGGTTCTGGGAGGAGGCGCAGCGGAAGGCGAGGTCGCTGCATGAGGCAGCTCCAAAGTCGCCTCGCCCTCGCGCTGTTGCTGCCTCACTGCCTCCAGCCTCCAGCATCCGGAGAGAGTGCAGGCAGGCGGCACCCAGTTCTCTTCCTTCTCCTCCTGCCCACGGCGGAGCAGCCTCCAGCATCCAGGGAGAGTGCAGGCACGTGGTGCCTGGCCCTCTTCTTTCTCCTCCTGCCCAGGGCGGAGCCATACAGACCACGCTGCCTGGAGCAGGGTGAAATGCGGAAAGCCCACGGAGCAACTATTTATAATGACTTATTTAACTAGATATCCTGTAAGGCATGTTCGGATTGGATGAGAGCCACTGTGCAAAACAACTCTGATTGGATAATATGACCCAATCAGGGCTGGCTGAAATGTTCCTTCTCGTCCTATCAGACTCAGGGTATAGATGCTGGGGTGGGGCAGGAGCCAGCGCCCCCACCGGAATTTGTGGCCACTTCGCCTTTGGCTTTGCCTCCTGCCATGCCCCGCAGGCCCGGAGAATGTGGCCCCAGACTGAAATGAGAAGAAGGTGGCCCCGCCGAGGGTGAGTCTGGGGAGGCTGGAGTGGGGGCTGTGAGGGGGTGCCCGGGCAGGAGTCTCGGCCTCCGCTGGGAGCAGCATATTCAGTGTGTAATGTGAATAACAGGCAAAATAGGTCTTAATTTTTTGTATTATTAGTGACAAAGACTTCCGGTCAACCGCAGGCCGTTAGGAGTTATGCTTTGGGGGAGTTGAGAGTTAAACTTGGATTTTTGACTGTGGGGGGTTAGCATCCATATCCCCCACATTGTTCAAGGGTCAGGTGTATTTTAGAGCACTGGCATGAATCACTTTGGGTCCCACTTGTTGAAAATAGGCATTGACATTTGGAGGCGCCTCCTTGTAGCGAGCAGGTACTACTGATCTCTCTCTTCCACGTACTGACCTTTCCCCAGCTTCTGTGGAACCCTGTTTCCTGGAGTTTACTTACATTCTTTAGTCAATTCTTCTCTAATTCTTCTGAAAGTGGATTTGGAGCAAGGGAAGAGAAACCTGCAGTCTTGGCTGTGTCCAGGTTTTGGTTCTGATTCTTGTGTGCGGTCCACATTCAGATTGGGGTCCTTAATGAAATCCATGGCTTCATCTCTCCTTGCATGCCAGCATCACCCAATCGTGTATAGTTAAACTCGAACTCCCTTTGCACCACAGACTCCCATCTCCAGGTGTTTAACAGGAATTGGATACTGAGCATGTGATATTTTTACCTAAACCTAAATACATCTTTTTTCCTTGTTTCCCTGTGTGCTTGTCCCCTGCCCAACCATCAGCACCACAAATCTAGACGCCTAAAATTCATCCACCTCCTTTGTAATGGCACCCAACCACCACATACAATCCTTTTAAATATCTCAGTTCTGTATTTGGAAAATTACACATTTTAACTGTCTTTTCACTTCATTGCCTTTCCATTACTCTAGGCCCTCATGGTTTCTTCACTGTTAGACTAATGAGCTATGAGTGTTTACCCTCCTAATCCTGCATACTCCTTAAAACCTCAGGCAGAAAATGGAAATTAAACTCGTGGGCATTCAAGGACACCCCCACGATTTTCAGGGTAAAGTTTTTATGGCTTAGCTTAATGCCCAACGACTTTCACATTCCTCTGTTGATAATTTCAATCTCTTGAAATTCTCTCAAACAAAAATAACTAACACTTGTTAACAACTTCGTGTTTCCAGGAAATACTTTAAGCAATTAAAGTCATAATTAAAGTAACATATGCAAAAACCCTATCAGTACTGCTTTTATACTTAAAGTTTTGTTTAAACGTAACCCTGTTTACTTGTTTATGTGTTGTCTATGGCTGCTCTCATGCTGCAGAGGTCGAGTAGAATATGGAATAGATGATGTGGACCACAGCTCCAAACATGTTTACTGTTTTGCCATTTTCAGGAAAAGTTGCTGGATGACTCCTAATCTAGTTGAATGTCTGTGTTACTAGTACAGGGAGATCCTTGCCAGCCAATGTCAGATAAACAAGTTGATTTTATGGACAATTTGTCTCATATATACAAGCACATTTCCAGTTTTTGTAACTGTTAACGATTTATTTTCCCACTTAGTTTGCTCCCTGTAACTTTGAGTGGCTCAACTATTCATCCTGTTTTGATTTCTTCATACCATTTACCCTCCTTCCAGATTATTTAATCAGGTGTTTTTATATTATACCTCAGCAGGGTTCTGAGCTTCTTGTTTGTTTACATGTCTCTATGACCCTCTTTGTTGTTTCATAAATGGATTGATGATATGTAAAATGTACATATTCATGGAAATAGCATTTGTTCCAAGTGACAAAACTATTTATAAAATGAGGATTGTAATTATGTGTGCTATTTGAATTCTGTACATGTATATTTCTGTCCTTGGATTGGAGGCAGAAAAGGGGTGGATTTTGGCTTCAGGCATGGTTTTCTCATCAGAATCCTAAGGTTAGTTCCTCTAGGCATGGGGCTGTAGGATGAATATCCCAAGGTGACAGTCATTGTTGATCCTTAGACCTTATTCTCAATGGGATTTTTAATAAGTGTACTAACATTTTAAGAGCTGTATTAGTTATAAGAAGAAATAGAATCAATTTTTATTTTAAAACGTTTCAATTTGAAATAATTATATACTTCAGAAAAATTGAAATAATATTAACAGTATTTCTGCATACCCTTCACCTATCCCTAATGTTAATGTTTAGCATAATCATAGAACAATTATTAAAGGTGAAAAACTCATACTGAGTCAGTACAGTCAACTAATGTTCAGAGCGCATCTGAATTCTCCCTCCAGTACCCATTTTCTGTCCTCATTGCATGTAGTTCTCATTTTTCGTCAGCCTCCTCCAGTTTGCATAATTTTCTCATTATTTCTTTTGTATTCATGGCCTTGATACTTTTTAAGAATTATATTTATTTTGTAAATATTTTGTAGACTGCACTTCCATTTGGGTTTGTGGAATGTTTCATCATGAAGTAACCTTCCATCTAATCATGAGGCAACATCAGACAAACCCAAATGAAGGTACAGTCTATGAAATAAATACGATTCATGTGGCAGGAATGTCACAGAAGTAATGTTACATACTTCTCAGGGCATTTTATCAGATGGTACGTGATGTTGCCATTACTGGTGATGTTAATCTTGGTACAGTGGGGGCTGCCAAATATTTTTCCCTTTTTAGCTGAAATGTATCATACGGGGAGACATTTAGAGATATACAAATATCCTGTTTGATATTGTATTCTCCCCCATTAGTCCTAGGACCCATGAGTAGATTTTTACCTATAGCAGTTATTACGGTGGAGGTTGCCTAATGATTTCTTTCCATCATTACTTCTGCATTTATTTGGAATGTTCTAGTAGGAAACAGCTGTTGCTTCTACACCACTTATTTATTCAATTATTTATATTATTATGGACTCATGGCTGTTTAGTGTATTCTTTGGATTATGATCCAATGCTAATATTATTTATTTTATTTTCAGGTTGTCTCAACTGTTGGAGTGATCAGACCCAACACCAGGCCATGGGGGCTACTAAGTCTGGCGGAGTCAAAGGAACGAGAAAAGACAAGTTAAAAGAGAAAGTGGGACCATGCAGCCAATGCTAGTGTGGAGGCTGCAAAGGCCCTGAGCTCTGGGATCCCACACTATTTATTGATGATCAAACAAAGAAACAGGCAGTGAAGATGTGGGGGTTGAAAGGAAGCGGTGTATCAAGTGAATGAGCTACAGCTGTGACGGTTTAGCATTTTCTTTGAAACATACGGCTACTTGAGATAAAGGGAGTGCTAGAAGCAAGGAGCCAGCAAGTCTAGACACATTCCAAAGACCACGAGGGGTTTTAATCCTAGACCCTGGACGTGTTCCAAGCCCTGCCTCAGCTTCTCTCCCAACACTCAGCTTTTCTCCCAACACTCAACATTGGCCATTGAGAGCCCCTTCAGGTTGGCACCTGTTTCCTTTTGATATGCCTTCATCATTTTTGAGTTCTTCCTTATTTTTGGCATCACAAAGTGTTCCAGGCTTATCATGCATCTTCTCTGACCTCAGCCCTGAAATTAACCCTATTTCTAGGGAGCCCTGGTTCATCATTAACTGGAGAATGGTACTAGAAACCATGATCTGAGCACTAGGTGTGCTCATTAGCACTGGAATGTCATTTACTCTAGGATCTCTCCATTGACAGAGCTAAGAACTCTATGTTGGTGTACTCACACATGCATTGACATTTGTCTATACCTATCTGACTGTGTACCTACCTACCTACTTATAAAAACTGTGAGTTCTTACTGTTGCCTTTGATTCCACTCTAACACCACTGAGTTTATTCTAGCTTTTCCTTCTTTGTAACTTCTAACAGTGAGAAAATTGGCTTTTATTTTCCAAAATATGTTAACTTGTTTGTTTGTTCCTGGTGTGTGTGTGTGTGTGTGTGTGTGTGTGTGTATGTGTGTGTATAGTAGATTGAGAATTGTGAAACCGTATGCTTGTTGAGAAATAAATTTACTAATTAGAAAATAGTATTTGTGGGACTTTTTTTTGTCTTTAGCTTTCAACAATGAAAATAGTTTTCCAAAGTTACTTAGGCTAGTTATGTTCTTCCCCACCTCTTTCTGCATGCTCATATTATTAGATTTCCTTTTATTAGATTCCCATTTCATTAGGTTCCTTTTTATCCTTTTTAGATATCTTATGCACAAATGTGCAGATAACATGTATAATTTTTAATATCCCCTTCTCATTATATGAAGTGTAGCTTATACCACGTGTGTGTGTGTGTGTATATATATATATATATATACACATTCTCGCTCTGTGTTTTGCATTTTTTCTTTCCACTTAACAATATAGCCTATATTTTAGAACATATTTAAACTTACTTTCATCTTAGCATGCTGTGATAGCAAACAGTTTCATTATTTTTCAGCCATAGAATTTTGTCTATAAAATATTCACTTCAGAAATGTAGAAATAAAGCATCAACATTAACAGAAACATTGTCTTTTTAAGGTTTTTCTTTTTTTTCTTTTCTTTTCTTTTCTTTTTTTTTTTTTTTTGAGATGGAGTCTCATGCTGTCGCCCAGACTGGAGTGCATTGGCGCGATCTCCACTCACTGCAACCTCTGCCTCCTGGGTTCAAGCAATTCTCCTGCCTCAGCTTCCCTGAGTAGCTGGGACTACAGGCGTGTGCCACCACACCTGGCTAATTTTTGTATTTTTAGTAGAGACAGAATTTCACCATGTTGGCCGGGCTGGTCTCGAACTTCTGACCTCAGGTCATCCACCCACCTTGCCCTCCCAAAGTGCTGGGATTACAGGCATGAGCCACCACGCCCAGCCAAGGTTTTGCTTCTTAAAACTTAACATTCTGGGGTCACTCGGGTATTTTCCCACTGTAGACTTATGTTAAAGTAGTATAAATTTTTGGTAGTAATTTAAATGTCTTTATTTATAAATGCACATTTGTGTTTCATTTCTAGCTGGTTGCAGTGTTTGATAAGCAAGATCTACATCATGGAGGTGATGACATCAGTGCCAGCTCCATGCATACCCAGAGCCCGGAGAGATTTACTAGTGCTAGTGAGCTTGGCACCAACAATGTCTCAGCCTTTCAGTCTGATCAAGCAGCAAGTGAAATTGAGGTCACATCTTCAGTACTTCATGCAAGTAAGTGAAAGCTCTTTCTTCTCTGCATACTTCATCTTTTTTTTTTTTTTTTTGAGACGGAGTCTTGCTCTATTGCCCAGACTGGAGTGTAGTGGCGCAATCTCAGCTCACTGCCACATCTGCCTCCCAGGTTCAAGCAATTCTCCCTGCCACAGCCTCCTGAGTTGCTGGGCAGCTGCCGCCATGCCCAGCTATTTTTTGGGTATTTTTAGTAGAGACGGGGTTTCGCCATGTTGGGCAGGCTGGTCTCGAACTCCTGACCTCAGATGATCTGCCCACCTTGGCCTCCCAAAGTGTTGGGATTACAGGAGTGAGCCACCACACCTGGCCACTTCATCTTCATTTGAAGGATACAAAGTTTTGTCATCCATTCTTGCTTCTGTGAATGCAAGGAATTCATTCCTTAAACAGATAATAGAATTCATTACCTGTTTTTATCCAGAATTCAGTTTAGAACCTTGGCAAATGTCTTTCAAGAGAAGTAGGCATATTAAAATCACATTTTAATGAATTAAACTTACTTTAGTCAATTTTTCATGGCAGGGCAGGATCCATCAAGGCAGGGGGATAGAGAAATACTTAAACACTGGTATGGCCCAAGTCCCAACCAGTTTTAGTATATGTGCTGCTGAAGTGAGCACCCAAAGTCCCAACCAATCTGAATGAATCATTCCACCATATCCAGCCAATATTAATATTATTCATAATAAAATCTTAATAAATGAAAGTACAGTAAATAAAAAATGAATATAAAATACCTAAACATAAATATGTCTTAAAACACTAGTTGAGGGTTCTAAACATACCAAAAATAACTGTTTCAAGACGCTTTAAAGCATTGCAATTTGTACAACCAAAAGGAAATACATCTTAAGGAAAAAAATGAATTGCCAAACAAGGACCCTAAAACTGTTTGTTGTTGGCATTGTTCATCTTCAATTTGTAGATCGGTATTATAGGATGAAGGAGATGAGGAGAAATAATACTTTAATTCTGTCATTCCTGGTGTCATTGAGGACCTAGGATTCTTAGTATAGGAGAAAGGGGATACAGATAGAAGTTACAAAGTAATAAACAACTACTTTATAGTCCTCAATTTGGATAGGACAAGTCATCATGGATTCATGATTGTTTTTTCTTTACAACCTACACTTTATTGATTTTATAGCAGGAAATTAGAATGGAGAAGATTAAAAGCTTAAAGACATTGAACTGTCCCAGAATGATAACTTTAGAACTTGAATGAATTCAGAAATCTGAAAATTTAATGAATTTAAATTATATTGTGGAAATTTCGAATTGCTTTAGGACTGGATTTAGTCTATGTCTTTCAATATATCAGTGTGTTGTGGTTTCACAGACCTACAACAATACACAGAAATATTTGATACAGGTTGCTATTTATAGATTTTCTTCTTGTTATTTGGTTTGAAAGTGCATATGTTATTGCACTTTCATGCAGCTAATATGATGGTTATTGGTCATCAGTAATAATTTCTTGAGCTCATGATTGATGCAAAGCATTGTGCTAGGAGTTATGGTGGATACACAGAGGTTTAGAACTACGATCCTGGCTTTAAGGAGCTTGCTATCCAGTTAGGTAGGACTGATGGGAGTTCCCCCCTTCACCCTTTGCACATTTTGCACTGAGAATTTACTGATCACCTAAAGTATATCACAAAAACTGCTGTACATTTTCTGTGTACTAACTCATGTAATCATCAAAATAAATAGTCTGAAAAGGAAACTGAAACTCAGAGGCATAATTTAACTTGATTCATGTCATGATATGTTTTAACTCTCAAAAAAAAGAGAACCCAGAAGGAAGGAGCACTCCTGTATGTATTCACAGAAAAAGGCACGAATCAAGGACCAACTTAGTAAGGCAGCATTTCTCATATCCAGGCTGTATTCTGGAAATAACAATTTTTTTTATAAAAAGAGATCAGAGTTCCTTGGAGAAATACCTGAATTTAGGTCTGGACAGAAGATGTATGAGATGATTCTGGATCAATCTGACATATCATCAAATAAGGATGCTATGAAACATAACTAGGGTATATCAGAGGGCCTAGGAGATGACATGATGCTCCTACTGTCCAAAAACAGGACAATTGGAACTTCAATTGGTATAGTAACAGCAATAAGTGCATGGATTTGTAATTATAATAAATAAGTTTACAAGCAAGAAAAAGGCTGCGAGTGATCCAATTTATTATTTGGAAAGCTGATAAGGGAATAATTCATCTATTCTGCATTTCCTGTGTGGGTGATGTCACTGGATAACTAACAGATCAAGGGGAAGTTACTTTTTATGTAAGTATTTCAGCTAATAAATGAAGGTGTAATGATAGCATTAGAATATTACTATTTTGCAACTCCTAGTGAAATAATAGATCTAGGGATTGATCATTGTATGAAAGGACAATAAAAACTGGGGACCCAATTTACTATGCCAAAAGAAAAAAAGGTAACCTGAAAGCTGAGTCATGCAAGAAGCCACCTTTCCTTGCCTTTGTAAGCAGTTACAGATAAAAGTTTAAACATTTCCACAGGTAGCTACCCCGTTCATCTTTTCTAATTAAGTGCTGATTTATTGAGCATAAGATCAGTACATAATTGACTATTTCCCTACCTGCTCCTTTTCTCTTGCAACGTGAGGATCACCACACATTTCCTATTTCCTCTCTAGGTCACTTTTCCTTTTTAAATATTGAAGCCCTCAAAATCATCTTTGGAGAAAATCAGAGACCACAGACTGTGTCTGTGATTCTGTATTTATTTCTTCTGGGCATGTTCTTAACCTTGGCAAAATAAACTACTACATTGATTGAGACCTGGCTGGGATACTCTTTGGTTTTACAATTGCTATGGTCTTAATGTATCCCTCAAAATGTATCTCTCAGAACTCTAATCCCTAAGACAGTAGTGTTGGGAGCTGCAGCCTAATGGAGGTGTTTAGGTAAAAAAGCTACATGTTATTTGGAAAACTGATAAAGGAGAGAATAAATTATTTATCTATTCTGCATTTCCCATATGTGGGTGGTATCTACTACCCTGTAGTAGATGAGGGGGATGTTACTTTTTATATACATACAAAATAGTTACATCTTATATAAGTATAAAAAGAGCTTGAAGGAATCAGTTTACTTTTTGTCACTCTTCTGTCATGTGAGCACATCACATCCATCCTCTCTCCCTTTCACCTGCCTCCATGTGAGGATGTAGTAGGAATGCCCTCTCCAGAGGCCTCTTGATTTCAGACTTCCCAGCCTGCAGAACTGTGAGAGAATAAATTTCTGTTCTTTATGAGTTACCTAGGTTCAGGAACTCAGTTATAGCAACAGAACACTCCCAACTGGAGTTCTTCAGCACACCCCAGTCCATCCCCTCACTAACCCCCCACCTGTCCAGTCTTATCTGCCTTTATATCAAAAGCCCACAGCTAACCCAGAGGGCTTCAGCCCTGCCCTGCCTGACTTCCTAGGAAGCCCCCCTCTCCACCCACCCTGATCAGAACACTGTCTGAAGGTTCTCTCTCACCATTTTAAAAAGAAATTTGTCTGACAGAGAGGTTCTGGTGAGGAGGCCAGCTCCCACATCAGAGGGAGATTGCAGTTTGGGCTGGACCAGGATAAAACAGTGCTGTCCTGGGGCTGGCCGTCTGATAAGGGGCTCCAGAAAGTGCAGTGATGGAACCCTGGGAGGCTTTCTGCTCTCCTGTCTGCAGGTTCCTGGTGAAAGGACCTATTGGCCACTAGGGTGTCTGCATATGTGTTTGCATGTGTGTGTGTGTCTTTGTGTGTGTGTGTCAGAGTGATGTGTGTGTTCTTGGCTTGATTTCTTTCAGCATGAAGCCCACTTTTTTGCTGAATGTATCTCATTGTTTCCTGAAACTCAGTGCATTCAGCTGGCTCAAGGGTCCTGGGGCCTCGCCGTGGCATATTTGCACAAGCCTAGTGTCTGTGCAGACTGTACACTGGAGTTCAGTTGTAAGACCCTTTTGATCCCTTATCCTGACCCTGTAATAGAAAAGCCATTTCATTTAATGGAATAGAAACCCAGATCTAATGGAGAGATGGTCTAATCTGCCATACATTGGAGCACTATCCATTGATTTGGACTTTGTGGCATTGATGGACATTTCCAGGTTCTCTAGGTGGTGGGCAGAGACCTCACTTTTTAAGAAACTCCCCCACTCCACCCCTGCCAATGAGGACACTGCTTGAGGACATTCCTGTTAATGTTAAGTAGAAGAGATGGTTTCTTTTCTTTTTTATTTTTTTGAGAAGGAATTTTGCTCTTGTTACCTAGGCTAGAGAGCAATGGCCCGGTCTCGGCTCACTGCAACCTCTGCCTCCCAGTTTCAAGCGATTCTCCTGCCTCAGCCTCCCAAGTAGCTGGGATTACAGGGGCACAACCCCACGCCCAGCTACTTTTTTAATTTTTAGTAGAGACAAGGTTTCACCATGTCAGTCAGGCTGGTCTCGAACTCCTGACCTCAGGCTGTCCACCTGCCTCAGCCTCCCAAAGTGCTGGGATTATAGGCATGAGCCACCATGCCTGGCCAAGAGATCATTTCTTGATGTTGAATTTCAGGTAGGGAAGCCAGCTCCTGCATATCAGGGTGGCGGTGCTTGGGCTGAGACAGGTCTAGACAGCACTGTCTGAAAATGGGCTCAAGGAAGTAGCTGTGAAAGGCCCCTGGGATGTTTTCTGCTCCCCTCTCTGCAAATGTCCTGGAGGGACATCCTGTCACTTTGGGGTGTGTGTGTGTGTGTGTATGTGTGTGTGTGTGTGTGTGTGTGTGTGTGTGTGTGTGTGTGTGTTCATCACTTGGTTTTGTTTATGTTTTTGCTTTTCTTCATGAAATCTGCAGAGTTGCCAAAAGTACCTTGATGTTTTCTGAAAGCAGAGCCAATGACCACACTCCAGGGACTGAGTCCTCAAATCTGTGGTATTTGCTAAGGATGGGTGTATACCTGCAGACAGTGTGATGGGGTTCAGGGCCAAAGAACACTAGTTTCTGTGCCCTGTTTCTATGTTAAAAAGACATTTCATTCAACTGGATAACAGGGCAATCTGGTGGAGAAAATGTCTACTCTGCCATAGGATGGGGCAGCAGCCTGCAGTTCAGAACACTGGTGTGTGTCTGGAAATTTCCAGAGCCTCCCGTTGCTGGTAGAGGCCCAGAAGGTAGGGGGCATTTGTCTGCAGATCAAAGGTGAGGGTTCTGCTCACCCCATTATCTTGGCCGTGTTTGCACCCTTGAGTTTGAGGGTTGGATGTCCTGACTGACTGTGCCATAGGAGGGTATGAGACTGAGGGTGTGACAAAGCTATAGGCTGTGGGGATGATGTACATAGGGAGCTTCCCTGCTGCCTGTGGCAAGAGTAAAGAGTGAAATGCTTGGGGCAGGGAAGAGACAACAAAAGTCTACAGAATCTATTGTCCCCAGATCATCTCCCATGGTAGTCCAATCATGGCCTAACATCCTTAGCTACCAATTGCGGAGGAGACTCTGCGCATTTGTGTTCATGTGGCCTTGGATGTTGGCAGATTCAGATTGGTGCCCCAGGCACCTGTGCCTGTAACTGCAGTTTCAGCAGGCTCAGGACTAGGCTAAAGAGCCTCCAAGCTTCCTCCAGTTTCCTGGTGCATGCATGTGCAATATGCTCCCCTGGCCTGGGTCTTTTCTGCCTCTTCTTGCCAGTTGGGTCAGAACTAGCTTATTAACCAGTGTTTTCTGAGATTTAATAGAACTGGCTCAGACCAGTTGGAGACTTGAAAAGGGCTATGTGATAGTAATAGATTTTTAAAGATACATTATTATTTTAGAGTAGATTTGAGTGTACAGCAAAATGGAGTGCAGAGTCCAGAGTTCCCATATGCCCTCGATTCCTGTACACTCTTGGGTCGCTCCACCAATGACCTCCTACACCAGAGTAGAATATTTATTATAGTCAGTGAACTTACATTGACACATCATCATCACCCAGAGCAATACTCTTGGTGGCACACATTCTAAGGGTTTGGAGAAATGTATAATGAGAATGAAATGTATAATGAATGTATCATTATAGCTGTTATGATATCCTGCAGTGTATTTTCATTACTGTAATAATCTTGTGCTCTATTTATCCTTTCTTTTCCTAACCATTGGAAACCACCAATCTTTTCATTCTCCATAGTTTTGCATTTTTCTGAATGTTATATACTTGGAATCATAGCGTAGATAACTTTCCAGATTGGCTTCTTTCAATTAGTAATATGCATTTAGTGTGTAATACACAGTTAGTAATAGCTCATTTCTTTTCAGAGGTGATTAATACTTCATTTTCTAAATATATCACATTTGTATTTATCATTAAGCTACTTAAGGACATCTTGGTTCCTCCTAACTTTTGGCAGCTATTTTAATAGCTGCTATAAACATCTGTGTGCAGGTTTTCGTGTAGACATAAGCTTTCTGGTCATTTGGATAAAGACCTAGGGAGTGCAACTGCTGGATCACATAGTAAGAGTGTGTTATAGTTTTGTAAGAAACTGCCCATATTAGGAGAGTCTTTAGAATGGTAGAAGAGAACGTGTTCACATACTGAGAATCAGTCCCATGAAGGAGGTAGAACTTGAAAATCCAGAAACAATGACATAACCATGAGAGCTGTTAAAAGATACAATTAGGCTCTTTGAAACATTAGGAAGTATATTTGAGCATTCGGAAATGTATAAACCAAGCAGCCTGAGACTGCAAACATCCCAGAGCTCCAACAGAGAGGCTTAGGGAGGGTGGGGGAAGGCTTTTATATGGTGAATATGAAAGAAAAAGAAAATACTTGATTGGGGAAAGTGCAGCAGTGGCCTCATTTGGAACATTACGGTGGAAAGTCTCTGGTTAGATGATAGTTGGTGGCTTGATTGGTTAAGCTTAAGTTTCCTTTTATTATTTAATTGAGTCAAGTTTTGGTTTGTTGAAGGAGGAACTGAGCATACTGGAGCCACCTCAGCCTCATAGCCATCTGTTTATTTGATCATTTTTAACAGAGAAGATCCTTTTAAAAATATCTGTTGCCCCACCTGGAGTGTGGTGGTGTGATCACGGCTCACTACAGCCTCAACCTTCCAGGCTCAGGTGATCCTCCCACCTCAGTGCTCCCCACCCTGAGTGGCTGGGACTACAGGCATGTGCCACCACACGACCATGCTCAGCTACTTATTTGTTTGTATTTGTTTTAGAGATGGGTTTCCCTAAGGTGCTTAGGCTTGTTTCAAAATCGTGGGCTGAAGTAGTCTGCCTGCATTGGTCTCCCCAGGTGCTAGAATTATAGGCCATCTAAACCTTTTATCTCAGATTTGCCTTGTGAGAAAAGGAAAGGTACTTTTTCTGATATGATGAGTCAGAGAAAGATGAGGTGGTTGCATCCTGTGCATATTAGTTTCTTAGGTGATGGGAAGATGATCGGCTCTTGCCTAATGGGATATATTTTCTCCTTGAATGATATGGCAAGATATTCAGGTGAAAGAAGTAGAATAAAAGTTAGAGGAACATAGAAAAGATTGGTTATACATGTTGGGTTTCTGAAGAAATGATGTCATTGGAGAAACAAAACTTTTATTGATTTTTGGAAATATTTAGGGCCAATTTGTTATGTAAGTAATTTGAATTTATGATGACACCTCTGACCACTTTTTGATATTTTTCTGGTTCAGCTGAGTGGTGTCATTGAGCCAACACAAAGTGGTGCTCATCCAGGGATGAGATTTTGCCAGAGAAAAGACAAGCATTGAGTCAGGGAGCTTAAAGTAATTAAGAGAAAGTGACTATCTAAAATTGCTTAGGTAGGAGAGAGATTGGATTTTTGTGTATTTGGTATTTGGGAGAAGAGGGGTGTGGGTATGTACATGAGATGTGTTGTTTATTCTCTTAAGAGAGAAAATGAGGGGATTAATGGACTGTAGTTCTGGACAAGGTGGAAAACTCTTAAAGTGGAAGTATTGGTGCAAGTGCTGTGACAGGCTGGAATGGTGCAGTCAGTCCCTTCATCCATAAATCAGTAGAATATTAGCAGTTCAGACTCAAACCTTGTAAAAAATAGGTGGAGAAAAGGAAGTCCCTCACAGTAACTGGCACCATAATCAAGACAGAATGTTTCTAGAATAAATGGAGTTATCTGCTTTCAGCTCCAGGTTGTAGCTATTCTCTGCCCTGATGACATGCGATAATAATTTGTGATCCTGATGTCTTAAAATGGGGTCACTCATCTCCAGTAGAATTAAGTCCACAATGAAGTTGTCCCCTCATCCCCAAAGAGATAAACATATATGATTGGACTGAGACGATAACAACTACTGCTGCCTGGGATCATGAGAGACCTGAAACGAACTGATAGGAAGTGAAAGGTGGCTGAGAAAATGAGAATGGACCCATCTGCATAGGATCATGAAGCCAGCAAAGATAAGGTCTTGTCCAAGATGCCTTCAGAAGCTTTGTCCATGAGAACTCTAAGGACTTCTCCATACCTGGTGGCTGCTGCTGTGATCTCTGCCCAAAAGGAACCTCTGACCAGTATCTAAAGGGCTTCTGGACCCACTGGACTCTTCTGGAGGCACATTGGTCTCCCGAGTCATTGTTGTGGTTTTTTACTCCCTTTATTACTGCCTGTGTGTAGAATGATATTGCCTAATTGATTATGTGAATAACTCTTGATACATGGTACATCTGAGCATATGTAATTGGCTGCCATGTCATTGTGAAACCTCACAGCTTCACTCAGTGTCAGCACAGCTAGGCAGCCTGCACCTAATGCAAATATCAGTGGGCATAGTCTGCAGGCACCTAATGACTCAGGAACTTTGACAGTCACTAAGAGTGTATCTCCAAGGAATAGTCCAACAACACATGGCTGGCCTGACCCAAGGTAACTATATGTCCAATCCAGGGTCATACTGAGTGGACATCTGCCAAACACAGGTCATTCCCCCTGCCTGCCATTGAGCATTCAAAAGTGACTGGTGTAAGCAGACATGAGTGAGCTTGTTCAACTCAGTATTTGCTTCTTCCGATGGAATCATACTCAGGATCTAGGTCATTGTGCCTTGTTGGAGTCCTACACATTTCACTTGTAAATTATATTTGAAAATTAAATTACCATGTTGCTAGTCATTCACAAAACATTTTTAAAAATTGCATTCTAGAACCCGTGTTAACATCCTGTGACCTGTAGAAAACAATAGAGAAACGTATTAGGCAAAAAGTTCTGGCAAAGACCAGTCTGATACTGGCCTGATTACTCAACCTCAGGCATTGGTCACATTAACTCACAGAGCTAACAAAAATAAAAAGTACTAGTCTTGTTACTCAAGACATTAGGAACTATCAATTTAGATAGATAAAAGATTTTACCTAACAAAATATTATAATGTCATCCTGAAGAATATGTCCCTCTTCCAGAGAACCTAGGAGGTTATCATCATGTCTGGAAAGCCCGACCAGCAATAACAGTGAAAGTTACATAGCTGCCTGAGTGCAGAAATATAATCTCTACTGAAAATAAGTTTTATACTAGGCACAAATTTCAAGACATCCATAGAATTTTTGCTCACAAAGTCAAATCACATGTACAAATTCCATATGGTTTAGAAGTTAATGGTGGTAAATTCATTATGCTTAAGGGAAGCAAAGTAGGACAAATGATTGGAATAGAAAATAACTCCAGGATTCATGATGAATTAATTGCTAGAGCACAAAATATCCAAGACCTTCATGACTTATGCTGCGGATGGGTAACAGAAGTTGGATGAGACAATACCCAAAAGTGATTCCCAGGTTTACCTAAACTAAACAATGGAAGACTGTAGGAGATGCCATTAAGATATCTCATGAATATGGAAGATTATTATTCACTTTTGATGGGACAGGACTTTATAGGGCACCTGGAAAAATTCTCATGAAAAACGACTTTTACAAAATGTCAAGTTATGATATCCAAGATGAAACCAGTGAGTCACAACATTCACATAATATACTGTACAACCCTGATCTCTTGACTGTCATCAAATGTTTCTTACCTCTAAACCAAAGTTTCACTTAATAATTTAATTTTTCTCATTTTTTCTGTCCTCTCAGCTTAAGAAAAGATCATTACAAACTTTTTTGTATGTTTTCATATATGCTTGCAAAGGATTGTAAAATTTTATTGTGATTATTCTTGCTTTAAGCCAAAACTTCCCTAATCTTTCTTTAGAGATTGTGGAATGGCATGCTAGTTTCCTTTCCATATCCAATTGTTTCTTCTGTATTCATTACCCTAGCTATATGATTATGTCTTTTGAACCTCCCCTGCAGCTAGGTGTGGTCTTGTGACTAAGTTTTAAGCCAATAATTTGTAAGCACTGTGCTATGAGTACCTTCTAAAAAACCTTCCTTCTTCTTTACTCCCTCTACCCTGTTGTCTGGAATGAAGATCCAATAGCTGGAGATCAGTAGCCATCCTAGGTAAAGCAGGCAACATGGTCTGTTAACTCCCTTACTGGAAGATAAGTTTTACAAGAATAAGAACCTTGTTTATGTTGGTCCAAGCAATAGCCCCAGAACTTACATACAGTGTGCGGCATGTTTGCTAAGGGCTCAGGTACTAAATAGGTATTGAATGAATGGATGAATTAGTTTACTTTGGAGCCATAAAGAAACAAGGTCTCAGCTCATTTCACAGAATCAAGCTCCTGATTAATTCAAATCACAGTACTCCAACTTATTTCTCTTTGCTCTCTCAGACTTGCCAATGTCATGGTAGGATAGGATTTTTCTTAATGTACTTCAATATTGTCTTCAACCAAAATGTTTTAAAATCTATTTTCATAACAATGCTTCCCAATATTTTCCTGTTTAGAGAGTTTAAAATTCTTCCTTTTTAAAGTCATGGATATCTGTGGGCCGGGTGCAGTGGCTCGCGCCTGAAATCCCAGCACTTTGGGAGGTCGAGGTGGGCAGATCACGAGGTCAGGAGCTCAAGACCAGCCTGACCAACATGGTGAAACCCCGTCTCTACTAAAAATACAAAGATTAGCTGGACATGGTGATGTGTGCCTGTAATCTCAGCTACTCAGGAGGCTGAGGGCAGGAGAATCACTTGAACCCAGGAGGCAGAGGTTGCAGTGAGCCAAGATTGTGCCACTGCACTCCAGCCTAGGGGACAGAGTGAGATTGTCTCAAAAAAATAAAAAGTAAAAGTAAAGTCATGGATACCTGTTTTTGAGTGTGTCTGTTGTTAAGTGCAGGCACTATTTTGTAACTTTAAATAGACATCATCTCAAGTCAACAAAAATTATCCAAAATGGTATCTAATGATATTTCTAGGTCTTCAGATGCTATTAACGCAGATTGTAGCCACTAGGTCCTGAGGGTTTTACTAGATATTGGTTACTGAAACTGAACTTTCTTGAATTCTTTTTTTTGCCACTGTGGCTTCCCACATTTCAATGTATCACCTATTTTTGTCCTCGAACTTAAATATTTTCAAGAAAATTAAATTACATATGAATCATCCCTTCTTCCCTGATTTTTGAAATTACCCATTGCTTCCTATGATGATGATTCTTCTAGTCCTTTTTGTAGTGAACTTATGTTAGAGTTTGTAAATATTCACACATTTTGGAATTTCATATAATTTTCTTCTTCTTTTTTCCTCTTCCCCGAAAGTTGTTGTTACTTCTTTTAACTCTTTGTGGGAAAAATTAAACCCATGTTTCACTTTTTTGATATACTTACTGGTAATTGAACTCCTTGGTTTATGCTCAAATTGCTTTTCCAGTTATCCACTTTTAGGGAAGACATTATTTGGGTTTTGTTTAGTGTATCAAGCTTTTTTGTTGTTGTTGTTAGATGTATCAAGAATTGTAGACTTTTCTATACATAGCATCCTTTTTCCCACAGTAGTTTTTTGAAAAGTCTATTAAAATAGAGGTCATCAAAAGATCTCTTCCTAAACCTTTCCTCTACCAGAAATATCTCTGGAATGACATGGTCCTTTCTCCCATCTTGCTTTTGTAGAAGTCCAAAGCTAATCTGCCCTGATCCAGATTGCATGCACTTGTGCCTTTTGAGGGCCCTTCTGCATTTGTTCTTCCTTCTCTTCTAAACTCAAAAATGTATTTTCTCTGTTGACTCTTTCCCTTTAACATAGAAGTATACTCATCCTTTTTGTTGAATCTTGGAATAAAAGACTTTCTTTACCATATTTACCCTTTAACTACTACCTACATCTCTCTTCTCAGCCAAATACTTGGAAAGAGAAGCCCTCAGTTTGTGTCATTGTTTTCTCACCTCCAGTTCAATACTTTACCCATTACCTGACATCCAGCTCACTCACACACACACAAGCCCAATCACTAAGTTATCATAGCCAATTTGTAGCTTTCCTGCCCTCCTGGCAACATTTGACTCTGCGCATTGAGATAATACATGTTGAGTACCTATTGACCAGGCACTGTGTTAGGTGCTGCTGTTATAGAAATGAAAA
This sequence comes from Homo sapiens, assembly GCF_000001405.40. NCBI lineage: Eukaryota > Metazoa > Chordata > Mammalia > Primates > Hominidae > Homo > Homo sapiens. Next base: position 42,457,563 of record NC_000010.11, on the reverse strand, counting down.
GCAGACATCATCTCCTTTCTAATGACTTACAGAGGCAGCCATTCCTGATTTATATGCAGGTCTGTTGACTCCCAGTGCTCACTTTGGCAAGCTTCACTTAATGCCGTGGAAATCACCCTATTCTCCAGGTTTTTTTTCCTCCCAATTCTTCTTACTGTACACAACTTCTCAAGGTAATCACTTCCATGACCATGGCTTCAGTTGCATTCTCTATTCTCTGAGGACAATAGAATTTTAAATGTTTTGTTTCATGTAGTAGCTTTATTTTATACAAGGTGCCTCATTTGCTATAACCATAGATTCAGAATTGCTCCATGAAAGTAATAAATGAAAAATGGTGATATTATTAGCATGCAAATTTTAGAAAATTTCCCCAGTTACTCTTAATGGTTTGATTTAGTATGTGTGTTATTTTTGAAAACATATGTTGGGATGTCACAAATGAACTTAGCCTACAGAGATTTATATTCAACTTTTGACCATAGAATTCCATTTTATGTGACACTGAGAATAAAAAACTATCTTTTCCTCCTTACCTATTTCACTTCCTACATTCTCTGCCAGGAGGAAGGCACTGCTACATACCCAGTCTTCCCCAGCAGAGCCTGAGCAGCTCTGTTTTCCCTCTACTTCCCCTCTTCTTTCACATCTCTTGACCACACACTTCCTATTCCATCTCTGAAATGATCGGAAAATTTTTCCTCGACTTTTGTCACTGCCACTGCCTTTATCATTATTCTTCTTTTAGATAAAGTCTCTTAATTGGTCTTGTTACTTCCTTCAGTCCTTTCTTATTATACAGACCACTATACCCACATCTGACAGAGACTCTTCACCTTTGTATGGTTCAGTGACTCAAATTTTCAGAATAAAATTAAAACCATCCCAGCATCAAATTTGGGGTCAAATAGAGGTGAGTCTGTATCCCAGGTTTATACCCTGTCCAGCAGTGTGGTCTCAGACAACTGAACTCCTTAAGCCTTTGTTTTTGTATCTGCCTATGAGCATTAAGAGTTAGGACTGTTTTGGTCTGGCGCGGTGGCTCATGCCTGTAATCCCAGCACTTTGGGAGGCTGAGGCAGGCGGATCACAAGGTTAGGAGATCGAGACCATCCTGGCTAATACGGTGAAATCGCGTCTCTACTAAAAATAGAAAAAATAGCCCAGTGTGGTGGCAGGCACCTGTAGTCCCAGCTACTCAGGAGGCTGAGAAAGGAGAATGGCGTGAACCTGGGAGGCGGAGCTTGCAGTGAGCCTAGATCGCGCCACTGCACTCCAGCCTGGGTGACAGAGCAAGACTCCATCTAAAAAAAAAGAAAAGATGTGAAAGGACTGTTTCACACATACAGTGCCTGGCATGTAGAAGGGACTTAATCAATGTTGAATGAAGGGGAGGCATTTTAAAATCCACATCAAAAAAAGGTTTTTCTTTTAAAAATGTACTAATCTACTATGTCACTTTCCCTCCAAGCTTGACTTCTACCTTTACTTTCTGATATGGTTTGGGCATGTCCCCACCCAAATCTCATCTTGAATTGTAATCCCATAATCCCCACGTGTTGAGGGAGGGACCCAGTGGGAGATGACTGGATCATGGGGACAGTTTTCCCCACGCTGTTCTCATAATAGTGAGTGAGTTCTCACGAGATCTGATGATTTTATACGTGTTTGACAGTTGCTCCTTCACACGCTCACGCTCTCTGGCCTGCCACCATGTAAGAAGTGCCTGCTTCCTTTTCCACTGTGATCGTAAGTTTCCTGAGGCCTCCCCAGCCATGTAGAACAAGAGTCAATGAAGCCTCTTTCCTTTATAAATTACTCAACCTTAGGTATTTCTTTATAGCAGGGTGAAAATGGACCAATACACTTTCTGATAATCACACTTGAGTAATTGGAGAATTCATACTACCTGGGATCAAATCATGGCCCCAGCCTGAGCAGTCGTGTGACCTTGGGGAGATAACTTACCTCTCCATTTCAATGTCTTCTGTAAAACCTGTAAAATGAGATTGTTCTGAGGGTTAAATGAGCATAGCATAGTTAGAACACTGTCAGGCACATACTGATTGCCAGATATTGAATATTCATCTTTATTGAATTAGGACTGTGGTACCCCACTTTACAGCTCTCTATTTTGTATGACAAAATCATGCTTAATGCTTTTTAGTAAAAGAGAGAAAATCTGAAAGTCCTTGCCATGGAAGGAAGAAACAGAGGGTAGAAAAGGGAGTTGGTAAGTTTCAGCATTTCAGAACTTGGAGGGACAAGTTAGGTTTCTATTTTATGGAGAAGGAGGTGGAGGCAGGATGGGTCCTAAGGTGTGATTCAAGACACACAGCCATAATTCTTTATTGAGAGTAGAGCTAGGGCCCCAGGGACCGCTATGGTCAAGTTGCAGACAAAAACTACCACTCATTGGAAGACAGGAGAGGAATATTTAGTTACAAAAGCAGTCAACAATTCAGGTGTGTCTACATTAAGTCAGCAAATAAAAGTTGTTCAACTTGGTTGCTAATGGGACCCACTCTACTAACTGAGGGTTTGTATAGAACTCATAGAGGAAGATGGCTTCAAGTAAGGAAACACCTTATGCTTTTCTTAGGACTAAAAAGCTCAGGAAGCTGGTGATGAATGAAAATCTTAGTCCCACTGGCACTGCATGAGGGGCCAGGAGAGCAGCAGCAGCATAAGTCACAGGGTGGGGCAGCCCAGGCAGGGACATTTTGAGCTGTGGGGGAGGGGTGGCAGCCAGGGTGGGGCACTGTGAGGTGTCGGGGAGGGCACTGTGAAGTGTGGGGCGGGGCATTGTGAGCCACAAGCCTGGGCTCCCACCTGGGCCAGTGGGCTTCAGTCTGTAGGTGACTGCAGAAGGAGGAGGAGCTCCATCTGTTCTCTCTTCAGGCAGTTGTTGTGTGTCTCAGCGCTTGTTGGGTTCACAACCTATTAAATAAGCCGGCTGGTCTTCACCCTCCCAGACAAGTCAACTCAGGGGAGTCAGCAGGGCACGGGCCTTGGCCCGCAGCCCCAGCTGGGGCCATGCCTGGGCTGTGAAGTGGGCAGGCGAGCAGCAGGCAAGACCATCTCTGCAAGTGCAGCATAGCCTCAGCCTAGGGCAGCGGGAGTGTGTGGCCCAAGCTGTGAGCAAAGGCACAGATGGTGACAGGAGTAGAGGCACCCCATGGGAAACATACTGACCTGTTGTGTGTGCCCCAGGGCCAGCCCTGGGTTGCACCAGCACCAGGGATTGGTGTGTCACTGTGAGTCTGAGATCTATGAGGCAGCAGCTGGGGACCTGATAGCAGGAGTGCCTGTGGCTGCTGCTGTAGAGCCTGGTGAGGTGACTTTTGTAGCTGGTGAGGGCCTCCACATGCACCACATCTGTGAACGGGAGATGCCTGAAGGTAAGGAGGTGACAGGTGCCTTCTGCCCTCGGCATACTTCTGGCTGCTGCTGTCCCCAGGGTCCTCTGGGAGGCATCCCCCACCTCAGGCTCCTTTCTGCCTGTAGCCAGCTATCCTAGGCCTGTCCAGGAACAAAACCTGGCTTGCCTTGCGTTCCCACCCCTTAGTCTTTCCCCAAAGACTCCAGTTAGTTTATTTTTTCCTTCCCTCCAAAACTCCCAGTTCTTGCTCCCTCATCTCATTCTCCCCTTCTGGCATGGGACCATTTATTTATGGCTGTTCTTGTCTGTAGCTCTATTTAGTATCCTGTGGGACTTTGTTGAGGCTTCTTTGGAATATTCTCTCCCTTTTCTCAATAAAAACTCAAATATCCCAACTTTCCAGTACCCATCTCATTCTCTTTATACCTATCCAGGTGGTACCTAAGTGAAGGAACCAGGTAAGTGCCTAATTGTTTCCTTTGTTAAAGTAGCCAAATCTCAGGACAATTCATACTGAAATATTTGGGGATTTCTTATTTAAAATCAGAATGCAGGTTGCCATAGGAGAGACTATATGGGTTGCTTTAAGTCACCTGGATAGAAGCTGCTTAGTTTCTTCTAACTAAGTTGAACACAGAAGGAAAGAAAATGGAGGGTGCTTAAAATAATTGGGAAAGGTGTGAAATGTCATGGCTAGGGCTGCAGAAAAATGGGTGTGGGGGGGTTCCCCCAAAGGAGTGTACCTATGAGGCTCTGATTACTTTAAAATTCTTACTTTAACACAAAATGTGTCTGCAGATTTATTCTGGCGACTTAACAGACATTATTTACCTCCTCGTTCTAAAAGAGAGGTGGGGATGATTCGTGGTCAAAACTTTCAAAAGACATAAAACGTAAACGTAGACTTTGAATGTGTAATATAAAGATTGAAGGTTAAAATGTCAGACCTTGCCTGTGTAAGAGTGTTTGTTGCCATGGCTTCCCCTTTGTCCTTCCCCCTCCTGACAATAACATCTTGTTCAAAGATAAGAAACTTAAGAGTTTTTCAGTCTCTACACTGCTGGGAGAGGCGGGGGATGGGAGGGGGTAGAAAAGAGAAAACACTTAGTTGGTTTGCCTCTAAACTTTTGCAAAGAGGTGAATCTAAGTAAAAAGAATTCTGAGTAACAATATGGTTCTTGAATAAAAACTAAATTTTTACAAATAGAAAACATTGTATCATAAAGATATTAAATCCACTGGCTCTTTGGTTTCATTTAAATGCCAGAGATTTATTACTGTAGAGGAAATGTCTTATAGCTCTTCTATTTAAACTTTGATTGGGCTTCGTGTAGCCAAGACAATCCTAAACAAAAAGAACAATGAGAACACATGGACACAAGGAAAGGAACATCACACACTGGGGCCCATCGGGGGTGGGGGGCAAAGGGAGGGAGAGCATTAGGACAAATGCCTCATGCATGTGAGGCTTAAAACCTTGATTATGGGTTAATAGTTGCAGCAAACCACCATGGGACATGTATACTTATGTAACAAACCTGCATGTTCTGCACATGTATCCCAGAACTTAAAGTGAAAAACAAAAAAAAAACAAAAAAATAACAACTTTGGTTGGGCTTTTATTTTTTTCAGAGGTAGAATAATTAAGACTCATGATGTGTGACTTTGTAACTTGGAGTACTATACTCGCTTTTCAAGATATTAAAGAATTTAAACAAATATGTGAATTAATTCATTATACTTTTATACACAAAGCATGTAAGTACTTGTGTAAACATACTCCACTTGGTGGTGTAAGGAAAGCCTCTGAGTGATTTTACACACCAGTTAATAGACGGGTAGTGTTGGATGAGAGCCCAAAAAAGGCTCTTTATTGTCATTCTTTAGGATTACAGCACAGTTTATGTATGTCTCATTTGGCTCTTTGCAATACAAATAAAGGCCTATATGTGTTCTCCCTACATTTTGCTAATGAAGAAATGAGGACTTAGAGATCTCATGTAACTATGGAAGGCAGCTACTCAACAGAACTAAGGTTCTGTGTCCTCAGAATGACATGGAAGAGATAGATATGCTGAATTTACTTTTTTAAAATTTTAAAAACTCCAGATTACATCTTATATTTTGCCTATAAAATAGACCTGTCTTTTAAAACATATTGCCATCTTGTTTTATTCTATGCAGTTGATTTTACACAACTTAAAGGCAAATTTACCTTTTTTTTTTTTTTTTTAAATGAAGGAGGTTCTCACCATGTTACTCATGCTGGCCTCAAATTCCTGACCTGGGCTCAAGTGATTTTCCCATCTCCGCCTCCTGAGGAGCTGGGACTACAGGCCTGTGCCATCTTGCCTGGCTCTATCTTATGTCTATACATTCATTTCAACGGATAAGGATAAAAGTAGAGGTAGTGAAATAGCCTAAATGCAGCAGTCAAATAAATGAGTTGATAAATTTTTATAAATGATCACATCTTTTTTTCTTCTCTCCCTCTATAGATATACCTTTGGAGCCCAACCCTTCTGACCATCCAAAGGCAAGCACAATATTCCTGAGAAAATCTCAAACAGATGGTGAGACAACATTGTTTTTTCTGCCAAGAAAAAGATCGAAAACTCTTGTTGTTTGATCAGATGTATTATAGAAAGTATTTAGAAAAACTCATATTGGTTTAATTTTTTGAACTTTTCACATATTCGCTTGTCTTATTTTAATATGTGATATACTTTTTTTAGTTGTTACTGTGTTAGTGAAATCATGTAAATTTTTTATTTATACATTTTGCCATCTTTTTATCAACACAATTTGTCATGTGATGGAGGAGTCATAGATTTATCTTTATTTATAATTCTTTGCCCCTTTTTCCTTGCTCCTAAGGGTGCATTTTAAAGATAGAACTTAGGCTTCAGCTTGGTTTCCATTTAAACAAATAAAAAAAAAAAAACTGTTGTTCATCAACAGAGATTGAATCTGTGATTTTGGCCTCCTCTTGCACAGTCCTCTGATCACATGCATTTATCACATCCAAGTTTATACTTCTCGGAACTTTTAAGTCATTAACCTTGTCATCTGATGTAAATTTAAACATGCCCTACTTCTGCTTATTTTCCTTAATGTTATGTTAAATCCTTGTTTGTTTGCTAAAAAGCCATACACAGCCAAGTTTTCCAGTTGATTTAAGCAACAAGAATACAAGTGAGGATCTATATTAATATGGGAAGTAATGCAGTGCAGTAAATATGGGAGTTTATAACTTTTTTTTTGTAGTTTTGAGTAGACTTTGCCTGTCTTGAGTAAGTTATTTCTGGTTAGAATTTGTGTTCATTTTTGTGTTACTATAAAGAGGTACCTAAGGCTGGGTAATTTATAACAAAAAGAGGTTTAATTGGCTCATAGATCTTCAGGCTGTACAAGCATGGCTTCAGCATCTGCTTCTGGTGAGAGCCTCAGCAAGCTTACAATCATGATGGAAGGCAAAGGGGAAGCAGGTGGTTCCACACAGTGAGAAGGGAGGGAGAGGCAGGTAGAGGGAAGGTGTCACACTCTCTTTTTTTTTTTAATTTTTTATTTATTATTATTATACTTTAAGTTTTAGGGTACATGTGCACAATGTGCAAGTTAGTTACATATGTATACATGTGCCATGCTGGTGCGCTGCACCCACTAACTCGTCATCTAGCATTAGGTATATCTCCTAATGCTATCCCTCCCCCCTCCCCCCACCCCACAACAGTCCCCAGAGTGTGATGTTCCCCTTCCTGTGTCCATGTGTTCTCATTGTTCAATTCCCACCTATGAGTGAGAATATGCGGTGTTTGGTTTTTTGTCCTTGTGATAGTTTACTGAGAATGATGATTTCCAATTTCATCCATGTCCCTACAAAGGACATGAACTCATCATTTTTTATGGCTGCATAGTATTCCATGGTGTATATGTGCCACATTTTCTTAATTCAGTCTATCATTGTTGGACATTTGGGTTGGTTCCAAGTCTTTGCTATTGTGAATAATGCCGCAATAAACATACGTGTGCATGTGTCTTTATAGCAGCATGATTTATAATCCTTTGGGTATATACCCAGTAATGGGATGGCTGGGTCAAATGGTATTTCTAGTTCTAGATCCCTGAGGAATCACCACACTGACTTCCACAATAGTTGAACTAGTTTACAGTCCCACCAACAGTGTAAAAGTGTTCCTATTTCTCCACATCCTCTCCAGCACCTGTTGTTTCCTGACTTTTTAATGATTGCCATTCTAACTGGTGTGAGATGGTATCTCATTGTGGTTTTGATTTGCATTTCTCTGATGGCCAGTGATGATGAGCATTTTTTCATGTGTCTTTTGGCTGCATGTGTCTTTTGGCACTTCTTTTGATAAGTGTCTATTCATATCCTTCACCCACTTTTTGATGGGGTTGTTTTTTTCTTGTAAATTTGTTTGAGTTCTGTGTAGATTCTGGATATTAGCCCTTTGTCAGATGAGTAGGTTGTGAAAATTTTCTCCCATTTTGCAGGTTGCCTGTTCACTCTGATGGTAGTTTCTTTTGCTGTGCAGAAGCTCTTGAGTTTAATTAGATCCCATTTGTCAATTTTGGCTTTTGTTGCCATTGCTTTTGGTGTTTTAGACATGAAGTCCTTGCCCATGCCTATGTCCTGAATGATAATGCCTAGGTTTTCTTCTAGGGTTTTTATGGTTTTAAGTCTAACGTTTAAGTCTTTAATCCATCTTGAATTGATTTTTGTATAAGGTGTAAGGAAGGGATCCAGTTTCAGCTTTCTACGTATGGCTAGCCAGTTTTCCCAGCACCATTTATTAAATAGGGAATCCTTTCCCCATTGCTTGTTTTTCTCAGGTTTGTCAAAGATCAGATAGTTGTAGATATGCGGCATTATTTCTGAGGGCTCTGTTCTGTTCCATTGATCTATATCTCTGTTTTGGTACCAGTACCATGCTGTTTTGTTTACTGTAGCCTTGCAGTATAGTTTGAAGTCAGGTAGTGTGATGCCTCCAGCTTTGTTCTTTTGGCTTAGGGTTGACTTGGCGATGTGGGCTCTTTTTTGGTTCCATATGAACTTTAAAGTAGTTTTTTCCAATTCTGTGAAGAAAGTCATTGGTAGCTTGATGGGGATGGCATTGAATCTGTAAATTACCTTGGGCAGTATGGCCATTTTCATGATATTGATTCTTCCTACCCGTGAGCATGGAATGTTCTTCCATTTGTATCCTGTTTTATTTCACTGAGCAGTGGTTTGTAGTTCTCCTTGAAGAGGTCCTTCACATCCCTTGTAAGTTGGATTCCTAGGTATTTTATTCTCTTTGAAGCAATTGTGAATGGGAGTTCACTCATGATTTGGCTCTCTGTTTGTCTGTTGTTGGTGTATAAGAATGCTTGTGATTTTTGTACATTGGTTTTGTATCCTGAGACTTTGCTGAAGTTGCTTATCAGCTTAAGGAGATTTTGGGCTGAGACAATGGGGTTTTCTAGATATACAATCATGTCGTCTGCAAGCAGGGACAATTTGACTTCCTCTTTTCCTAATTGAATACCCTTTATTTCCTTCTCCTGCCTAATTGCCCTGGCCAGAACTTCCAACACTATGTTGAATAGGAGTGGTGAGAGAGGGCATCCCTGTCTTGTGCCAGTTTTCAAAGGGAATGCTTCCAGTTTTTGCCCATTCAGTATGATATTGGCTGTGGGTTTGTCATAGATAGCTCTTATTATTTTGAAATACATCCCATCAATACCTAATTTATTGAGAGTTTTTAGCATGAAGCGTTGTTGGATTTTGTCAAAGGCCTTTTCTGCATCTATTGAGATAATCATGTGGTTTTTGTCTTTGGTTCTGTTTATATGCTGGATTACATTTATTGATTTGCATATATTGAACCAGCCTTGCATCCCAGGGATGAAGCCCACTTGATCATGGTGGATAAGCTTTTTGATGTGCTGCTGGATTCGGTTTGCCAGTATTTTATTGAGGATTTTTGCATCAATGTTCATCAAGGATATTGGTCTAAAATTCTCTTTTTTGGTTGTGTCTCTGCCCGGCTTTGTTATCAGGATGATGCTGGCCTCATAAAAGGAGTTAGGGAGGATTCCCTCTTTTGCTATTGATTGGAATAGTTTCAGAAGGAATGGTACCAGTTCTTCCTTGTACCTCTGTTAGAATTCGGCTGTGAATCCATCTGGTCCTGGACTCTTTTTGGTTGGTAAGCTATTGATTATTGCCACAATTTCAGCTCCTGTTATTGGTCTATTCAGAGATTCAACTTCTTCCTGGTTTAGTCTTGGGAAAGTGTATGTGTCTAGGAATTTATCCATTTCTTCTAGATTTTCTAGATTATTTGCGTAGAGGTGTTTGTAGTATTCTTTGATGGTAGTTTGTATTTCTGTGGGATCGGTGGTCATATCCCCTTTATCATTTTTTATTGCATATATTTGATTCTTCTCTCTTTTTTTCTTTATTAGTCTTGCTAGTGGTCTATCAATTTTGTTGATCCTTTCAAAAAACCAGTTCCTGGATTCATTAATTTTTTGAAGGGTTTTTTATGTCTCTATTTCCTTCAGTTCTGCTCTGATTTTAGTTATTTCTTGCCTTCTGCTAGCTTTTGAATGTGTTTGCTCTTGCTTTCCTAGTTCTTTTAATTGTGATGTTAGGGTGTCAATTTTGGATCTTTCCTGCTTTCTCTTGTGGGCATGTAGTGCTATAAATTTCCCTCTACACACTGCTTTGAATGCGTCCCAGAGATTCTGGTATGTTGTGTCTTTGTTCTCGTTGGTTTCAAAGAACATCTTTATTTCTGCCTTCATTTCGTTATGTACCCAGTAGTCATTCAGGAGCAGGTTGTTCAGTTTCCATGTAGTTGAGCGGTTTTGAGTGAGATTCTTAATCCTAAGTTCTGGTTTGATTGCACTGTGGTCTGAGAGATAGTTTGTTATAATTTCTGTTCTTTTACATTTGCTGAGGAGAGCTTTACTTCCCTTTCTCTCTTAAACTACCAGAATGAGAATTTGCTTCTTACCATGGGGATGGCACCAAGCCATTCATAAGGAATCCACCACCATTACCTAAACACCTCCCACTATGCCCTTTCTCCAACATTAAGGGTCATATTTTAACATGAGATTTGGAGGGGGGAAAATATCCAAGCCATGTCAGAGTTGTTTTTCCCAGTTCCTTCCAGAGCTATGGGCTTCTCACACATAGAGAGCATAGAAGAGGTAAAAACAAAAGCTATTTCATGTCCCTCACTCTTCAGTGGTAGGAATGTTTGCCTGCAAGGCCCTTCCAGCATCAAAGGTGGAGGCGGTGTAGGAAACAAAGCATGGCCCAAGTCCTCTTGGAGCTTTTATTATGCTGGCCTTTTTTTTTTTTAGAAAAAAATGATTTTTTGTGCTGCGGACACCATGTCCAATCAGGTTTGTATAGTCATTTTAAAATTTAAATTTAAGATAAGTTACTTTCCAGTTGTTTTGTTTTTAGTGACATATTAGTAGATGATCACTAAGTGTGGTTCGAGATGCTTACAGGGATTCTGGTGCATCCAGAGATAGGTGCCTGGCCAGAAAGTAGTTCTTAGAGCTGTTAACTCTCAGATTCTGGCAAATAAAGTAAGCTATGTGTAAATGCAGAATGAGAAAATACTCATGGCTCATATATGCAACAGTTAAATTTTTTATTAGCTAACTTTTTCATCTGTCCCCATTTTTTTTTTGCCCTTTTCTTTTGTGCACAAGGATTCTTTCATTTGTGTGTAACAGAAACAAAAAGTAAACTAGGTCAAAAAGTAAAACTAAGTTATTAGATTTTACTCTATGAGATTTATCATGCCAGATAATTTAAATATAAATTGTTGAAAGTAATTTTTTTAAATGGAATTTTTCCTCATTTAGGAGTAATTAGTAAGACATTAACTACTACTCTTATTTTATGGTATTTTTATCAGAAGTGACCATTTTCTTTTTCATTCTTAGTACAAGAAAAAAAGAAAAAGCAACTATGCAAAGCATGTACGTAAACAGTCAAAAGGTTAAGAAATTGATAGTTTGATATAAAAATATGTCTCTCTTGATTCCTTGAAATTATAGTGGGGACCCTGTGGTGATAGCACGGACCTCTTTTTGTATTTTCCTAAGTATAAAATTTATTCAGAGAAGTCTTCAGCTTAGAAATTTTAAGAATTTCTGACATTTAAGTTAAATTTCAATACTCTGGTTGTGGTACAAAGATCTGCCTTAAATATTTAATCATATTCTTAATCAAATAACAAAAATAGAATAGCTAAGAATTAACAAATAACAAAATAACAAATACAGAGTAACAAATACAGAGTAACAAATAACAAAAATAGAATAGCTATCAGCACTGTCTATTGACTTTGTCATAGCGGGTGAAAGCATACCTTCCTCACTACACCATGACCTTATTTTTCTCCCTCTGTTTCTTCCAATTGTAGCACACTTTTTAATTAAATCACTAATATTTACATGATTATCACTATGCAAATTCTATTCACTGCTAAGTCATATGATGTTTTCACTGTGCCTCTGCATTATATGTCCTTCATTCTTTCTCTGAAACAGTTCTGAAATCTGAGCATTTCTGTACTTTTTCTGGATCATCTCTTTTTCCCTAGCCTATGTTACTTTACCCAGCCAAATGCAGTAAGTAGCCCCTGGCTGGTCTGTTTGCTTTCACATCCATTTTTTTTTTTTTAGCCTGAAGCTAATTTTCTGACTATATTCATTTGCCTGTTTTCTAACAGCTGTTTTCCCCCCAAGTGTTGCTGCATTTATCACATGCCTTTCAAATATACTTTCCATCTGCTAAAACACATATATTCCTTTTTTTTTTTTTTTTTGCCAGGGGTGGGGGGTAACTTTCTTTGGCATTTTGTCATCCTAGTTCAATACAGAGTGGCTTTCCCTAGATATGCTCAATGTCTGCTTTTCTGTGCTAGCTCCTTGAAGTCTTTTGGGATCTCACATAACTGCCATCTTGTGTGGGATCACCTGAGTCCTAGATTCTGTTTCCTTCTGTCCTGTTATCCTCACTAGTTGTACTTGAGCACATTTTCCTGGGCAGAGATGTTTAGGGATCTGGCCAGTCTTAAAATCCCTTCTTTTTGATACAGAGCAAACTTCTAGGTTGAATCTAAACTTTATGGTTCTGAAGATATTTTGCAATTGTGCAATCATTACAGTGTTGTTCTTGACTCTGTTGCCATTGTGAGATACATTATTTGTAACCAGGTTTTATGTCTCTGTGGAAGCTTTTTAGCAGCTTCTTTCTCACTGAGATTCTGAAATTTCATAACAGCTTGGTGGGAATCTTTTCATTTTATTGAGGCTACTAAGTCTGAAGACTATCTCTTCTTGAGAATTTTTTTATTTTCTCTGTTCTTTTTTTTCTGATAGTCTTGTTATTCAGACACTCAGCTGCTTAGACCAGTATACCTGCAGTGGTTTTTAATTTTTCCCCTTCGATTTTTCAGTTTCTGTGACTTTTTACTCTAACATTTCTATTGAATTTTATATCTTTTTCAGAGTGTTTTCAGATTTTTTTTGTAAGTTTTGCTCCTGATTTTGACTGGTCCCATGAATCCCTTTTTTCTGTTGTTTTGATGTCTCTTGTTGGAGGCTTCCCTCCAATGTGTGGTGGTCCCTGGCTTTATTTGGAAGCTGGACTTCTGTTAACTGGTGGCACTCAGTGTGAGGTTTTGGAAGCCAAACTAGCTTTTCATTTGTGGGACTTCAGTGTATTATCTGGGGATCTTTATTCGAGCCAGTTCAGTTTCTTCTGAGAAAGGATCTCCCAATTTTCTTCCTGGGAAGTAAAAGAATGGCTACTTGCTTTCCAAAAGCAGAATTAGGGAAGCAAGTTGGAGTTCTATTTTTGGTGTACAGTTTTCTTTATATCTCAGTTTTACGCCGTGGTATTTCTGAACCTAGAAATTCTCAGGTTTGGTATATCCAGAGAACACACATCTAAGTTTCTTATCAGATGGGTCGACAGGTGGCCTTGGAGTTCTAACCACAGATTTTCTGACCTTGCTGGCTTTTGTTTTATGTTTTACCCTACTTTCCAAAGTTCCATTTGCCTGTAAATTCACAGCCTGCCTTTAGTTCTACAAGACAAACTGGCTTGCTTCTCTTCCAGTCGCTTTCTGTAGGGACCAAAGTTGTGCTTCTGTGTTATTTACCACTCCTTTATCTACTTTTTATGACCCAGCATTTATTAAAAATCATCTCTGTCAACGTTCTCTCTTGATCCTGTGTGTAACCTGTATTTTATGTATGACTAACGAGACTTCCAGAGGCAGAGGAAATAAATCTGTGGCCAATCTATTATACTTAATCCAAATTTGGGACCTATATTTACATGTGAATCAAAGTTTAATTTCAATATAATTAATGGTATTAACCCAGACAATTTTTTTAGTGATGTATCTATAATAAGCATATTATACTTTTCTCCTAAGGCCTTATTTAATATTTTTATTCAAACTTTCACTGCCATATTATCCCAATACCTCACAACATAGATGGAGCTGTTTTCATGAATGCCCAAAGTGTTAGAAATATTTAAGTTAATTAAAATTTGTTTATTTTTAGCCTGGTCAACATAGCAAGAGCTCATCTCTACAAAAACATGTACCCTAAAACTTAAAGTATAATAATAATAAAATTTTAAAAAAAAGTTAAATAACAAATTAGCCAGGCTTGGTAGCATGTGCCTTTAGTTTTACCTACTCAGGAGGCTGAGGCAGAGGATCGCTTGAGCTCAGGAGTTTGAGGCTGCAGTTAACTATAATTGCACACTGCACTCCAGCCTAGGCAACAAAGGGAGACCCAGTCTCAGAAAGAGAAAAAAGTTATTATTTAAAAACATTTCTAAAATTTGTCCTGCTAAAAAGGAGAGAGGAAAACGTAAACTTGAGTTTTCATTTTATTTTATATTTGCTGAGAGGAATGCCGTAGTTTATTTATTTATATATTTTTATTTCCATAGGTTTTGGGGGAAACAGGTGGTATTTGGTTACATGAGTAAATTCTTTGTGATGATTTGTGAGATTTTGGTGTACCTGTCACTTGAGCAGTATCCAGTGAACCCAATTTGTAGTTTTTTATCCCTCACCCCCGTCCCACCCTTTTCCTTGTGTCCCCAAAGTCCATTGTATCATTCTATGTATTTGCATCCTTATAGCTTAGCTCCCCCATATGAATGAAAACATAAGATCTTTAGTTTTCCATTCCTGAGTTACTTCACTTGGAATAATAGTCTCCAATTCCATCTAGGTTGCTGGGAATGCCATTAATTTATTCCTTATTATGGCTGAATGGTATTTCTTAATCCATTTGTTGATTGATGGGCATTTGGGCTGATTCCATATTTTTATAATTACAAATTGTGCTGCTGCGAACATACATGTGCAAGTATCTTTTTTGTATAATGATTTCTTTTCCTCTGGGTAGATACCCAGTACTGGGCTTGCTGGATTGAATGGTGGGCCTACTTTTAGTTTTCTAAGGAATCTCCACACTGCTTTCCATAGTGGTTGTACTAGTTTCCATTTTTACCAGCATTGTAGAGAAGTGTTTTCACCTTTTCCACACCAACATCTATTATTTTTTGATTTTTTGATTATGGCCATTCTTGCAGGAGTAAGGTGGTATGGCATGTGGTTTTGATTTTCATTTTCCTGATCATTAGTGATGCTGAGCATTTTTTCATATGTTTGTTGCCCAGTGGTATATCTTCTTTTGAGAATTGTGTATTTATCTCCTTAGCCCACTTTTTGATGGGATTGTTTGTTTTTTCTCTTGCCCATTTGTTTGAGTTCCTTGTAGATTCTGTATATTAGTCCTTTATCAGATGTATAGATTTTGAAGATTTTCTTCCATTTTGTGGGTTGTCTGTTTACTCTGCTGATTGTTCCTTTTCCTGTGCAGAAGCTCTTTAGTTAAGTCTCACCTGTTTATCTTGTTTTCATTGCATTTGCTTTTGGGTTCTTGGTTATGAAGTCTTTGCCTAAGCCAATGTCTAGAAGATTTTTCTGATATTATCTTCTACAATTTTTATGGTTTCAGGTTGTAGATTTATGTCCTTGATCCATCTTGAGTTGATTTTTGTATAAGGTGAGAGTTGAGGATCCAGTTTCATTCTCCTGCACGTGGCTTTGCCAATTATCCTGGCACCATTTGTTGAATAGGGTTTACCTTCTTCACTTTATGTTTTAGTTGGCTTTGTTGAAGATAAGCTGGCTGTAGGTATTTGGGTTTATTTCTGGGTTTTCTATTCTGTTCCATTGGTGTATGTGCCTATTTTTATACCAGTACCATGCTGTTTTGGTGACAATGGCCTCACTGTATAGTTTGAAGTCAGATAATGTGATGGCTCCAGTTTTGTTGTTTTTGCTTAGTTTTGTTTTGGCTATGTGGGGTCTTGTTTGGTACCATATTTTAGAATTGTTTTTTCTAGTTCTGTGAAAAATGATGATGGTATTTTGATAGGAATTGCATTGAATTTGTAGATTGCTTTTGGCAGTATGGTCATTTTCACAATATTGATTCTACCCATTCATGAGCATGGAATATCTTTCCATTTGTTTGTGTCATCCATAATTTCATTCAGTAATGTTTTGTAGTTCCCAGTGGCATATCAAAAAGATAATCCACCATGATCAAGTGGGTTTCATACCAGGGATGCAGGGATTGTTTAACATATGCAAGTCAATAAATGTGATACATCACAGAAACAGAATTCTTTTTTTTTTTTAATTATACTTTAAGTTTTAGGGTACATGTGCACAACGTGCAGGTTTGTTACATATGTATACATGTGCCATGCTGGTGCGCTGCACCCACTAACTTGTCATCTAGCATTAGGTATATCTCCCAATGCTATCCCTCCCCCCTACCCCCACCCCACAACAGTCCCCAGAGTGTGATATTCCCCTTTCTGTGTCCATGTGATCTCATTGTTCAATTCCCACCTATGAGTGAGAATATGCGGTGTTTGGTTATTTGTTCTTGCGATAGTTTACTGAGAATGATGATTTCCAATTTCATCCATGTCCCTACAAAGGACATGAACTCATCATTTTTTATGGCTGCATAGTATTCCATGGTGTATATGTGCCACATTTTCTTAATCCAGTCTATCATTGTTGGACATTTGGGTTGGTTCCAAGTCTTTGCTATTGTGAATAATGCTGCAATAAACATACGTGTGCATGTGTCTTTATAGCAGCATGATTTATAGTCCTTTGGATATATACCCAGTAATGGGATGGCTGGGTCAAATGGTATTTCCAGTTCTAGATCCCTGAGGAATCGCCACACTGACTTCCACAACGGTTGAACTAGTTTACAGTCCCACCAACAGTGTAAAAGTGTTCCTATTTCTCCACATCCTCTCCAGCACCTGTTGTTTCCTGACTTTTTAATGATTGCCATTCTAACTGGTGTGAGATGGTATCTCATTGTGGTTTTGATTTGCATTTCTCTGATGGCCAGTGATGATGAGCATTTTTTCATGTGTTTTTTGGCTGCATAAGTGTCTTCTTTTGAGAAGTGTCTGTTCATGTCATTTGCCCACTTTTTGATAGGGTTGTTTGTTTTTTTCTTGTAAATTTGTTTGAGTTCATTGTAGATTCTGGATATTAGCCCTTTGTCAGATGAGTAGGTTGCGAAAATTTTCTCCCATTTTGTAGGTTGCCTGTTCACTCTGATGGTAGTTTCTTTTGCTGTGCAGAAGCTCTTGAGTTTAATTAGATCCCATTTGTCAATTTTGTCTTTTGTTGCCATTGCTTTTGGTGTTTTAGACATGAAGTCCTTGCCCATGCCCATGTCCTGAATGGTAATGCCTAGGTTTTCTTCTAGGGTTTTTATGGTTTTAGGTCTAACGTTTAAGTCTTTAATCCATCTTGAATTGATTTTTGTATAAGGTGTAAGGAAGGGATCCAGTTTCAGCTTTCTACATATGGCTAGCCAGTTTTCCCAGCACCATTTATTAAATAGGGAATCCTTTCCCCATTGCTTGTTTTTCTCAGGTTTGTCAAAGATCAGATAGTTGTAGATATGCGGCATTATTTCTGAGGGCTCTGTTCTGTTCCATTGATCTGTATCTCTGTTTTGGTACCAGTACCATGCTGTTTTGGTTACTGTAGCCTTGTAGTATAGTTTGAAGTCAGGTAGTGTGGTGCCTCTGGCTTTGTTCTTTTGGCTTAGGATTGACTTGGCGATGCGGGCTCTTTTTTGGTTCCATATGAACTTTAAAGTAGTTTTTTCCAATTCTGTGAAGAAAGTCATTGGTAGCTTGCTGGGGATGGCATTGAATCTGTAAATTACCTTGGGCAGTATGGCCATTTTCATGATATTGATTCTTCCTACCCATGAGCATGGAATGTTCTTCCATTTGTTTGTATCCTCTTTTATTTCCTTGAGCAGTGGTTTGTAGTTCTCCTTGAAGAGGTCCTTCACATCCCTTGTAAGTTGGATTCCTAGGTGTTTTATTCTCTTTGAAGCAATTGTGAATGGGAGTTCACTCATGATTTGGCTCTCTGTTTGTCTGTTGTTGGTGTATAAGAATGCTTGTGATTTTTGTACATTGATTTTGTATCCTGAGACTTTGCTGAAGTTGCTTATCAGCTTAAGGAGATTTGGGCTGAGACAATGGGGTTTTCTAGATATACAATCATGTTGTCTGCAAACAGGGACAATTTGGCTTCCTGTTTTCCTAATTGAATACCCTTTATTTCCTTCTCCTGCCTAATTGCCCTGGCCAGAACTTCCAACACTATGTTGAATAGGAGTGATGAGAGAGGGCATCCCTGTCTTGTGCCAGTTTTCAAAGGGAATGCTTCCAGTTTTTGCCCATTCAGTATGATATTGGCTGTGGGTTTGTCATAGATAGCTCTTATTATTTTGAAATACATCCCATCAATACCTAATTTATTGAGAGTTTTGAGCATGAAGCGTTGTTGGATTTTGTCAAAGGCCTTTTCTGCATCTATTGAGATAATCATGTGGTTTTTGTCTTTGGTTCTGTTTATATGCTGGATTACATTTATTGATTTGCGTATATTGAACCAGCCTTGCATCCCAGGGATGAAGCCCACTTGATCATGGTGGATAAGCTTTTTGATGTGCTGCTGGATTCGGTTTGCCAGTATTTTATTGAGGATTTTTGCATCAATGTTCATCAAGGATATTGGTCTAAAATTCTCTTTTTTGGTTGTGTCTCTGACTGGCTTTGTTATCAGGATGATGCTGGCCTCATAAAAGGAGTTAGGGAGGATTCCCTCTTTTGCTATTGATTGGAATAGTTTCAGAAGGAATGGTACCAGTTCCTCCTTGTACCTCTGTTAGAATTCGGCTGTGAATCCATCTGGTCCTGGACTCTTTTTGGTTGGTAAGCTATTGATTATTGCCACAATTTCAGCTCCTGTTATTGGTCTATTCAGAGATTCAACTTCTTCCTGGTTTAGTCTTGGGAGAGTGTATGTGTCCAGGAATTTATCCATTTCTTCTAGATTTTCTAGTTTATTTGTGTAGAGGTGTTTGTAGTATTTTCTGATGGTAGTTTGTATTTCTGTGGGATCGGTGGTGATATCCCCTTTATCATTTTTTATTGCATCTATTTGATTCTTCTCTCTTTTTTTCTTTATTAGTCTTGCTAGTGGTCTATCAATTTTGTTGATCCTTTCAAAAAACCAGTTCCTGGATTCATTAATTTTTTGAAGGGTTTTTTGTGTCTCTATTTCCTTCAGTTCTGCTCTGATTTTAGTTATTTCTTGCCTTCTGCTAGCTTTTGAATGTGTTTGCTCTTGCTTTCCTAGTTCTTTTAATTGTGATGTTAGGGTGTCAATTTTGGATCTTTCCTGCTTTCTCTTGTGGGCATGTAGTGCTATAAATTTCCCTCTACACACTGCTTTGAATGTGTCCAGAGATTCTGGTGTGTGGTGTCTTTGTTCTCGTTGGTTTCAAAGAACATCTTTATTTCTGCCTTCATTTCGATATGTACCCAGTAGTCATTCAGGAGCAGGTTGTTCAGTTTCCATGTAGTTGAGCGGTTTTGAGTGAGATTCTTAATCCTGAGTTCTAGTTTGATTGCACTGTGGTCTGAGAGATAGTTTGTTATAATTTCTGTTCTTTTACATTTGCTGAGGAGAGCTTTACTTCCCAGTATGTGGTTAATTTTGGAATAGGTGTGGTGTGGTGCTGAAAAAAATGTATATTCTGTTGATTTGAGGTGGAGAGTTCTGTAGATGTCTATTAGGTCTGCTTGGTGCAGAGCTGAGTTCAATTCCTGGGTATCCTTGTTGACTTTCTGTCTCGTTGATCTGTCTAATGTTGACAGTGGGGTGTTAAAGTCTCCCATTATTAATGTGTGGGAGTCTAAGTCTCTTTGTAGGTCATTCAGGACTTGCTTTATGAATCTTGGTGCTCCTGTATTGGGTGCATATATATTTAGGATAGTTAGCTCTTCTTGTTGAATTGATCCCTTTACCATTATGTAATGGCCTTCTGTGTCTCTTTTGATCTTTGTTGGTTTAAAGTCTGTTTTATCAGAGACTAGGATTGCAACCCCTGCCTTTTTTTGTTTTCCATTGGCTTGGTAGATCTTCCTCCATCCTTTTATTTTGAGCGTATGTGTGTCTCTGCACGTGAGATGGGTTTCCTGAACACAGCACACTGATGGGTCTTGACTCTTCATCCAATTTGCCAGTCTGTGTCTTTTAATTGGAGCATTTAGTCAATTTACATTTAAAGTTAATATTGTTATGTGTGATTTTGATCCTGTCATTATGATGTTAGCTGGTTATTTTCCTCGTTAGTTGATGCAGTTTCTTCCTAGTCTCGATGGTCGTTACATTTTGGCATGATTTTGCAGTGGCTGGTACCGGTTGTTCCTTTCCATGTTTAGTGCTTCCTTCAGGAGCTCTTGTAGGGCAGGCCTGGTGGTGACAAAATCTCTGAGCATTTGCTTGTCTGTAAAGGATTTTATTTCTCCTTCACTTATGAAGCTTAGTTTGGCTGGATATGAAATTCTGGGTTGAAAATTCTTTTCTTTAAGAATGTTGAATATTGGCCCCCACTCTCTTCTGGCTTGTAGGGTTTCTGCCGAGAGATCCGCTGTTAGTCTGATGGGCTTCCCTTTGAGGGTAACCTGACCTTTCTCTCTGGCTGCCCTTAACATTTTTGCCTTCATTTCAACTTTGGTGAATCTGACAATTATGTGTCTTGGAGTTGCTCTTCTCGAGGAGTATCTTTGTGGCGTTCTCTGTATTTCCTGAATCTGAACGTTGGCCTGCCTTGCTAGATTGGGGAAGTTCTCCTGGATAATATCCTGCAGAGTGTTTTCCAACTTGGTTCCATTCTCCCCATCACTTTCAGGTACACCAGTCAGACGTAGATTTGGTCTTTTCACATAGTCCCATATTTCTTGGAGGCTTTGCTCATTTCTTTTTATTCTTTTTTCTCTAAACTTCCCTTCTCGCTTCATTTCATTCATTTCATCTTCCATTGCTGATACCCTTTCTTCCAGTTGATCGCATCGGCTCCTGAGGCTTCTGCATTCTTCACGTAGTTCTCGAGCCTTGGTTTTCAGCTCCATCAGCTCCTTTAAGCACTTCTCTGTATTGGTTATTCTAGTTATACATTCTTCTAAATTTTTTTCGAAGTTTTCAACTTCTTTGCCTTTGGTTTGAATGTCCTCCCGTAGATCAGAGTAATTTGATTGTGTGAAGCCTTCTTCTCTCAGCTCGTCAAAGTCATTCTCCATCCAGCTTTGTTCCGTTGCTGGTGAGCAACTGCGTTCCTTTGGAGGAGGAGAGGCGCTCTACTTTTTAGAGTTTCCAGTTTTTCTCTTCTGTTTTTTTCCCCATCTTTGTGGTTTTATCTACTTTTGTTCTTTGATGATGGTGATGTACAGATGGGTTTTTGGTGTGGATGTCCTTTCTGTTTGTTAGTTTTCCTTCTAACAGACAGGACCCTCAGCTGCAGGTCTGTTGGAATACCCTGCCGTGTGAGGTGTCAGTGTGCCCCTGCTGGGGGGTGCCTCCCAGTTAGTCTGCCCGGGGGTCAGGGTTCAGGGACCCACTTGAGGAGGCAGTCTGCCTGTTCTCAGATCTCCAGCTGCGTGGTGGGAGAACCACTGCTCTCTTCAAAGCTGTCAGACGGGGACATTTAAGTCTGCAGAGGTTACTGCTGTCTTTTTGTTTGTTTGTGCCCTGCCCCCAGAGGTGGAGCCTACAGAGGCAGGCCGGCCTCCTTGAGCTGTGGTGGGCTCCACCCAGTTCGAGCTTCGCGGCTGCTTTGTTTACCTAAGGAAGCCTGGGCAATGGCGGGCGCCCCTCCCCCAGCCTCGCTGCCGCCTTGCAGTTTGATCTCAGACCGCTGTGCTAGCAATCAGTGAGACTCCGTGGGCGTAGGACCCTCCAAGCCAGGTGCGGGATATAATATCGTGGTGCGCTGTTTTTTAAGCCTGTCGGAAAAGCGCAGTATTCGGGTGGGAGTGACCCGATTTTCCAGGTGCCGTCCGTCACCCCTTTCTTTGACTCAGAAAGGGAACTCCCTGACCCCTTGCACTTCCCAAGTGAGGCAATGCCTCGCCCTGCTTCGGCTCGTGCATGGTGCATGCACCCACTGACCTGCGCCCACTGTCTGGCACTCCCTAGTGAGATGAACCCGGTACCTCAGATGGAAATGCAGAAATCACCCATCTTCTGCGTCGCTCACGCTGGGAGCTGTAGACTGGAGCTGTTCCTTTTTGGCCATCTTGGCTCCTCCCCAGGAACAGAATTCAAAACAAAAATCACATGATCATCTCAATAGATGCAGAAAAAGCATTTGACAAAATCCAGCATCCTTTTGTGATTAAAACCCTCAGCAAAATTAGCATACAAGGGACATACCTCAATATAATAAAAGCCATCCATTTCAAACCCACAGCCAACATAATATTGAATGGCAAAAGTTGAAAGCATTCCCCCTGAGAACAGGAACAAGGCAAGGATGCCCACTCTCACCACTCCAATTCAATATAGTACTGGAAGACCTAGCCAGCCAGAGCAATCACTCAAGAGAAAGAAAGAAAGGGCATCCAGATCAGTAACTAGGAAGTCAAACTGTTGCTGTTTGCTGATGATATGATCGTATACCTTGAAAACCCCAAAGACTCCTCCAGTAAAACTCCTAGAACTGATAAATGAATTCAGAAAAGTTTCAGGATATAAAATTAATGTACACAAATCAGTAGCTGTTATACCCCAACAGCGACCAAGCTGAGAATCAAACCAAGAACTCAACCCCTTTACAACAGCTGCAAAACAAACAAACAAAAAACCAGCTTAAGAATCTAACTAAGCAAGGAGGGGAAAGACCTCTACAAGGAAAACAGTTTTAGTGTTTTTAATGGGTTAAAATGAGAGGCAGCAGGTACAGCGGAAGAAGTCAGTGGTTGGGCATCGGTGTCCAACAGGTACTGGACCTTTGATGGTAAAGCCTTTGGTTTTGATTTACTAAAATATGAGGTATGATTATTTTCTAGTTTTTGTCATAAAACCTTAAAACCACTAAGTAAACCCTTCCATTTCTTGTTAAACATTGTAAAATTTCATACTCTGTGATTTATGCTGACTGAAGTTAGATTTGTTTCTATTTTGTGACTACCTTAAATAATACCTATAAACAGTAAACCGTTAGTAGTGTTTTTGCTGTAATTAAATGTAGTAAGACTTACCTTCCAAATTATAACTGAATTAATTTGTCAAACACTTGAACTTTTTGATTTATTCAAAATTTTATGCTGAGCAGCTAGAGGTAGGAACAGTTAGGGCTCTCCCTTACTCTTATGGAGAGGCGTACTTTCTCATGAGGGGAATACTCTGCTAGAATTAGTATCTTGTAATCGGTTAGTGTACAAAAAAACAAAACATGTGAGGCTGAGGCTACTGGCAAAGAGATCCAAGAGGGTAGATGGAGTCAAGCTTGTTGAAACAAGGAAGGAGAAAAGCATTATTCCAGACAGAGAACAGGGGTAGAGCAGGAAAATGCCTAGGTGCAGGTCAAATGATGTATAGAATAAAATTAATCAAATTTTGAAATGAACGGAAAGTATTCTCTGAGGGTCTCATTTGAGTCATGTCATGGCAGTCTTATTTAAACATGAAGTGAAAGTTAAATTTTTTAAGTTGTCATCTGTTTTCAGGGTGTGAGAGAATACTTAGGTGATACTCTTTTTATCCTCCACATAAGAAAACAGGACTAGAGAAACCTATGTCTTCCTCACTTGTTGGTGGCCTAGCAGCCCTGGTACACGAGCCTCTGAATCTGAAACACTTGTTTTGTCACAATATCGCCTGAAATAATACATTTAGGATTAGTAACTTAGTAAATGTGTTAGTCTTAGTCTTGTATTCATTGCAGTAAAATGGTCTTATACCAATATTATTCAATACATTACATTTTACTGTAGTAAATAAATAACAGAAATAGAAATCCTCAGCTGTTTTATGTCACTATAAAAAAATGAAATATTATTTTAAACTTTTTTCATTTTTTACAAAGGGAATTCATAAAATCCTTGTTAGTTTTGATGATAGGCACCACATTAAGGGCAGCATTTTATAACCTGTATCTCAAACATCCTCTGTGGAAGTTAAGAGCCTCTGATGGGTTTTCTATAGAGTGCTCATGATACCACACTCAGGCATTCATGGAGTGTAAGAAATATCCTAGTGCTTTGAAAAATTTGACATTTTAACCAATGAAAAAGTATACTTTGATAAGTTTATCTTATACTTCCCTTCCCCTTCAGGTATCTACTGAGCATTTTACTCAACAATACAGTTCATGTTCGACAATATTCCTTGATGACAGCATAGCCAGCCAGCCTCATCTTACAATGACACTAAAATCGTGAGTACAACTATAATGCCAAGGGATAGACTCCTTCATTCAAAAATTATTTCAGCCATTTGGTTGTCCTCTTCAGCAATCATTTTAAGAAATTGGAGTCAACTATATATTGATATCCAGATTTTAAATATTAAGTATCAGTTTCTCTTTTAATCTTAGACATCATGGTGGAAGGAAAAATCAGCAAATAAGCAATCCCAGAAAAAGTGCAGCTATTTGTTTGATGCCTTTATGCCTTAAGACAATGCTGAACTCAATGAGAAGGATAGGTTCCCTTTATTGAATGATTTTTGTGAAATATTAGTTTTTCAGTGCATTGCAGGCCTAAATCAATGCGTACTTCTTTGGACATTAGTCTTGGAAGAAGGAACAGCTTTTTCTCTACTGGCACCACAGTGTATCTGCATTTGATTTTCTCCCATTGTGCATGAGAACCTCATGGGCCACAAAGATGCTCTTTGAGAGCACCCTGAGATGAAGTTTATTTTAAAAGGAACAACAACCAACACCACCACAAGCTCCATTGGGTTTGTCCAGTGTACATCATTATCACTTCCTTGGATTATGAGTATTGATTTTTAGAACACAGTTTGGAAAGTGCTAATTTAGAATATTAATGTCTTCTGATGAAGGCCTAGTATCCAGAGTCTACAAGGAACTTAAACAAATTTACAAGAAAAAAACAAACCCATCAAAAAGTGGGTGAAGGATATGAACAGACACTTCTCAAAAGAAGACATTTATGCGGCCAACAAATATATGAAAAAAAGCTCATTATCACTGATCATTAGAGAAATGCAAATCAAAACCACGATGAGATACCATCTCATGCCAGTAAGAATGGTGAGCATTAAAAAGTCAGGAAACAACAGATGCTGGAGAGGATGTGGAGAAATAGAAATGCTTTTACACTGCTGGTGGGAGTGTAAATTAGTTCAACCATTGTGGAGACAGTGTGGTGATTCCTCAAGGATCTAGAACCAGAAACACCATTTGACCCAGCAATCTCATTACTGAGTATATATATACCCAAAGGATTTTAAGTCATTCTGCTATAAAGACGCATGTACATGTATGTTTTTTGCTGCACTATTTACAATAGCAAAGACTTGGAACCAACCCAAATGCCCATCAATGATAGACTGAATAAAGAAAATGTGCCACATATACACAATGGAATACTATGCAGCCATAAGAAAAATGAGTTCATGTCCTTTGTAGGGACATGGATGAAGCTGGAAACCATCATTCTCAGCAAACTAACACGGGAACAGAAAATCAAACACCACATGTTCTCACTCATAAGTGGGTGTTGAACAATGAGAGCACATGGACACAGGAAGGGGAATATCAAACACCAGGGCCTGTGGGGAATCGGAGGCAAGGGGAAGGATAGCATTAGGAGAAATACCGGGTTGATGGGTGCAGCGCACCAGCATGGCACATGTATACATATGTAACAAACCTTCACGTTCTGCACATGTATCCCAGAACTTAAAGTATAATTTAAAAAAAACATGGCGGCCAGGCATGGTGGCTCATGCTTGTAATCCCAACACTTCGGGAGGCCAAGGCAGGCCAAACACCTGAGATCAGGAGTTCGAGACCAGCCTGGCTAACACGGCAAAACCCTGTCTCTACTAAGAATACAAAAATTAGCTGGGCGTGATGGCAGGCACCTGTAATTCCAGCTACTTGGGAGGCTGAGGCAGGAGAATGGCTTGAACCCAGGAGGCAGAGGTTGCAGTGAGCCGAGATCGCACCATTGCACTCTAGCCTGGGCAACGAGAGTGAAACTCCGTTTCTAAAACTAATAATTACAACAACAAAGAGGCAAGTTTACGCTCATAATAATGTCACTTCCTCTCTCCCTTATCACAGTAGTAGAGATGAAATTGTGTTTCAGTGAAAACTGGATTCAAACCCTGTCTCAAGTCCTGCGCTTTGGGACCTATTGCATAATCACTACATGTCTGTATTCAGCCAAGCCTCTAAATCCTTGAGCAAAAAAAGAAAAAATCACTCTGGTTTGTATCCCTGGCTTCTTTTGAATTCAAAAGTTTTGATGTGTTAGCATACAATTTAAAAGTAGTTTTAAACATTAATCTTGCTCAAACAAATTTCACGCTTTTTTCCTCATTATTCTAATTTTTAGAAGTCTACTTTTGAAAGTAAAGTAAGTTTTAATTTCCCATCAACAAGTTTGAGAAATTATCATTTGGTATATTCACTATTAGTGAAATAAAGGTTTATTGAGCAAATTAATAGGGCAAATTGGCTTCAAGAAAAGATTTTGAAAAATGTTTATTATGGGTTAGTAGTACACTGTTGTCAATGGGGTAGATGGAACTCATTGGGATCACTTTTGCAAGGTTTTTTTTTTCAAAATACATGTCTGCAAACATTTGTATCTTCCCACCTCAACCTTCCCTCTGTCTCTAGGCACTGAGAAGCCCTTTAGGAAAATAGGAATCGATGTGAGGCATCTTCTTGTGAAGAAAAGCATCCCAGAAGATTCTGATTTTCACCCCAACTCAATCACTCCAAACTTTGCTGCACTTTGAAGTCACCAGGAAAATTTTTAACAACAACCCTAATGCCTGAAGTCCTACCCAATGCTAACTAATTAAACTAAAAAGTCTCATGTTGAAAATGAGGCAGTTATTAAAGCTCCTCAGTTGATTTTAATGTACAGCAAAGTTTGAGAGCACTGCTTAATTTGAGTTTAGGATGAGAAGCTGCTCCTATTTGGTGGGACCTTGGGCAAGTCAGTTTTAAGGTTTGTTTCCCTGATCTGTAAAATGAGTGTTGGATTAAATGTCATGTAAGGTCATTGGTCCTTTCCAGCATGTAACTTCAAATTCTGTGATTTTAAAATGATTTTAGAAGTGAAAACTACTTGAAGCACTATAGACATATCCATCTTAAATGCTAATGTTATAAGCTTTTTAAAAAGTGCTAATATTGTATAGACCTATTATTAACCGAGGGATTTTCCTTCCCTCAGTTATTTTGAGTCTCATTCTAGATGCTGAGAGCAAATGGAAGCACATAACTTATGTAAGAGAACCTCTTGTTTTGTGATACACAGCATCTGTGAGTAACTTAGGAATATAGTTACATGTATCTGAAGAGGTGTATCTGTTCATAAATATTTCAGTTAAACTAATTGAAGGTACCTGCCATTCATATTACACTGTGTCATGGTATACTGCCTTGTCAGCACTGCATATTTTGGGATCACTGCACCTATCATTGATTTCCTGTGTGCGTATATTTACTAATATATTTTTAAATAATTATGCAAAAGTGATTTCAAATAATTTTTTTATAAAGCACTTTCATTATGTATTTTTAGGGAAATAATTAAAAATGGGTGGTAGGAGATAGTGAACTAAACTAAAATGCAGGGCCTAACATCTTAAAAAGAAAACACTACTGTATGGCTTAAACATATGGACACATAGATGTAAACTGCATGAAGCTGTGTGCGGTGGCTCATGCCTGTAATCCCAGCACTTTGGGAGTTCCGAGGCAGGTGGATCACTTGAGGCCAGGAGTCTGAGACCAACCTGGCCATCATGGCGAGACCCTGTCCCTACTAAAAATAGAAAAATTAGCTGGGCATAGTGGTGCAAACCTGTAGTTCCAGCTACTTGGGAGGCTGAGGCTTGAGAATCCCTTGTACCTGGGAAGTGGAAGTTTTGGTGAGCCAAGATCGCGCCACTGCACTTCAGTCTGGGTGACAGAGTGAGAGAGACTCTGGGTCAAAAAATAGATAAATGCATAAAATAAATTGCATGGGATGAAAGGTTTTGTGGGTAGAAGAGCATATAACAGGGAAATATGTTGTTATTTATATATTATAATCACAACAGAAACATGTCTTCTAAAAGCATACTGCCTTGCATTTTGGTTCTCATATTTTTGCTAAAAGCCAAGAAATGAAAATAAGAAAGTGCCCTTATGGTACTGTTCTGAACTATAAGATTTGAATTTCAGAGCCGCTAGGAGAGTTTCCTCTGCCCCCCTCTTAAAAAATGTCTTCAAGCCTAACAAATGATAACATTTATTGTTATGAATATTTTTTTTCCTTCCACAGTGTGACCTTGGCACTATATTATCATATCAAGCAAAGGTGAGCTTTTTTAAAACCTGTCTTGTTATTCTGGCTAATTACTTTGCATGATATTAAGCTCAGCGTTAGATCATAGCTCTAGACATCATAAGCTGTATTGTGCCTACTAAAATATCGAAGCAAATTATTTGTGTTTTCTTTGGTCCTTGAGACTTTTTAAATTCTTAAATGATTAAGTATCCCAATGAGTATGATTTTATATTGATTATATTGATATTTACTCTGATAGAAATATAAACTTGAGATTTTTTTCAAAATCTATTTTTAGTTTAGATTTCACAGTCTTAACACTATTGATATTATGAGCTAGATAATGCTTTGTTGTGAAGACTGTCCTGTGCATTACAGAAAATTCAGCAACACTGATGGCCTTTACCCACTAGATGTCAGTAGTAACCCATGACCCAGGTTGTGACAATAGAAAATATTCCTTGAGAACAATATTGTTAACATAAAATTTTAAAAGAAAATATAACTTTTCTATGATGAAAAGTTGAGTAAAAAGTGTATCATGTATCTATATTATTGATAATCTGTAGTGTTGCGCTTAATAGAAGACAGCTGGATTCTCTAGCTCTTTCTTTGCAATTTGCTTTAAAGAAGCAATAAGATGACCTAGCCTCATGCAAATATGTAGTTGGTAAAAGGTGTATTTTTAAAGCTTTAAGACAGTTGTGGGTATTCTTTAATACTAAATCAAAACTTCACAAGTGCTAGTTTCTTAAATTAGTTACAGTGGCATTTTACATATTAGCAAATGTATTCTCAGTACTCACCGATCTTTCTTGCACAATAAATGGTTCTTTCCCCACATACTTGCATTTATAATATTATGCATTAGTTATTTGGAAAATATTGGTTTATGTTTTATTGTATCAAAAAGGACTTTTTTAATTTAACCACCAATTTTATTTTAAAACATCCTTAAGTATTGAGAAGCTGTCAAGCTTACAGTAGAAGGAACAAGTTTTTCAAAGTCTTCAGGAAAGCTTAAATTCTATCACTGGAAACAAATACTTATTTTCCTTGTGACATGAGTGACACATTTCCTTGTGAATGAGTGACAGCTTCATTTATTTTTGAGAATGATAGTTGTACCTTTTTTTTAGACCGAGTTTCACTCTGTCACTTGGCTAGAGTCCATTGGCATGATCTCAGCTCAAGCAATCCTCTCACCTCAGGCTCCTGAGTAGCTGGGACCACAGATGTGTGTCAGCATGCCTGGATAATTTTTTTGTGTTTTTGGTAGAGACAGGGTTTTGTCATGTTGCCCAGGCTGGTCTCGAACTCCTAAAGGAGCTCAAGTGATCTGCCTGTTTTGGCCTCCCAAAGTGCTGGGATTTTACAGGTGTGAGCCACTGTGCTGGCCCGGTTGTATTTTTAAATGAAACTGATGTTTCTCTTTAGTTCTCTGTAGTATATTCTCATGATGTATTTATTATTTTTAGTAATTTAAATTAAAGGAAGCTAGCAAATCTGAATCACATTTACATTTATTAAAGTTCTAAAGAGATTATTGCCCACCACTACTGCTTTGTAAAACGTTCTTGTGTTTCAGTGTGTGGTTCGAGGAGTGAAAATGTGTTTGGTTTATTGCCATTGCCTGTTAGGGAGGGTCAATACTTACAGGCAGTTGTAACTGGTTATGGTATAAAAGACTTCACAGTACAGGACATGCTATGCTGAGGAAGAAGAGGTCAGGAAACCCTCCGCAAGTCAGTATCAAGGAGAATTTGTAAAAACTGTTTGCTTTGGTGAAGTAAACACCAAAGCACATAGGCACATAGGAAGCATTATTTTACTAAACAGATATTATACTA
This sequence comes from Homo sapiens, assembly GCF_000001405.40. NCBI lineage: Eukaryota > Metazoa > Chordata > Mammalia > Primates > Hominidae > Homo > Homo sapiens. The sequence goes on along the minus strand of NC_000010.11, from coordinate 42,427,295 downwards.
AGATATTAACAGTTTTTGAAGTAATACACATTCTTATTTTATAGAGATGCACATAGATCTTTGGGCATATTTGATGAACAGTTACACCCACTTACAGTGTCACTTTTTTTTTTTTTTTTTTTTTTGAGATGCAGTTTCAATCTTGCTGTCCAGGCTGGAGTGCAGTGCTGCCATCTTGGCTCACTGGAACCTCTGCTTCCCAGGTTGAAGCGATTCTCCTGCCTCAGGCTCCCAAGTAGCTAGGATTACAGGTGCCTGCCACCACGTCCGGCTAATTTTGTATTTTTAGTAGAGATGGGGTTTCACCATGTTAGCCAGGCTGGTTTTGAATTCCTGACCTCGGCCTCCCAAAGTGCTGGGATTACAGGCGTGAGCCACCGCACCCGGCCCAGTAAGTCTCACTTTTATTGAGTTTGTATTTTCTTTCTTGTTTTTTTTTTTTTTTTTTTTTTTGAGATGGAGTCTCACTCTGTTGCCCAGGCTCGAGTGCAGTGGCGCAATCTCGGCTAACTGCAAGCTCTGCCTCCTGGGTTCATGCCATTCTCCTGCCTCAGCCTCCCGAGTAACTAGGACTACAGATGCCTGCCACAACACCCAGCTAATTTTTTGTATTTTTAGTAGAGACAGGGTGTCACCATATTATCCAGGATGGTCTCAATCTCCTGACCTCATGATCCACCCGCCTTGGCCTCCCAAAATGCTGAGATTACAGGGGTGAGCCACCACGCCCAGCCTGAGTCTGTATTTTCATCATAGATTTGTATCTGTTTCGTGCCCGCAGTCAAAGGCATCTTTCTTTAAGTCTTGTTCCCCATTTCATGTGGCATCTAGTCATCTTATTTTAAAAGTGTTGTAAAAAGAACATGCTGGAATAAGAACTGATCTGCAGGTATGTTTAATTAGTGAGCTAATGTGAGTAAATATACTATCCAAATAACAGAAAACATATCTTTTTAAAAGATAATTGTTAATAGTATCAAGCAGTATAAGTATATGTAAATACTTTTAACAAAGAAGCATGATTTTTATGAAGAGGGTTAAAAATAATTTAAGTTCGCTGGTTGTGGTGGCTCACACCTTTGTAATTGCAGCACTTTGGGAGGCTGAGGCGGGTGGATCACCGGAGGTCAGGAGTTTGAGACCAGCCTGACCAATATGATGAAACCCTGTCTCTACTAAAAATATAAAAATTAGCCGGGCATGGTAGCATGTGCCTGTAAACCCAGCTACTCGGGAGGCTGAGATAGAAGAATCGCCTGAACCCAGGAGGTGGAGGTTGCAGTGCACCAAGATCACATCATTGCACTCCAGCCTGGGCAACAAGAGTGAAAATCTGTCTCAAAAAATCAAACAAAAAAAAAAGAAGAAGAATTTAAGTTTATATCAACTTACATGGTGTAAAAATTTAAAAATGTACTTCCTTAGGTACATAATAGCCACATGTGGCTAGTGACTATTGTATTTATCAGCACAGGCTTAGAGCCTCATGGTTACAGGTAACTATATTTTTTCAAAGTTTATTGCAGAGAAGTATGACATACAGTCAGTAAGACATTAAAGCTTACATTTGGATGGAGTAGCTTACATTTGGATGGAATTATGTGAGGGAAAGGGTAAAAAAGAATATAAACATTTTCTGAGCTTAAGCTCATATTATTTTTAAGTGAATGTGGATGAGTATTAAATCATTATGGTATTTCAGGATCCTGCTGTTCATATTGTAAAAAACTAAAAGACATCTCACCAATCAAAATTATCGTAAGTGACACATGGGCACAAATGTGAACACTGCTGTCTTAAGAGCACCTCAGGTTTTTTTCTTCAATGGATACTTACATTGCATCCTTTCTTCTTTCAGCGAAAAGAGGTTTTGGAGGAATATTTTAAGTATGATCCTGAACACAAATTGATCTTCAGATTTGTTCGTACTCTGTTTAAAGCCATGAGGCTAACAGCTGAGTTTGCAATCGTAAGTTTGGTAAGATATTTTCTATTTATAAAGCAGCTTTAGAAGTTCTTCTTGTAAACAGGGTGGTATGGTCCTGTTTTTTAATACAGTAGGTTTCTGAAGTTATCTCAGAATTTTAAGAGAAACTTTTGAAAGCAAATACACACATTTTAGTTGAATCATCATTATGGCTTAAAATGTCACAGTTGCTTTTCTCATCACAGAACAATTGCTATTAAAGGCAGCAGGAGGGATTTCTGATTTCTCCCCCAACACATCAATAAACACATGCACACACAGTGCACACACATCCAGGTCATGTGGACAGCTTGGAATGGGGAGCAGTAACAAAACCATCTGGCTGATGGGCAGGAAGGGATGCCAGTGTAGGTCTAAGCTGAGTCCCAGGGTATATCCCCAGGCAATTCTGATGCATGTTGTCATTGACAGCTGCTGCCCTCAATTCTTTGTTCCTTGGATGATGTGTGTTTATCTATCCCTGCTGATCACCTGTGCTTGCTCATGAAGTTGCCCAGGAATGTGGTTCCAGTTGGTCTACCAAACCATAGCTGTGTCGTTACATTTACATTATCCCTACAAATTCCTTTTGTAAACCTATCATTTTAAATAATAAATTCTGCTCAAATTGTTAAAAATAGTCTTACTCCTCCCCACAACAAACCTATAGAGGAAAGTCAACTGCATGGCCAGGAATGAAAAAATACTTAGGTCAATACTTGTTTAGCAACCAGTTAGATTCTAGGGGAGAAGGCTCCTGCTGTGCACCTGAATCAAAGCCCTCAAAGGGCACTGGACCAGATACAGTCCTCTCGAGAAGCTGCAAGTCATTTGGGACTGTTAGCACATGCTAGAGGGAAGCAGGAGTGGTGTTTCCAGATGTAGAGATAGGTGATGCAGGAGGGAAAGCTGGATTGGAAAAGGGAGAGTTTTGTACATAGGCTAAGCTTGGTGTGCCTTTGAGAGAGCAGAGTAGCACAGTCTAGTCATCATTTGGATATACAGGACTAGAGCATGAATTGGACATAGAGCTACAGAATGAAGAGCAACGGCAGCTGTTTAAATACCAAGAAAGTGTGTAGAATGAAATTGGACAAGCCGGGCATGGTGGTTTCATGCCTTTAGTCCTAGCTACTTGGGAGGCTGAGGTGGGGGAATTACTTGAGCCCAGCAGTTTAAGTCCAGCCTGGGCCAGATGATGAGACCCTGTATTTTTTTTTTTTTTTTTTTTTAGAGGGAGCCTCACTCTGTTGCCCAGGCTGGAGCGTGCAGTGGCACAATCTCGGCTCACTGCAAGCTCCACCTCCCAGGTTTACGCCATTCTCCTGCCTCAGCCTCCCGAGTAGCTGGGACTACAGGCACCCGCCACAACGCCCGGCTAATTTTTTGTATTTTTAGTAGAGACGGGGTTTCACCATGTTAGCCAGGATGGTCTCGATCTCCTAACCTCCTGATCTGCCCGCCTCAGCCTCCCAAAGTACTGGGATTACAGGTGTAAGCCACCGCGCCCAGCCGAGACCCTGCATCTTAAGAAAACAAAAAGTAAGGCCAGGTACGGTATCTCATGCCTGTAATGCCAGCACTTTGGGAGGCCAAGGTGAGAGGATTGCTCAAGTGTAGGAGTTCAAGACCAGACTGGGCAATAAAGTGAGACCCATTTCTACAAAAAAAAAAAATTAAGAAATTAGCTGGACATGATGGTACATGCCTGTGGCACCAGGCACATGGCAGGCTGAGGCAGGAAGTTCACTTGAGCCCAGGAGGTGGAGGCTACACTCTAGCCTGAGCAACTGAGTGAGACCCTGTCTCAAAAACAGATAAAATGGACAGAATATAGGTTGGTAAAGACTATTATCATTTAAGGGACAAGCCCCCAGAAGAGTGTCTACTAGAGTGGGAAGAGGAAAAGCAGAAGAGGATAATAAAAGGAGAAAGAGTTCAAGATAGGAGAAGCTGTAGTCACAGTGCTGAATGCTGCCAAGCAGTGACTGATTAGTGAACACTCACTGGATGCTGACCCTGTGCCGCTCTTCTAAGTGCGGAGGTAGAGGAGAGGACAGGTGGAACACAGTTCTTGCTTTTATGAGCTTATATTCTAGGAAGATGGAACTTAAGTGTATGAAACAGCAGGAAGAGGAAGCAGGATAAAGGGATACAGAGTGATTGGGGGCTATTTTAGGTAGACAGATAAGGAAGAGCCTCTCTAGAGAGCTGACATTAGAACAGTGACCTGACTGAAGGCGCGACGGGAAAGAGTGCTGACATTACAGGCAGCAGGATGACTGCCAAGACAGACAGAAATGCATTTCATGTGTGTTTGAGGAACAAACAGCAAGGTGACCAGCATAGTCAGAGTGAAGAATGAGGGAAAGAGTGGAGATGAGGCCCTTCAGGCAGTACCATAGCTCACAGGGCCTTTTGGCTTGTAGGCTGTAGGAAGAAGTTAAGGTTTTACTCCAGTTTGATGGGAAGCTCTTGGGGAGATCTTGAGCAGGGGAGTGCCATGCTCTAAATGAAGAGGTTATGCTGGCTGCTTTGGGGACAGTAAGCTATAGTTGGGAGGCAGAGTGGAGGCAGTGAAGAGGGTTAAGAAGCAACTAGGGTAATACAGGTGAGCAGTGATAGACTGTGGGTCACCATCAAACCATGCAGACCACCAGTGAAGGTAGACGTAAGAGGCATTGCACACAGATTGGAGCAGGGGAACTGAAATGCAGGTATTTGGCCCCAACACCTAGGCAAATGGCAATGTATGCAGAGCTTTAGTTTGTCAGCGTGAAGACACAAGAGACAAGTGCCTGTTGGCAAGAGGAGCCTTGGGAGAGTCATGTCAGCAGGGGCAGGCAGTGTAGCTGAAGGAGAGATGGAAGATGAGGAGCTGGTATGAGGGTATGGTGCTGTGAGCATCAGTGAGAGGACACAGTTGGAGAGGAGTGGGGAGTGGGATGGGGACAAAGGAAACACAATTTGGAGGAAATTTCTGGTAGAGAGGAAGAAAATCTTCAGAAAGAGGTGATTGTGGGAACAGTGTGCTGCAAAAGTGAGATGGGATCAACTGCACTGAGGGAAGAGTTGGCATCAGTGGGAATAAAGAATTCTCAAACTCACCCAGAAGGGCACGTGGCATGGATGAGTGTCAGCAGGTCAGCAGCTTAGCAGGAAAGGGGACAGGAAGTAGAGGGCTTGCCATGTTGTTTCAGAGGTCTCTGATTCCTACGCAGTTGAACCCTGGGAGGGAGGTTCACTCTTGAAATACTTGAGAGTGCAGAGTTTGGGAGAAAGGGAGTGGAATCTGTAAAATTTCATGTTCAATAGCCATTTGTTTTTGAAAACATACTTGAGTTTGGCAGTGTTCAGATCAGTATCAGATCTGGCAGTGTTCTGCAATCTGATACCCTTCAGACAAGAAATAAACTTGCTTATTTATATAAAGTTTTTTCCTTTTGTTTCGATGTAAACAGTTCAAGTAGCTCACAGACATACTGTTCTGCAGAGCACCCTCTGAGGTAACAACACCTCACAGTTCACCTTTAATGTTTACTCAGCTATTCACTTTGCTCAATTCTTTGTAGGACAGATGTTTGATAGATGTAAAGTAATTCAGGGGATTGTCTCACCAACTGCCTGGCAGGTGTAGAGGAATCCCAGGGATACAGAGACTGGCAGCTGTTTCCACCTTAAAACCAACAGAATTGTCTAATTTGCAGGTGATGTAAGACAGAATAAATTTTTTGAAGTGATCATGAAGATGTGCAAGATAGGGGCTGTGAGAAGGACCATCCTTTATACACATGTGTTTCTTACCAAGTGAGCAACTGAATATGGGGAATGTTTTACAACCCCACAGACCTGCTCCTGCCATGCTGCTCTACACAGCAGCTGCTGGGAGGCTCTCTTGATCAGCAGTTTTTAAAGCTAGTGCCACAGAAGGGTGAGTTTTTGTGAGAAGAAGGTTAACATTTGCTCACTATTACATGGGTTTTACATATTCAAGCTTGACGTACTTATAAAATTCCCATCTACCTACCAGCTCCGTGTGAGACATTACATATGTAGGCACTTAAGGATTTATTGAATGACTTTATTCCACACTGGGCCTGCATGTCTGCTGTCTTTTATGAGTGTGAAGGTGACAGCACTGCCTGTCTTCATGATGCCCTTGACTGAGATATACGGTCATTCTTGTGACCAAAATTGGGCTGTGAATTTCTATGAGCAGAGTAGGTAGCAGAAGTATCTGACCTACAATTGTGATATGGCCACTTGTTTGGTCTGATCAAGCAAATCTCTGTAGAACATAAGCACTTACTTTCTGGTCAAAACCAGAAGAAATCTGTCATTCATAAGAATTCTTGGCACTTAAACTGAGCTAAATCAAAGGCCAGTGCTCTGTTTTGCAGATTTACATAGAAAGACTTGTAAGTTATGCTGATATCGACATTTGTCCAACTAACTGGAAGAGGATTGTCTTGGGAGCCATTCTTCTTGCCTCCAAGGTTTGGAGTGATATGGCTGTGTGGAATGAGGACTACTGCAAGCTCTTTAAGAACATTACAGTTGAAGAAATGTGAGTTTGTATGGTTTTTGTGAACTTTGTAACCATTTTTCAGTACTTTATGTGGTCCCATAAACTTAAATACTTTAAGAAATACTTTTAAAGCTTACGTTGTGCAGATAATGAAAATGGGCCTAAACACCACATATTTTTCCATCCAGCTTTAGAACAATAGTTCATATTTTTCATTGTTTGCTGGTAGGTCTTGGTAAATTGATGTTTTAATAATCTGCTCATAAATTGAAAAGTATTTTTCTGGTGAATATTTTTGGCATTATCTTACCAGTGTACTACCAGAACATAATAGTACAGTAAATATCTTATGGCTTTTTCAAAGCTGTGTGCAAGTTCCAGTCTCTTTGTAAGGAGCACATGTGTGGCCTTGGAAATAATTATTTGGCCAGTGACAGGTCTAAGGCCTCTGGACTGTGAAAACTGTGTAGTTTCACCCTGAGTTACACATTGTGAATTTGCCTTTGCTGGTGTTCCCCCTGCTTTTATCTGAAGTTCTGTTTTATAGAAACCTCGAGATACAGAATAGCCACAGATCCCTGTGTCCCTGTCCCATCCCAGTAGGAGTGTTGCATGTGTTTAGAAATTGGGCTGATGAGTTAGAAGTTCCAGTGTTCCCCTCAGGCAGTCTGAGAAATATTGCTGGAGCATCACCCAGTGCTCACCACACTCAGGAGGTTCCTGGGGCACTCATAAAACCACAGCAGCACTTTGGGGGCCCCGAGTTACCTGTGAGAGTGCAATAAATCTTGCTGAGTCATGGGGTTGCTCACAGATGGCACCAACATGATGCTGAAACAGAAACTTCATGGGGTCTTTCTTCCAGTCTGGCCTCATGACTGTTGTAAAGGGAAGGGCCTTGGAGCTGGTAGGCAGAGTGAGCCAGGGAGGCATTTCCAGCAGAGGCTGTCACAGTGTCCACTAGACAGCGAGAATGGCTTTGTGGGTGACATTTAGGGAAATCTGAAGGAATACCTCTTGATGACATTGAGCACCATATGAAGATCCAAGATCATGACAGGCAGTGGCAAGAGGTTTTGGGTTTTTTTTTTTTTTTTTTTACATTTTCCTGTTACTCCAGTTAAGACTGTCTTTCAGAATGTATGCATTCACAGAGGTGGAGCCTGATGGCTGAATAGCAGTCTCTGCCAATTGTGCTCCCCGCAGGAATAGCAAATTTAGCAACTGTCTAAATAAAAAAAGCACCTGCATAGGAACTAAAAATCAGGTAAGCATTCATAGTACCTGGTTTTAACTTCATATCACTGAAAGAAGCACTGAATAGTGTAGAAAAGACAGTCTTGAATTGCTGATGCCACTCCTCCCCCATGTCCTAGCAGTGGACCTGTGGTGAGAAGAGGGGCTACATGCTTGGGGGATGGAGAGCACAGCAACTGTGGGACTTTGCACTAAATTCAGTGCTGCCTTGTCATAGCAGAAAGCAAAACAAGGCTGTGCTCATCCAATGCCCACCCACGGAGGAAGCATTTAGACTAGCCCTAGCCAGAGAGGAATTTTTCATGCCACTGGTTGGAACTTGAGTTGTGAAAGGCTACTGGCTACTGTGGGATAAAATACTCTGGGGTCCTTAATAAACCTGAAAGTCTGTCTAGGCCACAAGGACTGCTGTGCTGCCCTTGAAGCCAGTGTATTTAGGGGCATGTGACCTACAGAGACAGCAACTGGGGCAGCTAGGGAGTGCTTGCCCACCCCGCCTCCAACCCTAGACAGTGCAGCTCACAGGTCTGACAGAGACCTCTTTCTTCTGCTTGAGGGGAGGAAAGAGGACTTTGTTTTGCAACTTGGATACTAGCTCAGCCACAGTAGGAGAGGGCACTGGTCAGAGTCATGAGACCCCCATTTCAGGTCCCAGCTTCAGGATAGCATATCTAGACAAACCTTGGGCCAGAAGGGAACTTGATGCCTTAAAGGGACTCAGTAATGGCAGGATTCATCACTTTCTGATGAAAGAGCCCTTGGGCCCTGAAGAATCATCAGTGGTGACCAGGTAGTACATGCCATGGGCCTCGAGTGAGACTCAGAGATGTGCTGGCTGCAGGTGTGGCCCAGCACATTCCCAGCTGTGGTGGCTGTGAGGAGAGACTCTCTCTGCTTGAGAAAAGCTGAGGGAAGAGTTAAGAGGATTTTTCTTGAGCTTAGATACCAGCTCAGCTACAGTGGAGAAGAGCACCAGGTGGACTGTTGGAGTCCCCAATTCAGGCCTTGGCTCTTGGATGGCATATCTGGACCTACCCTGGTCCAGAGGGGAGCCCACTGCCCTGAAGAGTGAGTTTCAGGCCAGGCAGCATTCACCACAGGCTGACTGAGAGCACTTGAGCATTGAGTGAGAATCAGTGGTGACCTGACAGTAATCCCCATGGGACTGTGTTGACGATATATGTGGGGACAGACTACTCTGCCTGGGGAAAGGGGAGGGAAGAGTGGGAATGGATTTGCCTGGTGGATTCAGTGCCAGCTCAGCCATGGTAGAGCAGAGCACCAGGTAGATGTCTAAGGTTTATGACTCCAGCCCTGGCTCCCAGACAGCACCTCTGACCCCATCCAGGGACCAGGAGAACTTACTGCACTTAAGGGAAGGACAGAAGCCTGGCTGGCTTCACTACCTGCTAATTGTAGAGCCCCTGGGCCTTGAGTGAAATAGGTGGCAGCAGGTAGGTGTTACAGTGGGCCTTGGCCCGCCACAGTGCTGTGCCAGCTTCAGACCTAGTGCTGTCACAGAGGTGGTGGCCACAGGGGTGCTTGCATTGCTCCTCTCTGAGCCCCAGGCAGCCTAGCACAGAGAGAGAGACTTCATTTGTGGGAAAGTAAGAGAAGAAGTGAGTCCCTGTCTGCTAACCCAGAGAATTCCTTCAGGTCTGATCTCAGACCACCAATGTGGTACCTCCACAAGTCTGCAAAAAAAAAAAAAAAAAATGACATTCTTTACAGAAATAGAAATAAAAAATGAATTCTAAAATTTATATTTAACTACAAAAGACTCAGAATATCCGAAGCTATCCTGAGCAAAAAACAAACAAAACTGGAGGAATCACATTATCTGATTTCAAATTATACTCTATAGCTATAGTAACCAGAACAGCATGACACTGGCATAAAAACAGACACATAAACCAATGGAACAGAATAGAAAACCCAGAAACCAGTTTATACATCTACAGTGAACTCATTGTCAGTGAAGGTGCCAAGCACATATGATAGGGAAATGACAGTCTTGTCAATAAGTGGTGCTGGGAAAACTGGATATTCATATGCAGAGGAATGAAACTAGACCTCTATTTCTCACCTTATACAAAAATCAAATCAAAATGGATTAAAGATTTAAATCTCAGTTGGGTGCGGTGGCTCACGGCTGTAATCCCAGCACTTTGGTAGGCCGAGATAGAAGAATTGCTTGAGCCCGGTAGTTCAATACCAGCCTGGGCAAACCAGTGAGATTCTGTCTCTATTTTTTAAAACATTAAAAATTAAAAAAATTTAAATCTAAGACCTGAAATATGAAGCAAAACATTGGGAAAACTCTCTGGGATACTGGACTCAGCAAATATTTCTTGAATATTTCATAAGCACAGGCAGCCAAAGCAAAAATGGGCAAATTAGGTCACATCAAGTTAAAAAGCTTCTGCACAGCAAAGGAAACAATCAACTAAGTGAAGAGACAACACACAGAATGGGGGAAGATATTTGAAAACTATCTGACAAGGGATTAATTACCAGAATATTTAAGAAGCTCAAAGAACTCCATAGAAAAAAATCTAATCTGATTTTTAAAATGGGCAAAATATCTGAATAGGCATTTCTCAAAAGAGGACACATTAGCCAGGCATGATGACACGTGCCTGTGGTTTCAGGTGTTGGGGAAGCTTAGGTGCAAAAATTACCTGAGCCTGGGAGGTTGAGGCTGCAGTGAGCTGTGATTGTGCCACTGCACTCCAACCTGAGTGACAAAGTGAGACCCTGTTTCAAAACTAAGAAAGGCATACAAATAGCAGATAGGTATATGAAAAGATACTCAACATCAATATAATTGATCTTCAGAGAAATGCAAATCAAAATTACAATGAGAGATCATCTCACCCCACTTAAAATGGCTTTTATTCTAAAGATAGCCAATAACAAATGCTGGTGAGGATACAGAGAAAAGGTAACACTCATACATGGTTAGTGGGAATGTAATTTAAGTACTGCCACCATGGAGAAACGTTTGGAGTTCCTCAAAACTAAAAATAGAGTTACCGTATGATCCAGCAATCCTACTTCTGGGTATATACCCAAAAGAAAGGAAATCAGTATATCAGAGAGATACCCGCACTCTCATGTATACTGCAGCACTATTCACAACAGCCAAGATTTGGAAGCATTCCGAGTGTCTATCAACAGATAAGTGGCTAAAGAAAATATGGTACATATACACAATGAAGTACTATTCAACCGTAAAAGAGAATGAGATCTTATTATTTGCAAGAACATGGATGGAAAGGTTGAATGAAATAAGCCAGGCACGGAAAAACAAACTTCACATGTTCTCACTTATTTGTGGGAAGTAAAAATTAAGACAGTTTTTTTGTTTGTTTGTTTGTTTTTTGAGATGGAGTCTTGCTCTGTCACCCAGGCTGGAGTGCAGTGGTGCTATGTCGGCTCACTGCAACCTCCACCTCCTGGGGTCAAGCGATTCCTCTACCTCTGCCTCCCGAGTAGCTGGGATTACAGGCTCATGCCACCATGCCTGGATAATTTTTGTATTTTTAGTAGTGATGGGGTCTCACCATGCTGGCCAGGCTGGTCTCGAACACCCGCCTCGGCCTCCCAAAGTGCTGGGATTACAGGTGTGAGCCACTGCGCCTGGCCTCAAACAATTTACCTCATGAAGATATAGAGTAGGAGAACTGTTAGCCAGGGCTGGTAAAAGTAGTATGGGGGATGAGGAGTAAGGGGTAATGGTTAATAGGTACACACATATAGTTAGAAAGAATAAACAAGATCTAGTATTTGATAGCACAACAGGGTGACAACACTCAAGAATTATTTAATTGTACATTTTATAGTAACTAAAAGAGTGTAATTGAATTATTTGTAAAACAAAGGTATGTTTGAGGCATGATGGATACTTCATTTACCCTGATGTGATTATTACACGTCATAGTCATCAAAATATTTTATATACCATATAAATATATACACTTATAATATACCCCAAAAACATTTTTAAAGACTTTCATTCAGAATTACTACACTGTATATTTACCAGTGAATTGAGGATTCTTGTGACTAAGAAGAGACTCACTAGTGTTGGTCAGTTGGTTTTGAAATGGCTGCTAAATTACTGCTTTGCTAATAGTAGAAACTGAGTTGTCACGGTGATATTGCTAGTAGCCATTTTAGCAAAGGATGTAACAGAAAATGAATTTGAAACAAATAGAAGTACTTTGAAAGTTGCAGAAGCTAAAGTGCTCTTAATCACTACTGTCATCAATCTGTAAACTGGTTTCTTGAAGGCAGCAAAATTTGTAATTATGAACACTTAGCTCCACTATAATGGCAGCTAAATTGTTCTCAAAACCTGCAGCTAATCCGGTGGGGCTCTAGTTCTAGTTACAAGGTCAGAGAATATCCAGAGAAATGTGCAGGTTTCCACAGATGTGAGCTCCAGAAGCAGTGGTGGCAGAAGCCAGCTCCAGTTCTACACAATGCTGTTTGTGAATGCAGAAGCACCTTGATCTATGCTCTGAACAGGAGCTATGTTCACGATTTTTAGAAAATGTAAAACATTGCAACAAAGTGTGTAATGTACATTTATCTTGTCCCTCTACTGTTGATTGTAAAGATCTCTTTTGGACTGTAAATTGAACCATTTAAAAATTAGTGTTTATCAGATTTTTCTTAAAACTTTTCAACATCTGTTTGTCTTCTTAGAATATATTTTCCTTCAGAAACATCACTAATTATCAGGGAAATGCAAATGAAAACCACAGTGTGATACCACCTTACTCCTGCAAGAATGGCCATAATTTAAAAATTGAAAAATCGTACATGTTGGTATGGATTTGGTGAAAAGGGAACACTTACACTGCTGATAGGAATGTAAACTAGTACAACCACTATGGAAAACAGTATTGCCATTCAATCCAGCAATCTCACACTAGGTATCTACCCAAAGCGAAAGAAGTCATATGAAAAAGACACATGCACATGCATGTTGATAGCAGCACAATTTGCAATTGCAAAAATATGGAATGCCCATCAATGAATGGACAGATAAAGAAAGTGTGGAATATATACACCATGGAATACTGCTGAGCCATAAAACAGAATGAAATAATGGCCTTTGCAACAACTTAGTTGGAGCTAGATGCCATTATTCTAAGTGAAGTAACTCAAGAATGGAAAACCAAATATCATACGTTCTCACTTATAGGTGAGAGCTAAGCTATGAGGATTTTATATGTGTATATATATATGTATATGTACATACATATATATATACACACACACATATATACACACACACACACACACACACACACACACACATACATACATACATATAAGTTAAACTGAGCAGCTCCTATTCAGAAAATTTGCTGCGCCGGTAAAGGGTATGCTATTAGCCATTTAAAAAACAACAAAAAACTAAGAAGATACATATCCTGTAGGCATAATGGTTTTCTTCAATAACTAAGCTTCTATTAATAAACATGTTAATTATATAAAATACTGTATTTTACACATTTAAAATATGTTTGTGGAAAAACATAAGAGATTATGAAGTGCATAGATTCCTATAGTAAATTAACTCCTGATTAGCTGATTATTAAAGCGTTATCTGATTTACATTCCTATAGTCTTATGGTTATATGAATAGGAAACTAATGTTAGAAGTAGTTTCAGTGGGGTTTTCAGTTAAACAAATGAGAAAACCATATATCTGCTTATATCCTAACTGCTTTCCATACCAGAGAACAGCAAGCATTTGTTGACTTAGCCAATGGATAAAACTTTAAAACCAAGAAACCAAATATGTTGTTGAGGTATTAATTGCTTTTATACAGTTAAGTCTTTATGGGGATTACTATGAAAGTGGTAAGATTACTCTAGTTTTATATTTATTTAAACATTTGACAAAGTGCTGGATACAGTGGCTCACGTCTGTAATACCAGCACTTTGGGAGGCCAAGGTGGGAGTATCACTTAATCACAGGAGTTTAACACCAGCCTGGGCAACAAGTGAGAGCCTGTCTCTACAAAAATAATTTTAAAAAAAGAGCCCAGCTAAGTGGCATGAACCTGTAGTCCCAGCTACTTGAAAGGCTAGGATCATGCCACTGAACTTTAGCCTGAGCGACAGAGCAAGACCCTGTCTCAAAACAAACAAACAAACAAAAATCTTCGGCCGGGACAGCTGAATAATCATTTGGCAGAGGGCTGCTCCCAGCCTGTTCCCCTCTCACTGCATTCAATTCATCCCCACACTCTGTTCTGGCCAGGGGTGACAGGTGCTGAGCACCTTGGGGTTTCATTTCCAACTTAGGAGAAACACTGTGTAAGGCCAGAACCCTACCAAAAGGCTTGTCATAAAATGGGTTTAGTCTAGCCAAGGTGTTTCTCTTTGATCTTTCTACCGTCTGAAATGTAAAGAGTATTCCTGCCCCGTAATAGTGACAGCTAATAAATGGCATCCATCATTTCTGTCATCTGATCACTATTGTGGTGCCTTGGGAGTGACCATGGAGTCTGAGTTGTGCAATGGAACCCTCAAGAATGAGCCCTGAGTCAGCTGCACGAGTGCAGAGAAGGCTGTCCCCTTTCTCCTCATCCCAAACTTGGGGTGCTGGATGCAGAATGGACTGCAAGCAGCTGTGCCCTGTTTGGACATTAGTGTAGGAATCCACCTGCATAGCCTGTATTTGTTTCAAAAAAGAATTTGGAGCTATTCTAGTAGCTCAGTGTGATATTCTTAAATAAACAGAGAAAAATTTTATTAACTGACTTAACAAAAAAACACTGCCTATTAAATTCATTTAATATTGTTTAAGGAGTATCTACAAAATTTTGACCTCAGTGTTTTCTTGCAAAAGAAGTGGAAGTAAGGACAGAGACCCTTTCAAATGAAGAATCACTGAGAAACAAAATATTTATAAGTAGTATAACATTTACTTATGCACATTTTTTAAGATTATGCCATAATCAGTTTGCATCAGGCTCTCCAATTTCGAAACACGGAGAGGATTTCCCTGTAGGGGAAATTTTCATATAAATGTTGAAGAAATTGTTAAAACTGAAAACTTTTCTGAATTTGGTAATCTACTAGGGTTCCAATCCAGTGTGCTTTCTTATATTTGTAAGGTCTGTCTACAGTGTGTGTTATCATGGGTCTTGGAGCAAATATCATGTACATGAAGGCATTTCCACATTCTGTACATTCACAGGTTTTATTTCAGAAATGAGTTCTGTTCTTCATGTGGAACTGGAACAACTGAAGGCCTTACCATGGATGTTTGTATTTACAAGGGTTTTCTCCATTGAATCCTTTCATGTTTTCAAAGAAATGAAAAAGCTGAAGGCTTTACCATGTTTCTTAAGATTAAGTCGTTTTTCTCCATATTAAATTCAAATATGTCTTTGAAAGCACGTGAGATAATCGCGTTATTAACCCAGTTTTTACATTCATGTTGTTTTTTGTTTTTCTAAGTTTTCAAAGAGAACTGGGAAAGTTGCATGCTTTCTTGTATTTCTTAGATCAATAGGGTTCTGTACAGTGTGAGTTCTTTCATGTGTTCTAATAAACTAGAGCACATGATGACTTTACCACATTTCTTACACGAGAATAATGTTTTTGAACTAACATTGTCCTGTGTTGGTTTTGTTGTGTTTCTCCTTCCCCAGGAATGAGTTGGAAAGGCAATTCTTGAAGCTAATTAATTATAATAACAGCATTACTAACAGTGTTTATAGCAGATTCTACTTCGATCTTCGCACCTTGGCACACAACAACGGCCTGTATTCACCAGTTTATCTTCTTGACAGAGAAAGAGCTTGGAAGCTGGAGGTAAGGCTACGAAGTTACTAAGGTGGGTTTTCAGTCAAACACCAATGCCAACATCTGTGACTAGGTCATATTAAGTAGTGATTAGAAAAATGGAAAGCTTCAAAATTAACTAACATACTGAAGAGCTTATTACCTTTTTGGCATTCTGTTTCCTGTATCTTTTATGGTTTTTACAAAGATCCACATTATTTGAAATTATAGATATTATCTTCTCTTTTGTGAGCATAATTCAGAATATTTTAGTCAAATTTAATTCATTTGTAATCTTTCCCTTTTGAACTTTTACCCTTTCAAATCATCATATATAAATGATTTCTTTTATTGTATTCCAAGCAATGTCTACATACATAATGCACTTACCACTCTTGACTATTTTTTATTACTCAGTTTGCAAATTTATGTCATTTCCTACTGTATATACCACAGTGCAGTCAGTCCCATGGGTTTGTTAGACAAAGCATTAGTGCCTAAGCCAAGAGACCTGCACTTAGACTGTATAAGGTGTGCGCGTCTCAAATACTGGATGCAGGAAATACATGGGATTTTACTGGAAATGATAACTTTTATGAGACAAAGTAATATTTATGGTTTGTGACTTTTGGTAAGTACACAGCAGAGTTACAGCTGACAAGGATGAACATTTAAAATAGGCATGTTTTGTGGTACCTTGGAAGTATTTTAAAATAATACATTTTCTATCATAATTAATGTACAAGTGAAGTAGTGCCTTTTGATGCTTGAGTCATTAGACTTCTTTGATGTTTCAATACAATCCAGCACATGCCTGCATCGTTAAAATTTGCTTAAAGTATATAATAACTACTGTAGATTGGGTAGAGTTTAAGTAGATTAATAAACTAACTTTTTGCAAAAGTGTACATTCATTATGTTTAAGGAACAAGTGCACAGGTAACATGATACTGCTCTTAGAAGCCTGTCACAATACTGTGACATCTTTGGGAGCCCAATTTTTAAGTAACTTAATAAAACAAGTTCCCCTTTGCTCCAGCAATCTAATTCTAGCCCTGAGATTACCTTAATGAGTTGACAAAACTTGGCAGTGTAAACCTCAGCCAAAGTAGCTATAACTGGGCCGGGTGCAGTGGCTCATTCGTATAATTCCAGCACTTTGGGAGGCCGAGGTGGGTGGATCACAAGGTCAGGAGTTCAAGATCAGCCTGGCCAAGATGGTGAAACCCCGTCACTACTAAAAATATGAAAATTAGCTGGGCATGCTAGCAGGCGCCTGTAATCCCAGCTACTCAGGAGGCTGAGGCAGAGAATTGCTTGAACCTGGGAGGCAGAGGTTGCAGTGAGCCGAGATTGTGCCATTGCACTCCAGCCTGGGACTCCTTCTCAAAAAAAAAAAAAACCAAAAAAAACAAAAAGTAGCTGTAACTGAACTATCTAAAGGAGTCTGCATGTGTGGCTTATCATCAGTGGTGATTGTTAAAAGATTGGAAACCTTTTTAAAATTGTACCTCTTTTCTATTTGACATTCTTAGGCTTTTTCAAGGATGGAACAAGACAAAGTTTTCTACAGTGCTGCCAAGAATGGGTCTCTGAGTGCAGATGATTTAATTCATCTTCAGCGTGCTAAGGCCATCCTCTTCTGAAGGAAGAAATGAGGAGTAATTTAACATCTGAACCCCTCATCAAAAAAGACAGGAAAATATCACCTCTCCTGCTAAAGAACTAGAAAAGTTGGTATTTTCTAAAGAAGAAACACCTCAATTCAAGTTAACTCAAGGACAACTAAGATTGCACTTCGTAGTAAAGAATGGGACCTTGTCAGGGCAACAACACACTCTTACACTCTTCTGTCCTGTTTAATGTAAACAGAGTTATAAAAACCACTTCAAAGTGAAGACTCCTGCCCACGTACAGATATTTGCTTAATGTGTGGGCTGATAGCTGTGAACTATGTAAGGCTTTTAAAACAATAGTTTAACTTTTTAGATTTTAAAGATAACTTTTCTGTTTCTTTTATGTTTTTTTCTTTTCCCCAATATTCCTGCATATGCATTTGGAATCAGTGCAGTATCACTGTTAAAACATGGGAGTCTAACAACTCCTAAAGCCACTAGGAGCAGTCCCAGCATTGTCAGGTATGGAAGGGCTCTTTCTTCCTACTTTTACCATGGAAGCTACAGTTACTGGCGATCATCAAGCAAAAGCTGCCAATTAACATTTGCCATTCGTATCCTTTGTAAGCCCTTCTTATTAGCAGTTTAGCATGTTTGGGGGTCATAAAAAGAGAAAGTATTGGTTATTGATTATCTACTTTTATGAAGCTCTATGGTGTATTTCTTATGAACTATAATGGTTCTCATTTGCTGATAAATTTTCTTATTAAGTAAATGTATTCAAAGATGTTTTCATAGTGCCAAGCAGCATGGTGGTCCAGTGGTTATATAAAAATAATAAAATACAAGGTGTCCTGAAAGTTTCAGGGCAGTTTTTAGCTTTAATATAGTGTGCCTGGGCCCTCCAGAGGACTGCAGCATATGTATACATGCTGTAAATCTTTACAAAATATCATTTGAAAGTGTAATTGTATTTCTTCTTTTTATTTTTAATAGATGATGCCTCACTATATTGCCCAAGCTACAGTGCAATGATTAATCAGAGACACAATCATAGCACACCACAGCCTGAAAATCCTGGCCTCAAGCAATGTTCCCATGTCAGCCTACCAAGTAGCTGGGACCATGGGTGTGTACCACTGCCTCTGGCTTTATTTTGCAGAATTTGAATGTTAAACTTTTAACCTTTTGTTTCAGTCAATATCTGCTATCTTCAAGAAGGACTGAAACAATAAATTAAAAGCTTAATACTCAGGAGCTAGGCATGCTTGTAGTCCCAGCTACTCATGAGGCTTAAATGGAGGATCACTTGAGGCCTAGCCTTGGAGGCTGCAGTGCACTGTGATTGTGCCTGTAAATAGCTATTGCACTCCAGCCTTGGCAACATAATGAGACACTGTCACTTTAAAAAATGGCAAAACTAAATAAACGTAAAAGAAATACAACAAGCTTTTCAATGATTTGTAAATGTTTGTAGCATTGTTACTTCTACAAGTATCAAAGCTTAAAATTTCACTAAGACTTTTGGAATTCTTGTGTTTTTATAAAGTGCCCTTTTCTCTTGTAAAGTAGCTCTTTGCAAGGCTTTTATCTGCATTGATCACCTCAGATTATTTTCCCTAGATGTGATAAAGAGGAGGATCCATGTTAATTCATATGTAACAAATTAGAAGGAATTGGACCCTAATAGTAGTAGGTGATGCAATACATTTTATTATCCCACATGTTAGCCTGGATGCAGGTATCATATTTCATGTCCTGCTATTTAAAAAGAACTTCCATAAACCTTAGGAATCCTACCTCCTGAAAAAGTATCATTTATGGAATGCAGAGCTTAGAGATTGGAGTATTGATTGCAGTTTTATTTTCAAAATAAATGCTACAATTGATGTGGTTTTCATTTCTCATGTTTATATTAAAAGAAAACCTAGTAAACTAATTAAAATGTGGCGAGTGTGTTTATAACACTTCTATTCACATAGTGTTGCATCTCTGCCTAACTTAAATGGTTTATATCAGTCTTGATATGTCTTAAAGCATTTTTGTAAGTTGCCTTGACCATACACAAGTTGGTTTAATTCATGCCTGTATTTAAGATGTAATATTTGTTTTCTCTTTTTTTTTTTTTTTTCAGAGGGAGTCTAGCTCTGTCGCCCAGGCTGGAGTGCAGTGGCGCGATCTCGGCTCACTGCAACTTCTGCCTGCCGGGTTCAAGCAATTCTCCTGTCTCAGCCTCCCGAGTGGCTGGGACTACAGGCGCACGCCGCCACGGCCAGCTGATTTTTTGTATTTTAGTAGAGACTGGGTTTCACTGTGTGGCCCAGGCTGGTCTCGAACTCCTGACCTCAGGCAATTCACCCGCCTCGGCCTCCCAAAGTGCTAGGATTACAGGCATGAGCCACTATGCCCGGCCCTCAATTTTAAGATAATTTATTACACTTAAAATAACTCTCTGGCCACAATACTTAGTGGCATAGTGCATTAGATGGCATCTTTGAGTAGTTGATTGTTGTGTCTGAAAGGAAAAACACATTAGAATATGAAATTAGATAAATATATCAAAGAGAAAGGATTTCCAGGAATAGTGTAGAATTAGAATGAGAGTGTTTGAAGTTTTCAGTTACACAGAAACAAAATGGAAGTACAGAAAGTAGATTTAAAGTTGCTGTACAGAGGGTGACTTAAACCACATAATTTGACTTTAGCACACTGTTTTCAAGTTTACATTTTAGTTAAAAATAAATCACTGTTGGTTTTTTTTTAGAATTAAAATTCTAGCCACTCAGCTTCAGTGATCCTCACTAAATCCTGATAATATTGGTGTATTTTTATCCATTTTAATTATTTAGCACCTAAGGTAAAATCTTCAACTTATCACCTTATCTTGATAAATTGCAAACTAGAATCAATGATCTGTGTTAAACTTAGAAGAAAAAGTGTATGATGAATCCTTGTTTATAAGATGGTTTGCACCTTATAATATGCCATTAACTAAGTAGAAGTCCTGACATATATGAGTGGTCAAAGATTTAAAAACCAGTTTGACAGAGGGACGCTGGACATAAATTCATGACTTCAAGAGTAAGTCAGGGCTGGGTGCACTGGCTCACGCCTGTAATCCCAGCAGTTTAGGAGGCTGACGCAGGCAGATCACTTGAACCCAGCAGTTGAAGACCAGCCTGGCCAACATGGCAAAACCCCCTCTCTACTAAAAATACAAAAATTAGCCAAGCATGGTGGCAACCGCTTATGGTCCTAGCTCCTCGGGAGACTGAGGCACGAGAATTGCTTGAACCTGGGAGGCAGAGGTTGCAGTGAGCCATGATCATGCCTGCACTCCAGCCTGGGGCGACACAGCAAGACTTTGTCTCAAAAAAAGAGTAAATCAATAGAATAAGGAACACTAACATTGTTCTGTCCTTTGGCTTGAATTCTAGAAGGGAATACAATCATTTAGATAAATGAAAAATTGGGTCAACTTAGAATAAGAATATAAATGTCACTGAAACTGGGCAGGTTCTCTGACAAATGTTATGGGGCAAGGAAACTAAGTTGCTAGTAGGTGGTAACTATAGCAGTTTTCTTAGAGTTTGATACCTGGGAAAGATAAGTTCTTTAACATAAGACTATGAAAACGATTATCTGAGTACCAAAGCTCAAATTTACTTTGACTTTTTGGGTTATTTTAACATTTGTAATACAGACCCCAGTGAAATTTTACTCTGGTATAGTGTGAACTAAAACTTTTACATCTTCATTACAAGGAAAAGACAAAGATCTGAAATATGTATTTGAGCCAAGTGAAATGGCCATTTTTGTAGCACAAAAGCAGTTGCCTATTGGCAGTTTTATATAGTTTATTCCAAGATGAACTATCTAATCTTAGGGCTCAATGTTTCTAGAGAAATTTTATTCTGGTCTTTTATTCACATTTCTTTTATTGTAACCTAGATGCCCATATATCACTGAAATCAAGCAACACTAAATCCTGATTTTATTACAACTCAAGGTTCAGTTTTTTGATGTAGTTTTCCCACACTTCCAAATACACTATTCCTTGGTTTAAAAAAAACATGCCAGCCGGGCGCGGTGGGTCACGTCTGTAATCCCAGCACTTTGGGAGGCCGAGGCAGGTGGATCACCTGAGGTCAGGAGTTTGAGACCAGCCTCAACATGAAGAAACCCCGTCTCTACTAAAAATTTAAAATTAGCCAGGCATGGTGGTGCATGCCTGTAATCCCAGTAGTCAGGAGGCTGAGGCAGGAAAATTGCTTGAACCTGGGAGGTGGAGGTTGTGGTGAGCCGAGATCGCGCCATCGCACTCCAGCCTGGGCAACAAGAGAGAAACTCCGTCTCGGAAAAAAAAAAAAAAAAAAATGCCAAAGCCAATCTTAACCAAAAGCCAAATTACTCTTGATTCTGTATTCAGGTTATGCAGTGTTTCTGGAAACTAATTTTGCTGCAGTGTGCTGGTTAGCTAGAATCTTCATCACCCAGCCCTTTCCCTAACCACATTTAAGATTTCTGTGGCTTCATTATTTCCTCACACAGGACCGTTGAATATGGAACTACATTTTTGACAGCTGGCAGAGAAATCTCCCAGGTAAGTGCTAGTTTCTATGCAAATTTGTAGAGAACACCCAGAATCTATCAAGTTAAGGATTAGATGACCTTAAGTCTAATGGCCAGACACTTATTACCCAGTTGGGCCCAACAATGTGCCAGCGAGCAACGCAAAAGATCTAGGAGCCCTTCAGAAGCCTGCCCCATAGGACACAGGTTTCTAAGGCAATTTCTACTGAAGTCTATCTTTTTTTTTTTTTTTTTTTAGACGGAGTCTAGCTCTGTCGCCCAGGCTGGAGTGCAGTGGCGCAATCTCAGCTCACTACAACCTCTGCCTCCCGGGTTCAAGCGATTCTCCTGTCTCAGTCTCCCGAGTAGCTGGGACTACAGGTGCCCACTACAGGCTGGTCTCGAACTCCTGACCCTGTGATCCACCCACCTCGGCTTCCCAAAGTGCTGGAATTACAGGCATGAGCCACTGCGCCTTGCGTCTATTGAACTCTTTTAAATGCATTTGGCAAGTGACAGAACATGTACTTAATGTGAAATTTAAAGAATATCAGCTTGTGGTTTAGGATTTCTAGGGTACAGAAAGAACAACTAACTGGGAAAGAAAAATGGTATAGACATTATAAGAATCTTGAGTCCATTGGAAAATGGTTAACATTCTCTAAAAAAGAACAGGTTAGGTGACTTTTATAACTGGTGTTAGGAAGCTGAGCAATTGGACTGTGATTAAGAAAACTCAGTGATAGTCCCAGAACCTAAGGTCTTTAGTAAAATATGAGTAGTATCTACTTCAAAAGACCTCCATGGATTCCCAAAATAGGCTGCTTGCTTCTTAAAAAAATATATTGCTTCATCTTCACCTTCTCAATTCTACAAACCTTTACCTGTCACCTCAAGCTGGTGACTCCTGTGTCTCCTCAGTGTGACAACTGACTCACAAGCAGAGCTTCAAGTGTTTTATACACCTCTTCTTCCAGCCCCTGTTTCACCCAAGACCCTTAGAACCCTCCTTAAATAAAATTGATTATCCCAGCCTCACCCTTACCTTTTCTACTACTTTCCAATGTGGCAGTGCTTGATATTTGTCATCGTGACCCACTGCCAAAGCATTAGCACCAGGTTCTGGAACATGCAGGTTGTATGTAGCTCACGAGCTAACTGACCCCTTGTAATTCCCTTATGTGAGCCCTCTGTGTGCGTTCTCTGAAACACCTGTTCCCAGTTTGCTGCACTTGCTGATTCTGACCTACTCACAACCCTACTCGTGTATTCTCAATCTAGCCTGAATATGAGGTTGTACCTCTTCCTTCCAAAACCTATTTTCTCTGGCATTAATGCCTTGTTCTGAAGGTAACACCCTCTCATCTAATGGAGAGGATTCCATCTCTACCTCTAAAATCAGCTTTCTATATTCATCTCCTCCACCAATTCTCCTCTTCAAAATTGCATTTCACCTCCCCAACTTGGGGATGCAGCAATTTTGCGTCATTCCTGTAACGGTCCCAGTGTTTTTCAAGATGTGATCCCCACCCACCTCCCTCTTAGCAGCTGAAAGAGCTTGTGAAAAATGCAGCTTCTCTAAATGCAGTATGGTATCCTGGATTTGATCCTGGGACAGGTAAAGAACATGAGTGGAAAACCTGATGAAGTCTGGAGTTAGTAGTAATGTGTCAACCTTGACTTTTTAGTTTTAACAAATGTACCATGTCAACACGAGATGTTCACATTAGTGGGGAACTGGTAAGGGCATACAGAAACTGAGTTATTTTGGTGACTTTTTCTAAGTTTCTTTTTATAAAACAGCCTTTTGGGCCCCAGAACTAATGAATCTCAATTCCTGGGGCTGAGGCCTGGGAATCTAAAATTGTAACAGATACCCTAAACGATTATTAGATTCAAATGGAAATCCTTGTCAATTTCCTTTTATTTCTTGTCTGAACAGTTGCTTCTCCCTTGTTTCACTTATCTTAACCTGAGTTAATCCTTGAACTCTTCTGAATCCTAGGATTTAAGTACTGTTATCTGTTTTTCCCAGATGAGAAAACTGAATAATAAGAGGTGAAGTGTCCAGGATCATAGAGCTCATAAAAGGTGAAGCTGGGACTTATATTCCCAATCAGCCTGGCTCCCAAGTCTATGCTTATAGCCGCTCTGCATTAACCCTATTTCTATTCATGATGAGCTCAAAAGCTCTGTAACTAAATCAACCAAAAGCAGCCTTCTCACCAATATTATCCTGGGCCCACCTATTTCTCCACCTTTCTAAGTCTGGCAGTCCCTCTTGCTTCAGCATGTGAACTTTGCCCTTTCCTTTCTGTCTTTCTTTGTTTATTTGTTTTGTTTTTTTGTTTTTGCTTTTTTTTGAGATGGAGTCTCACTCTGTTGCCCAGGCTGGAGTGAAGTGGTGCGATCTGGGCTCACTGCAAGCTCCGCCTCCCAGGTTCACACCATTCTCCCACCTCAGCTTCCCGGGTAGCTGGGACTACAGGCGCCCGCCACCATGCCCAGCTGATTTTTTTTTTTTTTTTGCATTTTTAGTAGAGACAGGGTTTCACCATATTAGCCAGGATGGTCTCAATCTCCTGACCTCGTGATCCGCCCACCTCGGCCTCCCAAAGTGCTGGGATTATAGGCGTGAGCCACCATGCTGGGATTACAGGCATGAGCCACCGTGCCTGGCCCCCTTCTTTTCCACTGGAGGAATATGAGCAATGGGAAAGCATGGGGAAGATGTGCTGATGACAGTCCTGCACGCGGAAGGTGGAAGGTGCAGTTGCCCTTCTCTCAAGACTCAGCTCAACAACTATATTTTCTGGTCTGCCTCTCCCAGCTGCTTTAACTTACATACTAATGTAATCAAGTTCACAGCACCCGCCTTAACATGAAATTACATGCTCTCATATATTGCTAATTCACTTCTCACTAGATTTACGTGGTCTCCCTGAAACACTTTAAGCTCCTAATTACAGAGTCATGTCTCCCACATGCTATGTCTCAGAGTATGATGGAGAATGCTGACATACCAGGCCTTAAAGTGAGGTGGTGTTGGTAGATTCGTGGCCAATCTTTATTTTGCCAAAGCAGCAGTCAGCAGAAGGTGGTGGGAAAATAGCATTTCAGGCTCAGTAAGCATCTGTTTAGATTACCAGGGAGAAGCCAACTCTCAGTTTGTACCTGGGCTTCCTGATGTGGATTTACAGCTCAACAGCAAGTTGTGGATCCAACAGCTGAATAGAAAAGTTTGGGGAGTTTCTGTCCTCCAACCAGATGCACAAAAAGCACCGTGTCTATTCAGATTGTTTCAGCATAAATGGAGCATTTATAAAATGGAGGGCAATCTTGGGCAATGACTATTTTTCCACGTATCTTCATTTCTTCAAGTGGATCATGAAACAATAACAGGATTGCTAGGAGAAACCTAGGAAGTATATTCAATTAAAACATGTTTTAATTAGTTCTGCCTCTGTGATTGGAATTTGCTTGAGTTTAAGATTAATAAAATTTTTGCTGCTTATATTTTAAGTACATTTGAAAAATCTGATTCTAAAATTAAAATCCACATCTCTCCTTACATATCCTTAGGAAGCAGTGTATCTCTGCATGCAAACATGAAGAGAAAGAGATTTCTATGGCATCTCTTTATTTTCTTTGCTATTGCTTTAATGCATTTTAAAATTAATGTACATTAATTGGGAACAAAGAAACAAAAGCACATTTGTTTTTATCATACATAACTAATCTCCATATTTAACAAAAAAAACCATTTTACCTTTCTACAAATACAAGCAAAACTTTTTTTGCAAATAATAAAGTTAACAGAAATATATGGGACTAACATAACAAAATACAGCTGCCATTCTACTGACTCTCAGGAAGAAAATAAAAACAAGACTTACCAAGATGCTCTGGGTTGTCTTTTGTTAGTGTTAAAACCTTAGATTTATAATCTCATCTATATTATATAGATTTTAGCCATGATAATGTCCATCTGTGGGTACATTGTCAAAAACAATGGAACTTCATGTTGATTCAAACTATTTGTATAGTATGTACATTTTGTAGTTGTGTATCTACAGAATATATATAATGTAGACGAGAGATTTAGTGACTTTTGATATGAGTTTGGTGCAGGTGGATTACTGAGCCAAGTGAGGTACATGCTAATTCAGTAGTTTAAATGCAGGCGTTAAATACTCTTTGTGGTGTCCAGATATGTATAGTACCTGTCCCATGCAGTGTATGCACTGTCATGTTAAATCCAGAACTTACACATCAGAGCCTGTGATATTTTATTTGTAGATAATCAACTTGAATCTTCAAATTATTACTGGTAGATGATTGTAAATCTGCTTTACCCTTTATCTAAAAAGCTAACTCATTGTGGCATAAAAATTTTCTTTTTCCAACCCCAGTTTTCATTACTTGGAGACACATTGCTGGTCAGCCAATTGAGTGGTGATACTTAGGGGAAAGACAGAAATAATTCCTACCATCTGGATTTTTTCAGAATTGGGAAGGGAGAAAAACTATCCCCAAAGACAATGAAAATCCATTCTATCAAGATGATGCAATGACCTGCAAAGAAAAATGCACTCCAGGCACATTCAGGGCCACAGTGAAGAGGCTCTCCAGAGGGTGGTCACTGAGTACTTCAATGAGCAGAATAGAGGTGGGAGGATCCATATGATGGGATATCATGACTTGACACTAGAATCAGGTGTATTAATATTCCAGCCAGTACTGCCACTTGTTTTCTTATTTCAACTTGCATTCAGGGTGTGTCATCTTGAAAAGACTTGTTTTCTCATTTCAACTTGCATTTTTATTAAGTATTCAATGCATTTTATTGACAGATCTTGAAAGATAGGAAAATATTCTCAAAAAAAAGTGACTATCACAAAAAATCTAATGATATATTTAATTTGTTAAAAATTCTTATTTTTATTTGTTCTTCTCCTGAGAATGTGTAATAAATATCTGAGGTCTGTACCTTCTGGGGGTGGTTTCAAGCAGAATCTCAGAGCTTAGTTTTAGGGATATTACTGGGTGAGAAGGAAAAATTCTTTTCCTTTATACCTGCAGAGAAATTAATATAGTTCCACAAGAAATTGTGGTAGGTCAATTGGTGATTTACAAAAAAAAAAATTAGTTTCTCTTTTTGTACAGTGGAGTATTTGTGACAGTGGATAAATCTATTCTGTAGGTGGGTGCGGTGGCTCACACCTGTAATCCCAGTGCTTTGGGAGGCTGAGGCGGGTGGATCACCTGGGGTTGGGAGCTCGAGACTAGCCTGACCAACATGGAGAAACCCCGTCTCTACTAAAAATACAATATTAGCCAGGCGTGATGGCACACACCTGTAATCCCAGCTACTCGGGAGGCTGAGGCAGGAGAATCGCTTGAACCCGGGAGGCGGAGGGTGTGGTAAGCCGAGATCACACCATTGCACTCCAGCCTGGGCAACAAGAGTGAAACTCTGTCTCAAAAAACAAAACAAAGAAAAACTAAATGAATAACCTTGACTGGAAATCAGAGACATGAGCCCGTTGACTGCAGGCTAAGGCCAATCTTGACCTGTCAAAGGAGTTCATGAATAGCACAGTCATATCTTCCTGGGGAGCTTCCCCTGGAGCTATCCCAGCCTGCTCAGAGCAGCCATTGAAGGAGCCTTTATACTGAGTGAAGCTACAGAGCCCTGGAAAGCTGGGAATCCACAGGCAGACATTGTGAGAGTTGAGATGGGAGGCGGGTTGTGATGTCCTCTGTGAGGGTGTAATTGTTATTATCCTGAGGCTGTTTCTTGATACTGTCAAATAAATTCAGATGTAGGTAAGAAGTGACTTTATTTGAAAAGAGTATTGCAATGGGGAAAGCACCAAGCATCACATCTACAATCATCTCAAGAGAGAAAAGGACTGTACAGTTTCATATGGAGGAGCAAACAAGATTAGAAGGAAGGTGGGAGAAAGAGAGGAGAATGGAGAATGGCAAAATCAGATTGAAGGGTAGAGAATGTTCCACCCTAAAGTCAGCCTTTTCTTAGGAGGGGCATAAAGGTGGGGTATATGTTAGCTCAGACTGAAGGTGGACCAGAGTCTGGGAGCCTGAGGAAAGGAGAGAAACTTAAGCAAAGTTTGTTTAACAAGTATTTTGTTCTGAACACTGAAGACAAAATTATTTGTTTATGAGAGAAAAATGAGAATTTAGAGAGTCTGTGAATTTATGATATCTAAAAGAGGAAGCATCATCTAAGTCATAATGAAAAGGGTATTTATTTTCAGTAAGCTGTTCCTACAGAACACAAAGGATGGAGGGTTCTTAATCATGGCTGTTTATCAAGATTTACTACCCACCCCATTTTTTCCCCGCCTTACTTTGTCCTATACCTTTTTTTTTTCCATTTGGTTTTCCTGAGTCGTATCCTATATAATAACCTGATAAACATAGGTAAAGTTTCTCTGCTAAGTTCTGTGAGTAGTTTTATCGAATTATTAAACTTGAGCAAGGGGGTTATGGAAGTCCATGATTTATGGACAGTTGCTCAGAAATATAGATGGAATTCCTGGAACCCAGGAGGCAAAGGTTGCAGTGAGCTGAGATCACACCATTGCACTCCAGGGTGACAGAGTGAGACTCTGTCTCATAAAAAATAAATATTTTAAATAAAATCTTGTTTTAACCAATTATTTTTTGTATTCATGTAATTTTGTTAATATCAAAGACCCACCTCTAGAAAGACCATTATAATTCTTAATCACACCCAACTGAAGTATACAACCTCGTTTTCTAAAAAAAACACAAAGTTTCTGTTAACTAACCTTTCTACAACCTATGTAGATGATGCACAACATGCTTAAACTTTCTGTTTTGCCTAAATATTTCTCTTTCTTGAACAACCTAGTCATTTTAGGACAAAAAATTTACCACACAAAATGTCTTCTTATGTAAAATTGTTTCCTTTTCACCTTTACCAAAAATGCCTCTTTATAGCTTTAACTTTCTTACATCTCTTATTTCCTGGTTTCTTTTACCTTGTTTTATACATAACTTTTAAAGAAGCTTTGAATTAAACAGAGATATTTACCTTTTAATAAGAACATTTAAAAAATGTTTTCCTGTGTTTTTAAGTTGGAAATTACCTACTTAATATCTACTAATAATCTTAGATCCCTAATCGTATGGCAAGTCTCTTTACAAGCATTTAGTCCATTACACTTACCAGATTATTTAATATTTTACCTAGGCTTTTTTTTTTTTTTTTTGAGTTAGTTTCACTCTTGATGCCCAGGCCAGAGTTCAATGGCGTGATCTTGGCTCACTGCAACCTCCGCCACCCCAGTTCAAGCGCTTCTCCTGCTCCAGCCTCCTGAGTAGCTGGGATTACAGGTGCCCGGCCACCGTGCCCAGTTAATTTTGGTATTTTTAGTAGAGATGGGGTTTCACCATGTTGGCCAGCCTGGTCTCGAACTCCTGACCTCAGGTGATCTGCCTGCCTCAGCCTCCCATAGTGCTGGGATTACAGACATTAGCCACCTTGCCCCCCCTTTACCTAGATTATTTATGAAAACTTTGATAGTCATTATTTAAATTGAATTCCCTGTTAATCATTTTTATAGCTGTGAATTTCAGATGTTTATTTAAGTGAGACTCTTAAGGTTAAATATAAGGGTATTTTTACCAATAACTCAGAATTTAGCTGTTTTCATTAAACCAAGATATTCCATGTCCTATTTATCAAAAATTACACAAGCAAAGATCATTCTGTCTTGGGCTGGGTTTTATACTTTTATAACCCTTATGGCAAATCTTCCAGTATTCTTCAGGAATAATCATGAAATCACTTGATCAACAAATGCAAACAAAAATGCTAATAATTCTTACAACATTTCTAATATTATTTTGCCAATAACTTGAAAGCCAGCTTAAATGTGACTTAAGTCACATGAACTTGAAAAACCATTTGACTAGTCTTTTTTATTGATAAAATGGTTGATTTATGCACTTGTATTTTTCTTTAAGACAACGAATTAGAGCTCTCTGTTTATAGTAGAGAAACATTGTGCACACAACACATAAATACGTAAACCTATTAGGCACGCTGACAGAAGTATGTCTTATAGATTCATAAGACCTCTTTTTTTCCCTATCCTAGACTTTTAAATTTTTTTGTCTCTTTATTTTTGTTTTTTATTTAAATGGGTTTTTGGGGAACAGGTGGTGTTTGGTTACATGGATAAGTTCTTTAGTAGTGATTTCTGAGATTCTGGTGTACCCATTATCTGAGCACTGTACATTGACCAATGTGTTGTATTTTGTCTTTCACCCGCTTCCTACGCTTTCCCCGAAGTCCCCAAAGTCCATTGTATCATTCTTAACGCCTTCGCATCCTCATAGCTTACCTCCCACTTATCAGTGAGAACACATGATGTTTGATTTTCTGTTCCTCAGTTACTTCACTTAGAATAATGGTCTTCAGTTTCATCCACGTTGCTATGAATGCCATTATTTTGTTCCTTTTCATGGATGAGTAGTATCCATGGCATAAATGAGGTCTAGGGAACGCCAAGGCTACTGAGAGTAGGTGGGTTAGAGACATGGGTGAGAGTAGATAATTCTTATTCTCTAGGTCCTCCCTGCTTCACAGGTGCAAGCTGCTTTGGCACCTATGGGTGGCATCTGCCAAGGTTGCCAGCACTCAGGGATCCAAGGATGGAAGTGGGAAAGGGGACACTCTTCCTTCTCTCCCTCACATACCACAGGTATATCTGCTAGGAAGAGAAGGGAACCAGGCACGCCTGCTCCCTTCTTTCTAAATGGGTAGCCATTCATCTTCAGTCTGTGACCCTTTCGAATGCATGCTGAAACACTGGGACTCCTTTGATAAAAACATATTTTCCTTTCTCCTCCTCTGTCCTCTCTTCACAGATAGGTAGTTGTGTCTCCATACTATGGGACACTTTCCTCAGATGCATTCTCCATACTGGAAAAAGTTAATTTCCCAAACCTTAAACTGGTTGGCTTAGCACTGGGCTCAGGGGAAGGGAACCCAGAAGCCCAATATGCTGGCAAAAAGTTCAAGTTTTGTTGTTGCTGTTGTTGTTGTTGTTGTTGTTGTTGTTGTTTTACCAGTTGGGCTTTTGGCTTCCCTCTCCGTGTGCAAACTGGTGAAAAGCCTTGGGACTTTTGAGCTGTCCTTACCCCTCCTCTTGTTTCGTTTTGATGCATGTTTTCTAATAACCTGCTGTGTCTCTTCTCCCCTTCAGCCATCAGACTTTGAATGGTCAGGTAGCTGGAGCCTTGGACATTGGCCCCTTCTGCCAGGGACCCTTAGATAGGCCTCTGAGGGGACAGTTGAGTCCCCAGACTGCTCCTGATAGCAGGAAGCAGTATCCTTATTCTAACGGTAGTTAGATGTACTTCCTTAGAGGGAGGAATGAGGCAGCTGAGTAAAAAGGGGCCATCAGAGAACCTCCCACCGGCCTGCACACTGGGAGGGGTGTGCACTGGGGTGGAGCCTTGGGAAGCTCGCGGTGGGGGGAGCCTGGCCCCTTCCCTTCCTGAGTGGAACCTGGAATTCAATCTGTGAAGCAGGAAGCCTATGCTAGCAGGACTCTTGTACTGCTGAGGAGCCCTGGTTCCTCTTTATCCTTAATAAATTCCATTTTTCTCACCCTTCAAAGTGTCTGTGAGCCGAATATTTCATGACCGTGTGACAAGGACCCTGTCTTTAGCTGAACTAAGGAAAAGTCCTACAACATCTTTAAAAGGAAAAAAATGTTTCCCTTAATTGAATTTTTCCAGTCTGGAATGTTTTGTGTTGGTCATTTATGCCTCATCAGGCATTACCTGATAAAGAATCACCACAGCAAAAAAGATAGTTTTTTTTGGTTTTTATTTATTTATTTTTTTTTGAGATGGAGTCTTGCTCTGTCGCCCAGGCTGGAGTGCAGTGGTGAGATCTCAGCTCACTACAACCTCTACCTTCCAGTTTCAAGCTATTCTCCTGCCTCAGCCTCCCAAGTAGCTGGGATTACAGGTATGTGCCACCACGCCCAGCTAATTTTAGTATTTTTAGTAGAAACAGGTTTCACCATGTTGGCCAGGCTGGTCTCAAACTCCTGATCTCAGGTGATCTGCCTGCCTCGGCCTCCCAAAAGTGCTGGGATTACAGCCATGAGCTACCACGCACAGCCAAAAAAGATAGTTCTTTAAATTTTATTTCAAGATGATTCATTGAAATAATTTTAATGGTGTTTTTATTTCTAGCACTTGATACTAATGCTGGCTTTTTATTGAAGAAATATTGATTGAGCACTTAATAGCACTTATTATTTGGAACATATGTAGAAAATGGTTCCTGCTTTCTTGTTATTTATAGTCTAAAGAAAACTTGTGTAACCCCCTTTACAAAAACAAATATTTTATTTGTTTACATCTACCTTATAAAAATAATTTCAAAAAGATCTGACATTCTTGAATAATTTCTATATTTATTTTTGGTTTGATTCTCCATGATTGTGAGGGAATAAAAATCAAAGAAACCATTTTATATTCTGGTCTGAAAAATGTTGTCTCAACAGTTTTTTTAACTTAGAAGTTCCAAGTTTCATGTCTTCGTTGTATTTTTAAAGATACTATTTTTTTGAACTTAAAATTTTTACTGAAATTGCCCCTTTAGAAGTCACCACTAGCTAGGGATAAAATTTTTGTAATTTACTCATTCATTATTAGGTTTATTACAGAGTCAATTATTCAATACTTTGTGTTGGCATATTTTGTGAAACATATTTTGATTTTAAATCATTTTGATGTCTTTCTAAGGGAAGGATTTTGAAACATGAGATACACAATAAATTGCAATTGTGTTGAGATATTTTGTAAACCAATTTAATAACTTAATAGTTTTAAAAGTTAAATAGGCTGGGCTCAGTGGCTCATGCCTGTGATCCCAGCACCTTGGGAGGCCAAGGCAGGCAGATCACGAGGTCAGGAATTCAAGACCAGCTTGCCCAACATGGCGAAACCCTGTCTCTACTAAAAATACAAAAAATTAGACAGGAGTGGTGGCGGGCACCTAGTAATCCCATCTACTTGGGAGACTGAGGCAGGAGAATCACTTGAACCCAGGAGGTGGACATTGCAGTGAGCCAAGACCATGCCACTGCATTCCAGCCTGGGTGACAAGAGCGAAACTCTGTCTCAAAACAAAAAAAGTTTTAAATAAAATTTAAGAAAATGAGTAGGACACAGAGTATCAAACATTATCCAATGTTCAAATATAATGGAGCAAACAGAAAAATAGTGAGAATTAGTATTCCTTTTATAGTTATGTTGACAAAGGTAAATAATTATTCATCTCCTGGCATCTGTTTTACTTGATTAAAACTATGGGTGACTAAAATTAAAGTTAAATATATTAGAATTTCTACAAATATATTTTATTATATATCTTGTATTTCTTACAGGAATACATCTCCACTGACAGTGCTGCATTCCCATATCTATAATGAAAGAGTAACATCTTGATCTCAAAAATGGTTACTTAGTGAATGCAACATTGCTGCATTATTATGATTATTTCATGGAGTTATTAGTCTATTTGTATTTTCTTATAATTTAGACCCTTAGAATGTTTGTAGTGTTCTTCATATGTGGAAAGATGATGCCCACGATTCATACTGTATTTGATGACAAAACTTACTAACAGTAACTAGCCATGTGCTTTTTTTCTAGAGAAGAGCAATCTAATCAGAATTATCTTTCATTATGCATGAATGACCAACAAAGGTAGGGGCTTAAGTCCCTTTCAGTTTTGTGGAACTTATTTGTGCTTTCTCTATCATTGTCAAATTTTTATTGTAAAGCCGTTATTTCATGATAGCATTATATTTCATTTTCAATATGGTGTCTCTTTGTCAGCCATTTATCCAAACTGAGATCATTATGTTCCTTTGGTAGATTTTTTAGGAGAGCGGTTGTCATCTGGAAAATCACCAGACAATATTAGCTATGTCAGTGTGAGAGTTCACAGAGCAGGAGCATCACCTTCTTGGACAAGCCCCTCATTCTAAAGTTCACCTTGATCAAAAACTCCTGAATCCAAAGGGCATCAGCCTAATGCCTAAGGTCAGCATTATCATAAACCACAAATACCATCCCTGACCAGAAACATTCCAAACCCCTCCCCAACCAGAGACATGCCAGCCCCGAGGTAAGCCCCCTCTGGCTGGGAAGATGCCAGCCCCAAGATAACCCCCTTGTGGCCGGAAGATGTCAGCCTCAAGATAACCTCCTTTCCACCCAGAGACATTCCAACCCTGCCATAAAACTTATCCCCCACAAAGAAACATTAAGCTTGTGATAAGCCCCCTTACCCTAAAACCAATATATACTCTTAGTCTGTAAAAGAGAATGCATCTGACCGAAATCGTCCAGAAGCCCCTCTCAGGTTTATTTCTCTAAAATAAATCTGTTTTTAACTGTTGAGCTACATTTCGTGTTTCTTTCCTCTGTCTTTAACTCTTACATTTGGTGCGGAAACCCAGGATGGGTTCTGGGGACAGAGAGTCTCTTGCAACCCAGGAAGCAGTGGGCAGTGGCAGCTCATCCTGAGTTAATTCCTGGATCCTGAGGGTTTCTGGCCACACACCCCATCTTTTCTGTCATTTCACTTTTTGACCGATTTGCAAGAGGAGGACAACTAACCTGAAGGGGACTGCAAGGCTCTGGCTGGGGCTATTCCCCAGGAAGTTCTCTAAACCCTCAGGTCTCCGGAATCAACCTCTGACTGGCCACAATGGGTATTTTGCTCTCTTCTCTCCTCTTCCTCCCTCATCCTCCCTTCTCTCTGTCTGTCTTCCTCGTGCAGCTCCAGTCAAAGAGGCCCTTTGCCTATTCCAACCAGAACATCCAACATCAGATAGTCATCCAGCTGATGGGTAAGATCTGTCCTCCCCTGGCTTTCTTGCGGTACCTGGGAAAGTCAGATCTGCTATCCTGGTCCTTGGAGGACCAGCGGGACTAAGCTAGAAGAAATCTTGGGGACACCCAGTTTCTTCTCAGGTTGACCATTCTCTTTAGAAAGAGGACTCCAGGTCTCTGTCTTTCATCTGGGGATGCCTAGAACAAAAACAGACACCCTCGGCTTCTTCTCACCAGTCTACATGGGTGCCAAACAATCACACATTCCTACATCCTCTCCACTGGGCTGTCTCCTTCACAACCTTGCCAAAGTTGGCTTCTGGGGAAGCCAAAGCATTTAGTCTTTAGCCAAAGCATTGCAACATGGCCTGACCCCAATAAAAATTAGATAATGACAGCTGATGGCCCAAAAATGGCACCTTTGACTTTCAAATTCTCAGGGACCTTGACAGCTTTATAACCAGGAATAGCAAATGGCAAGAGGTTCTCTATATTCAGGCTTTCTTCAACTTTAGATCCTGACCCTCCCTATGTCAAGTTTGCACCCCTCATAAAATCCTTCTTCTCAATTAAAACCCTCCCCGGGTCTCTCCCTCCTCTGAAAACCCCTTCCTCCAAAACCCCTTCCATCAAAACCCCTTCTTCTGAAACCCCTTTTGACCTGGCAGATGAACTCCCCCCATATTCCCATCCCCTGCATCTGCTCCTTGACTGACTGAACCCTCTGCCCCAGTGGCCCCTCCTGCCCCCAAGCCTTCAGCACCAGACCCCACTCCTCCTCCTCCACCTGTTACCTGTTCAAAAACTACCACTCAAACCACCTCTGCCATTCTTCCTCTCCAGTAACTGGCTGGGGTTGAAAGCATTGCTCATGTTCACATCCCTTTCTCCATATCTGATTTGTCGCAGCTCAAACAGCATCTAGGATCTTTCTCTGAAAACCCCTCCCATGATCACCGGGAATTCCTGCACATAACCCAATCCTTTAATTTAACTTGGCATGATATTTATATAATTCTAACCTCCACCCTCACTCCTGATGAAAAAGAGCATATCTGGTGTTCAGCTGAAGCCCACACAGATGAACTCCATAACAAAGCCGCTATACAAAATCCAGTGGCCAATGATGCAATCATCCATAGAGACCCAGATTGGACTTACCAACAGGGAGACAATGGCATCAGGTGAAGGGACGACATGATTACCTGTCTCCTCTCAGGGATGAACAAAAATGCCCATAAGGCAGTTAATTACGAAAAACTCAGAGAAATTACACAGGAGACCTAGGAGAATCCTGCCATTTTCTTATCATGCCTCACTGAAGCCATGCTAAAATATATCAGTCTGGATCCAGAATCTAGAGAAGGGCAAACTTCTCCACCTCCAATTTATTTCCCAGTCTGCCCCAGATATCCAGAAAATATTACAAAAATTAGGGGAGGGTCCCCAAACATCTCAGTGGGATCTCCTAAATGTGGCCTTCCATGTCTTTAACAACAGAGATGAGGAACAAAAAATTCAAAAAGACAAACATCTCTGGTTAAAATGCCAGATGCTCGCTTCTGCTGTCCAAAAGTCAGTTACACAAAAGCCCCCCGATAACCCCAAGGGAAACTCCCTCACCTCTCCAGGAGTCTGTTTTGTATGTGGCAATAAAGATGTTAAAACAAAGTCTTGTTCTAACCCCTGGCCTCCAACAAACCGTGCCCAACTTGCAGTCTTTGGGGACACTGGAAAATGGACTGCCCCCAACGGGGACACCCTCCCCATTTGGATGCAGCTCATAATCAGGCCCCCTGACTGTCACAGGAGGAAATGTCTTCACTGCTGGTGCTGACAATGGAATATCCTTGGCCCCCATGTCCATTGAGGACCAGGATCCTTAGCTCCCATGTCCAGTGAGTCCACAGAACCCAGGGTAATTGGTACAGTATCCAGTAAGATTATTTCCTCTCTCCTGGATACTGGGGTGAGCCTATCAGTATTAACCAGATATCAAGGCCCATTAGAATGTTCATCCATTTCTGTTGTTGGCATAAAGGGCATACAAGAAACCCCACGCAAAACCCCACGCCCCTATACTGCTTATTTCAGGGAACCACCCACACTCTTTCTTGGTCATTCCTCACTGTCCCACTCCTTTACTAGGAAGGGACATCCTACACAAACTAGGGGGAATCATTCATTTATTGGCCCTACATCAAAGCCACCCTAACTTATTATGTCAAAAACAAAACCCCTCCTCAGACACTCCACATCAAAAAGTCTTAAAACCCAAATTCATCAGCCAGGTAAATCCCATAGTATGGAACGCCAACTCCCCCATAATAGCTGTCCATCATTCTCCAATTAAATTTCAGTGAAGGATCTTAAGTGCTACATAGTGGCCCCACAATATCGCCTCAAAGCTAATGGATTATGGGGACTCAAGCCCATCATATTCCAAGTTTTGGTTGCAAGTATTTTTTTTCTTTGAGATAGGGTCTCACTCTGTCACCCAGGCTGGAGTGCAGTGGCACAAAGTTGGCTCGCTGCAACTTCTGCCTTCCAGGTTAAAGCAATTCTCCTGCCTCAGCCTCCCTAGTAGCTGGGATTACAGGTGCACACCACCATGCCTGGCTAATTGTTGTATTTTAGTAGAGATGGGGTTTCACCGTGTTGGCCAGGCCGGTCTCAAACTCTTGACCTCAAGTGATCCACCTGCCTCAGCCTCCCAAGACTGCCAGTATTTTAATTCCCACCCATTCGCCCCACAATACTCCTATTCTCCCAATCAAAAAGCTGGATGCCTCCTATAGACTGGTTCAGGATTTGTGACAAATCAACTCTGCTGTTGTTCCTTTTTATTCTGTTGTCCCAAACCCCTACACCCTCCTATAGTGAATTCCTCCCAACACTAGCCATTTCTTGGTATTGAACCTCAAGGATGCCTTTTTATTATTATTCTACATCCCTCCTCTCAAAACCTTTTGCTTTCACTTGGACTGACCCTGACAAAGGCTACTCTTAACAACTCACCTGGACTGTGCTCCACCAGGGTTTTAGGGACAGCCCTCACTATTTCAGTCAGGCACTTCAATTAGACCTCTCCCAGCTACCTCTACAACCTAGCATCTTGCTTCAGTATGTGGATGATTTACTTATTTGCAGCCCCTCTCTAGAACATTGTAATCAACATACTACCAGGCTTTTAAGTTTTTTGGCTAAATGTGGGTACTGGGTGTCCAGAAGGAAGGCCCAATTAACCTCTCCAAAAGTATCATACCTAGGATTAATCATAACTCCAAATACTCGATTAATTCCACCAGCATGAAAGCAAGGCATTCAACAAATCCCTTTTTCTAAAACAAAAAGGGACTTACTTTCTTTCCTTGGATTATCTGGATATTTCCAATTATAGACAGCAAATTTTGCCATTATTGCTAAACCCTTGTATGAACACACAAAAGGAAAGCTTGACCAAACACTCACTCCCACCCCAGACCGTTATCATGTTGTCTCTCACTGAAACATGCCTTATTACAGGCCCCTGCCCTAGGCCTTCCAAACCCCTTGAAACCCTTACATCTATATTTACACAGTTCTTATAATCAGGCCCTTGGACTATTAGAACAGCCCGTGGGAGATTCCCTCCAACTGGTAGCATATTTTTCAAAACAACTAGACCCCATTTAGAAAGGCTGGCCTCTTTGCTTAAAAATTTTGTCCATACCCTCTCTAATTATCCCTAAGGCACAAAAATTCACATTCTATGAACCCCTTCAGGTATTTTCTTCTTACAGTCTGCAAGACATGCTCAGCCATAATGTGATCACTTCCATCTCATCCTCTCTCATGTAGGCCTTACATGCAACTCTCCTTCAACTGTCTATCTCTCTTCATAGATGCTCCCCATTAGTTCCGCCACTCTTTTGCCTTCAGCACGAATTTTAGACCCCAGCCACCACTCATGCTCTGATTTAATTGAAAGTTCTTGGCCAGTTGCAGTGGCTTATGCCTGTAATCCCAGCATTTTGGGAGGCCAAGGCCAGTGGATTGCCTGAGCTCAGGAGTTTGAGACAGACCACCCTGGGCAACATGGTGAAACCCCATCTCTACTAAAAATACAAAAAATTAGCTGGGTGTGGTGGCAAGTTCCTTTAGTCCCAGCTACTCAAGAGGCTGAGGCATGAGAGTCGCTTGAGCCCTGGAGGTGGAGGTTGCAGTGAGCCAAGATCACGCCACTGCACTACAGTTTGGGCTACAGAGTGAGACTCCATCTCAAAAAAAGAAAGAAAATAAAAGAAAAGTTGTCTCACCATGTTTCACTACCTTACTTCCACTCACATAAATGGAGCCCCAGATTGGTTTATAGATGGCAGCACATCAAAAAACCCTCCCCTCCAAGCAGGATATGCCATCATTGAGGGATATCATGATGATACTCACTCTCTCCCACCTAGAAGGGTCATAGAGGCTGCCCCCTTGCCTTTGGGCACATCCTCCTTCTCCCAGCAAGCAGAATTAGTTGCCCCAATAAGAGCCCTAGCAAAAAGCACACAAGTTAATACATACACCAATTCTAAATATGCCTACAACATCATCTATTCCAATGCCCAAATTTGGAGTGAGTGGGGCTATCTTATGGCTAAGGGAACTCCTATCATTAGTGGAAAACTAATCCATCATTTGCTTCCAGAAAAGTCTTTAGTTATCCATTGCAAAGGACTTCAATCAGATAAAAACATTTCGTTAGGAAATCATGAGGCTAACTATTGGGCAAAACAAGCCTCAACCAATCATCCAATCCCCCAATACCTATTTCCCTTTATACAACATATCCCTTCTTTTATCCAGAACACCAAATACAACAACTAGTCACAGTGGGGGCACAATTCAAGCCCCCATACTGGTTCATACAAAACAAATTAGTTGACTGGGTGCAGTGGCTTACGCCTGTAATCCCAGCACTTTGGGAGGTCAAGGTGGGCAGATCACGAGGTCAGTAGTTCAAGGCCAGCCTGGCCAACATGGTGAAACCCCATTTCTACTAAAAATACAAAAATTAGCCAGGCCTGGTGGTACGCACCGGTAATCCCAGCTACTCGGGAGGCTGAGGCAGGAGAATCACTTGAACCTGGGAGGCAGAGGTTGCGATGAGCCAAGATCGTGCCATTGCATTCCAGCCTGAGCAATAAAGTGAGACTCTGTCTCAAAACAAAACAAAAGAAAAACAAACAAACAAAAAACAAATTAGTCCTACCTGACCCTGAAAAACTACTGTTGTATGGGGATCTTATCTTACAATATTTCTTAAGCTCCCATATACGCATAAGCCCAGATATAAAGGAACAGCTAAAAGCCATTTCCCATCAATGTTCTATTTGCTGAAATGCTTCACCCCACTCCAACACTAAACCTCCTTCTTTCCCAAGCCAGGGGACGCCTTCTAGGACAGGAATGGCAAATTGATTTTACCCATATGCTCCCAGTAAAAAGGATTTGATTTCTTTCAGTTCTGGTCGATACCTTTTCAGGATGACTTGAGGCTTTTTCCACAACCAACAAATGGGCTTCTACTGTCACCTCCAAATTAACAACAGAAATCATCTCCATGTTCGGCGTGCCTCTTTCTTTTCAATCTGACATTGGTCCTGAATTCATCTCTCAAATTACTCAAACACTTGCACAAGCCCTACAAATTGCCTGTAAGCTATGCATCCCCTCTCGACCTCAATCTTCAGGAAAGGGTGAGAAAATGAATGGCACTCTAAAAAACACCTCACCAGGTACTCACTCCAAACACATAAAGGCTGAGTTACACTTTTACCTTTGGCCCTTCTAAAAATTTGGGCTCTCCCACATAAACCCTTAATGCTCAGCCCCTTTGAACTCATGTATGGGAGACCACTTGCCCCATTTGTTCCATCTGTGGGTCAAGTGCCACCTCTACCAACTCCCCCTGTTTCCCCTCTTCTACATACCATACGCCATTTCATTTGGAAATATGCTGACAAATACCTGCCACAACTCGTCACCAACTCTTCTAATCCCTTCCTACAGCCAGGAGATTGGTCCTGGTAAAAGATCCCAGCCCTACCCCCAATTCCTCCCTCACACCTAAATGAAAGAGACCTTACCAAATCATTCTTACCACACCCACGGCAGCAAAACTCCAGGTACTCCCTAACTGGATTCATTATACTGCTCTCAAGAAAACAGAATTCCCTTCACCACATACCCAACCAACCAAATATAAAATCCCTTCAGCCTTCTCTTGTGTCTCCCCAGGACCTGTCTGTCTCCCCAAAAATCCACATAAACCACTTATGTGTCTTTCTCTCCCAAACTTTCATCACTTCCTAACAAACCATGTTACAGACTTTCAGTGGTACCCCTACAAAACTCCCATTATATAACCTGATCAGCTTCTTAACTGTTCTTTTATTTTATTTTTTATTTTTATTTTTGAAATGGAGTCTTGCTCTTTTCTCCCAGGCTGGAGTGCAGTGGCATGATCTCAGCTCACTGCAACCTCCACCTCCTGGGTTCAAGCTATTCTTCTGCCTCAGCCTCCCGAGTAGCTGGGATTACAGGTGCCAGCCGCCATGCCCAGCTAATTTTTGTACTTTTTAGTAGAGACAAGGTTTCACCATGTTGGCTAGGCTGGTCTCGAACTCCTGACCTCAGCTGATCCACCCGTCTTGGCCTCCCAAAGTGCTGGAATTACAGGCAGGAGCCACCGAGCCCAGCCCACCTCCTTGCTGTTCCATGGGACCTATGGCTTCAAGGAACTTTCCAGGACTTTACTCCTACCCAAATAATCTTTTTCTCTTTTTGCTTGTTTTTTTCAGTATAAATTCCCTAAGTAAATCAACCTCACCAATACAACCACTCCTCACTGCTCTCAAGCTTGAACACTCTATAAACCTTACACAGTCCTTCTTGCTGCAAGCTAACTCTTCCTTTGCTCTGGAATGCTGGACGTGCTTATCGCTGTTTTCCTCAGCCTACACAGCCCTTCCCGCACCCCTTCATGACCTTTCAGGAGGGAGCATAACCCTAATTTATAAATTCCAAAAAGGAGCTTCCTTTTTTGAAAGAGCTGACACCCTTGTTGATGATTATCCTACTTGCAGGGCCAATCAGGCTATCAAATTATTTCAAATCTATTACAACTCCTTGCAATGCCTCAAGCCCCAAGGCCCTCCCATTAAAGGGCCTATAACTAAACACACCCACCTTTTACAACATGCCTCACTTTGCTTTTCAGCCTCTGAGGGAAATCTCCCTGTAGGATCCTTAACACCTAACCAGTGCAACCATACTATCATTTTTAAATACTCCCTGACCATCAAACTAACCAAGTTAACTACCAAATATCACTTGAAGCATATGGAGCATTTCTCTGTCCGGCTCATTTTATGGCCTCTCCCTCAACCAATACCTCCTGCATAACTTGTGCTGTCCCTTGTGCCCACCTTTTTCCATGGCTCAATATCAATGGTGCAACATCTGATCAAATTAAGTGTGTAAAAAATAACTCTTCCTATGTTTCTACTATAATAGGTGTCTCTGTGGCCTCCTCTTTGTCCATCTGGAGTAATGAATGACAGGAAAGGAAAAACACTCCATCTTTAGTTCACTTATTCCCCTTCCATATCTCTGCCTGTATACACGACAAGGCCTGTACTTTTTGTGTGGCACCAACACATATCTTTGTCTCTCTACCAATGGAGAGACAGAGTCTCGCTCTGTTACCCAGGTTGAAGTGCAGTGGCACAATCTCTGCTCACTGCAAGCTCCACCTCCCAGGTTCACACCATTCTCTCACCTCAGCCTCCCGAGTAGCTGGGACTACAGGTGCCCACCACCACTCCCTGCTAATTTTGTTTTTGTATTTTTAGTACAGACGGCAGGATCGTGGCCATTCCACAGACAACTATGCAAAAACACCTACAGACGGCATTGCTCCTATAGTCAACCTGAGACCAGAAAACTCTCTGTCCCCTCATCAGCAAGAAGTAGCCAGAAAGAACATGCTACCCCTCATCTTTGTTATAACTATGGTGTCTGGATTGACAGAGTAGGAGCGTCGCCATCTTGGACAAGCCCCTCATTCTAAAGTTCACCTTGATCAAAAACTGCCTAAATCCAAAGGGCGTCAGCCTAATGGCTAAGGTCAGCACAACCATAAACCACAAATAACATCTCCAAACAGAAACATTCCAAACTCCTCAACGACCAGAGACATGCTAGCCCCAAGATAACCTCCCTCCGGCCAGGAAGACGCCAGCCTTGTGATAACCCCTCTCTGGCCAGAAAGATGTTATCCCCAAGATAACCTCCCCTCCACCCAGAGACATTTCAATCCCTCCATAAAACTTCTCCCTCACACAGAAGAATTCCAAGCTTGTGATAGGCACCCTCACCCTAAAACCAATATATACTCTTAGTCTGTAAGAGAAAGTGCTCCTGACCAAAATTGGCCAGAAGCCCCACAGTTATATTTTCTCAAAAATAAATCTGTCTCTAACTGTTGAGCCGCATTTTGTGTTTCTTTACTCTTTCTTTAACTCTTACACAAAGCATTATGGATTTGTGTTTTGAGCTCTCCAAGTTTGTTTGAGCAAATTTCTAATCCAAACTTGGTTAGAAATTTATGACAGAAATATGACTGGGTTCAGGATCCCATTGGATTTGATAATTAACTGGATGGAATCCAGTTAGAGGTCCCTTTTCTCTGAATAGGTCAGATATCAACCAATAGTAAATGACAATATTACAGGGCATATAAACTTTGGTTTTTGGAAATTGACAGAGTTTTTTTATGTTCTAGTGCTTTTGTTTCTTTTTCTTATGACCTTAGGCAGGGAAAAATTGTTGGCTAAATTGATCAAGAAGAACAGTGCCAAAGCCAAGATTCAAGGTAAAAATGGGATTCTTAATTTCTTAAGAACTGAATAATCCACCTCCTAGCTATGGCTACATTTACATATATAAGTATTAGACCCCAGAAGCAGCAAATTCTTAAAGAAATGGCAAAAACATACTAAAGGTAATTTGAAATTACAATGGAATGTTCCAAATAAACAATACTGCATTTTAAGAGGTGTATTTGAAAATGAGGTTTTTCTAATTAGTCTTATCTAGGAATGACTGTTGATGTGCACAAGCTTATAAAAAGATTTCAATATTGTTTTTTAAAAAGACAATAAGAGGCAAAGGAAAAGGCTTAAGTGAATCACTGGTAAGACAATTAACTATGCTACACTTTTAAACTATGCTCTTCCTGAAGGTGAGAAAAAAGTTATCCTAGATAAAGTGTTTATAAAAGGTAGGCCCGGCTGGGCATGGTGGCTCACACCTGTAATCCCAGCACTTTAGGAGGCGGAGGTGGGCGGATCATGAGGTCAAAAGATCGAGACCATCCTGGCCAACATGGTGAAACCCCATCTCTACTAAAAATACAGAAATTAGCTGGGTGTGGTGGTGCACGTCAGTAGTCCCAGCTACTTGGGAAGCTGAGGAAAGAGAATTGCTGGAACCTGGGTAGTGGAAGTTGCAGTGAGTCGAGATCACGCCACAGCACTCCAGCCGCCCTCAGTCTCAAAAAAAAAAAAAAAAAAAAAGGTAGACCCTCAGCTAAAATAGGCTCACACCTTTTTCAGATTTATCCTTCCTGACTCCAGCCATAAGAGAATGCTTTCTTTGCCCTGTTCTTTAATGGGCTCCACCCTAAACTCGGTGATTTTAGTTAGGAAAGAGGAGCTAAGTTAAAAAGACCACATATTAAACTAAAACACCTCTTCTTGGAGTTTAACTGGTTGTTTTGAAAACATTTTGTAAAAGA
This sequence comes from Homo sapiens, assembly GCF_000001405.40. Lineage (NCBI taxonomy): Eukaryota > Metazoa > Chordata > Mammalia > Primates > Hominidae > Homo > Homo sapiens. Next base: position 42,382,787 of record NC_000010.11, on the reverse strand, counting down.
AATTTACATCTATTAAGAAAATCTCCATTTGTAAGGTGTCTGCCTGTGTACGTTAGAAACTCTTATTATTTTAAAACTCACACATTATACCTTTGTTTAAGGTGCTTTCTATTTTGTCTTAACTAAACTTTTACTTACACCATACTTTTCTTGGTTTGAGTTAATGATACAATATTTTTGCCTTTCACAGATTGTAAGGATTGGGAAAAAAAGCAAATACAAAACCAATATTTTTCCCTAAAGTGTTAGCTTTGTGCTTTAAAAATATAAGTGTTCTTGTTTCACCCAAGAGTTGTTCCTTTAGACATGCAAATTAGTTGCCTAGCTAACAATCATTTAGGGCAAAGAAGCAGGAAATTGGAAGATTGATATGTTGAATAGGGAAATTAAAAGTATTTAAAAGTCAGCAAATGAGAATTTTTAAATGAAAGCTGTAAAATCTGCTTCTGTCTGTGTGTTTGTGCTATGTGTATGTGACAATATGTTGTAAATAAAACATGTTTTAAAATTCCTGGTAAATAGAACTGGCTTCAAAATTATCAGTTAGATATACTTTGATACTTGCTTGATGTGACTGTTGTCTTACAATTTTGGTTTTGAGTCTGTGGATTCAGGGGTCTGGATAGGTGAACATGGTGAGGCCTGGGGACAAGCACTCATTGCCTAGACCATCAGCTGAAGGCAGCATCAAGTGCAATATGACCCTTTTTCTGGCCTAGCTTTGCCTCCTGACAGTTCTGGAAAATGTGGGATCCCTCTCCTGTGCTGAACTTCATACCTGTTATTTCAATTTAGGATTCAATCAGGCCCTGTCCTTCATAGCCATTTTGTGTGCCAATGGCTATTTGAGACCCAGTGAAATGGCCTCATTGCCTGAGGTATCACCAGAAGTTCTTTGTCTCATGACTAGGAAAATTAAGAAGCACAGACAGCAAGGGTGAGATGGGAGCAAAAGTTTAATAAGCAAAAGAAGAAAGCTCTCTGCCATGGAGAGGGGGCCCAAAAGAGGGTTGCCATTTCACAGTTGAATACAAAGGCTTTTGTGTGTATGTGTTTGTGTGTGTGTGTGTGTGTGTTTGTGTGTGATGGAGTCTTGATCTGTTGCCCAGGCCAGAGTGCAGTGGTGTAATCTCGGCTCACCACAACCTCTGTCTCCTGGGTTCAAGGAATTCTTCTACCTCAGCCTGCCAAGTAGCTGGGACTACAGGCGTGCATCACCATGCCCGGCTAATTTTTGTATTTTTAGTAGAGATGGGGTTTCACTATGTTGGCCAGGCTGGTCTTGAACTCCTGACCTTGTGATCCGCCCACCTTGGCTTCCCAAAGTGCTGGGATTACAGGTGTAAGCCACGGCGCCCAGCCGAATACAAAGACTTTTACGGGCAAGATAGTGGGGCAGGATGTTTTATTTACATAAGGTGCAAAAAACCGGTTAGAAGTATGTATTTTATTTGCATAAGGCACGAATTCCTGACAGCTTCACCCTGTCCTTCTAGTATGCACATGAACTCTTAGTCTAAGTTATTCCATGTTGTTTAACTTTCCTTAACTGTGGATATGTTAGGTGACAGAATTTTCCATTGTGGATGTGCCTGGTTCCTCTTATCTGTGCAACTACAGGCATGTTCCAAGCAAGCCCCCTGACTGTGCAAGTTCCCTTATCTAAGTATGTCCTCAAAAGGAAAGGAATGTGTTCACTGAGGCCCACCATATATATGTGAAACTTGCTGATTACACAGAAGGCATTTTTTTTTTTTAATGTTGGACCTTACTTACTTATCTGTTTTGCAGCCTGATCTTTCAGGCAACTCTCTTGTTATAAAAGGAATTTTTCTGAGGACTTTGTTCTAAATATCTGCTTAATTGATTGGTTCCTTTCTCTTCTTCTTCTTCTTTTTTTTTTTTTTTCGAGACGGAGTCTCACTCTCGCCCAGGCTGGAGTGCAGTGGTGCAATCTCGGCTTACTGCAAGCTCTGCCTTCTGGGTTCACGCCATTCTCCTGCCTCAGCCTCCCGAGTACCTGGGACCACAGGAACCCACCACCACGCCCGGCTAATTTTTTTATTTTAGTGGAGACGGGGTTTCACCGTGTTAGCCAGGATGGTCTCGATCTCCTGACCTCGTGATCCACCCACCTTGGCCTCCCGAAGTGCTGGAATTACAGGCGTGAGCCACTGCATATGGCCCTTTTTTTTTTTTTTTTTTTGAGACACAGTCTTGTACTGTTGCCCAGGCTGGAGTGCAGTGGTGCGATCTCGGCTCACTGCAACCTCCACCTCCTGGGTTCAAGCAGTCCTCCTGCCTCAGCCTCCCAAGTAGCTGGGACTACAGGCACACACTGCCACGCCCAGCTAACTTTTTGTGTTTTAATAGAGATGGGGTTTCACAATGTTGCCCAGGCTGGTCACGAACTCCTGAGCTCAGGCAATCCACCCACCTCAGCCTCCCAAAGTGCTGGGATTACAGGCGTTGAGTCACCGTGCCCTGGCCTTTCTCTTCTTTCACCAGGATGACTGAGAAAGACATTAGAGAATGTACCCAGGTCATAGTTTCAAAATCCTTTTCAATAATTTAAGATCTTAAAGACATGTTATGTTAATTTAATAATGTTTATAAAATCAAAGTCATTTGTACATTAAAATACTAAAACATTAATTATTAAATATCACCTTAAGTTTATATGCTTTGGTATCTTATTTTTATGTGATATAGAAAAGCTGAGTATATTTAGATCTGTTAGTAAAAAGAACATTGAAGACACATTTCTTTAAACAATTATAAAATAATTTTTATATACAAATATGGATACAAAACTATTCAAAATTGCTTTCTAGGGATTTCGCTAAAAATGAGAATTACTAAGAGTTAATGGAATTAATTATAAATATAAGTACATCTGTAATGTGTAAGACAAACAATTCTGCATAATTTGCAAACAAGCAAGATGTGCTTTTGATGAGGAAAGTTATAAAGGCATTAAAATATGTGTTTGTTTAAAAAAATTTTTCAGTTTTGTCAGATGTGTTTGAACCAGAACAAATTTATCTCATATAAGGGCTGGGTAAAATAAGGCTGAGACCTTCTGGGCTACATTCCAAGGGTGGTTAGGCATTCTAAGTCACAGGATGAGACAGGTCTGCATGAGATACAGGTAATAAAAACCTTGCTGATAAAACTGCATATGGTAAAGAAGCTGGTCGAATCCCACCAAAACCAAGATGGCAATGAGAGTGACCTCTGGTCCTCCTCACTGCTCATATGCTAATTATAATACATTAGCACGCTAAGAGACACGTCCACCAGCACCATGATAGTTTACAAATGCCATGGCAATATCAGTGAGTTACCATATATGGTCTAAAAAGGGGAAGACTCCTTAGCTCCAGGGATTGCCCACCCCTTTCCTGGGAAACTTTCCACCCCCTGTTTAGCATGTAATGAAGAAATAACCATAAAAATGGGCTACCAGTGGCCCATGCTGCTGCTCTGCCTATGGAGTAGCCATTTTTTATTCCTTTACTTTCCTGATAAACTTGCTTTTATTTTACTCTATGGATTTGCCTCAAATTCTTTCTTGTGCAAGATGCAAGAACCCTCTTTTAGGGTCTAGATTAAGACCCGTTTCTGGTAACATTTTTCTGGTGAACCACAAAGGGATGATAATGAGGAGACCCCTGACCCAAAGAAAGTAGACTGTACCACTGATTGGCTGACTTTGTAAGTGAGGTGCATTTACCCAGGTAAAGGATGGGATTGGGTTAGAAGCCCAACTTAGGGGAGTTAGAATCTCTCCTAAGACACAGAGTGTTAAAGGCCTCTCTTAAAAAAAGGCAAGGATGCTTGACCAGCCTTGGGTTTGAGGCCCAACTTAGGAAGGTTAACGTCCTTCCTACGATTTAGGGGGTTAGAGGCCACCCTTTCAGTAAAGTCCCTCTTGGCTAAGAATGGGTTTGACACTATGGGATGTTAACTGCTATTTTCTTTAGATTAATCTGCCTTGCACTCTCTGCTGATGGTTGTGGGTGACAGGATTAGGCATGTACAGGATTGTGGAACATGGTGAGCTTTTACCTCCCCAAAAGGGAGAAACTTGAGAGCTGATGGAACTGCTGGAAAAGATCTTTTCAACACTGATGAGTGGCTGCCTGAACTTTTGATTCAGTGTTGCTGCAGTGAATGAGTCTCTCTCTGGCCCCCCTGAGCTTCTTGCCTTCCCCACCCCACCATAGGCAATGCTTTTCTCCCTTCCCTTTCCTTTATCTCTCTGTGCAAACCGATTGAATGAATGGTAAGCATCACTGTTTATCTCCTCTGTAAAGTGTTGATTAATCAGAAGAAGGATTTGTTAGGCTAGTTAAGCTGTAGCCGATCTGTTGTACTTTGTGCTATGATTATGTCTTTCTGTATCTTTCTGTCAGAAAGATGGGTAACTTAGGATAGAACATGAGCTTGGGGCCCCATAAGTCCACTGTTCAAGACACCCCAGCAAACTGGTCAGTTAAGTCCTTGGGAACTTGACCTTGTAACCATGTGGCAGTACTTTCTCTTGGTCTCCTCCTTCCAGGGAACAGGAATTCAGGGGTTCATGTCATAGTTAAGTCTAAAAATTATCTTGAGCAGTGAAAAGCCTTTAAAAGCTCAAAATTTGCTACTCTAGACTCCTTCTGGGAAGAGCAATAGAAACCACCTAGTGCTGTAGCTTAGCAGTGAAGGCTTTGCTGTTTTACAATGGTGGGCCCGGGTTTGATTCCCAGCTTAGGGAATGACTCCTTTCTGGTTTGAGTGACCTCTTCCTAGTTTGACATCTGCATGACCTTTATCATTTGTTGATTCTCTTCCCCTCCACCAATGATCTTGAATTTTCCTTTCACTGAGCACAGAAATATTGGCCATTTGGCCTGGCTAAAGTCGGGTGATAAAAGATTTTAAATGGGCTGGGAGTGAGAGGAGAGAAAGACCCTCTCGCTTTGTTTTATATTGTTTCATATTCAGTAAAAAGAACAAGGAAGTAAAACCAAAGACAGGCAGCCGGGCGCCAGGCCCGAAACCAGGCCTGGGCCTGGCTGGCCTAAACCCAGTAGTTAAAAATCAACTTATGATTTAGAAGCTGATGTTATTCATAGATTCCTTACATTGTATAGAAGAACATTGTGAAACTCCCTGCCCTGTTCTATTCCTCCCTGACCACCGGTGCATGCAGCCCCTGTCACGTACCCCTTGCTTGCTCAAATCAATCACGACCCTTTCACATGAAATCTTTAGTGTTGTGAGCCCTTAAATGGGACAGAAATTGTGCACCCGGGGAGCTCGGATTTTAAGGCAGTAGCTTGCCGATGCTCCAAGCTGAATAAAGCCCTTCCTTCTACAACTTGGTGTCTGAGAGGTTTTGTCTGCGTCTTGTCCTGCTACAAGCGTGGTGGCTCTTTCCTATGCAAGCACTTTGGGAGCACTTTGCCAGCACTTCGGGAGGCCAAGGCAGGCAGATCACCTGAGGTTGGGAGTTCAAGACCAGCCTGACCAACATGGAGAAACCCCATCTCTACTAAAAACACAAAATTAGCTGGGCGTGGTCACATATGCCTGTAATCCCAGCTACTTGGGAGGCTGAGGCAGGAGAATCGCTTGAACCCGGGAGGCGGAGGTTGCAGTGAGCCTAGATCATACCATTGGACTCCAGCCTGGGCAACAAGAGAGAAACTCCATCTCAAAAAAAAAAAAAATTAAAATGATTTTTTTTAAAGAGCACTATGGTTAAAAGCTTAATTAAAAGTGGCTATTTAAGCTCTAACAGCCTGGAAATCCATGGGAAAAACAAAGGAGGCACCACAGACTCGGTTTTTAAGGCTGAGACCTATTTGGCTGGATTCTAAGGAGGTTAGGCATTCTAACTCACAGCATGAGATAGGAGGTCTGCATGACACAGAGGTCACAAAGACCTTGCTGATAAAATAAGATGTGTTAAAGAAGCTGGCCAAATCCCACCAAAACCAAGATGGTGATGAGAGTAACCCTTGGTCATCCTCACTGCTCATTATATGATAGTTATAATGCATTAGCATGCTAAGAGACACTCACATCAGCACCATGACAGTTTACAAATGCCATGGCAACATCAGGAGGTTACCCTATATGGTCTAAAAACAGGAGGAACCTTCAGCTCCAGGAATTGCCCACTACTTTCCCAGGAAACTCATGAATAATTCACCCTTTGTTTAGCATATAATTAATAAATTATCATAAAATGGGCAACCAGAGCCCAATGCCACTGCTCTGCCTATGGAATAGCCATTCTTTATTCCTTTACTTTCCTAATAAACTTGCTTTCAATTTACTCTATGGATTTGCCTCTAATTCTTTCTTGCATGAGATCCAAGAACCCTCTTTTGGGGTCTGGATCATCTGGTAACAGTTTAAAGTTACCAAAAGATTGTTTCAAATTAAAAGCACAAAAAGGATGCAGATAAAACTAAAATATAAAAAGTTTAAGAAATTTAATTACAAGAAATTATAAAAATGTATGGAAATCTAGTGTGGTCAAAAGATGACAGATTTGATAGATTTATTTATAAGTTCTTATTTAAAAATAGCTTTAGTATTGATAAACTAATATAAAAGTAAACTTTGATTTTTGAACAAAATTGTATTGATATGTATTATTAATAAAAGAAAGCAAATATTTTTGTTCACCTTTTGAGTAAACGAAAAGGAGAGTAGAGAAAAGACAGACTTTATTTCACGCTGTTTTTCTCAAGTCTGTTTATTGGAAAACTGAGTCTCCTCTATCAAAGAGTAAAGTGTTTTGTTTTTTGAAAACATTTTTTGAGACAGGATCTTGCTCTGTCACCCAGGCTGGAGTGCAGTGACACAATCATGTCTCACTGCAGCCTTGACCTCCCAGGCTCAAACAATTATCTCGTCTCAGCCTCCTCTGTAACTGGGACCACAGACACATACCGCCGTGCCCAGCTAATTTATATATATATATAAAATACACACACATACACATATATATACACACCCATATATATATATTTATATGCATAGTAATATTTATATATTTATATATATTATGTTCATATATATTATATAATATTATATATTTTTATATATAGTAAAAAATATATATATTTTACTGATGGGGTTTTGTCAGGCTGGTCTTGAACTCCTGGGCTCAAACCAGGACAGCCAGATTTCCTTATTCAGCCTCCCAAAATGCTGGGATTACAGTCATAAGTTACCATGCTCAGCCCTAAATTATTTTAATTATTCCTTCGGCTACATGAATGACTGTTATTTTGTGATGACCTTTGATCATATGTTAGTCAAATGTTTTAAACCTTTGACATATTTGACAGGCTTCCCAACATCAAATTTGAGCTCCAAAATTGTCTTTTCTTTTACTCAACTTTGGGATGTTACAGAGGGACCCCGCAGCATCCAAAAAAGAGGTAAATGGGATTACAGAATATGTTAAACTACATGGAAATTATTGTCAAATGAATAATGATGTTTAACTTTCTTCAAGTTATATATATATACACATACATATACAATATATACGTATATACACATATACATATATACGTATATACACATATACAAACAAATATATATATGTATACACATATACACATATATGTGTATATACGTATATACACATATATGTGTATATGTGTATACATACTTATATATATTTGTTTGTTTGTTTTTGTTTTGAGATGGAGTCTTGCTCTATTGCCCAGGCTGGAGTGCAGTGGCCCGATCTCAGCTCACTGCAACCTCCACCTCCTCAGTTCAAACGATTCTTCTGCCTCAGCCTCCTGAGTAGCTGGGACTGCAGGTGGGTGCCACCACACCTGGCTAATTTTTGTATTTTTAATAAAGATGGGGTTTCACCATGTTGGCCATGCTTGTGTCAAACCCCTGATATCGTGATACACCGCCTCAGCCTCCCAAAGTGCTGGGATTGCAGGAGTGAGCCATCATGCTAGGCCTCAAGTTATCTTTTAATAAATATGTTATTAATGTTTGTTCCAAAATTATGTGGAATTTCTAAAGTTCTAATATATCTGAATGTACACTATCAGTTATAATTATGGTTATTTTGATAAATTACTGTAGGCCACAGATATAACCAAATTTCCCTGACAGCTGTATCTTTTTTGTTTATTTGTTTGTTTTGAGTCTCTCTGTGTCTCCCAGGCTGGAATACAGTGGTGCGATCTCGGCTCACTGCAGCTTCTGCCTCCCGAGCTCAAGTGATTCTCCTGCCTCACCCTCCCAAGTAGCTGGGACCACAGGCGCCTATCACCATGCCCAGCTAATTTTTGTACTTTTAGTAGAGACGTGGTTTCACCATGTTGGCCAGGCTGGTTTTGAACTCCTGACCTCAAATGATCCACCCACCTCAGCCTCCCAAAGTGCTGGGATTACAGGCATAAGCCACTGCGCCCAGCCACCAACTGTGTATTTAAGTATGACCATTTTAAGTCATATCTATAGTTACTGACTTAATTCTGATGCAGTTTCTAAAAACTTCACAAGCACACAAAATATTAGAGTGTTATGTCTTTAAGGAGGTCATGAAAAGAGTGGTAAGAACCCAGACATGTTGCATACAGGTTTTAGATAACTTTAGGATTGTATCATTTGGACTGGGTAACAACCCTCAGAACTCTAATGAAGGGAATGACTTATAAAACTCCTAATCAAAGCGAGACAAAAATTAATTGAATACCAAGAAAATGTTTTGCCAGATTTTCATACTAAACTAGCCAGTGCTGAGATTGTTTAGATATGCAATTTGAATGAACTCTGTGGTTCAAGTCAAATTCCCTATGATAAGCCATCAGTTATTAGTGCTATGCATCTAAATTGGAGAAACAAACCTGGTATTTAAAAGGACATGAATCCACTGTTAAACATGAACTTGTGGAGAAGCTAGACAGCTACCTGGTTTTTCCTGAGTCTTCAAGGCTTTTATTATTAAAAGCTCTGCATTTCATGACTCATGGAAGAGAAAAAATAATCCAAATTAAATAAATTAAATGTGTGTGTGTGTGTCATGTATGTATGGTGATTGTTTTAAATTGCTAACATAGTTTATAACCATTGTTTGGTTTATCAAATCTATAATTCTAGGAAGACAATTAAAACTTCATGTATATTTTTGAAACCTGATGGGTCATTTAAACATTTGTACACAGGTTTTATTCAATTGTCATTTTCAATGCATGTTTTCTGGTTGTATAAAAACTTTCCCATGCAAGAAGGCTGATGTTACAACAGTAACTAAAATGTTATTAGAAAATATGTTTTTTCATTGGACATTTCTGATAAAACCTTCAATGATAGAAGTACTTATTTCACTGGAAAAGTTGTAAAACTGTAAAATGAATTATTACAGATGCTACAGCATTAAGCAAGGATAACTGAATTGACTGGATTACCTTGGTCAAATGTATTGCAGATTGATGACAATCTGATCCACTTAGTGTGGACAACATCAGTTGACCCTTAAGAAATACTCATTGGAAGGTCCATTCACTTAATAATAGAACTGCATGTATTTTCTGTTACTAAATTGTGATGTGGTTTAATGCAGCAAGGCTTTAATGCATTATGCCAAGGCATATTTTTTTCCAGGTAAAGAAAGCTTTTAATGGTCCACCAACTGAAGGACAATAATCCCATTATAATCTATAACCAAGATACTGAATATCTCCTTTTTATCCACACTGTGGCAGAACTTTGGGACCTTGAACCCCTGGGTTTATAATCTTACATTTCAGAAGGTCCTCTCCAGATTCTTGGAATTTTATTTAACTTAATCAATTAATTAATTTATTTTTGAGACAGAGTCTCGCTTTGTCGCCAGGCTGGAGTGCAATGGCGTGATCTCCCTGGTTCAAGTGATTCTCCTGCCTCAGCCTCCTGAGTAGCTGGGATTACAGGCACGCACCACCACGCCCAGCTAATTTTTGTATTTTTAGTAGAGAGGGGTTTCACAATGTTGGCCAGGATGGTCTTGATCTCCTGACCTCATGATCCGCCCACCTTGGCTTCCCAAAGTGCTGGGATTACAGGCATGAGCCACTAAGCCCTGCCAGAATTTTATATACATCAGAGACCTTTAGGTAAAGCTAACCAGATAAATTTGTCCTCAGAAGCAGATGACATTCTTAACACAGCATTTTCTCTAAGATTATGAATCAAAACTTCTCTGCTGTCATGAGACTCTTAGCTCTGTTTTTTCCTGCTTATGGCCCTACAAACAATAGAAATAAAAAAGCAGTCTTTTGTCCCCTCATGGAGTATACTATCTATGCAGAGGATTTTGCAGCCAACTTTATACATGGACAAACTTATGCCTTGAGAGATGAAAGATGAAGGGCCAGTGTGGGTGAGAAATATTAATGGGACTTTTTTTCCTTATAATATCAGAAAAGGAACATTGGCCCACTGCTCTTAACCTACTTACTTCATAGGTTAAATAGAAATTTTTCAGTATAAAGGGCATTGCCAGAAGGCCTTCACTCTTCTGGATGGGTATCAATTGTTAGATTTCTTTTTTCATGGTTTAGAGTAAATAACGCAATGATTAGTAATTTAACCCCCATAATAGGCTCTGTAGCAGATTCTACTGTAAAGGCTACACAACAGACTTTAAATTCTGTTGTGAACATTGTGCTAAGTATAGAATTATGTGCTTACTGGACAAACAGAGAAGTATCTGTGCAGTTACTGATACTTGTAGTTGCACATAAAAGAATACTTTGGATATTACAGAGATTCAGTTGTCTGGAATTAATAAACAAACTACTTGATCAAAATCAGTAGTAAACCCTTTATTTAGCTCATTCTTTGATCTATTTAATTTTAGTTGGTTCGTTTCATGTGATCCCTGGCCAAAATGCATACTCCAAACTCTTGGTATTTTTCACTTGGTAGTCTCCCTGGTGCACTGTATTCTCTCAAAAGCTATAAATGTTTGCATGCAGCCATCTCTCGAATGTCAAATAGTTCCTTTTTAACTGGAATCACAAATTCAAAGAAATATGTAACCATGAGGACACAGTAACCTGTGAATGATGTGATGAGACTGGAAACCCAAAACCATGGTAACTGAGAGTGGCGCTAAGGCCCTGAGTTTTGGCCACACTCTCACTGAAGTAAGAACCTGATTTTAAGAAAGGTGGGTTTTGGCCGGGCGCGGTGGCTCACATCTGTAATCCCAGCACTTTGGGAGGCCGTGGCGGGCGGATCACGAGGTCAGGAGATCAAGACCACGGTAAAACCCTGTCTCTACTAAAAATATAAAAAAATTGCGAGACTCTGTCTCAAAAAAAAAAAAAAAAGAAAAGAAAAAAATTAGCCGGGCACGATGGCGGGCGCCTGTAGTCCCAGCCACACGGGAGGCTGAGGCAGGAGAATCACTTGAACCCGGGAGGCGGAGCTTGCAGTGAGCCGAGATCGTGCCAATGCACTCCAGCCTGGGCGACAGAGAGAGACTCCGTCTCAAAAATAAAATAAAATAAAATTTAAAAACAGGTGTTTTTTTTTTTTTTTTTTTTTGAGAAGGAATCTTGCTCTGTCACCCAGGTGCGATCTTGGCTCACCACAACCTCTGACTCCCTGGTTCAAGCAATTCTCCTGCCTCAGCCTCCTGAGTAGCTGGGATTACAGGCATGTGCCACCACGCCCAGCTAATTTTTGTATTTTTAGTGAAGAAGGGATTTCACCACGTTGGCCAGGATAGTCTCGATCTCCTGACCTCGTGATCTGCCCACCAAGGCCTCCCAAAGTGCTGGGATTACAGGTGTGAGCCACAGCACCCAGCCAAAATGGGGGGTTTTTAAACAGACTTGGTGGACACCATTGTTTTGAACTAAGCTCATGCGCTGAGCCCCAACATACCAAGCCAAGCTGAAATGGAGTCACTCATGCTAAACGCAACATAATTGAACTGAAACTTAAAACAAGGATTAATTCTAAAACATACCAGGTTTCGTTTTTCTTCTGTAAACAGAAGGTTTCAACACAAGGAGTTCTCCTCTACTCCAACTCTTAAAAAATAATAACCCAAAGTCATTGTTTCCACTTTACAAAACCCACAGTTCTGCTATTTCACAGTAGGATTTGAGACCAAAGAAGTGCATTTATCACTGGGGCAGGGTAATACTAATATCTAAAATTTTGCTCTATCTTTCAAATTTGAGAGAATGACCAAAAGGGAGGAATTGTTAAATTGAGTTTAGCCTAAATCTGCCTTCCTACATGTTTAATTTTGGTCAAAATTTTCTCTGTACATGGTAAACTAAAACCTAATTGAATGTGTAAACAGACTGTAACCCACTCTTGGGTCAGTCACTGTTTTGGCCAATCAAAGGGGGTCAACTATTCAAACCATGTTCAAATAAGGCAAATCCCAGGCTGTAATAATCTGGTTGTTTCTGTACTTCACTTCTGTTTTCTGTATGTCACTGTGTCTTTCTGACCATTAATCTTCTTCCATTATGTGACTGTGCTTGAGTCTCTCTGAGCCTACTCTGTATCTGGAGGCTGCCAAATTTACAAAGTATTCTTTGCTCAATTACACTCTACTAAATTTAATTTGTCTAAGGTTTTTTTCTTTTAACAGTTTTCAAATTTCTCCTATGATGAAAAATAAGTAAGAGGTTGTTGGGCTTTGATTTCCTTAACTTCTCCCTCAGTCATTTCCCCAGACTATTTCATGTCCTTCTAAAATACTTCTGCAGTTTTTTGAGGGGATTATTCCCAGTGGTAAACAGTACTACTTAGCATGAATATAAAAGGAGTCTGACCTCTATTACGGAAGTGTCACACTTCAGTATTTCCAAGGTCGAGGAAAGCTAGTTGAGTGGTGCAGTCTGTGGAGGCACATGGGCTTTGGAGTCAGGTAGAGTTTATCCAGAGTCCCAGTCCAGCCACTTAGTAGCTGTGGGTCTTCGGACAAGTTTTTTGATGTAAAAGAATTCTATAAACCTAATATGCAAGGAAAGGCAGGGTGATACTGACAGCAAAAATGGCAGCAATTCTTCATCCCTTCTGTATTTATGCCCATAGCAAGGTGCTTTTACAGCTATTAGCATCAAGTGACAGGATCTGTTTTCCAAACTTTGGATCTGGCTGGACTTATCTGCTTAGGGCAATAGAAACCTGTGAACATGACAGTGTGCTAGTTTTGAGCCTAGGCTCAAACGATCTTGAATCCTTCTGTTTTTGTTTTGGAATGCTGCCATCTCCATGAGAACAAGCCCCTGTTACCCAGCTGAAGGCTGAGATATTATGGGGAGGAGAAGCGAGATGCCCCTGTTGACAGTCAGCTTACCCCTGGAAGCAAGCTGCCTACTCAACCAGCAGCTTACCATACATGCCTGATGGAGTTCATCTCAGACCAGAAGAATGGCTCAGTGAGCCAAGCCTAAATGGCTGAGCATGTCAATCATGAGCTACTAAGTTTTTTGTGGTTTTTATGCATCAATAACTAACTAATCCATGCACCCAGTGTAGACAGCCTGGTAGGATTCAAAAACAGATTGATTACTATTACTTGAAAACAGTGAGCATCTCATAGGTATCGATTTTCTTGTCCCTTATTTAAAGTTGGATATCTTGTAAGATAATGTTGAGTAATGCAAAAATGCATGTAGACATGTACACATGTGATTGGTACTTATACTTACACGATCCCCACACTACAGGAGAAAAGAGAAAACCACAGCCTGATTATTAGGGCCATGGCCAAATAGCAAATTACGTTTGCCATTAATTCATTTTCTCCATATCTAAACATTGGAGGTCAAGTCTGTGAGCCAGATCTAAAAACATGGGGTTCCCCTCTCCTGTGGCCCTATCATCCTTTGTTTACTGTCTGATTTCTGGAAAGAAGGCAGGCAGGCAGCAGGTTGGCAGCAATGGTCTACCTGTGAACATTTTATTTTTTCCACCCTCTTCTCCCTGTATGGGCACTGTCTCCTATACCCTTGGATCTGAGGAGAGAAGTTGGTGAGGAGAGGCTGTTTTTTCACCTCTGACAGAAAAGGGATGTTTTACTGGCCCTTCACCCCACTGAAATCAGAGCTGCACTCCTATGTGGCAGCTGCTTGCCATTTGTGGGTACTTAGTGCCTGGAAACTCACTGGTCTAAACTGAGAGTGCTAGAAAGGTAAAATATGGAGTGAGTTTCAAATATTTTGTACCATATATATATATATTCTTCATGCTTATTGATTACATATTAAAATGATAATATTTTGAACATATTGGGTTAAATAAATTGTTACAGTCAGTTTTACCTATTTCTTTCTACTTTTTAAAAATATGGCTACTAGAAAATTTAAAATTCACACATGGCTCACGTTTTACTCCAGAGGAATACCTCCTCCTTGTAATCTCAGGCTGCTTGCTCAAAAGACTAGGGCCAGGAAGATCATGAAATCCAAAATTCTAAAATAATTCTCATTATACTCTTTCCACTTGTGAATAACATAAAACATATTATTTATAAATGGATATGACCTTATACACAAGGTTAAATGCAAATACCCTGTAGGGTAGGCCCTGCTCAGAGCAGGGATAAAGGCCTGCCAGGAAAGGCTGCAGCCTAGGTTGTCACTCCGTCCTCATTGAGTCCAGTGTTTGGTCACATCTTCTGTCACTCACGGACTGGGGACGGGGCCTGAAGCTTTATCCAATAAGGGGCACGGGGCCGAAAACCGGGCAATCAGGCTGCAGCTGGAGAGGACAAGGGCGGCTTCCGGGTGTTGGCGGGGGCATTTGTCTCCTGCCGCAGCTGGGGCTGCAGATCTAGTCTTCAGTTCACAGAGAACTGCCCCCCAACTGCTCCCCCGTACTCTGCTCCTACAGGCCCAGCTGCTGTGGCTGTGCGACCTGCAGGGACTGGCAGACCCGTAGCTAAGACGCCAGGATTTCCTGGAAGCAGAGAAATGGTGAGTGCCGGCTCGACATCCCAAGAGATGGGGGGCAGGCTAGGCTCCGCTGCCGAAGCGGCGGTAGCGTGACTGGGCCTCCCTGCAGTCGTCTTCTAGGTTTGTGGACCCGAGTCCCTCCTGGCCCAGCTCGGCCACAAATGTCGGCTGGACTGGAAGCTGGGACCCCGGGCTCCAGTCCCCTGCCTGTGTGGCGACACCGGCTCCCCAGTCTGGAGCCCTCCCTGTGCCACTCGGCTCCCACAGCCACGCGTCTTCCCCAGCGTGTGCGGGGATGATTGGAGCGTCATCACGGGAGAATCTCGACTCGGTGAGCAGGATTTGTGGATGCAAAGAGGTGTATTTGTGGGGTCCCCGGTCCCTCTTTTCTCCTGTTAAAAATGTAACGGGGAGGGTGGGGGCCGGGCGCGGTAGCTCATGCCTGTAATCCCAGCACTTTGGGAGGCCCAGGCGGGCGGATCTCGAGGTCAGGAGCTCGAGACCATCGTGGCTAACATGGTGAAACCCCGTCTGTACTGAAAATACAAAGAAACAAACAAACAAAAAACGAGCGTGGTGGCGGGCGCCTGCAGCCTCAGCTACTCCGGGTGGGGGGGGTGTGGGCTGAGGCAGGAGAATGGCGTGAACCCGGGAGGCGGAGCTTGCAGTGAGCCTAGATCACGCCACTGCACTCCAGCCTGGAGGACAGAGCGAGACTCCGTCTCACAAAAAAAAAAAAAAAAAAAAAAAAAAAAAAAAAAAAAGTGAGGGGGTCACTGCAAAAATATTTAAAAATTTCGGCAAAGAGCGATTCAAGAATCGTAGAGCACCCAACTATTGTTTTTAGTTGTCCATTGTGAGGGCTTGAAGGAAATGCGGTTTTTTTTTTTTTGGAGACAGAGTCTCGCTCTGTCTCCCAGGCTGGAGTGCAATGGCGCAATCTCGGCTCACTGCAACCTCCGCTTCCCGGGTTCATGTGATTCTCCTGCCTCAGCCTCCCGAGTAGCTGGGATTACAGGCGCCCGCCACCATGCCCGGCTAATTTTTTTGTATTTTTAATGGAGGGTTTCACCAGGTTAGCCAGGCTGGTCTCGAACTCCTGACCTCAGGTGACCCACCCGCCTCGGCCTCCCAAAGTGCTGGGATTGCAGGAGTGAGCCACTGCGCCCGCCCGAAGGAAACGCTTTTACGAGAGGCAGTGAGGAAGCAAATCGAATTCAATAATTGGTTGGATACAGTAATGTAGTCGCCTTATTTGTACGATGCAGGTGGGAAAGTTTTGGTTATGTAATCAGAGGTTTATTGGAGGTTTGTGGTTGCTTAAGCCTGAATTTTGTTTACCGCAAGGCAGAAATTTACTAGAAGTGCCTTTGAGTTAAATTTTTTTAAACTTAGGAACTCAGGGCACCAGAGCCACCTTGGTCTAATTGCCTGCTATCTAATTATCTTCACACTCCACTGGGGACTAGTTTTCCCTTGCATTTTCCAAATATGGCTCAAGCAGGGTCTCAAGTCTACCTCCCCGTCACCGTTCCTCCAGCCTAACCCTCTCTTGTAGTAAAATACTAACTTTCCAGTTCTTTCTGACATTCTCAAATGCTAACTTCCCCTCCATGGTTCACAACATTACCGTTATTTCTACTTTACTGTACATTTCAGACACAGTATTTTAATTAATCATTTTTTCACAAAGCATTGGATAACACTTTTAGAAAGATTTGTTTTCTGTTCGTAACCATTTCACGTGAGAAAAAAGCACAGTTGTCTTCTGATACTTAATTGTAAAAGACCTTTGTGCCTCTTATGTTCTCTACTCATAGGTGGGAATTGAACAATGAGAACACTTGGACACAGGAAGGGGAACATCACACACCCGGGCCTGTCCTGAGTTGGGGGGAGGGGAGAGGAATAGCATTAGGAGATATACCTAATGTAAATGACGAGTTAATGGGTGCAGCACACCAACATGGCACATGTATACATATGTAACAAACCTGCACGTTGTGCACATGTACCCTAGAACTTAAAAGTATACAAAAAAAAATACAAAAAAAACCTTCGTGCCTCCTTTTATCTTCCCTAGGCACAGATATCTTATCAGAATGTCTTTTTTTTTCTTTTGCGACAGAGTCTCACTCTGTCGCCCAGGCTGGAGTGCAGTGGTGTGATCTTGGCCCACTGCATCCTCACCTCCCAGGTTCAAATGATTTTCTTGCCTCAGCCTCCGGAGCAGCTGGGATTACAGGCCTGTGCTACCATGCCCGGCTAATTTTTGTATTTTTAGTAGAGACCAGGTTTCACCATATTGGTCAGGCTGTTCTCGAACTCCTTACCTTAAGTGATCCACCCACCTCAGCCTCCCAAAGTGCTGGGATTATAGGCGTGAGCCACCATGCCTGGCCCAGAATGTCTTTGAGTTGGGGTTGCCTTTGGAATTTTTACAAGGTGATGTGTCCTCAGATATGATCCAGTTTTATCTTGGTCCTGGGTTTCATACTGTCTAGGGATAACCCAAAATACTCACCTTGGCCATGTCTGCTAGAGTGTCCCATGAATATCAGCTTCTGAGTCATTTTCCTTCCAGAAGACAACCTGAGTTAAAGAATGTAGCCTCTCAAGGGAGCAGGTGGATGCCCTGGGTCAGAGAGACATCTCCTGGTGTACCCTTCCTCTAAAAAGCTAACCCCTTGAGACATTAAGTTTGCCTTCATCCAACCCAGCTTCCATTTCTTGGAGACATATTGCTGGTCAGCTAATCAGATGCTGGTACTGAGGTTAAAAGAGAGAAATAATTTTTGCCCTTGATTCTTTCAGATTTGTGAAGGAAAGAAAATAGTCCAAAAAACAAAAACTACCCAACCCAGTGAGATGGTGCAAGAACCTGCAAAGTAAAATGCACTTGAGGCCCTCACTGGGGCATAGCATAGTTTCTCCTGGAGCATGGTCATTGAGCACTTAAGCGATCAGGATGAGGGTGGGAGGATCTCTCATTTGTTGGATGGCCTGACTTGACACATGAATCAAACACATCTGTATTCCAATGAGCATTTGAATTTCTAGGTTTTTCACCTCGAAGATATTTGTTCACTTATTAGTTTTTTAACTGTAAATTACATTTTATCAGTAGAGCTTGAAAGGTTAAGAAAATATACAAAGGACATGAAAAAGGTAGGTTTCAGGAAAAAATTAAATATTTAGTCATACATTCCATTTGTTAAAAATTCTTATTTGCCTTTTTGTTCCCCAGAGTGAGTGTAGAAAGGTTGTCAAGTGTTTTTTTTTTTTAAGAGAGGGAAGATTCAAACAAAATCCCAGGGCTTAGCTTTGGGAGTGCTACTGGGAAAAAGAATAGGAAAAAATGTTTATTCCATTATGGCTATAGATAATGAATATATTTCTACAAGAAAATATGATAGATCAGTTGGTGAAATGTGTAGATTCATCAAAACAGTTCCGATTTTTGTAGGGTGAATTGTGACAGTGGCTATCTCTGCTCTATATCCTGTTATCTTGATTTTTGAGTATAAATGCTAAATTTTATGAGATGGGACTTGCCACCTCCTAGCAGTGTTCCCAAGTGACTAATTGTTTACTAAATGATTTGTTATAAAATAATTTAATGACATGTTTATTGTCTGAAAGGGATAGTTTTGCTTTTTTTGTTAAGTCATGGAATGTAAGTAAGCACTTTAAAATTTTCTTCTTTTTTTTTTTTTTCTTTTTTTTTTGAGATGGAGTCTCGCTCTGTCTTCCAGGCTGGAGTGCAGTGGCATGATCTAGGCTCACTGCAAACTCCGCCTCCTGGGCTCAAGCAATTCTCCTGCCTCAGCCTCCTGAGTAGCTGGGATTACAGGTGTGCACCACCATGTCTGGTTAATTTTTGTATTTTTATTAGAGACGGGGTTTCACCATGTTGGTCAGGCTGGTCTGGAACTCCTGACCTCGTGATCCACCCGCCTTGGCCACCCAAAGTGCTGGGATTACAGGCATGAGCCACCATGCCCGGCCTAAAATTTTCTTCCCTTATATAAACTCTGTGTTTGAGCAATTTTGCTGAATTTTTCAAACACTTAGTATTAAAAAGCCAAGTGAATAACTCTGACTGGGAATTGAAGCCTGAGCCCAGTGACTCCAAGCTAAGGCCAATATTGAGACTGCAAAAAAAGGTTATTGAAGGTCCAGTTATTTCTTCCTGAGGAGCCTTTCCTGCAGGTGTCCCAGCCCGCTCACCCCAGCCATGGAAGAATCCTTTCTACTGAGAGAAGCTACAGAGCCCAGGCGAGCTGGGGATCCATAGGCAGATGCAGCTGGGGTTGGGATGGAAGGGCATTGGGAGGGTCTTTCTGAGGATGAAATTTTTATTGACCTGGGGTTGTTTCTAGACTCTGTCAAATAAAAAAAGTCAGATTTAAGTAAAAAGTTTTGAATTTCCAAAGGAGTATTACAAGAGGGGGTAGTACAGACTATAAGATCTTTGAGGACCTCAAAGGTTAGGCATACAAGGGCTGTCTTTCCTAGGGAGAAGCAAACAAGATTAGAAAGGAGATGGGAGGGGAGGGCAGGATGAAGGGTGGCAAAATCAGACTCTAGATCAGAGAATATTTTACCCTGAAGTCAGTATCTTTTTAGCAGGGACATAACATGAGGTTGTATGTTTGCTCAGACTGAGATTGGGTCAAAGTTCAGGAGTCTGGGGAAGGAGAGAAACTTAAGCAAAGTTGGATTAAAAAGTATGTTGTTATGATCACTAAAGACAATTGTTCAGCTGATTCTTTATGGGAAAATGATGAAAATTTGTAGAGTCTGTGTCTGGCTATGTGATAGGTGAAAAAAGCAAGCATCATCTAAGTCACAATGGGAAAGTTGTTTATTTTCATTAAGCTGCTCCTGGAGAACACAATAGATGAGAAATTTTTATTAATCACAGTTATTTACCAAAATTTTCTGTGTGCCCCCATCTTTTCACACCACTTTCCTTTTTTCTATACACCTCTTCCATTTGACTGTTCCTGCATTGTATCTTATAGAACAAACTGGTAAACACAAGTATAGTGTTTTGCCGAGTTCTGTGAGTAGTTTAATCACATTATTCAATTCCAGGAGGGGTTCAATAATTTGAACCATTTAAAGTAGCTGCTCTAGACAGTCACTCAGAAGTACAGATGAGCACCTGGGACTTGTGACGGGCATCTGCAGTAAGGACAGTATTGTGGGACTAAACTCTGGACTTGTGGGATCTGCACTGATTTTGAGTAGTGTGAGATAAAATGTTAAACAACTGGTTGATGTTGGAGAATTGCTGGATATTCAGGAAATTCTACAAATTAGGTGTCAGAAGAAAGACGTCACCGGGCCTGAGCCATGTGATGTCAGAAGAAAGACATCACAGGGGCTAGGGATCAGACCCTGTGTGTTCTCCTGCACATGAGCAGTCACACTGCACATTCTCCTGTGATTCCAGTTCTCCCAGGGTGAGAGGGGAATGGAAACTTAGAGAAAAGGAGTTCTCAGAACAAACCTTCTTCCCCTACAGCTGCCATCACTTGGTTTTTACCTACTCATGAACATACCCACTAGGAGGTATTAATGTGGCCATGCGCCTCCCAGGACTAGGCACCAACCTCAGGAATTCCATCACAGTGCCTTTGCTGCTAGAGTTTCTTGCCAGAAACCTACACAAGTACCTATAGGACTCCTAGCTTATTTCTGCCCTCAGACACTGAATCTGCAGCAGCAACCCATTCTCTCCATCAACCTAGGATTCTGGACTACCTGTTCATAATCTCACCTGCCTGCATGAACACAAAAAATTCATAGTACAGTCCCTCCTGGGCCACATCTTTAATTCAAACCAGTCCTTCCAGCTATCTTTTATTCTTCCCCGACTCATAAATTTTTGGAAGCTCCTTTCTCTCGTCTACTTTTTTTTTTCTAGACGGAATTTCACTCTTGTTGCTCAGGCTGGAGTGCAATGGTGCAATCTCAGCTCACCGCAACCTCCGCCTCCCAGGTTCAAGTGATTCTCCTGCCTCAGTAATGTGTAATGAGGCTAATTTTGTATTTTTAGTAGAGACGGGGTTTCTCCATATTGTTCAGGCTGGTCTCCAACTCCCCATGTCAGGCGATGCACCCGACTCAGCCTCCCAAAGTGCTGGGATTACAGGTGTGAGCCGCTACTCCCGGCCTCTCTCTTCTACTTTTTGCCCCACAGTCTTTCTTTCATGTGCACACGGTGTGTTCAGAACCACCCCTTAGGTGCCTAAATCCAGTGCATACTAAAATTCAGATGTCCAAAAGTTCAAAACCATGCCTATAGTTCTGGCTGTTGTACAAGAAAATACAATTTAGGAATAAGAGGCTTAATTATTTTACATAGAAATAAATGCTTTTTCTGTCTCATTCCCTACCAGATTGTCTTTGTCTAGGACCTGAGAACCATTATTTTGCTTTTGCTTTTGATTTGGCAAAGGTTTTCTTTTTCTTTTTTATTCTTTCTTTTTATTTTCTGTCTTTTCCTTTTAATTATATTTGTCAAACACTGTCCACAATTACCAGACATTGTATATACGTATAAGGTGCCCACCAATCTTCACTTTGGAGAAGGCTTTCCCTCTCAGGCTTCCAGTCAACCCAGTCAGTTTTGCTTCAAAGTGCACACTGCCCCCAGAGTATGCAAGCAGAATTGTGTCTCTGCCTATTTCACATCTATAGTCCTCTACAACCACTTGTAGAGAGGTCAAGCCTTTCTACAAGTGGTTGACAAAATTCACAGGACAGTAATCAGCCATTTCACCTCTTTCAGTGACCATAGTGTCTTCAGACCTGAAACTGAATTGGAGACTGTTAGGCCCAGAAGAACAATTAGGGTGACGTGTGCATTGAGTAAACGTGAGTATCTCAGCGTTCCTCTTTCTCCTCCTCCCAAAATTCCCATAAATGTGCAGTTAACACCTGCCATTTCTCCACCCATCCAGGACCTAAATCTACAGTACCAAATTCTGAATCTCGGTCTTGAGATTAGAGGAAAAAGAATAACTTTGATCTGAGGAGTGCAAGTCCTTTTAGTTTTATCAGGCCCGGAGAGACATAAAAATGAGAACATAATTATGTTCTTCTGCCTCCTTTGAGCTACGTTTTTACCTCTTGAAACTGTTTGCTATTGCTACAAGTAGATATAAATTAACCTAATAATGCCACACTAGATGTTATAAGCAATACCTTATAGCTTAAATTATATAGCCAATTAGTCATCAATGTTATTTCTGTAGAACAAGAAGAATTTCTGACAAATAACTTTGTTTCAGTCCACTCCCCGTCCCTCTCTTTTGCCTTTGTAAATGCACTTGTAACTGCTGCTAATTAAAGTGTACATTCAAGGCAACTTGAATCTATGCTCCCAGGTTTCAATCCTCAGGCTTGGCCCAAATAAACTCTCTACTTAAATGAGTGTTGCCTTAGCCTTTTCTTTTTAGGCTGACATATCATGTGCTAGAGCAGACTTTATGATGGAAACTTTTTTTTTTTTTTTTAACTCTCCTTGCTGTAACACCAAAGAATGAAGAGTCAGGTTGATCTTACCTGTAATCTGCACGTAAGAGCTGAGCTCTGCCTGGGATTCACAGGAGAGAGCCAGATTTTGGTTTGAGAATGTACAGAAAACCCATAGGAGACATTTTCTGATCTGTGAGATGTCAGCATAGAAATCTTAAAGCCCTTCTTTCAGAGTGTATCCCTTTGAGCTTTCCAGATCTTTTCCAGTGACCTGCTATGGTTAAGTGAGAGGCTGCTGGTGTAAATAGAATCTGGTTGCACAATCTGTAAGTGTAAACATGCATGTCAGCAAGGAGAGATCAAAGCCACAAAATACCCAGAGCAATGACATAAGTTTACCTATTTGTAAAATGTGACACTGGAATAGAGTATTCTTGAGTATTACCTAAGAGCTAGCTAATCAGAACAGGTGATATCACACGTAGATCCAGGTTCTGGAGCTCTACCAGGGCAGTTCCATTTTCTATTTAGAATCAGCTTGAGTCTTTCCTGCCTGGATCAACATAGGGTCATCAGTCCATGGTCACTAGGAATCCTCTCACAGTCACCCGGGAATCTTTAAGACATTTCAGGATGTCCTGTGCAGACTTGGGTCAGGCTGGCAGGAGTGTCTAATTCTGCTTCCATGTTAGAGGAAGGGAAATGAGTCATTCAGTGTCTGTTCCTTCTTTTGTAGAAAGATTCTCCGTGGTTGGTACCCAGATGAGAGTTTCTCCAGTTTCCTTGGCAAAAAATTCAGGAGTTCTGGAGACTCAGACTGATAAACAAATTGCCTCCATTTCATATGGTCTTTAGAAAAATAGATGAAGCAGTCATGGTCCCTGTCATTCAAAAACTTTCAGTGTAGAGCAACTGGATAAATGGTTTAATTAAGCATCATATAGTCAGTACAATAAAGTGGGGTGTTAAGGGGACTTTGGCGATGGCTCTTATGTTGTTGTGACTTCTGATGTCACCACCTGAAGATCTCAAACAGGAGAGCTATTTGTATTTTTATTGCTTTTACCTTGCTAAGAATACGTATTTTCTAATAAAATTATCTTAGAAAGCCCTAAAAATTTTGGTTAAATTGTTATTATATGTTATAAAATAGAGTAGTGGCTAAATGGATTAAAATTATACAAACTCTTAAGTTTCTCTTGGACAGGCTTAGGAAAGACAGAACAAGAAGTACTCCAGCAGCATAGAGATCATAATTCAACATAGGACCGTTTCTCCACCCCAGCTCTGTCCAGATTCACCCTTTTCTGAGCCTCCTTCAGGTCTGGTCCCACCCTGGAGTCTGTCCTCACAGAACTCATTAGAGGAGACCAGAGATTTGGGAGTTGGCTCCTGCTGCCTTTCCAGAACTTACGCTCACAGTATTCAACCCAAAAGCAGATAAATTAGAGCAATAAACTATATATTTTGAGGTCTTAACTTCTTTCTTTTTAATTAAAACCAGTGCTTGTAGAGACATTCCATTCCAGTAGTTACTCCACTAGTCACAAGAAAGTAAATAGAAACACAATAAAAAATCCCTCTGAACTACACTTAACCCTTTCCTTTCTGTATCCCTCCCATCTGTCTATATTTATCTCTTATGCTATACATTTTTAAAAAAATCAGTGAGAGGCCGGGCTCTGTGGCTCATGCCTGTAATCCTAGTACTTTGGGAGGCCGAGGTGGGCAGATCACTTGAGGTCGGGAGTTCGAGACCAGCCTGACCAACATGGAGAAACCCCGTCTCTACTAAAAATACAAACTTAGCTCAGTGTCATGGTGCATGCCTGTAATCCCAACTACTCGGGAGGCTGAGGCAGGAGAATCGCTTGAACCCGGGAGGTGGAGGTTGTGGTGAGCTGAGATCGTGCCATTGCACTTCCAGCCTGGGCAACAAGAGCGAAACTCCATTTCAAAAAAGATAAACAGGAGAAGAAAACAATGCTGGCCCCTTCATCTAAATTCTGAGAATTATTGAACACTTAGTACCCAACTCTCAAGTTGTTACGAAGATTAAATCACATAATGTGATGTTCCCAGCAGAGTGCTCTGTAACAGACTCCTGAGCACATAGTACCTGTTTAATAAGCATTGCATAAGTATATGTGTGCATGTTGTTTTTCAATGCAGACACGCAGACATTGCTGCCTTCTCCTGTCTCTGTAAACTTTAAAGAGCTAGCAAAGAATGTGGTCTTTCAGGATAGAGATTGATTGTTTATTTGATGAGAAGTATTTGTGTTGTGATAAGTGATGAGTGTAAGAGTCTGTTCCATGCCTGCTTTTTCTAGCTAAATGCTACTAATGATGGGTCTGGGGAAGCTACATCGGCATTGACAGGAGATGTGTTTAAAATGCACTTTCATGGACCCTCTTAAAACCTGCAGAATCACATTACATAGTGTGGGGCCAGGGTTACCAAATGATTTATATGCACATTGAAGCTTGAGAGGCAATACTTAGCTAAGTGGTTCTTGGCCCAGGCTTCTAATTAAGATTCCATGGCCAGGTTGCAGAAATATTTTCACTTGTGCCCTTACCGCAGGCTCTGTATATTGTTCTGGGTGGAAGCATCCTTGTTGATATAATTAAGTGCCTCACGTGACTCCAGGTTGAGGCCAGGGCCAAATATGAGGAATTCAAAATACATTCATGAGAGTTGAGTTCAAACTTTATTCCAAAGGGAGGTCACAGGGCCTGCTATGGTTGGATTTGGTAGGGACAAGTTAGTGTGGCCCATATTCCCATTGCTGTAGCAGAAATTGCAGTGTCTGTGGCAGGGGAGGGCACCTGAGGGCAGGAAAAGAGAAAGATAAATTTTGATCTTCGTGGAGGAGTTCACTGTCCTTGAATCTCACCTGTTATAAACAACATAAATGGGTGGACATTTTCTGCATGCCTGGATCTTTCTGCCTGTGTTTGTGGTGGTAGCAGGTGAAGGGATTGTGCTGATTCCTTTAAAGGCATATTCCCAAGATGCAGGTGTGACTTGTCCAGAGAATATCACCTGAGAAGAAATCCTAGAGGAGGATGATGAAGAGAAAAATGGCTCTTTCTCAGGTGACTGTGTCTCAGATCAGGCGCTGTGTTCACTTTGCCTCCTGGAATGCCGTATGTTTAGAACTTACAAACCTGTACTTCTTGACTTTATGCTGTTTCTCCCTATATGTTTATTTAAACATTTTTTCTTCTCATGATAGTCAAGGAACTCTGAAAAAATATTTTTTTTCTATATACTAGAGCCTTCTCGACATTCTCTTCATCTTGGCTTCTTCTCCGCCATGAAGAATTCTCATCATTAATTTACGACTCGTAATATTAAAAATATTCCCTTTTGCTGGGCACGGTGGTTCATGCCTATTATCCCAGCACTTTGGGAGACCGATGTGGGTGGATGACCTGAGGTCAGGAGTTCGAGACCAGCCTGGCCAACATGGTGAAACCCTGTCACTACTAAAAATACAAAAAACAGCTGGGTGTAGTGGCAGGTGCCTGTAATCCCAGCTACTCGGGAGGCTGGGGCAAGAGAATCACTTGAACCCAGGAGGTGGAGGTTGCAGAGGTTGCAGTGAGCCGACATCGTGCCACTGCACTCCAGCCTGGGCAACAGAGAGAGACTCCATCTCCAAAGGAAAAAAAAAAAAAAAGAAAAATACCCTTTGTTGCTGGTGCTGGTGCACATGGAAAGGTATGGATACCCAAGATTCCTACTGGGGAAGAGGTGGGGTTCTTAGATATTCATGAAAAAGGGGAATATGTAATGTTGAAGTTCTGTCTGTGTGCTCCATCAACTCCATGCGGAACAGGATTAAAATATGCACATTTGAACAGGATGGCATTTATTACCCAGAATAATTCAGAAAGTTTTGAAAAAAATAATGAGGAGATACTCGCTTTCTAGAATGCTAAGGAAAGTCTGCCTAAATACTCTATTAGAGATTACACAACATGAGCGATTACTGTAGCTTGCATTTTGCATAAAACTTGTTTCTTTATGATTAAATTTGAATTATAATTTGCTTCTTTGGCGGGGGCCAGTATCACAGCAGTGATATTGTGTCCTTCTGTGAGCATCAGCGCATGATGAAAATTTGTTCTGTTACAATGGTGTTAATTTGATTCGCTTAGTTAAATAGTTCTCTGAGAATTTTTTTCCACTGTAGAGATATTTTTCTCTTTATTATTGAGTACCTTGGGGACATTTACCAGCTGATGTGCATAAAGCATCACATGTAATCTGGAAACTCTCTTTTCTTCTTAGATTCTCTTTGCATATATCTTTCTTTAAAAAGTGAAGTCTCTCATCTTTGTTTACTGGTCATAAAAACCCAGGCTCTGCCACTTAATGAATGTTTGACAAAAGATTTATCTTGGGCCAGAAAGATTGGTGTTACTTGTGAGCTTGTTAGAAATTCAGAAACTCAAGTTTTACCTCAGGTTTCTTGAAACAAAATCTGCATAAAAAGATCTCCAGTTTATTGTTGTACACATTAAAATTTGAGAGGTACTTTATAACTAAGCCTGACTTTTTAATCTGAGAAATATACAACTTATACTGTATGATTAAATTGAGCACTCAAAAATGTACATGTCTATGTTCCTGTTGTTAATTTTGTACTTTTATCATTCAAAAAATATCATCAATACACTACACTGGTGTTGTGAATCTTATGCTCTCTTTTCTCAGAGATAGAGAATACAACACAGAATATTTCTTCGTTGGGAATTATTTTATAGGACAATTTCAGTAGTATAAGTCAGAATCAGTTCTCTTCACTCATTTAATCTTGAGACAATTTAAGAATTCTGCCCATGGCCACTTGAAGTGTGTGTGTGTGTTTTCAGGGACTGCTGATATTCAGGGATGTAGCCACATAGAATTCTGTCCGGAGGAGTATCAATACCTGGATGCTGCTCAGCAGAATTTGTATAACGATGTGATGTTAGAGAACCACAGAAACCCGGTCTTCTTGGTTGAGGATAACTTCAATATAGAATTCCTAATTTACCCTAAATGTTTCATTTTCTTCCTTTGTAGGATGTGTTTTGGTAATTTCTGCTTTGCATGAGTGAATTTCAGATCCCTGTTTTCAAGACAATCTTATTTTATTTTATTATTATTATACTTTAAGTTTTAGGGTACATGTGCACAATGTGCAGGTTAGTTACATATGTATACATGTGCCATGCTGGTGTGCTGCACCCATTAACTCGTCATTTAGCATTAGGTATATCTCCTAATGCTATCCCTCCCCCCTCCCCCTACCCCGCAACAGTCCCCAGAGTGTGATGTTCCCCTTCTTGTGTCCATGTGTTCTCATTGTTCAATTCCCACCTATGAGTGAGAACATATGGTGTTTGGTTTTTTGTCCTTGTGATAGTTTACTGAGAATGATGATTTCCAATTTCATCCATGTCCCTACAAAGGACATGAACTCATCCTTTTTTATGGCTGCATAGTATTCCATGGTGTATATGTGCCACATTTTCTTAATCCAGTCTATCATTGTTGGACATTTGGGTTGGTTCCAAGTGTTTGCTATTGTGAATAGTGCCACAATAAACATACGTGTGCATGTGTCTTTATAGCAGCATGATTTATAATCCTTTGGGTATATACCCAGTAATGGGATGGCTGGGTCAAATGGTATTTCTAGTTCTAGATCCCTGAGGAATCGCCACACTGACTTCCACAATGGTTGAACTAGTTTACAGTTCCACCAACAGTGTAAAAGTGTTCCTATTTCTCCACATCCTCTCCAGCACCTGTTGTTTCCTGACTTTTTAATGATTGCCATTCTAACTGGTGTGAGATGGTATCTCATTGTGGTTTTGATTTGCATTTCTCTGATGGCCAGTGATGGTGAGCATTTTTTCATGTGTTTTTTGGCTGCATAAATGTCTTCTTTTGAGAAGTGTCTGTTTATGTCCTTCGCCCACTTTTTGATGGTGTTGTTTGTTTTTTTCTTGTAAATTTGTTTGAGTTCATTGTAAATTCTGGATATTAGCCCTTTGTCAGATGAGTAGGTTGCGAAAATTTTCTCCCATTTTGTAGGTTGCCTGTTCACTCTGATGGTATTTTCTTTTGATGTGCAGAAGCTCTTGAGTTTAATTAGATCCCATTTGTCAATTTTGGCTTTTGTTGCCATTGCTTTTGGTGTTTTAGACAGGAAGTCCTTGCCCATGCCTATGTCCTGAATGATAATGCCTAGGTTTTCTTCTAGGGTTTTTATGGTTTTATGTCTAACATTTAAGTCTTTAATCCATCTTGAATTAATTTTTGTAGAAGATGTAAGGGAGGGATCCAGTTTCAGCTTTCTACATATGGCTAGCCAGTTTTCCCAGCACCATTTATTAAATAGGGAATCCTTTCCCCATTGCTTGTTTTTCTCAGGTTTGTCAAAGATCAGATAGTTGTAGATATGCGGTGTTATTTCTGAGGGCTCTGTTCCGTTCCATTGATCTATATCTCTGTTTTGGTACCAATACCATGCTGTTTTGGTTACTGTAGCCTTGTAGTGTAATTTGAAGTCAGGTAGCGTGATGCCTCCAGCTTTGTTCTTTTGGCTTATGATTGACTTGGTGATGCAGGCTGTTTTTTGGTTCCATATGAACTTTAAAGTAGTTTTTTTCCAATTCTGTGAAGAAAGTCTTTGGTAGCTTGATGGAGATGGCATTGAATCTATAAATTACCTTGGGCAGTATGACCATTTTCACGATACTGATTCTTCCTACCCATGAGCATGGAATGTTCTTCCATTTGTTTGTATCCTCTTTTATTTCATTGAGCAGTGGTTTGTAGTTCTCCTTGAAGAGGTCCTTCACATCCCTTGTAAGTTGGATTCCTAGGTATTTTATTCTCTTTGAAGCAATTGTGAATGGGAGTTCACTTTCAAGACAATCTTGAGGATTTTTTGGTGTGGAAAATAAATTCTTCAAGATGTTTCATTTTGACCTGAATTTTCCCCTTTCCTGAGCTTATCTATATTATTCACTCTAGATAAGTGGTAATTTCAGAAATTTAGTGGCATAAAATAATGTTGTCCAGACCTTAAAATTCAATTGCCACCACCAATTTTTGATTCAGTAATACTGGGGAGTGAAACTGAGGACCCACATATTTAATGTACTTTCTGAATATGCTAAAGGTTCTGTCAGTAAAAATTATTTTGGAATTAATTTTCTAGAATCTTCTATTATGTCCTCTTTTCTCTACTTAGCACAGTATTAGGTTGGTAAATGGCGAATCCCAGGAAAAGTCATGCTCTTGCTGCTTTTTAAAATAAAACACGTATTGTCTTCTCTAAGCCAGACCTGGTCACCTGTCTGGAGCAAAGGAAAAAGCCATGGAGTATGAAGCATCCAGGTAGGTGAAAGCGAATGAAGAAGAGGATGACATAGATGAGAGATCCAAAGGCCAAGGAGGAACCCAGACTTTTACATGTGATTTGGGAAGCTGTGCTTCAGTGGAAATCGTTTCTGAGAAGCCTGGGTTTTTTCACTTGTTCTCACATAGGGGCATCTTCTGTCCCATGCTCTCTAACGACTCTACTTTTTCTTCAATAATTTTTCTTCAGATTTGCAGTGAGAGCCAAAGTTCTCTTTATGGCTTATAAAGGAGTGCACAATCTGACTACTTTTATTGCTTTTGGGGATATACATATAGCTGCATATTTTTTAGAAACTCTGTGTTTAACCATTTTTAAGTTCTCTTTCTGCATTGTGTCTGAAATATGTAAAAGTAGTGATATTGAGATTTGGTTCAGAAATCCCAGAAATACAACAAACATATGTTGTATGTTTTCTGCTTTATAGTTTCTTATTTTATGGAGGTTTCAAATGTGTTTCTACAGAAATTCATACTCGGTAATTTAATCAGAATATTAAGTATCTTTAAGAATATCTAATGTTATTTGAATTGAAATTTTTATTGTTTTAGTACTAACTGAGGTTGGTAATTTCAACTCTGTCTTAATTTCTCAACTGTAATATAATGTATATATTTCCTACATTTCTTCAATTCACTATGTCAGGGAACTTAGAACATTACTGAGCATATGTTAAGCTCCCACTTCTTTCCTTGTTTTTTTAATTACTATTTTGTAATTTTATCTTGTTTAGGATAAAGTTTACCAGAACTGTAATTTATATGTGTGTATATATATGTAGGTGTGTATTGTGGATTTTTTTACAAGTAAAAATTGTATAATTATATATTTATTGTGTACAATGTAGTGACTTACTGCATGTGTAGATTGTAAAATGATTAGCACAATTATGTTTATGACCATTTCTATCACCTGTCCTCACATAGGTACCTTTTTTGTAATGAAAACATCTAAAATCTGCTGACACCAAATTTTAAGCTTACAAAAAATTAGTGTTAACTGTATCATGAAGCTATACATTACATTCGAAAAACTTACTCATAACAGAAAATTTGTGTCTTTTCAACATCTTTTCATTTTCTCCCATATCTAGTCCCTGACAACTACCATTGTAGTCTCTGCTTCTGTGAGTTCAGCTTTCTTAGATTCCCCATATAAGTGAGAATGAGCAGTATTTCTCTTTCTGTGTCTGGCTTATTTCCCTTGGCATAATGTCTTCCAGTTCTACCCATGTTGTTGCAATGGCAAGATTTTGTTATTTTTCAGGCTAAATAATATTCTATTGTTTATTTATACCAGCTTTTCTTTATTCAGCATCCACAAACATTTAGGTTTTTTACATCTTGGCAAATGTGAATAATGCTGCAACAAATATGGTGGTACAGATATGTCTTCAAGTTACTTATTTCATTTCCTTTTGTTATATACACAGAAGTGGGATTGCTAGATTGTGTAGTAGTTCTGTATTTCAAATAACCTCTTGGTTTTTGTAATGACTCCATCAATTTTTAACTCTCCAAGAATGTACAGAATTTTTTTTCTTCAAAGTGTTGTCAACACTTGTTATGTTTCTTCTTTTTACATTATCCATTCTGACATGTTTGAAATGATACTCATCATGGTTTTGATTTGCAATTGCCTGATATTTGGTGATATTGAGTACTTTATGGTTTATCTGTTGGCCATTTGTATGTCTTCATTGGACAAATATCAGTTTAGTTTTGTGCCTATTTTGAACTGGGTTACTGTTGTTTTTGCTTTTAATCTGCTTGTATTTCTTATATATTTTGTATATCAATCTTTCATCAGATGTATGGTTTGCAAATATTTTTTCCCATTCTACAAATTTTTTAATTTTATTGTTCCCTTTTCTGTGCAGAAGGTTTTTAGTTTGATGCAGTCCAGCTTGTTTATGTTTGCTTTTGTTGCTGTACTTTTGGTATTATGTCTAATAAATTATTGTTAAGACCATATCATGTGGGTTTTCCATGTATTTGTTTTTCAGGTTTTTTAAGGATTCATATTTAACTCTGTAATTTAACTTTTAGCATGGTGTAAGAAAAATAAGCTAATTTTATTCTTTTGCCTGGTGGTATCCAGTTTTTTCAGAACCAAATATTAAAAAGACTATACTTTGTTCATTGTGTATTTTTGATGCACTTGTCAAAGATTAGTACAATTTATATGCCCGGGTTTATTTCTGGGCTCTGTTCTGTTCCATTGGTTTCTTGTGTCCATATTTTGCATGTATCCTCTTGTTTTTTTTTACTACAATCTTAAAATATAGTTTGAAATCATAAAGTATGAAGTTTGGTTGCTTTGTCCTTTTTCCTCTAGATTGCTTTGGTTTTTCAAAGCCTATTGTAGTTTCATGTAAATTTTAGAATTGTAATTTCCATTACCATGAAAAATGTCACTGGATTTTTAATAGGGAGTTCATTGAAACCGTAGATCACTTTGAATCATATGGCACTTTATAATATTTATTCTTGCAGTTCATAAACATGAAATCTTTTTGCATTTATTTGTGACTTCTTCAATTTCTTTCATCAATATATGTTTCAGTGTAAAGATCTTTTGCCTTCTTTGTTAAATTTATTTTTCAGAAATTTATTATTTTAATTCTATTGGAAATGAGATTGTTTTCTTCCTTTTTTATCAGATGGTTTGTTGTTAGCATATGGAATCATAACTGATAATTATATGTTAATGTTATATATTGCTAATTTTCTGAGGGCATTTGTTAGTTTTTGATATACTGTTTATGGTTTTCTATATATAAGATCATGTCACCTACAAACAGCAACATTTTAATTTTTTTTTCCTCAATTTGAATGTCATTTTTACGGTCATTTTCTTGACTAATTCTTCTGCAAAGTACTTTCACTGCTATGTTAAAATAGAAACATTGGCAATGGAACCATGTAGCCTTACCCTGGTGTCTATAAATTTGAAGAAGCAAACAGCTCTTTAATTTTTTATAAACTGGTTTCAGGAGGTACAGATCTTCTTTTGTTGGGTCCCCAGGGTAATGGGATGCCCTATGAGCTTGTAATAGGGAAGAGTTTGTAACTGTGTCACAAGGCTGCTGGGTATGCAGTGGACTCCACCTTCAAGTGGCTTTTTACCAGGGGCTTTGGTTGTTGTGATTCCCATCTAATGTCTGGGCAGGCTGGATTTCCTTCAGGACTTTTATTTATAGGGCAGAAACTAGGACAGATTTCTGCAGTTGGGTCTGCATATGGTGGAACTTATATCGGGATGTGGTAAGTGTGGCCACCACTGAGTATTTGGAAGTTTTTTTCCACATCACTGTGTGGGTTCCTGTGTTGGCAGGAATTGCTGTGAACTGTGGCAAAGACAGCTGAAACTGAGTCACTGAACTCCTTCAGGGGCCACAGTAGAGGCCAAGGTCTGCAGGCCACAGTAGAGGCCCAGCTGGAGTGCAGTGGCACAATCTTTGCTCATTGCAACCTCCGCCTCCCTGGTTCAAGCAATTCTCCTGCCTCGGCCTCCCAAGTAGCTGGGACTATAGGTGCCTGCCACCATGCCTGGCTAATTTTTTTGTATTTTTAGTAGAGACTGGGTTTCACCATATTGGCCAGGCTGATCTCTAACTTCTGACCTTAGGTGATCTGCCTGCCTTGACCTCCCAAAGTTCTGGAATTACAGGAGTGAGCCACCATGCCCAGCCTTCTTGGCTGATTTTCAATAGTTGTCTTATTATGTGAAGGTGAGTAGTCATAGAAATAGTGGTATATTCACCAGGTGTTTAATGATATATATATTTCCTTTGTGTGAGAGAAACACTTTTGTGATTTGGAGGTGATTTATATTTATATATTTATATATTTTGTGATTCATAGAAAGACGTATATCACTTTTATTTGTTTTCAAAAAAAATTGTGAAAACACATAACATAAAATTTACCATCTTAAAGCTTTTTAAGTCTATATTTCAGTACTGAGTGTGGTGGAGGCTGATGCCTATAATGCCAGCATTTTGGGAAAGTGAGGCAGAAGTATTGCTTAAGCCCAGGAACTTGAGACCAGCCTGGTCAGCATATAGAGAGCCCATCCCTACAAAAATTTTAAAATTAGCCAGGTTTGTCCACCTGTGGTCCTAGCTCCTTGTGAGGCCGTGGCAGGAGAATCACTTGTGCATGGGAGGTTGAGGCTGCAGTGAGCTATGATTATGTGACTTCATTCCAGCCTGCGGGACAGAGTAGAACCTGCCTTAAAAAAGGTGTACATTTTAGTCATTAAAAGTATTTACATTGTTATATAAAGACCTCTAGAATTTTTACGTCTTCTAAAATTAAAACTTAATACCCATTAAGTAACAACTGCCCATTTTACCCTCTCTTTAGACCTTGAGTAACACCATTCTCCTTTCTGTTTTTATTTGACCACTTACGATGACTCACATCATGGAATCATATAGTATCTGTCAGTTTGTTACTATCTTATTTCAGTTGACATAATATTATCAACGTTTATGTAAGAATGTGACAAGATTTACTATTTTAAGGCTGAATAATATTCCACTGTATGTGTATATGTTACATTTTTAATTTGTTTATCAGTCATGGGATATCTGGGTTACTTCTGCCTTTTGGCTTTTGTAAATATTGGTATAATATCTTTATATATATATAGTACATCTATAAATATATATGTATATATTTATATATAATATATTGGTATAATAAATATATTTTACCAGTATTTATATATTTAATATGTAAATGTTATATATATTAAATATATAAATATTGGTATAATATATTATACCAATATTTCAAATATATATTCAAATATATCTTCCAGGTTCTTTGAATATAGATTTATATTTGGAATATACGTTTATATTTATGTTTGAATATAGATTTATAAGTGGAATTCTTGGATTCCATTTATAAATATATTAATATATAAAAATATATTTTATATTCCAGTCAAATAATATGATTTATGTTTCAATATAGGTTTATAAGTGGAATTCCTGAATTATGTAATTTAATTTTTAAGAAACATTCATAATATGATGATTGCATCCTTTTTTCCCCACCAACAATTCACATGAGTTTTAATTTCTTTACATCCTCAACAGATTTGGCATTTTAAAAATTTATCATGGCCATTCTAATGGGTATGAGGTGGTTTTGTTTTGGATTGAAATTTTGTTTTGTATTTCTCTACAATTGGTACTTTTTTTGCATTATTTTAAGTGCTTTTTTCTACTTATATATATATTTTTGATTAAACATCCATTCAATTCTTTGTCCATTTCTAAATCAATTTATTCAATGTTTGTTGTTTAGTTTTAGTTGTTTATAATTCTGAATATTAACTCATCACATGTAATTTGCGAATATTTTCACCCATTTCTTCGGTGGCATTGTCATTCTGCTAAATATTTTCTTTGGTATGCAGAAAATTTGAAGTTTAGTGTAGTTAAATTATGGGGGTTTTTATGTTTTTCATAAGTATGATGTCATATCTACAAAAAGGTGCCAAAACCAGTGTTCTGTATTTTCCCTATTTTTTTCTTCTAAGAGTTGTATTAGTTATATGTTTTTTAGTTTCATTATTTTATTTAAAATGTGCAAGAAAATAATCCAACTTTATTTTTTTGAGTGTAGATACTCAGTTTTCAACATCATTTGTTGAAGAGATTTTCTTTTCTCTATTGTGTAGTCATGGCAACTTTGTGGAAGATTATTTGATTATATAAAGAAGGGTTCATTTCTGAGCTATTTTGTTCCATCATCTGTTTGTCTCTGTTAGTACCACATTGCTTTTGTTTATTGTAGCTTTTTAATATATTTTGAAATCAGGAAATATAATGCCTCTTTGTTCTTTCTCATGGGTGTTTGGCTAGTTTTAGCTCATAATCAATTTAAAAATTTTTAAACAATATTTCTGGTCAACAATGTACCATTGGAATTTCTTCACCACCGTGAGTTGTTTTCACATTTGATTAAATTATCTGGACCTTGAGCAAGAATATATTACAGAGTGTGTTTTATTTCCATATATTTTTGAATTTGCCAGTTTATCTCTTGATTTTGATGTCTAGTTTCATTTTATTTTAGTCAGAAAACATAACTGTATAATTTTGGTCATCTTAAATTTATTTATTTATTCGTATTGTTGTTGAGAGACAGATTCTCACTGTGCCACTCAGGCTGGAGCGCAGTGGTACAATCTTGGCTCACTGCAGCCTCAACCTCCAAGGCTCAAATAATCCTCCCACCTCAGCATCCCAAGTAGTTGAGACTACATACGTGTACTGTCACGCCTGGCTAGTTTTTTGATTTTTTGTAGAAATGTGGGTTCTCACTATATTGCCCAGGCTGGTTTTGAAATCCTGGTCTCAAGCGGTCTTCCCGCCTTGGCCTCCCAAAGTGCTGGGGGCTACAGGCATGAGCCACCACACCTGGCCAGTCTTCTTAAACTTAATAAGATTTGTTATGTGTCCTAACAGAATGCACCAAGTTCAAACAAGAATATTGTGTAAAGAATATTGTGTAATCTGTTCCTTTTTACTGGAGGGTCCTGTACATATTTTTAATGTGTAGTTGGTCTATGATATGATTTGGATGTTTGTACCCTTCAAATCTCGTGTTGAAATGGGATTCCCAATGTAGCATATGGATCTTTGCGTGATGTGTTTGGGTCATGGGGGCAAATCTCTTGTAAATGACTTCACACCATCCCCTTGGTGATCAATGAGTTCTCACTCTATTAATTCATGTGAGAGCTGCGTGTTTAAAGAACCTGGCACTTTCTTTTCATGCTTGCTCCCTCTCTCCCCATGCAATATGTCTGGTTTCTCTTTGCCTTTACCATGATTGTAAGCTTACTTAGACCCTCACCAGATGCAGATGCTGACACCATACTTATTGTACATTGTGCATAACTATGAAGAAAATAAATCTTTTTTCTTTATAAATTACACAGTCTTAGGTATTTATTGCAATACAAAATGAATTAATACAATTTATAATGTCATCCAGGTTTTGTTCTCTTATTGATGTTTTATCTAAACTTTCACTCATTATTAAAGTGGGGTCTTAATGTCTGTAATTATTATGTTGCTATGTATTTTTTGCTTCACTTCTGTCAATATTAGCTTTATATATTTTGGAACCCTGATCTTTTAAATAGATATAATAGTTATAGATTCCTGGTAAATGACCAATGTTATCATTATATAGTAACAATCTTTATTACCTCATGCTAGTTTTTGATTTACAGTGTATTTTGTCTAATATAATTATGACCACCTCACTTAACTGTGGATACTGTTTGCATGGAATATGTTTTTTCATTCTGTTTCTTTCAACCTGTTTGACTCAAAGTTAAAGTGACTCTCCTGAAATCCTGGTCTCAAGCAATCTTCCAGTCCTGGCCTCCCAAAGTGCTGGGGCTGCAGGCATGAGCCACCACACCTGATTAGTCTTCTTAAACTTAATAAGGCTTATTATGTGTCCTAACAGAGTACACCAAGTTCAAACAAGAATATTGTGTAATTTGTTGCATATTGTATGATTTTGTTTGTTCTTATTCCATTCAGCCATTTAATTTCTTATTATTAGTTTAATCAATTTATATTTAAAATGATTCCTTAGAGAAATGAAGTTACTATTACCATTTTGATTGTTGTTATTTTCTGTGTTTCTTGTAGAGATGTTTTCCATCATTTCCTATTTTACTGTCTTAATTTTTGTTTTTTTGATTTTGTAGTGTTATGCTTTGTTTCCTTTCTCATTTTGTATTGCATACTTTCTATAAACTTGTAATTATCTTGGTAATTGGAGATTATGTAAAACATTTTAAAGTTATAACAATATTAATATGTCATAACTTCAGTTGAATACAAAAACTATACCTCTTTACATCCTGTAGTGGTTTTTTTTTTGTTTGTTTTGTTTTGTTTTTGAGATGGAGTCTTGCTCTGTCACCCAGGCTGGAGTGCAGTGGTGTGATCTTGGCTCACTGCAACCTCCACCTCCCAGGTTCAAGCAATGCTCCTCAGCCTCCCGAGTAGCTGAGATTACAGGCACCCACCACCATGACTGGCTAAGTTTTTATATTTTTAGTAGAGACGGGGTTTCACCATCTTAGCCAAGCTGGTCTTGAACTCCTGACTTTGTGATCCACCCATCTCGGCCTCTCAAAGTGCTGGGATTACAGTCATGAGCCATTGCGCCCGGGCTTACATCCTGTAGTTTTTTATTATTACAAATATTATTTTATATTGTGTATCTATTAACAGATTTATGCAGATTTTTTGTTCAAATTTTATAGCAGAATTTTAAGAGATTTTGCTTCATGATTATGGTGGTAAACAATTGTATATGTGTTTATATATTTACATTTAACAGAAAGCTTTATAGTTTCATGTAGTTTTTTAAGGCTGTTCAGCATCATTATATTTTTCAACATATGGACTCTTTTTGGCATTAAAAAAAATAAACAGCATCTCACTATGTTCCTCAGGCTCATCTTGAACTCTTAGCCTCAACTAATCTGCCTGCCTTGGCCTCCCAAGACTCTGGGATTACAGACATGAGCCACTGGTGCCTGGCTACCATGTAGCATTTCTTGTGGGACCATGCTAGTGGTGATAAATACCTTCACCTTTTGTTTATTTTGTAAGTTCTTTATTGTTTCCTTATTTTTAATTCCAGAGTAATTCCAAATAATTTCAAAGCAAACAGTATTGATTGGTATTAGTTTTTCTTTTATCACATAAAAATTTGGAAAGTTTTCATCCTCTTTTATCTTCATATAACCCCTCTAATACTTTTTCCCTACATTTGTCTTCTAAGATTTCTTTTCCAAATGTAGTAATCTACTTAATGGTGTTCAGTATGTTTAACATTCCATGTTTTCATTTTGTTTTGCAGTTTTATTTTATTTCATTTTACTTTATTTTATTTTATTTTATTTTATTTTTTGAGATGGAGACTTGCTCTGTCACCCAGGCTGGAGTGCAGTGGTGTGATCTCGGCTCACTGCAAGCTCCACCTCCCAGGTTCACGCCATTCTCCTGCCTCAGCCTCCCGAGTAGCTGGGACTACAGGCGCCCACCACTACGCCCAGCCAATTTTTTTGTATTTTTTAGTAGAGACGGGGTTTCACCCTGTTAGGCAGGATGGTCTCGATCTCCTGACCTCGTGATCCACCCGCCTCAGTCTCCCAAAGTGCTGGGATTACAGGCATGAGCTACCATGCCCAGCCAATTTTATTTTTTTTTGTTTCATATTTTAGAGTATGCCACCTCACATCAGTTAATTGTGTTTTTAGTTTTTACTTTGTATGGTAATTGTGAATGTCAATATTCAACTCTGTGCACTTTAAGACAGCGTGGAGCCAAAGTTAAATATGAATCAGTCATATGTCTATTCCCAATATAATAATTTCTGTGTTTGTGTATACGCATATTATTTCTATATTGCTTATGACTTGTATGTTTGTGAGTGATCAATGGTCGTTTTATCTGAGTAGTCATAAAAATTCTCCTACTTCTAATATCTATTTGGGAATCTATTTTTGTGTGGGAGAAATACTTTTTTGATTTGAAGGTAATTTTAAAAACTGTCAATTTTGTCCCATTTTTAGGTATTATTACTGTTTATTTTTAATTATCAAGAACATAAAATTTAGAATCTTAATTTAAAAATATGTAGTTTATATTAATTATATTGACATTATTATACAACATATCTCTAGAATGTTTTTGTCTTGCAAAACTAAAACTGAATACACATTAAACAACTACTCATTTCTCCCATTTTCTGGCCCTTTACAAACAATTCTATTTTCCTGTTTTTGAGTCTAACTGCTTTAAATATCTCATGTAAGTGGATTCATACAGCATTTTTTTGTGGCTGACATATGCTATTTTGCATAATTTAATGAAAGTTTATTATGGTTGTTAGAATATTTCCTTTCTTTTTTTAGATGGAGTTTCGCCCTTGTTGCCCAGGCTGGAGTGCAGTGCAGTGATCTCAGCTCACCGCAATCTCCGCCTCCCAAATTCCAAGCCATTCTCCTTCCTCAGCCTCCTGAGAGGAGGCTGGGGTTACAGACATGCACCACCATGCCTGGCTAATTTTTGTATTTTAGTAGAGGCAGGGTTTTTCTATGTTGTTCAGGCTGGTCTCAAACTCCCAAATTCAGTTGATTAACCCACCTTGGCCTCCCAAACTGCTGGGATTACAGGTGTGAGGCAGTGTGCCCGGCCTGTATTTCCTGTTTTTAAACACTGAGTAATATTCCATTATTTTTATGTTTCAAATTATATTTATCCAGTAATCTGGGGAGAAAAATTTGCATTGCTTTCACCTATTGCCTGTCAATAACAATGCTGTAAAAATTATGGATGTGCAGCCGGGTGCGGTGGCTCACGCCTGTAATACCAGCACTTTGGGAGGCCAAGGTGGGCGGATCATGAAGTCAGGAGATCGAGACCATCCTGGCTAACACAGTGAAACCCCGTCTCCACTAAAAATACAAAAAAATTAGCCGGGCGTGGTGGTGGGCGCCTACAGTCGCAGCTTCTTGGGAGGCTGAGGCAGGAGAATGGCATGAACCTGGGAGGTGGAGGTTGCAGTGAGCCTAGATTGTGCCACTGCACTCCAGCCTGGGCAACAGAGTGAGATTCCATCTAAAAAAAAAAAATTATGGATGTGCAAATAACTCTTCCTATGAGTATATGTGTGAGAGTTTATACTACATTCTGTTTATTTGGTCTAGTTCACTTTTTATAACCAAACCAAATTGTTTTAAGTCTGTATAATGTGTTTTGAAATCAGGGAGTTGTGATGCCTCCAACGTTGTTCCTCTCTTTGAAGATTATTGGGTGTTTCATTGTTTCTTAAAATTTCATGTAATTTTGGGGTTGCTTTTTCTATTTCTGCTAAAATAAAATTAGATATTTGAAAGGGATTGCATTAAATCTGTAGATTACACTGAGCAGTATGGGCATCTTCACAATATTAATTATTTTACCCTTTGATCATGCTGAATATTAATTATTTTACCCTTTGAGCATGCTGAAGAGTGTGTTGTTTAATTTTCATGTATTTATAAATTTTTTAGTTTTGTTTTTGTTGATTTCTACTCTCATTCCATTTTGGTCATAAAAAGTAATCTATCAATTTCAATTTTTAAAGATTTAGTAAGTTTTTTTTTTATAATGGACTAACAGGCAGTTTTTCAAAGAGAATGTATGTGAGCTATTGAGAATGGTTGTACCCTGCTATTATTAAGGGGTGTTCTTTGTTAGGCATAATATTGTTTTATACTGCTTTCTTGGTATTTTTTTTCTTTTTGAGATAGAGTCTTGGTCTGTCACCGAGGCTGGACTGCAGTGCCGCAATCTCGACTCATTGCAAACCCCGCCTCCCTGGTTCAAGCAATTCTCCTGCCTTAGCCTCCTGAGTAGCTGGAATTACAGGCGCCTGCTACTGTACATGGCTATTTTTAGTAGAGATGGGGTTTTAGTAGGGATGGGGTTTCGCCATGTTGGCCAGGCTGGTCTTAAACTCCTTACCTCAGGTGATCTGTCCTCCCTGGCCTCCCAAAGTGTTAGAATTACAAGCATGAGCCACTTGTCCCCATCTGTACTGCTTTCAGTTTCTCTTTTCCTTTTTTTTTTTTTTTTTTTTTTTTGGGGACAGAGTCTCGCTCTCGCCCAGGCTGGAGTGCAGTGGTGCGATCTCGTCTCACTGCAAGCTCCGCCTCCTGGGTTCATGCCATTCTCCTGCCTCAGCCTCCTGAGTACCTGAGATTACAGGCACCTACCACCACGCCCTGCTAATTTTTTGTATTTTTAGTAGAGACTGGGTTTCATTGTGTTAGCCAGGATGGTCTTGATCTCCTGACCCCATGATGGCCTGCCTCGGCCTCCCAAAGTGCTGGGATTACAGGCATGAGCCACCGTACCTGGCCCTCTTTTCTATTATTAATATTGTTTTGTTTTATTGTTCATTGCAGAAATTGAAGTATTAAAATATCTTATTATAATTATATTTCTCTCTATTTGTTGCTTTAATTCTGTCAATTTTTGATTTGTATTTTTGGAAACCTAATGTGAGAAATACACATACACACACAAACATATAAATATATGTATGCACATATTTGTCATACGTTTTCAATAAATGATGTCTTTATTATTGTTTAATGACCTTTTTTCTCTTGTGAATTTTGACATAAAGTATATTTTATAAAATAAGAGAGTTGTTTACTTACGATGTATTTTGTATAATACAATTTTGATGTCTTCTCCTCACATTTGGTTAATGTTTGCCTGAAATGTCTTCTTCCACTTGCCACTTTCAGGCCGATTTCACTACTAGATCTCAAGTGACTCTTGAAGAAAGGCAAGTTGGATCTTGGTACATAAAATTTTATATAATCCCTCTATTCAATATATGTGTATTGATTGGAAAGTCTGTTTTTAAAATATTTATTTTCTGAAGACAAAGATTATTGTTATTTTATTGTTTAATGATTCTTGCATGTCTGTTTCTCATTCTATCTTCCTTTGTGTCTTTTTGATTTTTGTATGGATAGGCTGTCACTTCTTTCTTACTTCCTTTTTTGTATCTATACAGACATTTTCTTTGTGGGTGCCTTCAGGATTATATAAAAATCTCTTAAAATTTCAACAATATATTTTGAAGTGGTGAAATTTAAATTCGGGTTCATGCACAAATTATTTCTTATTACATCTGTCCTCAACTTAGTTATTGATGTCACTAAACATATCTATTTATGTTATATATTTATACCAGATGTTCATTATTATTTTTAGCTTTTATCTTTAAATTTTAGAGAATAATTAAATAAAACATTTTTTGGTATTATGATAATGCTACAGGATTTTTTTGTATAATATTTGCATATCTTTATATTTTTCCCAGAAAGCTATCTATTTTTATATGATAGTTTTGTTTTTTAGCATCATATAATTTTAGTAGTAGGACTCTTCTCAGCATTTTTTGTAGGGCGTATGTAGTGTTGATATAATTTTTCCACATTTGGTTATCTTCAGAGGTCTTTACTTTTTCTTCATTTTGTAGCACAGTTTTTCTGGTTATATTATTCTTACACAGAAGCTATTT
Source organism: Homo sapiens (assembly GCF_000001405.40). NCBI lineage: Eukaryota > Metazoa > Chordata > Mammalia > Primates > Hominidae > Homo > Homo sapiens. Next base: position 42,339,771 of record NC_000010.11, on the reverse strand, counting down.
TTCACTTGGCTTTGACTATAGCACATAATTTCCTTCTAGCCTGCAAGGTTTTTGTTGAAAGAGTCACTGGTTATATCATAGAACCATAATTATGTATTTTCCAGCATTCGAGATTCTCTTTTTGTCTGTGATTTTGGGAACTTTGCTTTGCATGTCTTGTTATGGATCTGTGTGTTTCCTAGTTTTAGTATGTTGAGCTTCTTCATTTTTACAACCTTATTTTCTTACTTTTGAGAATTTCTCAGGTATTCTTAACTTTTTGAGACAGTGTCTTGCTCTGTCACCCAGGTTTGAGTACAGTGGCATGATTGCAGCTTACTGCAGCCTTGGATTCCCTAGGCTTACGTGATCCTCCTACCTCAGCCTCCTGTTTACTGGTACCACAGGTGTGTGCCAATACACCTGACTAATTTTAATTTTTATAGAGGAGAAGTATTGCCATGTTTCCCTGTTTAAACTTGAACTCCCTAGGTTCAAGTGATCTGCCTGCCTCAAACTCCCAAAGTGCTGGGACTACAGACATGAGCCACCACACCTGGCCTCAGTCATTATTTCTATCTGTATTTTCTACTTCCATAATTTCTATTATATTTTTCATCTTTTCCTTGATAGTCTGTTTTTTTCTGATTTTATTTAGTTACCTGTGTTCCCATTTAGGTTAAATTTTTAAAACTAATGTGTACATCTTTATTTTCATGGTTGTTTTCTGACAGTTTTAAGTTTTTTTTTTTACTTAGGCCATGTCACTGTAATATTTTGTATGTATTGTACTCTTTGGTTGAGATTTGGACATTAACAAACAGCTATGTGTCACAATCTTTATAATGCGGTGTTGTCCTAACATAGTCTGAAACCAAGTGTCTCAACTAGAGATTCTGGGAGCCTATCAAATATGTTATGATTTGTCATGTGTGGAATTTTGTGTTGATTACTCAGTTAAAGGGGTTTGCCTGTGTTTCTTAAACAGTCTGTAATTACTTCCTATACATATTTCATGTCTGTGGTACTGTAGTTGGTTGCTGTAACATTTACCTTTGGTCTCAGCAGACTCAAGCTGTTATTTCAAAGTATACCATAATTTCTTTCAGCACATTTTGTCATTGGAGACAGAAACAAGTCTCTGTAAAAGTGTCCAGAAGCCAGAAGTAAAAATACATGAGCCAGTTTTTTTTTTTTTCTATATTGAGGAAGATGCCAGACATTGCAGTTTACTTCTAAAAGTGCCATGCTGCATTATGGAGGAGGAAAGGTGTTGGGCAAATGTAACAAACTTTTCTATCCATTCAGTATGGCTTGTGGCATTTTGCTCACCTGGTACACTGAACACACTTAACTCATTTCTAGATTTTCCATAAGGACATTTTGGTCAGTAGAGTTTTGTTATAACTCTATAAAAGAATTAGGACCTGTGGTATTTTTGTTATGCCATGTTGCTAATGTACTTTGTATAATTTTATGTATTAGATTTGTAAACAATAGATTTGTATATTCACATGGGCCTACTGAGATAATTTATTTTTATTTCTTTCAGCTGTGTTCTCATTTCACCCAAGACCTTTGGCTAGATCAGAACATAAAAAATTCATTTCAAAAAGTGATACTGAGAAGATATGAGAAATCTAGACATGAGAATTTACAAATAAGAAAAGGCTGTAAAAGTTTGAATGCATCTAAGTTGCAGGAAGGAGGTTATAATGGACTTAACCAATGTTTGTCGGTTACTCAGAGCAAAATACTTCAATGTAATACATGTGTGAAAGTCTTTAGGAAATTTTCAAATTCAAATAGACTTAGGAGAAGACATACTGGAGAGAAACCTTTCAAATGTAAAGAATGTGGCCAATTCTTTCACAGGTTCTCACACCTAAGACAACATGAGATAATTCATACTGAAGAGAAACCCTACCAACATGAAGAATGTGGCAAAGATTTTAAGCAGTCTTCAGGTCTTACTATACATGAGAGAATTCATACTAAAGAGAGACCCTACAAGTGTGAAGAATGTGACAAAGCCTTTAAACAATCTTCAAAACTGAATAAACATAAGAAAATTTATACTGGAGATACAACCTACAAATGTGAAGAATGTGGCAAAGCCTTTTCCTATTCCTCAACCGTTACTCAACATAACATAGTTCATACTGAAGACAAACCCTACAAATGTGAAGACTGTGGCAAAGCTTTGAAGTAGTCTTCAAACCTGACTATGCGTAAGATTATTCATATGGGAGAGAAACCCTACAAATGTGATGAATGTGGCAAAGCCTTTAGAATATCCTCAAAACTGAAAGAACATAAAAGAATTCATACTTGAGAGAAACCCTATAAATATGAAGAATGTGGCAAAGCTTTTTACTGTTCCTCAGGCCTTACTCAACATAACATAGTTCATACTGGAGACAAACCCTACAAATATAAAGATTGTGGCAAAATTTTTAAGTGGTTTTCAGACCTTACTATACATCAGAGAATTCATAGTGGAGAGAAACCCTAGAAATGTGAAGAATGTGGCAAAGCCTTTAAACAATCCTCAAAACTGAATGAACATATGAGAACTCATACTGGAGAGAAATCCTACAAATGCGAAGAATGTAGCAAAGCTTTTAAGCAACCTTCAGGCCTTACTCTACATAAGAGAATTCATACTGGAGAGAACCCTTACAAATTCGAAGAATGTGGTAAAGCCTTTTATTGGTTGTTAAGCTTTACTAAACATAATTGATAGGGGAGAGAAACCCTACAAATGTCAAGAATGTGGCAAAGCTTTTAAGTGGTCTTCAAACCTTACTATACACAAGAGAATTCATACGGGAGAGAAACCCTGCAAATGTGAAGAATGTGGCAAAGCTTGTAAGCAGTCTTTGGGCCTTACTATACAAAAGAGAATTCATAATGAAGAGAAACCCTACAAATGTGAAGAATGTGATAAAGCCTTTTACTGGTCCTTAAGCTTTACTAAACGTAAGATAGTTCATACTGGAGAGAAGCACTACAAATGTCAAGAATACGTCAAAGCTTTTAAGCGTCTTCAAACCTTACTATACATAAGAGAATTCATACTGGAGAGAAACCCTACAATTGTGAAAAATGTGGCAAAGCCTTTTACTGTTCCTCACACCTTATTCAACATAACATAGTTCATACTGAAGAGAAACACTACAAATGTCAAGAATGTGGCAAAGCTTTTAAGAAGTCTTTAGACCTTAATGTACATAAGATAATTCATAGTGGAGAGAAACCCTACAGATATGAAGAATGTGGCAGTCTTTAAACAATCCTCAAACCTGAATGAACGTAAGATAACTCATAGTGGAGAGGAATCCTACAAATGTGAAGAATGTGGCAAAGGCTTTAAACAATCCTCAAACCTGAATGAACATAAGATAACTCATAGTGGAGAGGAATCTTACAAATGTGAAGAATGTGGCAAAGGCTTTTACTGTTCCTCAAGCCTTACTAAGCATAAGATAGTTCATACTGAAGAGAAACCATACAAATGTGAAGAATGTGGCAAAGCTTTTAAGTGGTCCTCTGAACTTACTATACATCAGAGAATTCATACTGAAGAGAAACCCTGTAAATGTGAAGAATGTATCAGAGTCTTTAAACACTCCTCAAAACCGAATGAACATAAGAGAAATCATACTGGAGAGAAACCCTACAAATGTGAAGCATGCGGCAAAGCTTTTTAAGCAGTCTTCAGGCCTTACTATACATAAGAGAATTCATACTGGAGAGGAATCCAGAAATGTGAAGAATGTTGCAAAACCTTTTACTGGTCTTTAAGCTTTACTAAACATAAGAGAGTTCATATTGGAGAGATACCCTACAAATGTCAAGAATGTGGCAAAACTTTTTCTTGTTCCTCAAGTTTACTCAACATAAGAGAGTTCATACTGAAGAGAAATCCCACAAATGTAAAGAATGTGGGAAAGCCTTTAACCAGTCCTTAAGCCTTACTAAACTTATGAGAATTCATACTGGAAAAAAATCATACAAATTGGAAGACTGTGGCAAAATCTTTTAAGTATTGCTCAAATATATCCAGCCATAATTCATACTAAAGATTATGCCTATGAACCTAAGGAAGTTTGGCAAAGCTTATGAATACACCTCAAACTTTCCTAAGCCTTGGAGAAATATCAGTGAGAAACCTCAGAAAACTGAACAATGTGGCAAGCCCTTTAAATGGTTGTCACATCTTACTGTAGGTAAAATAATTGATAGTGGAGAAAATCTCTACAAACAAAGAATGTGTCAAAACTTCTAACATGCTCATACTTTATGGCACATAAAAGCGTTTATACTTGAAAAATTATACAGAGTGTGGAAAAGCCATTTCTATCTGCTCACATCATAGTCAACATCAGGAAGTTCATACTTAATAAAATTATTATAAATGTAATTACTGTTCAAAGACCTTGGAAAATATAAACCCTTAAAATAAAAAAGAGTATTCTGGAGACAAACATTACAAATATAAAGAGGGTTGTAATACCTTTACTTGCCCTATATAATGTACAGATTTTACACTAGAAGAAAACTCTAAAGGAATTACTCAAACTTGTTTGGCATCAGAGAATTTATGTTGAAGGAAACCGTACAAATGTAATAAGTGTGGAAAAACATTTGTTCAGAAACTACAGCTTACAAAACACCACACAGTTTATAATAAAAAATATTTTTGCAGATGGAATACATATGTAAAAATATTTAGTCAAAATTAAGTCTTTGTAAACTTTAGAAAATTCACGGTAGGGAGAACTAAGGCACTGGCACTTAAGACGTTACACTAAATCAGAATGTTCTGTAAAGAAAGTAATCCAAAGCTAAAACTGTTGGATAATTTATTTGTATATAAGTTTAAGAGGAGTGGAAGGTTATTTTTTGGAGAGTTAAAATTACATTCAAGGTATACGTTTTTCCTTGAAAAAAGTGTAAGTTTTTTGAAAAGCAAGTAGGTAATTCAACTGTAAAATTGCTTCATGCTGTTCCTTTTTTCCTGTTGTTTGTGTAAAAGCATGTCATCAATTTCTGTTGCATCAGAAATCTGAGAGATTCCTTTCTTATTAGGTAGGCATCATTCATTAATTTTTCCATGGAAGAGTAAGGATATTAAAATGTAAGATGATAATGAAAATCTGATTGGAGAGGCTCTTTATGGCTGACTTTTAACATTGTTCATGTGATGCATGAGTTATGTGTTTAGAGTAATATTCTGCATTATAGTGAGAGGAAAACTTTGAGTTTTAGTAGTAAATTGTTTTACCAATTGTACTTTTATGTAATAAAATGTAGGGAATTTTAAAATTCTTTTATAAGACTGTGATAACTTAACTTTTAAATTAAACGAAATGGTTTTAAACTTTTTAAGACGTGCATTTAGTAAAGTGTTATGTCACCAACTTTAACGTATCCCACTGTATTAAAGATGTAGATAAAAGATGGTAACATAGTAGAATGACCTCTCTAGCAATCTCTTTTGCCTGTGGCATTAAACTGAAAAGTTTAACAGTATTGTTTCAATGGGTAAAATGTACATTTGTTTAACTTTTTAAATTTTTGTAGGAACATAATATTGTTTACCTATTTATGGCATATATAGAATATTTTCATACAGGCATACAATTTGTAATCACATCAGAGTAAATGAGGTATTCATTACCTAATGCATTTTTTTTGTATTACAGACAATCCATTTAAACATTTTTAGTTATCTAAAAATGTACAAGTAAATTATTACTTGCTACAGAGGTTTTTTATCGTCTTGATAATAATTACATAGTAGTATAATAAATCTCACATTTCTAAGTCCTGAATGAATATTTTTAAAAATTTGTCATATATATTTTGAACAAGTGGACTCTCTGCCTGTAAACTCATGCAGACTGTTAGTTTTTACTTACATGATGCTAAATATACAAATATATTACTCTTAAGATAAACATTAGGTGTAAGAAAATTGTGGGGCAAGTAATTGTGTGTGAGAGTACCTATTTTCAGAAGACAAGCAATATTGGAACAAAATATCACTTTAATAAAGTGGACAAATCATTTACTAGAAAACCAGAAACCTCAGTGATTTTGAATAATATCTGTATTCTCTGCATTTTATTTAATTAATTACTGTGAAGTCTTATGGACTGTGTTTCCGAATCTTTCCATGCAAATTCTTTCTTTCATTTGCCTGGTACTCATGGTAGACTGATTTTTTTTTTCATATTTTTTGTGTTTATAATTTATTAAGTATTCATTATGTGAGTTGCTCAGATATTCTAAGAATTTTTATAAAATTTAGTAATGCATGCAAAATAATTTTTCAATGTTATTTCACAATGAGTGTATTAACTTATATTTCTTTTGTTGCTTTCTTTTTTCTTTTTTTTTTTTTTGAGATGGTGTCTTGCTCTGTCACCCAGGCTAGAGTGCAATGGTGGGATCTCAGCTCACTACACCCTCCACCTGCTGGGTTCAAGCAATTCTCTAGCCTCAGCCTCCTAAGTAGCTGGGACTACAGGCATGTGCCACCATGCCCAGCTAATGTTTTTGTATTTTTAGTAGAGACTGTGTTTCACTATACTGGCCAGAGTGGCCTTGAACTCCTGACCTCGTGGTCCACACACCTCATCCTCCCAAGGTGCTGGGATTACAGGCGTGAGCCACTGCATCTGACCAACTTATATTTCATTTAGTTAGAACATCCCATTTTGTTATTTTAATTGGAGAAACCTGTGTAAGCTAAGTTTCCTTATTGTTCCTTTTACTCTTTATAATTGACATAGGTGAATTTATTCATTCAGCCAATTTGTTTAAGTAAATACTGGGGAGGCTTCATAAGTCACAAAGATATTTTGATATGTAAATGTAGCAAACACAATGCTTGCTGTAATAGAGGCACCATTATTGGCCATAAATATTTCTGCTGGAGTTAGTTTGTAGCTCCAAGTAAAGATAAAGAAATATGCGTGGTGAAGAAATAAAATCGATTCTGTATGTGGAGAGGACGTTGTTCTTATGCTGCAAAACTGACTCTTTCTGAATTTAAAGAGACATTCTTCTTATTTTCTGATTATCTTTAGTTTTGTTTTTGTGTCTACTTATGTTTATCCCAACTGTGTATGCATCACAGCCCTTCTTTTTCTTCTTTGTGTTATGGCTACATTTTTATTGCTGTTTGTTTTGTGCCATGTCATTTCACACAGTACTTTGTAGGTTCTGATGAGAAGTTTGTCAATGTAACTTTCAGATCCGTTAATTGAGATAAAAGGCATCCGGTGTTCACAGGTGAGAGGAATAAATCAGTCAGAATTTCTTGTCTTTGTAAAACCAAACTTTTATTAAATTTTAACACAGTCTGTGTGTGGTGGCTCACGCCTGTAATCCCAGCACTTTGGGAGGCTGAGGTGGGAGAATCACTAAGTCAAGAGATTGAGACCTTCCTGGCCAATATGGTGAAACCCCATCTCTACTAAAAATACAAAAATTAGCTGGGCATGGTGGCATGCACCTGTTGACCTAGCCATTCAGGAGGCTGAGGCAGGAGAATCGCTTGAACCCAGGAGGCAGAGGTTGCAGTGAGCTGAGATCGCACCACTGCATTCCAGCCTGATGACAGAGCGAGACTTCATCTCAAAAAAAAACAAAATTAACACAATGTGTGGAAAATATAAAATTAGTTAGAAGATATGTCTTAGAAATTAAACTTTTAGAAGAGTTAATGGTAAGTGGAGAATGTTAAATTTTTTATTACATACTTACAGCTCAACTTAAGTTTTCATTCAGAATCTTTTATTTTGGTGTGAATGTTAAATATTCAAAAATAATAGAATGACACCTGTGGATTTCACATGTGAAGTAATCTTTTTCATATTAACATTAAAATCTTGAGGAATTTCTCACACTTGTATAATGTACTTTTTTATTGGGTGCAGTTTACAATTTAGAGGTTTCATTCTTTGTCACCTAACTAGTCAACTCCTTGGTCATTTTATCTGGAAAAATTTTAAGGATCATGTCATCTTTTGAGTTAAAAAATTTCTTCAGTGATCTGGGATGCAAACTTATTTACTCTCTTCAGAGTGGTTTAATCATGTGAACCACAGCAACACCTGCCCTTTTTGTGTCTTCCCTATCATTACCACCAGCACCAGAAACTCCAGGTGTCCCAAGCTCAAAGTAAAAGGCCTAAGGTACGTTGGCTTCTCCCATATTCTGTGCTGGGTCCCAAAAACATGGTGGTAAATATTAGAGTTCATATGGTCATGACTGACTAGGTGAAAAAACAGCACAAAAACTATGTATCTTTCATACTATTCAGACAGGTTTATGACAAAAACACAGAGTCAGAATTTGAACCTTTGTCATTTTTAATAGTTTTTATAAATATATTTTTAAATTCACTGATAAAATATGTATTTATTTTGTAAAATAGTATTTTGAAGTAAATATACATTGTCAATGCCTAATTTTAGGTAATTGTCAAGTGCTTTGCCTCACATAGTTACTTTTTGGTGCGAAGACAACATTTACTGTCTTAGCATTTTTTCAGAAACACAATACATGCATTATAATCTCTTGAACTTATTTTTCTTATCCAACTGTAATTATGTAATCAATATATGTTTTGTAGAATCCACATGTGAGTGAAATCATGAGATATTAACCTTTCTGTGCCTTATTTCAACAACTATAGTGTCCTTTAGGCTTATCTTTGTGATTAAAAATAAGATTTTTTGTTTAAAATATAGTATTCCATTGTATATATACACCATAGTGTGTGTATTTCCTCATTGGACGATGGACACATACGTTGATTCTATATTTTGGCTTCTGTAAAGTGTGCTGCAACAAACAGAATTGCAGATGTCTGTTCATCAATCTAGTTTCATTTGTTTTGTGATAGATATCCAGTAGTTCAATTACATGTTAGATTTTAATTGTTTTGCAAAATTTCTATTTTTCATAATGGCTGTTTTTATTTACATTGACACAAACAGTGTGAAAGCTTTCCTCTTTCTCTTTTTTCAAGTTTACCAACAATTTTTTTTAAACATTCTAACAGGAGTGAGTTTATATCTTAGAGTTGTTTTGGTTTGCCTTTCCTTGATGATAATTGACTGAGCCATATTCATCTATCTGCCAAGCTATAAGTATGTCTTTCTTTGAAAATTATTTATATAGATCTTTTGCTTATTTTTAATGGTTATTTGTTTTTTGTTTTATAGTCCTTTGAGTTTCTTATGTATTTTTGATATTAACTGCTTTTCACATGTATAATTTGCAAATATTTTCTTCCATTTTTCAGTTATGTCATTCTGCTGATTGTATCTGTTGGTGTGCAGCAGCTTCTTAATTTTAAGAAATCTGGTTTGTCTATTTCCCCCTAAAATTTTGAGGTTAAACCCAAGAGTCACTGCCCAGACCAATGTTATGGGGCATTCATTCTATATTTCCTCATCTTAGTTTTAGATTTTCAGGTCTCACATTTAAGTATCTAATTTGAGTTAATTTTTATATATGGTGTGAGATGAAGGTCTGATTTTATTATTTTGCATGTGGATATATATTTTCTCAACATCGTTTATAAAAGACTTTTTTTTTAAATTGTCATCTTTATTTACAATCAGTTGTCTGTAAATACATGAATTTATTTCTGGTCTTTCTCTTTTGCTCTATTGGCCTATGTGTCCATTTTTATGCAAGTAACACTCTGTTTTGATTACTGTAGCTTTGTTGGACATTTAAAAGTCAGAGTGATTCCTTCAGCCTTTTATTTTTCATTTTTTGCTTGATTTTCTTAGCTATTCAAGGTCTTTTGTGGGGCAATATACATTTTAGATTTTTTAAAAACACTTCTATGGAGAATTTAACTGGATTTTAATAGAAGTTTTATTATATCTGTATATCAGTTTGTGTAATGCAGTTATTTAACAATATTAATCGTGCCCATTTATGAATTAGAAATATCTTTTTGTTTGAATATTATTTATTTTCTAAATTCTTTTTTTTTTAGATTATAATGTACCGATCGTTCACCTTTTTGGTTACATTCATTTCTAAGTATAGTTACTGCTGCAATTATTGTAGATAGGATTGTTTTTTGGTTTTATTTTCAGATACTTTATTGTTAGTATATAGAAATATTACGGAATTTTTTTATGTTGATTTTGGATCCTGCAAGTTTAATAAATTTGTATATTCTAATAATTTTTTGTGAGGTCCTAGGTTTTTCTATACTTAAGATTATATCATCTGCAAGGAAACTATAATTTATCTTCTTCATTTTATTTAAGATTGCTTTGATTTTATTGAATATTTTTTCTGTCTTGGTCATTTTGTATTATGTTCAGTAAGATCGAAGAAATTGGGCCAGGCGTGGCGGCTCACACCTGTAATCCCAGCACTGTGGGAGGCGGAGGTGGGGGGATCACGAGGTCAGGAGATCAAGACCATTCTGGCTAACAAGGTGAAACCCCGTCTCTACTAAAAATACAAAAATTAGGCAGGCGTGGTGGCACGCACCTGTAGTCCCAGCTACTCAGGAGGCTGAGGCAGAAGAATGGTGTGAAACTGGGAGGCAGAGCTTGCAGTGAGCCAAGATTGCACCACTGCACTCCAGCCTAGGCAACAGAGCAAGACTCCATCTCAAAAAAAAAAAAAAAAAAAAAGATTGGAGAAATTGGACATCCTTGTCTTGTTCTAGCTCTTAGAGAAAAGGCTTACAGTTTTTCCTTATTTAGTATGTTGTTAGGTGTGCATTGTTGTTAATGACATTACCTTGAATTGCATTTATTTTATAACTAGTTCAAGAGATTTATTATGAGGAGATATTGAATTTTGTTACACTTTCATTATGCATCTATTTGAATGTTACAGTTGTGACAGCCAATCCCACAAAAATACAAAAGATGCTTGCAGACTACTATAAATATCTGTGTGCACACCAACTAGAAAATCTAGAGGAAATGAATAAACTCTTAGAAACATACAACCTCCCAAGATTGAATCAGGAATAAACAGAAGTCTTCAAGAAACCAAAAATGTGTAAGTAAATTGAATTGGTGATAAAAAAAATCTACCAATTATAAAAAGTACTAAACCAGATGCATTCATAGCATGATTTTATCACATATACAAAAATGAGTTGGCTGTAATTCTACAGAAATTATTCCAAAAAATCAAAGTGGGACTCCATCCTAATTAATTCTATCATATAATATCACTGTCATCTTGATATATTAACCTAGTAAAGACACAACAAAAAAAATTACAGGCCAATGTCCCTGATGAATACAGACCCAAAAATTATTCATGAAATGCTTGCAAACTGAGTCAGGAAATCAAAGTTATTTCACTGCAACTATGTGGACATTATTCTGTGAATGCAGGAATGTTTTAACGTGCAATCTATAAATGCGATTCAACATATAAAAATAATTAAAAAACAAAACCACATTATCTCAATAGATGTGGAAATAGCAATTAATAAAATGTAATATCTATTTATGAAAAAAATTCTCAAAAAACTAGGCATTGAAGGAACATACCTCAAAATAATAACAGCCATATAAGACAAATCCTCAGCCAACATCATACTGAACAGGTGAAAGATTAATGCATCTTTCCTAAAAATTGAAATAAGAAAAGAATGTGCACTTTCACCACTCCTATTCAACATAGTTCTGAAGGTTTTAGCCAGAACAATCAGGCAAGATAAAGAAAGAAAAACACTCAAATAAGAAAAGAGGAAGTCAACTTATCTGTCTTTACTGATGATATAACTGTCTACCTACTTCAAAGACTCCTCCAAAAGACTCTTAAGCCTAATAAAAGACTTCTGCAAAATCTCAGGGCAACAACAACAAAAAGCAAAACAACATTCAAAAATGAGGAACATTTCTATACACCAGTAACACTTAAACAGAGCAAAATTAAGAACACAATCTAGTTTACAATAGCCAGAAACAAAAAATAAAATAGTGATCCATTAAACAAAGGAGGTTAAATATCTCTACTAGAAGAACTACAAACCACTACTGAAAGAAATCAGACACAGTGCAAGTAAGTGGAATAGTATTTCATGCTAATGGATTAGAATTATTAAAAAGTTCATACTGCCCAAAACAATCAACAGTTTATTTCTATTTCTATCACTCTACCAATGCCATTTTTAAATAAAATTAGTCAAAAAACTATTCTAAAATTTATATGAAAACAAAAAAGCTCAAATAGCCAAGGCTATACTAAACAAAAAGAATAAACCTGGTGACATTATGTTACCAAACTTCAAACTTTACCACAAGCTACGGTAACCAATATAATATGGATGCAGATACACACACACACACACACACACACACACACACACACACACACACACACCCTTACGGAACAGAAGAGAGCACTGAAATGAAGCTGAACTCTTAAAATTAATTGATTTTTGACAGCATCAACAAAAACAAATGGAAAGAACTCCCTACCCAAAAAAAGGTGCTGGAAAAACTGGTTAGTCATATGCAGAAGAGGAAATCGCAACACCTACTTCTCATGATACAGAAAATTAAATCAAGATACATTAAAGACTTATCTGTAAGTGTTCAACCTATAAAAGTCCTAGAAGAACACCTAGAAAATTCTCTCCTTGGCGTTGGTCTCTGTAAAGAATTAATGACTACATCCTCAAAAGTGAAAGCAACAAAAATAAAAATTAAAAATTGTGACCTGTACAGCAAGAGAAACTATTAACAAAATAAACAGACAACGTACAGTATGGGCTAAAATACGTGTAAACTGCATACAATAAATAACTAATATATACATTTTATAAGGAATTTAAGAAAAAATGTTGACAAAAATGTGAACATATACTTTTAAAAGAAAGACAAAAAAAGCAGCCAACAAACATATGAAAAATTGATCAACATTTCTAATGATTAGAGAGATGTAAATCCAAACCACAATGTGATACCATCTCACCCCAGTCTAAATGGCTATTATTAAAAAGTAAAAAAAAAAAAGTTAAAATTATGTAGAAAAGAGAACCCTGATATACTCTTAGTGGGAATGCAAGTTAGTTCACCTCCTGTAGAATGCATTTTGGGGATTTCTCAAAGGACTAAAACTAAAGTTACCATTTGACCCAGCAGCTTCAGTACTGGGCATATACCTCAATACAATACAAATAAATTATTCTACCAAAAATACACCTGCACTCGTATGTTTATTGCAGCACTAGTCACAATAGTAAAGACATGGAATGAAACCATGTGCTCATAAATCTTAAGATGGATTTTAAAAATTAGGTAATTACACACCATCCAATACTATGCAGCCACTGAAGAAGAATCATGTAATACTCTTTGCAGCAACATGGATGCAGCTCAAGGTCATGATCCTAAGCAAATTAACACAGAACAGAAAACCAAATACTACATTTTCTCACTTATAAGTGGAAGCTAAACATTGGGTACACATGGAAGCAAAGATGAGAAAAATAAACACTAAGGATTCGAAAATGGAGGGAGAAGGGGTACAAGGGTTAAAAAGTACTTGTCATGTATAATGTACACTACTTGGGCAATGGGATTATTAATTGCCTAAACCTCAACGTCATGCAGTATACCTATGTTACAAATCTGCACGTGTATCCTTGAATCCAAAATACAAATAATAAAATACTTTGTGATATAATGCCATGTTAGATTTCTCCAGTTTTGGTTAATGGTTGGAATTAAGGGTGGAAGACATAGAATTTTGTCCCCTTTAGACATAGGGGTGAATGTTTCTATAACAGGTCTCCTGACATCCTATAAGCTATTTTCTCTGAAAGCTCTCGGCCTTAGTTTTGAGTGTGCAGCTAAAATAAATGACTGTACATCAAGCTTGTCCAACTCATGGCCTACGCTCCATGTGGCCCAATATGGCTTTCAGTGCAGCCCTAAACAAATCAGAAACTTTCTAAAAGCATTATGAGTTTTTTGTGATTTTTTAAATCATCATTGGTGTATTTTATGTATGGCTCAAGACAACTCTTCTAGTGTGTCCCAGGGAAGCCAAAAGATTGGACACCCCAGCTCTACATCTTTATTTTTCATCTATTTACAGTGCACTAGGTGATAGTGTTTATTTATTACTCTACTCCTTTGGGAAAAAAAGATGGTCAGTGGTTTAAGTTTTTTTAGAACCACTTTTGAAAATATGAAGCTATGGTAATTATACCTAAGTGACATAATTAGGAAATAAAATTTCTAGAAAAAGCATGAAAGCGTTATGGTTAAAGTTCAAGAACAATGAAACGGGAGTATTGGTTATTTAAGACAACAGTCCTGCAAAGGCAATCATTTCATCACAGCCATTTTGGTGAAAAAGAATAATGTGTCAGAAGGAATTTTTAGAATAATTTTCTGATTATATGGCACTGTTAAATTTTTATTTGTATTATTTGTCATATATAAGTCTGTAAATCAAAAAGAAGATGGCATGACTTTCAGATGAATCTTTTCACACATATATTCTCCCTAGAAGGGCACTGGTGTGTTTTTCAAAAGGGGTAGCATTGCTGGCCTTTGTTGGTGCTGCTATGTTTGTGTGCTAAATGAAGGCAGAAAGTGAAGATGAGTCAACTAGGATGTTTCTAGTTTCTACATCCACATCATCTGAAATCTAGTGTTATGTCAACTAGAAATAATCCTGAGGCTAAGTATTTTAAAACTGAAAAAAAATGCATTGATAAATATATTTTTAGTTTATTTTTATAGTTTATAAAATTTTATAGTTTCTGACTTATTATAAGTGAAAACAATTTGAACATGCAGATAACTAAAAGTTCCATCTAGATGATGGTATTAATATTTAATAACATGATTATGAGCCACAATTGCCCCCTTTGGCTTACTGAAAAGCAGTATTTTAAATGGAGAATAGGATTTCCATAATTCCAAGCCTACAGATCTTTTAAGATAAGCAGTATGCTTAGATTTGAATAGATTGTGTTTGTAGTAACAGGAACTTTAATGTTTTTCTAATAGGACCAAAAAAAAGCAATAAAAATAGGTAGTTAAAATTAGTTCAAAAGAAACTTCACATGTGGTCATTAAAGGGGTAGCTGGGATTACAGGCATGTGCCACCATGCCGTTAATTTTATATTTTTAGTAGAGATGGGGTTTCACCAGGTTTATTAGGCTAGTCTCGAATGCCTGACTTAAGGTGATCCCCCAACCTCAGCCTCCCAAAGTGCTGGGATTACAGGCGTGAGCCACCGTGCATGGCAGGAAAAAGTATTCTTATGTTACTGTTTCTGAAACTTTCAGAAACTTTAGTCGACTCAGTGGATGATGATGTACATGCAGACCACAAATTATAAATAAAATAATAGGCTCCTTTTAGCTTTTAATATTAAAACTAAATATATGTCAAAAGTAAAATTAGTGGCGCTTTTAAGTCATGAGAAGAATGTCAGTGTTAGAAAGCCTTTACCAAAATATTTGTGTTAGGCTTAGTAATGAGTGCTTTGCACCAAAAATTAAGTTCATTTTTTTTTACATCTGTCTTTTTTCTTTTTTTGTTATTTCTAGAAGTATTTTAATTTTAAAATGTAAACTATGACTGTGTTAAATGCCTTCATTTCTATGCCTTTTTGTTAATATTTTGCCTGACTGAGAAGATGAGTTTTTAAAAAAATTTTCTTGAATCAAGACCATTAATTAACATAGAGACAAAATAGTAATGAAAATCGACCTTGATTAGTAAAACAACTATCTAGCTCCTAGTAATCCTTACCTGTCTCACTCAACATAAAGTCTACATCTTTGCATCTCTCTTAGTGATAAGGAAGTGGCATTTGATCAAATTGGTCAGCACGACATTGGGTAAAATGTAATTATGTTTTGGTCTGACAGTTGAACTGATTTATTACCAAAGAAGTTGATTTTTTTTGTATGTGATATTTTACTCTTTTCTATTTATTTAGGGAAACTAAACTGACAAAGCATGAAATTGAAATTTTATTTCAAATGGAAAATGCTTAAACATTTTTTATAGTAACTAAAGCTAAAAATATTTTTGGATTTTTAAATTAAAGAACATCTCAAGTACTTCAAGTTACCTTCCCCTGACAGTAGATTATATTTTACTTTATTGCTAAAATGGAGTTTGGCTGTCTTTTTTGACTGTATTCATCATTTTCATTTTATTTTTTTGTGCAATATTTGCGTCATGCATTTCACACTTTAATAGTTGTAGTTCATGCGATGTGATTTTCAAACAATTGTCCTATTTACATGGCAAGCCATCTGCTTAATCAGCAGTCACTTTATTTTCAGTCTTTTCAAAGCCACTTTGCCTGAAAAGCAAAGAGACAATTCAACCCAGTGTGCCACGCTGGTCCCCTCCAGTGACCATCTATTCAAATTCACACAGGTGATCTTTTGGTGAAGGAAGGAAGGTGCACTTCAACAGCATTGTCACAGCAATGTGGAACAGATATTATAAAATACAAGACGAAACATTGCCTTCAAGGAAAAAAAGTTGATTTTTCTTATTCTGTGTACATGAGTATCTGATGGTTGTAAGTTTGAGAATAAAGAGTAAAGTTGGGCCAGGCGAGGTGTCTCACGCCTGTAATGCCAGCACTTTGGGAGGCCAAGGCGGGTGGATCACAAGGTCAGGAGATCGAGACCATCTTGGCTAACATGGTGAAAGCCCATCTCTACTAAAAAATACAAAAAATTAACCAGGCGTCATGGCGGACGCCTGTAGTCCCAGCTACTTGGGAGGCTGAGGCAGGGGAATGTGTGAACCCAGGAGGCGGATCTTGCAGTGAGCCAAAATTGCGCCCCTGCACTCCAGCCTGGGTGACCCAAAGCCCTCTAAATACACACTTGCAAATTCTACAAAAAGAGTGTTTCATATCTGCTCTGTCAAAAGAAAGGTTAAACTCTGTGAGTTGAATGCAAACATCACAAATTCGTTTCTGAGAACGCTTCTGTCTAGTTTTTATGGTAAGATATTTCCTTTTCTACCATAGGCCACAAAGCCCTCTATATACACCCTTGCAAATTCTACAAAAAAAGTGTTTCATAACTGCTCTATCAAAAGAAAGGTTAAACTCTGTGAGTTGAACGCACACATCACAACGTGGTTTCTGAGAGTGATTCTGTCTAGTTTTTATACGAAGATATTTCGTTTTCTACCATAGGCTTCAAAGCACTCTAAGTATACACTTGGAAGTTCTACAAAAAGGGTGTTTCAAAACTGCTTTTTCGAAAGTAAGGTTCAACTCTGTGAGTTGAATGCACACATCCCAAAGAAGTTTCTCAGAATACTTCTGTCTTGTTTTATATGAAAAATTCCCGTTTCCAACGAAGGCCTCAAAGAGGTCCAAATATCCACTTGCAGACTTTAGAAACAGAGTGCTTCATAACTGTTCTATCAAAAGAAAGGTTAAATTCTGTGAGTTGAACGTCCACATCACAAAGTAGTTTCTGAGAATGAATCCGTCTAGTTTTTATATGAAGATATTTCCTTTTCTACCATAGGCCTCAAAGTGCTTTAAATATCCACTTGCAAATTCTACAAAAAGAGTGTTTCTAAACTGCTCTATCAAAAGAAAGGTTAAACTTTGTGAGTTGGATGCACACATCGCAAAGCGGTTTCTGAGAATGATTCTGTCTAGTTTTTATATGAAGATATTTCGTTTTCTACCATAGGCTTCAAAGCACTCTAAATACGCACCTGGAAATTCTACAAAAAGAATGTGTCAAAACTGTTCTATCGAAAGGAATGTTCAACACTGTGAGTTCAATGCACACATCACAAAGAAGTTTCTCAGAATTCTTCTGTCTAGTTTTACATGAAGAAATCCCGTTTCCAACGAAGGCCTCAAAGAGGTCCAAATATACACTTGCAGACTTTACAAACGGTGGCTCAAAGTGGCTATATCAAAAGAAAGGTTAAACTCTGTGAGTTGAACACACACAGCACAAAGCAGTTTCTGAGAATGATTCTGTCTGGTTTTTACACGAAGATATTCACTATTCTGCCATAAGTCTCAAAGCTCTTCAAATCTCCACTTACAAATTCTACAAAAAGAGAATGCAATGGAATGCAATGGAGATGAGTGGAATGGATTGAAATGGAATGGACTCGAATGGAGTGGAATGGAATGGAATGGACTCGAAAGGAATGGAAACGACTTGAATGGAATGGAATGGACTCGAATTTAATGGAATGGAATGGAATGAAATGAACACAAATGGATAGGAATGGACCCAAATAGAATGGAATGGAATTTAATGGAACGGACAATAATGGAATGGAATGGAATGGAATGGAATGGAATGGAATGGATTCAAATGGAAAAGAATTCAACAAACCCTAATGGAGTGGAATGCAAAGAATGGTTTCAAATGTAATGGAATTGAATGGACTCGAATGGAATGGAATGGAATTGAATGGTCTCGAAAGGAATGGAATGAAATGCAACGGAATGGACTCCAAAGGATTGGCATGGTGTTGACTAGAATGGAATTGAATGGAATGGACCGGAATGGAATGGATTGGAATGGAATGGACTCGAATGGAATGGAATGCTACGGATTTGACTTGAATGGAATGCAATGGAATGGATTCCAAAGGAATGTAATGGAAGGGAATGGAACGGAATGGACTCGAATGGAATGGAATGGGATAGAATGGAATGGAATGGAATGGAATGGAATGGCATGGATTCGAATGGAATGTAATGGAATGGAATACAAAGGACTCAAGTGGAATGGAATGGAAAGGAATGGACTCGAATGGAATGGAATGGAATGGAATGGAATTGAATGGAAAGGAATGGATTAGAATGAAATAGAATGGAATCTATTAGAATGGAATGGAGTGGAATGGAATCAAATGGAAAGGAATGGACACAAATGTAAAGGAATGGACTCGAATGGATTGGAATGGAATGGAGTCAAATGGAATTGAATGGAAAGGAATGGACTTGAATGGAATGGAAGGGACTCGAATGGAATGGAATGGAAGGGAATCCACTCGAATTGAATGGAATGTAATGGACTCGAATGGAATGGAATGGACCAAAATGCAATGGAACTGAATGGACCCGGATGGAATGGAATGGAATGGAATGGATACGAATGGAATGGATGGAATGGAATGGAATGGACTCGAATGGAATGGAATGGAATGGCATGGACTCGAATGGAATGGAATGGAAGGGACTCAAATGGAATGGAATGGAATGGAATTTTCTCAAATGGAATGGACTGGAATCAAATAGAATAGATTGCAATGGAATGGAATGGACCTGAATGGAATGTAATGGACTGGAATGGACTTGAATGGTAGAGAATGGAATTTAATGGAATGGACTTGAAGGTAATGGAATGGAATGAACAGAAATGGAATGGAATGGACTCGAATAGGATGGAATGGAATTTAATGGAATGGACACTAATGGAATGGAATCTAAAGGAATGGAATGGAATGGATTCAAATGGAATAGAATTCAATGGACTCTAATGGAGTGGAATGCAAAGGAATGTTCTCGAATGTAATGGTATGGAATGGACTCGAATGGAATGGAATGGAATTGAATGGTATCGAAAGGAATGCAATGAAATGCAATGGAATGGACTCCAAAGGATTGGAATTAACTCGAATGGAATTGAATGGAATGGACCAGAATGGAATGGAATGGACTCGAATGGACTGGAATACTATGGACTAGAGTGGAATGGAATGGAATGGATTCGAATGGAAAGTAATGGAATAGAATGGAAAGCAATGGACTCGAATGGAATGGAATGGAATGGAATGGAACGAAATGGAATGGAATGGAATGGACTAGAGTGGAATGAAATGGAATGGAATAGAAAGGACTCAAGTGGAATGGAATGGAATGACATGGACTAGAGTGGAATGAAATGGAATGGAATAGAAAGGACTCAAGTGGAATGGAATGGAAAGGAATGGACTCAAATGGAATGGAAAGGAATGGAATGGAATGGAAAAGAATGGAATGGAATGGACACGAATGGAATGGATTTGAATGGAATGGAATGGAATGGAATGAAATGGAATGGAATGGACACGAATGGGATGGAATGGAATGGATTGGAATGGAATGGAATGGACTCTAGTAGAATGGAATGGAGGAGAATGGACTTGAATGGAATGGAATGGACTTGAATGGAAAGGAATGGACTCAATTGGATTTGAAAGGAAAGGAGTCAAATGGAAAGGAATGGAATTGTATGTACTTGAATGGAAAGGAATGGATTTGAATGTACTTGAATGGAATGGAATGGACTTGGATGGAAAGGAATGGACTCGAATGGAATGGAATGGACTCGAATGGAATGGAATGGAATGGACTCGAATGCAACTGAATGCAAAGGACTTGAGTGGAATGGAATGGAATGCAATGGACTTGAATGGAAAGGAATGGAATGGAAAGGAGTGGACACGAATGGAAAGGAATGCAATGGAATGGTGTCGAATTGAATGGAATTTAATGGAATACAATGGAATGGAATGGAATGGACTCAAATGGAATGCAATGGATTGGAAAGGACACGAATGGATTGGAAAGAATGATCTCCATTGGTATAGAATTGAATGGACTCGAATGGAATGGAATTTAATGGACTCGAATGGAATGGAATGCAATGGAATGGATTCGAATGGAATGGAATGAAAGTACATGGACTCGAATGGAATGGAAAGGGATGGACTCGAATGGAAATGAGTAGAATGAAATCGACTAGAATGGAATGGAATGGAATGGACTCGAATGCAATGGAATGGACACGAATGAAATGGAATGGAATGGAACGTACTCGATTGGAATAGAGTGGAATTTAATGCAATGGACCTAATGGAATGGAAGGGAAAGGACTCGAAAGGTATAGAATGGAATAGAATCAAATGGAATGGAATGCAATAGAATGGATTCGAATTGAATGGAATGAACTCGAATGGAATGGAATGAAATGGATTTGACTCGAGTTGAATGGAATGGAATGGAATGGACTCGAATGAATGGAATGCAATGTAACGGAATCGAGTGGAATGGAATGGAATTTACCAGAATGGAATAGAATGGAATGGAATGGAATGGAATGGAATGGAATTGAATGGAATGCAATGGACTCGAAAGGAAAGGAATGGAATGAAATGGACTCGAATGAAATGGAATGGAATTTACTCAAATGGAATGGAAAGGACTCGAATGGAATTCAATGGAATGGACCTGAATGGAATGGAATGGAATGGAAATGAATTCAATGGAATGGAATGGCATGGAAAGCAATGGAATGGACTCGAATGGAATGGAATGGACTCGAATGGAATGGAATGGTCTCGATCAGAATGGAATGGAGCAGAATTTACTTGAATGGATTGGAATGCAATCGAATGGAATGGTAGGGACTCGAATGGATTGGAATGGAATGGAATGGACTCGAATGTAATGGAATGGAGTGGAATAGAATGGAATGGAGTTGAATGGACTTGAATGGAATCGAATGAAATGGAATGGTTTCGAACGGAATGGAATGGAATGTACTCGAATGAAATGTTTTGGAATGGAATGGACTCGAGTGGAATGGAATAGAATGGACACAAATGGAATAGAATGGAATGGAAAGAACTGGAATGGAATGAAATGCACTCTAATGAAATGTTTTGGAATGGAATGGACTCGAATGGAATGGAATAGAATGGGCACAAATGGAATAGAATGGAATGGAAAGGACTGGAATGGAATGCAATGCAATGGAATCGCATGGAATGAAATGGAATAGAATGGACTCAAATGGAATGGAATGTGCTAGAATGTACTAGAATTGAATGGAAAGGAGTGGACTCGAATGGAATGGAATGGAATCAAATGAAATGATGTGTAATGGAATGGACTCGAATGGAATGGACTCGAATGCATTGGAATGGAATTGAATGGAATGGAAAGGAATGGACCCTAATGGAATGGAATGGAATTGAATGGAATGGAAGGAAATGGAATGGAATGGACTTGAATTGAATAGAATGGAACGGAGTGGAATGGACTCGAAGAGAATGGAATGACATGGAATGGACTCGATTGGAATTGAATGGAATGTACCCAAAAGGAACGGAATGGAATGGAATGGAATGGAAAGGACTCGAAGGC
Organism: Homo sapiens; assembly: GCF_000001405.40. NCBI lineage: Eukaryota > Metazoa > Chordata > Mammalia > Primates > Hominidae > Homo > Homo sapiens. Next base: position 42,317,596 of record NC_000010.11, on the reverse strand, counting down.
AACAGAATGTAACGAACTGGAATGGAATGGATTTGAATGGAAGGGACTAGAATGGAATTTAATGGAATGGACAGGAATGGAATGGAATGCAATGGAATGGAATGGAATGGAATGGAATGGACTCGAAAGGAATGGAATGGAATTTAACAGAATGGACTCTAATAGAATGGAATGTAAAATGCACTCGAATGGAATACAATGGATTTTAATGGAATTCACTCTAATGGAATGGAATGGAATGGACTCAAATGTAATATTGTGGAATGGACTCGAATGGAATGTTATGGAATGGACTCGAATTGGGTGGAATGGAATGGACTCGAAGGGAATGGATTGAAATTGAATGGACTCAAAAAGAATGGAATGGAATGCAATGGACTGGACTCGAATGGAAGGGAATGGAATGGATTCGAATGGTTGGGAATGCAATGCAATGGACTCGAATGCAATGGAATGGAATGGATTCGAATGGTTGGGAATGCAATGCAATGGACTCGAATGCAATGGAATGGAGTTGACTCAAATGGAATTGAATGGAATGGACCCAAATGGAATGCAATGGAATGGAATGGACTCGAATGGAATGGAATGCAGTGGCATTTGCAAGAATGGAATGGAATTGGATGGATTGGATTCAAACGGAATAGAATGGAGTGGACTCAAATGACATGGGTTGGAATGGAATGGAATGGAATGGAATGGACTCAAATGGAAGAGAATAGAATGGAATGGACTCGAATGGAAAGGAATGTAATGGAATCGAATGGAATGGAATGTAATGGAATCAAATTGAACAGAATTGAATGGAATGGACTGGAATGGAATGAAATGGAATGGAATCGAATGGAATGTAATTTACTCGAATGGAATGGAATGGACTCAAATGGAATAGAATGGAATGGAATGGAGTGGACTAGAATGTAATGGAATGGAATGGATTTGAAAGGAATAGAAGGGAATGGAATTGAAAGGAATGGAGTGGAATGGAATGGAATCGAATGAGATGAACACGAAAGCAATGGAATGGACTCGAACGGAGGGAAAGGAATGGACTCGAATGGACTGGACTGGAATGGAATGGAATGGAATGGACTGGAATGGAACAGAATGAAATGCAGTGGAATGGACATGAATGGAATATAATCAAATGGAATGAAATGGATTCGAAGTGAATGGAATGGAGTGGACTCGAATGGAATGAAATGGAATTGAATGGACTTGAATTGAACGGAATGTAATGTTATGGAATAGAATAGAATGGATTGGAATGTAACGGAATGAAATGGAGTCGAATTGAATTGAATGGAATGGAATGCACATGAATGGAATGGAATGGCATGGAATGGAATAGAATGGAATGGAATAGACTAAAATGGAATGGAATGGAATCGAATGGACTAGAAAGGAATTTAATGGAATGGAATGGTATGGTCTCGAATGGAATGGAATGGACTCGGATGGACTGGAATGGACTAGAAACTAATGGAATGGAATTGAAACAAAGTGAGTAGAATGGAATGGAATGGAATGGAGACGAACGTAATGTAATGTAATGTAATGGAATGGAATGGACTCGAATGGAATGGAATGGAATGGAACTGAAAGGAATGTAATGTAATGGAATGGAATGGACTCGAATGGAATGGAATGGAATGGAACTGAAAGGAATGAAATGGAATGGAATGGAAAGGACTCGAATGGAATGGAGTGGAATGGACCCGAATGGAATGGAATAGAATGGACTCGAATTGAATGGAATGGAATGGACACGAATGGAATGGAATGGACCTGAATGGAATGGAATGGACTCGAATGGAATGGAATGGACTCAAATGGTATACTAGGGAATTTAATGGAATTTACTCTAATGGAATGGAATGGAGTGCACTCGAATGAAATAAAGTGGACTGGAATTGAATGGAAAGGAATGTAATGGAATGGACTCGAATGGAATTGAATGGAATTGACTCAAATGGAATTGAATAGAATGGACTCGAATGGAATGGAATGGAAAGGAATGGAATGGCAAGAAATGGAATAGACTCGAATGGAAAGGAAAGGTATGGAGTGTATTCGAATGGAATGGAATGGAACAGACCTGAAAGGAATGGGTTGGAAAGGAATGCTCTCAAATGGAATGGAAAGGAATGGAGTCAAAAGGAGTAGCATGGAATGGAATGGACTAGAATGAATGCAATGGAAGGGAAAGGACTCCAATGGAATGGAGCGGACTCGAACAGAATTACATGGAATAGACTCGAGTGGAAAGGAATGGAATGGAATATACTCGAATGGAATAGAATGGAATGGACTCGAATGGAATGGAATAGAATGCACACGAATGGAATAGAATGGAGCAGACTTGAATGGAATGGAGAGCAATGGAATGGACTCACATTGAATGGAGTGGAATGGAATGGAATGGAAAAGAATGGAATGGAATGGAATGGAATGGCATGGAATTGACTCAAATGGAATGGAATGGTATAGAATGGAACAGAAGGGAATGGCATTTATTCGAATGGAATGGAATGCAATGGAATGGAATGGAATGGACTCAAATAGAATGGAATGGAATGGACTTGAAAGGAATGGATTGGATTGGAATGGACTCGAATGGAATGGAATGGAATACACTCCAACTGAGTAGAGTGGAATGGACCCGAATGGAATGGAATGCAATGCAATGGACTCTAATGGAATGGAATGGAATGGACTCGAAGGGAATGGAATGGAATTGAACAGACTCAAAAAGAATGGATTGGAATGAGATGGAATGGACTGGAATGGAATGGAATGGAATTGACTCGAATGGAATTGAATGGGAAGGACCCGAATGGAATAGTGTGGAATGCAATGGAATCGAATGCAATGGAATGGGGTGGAATGGACTCGAATGGAATGGAATGGATTCGAACGGAATGGAATGGAGTGGACTCGAATGGAATGGAATTTAATGGAATGGAATTTAATGGAATGGACCCGAATGGAATGGAATCAAATCGAATGGAATGGAATGGAATGGAGTGGAATGGACTCGAATGGAATAGATTGGAATGGAATGGAGCCGAATGGAATGCAATGTAATGGAATGGAAAGGAATGAACTTGAATGGAATGCAGTTGACTGGAATGGACTCGAAAGGAATGGAATGGAAAGGAATGGAATGGTATGGAATGGAATGGAATGGACTCGAATGGAATGGAATGGAGTCAAATGGAATGCAATGGAATGGAATGCACTCTAGTGGAATGGAATGGAATGGAGTGGACTCGAATGAAATGGAATACAATGGAATGGATTCGAATGGTATGGAATGGAGTGGACCAGAATGTAATGGAATGGAAAGTAATGGAATGAACTGGAATGAAATAGAATGGAAAGGAATGGACTCGAATGACATGGAATGGAATGGAAAGGACTCGAAGGGCATGGAATGGAATGGTCTCGAATGGAATGGAATGGAATGGTAAGGACTCGAATGGAATGGAATTAAGTGACTTGGATTCCAATGGAATAGAATGGAAGTACCCGAATGGAATAGATTGGAATGGAATGGAATGGAACGGAATCGAATGTAATGGCATGGAATGGAATGGACTCGAATGTAATGGGCTGGAATGGAATGGATTCGAATGGAATGGAATGGAAAGGAATGAACTCCAGTGGAATTGAATGCAATGGACACTAATGCAATAGAATGGAATGGACTCTAATGGAATGGAATGCAATGGATTAGAATGGAATGGAGTGGAATTCAGTGGACTCGAAAGGAATGGAATGTAACGGAATGGAATAGACTCGAATGGAATGGAAGGTAACGGAAAGGAATTGACACGAATGAAATGGAAGGTAATGGAATGAAATGGACTCGAATGAAATGGAACAAATGGACTCGAATGCAATGGAATGTAATGGAATGGAATGGAACAGAATAGAGTTGAATAGAAGGCAGTTGAATGGAATGGACTCAAAAGGAATGGAATGGAAAGGAATGGAATGGAATGGAATGGATTCGAATGGAATGGAAGGGACTCAAATGGAATGGAATAGAATTGACTCAAGTGGAATGGAATGAAATGGAGTGGACTCGAATTAAAGAGAATGCAATGGAATGTACTCGAATGGAATGGAATGGATTAGACTTGAATGGATTGAATGGAAAGGAACGGACTGGCCTAGAGTGGAGTGGAATGGAATGGACTCGAAGGGAATGGAATGGAATGGACTTGAATGGAATGGACTGGAAGGGAATGGAGTGGAATCGACTAAGGTGGAATGGAATGGAAAAGAGTGGACTCGAATGAAAGGGAACGCAAAGAAATGGAATCGAATGGAATGAAAAGGAATGGACCCAAATGTAATGGAAGGGAATGGAATAGAATGGACTCGAATGAAATGGAATGGAAAGGAATGGACTGGAATGGAATGGAATGGACTAGAAGGGAATGGAATGGAATGGACTCGAATGGAATGGAATGGACTCCAACGGAATGGAATGGAATGTAACCGAATGGAATGGATTGGAATGGTATGGACTCCAATGGAAAGGCATGGAATGGAATGGCATGGAATGGAACGGACTCAAATGTAATGGGATGGAATGGAATGTATTCAAATGGAATGGAATGCAAAGGAATTTACTCCAATGGAAAGGAATGGAATGGACCAGAAAGCAATGGAACGGAATTGAATGGAATGGAATGGTATGGACTCGAATGGAATGGAATGGTATTGAATGAAATGGACTTGAATGGAATGGAATGGACTTGAATGGAATAGAATAGAATGAAATGGAATGTATTCGAATGGAATGGAATGGAATGGAATGGAATGAACACGAATGGAATGGAATGGAATGGACTCAAATGGAATGGAATGAAATGGAATGGACTCGAATGGAATTGAATGGAACGGAATGGAAAAGAATGGACTCGAATGGAATTGAATGGAATGGAATGAAAAGAATGGACTCGAATGGAATGCAATTGATTGGAATGGACTCGAAAGGAAAGGAATGGAATGTTATGGAATGTAATGGAGTGGAACGGAATGGAATAGAATGGAATGGACTCGAATGGAATGCAATGGAATGGAATCGACCCTAGTGAAATGGAATGGAATGGATTGGACTTGAATGAAATGAAATGCAAAGGAATGGACTTGAAAGGAATGGAATGAACCCGAATGTAATGGAATGGAAAGGAATGGAATGGACTCAAATGAAATGAAATGGAAAGGAATGGACTCGAATGGCATGGAATGGAATGGAATGGAATGTACTCGAAGGGAATGGAATGGAATGGACTTGAATGGAATGGAATGGACTGGTAAGGAATCAAATGGAATAGAATTGAATGGAATGGACTCCAATGGAATGGAATGGAAGTACCCAAATGGAATGGATTGGAATGGAATGGAATGGAATAGATTGTAACGGCATGGAATGGAATGGACTCGAATGTAATGGGATGGAATGGAATGGACTGGAATGGAATGGAATGGAAAGGAATGGACTCCAATGGAATAGAATGGAATGGACCGAATGGAATGGAGTCGAATGGATGGAATGGAATATAATGGAATGAAATGGACAAGAATGGAATGGAATTGTATGGAATGGAATGGACTTGAATGGAATAGAATGGAATGAAAGGGAATGTACTCGAATGGAATGGAATGTAATGGAAGTGAATGGAATGGATTGAAGTCGAATGGAATGGAATGGAATGGCATGGACTCGAATGCATTGGAATGGATTGGAATGGAATTGAATGGAATTGAATGGAGTGGAATGGAAAGGATTGGACTCGAATTGAATGGAATGGACTCAAATGGAATGGACTGGACACGAATGGAATGGAATGGATTTCAATGGAATGGACTAGAATGCAATGGAATGGAATGTTATGGAAAGGAGTTTAATGCAATAGAATGGAATGGAATGGATTGGTATTGAATGGAATTGAATGGAATGGACTCGAATAGAATATAATGGACTCAAATGGAATGCAGTGGAATGGAACGGAGTTGAATGCAATAGAATGGAATTTACCAGATTGGACTCTAAGGGAATGGATTCTAATGGAAAGGAATGCAATGGATTCGAATGGAATATAATGGAATGGAATGGAATGGAATGGAATAGAATGGAATGAAATGGACTGGAATGGAATGGAATGAATGGAATGGAATGGAATGGACTCGAAAGAAACGGAATGGAATGGACACAAATGGAATGGAATGGAATGGACTCGAATGGAATGGAATGGAATGGAATGGACTCAAATGGAATGAAGTGAAATGGACTTGAGATGAATGCAATGGAAAGGAATGGATTCGAGTGGAATGGAATGGAATGGAATTCACTCAGTGGAATTGAATGGAATGGACTCGAATACAATGGAATGGATTGGAATTCACTTGAATGGAATAGAATGGAATGGAGTCGAATGTAATGGAATGGACGCGAATGGAATGGAATGGACTCGAATGGAATAAAGTGGAATAGACTCGAATGGAATGGAATGCAATGGAATGGACTCGAATGGAAAGGAATGGAATGGACTCGAAGGGAATGGAATGGAATGGATTCGAATGGAAAGGAATGGAATGGACTCAAAAGGAATGGAATGGAATGGACTCAAATGGAATGGACTCGAATTGAATGAAATGTAATGGAATAGACTCGAATGGAATGGAACGAAATTTAATGGAATGGAATCTAATGGATTGAAATGGAATGGACTCGACTGGAAGAGAATGGAATGGACTCGAATGGAATGGAATGCAATGGATTCAAATGGAATGGAATGGAATTCAAAGGACTGCAAAGGAATGGAATGTAACACAATAGAATGTACTCGAATGTAATGGAATGAATTGGACTCGAATGGAATGGAATGGAATGGACTCGAATGGAATAAAATGGAATGGAACGTAATGGAAAGGAATAGACTCGAATGGAATGCAGTTGAATGCTATGGACTCGAAAGCAATGGAATTGAAATGAATGGAGTGGAATGGAATCTAATGGAATGGAATGGACTCGAATGGAATGGAATGGAATCGAATGGAATGGAATGGAATCGACTCGACTGGAATGGAATGGAATGGCATGGACTCGAATGAAAGGAAATGCAATGGAATATACTCGAGTGGAGTGGAATGGAAAGGACCGGAATGTTATAGAAGGGAATGGAATGGAATGGACTTGAATGGGATGGAATGGAAAGGAATGGATTCGAATGGAATGGAGTGGAATGGAATGGACTCAAAGGCAGTGGAATTGAATGGACTGGAATGGAATGGAAGGGAGTTTTATGGAATAGAATGGAATGCAATGGAATGGATTGGACTCCAATGGAATGGAATGGGATATACCCAAATGGAATGGAATGGAATGGATTGGAATGGAAAACAATGGAATGCAATTGACTCGAATTTAACGGCATGGGATGGAATGTACTCGGAAGTAACGGGATAGAATGGAATAGACTCGAGTGGAATGGAATGGAAAGGACTGGACTACAATGGAACGGAATGGAATTGACCCGAATGGAATGGAATGGAATGAAACGGAATGGAATGGAACCGAATTGAATCGAAAGGAATGGAATGGAATGTTATGGAATGGAATGGACTTGAATGGAATAGAATGGAATGAAATGGAATGTACTCGAATGGAATGGAATGGAATGGACCCAAATGCAATGGAATCGAATGGACTGAACTTCAATGGAATGGAATGGAATGGACTCGAATGGAATGGAATGCATTCGAATGGAATTGAATGGAGTGGGATGGAAAGGAATGGACTCGAATTGAATGCAGTTGAATGGAATGGAAACAAAGGAATGGATTGGAAAGGAATGGAATAGAATGGAATGGAAAGGCATGGAATGGGATGTAATGGAAAGGCATGGAATGGAATGGAATGGAAAGGAATTCAATCGATGTGAGTGGAATGAATTGAAATGGAGTGGACTTGAATGTAATGGAATGCAATGGAATGGACTCGAATAGAATGGAATGGAACCGAATGTAGTGGAATGTAATGGATTGGAATGGAATGAACTCGAATGGAATGGAATGGAAAGGAATGGAGTCGAATAGCATGGAATGGCATGGAATGGACTTGAAGGGAATGGAATTTAATGGAGTGGACTCGAATGAAATGGAATGCAATGGAATGGACTCAAATGGAATGGAATGGAATGTTATGTATTCGAATGGAATGGAATTGAATGGAATGGGCTCCAATTCAATGGAAGGGAATGTACATCAATGGAAGGGAATGTACATCAATGGAATGGAATGGAATGGAATGGAATGGAATGGAATCGAATGGACTCGAATGGAATGACATCAAATGGAATGGACTCGAATGTAATGGGATGGAATGGAATGGATTCGAATAGAATGGAATGAGATGGAATGGAATGGACTCCAATGGAATGGAATGGAATGGACCCGAATGCAATGGAATGGAATGGAATTGAATGAAATGGAATGGACCCGAAAGGAATGGAATGGAATGGAATGGAATGGACCGAAATGGAATGGAATGGTGTGGAACAAAATGCAATTGAATGGAATAGAATGGAATGAAATGGAATGTACTCGATTGGAATGGACTGGAATGGATCCGAATGGAATGGAAAAGAATGGATTGAACTCGAATGGAATGGAATGGAATAGAATGGACTCAAAAGGAATGGATTTGAATGAAATGGACCCGAATGGAATGGAAAGGAATGGAAAGGAATGGACTTGAATGGAATGGAATGGACTCGAATGGAATGGAATGGAAAGGACCCAAATGTAATGGAGGGGAATAGAATGGAATGGACTCGAATGGAATGGAATGGAAAGGAATGGACTCGAATGGAATGGGATGGAATGGACTCCAATGGAATGGAATGATATGTACCCGAATGAAATGGAATACAATGTTATGGAATGTAAATGAATGTAATGGCATGGAATGGAATGGACTCGGATGTAATGGGATGGAACAGAATGGACTCGAATGGAATGGAATGGAAAGGAATGGACTACAATGGAATGTTATGGAACGGACCCGAATGGAATGGAATGGTATAGAATGGAATAGAATGGAATGGAATGGAATGGAATGGAATGGACTGGAATAGAATGGACTTGAATGGAATAGAATGGAATGAAATGGAATATACTCGAATGGAATTGAATAAAATGGACACGAATGGAATGGAATCGAATGGATTGAACTCGAATGGACTCTAATGGAATGGAATAGAATAGAATGGACTCAAATGAAATGGAATTGAATAGAATGGAATGGAAAGGAATGGAATCGAATGGAATGCAGTTAAATGGAATGGACTCGAAAGGAATGGAATGGAAAGGAATGGAATGGAAAGGAAAAGAATGGAATAGAATGGAATCGACTGGAGTGCAATTGAATGGAATGGAGTTTACTCGAAAGAAATAGAATGCAATGGAATGGACTCGAATAGAATGGAATGGAATGAACCCAAATGTAATGGAATGTAATGGATTGGCATGGAATGGACTTGAAAGGAATGAAATGGAAAGGAATGGACTCAAATGGCATTGAATACAATGGAATGATCTCGAAGGAAATTGAATGGAATTGACTCGAATGGAATGGAATGGTAAGGATTTGAATGGAATGGAGTTGAATGGAATGGACTCTAATGAAATTTAATGGAATGTGCCCAATTGGAATGGAATGGAATGGAATGCAATGGAATGGTATGGAACGTACTTGAATATAATGGCATGGAATGGAATGGACTCGAATTTAATGTGATGGAATGGAATGGATTTGAATGCAATGGAATGGAAACGAATGGACTCCAATGGAATGGAATGGAATGGGATGGAATGGAATGGAAATCAATGAAATGGACTGGAATGGAATGGAATGATATGAAATGGAATAGATTTGAATGGGACACAATGTAATTAAATGGAATATACTCGAATGGAATGGATTGGAAAGGACCCAAATGGAATGGAATGGAATGGATTAAACTCAAATGGAATGGAATGGAATGGATTCGAATGGATTGGAATGGAATGGAATGGACTCGAATGGAATTTAAAGTAATGGAATGGAAAAGAAAGGAATGGACTCGAATGCAATGGAATGGAATAGAATGGAACCGAATGGAATGGAATGGAAAGGAATGGGTAGGAATGCAATGGAATGGAATGGAATAGAAAGGAATTGTGTGGAATAGAATGGAATGGAATGGATTGGAATCAAAGGGAATTAAATGGAATGGACTCAAATGGAATGGAATGGAATGGACAGAAATGGAATGGAGTGGAACGGAACAGAGTTGAAAACAATAGAATGGAATTTAGAGGATTATACTATAATGGAATGGACTCTAATGGAAAGGAATGGAATGGACTCGAATGGAATAGAAAGGAATGAAATGGACTCGAAACTAATGGAATGGAATGGACAAGAATGGACTGGAATGGAATGGTGTGAAATGGAGTGGAATGGAATGGAATGGAATGAATGGAATGGAATGGAATGAATGGAATGGAATGGAATGAATGGAATGGAATGGACTTCAATGGATTCGAATGGAATGAAATTTATTGGACTCAAATGAAATGGAATGGAATGGACAAGAATGGAAAGGAATGGACTCCAGTGGAATAGAATGGAATGGAATGGACTCGAGTGGAATAGAATGGAATGGAATGGACTCGAGTGGAATTGAAAGGAATGGAATTTACTCGAATGGTACGGATTGGAATGGACTCAAATGCAATGCAATGGACTGGAATTCACTTGAATGGAATAGAATGAAACGGAGTCGAATGTAATGGAATGGACATGAATGAAATGGCATGGAATGGAATGGACGCGAATAGAATAAAGTGGAATGGACTGAAATGGAATGGAATGAAATGGCATGGAATGGAATGGACGCGAATAGAATAAAGTGGAATGGACTGAAATGGAATGGAATGAAATGGAATGGACTCGAATGGAATGGAATGGAATGGACTCAAATGGAATGGAATGGACTCGAAAGGAATGGAATGGACTGGACTCGAATGAAATGGAATGCAAACGAACGGGCTCTAAAGGAAGGGAATGGAATGGACCCAAAAGTAATGGAAAGGAATGGAATGGACTCGAATGGAATGGAAGGGAAAGGAATGGACTCGAATGGAACGGAATGGAATGGAATGGAGTCGTATGGAATGGAATGGAATGGAGTCGTATGGAATGGAATGAAATGGACTCGAATGGAATCGAATGGAATGTTATGGTCTCGAATGGAATGGAATTGAATGGAATGGAATCCAATGGAATGGAATGGAATGGAATGTATACGAATGGAATGGAATAGAGTGGAATGGAATGGACTCTAATGTAATGGGATGGAATGGAATGGACTCTAATGTAATGGGATGGAATGGAATGGACTCAAAAGTAATGGGATGGAATGGAATGGACTCGAATGGGATGGAATGGAATGGACCCGAATGGAATGGAATGGACTCCAATGGAATGGAATGGAATGGACCCGAATGGAATGGACCAGAATGGAATGGAATGGAATGGAAGGGACCGGAATGGAATGGACCCGAATGGAATGGAATGGAATGGAATGGAATAGTGTGGAATGGAATGGACTTGAATGGAATAGCATGGAATGAAGTGGAATGTACTCGAATGGAATGGAAAGGAATGGACCTGAATGGAATGGAATTGAATGGAATGGAAAGGAATAGACTCTAATGGAATGGAATGAACTCCAGTGGAATGGACCCGAATGTAATGGAAGGGAATAGAATGGAATGGACTCGAATGGAATGGAATGGACTCCAGTGGAATGGACCCGAATGTAATGGAAGGGAATAGAATGGAATGGACTCGAATGGAATGGAATGGACTCCAGTGGAATGGACTCGAATGTAATGGAAGGGAATAGAATGGAATGGCCTCGAATGGAATGGAATGGAAAGGAATGTACTCGAATGGAATGCAATGGACTCGAAAGGAATGGAATTGAATGGACTCATATGGAATGGAATGGTATGGAATGGAATGGAATGGAATGGATTCCAATGGAATGGAACGGAATGGAATGGAATAAAATGGACTCGAAAGGAATGGAATTGAATGGACCCAAATGGAATGGAATGGAATGGAATGGTATGGAATGGAGTGGAAGGGAATGGAATGGACTCTCATGGAATGGAACGGTATGTACCTGAATTGAATGGTATGGAATGGACTTGAAAGTAATGGCATGGAATGGAATGGACTTGGATGTAATGGGATGGAATGGAATGGCCTCAAATGGAATGGAACGGAAAGGAATGGATGACAATAGAATGGAATGGAATGGACCCGAAAGAAATGGAATGGTATGGAATGGAATGGAATGGAACCGAAAGCAATGGAATGGTATGGAATGGAATGGAGCAGAATGGAATGGATTGGATTGGAATGGAATGGAATGGAATGGACTCAAATGGAATAAAGTGGAATGGACTCGAATGGAATGGAATGCAATGGAATGGACTCACATGGAATGGAATGGACTCGAATGGAATAGAATGCACTCGAATGGAATGGAATCGAATGAAGTGGACTTGAATGAAATGGAATGCAATCGAATGGACTGGAATGGAATGGAATGGAATGGACCCAAAAGAAATGGAATGGTATGGACTTGAATGGAATGGAATGGACCCGAATGGAATGCAGTGGAATGGAATGGAATGGAGCCAGATGGAGTGGAAAGGAATGGAGTGGAATGGAATGGAATGGACCCAAATGGAATGCAATGGAATGGAATGGAATAGAATGGAACGGAATGGAATGGAATGGAAAAGAATGGAATGAAATAGAATGTACTGGAATGGAAAGGATTAAAATGGACCAGAATGGAATGGAATCGAATGTATTGAACTAGAATGGAAAGGAATGGAATGGAATGGAATGGACTCGAATGGAATAAAGTGGAATGGACTCGAATGGAATGGAATGCAATGGAATGGATTCAAATGGAATGAAGTGGACTCGAATGAAATGGAATGCAATCAAATGGACTCGAAAGGAATGGATTCGAATGAAGTGGACTCGAATGAAATGGAATGCAATCAAATGGACTCGAATGGAATGGACCCAAAAGTAATGGAATGGTATGGAATGGAATGGAATGGAATGGACCCGAATGGAATGCAATGGAATTGAATGGAATGGAGCCGAATGGAGTGGAATGGAATGGAATGGAATGGAATGGAAAGGAATACAATGGAATTGAAATGAATGGAATGGAATGGAATGGAAAAGAATGGAATGAAATGGAATGTACTTGAATGGAATGGAATCAAATGGACCCGAATGGAATGGAATCGAATGGATTGAACTAGAATGGAATGGAATGGAATGGAATGGACTCGAATGTAATGGAATGGAATGCAATGAACTCGAGTGGAATGGAATGGAAAGGAATGGAATGGACTGAATGGAATGGAATGGAATGGAATGCACCCGAATGGAACGGAATGGACTCGAATGGAATGGAATGGAAAGGAATGGACTCGAATGGAATGCAGTTAAATGCAATGGACTCGATAGGAATGGAATGGAAAGGATTGGAATGGAATGGAATGGAATGGAATAGAACAGAATCGACTCGAGTGCAATGGAATGGAATGGAATGGACCTGATTGAAATGGAATGCAATGGAATGTACTCGAATAGAATGGAATGGAATGAAACCGAATGTAATGGAAAGGAATGGATTGGTATGAAATGGTCTCGAATGGAATGGAATGGAAAGGAATGGACTCGAATGGCATTGAATGGAATGGAATGGACTCGAAGGAAGTGGAATGGACTCGAATGGAATGGAATGGAATGGTATGGACCCGAATGGAATGGAATTGAATGGAACAGACTCCAATGGAATTGAATGGAATGTACCCAAATGGAATGGAATGGAATGCATTAGAATGGAATGGAACGTACCCAAAAGGAAAGGCATAGAAAGGAATGGACTCGAATTTAATGGGAAGGAATGGAATGGACTCGAATGCAATAGAATGGAAAGGAATGGACACCACTGCATTCGAATGGAATGGACTGAATGGAATGGAAAGGAATGGAATGGAATGAAATGGACTGGAATGGAATGGAATAGTATGGAATGAAATGGACTTGAATGGAACAGAATGGAATGAAATGGTATGTCCTCGAATGGAATGGAATAAAATGGGCCCAAATGGAATGGAATGGAATGGATTGAATGAGAATGGAATGGAATGGAATGGAATGGAATGGGCTCGAATGGATTGGAATGGAATGGAATGGAGTTGAAAGGAATGGAATGGAATGGACCCGATTGGAAAGGAATGCAATGGAAAGGAATGGACTCGAATGGAATAGAATGGAATTGAATGGACCTGAATGGAGTGGAATGGAAAGAAATGGACTCGAAAGCATTGGAATGGAATGGACTCAAATTGAATGGAATCGAATGGAATGGAAAGGAATGGAATGGAATGGAATGGTATGGAATGGACTCCAATGGAATAGAATGGATACGAATGGAATGGAATAGACTTGAATGGAATAGAGTGGGATTTAATGGAAAGGACTCTAATGTAATGGAATGGAAGGGAATGGACTCGAATGGAATGCAATGGAAGGGACTCGAATGGAATAGAATGGAATTTAGTGGACTTGATTAAAATGGAATGGAATGGAATGGACTTGAATGCAGTGGAACGGAGTGGACGCGCATGGAATGGAATGGCATGGAATGGACTTGAATGGAATGGAATGAAATGGAGTGGACTTGAATGGAATAAAATTGAATGGAATGGAACGGACTTGACGGCAATGGAATGGAATGGACTTGAATGGAATGGAATGGACTCGGATAGAATGGAATGGAATTTAACAGAATGGACTGTAATCGAATGGAATCTAATGGAAAGCAAAGAATGGACACGAATTGAATAGAATAGAATGGACTCGAATGTAATGGAATGCAATGGAATGGACTAAAATGGAATGCAGTGGAATGGAATCGAATGGAATGGAATGGAATTGACTCGAATGGAATTGAAAGGAATGGAACCAAAAGAAATGGATTGGAATGGAATAGACTCGAATGGAATGGAATGGAATGGAATGAAGTGGAATGGACTCAAATGGAATGGAATGGAATGGACTCGAATGGAATGGAATGGAATGGAATAGAATAGAATGGAATGGAATGGACTTGAGAGGAATGGAATCGAATTGAATGTACTCAAATGGAATGGAATGGAGTGGAATTGACTCGAACGGAATGGACTGGATGTGAATGGAATGGAGCGTAATGGAATGGACTTGAATGTAATAGAGTGGAATGGATTGTAATGTAATGTAATGTAATGGAATGGACTCGAATGGATTGGAATGGAATGGACTCGAATGGAATGGAACGGATTTCAATGGACTCGAAAGGGATGGGATGAAAAACTCTAATGGAATGGATTGGAATGGAATGGACTCAAATGGAATGAAATGGAATTCACTCGAATGAAACTGACTCAAGTGGAATGGAATGGAGTTTAATGGTAAGGATTGGACTCGAATGGAATGGAATTGAATTAACCCAAATGGAATAGAATGCAAAGAAATGGACTTGAATGGAATGTAAAGGAATGGAATGGACCAGAATGGAGTGAAATGGAATGGAATGGACGCGAATGGAATGGAATTGAATTAACCCGAATGGAATTGAATGAAAAGAAATGGACTTGAATGGAATGGAAAGGAATGGAATGGACCAGGATGGAGTGAAATGGAATGGAATGGACCCGAATGGAATGGAATTGAATGGAACCCAATGGAATGGAATCGAATGGAATGGAAAGGCATGGAATGGAATGGTATGAAATGGAATGGACTCTAATGGAATAGAATGGAATGGAATGGAATGCAATCAAAATTAATGGAATGGAACGAACACGAATGGAATGGAATCGACATGAATGGAATGGAATGGAACGTAATGGAATGGAATGGAATGGAATGGAATGGAATTGAATGGACCTGAATGGAATGCAGTTGAATTGAATGGACCTGAAAGGAATGGAATGAACTAAAATGGAATGCAATGGAAGGGACTCGAATGGAATGGAATGGAATGGAATGGAATGGACTCGAATGAAATGGCACGGACTCAAATGGAATGGAAAGGAAAGGAACCGACTCAGGTGGAATGGAATGGAATGGAAACGACTCGAGGGGAATGGAATGGAATTGAATGGACTCGAATGGAATAGAATGGAATTCATTGGTTTGGGCATTAATGGAATGGACTCTAATGGAATGGAAAGGAATGGACGCGAATGGAAAGAATGGAATGGAATGGACTTGAATGGAATGGAATGGACACAAATATAATGGAATGGAGTGGAATGGAAAGGACTTTAATGGAATAGAATGGAATGGAATGGAATGGATTCAAATGAAATGGAATGTAATGGAGTCAAATGGAATGAAATGGACTCGAATGGAATAGAATGGAATGGAATGGAATGGACTCGAATGGAATTGAATGGAATGGACTCGAGTGGAATGGAATGTACTCAATTAGAATGGAATGGAATGGAATTGACTGGAATGGAATGTAATGGAATGGAATCGAATGGAATATACTGGACACGAATGGAATGGAATGGAATTGAAAGGACTCGAATGAAATAGAATGGAATGGACTGGAATGGAATGGAATGCAATGGAATGGACTCGAATGATTTGGAATGGAATGGACTAGAATGGAATGGAATGGATTTGAATGGACTTGAATGGAATGGGATGGAATAAACTCTAATGGAATGGAATGGAATGGAATGAACTCGAATGTAAAGGAATAGAATCGACTCGAACGGAATTGACTTGAGCGGAATGGAATGGACTCTAATGGATTGGAATGGAATGGAATGGACTCTAATGGATTGGAATGGAATTATCATGAATGTAATGGAAAGAAATGGACTCGAATGGAATGGAAAGGAATGGAATGTACTCAACTGGAATGGAATGCAAAGGACTGAAATGGGAAAGAATGGAATGGAATGGATACAAATGGAATGGAACGGAATGGAATCGAATGGAATGGACTCAAATGGAATGGCATGGAATGGAATGGACTGAAATGTAATGAGGTGGAATGGAATTGACTAGAATGTAAGGGGATGGAAAAGAATGGACATGAATGCAATGGAATGGAATGGAATGGAACAGACTTGAATGGAATAGAATGGGATTTAATGGAATGGACTCTAAAAGAATGGAATGGAATGGATTTGAATGGACTGGAATGGAACGGAATGTACTCGAATGGAATGGAATGGAATGGACTCGAATGGAATGGAACGGAACAGACTTGAATGGAATAGAATGGGATTTAATGGAATGGACTCTAAAAGAATGGAATGGAATGGATTTGAATGGACTGGAATGGAACGGAATGTACTCGAATGGAATGGAATGGAATGGACTCGAATGGAATGGAACGGAACAGACTTGAATGGAATAGAATGGGATTTAATGGAATGGACTCTAAAAGAATGGAATGGAATGGAATGGAATGGATTTGAATGGACTGGAATGGAACGGAATGTACTCGAATGGAATGGAATGGAATGGACTCGAATGGAATGGATTCGAATATACGCAAATGGAATGGAATGGAAAGGAATGAACTCGAATGGAATGGTATGGAATGGACTGGACACGAATGGAATGGAACGGAATGGAATGATTGAATGTAATAGAATGGAATGGATTCGAATGGAATGGAAAGCAATGGAATGGACTCGAATGGATTGAAATGGAATGGACTCAAATGCAATGGAATGGATTTGAATGGACTCGAATGGGATGGGATAGAATAAATTCTAATGGAATGGAATGGAATGGACTCGAATGGAATGGAATGGAATTAAGCTGAATGGAATGGAATGGAATTAAGACGAATGAAATGGAATGGAATGGAAAGAAATAGACTCGAAAGAAATGGAAAGGAAAGGAATCGACCAGAATGGAGTGGAATGGAATGGAATGGTCACGAATTGAATGGAATTGAAAGGACCCGAAAGGAAAGGAATTGAATGGAATGGCAAGGCGTTTAATGGAATGGAATGGAATGGAATGGAATGGAATGGAATGGAGTGGAATGGAATGCAATGGAATGGTATGGAGTGGAATGGAATGGTATGGAATGGAATGGACTCTAATGGAATAGAATGGAATGGAATAGAATGGAATCAAAATTAATGGAATGGAATGGACTCGAATGGAATGGAATGGACATGAATGTAATGGAATGGACCCGAATGGAATGGAATGGAATGAAATGGAATGGAATGGACTTGAATGGAATGCAGTCGAATTGAATGTACCCGAAAGGAATGGAATGGATTAGAATGGAATGGAATGGAATGGACACCAATGGAATGGAACGGAATGGACTCGAATGAAATGGAATGGACTCAAATGGAATGGAATGGAATGGAATCCACTTGAGTGGAATGGAATGGAATGGACTTGAATGGAATGGAAATGACTCGAGTGGAATGGAATGGAATGGACTCGAATGGAATGGACGGGACACGAATGGAATATAATGGATGGAATAGACACGAATGAATTAGAATGGAATGGACTCGAATGGAATGGAATGCAATGGAATGGACTCGAATGGATTGGAATGGAATGGAATGGAATGGACTCGAAAGGAATGGGATGGAATAAACTCTAATGGAATGGAATGGAATGAACTCGAATGTAATGGAATGGAATTGACTTGAATGGAATTGACTCGAGTGGAATGGAATGGACTTGAATGGAATGGAATGGAATACAAATGAATGAAAAGGGTTGGAATTATCACGACTGGAATGCAATAGAATGGAAAGAAATGGACTCAAATGGAATGGAAAGCAATGGAATGGACTCAAATGGAATGGAATGCAAAGGACTGAAATGGTAAATAATGGAATGGAATGGAGTCGAATGGAAATGAATGGAATGGACTCGAATGGAATGGACTCGAAAGGAATCTAACTGAATGGAATGGAATGGAATGGAATGGAATGGACTCGCATGGAATGCAGTTGAATTGATTCGAAAGGAATGGAATGGAATGGAATGCAATGAAATGAAATGGACTCGAATGGAATGGAATAGAACGGAATGGATACGAATGAAATGGAATGGACTCGAATGGAATGGAATGGACTCCACTTGAGTGGAATGGCATGGAATGGAAAGGAATGCAATGGACTTGAATATAATGGAATGGAATGGAAATGACGAGAGTGGAATGGAATGGAATGGACTCCAATGGAATGGACTGGACACGAATGGAATATTATGGATGGAATGGACACTAATGAAATAGAATGAAATGGACTCGAATGGAATGGAATGCAATGGAATGGACTCGAATGGAATGGAATTGATTTGAATGGACTCGAAAGGAATGGGATGGAATAAACTCTAATGGAATGGAATGGAATGGAATGAACTCGAATGTAATGGAATGGAATTGACTCGAATGGAATTGACTCGAGTGGAATGGAATGGACTTGAATGGAATGGAATGGAATAGACTCGAATGGAATGGGATGGAATTATCACGACTGGAATGGAATGCAATGGAAAGAAATGGACTCAAAAGGAATGGAAAGCAATGGAATGGACTCAAATGGAATGGAATGCAAAGGACTGAAATGGTAAAGAATGAAATGGAATGGAGTCGAATGGAAAGGAATGGAATGGACTCGAATGGAATGGACTCGAATGGAATAGACCCGAAAAGAATGTAATTGAATGGAATGGAATGGAATCGCATGGAACGCAGTTGAATTGAAATGATTCAAAAGGAATGCAATGGAATGGAATGGAATGCAATGAAATGGAATGGACTCGAATGGAATGGACTGGAATGGATTGGGATGGACTTGAATGGTATGGAGTGGAATGGAATCAACTCGTGTGGAATGGAGTGGAATGGAACATACTCGAATGAAATGGAATACAATTAAATGGCCTCAAATTAAATGGAATAGAATGGAATGGGATGGACTCAAATGGAATGGAAGGGACACAAATGGCATGGAATGAAATGGACCCGAATGGAATGGAATGGAATGGAATGAAATGGAATGGAATGGACATGAATGAAATGGAATGGAATGGAATGGAATGGAATGGAATGGGCTCAAATGCAATGGAATGGAATGGAATGGACTTGAATGGAATGGAATGGAATGGACTCGAAAGGAATGGAATGGAATGGAATTTACTCGAATGGAATAGAATGGAATTTAATGGATTGGACTCTAATGGAATGGAATCTCATGGAATGGAATGGAATGGACTCGAATGGAATAGAATGGAGTAGATTGGACTCGATTGGAATGGAATGCAATGGAATGGACTCGAATGGAATGGAATGGAATGGAATAGATTCGAATGGCATGTAATGGAATGGAAATGACTTGAGTGCAATGGAGTGGACTCGAACGGAATGGAATGCAATGGAATGGACTTGAATGGATTGGAATGCATTGGAATGGACTTGAAGGGAATTGAATGCAATGAAAAGGAACGGACTCGAATGGAATAGAATGGAATGGAATGTCCCGAAAGGAGGGGAAAGGAATGGAACTGACCCGAATGGAATGGAATCGAATGGAATGGAAAGGAATGGAATGGAATGGACTGGACTTGATTGGATTGAAAGAGAATGGAATTGAATGGAATGGACTCAAAAGGAATGGAATGGAATGGACTCAAATGGAATAGAATGGAAACGAATGGAATGGAATGGAATGGAAGAGTCTTGAATGGAATAGAATGGGATTTAATGGAATGGACTCTAGAGGAAGGGAATGGAATGGACCTGAATGGAATGCAGTGGAATGGACTCGAATGGAATAGAATGGAATGGAATGGAATGGAATGGAACAGACTCGAATAGAATGGAATGCAATGGAACAGAATGGAATGGACTGGACTCGAATGGAATTGAACAGAATGGAATGGGCTTGAATTTAATAGAATGCAATGGATTCGAATGGATTGGAAAGCAATGGAATGGACTCGAATGGATTGGAATGGATTTGAATGAACTCGAATGGGATGGGATGGAATAAACACTAATTTAATGTAATGGAATGGAATGGACTCGAATGGAATGGAATGGAATTCACTCGAAAGGAATTGACTCTAGTAGAATGGAATGGATTTGAATGGAATGGAATGGAATGGACTTGAATGGCATGGAATGGAAAAAACCAGAATGGAATGGAATGGAATGGAAAGAAAGGGACTTGAATGGAATGGAAAGGAATGGAAAGGACCCGAATGGAGTGGAATGGAATGGAATGGACCCAAATGGAATGGAATTGAATGGACCCAAATGGAATGGAATCGAAAGGAATGGCAAGGCATGGAATTGGATGGAATGGAAAGGAGTGGAATGGAATGGAATGGTATGGAATGGAATGAACTCTAATGGAATAGAATGGAATGGAAACTAATGGAATAGAATGGAATGGAATGGAATGGAATCAAAATTAATGGAATGGAATCAAAATTAATGGAATGGAATGGACTCTAATGGAATGGAATGCACACGAATGGAATGGAATGGAATGAAATGGACCCGAATGGAATGGAATGGAATGGAACGGAATGGAATGGAATGCAGTTGAATTTAACGGACCCAAAAGGAATGGAATGGAATGGAAATGAATGGAATGCACTCGAATGGAGTGGAATGGAACAGAATGGACTTGAATGAAATGGAATGGACTCGAATCAAAAGGAATGGAATGGAATGGAATGGATTTGAATGGAATAGAATGGAATGGACTCGAATGGAATGGAATGTACTCGAATGGAATGGAGTGGATTGGAATTGACTCGAGTGGAATTGAGTGAAAAGGAATGGACTCGAATGAAATGGAATGCAATGAAATGGACTCGAATGGAATGCAAAGGAATGGAGGGGACTCTAATCGAATGGAAGGGACAAGAATGGCACAGAATCGATTGGACCCGAATGTAATGTAATGTAATGTAATGTAATGTAATGTAATGTAATGTAATGGACACGAATGGAATGAAATGGAATGGAATGGAATGGAATGAAATGGAATGGACTCGAATGGAATGAAATGGAATGGAATGAAATGGAATGGACTCGAATGGAATGGAATGGAATGGATTCGAAAGTAATGGAATAGAATGGAATCGAATAAAATGGAATGGAATGGACTCGAATGGAATAGAATGGAATTGATTGGACTGGACTCTAATGGAATGGACTGTCATGGAATGGAATGGAATGGAATGGAATGAAATGGACTGGAATGGAATGGAATGAATGGAATGGAATGGAATGGACTGGCCAACATTGTGAAAACTCGTCTCTACAAAAATACAAAAATTAACTGGGCATGATGGCGGATGTCTGTAATCCCAGCTACTCGGGAGGCTGAGGTGGAAGAATTGCTTGAATCCAGGAGGCAGAGGTTGCAGTGTGCCAAGGTCATGCCATTGCATTCCAGCCCGGGCCACAGAGCAAGACTCCATCTCAAAAAAAAAAAAAAAAAAAAAAGAAAAGAAAAAAGAAAGATTCACTTTGAAATGCTGCATGCAACTATATGGCCACACATTGGAAAATCTAGAGAAAATGGGTAATTTTCTGGAAAAATATAAATGACCAAAACTAATCCAAGAAGAAATTTAAAATGTTAATAGACCAGTTACAAAGAAAGAATGTAAAGTGATTTTTTAAATCCATAATTTAAAAAAGTACTAGGGTTGCAAGAAGGATAATTCCAATGTTATTTAAAGTATCCCAAATATTTTTAAAAAAGAAAAACCAATTCATTTCACATAGGCAGTGCAGCATTAATATGAAAACCTGATAAACATAAGACAAAACTATAGGCCAGATGCCATGGCTTACACCTGTAATCCCAGCACTTCGGGAAGCCAAGGCACGTGGATCACTTAAGGTCAGGAGTTCAAGACCAGCCTGGACAATATGGCGAAACCCCGTCTCTACTAAAAATACAAAAATTAGCCCGGCTTGGTGGTGCATGTCTGTAATCCCAGCTTGAACCCAGGAGGCAGAGGTTGCAGTGAGCCAAGATCACGCCACTGCACTCCAGCCTGGGTGACAGAGCAAGTCTCCATCTCAAAACAAAAAAAAAAAAAACAAAAAAACCAAAACTATAGACCAATCTGACTTATACATATGAATGAATATTCTAAATAAAAACCCAGCACTTTTATCAATAATTGCAACAACAAAAAAGAGTAATACAGTATGCAAAGAGCATTGTATTTCAGGAATTCACGGGTATTTCAATATCAGTTAAGTATATTAACACAATTACATAATTGACATCAAAGAAGAGGAAAATGTGATTATATCAGTAGATGCTGAGAGGGCTATTGTTAAGATTAAACATCCACTCCTAATGAAGATTCTTGAGTAAAATAGAAATTGAAGGAAAGTGTCTAAACATAACCGCTATTTATGAAATGCCTACAAAACAAGTATTTTAAATCATAAAGGAACATTTCAAATAAAACAAGGAACCAGCAGGAATAGCTGCTGTCAGTATTTGTTATTAAAGATTATCTTGGAGGATCCATGAATGTAACAAGATTTTTAAATGAAATAATCAGTATAAATATATAGAAAGCTTTTTGTGGATATGATTATATGCCTAGGAAATCATAGAGATTAGGAAAAACAGAACTTTCAAATATTTTAAAGAGGAATATTGGTAAGGCATTTGGAAATAAGATCATAATACAAAATATATTAGCAATAAGCACCTTGAAATGCTAATGGTAAAAATATTCACAATAACAAAAATAATAAAGGTAAAATAAATTTACCAAGAAAGAAGATCTATAAGAAAAAAACTATAAAAATGTTACCAAAAGCTGTTGAATAAGAAACACATGGCCGGGCACGGTGGCTCACGCCTGTAATCCCAGCACTGTGGGAGGCCGAGACGGGCGGATCACGAGGTCAGGAGATCGAGACTATCCTGGCTAACACGGTGAAACCCCGTCTCTACTAAAAATACAAAAATTAGCCGGGCATGGTGGCGCGCGCCTGTAGTCCCAGCTACACGGGAGGCTGAGGCAGGAGAATGGCGTGAACCCGGGAGGCGGAGCTTGCAGTGAGTCGAGATCGCGCCACTGCACTCCAGCCTGGGCGACAGAGCGAAACTCCGTCTCAAAAAAAAAAAAAAAAAAAAAAAAGAAACACATGAGGCTAGGCGCAGTGGCTCATACCTGTAATCCCAGCACTTTGGGAGGCTGAGGCAGGAGGACTGCTTGAGCCCAGGAGTTCAAGACCAGCTTTGGCAAATTGTGAAACCCTATCTCTAAACAAAACAAAACAAAACAAAAAACTATTTGGGCTTGGCGCATGCTTATAGAACCAGGTACTTGGGAGGCTGAGGTGGGAGGTTGGGGCTTCAGTGAGCTGAGATCCCACAACTGCACTCCTGCCTGGTTGACACAGTGAGACCCTGTCTCAAAAAAACAAACAACAAAACTCTTGTAAAAGCATAAATCTCCTAAAATTATATATAAATTCAATTAAATTAACATTAGAATCACAAAAGCATTTTAAAATTGGATTAAATTATCTTAAAGTTCATGTAGAAGAATAGTCAGAAAATTGTACCAAAAAAAAGACTATTGAGAGGAACTTTTCTCACCAGATATCAGCACCTACTATAGAACTATTGGAATTGATCAATTAAGAAAAACAATTGTATTAATTAAGAATAAGCAAGAGTGGTAAAAAATTGAGAATCTACATGTAGATGAAAAATTAATATATGAAAATAAACAATTCAAAGAAAACAAAATTGGACCCTCAATTTACACTGAAGGCTTTGAAGTGATACATAAAATGATTTTTAAAATGATTTAAATACGTACGTAAATGGAGAGAGGAAGGGTGGGAGAGAAGCGGGAGAGAGAGAAAATAGAAGACTAAAGACAGGAACACCTATGTGGAAAAAGATAACACTTAATGACGAAATATGTTGTATGTGAATATCAGTTATACATAATAAATATTGGGGACATTGCGCTGTGGGTTACAGTAAAGCATTAAGAAACAGAGTAAGTGAATAAAAAAAGGAAAGAAAACTACCAAATTCCATGTGTGATACCCCGTTTTGAAATTACATAAATTAAACGTGTACACATAAGAAAATTTTAAACATTAAAATTTTGTTAACAAAATGGATTTGATGACACGAAGGCCATTGATGACCTTACCCACAGCAGCTTTGTTTAAATGGGGATTAAGGATGGAGCAAAATTTTTATTAGAACACTTTGAATAATGAATTAGCAAACTACAATAAACTGAAATCTTACCTACCAAATAATCTCAGTAAAGTAAACAAATCTAAAAGAAATGAATAAAACAATTATGAGCAAAAAAGGATAGAGTCACTGCATATAATGTAAATGAGACAAGGATGGCCTCTGTGTATTGGCGCCTAGGTTATTTCTTCACAGCAAGCTGAAACCCATTAGCTCAAAAACCAACTGGCACCAAACTCAAATTTTTAAACATCCAATTGTGTTAAACATAGCCCAGACATGCATATTTGTAGGCATTTAGAGCCTGCCTGATTTACATGCCCTGGGAAACTACATCCAAAATCTGCTTGCCACAGATAAACTCTAGGCTGTAAAGACCCCAAACTGCTTCTGCTCTTTGGAACTCTGTGAACTACAGACTCCATGCCATGCTGCTGAGTGATATCACTGAGACATGAAAGCCTCCTCTCTGATCCTTTCCTCCCTCAGGAGTTCCTTTGCCCTCCTCCCTTTCTGAGTGGTGGCCCCCTTGTCTCAATCCTCTGGTCCATCTCTTGCTGTGAAGGCCTTCCCCAGGATACAAACCTGACAAGAGATCATCCAGATAAAGCCCATGTGTGCTTCTTTCACATCTTTTTCTATATTTTTCTATTTTTTTTCTAAACTTTTCTAATTTTTTCTTAATTTTTATAAAATTGTGGATACCTAATAATGTAGTCTCAAAATAAATAAAGCCAAAATTAGAATTGGAAAGAGCAATAAAAAAATCTACACAGTGAGATATTTTAACATTTCATTTTTAGTAATTGAATAAATAAACATAAAATTAGTAAGGCTAATCAACAGTTAAAGAATTTTGATTCTTTTCAAGCACACTTGGAGTATTTACAAAAATTGACCAGATATTAGGCCTAAAGATAGTATCAAATGTTTACATTGGTATAACAAATGTGTAATAGCACTATTAGAAATCAATAACAAAAACTTATCCAAAAGTAATCCATGAATTTTAGAAACTACAAATAGCTTCCAAATGATTCATGGAAGCAAGAAGAAATTATAATAAAAATTAGAACATGCTTAAAATTGAATTAAAATGAAAAGATTACCGATCAATATATATGTAAAATAACTGAAGCAGTACTTACAGTGAAATTTACCAGAAGCAATTCACATTCATGGGAAGGACAACAGCATGCATTTAGAGACTTGTCCAAGATGTATATTAGTTCTTTGACTCTCTGTCCTAATGTAGTCCAGAGACCTGAGCTGTCTGGACATTCTGTAGCATGTTACATTTTTCCATTTTATTTACCAGTTAAAATAGACTGGGTAAGAAATAACATGTTGGATGGCCTAGAGAGACACAAGCATCCCTGAGAGAGAAAATCATCTGAAGATTTAAGGACCTGTGACATCAGTCACAGAAGATTTTAGGGGGCCCATTGTTCCCCCCCCATACTAAGGAATACTGTTCTGACACATTTGCTGAGTGACACAGAAGGCTTCCACTTTTGACAAAAGCTTACGGCAGAAAAGGCCTCTGCAGCAGGTCCAGGATCCAGGGCAAGCAGCCCTACTGTTTGAGCCATACAATCTAGTAGGCTCTATGGTATTAGAAATATATGCAGTTGGAAAAAGCACCACGTAGAGTTTATAGCAAACCCTAATAGATGATTCACACATAGTCTTGTGGGGTTCACTAGCATGGTCATGCTATCTGCAAATAATTGTATATTGTATAAATATATAGCATAATTGTGTACTTTAATAGCTCCTAGCATGCTACTGCACCTAGGTAGAGATGGACTATCTGACAACAAATATTAAGTGACCATGTAGCTAAAAGTTCCCACTGTGAGTTTGGTTTTGTTAGATCTACCAGATCATAAGGACAGGCTGGCCCAGCAACAAATCATAATAAAATAGAAGTAGCACATTGAATTAGTCCATTTTCACATTGCTATAAAGAACTACCCAAGACTGGGTAATTAATAAACAAAAGAGGTTTATTGACTCACAGTTCCGTATGGCTGGAGAGGTCTCAGGAAACTTACACTTATGACTAAAGGCAAAGGTGAAGCAGGCACCTTCTTCACAAGGCAGCAGGAGAGACAGAGAGCAAGGGGGGATGTGCCAAACACTTTTAAACCATCCGCTCTCATGAGAACTCACTCAATATCATGAGAACAGCATGAGGGAAACTGCCCCCATGATCCAGTCACCTCCCACCAGGTCCCTCTCTCTACATGTGGGGATTATAATTTGAGATGAGATTTTGTGGGGACACAGAGCCAAACCATATCACATCAAGGATTGGGCATGAGAAAGACTAGAGGACACAAGTAAGCAGTATGATAAGGTGATCCAGGTCCCCACATTATCCAAATTGTGACACTAGATTCTCTCCCTCAGCTGGCAACTCTGCCTATGTGGGAGTTCCAATATTGATAAAGGAGGAAAAAAGCTAAGCTTGTTCATTGGAAGATCAACTCAGCATGCGGATGTAAGTAAAAAATGATAGCAGCCTACTTCAGCTATGGAAAGATAGCAGTAGATTAAATCCTCCCAAGGACGGTTCAGCATATACGAATCAATAAATGTGATATACACATTAACAGAATGAAGGACGACAACTATATGAATATCTCCATGGATGCAGAGAAAGCATTTGACAAAATTCAACATCTTTCTGTAATAAAAACTTTCAACAAATTAGGTATCAATGTCCACATAACACAATAAAGGCATATGTGATAGGCCCACAGCTAACATCATACTCAATGGTAAAAAGTTGAAAGCTTTTTCTCTAAGATCAGAAACAAGATGGATGCCCATTTTCACCACTTCTATTCAAGTTCTAGCAATTAGTCAAGAAGAAGAAATAAAGGCATTAAAGTCAGAAAGGAAGAAGTGAAATTGTCTCTGCAGACACCATGATCTTAAATGTAGAAAACCCTAAAGAGTCCACCAAAAAAAAACTGTTGGAACTAGTAAATTAATTCAGTAAAGTTGCAGGATGCAAAATCAACATAAAAAAACGACTAGCATCTGTATACACTAACAATGAACTATCTGAAAAAGAAATCAAGAAAACAATTTCATTTATAATGGCTACACAAATACTTAGGAATTAATTTAACCAAGGAGGTGAAAGACCTGTACACTGAAAACTATAAAACATTGGTGAAAGAAATTGAAGAAGACACAAATAAATGGAAACATATCCCATCTTCATGGATTAGAAGAATTCATACTGTTAAAATGTTCTTAGTACCAAAAGTGATCTACAGATTCAATGTAATCTCTATCAAAATTCCAATGATATTTTTTACATAAACAGAAAAAAATCCCCAAATTCATGTGAAACCACAAAAAACCCCAAATAGCAAATTGTGAGCCAAAAGAACAAAGTAGGAGGCATCACATTATCCAGTTTCAAAATATACTATGATGATATAGTAATCAAAAATATAACATGATACTGGCATACAAACAGACTGGTAGACCAATGGAATAGAATAGAGAGCCTCAAAATACATTCACGTTTATGGCCAATTGATTTTCAGTAAATATGCCAAGAATACACAATGGGGAAAGGACAATCTTCAATAAATGGTGTTGGGAGAACTCCACATGCAGAGAAATGAAATTAGACCCTTATCTCACACCATATACAAAAAAATAACACAAATGGACTAAAGACTTAAATATAAAACCTGAAACCATAAAACTACTAGAAGAGAACATACAGGAAAAGCTCCATGAGACTGGTCTGGGCAATGATTTTCTGGATATGACCCCCAAAGCACAGGCAACAAAAGCAAAAATAGACAAAAGGGATTATATCAAACTAATAAGCTGTGCAAGCAAAGGGAGCAATCAATAGAGTAAAGAGATAGCCTACAAAAAGGGAGAAAATATTTGCAAACCATACATCTGATAAAGGATTAATATCCAGAATATATAAAGTATTCATACAACTCAACAGCATGAAAACATATAACCTGATTAATGAAAGGGAGGCAAAGTACCTGAATAAACATTTTTCCAAAGAAGACATACAAATGGCCAACAGGAATATGAAAAAATAACCAACATCACCAGTCATCATGGAAACGCACATCAAAACCACAATGAGACGTCCCTTTTAGAATGGCTACTATGAAAAAAACAAAAGATAGCATGTGTTGGCGAGGATGTGGAGAAAAGGGAGCCTTTGTATACTGTTGGTGGGAATGTAAATTAGTACAGCCATTATGAAAAGTAATATAGAGGTTTCTCAGAAAGTTAAAAATAAAACTACCATATGATCCAGCAATCCTAGTACTATTTATATACCCAAAGAAAATGATTCAGTATGTCAAAGAAAAATCTGTACCTCATGTTCATTGCAACATTATTCACAATAGACAAGATATGAAATCAACCTAAGTATCCTTTAACAGATGAATGATTAAAGAAAATGTGGTGTATATATACATAATGAAATATTGTTCAGCCTTAAAGAAGGAAATCCTGTCCTTTATAATAACATGGATGAAACTGGAGGACATTATATTAAGTGAAATAAGCCAGGCAGAGAGAGATAAATGCCATGTAATCTCACTTATATGTGGAATCTAAAAAAGTCAAACACATAGAAGCAGAAAATAGAATAATGGTTATTAGGGGCGGGGGGAGGAGGGTAGAACTGGGGAGATTTTGGTCAAAGGATACAAAAATTAAGCAGGAAGAACAAGTTCAAGAGACCTATTGTACAACATGGTGACTACAGTTAATAACAATGTATTGCATACTTGAAAATTGCTAGGACAGTAGATTTTAAGTGTTCTCACCACAAAAGAAATGATAAGTATGTGAGGTAACACATGTATTAATTAGCTTGAGTTAGCCATTTCACACTGTATCCATATTTCAAAACATCAGGTTGTACACTCCAAATATATACAATTTTTGTTTGTATATTTAAAAAGTTTTAATATTTAAAAATTCAACTCAAAAATAAATTCTTGGCCAGGCACAGTGGCTCACACCTGTAATCTCAGCACTTTGGGAGGCCAAGGCAGTGGATCATGAGGTCAGGAGATCGAGACCATTCTGGCTAACATGGTGAAACCCCGTCTCTACTAAAAAAATACAAAAAAAATTAGCCGGGCGTGGTGGCGGGCACCTGTAGTCCCAGCTACTCGGGAGGCTGAGGCAGGAGAATGGCATGAACCCAGGAGGCAGAGCTTATAGTGAGCCGAGATCACGCCACTGTACTCCAGCCTGGTGACAGAGCAAGACTCTGTCTCAAAAAATAAAAAAATTAAAAAATTTCAGTTGGCAGAACTTTGCACTACGCACCTTGTCATTCACTTTGCATGGAAAGAGAAGAGACTCATAGTAAGAATGTACTGACTCATGGTCAAATGGCTTGGCTACAGGTCAGGGGGATGGAAGGAGAAAATTTGGATGACTGGAGAAAAAGACATCTGAGAAAAGGGCATATGGGTGGACTTATGGGGATGTACAAAAAGTATGAAGATCTTTGTTTCACATGTTAACACCTACAAGAGGTATCTATCAACAACCAAGGAGAAAAGCGACTCAGCCAGATGATGTTAGCCATCCTCTTCCATTGGCCAGCTCAGTACTGGTGAATAAATATAGTGACAAGGATGGAGGCTATGCAGAGGCCCAAACAGCAGAAGTCTCCACTGTCTAAGTCTTATCTAGCTACTGCTGCTTCTGAATGTCAAAGTTGTCATCAAGACAGAGCAACACTGAGGCCTCAAGATAGCATCATCCCTCAAGGACACCAAGTTGCCACCTGGTGGCAAGCTGAATGCACTGGATTCTTTCCATCACAGGAAGGGTAATGATTCATCTTGGCTGGAACTGATACTTATTCTGAGTATGGATTTATCTTTCCTACTTACATGGCCTCAACCAGCACCACTATCCAAGGGTTGACAGAATGTTTAATCCTCCAGTATGGAATCCTACACATCCTTGCATTGTACTTTATAGCACTGTATAAAGGGAATGCACTTTGTAGCACTGTAGTTGCAGTGGTGGACA
This sequence comes from Homo sapiens, assembly GCF_000001405.40. Classification (NCBI taxonomy): domain Eukaryota; kingdom Metazoa; phylum Chordata; class Mammalia; order Primates; family Hominidae; genus Homo; species Homo sapiens. Next base: position 42,286,090 of record NC_000010.11, on the reverse strand, counting down.
CATGAAAATGCAATTCAGTGATCCTATTACAAATCACGAAATCACAACAACTAGAAGCTGTCAAACTGATGGAGTGATGGAACAGTCTCCAGTAGCCCTTTGAAGCTGCAGGGATGGGATACAAGCATATATCCTAGATCAGTAACCATTATATGGTCCCATGTCGCTAATAGAAAGAGGACCATGGATTGAAGAAAGAGTAGCACTATTTACCGTCACCCCCAGGGATTCACTTAGGAAATTTCTGCTTCTTATCTCTGCAATTCAATGCTGTTACACAACGGAAGCAGACAGGAATGTGTTTGGCAGCCAAGGGATGTTTAAGTAGTCCCTTACTAAATTTTGATTGCTCAATTTAAAAGGACAAGTCTAGTAGCCATGGCTACTACACCCTCCTCTCCTATCTCCAGGTAAGTGACCTAGACCAGTGGAGGTGCTAGCTGAGGGTAAGAATGTAAACCTGATAGTACCTGTATCGTAGGAAAGGCAGATGATCACTTTTATCACTGATAAAAGACAAGTTGAAGAGCCAAGGAGCTATTGTTCCCTCCATGAATGTTACTTTCACATTTCCCCAGCAAAAGAAACCAACCAAAATCCTGGAGGAGCTATTCCTAGATGGAGAGAAGTTATATGAAGTCATGGATCCAAATGACACGAGGGATGGACAGAGTAGTGTCTTCTGTGGTGTGTAGTCCAGGCCTCCCTGCAGAATGGAGACCCTCATTCCCCAGCTTCCTTAGAGTGCTGTCTGTTGAGGGCACATGACTAAGTTCATGCCCTAGGAATTGCCCTCAGGCCAAAAGGAACTGTGTAGTAGAAGTCACATCCTTGGGGCAAGAAATTAGTTTGAATTCATATTGATTGTTGTCAACAAAATTTTAAGTACTGTATGGTATGTGCGTGAAAGGAAAAGAACATTTGAAATGAGCTAATGTAGAGCGGATCTGTTGGAGAACTATTGGTGAATAATGATGATGTGGTCAGTGAGGGTCACTGAAGTTCACAGGGTTATTTGAACAGAAAACATCTGGGAGAGGTGGATTTGACACTCAGATTAGGGGACTGCACAAATAATAAGGTATCTGGGCTTCAGTTTTCTCATCTAGAACATGAGGGACTAAATGACTGCCAAGTATCTTCCAGCTTCTATATTCTGTAATGCTTAAGTACTCTGCAGAATATTAAAATGAACAGCACTGGGAGATAGTCCATGGGCTTGAAAAGTGAGGAAAAACAGAAACTGCCAGGGAGAGTTTGTTAAAACCTTAAAAACCTGTGCACGGCTGTTTATAACAGTTGTATTCATAACTGCCAAAACTTGGAAGCAACCAAGATATCCTTCAGTAGGTTAATGGCTATGCAAACTGTGGTACATCCAGACAAGGGAATATTATACAGCACTAAAAAGAAATCAGATATTAAGCTAAGAAAAGACATGGAGAAGACTTAAATGTATATTGCTAAGTAAAAGAAGCCAGCATAAGAAGGCTATATATTGTATGGTTCTAAGTGTATGACAATCTGGAAAAGGCAATACTATAATGTAGAAACATCAGTGGTTTTCAGCAATTTGCAGAAAGTAAGAGAGGGATACATAGGTGGAACACAGAGGATTTTTATGGTGATGAAACTATTCTATATGATACTGGTGGATATCTGTCATTATACAGTTGTCAAAATTCACAGAACTTTACAACACAAAGAGTGAACGCTAATGTAAACTATGGACTTCAGTTATAGTAATGTATCAATATGTATCAATTGTAACCAATATACCACATTAATACATGGTGTTAATAATAGGGGAAATTGTGTACAGAGGTAGGGATTGGGTGGAGAGTGGGATAGGAAGGTAGTGTTACATGGGAACTCTGTGTACTTTCTGCTCATTGGTTTCTGTAAACCTAAAATTGCTCTAAAAAACAAAGTCTACTAATTTTGAGAAATTTGATGAAGAATAAATATTCATGTAGTACCAAGGTATAATCTCAGACATCACTGGCTAATTAAAGAGGAAAATATACCATTAACGATATAGACATCTGGCAATCACCACCTTAATTTAGGAATGAAAATTAACATCACTGGCAGTGGGACAACCAGACATAAACTTCGTAATGTGCCACTATTGGAAGTATACAACATCACCTTTGAATGATTCTGGCCAAAAAAGTTTAACCTGAATGTAACCAAGTCTTTAAATTTAACTTCAAATTTCAGAAAATTGAGGGGATAGACAAACAAACTAAATGAAACCATGAACAGTCCCACAATTCCAGAATGTGAGATATTCTACGTGACAACTAGCATGGTTCCTTTAAAATGTCAATACCGGCTGGGCACGGTGGCTCGCACCTGTAATCCCAGCACTTTGGGAGGCTGAGGAGGGTGGATCATGAGGTCAGGAGATCAAGACCATCCTGGCTAACATGGTGAAACCCTGTCTCTAGTAAAAATACAAAAAATTATCTGGCCGTGGTGGCAGGGGCCTGTAATCCCAGCTACTCAGGAGGGTGAGGCAAGAGTATCTCTTGAACCCAGGAGGCAGAGGTTGCAGTGAGCCAAGATCATTCCACTGCACTCCAGCCCGGTGACAAAGCAAGACTCCGTCTCAAAAAAAAAAAAGTCTATGCCATTTAGCAAGGGATTAAGTATGGAGAAATGTACTGGATTACAAAATAAGAGACAAAAACAAAATGTAGTGTCCAGTTCTCGATTGGATCATGGCTTTTAAAAATTGCTATAATTGGAAAACAATTAAGAAAATGTGAATCATAGGGTGTAATTATGCAAACCTAGATGGTATATATACGTATATTTTTGAGACAGAGTCTCACTGTGTCACCCAGGCTGGAGTGCTGGTGCGATCTCAGCTCACTGCAACCTCAGCCTCCCAGGTTCAAGCAATTCTCATGCCTCGGCCTCCTGAGTAGCTGGGATTACAGGCACCTGCCACTGCGCCCGGCTAATTATATTTTCAGTAGAGACGGGGTTTCACCATGTTGGCCAGGCTGGTCTCAAACTCCTGACCTCAGATGATCTGCCCACCTTGGCCTCCCAAAGCACTGGGATTACAGGCATGAACCACTACATCCGGCCCTATATATTTTCACTTATTTATTTTTTATAAGGAAAATCAAATGTTCCAGCACCACTACTGAGCATTAGTCATTTCCTCTACTTGAGCTGCAATGCCAATATCAAGGGCCATAAACTGTTTATCAAGTTTCTATATATGTTCCAGTTTAATCTTATGAGACCACCACAGTGTAGATGGTCGACTAGTTGACTGAAATGTGTTACATGGGGCATGACTGTTTATATTTGAAAATATTTGGGAGTTGAATAATTGTAAGGAATTACTGATAACTTGGTGTGAAAGGATAAGGGAATTGTGGTTATGCAAGAAAATGGCTTTAGTTTTTGAATATGCAGGCTCAAGTATACACAGGCAAATTAGCATGATGCCTATAATTTACTTTTAATTCAAATTGAAAAATTACATAAAGAAAACTTGACAAAATATTAACAATTAATTGGATTTAGGTGGTGGTTATGTGGGTGCCCATTTTTTCTACCTTTCTGTAGGCTCCAATGTTTCATAATTAAAAGGGAAATAACGGGGCCACAAGAGAAGGTACAATTAAACATTAATGGGTCCCTTCTCCCAAGCGGTTAGTGCCGAGAGTGTGGAGTGTGTTCTCCAGGATCAGCACATATTTATTATCTTGGAAAACCCATTCCCCTGAAAAAAACCCATGAAAAAACTTAAAAAAAAAAAGGTTTCTATTTTAACACCCATCACCCCTGCAAAACACTGTACAAAAAAATCCTTGTCTTCACTGCCAGAGACATTTTCCTTTTCTTCTTGTATAAGATTACCCGTGAGGCAGCCGAGAGCGACCCACCCGCCCACTCGCAGCTCCGAAGCAGCTTCAAGAAGGAACAGGATCCCGAGGCCTGGACGCTGGACCCTACACCGCCACCCTCGTCCCAGCCCGCTGCAGGCCGCAGTTCCTCGGCCGTGGAGTAGTTTTAGATTCCAGGTGATTTTGTCTCTCTGCCCTGGCCCAGGCTTCCGCCCCAGCCCTTACTCTCCTTTCACGGAAAGGTCGCAGCCTGTGGCCCTACCGGCAGACAGGTGAAGAGGTGAGCCCAGCGTCCCAGCCATCCCCTGTCCTCGCACCCCACGTGACCAGGCCTGCTGGCTGGTCCTCTCTATCCCGGGCTACAGGAACCAGATCACCGGCGCTCCTTGGGAAACGCAGGATGTGGAATGTCCTTAAGACCCCATGAATTTTGATGTTATAAAAGACTAGCCAATACACACTAAGTAGTCTCGGTGTGATCCATCACTCCGCAAAAATGGAGTGGGCAACATGTTCATAAAAAAATTGGACAAATCTATTGATTATAAAGCATTCCATGATACATCTGCTTTTGGTAACATCTTTTTGTTGCAGAAAAAACCAGGTTCTTGTCATACCACCAGGAAAAGGCACGCAAACACTTGAAGGGTGAGGGGGAACGGAGTTTATTGGATGGAAAGGAAAAAGGAAAAATAACTCTTAGCAAAGAGAGAAAGAGTCCTGCTAGCGGGTTTCCCGCCTCATAGATTAAATCCTAGGTCACTACATGGGAACAGGCCAGACTCCTCTCCACTGCACACTGCACAAACTTCCCGAGGCTCCACCCCGTAATCCCAGTGCGCAGGTGGGCATTATTCAGAATCAGTGAGGAAAGGGCGGCTTCAACCCGGACCTGCAGTCCAGTTTATCAGCCTTCAGGCTGTTTTAGTCTTGAAGGTGGGGTTTTACCAGGGGACCCTTGGCTGCCTCCTGTCTCCATCACTTTCACATTAGGTGCTTTGTGGTGAAAACGGTTTCAAGGGTGATGGCACTGTACATTTTGAGACACAGAAGCAGCTGAAAGATCTATTCAAAAATGAAATGGATGCTTCTAAATGATAGCAAAGTCTTTGTTGGATTAAGTCTTGTAAACAATGAGAAGCAGAACTCAGAGTTAAAGAGTTCACCAATGTTTACAGGAAGATTTTTGGAGAAGACATGGATGGTAGGTGCCTTAAAGATCTCTTTGGCAAGTTGGGATCTGTCTTAAGTGTGATAGTAGTGGTTAATGAAAGTGGAAAACCCAAAGGTTTTGGATTTGTCAGCTTTGAAAGGCATAAAGATGCGCAGATGAGATGAACAGAAAGAAGCTCAATGGAAAACAAATTGATGTTGGTCAAGCTCAGAAAGAAGTAGAATGGCAGATGGAACTTGTGTGCAAATTTGAAAAGATCAAGCAGTATAGGATCACCAGATAACAAAGTGTTAACATTTATGCAAAAAATCATGATGGTATTGATGAATGTCTCTGGAAAGAACTTTCTCCACTTGGTACAATCACCAATGCAAAGGTTATGAAGGATGGTTGTCACAACAAAGGGTTTGATTTGTGTATGTTTCTCCTCTCCAGAGGAAGCAACTAAAGCACTTTCAGAAATGAATGGTAGAATTGTGGGCACTGAGCCATTGTATATAGTGTTAACTCCATGGGAAGAAAAGCAATGAAGAGCACCAGGCTCAGCTCATTAACCAGTACACTATGTGCAAAGAATGGCAAGTGTAAAAACTATGCTCAACCTGGGAATCAGTCCCTATCAGCCAGCACCTTCTTCAATTGACTTCATGGCAGTTATCCCACAGACTGAGAGCCATGCTGCAAAGTATTCTCCTAGCCAAACTGCTCAACTAAGATCAAATCCTCCCTAAATTGCTCAGGGTGCCAGACCTCATCCATTGAAAAATATGCCCAAGCCACTCCTAGCTCACTACATTTAGTAGTAAGAGACCAGCTTCTTCACAGCTTCCACGAGTCATGTCAACACAGCTGTTGTAACACATCGACACAGACAATAGGAGCACATCCTGCAGTTGCCGCTACTGCTACTACAGATACTCCTGCTGTTTGTACCATTTCACAGTATAAATATGCTATGGAAGCTCACAATCCTCAATGATATTTTCATGCACAGCCCCAGGTTACCATGCAGCAGCCTGCTGTTCATGTAGAAGGTCAAGAACCTTTGACTTCCATGATGGCATCTGCTCCTCCTCAAAAGCAAAAGGAAACGAGTGAATGGCTGTTTCCTCTTCTTCAAGCCATGCCCTAGTCGTGCTGGTAAAATCATTGGCATGTTGTTGGAGATTGGTAATTTAGAACTCCTTCATATGCTTGAATCTCCAGAGCCTCTCTATACTAAGGTTGACAAAGGTATAGCTGTACTACAAGAGCACCAAGCTAAAGAGGCTGCCCAGAAAGCAGTTAATGGTGCCACTGGTGTTCCAATTGTTTAAAACTGATCAGGGACCACAGAAAGAAACTTGAGCATCACTGAAGAAAAATATCTCAATATCAAAAACCTTAAATACTATGGAAAAAATTTGTAAACTATAAAATAAATTTAAAAAGGAAACTTTGAACTTTACATACCAAGAAAATGTCAGATCTAACAAATGCAATGATAGTCCTAGATTACTTATTGATTTGAAAAGAAAAAATCCTCCCAAAATAATAAAATATAAAAACACTGTAATGCTTTTCAGACTCTGTGATAAATAATTTTCAGCAAAGTATAAAAATTTAAAGCATTCCTTTAATTTTGTAATTCATTAGTGTGGAATAGCTAATAATGTCACTTCTGTTTTAAGTAACAGAATTGATAACTGAGCAAGGAAAGGTAATTTGGATTATAAAATTTTGCTTTAATAAAAATTCCTTAAACAGTGAAAAAAATAGGCAAAGATACAAAAAAAGTTTATAAGAAACAACAATCTTGTATTTATTTTATTTTATTTTATTTTATTTTATTTTATTTTATTTTATTTTATTTTATTTTATTTTTTTAAGATGGAGTCTCGCTCTGTCACCCAGGCTGGAGTGCAGTGGCATGATCTTGGCTCACTGCAACCTCTGCCTCCCAGGTTCAAGTGATTCTCCTGCCTCAGCCTCCCGAGTAGCCGGGACTACAGGCACCTGCCACCATGTCTGGCTAGTTTTTTGTATTTTTAGTAGAGACAGGGTTTCACCATGTTAGCCAGGATGGTCTCCTTCTCCTGACCTCCTGATCCACCCGCCTTGGCCTCCCAAAGTGCTGGGATGGTGTGAGCCACTGTGCCCAGCCTTATTTGTTTAAATACTATAAACACTAATATCATACACATGGTTAACTGGTTGTAATTTTTAAATTATATTAATAAATTTTTATAAAAACATTTTATAAATAAAAAACTTAAAATTTCAAATAAATAACAACATCTGCCACACTACCTTAAAACGGCGACTATTTCAGTATAATAAACATATATCACAGACACTTAGAGAAAGTTCTATAAATAAAGAATAAAAAGAATAGGTAGAACAATTTTCCTCCTAATCAAAAACACAATTCCTCATTTTGAAAATCATTTCTTATCTCTCTTTTATTAAAATAAACTTTCTACTTTGAAATCTAATCCTCTTGTGAATGTAAATTACTATCTTGTAAATATATATATTTTATTATTATTTTCTTTTGAGACAGAGTCTTGCTCTGTCTCCCAGGCTGGAGTGCAGTGGTGCGATCTCAGCTCACTGCAACCTCTGCCTCCTGGGTTCAAGCGATTCTCCTGCCTCAGCCTTCTGAGTAGCTGGGATTACAGGTGCGTGCCACCACACCTGACAAATTTTTGTATTTTTAGTAGAGACGGGGTTTCACTATGTTAGTCAGGTTGGTCTCGAACTCCTGACCTCGTGTTCTGCCCGCATTGGCCTCCCAAAGTGCTGGGATTACAGGCATGAGCCACAACAGCCTGCCTATATTTTTATTTTTTTATAAGTGACAATGAGATATCCTCATGATTTAAATAGTAGTCAAAACACTGGCACAGTTTAAATTTTTAGAATTTGAGTACTAGAATTACAATATTTGAAAATGGAGTCTGTACTTTGTTGTAAAACTATAAAGAGAAAATATCACTAAAACAGTAGCTATTTTATCTTTTCCCAGAGTTATTCTCCCAGAGTGTATTTTCTAAGAGTTATTTCCCAGATGGTTTTAGAACTTTTGGCAGTTTCGGTGATATATTCTATAAAAGCCCTTAGTCTTAATAGGAATAACACATAGTTTTGATTGCCTTAAATTTTAATTGCTTCACTTGGCAAATTTGTGTGTGAATTTCATATTCTGTGGCATTTTAATATCTTGCTTGTGGAGAAGAGGAAAAAGAGGAATGAAAGTAATATTCAGTCCTTGCATTGAGCTTTTGCCAAAGAAGTCTAAACAATTTCTAAAATGCCTTTCAATAAGGCCATTTTAGAAGTGCTTATATAACTCTTATAACTTTAAAATAAAGAGTCTTGAAGTTAATTAAAACTCACTTTGCTTGTGATGGGTTCTACATTAACATGGCAGATTTAATCAGCCAGAATTAAAAGATAATTCTATATTACTAAGGAGAAGAAACTGCCACATGACAGTAGTCTCCAAATCTTTCATTTTTGGAGGCTGCCTTTTATGCCTAGATTTTAAAACACTAATTGAAAAAAATATAGTTTACTTCCATTTGTGATTTAATTTTATTTCTATAAATAAATATATAGATAGTGTTTCATCTAAAAACTGCTAAACCAGACTTTCATTTTAAGGGCATGGCAGAAATAAGGAAAGACTAACTTGGTTCTATTACTTAACATATTATTTATTCAGGTAGTCACCAAAACCAGAATTTAAAATCTATTCAGTTAACCCATTTAAAGTTGATGTGTTTTACTCCTTTTTTTTTTGTAGTGATCTTTTTAACGGAATTACTGGATATCATGGGGAGTTCTACTCCTCCTATTTGGAAACTTAGGCTATCTTACCAAGTTCAATATTCAAAGTTTTTCTTTCTGCCATTAAGTTTGTTTAATTTTATATTAAGCTCAGTTTGTATTATGATATCAAATTCAGCCTGAGGGATTACTTAAACTTTCCTAGGGTATTTACAGATTTAATTTGTTCTTACAGTATGTAAATACCAAGAGAGCATTCCATTTAATATTATTTTTATTAAATTAACTTTGGAGTAAAAAGTCCAAGAAAAGCCCTGTACTGAAATCACATGTTTACTAAATCCTGGATTTTCTGTGCAGTTCCTACATATTTCTACTTTAAAATTCTTCAGTCATGTGAAATAATTCATTAAAAGAAGCAGGCAGATGATGACAGGTAAACTTTTTAATGATGTTCTAATGTTGACAATTGCAGTTTTATTTTGCTTGGATCATAATGGTGTGTAAGCATTTTAGGCCCCAGAATGCCCATAAGTAGAGCTCCATTTGGAGCTGTGATCGAGATGGCTAAAAATGCTACTGTCATCACATCCTTCGCATATGGTTCCAAGTGGGGTGCGGAGACTCTTGCTGTTTCTAGAGCCAGAGGACCTAGCACAGCCTACATTTAGGGATAAAAATGGGGCATAAAGAAAAATATTACTGAGTTAATATATAATGTAAATGGCCCTGTTAAAATAAACAAAATCTAGTACTAGACTATTAGAAAAAAAAAAGTACTCAGTAATTATCATAAGTTACTCATCAGTTCCATGTTCTTCCTAGCAAATATATGTGGAGGAAGAGTACAATAGTGACAAATCAGCATGCAAACATTTTTGGGCTGATTTTGCACTCTTGTCCTCTCAGTGTTCCTCTATTCAAATATCTCTTTTGAGTGTTGCCCTCATAACACCAGGAGTTCTAACAAAACCAGTTTTGCTTAGTTGCCTTTATCGTGTACCAGTAGTTTTTGACTACAAGAAGACCAAATAAAATATTAAGTTTTCTTATGGTTCTCTAGGATGTGTTGCCCTTCTTCTCATTGTTCTCCTTATTCAGGGGGCACTGGGTTATAGCAGAACTGACAGCAGGTTTGGAATCTAGCAAACTGGGTTTGAATTCTATTTTTGCTGCAACCAGGCTAGTGACCTTGTACAAATGACTCACACTCTCTAAACTTCTACTTACTTACGTGTAAAACGAAGAACAAAATACTTATCTTACTGGACGGTTGTGAAAATTAAATATGAGAATGTGAAGAATACCTGGCACACAGTAGGTATTCAGATAGTAGTAAGTTTCTTTCTCCTTCACTCCTCATCCCCTGCCAGGTCAGAGAATGAGTTCCTTTGAAGTTTTTTTTTAGAATGACTACTGGGTCACAAGATTTTTCCCTAGTTACCTTCTACCATATTATTTTTAATAACATAAAGCAAATTTCTTGTAACTATCTTTCCTTGTGTTTAATAACTAGGCCTGAAATTGCCTTAAAATTTGGGGGAATTAAATACCAACATATAACATATTTTCTATGGAGTTGTGAAGTAACAACATAATAGTAGAAACATTACCTCTGATATGGAACATTATGGCAAGAGAACCCCTCAATTTAAGATCAATTTCTATATCCTAAATCAATAATTTAAAATGGTATTATTTTTATATCATAACTTTTAATGTACTGAACATGATCCAGTGTGCTGGAGGATGCTAGGGAGAAAAAAAATAATCATGCAGAAAACCACGTTGAAAGAATCTCACAGTTTAGAAGAGGATTTGAACATAAAAGAACTGCCAACAGAAAAAACAAAAACAAAAGCCAAACCCACTGACTTTTAAGAGATGATGACGATAATGGTGAAACTAGAAATAATATTTTTATAGTTATATGGCATTCATCATATGTCAGGTATCATTCTTAAAGCTTTCCATTTATCAATTCATTTAATTCTTATGACAACCTTATTATGTGAGGACTTTTATTAGATGATAAATGATTTCCTCCTAGTGACTGAGATTTAATACTATTTCTTTAAAAAAATCCAGTTGCCAAGCTGATCTTACATTTGTAAACTAAATTATTTATTTACTCTCCTAATAGCTTCTATTTTTCCTGTCTAACTTTTATCAGTAACTCGAAACTAAGGAACAAGAGAAAGCTGAACCTTAGCCAATTTTATTTTAGCAGCAGAGAATGGCGGAAGAGGATAAAGGTGAAAATAATTTAAAATTGAAATTTAAATATTTGTTGATCGTATTTACTTGTGACATTATTGTTATCTATTATTGCTGTTGTGACTCTACTTGTATAAATAATTAATTTTTTATGTCTTGCCAGTTCCTGGGACCAGCTTGATATTCTTTGTGTAGAAGCCAGCCTGGAGCCAGCCGACAGGAATAGGCAGAAGCAGAATAATACTGCAGGGCTCGAGTGAGTGGTCTCTTTCCTCATACCTGCTTTTCTTTTTTCCCTGCTTTATGAAAATTATGAAATAATGAAACAAAATTGCAAGAGTATTGTTGGAAGGAGAGAGAACAGATACTCCTTTTGTAGATTTATTATTCCCTACAGTAGACATTAAAAATAAAAAGTTATTATTTATATTACTTGAAGGTAAGATAAAATAACAACATTGTTTGTTAACTGAGCACCACCATATGCCAGAGAGAGTGCTAAGGCACTTTACGTGGATTATCTCCTTGAATCCTGACAATACTGCTAAGAAACAGATACAGTCATAGACTTCATTGCAAGACGAGAACACTGAAGGACTGAGAGACTAGAAAATAATTTTCCTGAGGTTATAGGCAAGTAACATGGTATTCAAAACAGGTAGTCTGGCCCTATGAGCCTGCTTTTCTAACATGATAATAGAGGTTTTTTGCATGAAAATTTAGGAGCTTCTGTTTTGGAATAACAACTAAGAAAAGAGCCACAGGAAATTAAGGTATATTATGCTGCCAAGTTAAACAGTCTAACAAGAAGTAGCAATATATTTTAGTAGGAGGAGAATCTCCTTGAATAACAGGGCAAAATTACAAGGTTTCCCTTTCCGTTCATTCATCCTTGCAGGCATGCAATACGTATTTGCCTCCTGCATGTCAGGCACTGTGTTAAGTGCCAGGGAGAAATAATGAAAAACAACTGCAACGACTAGACACTGTCCCTGTCCTTACGTAGTCTATCAAGGGGGCGGGGGCAGGGATTTAGCCATTAACCAAATAGTATACAAATAAATGTGTAATTAAAAAAATATATGCACATTTGTGTGATGGAGTGAGTGGCAAGGTAGGAAAAGTATTTTTTAAAAAATCAATGTGTCTCTATTTTACTTTACTTTTTTTTGCGACAGGGTCTCACTTTGTCACCCAAGCTGGAGTGAAGTGGCGTGACCTCAGCTCACTGCAGCCTCAACCTCCCGAGTTCAAGCTATTCTCCTGCCTCAGTCCCCAAGTAGCTGTGACTACAGGTGCGTGCCACCACACCTGACTAATTTTTTTGTATTTTTTTTGTAGAGACAGGGGTTTTACCATGTTGCCCAGGCTGGTCTTGAACTCCTGAGGTCAAGTGATCTGCCTGCCTCAGCCTCCCGAAGTGCGAGGATTACAGGCATGAGCCACCATGCCTGGCCTGTGTCTCTACTTTTTAAAATCATAACATTTAGCTTTGTTATATTCAGCAAAATATAAAAACTCCAATTTTCAGATATATTCTTATTATATATTTTAGGAAAATAAAAAACATATTTTCATAAACTTAGAAAGTACTTATTGAAAGAATACTTTTTGATTTCAAAATAATTGCTTTTAAAACTGAGATTTCAAAAGGTTACGTTGGCTGTGCCCAGTGGGTTATGCCTGTAATCCCAGAACTTTAGGAGGCTGAGGCAGGAAGATCACTTGAACCTAGGAGTTCAAGATCAGCCTGGGCAACATAGCAAGACCTCCTCTTTACAAAAAAATCAGAAAGAAAAGGCCAGGCACAGTGGCTCATGCCTGTAATCCCAGCACTTTGGGAGGCTGAGGCGGGCAGATCACTTGAGGTCAGGAGTTTGAGACTAGCCTGGCCAACATGGTGAGACCCCATATCTACCAAAAATACAAAAATTAGCTGGGTGTGGTGGTGTGCACCTGTAATCCCAGCTACTGAGGAGGCTGAGGCAGGAGAATCGCTTGAACCTGGGAGGTGGAGGTTGCATTGAGCTGAGATCATGCCACTGCACTCCAGCCTGGGCAACAGAGTAAGACTGTCTCAAAAAAAAAAAAAAAAAACTGAAAAAAAGCAGTTGGGTGTGGTGGCAGGTGACTGTGATCCTAGCTACTCAGGAGGTTGATGTGAGAGGATTGTTTGAGCCCAGGTGGTTGAGGCTGCAGTGAGCCGTGATCATGCCACTGCACTCCAGTTTGGGTGACAGAGTGAGACCTGGTCTCAAAATGAAAATAAAAATAAAAATAGAAAAAGGTTACATTGAGTTTCTTTGTTTGTTTTTGTTTATTTATTTATTTTTTTTTTGAGATTGAGTGTTGCTCTGTCGCCCAGACAGACATTATCTATTATATATGTTTGACCCTTTGATATTATGTCTTTAAATGTTATATTACATGTCTAAAATTTTGATTTTCTTTCTCACCATACATTTTAGCAGACTTACTACCAAGTAACAAAATTTCCAATTAGTAACGTTTCATCTTCTGCCACATCTCTGATACTAGTATCAGTAAAATAGTTAAAATATTACTTTAAGTGAAGAAGAAAAGAGACCCATAAAATCTCCAGTTTCATATAACATATCCAATGAATTCTTAAAAAATATTTGAATATCTCTTTGGTCAATATGTTACAGCTAAATTTGGATGGAAATTACAGAAATACAAAAGTAATGGCATGTTTTCCTTTAAGGCAGGAAATGGCTAAGTTTGAGTGTTGCCTTTGTCAAAGGATAGCAGGAGTGAATTTCAGTCAGAAAATATGCAGAAATAAATGGGAACCTATCTCCCCCTAAAATGTTTAAGGGAAAATTTGGGGGAAATTATCAAACCTCAATAGGCAATTTAGTAGAGAAAGGGAAAGTATAATTGAGAGGGATACTCTGAATTAAGTATATTTTTTGACATTCCTTATTTGCCAAATCAGGAAGCAGAGACTTTAATCAAAGCCATTGACCTGTATCAATCACCACTGTGCTCAGTTTTAAATACAGAGTAGGCATTGGAGGCTAGTTTTAGAAAAATAGAGTTAAGTATTAAATTTCATGGATCTTACCAAAGTTTAATATTTTGAAAAAAAAGTCTAATACTATACTTCTATAAGATAGATTTTGTATTTAACTGGTCTTCACTTGGAAAATATCGAACAAAAAATCCCAAAACAATTCCTGCCAGCCGACTAATACATATGTTCCTTATAGAGGCTATGGCGTTATTAAGCATACCACCTGTAGGGGCACACAATAAAAAAAAATTCACAAAGAAATATTTTCACATACACTACACATCAGAAAAGCAAATCTAGGTGGTTCATGAAGAAAAGTAAGCATTTTATAGAACAAATATATGCAAATGGTCTTTTTATAGTGACATGTATGAAAACACGTAGATCTATTTAGTACATTAAATATATACTCTCAAATAATTTAATATATACACACAACTCAGAAATGTCCATTATATAAATAGGCCAGAAAACAAAGACTTAAGCACAAGATGCTCCCCTTACATAGCCAATTTAAAAGACAGAGTGAGGTAGTCCGGGCACAGTGGTTCATGTCTGTAATCCTAGCGCTTTGGGAGGCCGAGGAGGGTGAATTACTTGAGGTCAGGAGTTCAAGACCAGCCTGGCCAACATAATGAAGCCCCATCTCTACTAAAAATACAAAAATTTTGTGGGCATGGTGGCACACAACTGTGGTCCCAGGTACTCAGGAGGCTGAGGGAGGAGAATCACTTGAACCTGGGAGGCAGAGGTTGCAGTGAGCTGAGATCGTGCCACCACACTCCAGCCTGGGTGAAAGATGGAGGCTACACCTCGAAAAGAAAAAAAAGACCAAGTGAGGTACAAGAATGGAGAGAGACCGAAACACTTGTGGCACTTAGCATATGGCTGGTAAGGGCTATATTAACAATTCTTCTTTGATGTACTATATGAAAAAGAAACAAATGATTTTAACATGAAAAGAACAATGTAATAACAACATAAAAAATTTTGTTCCAGGGTCAGTCCTAGAAACATTCAAGGGTCATTTAAGATTTCAGTATATTTAAGTTTCTGCTTTTGGTGAAGAAAAAAGGAAAAAAAATACAAAAGATTCCAGTATATTTTATATTAATTAATATTAATATATCCATACTTGTAGTTCATTGTAATAAGTAAAAAGCAAAAAATAAAAAAAACCAGAATGAGTCACAAAAATAGTTCAGTTAAGCTCTGGGTAGTGGATTCAATATAGTACGTAAGTATATTTTTAGATATATTTTCTACTAAATATAACAGGCAGCGCATGGTGGGCTCACACCTTTAATCCTAGCACTTTGGGAGGCCAAGGCAGAAAGATTGCTTGAGCCCAAGATTTGAGACCAATTTGGGCAACAGAGTGAAACCCCATCTTCACAAGAAAATAGGAAATTAGCCCGGTATGTGGTGTGTACCTATAGTCCAAGTACTCAGTAGCCTGAGGGAGGAGGTCCCTTGAGCTCAGGAGTTCGAGGCTGCACTCTAGCCTGGCTGACAGAGCAAGATCCTGTCTCAAGAAAATAAAATATAATAAAAATAAAAAATTATATAAACAGAGTGATGCCAGCCAGATGGTGGAATGGCTCCAAACCTTGATTCTCCATAAAGATAGCAACTGAAAAACAATATATGGTCTAAAAGCCTTTATGGAGTTCCATAAACCATTAAGAAATTGTAGTAGCACAGACAAGTGCAAAACCAAGAATAGTGGCATTGAACAAATAAGAAAAGCTGTTGCATTATACTCATGATACCCCTTCCCCAAGCTCGAACAGGTTGGTTTGGCTGGGAAGCACTCAACTTGCAGCTTCTCCGTTAGCAGAGAAAGAGAAGACTGGAACGGAATAGTTTTATGAGGTTACCTGAAGCTCTCCCTCTCTCTCTAACTTGACGCCCAACTGGCATACTTTGGATTCATGGGAGCCACTGGGAATAAAGGAGAGGTCAGAGATGATGCAGCACCAGGGAACCTGCAGTACCACAGACAGATACCAGAGGGAGCAACAGCTCCAGAAAAAGAAACTGGCAAACCTCTACTTGGGATGTTGCAATGTATAAACCCAAACAAGATGCATTCCCAGAAAAAGTTTGAGAGGCTGCTGGAACCTATAGCCATGCTGATTCAGGTATGAAGGTCTTCCGTATGAAGCCAGCTGATAAAAACTGGGAGAAGTGGCAGTTTTTTCAAACGCCCAAATCTTGGCAAAAATAAATAAAAAAATAAAAAATAACAAGACATAAGAAGAAACAGAGAAACCTGATGACTAAATTAAAGGAGCAAAATAAATCTACAGAAACCAACCCTAAAGAAATAGATAAATGAGTTACCTGACAAAGAATCCAAATTAACTCTCTTAATGAAGCCCAGTGACAACAGAAATAGACAACTAAGTGAAAGCAGGAAATAATTCATGAAGAAAATGAAAATATTAATGGAGATAGAAACTAAAAAAAAAAAAAAGGAACCATACAGAAACTCTGGAGCTAAGGAATACAATAGCTCAATTGAAAAATTCACTATTGGAAATCACCAATAGACTGTGTAACTGCCCAGTGGTTTCACCTCGTGCCCTGCTTAGACAGAGCTGATTTATCAAGACAGGGGAACTGCAATGGAGAAAGAGTAATTCAGGCAGAGCCAGCTGTGCGGGAGATCAGAGTTTTATTATTACTCAAATCAGTCTCCCTGAGCATTCGGGGATCAGAACTTTTAAAGATAATTTGGCAGGTAGGGGCTTGGAAAGTGGGGACTGCCTATTCATCAGGTTGGAGATGAAATCATACAGGGTTGAAATGATGTTTTCTTGCTGTCTTCTGTTTGTGGGTGGGGTGGCAGAACTAGTTGAGCCATATTACCAGTCTGGGTGGTGTCAGCTGATTCATCCAGTGCAGGGTCCGCAAAATATCTCAAGCACTGATTTTAGGTTTTACAATAGTGATGTTATCCCCAGGAGCAATTTGGAGAGGTTCAGACTCTTGGAGCCAGAGGCTGCATAACCCCTCAACTGTAATTTCTGATGTTATAGCTAATTTGTTTATCCTGCAAAGGCAGACTGGTTCCAGGCAAGAAGGGGATCTTTTTGGGAAATGGCTATTATCAACTTTGTTTCAGAGTCAAACCATGAACTGAATACCTTCCCAAAATTAGTTCATCCTACTGCCAGGAATGAACAAGGACAGTTTAAATGCTAGAAGCAAGATGGAGTTGATTAAGTCTGATGTCTTTTGCTGTCATAATTTCTTCAGTTATAATTTTTGCAAAGGCAGTTTCAATAACATCAAGCAGAAGAAAGAATCAGTGAAACGGAAGACTAGTCATTTGAAATTATGGAGTCAGAAGAGCAAAAGGGAAAAGGAGTGAAGAGTGAAGACAGCCTAAGAGACTTACAGGATGCCATCAAGCAGACCAATGTATGCATTATGAAAGTGCCCGGAGGAGAGAAAAATAAAGGGGCAGAGAGCCAGTTAAAAAAATAATGACCAAAAACTTCTCAAACTTAAAGAAGGAAATGGACATACAAATCCAAGAGGCTCAAAGAACTCCAAGTTGGATAATTTGCAAAAGACCTACAATGAGACACATTACAATCAAACTGTCAAAAGTCAAAGACAAAGAGAGAATTTTGAAAGGAACAGGACCAAAGCAACTTGTCACATACAAGGGAGATGCCATATGGTTATCAATGGAATTATCAGCAAAAACTCTACAGACCAGAAGAGAATGGGATGATATATTAAAAGGGCTGAAAGAAAAAAAAAACTGTCAACAAGAACTGTATAGCCAGTAAAACTCTACTTCAAAAATGAAGGACAAACGAAGAGTTCCCCAGAGAAGTAAAAGGTGAGGGAGTTGATCACCACTAGACCTACCTTACAAAAAATGTTAAAGGGAGTCCTCCAAGTGGAAATGAAAAGGCATTGGATAGAAATACAAAAGCATACAAAATATAAACTTCTTTGGTAAAGGTAAATATATGAGTGAACATAGAATCTTTTAATACTCTAATGGTGGTAAGCAAAACACTTTTTTTCCTTTACTTTTTTTTTTTTTTGAGACGAAGTCTTGCTCTGTTGCCCAGGCTGGAGTGCAGTGGTTTGATCATGGCTCACTGCAGCCTTGTAGTCCTGGGCTAAAGCAATCCTCCCACCTCAGCCTCCCGAGTGGCTGGGACTACAGACATGCACCACCACACTCAGATAATATTTTTAAATTTTTAGCAGACATAAGGCCTTGCTGGTCTCAAACTCCTAGGCTCAAGCGATCCTCCCATTTTGGCCTGTCAAAGTGCTGGGTCTACAGGTGGGAGACACCACACCCAGCCTGTAATTCACTTTTAATTGATGCATAGAATTTAAAAGTTGAAAGCATAATATTACTGTATTAAATTATGTGAATAAACAATATAAAATATATAGTGTGACATTGATAACAAAGTGAGAAGGAGGTGTAAAGAAGTAGAGTTTTTGTATGTGATTAAAGTTAAGTTGTTGTCAATTTAAAATAGATTATTATAACTATAAGATGTTTTCATGTAATTCTACAGTAACCACAAAGAAAAGACCTACAGAAGTTACACAAATAAAAATGAGAAAGGAACCAAAGCACGTCCCTACCAAAAAAAGGAATCAGTGAAACATAAAGGGAGGCAGAAAGAGAGGAAAAGTGGAAAAAAATACCTGCAAGACATGTATAAAACAATGAACAAAATGACAATAGTAAGCCCCTCCCTATCAGTAACTACTTTAAATGCAAATAGGCTAATTTTCCAATCAAAAGACAGAGAATTGGCTGAATGGATTAAAAAAATGTAAATATATACTATATGCAAGAGACTTATGTTAGATCTAAACACACACAAAGGTTGAAAGTGAAAGGATGGAAAAAGATATTCAATGCATTTGGTAACCAAAAGAGAACAAGGATGGCCATACTTAGACAAAATAGAGTTTAATTCAAATAATAGCACAACAGACAAGGATATTACATAATAATAAAAGGGCCAATTGACCAAGAAGATATAGCAATTATAAATGTATATGTAACTAACAGTACAGCATCTAAATATATGAAGCTAACATAGACAGAATTGAGGGGTAACATAGATAGCAACATCATAATAACAGAAAACTTCAATATTCCACTTTCAATTATGGATACAATAACCAGACAGAAGATCAACTGGAAAACACAGAACTTGAACAACATTATAGACCAATTGGACCTGTCTGACATATACAGAACACTTCACCCAATAATAGCAAAATACACTTTCTTCTCAAGTACATACCAAGACGATTCCAGGATAGATGACATGCTAGTCCACAAACAAGTTTTTAAAAATTTAAGAAAACTGAACTCATACCAAATATCTTTTCTGACCACATTAAATGAAATTACAAATTCATAGCAGAAGGAAAAAGGAAAAGTAATAAATATGTGGAAATTACAAAAATATACTCTCTTAACCAATTGACCTGTGTGGTTAATATTAATTGACAATTTGATTGAGGGATGCTTAGATGCCTGATGAAGCACTGTGTGTGTGTATATCTGTGAGGGTGCTGCCACAGGAGAATGATGGATGAGTTAGTGGACTGAGAGAGAAAAACCCATCCTCACTGTGGGTAGGCATCATGCAATTGGTTGCAAGTGTGACTAGAACAAAAAGGCAGAAGAATGGGAACATTCAGCTTGCTTGGATTTCTTTTTTATGCACTTTCTCTCTCTTCCAGAGCAGTATGCCTTTTTTTCCTCTTGCCCTTGCACATCAAACTCTAGGTTCTTTGGCCTTTGGACCCTGGGACTTGCATCAGCAGCCTTTTGGGAGCTCTCAGGCCTTGGTCCTCAGACTAGTGGCTGCACTGTCAGCCTCCCTGGTTTTGAGACTTTCAGACTGGGACTGAGCCATGTCACTGGCTTCCTTGGGAGCCATGCTGTAGGCTTCTCTCATTTTCCAGCTTATAGATGGCCTATTGTGGGACTTTGCCTTTGTAATTATGTGAGCCAAATCTCCTTAATAAATTATATTTCATATATATGTAAATATATTCTCTTTTAGATGCATGTGTATATATTTATATCTATATCTATTATCTATATATATATCTATATCATCCATATCTGTATCTATATCTATATTTCCTATTGGATCTGACCCTCTTGAGAACTCTGATTAATACATAGTCAAAGAATAAGTCACAAGGAAAATTAGAAAATGTCTTGAGACAAATAAAAATGGAAACACAACATTCCAAAGCTTGTGGGATGCAGCAAAATGAATATGAAGAGGACAGTTTATATATCTAACTACCTACCTTAAAAAAGAAGAAAGATCTAAAATCAGCAACTTAGCTTTACACCTCAAGAAACTGGAAAAAGAAGAACTCAACCCAATGTTAGCAACAGGAAGGAAATAATAAAGTCTAGAGCAGAAGGCCGGGAGCAGTGGCTCACGACTGTAATCCCAGCACTTTGGGAGGCCGAGGCAGGTGGATCACCTGAAGTCGGGAGTTCGAGACCAGCCTCAGCAACATGGAGAAACGTGTCTCTACTAAAAAATACAAAATTAGCCGGGCATGGTGGTTCATGCCTGTAATCCCAGCTACTCTGGAGGCTGAGGCAGGAGAGTCACTTGAACTGGGAGGTGGAGGTTGCAGCGAGCGGAGATCACGCCATTGCACTACAGCCTGGGCAATAAGAGCAAAACTCCATCTCAAAAAAAAAAAAAAAAAAAAAAGGCTAGAGAATAGAAAAAATCCAATGAAACTAGTAGTTGTTTCAAAGTTCAACAAAATTGACAAATCATTAGCTAGAATATTTAAGAAAAAAAAAGAAGACTCAACTTCTTTTAGGAACAAAAGAGAAGACACTGCAACAGATATTACAGAAATAAAAAGGATTCTAAGAGTCTACTATGAATGATTATATACTGACAAGTTGGATAACCTAGGAGAAATGAACAGATTCCTTGTAACATGCAAGTTACCAAGACTAAGTCACAAAATAAAAAATCTTAATAAACCTATAACTAGTAACTGAATCAGGAATCAAAAACCTCCCAGCAAACCAAATACCTGATAAGGGGTTAATATCTAAAATATATACAGAACAACAACTCAATAACAAAACAACCTAAATGAGAAATGGTCAGTTGACTTTGCTATGGTCCAAATGTTCTCCCAATATTCATATGCTGGAGCCTAATATTCAATGTGATAATATTAAGAGGTGGGGCATTTTGGAGATGATTAGTTCATGAAGTCATAGCTCTCAGAAATGGGACTAGGGCCTTTATAAAAGAGGCTTAAGGGAGTTTGTTTTCCCTTTTGAACATTTGAGGACACAGAGAAGGTGCTATATATAGTGAATATAGTGACCTCACCAGTCACTGAGTCTGTCGTAGCCTAAATCTTGGACTTCTCACACTCCAGAATGCAAGAAATAAATTTCTGTTGTTTATAAATTACCAGCCTAAGGTATTTTGTTATAGCAGCAGGAATGGACTAAGATAGACTTGAATAGACATTTTTTCCAAAAAGAAATACAAATGGCCAACTAGCATATCAACCCAACACTACATGGAAACTGCCAAGGCTTGGGGATTGAACTCTGAAGCAATAGCCTGAGCTGCACATTGGCTCCTTTTAGCCATGGCTGGGACACAGGGCACCAAGTCCCAAGACTGCACAGAGCAGCAAAGTTCTGGGCCTGGCCCACAAAACCATTTTTTCCCTCCTAGGCCTCCAACCCTGTGATGGGAGGGGCTGTCGTGAAGAACTCTGACATGCCCTGGAGACAATTTCCCCATTATCTTGTCAATTAACATTTGGCTCCTTGTTACTTCTGCAAATTTCTGCAGTCAGCTTGAATTTCTCCCCAGAAAATGGGTTTTCTTTTCTATCACATCATCAGGCTGCAAATCTTCCAAACTTTCATGCTCTGCTCCCTTTTAAACATAAGTTCTAATTCCAAACCATATTTTTGTGAACACATAAAACTGAACACTTTTAAGAGCACTCAGGTCATAAATTGAACACTTTGCTGCTTACAAATTTCTTCTACCAGATGTCCTGGATGGATTCCAAGATGGCAAAATAGGAACAGTTCCGGTCTGCAGCTCCCAGCATGATCGACACAGAAGACAGGTGATTTCTGCACTTCCAACTGAGGTACCTGGTTCATCTCATTGGGACTGGTTGGAGAGTGGGTGCAGGCCCACAGAGGGTGAGCTGAAGCAGGGTGGGGTGTCGCCTCACCCGGGAAGCACAAGGGGTTGGGGGATTTCCCTTTCCTAGCCAAGGGAAGCTGTGACAGACTACCTGGAAAAACAGGGCACTCCCGCCCAAATACTGCACTTTTCCCAAGGTCTTAGCAACTAGCAGACAAGGTGATTCTCTCCTGTGCCTGGCTCAGTGGGTCCCACACCCATGGAGCCTTGCTCACTGCTAGCACAACAGTCTGAAATCCATCTGTGAGGTGGCAGCCTGGCTGGGGGAGGGGCGTCCATCATTGCTGAGGCTTAAGTAGGTAAACAAAGTGGCCAGGGAAGCTTGAACTCGGTGGAGCCCACCGCAGCTCAACAAGGCCCATTGCCTCTAGACTCCACGTCTGTGGGCAGGGATAGCTGAACAAAAGGCAGCAACTTCTGCAGACTTAAACGTCCCTGTCTGACAGCTCTGAAGAGAGCAGTGGTTTTCCCAGCATGGCGTTTGAGTTCTGAGAATGGACAGACTGCCTCCTCAAGTGGGTCCCTGACCCCTGTGTAGCCTAACTGGGACACACCTCCCAGTAGGGGCTGACAGACACCTCATATAGGCGGCTGCCCCTCTTGGACAAAGCTTCCAGAGGAAGGATCAGGCAGCAATATTTGCTGTTCTGCAATATTTGCTGTTCTGCAGCCTCCACTGGTGATACCCAGGCAAACAGTGTCTGGAGTGGAACTCCAGCAAACTCCAACAGATCTGCAGCTGAGGGTCCTGACTGTTAGAAGGAAAACTAAAAAACAGAAAGGAATAGTGTCAACATTAACAAAAGATCATCTAACCAAAACCCCATCTGTAGATCAACAATATCAAAGACCAAAGGTAGATAAAACCAAAAGGATGGGGATAAACCAGAGCAGAAAAGCTGAAAATTCTAAAAATCAGAGCACCCCTTCTCCTCCAAAGGATCACAGCTCCTTGTCAGCAATGGAACAAAGCTGGACGTAGAATGACTTTGACGAGTTGACAGAAGTAGGCTTCAGAAGGTTGGTAATAACAAACTTCTCCGAGCTAAAGGAGGATGTTGGAACCCATTGCAAGGAAGCTAAAAACCT
Source organism: Homo sapiens (assembly GCF_000001405.40). NCBI lineage: Eukaryota > Metazoa > Chordata > Mammalia > Primates > Hominidae > Homo > Homo sapiens. The sequence continues at coordinate 42,262,684 of NC_000010.11, read as the reverse complement.
TGAAAAAAGATTAGACGAATGGCTTACAAGAATAAACAGTGTAGAGAAGACCTTAAGTGACCCAATGGAGCTGAAAACCATGGCACGAGAACTTTGTGACACATGCACAAGCTTCAATAGCCGATTCAATCAAGTGGAAGAAAGGGTATCAGTGATTGAAGATCAAATAAATGAAATAAAGTGAGAAGACAAGGTTAGAGAAACAAGAGTAAAAAGAAATGAAGAAAGCCTCCAAGAAATATGGGACCATGTGAAAAGACCAAATCTATATTTGATTGGTGTACCGGAAAGTGATAAGGAGAATGGAACCAAGTTGGAAAACAGTCTGCAGGATATTATCCAGGAGAACTTCCCCAACCTAGCAAGGCAGGCCAACATTCAACTTCAGGAAATACAGAGAACAACACAAAGATACTCTCTGAGAAGAGCGATTCCAAGACACATAATTGTCAGATTCACCAAGGTTGAAGTGTAGGAAAAAGTGTTAAGGGCAGCCAGAGAGAAAGGTCAGGTTAGCCACAAAGGGAAGCCCATCAGACTAACAGCTGATCTCTTGGCAGAAACCCTACAATCCAGAAGAGAGTGGGGGCCAATATTCAACATTCTTAAAGAAAATAATTTTCAATCCAGAGTTTCATATCCAGCCAAACTAAGCTTCATAAGTGAAGGAGAAAATAAAATTCTTTACTGACAAGCAAATGCTGAGAGATTTTGTCACCACCAGGCCTGCCTTACAAGAGCTCCTGAAGGAAGCACTAAACATGGAAAGAAACACCCGGTACCAGCCAGTGCAAAAACATGCCAAGTTATAGAGAACATCAATGCTAGGAAGAAACTGCATCAATTAACGGGCAAATAACAGCGAATATCATAATGACAGGATCAAATTCACACATTACAATATTAACTGTAAACATAAATGGGCTAAATGCCCCAATTAAAGGACACAGACTGGCAAATTGGATAAAGAGTCAAGACCCATCAGTGTGCTGTATTCAGGAGACCCATCTCATGCGCAAATTCACACATAGGTTCAACATAAAGGGATGGAGGAAGATCTACCAAGAAAATGGAAAACAAAAAAAGGCAGGGGTTGCAATCCTTGTCTCTGATAAAACAGACTTTAAACCAACAAAGATCAATGGAGACAAAGGCCATTACATAATGGTAAAGGGATCAATGCAACAAGAAGAGCTAACTATCCTAAATATATATGCACCCAATACAAGAGCACCCAGATTCATAAAGCAAGTCCTTAGAGACCTACAAAGAGACTTAGACTCCCACACAATAATAATGGGAGACTTTAACACCGAACTGTCAATATTAGAAAGATCAACAAGGCAGAAGGTTAACAAAGATATCCAGGACCTGAACTCAGCTCTGCAACAAACAGACCCAATAGACATCCACAGAAATCTCCACCTCAAATCAACAGAGTATACATTATTCTCAGCACCACATATCACTTATTCTAAATTTGACCACATAATTGGAAGTAAAGCACTCCTCACCAAATGTAAAAGAACAGAAATCACAACAAACTGTCTCTCAGACCACAGTGCAATCAAATTCGAACTTAGGATTAAGAAGCTCACTCAAAACTGAACAACTACATGGAAACTGAACAATTTGCTCCTGAATGACTACTGGGTAAATAACAAAATGAAGGCAGAAATAAAGATGTTCTTTGAAACCAATGAAAACAAAGACACAATGTACCAGAATCTCTGGGACACATTTAAAGCAGTGTGTAGGGGGAAATTGATAGCACTAAATGCCCAGAAGAGAAAGCAGGAAAGATCTAAAATTGACCCCCTAACATGACAATTAAAAGAACTAGAGAAGCAAGAGCAAACACATTCAAAAGCTGGCAGAAGGAAAAAATAAGATCAGAGCAGAGCTGAAGGAGACAGAGACACAAAATCCCTTCAAAAAAGCAATGAATCCAGGAGCTGGTTTTTTGAAAAGATCAACAAAATTGATAGACTGCTAGCAAGACTAATAAAGAAGGAAAGAGAGAGGAATCAAATAGATGCAATAAAAATGATAAAGGGGATATCACCACTGAGCCCAGGGAAGTAAAAACTACCATCAGAGAATACTATAAACACCTATACACAAATAAACTTGAACATCTAGAAGAAATGGATAAATTCTGGGACACATACACCCTTGCAAGACTAAACCAGGAAGAAGTTGAATATCTGAATAGACCAATAACAGGCTCTGAACTTGAGGCAATAATTAATAGCCTACCAACCAAAAAAAAGTCCAGGACCAGATGGATTCACAGCTGAGTTCTACCAGAGGTACAAAGAGGAGCTGGTACCAGTCTTTCTGAAACTTTTCCAATCAATAGAAAAAGATAGAATCCTCCCTAATTCATTTAATGAGGCCAACATCATCCTGATACCAAAGCCTGACAGAGACACACCAACAACAAAAAAGAGAATTTTAGACCAATATCCCTGATGAACATTGATGCAAATATCCTCAATAAGATACTAACAAACTGAATCCAGCAGCACATCAAAAAGCTTATCCACCATGATCAAGTTGGCATCCCTAGGATGCAAGACTGGTTCAACATACGCAAATCAATAAACGTAATACATCCTATAAACAGAACCAAAGACAAAAACCACATGATTATCTTAATAGATGCAGAAAAGACCTTTGACAAAATTCAACAGCCCTTCATGCTAAGAACTCTCAATAAACGAGGTACTGATGGGACGTATCTCAAAATAATGAGAGCTATTTATGACAAACACACAGCCAATATCATACTGAATGGACAATAACTGGAAGCATTCCCTTTGAAACCTGGCACAAGACAACGATTCTCTCTCTCACCACTCCTATTCAAAATAGTCTTGGAAGTTCTGGCCAGGGAAATCAGGCAAGAGAATGAAATAAAGGGTATTCAGTTAGGAAAAGAGGAAGTCAAATTGTCCCTGTCTGAAGATGACATGACTGTATATTCACAAAACCCCATCATCTCAGCTCAAAATCTCCTTAAGCTGATAAGCAACTTCAGCAAAGTCTCTGGATACAAAATCAATGTGCAAAAATCACAAGCATTCCTATACACCAATAACAGACAAACAGAGAGCCAAATCATGAGTGAACTTCCATTCACAATTGCTTCAAAGAGAATAAAATACCTAGGAATCCAACTTACAAGGGACGTGAAGGGCCTCTTCAAGGAGAACTACAAATCGCTGCTCAACAAAATAAAAGAGGACACAAACAAATGGAAGAACATTCCATGCTCATGGATAGGAAGAATCAATATCGTGAAAATGGCCATACAGCCAAAGATAATTTATAGATTCAATGCCATCCCCATCAAGCTACAAATGACTTTCTTCACAGAATTGGAAAAAACAACTTTAAAGTTCATATGGAACCAAAAAAGAACCTGCATTGCCAAGTCAATCCTAAGCAAAAAGAACAAATCTGGAGGCATCACACTACCTGACTTCAAACTACACTACAAGGCTACAGTAACCAAAACAGCATGGTACTGGTGCCAAAACAGAGATACAGACCAATGGAACAGAATAGAGCCCTCAGAAATAATACCACACATCTACAACCATCTGATCTTTGACAAACCTGACATAAACAAGAAATGGGGAAAGGATTCCCTATTTAATAAATGGTGCTGGGAGAACTGGCTAGCCATATGTGGAAAGCTGAAACTAGATCCCTTCCTTACAACTTATATAAAAATTAATTCAAGATGGATTAAAGACTTAAATGTTAGACCTAAAACCATAAAAATCCTAGAAGAATACCTAGACAATACCATTCAGGACATAGGCATGGGCAAGGAATTCATGACTAAAACACCAATAGCAATGGCAACAAAAGCCAAAATTGACAAATGAGATCCAATTAAATTCAAGAGCTTCTGCATAGCAAAAGAAACTACCATCAGAGTGAACAGACAACCTACAGAATGGGAGAAAATTTTTACAATCTACCCATCTGACAAAGGGCTAATATCCAGAATCTACAAAGAACTTAAACAAATTTATATGAAAAAATCAAACTACCCCATCAAAAAGTGGGCAAAGGGTATGAACAGACACTTCTCAAAAGAAGACATCTATGAAGCCAACAGACACTGGAAAAATGCTCATCATCACTGGCCATCAGAGAAATGCAAATCAAAACCACAATGAGATACCATCTCACACCAATTAGAATGGCGATCATTAAAAAGTCAGGAAACAACATGTGCTGGAGAGGATATGGAGAAATAGGAAGGCTTTTACACTGTTGGTGGGAGTGTAAACTAGTTCAATCATTGTAGAAGACAGTGTGGCAATTCCTCAAAGATCTAGAACTAGAAATACCATTTCACCCAGCCATCCCATTACTGGGCATATACCCAAAGGATTGTGAATCGTGCTGCTATAAAGACACATGCACACGTATGTTTATTGCGGCACTATTCACAATAGCAAAGACTTGGAACCAACCTAAATGTCCATCAATGATAGACTGGATTAAGAAAATGCGGCACATATACACCATGGAATACTATGCAGCCATAAAAAGGATGAGTTCATGTCCTTTGTAAGGACATGGATGAAGCTAGAAACCATCATTCTGAGAAAACTATCACAAGGACAGAAAACTAAACACCACATGTTCTCACTCATAGGTGGGAATTGAACAATGAGAACACTTGGACACAGGGTGGGGAACATCACACACTGGGGCCTGTCATGGAGTGGGGGGAGGGGGGATAGCATTAGGAGATATATCTAATGTAAATGACTAGTTAATGGGTGCAGCACACCAACATGACACATGTATACATATGTAACAAACCAGCACATTGTGCACATGTACCCTAGAACTTAAAGTATAATAATAGAAAAACTATGACACTCTCCTACATACCATATCTGTAGAAAAATTATAAATTTTAGATAACCATCCAGAGATATTTCTCTAATTCTTGGAAAACATATCAACATTGAAAACATCAAAAAAATTAAACAGTTCTTTTTTCATCCAAAAAAAAAGAACAATAGGGAATCCTCCCTAACTCATTTTATGAGGCCAACATCATCCTGGTACCAAAGCCTGGCAGAGACACAACAAAAAAAGAGAATTTTAGACCAATATCCTTGATGAACATCGATGCAAAAATCCTCAATAAAATATTGGCAAACCAAATCCAGCAGCACATCAAAAAGCTTATCCACCACGATCAAGTGGGCTTCATCCCTGGGATGCAAGGCTGGTTCAACATATGCAAATCAATAAACGTAATCCATTACATAAACAGAACCAAAGACAAAAACCACATGATTATCTCAAGAGATGCAGAAAAGACCTTTGACAAAATTCAACACTCCTTCATGCTAACAACTCTCAATAAACTAGATACTGATGGGACGTATCTCAAAATAATAAGAGCTATTTATGACAAACCCACAGCCAATATCATACTGAATGGGCAAAAACTGGAAGCATTCCTTTTGAAAACCGGCACAAGACAAGGATGCCCTCTCTCACCACTCTTATTCAACATGGTGTTGGAAGTTCTGACCAGTGGAATCAGGCAGGAGAAAGAAATAAATGGTATTCAGTTAGGAAAAGATGAAGTCAAATTGTCCCTGTTTGCAGATGACATGATTGTATATTTAGAAAACCCCATCATCTCAGCCCAAAATCTCCTTAAGCTGATAAGCAACTTCAGCAAACTCTCAGGATACAAAATTAATGTGCAAAAATCACAAGCATTCCTATACACCATTAATAGACAGAGAGCCAAATCATGAGTGAACTCCCATTCACAATTGCTACAAAGAGAATAAAATACCTAGGAATCTGACTTACAAGGGTTGTGAAGGACCTCTTCAAGGAGAACTACAAACCACTGCTCAACGAATTAAAAGAGGACACAAACAAATGGAAGAATATTCCACGCTCATGGATAGGAAGAATCAATATCATGAAAATGGACATACGGCACAAAGTAATTTATAGATTCAATACCATCCCCATCAAGCTACTAATAAATTTCTTCACAGAATTGGAAAAAACTACTTTAAAGTTCATATGGAACCAAAAAAGAGCCTGCATTGCCAAGACAATCCTAAGCAAAAAGAACAAATCTGGAGGCATCACACTACCTGACTTCAAACTATACTACAAGGCTACAGTAACCAAAACAGCATGGTACTGGTGCCAAAACAGATATATAGACCAATGGAACAGAACAGAGGCCTCAGAAATAAGACCACACATCTACAGCCATCTGATCTTTGACAAACCTGACAAAAACAAGAAATGGGGAAAGGACTGCCTATTTAATAAATGACGCTGGGAAAACTGGCTAGCTATATGTAGAAAGCTGAAACTGGATCCCTTCCTTACATCTTATACAAAAATTAATTCAAGGTGGATTAAAGACTTAAATGTTAGACCTAAAACCATAAAAACCCTAGAAGAAAACCTAGGCAATACCATTCAGGCCATAGGCATGAGCAAGGACTTCATGACTAAAACACCAAAAGCAATGGCAACGAAAGCCAAAATTGACAAATGGGATCTAATTAAACTAAAGAGCTTCTGCACGGCAAAAGAAACTGCCATCAGAGTGAACCAGGCAACATACAGAATGGGAGATAAATTGCAATCTACCCATTTGACAAAGAAAGAATTCAAACAAATTTACAAGAAAAAAACAACCCCATCAAAAAGTGGGCAAAGATATGAATAGACACTTCTCCAAAGAAGACATCTATGCAGCTAACAGACACAAGAAAAAAAGCTCACCATCACTGGTCATCAGAGAAATGCAAATCAAAACCACAATGAGATACCATCTCACCCCAGTTAGAATGGCATTCATTAAAAAGTCAGGAAACAACAGGTGCTGGAGAGGATATGGAGAAATAGGAACGCTTTTACACTGTTGGTGGGAGTGTAAACTAGTTCAACCATTGTGAAAGACATTGTGGTGATTCCTCGAGGATCTAGAACTAGAATTACCATTTGACCCAGCAATCCCATTACTGGGTATATACCCAAAGGATTATAAATCATGCTACTATAAAGACACATGCACATGTATGTTTATTGCGGCACTATTAACAATAGCAAACACTTGGAACCAACCCAAATGTCCAACAATGATAGACTGGATTAAGAAAATGTGGCACATATACACCATGGAATACTATGCAGCCATAAAAAAGGATGAGTTCATGTCCTTTGCAGGGAGATAAATGAAGCTGGAAACCATCATTCTCAGCAAAACTATCACAAGGACAGAAAACCAAACACCACATGTTCTCACTTATAGATGGGAATTGAACAATGAGATCACTTGGACACAGGGCTGGGAACATCACACACTGGGGCTTGTTGGGGGGTGGAGGGCTGGGGGAGGGAGAGCATTAGGAGAAATACCTAATGTAAATGATGAGTTGATGGGTGCAGCAAACCAACATGGCACATGTATACCTATGTATCAAACCTGCACGTTGTGCATATGTACCCTAGAACTTAAGGTATAACAACAACAACAACAACAAACGTTTCTTCTACCAGATGTCCTCAGTCATCTCTCTCAATTTCAAAGTTCCATAAATCTGTAGGGCAGGGGCAAAATGCCACCAGTCTCTTTGCTAAAGCATAGCAAGAGTGACCTTTATTTCAGTTCCCAACAAGTTGTTCATCTCCATCTCGGACCTCCTCAGCCTGGACTTCACTGTCCAAGTCACTATCAGCAGTTTGGTCAAAGCCATTCAACAAGTCTCTAGGCAGTTCCAAACTTTCCCACATCTTCTGGTCTTCTTCTGAGTCCTCCCAACTGTTCCAAACTCTGCACATTACACAGTTCCAAAGTCACTTCCACATTCTCAGGTATCTTATAGCAATATTCCATTACCTCAGTATCAGAATCTGTATTAGTCATGGTTCTCTAGAGGGATAGAACTAATAGGATATATATATATATATATATATATATATATATATATATATATATATATATATATATATATATGAAAGGGAGTTTATTAAGGAGAATTGATTCACACCATCACAATTGAAGTCCTACAACAGGCCGTCTGCAAGTTGAGGAGCAAGGAATCTAATATTGGCTCAGTCCGAGTCCCAACACCTCAAAAGTAGGGAAACCGACAGGCCAGCTTTGAGTCTCTGGATGAAGGCCTGAGAGCCCCTGGAAAACAACTGGAGTAAGTCCAAGAGTCCAAAAGCCAAAGAACCTGGAGTCTGACATTTGAGTGCAGGAAGCATCCAGCATGGGAGAAAGATGAGGGCAGAAGGCTCAGCAAGTCAGCTTCTACTAACCTCCTTCTGCCTGCTTTATTCTAGCCATGCTGGCAGCTGATTGTATGGTGCCCACCCACATTGAGGGTGGATCTGCCTTTCCCAGTCCACTAAATAAATGTTAATCTCCTTTGACAACACCCTCACAGAAACAACCGGGAACAATACTTTGGATCCTTCAATCCAATCAAGTTGACACCTTACTGAATATTAACCTTCACAATGTAATATTCATCCCATTTGTAATTTTTCTTTAATATACAAGCTCCTTGAGAACATGCACCATTTGATCTTGTCTCTCTGTTGTGTTGGGAGGCAGTGGAGAAGAGAAGAGTTAAATGTGTGGGTATGGAGTGAAAGACTGTCAGATTTGCATCTCGGCTCCCCTACTTATTGGATCTCTGTCCTGGAGAAAATTACTTAACATCTTTCTCAGTTTCCTTACCTGTAAATGAGTGGTGACATATATGGAACTTAGAACAAGAGCCAAGTAAGTATTCAATAAAAGCTAATGTTGTTGCCTACTGTTTATTCTCAGTGTTTGGCATAGTAGCCGGCAAAAGGAAGAGGAATTTTTTTTTTTCTTTTTTTCAGACAGTCTCCCTCTGTCACCCAGGCTGGAGTGCAGTGGTGTGATCTTGGCTCACTGCAACCTCTGCTTCTTGGGTTCAAGTGATTCTTGTGCCTCAGCCCCCTGAGTAGCTGGGATTACAGGCCTGTGCCACCACACCCAGCTAACGTTTTGTATTTTTAGTAGAGATGGAGCTTTGCTATGTTGGCCAGGCTGGTCTTGAACTCATGTCCTCAAGTGATCCCCCCGCTTTGGCCTCCCAAAGTGTTGGGATTATAGGCGTGAGCCATTGGGCCCAGCCTGGAAATATTTTTTTGAAACATGACTGATAAGAATATTTTTTGAAAGAATGACAGATACCAATCATGAAGGAAAAGATTTTCACAATTGACAATAAAAAACTTTAACTTCTGAATGGTAAAAAGAGTGAGAAAATTAAAAGCCAAATTACAAATTGAAAAAACTAAAGTATATAAAACAAAGGTTTTCATTCTCAATTTAATGCAGAATCTTGACAAATCAAAAAGAACAAAAGGTGAACCCACCTAAAAGAAATAGGCAAAAAACTTTCAAGAAAAGCAATTTACAAAATGCCAATGACTAATAAACATGGATATTTAACAACACTAGTATTCAAAGTACTTCATTTATAGAGATCCCTCCTTCACCTATCAAATTAGCAAAGATGAAAAAGGCTAGTAATACCAAGTTTTGAAGAGAGGTGAGAGGAAATGACAAGTTTATGTACCCTGGTAGGACATGATATTGTGGCAATATGTTTCAGAACACTCATAAATGTATATACCTTTTAGATCAACAATTACACTTTTAAGCTTAAGAAAATATGAAGATTAGGTACAAATATTTCCCTATATGTTCTACTAAGTATTATTTTTTTAATTAAAAAAATTTTTTTGAGACAGAGTCTCGCTCTGTTGCCCAGGCTGGATAGCTCACTACAGCCTCCGCCTCCTGGGTTCAAGTTATTCTTCTGCTTCAGCCTCCTGAGTAGCTGGGATTACAGATGCCCACCACCATGCCCGGCTAAGTTTTGTATTTTTAGTGGAGACGGGGTTTCACCATGTTCGTTGGCCAGGCTGGTCTTGAACTCCTGACCTCAAGTGATCCACCCTTCTTGGCCTCCCAAAGTGCTGGGATTATAGGTGTGAGCCACCATGCCCGGCCAATTTTTTAATTTAAAAATATATTTTTATAGCAGCACAACTAAGTATTATTTTAATAGTAAATATTGGAGTTAACTTTAATTTTGAACAGGATAAGTAATCATGATGCAGCGCATTGAATACTCTTTCATTAAGCTAAACAACTATTAAAAATGATATACAAATACATTTACTGAAAAGAAACATGTTTGTGATATACAGTTAAGTGTAAAACAATTCAGGTTATAAGAACATATTAGGCCGGGTGCGATGGCTCACGCCTGTAATCCCAGCACTTTGGGAGGCCGAGGCAGGCGGATCACGAGGTCAGGAGATCAAGACCTTCCTGGCTAACACGGTGAAACGCTGGCTCTACTAAAAATACAAAAAAAAATTAGCCAGGCGCGGTGGCGGGCGCCTGTAGTCCCAACTACTTGGGAGGTTGAGGCAGGAGAATGGCATGAACCCGGGAGGCAGAGCATGCAGTGAGCCGAGATTGTGCCACTGCACTCCAACCTGGGTGACAGAGCAAGACTCCGCCTCAAAAAAAAAAAAAAATAAAAGAACATATTGGTCAATATTCACTGATTTTTATAAGAATATTTGACAGAGAGAGAGGGGTAAGGGAAGGGAAGGGGGAGGAGAGGGGAAGGGAAGGGAAGGGAAGAAGGGAAAAAGGGAAGGGAAGGGAATATGGGTGGATTTATATCAAAAGGTTCAGAAGGAAATGATTCTTTTCTTCTGGATGTGACTATTGCAGATTTTATTTTTAACTTTTCCTCTTTTTCTGATTTATTTATATTTTCTTATTTTAAGAGAAACTATAAAAGTATATATATTACTTTTCAACTTAAAAATAGTTTAGCATTTCAATAATACAGAAGACTCAAACATTGCAGATAATTAAAGCATTATTAAATGTGGAAATGTTTAGTTTCACAATTTCTGTAGTGATATTCAAGACCAGATATCACCTTGGGAATCAGAACTGGTGCAGGATCTTGTCCTAACACTACCAAAAAGGCATATGGCTGTCCCAGCTCTGTATGTTTATGTTGTCTTATAATAGAGCAACCAGTTGTTTATTAGGATGGCCAAAAAGGCACATTTCAAAAATGCCTATTAAAATATTAGTAGTACAAATAATATTGCTGTTTAATTTTTTCCAATGAGAACTGATAAAATTCAAAAGCAACAGAAGCAGTTAAATAGTAATAATATGGTTTATCAAATTAATTGTCACATGATTATTAAAGTGAGATCATGTGTGTTAAGTAGTTGTATCTTAAGCCACTGAAATATCTTCCTTGGTCTGGAATGAGCTTTCTATGGAGATTAAAAAGATGTTAAATTGAACAGTCTTGGTTAATACATGAAGAAGCAAAGCCAGAAACCCTGTTTAAAGAACTCACAAAAAAGGTCATGAATGATCTGGTGGTTGTTATATTTTCTTGTTTACCCGAGGAGAAGACTATGCTCAAGCATGTATTGAATCCAGTGATAGCCAGAATGTCATCCATACTGCTAGCAGCCATTAGTAATGTTGGAATGTCTTCCTCAACACCATATCCATTTTCTTGCAACACCATCGTGTAAAGGACAACAACAACAGGAGAGACAGCACCTAAAACAAAACTGAAAGAAAGAATGAAAATTAATTTAAAAGCATCTTTTTAATCAAGTAGTGTTTTATAAGTACAAGTAGTTTATAATAAATTTGTAACAAACATTGTTTAGAAGAATTTCAAATTTGAGTGAATGCAATTTAATGGTGATAAAACTTTTCATGCATTGTTTACTGCTAGCTAAAATTTTATACAGACGTGGTTTAAAATGTTGGGCTGAGCACAGGTTGCAGCCTCTCCCTCTATTCCTAAATCCTTTGAAATGAAGATGTAAAGTTAATAGAAAAATTCATAACCTAACAAGAAAGCAAAAGGTGAATCATCAATGGACAAGAAACTAAGCATATGCCAGAAAGATAAGAGACAGACAATTTAGGATTGAAAAAAGGAAACCATAAACAAAAATGTGTGTAAATAAGATTGCCTCAAAAGATACATGTGCTTCTAAAAGTGGTCCAAGCCCTGAAATGACAGACGCTGGGAGCAGGAGAGACCTCTGGGGAAACCAAATAGTTGATTATTTGGATTACCACTGTAAGAATGATCAGACAAATCTACCTTCCACACATTTCCTACCTCTTGAGTAAATAAGTAAGTAAGGAAGGAAGGAACAGAGTTGTCTGCCCAAAAAAAACAAGTGTGGCCACCTAAGTTACAAAGGCAAATGAGAACATTTCTGGAGTGGTTGATGACACCCATGAGGAATGGGGAGGCTCCTGCTCAGAATACCTTCTATTGGCATATCTTATCCAGAATTTCACCTCATCTCTTCTACATTTACTTTATAAAGCGTGAAGTATATCCTGTGTAGAAATGCTTTTGGTGCTCCTGCCAGAATCCATTTACCAGGTCAATGAACACATCTCCCAGTGCTGCTTGTTGGCTGCTAATATCTGCAGGTTTCTAGAACCCTTGTCCTGCTGACAAGCACCTACCTGGGAATACTAGGGAGGTTGTGCACCCCTCTACTTTCCCTCCAGACAGATCTGCCAATGACGGACTGATGTGAGATTTGCTTCTGGCTGTACAACTCTATGGTGCAGTTTATGCTACAGATTTCCCTGTGGGCTCAAGAAGAGACTAGACTTCTCTAAGACCACATACTGGTCTAGTTTAGTGGTTCCTGAACTCTGCTGCACATTGTAATCACCTGTTGTATTATTTTTCTCATTTTGCTTAACAAGTCATCCCCAAACATAGCAGCTTAAAACAACAAATATTTATTGTCTTATGACTTCTGTGGGTCAGGAATCTGGGCATGGCTTAGCTGTATGCCTCGACTTAAGATTTCCCATGAGGTAGGGTGGGGTGGAGAAGATCTGCTTCCAAGTTTACTCATGTAGCCATTGCAGGCTTCAGTTTTTTTCCAACGGGGTTTTCTCCACAGGGCTGCCTCAGGACATGGCAGCTGGCTTCCCCAGGAATAAGTGATCAAAGAGAATTTAATCCACAACATCAATTAAAAAAACAAAGTATCTAAGAACAAAACTGTGAAGACAGTCTATACTTTTATAAAAATTGTGAATCTAATAATATAGTAATTAAGATAATACCTGAATACTTAGAGAGACATTTCACAAGTGTGAACTAAAAAGCCCCAATTTTACCATCACCCAACACCACGCCTGGCTAGTTTTCGTGTTTTTAGTAGATACGGTGTTTCACCATTTTGGCCAGGCTGGTCTTGAACTCCTGACCTCAAGTGATATGCCTGCCTTGGCCTCCCAAAGTGCTGGGATTATAGGTGTGAGCCACCACGCCCGGCCAAAGCCTCAATAATAGAAAGATGTAATCTCTCCCCCAAATGAATTAATCAGAGATACGCCAATCAAAATCTTTGCAGGGATTTTTACTGAGCTTGACAAGCTGATTATAAAATTCATTTGGAAGAATAAGATCTTAGAATGAAAGATCAAGTAAACTTAAGAAAACAAGATACTGTTTTTGTAAAGGTAAAATAGTTAAAACTGAATAATAGTGACATATAAATAGACAAAATAAATTGGAAGAAAAGAGAATACAAAGTGTGGAAACAAATCTATGGGATTTGTTACATCATACAACTGGTATTTTAAATCAGTGGGAGAAAGAAAGAAATCTTTCACAAATGGTGTTGAGATAACTATTTATGTGGAAAGGAATATAGATAGATTCTTACACATAATAAATGTTAAAAGCTCAAAAGGAAAAGTAGTAATAAGAAAATGTAGTGGGCTAGGCATGATGGCTCACACCTGTAATCCCAGCACTTTGGGAGGCTGAGGTGGACAGATCAGGAATCTGAGACCAGCCTGGCCAACATGGCGAAACCAATAGCTGGGTGCAGTGGTGCATTCCTGTAGTCCCAGCTACTTGGGAGGTTGAGGCAGGAGAATCACTTGAACCTGGGAGGTGGAGGTTGCAGTGAGCTGAGATCATGCCACTGCACTACAGCCTGGGTGACAGCAAGACTCTGAACAACAAAATAAAGATGTAGAATAATATATTTGTGATCATGAGGTAAAAAGGACTTTTTGAATGATACATACAAAGGCATTAGACATAAAAAGAGATTTTGATACATTCAATTATATTAAAGTAGCACTTCAAAAGTAACTTCAAAAGTACTATAATAAAGTACTACTTCAAAAGCAATTCTGCTCTTTCTTCCTCTTTTTCTCTTTTTCATTTTCAAAGTCAAGTGAACAGTGTTGTGTATTGGCAATTCTGTCTGTTGAAAATAACAAAATACACTTCTTAGAGTGAAAAAAAATCATCACAAACAAAATTAAATATCTACTGATATTTGCAATACATATAATTTACAAATGCATATAACAGATATAATTAATAAAGAAGACCAACTCAACAAAAAAATGGACAAAGGATATGAACAGGCTAGTTACAGATAAGGAAAAGCTGAAGGACAACACATATATAAAAGATATTCAAGCTTGTGAATAATCACAGAAATGCAAATTAAAATAACAAAAATATGCCATTTTTTCAATTATCAGACTGGAAAACATTATAAAATTTAATAATATCAAGGATTTGCAAGGATTTTCAAGAACAACAGGTAGGCTCATAAGCTGTTGGTATTAGGGCAAATTAAAGTGGCCATACCGAAAGGATTTTGGCAGTATACATCAAACTAAAAATGCATGTAACCCAGGTAACTATTCTAGACAAACTTATATTTATGTAAAATGAGACAAATAAAATGTTATTTTTGTTATAACGTTGTAAATAAAATCTGCTGTTGACATACAATGTAATCTTATACAATTAAAAGGAATTAACTACATGTGTATCTATCTTGAGATGGATAAACCTCAAGACTATTGTTGAGTGAAAAGAACAAATTGTAAAGTAAAATTTTCTTGGGTATGATTAAGTAAAAATGCACAAAATAATACTCTTTTTTTCTCTGGGTTCACAAATACATTTGTTAGAAGTCCAAAATATTATTTTTAAAGATCTAGAATGATAACATAAAACTCATGAAGATGCTGCCACTCTGTCTCCAGCAGCACATGAGTGCACCCCACAGCACCATTGCCCCGGCTGGCACGTGCAAGTATGCAGAACACCCCCATCCCACTCCTGCTGGCACTGCACCCCTGCCAACACATGCATACCTGCTGTGTGCTGCTGCTGCTGGCACATATGTGTGAGTGGGGACCTTGTTACAATCACTACAATGAAGCACTTTGGCTGGCACACCCCATCAGAGTGTTGTTGCCAGTGAACTGGGAACACCTCAGTGCTTAACATTGAAGGGCCAGACAACAAATCTGTAGGTATGGTACCAGCCTTGCAAAGTTAGAAAGTGCAGTTCAGGAGTGCTGAGCTGAGCCTTTGCCCCCTGAAATCTTCCAGAAATGAAGCCATTTGACTGAAACTACCTTGTGCCACAGTCAAACCCTCAAGGGCATTAAAGAATATAAAAAAGGAAAAAACTCCATCCAAAGGACAGTGATTCAAAACATTAAAGGAACCTTAGCCCACACAGATGTGAAAGAACTAGTGCAAGAACTCTGGCAATGTAAAAAGCCAGAATGTCTTCCTGTCTTCAAGCAATCATACTAACTCTCCAACAATGGTTGTTAAGCAAGATTAAATGACAGACATAGAATTCAGAATCTGGATAGAAACAAAGATCATTGAGATTCAGAAGAAAGTCAAAATCCAATCCTAATAATTTAAGGAATCCAATAAGATGACATAAGAGCTGAAAGATGAAATAGGCATTTTAAGAAAGAACCAAACGAAACTGATAGAGCTGAAAAATGCACCTCAAGAATTTCATAATACAATAACAAGTACTAACAGCAGAACGGACCAAGCTGAGGAAAGAATCTCAGATCTCAAAGACCACTTCTTTGAATCAACTCAGTCAGATGAAAATAAAGAATAAAAAAGAATGAACAAAACCTCTGAGAAATCTGAGATTATGTAAAGAGACCAAACATATGACTCAGGGCATCACTCAAAGAAAGGGAGAAAGAACAAGCAAGTTGGAAAACATATTTGAGGATACTGCCCACAAAAATTTCCCAAATCTTGCTAGAGAAGTCACCATTTAAATCCAGGAAATGCAGAGAATCCTGTGAGATACTATACAAGATGACCATCCCCAAGACAGACAGTCATCAGATTCTCCAAGGTCAACATGAAATAAAAAAATATGAAAGGCAGCTAAAGTGAAGGGGCAGGTCACATACAAAGAGAATCCCATCAGGCTAACAGTGGAACTATAAGATACTCTACAATCCAAAAGAAACCGGGGGCCTATATTCAACATTCTTTTTTTTTTTCGAGATGGAGTCTCACTCTGTTGCCCAGGCTGGAGTGCACTGGTGATATCTTGGCTCACTGCAACCTCCACTTCCCGGGTTCAAGCAATTCTTCTCCCTCAGCCTCCCAAGTAGCTGGGACTACAGGTGTGCACCACAACACCCGGCAATTTTTTATAATTTTAATAGAGACAGGATTTCACCATATTGGCCAGGGTGATCTCAAATTCCTGACCTCGTGATCTGCCCACCTTGGCCTCTCAAAGTGCTGGGATTACAGGTGTGAGCCAACACGCCCGGCCTTCAGCATTCTTTAAAAAAAAAAATACTTGGCCAGGTGTGGTGGCTCATGCCTGTAATCCCAGCACTTTGGGAGGCTGAGGGGGGCAGAACACAAGGTCAAGAGATCAAGACCATCCTGGCCAACATGGTGAAACCTCATCTGTAATAAAAATACAAAAATTAGCTGGGCATGGTGGTGCGTGTCTGTAGTCCCAGCTACTCGGGAGGCTGAGGCAAGAGAATCACTTAACCCAGGAGGTGGAGGTTGCAGTGAGCCAAGATAGCACCACTGCACTCCAGCCTGGGGACAGAGCAAGACTCTGTCACAAAAAAAAAAAAAAAAAAAAAAAAAAAAAAAATTCAACCAAGAACTTAATATCCAGCCAAACTAAACTTCATATGTGAAGGAGAAGTAAGATCCTTTTCAGACAAACAAATGCTAACCGAATCTGTTACCACCAGACATGCCTTACAAGAGGTCCTTAAGGGAGTGCTAAGCGTGGAAGTGAAAGACTGTTAATGGCCACCACAAAAATACATTTAAGTACATAGACCATTGACGTGTAAAGTAACTACACAATCAAGTCTGCATAATAACCAGCTAACAACATAATGGCAGGACCAAAGCTATAAATGCCAATATTAACTGTGAATGTAAACAGTATAAATGCCCCGCTTAAAACTCACAGAATGGCAAGTTGGATAAAGAAGCAAAGCCCAACTGTATCTGTTGTCAAGAGACCCAGCTCATATACAACAATACCCATTGGCTTGAAGTAAAAGGATGGAAAAAAATCTACCAAGCAAATGCAAAACACAAAAGGGTAAGCATTGTTATTCTAATTCAGACAAAATAGACTTTAAACCAACAACAATCAAAAACACAAAGAAGGGCACTAAGTAATGATAAAGGGTTCAATTCAACAAGAAGAGTTAACTGTCTGATAGATAAATGTGCTCAAAACTGGAGCATTCACATTCATAAAACAAGTTCATAGAGACCTATAGAGAGACTTAGATAACCACAGAATAATAGTGGGAGACTTCAACATCTCACTGATGGTACTAGACAGATCATAGAGACAGAAAATGAACAAAGATATTCAAGACTTGAAGTCAACACTTGGCTAAATGGACCTAACAGCCATCTACAGAACACTCCACCCAACAACAACAGAATATATCTTCCTCTCATCTGTACATGGCATATATTGTAAAATCGATCACACTATCAGTCTAAAATTATTTTCAATAAATTAAAAGAAACCCCAGAAATCATGCCAACCACACTCTTGGACTGCTCAGTGTAACAAAAATAGAAGTCAACACTAAGAAGAACTCTCAAAACCATACAATTACATGGAAATTAAGCAACCTGTGCCTGAATGACTTTTGGGTAAACAATGAAATTAAGGCAGAAACCAATAAATTCTTTGAAACTAATTAAAACAAAGATACAACATTCCAGGCTCTCTAAGACACAGGCAAAGCAGTGTTAAGTGAAAAATTTATCGTGCTAAAGGCCCATATTGAAAAGTTAGAAAGATCTTAAATTAACAACCTAATATCATACCTAAAGGAAATAGAAAAACAAGAGTAAACAAACCCAAAGCTAGCAGAAGAAAATAAATAACCAAAATCAGGGCAGAATGGAATGAAATTGAGTCAATTTTGTTATACCAGTTTAATATAAATATTGCCTTTAAAAGATAATATAGTTTGCAGGTGTCTACAGTGATTTTGTAATATTTGTGTACATATAAAATAATATTTCCAAAAATGTAATCCAGTGGGGAAATATACTTTCTAAATTCTAGATTTATAATTTAGGGTTTAAATTATAAAATCATTAAATAAGACACAAGTGAAATATAGTCAAATATCCCCTTGGAAAAAAATTAAGTGGCCTCTAAAGTGAGGTATTCATATATGTAATTTTACAATCCTCTAGTGATAGAATTAATTAAATATGCCACCAAATTGATTAATTCCTACAGTGTTAAAAGAGAAGTCCTAACAATGCCAGTGACCATGTAACATGGATTTAAGCTACAAGTCATAGAAATGTGATGAGAAGCCTCAGCGCTGTAAAACAGAGGGTGGAGGAAAGCTTTTCCTCTCTCAAATGAGCTTTGCGAGGTATACTTCGTGAAGGATAGGAAGTTGAAGTGTTCAGGACTTTTATGTCTATTCTATTTTGGTTTAGTTTACATGATTCTTAGTTTATTAGCCTAGAAATGGCAGCGGCGGCGGGGGGGGGGGGGGGCAAAAACCCGGGGCGGCGGGGGTGCAAAAAGCCGCGGTGGGCAAAAAGTCGCGGCGGCGGGGGGGGTGGTGCAAAAAGTCGCGACAGCGAGGGGCGAAAAGCCGCGGCGGGTAAAAAGCCGCGGAGGCAAAAAGCCGCGGCGGCGGGGGGGCAAAAAGCCGCGGCGGCGGGGGGGCAAAAAGCCGCGGCGGCGGGGGGGCAAAAAGCCGCGGCGGGCAAAAAGTCGCGGCAGCGGGGGCGGGGGGGCAAAAAGCCGTGGCAGCGAGGGGCAAAAAGCCGCGGCAGTCGGGGGCAAAAAGCCGCGGCAGGCAAATAACCGCGGCACCGGGGGGTGGGGGCAAAAAGCCGCGGCGTCAAAAAGCCGCGGCGGCGCACGGCAAAAAGCCGCGGTGGCAGGGGGGCAACAAGCCGCGACCGGCAAAAAGCCGCGGCGGCGGGGGACAAAAAGCCGCGGCGATGGGGGGCAAAAAGCCGCGGTGGCAGGGGGGCAACAAGCCGCGACCGGCAAAAAGCCGCAACGTCGGGGGGCAAAAAGCCGCGGCAGTGGGGGTGCAAAAAGCCGCGGCGGGCAAAAAGTCGCGGCGGCGCGGGGCAAAAAACCGCAGTGGGGAAAAAGCCGCGGCGGCCGGGGGGTCAAAAAGCCTCGGCGGGGGGGAGGGGGGGGGCAAAAAGCCGCGGCGGGCAAAAAGTCGCGGCGGCGGGGGGGCAAAAGCCGGGGCGGGCAAAAAGCCGCCAGCCTGGGTGACAGAGACTGTCTCAAAAAAAAAAAAAGATTTAGGAGAAACAAGTCCTGAAGCCCTGACCCTAACACGCAAGGGTTAGTGGAGATGTGGGACTTGAACTCAGCTTCTCCGTTGAGTCTGGCTGTCTCCCGGACGCAGGCACGTGCTTGCACACCTCCACGTGGCGATCCCGCCCCCTTAGTAGCGTCCTTAGCTCGGCACTTCTTGCGGGGAAGTTCCTCTTGGCCCAGACCCTCGTCCTAGGCCCCGCGTCATGGGGGAAGCGAAAGGGGCAGCGTGGGGAAGTGGCTGAGGGGTCGGGTCCGGGGTGGTCTGCAGAGAGGCAGGCGACGGTGCGGAGCCGGGAACCACGGGCTCACCCGTCGAGTCGGACGGGCCCCGCGGGGGTGGGCGAGACACTGGGAACAGCGGTCAGCTCCAGAGGGCGCGAGGCGGGGCGCGCGGGGAGGGGGGGCGCGCGGGGAGCGGGTGCGCGCGCGGTTGGGGGGCAGTGAGGGTCGCCGCGGCGGCGCGCAGCACGGCTGGAACATGGCGAGCGGAACTGGCGCGCGCGCCTAGCTGGCGGGACCTTTAACTCGAGGCGGACGCCGCCCGGACCCCGTGGATATGGAGCAGTCGCCGCCGCCGGCGCCCGAGCCGACCCAAGGGCCCCCGCAAGGAGCTGAAGGCGGCTGGAGCCCGAATCGCCGCCGGCGTCGGCGCAGGTGAGTGCGTGAGGGGCTCGGGCCAGGAGACTTTGTTTGTGAGACTCCGGCGGTGGGAGCTGGGCCGGGCCTCAGCGGCTGAGGAGCGCCTGTGAGGCGGAAGGTCCGGCTTCAATCCCAGCCGCGAGCCGTCAGGCGGCGGGACCTGGTCCGCCGCCTGCCTGCCTCAGTTTCCACGGGAGTGTGTGTGGGTGTGTGAGGGTGTGTATGGGTGCTGGCCTGCGCACTCCGGAGGGGGGGGTCGGTATACAGTTGGCGCCTAATGCGCGGGGCGCCTCCCCCCTCCCCCCAGTCCCCGTGGGGCGGAACCTGGGGACTGGAGTCCCCTGGAGCAGTAGGTGGCACCCGCGGGGAGACAGGTGTCCAGGTGTCGGCGCAGCCCGGGAGGCTCAGGTGCTACCTTTCCCGGGGGGGGGGGGGGGGGGGGGGGGTTTGTGAGGAGTGAGCTCTTCGTTCCCGGAGGCGAGCAAGTCTGTCAGTGGCTCATCATAGAGCGCTGTTTTGGAAAGCGTTCCACCCACCTCAGCTTCGTGCTGTGTTTGGGCCACTAGTCAGGGGGAAGGATGCTGAGCGACATGGACTTTAGAGGTGGGGCTCCCGCTGGACGGGATGGCTCTGGGCTCTCCAGCTTACCCCCACCCTTGCCTCCCAAACCCGTTAGAGCGTAGGAATCACTGGGAGCACCTGATAAAAATGCCACGGATTGTGGCTCACCAAAGCAGGGAAGCCGATTTGGAACTTAAACAAGCTCCCAAGTTGGATCAGTCGAGCTTGGCAAGCACTGTTTTAGAGAGTAGGCTTCCTACAAGCAGGAGCCGGTTTTGTGTATACCTCACCATGGCATCTTGGTACGTGGCATGGTGCCTGGCACACGGTAGATGATCAGAAAATATCTGTAGAAAGTCTAAATTATTAGGGAGAGTGCAGCATAGGAGTTCTTGAGACATTTTCAGGAGCTTCTTGAGATTAATATCTGTCAGATTTGTTTTACAGTATATGATTTTTCTCAGCTCCCAACTTTTGTGATTGTTTTTAATGCCATGTTTTCAGTATGTTCTAGGCAAAAGCAGGGTACATGTTGCTTAGTATATACTATCCAATAGGCGGGGTGCGGTGGCTCACTCCTGTAATCTCAGCACTTTGGGAGGCAGATTGCTTGATCCCAGGGGCTTGAGGCTGTAGTGAGCCAAGGAATTAAAGGCCAGTGTGGGAAACATAGTGAGGCTCGTCTCCGCAAAAATTAGCTGGGTGTGGTAGCATGCACTTGCAGTCTCAGCTACTCTGGAGGCTGAGGTGGGAGGATCACTTGAGCTCAGGAAGTACAAGTTGCAGTGAGCCAAGGTTGTGCCACTGCATTCCAGCCTGGATAACACAGAGAAACCCAGTCTCTTAAATAAGTAAATACATAAATGATTATGTATACTCCAGCTAGGTTAAAATTAATTCTGAATCAAAATTATTAATTAAAATATTCATGTTTCTTTCTCTTCATCATTTGAGAACACTAGGCTTTTAGGATTTCATTCCGTTGGGGCAGGTAAATATCTACATTTTTGACAAAGCAAATATGAATTACTGTTAATTCAAGAAAGGTGGGAATTTGCTTAAACCTGAGTATTTGTAGTCTTTGTGATTTTTTTAAATTTTAAATTTAAATTTTCTTTTTTTTTGTTTTTTTTTTGAGATGGAGTCTCACTCTGTCGTCCAGGCTGGAGTGCAGTAGCACAATCTCAGGTCACTACAACCTCCACCTCCCGAATTCAAGCGATTCCCCTGCCTCAGCCTCTGGTGTAGCTGGCATTACAAGTGTGTGCCACCATGCGCAGCTAATTTATGTATTTTTAGTAGAGAGGAGGTTTCACTGTGTTGCCCAGGCTGGTCCCAAACTCCTTGACCTCAAGCGATCTGCCCACCTTGGCCTCCCAAAGTGCTGGGATTACAGGTGTGAGCCACGGCACCTGGCCTTATTTTTATTTTTTTGAGACAGAGTCTCAGTCTGTCGCCCAGGTTGGAGTGCTGTGGCATGATCTCCGCTCACTGCAACCTCCACCTCCCAGATTCCAGCGATTCTAATGCCTCAGCCTCCTGAGTAGCTGGGGTTAATAGACCCAGCTAATTTTTGTTGTATTTTTTTAGTAGAGACTGGGTTTCCCTATGTTGGCCAGGCTGCTCTGGAACTCCTGGCCTCTAGTGATCCACCTGCCTCATCCTCCCAAAGTGCTGGACTTACAGGCATGAGCCACTGCCCCCAGCCAATCTTTGTGATATTTTGAAATTGAGGTTTATATTTTGTTCAGAGTCAAAGCTAAAATAGAATTGTTTGAAAATTAATATTTCAGGAACTATTTTTTAATTAACTTGAATTTTATTTTATTAGTTTCATTTCAGTAGGGTTTTAACTTAAAAATATTTACATATATATATATATATATATATATATATATATATTTTTTTTTTTTTTTTTTTTTTTTTTTTCCTGAGACGGAGTCTTGCTCTGTCACCCAGGCTGGAGTGCAATGGCATGATCTTGGCCTCACTGCAGCCTCCACCCTCCCGGCTCAAGCAATTCTCCTGCCTTAGCCTCCCAAGTAGCTGGGACTACAGGTGCCCACCACCACACCTGGCTAATTTTTATATTTTTAGTAGAGATGGGGTTTCACCATGTTGTCCAGGCTGGTTTTGAACTCCTGATCTCAAATGATCTGCCCTCCTTGGCCTCCCAAAGTGCTGGGATTACAGGCATGAGCCACCATGCCTGGCCTGAAAAATATTTTTAAAGACAGGATCTAGCTATGTTGCCTCAGCTGGTCTTGAACTCCCAGTCTTGGCCTCAAGTGATCCTTCTGTCTCAGCCTTCTGAGTAGCTGGAAGCACAGCTGTGAGCCAGCACACCTGGCTTTTTTAAATTTCTAATAAAAAAGTTAATAGAGTTTCTTGTTTCACTGGACAAAATATGCATATATAGGAAGGAAAGACTTTTGGACTTGAGATTGCGCTGAAGAAGAAAAATGGAAAAATTAAGCATTTTAGTCTCTCAGTGTGTTATATTTGTAGCTTATACAGATGTCTTTTTTAAGTGTCTTTAAAAAGCTTTATTGAGATAAAGATAAATGAGATAAATTCACCTACCATGAAATCAACCCCTTGAGTGCAGAATTTTGTGGTTTATAATATGTTCACAGAATCGCACAAACAAGACAGGTATCTAGATACTTTCAGACCATTTTCATCAGTCCACAAGAAATCCCATACCCATTAGCAGTCATCCTTATTCCCTTTTCCCCTAGTCCCTGGCAATAACTAGCCTACTTTCTGTCTCTGAGTTTAGCTCTTCTGGAGGCTTCACAGAATGAAATCTTACTACATGTGGTCTTTTGTGATTGACTTACTTCACTTGGCACAGTGTTTTCAAGGTTTATCCATGCTGTAGCATATATCAGCACTTCATTCTTTTTTAATGCTGAGTAATCTTTTGAATGGATATACCATATTTTATCAGTTCCTCTGTTGATAGGCACTTGAGTTTTTTTTCCAATTTTTGGCTATTATGCACAATGCTGCTGTGAACATTTGTGTACAAATTTTAGTGTGGATGTATATTTTCATTTCCCTTGGGTATATCCCTAAGGAATACACTATCTGGGTCATATAATTGTTTAAGACTACAGGCACGTGCCGCCACACCTGGCAAATATTTAAAAATTTTTTGTAGATAAAGGGTCTTGTTATATTGCCCAGGCTGATCTTGAACTCCTGGCCTCAAGAGATCCTCTCACCTCAGCCTCCCAGAAAGTGTTGGGATTACAGATGTGAGTCACTGTACCTATAAAAGAGGCTCATACCTCTTTTTACGTTTTTTGTTTTTTTTTTTTTTTTTGAGACAGGGTTTCATTCTGTTGCCCAGGCTGGAGTGCAGTGGTGGGATCACAGCTCACTGCAGCCTGGACCTCTCTCCATATGATTCTAGCTGTGGGTGTCTTTCCTGTAGTTTTTACTATGTTGCAGTATGTTTCTTCTGTACCCGTTTCTTTGAGGATTAATAGCATGAAGGGATGTTGAATTTCATCAAATGCTTTTTCAGTTTCAGTTGACATTTATTCGGTTTATATGATGTATCACATTGTATGTTGAGTGACCCTTGCATCCCAGGGATACATCCCACTTGATCATGATGAATTATCTTTTTAATGTATTACTGAATTTGATTCACTTGTATTTTGTTGAGGATTTTTGCATCAATATTAGAGATACTGGCCTGTAGTTTCCTTCTTTGATGCCTTTGTCTGATTTTGGTATCACAGTAATAATGGTCTCATAGAATAAGTTTGGAAGTATCCCCTCCTGTTTTTCAAAATAGTTTGAGTAGGATTTGTACTAGGTCTTTAAATTGTTTGGTGTGAAGCCATCAGCAGTGAAGACATCAGTTCCTGGGCTTTTCTTTACTGGGAGACTTTTTCTGATGGCTTCAATCTCATTACTTTTTACCGATCTGTTCTGGTCTTGGATGTTTTCATTGTTCAACCTAAGTAGGTTGTATGCATCTAGGAATTTGCCAATTTCTACTAGGCTTTCCAATTTATTGGCATATAATAGCCAGTTATGATCCTTTGAATTTCTGAAGTATTAGTTGTAATGTCTCCTTTTTTTAATCTGTTGATTTTATTTATTTGAATCTTGTCTCTTTTTTCTTAGTTAGCCTGGTTAAAAGTTTGTCAATTTTGTTTTGCTTTCCAGAAAACCAACTTTTCATTTAATCTTGTGTGTTTTTTCTTTCAATTTTATTTCTGCTACGATCTTGTTTATTTTCTTATTTTCGGTTTAGTTTGTTCTTACTTTACTAGTTCTTTAAGATGTATTGTTTATTTGAAGTTTTTCTTTTGTTTGGATGGTAGGCACTTATAGCTGTAAATCTCTGCCTCTGTACTGCTTTCTGCGTAACAAGTTTTGGTATACTGTGTTTTCGTTACCCTTTGTTTCATGAAATTTTTGAATTTCTGTCTTAGTATCTTCATTTACCCGCTAGTCATTTATTCAGGAGGGTAGTGTTTAACTTCCATGTGATTGTATTGTTTCCAAAATTACTCTTCTTATTGATACCTAGTTTTATTCTTTTGTAGTCAAAGAAGATGGCCACAGAGACAGCAGCGTGGTCAGAGTGGTAGGAGCCAGCCATCGGCGAGAGCTGCTCCGTGCCTGGCTGCTGGGTGCTAGAGCCTGTGGCCCACTGGCTTGCCTCACTGTGATTGGTGGTGGTGGTGACAGAGACTGCAGCACGACCAGAGTGGTATGACAGGGGGTATCCAGGGCTGCACCTTTCACAGTGTGGGGTGGGTTGGGGGCGCTATCCAGGTTGTCATTGCCTGCATTAGGGCTACTGGTTGGTAGCACTGTACAGGGCTGCACTGCCCATGGCAGGGAGGGTGGGTTATGGGCACTTTCTGGGGCTGCAATGCCCATGGAGGAGGACAGGTTAGGGCACTATCGGGTATACGCTACTGGAGGCATTGGGGGATGGAGGTGGGGGGCGCTATTGAGGGCAGGACTAGCTGTGGAGGGCGGGCAAGTTCGGTGCTATCAGGGGCTGCACTGCTGGCGGCGGTCAGCAGAGTTGGCATCCAAGGAAGGAGTGGTTCTCCTCTCCCTGACTCCACACTCCAGAGGGCGACCCACTCTTGGTCCTACTGGAGTGCGGCAGGCACGCAGCGTTTGTGTGGGAATCCTGAGCATGGCAGAGCCCCCACACCTACCGTGGTTCCTAGGCCTGTGCACTCTGGGTCTGTGCCTCAGAGGCTGCCAGGCACCCCTGGGGACACCACGGGGGACAGGGCCCTGTGTGTGGAGGCGTCCGGAACAGGAATTGGCACCTGGGTGCAGAGGGCTGGCTGGGTCTGAATTTTTCTGCTTCTCCTGTTCCCCAAGGAGTGCAGCCCTGGTGGGCCCAATGGTTCCTGTGGAGTGGGGAGCTGGGTGCTGTGGTGTCTCCAGCACCCACCCCAGACCCCAGTTCCCAGCCAGCTTGGGCCAAAAGGAGAGGCTGGACTTTGGAGGGTGGGTGTGAGGGCCTTTGCTGAAACTGGCCCCTGCCACCCAGTGGCCAGCACGACAAGTTGAGGCTCTAACCCTTCCACCCCTTACATCTTCCTCTAGGCTTTTCTGGCTTTGCCCGCCCAGCTGCTCCGTGCCAGGAGGAGAAGGAGACACCTAGAGCCTGTGACACCATGACTTGCCTCGCTGCGGGTGGGTGGCAGCAATGGAGACTGCAGTGCGCCAGAGCGGTAGGAGAGCGGCCGCGCTAGGAGGGCAGGCGGCTGCAGCCAGGGTTGGGGTCAGGCTTACAGCGATGGACGGGCTGCAGCAGTGGCCAGGTTGTAGGAGCCTTGTAGGGAGGGCTGGTGCATTGGCAATGGGCCTGGTTTTGCCCTGCCTTGCCCTGTACCTGCCCTACTGTTACCTGGACTGTCTCGGCCCTGTCCAGCTCTGGTCCCATCCTGACCCTGTCTTGGCCCTGTGCTACCCTGTCCCTGCCCTGGTCTTGCCCTGGCACTGGCCCTGCCCTGAACCTGCACTGGCCTGACCTTGGCTCTGGCCCTGGCTCTGGCCCTGCCCCTTGTCCTGACCCTGGTCATGTCATGGCACTGGCCCTGCCAGTGGTCATGGTCCTAATCCTGTTCTGGCCCTGACCTGGCCTTGGACATGTCCTGGTCCTGCTTTGGCCCATCCCTGCCCTGGCCCCACCATGGGCCTGCCTGTTCTGCCCTCTCCTGGCACTGACCTTCCCTGTCATGGCCCAGTGGTGCCATTGCCCTGCCTTACGCTGTGCTGGTTGTGCCTTGGCCCTGCTTGGTGCTGGCCGCTCCCTGGACCTGCCCAGACCCTGCCTCGACTTTTGCCCTGCCCTCACTATGGCCTGGCCCTGGCCCTAGCCCTGGTCCTGCCATATCCCTGGCCCTGCCCTTATCCAGGCCCTGCCCCTGCTGCTGCCCTGGCCCTGGCCTGGAACCTGGTCCTGTCAAGGACTTGCCCTGACTCTGCCATGGCCCTGGCCCTGCTCTGCCTTGTTCCTGGCCCTGACCCTTTCCTGGCTCTGCACTGGCCTTTCCCTGGCCCTGAGCTGGCAGTGGTCTGCCCCTGGTCTTGCCATCACCCTGCCCTGCTGTGCTCTGGATGTGTCATCACCCTGCCCTGGCCCTACTCTGCCTTTGACCCTGCCCTGGCCTTACCTTGACCCTCACCCTAGTCTTTGCTAGGCCCTGCTCTGGAGCTGGCCCTAGCACAGACCTGGCCCTGACCCTGGCCCTGGTCTTGGTCCTGCCATAGCCCTGGCCCTGAAGTGGACTTGGAGGTGTCCTGGCCCCGGCATAACGTGGCTCTGCATTGGCCTGTCCCTGCCCTGCCCCTACCATTGCCTTGCCCTGCTCTGCCCTGTCCCAGTACTGACCCGGCCATGCTGTTTCCCTGCCCTACCCTGCCTTGGCTGTGCCCTGGCTCAGTTCTGGCCCTGGCCCCGGCCCTGCCCCAGACATGCTCTGACACTGCCTCAGCCTTGGCACTAGCCTGGCTCTTTCTTGGCATCAGCCCTGCTCTCTCTGTGGACCGGCTCTTGTCCTGTCCTGCACTGGCCATGCCATGCCCTGCCCTGCCCTGCCCTGACTCAGCCCTGGCCCAGCCTTGGCCTTGGAATTGCCCCTGGTCATGCCATATTTCTTGCCCTGTCCCTACCCTGGCCTTGGCCCTGACCCTTACCTTGCTCTGGCCCTGCCTTTGCCCTAACACAGCCCCTGGCCCTGTCATGGCCCTGCCCTGGACCTGTTCTGGCCCTGGCCCTTCCCTGCTTGAGACCTTGCCCTGGTTCTCCCCTGGCCCTGACCCTGAAATGCCTGGCCCTACCCTGGCCTTGCACTGCTCTGGCCCTTGCCCTGACTCTGGTCCTGTCACTGGCCTAGCCCCAGCCCTGTTGCTGGTCTTACCATGGCCCTGACCCTGCCTTGGCCCTGCCCTGACACTGTCCTGGGCCCTGGCTGTGCCAAGATCCTGCACTGTCCTTGCCCTTGTTTTGCTCCTGCCCCAAACCTGGTCCTGCCCAGGCCCTGGCCCTGGCCCTGGCCCTGGCCCTGGCCCTGCCCTGGCTGTTCCCTGGCCCTGCCCAGGTCTTGGCACTGGCCTGGCCCTGCCCTGCCTTGGCCCTATGCTTTCCTGTCCCTGCCTTTCCAGCCCTGGTCCTGCCTTGGCCCTCGCCTGGCTTTGACCCCGCCCTGGCCCTACCTTGGCCTTCACCCTAGCCTTACCTGGGCACTGTGTTGGACCTGGCCATAGCACAGACCTGGTTGTGGCCCTGGCCCTGCCATGGCCCTGTCCCAGACCCTAGCCCTTCCAGGTACCTGTCCTGGCCCTGCTCTGGGCCTGGCTTTGTCCCTGGTTCTTAGATGACCCTGGCCCTGCCCCTGCCCTTGTCCTTGCCCTGGCACTGGCCTTGGACATGTCCGTGGTCCTAACCCTGGGCCTGCCCTGGAGCTGCCACTGTCTTTGCCCTGCCCTGGCTCTGGCCCTGCCCCGGCCCTTTCCATGCCCCGGCCCCAGCCATAGACCTGCCCTGGTTGGTCGTGCCCTATCTTAACCATGTGCTACTC
The DNA here is from genome assembly GCF_000001405.40 of Homo sapiens. NCBI lineage: Eukaryota > Metazoa > Chordata > Mammalia > Primates > Hominidae > Homo > Homo sapiens. The sequence continues at coordinate 42,233,594 of NC_000010.11, read as the reverse complement.
TGGGCCTGTTCCACCCTGCCCTTGCCTTGCCCTCCCTTTGGCCCTGCCCTGACCCCACCTTGGCCCTCACACTGGCCCTAGCACAGACCTGGTCGTATCTGTGGCGTTGGCCTGGCATTGACCCTTGCTCCTGACCCTGGTCCTGCCATGGCCCTGGGCCTGCCAATGACCCTGACAGCCCTGGCCCTGGCCCTGTCTTGGCCCTGGCCCTGAACTGGCCCTGCCCTGACCCTGGCCCTGAAGTGGATTTGCAGGTGTCTTGTCCCTGATTTAACCTGGCCCTACCATGGCCCTGTCCCTCCCCTGGCTCTGTCCTGGTCTTGTGCTGACCCTGACCCAGACCTTGGCCCTGCCAGCCTTGTCCTTGACCTGGCCATGGCCCTGCCTCTGCCCTGGACCAGCGCTGGCACTGGCATGGACCCTGGCCCTGGCCCTTCACTACTTAAGGCCATACCCTGGCCCAGCCCTGGTCCTGACCCTGTCCTGGCCCTAATTTGGCCTGGCTCTACCCTGGCATGCTATTCTGGCCCTAGCCCTGACCCTGTCCCTGTCCCTGTCCTGGCCCTAGCCTGGTTGCTGGTCCTGCCATGGCTCTTATCCTGACATTGCCCTTTCCTGGTCCTGGCCCTGGCCCTGTCCCAGCCCTGCTCTGGCCCTGGTCTGAACCCTGGCCCTGCAATGGACTCTCCTTGGTCCTGCCCAGACCCTGGTTCTGGCCCTACTTCTGCCCTGGTGATACCCTTGCCCTGGCCTGGACCCTGGTCCTGGTCCTTGTCCTGCCCCAGCCATGGCCCTGGCCCTGTCCTGCCTGTGCCCTGTTCTATCCTGGGCTGGCCCTGCCATGGCCTGGTCTTGCCATTGCCCTGCCCTAGCCTGCCCTGCTTGTGCCCTAGATCTGCCCCGGCCTTTGCCCCTGTCTTTGTTCCAGCCTTGACTCAGCCCTGGACCTTCCCTGACCTTGCCTCAGCCCTGGCACTACCCTGGCCTTGCCTTGGCATTTGCCCTACTCTCTCTATGGCCTGGCTCTGGTCCTGCCCTGCTCTGCTCTTGTTCTGTCCTGACACAGCCCTGGCCCTCCCTGGCCCTGGCCCTGCCGTATCACTGGCTCTGGTCCTGCCCTTATGCAGGCCTGACCCTGCCCCTGCCTTGGCTTTGGCCTGGACCTTGGCCATACAGTGACCCTGCCATGACCCTTTCCTGGCCCTGGCCTGGAACCTGGCCCTGCCAAGGACTCGCCCTGGCTCTGTCATGGCCCTGGCCCTTTCCTGGATTTGGATGTGTCCTGTCCCTTATTTGCCCCAGCCCTTCCCTGGCTCTGCCATACCCCTTCTCTGGGGTAGGGCCAGGGTCAGGACCAGGGTAGGGCCATGGTAAGGCCTGAAGATGGGAAGGGCCAGGGCAGCGGCAGGACCAGGGAAGGGTCAGGGCCAGGGATGTGGTAGGACTAGGGGCAGAGCCGGCACTAGGGCTGAGCCGGGGCAGAGCAGGGGAGATTACATTAGGCTATTATGTAAAATTTTTATTTTAGATTTTTAAGATAACTATAGTAGTGGTAATAATGTCTATACTATGTTGTTTGTAATAGTAATAATATTTACAGTAAATAATCACTAAATTTTAACTAATACTATCTCTGCTTCCAGTACTGTTCTATGAGTATAATTTTATCAATATGTAAATATGTGAGGCATTGATTCTCACAATAATTCTATGTGCTAGGTACTTAAAGCATCCCCATTTTCCAAATGTAGGAAACAGGCATAAAGAAGTTAAATACTTGGCCAGATTACTCCTGTAATCCCAGCACTTTGGGAGGCCAAGGCAGGCAGATGGCTTGAGCTCAGGAGTTTGGAACCAGCCTGGGCAACATTGTGAAACCCCATCTCTACTAAAAATGCACAAAAAGAGCTGATTTAAGTTTCTTGTAGGATTCTGGTTATAAAACACTGGTCAAACACACAGGGCATGGATAGGACAGGGCCAGGGACAAGGTCAGGTCAGGAAGGGGCCAGGGCCAAGGCAGGGCCAGAGCTGGACTTGGAGGTGTCCTGGTCTGATTTGCCCTGCCCCAACTTTGGCCCAGCCCTGCTCTGGCACTTGCTGTCATGCCCTGTCCCTGGCCTGAGCATTGGCCCTGGCCCTGTCCTGCTTCTGGCCCTGCCCCGAAGTTGACCAGGCACTGCCATGGCCCAGTCCTGCATTGCCCTGCCCTCCTCTGCCCTGGTGCTGCCATGGCCCTGCTTGGGCCCTAGCTCTGCCTCGACTATGGACCCGCCCTGACTCTGCTCAGCCCTGGATCTACCCTGACTCTGCCTTGGTGTTGCCCTCCCATCTCTATGGCCTGGCTCTGGCCCTGCCTTGTACAGGCCATGCTCTGCCCTGTGTGTCCCAGTCTGGGCCCAGCCCTTGCCCTACCATATTCCTGACCCCAGCCATACCCTTGTTCTGGCCTTGACCCTGCCGTGGCCCTCTCCTGGCCCTTCGTTGGTCCTGCCCTGCCCATCCATGCCCTGGCCTTGCCCTCACCCTGCACTGGTCCTGCCCTGTCCTGGCAGTGCCTTGGCCCCGGCCCAGCCTTCTCCCTGGCCTTGCCCTTTCCCTGCCCTGGCCTGACCCCAGGCCTACCGAGTCCATGAAATGACCTTGGACCTGCCTTGCCATCATCTGTCCTGGCCCTGTATTGTCCCCACCATGCTCTGGTCCAGCACTTACCCTGGCCCTGTTGCTAGTCCTGCCACTGCTATGGCCCTGCCCTGTTTTTGGCCATGCCCTGTGCTACCCTAGCCCTGCCCCACCTTGGCCTTGGCCCTACCATGGCCTTTTCCTACCCTGGCCTGGCTGTACACTGGCCTTTTCTACCCTGGCCTTGCCCTTCCCTGGTCTTGCCCTGCCCTGTCGTTGCCCTGCCCTGGCCTTGGCTTTGCCTTATCCTGGTCCTTGTTCTGCCCTGGCCCTGCTGTTTCTCTGGATCCTCTCTGGTTCTGCCTTCTCCCTGGCCCTGCCATTGCTCTGGCCCTGTCTCTGGCTCAGCCTTCACCCTGGCCCTGGCCCTGACAATCCCCAGGCCCCACACTGGCCATGCTTGGCCCTGGCCCCTCCTTTGGCCCTGCCCTGGCCCTGTGCTATCTTAGTACAGGGCCTTGGCCTTGGCCCTGTGCTATCTTAGTCCTGCCCTGGCCCTGAACTTGCCCTGGCCCTACCCTCACCCTACACTGGCCCTACCCTACCCTGGCGTTGACCTGCCCTGGCCCTGCCCTGCCCTGGCCCTGCCTTTGCCTGCCCTGGCTCTGGTTCTGCCCTGGCCTTGCCCTTGTCCTGGACCCTCCCTGGCCATGTTTTTACCGTGGTCCTTCTCTGGCCTTGGCCTTGCCCCTTCCCTGTCCCCTTTCTGGTCCTGCCATATTTCTGGCCCTGCCCTGTCCATGTCCTGGACCTGACTCTGGCCCTGGACCTCCCTGTCCCTGCCCTGCCATACCCTGGCCCGTTCCTTGCTCTACACTGACCCTGCCCTGCCTTGGCCCTGTGCTACCCTAGCCCTGCCCTGGCCTTCTGATGGCCCTGATCCTGCCATGGCCCTGGCCCTGCCATGTCCCTGCCCTGGCCCTGGTTCTGCCCTACATCTGGCCCTGGCCTTGGTCCTCTCATGTCCCTGGCTGTGACCCTGCCCCTGGTTTTTCTCTGGCCATGACCCTGCCCCAGTTCTGTCCTATCCCTGGCCCTGTCTCAGTTCTGTCCTAGCCCTAGCCTTTCACAGTACTTTATGCTTAGTAAGGGCTCCATAGTGTCTGTGAGTTGAATGTTGTGTTCATAGTATCTGCCAAAACAGAAAGAAAAAAAACGAAATCTGATGATGAGAAGTTAAAACTTTGTATATAATATGCCTTGAATTGTAAGTGCTTGTTATTAGTTGTATTACATATAGGTCATGGTTTTGTACACGTAACTCCAAACCATTGATACTGTTAAAAGAATATATGAATATATGAAAGAATGTATAAACATAAGAATGTATGTGTATCTAATGACCTCTCCAAATTAATTTTTATTTTTAGCTCTATTAGATTATTCTCAGTATAACAAATGTTTATTCCTATGTAATTAAGGGCATATTTCCTGTACAGAATATTCATATTACCTAATTGAAAATTATATAATGCAAAAATATAATACTATTTTTAGGCCAGGCATGGTGGCTTATACCTGTAATCCCAACATTTTGAGAGGCCAAGTTTGAAGAATCATTTGAGTGCAGGAGTTGACCAGCCTGGGCAACATAGTGAGACCTTTTCTTTATTAAATAAATAAACAAATAAATAGGTTTGGCACTGTGGCTCATATCTGTAATCCCAGCATTTTGGGTTGCCAAGGCAGGAGGATTGCTTGAGCCCAGGAGTTTGAGACCAGCCTGGGCAGCATAGCAAGACTCCATCTCTACAAATAATAAAATATTAACCAGGTGTGGTGGTACGCACCTGGGGTCCCAGCTACCTGGGAGGCTAAGGTGGGAGGTTTGCTCGAGGTTGCAGTGAACTTTGAATGCACCACTGCATTCCTGCCTAGGCCACAGAACAGGACCTTGTCTATAAATAAATAAGTAAAAATATAATTTAAAATAAGTAAAAAGAAATATAAGTAAATAGAAATATAAATACATATAAATATAAAAATGAATACATGAAAACAATTTTTAAATTTAACATCACTGAGGGCATCCTATCCATTTCATTTCATGATTCCATTACATCATTTCACTTAGATGAAATGATAAGATGACTTGAGATGAGATGAAATGATGAAATGATGGGATGAAATGATGAGATGAAATGGTGAGTAGAAATGATGAGATGAAATGATGAGACAAAATGACAAAATTGAAAAGAAATTGAAAGGAGATGAGATGAGATGAGATGATGGATAAAATGATGAGATGAAATGATGAGAAGAAATGATGAGATGAAATGAAATAATGAAATGAAATGATATGAAATAATGAAATTGAGATGAGATGAGATGATATAATGAGATAAAATGATGAGATGAAATGAGATGAACAATACGATGAAATGATGAAATGAGATGAGATGATAAGATGAAATGATGAGATGAAATGAGATGAAAAATGATGAGATGAAAAATGAGATGAAATAATGAAATGAGATGAAATGAAATGAAATAATGAAAGGAAATTATGAAATGTAATGATGAAATTGAAATGAGATGAGATGGAATGATGAGATGAAATGATGAAATGAGATGAGATGAAATGAGATGAAATGATGAGATGAAATGAGATGAGATGAGATGAAATGAGATGAAATGATGAGATGAAATGAAATGAGATGAAATGAGATGTAATGAAATGAGATGAAATGAAATGACATAATGAAATGCAATAATGAAATGAGATGAAATGAAATAATGAAATGATGAAATAATGAAATGGCAATGATGAGATGAGATGAAATGATGAGATGAAATGATGAGATGAGATGAAATGAGATTAAATGATGAGATGAAATGATGAGATGTGATGAAATGAGATGAATTGATGACATGATATGATGACATGAAATCAGATGAAATAATGAGATGAAATGAGATGAAATGATGAGATGAGATGAAATGAGATGAGATGAAATGTGATGAGATGAAATGACATAATGAAATGAAATGATGAAATGGAATAATGAAATGGAAATGATGAGATGAGATGCAATGAGTTGAAATGATGAGATGAAATGATGAGATGAAAAGATGAGATGAGACGAGATGTGATGAAATGATGACATGAAATGACATAAAATGAGATGAAATAAGATGTAATGATGAAATGAGATGAGATGAAATGAGATGAAATGATGAGATGAGATGAAATGAAATGGTGAGAATAAATGATGATATGAAATGATGAGATGAATGATGAGATGAAATGATGAGATGAAATGAAATGCAATGAAATAATGAACTCATGAGATGAAATGAAATGAAATAATGAAATGAAATGAAATTGAAATAAAATTGAGATGAGATGAAATGATGAAATAAAATGATGAAATGATGAGATGTGATGAGATGAAATGATGAGATGACATGACATGAAATAATGAAATGAAGTAATGAAATGAAATTGAAATGAGATGAGAAGATACGAGATGAAATGATGAGATGAAATGATGAAATGATGAGATAAGATGAAATGAGTTGATGAGATGATATGAAATGATGAGATGAAAAGATGAGATGAAATGAGATGAAATGAAATTAGATGCCATGTAATGAGATGAAATGAAATGACATAATGAAAAGAAAAAATGAAATGAGGTGAAATTAAATGAGATGATGAAATTAAATGATGAAATGATGAAATGGAAATGAAATGGAAATGAGATGAAATGAGATGAATGATGAGATGAAATGAGATGAAATGATGAGATGCAATGATGAGATGAAATGATGAGATGAGATGAGATGTAATGATGAGAGGAAATGAGATGTAATGAAATGAGATGAAATGAATGAGATGAAATGAAATAATGAAAGGAAATTGAATTGAGATGAGATGAGATGAAATGATGAGATAAAATGAGATGAAATAAGAAATGATGAGATGAAATGATGAAATGCTGAGGTGAGATGAGATGAAAGGAGATGAAATGATGAGATGAAATGAAAGGATGAGATGAAATGATGCGATGAGGTGAGATGAGATGAAATGAGATGAAATGATGAAATGATGAGATGAGATAAGAAGAAATGATGAGATGAAATGAGGTAAGATGAGATGAAATGATGAGATGAGATGAAATGAAATAAAGTGAAAGGAAATGAAATAATGAAACTGAAATGAGGTGAGATGAAATAAAATGATGAGATGAAATGATGAGAAGAAATGAGATGAAATGATAACATGAGATGATGAGATGAAATGACGAGATGAAAAATGATGAGATGAAATGATGAGATGAAGTGAGATGAAATAATGAAATAATGAAATGAGATGAAATGATGAAATGAAATGATATTGAAATGAAATTGGAAGATGAGATGAGATGAAATGATGAGATGAAATGATGAAATGTTGAAATGAAATGATGAAATGAAGAGATGTGGTGAGATGAAATGATGAGCTGAAATGATGAGACAAAATGAAATGAGATTAAATGATGAGATGAAAAATGATGAGATGAAAAATGATGATATGAAACGATGAGATGAGATGAGATGAATTGAGATGAGATGAGATGAAATAATGAAATTAGGTGAAATAATGAAATGAGATGAAATGAAATAATGAAATGAAATTGAAATGAGATGAGAAGAAATGATGAGATGAAATGTTGAAAGGAGGAAATGAGATGAGGAGATGAAATGATGAGATGAATAATGGTATGAAAAATGATGAGATGAAATGAAATGAGATGATATGAAGTGACATAATGAAATAAATGAAATTAGATGAAATGAAATGAAATAGTGAAATGAAATGATGAAATGAAATAATGGAAATGAGATGAGATTTGATGAAATGATGAGATGAAATGATGAGATGATATGATGAGATGAGATAAAATGAGATGAAATGAGATGAAATGATGAAATGAGATGAAATGATGAGGTGAAGTGATGCACTGTCACGTGTGTGTCTATTCTTTTTCCCAACCAACAAAAATTATAATTCATTTTAATTTTATTATTTAAGAATATTCTTAAGAGTTGAAGGAAAAATAATATCTACATTATGGGTTACAATCTAAGCATAAATAATACATAAATATATTAAAACTTACTAAGAATATGTTTTGGAATTGAATATACCATGCTTCTGTGATGACAGTTATTTCATGCTGGTTGTCACAATTTTACATGAAAAACTAATGAAAAAATGTTTTTAACTGTTTCTAAAAATAACAGTTTCCAAAAGAGTTTTACATTCGAAATATGAAAAAGATGTCTTTGTGTTCCTTAATCTGATGAGATTTTCACACTCTGCACATGATAATTGTTAGATTTTTATTTTGTTGATAAATTGTATATCAAATAAAAAATGTTATTACCTCTTAAATTAGGATTTTTAGGTGATATAGGCAGAAAGGAAGGCAAGTTTTTATAACTTTGTCTAAATGAACTTTCTAAATGCCTGAGTATTAAAAGATAGCATGTCTATAAATCACAATGTATATATTACTGTATGACCTAGGACCAATCAAAACCATTACCTCTGATAATATTATATTGTGCCCAATATAAAATAGATATAATAATACCTCAAACTTAATCCAGGCATTGTCACTGAATATCTTAAGAATATGCAGCAAAGGTGCTTTTAAAAATACAAGCTAGTGATTGTACTAAATTTGTAAATCACATGGGATAGTGGGTCATTTTAAGAATATTAGTTATTTCAATCTATAAACGTGGATGTCTTTCCTTTTTTGTGTTTTCCTTCATTCCTTTCATTAATATTTGTCATTTTTGTTGTAGAAATCTTTTACTTCCTTGGTTAAACTTATCTCTAAGTACATTTTTGTAGCTATTGTAAAAGGAATTGCTTTCTTAATTTCTTGTTTCAGCTAGTTTACTATCAATATATAGAAATGCTACTGATTTTTGTATGTTGATTTATATCCTGCAACTTTATTAATTTTATGTATCACCCTAGGAAGCTTTTGGTAGCGTCTTATTTTTTTTTTTTTTCGTGTATAAGATCACATTGTCTTTAAACAGGGACAATTTGACTGTCTCGTTTCCAATTCAGATGTCCTTTATTTCTTTCTCTCACCTAATTGTCCTGGCTAAGACTTTCACTATGTGAAATATGATTGGTGAAAATAGGCATCTTTTTCTTGCTCCAGTAAAATCTTTTTCTTGTTCACAGTAAAATCTTTCACCTTTTCCACACTCAGTATGATCTTAGCTGTAGATTTGTCCTTTATGTCCTTCTGTGTTAAGGCATATATTTTCTATACTAAATTGTCGAGAGGTTTTGTGTCATGTAAGAATATTTAATTTTGCCAAACGCTTTTATTGTGTTTATTAATTTAATCATATGGTTTTCAGTATATATTCAAAGGAAAGAAAATCAGTATATCAAAGAGTTACCTGCACCCGCATGTTTATTACAACACTATTCACAATAGCCAAGATATGGAATCAACAAAAGTGTCCATCAACAGATGAATGGATAAAGAAATATGACATACATATATAATGGAATATTATTTAGTCATAATAAAGAACAAAATCCTGTTATTTGTGGCAACAAGAATGCAAGTGGAGGGCATTATGTTAGGTGAAATAAGCCTTGCATAGAAACATAAACACCACATAACTACGTGTTCTCACTTATGTATGGAAGCTAAAATTTTTAATCTCGTAGAAGTAGATAGTAGAGTTTTGGTTACCATATCCTGGAAAGAGTAGGAGAAAGAAGAGTATAAGAAAAATGTGGTTAATACATACGAAATTACAGCTGGAGAGAAGGAAGAAGTTCTAGTTCTCTACAGCACTGTTGGGTGACTGTAGTTAACGGGAATTTATTGTGTGTTTTCAAATAAATAAAAGATTTTGAATATTCTCACTGCAAATAAATAATACATGATTTAGGTAATGGATATGATAATGACTCTGACTTGAACTTTACGCATTGCATAAATATATCAAAATATCACTCTGTATCCCATAACATGTACATTTATTATATGTCAATTAAATTTAAAAGAGAAAAAATGAGGTAAAGGTAAATGTACAGAATTTGATTACTTTTTCTTCTATAAAACCCAAGAGTCAGTACCAAGAAGAGTCAGTTTATTAGTTTTCTAAAATAAAAAAAAATCAGTCACCAAAAAAGAGCAATATCCAAGAAAACATTGAAAATGAAACACAACATTTAGTAAGAATAGAAAACTTGGGCACTGTATCACCCTGTTCCTAGATACCGATTTACTGATGGCCATTTAAATAGAATTTTATTCTATCTAATTCATTTATACTCCCAGAGTTCAAAATTACATTTTACCTACAATAAATAAGATAACACTTGTAAATTATATGGTACTCTGCCTAACACATGTTAATAACTCAATACATGTTAGCAATAAACTTTTAGTATAGTAGTCAAAGTATTAATTTCTCACACTGCAATTTCCTTCAGAGACATGAATACAACCTTTCTAATGACTCCTTGTTCGTCAAGATACCTCTTCAAATTATTCTATTTGTTTCATTCAGTATATTATCTATGTATACCGATATGATATTACACTCTTTATTTTATTTTTTTGAGATGGAATCTCATTCTGTTACTGATGCTGGAGTGGGGTGGCATGATCTGGGTTCACTGCAACCTCCAGCTCCCAGGTTCAAGCGATTCTCCTGTCTCAGCCCCCCAGGTAGCTAGGACTACGGGTGCACACCACCATGCTTGGCTAACTTTTGTATTTTTAGTACAGTCAGAGTTTCACCCTGTTGTCCAGGCTGGTATTGAACTCCTGACCTCAGGTGATCCACCCACCATGGCCTCCCAAAGTGCTGTGATTACAGGCATAAGCCACCGCACCCTGCCTGATATTGCACTCTTGGATTTTGAACACTGAATATCTTTTTGAAAGATTACACTTCTTTACCTCTTTGTGCTTCAGAAATCATTTTCCTTCAAGTGTTCTAAGAGTCTAATGAAGAATGAAGTCATGTTTTATCACTTTTGTCCTTAAAGATTTCAGACATGCTGAAACTGACTGAAGTATCATTTGCTACCAGATAGATTAATTATCTCTAGTTGTAGGAGTGGATACATCTTTAATGGTATATTTTGGGTTATTGTCTTATTTTTGATGCAGTATTCTATAAATAATTTATTAAACCTGGCATCCTTGGGTGAGCATGAATTTTTCAACTTTGGTGTTATATTGTGTTTGCTTTTAAAAACTGCTTTTGAGGCCGGGTATGGTGGCTCTTGCACATACCCAGCACTTTGGGAGGCCAAGGTGGGCGGGTTACCTCAGGTCAGTAGTTCAAGACCAGTCTAGTCAACATGGAAAAACCATGTCTCTACTAAAAACACAAAATTAGCCAGGCATGGTGGTACATGCTTGTAGTCCTAACCACTCGGGAGGCTGAGGCAAGAGAATCACCTGAACCTGGGAGGCAAATGTTGCTAGGTTGCTATGAGCCAAGTTCGCACCATTGCACTCCAGCCTGGGTGAAAAGAGCAAAACTCTGTCTCAAAAAAAAAAAAAAACCCACCAACAACTGCTTTTGAATGGAGTTGTACATACAGTCTTTATGAAAAAAATTATCAAGTGCATAAGTTCATAATAGAAAAACCAATAATACTTCAGGCACAAGTTAGTACTAAAAAAGTTATGTTGAATATTCTCTAATACAACATGCTTTTTCCCTTCATGAACAATTTGTGTTTTACTGAGAAGAGTCATTGTTTATGGTAGAAATTAGACTACAGATGAATATGTACTTTAAGCACTCTTAGTTGCTTTCTTAATTTTATATCTGCTGCTTTATGCTTCTGTTTATTTTCATTCTTTCCAATGTCCACATTCTAGTAAATTTGAATATTTTAATCCAAGTTTATATACTATTTAATATTGCTTGTATAGTTTAGTATTTTTAAGACTCAAAAAGGTTTACAGAAAGAAGAAAAAGTTCAACATGTTATTAATCATTTGAAGATCATTTTAAAATCTTTGATTTTTTATTTTAATGAATAAAATTTTAGTAGTTATTAGTATAAAATAATTTATGTCTTTTGGACTTAGCATCCAGTATTTCTTTTTTAATAAAGAAAATAATTACTCTCTTGCAATATACTATGTTTATCTGGGTTTTGAAAAATGATGTTTCCTAATATGAGAAAGCCATTTACATTTTTAAATCTACAAAAGCAAATGGAATGGTACTAAATTATTTACATAATAATATTTAGATGGTGGCCCTTATAATATTCTTTCTATACTTCCTACAGAGTTGGGGATATGCAATCCTAGAATATTTCTGGGAGCTAATCCTTTAGCTTGATGAATGAAACAAGACTTTTAAATAAAATTAAACTTTCAAATTATCCAGGTAATGGGCCTGTCTTTTAATTCAATGGATAGGGAGCATAATGATTTATCCCCTGTTCATTGGGTAATAAGTTCTCATTCTTAACTTATAATACTCAAAATGTCCTTTAATTTTTAATTTTTGATAGTCATATCATTATCCCTAGGTATTTTAGCTTCTATCTTAAATTCTAAAATAATTTTGAAATAGGAGAAAGTATTCTTTATTACTATATGTATTAAACATCATGGTTTTCAAATTTAACTGCAAATGTATCTTTTCATTGCTTCTTGGTGACGCCCTTCACCCTATCCATATTGTCACTACCAAGTGGTGATTACTTTTCAGGTTCACATACTTATTCTTCAGAAAAATCTTCTCTGTGCCTTATAAAGAATATGATTGTTGGCATTCAAAAGCCAGCGAAGTATACATTATTAGCCTGTTGCCTAACTCATTTCTTTAAGAAACTACAGTAATTACCCACATACTTATGTTTTTATTTCCTCATTATTTCTGGAGAAAACAAATACTGCTAACATGATATTTGTAAGAGAGAAAAAAGTCTTTTCTTGGAAAGTGCTGTCATTGTAGTACCAACTTATAGTATCAACTTCTTTATCAACTCCTTATACACTTTTTATTCTGAGAGAAATAAAAAAGCTAAAAGTGAAATGACTTTTTTTACTCTCCATATTATAAGCACCCATCTTGGTAATTTAGGGTCTTTATAGTTAGGGTAAGTTGTGTCATACTGAGGTTACAAATTAAAAAGTATTTTGTCTCTTTGGGCCTTTCCTTATTCAGTAATACTGTCAGTTTGACTTTTTTTGTAGGTCAACTTATTGAACTCAGTATTCTGAAATAATGTGTTTACTTTCTTTTGATAAGCATTTAAAATATTAGATTTATTGTTACTCTTCTGCCTTCATTGGGCTGGAAGAATAATTGTTTCACTCCACAAAAGCCAAGTTGCAGAGAAAAACACATAGACATTCAACTGCAAAGCAGAGAAACTTGACTATTTTCTGCAATTTTAAAGTGTATATTGAATAAAACCATCTTTTTATTTTCTTTTTTGCTCACTGGCAAATATTAACAACGTCAAGTGTGTTATTATAATGTTATCTAGTTAAAAATCTCAGAAAGTTTTCATAATTACCATTTTAAAATATATAAATAGGTGACCTAATGTTAATTTTATTGTCTGAGACCATGTCTGTTATTTCACTCTTTAAATTCAGTTAGTAATGCAGAACCTAGCACTTAGTAGATACTCAAAAATTATTTGCTGGATAAAAAAAGGTTAAACATGTAATATACACAAAATGTACTGGAAAAAATGCACCAAACAATTTTGTTATACCAGTTTAATATAAATATTGCCTTTGAAAGATAATATAGTTTGCAGGTGTCTACAGTGATTTTGTAATATTTGTGCACATATAAAATAATATTTCCAAAAATGTAATCCAGTGGGGAAATATACTTTCTAAATTCTAGACTTATAATTTAGGGTTTAAATTATAAAATCATTAAATAAGACACAAGTGAAATATAGTCAAATATCCCCTTGGAAAAAAATTAAGTGGCCTCTAAAGTGAGGTATTCATATATGTAATTTTACAATCCTCTAGTGATAGAATTAATTAAATATGCCACCAAATTGATTAATTCCTACAGTGTTAAAAGAGAAGTCCTAACAATGCCAGTGACCATGTAACATGGATTTAAGCTACAAGTCATAGAAATGTGATGAGAAGCCTCAGCGCTGTAAAACAGAGGGTGGAGGAAAGCTTTTCCTCTCTCAAATGAGCTTTGCGAGGTATACTTCGTGAAGGATAGGAAGTTGAAGTGTTCAGGACTTTTATGTCTATTCTATTTTGGCTTAGTTTACATGATTCTTAGTTTATTAGCCTAGAAATGGCCAAGAAAACTTAAGGCTCAATAATTAGTTATAAATATGAAATATCCCCAATTTTTAAGATAAAAACAACTTATAAATGTATTTGTCTGTAAAAATTGTGTATATTTTTTCAGAACATCTATTTCTTTCTTTTTTTATTTTTCTATTTTTTTTATACTTTAAATTCTAGGGTACACATGCACAATGTGCAGGTTTGTTGCATATGTATACATGTGCCATGTTGGTGTGCTGCACCCATTAACTCATCATTTATATTAGGCATATCTCCTAATGCTATCCCTCCCCCCACCCCACAACAGGCCCTGGTGTGTGATGTTCCCCTTCCTGTGTCCAAGTGTTCTCATTGTTCAATTCCCACCTATGAGTGAGAACATGTGGTGTTTGGTTTTTTGTCCTTGCGATAGTTTGCTGAGAATGATGGTTTCCAGCTTCATCCATGTCCCTACAAAGGACATGAACTCATCATTTTTTATGGATGCATAGTATTCCATGGTGTATATGTGCCACATTTTCTTAATCCAGTCTATCATTTTTGGACATTTGGGTTGGTTCCAAGTCTTTGCTATTGTGAATAGTGCTGCAATAAACATACGTGTGCATGTGTCTTTATAGCAGCATGATTTTTAATCCTTTGGGTATATACCCAGTAGTGGGATGGCTGGGTCAAATGGTATTTCTAGTTCTAGATCCCTGAGGAATGGCCACACTGACTTCCACAATGGTTGAACTAGTTTACAGTCCCACCAGCAGTGTGAAAGTGTTCCTATTTCTCCACATCCTCTCCAGCATCTGTTGTTTCCTGACTTTTTAATGATCACCATTCTAACTGGTGTGAGATGGTATCTCATTGTGGTTTTGATTTGCATTTCCCTGATGGGTCTATTTCTTTAAAACAAAGGGAGGGGAGTCTCTCATTTACATTAGTTTTTTTCATAGCATTTTGGACTTTGCAATTTCTATGTCTTGGAACCTATTTCTTACAGTTTTTCTATGCTAAACTCTGTCCTGGTCAGTTCCAGAGTGTATGAAGAACCAAATGATGTAATTGTATGTGACCTGGCTGTAGTGAAACAAATTTGACTCTTAAGTATGAAGGCTCTAATTTTCCTGTCTGGTTTTGGTAAGTATTCCTTACATAGGTTTTTTCTTTGAAAATCTGGGATTGAGAGGTTGATGAATGAAAATTAATCCTTTCACTTTGTTGTATATAGGTTTGCAATAATTAGGTCAGAGTGGAGTTTTTAAGGTCATGAAGGGGGCTGATGATTTACAAATAATGGGCTCTGATTGGGCAACTACTCATCTGAGTTCCTTCCATTTGACCTAATTAAGCTTGTGAAATTTACACTAAGCCATGAGCTCATCTTTAAAAAGTTTTATTAAAAGATTTTCAGCTGTTCCAAATGGGACTTATTAGTGGAATGTGTTTTAAAGGATCATATCAGATGAATGAAAGGTATTTGATCCTTTCTTTCCTTAATAATAAAATGATGGTTTGGAAAAATAGGCTACAGTCTAACCACAGTGCTATTATTAGGCTTTCTTGTTAAACATAGGTCTTAGCCTTAGTATGTCAATACAACAAATACTTACTGTTTCATTTCTAGTAATGAAAAAAAAAAAACAAGTCTTTCTGGCATAAGGATGATTTTCATCTAGTTATTTTGAAACATTTTTGTAAAATAAATTTACATCTATAAAGAACATTTTTATTTGTAAGGAGGGTCATGCGTCTGTGCACTGGAAGAGAGGGAGGACTAAATCACTGGGAAGTCTTATGATAAAGAAGCCATTGGCTTAAATCAGCAAAGCAAGCCATCCCTTGGTTTAAGGTGTTTTTCCTGGCCATCCTGTCTCGACTAGAACTTTACCTACACCTTCCTTTTTGGTTTAGGTAAATTATTGTATCTAAACCTGAAGTCTCAGCTCTGTGTCTTTGAGATATAAATGTTCTACCATGTCTTCTCTGGAACCTGATAACTATCTATCTCTTTAAAATGCAAGTCTAGGGAGATGACTCATCAGAAAAAGAAGAAAAAAGTGGTATTTGGAAATTGTGCAAATTAAAGCTGCCCCTGATGCCAAAGTCTACACATTCCTGAGTGAGTCAGTTCTGGCCAGTTCTAGCTGGATCAAGAGAGCTCTGCTGGGCAGGCCTGAAGAGCAGCTGGATGGCAGACACCTGAGGAGCCAGGTGCCTGAAACTTCCTCCACCTGCTTGAGGAGCACCAAAGCCCAGGTGCTGGCTGGACAACCCCTTCTGGCTGCCTAAGCAGGTGGCAGAGGAAGGAAAAAAGGTCAGAGGCAGAGTGTTGAACCCTGCCTCCCAGGTGGGTGGAAGATGCCTGTTGCCAAACTAGGGCCCAGCTTGCCAGGTGAGGTGGGTGAACTGGTGATCCCCCGAGAGAGTGGACGTCAGAACTACATGGTCCCGGACTTCACCTCGGCCAGTGAAGGAGAGAGAGGGTTAATGTTAACTGCAGGAGGCCCACTCTAGCCTTAAATTCTGTAATTCAAAACCTTCCCTTGGAGACAAAACAAACATGACAAGGAATTCTGAGGTCAGGGGACGAGAATCACAAGTTCCCTAGTGGGAGACTGAGGAGGCAGTGTCCTTTCTGCCCTTGGTCTACTGGCTAAGAACCTTCCTCAGCCTGACCTTTCCACATTGCACTTTCAGCTCTGTTTGCAATTTTACTCCTTTAGTGCTGAGGGAATCCCAGTGTTCGATCCTGAAATCTATACGTTCCTAATGGGTGGTTAAAAAAAACCTCAGCAAGAGAAGCAGAAAATGTTTCCTCTTCCTGAAAAACTGTAAAAAGGCAGGCACCATTCTGGGTGGGACATGGTCCTTGCCAAAGTCTTTATTTTTATTTTTTTATTTTGAGGTGAAGTTTTGCTCTTGTTGCCCAGACTGGAGTGCAGTGGTGTGATCTCTGTTCACTGCAACCTCTGCCTCCTGGGTTCAAGCAATTCTCCTACCTCAGCCTCCCGAGTAGCTGGAATTACAGGCACCTGCCACCATACCTGGCTAATTTTTTGTATTTTTAGTAGAGATGGAGTTTTGCCATGTTGGCCATGTTGGTCTCGAACTCCTGACCTCAAGTGAGCCACCCGCTTCTGCCTCCCAAAGTGCTGGAATTACAGGTGTGAGTCACTGTGCCCGGCAAAGATTCTGTTTTGATAGAACACTTGTGTCTCTCTCACCTTGTATTTAGAAAAGTTAGAAAGTAAAGGATAATGTATATAGAAAGCTTTTTGAAGACTCTTAAGAAGTTCATAAATATGGGGCACTATGACTATGCATATGAAAATATTTCCTATCAGTTGGCAGTTACCACCTCTTATAGTGGCATGGAACCTCTTGAGTTAAACCAAGGCTCAGTGAGATTTGGTGAGTTAGGTAGTGTCATTTTATGAACAAGGGGGACCCTACTCAGGTCTTTTATTTTATTATACTTCTCTTTGACATTCACTCCAGTTAAAGAACTCTTTCAAAAGACCTCATGCCTGGTCTCACGAAGATTCAAAGGTGTTTGAGTCCTTCCTTATTATGCCCTTGGAAGATGCTTTGAGGACCCCAGTGATGAATCCCAAGAACTCTGTCTCCATTATCCCTGGTATAGGGCACCTCATCACTCCGGTGTTATCCCTGAAGGGCCTTCATAATAATGTGCTTAAAGAGTCCCCTATTATGTCCTTCAGGATGGAGCTTGACTTGCCCAAATTGCTATGTACATGTTAAAGAGAGGCTGGAACTGAAGTTGGTCATTTCTCACTGGATCAGTCAACAAGATTTGAGTACTTTCTGTGTGCTCTGCATCATTCTGAGTACTCTGGAGGACAGAATAAGGCATGGCTCCTGCCTTCAAGGAGTATGGAATTTAATAGAAGATGACAACATACATGATTGTAAATCTATCTACATGAGAGTGCCTAATTGTGAGATTCCTAATAAATGGCAAGATATGTTCTGAAAATGTGAAACATAAATGAGGTTGAAGAAATTGTGAAAAGTTTAGCAGAGGAGGAATAATTCGTCAGGTTCTTTAAATACAAGTAAAGGGGAAAGGAAGGACCATTTTTAACTTTAGATATTCCAAGGGTTAGTGGTGAGGTTGATTATGGTATGTCTTCTCATTGATGAGGGAGGAGACTGGCGAATAGTGGAAAATAAAGTTAAATAGCTAGGGTGGTGCCAAATTACGGGTTTTAATAAAAGCCAGGCATAGAAATTTAGATTGGGGTGGTAGAAAAAGGAAGGCTTTAAAAGTTTTTGAGCCAATGAATGACATCATACAAGTTCTATATAAACAGCAGTGATTTCAGGCTGAGAGAGAATGGCATCAGGAAGACCCACTTGAATGCTGGTAAGTAATGTTACTAACAATGCCATTAGTAACATTAATGTTACTAGGGCCTGGACTGATATGCTGATGGAAGTGAGAATGAAGAATAAGGTGGGATGAAAGAGACTTTGACAAGAGTTTTTTAATGAACCTGAAACGGGAAAGGGCGAGATTAACTACGCCTGCTTGCCATGGACAACAATGGGGTTGCTAGAAGATTAGCTGTGCGGAAAAAGTTATGCATTTACCTTTGGGCATAATGAAATGCAATTGACTCTCCATATTCATGGGTTCTGCATCCACTGATGCAAACAACTGTGGAACAAAATTGTCAGAAAAAACAATACAATGATAAAAAATGATACAAATAAAAAACAACGTGGTGTACCAACTATTTACATAGCATTTACATCGTAATAAGTGTTATTAAGTAATCTAGAGATAATGTAAAGTATATAGGAGGATGTGTGTAGGTTATATGCAAATACTACACTACTTTATACCAGTAACTTGAGCATCCATGGATTTTGGTATACAAGGGGGATCCTGGAACCAATTCCCCATGCATATCAAAGGATGACTGTATGAGTTATCTGTAAAATGTTTTGGTTGAAATGTTTAGAAAACAGCTAGAAATACAAGACTGGCTGTTGGATGAAAAAAACATAGGACTAGGAAATTCAGGTATGCTAGTCTTTTTGAGTATTGCTTAAAGCCATGGGAAAAGAGCTCTCTGTGAGTTCCAAGACAGGTGCAAGGACTGGCATTCATGCACAGCTTCTAACAGATAAATCTGAAGAGTTCTTAGTATGCATGTTGACTGAAATTACTTTAGAAGTAATTTTTCTCCTGGTGATAAAAGGTATGTAAGGCTATTTTAGGAAATTGAAAAATGCAAAAAGGTATAAAGAAAAAGAAAAGATAATCATTAATAGTACGTTAGTAAACAACATTTGACTAAAGATATGACTTTCCTCCCGCTTGTTTTCTTATGCATATAAAGGGATAGGAAATATTTATGTATGTATGTGTGTGTATAGGATCGTGCACTATACATAGCTTGCTTCTTTTTCCATCATGATAATTTTCCCATGTCATGAATTACGGCTTGCAAGTGCTTATTCTTAAAGGGCTGCATTATTTTTCATTATTTGGATTTATTGTTATTTAATTGGAACTCTATTATTGAACATTTAGATTGCTTCCAAAATTTTTTGCTCTTGTTAATATATTGTAATAAACTTCTGTGAAACACATACTCTTCACCTGCTACTTACATATGACTTCTGTAAGCAGAGACCTCTGTATCCCCAGGACCTAGAAGGTTACCTGGACATAGTAGTTGCTTAATTAAAAAAATTATTGATTGAATGAAAGAAGACTATTAAATGTTCAGTTCTTCTTTTTTTATTCTGATTCCCTGTGTATCCAGGGGCCTCTTATTTGGCTGCATGTATGAGTTTGGCTGTAATGAAAGTATTGGCCGTATATGACCATAAACAGGCATTCCTATTTCTGTCACAGTTATATTTGTCATTCTGTATTAATACATCTATATCCTGATTTCTATTGAAACATGGTTATTTTTGTTTTCTTCTAAGCAATGTAGCTACGCTATTGATGATGATAAAAATAAAATTCTGAACCTATAAGACTGAGGATTGGGCCTAGGTTTTGGTAAATTGGCAAGATAATGGATGCTACCCTGTCAAGAGCCCTCTGAAGAGAAAAGTCTGCCAACCTTCACCAGGTAGAAACTCCTGGCAGTGCCACATTTTCCAGTTTGACGCCCTGTGATACCCTGAACAGACAGATGTTTGACTCTTTTCAAATAATATTTTAACATATTTTAAGACACAAAGGCATTGTGTCAGACTTTTTTCTTAAGAATACATTTCGTTACCACTCAGAAGTTAGCTTCCAAAAGAAATAAGTGTGTTCAAAGGTTTATGATAGTGGTGTAGAGAAGTTTTTAAAATAAATGTGCATCTTTTATGGTAATAAAAGCACATTATGAAGAATTTCTTAGGTCCAGTTCACAGATTTCTTGAGCCTGGGGAAAACTTTATTAGAAAATTAGATAATTTCTAATTTGATTAGGGGAAGTCTAATGGAAAAACTTTTTAACTGAGCGGTCCAATTCGAAACATGAATATCTGTGCTGGAAGCTTCTATTGAACTTTACTTAAGTGACATCTAAGACCCTCTGCCTGTCAGTCCACCATTACCCTAACAGTGGTAGAAATTCTTTACATGACACCTAGATCTTTTTTTGTTGCACTTTTAAGCTGTGTAGGAAACACACTGCCCACATGTTCATACAACACAGAGTGATTATCCACTTAGTTCCTAAAAAGTTGTATTTGGTAATGGGGTTTGATCCCACTTGTCCAGGGTTTAGGTCAGCTACTGAAGATTAGGATATCTGGGTACCTCTTACTGGAGAATCCATTCCTGTTTTCATTTCATTCCTGGGGGCAATATTCAATCTGGTGTGGCCCTCTGTATTATAAAATGTTTCCCAGATTGTGTTTATCTGAAATACAAATCCAAGAAGAAGCATGGTGTTAATTGCCGTGTAAAAAAGATTCCAGAGTCAAGAGCTTGAGAAGTTCTATTCCTTCCTTCATAGGTTCAGTTGTTTAACCCAGCATTTTTCAAACATATTTTACTCCTAGAACCTGTTTTTCCTCAGACATATTTAAGAAAAAAGCGTTTTGTAGAACACATTTGGACAAATGATACTTTATATCATTGCTTTGTTTTTTAAATTTTAGTTTGACTCAATTTTACAGTTTCAGGATTTTGTTTCTGTTTCAGGTTTTAAGCTTTTCTTTTATAAATAGTTACTTTCCTAGTCTGAAATCTATACATTGTTTCAGTAATGAATTCATTATGTAAATTTGCCCATCATTCATCTAAAGGGAATAAACGTTAAATTGTTTTTTTAAATTTTGACTTGTGTCACATATGAGAATATAAAGTATATCTGTACAATAAAGGAAAATGAAACATCAAAGTATCTACCTCAAGTTAAGAAGCAGAACTTGGCCGGGCATGGTGGCTCACACCTGTAATCCCAGCACTTTGGGAGGCAGAAGTGGGAAGATCACTTGAAGCCAGGAGTTGGAGACCAGCTTGTTCAATAAAGGAAGACCTCATCTTTAACAACAACCACAACAGCAAAAAATTAGCCAGGCACGGTGGCACATGCCTATAGTCCCAGCTACTGGTGCAGCCTCGAACTCCTGGTCTCAAGCCATCTTCCCACCTCAGCCTCATGTTCTAGTTAACTTTGTTATGCAGTGTCTCCTATTCTACATGTGCAGGAGTATTTTTACAGTATGTACCTGGAGTGGAATTGCTTGGTCTTTGGGCATGTGTGTGTTCAGCTCTATTGAGTGGCATCAAACTGTTCTCCAAAGCAGTTGTACCAATCTACACCCTCACCAGCAGTGAATAGTCTTCCCATTGTTCTTCCTCAATGAAACTAGATATTCACAGCCTTTTAGGTTTTTCCTAGAGTATGAAGTGGTATCTCTTTGGGGTTTTAATGTTTATTTCCCTGATTAGAATTGTAGTTGAGCATCTTTTATTATGTTTATGGGCCATTTATGTTTTCTCTTCTGTGAAATTCCTATTCGGGTTTTTTGCTCATTTTAAATGTTGTTGTTTGTGCTTTTCTTATATAGGAATTCTTCACGAATTCAAGATGCACGTATGTTGTTCAGAATAGTACCTGCGACATAGAAACAACTTTGTAAGAATAGCTATCATTATATTACCATTGTATTTAAGTCTTTGTTTTTATGTGTTACAATTATCTTCTGCTAGTTTGTGGCTTATTTTTCATTCTGTGATGCTAATTTTTTAACCTCGTATTCTATTATTTTAAAAATACACAATCTTGAGTAGTCTACATGTTCATAACCATGACATATTCATGTTGCATATGTTCTGTGTCATAACCCAGAACTTTTTTTTTTTTTTGAGATGGAGTTTTGCTTTTGTCACCCAGGCTGCAGTACAATGGCATGATCTTGGCTCACTGCAGCCTCTGCCTCCTGGGTTCAAGTGATTCTCCTGCCTCAGCCTCCTGAGTAGCTGGGATTACAGGCACCTGCCACCATGCCCAGCTAATTTTTGTATTTTTAGTAATAACTTTGTTTTGCCATGTTGGCCAGGCTGGTCTCAAAATCCTGACCTCAGGTTGTCTGCCCACCTTGGCCTCCCAAAGTGTTGAGATTACAGGCATAAGCAGCTGCACCTGGCCAACTTTCAGTCTTAAGTACCACTTTTTGTTGCTGTTTCTTTTTTTGAACCCCAGGAAAAAAATAACTCATTTAATCCCCTATTCAAACTGCTACAATTTTATTTTCAGTGTTGTCACCTGGTTGTAGATGCATTTGTCTATCCAAATGCACTGTGATTATTTCGAAGACAAAACATTTTTGGCATTGTGATATATATATATGTATATATATATGTATATAATAAATATTGTATAACAATTTATTTGTATTTTATATATCATATAAAAATTATATATAAAAATTGTATATATATATAAATGCCACTTATCCCTAATATAGGGACTCGATTAGTTTCTGCTACTGTGGAGACAAGTCATATCATGGCTAGAGGCCATGATGGTAGGAGCAGTCAGAGGATTTCTTGCATTGTGATGAGTGCATATAAGTTAAATGAGCCACTTATCAGTAGATTTGATAGCAGGATAACAGTTATATCACTGATGCCTAGGCAGTACATGACACTCGGTAAAGAATAGATTAATCCTCATGCTCTTCATCTTCCTCCTAATCTCTTTACCTGTGATGCCCTCCAGCTTTCAAAGTGCTCTGAGTCATCACTTACACAGTGTTCCTTAGCTGCCCCTTCAGTGGGCCAGTGTTTCTGTGCCCCAGTGTTCCTGAGAGTTAGAACACAAAAAACAGAGCAGGCTCTTGCCCACATCACAGAACATCTTTGTCTCCCTGTGGATCCCGCACATTTGTTCATTAGAGCTCAGGAATTGCCAGAGACTGGCTTTTCTGACAATGGACACTAGATTCTTCAGAAGAATATTGGTTGAAATCTTCCTGCTGTGACAGCTCCCTGCATGCAGGGCAGGAGTGTGTGCTTCTTCCCAGCAAAGGCAGAGGCAGGGCCTACAGAAACTGTGCCCACAGCCTATAGTGATGGGGTCTATGAGGTAATTCAGGCAGATGAGGCAGGTGAGTTCTTTCTGGAAGGCTTGTGGGAAGTCTAAGTCCCTTTTTCTGAGGGAAGAAAACCAGAAGAATTTATTCTTATGCCATAGAGAGACAAAGATCTACACAAAGTTTGAATCAGGTTTTGAGTAGGATCCGCTCACAGGTTTACATCTATAGCAGGATATGATTTTATTTTGCACATAACAAAAATGAAAAACTGAGGCACAGAATTCAAAGCTTTGCAGAAAAATGTGTTGGCTCCCTAACCAACACACACACACACACACACACACACACCTACTTTCCCAAATTCTTTCCTCCTGTATGAAAAAAACTTAAGGCTGGGCACAGTGGCTCATGCTTGTAATCCAGCACTTTGGGAGGCTGAGGCAGCAGGATTGCTTGATCCAAGGAGTCCAAGACCAGCCTGGGCAACATGATGAGACCCTGTCTCTACAAAAAGAAAAGGAGGAAAAAATTAGCTGAGCATGCCAATAGTCCCAGCTACTAGGGAGGCTCAGGTGAGAGGATTGCTTGAGCCCAGGAGGTCAAGGCAGCAGTGAGCCATAATCCAGCCACTACACTCTAGCCTGAGTGACAGAGCAAGACTCTGTCTCAAAAATGAACAAAGAAAGAAAAGAGAGAGAGGGAGGGAGGGAAGGAGGAAAGAAGGAAGGAAGGAAGGAAGGAAGGAAGGAAGAAAGAAAAGGAAGGAACGAAGTTTACAGAGTTTTTTGAGGTGTTAGTGTTCCCTAAATTGTATGGTCTTCAGAGGTTTACCCTCCTATAGCTTCAAGGGGTGAGTCCTGACTGGTAGGAAAATCAATCACACTCTTACTTGCCAGTGATTCATTTAGGGAAGACAGCTAAATAAGCTCTTCCATTTTGATTATTTCATTTAATTGTAACAACCATCTTATCATGACTTCTTCAAAATTACCCTGCCAGTAAGTGTTGGAGGACTCCCCAGAAGCAGAAACCACCATGCTTCCTGTATAGCCTACGGAACCATGAGCCAACTAAAGGTGTTTCTCAGGTATTTCTTTATATTTTTGGCCAAAATTAAAGAGTTAGGCTTTACTCTCCAAGATACTGCAACAGACAAAAACAAGCCACCACTGTTTTCTAATGTTGTTTTCTTGTTAATTCAATCAACAAGTATTTTCTGGTAAGTTTAGTGTTCCAGAGACTGTTAATCTGGTGATGCACCGGTTAATAAAACATCCTTAAGAGAAATAAAAGTTTAAAAATAAACCAGATGATAAAATGCAGTAGTGTACACAATGCCACTTATCCGCATGTCTTCTGTCTGTCACCCATGATCCAGAAAATGTCTTTAGTATAAGCCATTGATAAAGATGCCTGAAAAATTTATGTATAGAAGACATAGTCACAAAATTATTTTTTTCCTTTGATATCCCTTGTTACCTCAAACAGAATTTACCACTCCAATTCGATTTCTGAATACATGGGAGTTAATAGAATACTCCTAATCCATTTATAGGATCTACACTAAGTAAAAAAATTAAAGACATCTGAAAACTATTTTGTGAGTCCTTATAATCCATATCAACAATCATGAAATATATTAAGTAATAGACCAAAAATTAATCATCATATTAACCAAAAACACATAGCAAGGCAAGATAACTAAATATTTTCATTTGGAAATTGGGAAATTTAGTCAATTTTAAAACTCAGCAAATGAGATCATTTCACAGAAGCAACCTAGGTTTGCTGGTAAATTAAAATTATGACATTTTGTTTTGGTTGGGAGGGTAGTTCCTCTTCTGTAAATTGTGTACTCACATAAGAAATATATCTATGTTCTCACAGACACTTGCTGTAGAGGTAATAATATGAAGTTAGCTCAGGGATCAGGGCCTCACAGTGCAGTGCTGGTAGCTTTTTTTTTTTTTTTTTTTTTTTTTTTTTTTTTTGCCCTGCACCTTGAATAAAAGTTTCCTGAGGCCTCCCCGGAAGCAGAAACCACCATGCTTCCTGCATAGCCTATGGAACCGTGAGCCAACTAAAGGTATTTCTCATGTATTTCTTTATAGCAATGCAAGAACATACTAATACTGCTAAGCAGAGGCCATCAGGACCAGCAACAGTCTGAGTTGGATGAGAGACAAAGCTAAACTTTGAGCAGCAGCAGGAGCTGCCAGGGAGACAGAAAGGAAGGATGGACTCCTAAATTCCAGGATGTCTCCTTTAAGTCTGTAAGAAGCTCAGCCACCGTCTCCTTACCTGACTCCTCTGGGAAAGAGTTTCCCTAGGTTAAGCCATACAGGGATAGGGTAGGAGATGCCATTTGGATCTAGGAGCAGAGGGCAGAGACTCAGCAGGAAGAGTGTCTCTATGAGAAGGAGACACAGTGGAGCAAGTATGTAGGTTCACAGGGCCAGCTATGGGTAGAGTCGGGTGTACATTTTTAGAAGCCACAATTCCTGACTATAACATCAGTGCACAGAGCCAGTCAAATGGAGGAGGAGTGGGTCCAGGCAATTCAGGAAGAAGGAAAGTAACAAATGAGTGGTTGCAGGAGGACACCTTTTCTGTCGAGGTCACTAAACAAAACATTGTCTCCTCCCCTTAACTTCGGAGACAAGCAATGGAGGGTAAAAGTGTTGCCTGGGCCCTGGGGGCAAAGGCAGTAGATAACTACTCTGTCGTGTTCTCCAGAAGGGCCCATTCCAGCCTCACAGGCCGAGAAGTCTGTTCGGTTCCCAAGTACTAGAGATGCTGCTATAAGGGACTCCCGAATTTCCTTCCTGAACCAGAGGCTGCCCAGCCTTTTCTTCCTGTTTTATTTTTTCCCAGGAAGAAACTTGCCTGTACAATTACAATGTTCCACGGTTCTAAATTCCAATCTAGTCTTCCACATCATTTTGAAGGTATGAAATTATTTGTCAAAGTGGGATGATAGAAGATAAGTGTGGACATTAAATTGTTGACAAGGAAAAAAACTAAAATAAAAATAAGAGAGAAAAAATATATGTATGTACAGTGGTTAGCTAGAAATATGCCTTTTAAATATTTGGCATGTGGTATGTGGGCCTCAATGTGTACTATTGCACTAGCTTCCCAAATAGTAAAGGATGTCTTTTAAAAGAAAAACCTCTTGCTAAAAGGTTAACAGTTAAAATAACCAGAGTGGCACAGGTACCAGTCATTAAGTGAAACCTTTCATCTTCCCAGAATAGTACCTGTTCCCAAGCCAGCTTCTTTGAAAATCACTTTTCTCTCCTTTACTATTTAGTTTACAGATTGTATAGTAACAATACAGAAACCACAATAGTAGCAAAAAAATAAAGAATATTTTTAAATGAAAAGTCACATCCTAACTCTACCAAAACATGAAAATTAAACCTGAATGCCTCCCATTCCTGATATATTTTTCACCTAAATACACAGCTCTGGGATTGCATTGTTTTTGGATTGAGTGGAAATTATTGCCTGGTCTTGAAATCTTCCATAATGTTTGTGTGTGTGTGTGTGTGTGTGTGTGTGCGTGTGTGCGTGTGTATGTATGTATGTGTGGTGAATATATTTATTTTTGTTCAGAGCAAACATTTTTTCAATATGTATATTTATTTTAGGCAGATTATGCTAGTAATTTTCTACAAATGTGCTTTTTAAAAAATAACCTTTAATTAAAAAAAATTATTCTTACTCAGTGGCCCACAATTGTTAAAAACGCTACTAATGGAGCTGGGTATGGTGACACACACCTGTCATCCCAGCTACTTGGGAGACTGAGGCAGGGGTATTGCTTAAACTTGGGAATGTGAAACCAGCCTGGGCAACATAGTGAGATCCCAATCTCAAAAATCAATCAATCATTAAAAAATAAAATAAAATAAAACACTACTAATAGCTTTTTAAAAAATAGTTCTTAACCAATTTTCCTAGCACCTTCCTTTCTTCAGTGAAGTATAGAAATATGTGGTCAGGCACTGTGGCTCACACCTATAATCCCAATAATTTGGGAAGCCAAGGCATGAGGATCAGTTGATTCCAGGAGTTCAAGACTAGCCAGGGTGACATAATGAGACTTGGTCTCTAACAAAAATTATTTTTTTCTTTAATTACCAGGGCATGATGGTGCATGCCTGTAGCCCAGCTACTTGGAAGGCTGAGGTAGGAGAATCACGTGAGCCCAGGAGGCCAAGGCTGCAGTGAGCCATGGTTGCACCACTGCACTCCATACCTGGGTGACAGAGTGAGACACAGTATCAAAAACAAACAAACAACAACAAAAAGTATTTGTTTTAGAAAAAACATTTGGTGAGGTTTGGGCTTAAAAATATATTATTCTAAAATATTCATAATTATTCTCTAGTAATGATAAGATTAAAGTGACAAAGACAAACTTTTTCCTGTGCAGTTCCATCTCTCACCGTCCCGTAATTATTCTGTCCCATCCAGCTTCCAAAGGAAATTATTTACAAAATAATGTCTGCATCCTGGGTCTATATATCTATTGCCTATGAGGAGAGCGTTTAAGATCTGAGCCATCTTCAAGTCTTATACTTTGTGTATAGCTCTCATGTTTTTGCAGTTTAAGTAAGTTTGTATACCCTTTCTTTTATTAATCTGTGTATGGTCAGTTCATTTCGGTTAATCTTCAGAGGGTGAAAGGGGAAGCTTTTCACTTCACTCCTACTGTGACAACTAACTACCTTCTTATTCAATTTTTTAGTCTATATCAACATTTTTATATGCATTTACTTTTAAACAAAATTTTGCATCATTACACTTAAAATTTTATTTACCTTTTAAAAAGGAAATTAAAAATAAAATTAAAAATTATAAAATTTTACATAATAAAAATAAAATAAATGATTTATATAAAAATTAATCTGACCTGTGAAAAACACTATCCAGTGGCCAAACACGGTGGCTAACGCTTGTAATCCCAGCACTTTGGGAGGCTGAGGTGGGTGGATCACGAGGTCAGGTGATCTAGACCACGATGAAACCCCTCTCTACCAAAAATACAAAAAATTAGCCGGGTGTAGTGGCGGGCGCCTGTAGTCCCAGCCACTAGGAGAGGCTGAGGCAGGAGAATGGCGTGAACCCGGGAGGCGGAGATTGCAGTGAGCCGAGATCGTGCCACTGCAATCCAGCCTGGGTGACAGAGCCAGACTCTGTCAAAAAAAAAAAAAAAAAAAAAAAAAGAAAGAAAGAAAAACGCTATCGAGAGAATAAAAAGACAAATCACAGACTGGGAGTAAAAATTTACAAAAGCTATATCTGGTGAAGATACATTTGTTATCCAAAATATACAAAGAACTCTCAGGACTCAATAATAGGAAAACAAATAGTCTAACACAAATGTAGAGATCTGAACAGACATTTCACCATAGAATACAGATGGATGATACGTAAGCACATTGAAAGATGTTCAACATCATTCATCATTAGGGAAATGTAAATTAAAACTACAATGAGATACTGCCACATGCCTATTAGAATAGCTAAAATTTAAAAGACTGACCATACTAAACATTGGTGAGAACACAAAGAAACAGGAATGCTCATACACCGCTGCTGGAAATACAGCCACTTTGTCAGTTTCTTTAAAAGTTAAACTGGCCGGGAGTGGTGGCTCACACCTGTAATCCCAGCACTTTGGGAGGCCAAGGCTGGCGGATGACGAGGTCGGGAAATCGAGACCATCCTAGCTAACACGGTGAAACCCCGTATCTAATAAAAATACAAAAAATTAGCCGGGCGTGGTGGCGAGCGCCTGTAATCCCAGCTACTCCGGAGGCTGAGGCAGGAGAATGACGTGGACCCGGGAGGCGGAGATTTCAGTGAGCCGCGATGCACCACTGCACTCCAGCCTGGGCCTGGGCGACAGAGCGAGACTCCGTCTCAAAAAAAAAAAAAAAAAAAAATTGAACATATCACACCACCTAGTCATTCAAATCCTGCTTATTTGCCCAAGACAAATGAAAGCGTATGTCCAAACGATTGGACAAACATTCGTAGCAACTTTATTTGAAATAGTAAAAACAACTGGAAGCAAACCAAATGTCCATCAAGAGGTGAATAGATACACTAACTATAGAATATCCATACAATAAAACTATTTTTTTTAAACTACGGGGCAAAAAACAAAAAAACCAAAGATAGAATCTAACTTCTTGGTAAATACATTCACTATTAGGGTTTTTATAACAGAGAAGTCATTCTTTATTAACACTCTTTTGACTATGAAAATATTTTGACATCAAAAATCTGCAAAATATGAAGAAACAAAGGACACACAGCTTTTTCTATTTTTTATTTTTATTTTATTTTTATTTTTTTGAGAAGGAGTCTCTTTCTGTCACCCAGGCTGGAGTGCAGTGGCGCGATCTTAGCTCACTGCAAGCTGCGCCTCCCGGTTCACGCCATTCTCCTGCCTCAGTCTCCCGAATAGCTGGGACTACAGGCGCCGGCCACCAATCCCGGCTAATTTTTTGTATTTTTAGTAGAGACGGGGTTTCACCGTTAGCCAGGATGGTCTCAATCTCCTGACCTCGTGATCTGCCCGCCTCGGCCTCTCAAAGTGCTGGGATTACAGGCGTGAGCCACCGCCCCTGGCCCCAGGACACACAGCTTTAAAATTTCTCCTTGGTCTCACCCAGTGCCAACCACCTAAAACCTCTCATTTTCCCCCAGACATTTCTTCTGCCTCCAGGATGGAGGTAGAGAATCTTGGCCTTGGGCCACGCACTGGGGACCATGCTGGGCTGCCGTGGTCAGTGACGGACTCAGGTTCTCACCAGGATGCCCAAAATAGGCCTCTGAAAAAAATCTTACCATCAGGGTGCGCTCCCTGATTCTTGTGTCTGCTGGAAGGAGGAAATCAAGCCAGGAACATTGCCAGGATAGAGATGAAAATGGGGCTCACTTTTCTGTCTCTTGTGATGTCAGACAAGCCTTTCAGCTCTGTCTCCTCAGCCCTCATGGAATTGTTTGGTGTGGACGCACCGAGATTCTGAACTGGGTCCCCTTTCCCTCCGCCCTTCTCTGGGGCCAGATTCTGAGCTCTCCATTCCAATTTTTCCCCCAATTTGCCCTTGCATTTATTTATCTGGATTACTGTCTGCCTGTCCCAAAGAATAAAAGCTTTATCACAGTGGGGACTTTGTTTAAAAAAAAAAATAACAGCTATATTTTTAGGATCCATGACACTGTCCAGCATATCGGTGGTATCTGATAAAAAATGTTTGTTGACTGAATGAACAAATATATTATTCACAATTCACATTATCCTGAACTGGCTAGAAAATTAAATATCTGATATCAGTATTGGCAACATTATGAAGTAAATATAATTCTGATACAGTGCTTGTGAAAGTCTAATATGAAATGCTCATTTTAGAAAACATTTTCTTGTAGATTTGAAAATGTTTCATCTCCATGAACCAGTTGTATATCTGCAAGTTGTGTATCTTTGGGTTAGGCAGAATAATTGCCCCCCACCAAAGACAGCCACATCCCAGTCTTCAGATAAGGTGAACATGCTAACGTAAGTTAGCATGTTCAAAGGGACTTGGCAGATGTGATTACCATTAAGGTCATTGAAATGGGGAAGTTACCTTGAATTACCTTGGTGAGCCAATCTAATCTCATAATTCCTTGAGAGCAGAGAATATTTTCTGGATGCTGAGATTCAGACAGATGGCAGTATGAGAAAGATGTGGCCTGCTATTACTGGCTTTTAAAACAGTGGTAGGGGGCCACAAGCCAAGGAAAGCCAGTGACCTTTAGAAGCTGGGAATGACCCAAAGTTTACAACCAGGAAGAAACTGAGGATCTACAACCACAAGGAACGGAATTCTGCCAACAACCCAGATGCTCTTTTAGAGCCTTTAGAAAGAAATGCAGCCTGCCAACATCTTGATATTAGTTCAGTGAGAGCCATGCCAGATTTCCAACCAAAACAATTCTAAGACAATAAGTTTGTGTGTGTTTTTTAAAACTGACTCAAATCTCACAAAAATGTGTTATTTTAAGCCACTGAATTTGTGGTAAATTGTTACAGCAGGAACAGAAAACTGATACAACCCTAGAGAAAGTCTTGTACATGTGCCCTATAAACACACAGCAGAATTTTTTTAATTTTTTATTGAGTTAAAAAATATATATATAATTTACCATCTGTACATTTTTAGAGGACAGTTTAGTGGTGATAAATACATTTATATTTTCTTCTCTTAATCTCCTCTTCCCACTCCCCTTGCTGGCCTCTAGCAACCACCGATTTACTTTCTATCTTCATGAGATCCACTTTTTTACTGCCCACATATGAGTGACAACATGTGGTATTTGCCTTTCTGTGCTTGGCTCATTCCACTTAACACAATGGCCTATGTTCATTACGTTAAGCCAAATGGCCAGTGCCACCTATGTTGCTGCGAATGACAGAATTTCATTCTTCTTTGTATCTGAGTAGTATTCCATTATGTATATATATGACTTTTAAAATCTATTCATTTGTTGTACGTTGATTCCATATTTTGTCTATTGTGAATAGTGCTGCAGTACACATCGGCATGTAGATATGTCTTTGATATATTAATTTCCTTTATTTTGGATATATATCCAGTAAAGAAATTGCTGGACCACGTGGTAGTTCTATTTTTACTTTTTTGGGGAACCTCCATACTGTTCTCCATAGTGGCTTTATTAATGTAGATTCCCACCAACAGTGTACTAGTATTTCCCTTTCTCCACATCCTTGCCAGCATCTGTTATTGCCTGTCTTTTTGAAACAAGTCATTTCAACCAAGGTGAGATGATATTGCATTGTGATTTTGATTTGCATTTCTTTGATGATTAGTGATATTGAATATTTTTTCATCTTCCTATTGGCCATTTGTATGTCTTCTTTTGAGAAAATATCTGTTCAGATCTTTTGCCCATTTTTAAATTGTATTTATTTATATATTTTTAACTATTATTTTTTTAGAAGCAAGGTCTTGCTTTGTCACCCAAGCTAAAGGGCAGTACCATAATCATAGCTCACTGTAACCTCAAACTCCTGGGATTAAGAAATCCTCCTGACCGGGCGCGGTGGCTCACGCCTGTATTCCCAGCACTTTGGGAGGCTGAGGAGGGCGGATCACGAGGTCAGGAGGTCGAGACCATCCTGGCTAACACGGTGAAACCCCGTCTCTACTAAAAATACAAAAAATCAGCCGGGCTTGGTGCCGGGCGCCTGTAGTCCCAGCTACTCAGGAGGCTGAGGCAGGAGAATGGCATGAACCCCGGGGGAGCAGAGCCTGCAGTGAGCCGAGATCGCGCCACTGCACTCCAGCCTGGGCGACAGTGAGACTCCATCTCAAAAAAAAAAAAAAAAAAAAAAAAAAGAAATCCTCCTACCTCAGCCTCTTCAGTAGCCCATTTTTCAATCAGATTTTTTGTTTGTTTATTATTGAGTTGTTTGAGCTCCTTATATATTCTACTTGTTAATCCTTTATCAGATAGATAGTTTGAAAATATTTTGTCCCATTCTGTGGTTGGCGCTTCACTTTATTGTTTCCTTTGCTTGAGGCTTTTTAGTTTGATATAATCCCATTGCCTATTTTTGCTTTTGTTGCCTGTGCTTCCGAGGTCTTACGCAAAAAAATCTTTGCCCAGACTAATGTCTTGGAGCATTTCTCCTACGCTTTCTTTTTTTCTTTCTTTTTTTTTTTTTTCACGCCATTCTCCTGCCTCAGCCTCCCGAGTACCTGGGACTACAGGCACCCACCATCATGCCCCACTATATTTTTTTTTTTTTTGTATTTTTAGTAGAGACGGAGTTTCACCGTGTTAGCCAGGGTGGTCTCGATCTCCTGACCTTGTGATCCGCCTGCCTTGGCCTCCCAAAGTGCTGAGATTACAGACGTGAGCCACCACGCCCAGCCTTTCCTATGCTTTTTTTTTTAATTAGCTTCATAGTTTCAGGTCTCAGATTCAAGTCTTTAATCCATTTTTATTTGATTTGATTTTTGTGTATGGTGAGATGGGTTTAATTTTATCCTTCTGCATATAGTTATTCAGTTTTCCCAGGATCATTTATTGAAAAGACTGTTGTTTTCCCCGTGTATGTTCTTGATGCCTTTGTCAGAGATGAGTTGTTTGTAAATATGTAGATTTGTCTGCGATCTCTATTCTGTTCCACTGTCCTATGTGTCTGTTTTTATGCCAGTAGAAATATATTGGCAATAATTAGTACAGAAAAGCTGAAACAATGAAATGACAAAAGTGAATTATATTGATATAATTCATTATGCTCACTAAATGCAATAGCATCCAGCTAGGAAAACAATGTAGTGCACACGGTATTAAAATACAACACAATTCAATATACACAGTGCTCACAGTGGCCATCATTAGAGTTTTGAAGAAGGGGATGTAGTCAGCAAAAGTTGTACAGATGACTTCAAAAGTAATCATAAGCATTTATGATTACTTTTGGCTTAATTTCTTAAACCAAGACTGGAGACACAGGTGTTCATTATGTGCTTATTATATATATAAAATAAATATTTTATAAATATATTGTTTCTATTCAGTATTTAATAAAGTAAATCAATAGAAAAGGTTAAAAAGCAATGCACACATATTTCAAATATTTTTTTTGCTCCAAATTATATAAACATTGCATAGTTATTGCCCTGGGCCTGGCAAGGTGACTCACACCTCTCATCCTAGCACATTAGGAGACTGAGGCAGGAGGATAGTTTCAGCCCCAGAGGTCAAGGCTGCAGTGAGCCTTAATTGCACTACTGCACTCCAGCCTAGGCGACAGAGCAAGATGCTGTCTGAAGATAAAAATAAAAATAAGTTAATAAGTATATGTTTATATATTAACTGATTTTATTAACTATATATATATATATATATATATATATATATATATATATATATATATATAGTTG
The DNA here is from genome assembly GCF_000001405.40 of Homo sapiens. Classification (NCBI taxonomy): domain Eukaryota; kingdom Metazoa; phylum Chordata; class Mammalia; order Primates; family Hominidae; genus Homo; species Homo sapiens. Next base: position 42,199,120 of record NC_000010.11, on the reverse strand, counting down.
TTGTCTTGGTCTATATGCAATCTTACGGTGCTTAAGACTTTGATACTGAGAACAGATCTCTTAGGTATATGCTGTGTTTCTGGGGTGACATGATGCTCTCATCTGGTCTCCGTGAGCCTAATTCTATCTTACATTTACCCCACTCTTCAACAACAACTTGGGGAGGTGTCCCTAAACATTCCCAGGTGAACCCAAACCTGTGGCCCTCAACACATTTCTACGTAAAGCAAGCTCCTGACATATCTGTGGATATCCTCTCATTGGATGAAGGGGAAAAGACCATCTCAAAATAATTCATTTAATAGAGCTTTTCAGAATTAATTTTATTTTGATAAAGAGACACACAGTAAATAAAATTTCTAAAAAACTATAAACTTTCAAGCATTCTCACGCTAAATCTAGCCCTGCTCACATGCCAGGGAAATATAAAGGTAATCTGTTTCTCAACCTGACCAGGATGCTATAGTAATTAAAAATAAACTCAATCCCTGGATCCCTACCAAAGGGTCATTTCATATGGATCAAAGTTCTGGTAAAATTATTTGTCTGCAAATAGACTAATTCTCCAAAATATAATTGAAATAACAGCCTCTGGAAAGGGCCAAATATGACTCTTAATGGTACAACAGCTAAATATAGGTCTGATGCTGATTCCGTGTGGACAACAATAGCAGCCATTCCCACAAATGGCTGATTTGTGGGAAGTAAACACTACTTTTGCAGAATCTTACATGATTTCAATAGAAGGGCAAGGGCATTTCAGTTGGGAACAGATTGCTCCATGGTAATGTGATCACTATGTACCCAACAATGGCTCTTTCTTCCTAGCGTCAATGCAGATGTTATTTTCACCTTAACTATTATCATTGCTGTTTCTAACCACATAAAAGTGTATCCTTTATATATCTGAAGTAAATTCATACTAGTGGTGTAACATCTCCAGCCATTTAAGTGTAAAAACAGAAACTGTATGATGTGTTTACTTACTGTTTTATACTCCTAACGCATGAAGAGAAGATCCTTTTATTCATTGCCTTTACTTTTATTTCTAAACTTTCTGTAACACTTTATCTTATATCCAGCATAGAATTGAGATTTGCTTTTTGATTTAATCTGACAATATTTTTTCCTCTAATAAGAGTCAAGCCCACTTACTTTTAATGATAAATTGTGTTTGGTTATATTTTGATTACAGTATATTATGCTATGATTTATATGTACATATCTGTCTTTTGCTGTCTTGTTTGTTTTTATTGCTTTTGTTTTGATGTTGTGATATTTGGAAGAGTTAAACTTTTATTCTGATGGCTACCTTATGTAATTTCATAAAATCATCTCTTTCTTTAGACAGTAGCTAATGTCTCTAAACTAAGAACAATGGTATTAGCTGTATTCTCTTTCTTGTCCTCCTTATGTGATTTTTCATCCCACAATTTGATTTAATCATATTAACTTTGTTTCCCCTGGTGCCATTAAGTATGCTTACATTTCTATAAACAATATCCGTTGACTCCCAGGCATTACAGTGAGCAGTCAGTAAAATCATTCTGAGGAATACTCTCTCTTTCCTTTTCTTCCATTTTTCTTAGTTGTATCATTTCTATATTGCCAGAGCACCTACAGTTTCATTTCTTTCCGTCAGCTTTATCCAGCATTTGTTTTTGTCTTTTATTTGAAGTTAAATATATTCCTTGCTCACTACAACACTGGGAGGAAGGAGGGTTTCTGTTGTCATTGTTGTGCTTGTACAGTTGTTTATTTAAAAACATTGGCAAAAACAAAAACTGTGTGTAGAAGGAATGGAGATAAGACAGAAAATGAGAGAGACTGATGATGAGTGTGCTTATTCTAGACTGGGAGGGGTGCTACACTGAGCAGTGTCTGAAGGCCGCAGGAAAGGATGGTTGTTTGTGAGCAGGTGGACTTTCCACTGGAAGAGAGAAGTCCTGCGCTCAACAACCTGTGCAGAACCAGAAACTGGTAATGCTTCAAATCAACTTACAGACCTGGAGGTAGAAATTTAAGAAAACTCGTTTAGCACCTAGTTTCCTAGAAAATATTAGCTACTATTTGCTGAGCATCTGTCAGTCTGTCTGTAGCATGGAAGATCAGAGTACAGGGGAAACTGGATTAGTAACAGGGGGTCAGAAAATTATACAATATTCAACCAAAATTCCTGCTTTACATACACAGCACCTGGTATTTCCAGAACTAGAAGATAAAGAAATTATTTGTGCAAGACACAAAACTAATACACAAAGATTGGTTGCATTTATATATATGAACAACAAACTCGCTGAAAAAGAAATTAAGAAGGCAAACCCATTTACAATAGTTACCAAAAAAAATCCCAGACATAAATGTAACCAAGGAGGTAAAATGAAAACTACAAATCACTAATGAAAGAAATTAAAGAGGATGCAAACAAATGAAAAGACATTCATACTCATGGATCAGAAATATGAACGTTGTTAAAGTGACAGTACTACTCAAAAGCAACCTACAGATTCAATGCAATCTCTATCAAAATACCTATGAACATTCTTCACAAAATTAAAAAAATCCAAAGAGATTTTATGGAATCAAAAAATATCCTGAATAGCCAAAGCCATCCTAAGCAAAAAGAACAAAGCTGGATGTATCATGCTACCAGACCTCAGAATATACTACAAAACTGTAGTAACCCAAAACATCATGGTATTGGCATAAAAACAGACACATAGACCTATGGAATAGAATAAAGAACCCAGAAAATCCACATATCTCAGCCAACGGATTTTTTACAAAGATGCCAAGAACACTCATTGGGGAAAGGATAGTCTCTTCAATAAATGGTGCTGGAAAAACTGGGTATCCATATGCAGAAGAATGAAACTAGACCCCTGCCTCTCACCCTATACAAAAATCAACTCAAAGTATCTCAAATACCCAAATATAAGACCCAAAATGGTAAAGCTACTAGAATAAAACATAAGGGAGATCCTTCAGGACACTGCTCTGGGAAAATATTTTATGAATAAGGCATCAAAAGCACAGGCAACAAAAGAAAAAATAAATAAATGGGATCACATCAAGCTAAAAATCTTCTGCACAGCAAAGGAAATAATAAAGTGAGTGAAAACACAACCTACAGAATGGGAGAAAATATAAACTACTCATCCGGCAGGAAATTAATATCAAGAATATACAAGGAATTCAAACATATCAACAGCAAAGAAGCACAACAATCTAATTAAATATAAACAAATGCTCTGACAGACATTTCTCAAAAGAAGACATACAAATGACCAACAAATATATGAAAAAATGTTCAACACCACTAATCAGCAAGGAAATGCTAATCAAAGCCACAGTGAGGCATCATCTTACTCCAGTTAGGATGGCTATTATAGAAGAGACAAAAATAACAAATGCTGACAAAGACGTGAAGAAAAGGGACTTTTTTTTTTGACAGAGTCTCACTCTCTGTCCAGGCTGGAGTGCAGTGATGGTGTAATCTGGCTCCCTCTGCTTCTAGGGTTCAAATAGTTCTCCTCCCTCAGCCTCCTGAGTAGCTGGAGAAAAAGGAACTCTTATGCACTGTTGGTAGGAATGTAAATTAGTGCAGCCAGTATGGAGAACAGTATTGAAACCCCTCAAGCAATCCCACTACTGGGTATTTATCCAAAGGAAAGAAAAGCATTATATTGCAGAGACATCTGCATCCCCATGTTTATTGCAACAGTGTTCACAATAGCCAAGATATGGAATCAACCTAGGTTTCCAACAACAGATGAATGGATTTTTAAAATGTGGTATATGTACACCAAGGAATGCTATTTAGCCATAAAAAAGAATAAATAAAATCCTGTCATTCTCAGCAACATGGATGGAACTGGAGGATATTATGTTAAGCAAAATAAGCCAGGAATAGAAATTTCAACACCACATGTTCTCACTCACGCAGAAGCTAAAAAAAAGTTGATCTCATAGAAGTAAAAAGTAGAACAGAGGATACTGCAGGCTGAAAAGGGTAGCGAGAAAGGAGGAATAGTAAGAGATTTGTTAATGGATACAAAATTACAGCTAGGTAGGAGTAATAAGTTCTAGTGTTCTACAGTACTGTAGATGACTATAGTTAACGATACTATATTATGTAGTTTAAAATACCTAGGAGTAGTTTGAATGTTCCCAACACAAAGAAATAATAAATGTTTGAGATGATAGATATGCTAATTACCCTGATCTGATCACCATCTACATGTACTGAAACATCCCCGTATAGCCATGAATATGTATAATCTTTGTCAATTTAAAAAGTACAAAAAAAAATTAATCTTGGAGAATGCATTTGAAGAACTTGTACTCAAGAAATCAACTTAAGAACCTGAGTCTCCTTGGAATTTGTGTTTTCTAGACCAGTACTCCAAATTAAAGCAAATTTAGGCTGGGCATCGTGGCCCATGTCTATAATCTCAGCACTTTGGAAGGCCGAGGTGGGCAGATCACTTGAAGTCAGGAGTTCGAGACCAGCTGACCCAACATTGTGAAACCCTGTCTCTACTAAAAATACAAAAATTAGCCGGGAATGATGGCATGTGCCTGTAATCCCAGCTACTTTGGAGGCCGAGGCAAGATAATCGCTTCAACTGGAGAGGTGGAAGTTGCAGTGAGCCGAGATTGCACCACTGCGCTCCAGCCTGGGCAACAGAGCAAGACTATGTCTCAAAAAAAAAAAAAAAGCGAATTTAGTTCACTTTGGTATTGTGTCAAAATGTTGATTCTTTTAAAGTAAATCTAAAGAATTTAGATGTAGTTGAAGCTTGTCATCTGTTCTTGTTTTTTTTTAATAAAAATATAATATTTAGATTCAGAGTAAATCTAAAATGAGACCGGAAGCTGCTCCCAGGTGATACTGATGCTGCTTATTTTTGCCCAGATTTTGAGTCACAAGGTTCTAAATTATTGGTTTGAAGTCCTACATGAGTAATCACTTGGGGAGCTCAATTAACACCCAGCAACAGACTAATTATTAATAAACCAGAATCTTCAGTATTAGGCTTCAATCATTGGCAATTTTTTTTTTTTTTGACACACAGTCTCCCACTGTCACCCAGGCTGAACTCCTGAGGCCAGAATGAGACTAGGACATGGTTCCTTTGCCTAAGTAAAGTGAGGCAGACAATGGAATACTTCAGACTTCAAATTAGTATGGTAAGTGCTATGAAGAGTATGATTAGAGTTCATTATTTACCCAGAAAAGGGTCACTCAGCCCAGCCTGGGAGTTAGAGAAGGTTTCCTGAAGTCTTGACTTGTGAGTCATGAAAGGACATAAGGAGTTAACCACGTGACAAAATAAGCTAAGAGAATTCTCAACAAAAGATAAAATATTGGCAAAGGCTTTTAGGCATACACTAGCTTAGTACTATTGGGAGAATGTAATGATTGTCTGTATTTCAAAAGTGTAAAATACAAAGTGGGCCATGATATGAAATAAACCAGTAAATATGTTCTGGGAACAGATCATAGAAGCGCGTGTATGCTGTCCTAAGGAGCTTAAACTTCAACTTCAGTTCATGGGAGCCAATGACAAGATCTGAGCAGGCGAAGGATGTGGCTAGAGGGGCATTTTAGACAGACAAGATCCTCTGTGGATTACACCTAGGCTAAGCAACGGATTAAAGTTGTTGTCTTAAGACAATAGTCCAGGTAAAAGATAATAAAGTTTTAAATTAGGATGTTAGTAGGAATGAGGAAGAGGGATGGATTTCAGAAATAGTAAGGTAATGTATTAGCAGGACTTGATTAGTGATTGACTTGGGGAAGGAGGGGAAGACAGAGTTCAGGATGACTCCGAGACTGTCTGGTGTCCGTGGCTAATGACTGAAGCTATTAATAGAGGTAGGAAATGCAGACCAAAAGCAGGCCCGGGGTGAGACATGTTGAGTTAGGACATCCAGAATGAAATAACCACAAAACATTTAAATATACGAATCTGAAAAGGTAAGCATCATAAGCATATGAGCTATGGGTAAAATTCTGATACTTAATGAAGTCTCGCAGGGAGGCAGTACAGAGGCAAGCAACGGGCTGGGGATAAAACATAAGGAAATATTATTTAAATAAAGATGAAAGAAAAGGAGCCCACAAAGGAAGCTGAAAAGCCATAGTCAAAAAAAGAGGCTTGCCAAAGTGCCACCTTTGAGGCTCCGCTGTTACACTTTATAAGGAAACTTTTGGTTACCTGGGATTGCATGCATTTATAAAAGTTTCTATTATTAGGAAGACAATAATAATGATAAGGCTCTTTCTCATTGTTGTCAGTGTAATTTATCTATTTAATTATAGAACCTAGTTCCAGGATGCTTAGTCTGAAGTATATACTTGGGGCAAAATGAATTATATCTTAATAATAATCTGGAATTTTTCTTTCTAACTTGACATATTTTAATTCTTGCTAGATTTTCAAAACGTCATACCTCGAACCACCACCAGATGGCGATGAGAATGTTACAAATATTGTGCCACCATATAATGCTTTCTCAGGCCAAGGCATGCCAGAGGTAAAATAAAATACATTTGTAACCCAAGTCTTTAAATGGTTCTTTTGCTATATAAAACCTGTATAGAGGACTAAAACCAAGGAAATTAGGTGAATCATTCATGCGGATTCATTGTTTGATATTCAGTACTATGAAAACCTCATCCCTCAAATTTAAAAAATTATAATAAAATAAAAAAGAACACCAGAGAAAAAAGAAACAAAACAAATACATTAAAAACTGACCCTGCTGAAGCAGATGCCACTCTTTGAAATAACAAAGAAACTGCTGAACACGGCTTTAATTCAGTGAGGCAGTAGGGTTTTTTTGTTTGTTTGTTTTTGTTTCGTTTTGTTTTTTTGAGACGGAGTTTCGCTCTTGTCACCCAGGCTGGAGTGTAGTGGCACAATTTGGGCTCACTGCAACCTCCGCCTCCCAGGTCCAAGCAATTCTCTTGCCTCAGCCTCCTGAGTAGCTGGGATAACAGGTGCACACCACCACACCCTGCTAATTTTGTATTTTTTTTAGTGGAGGTGGGGTTTCTCTATGTTGGCCAGGCTAGTCTCAAACTCCCAACCTCAGGTGATCTGCTCACCTCGGCCTCCCAAAGTGCTGGGATTACAGGCGTGAGCCACCACGTTAAAAAGGGAAACTTCCTATTTGCCCTCTAAAGGTTTGCAGAAAATGAATGGACAAAACATAAATTAATAGAAGAAAGAGTAAAAAAAAATCTGTAAAATGTAGGGGAAAAATCACAGGGTCTCACTCAGTTACCCAGCATGAAGTGCAGTGGTGTGATCATGGCTCATTGCAATCTTGAATTCTCAAGCACAAGTGATTCTCCCCACTAAGCCTATGGAGTAGCTGGGATCACAGGGACATGCCACCATGCCCACATACATGGGTATTTGCTGGAGAGGAGATGGAGACTCTCTGTCCTGGATGTGAGACGGGTGGCTGGCATCTGGGTAAGGATGACATTCCCTCATTGCTAAAGAGTAAAAGAGGTAAGTGTCATGCATAGTGCAAGCAGGGACATGCCCTGACTTAGTGAGGTCCAGAGGCTTATATTGTCCTTCATAGGGGAGTGGGAAGAAGCGAGTGTAGGCAACCCAGGGGAAATAAATGACCTAAAATAAAAGAAATAGACCATCAGAAGTGTAGATGTATTAGTCAGGGTTCTCTAGAGTGACAGAATTAAAGGACTATATACATATATATATATGAAGGGGAGTGAGATGGTTAATAATGAGTGTCAACTTGATAGGATTGAGGGATATGAAGTATTGACCCAGGGTGTGTCTGTGAGAGTGTTGCCGAAAGAGATTAACATTTGAGTCAGTGGGCTGGGGAAGGCAGACCCACCCTTAATCTGGTGGGCAAAATCTAATCTGCTGCCAGCAAATATAAAGCAGGCAGAAAAATTTGAAAAGGAGAGACTGGCCTAGCCTCCCAGCCTACATCTTTCTCCCATGCTGGTTTCTTCCTGCCCTCAAACATTGGACTCCATGGCTCTCCTTTCTCATCAGTTTGCAGACAACCCATTGTGTAACTTATGATCCTATAAGTTAATAAACTCCCCTTTATAAATAAATATATATATATGTGTGTGTGTGTGCATATATATATGTATGTATGTGTGTATGTATATATATATATATCTATATATATATATCTATATATATATATCTATATATATATATCTATATATATATCTATATATATATCTATATATATATCTATATCTATCTATCTATCTATATATATATATATATATCTCCTGTTAGTTCTGTCCCTCTAGATGTCACTGGCTAATACAGGAAGTTTATTAAGTATTAACTCACACAGTCACCAAGTCTCACAATAGGCCATCTGCTGGATGAGGAGCAAAAAGAGCCAGCCAGGGTTCCAAAACTGAAGAACTTGGAGTCCATGTTCGAGGGCAAGAAGCATCCAGCATGGGAGAAAGATGTAGGCTGGGAGGCGAGGCCTGTCTCTTTTCACATTTTTCTGCCTGCTTATAGTATGGCTGGGTTGGCAGCTGATTGGATTGTGCCCACACAGATTAAGGGTGGGTCTGCCTTTCCCAGCCCACTGACTCACATGTTAATCTTTTTTTTGGCAACACCCTCACAGACACACCCAGGATGAATACTTTACATCCTTCAATCCAATCAAGTTGACACTCATTATTAACCATCACAAGCCCACCCCTTGTGAACTTGAACCCACACACATCTCCTGAGATCATACATAGTCTTAAATTACAGACAATAGTAAGATCATAATTACCCCAACATAATAAACTATCCTTCCTACAACTGGAAATGCACCAATCCCCAACCCAAATACTATTACATACAGTAAACAATACTTAAATGCTGATATGAGGTCAGCAAATCGATGTCACCTGATAAAGAAAAGGGAAATGAAATGAAGATATTTTCTTAGTACAAGTGCATACATGCACAAATATGTTTTTAACAAAAGAAGAAGGAAATACTCATGATAGTTCCAGTCCTCATTTCTGCAGCTGGTCAGGTAGTCGTAGCTGGTATTGATAACTACTTTCTTCCACTATTCATTCTGTATTCCCTTTGCCTTCAGCAAGCACCTCAGCAGGTCGTGACCCGGAGAGGATCTGGACCATTTGTAGTCCTACCTGGATTGGGTGTAGTTTCCCATTTACCTTAATCAGAGTGCCTGATAATACCACGAGACGCCCTAATGGATCTCCTATATTCCATGCATACTCTTCCTCACTTCCGTTGTGGAGTGGCGGACTGACTTCATCTTGATAGTCTGGGTCAATCACTGCCGCCAACACTGTAACTCCATTCTTAGCTTGTTGACTTAAAGGTAGGAGGACCCCAAAGCGTCCAAGTGGCCATCTTAACTTCCAGTTTAATGGAATCGTTATTGTGTCTCCTGGTAGCAGCGCTCTTCCCTCTGGAGCTAAGATGACTAGTAAAGCAGAACCTAATGTCGTGGGAACAGAAAGCAAACATTTTGCTAGTGCATCATAGTGAGTGGTTCCACTTTCACATCCACCCCTTGAATCCTGGATCTGTGAATCCTGGCTATGGGAGAAACAATACCATACATTGGGCGCTGATTCAGAGCACACATGGTCTTCTGGAGTATGGTGCCCCGGCCCGGCAAAGTATTGTAACCTAGTTGACGTTGTAATCGCGACCTCAAAAGGCCGTCCCACCATTCTATCAATCCAGCTGCTTCAGGAAGATGGGGAATATGGTAAGACCAGTGAATTCCGTGAGCATGAGCCCACTGCCTCACTTCTTTACCTGTAAAGTGAGTGCTTGGTCAGAGGTAATGCTGTGTGGAATACCGTGATAGTGGATAAGGCATTCCTTGAGTCCATAAATGGTAGTCTTGGCAGAAGCATTGCATGCAGGTAGGCAAACCCATATCCGGAGTAAGTGCCTGTTCCAATGAGGACAAACCTCTCTCCTTTCCATGGTGGAAGAGGTCCAATATAATCAACCTGCCACCGGCTAGCTGGTCGATCACCCGAGTGAATGATGCCATACAAAGGGTTCACTGTTAGTCTCTGCTGCTGCTGGCAAATTGGGCACTCAGCAGTGGCCACAGAGAGTTCAGCCTTGGTGAGTGGATGTCCACAATGCTGAATCCATGCATAGCCTCCATCCCTGACACCATGGCCACTATGTTCATGGGCTCATTGGACAATGACAGGGGTGTCTGAGGAAAGAGGCTGAGTGGTATCCACAGAACGGGTCATCTTATCCACTTGATTATCAAAATCCTCCTCTGCTGAAGTCACTTGTTGGTCAACACTCACACAGGGTACAAATATCTTCAGTTTTTGACCACTCAGAGAGGTCCCTCTACATACTCTTTCTCCAAGTTTCTTTGTCACCAATTTTCCAATCATGCTTCTTCCAAGTCCCTGACCATCCAGCCAAACCATTGGCTACAGCCCATGAATCAGTATATAACCGCACATCTGGAAATATCTCCTTCCATGCAAAGTGCACAATCAGGTGCACTGCTCAATGTTCTGCCCACTGGGAAGATTGTCCTTCACCACTGTCCTTCAGGGATGTCCTAGAAAGGGGCTGTAGTGCTTCAGCCGTCCACTTTTGGGTGGTACCTGCCTATTGTGGAGAACCATCTGTGAACCAGGCCCTAGTCCTCCCTTCCTGTGTCAACTGCTCAAAGGCAAGTCCCCATGAGGTCATCAGTGCTGGCCGTGGGAGAGAAGGCAGGGTGGCAGGAGTAGAGACCATGCGCATTTGAGCCACTTCCTCATGTAACTTACTTGTGCCCCCCAGGACCTGCTTGAGCCCAATCACTTATACACCATTTCCATTTGATGATGGAATGCTGCTGTACATGACCCACTTTATGGCTACATGAGTCAGAAAGCACCCAGTTCACAATAGGCAGTTCAGGTCGCATGGTGACTTGTTGACTCATAGTCAAATGTTCAGTTTCCACAAAAGCCCAGTATAGGACAAGAGCTGTCTCTCAAAAGGAGAGTAGTTAACTGGAGAAGATGACCGGGCCTTGCTGCAAAATACTAGGGGCCTCCACCATGATTCACCTAAGGATGCCTGCCAAAGCCTCAAAGCAGCATTCCTATCTGCCACGGACACCTCAGGGGGACTCAGCCTCCCCTTCATTCAAGGGGTTCTGGGTCTGTAAACTGGCTCAAGGCTGGAAATTGATTGAGGGGCCATGAATCTCTGTTTTTATAACTCCAATTAGTCTTTTATCTGTTTGACCTTAAGTTTCCTCCTTACATAAATTAAGTAGGAATGCATTAGTCTTCCTGTCAGTTTCACTTCTAGGAAAACTGTGATTAGTTAGCCAATGCCAGAGCTCTACATGAGTCAGACTGTTCAGATTGCTGCTTTGTCTTTTCTGCCCATTACCGTAGCTACGCTCACCGTGCCTTTGAGGGTTGAGTGCTAACACTTGGCCCCTGCCACTTCAGGATCCAATTATTCCAAATTGTATTTAACTTTTGTAACTGAGTGACTGCAGTTCTCACCATTAGATCTGACATACAGAGAAGAGCCTTTACAGGGCTCTTCAAAGATGCAGGTGCTGTCCTCACAAATCTATTTTGCAAGGTGTTTGTCAAGGGTATTAGGTACAGAGTCACTAAACTCCTTGCCTCTCAAGAGCGATGATTCATTAGTGTCAAATGAATTTGTTTTGCATAGCTGTTTAAACCTTTCATGCCAAGAACTGTCAATGTTCTCTACACTATTAAAAGTAGAGTCCTTAGCATTTTGGGATCTAATCATATTTAGCAGCCAAATCCAGAAACCCCAAAACCAACAAAAGAACTCCAACCTTAATATTCTGTTCCTGCAGAACCATCCTGGTACCGAAATCTGTATTAGTGAGGGTTCTCTAGAGGGACAAAACTAATAAGTTCAATATATATATATGGGTTTATTACATATTAACTTACAGGATCACAAGGTCCCACAGCAGGCTGTCTGCAGGCATGAGGAGTGAGGAGTAAGGAAAGCCAGCTCGAGTCTCAAAACTAAAGAACTTGGAGTCCGATGTTCAAGGGTAGGAAGCATCCAGGACGGGAGAGAGATGTAGGCTTGGAGGCTGGGCCAGACTCACTTTTTCACTTTTTTCTGCCTGCTTTATATTCACTGGCAGCTGGTTAAATGGTGCCCATAGATTAAGTAGGGGGTCTGCCTTCCCCAGACTACTGACTCAAATATTAATCTCCTTGGACAACACCCTCACAGACACACCCAGGAGCAATGCTTACATCCTTCAATGTAATCAAGTTGACAATCAGTATTAACTATCACAGGATTACAGACCTGAGCCATCACACACAGTGTTATTGTATATTTCATACAATTTCCTGATTTTCCCATTTTATCTGTGACTTAATATAAGTTTTTCAGCTATGACCCCAAACTGATAGTACTTGAAAGCACATTCAAATGTATTTTGCAACAATTCATAACTGGCAAAATGTTGAGCCTTGTGGAAAGAGTCACCTTACTTCCCCGTCAGCTGTCAATTCCCCATCATTACTATCACTTCTGGGAGCACATTTTCCAAAACTCCTTTTCTCTCTATGGTTTCTTCAGAGTTGCTCCATGAGGTCACAATAAGTTACAACTAATTACTGTCATGAGATTGGGAAGTCAGAGTGGTGGATTCATGTACACTGACACCTGAAGTAAAACACATGCAGTTAGGTGTGGACTGGAGAATCACCTGGAGATGTGCTGCAGGCAGCTGAGAGCATCAGCACCCCCAGCCCTGGGCTTCCCAGACAGGACCGAGGATCATCACACAGTGTTCAGCACATACCACCAGGTGCAGGTGCACCATGGCTTCTGAAGTAGCACCTGAGAATCCCCTGTGTCTAGTACCTACTTCATGAATAACACTCCACAGGCTTCGGAAAGACTGTGGTTTAGACTCTAATTTATTCAACTTGAATAATTTCTCCTTGAAATACTGAGAATAGCTTCTCTTTTGCTGTACAAATTCCGATTATCCCATAACACAGACTCCTCAGCTGGACTTATCTCTCTTCTTTATTCAGTCAGGACAGGCATTGTCACGTCTTTTCTGCTGGGGATGAGGGCGAAAGAGGCTTAGGGTTCAGAGGAACCTCCTGACCTCCTCTAGGAAAATCTCCCAATGACTTTCCAAACCTGACTGAGTTTGAGAACTTCCCTCAGCAGATAGAGGCACCAGAAAGAGCATTGGGGCAGCCCAGCCTCACACATCTGCTTCCTTGGGGTTTATGTTATGACTTGTAACACTGTGGGAGAGGTACTGTCACTCTGTTGACAGTAATAAGTTGCAAAATCTTCAGGCTGCAGGCTGCTGATGGTGAGAGTGTAATCTGTCCCAGATCCACTGTCACTGAACCGAGAGGGAATCCCACTTTGCAGACTGGATGCAGCATAGATCAGGAGCTTAGGAGTTTTCCCTGGTTTCTGCTGATACCAATTTAAATTATTGCTAATGCCCTGACTCGCCCGGCAAGTGATGGTGACTCTGTCTCCTACAGATGCAGACAGGGAGGATGGAGACTGGGTCATCTGGATGTCACATCTGGCACCTGAAGTTGGAAACATAAAAACAAATATTCTTGCAATTAATCATGTTATCAGAGGACTTCCCTGAAGTTCCAGACAGTACTGAGCACACTGACCGAGTATAATCCTAGTGTTCTCCTTCCTTACCTGGCAGCCAGAGCACCAGGAGCCCCAGGAGCTGAGTGGGGGCCCTCACTTCTGTGCTGTGTCCTGACTGGGGCTGACTCCTGCACCGGGTGTGAACAGCCTATAAAAATTCTTCAGGGCAGGGGGCTGTGCTCTAGGAACAGGCAAATCAGCAGGGGATGGGGCAGGCTGAGCACAGCTGCAGGGCTGGCTCATCTCAGTAACTCAGCACACGGGCGCAGTATCCCCAGAGTCCCAGGTCAGACCAGGACAGCACAGATTTACCTTGAAAGAATACATTTCTCATTGGTGGCCATATGGTTACAGAACATATTTTTGGAGTGAATTTTCAAAATTTTAAATCAACCTAAGACTAGATTAAATAATATATTTATACTTGTATTAGGAGTGTATAGGAAAGCATCCTTTTTGGCAGAAAATTTACAATAAAGTAGTAGAATGTAGGGCTGTCAGAAATTTCAGTTAGTCTCAAAGGAATTTGATGAGTGTAAAAGTATTTAGTGCTATAATAACAATGTCTCTGTCGGTGTGAAATTGCTTCTTTTTTGAAATGAATATAAAAAGAATTTATCAGCAGCATCTTTAATAAATTAAATAGAATTTACTAACAAACTTAAGACATTGTTCCTAGGAGTAAAAGGAAAAACAATTCTCTGAAGATGCACAAAGATGATAACTGTGTCAGGCATAGATCTGCCATTATCCAGAGCTATGGGTCTCTTTAAGACCCAGGGGCTAAATGGGCTGCACCTTATTCTTGGCGTGATGATCCCCATATTCTATCTATCCCCTTTCCTGCCTTTGGTATAATTTCTTATGGTTCTCCAGCATGGAGAGCTGACTAGTAATACCAGGTGTCATTATTTCAACTAAAATCTCTGTTTCACTCGCTGACTATAGGAGCCTGGATTAAAATCAACTTGAAGCCCTCTATCAATCTAGGCTCAGATAGTCAATTGTTTCAAAGTAGGATGACAAAAGCCACATCCCCTGAGTAATGCTCTCAGCTGCGCTCCCCACCAGACTGTTCTTGGAGTCTCAGGAGCATCTGCCCTAGAGTCTGGCTTTCTGGAGAGCAGGTGAGGGGTGAAAAGCCAGGTCAGTGAACCTCTCTCCTTAGTGAGGGCAGCTGCTGCCCAATGCATGTTCTTGCCATGCACCAGGGCATCATACTGACCCAGATGCCAGCCACCCTGTCTCACATCCATTTAGAGAGAATCTCCATCTTCTGCCAAGACACTGCCCATGTAGATGAAAAAGTATTTTGCATCCAAACATATCTTAAGCACTGATTTGAACCTCAATACTTCACACAGATGCCTTTGTCCAGGGCATGTTGGCCTGGCTCAACAGCAGGGGAAGTGGAGCCAATTACATCAGTGTCAGTGGACTGAGAAATACTCCAGGGAGTAGTTCTCATGCACGACTACCAGTGGCCAGACCAAGGTAGTGCAGCCTGTGCACAAACCTCCTGCTGCTTTTCCAGAGGACTGGATTTCTGGGAAATGGCTACTGAACAGGCTGCCAGGATCCATATATCCAGATTCAGAGAGATACATCTCTGGATTCAAATGCGCTTTTTCTTTGTGCATAATTTTAGCAGTCATTGTTACTACGCCTTGGGGATTCTAGTCATTATACTTCAGCTGACTCTCTATGGCCCTTTCTCCCCTTCACTGCTCTATCTGAACCTGGGGAAGCAGCTCAGGCTGCAAATGAGGCAGACCTCATGGCCTGGAATTAGCATCCCCTAGGACGGCTGTCAATCAGTGATGACAAGGGAGGTGTACACATCCCCCAGCTCCCTCACCTCTCAGGTGGAATAACAGAGGCATTTTTCCTGTGTTTCTATGTGGGCTTGAGCTCTCGTCATCCTCAGAGGTGGCTCCTTCTGAGGCACCTTTCACTTTCCCTTTCCCTCCTCCCCTCCCTTGCTCACTTGCTTGTTTCCCGCACTTTGTAAATATACTGTCTACATGCGAATCTTTGGCATCCTTCTCACTGAGGGGACCCAACCTAATGCATTGGAAAAATCCTTATTCTTGGAGGGCATCGTTGGTTTGAATTATTGCCACTTCTCATGTTTTAATGCCTAGGGAAATTCCAAAAATTTAGGAAATATTTAAATTCCCTTTGCCAATCTTTCTTAGATTTGATTTTAGCAGAGATTCATTTTCTCTAGGTCACAAAATCACAGAAGCCTTCCACAAATGGCTACACAACATAGAGTCCACATAGAGCAGAGACTCAGAATCTCCCAGGATTTGACATCCACACATCAGACAGTCCTAGAGTCTCAGGTTTTTTCTAGGTCGATCGCCTCATAAATCTGCCTTGTGATATTTTTATTCTACCTTAGGGGAAGACCATTGTGTGGATGATGAGAGTTGTTTGTGGAATGAATAATACACCCACTAAAGACATCATTGTCCTAATATCTGGAATCTATGATCGTTACTTATGAATATGTCAAAAATAACTCGGCAGACATGGTTGAGAATTTTGGGGTCAGGAGAGTATCCTGAATTATCTGGGTGAGACCATCATAATCACAAGGGTCCTTACAATAGGGAGGGAGGAAGGTAACAGCCAGAGAGGACCTGGGACAATGGACAGGGAAACTGGAGTGGTGGAGGAACGGGCCAGGCTGCTAGGAATGTGGGAACATCAGAAAGACGGAATGCTCAATATTGGATTCTCTCTCTTGAAGCCTAGACTGAATAGAGCCCTATTACTCCTTGATTTTACTTCATTGAGACTTCTGACCTCCAGAAATGTAAGATAATACACTTGTGTTATGTGGAGCAGTAAGGTTGTGGTAATTTGTTACAGCAGCAACAGGAAACCAATGCAAGGGGAAGGGGTGTGTTTTACTTCCCTAGTGTATCACTGTCTTCTGTTCTCCCAAATAGTTCCGTGTTTTTGTGTTTGCTGTCAATCTCAACAAGAGACAGAAAATATTTTTCTATGAGGAGAGCTAGCACCACAATTCTTCTTATGTAGAGTGTCTTGAGTAATTCTCTGGGTTAGGTCTTGTACAATCTTAGTATCTGAGAGCCTGGAGGTCATCCCTCACAGCACATGAGAAGAGGAAGGGGATGCGGGTTTGCTGTTTTAACATTTGTGAGGCAAATTAGATGTACAAGACTCATTCTTTTTTTTATTATTATTATTGTTCTTTAAGTTCTAGGGTACATGTGCACAACGTGCAGGTTTGTTACATATGTATACATGTGCCATGTTGGTGTGCTGCACCCATTAACTCGTCATTTACATAAGGTATACCTCCTAATGCTATCCCTCCCCCCTCCCCCCACCCCACGACAGGCCCTGGTGTGTGATGTTCCCCTTCCTGTGTCCATATGTTCTCATTGTTCAATTCCCACCTGTGAGTGAGAACATGCAGTGATTGGTTTTTTTGTCCTTGCGATAGTTTGCTGAGAATGATGGTTTCCAGCTTCATCCATGCCCCTACAAAGGACATGAACTCATCCATTTTTATGGCTGCAAGCGAGGACTGAGTCAGAGAGATGGGGATGGCAGAGGAGAGAAAATGTGATCAGGGCCGTGTAAGATGTGACCCTGCTGCCATATCTGAAAGAAAGGCTGTTGGTGTTTGTAAAGGCTTTGGGCAAATTGTGCTTTGTAGACAAAACTGTAGAAGGGTCTGGGTTTAAGCTTAGTGTCAGCGTGATGAGGACTAGAGGTCGCAGTGAGCTTGTGTTAAGAAATCCAACCTGCACTTCTGGCTTTGTCTCTTTTCTGGTTTTATAGGTGGTGGGTTCCTCTATGGAATGAACGTGGCTCTGTGGAAGGAACATAGTTAAGGTCAGACAGACCTAGATTCCAAGTTCAGCTTCAACAACTGCTGACCAAGTGACTTTTATGCAAATCAGCCATGTGCTGTCATGAACAGTTTCCTCATGTGTGAAATGGAGCACTGGGGATGTGAAGGGGTGTCCTGAGGGTTCCGCCAGCTGATGCACCATGAAGTGTACATACATGTATAGACAGACACACACACATACATGAGAAGAGTATCTAGTGCCCCTTTTATGCATTCTGGAGTAACTCAGAATGTTATGTGAGATATTAACAGTCATATGTCATTTTCAACTAAAATTATCGATATTTATCTTATAACTAACAGATGCTTCTCTGTACACTGTAGGTTTCATGTACATTGCTTCAATCACAAAATTTTTCACTGATCTATTTATGTCTAGTATCAGAAAGTTAAGCAAGGAGATTGCAAACCAACACAACACCTTTAGTCTGGATTTTCCCGGAGCCCCATTTTTGTTAGTGTCCTTGGGCTACTGTAACAAGTTCTCAAAAATGTGGTAGCTTCAAACAACAGGAATGGAATCTCTCATAGTTCAGAAGTCCAGATCAGTTTCACTGGGCTAAGATCTTGGAGTCATCAGTTCTGGCTCCTTCTGAAGCTCTAGGGAGCAGTCTGATTTAGCTCTTCCAGCTTCTGGTGGCTTCTCTCTCCCGGGATGTGGACACATCACTGCAATCTCTGTCTCTGTGTTCACATTGCCTTCTCCACTTCAGTCTATGCTAAATGTGTCTCTACCTCTTGTTTTTTTTAGGACACTTGAGTTTGCATTTAAGTCCCAGTTGATTAATCTAAGACCATCTCCCTGTTTCAAGCTCCTTAATTTACACCTGCAAAAGCTGTTTTCCCAAATGAGATACATGCGTAGTCTTCTTGGAATGAAACCTCACTATTTGGGGATGATACTCAGTACTACACCATTACATAACCAGGTCTCAGTGTTAGTCCTGTACATACATCACAATCTCTCTCTCTCTCTCTCTCTCTCTCTCTCTCTCTCTCTCCACACACCCTGGCTTCCTAGTTTTCTCAATGTCATAAATCTCTTCAATTCCTTAAGTGTATCCAGTGATACCTATAAACAAATAAGTATCTGAGAAAAGTCTCAATCAGTTTAGAAATTTATTTTGTCAAAGTTAAAGAAATATCAGTGAAACAGCCTCAGGAGGTCTTGAGAAAGTGTGTCAAAGGTCGTTGGGCTACAGGTTGATTTTACACGTTTTCGGGAGACATAAGATATCAATCAATACGTGTAAGCTGTACATTGCTTTGATATGGAAAGACAGGACAGCCCAAAGGAGGGGGGATGTTGGGGACTTCCAGGTCATAGTTGGATTCAAAGATTTCATAGGTGGTTGAAATAGTTTATTTAATGACCTGTAATCAACACAAGGGAGTTTCTGGGTTTAGAAAAAGGGTTTTGGAGCCAAGATTGCATCATGCAGATGAAGCCTCCAGGTAGCAGGCTTCAGAGAGAATAGATTGTAATTGTTTCTTAGTAGACTTAAAAGGTGCCAAACTCTTAGTTAAATCTCTCTGGGTCAGGAAAGAGACTTAAAAAGGAATCTCTACAGAATGTAGATTTTTCCCACAAGAACCAGCTTTGCAGAGGCATTTTTAAATACATTAAATAACAATATCTTGGGGAAAATACTTTGATTTCTCTTAGGACGTGGTATCTGTCACATTGGTATCTTATTGGTATAAAGAGTTTTCTTTGTCAGTCTCAAGGTCTCTGTCTTCATATTAAAAGCTGGTCAGTTGTGCCTGAATTTTAAAGGGAAGAGGGTAAGTTAAGGCATATCCAATCATCCATTCCGATCATGGACTGCATTGTATTTCAAGTTGATTTTGGTGTGTCCTTGGCTGAGAGGAGGAGTTCATTCAGTTGGTTAGGGAGCTTAGAGTTTCATTTTTGGTTTACGCACCTATGTCCAGGTAAGAGGGCCCCACACAGGAGGGCTTGCTCAGAAACTGGCTTGCAGGGCTGCTTACAGACCTTCTATGTCTCCTGTTGTCATGCACAAGGAAGGACACAGACAATGACAACCCTCAGCCATCCGGGGAGAAGTTGTGTCTGCAGAGGACGGTCATGAGCTGTGAGTCTAGAGACCTGTGATTGTCTTCAGGGGCCTGTGGTCCTCGGCTTTCATAGGAGTTGTGGGGGCACTGGCTCAAATAGCATCCACCAGGATTCCAATCAGAATATCTCATTCACAGAAGGCAGTGGGTGATATGACAGCACAGAGGGACTCTGTGGGGCCAGCTGCATGGAGCACTCTGGGAGAGTCACTGGCACCCGTGCTAGACAGAGCTTCTTTCAACTTCTGGAGCACACGGATTTAGATCTCTTTACATCATTTTGAAAGACTATTTATCATTCTGAAGGAAACCACTGTAATTAACTAAGGTAACATCTTTAATAGGTAGAAAGAAAAAAGTGATTATTTTATTGCCAAGATGATTACAAGAAAAGAAACACACAAAAATAGCATGAAGGAAAGAGCAACCCTAGACTGACGACTTTGGGTAAGAGGTTGAGACTTAGTAGTGAATGCCCTGGGCCATCTTCTGTCAAAAGGGAGGGACAATCAGCAAAGGGAAATACGCAGTAGAGGCAAAATCTTGGTTAGTAAAAGAATCCTAAGAGAAAACAAGAAGTCTCCTTCCTCAGCATCATGTTGGTGTCAGGAAGATGCACATAATCCCCCCATTGCATGTCTTACACTTTTCAGCAATTAGGGCTCAGCATGAATTTAGAAGACACCATTCACTTCACAGCAGATGGGGACACAGTCAAGGCAGCGGTGAGAGGCAAGGCTGGGCTTTCAGTCTCAGAGCACAGAGCAGGTTCCCCACTACTCTGCACCCTGCTGTCTCCTCCCAGATGTTCCAGATGTTCCACCTCATTCTTGCCTTAAGGGCTCCAAGTTGTTAATGGGACAGTAGCCCTCTTCCTTTCCCAGGGTTTCTAAGAATTTGGCTCTCTTTTGTGTATTGTGGGGTTTGTTTGCCATCTAGAGGCAGGATTTTGGCATAGCAACTTACAGGCTTTTTCTACTTGTGATAGCGAAAATAAATACATAAATAAATTCAGTCAAATAAATTGACTTAATGCATTGAATCTGTAAAAAAAAAATAAGGTCAGTTTGAGAGCTTAAAAGGAGCCTGATGAGGTTAAAAAGAAAATTACCTTTAGTAAAGAACAGTTGGAGCAATAGATGATTCTTTCTTTAATCAATGACATTTTAGGAGTAATTATAAAATGGTAAATAAAACTTGAAATAAGCTGATAAAATATAATTTTATATGCAAAAAAAATTTCCAAGAACCATACAAATACATTTTCAGATTAAAACAAACAAAAAATGTGGGTTTATCATCAGATCCGCTAAATGGAAGATTTCTCAAATGTGTGCTTGGAGCAAAAATAACACTTATTCCTATTTGAAAGTTCAAGATTTTTGAGCTTTAGAAGAAAATAGCTTTCCCTTCACTCTGTTCCACTCATGCTTCTGAGGATGGCCTTGGGACAAAAAGCCGCTGCGGCAGGGGTCAAAAAGCCGCGACGGCGGGGGGGCAAAAAGCCGTGGCGGCGGGGGGCAAAAAGCCGCGGCGGCGGGGGGCAAAATGCCGCGGCGGCGGGGGGCAAAAAACCGCAGTGGGGAAAAAGCCGCGGCGGCGGGGGGGTCAAAAAGCCGCGGCGGGCAAAAAGCCGGTGCAGCGGTGGGCGGCAAAAAGCCGCGACGTCGGGGGGCAAAAAGCCTTGGCGGCGGGGGTGCAAAAAGCCGCGGGGGGCAAAAAATCGCGGCAGCGGGGGGGCAAAAAGCCGTGGCAGCGAGGGGCAAAAAGCCGTGGCGGGCAAAAAGCCGCGGCAGTCGGGGGCAAAAAGCCGCGGCAGGCAAATAACCGCGGCACCGGGGGGTGGGGGCAAAAAGCCGCGGTGGCAGGGGGGCAACAAGCCGCGACCGGCAAAAAGCCGCGGCGGCGGGGGGCAAAAAGCCGCGGCGGCGGGCGGCAAAAAGCCGCAACGTCGGGGGGCAAAAAGCCGCGGCAGTGGGGGTGCAAAAAGCCGTGGCGGGCAAAAAGTCGCTGCGGCGGGGGGCAAAATGCCGCGGCGGCGGGGGTTCAAAAAGTCGTGGTGGCGGGGGTGCAAAAAGCTCCGGCGGGTAAATAACCGCGGCACGTGGGGGGGGGTGGTAAAAAGCCACGGCGGCGGGGACGCAAAAAGCCGCGGCGGGCAAAACGCCGAGGAGCGGTGGGGGCAAAAAGCCGCGGCGGCGGGTGGGCAAAAAGCCGCGGCGACGGGCGGTAAAAAGCCGCGGTGGGGAAAAAGCCGCGGCGGCGGGCAGCAAAAAGCCACGGTGGCGGGTGGCAAAATGCCGCGGCGACGGGGGGCGAAAAGTCTCGGAGAGTAAAAAGCCGGGGAGGGGCGGGGGGGGGGGGCAAAAAGCCGCGGCGGCGGAGGGCAAAATAGTGGAGATGGGGTAGAAGGCCGGCACAGCTTGGCATTGCTGGAGTGTGATGTGATAGGAAATGTGCAGCCAAAGACAAAAAAAGATGTAAGTAGGCTTGACTCATTGCAGCCAAGAACCCAGATGTTGCCTTGAGGGTATTAACTAATAAGCAGTTTAAATCAGAATGGCACATTCTGATTTGTTTTTTGTATGTTCACATTTGGCAGGCATAGATACTGTTTGAAGAGAGAAAAGTCAGTAGATAGAGGTAACAAAAATATGTGCCAAATCTAGAAACAAGAGACCAGGGGGATAAGAACCTTTCAAAATAAAATGCAAGATTTGAAAACTGATTGGCTGGGGGATGAGGAAAAGGCAGGTCTTTAAGGTCAATCCCTGTTTTGCTTTAAGTTGTTAGGGGGTGGTTTTATCACATATTGTAGAATATGTCATTTCAGTTTTGAACATCTTGAGTTAAATTGTCCTAACATATCTTATGAATTTGATTTTCTTCCCTGGGAAGCTAATATTTCAAAAACTTAAAGAGTATATAGATTTCCAACTTGTATCCAATTTATAAAACTGTCTCTAGGCTGCTGATTTCAGGAGGAGGCTCATGAATATTCTCTTTGCAGAGAATATATCAGGAGTTAACAACAGCTTCAATATTTGTGGACAACCAGTTAACTAAGCCACCTCTTAGTGTATTTAGATGGGAAATCTTAGCTGAAGATATTCAATAATGAACCAACAGTGACTAAAAAATTCAATATTTAAGTATATTTCATTGTAATTAATTTGAATTGAAGTAGCCACACACAGCTAGTATTTACTACATTGAACAATGCAAATAAGAGGAAAAAGTTAATAACCATCTCTAATACCACATGCCAAAATCCTCATCAATTTTTTCTAGCTAAAGAAGTTGATCAGAAGCAGCAGTTGAAAGCACCAACTAAACCAGCTGGGGTTAGTTCACTGTCATTCTCTCAGAACCATCTCTTCTCTGAATAAAACAAGTACAAGAGTTCACTGTGAATCTCCATTCTCCTTGCCTATTTTAAGGTTTTGATGTTGACACTAATTTGTGAAATCCCTCCTGTGGTGTGATATTTCGTTTTCCTTGCTTTCTGTTAGGACAAGAATGCTTCAGCTCTTAATTTAAAATTATGTTTCTCCCTCCTATGTTGAGTGAACTTAGAATGCATTCTCTGACATATCCAAGTTTTTGTTAATATGAGTTTGGGGAAAAAAGCATACTTAATTAGCTAAGACTTCTTATTCTAGGCTTGACCCTGTGTTCGACATCTATTGAATTTGTAGTTGCATGGGCTGCTCTCTGACACTGGTTACTGACCTGGAAGCTCTATTAATGTTAGGGGAGGTGGTGTATGAGCATTAGAGGTATCCTTGCAAGGAAAGACTTGTCTTATCTCAATACGTCTTTTTTTTGCACACAAGAAAGTCAATGTCTGAGTCTTCTAAAATCTTCCTATTTCCAAATTGCAGATTATGATTGATTCCTAAACAAATACCTAATTTTTGACTCAGAGACGTGGCAAGGTAGTGAATCACCATTATAATTTAACAATCTTCAAGATAAAATTATCTCTCTGATACTTAGATTTTGCCCAATTATTAAGATATTTGGGTGTTTCATTAAGAATGGAAGACTCTAGTGTCTTGAGCAGAGACTATAAAGGCCTCAGATGATCATTTTTTATTTTATGCTTTTTTCTTTAACACCTTCAACACAGTTGGAAGCAGCTGATATTCCCCAGAGTTGTTGTGTTTTTTAAACCAAATGCATGGTTCAGTGGTAGAAAACTGGGCTGACCCAAGCTGTTTTCAGTAAACATTTCAGGTGACCTATTTCATATTAAATAATCTCTAGATCCTGTCTTCGAAACTAACTAGATCAGGTAACCTACCCTGGATTTTCTCCTTTTAGTGTCTGTGAGCTGCAGTCACTTTTGTGAAAATGATTGCAGTGACAAGATAGAGTTGTAGATAGGGAAAATGTTTTGACTAATTTAAGCATAGTGGTATTTCATATGAGAATTTAAGTTACACACGTTTGAAAATTATATTGGAGTCTCTTTGCTGAGCTTTAAAAAAAATAGCGTTTAGGCTAAACAGGGAACTGCTACCTCTCCTAAAATCAGAAAGATGTTACAGTAATTCTCCATTCTCTAGATTATCAGGAAGCACCTTTGTGATTATTTACTTTTGTTCTTGGGAGTGTGAGCCCGTGTAGTCGTGGAACCATCAATTAGAATGGTGGCTTTCTGATCCCAAAGTCATTCGTTCTGAAAACAATATTTTTCATAAATTTGAAAGTGAGAAGTCTTGATCTTGCCATTCCCAAGTAACTCTCTTAATAAGAGGCATCAGCATGCTTCAGTGACAGCTGTCACTTTCCAGTGCTCAGAGTCATCTTTGAGTTCTCCATTTCATTCCCTACACTCCAATTTAGCTGCAGTTCTCTTGGCCAGTCCTATGAAATACATCCATGGCCTAACGACTTCTCACCACTAATACCACTCATCCTGACAGCATTCTCACCTAAGTCACTGCCTTTTTTCTCTGGATTACAATAGCCTCCTAATTTATTTGCTCACATAACCTATTTATTCTACACGGTGCACCAGATACACCCCTTTGAAATGCAAACACAATCATGTTATTCTCTGCTGAAATTATCTCATATATTCCTATTGCATTTAAAATTAATTCAGAATAATCCCATGATTATCAAAACCCTACATGCTCTTCCACAACATGGTTTACTTCCAAGATATCTCTTCAACTTTTTTTTCACTGTACTGAATTGGTGACTAATAATCATATTTTTGTTTTTGCTCAAAAAGTCTTGACTTGTAAATTTTTCAGTTTCTCCTTTATCCACAGGTAACTCTTTCCTCGTAAGGCGAATTGCTTGCTTCCTTGATTTCTGCTCTCAAAGATACCCTTTATTTTCTACCTAATATTAATAACTTTAATCATTCATTATTCCATTACTATGCTTTATAGTGTATACAATTTCTGTTCTTTGTCATGTTATTAACTAAATTATTTATTTGGTCCAGTAACGTATTCCATAAATATTGCACACATAAAAATTATGTTATTTTTATTGCTGTATGCTCAGCTGCCCAATAACAGTCTGAGGATTAACATATTTGTTAAATGCACAAATACATTCTTTCACAAATGTCAGCTTAATAATTTTATATTAAACTCCCTCTATACTTACAATATGAATTAGATAATTCAGAATAAACACTCCATTGGAAAAAACTAAACAATTTGTTATAAAACATCCTTAAAAGCATCAGAAAGTTAACACAGCAATGAAGAATTACAGGACCAAATTAAGAATGGTATGGAAGCCTGTTTATGAGGCTTATGTTTGGGTTATCTCTTTACTTAGAGTGACTATAAATCTCAAAAAAGAACTAAAGGCAGAAATAACCATATCAACTCACATGGTAAGGGTATTTAAACATCTCTTCGTAATTGAGATAATTGAAAGAAAAGAGAAAGGGAGAAAGAGAAACAGAGCAAAAGGGATAATGAAGGAGAGACAGAAGAAGAGAAAGGAAGAGGAAGAAAAGTAAAAAGGAGGAGGAGGGGGAGGGAGGAAGAAAGAAAGGTGAAAAGAAAGAATGCTAAAGTTTTCAACAACATAATTTATCCTTTTAGAATATGAATGTTGATCTATTTGATGATGTCCCACAGATTCATTAGTCTCTGCTCATTTTTTATCTGTTTCTGAGAGTCAATATTTTCCATTTTCTTATCTTCAAGCTCATGTCTTCTTCTGTGTGTGCAAATATACTCTTAAATCCCTCTGGTGATTTTTAAATTTTTATCGTTGTAGTTTTCCGCTCCAGAATTTGTTATCTCTGTTGATATTCCTACTTTTTAATATTTGTTCTGATTCCTTGATTTCTTTGTTTATGTTTTCCTTTTGACATTTGAGTATAATGAAGAGAGTTGTTTTAAAGTCTTTGTCTAGTAAGTTTGATGTCTGGGTTTCCTTAGAGATATTCTCTGTCAATTTGTTTTTTTTCTTTGAATGAGCCATACTTTCCCATTCTTTGTATGCCTTGTAACTTTTTTTGAAAACTGGACATTATAATAATTACAATTACTATGTGGTTACTCTGTAAATCAGAACCCCCCCTACAAACACAGTAATGTTTTGTGGTTTTAAATTTTCTTTTCTTATTATATTGTTAAGGATTTTTTTTAGTGAAATTTTCCAAAGTGATTTACAAAACTGTTTGCTTTATAAGGTGTGGTCACCAAAGGCTTTTTGTTTCCTTAACAAATGTTAAGCTAATGTTTTGACAGTGATTTTCTTGTATGTCAGGAACTAAGAAAACAGGCAAATACAACAAAAACAAAGAAAAACAAGTAATCATTATCCAGCAAAATATGTCTCTAGGCCATGCAGACTAGCTTTGTGCTGGGTTCTTTAAAGCCGCCACAAAGTGTGCGTTCACTCTTGCACTGAGTGAAGTTCAAGTTCACTCTTGCACAGAGCTTGCACTGAGGGGAGGGATCGGCCAAGGTAAAAGTGTAGGGTCTTCTTATGTCATTTTTCAGCATATGGCTTAACCTATGCATACATGTGACTTTCTAGACTCTCCCATGTACGTGAATGATTTTGAATGTCTTAGTTTTCCAAATACTCTTCTCCAACTTTTCTTCCTGTGCTGAAGGTGATCTACTATATGTGTAAACTCTAATTTTTGCCCTAAGCATCCGTGGTTTGTTAGGTCTCCTTGCAGAGTTTCTTAAAAATGTCCATTCCTTATATGTTCTTTATTCTAGCAACACAGAAAAAAACAGCCTTTCATGAGTCCTTTAGATATCCCCCAGACCTGTCTGAACAGACACTCGAATCCATTCGATGATTCCACTCGATTCCATTTGATGATGATTCCATTCGACTCCATTCGATTCCATTCGATTCCATTTGATGATGATTGCATTCGATTCCATTCGATGACGATTCCATTCGATGATTGCATTCGATTCCATTTGATGATTCAATTCGATTCCATTCGATGATTATTCCGTTCGATTCCATGTGATGATTCCATTTGATGCCATGCGATGATGATTCCATTTGATTCCATTCCATGATTCCATTCGATTCCATTCGATGATGATTCCATTTGATTCCATTCGATGATTCCATTCAATTCCATTCTGATTTCATTCAATTCCATTCAATGATTATTCCATTCAATTCCTTTCAATGATTCCATTCAATTACATTCAATGATGATTCCATTCGATTCCATTCGATGATGATTGCGTTCGATTCCATTCGATGATTCTTTTCGATTTCATTCGATGATGATTCCATTCGATGACTCTATTTGATTTCATTCGATGATGGTTCCATTTGATTCAATTCGATTTGTTCCATTCAATTCCATTCGATGTTTCCTTTCAATACCATTCGATGATGATTCCATTCGATTCCACGTGATGATGATTCCATTCGATTCCATGAAATGATGATTCCATTCGATTCAATTCCATGATTCCATTCGATTCCATTCGATGATGATTCCATTCGATTCTATTCGATGATTCCATTTGATTCCATTGGATTATTCCTTTTGATGATGACACCATTCGATTCCATTCGATGATTCCATTTGATTCCATTCGATGATCCCATTCGATGATTATTCTATTCGATTCCATTGGATGATTCCATTCAATTCCAGTTGATTATTCCATTCAATTTCATTCGGTGATGATTCCATTCGAGTTCATTCGATGATTACATTTGATTCCATTCGATGATTCCATTCGATTCCATTCAACGATGATTCCATTTGATTCTATTGGAAGAAGATTCCATTCTATGATGATTCCATTTGATTCAATTCGATGATGATTCCATTCGATTCCATTCAATGATTCCATTCAATTCCGTTCGATGATGATTCCATTCAATTCCATTTGATGATTCCATTCGATTCCATTCAATGATGATTCCATTTGATACCATTGGATGTCTCCATTCGATTCCATTCGATGATGATTCCATTCGATTCCATTTGTTGATTCCATTTGATTCCATTTTATGATTCCATTCTATGATTCCATTCGATTGCATGGGATGATTCCATTCGATGATGACACCATTCGATTCCATTCGAAGATTCCATTCTATTCCATTCAGTGATTCCATTTGATGATTATTCCATTCAATCCCATTCGATGATTCCATTTGCTTCCATGTGATGATGTTTCCATTCTATTCCATTCCATGATTCCTTTCGATTCCATTCAAAGATGATTCCATTCATTTCCATTCGATGTTTCCATTTGATTCCATTCGAGGATTCCATTTGTTTCCAATCGATGTTTATTCCATTCGATTCATTTTGACGATTCCATTCAATTCATTCGTTGATGATTCCTTTCGATTCCATTTGATGATGATTGCATTAGATTCCATTCGTTGATGATTCCTTTCGATTCCATTTGATGATGATTGCATTCAAATCCATTCAATGATTCTGTTCGATTCCATTCGATGATTTTTCCATTTGATTCCATTTGATGATTGAGTTCGATTATGTTCTATGATTCCATTCACTTCCATTTGATGATGATTCCATTCGATTCCATTTGATGTTTCCATTTGATTCCACACGATGAGGATTCCATTTGATTCCATTCAATGATTCCATTTGATTCCATTCAATGATGATTCCACTCGATTCCATTCGATGATTCCATTCGATTCCATTCGAGGATTTCATTTGATTCCATTTGATGTTTTTTCCATTCAATTCCTTTTGATGATTCCATTCGATTCCATTCGATGATGATTCCATTCGATTCCATTCGATGATGATTCCATTAGATTCCTTTCAATGATTTTTTTCGATTTCATTCTATCGTGATTCCATTCAATGATTCCATTTGATTCCATTTGATGATGATTCTGTTCGGTTCCATTCAATTTATTCCATTAGATTCCATTTGATGATTTGTTTCAATACCATTCAATGATGATTCCATTCGATTCCATGTGATGATGATTCCATTTGATTCCATTTGATTATTCCATTCGATTCCATGCGATGATGATTCTACTCAATTCCATTTGATGATTCCATTCAATTCCATTCAATGATGATTCCATTTGATTGCATTCCATGATTCATTTCAATTCCATACGATGATGATTCCATTCGATTTCATTCGATGAATCCATTCAATTAAATTCGAGGATTCCATTCGATTCCATTCAATGATTATTCCATTCAATTCCATACTATTATGATTCCATTCAATTCCATTCGATGATGATTCCATTCGATTCCATTCGATGATTCCATTTTATTCCATGTGATTATTATGCCATTTGATTCCATTCCATGATTCCATTTGATTCCATTTGATGATAATTCCATTCGATTCCATTCCATGATTCCTTTCAATTCCATTCTAGGATTTCATTTGATTCCATTTGATGATTATTCCATTCGATTCCTTTTGAAGTTTCCATTCAATTCCACTCGATGATGATTCCATTCGATTCCATTCGATGATGATTGCATTCGATTCCATTTGATGATTCTTTTTGATTTCATTCGATGATGATTCCATTCGATTCCATTCAAATATGATTCCATTCGATTCCATTTGATTCCATTCGATGATTCCTTTTGATACCATTCAATGATGATTCCATTCGATTCCATGTGATGATGATTCCTTTCGATTCTATGCGATGATGATTCCATTCAATTCCATTCGATGATTCCATTTGATTCCATGTGATGATGACTCAATTCGATTCCATTGGACAACTCCATTTGATTCCATTCCATGATGATTCCATTCAATGATTCCATTCGATTCCATTCAATTATTCCATTCGATGATTCCATTCGATTCCATTGGATGATTCCATTTGATGATGACACCATTCGATTCTGTTCGATGATTCCATAGAATTCCATTCGATGATTCCATTTGATGATTATTAAATTCGATTCCATTGGATGATACCATTCATATCCATTCGATGATGATTCCATTCAATTCCATTCGTTGATTCCATTTGATTCCATTCGATTATGATTCCATTTGATTCCTTTTGATGATTCCATTTGATTCTATTCAATGATTCCATTTGATTCCATTTGATGATGATTCCATTCGATTCAATTAGATAATGATTCCATTCATTCATGATTCCATTTGATTCCATTCGATGATGATTCCGTTCAATTCCATTCGATGATTCCATTTGATTCCATTTGATGATGATTCCATTTGTTTCCATCTGATGATTCCATTCTATTCCATTCGATCATGATTTCATTCGATTCCATTGGATGACTCCATTTGATTCCATTTGATGATGATTCCATTCGATTCCATTCAATGATCCCATTCAATTCCATTCTATTATTCCATTCGATTCCATTCGATTCCATTGGATGATTCCATTCAATGATGACACCATTCGATTCCATTCGATGATTCCATTCAATTCCATTCGATGATTCCATTTGATGTTTATTCCATTCGATTGCATTTGATGATTCCATTTGCTTCCATGTGATGATGTTTCCATTCGATTCCATTCCATGATTCCATTTGATGATGATTCCATTTGATTCCATTTGATGATTCCATTTGATTGCATTCGAGGATTCCTTTTGATTCCATTGAATGATTATTCCATTCGATTCCTTTCGATGATTCCATTCGATTCCATTCAATGATTCCATTCGATTCCATTCAATGATTCCATTCGATTCCATTGGATGATTACATTCGATGATGACACCATTCCATTCCATTCGATGATTCCATATGATTCCATTCAATGATGCCATTCGATGATTATTCCATTCGATTCCATTGGGTGATTCCATTCGAATCCATTTGATGATGATTCCATTCAATTCCATTCGTTGATTCCATTTGATTCCATTCTATGATGATTCCATTTGATTCCATTCGATGATTCCATTCGATTCCATTCAATGATGATTCCATTCAAATCAATTTGATAATGATTCCATTCAGTGATGATTCCATTCGATTCCATTCGAAGATGATTCCTTTTGATTCCTTTTGATGATTCCATTGATCCATTTGATGATTCCCATCGATTCCATTTGATGATGATTCCATTCGATTCCATGTGATGATGATTCCATTCGATTCCATCAGATGATTCCATTCGATGATGACACCATTCGATTCCATTTGATGATTCCATTCGATTCCATTAGATGATTCCATTCGATGTCTATTCCATTCGATTGCATTTGATGATTCCATTTGCTTCCATGCCATGATGTTTCCATTTGATTCCATTCCATGATTCCATTCGATTCCATTCGATGATGACACCATTCGATTCCATTTGATGATTCCACTCGATTCCATTTGATGTTTCCATTCAATGATTATTCCATTCGATTCCATTGGATGACTGCATTCGATTCCATTCGATAATTGTTCCATTCAATTCCATTCGATGATTCCATTCGATTCCATTCGATGATGATTCCATTCGATTCCATTCTATGATTCCACTCGATTCCATTCGATGATGATTCCATTCGATTCCACTCGATGATTGCATTCCCTTCCATTCGAGGATTTCATTGGATTCCATTCGATGATTATTCCATTCGATTCCTTTCAATGATTCCATTTGATTCCATTCGATGATGATTCCATTCGATTCCATTCAATGATGATTCCATTCAATTCCATTCGATAATTCCATTCGATTCCATTCGATGATGATTCCATTCTATTCCATTCCATGACTCCATTCGATTCCATTCGATGATTATTCCATTCAATTCCATTCGATGATTCCATTTGATTCCATGTGATAATGATTCCATTAGATTCCATTCCATGATTCCATTCGATTCCATTCATTGATGATTCCATTTGATTCCATTCGATGATTCCATTCGATTCCATTCTAGGATTTCATTCGATTCCATTCAATGATTATTCCATTCAATTCCTTTTGATGATTCCTTTTGATTCCATTCGATGATGATTCCATTCCATTCCATTCGATGATTATTCCATTTGATTCCATTGGATGATTCCATTCGATTCCATTCAATGATGATTCCATTCGATTCCATTTGATTTATTCCATTCGATTCCGTTCGATGTTTCCTTTCGATATCATTTAATGATGATTCCATTCGATTCCTTGTGATGATGATTCCATTCGATTCCATGTAATGATGATTCCATTCGATTCCCTTCCATGATTCCATTCAATTCCATTGGATGATGATTCCATTCGATTCCATTTGATGATTCCATTTGATTCCATTCAATGATTCCATTCGATGATTATTCCATTTGATTCCATTGGATGATTCCATTCAATTCCATTCGATGATGATTCCATTTGATTCCGTTTGATGATTGCATTCTATTCCATTCGATGATGATTCCATTTGATTTCATTCGATGATGATTCCATTCAATTCCATTCGATGATTCCATTCGATTCCATTTGATGATTCCATTTGATTCCATTCAATGATGATTCCATTCGATTCCATTCGATGATGATTCCATTTGATGATGATTCCATTCGATTCCATTCGATGATGATTTCATTTGAGTACATTTGATAATGACTCCATTCAAGTGCATTCATTGATGATTCCATTCGATTCCATTTGAGGATGATTCCATTCGATTCCATTCAATGATGATTCCATTCGATTCCATTCAATTATTCCATTCAATTCCATTCAATGATGATTCCATTCGAGTCCATTCGATGATGATTCCATTCAAGTCCATTTGATGATGATTCCTTTCGATTCCATTCGAGGATGACTCCATTCGATTCCATTCGATGATGATTCCTTTCGATGATAATTCCATTTGAGTCCATTTGATGATGATTCCATTCCATTCCATTCCACTATATTCCATTACATCCGATTCCATTCCACTCCGTTCCACTCCTCTCCACTCCACTCCATTCCATTCCATTCCATTCCATTCCATTCCATTCCATTCCATTCTATTCCACTGCTTTCCATTCCATTCCTTTCTTTTGAGAGTGTCTCACTCTGTCACCCAGCCTGTAGCGCAATGGCACAATCTCAGCTCCCAGTCCATTCCATTCCACTCCACTCCATTCAATTCCATTAGATTCAATTCCATTCCATTCCATTCGAAAAAGAAAAAGAGTTGCAAAGTCATACTCACTTTTCTGTTCTTGTCAGACAGTTAAGGGTTCTTTGAATACTCCAGCCCTAATAATTTTCTTCCTAACATACATATTGCAGTGATTATCTAATTTTAAATATATTTTTGTTTCAACACCTAATTTTTTATTTAGATCTATCTGTATGTTTACAATATATTTTGCTCTGTGTTCACTCTTTGATTTCAGAACTTCAACATTTCTGAAGAATATTTTCAGAGATTCTCTTTAGTTTCTTTAGTGGAATTCTGCTGGTGGCATTTTGTTTTCTGTCTCTAAATATGTTATTTAGCCATAGGTTGATGAATATTTTTCTTCGTTGAGAATTTCAGAATGGCATTATTATTCTTAGCAAATAATATTGTTTATTTTACCTTTCATTTTTTCAGATTTCAATATAACTAAAAGTAATTTCATTTTTCTAGTGCTAATTGAAATATTTTTCCCTTCCTGGTTGTTTACTATTTCTCTAGGAGATACATAGGTGTAGGTTTATCTCCATTATAGCTTGCTTAGCATGCATAGAATTTTTGAATATGCAGATTAGTGTCTTACAAAAGTCTAGAGAACTTTCACCCAAAATATCATCACATATTGTCCCTTCCCAGTTCCCTTCTTCTATGAGAACACTCACTAAACACATGCTACACTTTCTCACTGTATCTTCCATGTCTCTTCATCATTCTGTCCACATTTTCCTTTTTTTTAAATTTTCTGTAATGCATTCTGAAATATTTATGAACTCTCACCATAGTCATGTCTAATCTGATGAGTTCATTTTTGAGTTTTTAATTTAAAATAACTATATTTTTATACAAACTTCTTTTCAAATTTGCTACATCAATTTTTTAGTCTCCTAACAATATATTCTTTTTTAAAAAAATTTTTGAAAGCAAATGTGCTTTATAATCTAAGTGATAGATCTACTAAGGAACCTTTGTGGATCTGTTTGTACTCCTTTTCTGCTTTCCTTTCAAATGGTGGAATATCATTTCCTTGCATACTTAGATGCCTTTGAATGACAAATATTTATTTTTCTCTGAAAATTATTTTTGTGCACTTTTGAGGATTTGTAAGTAGAAAATTTGCCAAAGAGAATTTGAATTTTTTTGTGATTCTACTAAAGGCACCACCATTCTGGGACCACATTATGTTAATTCTTGGCCTAAAGGGATTTGGACGTATGTTTGGGTTGCACATTTAAACAATTTTTAAATTACTTGCTCTAAATCATTAGTGATTGAGTTTCTTTAAATCTGTCCAATCTCAAGTCATTTTTATTTGCCATTTCCAGGGAATGTGAAATGGGACTAATTTACCTCTGATTCTTCTTTATACTCAGGATATAAATTTTGGTCCTAGCTTTAGGGAGGAGCTCCTGTGTGATGCTCTATCTTGGGAAAAACTATGTATTTCTTTACTGTCTTATGTGATGTATGACAGTAGGAATCTGCACTCATTCATTTTGGTACACGTCCATAAGGCAAAATCAGTTTCGGTGTTTAGTTATATTTTGTCTGCTCCCTGCATTCCCATGGTTTTGACCTTATATTTTACTTTTTTTGTGAACATACCAGTGCTTCAATTTTTTTCCAGTAATATATTCAACTGCATTATGAGAAAGAGAAAAATTTTGATAAAACACAAATTTCATGTTTTCCTTCTCTAATTGGCTTTTACTTAAAATTACAGGTAAAATTTGTTTGTGCTTTTTTGCTATTTCTGTTTTACTATTCTCTGTTTGTCTATGTCTTCTCCACATAGACACAATTAGGGAATTTTGTACACTCTTGTGCCAACTGCTTTGATAGTAACAAAATGTATTTCTCGAACTCCTAGGTATAAAACTCAAGTATCCACAATTTAAATTCTTTTTCCCTCACTTCTATTATGTTTCCAGTCTCAATAGAAATTGATGCAAATCCAGAAATACAAGCATTATTCTAATACTTCTCACACATTACAGGTATAGATTAAATTTTCTAGATCTCCTTAAATACTATCATTTTTCACTACTTGTACCTTAACTGTTAAGTTCAACATTTTCTATAATATTAATATGTTGTGAAAATTTCCTTACTTTCTTATTTGTCCCAAGTTCAAGGTTTTGCAGTCTCTACCTCACGCTGTGAAGCATAAACGTTCTACATGCTGTACAAATAATACATACTTCATGTGCTTAGAGATTGCACAATTTTTATTTGGTTGACAATAACTAATGTTTTCTTCATTTTCTATTTCCTGATTTTTCTTTATTTAGTATGTGCTACATTATCATAAAAATAAGAACGTTTTACAAACTAAAGCAAAAGCAACCCTAGGAAAAAAATGCACAAATAAAATATATAAACATACAATTAGATGTACCATGTACCCTTCTAATTTATTTAGACATTTAATTGTAGTACAATTTTAATTAAATTCTGTGTATTATCTGCCATCGTCTTAGTATTTTTTATATAACAAATTTTGTAAATCAAAAAGTCTCAATGTCATTATAAACTATCTTGGCAGAGGTTGATGTCCAAGGAATAATTTCTCTCCCAAATTATGTCAATCAGAATTTCACTCTACCATAATTCTTTTAATCAGTTTCAGAGGAATCATACATTTCAAAATTGTTCAGGGTAGTTGTTGTAGTTCAAGTACATTTTGACAGGTGTAAAACTGTAGACAGACTGATACAAACATATTCTAATTGACTCAAAACTTTATGGGACCTATTTGTTTGATAAATGTAGTGTCTTTTTCCATGCCTGTCGCATCTCTATTGCTCATTTATTTTTCTCTTTGTCCCTTATAGGGAGCATTGCCTATCTCTAGATTAAGCAAAAGTTGTATCTTAAAAAAGCACAATAACCTGCTCAATCTTTCTCATACAGAGAAATGTTTGTTAAGTAATTAAAGTGTAGATGATGATACAGAGAGCTTGATTAAAAAAGATGCCAAAGTACCCTTGTGATTCAGAATATGAATGGTATTTAATGCCTTTGAAATCAATAATTGCTGAGTGACATTAATTAATGCCAATATTTCAGAAGTTGTTCTGGTTAGTGAAATGTGTACAACATGTAAAAGTTTCCGAACTCTGAAGGGCAACATTATTCTATAATTAAGAATTAAGAATTAATTCACATTAATTATTGGGGAGAAATAATTTTAAGAATTAATGACTGAGAAAACGTTTTTATTTTTTATTTAGAAAATTATTTTGTGCATGAGCATTACTGCAAGTTTTACAAGAAACATAAATTTATAGAAATAATTATTGCACAAGATGAATTTAATAACATCTTGATATTTTCCACTATTACCGTTGTATTTGGTAAATCTTTAAATGCCCATCATCTAAAGATAATAAATGAATCTTGGAAATCTTGCAGGTAAGGGTAAATATAAGGATGCATCCAATTACATTTACACACACATATAATTACGTTTACACAAACATACATGCACACATGCTCACTGATACAGGTATGCGTATATACACATGAATTTACCAATTGATTTTAACTAATATTTATAAGAGCCTGTAGGATTGA
Organism: Homo sapiens; assembly: GCF_000001405.40. NCBI lineage: Eukaryota > Metazoa > Chordata > Mammalia > Primates > Hominidae > Homo > Homo sapiens. The sequence goes on along the minus strand of NC_000010.11, from coordinate 42,162,254 downwards.
TATATATTGCTGAACCTGAAAAATGTTTATTATATACATGTTTAAAATACAAAAAGAAATAAATAGTAATTGCACTAGGCATTTGAAACTGTACTTAAATATAAGCTGTGAACATTTTGTGATCATTACAAATTCTTACACTGAATAAATATTTTTAGTTTTATAATATGTTTGATACATTTGTACATTTTAAAAAATGTACTATTTTATTTTTGTCATAGAGTCATGTCATGCATAATAACATTTCAGTCAAAGATGGATTGCATATACAAAAGTGTTCCCATGAGATTATAATACACATTTTTACATACTTTTCTATGTTTAAGTATGTTTAGATACATAACTTCTTACCACTGTGTTCTTATTGCCTGCAATATTCAGTACAGTAATGTAGTACACAGGTTTGTAGCCTAGGAGAGAGAGGCTCTACCATATAACCAGACATGGTAGGCTGTACAAACTAGGTGTTTGTAATATTCTCTCTGACGTTTGCAAAATGATGAAATTGCCTATGGATGCATCTGTTAGAACGTATCCCTATCACTCAGTGATGTGTGACTGTACTAAAATGCTCAATCTAAGTTTCAATGTCCTCCATAAAATTGTTGTACTGTGAAATACAAATCTCTCACCCATGGCCTGAATATGTTTGCAAACTAAGCAGATCATGGGTAGGAGAATGTGCTGGCATCTCTGGGATGATTTTCTCACACTACATGAATAATATCTGCAGACTTTGCGAGTATGAGCCACTTGCATAGAGTTAAAGTAAGCATCCCTTTGCTGGGAAATTTATCAAATGGGAGCATGAAGTGTTTTTAAAAGATACTTGTTGGTTTGTAGATGGTAGGCCTACAGTGGCTCACGGCAATGGTTGAGGTTGCTAAGATTTGGTGGAAGGAGGCAAAATGAAATGGCCACTTATATGGTATATGGATCACTTGTTTCTGTTGAGTTACAGATTCAGCTGGCTATTTCTCCTAATGTTAGTTATTTGGAGAAAAATACATGATGGTAATTTTGGGGTAACAAATACAATATTTGATGAAAGCAAATTTTTGAGGATTAGACAAACTACAAGATAATTTAGGCTGCAAAGTCAACACGAGACTGCTGGCCCAAATTGTGCAGAGTTTGGGTCCAGATGCAAAGTTCAAAGGAAGAGGCCATATAAGACGATTCGCACTTTTGACACCAACTGCCAGATCAGGGTTTCCCCAGAACACCCTCAGTTTCAAGAATTTACTAGAAAGACTCACAGAACTCATTGAATGCCATTGTACTCATGGTTTATAATAGAGAAAGGGTAGAAATTGGACCAATCAAAGGAAAAGACATATCACATAAGGTGAAATCTAGGAGGATTTTGAATGTTAAGTTTCCATTGTCTTCAGGACATATTACCTGTCATTGTTGTACAGCAATAAACATGGAGTACTACCAACCTGGGGAGCTCACCTGATGCAAAAAAGACACTATTTCGAAAATGAAAAGACAAAGGAAAGGATGAGATAAGATGACCTTCCACATAAAGGCAATGGAAAAAATAGCAAACTAAACCTAAAGCAAGCAGAAGGAAGAAAATAAAAATTAGAGAAATTAATAATTTATAATATTGATCATATTTGTTAGTATTGACTAATTGATATTAATTCTTGACTAACTTTTTTTAAAAAGAGAAATATTCACTTCCCAATTTATTCTGTGGGGCCAGTGTTACCTTGATACAAAAATTAGTCCAAATAGCATAGAAAAATAAAACTACTATAAGTATAAATGCAAAATTCCTTAAAAACTACTAACAAATCAGATCTAGCAACATGTAAAAGAATTATGCACTATGACAAAGTGATATTTATACTAGTAATCTCAGGATGATTTAACAGCCCAAAATCCATTAAGGTAATACATCTTATCCATAGAATAAGAAACAAGAATTTCATGATCATCTCGATAGATTCAGAAAAGACATTTAACATAATCCAAATGCTTTAATGATTAAAAATAAAAATAAAAACTCAATGAGCCAGGAATAGAGTACTTTCTACACCAGATACATGGCACCTGTGAAAAGCCAAAAGCAAATATTCAACTTAGTGGTAAAAGAAAGGATACTTTCCCGCTATGGTCAGAGATAAGAATAGGATACGTACTTTGACCTCTTCTAGTCAACACTGTACTGAAGATTTTATGCAGGGCAAATCGGCAAGTAAAGAAATAAGAGTCACCCATATTGAACAGGAGGAAATAAAACTTTATTTGCAAATAACATTCTTGTATATAGAAAATTTTAAGGAATCCACTGAACGATAGAACTAGTTAATTACTTCAGCAATATTACAGCATACAAGATAAATATACAAAAATCAATTGCACACATCTACAATGAAAACCCTAAAATGAGATTAAGAAAACACTTCAATTTACAATAGCATCAAAAAAAGAAATAATAATTAATTTGGAAAATGTGATATAAGATTTTACTCTGAAAATTAAAAATTATTGTTTAAAGAAGATCTAAATAATTAGCAAATATCTTACAGCCATGAATTGGAAGATTTAATATTGTAGTACTTTACAAGTTGAACTACAGATTTGACGTAATCCCTGCAAGTATCCCAACAGATTTCTGTCTAGAAACTTACAAGCTGATTCTAAAATACACGTGGAATTGTAAGGGACTTAAAATAGCCAAAATAGTCTTGAAAAAAGAAAACATGTTAGGATAATTCACACCCCCATGCTCCAAACCTTATGGCAAAGCATCAGTAATCAAGACAACACAATACTGATGAAGGAAAAATATATAGATTGATGGAAGAGAATTGAGAGTCCATATATAAAACTATGTATCTATAGTCAATGGATTCTTACAGTGGTGCCATGTGCAATTCAATGAGGAAGAGACCTTCTTTGAACAAACTCTGTCAACAACGTACACGTGGATCGCCACTTGCAAAATAATAAATTGGAATCCTTACCCCAAAGCATACAAAAATATTAACTTAAATGAATTAAAGATATACATGCAAGAGCTAGAATAAAGCTTATGGGAAAATCTTCAGGATTTTGGATCTAGCAAAGAAATAGCTGTAACACCAAAAACATGATCAACAAAATAAAAATTAGTTATTTAACATTTCTTAAAAATTAAAGACATTGGTGTTTCAAAGGACAACCAAGCAAGTCAAAAGGCAGCTCAAAAATTGTGAGAAGATATTTGAAAAACACATATCTATATGTCTGTATAAATATGTATCTTGAATATAGAAAAATTGTTTTAACTCAGTAACAAATGCGGCAGATCATGATGGGCTTGCAGACCATTGTACGAATTGTGTCTTTTAGTGTAAATGAAATGGGGAGACAAATCATTGCCCCATTATCAATATTTTAATAAATTGGATCCATGAACCAAATACAATGAGATTAAATCAATTAGTAATAATATGCAAATTTGTATTAAAATTACAAGAATTACTTGCACATTTGAGAACAGGAGAGTCATGATTGTTTATCAGCAATAATAAACATTATTAATTTTAATTGTGATCAGCTAATTGAGATTAATTGCAATACATCATGCCTTATAATATGACTGTCAAAAGGAAAATATGATTGTAATCTTATACTACATCAATCAATGTCTTTGATTCATAGGACTATAGAGTAAGCCCCTAGTTTTCAAAGCCAACTGATGAGGCAGTGACATCTTATGCAAGTTTGCTGCTTTCTGCCACAGTGGTCCTTTGTCAGCTGGCACAAATTGTTTTACAAACACCACTAGGTCTAAAAAAGTTTGGATCTCAATGAACACAGAAACACCTTCATCCCTTCAGAAATACCTATCAATTACTGCCAATACAGAATGAAAAATTAACAACGGAAGTATGTTGATTGTAAAAATGCCAGATAGCTTGCATCTACATGAAAGAAAAATGCCATTTTTATTACAATAGATCATTGTTTTACATGAGTTTTGGTATAGCACAATGTTGAACCAAGGGCAAAGAAAGATGAATTAATGAAGTCTTAAGATATCAAGAATTTGAAAGAAAAGGAAGGTCGTCTTTGAAGGTTAGTGACATAGCATTCATCTTCTGTTGTCACCTTTTCCGTCATTCCCTGTATGCCTGATGGACAGCTTTCACTCAAGTTCAGAGAACAGCATGCAAAGATTAGCTGCCAACTAATTTTTATGAATGAGCTTAATTTCTAGCCAGACTGAGCTTACGTTTTAGCAGGAAGCATTTTTGGGAAATGTTTATGTTAGAGTTTGCCCTTCTTGACAAGGTGAGACATAAATGTCTACTTTATAGACATGAATTAAGATGGGAAGATATTTGGGGGAAACATTTTCTCAAATGCTAAATAACAAAGGTGCACAAAGGGGAAATTATACTAGATTTCTTTCCCACTTGTTTTCTATGTCTCATCCAATTCATCTTGTTTCCCTTCAGTTTCTGTTTAATGTAGAAAGTGGCATTTTCATTATTTTAAGCTTCTAGCACAATGAAAGAATTTCTCTTTTTCATGAACTGCATCATAAATGAAAGGGAGAAAGAGTGTCCAATATCATATTTATTGTTCAACAAAACACTGCTCCACGGCTTAAATTCAGTTTAAAAAAGAGTATTTATTGAACATCTAACACATACATAAAAGGCAGTAAAGACAAATGAGAAGAGGGCAGGATATTGAAGTATACAGACTTTAATGCTGAGTTTTGTATCTTAGTAAGTTACCGCACCTTACAGACACTCAATTTCCCCTGATTTAGGAAGGCGATGCTAATGGGTATTGCATAGGTGTACGTATAAAAATGTTGTATTTAATAGAATCCCACAAGCTTGGTATAAGGCAGAAAATAAATAGGTGTGACATGAATAAGTAGTTTATTACATTTGCTTGCTACTTGCAGACTAGAGGAAGGAAGAAACACAGCCACTATGATTGATTAGCATTATATTCTAATTTGGAATATAAATAGAAAAGAGAAAAATAGAAATCTATGCATAAACACATGCATTAAAATGAATTTTATGTGGACTCTTTCAGGAAAATGTTCCTAAGGTATTTTATTTTTTTATTGTGGTAAAATACACATAACATAAAATGTACTCTGTTAACCATTTTAAGTGCACAGTTCAGTGGTACTAAATATAGTCATAACATTGTGCAGCCATCCCCACCATCCATCTCCATAACTCGTTTCATCTTGTGAAACTGAAACTCTATACTCATTAAGCAATACTTCCCCATGTCTTCCTCCCCCCAGCTTCTGGCAACCATCATTGTACTATCTCTGTGACTCTGTCCACTTTAAGTTCCTTATACAAATGGAATTATACTGTATTTGTCCTTCACTGACTAACTTATTTCACTTGGCATAATATTCTCAAGTTTCATCCAAGTTGCAACATATGTCAGAATATTTCCCTCATGTTTAAGACTGAATAATATTCCATTGTATGTATATATCATATTTTGCTTATCCATTCATCTGTTGTTGGACACTTCAATTGCTTCTACGTTTTAGCTATTGCCAATAATGCTGCTGCAAATATGGATGTGTAAATATTTTTTCAAGACTCTGCTTTCATTTCTTTTGCTATCCTGAGATGTGGAGCTGCTGAATCATATGGCAATACCATTTTGATGTTTTGAGGAACTAACATACTCTTTTCCACAGCAAACATAGGGTTTGGCATTCCCTCCAATATTGCAAAAGGAATCGCCACATCCTTGCCTGTGGATTTTATTCACAAGTCCTGTGGCTCTCTCTACATCCCGGCCACCATGTGTTATTTCCTGTTTATATATATGACATCAAAGGTGCAGGAAGTAATGAACTAAATTGGAATGATAAACATGCAGAAAAATAGAGGTAAATACTGACTACATAAAACCATAAGAATAAGAATTTTGGATGATCTATATATTATATACCTATTTATCTAACATCTATCTGTTCCTCCATCTGTAATTAAAATATATTACAGTTAGAGAACAGAGGAAAAAGGAGGAATACATGAATTTAAATTTTAATTCCTCTTAGATTGTCTCACAACATCATTATGACAGAAAATCAATATCTGTTAACTATAAATGTAACATTCTTAAAGAATTCAAATACGTTGAATTACAGCATGAATAATATATTACAATCCATTCAAGTTTATTTTATTCCAGGAACACAAAAATACAAATTTCATTTGCAATTAAAGAAAAACATAAATCGATACATATGATTGATGTATATACACATTTAATGTATTTTTAAATATACATTTTTCAAAAATAGAAATTTTTCTAGGACAAATACTTAAAATATCACTGAAAATAGTGTTATTAGCTAATAACTTCCTAATAACTCTGGTATTATATAAGAAACCAAAATTAAAATTTCAGATAAGCTTAGAAACTAAAAAATTTAAAAATATTATTCTGTTCTCCATATGTTCATATTTAATATTATTTCTTGTTTTCATTCTTCTTCAGTGTTGCTCTACTAAAATATCACATACAATAGGTACTTTGGATTTCCGCTCTTATTACTCAAAATTGTACACATTTTCTCATGCTCTTAATTTAGTTATGCTACTTTTCTTTACTCTTGGAATTTTCACACTTGTGTTCACTCTCTTTTGAGTTCTCATAGTATCAAATAAGCTTTTTTCCCTCTTTCTGATTTGAAGGTTCATCTTCTCATAATTATTTTGTCCGCTCAGTTTCTTTTCATTCTCAGTTAAGTGCCTCTCATCTGGCTTTTCATTTGTAAGGTTTATTTTCATCTTAAGCCAGTCTTTTATTTATATTTTGATTCTGTTTTGTGGAGGACATACTTCCCTGAATTTTAAGGAAGAGGCCAAAAGGTTTGTTCAAGTTTTTACCTGATAGATTGGATTAAATTATCTAATGTACACACCCTTAATTTAAGTCTAGGGGCGACTCTCTACTCTCGATTTTGTATAGCATTATTTTTCTTAACATCCAAGTCCATCTTCATCTATTTGTATATGATCAATAAAAATATATTTGTCCAGAACCCTGCTTTAGTGGAGTTACTTCTTTCTAAGTAGTAGAGGTAGCAGTTGAGACATGAGCTGGGTTCTGGGTCAGTTTAGAGGGCTGGGCGACATTCCTCCTTTTGGTCTGTATGACTGAATGAATGCAGTTCTTGCTGTCTCGCTCCTCTCCTTAACACATTGAGCCATTGCAGCAGATGAGAAGGAATAATCCTGATCTGCCACTCAGGTGGAACACATGTTCTCTCCAACCACATCCATAGATTGTACTCACACTCGGCTAGAATGTATCCTGTCAATGATATGGAGATGTATCTATCTATCTAGATAGATATCTACTTTGGTTTATGCTCTCTGGTTGCCCGTAAATTATCTCCTTAAAGTGAATATCAAAAGAGAGCTTGGTGATGGCAGTGTTATAAAATCCTCAAAATGCAGCACCCACACCCAGAGGTATTTGTAGATTCTGGGATTCTAATTCAGATACCAAACTATATTAAAGGGGCATTGGTCATTGAGGGTTGCTAGGCTCTTTGTGGAGCATATTTGCTCTTTTCATGACTTTGAAATTATTTTAAAAATCTAACGTTTTTCTCAGTCTGCTGCAAGATGATTTGATTTGAATGTATAAGCACTAATTCTCCCCTAAGATTTGTACAATATATTTGCTCTGACAAGCCATAACCAGCAACTCACTTCACAGCAATTTATAGCATTTCCACGATAAGTTGAATTATTTTTAACTAGATTCTCTTTGCCTTAATCAAAATATGAAGAAGCAATATACTTGTTCTAGTTAGGTTCAAAAGTTGGCAGTCTCTCTCCTCGAAAGAATAATAAAACTTTTCAACGGCCTAATATGCATCTATAGACACACACACACACGCACACATGCAAGCACTATTCATAATATTTAAAGCACATTCTGTTCTATGACTTCATTTGTCTAGCACAAAATAAAACGATCTCAGTATATGTCAAGTACCAATTTTTTCGTATGGCCAATTATAGACATTTTATTTTTTAAATATTAGAGTGTTCTTGAAGCTCTTTCTATTTCTTTGTCAATGAACTAAACATTGGCAAATATGTAGGGTTTCCCACATAAGAACATTATTAACATCAAAATAGAAAGCTGGTGGTAGAAATAATGATTGGGAACACAGAGTCTCTATTCAGCATTCTACTTCTGCCATACCATAACTTTGTGATCTCACGAAATATCTCTCCATGTTGTCATCCCTATGTATAGTTCTGTCATTTTTCAATAAGAGCTTTTTGCTTAATTATGAAGTACTACTTACTATAACCATTATTTTGAGCTTCATGTAAATCAAGAACACCTGGACTCCACTTGCAAAACATTGAAAATGTAGTTAGGGATTGGGGGCATAAAGCAACATTTTAAAATGTGTAAAGACAATGAGTAAGCAACAAAGTGTCCAATTTTTTAGGGGAAAGTTGCATACGTCAGGAAAAGGCAGGATTAAGTAACAGAGAATTTGAATGATAACTGGCCAATTGGTGTCGTTTACAATTGCAAGTCATACAAATGAAGTTTGCTTTTTTAAAGAGAAAAGGAGTTAGTTAGAATGGGTCAACCTATTGGGGAAGCAATGTAGTTAGAGACAATGCCCAAAACCATGTGAGCAAATGTTCTGTAGAGCGCACCCCTGCAATGCTGCCATTGTGAGGCCAAGTCTCTCCTTGTCTTGGTACTGAGCCCGCCATTATGCCTCCATCATTGCCACTGTAGCTGCCACAAAATGATCCCTCAACCACCGCTGCCCAGGAACAAAGAAAGAATTCTGTCCTTCCGCGCTCTCAGATCAATTTCCAACATCAGGTGAGCCTTTGATGGGCACTATTCAGTTCCCATATCCCTGAAATAGATGCAGTAAAAACATAGAAATTGCCTATGTGTTTCCCAATAATACACATATGGAAGCCTGGTTTCCCACAACAGGAAGGGTTTTCCATGATGGGTGTTCAAAGGAACAATATTCCCTGTAAACCATACTTTGCCCATATGAAGAAAAGCAATAAGGATTATTTAGTAAATAGACATAGAAACTCATCCAGGGTTGGCTGATGAGAAGCTGGTTAGCAAGGTGGTCTGCCTTCAGTTAGGACAAGGTCTGTGCTTCCCACGGGTTCTCTCCACAGCAGGAGGGATGCAAACTTCCCTTTCCTCCCCTGCACCTACCCTCAAATGGCCCAGAGTTCTTCAGGTGCTAGAATTTCTCAATTAATGCTGCACAAAATATCAGACAGCCTTGACTGTCACAGTCTGTTCTCATGAAGCTAGTCTCTGCTCACTATATAAAACAGGAGAGTAAGAACAAGGGTGTTTAACGCTACCCTAGCTCAAACAAGTTTCTCTCTGTAGGATGCCAAGAACCTGGGAACCAGTGCATCTGCTGCTTTCCCTTCTCGGATTCTAGCCCAGACAAAAGAGGCAAGGGGCATTTCTTCAGAGGCCTTGAGCTTCACTACACAATGCCCCAGGCTCTACATGCACCCTCTTTATATATTTCTACCTTGAAAAAAATTTTATATAATATTAATAATATATATTTTTATATAAGAAGCACATATGTTTATTTTATAGATAGATATAGATATACATAGATAAAGATCTCTAGTCAGCCTTTTTTAAGGCTGGGCTGATTGTGGTGCCTCAAAACTATAATCCCAGCACTTTGGGAGGCCAAGGTGGCCAGATCTCTTGAGTCCAGGAGATGGAGATCAGCCAGGGCAACATGGTGAAACCCCATCTTTACAAAAATTAGCTAGTATGGTGTCATGCACTTGCAGTCCCTGCTACTCAGGAGACTGAGGTAGGAGAATCGCTTGAGCACAGTATGTGAAGGCTTCAGTGAGCTCTGATCACATGACTGCACTCCATCTTGGGTGACAAAGTGAGACCCTCTCTCAAAATAAAATAAAATAAAAAGGCTACCACCATACTCACAGATAAGTGTGTCAGGTATATTTGCAGCTATCTTTCCTATATTCTATTTGATAAAAAAAAATGCAAAGAACTCTTCTCATTCTAGATTTTTGTATTAATTAGACATTTGAAGTTTATAGCAGAAGAGCTATAATCATGTTTGGTATGTGTACTCTATAGACCATATAGTGCAAACAGATATCAATGCTTTTTAAAAGTATATAAGGTTATTAGAAATATTTTAAACTACCTATAGGTATATATGTATCTAATTGAACTATCAAATGCAAGTAAGATCATTTCCTTAGCGTGTGAAATCCACTCAATTTATTAAAATATTTTCTAATGTCTATTACAATAGTGTTTCTTAATTAGCTAACATAAGAGGAGTTTTAAGACATTTATTTATATGTACTTACTAGATTCAAACTCGATTCCACTGTTTTCAGAAATCATGCTCCGAGACAAGTCCTTTTTTTATCTAACTATGTTTCTGCCTATATTAAAAGACAGATATGTCAATTTTGCTAATCATGCTGTTCCAAACCTCTCCATCCTATTTTTCGGTTTGTTCTACCAGTCATTCAGAGACTTACTTATATTCAAATTTCTCTCTAGGTTTAACATTTGTGTATGTCTTCTTGTGGTTTTGTCTATTTTTGCTGTATATACTTTAAGACATTTATTGACATATATCATACATGCAGAAAAGTACAATGATTAAATATAGATAGCTTGATTAATGAAACACATGTATTTGCTTATAACCATGTATGAAAATAGAACATTACTAAAAATAGAGATACTTCTCCTGCCCCTTTCCAAACACTAACCCTCATCCTCAATAGTAACAGATTTTTTTTTTGTCATAATTTGGTCTATTTTCAAATTTTTATTAAATAAATCAGAGTATCTACTCTAAGTCAATGTTTCTTTCATTGTTGTTATTTTGCTTATAGTACTTATCTGCTAATGGACATGGTAGATTAAAGATGGCTACATACACATTTTTTAATTAATAGATTTTTTGAGCACTTTGTGGTTCATGCCTCTAATCCCACCACTTTGGGAGGCTGAGGTGCGCGGATCATGAGTTCAGGAGATTGAGACCATCCTGGCCAACGTGGTAAAACCCCTTCTCTACTAAAATACAAAAAATTAGCTGATAGATAACATCTGGGTTCTTAGTTGCACTGAGTCAAGCCTACTTACATCTTTGTTTGTCTTCCTCTGCACTTTTCCTTCCACATAACACTCCAGGAATGCCAAGCTGTGCTGGCCTTCTACACCATTTCCACTATTTTGCCCCCGCCGCCACGGCTTTTTGCTCCGGAAGCCACGGCTTTTTGCCCTCGCTGCCGCGGTTTTTGCGGCTTTTTTCCTCCGCCACCGCGACTTTTTCCACCGCGGCTTTTTATGGCTTTTGGCCCCCAGCACCGCAGCTTTTTACGGCTTTTTGCCCCCGCCGCCGCAGGTTTCTCCCGCTGCGGCTTCTTGCCCCGCCGCCCCGGCTTTATGTGGCTTTTTGCCGCCGCGGCTTTTGGCCCCCGCCACCGCGGCATTTTACAGCTTTTCGCCCCCGCCGCTGCGGCTTTTTCCCCCCGCCAGCCGCAGGTTTTTCCTGCCACGGCTTCTTGCCCCTACGCCTGGGCTTTTTGCTGCTTTTTGCCCCCTCCGCCGCGGCTCCTTGCCCCCTACGCGGCTTCCTGCCCCCGCCGCCGCAGCTTTTTATCACCTCAGCCGCTCTTTGCCCCCGCCGCCATGGGTTTTTGCCGCCGCGGCTTCTTGCCCCCCTCGCCGCGGCTTTCTGCCCCCGCCCCCGTTGCTTTTTGCCCCTGCCGCCACGGCTTTTTGCACCTGCCCCCGTTGATTTTTGCCCCCGCCGTTGCGGCTTTCTGCCCCTGCCGCCGAGGGTTTTTGCGGTTTCATGCCCCCGCCGTCGTGGCCTTTTGCCTCCGCTGCTTTTTGCCCCCTCTGCCGCGGCTTTTTGCGGCTTTTTAGCCCCTTCGCCGTGGCTTTTTGCGGCTTTTGGCACCCGATGCCGCGGCTTTTTGGGGCTTTTGGTCCCCGCCGCAGCGGCTTTTTTCCCCCGCCGCCTCAGGTTTTTCCTGCCGCGGCTTTTTTCCCCCGCCGCCGCCGTGACTTTTTGCCACCCCTGCTTTTTGCCCCCGCCGCCGCGGCTTTCTGTCCCGGCCGCCGCATCTTTTTGCCGCCGCGGCTTCTTACACCCGCCACCGCGGCTTTTTGCCCCCGACGCTGTGGCTTTTTACGGCTTTTTGCCCCCATCACCGCAGCTTTTTGCCCCCGCCGCCACGGCTTTTTGCCCCCATCGCCCCGGCTTTTTCCGCCACCGCCCCGGCTTTTTGCCCCCACCATTGCGGCTTTTTGCGCCCGCCGCCGCGGCTTTTTGCGGCTTTTTGCCCCCGCCGCCGCGGCTTTTTGCCATCACCGTGGCTTTTTCCCCGCCGCCATGGCTTCTTGCCCATGCGGCTTTTTACTGCCGCTGCGGCAGGTTTTTACCGCTGAGGCTTTTTCACCCCGCCGTCGCGGGTTTTTGCCCCCACCGCCGCGGGTCTGAGGGCGGGATCGTCAGACTCGGCTTCCAGATCTACTGGCGTCCTGGCTAAGGCAGCTCCGAGGGTCACTCCTGATCTAGCTCTCCTGGTTCGGGGGTTCCTTGCCTAGACACCCGCGCCCCAGGCTCCGCTCCTGGGCCACTGCAGCCTGCATAGAGGGGCGCTGCGCTAGGCCCCGATGGGAGAGAAGAAGGAGGGCGGTGGCGGGGGTGACGCGGCTATCGCGGAGGGAGGCACAGGGGCCGCGGCCAGCCGGGCGCTGCAGCCCTGCAGGCAGCTCCAGAAGCTCATCGGCATCTCCATTGGCAGCCTGCGCGGGCTGCGCACCAAGTGCACTGTGTCCAAGGACCTCACCCAGCAGGAGATACGGACAGTGGAGATAAGGGGGTCGGGGACCAGGGTTGGGCTCCAGCACCAGACTGGACATCTCCCTCGGGGCCCCAGTTCACTCCCGGCCGAGTTGCATGCTTGAGCCCGCGTCTCTCCCTTGGAGGCTTCTCCTCCCTCCTGCACTCGCTGATGCAGCAGCCGGAGGACCTGGGACCAGCCCTCACCTTGGGCAGGATTTGTGGGGTGGGTGCGTGTTGGGAACTTTGATGGAGGCTCGAGGGGCCCGTGGGTGGGGTGGGCTGTGCGCGGACGTCCCCTTACACCCCGAATTTCCATCTGGTGCAGCCTTCTCATCTTGTAGGTGAGGAAACCGAAGGCCTGAGGGAGAAATGACTTGTCAGGAACCCCTGTTAAGGAAAATTAACAAATTGTGGTTATCAAAGGAGAACTGAGTTGAGATTCAGACCTGGAGTCCCACACCCTTGGTTAAGACATTATACCACCTTGAGTCTGGCCTGTTGACTGAGGGTGAGCCACTCCATTCTTGTCTGATTGTGGGGTCTTGACCTCAAGGGGTTTCGTGCAGCAATAAGCAAATGGGTTTGCTTTCCTAGCTCTGTCCAGTACTTTAGGGACCCTGAGAAGTGGAGAGATTCTTGGAGAGCCATCTGGTGTATGTCATGGGTGGGCCTTGCTTGAAGGTCAGTCTGCCCAGTGGGCTGGCTCAGCCCGAATGAACTCTCTTGAATCTTTGGAGTTGTCTGCGTACTTTTAAGGGTTTCTCATCCTTGCACCAAAAGATTCCCTGGAAATTAGGTGGGAAAACCTTAACTTTTGTGGAGCCTTGTATTTGTCTTCAAAGTTCATGCGCATAGCCAGGTGTGGTGGCTCATGCCTGTTATCCTGTCCTGGATCCCTTGAGTCAAGGAGTTTGAGACCAACCTGGTCAATATAGTGAGACCCTATCTCTACAAAAAATAAAATATTAGCCAGGAGTGGTTGTGCGCATCTGTAGTCCTAGCTACTACTGTGGCTGAGGCGGGAGGAGCACTTGAGCCTGCACTGAGCTGTGATCTCGCCAGTGTACTCCAGCCTGGGCCACAGAGCAACACCTTGACTCAAAAAAAAAAAAACCAACAAGAAAAATTCTTGAAGATTTTTCATTCTGTCCCACTATCCATTGGTTTTCATGTCAAGATAATGTCAGAAATTCTTTACAATTGCTTCCAGAAGGAGTAGCCTTTTGATCTAGTGCACAGGTGTCCAGTCTTTTGGCTTCTCAGGGCCACATTGGAAGAAGAATGCTCCTGGGCCACACATAAAATACACTACTGCTAACGATAGCTGATGAGCTTAAAAAAAAAAGTTTGTGCATAATTTTCATGATACCCACAACCACAGATAGGTGGAAAAGTCCTTGTAGTCAAAGGGTTGGACACGGCTGATCTAGTGTCTTGTCATCCGTTTTGGCTTTCTCCCTGACTCCAGAATGCAGGTAGAGATGTAGAGACATGCTCTCAGGACAGCTGTTAAGATAAAAAAAATTCGTTGTCATTTATTCCCAAGCACAGCTGTTTGTCATTTGCATTGAAAAAGTCTCCATTCAAACTGCTGTCACATATAAAATCTATTTATATGTCTGTATTTTTCTGTTATCTTGGCCTTTGTGGGCAGTAGTGTGTTTTAACCGAGCAAACTGTCCTTCCAAATAATGAAGCCGAAGTCAGCCTACCTGCTTGCTATTTTTCTTCCCCTTCCATTTTTCTAACCTCAGGATAATTGTAAGAATGAATTAAGATTTGTGTTTAAGGCCGGGCACAGTGTCTCAGGGCTGTAATCTCAGCACTTTGGAAGGCGGAGACGGATGTATCGCTTGATCTCAGGAATTGAAGACCAGCCTGGGCAACATACTGAGAGTCTGTCTTGTATAATTAAATTAAAATTTTAAAAAAGGAGAGAAAAGGACCTGTGTTTAAAATTTTAAAAAAGGGGGGAAAGTGTAATGCAAAATGTGGGCTATGGAAGCTATGATTGGGAAAAATAATTTTTCCTACAGCATTATCTGTTGACTTGTATTAGCAGCACACTGGTCATAAGCGTTTTGCTTTCATCAAATATGATTAGGTAAGCTACTGTAAAGTGTGGTGGGGCTTTCTTCCGCATGGCTCCTGGAGGTGTTGAGTCCCAATTCAGCCAATTAATTTGGGTTTAGTTTTGATATGGATAAGGGAGACCGGCTTCATTCATGATGCACACACAGTTTTGCCAGTAAGGAAATAAAAAGCAACCTGAATGTTCCTACTCATTAGATGCTATCTGGAGAGCTCCTACCCCACCTCCACCAAGGCCCAGGCCCTTAAAAAGACTCAATGCAGCCTTTCTGTATCTCATACTGTATTCTGCAAGATGCTCCTGTGAAAGAAAGTTGTGCTGCATCAGCCATCTCCCTCCTGAAGATCCCTGCAGATGAGGATTTGTGTTTTAAAGGTTCTCAGAAGTCCTGCAACAACAGTTCTCAAACTTATTTGTCCAGGGGATCTTTTCTTCCACTGAACGTAGTTGGGGAGACATGGCCTTAAGCCTTGAGCAGAGAAAGAGACAAGAAACTGTTGGCTCACTTACAACCAAGTGTTGTGTATATGTTTTAGGTTTTTATGAAACTGCGGTGCTGTTTGAGGTTCTGAATCAAATTGGGTAGTTGAAGAGAGGCTGGTATCCCTGTAGACTTAGCCAGCCATGAGAGGTTGACTTTTGTTGAAGGAGGTGTTTTACAAAGGGAAATAGTGTGTCTCCTGGGCATCACATTAACACTTAAATACATGTATCACTGAAATGAAATGAAATGATGACATGAAATGAAATGAAATGATGAAACGAAATGATGAAATGATGAAATGAAATGAAATGAAATGATAAAATGATGAAATGAAATGATGAGATGAAATGAAATGGTGAAATGATGAAACGCTGAAATGAAATGAAATGATGAAATGAAATGATGAGATTAAATGAAATGATGAAATGGAATGATGAAATGATGAAATAATGAAATGAAATGGTGGAATGAAATGAAGAAATGAAATGAAATGCTGAAATGAAATGATGAGGTGAAATGGTGAAATGAAATGAAATGATGAAATGATGAAATGAAGAAATGGCATGAAATGATGAAATGAAATGATGAAATGAAGTGAAATGATGAAATGATGAAATAATGAAATGAGGGGTGGAGCCAAGATGGCCGAATAGGAACAGCTCCGGTCTAAAGCTCCCAGCGTGAGCAACGCAGAAGATGGGTGATTTCTGCATTTCCATCTGAGGTACTGGGTTCATCTCACTAAGGGAGTGACAAACAGTGGGTGCAGGACAGTAGGTGCAGCTCACCGTGTGGAAGCTGAAGCAGCACGAGGCATTGCCTCACTCAGGAAGCACAAGGGGTCAGGGAGTTCCCTTTCCTAGTCAAAGAAAGGGGTGACAGACGGCACCTGGAAAATCGGGTCACTCTCACCCTAATACTGCACTTTTCCAACAGGCTTGGAAAACGGCACACCAGGAGATTGTGTCCCACACCTGGCTCAGAGAGTCTTATGCCAATGGAGTCTTGCTGATTGCTAGCATGGCACTCTGAGATCAAACTGCAAGGCAGCAGTGAGGCTGGGGAAGTGGGGCCCGCCATTGCCCAGGCTTTCTTAGGTAAACAAAGCAGCCAGGCAGCTGGAACTGGGTGGAGCCCACAACAGCTCCAGGAGGTCTGCCTGCCTCTGTAGGCTCCACCTCTGGGGGCAGGGCACAGACACACAAAAAGTCAGCAGTAACCTCTGCAGACTTAAATGTCCCTGTCAGCTTTGAAGAGAGTAGTGGTTCTGCCAGCACGCAACTAGAGATCTGAGACTGGGCAGACTGCCTCCTAAAGTGGGTCACTGAACACCGAGCAGCCTAACTGGGAGGCACCCCCCTGTAGGGACAGACTGACACCTCACTCGGCCGGGTAGTCCTCTGAGACCAAACTTCCAGAGGAATGATCAGACAGCTGAATTTGTGGTTCACGAAAATCCGCTGTTCTGCAGCCACTGCTGCTGATACCCAGGAAAACAGGGTCCAGCGTGGACCTCTAGCAAACTCCAACAGACCTGCAGCTGAGGGTCCTCTCTGTTAGAAGGAAAACTAACAAACAGAAAGGACACCCACACCAAAATCCCATCTGTACATCACCATCATCAAAGACCAAAAGTTGATAAAACCACAAAGATGGGGAGAAAACAGAGCAGAAAAACTGGAAACTCTAAAAAGCAGAGTGCCTCTCCTCTCCAAAGGAATGCAGTTCCTCACCAGCAATGGAACAAAACTGGACAGAGAATAACTTTGACGATTTCAGAGAAGGAGGCTTCAGATGATCAAACTACTGAGAGCTACAGGAGGGAATTCAAACCAATAGCAAAAAGTTTAAAACTTTGAAAAACAATTAGACGAATGTATAACTGGAGTAACCAATGCAGAAAAATGCTTAAATGATCTGATGGAGCTGAAAGCCAAGTTTCGAGAACTACGTGAAGAAGGCAGAAGCCTCAGGAGCCGATGTAATCAACTGGAAGAAAGGGTATCAGTGATGGAAGATGAAATGAATGAAATGAAGGGAGAAGGGAAGTTTAGAGAAAAAACAATAAAAAGAACAAAGCCTCCAAGAAATAAGGGACTATGTGAAAAGACCAAACGTACGTCTGATTGGTGTACCTGAAAGTGACGGGGAGAATGGAACTAAGTTGGAAAACACTCTTCAAGATATTATCCAGGAGGACTTCCCCAATCTAGCAAGGCAGGCCAACATTCAGATTCAGGAAACACAGAGAATGCAGCAAAGATACTCCTCAAGAAGAGAAACTCCAAGACAAATAATTGTCAAATTCACAAAAGTTGAAATGAAGGAAAAAATGTTAAGGGCAGCCAGAGAGAAAGGTCGGGTTACCCACAAAGGGAAGCCCATCATACTAAGAGCTGATCTCTTGGCAGAAACTCTTCAAGCCAGAAGAGAGTGGGGGCCAATATTCAACATTCTTAAAGAAAAGAATTTTCAACCCAGAATTTCATATCCAGCCAAACTAAGCTTCATAAGTGAAGGAGAAATAAAATCCTTTACAGACAAGCAAATGCTGAGAGATTTTATCACCACCAGGCCTGCCCTAAAAGAGCTCCTGAAGGAAGCACTAAACATGGAAAGGAACAACTGGTACCAGCCACTGCAAAAACATGCCAAATTGTAAAGACCGTCGAGACTAGGAAGAAACTGCATCAACTAACGAGCAAAATAACCAGCTAACATCATAATGACAGGATCAAATTCACACATAACAATATTAACCTTAAATGTAAATGGACTAAATGCTCCAATTAAAAGACACAGACTGGCAAATTGGATAAGGAGACAAGACCCATCAAGGTGCTGTAATCAGGAAACCCATCTCACATGCAGAGACACACATAGACTCAAAATAAAGAGATGGAAGAAGATCTACCAAGCAAATGGAAAACAAAAAAAGGCAGGGGTTGCCATCCTAGTCTCTGATAAAATCGACTTTAAACCAACAAAGATCAAAAGAGACAAATAAGGCCTTTATATAATGGTAAAGGGATCAATTCAATGAGAAGAACTAACTATCCTAAATATATTTGCACCCAATACAGGAGCACCCAGATTCCTAAAGCAAGTCCTGAGTGACTTACAAAGAGACTTAGACTCCCCCACAATCATAATGGGAGATTTTAACACCCCACTGTCAACATTAGACAGATCAACGAGAGAGAAAGTTAGCAAGGACACCCAGGAATTGAACTCAGCTCTGCACCAAGCGCACCTAATAGACATCTACAGAACTCTCCACCCAAAATCAACAGAATATACATTTTTTTCAGCACCACACCACACCCATTCCAAACTTGATCACATAGTTGGAAGTAAAGCTCTCCTCAGCAAATGTAAAAGAACAGAAATTATAACAAACTGTCTCTGAGACCACAGTGCAATCAAACTAGAACTCAGGATTAAGAAACTCACTCAAAACTGCTCAACTACATGGAAAATGGACAACCTGCTCCGGAATGACCACTGGGTACACAACAAAATGAAGGCAGAAATAAAGATGTTCTTTGAAACCAATGAGAACAAAGACAAAACATACCAGAATCACTGGGACACACTCAAAGCAGTGTGTAGAGAGAAATTTATAGCACTAAATGCCCACAAGGAAAGCAGGAAAGATCCCCCACCCAAAATTAACACCCTAACATCACAATTCAAAGAACTTGAAAAGCAAGAGCAAACACATTCCAAAGCTAGCAGAAGGCAAGAAATAACTAAAATCAGAGCAGAACTGAAGGAAATAGAGACACAAAAAACCCTTCAAAACATTCATGAATCCAGCAGCTGGTTTTTTGAAAAGATCAACAAAATTGATAGACCACTAGCAAGACTAATGAAGAAAAGAGAGAAGAATCAAATAGACGCAACAAAAAATGATAAAGGGTTTATCACCACCGATCCCACAGAAATACAGTCTACCATCACAGAAAACTACAAACACCTCTACGCAAATAAACTAGAAAATCTAGAAGAAATGGATAAATTCCTCGACACATACACTCTTCCAAGACTAAACCAGGAAGAAGTTGAATCTCTGAATAGACCAATAACAGGCTCTGAAATTGTGGCAATAATCAATAGCTTACCAACAAAAAAGAGTCCAGGACCAGATGGATTCACAGCAGATTTCTACCAGAGGTACAAGGAGGAACTGGTACCATTCCTTCTGAAACTATTCCAATCAATAGAAAAAGAGGGATTCCTCTCTAACTAATTTTATGAGGCCAGCATCATCCTGATGCCAAAGCCGGGCAGAGACACAATAAAAAAAGAGAATTTTAGACCAATATCCTTGATGAACATTGATGCAAAAATCCTCAATAAAATACTGGCAAAACGAATCCAGCAGCACATCAAAAAGCTTATCCACCATGATCAAGTGGGCTTCATCCCTAGGATGCAAGACTGGTTCAACGTATGCAAATCAATAAACGTAATCCAGCATATAAACCTAACCAAAGACAAAAAACACATGATTATCTCAATAGATGCAGAAAAGGCCTTTGACAAAATTCAACAGCCCTTCATGCTAAAAATTCTCAATAAATTAGGTATTGATGGGACGTATCTCAAAATAATAAGAGCTATCTGTGACAAACCCACAGCCAATATCATACTGAATGGGCAAAAACTGGAAGCATTCCTTTTGAAAACTGGCACATGACAGGGATGTCCGCTCTCACCACTCCTATTCAACATAGTGTTGGAACTTCTGGCCAGGGCAATCAGGCAGGAGAAGGAAACAAAGGGTATTCAATTAAGAAAAGAGGAAGTCAAATTGTCCCCGTTTGCAGATGACATGATTATATATCTAGAAAACCCCATTGTCTCAGCCCAAAATCTCCTTAAGCTGATAAGCAACTTCAGCAAAGTCTCAGGATACAAAATCAATGTACAAAAATCACAAGCATTCTTGTACACCAACAACAGACAAACAGAGTGCCCAATCATGAGGGAACTCCCATTCACAATAGCTTCAAGGAGAATAAAATACCTAGGAACCCAACTTACAAGGGACATGAAGGACATCTTCAAGGGGAACTGCAAACCACTGCTCAATGAAATAAAAGGATACAAACAAATGGAAGAACATTCCATGCTCTTGGGTTGGAAGAATCAATATCGTGAAAATGGCCAAACTGCCCAAGGTAATTTAGAGATTCAATGCCATCCCCAGCAAGCTACCAATGACTTTCTTCACAGAATTGGAAAAAATGACTTTAAAGTACATATAGAACCAAAAAAGAGCCCGCATCACCAAGTCAATCCTAAGCCAAAGGAACAAAGCTGGAGGCATCACACTACCTGACTTCAAACTATACTACAAGGCTACAGTCACCAAAACAGCATGGTACTGGTACCAAAACACAGACATAGATCAATGGAACAGGACAGAGCCCTCAGAAATAACACCGCATAACTACAACTGTCTGATCTTTGACAAACCTGACAAAAACAAGCAATGGGGAAAGGATTCCCTATTTAATAAATGTTGCTGGGAAAACTGGCTAGCCATATGTAGAAAGCTGAAACTGGATCCCTTCCTTACACCTTATACAAAAATTAATTCAACTTGGATCAAAGACTTACATGTTAGACCTAAAATCATAAAAACCCCAGAAGAAAACCTAGGCAATACCATTCAGGACATAGGCATGGGCAAGGACTTCATGTCTAAAACACCAAAAGCAATGGGAACAAAAGCCAAAATTGACGAAGCGGATCTAATTAAATTAAAGAGCTTCTGCACAGCAAAAGGAACTACCATCAGAGTGAACAGGCAACCTACAAAATGGGAGAAAATTTTTGCAACCTACTCATCTGACAAAGGGCTAATAACCAGAATCTACAATAAACTCAAACAAATTTACAAGTAAAACACAAACAACCCCATCAAAAAGTGGGTGAACGACACGAACAGACACTTCTCAAAAGAAGACATTTATGCAGCCAAAAAACACATGAAAAAATGCTCATCATCACTGGCCATCAGAGAAATGCAAATGAAAACCACAATGAGATACCATCTCACACCAGTTAGAATGGCGATCATTAAAAAGTCAGGAAACGGCAGGTGCTGGAGAGGATGTGGAGAAATAGGAACACTTTTACACTGTTGGGACGGTAAACTAGTTCAACCATTGTGGATGTCAGTGTGGCGATTCCTCAAGTATCTAGAACTGGAAATACCATGTGACCCAGCCATTCCATTACTGGGTATATACACAAAGGACTATAAATCATGCTGAAATAAAGACACATGCACACGTATGATTATTGCGGCATTATTCACAATAGCAAAGACTTGGAACCACCCCAAATGTCCAACAATGATAGACTGGATTAAGAAAATGTGGCACATATACACCATGGAGTACTATGCAGCCACAAAAAACGATGAGTTCGTGCCCTATGTAGGGACATGGATGAAACTGGAAATCATCATTCTCAGTAAACTCTCACAAGGACCAAAAACCAAACACCGCATGTTCTCATTCATAGGTGGGTATTGAACAATGAGAACACGTGGGCACAGGAAGGGGAACATCACACTTCGGGGACTGTCGTGGGGTGGGGGGAGTGGGGAGGGATAGCATTAGGAGATATACCTAATGCTAAATGACGAGTTAATGGGTGCAGCACACCAACATGGCACATGAACACTTATGATACAAACCTGCACATTGTGCACATGTATCCTAAAACTTAAGGTATAATAATAAAATAAAATAGAATAAAATACAAAATATACAGTAATACAGATTAACCAACTAAAAGAAATTGTAGAGTAAGGTCATTTAAAAAATATGAAGGATAGAGTAATAATCTAACACGTTGAAATCTAAGAAGGAGAAAACAGCGTGTCTGAACAGCATTTTAAGTGGCAATGTTAGAGGTTTTATCAAAATTGACCAATAATATTAAACCACAGGTTCAGGAGGCTTTTGAAAGCAAAGGAAAACACACACAGAGGACACATCTAGAAACATAATGGGACAATTTCTGAAAAGTAAAAGAAAAATGTAAAGAGCACTTGATAAAAAAATTGGGGTAACTACAAAGAGAAAGAGTTGACTGATAACAAATTTCTCAAATGAAACAACGAAAGCCAACAAGTGAGGTATTGATATCTTTCAAGTCCTGAAATAAAATATGTGCTGACCTAGAACTGTCTACTTGGTGGACATATCCATCAAAAGCAAAGATACAATAAAGAATTTCTCCCAAGAAGACCCACAGGAAAAGAAATACTAAAGATTATTCTTCAGGTAGAAGAGCCATGATCCCTGATGAAAGTTTGCAGTTAGAAGAACAATTTTTTTAATGAAAGAAATAAACATAGAGAGAAATTTAATTAGATATCAACTGTATAACAGAATGCTATCTCATAAAGTTTAAAATGTATCTTCCATACAACGGCAGAAGCATATAAGTTGCGAGTTGGATAAATTAATTTTAAAATATTGTCAAGTTTTTTTTTGCAAATAGACAAATGTAGCCATTATATTAGACCCTGAATTCAAGAATGCACGTTGTATTAAACCAGGTAAAACATAACTAGACCAGATTTTTTAAATGGACTCTCTTAAAATTTTTATAATTTATATTCATATTTTTTTAATGTTTCTACTCTTTTATTATTAATCCAACCCCAGAATTTTAAAAGTATGCAAAGTATTATTACACGCCAATAGGCTAATGATAAATCAAACATTATAAATTGCTATACTTTTTTATTGATCATTCTTGGGTGTTTCTCGCAGAGGGGGATTTGGCAGGGTCATGGGACAATAGTGGAGGGAAGGTCAGCAGATAAACAAGTGAACAAAGGTCTCTGGTTTTCCTAGGCAGAGGACCCTGAGGCCTTCTGCAGTGTTTGTGTCCCTGGGTACTTGAGATTAGGGAGTGGTGATGACTCTTAACGAGCATGCTGCCTTCAAGCATCTGTTTAACAAAGCATATCTTGCACCGCCCTTAATCCATTTAACCCTGAGTGGACACAGCACATGTTTCAGAGAGCACAGGGTTGGGGGTAAGGTCATAGATCAACAGGATCCCAAGGCAGAAGAATTTTTCTTAGTACAGAACAAAATGAAAAGTCTCCCATGTTTACTTCTTTCTACACAGACACAGCAACCATCCGATTTCTCAATCTTTTCCCCACCTTTCCCCCTTTTCTATTCCACAAAACCGCCATTGTCATCATGGCCCGTTCTTAATGAGCTGTTGGGTACACCTCCCAGACGGGGTGGTGGCCGGGCAGAGGGGCTCCTCACTTCCCAGTAGGGGCGGCTGGGCAGAGGTGCCCCTCACCTCCCGGACAGGGTGGCTGGCCGGGCGGGGGGCTGACCCCCCACCTCCCTCCCGGATGGGGCAGCTGGCCGGGCAGGGGCTGACCCCCACCTCCCTCCTGGACGGGGTGGCTGCCGGGTGGAGATGCTCCTCACTTCCCAGACGGGGCGGCTGCCGGGCGGAGGGTCTCCTCAATTCTCAGATGGGACAGCTGGGCAGAGACGCTCCTCACCTCCCAGACCGGGCGGCGGGGCAGAGGCGCTCCCCACATCTCAGACGATGGGCGGCCGGGCACAGAAGCTCCTCACTTCCTAGATGGGATGGTGGCCGGGAAGAGGTGCTCCTCACTTCCTAGAAGGGATGGCAGCCGGGCAGAGACGCTCCTCACTTTCCAGACTGGCCAGCCAGGCAGAGGGTCTCCTCACATCCCAGACGATGGGCGGCCAGGCAGAGACACTCCTCACTTCCCAGACGGGGTGGCAGCCGGGCAGAGGCTGCAATCTTGGCACTTTTGGAGGCCAAGGCAGGGGGCTGGGAGGTGGAGGTTGTAGCGAGCTGAGATCACGCCACTGCACTCCAGCCTGGGCACCATTGAGCACTGAGTGAACGAGACTCCGTCTGCAATCCCGGCACCTCGGGAGGCTGAGGCTGGCAGATCACTCGCGGTTAGGAGCTGGAGACCAGCCCGGCCAACACAGCGAAACCCCGTCTCCACCAAAAAAATACGAAAACCAGTCAGGAGTGGCGGCGCACGCCTGCAATCGCAGGCACTCGGCAGGCTGAGGCAGGAGAATCAGGCAGGGAGGTTGCAGTGAGCCGAAATGGCAGCAGTACAGTCCAGCTTTGGCTCAGCATCAGAGGGAGAACGTGGGGAGAGGGAGAGGGAGAGGGAGAGGGAGACCTTGGGGAGAGGGAGAGGGAGAGGGAGACCGTGGGGAGACAAGAGGGAGAGGGAGAGGGAGCTATATTCATATTTCACATATGTTGAAAGTAAATAATGGAAAAGCATGCAATGCAAATATTAACCAAAATATAGCTTTAGTTGTACTTATATTCAAATTTTAAAAGTTGTACACAGTTAAGTCTCAGTGATTTTTTTAAACAACGGAGGCAAGCTGTGCAGTTATAACTAGTGTTATATTATGCTCTTGGTCTGATTACAGAAGGGAAAGGGGCGATCATACCAGACAATGGCAGAATGAAGCAACAAGGAGTAGAGTTACAGAACATGATGCTGTAACTGGGACTGGAGTTACTCTTTTAAAGAATAGTAAACTGGAGAAAATATATGAAACATTTTTTTGAAGTACTGAACATCAGGCAGCGTAGGACTGTGCTCTGCAAGAGAAGAGAAGGAGCCAGAATGAGTCCTGCTTTATTCCCAGATTCTCCGTGACAGCAGTAGAGAGGAATCCCAGAGAGAGCAGACATTGTCATTGCACTGAGGAACCAGATAAAAATCAAAAAAGGTTAAGCAGCTGGAATGTGTAATAGAAGAGAACGTTTACAGAAAAAGGAACCAAGATTCAGCCTAAGGATTCTCCCAAGTCCCTAAGCCAAATGTACATAGGATGAAATTCTAAGGAGCTCAGCAAAGGACTCTACCAGGGAGTTGGAAGAAGAACACTTCCCTGGCTTCACATGACAGGAAGACACGTTAGCTCTGACCAGCCAGAGAAGGGAATCCCCTCTGTACCTCCAGGATATTCAGTAAAGACCACTGGAGGTTCATGCCCTAGAGACAGTGCTCATTTAGCTCCAAATTACAGATGGCTCTAGACTAACTCGACAAAGTTTAAAGAGAAGATTTAAAACAACAACAGACAAATACTCATCCTGAAGTTACTGAACTGTCTGCCACAACATTGTTCAAAGGTAGCCAATAAAATCTAGATATTCAATAGCATAACACCAAAATACCCAAAAAAAAACTCTGACATGCAAAGAAGCCGTAAGATATATATAATTAAGATATATATTAATAGGATAAAAATAAGTCATTTATAAATGACAGAGAAGAAGGAAATTTCAAGGTCCTTAAAGTAAATATATTTTATAAATACATATAGATGAATACATATATATGTCAAGGTACTTAAATGAAAATTGAACATAGGAGAAAAATAGAAGTTATAAAATGAAAAATGTGACATGTATAGATGAAGAATAAATATTTGAAATAAAAATTCCATGAGATAGAATAAGTAATGGATTTTACCCTAACATCAGAAAATTTATAGAAAAAAATAGAAGCTTTACAAACTAAAGGACAAAGGTTAAACTAAAATAAGAAAGCCAGAAACTCACTGATACGTCAGACAATATGCAGCAGTGTAACATACATGTAATTAATATCTCAAAAAGGATGGGTGGAGGAATTATAAGTGAATAAAGAATGGTACACCCATTCCTGAGGGCACCGAGGAGGGAGGATACCTTTAGATTCCTAAGGGAGGGTATTATCCATTCATGAAGGTCCAACCCCATGACCAAACACCTCCCAGTAAGCCCCACCTGCAATATTGGGGATCAAATTTTAACATGAGATTGGAAGGGGCAAGCATTCAAACCATAGCAAGAGTTAAATTTCCTTTTTAAAAAAATCACTGATATGATTCCATTTCGCCATAGATAAAAGCTAGTATTTCAGCCCACCATTGAGTGTGCTTATAGCTCACCAAAAGGGCACTCTTTCTCGGGAATACAGATTTGCCCAGAGGTAACCTATTGCAGTCAAAGAAAGAGCAATGAGGGATAGAAAAGGTTAGTGAAGGAGACCCCAGCGCTGCATTTTGCAACAAACAATGTAAAAATTTTACGGATTGGTTCTGCTAACTTACTACAGTTTACATTCCTCTCAGGTGGGAGAATTGTTGCATTTTTTCTTAAGATAGAAAAGCAATTCAGATTATCTGAAATCTCCACAAGAAAGATAAGGAACATGGAACGTTCTTCCATTTGTTTGTATCCTCTTTTATTTCCTTGAGCAGTGGTTTGTAGTTCTCCTTGAAGAGGTCCTTCACATCCCTTGTAAGCTGGATTCCTAGGTATTTTATTCTCTTTGAAGCAATTGTGAATGGGAGTTCACTCATGATGTGCCTCTCTGTTTGTCTGTTGTTGGTGTATAAGAATGCTTGTGATTTTTGCACATTGATTTTGTATCCTGAGACTTTGCTGAAGTTCCTTATCAGCTTAAGGAGATTTTGGGCTGAGACAATGGGGTTTTCTAGATATACAATCATGTCGTCTGCAAACAGGGACAATTTGACTTACTCTTTTCCTAATTGAATACACTTTATTTCCTTCTCCTGCCTAATTGCCCTGGCCAGAACTTCTAACACTATGTTGAATAGGAGGGGTGAGAGAGGGCATCCCTGTCTTGTGCCAGTTTTCAAAGGGAATGCTTCCAGTTTTTGCCCATTCAGTATGATATTGGCTGTGGGTTTGTCATAGATAGCTCTTATTATTTTGAAATACGTCCCATCAATACCGAATTTATTGAGAGTTTTTAGCATGAAGGGTTGTTGAATTTTGTCAAAGGCTTTTTCTGCATCTATTGAGATAATCATGTGTTTTTTGTCTTTGACTCTGTTTATATGCTGGACTACATTTATTGATTTGCGTATATTGAACCGGCCTTGCATCCCAGGGATGAAGCCCACTTGATCATGATAGATAAGCTTTTTGATGTGCTGCTGGATTCGTTTTGCCAGTATTTTATTGAGGATTTTTGCATCAATGTTCATCAAGGATATTGGTCTAAAATTCCCTTTTTTTGTTGTGTCTCTGCCTGGCATAAACATTCCATGCTCATGGGTAGGAAGAATCAATATCGTGAAAATGTCCATACTGCCCAAGGTAATTTATAGATTCAATGCCATCCCCATCAAGCTACCAATGACTTTCTTCACAGAATTGGAAAAAACTACTTTAAAGTTCATATGGAACCAAAAAAGAGCCCGCATCGCCAAGTCAATCCTAAGCCAAAAGAACAAAGCTGGAGGCATCACACTACCTGACTTCAAACTATACTACAAGGCTACAGTCACCAAAACAGCATGGTACTGGTACCAAAACAGAGATATAGATCAATGGAACAGAACAGAGCCCTCAGAAATAACGCCACATATCTACAACTATCTGATCTTTGACAAACCTGAGAAAAACAAGAAATGGGGAAAGGATTCCCTATTTAATAAATGGTGCTGGGAAAACTGGCTAGCCATATGTAGAAAGCTGAAACTGGATCCCTTCCTTACAACTTATACAAAAATCAATTCAAGATGGATTAAAGACTTAAACGTTAGACCTAAAACCATAAAAACCCTAGAAGAAAACCTAGGCATTACCATTCAGGACATAGGCATGGGCAAGGACTTCATGTCTAAAACACCAAAAGCAATGGCAACAAAAGCCAAAATTGACAAATGGGATCTAATTAAACTAAGGAGCTTCTGCACAGCAAAAGAAACTACCATCAGAGTGAACAGGCAACCTACAAAATGGGAGAAAATTTTCACAACCTACTCATCTGACAAAGGGCTAATATCCAGAATCTACAATGAACTCAAACAAATTTACAAGAAAAAAACAACCCCATCAAAAAGTGGGCGAAGGACATGAACAGACACTTCTCAAAAGAAGACAGTTATGCAGCCAAAAAACACATGAAAAAATGCTCACCATCACTGGCCATCAGAGAAATGCAAATCAAAACCACAATGAGATACCATCTCACACCAGTTAGAATGGCAATCATTAAAATGTCAGGAAACAACAGATGCTGGAGAGGATGTGGAGAAATAGGAACACTTTTACACTGTTGGTGGGACTGTAAACTAGTTCAACCATTGTGGATGTCAGTGTGGCGATTCCTCAGGGATCTAGAACTGGAAATAGCATTTGACCCAGCCATCCCATTACTGGGTATATACCCAAAGGACTATAAATCATGCTGCTACAAAGACACATGCACACGTATGTTTATTGCGGCATTATTCACAATAGCAAAGACTTGGAACCAACCCAAATGTCCAACAATGATAGACTGGATTAAGAAAATGTGGCACATATACACCAT
The DNA here is from genome assembly GCF_000001405.40 of Homo sapiens. NCBI lineage: Eukaryota > Metazoa > Chordata > Mammalia > Primates > Hominidae > Homo > Homo sapiens. The sequence continues at coordinate 42,133,360 of NC_000010.11, read as the reverse complement.
GGAATACTATGCAGCCATCAAAAATGATGAGTTCATGTCCTTTGTAGGGACATGGATGAAATTGGAAATCATCATTCTCAGTAAACTATCGCAAGAACAAAAAACCAAACACCGCATATTCTCACTCATAGGTGAGAATTGAACAATGAGATCACATGGACACAGGACGGGGAATATCACACTCTGGGGACTGTTGTGGGGTGGGGGAAGGGGAGAGGGATAGCATCGGGAGATATGCCTAATGCTAGATGACGAGTTAGTGGGTGCAGTGCACCAGCATGGCACATGTATACATATGTAACTAACCTGCACATTGTGCACATGTACGCTAAAACTTAAAGTATAATAAAAACAAAAAAAAGAAAGAAAGATAAGGAGCACAGCAGAAACTATTCTAGGCAGGAAGTCAATCCTTTCAACTGTCTGTGCTCCATAGAAACAATTGTCTGCACTGGGAGTCACATGAGGTACAGACCACAGCCAGACCTCTGACCCTCTCATTAGTGATTTCAGAAGAAATTACCAGTCAACTGAGTAATTCACTGAGTAAAGTAAACATTTGGCACTGACAGAGGTTAGATGGATAACTATTTGTATCACCATATTCGTGAAGCTGGAATATTTTCCATTACTGGTATCACATCGGAATGAAAGACGTTAAAAGGTCTCTCATCTTGTAAGATGGATATGAAAGAACATTTTCTCAGAAATGAAATTATTAACACACCTGCGAGGTGGATGGAAGAGAAAAAAAAAGAATAATCAGCTTGAGTTCTTCTCCTTGATAAGACAACTCACTAAAAACATAAAGAGAAAAATACAAGTTTAAAATAATTAACCAGAAGAAGACGACTCTAGAGTTTTTAAATTGCTGATAAGATTTTAATTTGCTCCAAGTTGAAAATAATTATATTGCTTGTGTTTTAAGGCACATAATGAGCAATTATATCACACATGATAGTTTCAGCACTAAAATATTATCCGTTAACAGCTGGAACTCATAAAAGCATAGCACAATGTGAAGATGGAATTTGCTAAAATAAACCATCTGCTGAAAACTACTATTCTGCAAATTTAAAAATAAAGTTTAAATGTTATTTGTCTTATTTAATAGGTCTGTGAAAAAAATGCGCTATTTGAAAAGTAGCTGCTACCTTAATTAATTCTTTATATTAGACGGCTGGTTACAGTAATGCACAGTAAGGTGCTACATAGATATATTGCTAAATTTTCTGCATATACTATGTATTTGGCTTAAATTATTTGAAATTTTATAGTTAAAATAACAAATGTATATTTAAATGTTTTGACACAAATTGCAAATATACCTTTAAAAAGCATCTTACACTCTAAATATTATTTGTCACCTATATATTTGTCTTTTCTCTATAGGAAAGTTTAACTTTTTCCCTTGAAGCTTTAATTATTTGAGTCTATAAAACAAACTGATAATGTACAAATTAACAGGAAAGAAAGGTTTACAGATATGTACACAAGTATGCACTTGGAGTTTACATAATATATATAAATATATCTATACAAATATTTGTATATTATAAATAGATATACAAATATATACTATATATATAAAAACTCCAGGAAAGGCAAGGTAGTCAACTCGCCTATGCTGTCTTGAGGTTACAGAAAACACAGAGCTGTAGGTTGGTAAATCAGGCTTTGCGGAAGACAGGTGACGACAAGGAAGAAAGAGGAGCCTGGCAGCAGAGGTTGTCTTGTTACATGGATGAAACCTCACAGGGAGCAGCCCTTCTCTTGGAAAGTATAGATAGGAAATGGTTTTTAGAAATGTAAACGTGCCAGGCTCAGTTAATCTTTCCTAAACCCAGACATGTGAGTATCTCAGGGAAAGCCTGTCTATATCAATGCAGATTTTCTCTACGAATGCAAATCTCCCCAACAAACACAGCTTTTCAGCTATTCTTGTAGAAGAAGCTATCTCCAGTCTTCCGAGTAGCCATCTTGAAATATGTCAAAAAGCTGCCCAGGCACACGCCTGTAATCCCAGCACTTTGGGAGGCTGAAGTGGGTAGATCACCTGAAGTCAGGAGTTGGAGACCAGCCTGACCAACATCGTGAAACCCCGTCTCTACTAAATACAAAATATTAGCAGAGTGTGGTGGTGCATGCCTGTAATCTCAGCTACTTGGGAGGCTGAGCTAGGAGAATTACTTGACCCTGGGAGGCTGAGGTTTCAGTGAGCCAAGATTGTGCCATTGCACTCTAGCCTGGGCAATAAAAGCAAAACTCCATCTCAAAAAAAAATGTATTTTAGGGTAATATTTTGAGTATCTTTACCTCCATATGTACAATAAATATTATTGTGATTTTTAATCTTTTCTCTGGAGAAAACACAGTTGTGATTTCTAGTGTAGCTGAACATCGTTTATTTGACAATATTGCATTTGTGTGTGGGTGTGTGCGTGTGTAGCTACTCTTTAATTTTGTTCTCACATAATGATTAGATATTAACAATTCAGTAAAATGTATGTTTTGCAATATTTCTCCATGTTATTATGCTTTAAATTAGTTTAATCATGCCCCTATAATGTGTACATTTTAACCTTTGACTATAGGTCTCAATCTTACTTTGGTTCCTGTATTTGAATTTATGCTAATAAAGTCCTACAGCTAAAAAAGATTATATAAACTTATCTACATTTTTACTAGTATTCTGGTGTCATTTTACATTATGTAATGAAATCAAATTTTAATTTGGATTATTGTTATCTGAGTTAAGGATCTAAATTTTTAATTTTCTTATAAATATTACATAATTATTTCTGAACCATATATTGACTAATCTGCCCTTTATATGATGTGCATTATAAGAGCTTGGGATTGTTTCATTTGCAAAGATGAATGCTTCAGAAGTAGATATTTAATCATAACATTTCAAAATCTACTGGATAACCTAGAATTGAAAAATAGCCTATAGGTTGAAAAACTCCTGTAGTGAAGAAAGAAAATAACTAATATACAGTGACTATATAAATATTATAAGTATTTATTTTATTATCGCCCTGAAATTTGATAATACAAACATGTAATATCTACATATCATCCATATATCAGGTCATAAAAAATCAATACATTCTTCAAAAATTTAGCATAACAGAAAATGCACTCTCTCTCCTTGATGGAATTAAGTTACAAATAAAAGTAAAAATAAGTAGATAAGTAGATGGAAGTAGATGTTTAAAAACAAAGAAAAATATTTGTTTTGGATAACATAAAATCTCAATTGACAATTCCAATATTTCCAGAACTTTGCCTGTCAACTGGTGGAGAGTTTTCCCCAGGAGACATTTGTCAATGTCTAGGGTTATTGTGGGGATGTCAAGACTGGTGGAGGTGTGAAATTTAGAGGTCAAACGAAACACCTAGCATTGCTAGGGCAGCCTCCCACAACAAAGAATCCTCTGGTCCTAAAGGTAAGTAGCACCAAGGTTGAGAAACCATAATCTAGACAGCAAACACTACGTAGCTATTCCAAGTGCTCAGGAAAACACATCAGTGCCCTCGAGGGGAAAAGTGTAAACATTTTAATTGCCGTACATGGTGACACAAATCCATGTTGTTAATCTAAGTGGAAGGGGCTGAAGCACAAAAGGTAATTCAAAGAGTTTACTTGAGCCAAAACGAGGACAGCTGCCTGGAAGAAACAGACCCAAGTATCCTTGGATATGAACTCCCTTTGGAGCTTTGCAACAAGCAGTTTCTTAAAGGCAAAAAAGGGTCCAGAAGTGGGATGATGCAAAGAGGTTTGTCACAAATTCTCATTGGCTTATGGAAATAACATTTATTAGTGACTGGCTATACACTGTTACACTATTATTGGGTGTGGATTATAGTGTCTGGTGTGGCGTTATTGGTTAATTTATAGCTACAGTGGCAACAGCAAGCAGCCTAGATGAACACACAGCTCAAAGAGGAGCAGGACAGAACTGCTGTCTCATTTGAATATCTCTCTGGGCCTGATTATTTAAAAGGACTTGCATTTCTCACATGAAAGTTATTTTCTTTTCTCAATGTCCATAAATGAGAATAAATAGACGTAAAATAGATCTTTTCGAGGATGAATAAATGGAATGAAAAACAAAACCCAAGCTGACCAGAAATCATAGAGGGAAGAAAAGGTTATAAATATATGGATTTTTCAAAGTGATTTTAAGCTATTAAGAATCAGTTAAATGTTGGGAGATTTTGTATGAGAATGGGCTAAAGGAGAATGTCCCTTTTGCCTTCTGAAGTTTCCCTGAAAATCACTAATAGGAGGCAGATAAATAGAAAAGGCATACAGGTTTCTGCAATGTGTGTACACTGGAGCCCTTAGAACGAAGACCCAGACACACGATGCGTGCAGAAGCTTATTTACCACATGAAGTTAACAGAAAGAATGGGGTCTTGGATCACAGGGAAAAAAAAAAAAAGGTTATGTGAGAAAATGACGCTGGCTAGCAACAGTGGACTTATTACATAGGTGGAACCTCACTGGGAGCAGTCCTCAGAGAGAATAGACAGAAAATGTTTCTTTCAGACCTTTTGGGGACCTCAGACTCTCAGTTAACCTTTCCTAGATCCAGACAAGGGGCAGACCTCAGAGAAAGCCTGGCTGCATCAAGGCAGATTCTCTACTGATGCAAATATCCCCAAGACAGCTTTGCAGCTAAGGTTGCATTTCCAGCCCTTCTCAATAGCCATTTTGAAATATATCAAGGAAATATATTTAGGGGTAAAATATATTAGTTTCCTTCATACAGCTATAAAACATACAGGAATAATTTTTGTCAATGGCTACTACAAATCCAACATAGCAGTAATTATAAAACCCACCAGATATTGAAGAAAAAATATGTAGAGTACATCAATTAGAAATGTTGATACTAAAATGCCAAATAAAATAAAAATAATATCCAACAATGTTTGAAACAGTAAGAGAAGAAATTGGCAAAAAAAAAAAAAAAACAAATATCCACCTTGGGGATGAAAGTGTGTTTCCAAATTTGGTAATCCAATAATATTAATAATCATATTGATTAGCCCAAATTAAAAATAAATAGGGGATTCTCAGTACATGCTAAAATATATTTGTTAAAAGGCAATATTCATGTCTTTAAAGATTTTAAATGCTATAAAGAGTCTGATATTCTATATGCAAACATGTGTATGTCCATTAGAAGAAGAGAGGCCTGATTTTCATATGTTACTACATAGAGATAGAGAAGTGGATAGATTAATTTGCATATGCAAAGAGAAAGCATGAAATAGAAATTTACTATCATATTAAAGGAATTTTAATTCAACAATAAAATAATTCAAAGGTAAAATTTTAAATATTTTTAACAGGTACATTATTAATATTAGATAATATTTATAATAATTGTGAAAATATTCAATGTTAAAATAAGATAGAATGCCTAAACATCAGTATTAAAACTAGTATAAATATTTGCTTGTTTATACAAGGAAAATTCAAGCTCGACCTAAAATTATATAGGAAATAAAAGAAAAATTTTAAGGGAGCTCTTTAATAATATAAACATATATATATACACACACAAATATAACATGTATATATGTTATATGGGATAGATATAGATTTAACATGTTATATCTATATTTGTATCTAGAACTACAGCTGTATGTATCTACATTTCTATATATTTACTCAGTGATATAAATATAGACTGGAATAAATATAAAGACACATATGATTCTTGGATAAAAAGGATTTACTATCATAAAGACAAATTCTTTCCACATTCACTTATGAATTCACAACAATATACAGTTTCATTAGTATAATTTAAAATTTTTAAATAAGTTCCAAGATTCATTTAAAGGAATATACATGTATACAAGCAGTCAAGAAAGAAGCAAGAGTGCACTAAACTAACTTGCTATTAAATTACATTTTTAAACTTAGTAACTAAAACTGAGCAGTACTGATTTGGAGTACTGGAATTTAGGTATATGGGATCTCAAAAGCACAGAGCTCAAAGGAGGCCCCCCTATGCACGAGAGCTTAGGATGTGCTTTAGAAGGCATTACCAAACCACGGGCAAAGTTACTTTAGTGTCTTAGTCTTACTAGGTTTGAAAAGCCAGAGAAAAGACTCAAGACCACCATATAAGAGCAAAACAAAAGGACAGGGAGAGAATGTGAAGATACTGAAACATTTTACATAAAGTTGTATAAAACATCCTTTAAAGAAAATATAAAGTTTAGGATATACGTCAAAATCAGCAGAGCCACTAAATAAATAAATAGGCATTGTAAAATAGCAAGAGAAAATTTAAATTGATTTCTAAAAAATATTGACACCTATGATTTTTAAAATATGTTTAAGAAATCTCGTATTTCACAGGGCAGCCTTTCACAACACAGATATGTTAGGACATAAAGGTCCTTCTGTTTTTAATTTACTAGTGTTTATAGGGTTACAAATGTCTTCTACCCTTGTCTTTTGTCTGATGGTGCAAAAATTTTTCATAAGCATGTATTTCTGAATGCCTGATGGATTGACATATATCATATGCTGCTAGTATTAAAATATGTGATGGAAAACGCATCCAATCTTCTCACTGTTTACATAAATTCTAGGTTTCTCCTATTTACCTCAAGCACGTATGGAGTGAATTCTTACTTTTTAATATTGCCATGGCATTCACATTGAACATAAGTTGAACTCTCTCATATGGTAGCTGGGTTCAGATTCTCTTGACAATTTCCAGTTCTAACCCTCACAGTTCCTCAGTGTGGCTTGCCCAGATATCGACCCTACACAGTTGCCTCCTCCTGGTGACTACCAGCTATGGAACCGTTGGATACAACCTACCTGACTCACCCCACAGACCTCACAGCGCACATGGACAGCCCCCACACGCCAGAGTGACCTGCTCAGTTGCAGCGGGAGTCAAGAAATGTGCCTGCTGGCACTCACCCCACCGACTAGTGCCCCGTGGAAAACTTATATGGGTAATGATCTGGACCCAATAAAGGCTGGAGTCCCACAGACCACTTTTCTCTCTCCTGCTCCCCACTCATCTTCCCCATTTTGTTCAGCCCTATGAGGTGTGCTACTGTATTAGTCCATTTTCACACCACCAGTAAAGACATGTCCAAGACTGGGTAATTTCCAGAAGAAAGAGGTTTAATAGATGCACAGCTCCACATGGCTGGGTAGGCCTCACAATCATGGCACAAGGTGAAAGGCACGTCTCACATGGCAGCAGACAAGACGAGAGCTTGTGCAGGGAAACTCCCCTTTATAAAACCATTAGATCTTGTGAGACTTATTCACTATCAGAAGAACAGCATGGGAAAGACCTGCCCCCATGATTCAATTACCTCCCACCTGTTCCCTCCCACAACATGTGGGAATTTAAGATGAGATTTGGCTGAGGACACAGCTAAACCCTCTTCTCAGCTACCCTCTTCTCTCTGGATCTGTGAGTAATAAACCTACTTCTGTGATTTCCCATGTTTGGTTCTGTGGCCTCCATGGGTCTGAGCTGACCTACACTGGAACCTAACTCTCCTCCTGGCCAGGGTCTCTGAGAGGGGCTCTTGTCAGAAATACACAGGACACAAGTCAGGCAACAGTCACCAGGAATCTCCTAGTCTCAACAGATGTTCTGTGAGAGGGAGGCCTGGTCGTGGAATGCACACCTGGCCACTGCTGGGGTAAGGAAATGTCCTGTGAAAGGCACATGTTAAGCATCCACAACCCCCTGACCAGAACCCCAGAAAGACAGGGCTCCAATTGACAGTCACTCTCCAGAGACAAACCTCAAGCCCTAACTGGAGGAAAAGAAAACAATGTAAAAAGTTGAATTTATCTTACTATTTCAATGATCCAGTAAAGACATTCTATGCCTGTACACCACATATTTTCTACGATTGTGGATTTATTTTAGATAGAATTTTATGTCTGGCTTTCACTTTAGCCTGCATAAGGTAAAAATTTTCCATGGGTTCTTTTCTGGTACTACTATCTGCCAGTGTGGGGTCATGTCCTAGTCTATCTTGAGGGAAACCCCCTGTTCATTTTTGTCAGAATGAGACTGTTAAGTCTTGATTTCCCTGGACAACTTCACTGCATGACTTTTAATATGATTTTTAAATATACCCTTTACTGGACAATAAATTATATAGTTATCTGAGTAAGAGATATGGTCAGGAAGAGGCATTGCCTCATTCAGCTTTTCTCTTTGGTGAACTCGCATATGTTCTCCTCACCCGCCAGTCACCTCTAAACCGTATTGTTCCAGGACAACAAACAGAACTCTAGTGTGTATCTTTCACCACTGGATTTGTGTTTGCTCCATAAAGCTTCATGCTTAATAGGGCTTCTGTTAGCATTTTCTCTATTTATTTTCCCATAAAATATCACAGGCCTTCTTCATATGGAATTATGGGTGATTTCCTTCAATCTGCATCATATCAAGTTGAGGTTCATGTTGAAGGAAAGTAAAACATACGTTGAAAATATCAGTAATGATGTTTTCCCCTCCTTTTTAGCACCTGTGCTTGTGATACAAGCACATTTTAATACAATTGTAGTATCATGCTTTGATCATTCCTATGATGAAAATAACATTTTTAGATAAAATATCTGAGTTTTATGAGGACTTTAGTATGTGATGTGATAGAATATCAGAAGACCATACTTTTTTCTAGTTTTCCGTGCAATTCTATCATTGTTTCATGTTTACTCCTACCAGAGTAATTTTCCAAAATAGATATCTTTTCATTCCTCCTGTTGTTATCAGTAAATAAGTGAAATGAAAAGCTAGATTATATAATTTATCTAGAACAAGAAAGTAGAATTGAATCTATATTCATTAATGAGACTAACCAGTAAATTACACAGATAGGCATTTTACATTTTGAAGATCATATGGACCCATTGTCAGAAATATTATTATTTATGTCTATATGGACATCACCTGTGCATATTTACATAGAAATCAATGAGAGCTGATTTTCATTTTCATTATATATATTTTTTGAGATAGGGTCTTGCTTTGTTGCCCAGGCTGGATTGCAGTGGTGCAATCACTGATCACTGCAGCCTCAGCCTCCCAAGCTCAAGCAATCCTTCCACCTTGGCCTCCCAAATAGCTAGGATAACAGGTGCACATCACCATGCCCACTTTTTTTTTTAACCTTTGATAGAGACTGGGTCTTGCTATGTTGCCCAGGTTGCTTTTGAACTCCTGGGCTCAAGGAATCCTCTCATTTCAGCCCCCTCAACTGCTGGTATTACAAGCATGAACCACCATATGGGCTGGAAGCTGGTTTTTAAAATACTGAGATCATATAGATGACAGCACCTGAAAAATAGACAACACCAAGCTTTATGCTAAAAGGTGTGAGAGTATAAATATTGTTGTGGCTATTGGGGAGGAATACATTAGTAAAACCAGTAAGTTAAAGCTCTTGCTTTAAACTTTGGCTTTAATTTAACAAATGTTCTATGGAGTGACAGTATGTATGTAACTATGCTATGCCCATTCACAGATGCAGTAGAGGGAAGAATTTCTCAAAGACTACTGTTCTAAGACTCAAATTAAACCATACTGGGTTTGAAAAGAGAAAGTCCAGGAATTACCAAATATTTTAGATATCAGATAAAAGAGAATGCCAGGTATGCGATGATAATCAGCAATGGTTGTTCACACAATACATCAAATCAGTATTTGAATTAGCTTTTGAATTACAAGGACAAATGGATCAAGTCTAGACTCTTTAGTAGATAAATCTTATTAGGCTGAGATGTGTTTTCCCCTGTTTTTCCACAAGGAGATTACAAATTTGCAAACCTCAGCTGCTCTCATTTTATGCTCTCAGCAAGCCAAAAGCTGAAGTTCATCAATCAGTGTGTCTAAGTGTTCACTGGTTATATACCATTTTGTAGTTTCAACTATCTTTCCAACTTCCTAAATCATCACCTTCATTTGATCTTGTTTTTTTCCACCATCACTTCTTTATTGACCATATAAAGAATATAAGTAAGTTCTTATTTTGTTATTGTTCATTTTAGTCTAATTTCATCAAAAGATCACAATCTTTTAATTTCATTTTAATTTCAAAGATTAAATGAAACCTACATAGAAATGAGTGTAAGATTTGCGTTTGCATTATTTTGGCATCAATTTGCTATCATCCCTCATGCACATAGAGATCATTTCCATGTACATGATTTTAAACATCCAAGTGAAGTATTAAAAGCAGTTGTAAATTATGGTTCCCATTTTCATGATACAATTACAATATAAACTTCCTCTTGCTGCTGTAACCAATTACCACAAACTTCATATCTTACAATACAGTGACCGTTAATCCTACAGTTCTGTAGTTCAGAAGCCTTAAATGAAACTCACAGGGATAACATCAAGTTTTGGACAGGGCTGCAGTCTTTCTGAGGGCTATGTAGCAGAATCTATTACTTGATTTTTTCCGGCATCCAGAGGCCACCTTTATTCCTTGGAACATGAACTCATTCTTATATCCTATTTTTCTTTTTTTTTTTTTTTTTTGTGATGAAGTCTCCTTCTGTCACCCAGGCTGGAGTGCAGTGGCACAATCTCAGCTCACTGCAACCTCTGCCTCCCGGCTTCAAGTGATTCTTCTGCCTCAGCTTCCTGAGTAGCTTGGACTACAGGCACTTGCCACCATGCCCAGTTAATTTTTTGTATTTTTAGTAGGGATGGGGTTTCACCATGTTAGCCAGGATGGTCTCGATCTCCTGACCTCGTGATAAACCCACCCCAGCCTCCCAAAGTACTGGGATTAGGCGTGAGCCACCATGCTGGGTCCTCATTCTTGTATCTTAAAATTCAGTGATGTTGAGTAATTTCTCATGCCACCACCTCCAAGGTTGCCTTTCTTTTGCCTTCTTCTTTCACTTATAAGGAAGTTTGTGATTTCATTGATCCCACCCATTTAAGACAATCTCTCTATCAGTTTTCCGCAACCTTAATTTCACTTGAAATCTAATTTCACACTGCCGTGCAACCTAACATATTTGTATGTTAGACTCTGGGAATTAGGACATGAAAATTTTGGGGAGGACATTCTTTTGCCTACAGAAGACATAATCAATTTACCTGCAGATTAAAGCGTTCTTTATTTTTCTGTCTCCCTCTCTTAATTTTTTTTAAAATAATATGAATTGTAGTAAAGAGAAAGAAAGAAAAGAAAACAAAGAAAGAAAAAGAAGGAAGGAAGGAAATAAAGAAAGAAAGAAGAAAGAAAAGAAGGAGGAAATGAGGGAAGGAAGGGAGGGAGGGAGGAAGGAAGAAAGGCAGGAAGGGAGAAAAAAGAAAGCATGAACACAAGAAAGAAAGAAGGAAAGAAAGAGAAAGAAACAGAAACAGAGAAAGGAAGAAAGGAGGAAGGGAGGAAGGAAAGGAGGAAGAGAGAATGGTAAAAGGGAGGAAGGCAAAGAAACAAAGAAAATAAAGAGGCGAAGGAAGGAAGGAAAAAGAGGAAAGGAAGGGAGGGAGGAAGGAAGAAAAGGAGGGCGGGAGGAAGGGAGAAAAAAGGAAAGAAAACGTGAGAAAGAAAGAAAGATTATGAGAAAAGGAAGAAAAGGGAGGGAGAAAGGAAGGGAGGGAGGAAGGAAGGAAGAATAAGAGGAAAGAGGGAGAGAAGGAAAGAAGGAAGGAAGGAGAAAAAAGAAAGAAAAGAAAGAAAGGAAAAGAAAAAAGAAAAGAAAAGGAAGAGGAAAAGAAGAAAGGAAGGAAGAAGGCAAGGGAAGGGAAGAGAAGAGAAAGGAAGATGGAAAGAAGGAAGGAAGAACGCAAATATTAAAAATTCTGGGTTTGTTAGAGAATATGCCATACTTTTTTTTTTTTCACTTGAAAGGAAAGAGTATCTGCCATTGAAGATTGGATGTCTTGTTGGTGATATTGTTGTTCTTAACTTCCACATGATTACTGAGTTTGTGCCTAGTCTTTCCATTACTAAGACAAAAGAGATGAAGTCTGCAAATATAATTTTGGATTTTTCTAGTTCACCTTTTATTTCTTTCATGTTTTACCTCATGTATTTGGAGGTTCTGTTGTTAGCTGCATACCCTAATTAGTAGGATGTTTACATCTTCTTGAGAATTGATTATTCTATTATCTATTATCTCTCATCTCTGATACTATTTCTTGTTCCGAACTCTGTTGTGTCTAATATCAATGTAGTCCTTCCACAGCTTTATTTTAGTGTTTCCATGATATGGCTTTCTCCACATCTTGATGATAACCTATTTATATCTCTATATATTTGGAGCAAGATATAAAATTTAGAGTTGATTTTTTAAAGATTTTTCAAGATGGAATTCTTATTTCTTTTTGTTCTATTTGACATTCTCTGAGTTTCCTATATTTGAAGTTTGATTTTCTGTAACTTATTTTAGAATATTTTGGGCAGTTATTTTGAAAAATATTTCTTTTGCTCCATTATTTTTTCCTCTTTTCTTTTTGGGATTTCAATCATAACTAGGGTATGTAATTTCATCTCAGTCTTACGCAGGTACTTTTTCTCAGGGTCTCAGGAATGTAGCCTTCTCACACTTCTGTTCTTTTCCTGGTTGTGTTGGTGAGCTCAGTGATATTCCTCCTTCACCTTCAAGAGCAGTTTTGTTTTGTTTTTCCTGTTTTCATACTCCCAGCATCAGGAGTATTCTAAGTGTGGCAGTTTTTGTTGCCTTCCCCTACATATTAAGTGGAATATCTTGGTCTATTTGGACTCTTATAACAAAATAACATAAACCGGGTGACTAAAAAACAACAGATATTTCTTTTTTCACACTTCTTGAGGCTGTAAGATCTCAGGTCAAGATGCTCAGAAATTCAGTGTTGATGAGAGCCAATTTCATGGTTCATAGATGGTGCCTTCTTTCTATGTCCTCACATAGTGGAAGGCACACAAGAACTCCATTGAGCTTCTTTTATAAAGGCACTAATCCCATTCATAAGGGCTCGGCTCCCAAGACCTGGTCACCTCCCAAGTGTTCTGCTCTCCCTGATCTGTGTCATATACAGACTCTCTTGGATTCCTTACCAATTGCTTGACAGATCACAGTGGGTTTGTGGGGAAAAAGTTTTCAAGATGATGGATCTTTCCCAATTTCTGCAGCTGTCAGCGGTCTCCCAATCTGACCAGCCCCACTTTGTCTTTAGGAATTTATTGATTATTCCAGCTTTACTTGTCATAGTGGTGTCTATTTGCATCTATCCTATGTACGTGCATCTGTCCTCTTTCTCCTTGCAAGTGCTTGTTTTCCCTCACATTTTGACTCAGTTCTTGGCAACCTCGTTGCTATAAAAATAAAGTCATGACTTTGAAGTTAGTTTGGTTGTTTCATTGTTGTCAGGTTAGGAACCCTATTCCATCCCAGATCTCCAAAACTCAGACTTTTTGGGGGGTTGAAATTTTAGGCTTTCTCTTTGAATTGTAGTTTTATCTTCTTTCAGTTACCATTTGCATTTTCATAATGATTAATGAGACTAAGCTTTTTTTGTGTAGTTGACTGTAACTTTGGATTTTTTTAATTTGGAATATAAACACCTTTTTAATTTGGAATTAAAACATCTTTTTTTTAATTTGGAATACAAAGAGAAAAGATAAAAATAGAAAGCTATGCATAAACACATGCATTAAAATGAATTTTATGTGGGCTTTTTCATGAAAATGTTCCTAAGGTATTTTATTTTTTTATTGTGGTAAAATACACATAACATAAAATGTACTCTGTTAACCATTTTAAGTGTACAGTTCAGTGGTACTAAATATAGTCATAACATTGTGCAGCCGTCCCTACCATCCATCTCCATAATTCGTTTCATCTTGTAAAACTGAAACTCTATACCCATTAAACAATACTTCTCCATTTCTTCCTCCCCCCAGCTTCTGGCAACCATCATTGTACCATCTCTATGATTCTGTCCACTTTAATACAAATGGAATTATACTGTATTTGTCCTTCACTGACTAACTTATTTCACTTGGCATAATATCCTCAAGTTTCTTCCAAGTTGCAACATACGTCAGAATATTTCCCTCATGTTTAAGGCTGAATAATATTCCATTGTATGTATATATCATATTGTGCTTATCCATTCATCTGTTGTTGGACACTTCAATTGCTTCTACGTTTTAGCTATTGCCAATAACGCTGCTGCAAACATGGATGTGAAAATATTTTTTCAAGACTTTGCTTTCAGTCACTTTGCTATCCTGAGATGTGGAGCTGCTGAATCATATGGCAATACCATTTTGATGTTTTGACGAACTAACATACTCTTTTCCACAGCAAACATAGGGTTTGGCATTCCCTCCAATATTGCAAAACGAATCGCCACATCCTTGCCTGTGGATTTTATTCACAAGTCCTGTGGCTCTCTCTACATCCTGGCCACCATGTGTTATTTCCTGTTTATGTATATGACATCAAAGGTGCAGGAAGTAATGAACTAAATTGGAAGGATAAACATGCAGAAAAATAGAGGTAAATACTGACTACATAAAACCATAAGAATAAGAATTTTGGATGATCTATATATTATATACCTATTTATCTAACATCTATCTGTTCCTCCATCTGTAATTAAAATATATTACAGTTAGAGAACAGAGGAAAAAGGAGGAATACATGAATTTAAATTTTAATTCTTCTTAGATTGTCTCACAGCATCATTATAGGAAAGAAAATTTATAGGTCAATATCTGTTAACTATAAATGTAACATTCTTAAAGAATTCAAATACATTGAATTACAGCATGAATAATATATTACAATCCATTCAAGTTTATTTTATTCCAGGAACTCAAAAATACAAATTTCATTTGCAATTCAAAAAAAACATAAATCGATACATATGATTGATGTATATACAAATTTAATGTATTTTTAAATATACATTTTTCAAAAATAGAAATTTTTCTATGACAAATACTTAAAATATCACTGAAAATAGTGTTATTAGCTAATAACTTCCTAATAACTCTGGTATTACATAAGAAACCAAAATTAAAATTTCAGGTAAACTTAGAAAATAAAATTTTAAAAATATTATTCTGTTCTCCATATGTTCATATTTAATATTATTTCTTGTTTTCATTCGTCTTCAGTGTTGCTCTACTAAAATATAACATACAATACTAACTTTTGATTTCTGTTCTTATTACTCAAAATTGTGTACATTTTCTCATGCTCTTAATTTAGTTATGCTACTTTTCTGTACTCTTGGAATTTTCACATTTGTGTTCACTCTCTTTTGAGTTCCCATAGTATCAAATGAGCTTTTTTCCCTCTTTCTGATTTGAAGATTCATCTTCTCATAATTATTTTGTCCACTCAGTTTTTTTTCATTCTCAGTTAAGTCCCTCTCATCTGGCTTCTTTTCATTTATAAGGTTTCCTTTCATCTTAAGCCAGTCTTTCATTTATATTTTGATTCTGTTTTGTGGAGGACATACTTCCCTGAATTTTACGGAAGAGGCCAAAAGATTTGTTCAAGTTTTTACCTGATACATTGGATTAAATTATCTAATGTACACACCCTTAATTTAAGTCTAGGGGCGACTGTCTTCTCTTGATTTTGAATAGTATTATTTTTCTTAACATCCAAGTCCATCTTCATCTATTTGTATAAGATCAATAAAAATATATTTGTCCAGAACCCTGCTTTGGTGGAGTTACTTCTTTCTAAGTAGTAGAGGTAGCAGTTGAGACATGAGCTGGGTTCTGGGTCAGTTTAGGGGGCTGGGCGACATTCCTCCTTTTGGTCTGTATGACTGAATGAATGCAGTTCTTGCTGTCTCGCTCCTCTCCTTAACACATTGAGCCATTGCAGCAGATGAGAAGGAATAATCTTGATCTGCCATTCAGGTGGAACACATGTTCTCTCCAACCACACCCATAGGTTGTACCCACACTCGGCCAGAACGTATCCTGTCAATTGTATGGAGATGTATCTATCTATCTAGATAGATATCTACTTTGGTTTATGCTCTCTGGTTGGCCGTAAATTATCTCCTTAAAGTGAATATCAAAAGAGAGCTTGGTGATGGCAGTGTTATAAAATCCTCACACCCACACCCACACCCAGAGGAATTTGTAGATTCTGGGATTCTAATTCAGATACCAAACTATATAAAAGGGGAATTGGTCATTGAGGGTTGCTAGGCTCTTTGTTGAGCATATTTGCTCTTTTCATGACTTCAACATTATTTTAAAAATCTAACCTTTTTCTCAGTCTGCTGCAAGATGATTTGATTGGAATGCATAAGCACTAATTCTCCCCTAAGATTTGTACAATATATTTGCTCTGACAAGCCATAGCCAGCAACTCACTTCACAGCAATTTATAGCATTTCCACCATAAGTTGAATTATGTTTAACTAGACTCTCTTTGCCTTAATCAAAATATGAAGAAGCAATATACTTGTACTAATTAGGTTCAAAAGTTGGCAGTCTCTCTCCTGAAAAGAATACTAAAACTTTACAGCGGCCTAATATGCATCTATAAACACACATACGCACACACAAACACACACACACACGCAAGCACTATTCATAATATTTAAAGCACATTCTGTTCTATGACTTCATTTGTCTAGCACAAAATAAAACGATCTCAGTATATGTCAAGTACCAATTTTTTTCGTATGGCCGATTATAGACATTTTATTTTTTAAAGATTAGAGTGTTCTTGAAGCTCTTTCTATTTCTTTGTCAACGAACTAAACATTGGCAAATATATAGGGTTTCCCACATAAGAACATTATTAACATCAAAATAGAAAGCTGGTGGTAGAAATAATGATTGGGAACACAGAGTCTCTACTCAACGTTCTAGTTCTGCCATACCATAACTTTGTGATCTCAGGAAATATCTCTCCATGTTGTCATCTCTATGTATAGTTCTGTCATTTTTCAATAGGAGCTTTTTGCTTAATTATGAAGTACTAGTTACTATAACCATTATTTTGAGTTTCATGTAAATCAAGAACACCTGGACTCCAGTTGCAAAACATCGAAAATGTAGTTAGGGATTGGGGGCATAAAGCAACATTTTAAAATGTGTAAAGACAATGAGTAAGCAACAAAGTGTCCAATTTTTTAGAGGAAAGTTGCATACGTTAGGAAAAGGGAGGACTAAGTAACAGAGAATTTGAATGATAGCTGACCAACTGGTGTCATTTACAATTGCAAGTCATACAAATGAAGTTTTCTGTTTTAAAGAGAAAAGGAGTTAGTTAGAATGGGTCAACCTATTGGAGAAGAAATGTAGTTGGAGACAATGCCCAAAACCATGTGAGCAAATGCTCTGTAGAGCGCACCCCTGCAATGCTGCCATTGTGAGGCCAAATCTCTCCTCGTCTTGGTACTGAGCCTTCCGTTCTGCCTCCATCATTGCCACTGTAGCTGCCACAAAATGATCCCTCAACCACCGCTGCCCAGGAACAAAGAAAGAATTCTGTCCTTCCGCGCTCTCAGATCAATTTCCAACATCAGGTGAGCCTTTGATGGGCACTATTCAGTTCCCATATCCCTGAAATAGATGCAGTAAAAACATAGAAATTGCCTATGTGTTTCCCAATAATACACATATGGAAGCCTGTTTTCCCACAACAGGAAGGGGTTTGCACAATGGGTGTTCAAAGGAACAATATTCCCTGTAAACCATACTTTGCCCATATGAAGAAAAGCAATAAGGATTATTTAATAAATAGACATGGAAACTCATCCAGGGTTGGCTGATGAGAAGCGGGTTAACAAGGGGGTCTGCCTTCAGTTAGGACAAGGTCTGTGCTTCCCACGGGTTCTCTCCACAGCAGGAGGGATGCAAACTTCCCTTTCCTCCCCTGCACCTACCCTCAAATGGCCCAGAGTTCTTCAGGTGCTAGAATTTCTCAATTAATGCTGCACAAAATATCAGACAGCCTTGACTGTCACAGTCTGTTCTAATGATGCTAGTCTCTGCTCACTACATAAAACAGGAGAGTAAGAACAAGGGTGTTTAACGCTACCCTAGCTCAAACAAGTTTCTCTCTGTAGGATGCCAAGAACCTGGGAACCAGTGCATCTGCTGCTTTTCGTTCTCGGATTCTAGCACAGACAAAAGAGGCAAGGGGCATTTCTTCAGAGGCCTTGAGCTTCACTACACAATGCCCCAGGCTCTACATGCACCCTCTTTATATATTTCTACCTTGAAAAAAAATTTTTATATAATATTAATAATATATATTTTTATATAAGAAACACATGTTTATTTTATAGATAGATATATATATACATAGATAAAGATCTCTAGTCAGCCTTTTTTAAGGCTGGGCTGATTGCGGTGCCTCAAAACTATAATCCCAGCATTTTGGGAGGCCAAGGTGGCCAGATCTCTTGAGTCCAGGAGTTGGAGATCAGCCAGCGCAACATGATGAAACCCCATCTTCACAAAAATTAGCTAGTATGGTGTCATGCACCTGCAGTCCCTGCTACTCAGGAGGCTGAGGTGGGAGAATCGCTTGAGCACAGTATGTGAAGGCTTCAGTGAGCTCTAATCACATGACTGCACTCCATCTTGGGTGACAAAGTGAGACCCTCTCTCAAAAATAAAATAAAATAAAATAAAAATGCTACCACCATACTCACAGATAAGTGTGTCAGGTATATTTGCAGCTATCCTTCCTATATTCTATTTGGTAAAAAAAAATGCAAAGAACTGTTCTCATTCTAGATTTTTGTATTAATTGGACATTTGAAGTTTATAGCAGAAGAGCTACAATCATGTTTGGTATGTGTACTCTATAGACCAGACAGTGCAAACAGATATCAATGCTTTTTAAAATATATAAGGTTATTAGAAATATTTTAAAATACCTATAGGTATATATGTATCTAATTGAACTATCAAATGCAAGTAAGATCATTTCCTTAGCTTGTGAAATTCACTCAATTTATTAAAATATTTTCTAATATCTATTACAATAATATTTCTTAATTAGGTAACATAAGAGGAGTTTTAAGACATTTATTTATATGTACTTCCTAGATTCAAACTCGATTCCACTATTTTCAGAAATCATACTCTGAGACAAGTCCTTTTTTTATCTAACTATGTTTCTGCCTATATTAAAAGACAGATATGTCAATTTTGCTAGTCATGCTGTTCCAAACCTCTCCATCCTGATTATTTTTCGGTTTGTTCTAGCAGTCATTCAGAGACTTACTTATATTCAAATTTCTCTCTAGGTTTAACATTCATGTATGTCTTCTTGTGGTTTTGTCTATTTTTGCTGTATATAATTTAAGACATTTTATTGACATATATCATACATGCAGAAAAGTACAATGATTAAATATGGATAGCTTGATTAATGAAACACATGTATTTGCTTATAGCCATGTACGAAAATAGAACATTACTAAAAATAGTGATACTTCTGCCCCTTTGCAAACACCAACCCTCATCCTCAATAGTAACAGATTTTTTTTTATCATAGAGTAATTTGGTCTACTTTCAAATTTTTATTAAATAAATCAGAGTATCTACTCTAAGTCTATGTTTCTTTCATTGTTGTTATTTTCCTTGTAGTATTTATCTGCTAATGGACACGGTAGATTGAAGATGGCTACATACACATTTTTTAATTAATAGATTTTTTGAGCACTTTGTGGCTCATGCCTCTAATCCCATCACTTTGGGAGGCTGAGGTG
Source organism: Homo sapiens (assembly GCF_000001405.40). NCBI lineage: Eukaryota > Metazoa > Chordata > Mammalia > Primates > Hominidae > Homo > Homo sapiens. The sequence goes on along the minus strand of NC_000010.11, from coordinate 42,113,621 downwards.
CGTGGATCATGAGCTCAGGAGATCCAGACAATCCTGGCCAACTTGGTAAAACCCCTTCTCTACTAAAATACAAAAAATTAGCTGATAGATAACATCAAGATAACATCTGAGTTCTTAGCTGCACTGAGTCAAGCCTACTTACATCTTCGTCTTCCGCTGCACTTTTCCTTCCACATCACAGTCCAGGAATGCCAAGCTGCATTGGCCTTCTACCCCTTTTCCACTATTGTGCCCCTGCCACCGCGGCTTTTTGCCACCGCTGCTTTTTGCCGCCACCGCCGTGGGTTTTTGCCTCCGCTGCTTTTTGCCACTGCCGCCGCGGCTTTTTGCCCCCAACACTGGGGCTTTTTGCGGCTCTTTGACCCACCACTGGGGCTTTTTGCGGCTTTTTGCGCCCGCCGTCCTGCCTTTTTGCCCCCGCCGCTGCAGCTTATTCCCCGCCTCGCGGATTTCTGCCCCCGCTGCTGCAGCTTTTTCCCTGCCTCGTGGATTTCTGCCCCCGCCCCTGTGGCTTTTCGTCACCGCTGCTGTTGCTTTTTGCCCCCGCCGCTGCGGGTTTCTCCAGCCACGGCTTATTGCCCTCGCTGCCGAGGCTTCTTACCCCCACCGCCGTGGCATTTTGCCCCCATCACCATGGCTTTTTGTGGCTTTTTGCCGCTGCGGCTCTTTGCCTCCGAAGCCACGGCTTTTTGCCCTTGGCGCCATGGCTTTTTGGCCCTGCCGCCACGGCTTTTTGTGGCTTTTTGCCCCCACCACTACGGCTTTTTGCCACCGCGGCTCTTTGCCTCCGAAGCCATGGTTTTTGACCCTGCCGCCATGGGTTTTAGCCGCCGCGGCTTTTTGCCCCCGCCGCCATGACTTTTTGCTCCTGCCGCTGAGGCTTTTTGCCTCTGCAGTTTTTGCCCCCGCCGCCGCTGCTTTTTGCAGCTTTTTGCCCCCCCACCGCCGTGGCTTTTTGACCCCCTGCCACTGCGGCTTTTTGCCCATGCGGCTTTTTCCCCCCGTCGCCCCGGGTTTTTGTTTTTTGCACCCGCTCCCGCTGCTTTTTGCCCCACCACTAGGGCTTTTTGCCGCCGTGGTTTTTTGCCCCCGAAGCAACAGCTTTTTGCCCTCGCCGCCACGGCTTTTTCCCCGTGCCGCCACGGCTTATTGCCCCCACCGCCGCGGGTTTTTGCCGTCACGACTTTTTATCCCCACCGCCGCTGCTTTTTGCAGCCGCGGCTTTTTATTCCCACCGCCATGGCTTTTTGGTCCCACCACCGTGGCTTTTTGCCCTCCCGCAGCCGTGGCTTTTTGCTCCTACCTCTGAGGCTTTTTGCCGCTGCGGTTTTTAACCCTGCCGCTGCTGCTTTTTGCAGATTTTTTCCCCCTGTCGCCACGGCTTTTTGCCCCCGCGTCTTTTTCCCCCTGTCTCAGCGGATTTTTGTGGTTTTTCCGCCCCAGCCGCTGCCGCGGCTTTTTGCCCCCAAAGCCACAGCTTTTTGCCTTCGCCACCGCGGCTTTTTGCCCAGCCGCTACAGCTTTTTGCCCCCGAAGCCACACCTTTTTGCCCTCGCCACCGCGGCTTTTTGCGGCATTTTACTCCCCGCCGCTGTGGCTTTTTGCCCCCGCCACAGCTTCTTATCCCCATCGCCGTGGCTTTTTGCAGTCACAGTTTTATTCCACCACCGCGGCTTTTTGGGCCCACCACCACGGCTTTTTGCCCCCGCCACCATGGCTTTTGGCTCCTGCCACTGAGGCTATTTGCCGCCGCGGTTTTTGCCCCTGCCGCTGCTGCTTTTTGCGGCTTTTTGCCCCCGTGGATTTTTCCCCCCGTCTCCGCGGGTTTTTGTGATTTTTTTGCCCCCGCTCTTGCTGCTTTTTGTCCCCGCCACCGCAGCTTTTTGCCCCACCACTATGGTTTTTTGAGGCTGTGGCTTTTTGCCCCCAAAGCCACAGCTTTTTAGCCTCGCCACCATGGCTTTTTGTGGCTTTTCTCCCCCGCCGCCGCGGCTTTTCGCCCCCGCCACTGAGGCTTTTTGCCGCGGCGGTGTTTGTTCCCGCCGCCGCTGCTTTTTGCCCCCCCGCCGCTGCCGTGGCTTTTTGCCCCCGCCACTACAGCTTTTCGCTGCTGCAGCTTTTTGTCCCTGAAGCCACGGCTTTTTGTCCTCACCGCTGCGGCATTTTGCACCCGCCACCAGGGCTATTTGCCCCCGCTTCCGTGACTTTTTGCCACCGCTGTTTTTTCCCCCGCCACTACGGGATTTTACCCCCACCGCCGCGGGTTTTTGCCGCCGTGGCTTTTTTTAACCGCCACTGCCGCAGCTTTTTGCCCCCTCTGCCGCAGTCTTTTGCCTCCGCCGCCGGGGCTTTTCGCCCCTGTCGCTGCAGCTTTTTTGCACCCTGCCACCACGGCTTTTTCCCCCAGCCGCCGCGGCTTTTTGTGTTTTTTTTGCCCCCGCTCCCGCTGCTTTTTGCCCCCGCCTCAGTGGCTTTTTACCCCCCTCAGTGTGGCTTTTTGTCCCCACCGCCGCGTCTTTCTCCAACTGCCGCCGTGGCTTTTTGCCCCTGCTGCCGCGCTTTTTTGCCGCCGTGGCTTTTTGTCCCCGCTGCCTTTGGAACCTTAATTTCACTTGAAATCTAATTTCCCACTGCCATGCAACCTAACATATTTGTATGTTAGACTCCGGGAATTAGGACATGAACATTTTTGTGAGTCCATTATTTTGTCTACAGCAGACATAATCTATTTACCTGCAGATTAAAGTGTTCTTTATTTTTCTGCCTCTCTTTCTTAATTTTTTTTAAATAATATGAATTGTACTAAAGAGAAAGAAAAAAGGAAGGAAGGAAAGAAGAAAGTAAAGGAGGAAATGAGAGAAGGGAGGGAGGAAGGGAGAAAGGCAGGAAAGGAGAAAAAAGAAAGCAAGAACTCAAGAAAGAAAGAAAAAGTGATGGAAGGAGGAAGGAAAGGAGGAAGAGAGAATGGTAACAGGGAGGAAGGCAAACAAAGAAAATAGAAGGGAGGAAGGAAGGAAAAAGGAAAGGAAGGGAGGCAGGAAGGAAAAAAGGGAGGGAGGAAGGGAGAAAAAAGGAAAGAAAGTGAGAAAGAATAAGAGAAAAGAAGGGAGGGAGAAAGCAAGGGAGGGAGGAGGGAAGGAAGAATAAGGGGAAGGAAAGAAGGAAGGAAGGAGAAAAAAGAAAGGAAAAGAAAGCGGAAAAGAAAGGAAGGAAGAAGGCAAGGGAAGAGAAGAGAAAGGAAGATGGAAAGAAGGAAGGAAGAAAGCAAATATTAGAAATTCTGGGTTTGTTAGAGAATATGCCATACTGTTTTTTTTTTCACTTGAAAGGAAAAAGTATCTGCCATTGAAGATTGGATGTCTTGTTGGTGATATTGTTTTTCTTATCTTCCATATGATTACTGAGTTTGTGCCTAGTCTGTCCATTACTAAAACAAAAGTGTTGAAGTCTGCAAATATAATTTTGGATTTTTCTAGTTTACCTTTGATTTCTTTCCTGTTTTACCTCATGTATTTGGAGGTTCTGTTGTTAGCTGCATATCCTAATTAGTAGGATGTTTACATCTTGAGAATTGATTATTATATTATTTATTATCTCTCATCTCATACTATTTCTTGTTCTGAACTCTGTTGTGTCTAATATCAATGTAGTCCTTCCACAGCTTTATTTTAGTGTTTCCATGATATGGCTTTCTCCATATCTTGATGATAACCTATTTATACCTCTATATATTTGGAGCAAGATATAAAATTTAGAGTTGATTTTTTAAAGATTTTTCAAGATGGAATTCTTATTTCTTTTTGTTCTATTTGACATTCTCTGAGTTTCCTATATCTGAAGTTTGATTTCCTGTCACTTCTTTTAGAATATTTTTGGCAGTTATTTTGAAATATATTTCTTTTGCTCCATTATTTTTTCCTCTTTTCTTTTTGGGATTTCAATTATAACTAAGGTAGGTAATTTCATCTCAGTCTTATGCAGGTACTTTTTCTCAGGGTCTCAGGAATGTAGCCTTCTCACACTTCTGTTCTTTTCCTGGCTGTGTTGGTGAGCTCAGTGATATTCCTCCTTCACCTTCAAGAGCAGTTTTGTTTTGTTTTTCCTGTTTTCATACTCCCAGCGTCAGGAGTATTCTAAGTGTGGCAGTTTTTGTTGCCTTCCCCTACATATTAAGTGGAATATCTTGGTCTATTTGGACTCTTATAACAAAATAACATAAACCGGGTGACTAAAAAACAACAGATATTTCTTTTTTCACACTTCTTGAGGCTGTAAGATCTCAGGTCAAGATGCTCAGAAATTCAGTGTTGATGAGAGCCAATTTCATGGTTCATAGATGGTGCCTTCTTTCTATGTCCTCACATAGTGGAAGGCACACAAGAACTCCATTGAGCTTCTTTTATAAAGACACTAATCCCATTCATAAGGGCTCAGCCCCCAAGACCTCATCACCTCCCAAGTGTTCTGCTCTCCCTGGTCTGTATCATATACAGACTCTCTTGGATTCCTTACCAATTGCTTGACAGATCATAGTGGGTTTGTGGGGAAAAAGATTCAAGATGATGGATCTTTCCCAACTTCTGCAGCTGTCAGCGGTCTCCCAATCTGACCAGCCCCACTTTGTCTTTAGGAATTTATTGATTATTCCAGCTTTACTTGTCATAATGGTGTCTATTTGCATCTGTCCTATGTAAGTGCATCTGTCCTTTTTCTCCTTGCAGTTGCAAGTACTCAGGAGTACACTGTTGTTACTAATTACTCAGTATTGGTTGGTACATTGTCAAAGATCAAAAAACATTTTTAAAGATAAAAAAAAATTCTTGGAAGTTGTGCAATGAAGGGTTAATTCTGCAGACATGGCTTTCCAAAACCTTGCACATTCCAAAGGTCTTCAGGACTGGCCCTTGACAAGCTCCTAGGAGATGATAACCTATGAGCCCTTGGTATATGCTGCCTGATGAGAGTCTTTGTATACCTGAAAATGTAGGTCTTATCAAATAGCTGATGCTAACAACGTGATTTCTTGTGAGCACCTGTTTCTATATGCCTATGACTTTGTGTAATGCTATATTAATATGACCTCTCTTAGGGCATAGGGAGGTTGGGAACTAAGTAGCTAAGTTCAGTCACAGGACGCTCGATGCATATGTGGTGGAATCCTAATAAAAACCCTGGACTCAAGACTGACTGAGCTTCCCTAGTTGGCAACAAGTTCACACAAGTTGTCTCACACCATTGTAAAGAAAATTAGTCAGTGTGAAGTCCCCACTATGAAAGGACACCTGTACGCTCACATCTGGTTTGTCCTGGACTCAACTTTATGTGCTTTTATGCTTCTGATTATTTTAATCTGGTTTCTTTCACGTTAGAAACTGTAACCACAAAAAAAAATCAGCTTTCTTGAGTTACGTGAATCATTAAACCAAAGGGGGACTTGGGGACCCCCAATAAAAAGTACATATATTCTTAAAAAGAAAAAGAAAACTGGCTATAGCAGATATTGCTGATGACGTGTCTTCTATGTCCTGGACTCAATGTGTTCACCTGAAATTCACCTGTTTCAAGCTAACTGAGAGCTCCCCACATCATGCCTTTCTTTCTGATTTTTGGGCCTGCCTGCAAGCTTCTTGAGGCTAACCAGTGCTTCTCAACCACACATAGGAACAAAGAAGCAGTTAGGGGTGGAGAGTTAATGATTCTAAGGCAATCCTTAAGCAATAGGAGATGGGGATTCCAGCATCCCCATCTCTTTGTAAAGTTATTTTAAGACAATCTCCATACCTCCATCATTACTGAGCACATAGCAGTAACTACTCATTCACACTGGCTTCGTGTTCTGTTTCATTTTCTCCACTTCTGTGCTTTCTCACTCAATTTCTGATTAAAGTATCTGACCCCAGATATTTGTTTCATAGTCTATTTTTGAGGGAATCCAGAGCCAAGACAATAACAATGGGGCTTTGCAATGAGGGAGGGTGAGTATAATCATCAGAAGGTTACCTACCTCACTGGGAACATGAAGGCCTGGAGAGCTTGCTGTTTCAATGAGAGAAACATGTTGAATTTCAGTTGAATACCTATATATATATATGTGCAATAAGACGTGCCCTTTACTTATATCAAAGGAAAGTGCTCTTTACCTCTCTTTGTTGTTGTGTTTTTATCACTATTGCCTACACAAGCAGAATATCATACCCAGGATTTAAAGCTCTCTCTGCAGGATTTTCAAGCTCATGTTTTTATCATAAGTCACTCTGCTTCCATGTGTTTTAAATCTAATCCTCATTCCTCTGCTTTTACACCAGAGAATTCATCACTGACTTATTTTTGACTGACCTCCTTATAGAGCTGTCAGGTACACAATTTCTGCTGTGATCTTTATCTTAGAGTTCAGTCATATAGCCTCTCACTAGATATCATTTCCTCTTATCTTTCCTAATAATGAATTGTCAGTTAAAACTCAATATTTTTAAGATTGAGCTTGCCATCTGCACACACACACACACACACCATTATTGTTGTATTCTCATAGCCTTGAAACACTAATGTCACGTTGATGTCTGCCTTTTCTTTCTCTGCTAACTCATTCCTCATTCTTAGATTATTCTAAAAGATTCAATTAGATCAAGTTGGCTAATTATATTTTTAAGATCCTCTCTACCCTTACCAACTTTTCGTTTAACAAAATTTAAAAATTTCTGGCAGGAGACTGTTGAAATCCCCATGGATGACTGTGGTTTTACTATTTTACCTTTCAGTTTTAATAGGTTTTATATTATGTATTTTGAGGTAATGTTATTGTGTGCATACATAATTCTTATTTACATGACTTCTTGGTGTATTTTCCCCTTTGTCATTTTGAAATGTTATTCTTCATCCCCAGTGATATTTCCTGTTCTGATGTCTACTTTGCTCGTCAAAGTTTTAGGGGGTTTTGGTTTGTTTGTTTTTCTATTTTTTGGTTCAAGTAAGTTTCTTACAAATCTGTTCGATTCCATTTGATGATTCCATTTGCTTCAATTCAAGGATTCCACTCGATTCCATTCGATGATGATTCCATTCGAGTCCATTTGATGATTCCATTCGATTCCATTCAATGATGATTCCATTAGAGTCCATTTGATGATTCAATTCGATTCCATTCGATTCCATTTGATGATGATTCCATCAGAGTCCATTCGAGGATTCCATTCGATTCCATACAATGATGTTTCCATTCGAGTCCATTCGATGATTCCATCCGATTCCATTCAATGATGACACAATTCGAGTCCCTTCATTGATTCCATTCAGTTCCATTGTATGATGACTGCGTTCGGTTCCATTCGATGATGATTCCAATGGATTCCATTCGATTTCTCAATTCAATTCAATTCCTTGCTGATTCCATTCAACTCCATTAGATGATGACTCCACTAGATTCAATTCGATGATGATTTTATTAGATTCCATTTGATGATGATCCAATTTGATTCTATTCAATGATGATTCTATTCGATTCCATTCAATAATTTCATTTGTTTCCATTCAAAGATTCCATTCGATTCCATTCAATGATGATTCCATTTGAGTCCATTCGATGATTCCATTCGATTCCATGTGATGATCATTCCATCGAGTCCATTCGATGATTCCATTTGATTCCGTTAGATGATGACTGCATTCGGTTCCATTCGATGATGATTCTAACGGACTCCATTCGATGACTCCATTCGATTCCATTCATTGATGATTCCATTCGACTCCATTTGATGATGATTCCATTCAATTCCATTCGATGATGATTCCATTCGATTCCATTCAATGATGATTCCATTGGATTGCATTAGATGACTCCATTGGATTACATTCGATGATGATTCTTTTCGGGTACATTCGATGATTCCATTCTAGTCCATTCGATGATGATTCCATTTGATTATTCCATTCAACTCCATTAGATGTTTTCTTTCGATTCCACTCAATGTTGATTCCATTTGAGTCCATTCGATGATTCCATTCGAGTGCATTCCATGATTTCATTTGATTCCATTTGATTATGATTCCATTCAATTCCATTCAATGATTCCATTTGATTTCATTCGATGATGATTGCATTAGATTCCATTCGATGATTCCATTGGAGTCCATTCAATGATTCCATTCGAGTCCATTAAAGGATTCCATTTGATTCCATTTGATGATGACTCCATGCGAGTCCATTCAATGATGATTCCATTTGATCCCACTCGATGATTCCGTTGGATTCCATTCTTTGTTTTATTTTGATTCGTTTTGATGATGATTCCATTCAGTTTCATTCAATGATCCCATTCGATTCTAATTGATGATGTTTCCATTCGATTCCATTTGAAGAAAATTCCATTTGATTCCATTGATGATGATTCCATTCGATTCTATTCGATGCCGATTGTATTCGATTCCATTCAATGATGATTCTATTCGATTCCATTTGATGATTAAATTCAATTCCATTCTAGGATGATTCCATTCGAGACCATTCGATGATTCCATTCAATTCCATACAATAATGATTCCATTCGAGTCCATTCAATGATTCCATTCAAGTCCACTTGATGATTCCATCTGATTCAATTCAATGAATCCATTCGATTCCATTCTATGATGATTCCATTCATTTCCATCTGATGATGATTCCATTCGACTCCATTCAATGATTCCATTCGATTCCATTTGATGATGATTTCAATCAATTTCATTCGATGATTCCATTCGAATCCATTCGATGATGAGTCCATCCAATTCAATTTCATGATAATTCCATTCGCTTCAATTCGATGGTGTTTCCATTCGAATCCATTCGATGTTGATTCCATTAGTTTCCATTGGATGATGATTCCATTCGAGTCCATTCGATGATGATCACATTGGATTTCATTCCATAATTCTATTCGATTCCATTTGATGATGATTCCATCTGATCCCATTTGATGATTCCATTCGATTCCATTCGATGACGATTCCATTCGTTTCCATCCGATGATGATTCCATTCAATTCCGTTCAATGATTATTCCATTCGAGTCCATTCGATGATTCCATTTGATTCCATTCGATGATGATTGCATTCGAATCCATGGATTATTCCATTCCATTCCATTAGATGATTCCATTCGAGTCCATTCGATGATTCTCTTCGATTCCATTCGATAATTCCGTTTGATTCCGTTAGATGTTGATTCCATTCGAGTCAATTCGATGATAATTCCATTCAATTCTATGCGATGATTCCATTCCATTCCATTTGAAGATGATTCCATTCGAGACCATTCGATGATTGCATTCAATTCATTCGATGACGATTCCATTCAATTCCGTTCAATGTTTCCATTAGATTCCATCTGATGATGATTCCATTCGATTCCATTTGATGATGATTCCATGCGATTCCATTAGATGATGACTCCTTTCATTTCCATTCGATGATGATTCCATTCGTTTCCATCTGATGATGATTCCATTCGATTCCGTTCAATGATTATTGCATTCGAGTCCATTGAATGATTCCATTCGATACCATTCGATGATGATTGCATTCGAGTCCATGGATTATTTGATTCCATTTTATTAGATGATTCCATTCGAGTCATTCAATGACTCTTCGAATCCATTCAATAATTCCGTTTGAATCCGTTTGATGTTGATTCCATTCGAGTCCATTCAATGATAATTCCATTCGATTCTATGCGATGACTCCATTCCTTTCCATTTGAAGATGATTCCATTCGAGACCATTCGATGATTGCATTCAATTCATTCGATGACGATTCGATTCAATTCCGTTCAATTATTCCATTAAATTCCATTCGATAATTCCAATCGAGCCCATTCGATGATTCTATTCGATTGCATTCGATAATTCCATTCGATTGCATTCGATAATTCCATTTGATTCCATTTGAGGATAATTCCATTTGAGTCCATTCGATGATTGTTCCATTCGATTCTATTCGGTGATTCCATTCGATTCCATTTCATAATGATACCATTCGAGACCATTCCATGATTCCATTCAATTCTATTCAATAATGATTCCATTCCAGTACATTCAATGATTCCATTCAAGTCCATTGGATGATTCCATCTGATTCCATTCAATGAATCCATTTGATTCCATTCTATGATGATACCATTCATTTCCATCTGATGATGATTCCATTCGATTCCATTCAATGATTCCATTTGATTCCATTTGATGATGATTTCAATCAATTTCATTCGATGATTTCATTGGAATCCATTCGATGATGAGTCCATCCATTTCAATTTCATGATAATTCCTTTCCTTTCAATTCGATGGTGTTTCCATTCGATTCCATTCGATGTTGATTCCATTAGTTTCCATTGGATGATGATTCCATTCGAGTCCATTCGATGATGATCACATTGGATTGCATTCCATAATTCTACTCGATTCCATTTGATGATGATTCCATCTGATTCCATTTGATGATTCCATTCGATTCCATTCAATGATGATTCCATTCGTATCCATCCGATGATGATTCCAATCGATTCCGTTCAAGGATTATTCCATTCGAGTCCATTCGATGATTCCATTCGATTCCATTGGATGATGATTGCATTCGTGTCCATGGATTATTCCATTCCAATCCATTAGATGATTCCATTCCATTAGATGATTCCATTCGAGTCCATTCGATGATTCTCTTCGATTCCATTCGATAATTCCGTTTGATTCCATTTGATGTTGATTCGATTCGAGTCCATTCGATGATAATTTCATTCGATTTTATGCGATTATTAAATTCCATTCCATTTGAATATGATTGCATTCGAGAACATTCGATGATTGCATTCAATTCATTCGATGACGATTCCATTCAATTCTGTTCAATGATTCCATTAGATTCCAATTGATGATGATTCCATTCGATTTCATTTGATGATGATTCCATGCGATTCCATTAGATGATGACTCCTTTCATTTCCATTCAATGAGGATTCCATTCGGTTCCATTTGATGATGATTCCTTTGAATTCCGTTTGATGACAATTCCATTCAATACCAATTGATGATGGTTATTTCTGATTCCATTGGATGATGATTACTTTTGATTACATTTGATCATGATTCCATTCGATTCCACTCAATGATTCCATTCGATTCCATTCAATGATGATTCCATTCGTATTCATTGTCTATTCCATTCCATTCCATTCGATGATTCCATTCGAGCCCATTCGATGATTCTATTCGATTGCATTCGATAATTCCATTCGATTGCATTCGATAATTCCATTTGATTCCATTTGAGGATAATTCCATTTGAGTCCATTCGATGATTGTTCCATTCGATTCTAGTCGGTGATTCCATTCGATTCCATTTGATAATGATTCCATTCGAGACCATTCAATGATTCCATTCAATTCTATTCAATAATGATTCCATTCGAGTCCATTCAATGATTCCATTCAAGTCCATTGGATGATTCCATCTGATTCCATTCAATGAATCCATTCGATTCCATTCTATGATGATTCCATTCATTTCCATCTGATGATGATTCCATTCGATTCCATTCAATGATTCCATTTGATTCCATTTGATGATGACTTCAATCAATTTCATTTGATGATTTCATTGGAATCCATTCGATGATGAGACCATCCATTTCAATTTCATGATAATTCCATTCCTTTCAATTCGATGGTGTTTCCATTCGATTCCATTCGATGTTGATTCCATTAGTTTCCATTGGATGATGATTCCATTCGAGACCATTCGATGATGATCACATTGGATTGCATTCCATAATTCTACTCGATTCCATTTGATGATGATTCCATCTGTTTCCGTTTGATGATTCCATTCGATTCCATTCAATGATGATTCCATTCGTTTCCATCTGATGATGATTCCATTCGATTCCGTTCAATGATTATTCCATTCGAGTCCATTCGATGATTCCATTCGATTCTATTCGATGATGATTGCATTCGTGTCCATGGATTATTCCATTCCATTCCATTAGATGATTCCATTCGAGTCCATTCGATGATTCTCTTCGATTCAATTCGCTAATTCCGTTTGATTCCGTTTGATGTTGATTCCATTCGAGTCCATTCAATGATAATTCCATTCGATTCTATGCGATGATTCCATTCCTTTCCATTTGAAGATGATTCCATTCGAGACCATTCGATGATTGCATTCAGTTCATTCGATGACGATTCAATTCAATTCTGTTCAATGATTCCATTAGATTCCATTTGATGATGATTCCATTTGATTTCATTTGATGACGATTCCATGTGATTCCATTAGATGATGACTCCTTTCATTTCCATTCAATGAGGATTCCATTCGGTTCCATTTGATGATGATCCCTTTGAATTCCATTTGATGACAATTCCATTCAATACCAATTGATGATGGTTATTTTTGATTCCATTTGATGATCATTACATTCGATTCCATTTGAACATGATTCCATTCGAGTCCACTATATGATTCCATTCGACTCCACTCGATGATTCCATTCGATTCCATTCAATGATGATTCCATTCGAATGCAATGACTATTCCATTCCATTCCATTCGATGATTCCATTCGAGTCCATTCGATGATTGTATTCAATTGAATTCAATAATTCCATTGGATTGCATTCGATAATTCCATTCGATTCCATTTGAGGATAATTCCATGTGAGTCCATTCGACGATTGTTCCATTCGATTCTATTCGGTGATTCCATTCGATTCCATTTGATAATGATTCCATTCGAGACCATTCGATGATTCAATTCAATTCCATTCAATAATGATTCCATTCGAGTCCATTCAATGATTCCATTGAAGTCCATTCGATGATTCCATCTGATTCCATTCAATGAATCCATTCGATTCCATTCTATGATGATTCCACTCATTTCCATCTGATGAGGATTCCATTCGATTCCATTCAATGATTCCATTCGATTCCATTTGATGATGATTTCAATCAATTTCATTCGATGACTCCATTCAAATCCATTCGATGATGCGATGATGAGTCCATCCATTTCAATTTAATGATAATTCCATTCGTTTCAATTCGATGGTGTTCCCTTTCGTTTCAATTCGATGTTGATTCCATTAGTTTCCATTGGATGATGACTCCATTCGAGTCCATTCGATGATGATCACATTAGATTTCATTCCATAATTCTACTCGATTCCATTTGATGATGATTCCATCTGATTCCAATTGATGATTCCATTCGATTCCATTCAATGATGACTCAATTCGTTTCCATCCGATGATGATTCCACTCGATTCGGTTCAATGATTATTCCATTCGAGTCCATTCGATGATTCCACTCGATTCCATTCGATGATGATTGCATTCGAGTCCATGGATTATTCCATTCCATTCCATTAGATGACTCCATTCGAGTCCATTCGATGATTCTCTTCGATTCCATTCGATAATTCCGATTGATTCCGTTTCATGTTGATTCCATTCGAGTCCATTCGATGATAATTCCATTCGATTCTATGCGATGATTCCATTCCTTTCCATTTGAAGATGATTCCATTCGAGACCATTCGATGATTGCATTCAATTCATTCGATGACGATTCCATTCAATTCCGTACAAGGATTCCATTAGATTCCATTTGATGATGATTCCATGCCATTCCATTAGATGATGACTCCTTTCATTTCCATTCAATGAGGATTCCATTCGGTTCCATTTGATGATGATTCCTTTGAATTCCATTTGATGACAATTCCATTCAATACCAATTGATGATGGTTATTTTTGATTCCATTTGATGATGATTACATTCGATTCCATTTGATCATGATTCCATTCGATTCAAATCGATGATTCCATTCGATTCCATTCAATGATGATTCCATTCGAGTTCATTGACTATTCCATTCCATTCCATTTGATGATTCCATTCGAGTCCATTCGATGATTCTATTCGATTGCATTCGATAATTCCAGTCAATTGCATTCGATAATTCCATTCTATTCCATTTGAGGATAATTCCATTTGAGTCCAATCGACGATTGATCCATTCGATTCTATTCGGTGATTCCATTGGATTCCATTTGGTAATGATTCCATTCGAGACCATTCGATGATTCCATTCAATTCCATGCAATGATGATTCCATTCGAGTCCATTCAATGATTCCAATCAAGTCCATTCGATGATTCCATGTGATTCCATTCAATGAAACCATTCAATCCATTCTGTGATGATTCCATTCATTTCCATTTGATCATGATTCCATTCGATTCCACTCGATGATTCCATTCGATGCCATTCAATGATGATTCCATTCGATTCCATTTGATCATGATTCCTTTCGATTCCACTCGATGATTCCATTCGATTCCATTCAATGATGATTCCATTCGAGTTCCTTGACTATTCCATTCCATTCCATTCGATGATTCCATTCGAGTCCATTCGATGATTCTATTCGATTGCATTCGATAATTCCATTCGATTGCATTCGATAATTCCATTCAATTCCATTTGAGGATAATTCCATTTCAGTCCCTTCGGTGACTGTTCCATTCGATTCTATTCGGTGATTCCATTTGATTCCATTTGATAATGATTCCATTCGAGACCTTTGGATGATTCTATTTAATTCCATGCAATAATGATTCCATTCGAGTCCACTCAAGGAATCCATTCAAGTCCATTCGAGCATTCCATGTGATTCCATTCAATGAATCCATTCGATCCATTCTGTGATGATTCCCTTCATTTCCATCTGATGATGATTCCATTCGATTCCATTCAATGATTCCATCCGATTCCATTTGATGATGATTTCAATCAATTTCTTTCGATGACTCCATTCGAATCCATTCGATGATGAGTCCATCTATTTCAATTTCATGATAATTCCATTCGTTTCAATTCGATGGTGTTTCCATTCGATTCCATTCGTTGTTGATTCCATTAGTTTCCATTGGATGATGATTCCGTTCGAGTCCATTCGATGATGATCACATTGGATTTCATTCCATAATGCTATTCGATGCCATTTGATGATGATTCCATCGGGTTCCATTTGATGATTCCATTCGATTCCATTCGATGATGATTCCATTCGTTTCCATCCGGTGATGATTCCGTTCGCTTCAGTTCAATGTTTATTCCATTCGAGTCCATTTGACGATTCCATTCGATTCCATTTGATGATGATTGCATTCGATTCCATGGATTTTTCCATTCTATTTCATTAGATGATTCCATTCGAGTCCATTCGATGATTCTCTTCGATTCCATTCGATAATTTCGTTTGATTCCGTTTGATGTTCATTCCATTTGAGTCCATTCGATGATAATTCGATTCGATTCCATGCGATGATTCCATTCCATTCCATTTGAAGATGATTCCATTCGAGACCATTCGATGATTGCATTCAATTCATGCGATGACGATTCCATTCAATGCCGTTCAATGATTCCATTAGACTCCATTCGATTCCATTTGATGATGATTCCATGCGATTCCATTAGATGATGACTCCTTTCATTTCCATTCGATGATGATTCCATTGGTTTCCATTCGACGATGATTCCATTCGATTCCGTTCAATGATTATTCCATTCGAGTCCAGTCGATGATTCCATTCGATTCTATTCGATGATGATTGCATTCGTGTCCATGGATTATTCCATTCCATACCATTAGATGATTGCATTCGTGACAATTCGATGATTCTCTTCTATTCCATTCGATAATTCCGTTTGATTCCGTTTGATGTTGATTCCATTCGAGTCCATTCAATGATAATTCCATTCGATTCTATGCAATGATTCCATTCCTTTCCATTTGAAGATGATTCCATTCGAGACCATTCGATGATTGCATTCAATTCATTCGATGACGATTCCATTCAATTACGTTTAAGGATTCCATTAGATGCCATTTGATGATAATTCCATTCAATTCCATTTGATGATGATTCCATGCCATTCCATTAGATGATGACTCCTTTCATTTCCATTCAATGAGGATTCCATTCGGTTCCATTTGATGATGATTCCTTTGAATTCCATTTGATGACAATTGCATTCAATACCAATAGATGATGGTTATTTTTAATTCCATTTGATGATGATTACATTCGATTCCATTTGATCATGATTCCATTCGATTCCACTTGATGATTCCATTCGATTCCATTCAATGATGATTCCATTCGATTCCATTTGATCATGATTCCATTCGATTCCACTCGATGATTCCATTCGATTCCATTCAATGATGATTCCATTCGAGTTCCTTGACTATTCCATTCCATTCCATTCGATGATTCCATTCGAGTCCATTCGATGATTCTATTCGATTGCATTCGATAATTCCATTTGATTGCATTCGATAATTCCATTCGATTCCATTTGAGGATAATTCCATTTGAGTCCCTTCGATGATTGTTCCATTCGATTCTATTTGGTGATTCCATTCGATTCCATTTGATAATGATTCTATTCGAGACCATTGGATGATTCCATTTAATTCCATGCAATAATGATTCCATTCGAGTCCATTCAATGATTCCATTCAAGTCCATTCGATCATTCCATGTGATTCCATTCAATGAATCCATTCGATCCATTCTGTGATGATTCCCTTCATTTCCATCTGATGATGATTCCATTCGATTCAATTCAATGATTCCATCCGATTCCATTTGATGATGATTTCAATCAATTTCATTCGATGACTCCATTCGAATCCATTCGATGATGAGTCCATCCATTTCAATTTCATGATAATTCCATTCGTTTCCATTCGATGGTGTTTCCATTCGATTCCATTTGATGTTGATTCCATTAGTTTCCATTGGATGATGATTCCGTTCGTGTCCATTCGATGATGATCACATTGGATTTCATTCCATAATGCTATTCGATGCCATTTGATGATGATTCCATCTGATTCCATTTGATGATTCCATTCGATTCCATTGGATGATGATTCCATTCGTTTCCATCCAGTGATAATTCCATTCGATTCCCTTAAATGTTTATTCCATTCGAGTCCATTCGACGATTCCATTCGATTCCATTTGATGATGATTGCATTCGATTCCATGGATTTTTCCATTCTATTTCATTAGATGATTCCATTCGAGTCCATTCGATGATTCTCTTCGATTCCATTCGATAATTCCGTTTGATTCCGTTTGATGTTCATTCCATTTGAGTCCATTCGATGATAATTCCATTCGATTCTATGCGATGATTCCATTCCATTCCATTTGAAGATGATTCCATTTGAGACCATTCGATGATTGCATTCAATTCATTCGATGACGATTCCATTCAATGCCGTTCAATGATTCCATTAGATTCCATTCGATGATGATTCCATTCGATTCCATTTGAGGATTCCATGCCATTCCATTAGATGATGACTCGTTTCATTTCCATTTGATGATGATTCCATTGGTTTCCATTCGACGATGATTCCATTCAATTCCGTTCAATGATTATTCCATTCGAGTCCATTCGATGATTCCATTCGATTCTATTCGATGATGATTGCATTTGGGTCCATGGATTATTCCATTCCATACCATTAGATGATTGCATTCGTGGCAATTCGATGATTCACTTCGATTCAATTTGATTATTCTGTTTGATTTCATTTGATGTTGATTCCATTCGAGTCCATTCAATGATAATTCCATTCGATTCTATGTGATGATTCCTTTCCTTTCCATTTGAAGATGATTCCATTCGAGACCATTCGATGATTGCATTCAATTCTTTCGATGACGATTCCATTCAATTCCGTTCAAGGATTCCATTAAATGCCATTTGATGATGATTCCATTCGATTCCATTTGAGGATTCCATGCCATTCCATTAGATGATGACTCCTTTCATTTCCATTCAATGAGGATTCCATTCGGTTCCATTAGATGATGATTCCTTTGAATTCCATTTGATGTCAATTGCATTCAATACCAATAGATGATGGTTATTTTTGATTCCATTTGATGATGATTACATTCGATTCCATTTGATCATGATTCCATTCGATTCCACTCGCTGATTCCATTCGATTCCATTCAATGATGATTCCATTCGATTCCACTCGATGATTCCATTCGATTCCATTCAATGATGATTCCATTCGAGTTCATTGACTATTCCATTCCATTCCATTCGATGATTCCATTCGAGTCCATTTGATGATTCTATTCGATTGCATTCGACAATTCCATTCGATTGCATTTGATAATTCCATTCTATTCCATTTGAGGATAATTCCATTTGAGTCTATTCGATGATTGTTCCATTTGATTCTATTCGGTGATTCCTTTCGATTCAATTTGGTAATGATTCCATTCGAGACCATTCGATGATTCCATTCAATTCCATTCAATAATGATTCCATTCGAGTCCATTCAATGATTCCATTCAAGTCAATTCGATGATTCCATCTGATTCCATTCAATGAAACCATTCGATCCATTCTGTGATGATTCCATTCATTTCCATATGATGATGATTCCATTCGATTCCATTCAATGATTCCATCCGATTCCATTTGACGATGATTTCAATCAATTTCATTCGATGATTCCATTCGAATCCATTCGATGATGAGTCCATCCATTTCAATTTCATGATAGTTCCATTCGTTTCCATTCGATTGTGTTTCCATTCGATTCCATTCGATGTTGATTCCATTAGTTTCCATTGGATGATGATTCCGTTCGAGTCCATTCGATGATGATCACATTGGATTTCATTCCATAATTCTATTCGATTCCATTTGATGATGATTCCATCTGATTCCGTTTGATGATTACATTCGATTCCATTCGATGAAGATTCCATTCGATTCCATCCGGTGATGATTCCATTCGGTTCCGTTCAATGTTTATTCCATTCGAGGCCATTCGACGATTCCATTCGATTCCATTTGATGATGATTGCATTCGATTCCATGGATTTTTCCGTTCTATTTCATTAGATGATTCCATTCGAGTCCATTCGATGATACTCTTCGATTCCATTCGATAATTCCGTTTGATTCCATTTGATGTTGATTCCATTTGAGGTCATTCGATGATAATTCCATTCGATTCTATGCGATGATTCCATTCCATTCCATTTGAAGATGATTCCATTCGAGACCATTCGATGATTGCATTCAATTCATTCGATGACGATTCCATTCAATGCCGTTCAATGATTCCATTAGATTCCATTCGATGATGATTCCATTCGATTCCATTTGGTGATGATTCCATGTGATTCCATTAGATGATGACTCCCTTCATTTCCATTCGATGATGATTCCATTGGTTTCCATTCGACGATGATTCCATTCGATTCCTTTCAATGATTATTCCATTCGAGTCCATTCGATGATTCCATTCGAATCTATTCGATGATGATTGCATTCGGGTCCATGGATTATTCCATTCCATAACTTTAGATGATTGCATTCGTGGCAATTCGATGATTCTCTTCGATTCCATTAGATAATTCCGTTTGATTCCGTTTGATGTTGATTCCATTCGAGTCCATTCAATGATAATTCCATTCGATTCTATGCGATGATTCCATTCCTTTCCATTTGAAGATGATTCCATTCGAGACCATTCGATGATTGCATTCAATTCTTTCGATGACGATTCCATTCAATTCCGTTCAAGGATTCCATTAGATGCCACTTGATGATGATTCCATTCGATTCCATTTGATGATGATTCCATGCCATTCCATTAGATGATGACTCCTTTCATTTCCATTCAATGAGGATTCCATTCGGTTCCATTTGATGATGATTCCTTTGAATTCCATTTGATGACATTTGCATTCAATACCAATAGATGATGGTTATTTTTGATTCCATTGGATGATGATTACATTTGATTCCATTTGATCATGATTCCATTCGATTCCACTCGATGATTCCATTCGTTTTCATTCAATGATGATTCCGTTCGATTCCATTTGATCATAATTCCATTCGATTCTACTCGATGATTCCATTCGATTCCATTAAATGATGATTCCACTCGAGTTCCTTGACTATTCCATTCCATTAAATTCGATGATTCCACTCGAGTCCATTCGATGAGTCTATTCAATTGCATTCCATAATTCCATTCGATTGCATTTGATAATTCCATTCGATTCCATTTGAGGATAATTCAATTTGAGTCCATTCGATGATTGTTCCATTCGATTCTATTCGTGATTCCATTCGATTCCATTTGATAATGATTCCATTCGAGACCATTCGATGATTCCATTCAATTCCATGCAATAATGATTCCATTCGTGTCCATTCAATGATTCCATTCAAGTCCATTCGAAGATTCCATGTGATTCCATTCAATGAATCCATTCGATCCATTCTGTGATGATTCCATTCATTTCCATCTGATGATTATTCCATTCGATTCCATTCAATGATTCCATCCGATTCCATTTGACGATGATTTCAATCAATTTCATTCGATGACTCCATTCGAATCCATTCGATGATGAGTCCATCCATTTCAATTTCATGATAATTCCATTCGTTTACATTCGATGGTGTTTCCATTCGATTCCATTCGATGTTCATTCCATTAGTTTCCATTGGATGATGATTCCGTTCGAGTCCATTCGATGATGATCACATTTGATTTCATTCCATAATGCTATTCGATGTCATTTGATGATGATTCCATCTGATTCCATTTGATGATTCCATTCGATTCCATTCGATGATGATTCCATTCGTTTCCATCCGGTGATGATTCCATTCGATTCCGTTAAATGTTTATTCCATTCGAGTCCATTCGACGATTCCATTCGATTCCATTTGATGATGATTGCATTCGATTCCATGGATTTTTCCATTCTATTTCATTAGATGATTCCATTCGAGTCCATTCGATGATTCTCTTCGATTCCATTCGATAATTCCGTTTGATTCCGTTTGATGTTGATTCCATTTGAGTCCATTCGATGATAATTCCATCCGATTCTATGCGATGATTCCATTCCATTCCATTTGAAGATGATTCCATTCGAGACCATTCGATGATTGCATTCAATTCATTCGATGACGATTCCATTCAATGCCGTTCAATGATTCCATTAGATTCCATTCGATGATGATTCCATTCGATTCCATTTGAGGATTCCATGCCATTCCATTAGATGATGACTCGTTTCATTTCCATTCGATGATGATTCCATTGGTTTCCATTCGACGATGATTCCATTCGGTTCCGTTCAATGATTATTCCATTCGAGTCCATTCGATGATTCCATTCGATTCTATTCGATGATGATTGCCTTCGGGTCCGTGGATTCATCCATTCCATTCCATTAGATGATTCCATTCGTGGCCATTCGATGATTCTCTTCGATTCCATTCGATAATTCCGTTTGATTCCGTTTGATGTTGATTCCATTCGAGTACATTCAATGATAATTCCATTCGATTCTATGCGATGATTCCATTCCTTTCCATTTGAAGATGATTCCATTCGAGACCATTCGATGGTTGCATTCAATTCATTCGATGACCATTCCATTCAATTCCGTTCGGTGATTCCATTAGATTTCATTTGATGATCATTCCATTCGATTCCATTTGATGATGATTCCATGCGATTCCATTAGATGATGACTCCTTTCATTTCCATTCGATGATGATTCCATTCGTTTCCATTCGACGATGATTCCATTCGGTTTCGTTCAATGATTATTCCATTCGAATCCATTCGATGATTCCATTCGATTCTATTCGATGATGATTGCATTCGGGTCCATGGATTATTCCATTCCATTCCATTAGATGATTCCATTCGTGGCCATTCGATGATTCTCTTCGATTCCGTTCGATAATTCCATTTGATTCCGTTTGATTTTGATTCCATTCGAGTCCATTCGATGATAATTCCATTCGATTCTATGCGATGATTCCATTCCTTTCCATTTGAAGATGATTCCATTCGAGTCCCTTCGATGATTGCAATCAATTCATTCGATGACGATTCCATTCAATTCCGTGAAATGATTCCATTCGATTCCATTTGATGATGATTCCATTCGATTCCATTTGATGATGATTCCATGCGATTCCATTAGATGATGACTCCTTTCATTTCCATTCAATGAGGATTCCATTCGGTTCCCTTTGATGATGATTCATTGAATTCCATTTGATGACAATTCCATTCAATACCAATTGATGATGGTTATTTTTGATTCCATTTGATGATGATTACATTCGATTCCATTTGATCATGATTCCATTCGATTCCACTCGATGATTACATTCGATTCCATTCAATGATTATTCCATTCGAGTTCATTGACTATTCCATTCCATTCCTTTCGATGATTCCATTCGAGTCCATTCGATGATTCTATTCGATTGCATTCGATAATTCCCATCGATTGCATTCGATAATTCCATTCGATTCCATTTGAGGATAATTCCATTTGAGTCCATTCAATGATTGTTCCATTCGTTTCTATTCGGTGATTCCATTCGATAATGATTCCTTTCGAGACCATTCGATGATTTCGTTCAATTCCATTTAATAATGATTCCATTCGAGTCCGTTCAATGATTCCATTCAAGTCCGTTTGATGATTCCATCTGATTCCATTCAGTGAATCCATTCGATTCCATTCTATGATGATTCCATTCATTTCCATGTGATGATGATTCCATTCGATTCCATTCAATGATTCCATTCGATTCCTTTTGATGATGATTTCAATCAATTTCATTCGATGATTCCATTCGAATCCATTCGATGATGAGTCCATCCATTTCAATTTCATGATAATTCCATTCGTTTCAATTCGATGGTGTTTCCATTCGATTCCATTCGATGTTGATTCCATTAGTTTCCATTGGATGATGATTCCGTTCGAGACCATTCAATGATGATCACATTGGATTTCATTCCATAATTCTATTCGATTCCATTTGATGATGATTCCATCTGATTCCATTTGATGATTCCATTCGATGATGATTCCATTCGTTTCCATCCGGTGATGCTTCCATTCTATTCCGTTCAATGATTATTCCATTCGAGTCCATTCGACGATTCCATTCGATTCCATTTCATGGTTATTGCATTCGAGTCCATGGATTATTCCATTCTATTTCATTAGATGATTCCATTCGAGTCCATTCGATGATTATCTTCGATTCCATTTGATAATTCCGTTTGATTCCGTTTGATGTTGATTCCATTTGAGTCCATTCGAAGATAATTCCATTCGATTCTATGGGATGATTCCATTCCATTCCAATTGAAGATGATTCCATTCGAGACCATTCGATGATTGCATTCAAATCATTCGATAACAAGTCCATTCAATTCCGTTCAATGATTCCATTAGATTCCATTCGATGATGTTTCCTTTCGATTCCATTTATTGATGATTCCATGCTATTCCATTAGATGATGACTCTTTCATTTCCATTCCATGATGATTCCATTCAATTCCATTCGACGTTGATTCCATTCAATTCCGTTCAGTGTTTATTCCATTCGAGTCAATTCGACGATTGCATTCGATTCTATTTGATGATGATTGCATTCGGGTCCGTGGATTATTCCATTCCATTTCATTAGATGATTCCGTTCGTGGCCATTCGATGATTCTCTTCGATTCCATTCGATAATACCGTGTGATTCCGTTTGATGTTGATTCCATTCGAGTCCATTCAAAGACAATTCCATTCGATTCTATGCGATGATTCCATTGCTTTCAGTTTGAAGATGATTCCATTCGAGACCATTCGATGTTTGCATTCAATTCATTCGTTGACGATTCCATTCAATTCCGTTCAAAGACTCCATTAGATTCCATTTGATGATGATTCCATTCGATTCCATGTGATGATGATTCCATGCGATTCCATTAGATGATGATTCCTTTCATTTCCATTTAATGAGGATTCCATTCGGTTCCATTTGATGATGATTCCTTGGAATTCCATTAGATGACAATTCCATTCAATATCAATTGATGATGGTTATTTTGATTCCATTTGATGATGATTACATTCGATTCCATTTGATCATGATTCCATTCGATTCCACTCGATGATTCCATTCGATTCCATTCAATGATGATTCCATTCGAGTTCATTGACTATTCCATTCCATTCCATTCCATGATTCCATTCGAGTCCATTTGATGATTCTATTCGATTGCATTCGATAATTCCATTCGATAACATTTGAGGATAATTCCATTTGAGTCCATTCGATGATTGTTCCATTCGATTCTATTCGGTGATTCCATTCGATTCCATTTGATAATGATTCCATTCGAGTCCATTCAATGATTCCATTCAAGTCCATTTGATGATTCCATCTGATTCCATTCAATGAATCCATTCGATTCCATTCTATGATGATTCCATTCATTTCCATCTGATGATGATTCCATTCGATTCCATTCAATGATTCCATTCGATTCCATTTGATGATGATTCTATGCGATTCCATTAGATGATGACTCCTTTCATTTCCATTCAATGAGGATTCTATTTGGTTCCATTTGATGATGTTTCCTTTGAATTCCATTTGATGACAATTCCATTCAATACCAATTGAAGATGGTTATTTTGGATTCTATTTTATGGTGATTACATTCGATTCCATTTGATCATGATTCCATTCGATTCCACTCGATGATTCCATTCGATTCCATTCAATGAGGATTCCATTCGAGTTCGTTGACTATTCCACTCCATTCCATTCCACGATTCCATTCGAGTCCATTCAATGATTGTATTCGATTGCATTCGATAATTCCATTCGATTGCATTCGAGAATTCCATTCGATTCCATTTGAAGATAATTCCATTTGAGTCCATTCGATGATTGTTCCTTTCGATTCTATTTGGTGATTCCATTCGATTCCATCTGATAATGATTCTATTCTAGACCATTCGATGATTCCATTCAATTCCATTCAATAATGATTCTATTCGAGTCCATTCAATGATTCCATTCAAGTCCATTTGATGATTCCATCTGATTCCATTCAATGAATCCATTCGATTGCATTCTATGATGATTCCATTCATTTCCATCTGATGATGATTCCATTCCATTCCATTCAATGATTCCATTTGATTCCATTTGATGATGATTTCAATCAATTTCATTCGATGATTCCATTCAAATCCATTCGATGATGAGTGCATCCATTTCAATTTCATGATAATTCCAATCGTTTCAATTCGATGGTGTTTCCACTCTATTCCATTCGATGTTGATTCCATTAGTTTCCATTGGATGATGATTCCGTTCGAGTCCATTCAATGATGATCACATTGGATTTCATTGGATGAAATTCTATTCTATTGATAGAATTATGAAATTCATAATTCTATTCGATTCCATTTGATGATGATTCCATCTGATTTCATTTGATGAATCCATTCGATTCATTCGATGACGATTCCATTCAATTCCGTTCAATGATTCCATTAGATTCCATTCGATGATGATTCCATTCGATTCCATTTGATGATGATTCCATGCGATTCCATTAGATGATGACTCCTTTCATTTCCATTCGATGATGATTCCATTCGTTTCCATACGACGATGATTCCATTCGATTCCGTTCAATGATTATTGCATTCGAGTCCATTCGATGATTCCATTCGATTCTATTTGATGATGATTGCATTCGGGTCCGTGGATTAATCCATTCCATTCCATTAGATGATTCCATTCGTGGCCATTCGATGATTCTCTTCGATTCCATTCGACAATTCCGTTTGATTCCGTTTGATGTTGATTCCATTCGAGTCCATTCAATGACAATTCCATTCTCTTCTAGGCGATGATTCCATTCCTTTCCATTTGAAGATGATTCCATTCGAGAACATTCGATGATTGCATTCAATTCATTCGATGACGATTCCATTCAATTCCGTTCAATGATTCCATTAGATTCCATTTGATGATGATTCCATTCGATTCCATGTGATGATGATAACATGCCATTCCATTAGATGATGACTCCTTTCATTTCCATTCAATGAGGATTCCATTCGGTTCCATTTGATGATAATTCCTTTGAATTCCATTTGATGACAATTCCATTCAATACCCATTGATGATGGTTATTTTTGATTCCATTTGATGATGATTACACTCGATTCCATTTGATCATTATTCCATTCGATTCCACTCGATGATTCCATTCGATTCCATTCAATGATGATTCCATTCGATTCCATTTGATCATGAATCCATTCTATTCCACTCGATGATTCCATTCGATTCCATTCAATGATGATTCCATTCGAGTTCATTGACTATTCCATTCCCTTCCATTCGATGATTCCATTCGAGTCCATTCGATGATTCTATTCGATTGCATTCGATAATTCCAATCGATTGCATTCGATAATTCCATTCGATTCCATTTGAGGAAAATTCCATTTGAGTCCATACAATGATTGTTCCATTTGATTCTATTCGGTGGTTCCATTCGATTCCGTTTGATAATGATTGCATTCGAGACCATTCGATGATTCCATTCAATTCCATTCAGTAATGATTCCATTCGAGTCCATTCAATGATTCCCTTCAAGTCCATTCGAAGATTCCATCAGATTCCATTCAATGAATCCGTTCGATTCCATTCAATGATGATTCCATTCATTTCCACCTGATGATGATTCCATCCGATTCCATTCAATGATTCCATTCGATTCCATTTGATGATGATTTCTATCAATTTCATTCGGTGATTCCATTCGAATCCATTCGATGATGAGTCCATCCATTTCAATTTCATGATAATTCCATTCGTTGCAATTCGATGGCGTTTCCATTCCATTCCATTCGATGTTGATTCCATTAGTTTCCATTGGATGATGATTCCGTTCGAGTCCATTCGATGATGATCACATTGGATTTCATTCCATAATTCTATTCGATTCCATTTGATGATGATTCCATCTGATTCCATTTGATGATTCCATTCGATTCCATTCGATGATGATTCCATTCGTTTCCATCCGGTGACGATTCCATTCGATTCCGTTGAATGTTTATTCCACTCGAGTCCATTCGACGATTCCATTCGATTCCATTTGATGATGATTGCATTCGAGTCCATGGATTATTCCATTCTATTTCATTAGATGATTCCATTCGAGTCCATTCGATGATTCTCTTCGATTCCATTCGATAATTCCGTTTGATTCCGTTTGATGTTGATTCCATTTGAGTCCATTCGATGATAATTCCATTCGATTCTATGCGATGATTCCATTCCATTCCATTTGAAGATGATTCCATTCGAGAACATTCGATGATTGCATTCAATTCATTCGATGACGATTCCATTCACTTCCGTTCAATTATTCCATTAGATTCCATTCGATGATGATTCCATTTGATTCCATTTGATGATGATTCCGTGCTATTCCATTAGATGATGACTCCTTTCATTTCCATTCGATGATGATTCCATGCGTTTCCATTCGACGATGATTCCATTCGATTCCGTTCAATGATTATTCCATTCGTGTCCATTCGATGATTCCAGTCGATTCTATTCGATGATGATTGCATTCGGCTCCATGGATTATTCCATTCCATTCCATTAGATGATTCCATTCGTGGCCATTCGATGATTCCCTTCGATTCCATTTGATAATTCCGTTTGATTCCGTTTGATGTTGATTCCATTCGAGTCCATTCGATGATAATTCCATTCGATTCTATGAGATGATTCCATTCCTTTCCATTTGAAGATGATTCCATTCGAGACCATTCGATGATTGCATTCAATTCATTCGATGACGATTCGATTCAATTCCGTTCAATGATTCCATTCGATTCCATTTGATGATGATTCCATTCGATTCCATTTGATGATGATTCCATGCGTTTCCATTAGATGATGACTCCTTTCATTTCCATTCAATGAGGATTCCATTCGGTTCCATTTGATGATGATTCCTTTGAATTCCATTTGATGACAATTCCATTCCATACCAATTGATGATGGTGATTTTGGATTCCATTTGATGATGATTACATTCGATTCCATTTGATCATGATTCCATTCGATTCCACTCGATGATTCCATTCGATTCCATTCAATGATGATTCCATTCGAGTTCATTGACTCTTCCATTCCATTCCATTCGATGATTCCATTCAAGTTCATTCGATGATTCTATTCGATTGCATTCGATAATTCCATTCGATTGCATTCGATAATTCCATTCGATTCCATTTGAGGATAATTCCATTTGAGTCCATTCGATGATTGTTCCATTCGATTCTATTCGGTGATTCCATTCGATTCCATTTGATAATTATTCCGTTCGAGACCATTCGATGATTCCATTCAATTCCATTCAATAAAGATTCCATTCGAGTCCATTCAATGATTCCATTCAAGTCCATTCGATAATTCCATCAGATTCCATTCAATGTATCCATTCGATTCCATTCAATGATGATTCCATTCATTTCCATCTGATGATGATTCCATTCGATTCCATGCAATGATTCCATTCGATTCCATTTGATGATGATTTCTATCAATTTCATTCGGTGATTCCATTCGAATCCATTCGATGATGGGTCTATCCATTTCAATTTCATGATAATTCCATTCGTTTCAATTCGATGGCGTTTCCATTCGATTCCATTCGATGTTGATTCCAGTAGTTTCCATTGGATGATGATTCCATTCGAGTCCTTTCGATGATGATCACATTGCATTTCATTCCATAATTCTATTCGATTCCATTTGATGATGATTCCATCTGATTCCATTTGATGATTCCATTCGATTCCATTCGATGATGATTCCATTCGTTTCCATCCGGTGACGATTCCATTCGATTCCCTTCAATGTTTATTCCACTCGAGTCCAATCGACGATTCCATTCGATTGCATTTTATGATGATTGCATTCGAGTCCATGGATTATTCCATTCTATTTTATTCGGTGATTCCATTCGAGTCCATTCGATGATTCTCTTTGATTCCATTCGATAATTCCGTATGATTCCGTTTGATGTTGATTCCATTTGAGTCCATTCGATGATAATTCCATTCGGTTCTATACGATGATTCCATTCCATTCCATTTGAAGATCATTCCATTCGAGACCATTCGATGATTGCATTCAATTCATTCGATGACGATTCCATTCACTTCCGTTCAATTATTCCATTAGATTCCATTCGATGATGATTCCATTCGATTCCATTTGATGATGATTCCGTGCTATTCCATTAGATGATGACTCCTTTCATTTCCATTCGATGATGATTCCATGCGTTTCCATTCGACGATGATTCCATTCGATTCCGTTCAATGATTATTCCATTCGTGTCCATTCGATGATTCCATTCGATCCTATTCGATGATGATTGCATTCGTGTCCATGGATTATTCCATTCCATTCCATTAGATGATTCCATTCGTGGCCATTCGATGATTCTCTTCGATTCCATTCGATAATTCCGTTTGATTCCGTTTGATGTTGATTCCATTCGAGTCCATTCGTTGATAATTCCATTCGATTCTGTGCGATGATTCCATTCCTTTCCATTTGAAGATGATTCCATTCGAGACCATTCGATGATTGCACTCAATTCATTCGATGACGATTCCATTCAATTCCGTTCAATGATTCCATTAGATTCCATTTGATGATGATTCCATTCGATTCCATTTGATGATGATTCCATGCGATTCCATTAGATGATGACTCCTTTCATTTCCATTCAATGATGATTCCATTCGGTTCCACTTCATGATGATTCCTTTGAATTCCATTTGATGACAATTCCATTCAATACCAAGTGATGATGGTTAATTTGGATTCCATTTGATGATGATTACATTCGATTGCATTTGATCATGATTCCATTCGATTCCACTCGATGATTCCATTGGATTCCATTCAATGATGATTCCATTCGAGTTCATTGACTATTCCATTCCGTTCCATTCGATGATACCATTCGAGTCCATTCGATGATTCTATTCGATTGCATTCGATAATTCC
Source organism: Homo sapiens (assembly GCF_000001405.40). Lineage (NCBI taxonomy): Eukaryota > Metazoa > Chordata > Mammalia > Primates > Hominidae > Homo > Homo sapiens. Next base: position 42,083,549 of record NC_000010.11, on the reverse strand, counting down.
ATTCGATTCCATTTGAGGATAATTCCATTTGAGTGCATTCGATGATTGTTCCATTCGATTCTATTCGGTGATTCCATTCGATTTCATTTCATAATTATTCCATTCGAGGCCGTTCAATGATTCCATTCAATTCTATTCAATAATGATTCCATTCGAGTCCATTCAATGATTCCATTCATGTCCATTCGATGATTCCATCTGATTCCATTCAATGAATTCGTTTGATTCCATTCTATGATGATAACGTTCATTTCCATCTGATGATGATTCCATTCGATTCCATTCAATGATTCCATTCGATGATGATTTCAATCAATTTCATTCGGTGATTCCATTCAAATCCATTCGATGATGAGTCCATCCATTTCAATTTCATGATAATTCCATTCGTTTCAATTCGATGGTGTTTCCATTCGATTCCATTTGATGTTGATTCCATTAGTTTCCATTGGATGATGATTCCGTTCGAGTCCATTCGATGATGATCACATTAGATTTCATTGCATAATTCTATTCGATTCCATTTGATGATGATTCCATCTGATTCCATTTGATGATTCCATTCGATTCCATTCGATGATGATCCCATTCGTTTCCATCCGTTGACGATTCCATTCGATTCCGTTCAATGTTTATTCCATTCGAGTCCATTCGACTATTCCATTCGATTCCATTTGATGATGATTGCATTCGAGTCCATGGATTATTCCATTCTATTTCATTAGATGATTCCATTCGAGTCCATTCGATGATTCTCTTCGATTCCATTCGATAATTCCGTTTGATTCCGTTTGATGTTGATTCCATTTGAGTCCATTCGATGATAATTCCATTCGATTCTATGCGATGATTCCATTCCATTCCATTTGAAGATGGTTACATTCGAGACCATTCGATGATTGCATTCAATTCATTCGATGACGATTCCATTCACTTCCGTTCAATTATTCCATTAGATTCCATTCGATGATGATTCCATTCGATTCCATTTGATGATGATTCCGTGCGATTCCATTAGATGATGACTCCTTTCATTTCCATTCGATGATGATTCCATGCGTTTCCATTCGACGATGATTCCATTCGATTCCGTTCAATGATTATTCCATTCGTGTCCATTCGATGATTCCATTCGATTCTATTCGATGATGATTGCATTCGGGTCCATGGATTATTCCATTCCATTCCATTAGATGATTCCATTCGTGGCCATTCGATGATTCTCTTCGATTCCATTCGATAATTCCGTTTGATGTTGATTCCATTCGAGTCCATTCGTTGATAATTCTATTCGATTCTGTGAGATGATTCCATTCCTTTCCATTTGAAGATTATTCCTTTCGAGACCATTCGATGATTGCACTCAATTCATTCGATGACGATTCGATTCAATTCCGTTCAATGATTCCATTCGATTCCATTTGATGATGATTCCATTCGATTCCATTTGATGATGATTCCATGCGATTCCATTAGATGATGACTCCTTTCATTTCCATTCAATGATGATTCCACTCGGTTCCATTTCATGATGATTCCTTTGAATTCCATTTGATGACAATTCCATTCAATACCAAGTGATGATGGTTAATTTGGATTCCATTTGATGATGATTACATTCGATTCCATTTGATCATGATTCCATTCGATTCCACTCGATGATTCCATTCAATTCCATTCAATGATGATTCCATTCGAGTTCATTGACTATTCCATTCCGTTCCATTCGATGATACCATTCGAGTCCATTCGATGATTCTATTCGATTGCATTCGATAATTCCATTCGATTGCATTCGATAATTCCATTTGATTCCATTTGAGGATAATTCCATTTGAGTCCATTCGATGATTGTTCCATTCGATTCTATTCGGTGATTCCATTCGATTCCATTTGATAATGATTCCATTCGTGACCATTCGATGATTCCATTCAATTCCATTCAATAAAGATTCCATTCGAGTCCATTCAATGATTCCATTCAAGACCATTCGATGATTCCATCAGATTCCATTCAAAGAATCCATTCGATTCCATTCAATGATGATTCCATTCATTTCCATCTGATGATGATTCCATTCGATTCCATTCATTGATTCCATTCGATTCCATTTGATGATGATTTCTATCAATTTCATTCGGTGATTCCATTCGAATCCATTCGATGATGAGTCCATCCATTTCAATTTCATGATAATTCCATTCGTTTCAATTCGATGGCGTTTCCATTCGATTCCATTCGATGTTGATTCCATTAGTTTCCATTGGATGATGATTCCGTTTGAGTCCATTCGATGATGATCACATTGGATTTCATTCCATAATTCTATTTGATTCCATTTGATGATGATTCCATCTGATTCCATTTGATGATTCCATTCGATTCCATTCGATGATGATTCCATTCGTTTCCATCCGGTGACGATTCTATTCGATTCCGTTGAATGTTTATTCCACTCGAGTCCATTCGACGATTCCATTCGATTCCATTTGATGATGATTGCATTCGAGTCCATGGATTATTCCATTCTATTTCATTAGATGATTCCATTCGAGTCCATTCGATGATTCTCTTCGATTCCATTCGATAATTCCGTTTGATTCCGTTTGATGTTGATTCCATTTGAGTCCATTCGATGATAATTCCATTCGATTCTATTCGATGATTCCATTCCATTCCATTTGAAGATGATTCCATTCGAGACCATTCGATGATTGCATTCCATTCATTCGATGACGATTCCATGCAATTCCGTTCAATGATTCCATTAGATTCCATGCGATGATGATTCCATTTGATTCCATTTGATGATGATTCCATGCGATTCCATTAGATGATGACTCCTTTCATTTCCATTCGATGATGATTCCATTCGTTTCCATTCGACGATGATTCCATTCGATTTCGTTCAATGATTATTCCATTCGAGTCCATTCGATGATTGCATTCGATTCTATTCGATGATGATTGCATTCAGGTCCATGGATTATTCCATTCCATTCCATTAGATGATTCCATTCGAGTCCATTCGATGATTCTCTTCGATTCCATTCGATAATTCCGTTTGATTCCGTTTGATGTTTATTCCATTCGAGTCCATTCGATGATAATTACATTCGATTCTATGCGATGATTCCATTCCTTTCCATTTGAAGATGATTCCATTCGAGACCATTCGATGATTGCATTCAATTCATTCGATGACGACTCGATTCAATTCCGTTCAATGACTCCATTCGATTCCATTTGATGATGATTCCATTCGATTCCATTTGATGATGATTCCATGCGATTCCATTAGATGATGACTCCTTTCATTTCCATTCAATGAGGATTCCATTCGGTTCCATTTGATGATGATTCCTTTGAATTCCATTTGATGACAATTGCATTCAGTAGCAGTTGATGATGGTGATTTTGGATTCCATTTGATGATGATTACATTTGATTCCATTTGATCATGATTCCATTCGATTCCACTCGATGATTCCATTCGATTCCATTCAATGATGATTCCATTCGTGTTCATTGACTCTTCCATTCCATTCCATTCGATGATTCCATTCGAGTCCATTCGATGATTCTATTCGATTGCTTTCGATAATTCCATTCGATTGCATTCGATAAATCCATTCGATTCCATTTGAGGATAATTCCATTTGAGTCCATTCGATGATTGTTCCATTCGATTCTATTCGGTGATTCCATTCGATTCCATTTGATAATGATTCCATTCGAGACCATTCGATGATTCCATTCAATTCCATTCAATAAAGATTCCATTCGAGTCCATTCAATGATTCCATTCAAGTCCATTCGATGATTCCATCAGATTCCATTCAATGAATCCATTCGATTCCATTCAGTGATGATTCCATTCATTTCCATCTGATGATGATTCCATTCGATTCCATTCAATGATTCCATTCGATTCCATTTGATGATGATTTCTATCAATTTCATTCGGTGATTCCATTCGAATCCATTCGATGATGAGTCCATCCATTTCAATTTCATGATAATTCCATTCGTTTCCTTCCGATGGCGTTTCCATTCGATTCCATTCGATGTTGATTCCATTTGTTTCCATTGGATGATGATTCCGTTCGTGTCCATTCGATGATGATCACATTGGATTTCATTCCATAATTCTATTCGAATCCATTTGATGATGATTTCATCTGATTCCATTTGATGATTCCATTCGATTCCATTCGATGATGATTCCATTCGTTTCCATCCAGTGACGATTCCATTCGATTCCCTTCAATGTTTATTCCACTCGAGTCCATTCGACGATTCCATTCGATTCCATTTGATGATGATTGCATTCGAGTCCATGGATTATTCCATTCTATTTCATTAGATGATTCCATTCGAGTCCATTCGATGATTCTCTTCGATTCCATTCGATAATTCCGTTTGATTCCGTTTGATGTTGATTCCATTTGAGTCCATTCGATGATAATTCCATTCGATTCTATGCGATGATTCCATTCCATTCCATTTGAAGATGGTTACATTCGAGACCATTCGATGATTGCATTCAATTCATTCGATGACGATTCCATGCAATTCCGTTCAATGATTCCATTAGATTCCATTCGATGATGATTCCATTTGATTCCATTTGATGATGATTCCGTGCGATTTCATTAGATGATGACTCCTTGCATTTCCATTCGATGATGATTCCATGCGTTTCCATTCGACGATGATTCCATTCGATTCCGTTCAATGATTATTCCATTCGTGTCCATTCGATGATTCCATTCGATTCTATTCGATGATGATTGCATTCGGGTCCATGGATTATTCCATTCCATTCCATTAGATGATTCCATTCGTGGCCATTCGATGATTCTCTTCGATTCCATTCGATAATTCCGTTTGATGTTGATTCCATTCGAGTCCATTCGTTGATAATTCCATTCGATTCTATGAGATGATTCCATTCCTTTCCATTTGAAGATTATTCCTTTCGAGACCATTCGATGATTGCACTCAATTCATTCGATGACGATTCCATTCAATTCCGTTCAATGATTCCATTAGATTCCATTTGATGATGATTCCATTCGATTCCATTTGATGATGATTCCATGCGATTCCATTAGATGATGACTCCTTTCATTTCCATTCAATGATGATTCCATTCGGTTCCATTTGATGATGATTCCTTTGAATTCCATTTGATGACAATTCCATTCAATACCAAGTGATGATGGTTAATTTGGATTCCATTTGATGATGATTACATTCGATTCCATTTGATCATGATTCCATTCGATTCCACTCGATGATTCCATTCAATTCCATTCAATGATGATTCCATTCAAGTTCATTGACTATTCCATTCCGTTCCATTCGATGATACCATTCGAGTCCATTCGATGATTCTATTCGATTGCATTCGATAATTCCATTCGATTGCATTCGATAATTCCATTTGATTCCATTTGAGGATAATTCCATTTGAGTCCATTCGATGATTGTTCCATTCGATTCTATTCGGTGATTCCATTCGATTCTATTTGATAATGATTCCATTCGTGACCATTCGATGATTCCATTCAATTCCATTCAATAAAGATTCCATTCGAGTCCATTCAATGATTCCATTCAAGACCATTCGATGATTCCATCAGATTCCATTCAAAGAATCCATTCGATTCCATTCAATGATGATTCCATTCATTTCCATCTGATGATGATTCCATTCGATTCCATTCAATGATTCCATTCGATTCCATTTGATGATGATTTCTATCAATTTCATTCGGTGATTCCATTCGAATCCATTCGATGATGAGTCCATCCATTTCAATTTCATGATAATTCCATTCGTTTCCTTTCGATGGCGTTTCCATTCGATTCCATTCGATGTTGATTCCATTTGTTTCCATTGGATGATGATTCCGTTTGAGTCCATTCGATGATGATCACATTGGATTTCATTCCATAATTCTATTCGAATCCATTTGATGATGATTTCATCTGATTCCATTTGATGATTCCATTCCATTCCATTCGATGATGATTCCATTCGTTTCCATCCGGTGACGATTCCATTCGATTCCGTTGAATGTTTATTCCACTCGAGTCCATTCGACGATTCCATTCGATTCCATTTGATGATGATTGCATTCGAGTCCATGGATTATTCCATTCTATTTCATTAGATGATTCCATTCGAGTCCATTCGATGATTCTCTTCGATTCCATTCGATAATTCCGTTTGATTCCGTTTGATGTTGATTCCATTTGAGTCCATTCGATGATAATTCCATTCGATTCTATGCGATGATTCCATTCCATTCCATTTGAAGATGGTTACATTCGAGACCATTCGATGATTGCATTCAATTCATTCGATGACGATTCCATTCACTTCCGTTCAATTATTCCATTAGATTCCATTCGATGATGATTCCATTCGATTCCATTTGATGATGATTCCGTGCGATTCCATTAGATGATGACTCCTTTCATTTCCATTCGATGATGATTCCATGCGTTTCCATTCGACGATGATTCCATTCGATTCCGTTCAATGATTATTCCATTCGTGTCCATTCGATGATTCCATTCGATTCTATTCGATGATGATTGCATTCGGGTCCATGGATTATTCCATTCCATTCCATTAGATGATTCCATTCGTGGCCATTCGATGATTCTCTTCGATTCCATTCGATAATTCCGTTTGATGTTGATCCCATTCGAGTCCATTCGTTGATAATTCCATTCGATTCTATGCGATGATTCCATTCGTTTCCATTTGAAGATTATTCCTTTCGAGACCATTCGATGATTGCACTCAATTCATTCGATGACGATTCCATTCAATTCCGTTCAATGATTCCATTAGATTCCATTTGATGATGATTCCATTCGATTTCATTTGATGATGATTCCATGCGATTCCATTAGATGATGACTCCTTTCATTTCCATTCAATGATGATTCCATTCGGTTCCATTTCATGATGATTCCTTTGAATTCCATTTGATGACAGTTCCATTCAATACCAAGTGATGATGGTTAATTTGGATTCCATTTGATGATGATTACATTCGATTCCATTTGATCATGATTCCATTCGATTCCACTCGATGATTCCATTCCATTCCATTCAATGATGATTCCATTCGAGTTCATTGACTATTCCATTCCGTTCCATTCGATGATACCATTCGAGTCCATTCGATGATTCTATTCGATTGCATTCGATAATTCCATTCGATTGCATTCGATAATTCCATTTGATTCCATTTGAGGATAATTCCATTTGAGTCCATTCGATGATTGTTCCATTCGATTCTCTTCGGTGATTCCATTCGATTCCATTTGATAATGATTCCATTCGAGACCATTCGATGATTCCATTCAATTCCATTCAATAAAGATTCCATTCGAGTCCATTCAATGATTCCATTCAAGACCATTTGATGATTCCATCAGATTCCATTCAAAGAGTCCATTCGATTCCATTCAATGATGATTCCATTCATTTCCATCTGATGATGATTCCATTCGATTCCATTCAATGATTCCATTCGATTCCATTTGATGATGATTTCTATCAATTTCATTCGGTGATTCCATTCGAATCCATTCGATGATGAGTCCATCCATTTCAATTTCATGATAATTCCATTCGTTTCAATTCGATGGCGTTTCCATTCGATTCCATTCGATGTTGATTCCATTAGTTTCCATTGGATGATGATTCCGTTTGAGTCCATTCGATGATGATCACATTGGATTTCATTCCATAATTCTATTTGATTCCATTTGATGATGATTCCATCTGATTCCATTTGATGATTCCATTCGATTCCATTCGATGATGATTCCATTCGTTTCCATCCGGTGACGATTCCATTCGATTCCGTTGAATGTTTATTCCACTCGAGTCCATTCGACGATTCCATTCGATTCCATTTGATGATGATTGCATTCGAGTCCATGGATTATTCCATTCTATTTCATTAGATGATTCCATTCGAGTCCATTCGATGATTCTCTTCGATTCCATTCGATAATTCCGTTTGATTCCGTTTGATGTTGATTCCATTTGAGTCCATTCGATGATAATTCCATTCGATTCTATGCGATGATTCCATTCCATTCCATTTGAAGATGATTCCATTCGAGACCATTCGATGATTGCATTCAATTCATTCGATGACGATTCCATGCAATTCGGTTCAATGATTCCATTAGATTCCATTCGATGATGATTCCATTCGATTCCATTTGATGATGATTCCGTGCGATTTCATTAGATGATGACTCCTTTCATTTCCATTCGATGATGATTCCATGCGTTTCCATTCGACGATGATTCCATTCGATTCCATTCAATGATTATTCCATTCGTGTCCATTCGATGATTCCATTCGATTCTATTCGATGATGATTGCATTCGGGTCCATGGATTATTCCATTCCATTCAATTAGATGATTCCATTGGTGGCCATTCGATGATTCTCTTCGATTCCATTCGATAATTCCGTTTGATTCCGTTTGATGTTGATTCCATTCGAGTCCATTCGTTGATAATTCCATTCGATTCTATGCGATGATTCCATTCCTTTCCATTTGAAGATGATTCCATTCGAGACCATTCGATGATTGCATTCAATTCATTCGATGACGATTCCATTCACTTCCGTTCAATTATTCCATTAGATTCCATTCGATGATGATTCCATTCGATTCCATTTGATGATGATTCCGTGCGATTCCATTTGATGATGACTCCTTTCATTTCCATTCGATGATGATTCCATGCGTTTCCATTCGACGATGATTCCATTCGATTCCGTTCAATGATTATACCATTCGTGTCCATTCGATGATTCCATTCGAATCTATTCGAGGATGATTGCATTCGGGTCCATGGATTATTCCATTCCATTCCATTAGATGATTCCATTCGTGGCCATTCGATGATTCTCTTCGATTCCATTCGATAATTCCTTTTGATTCCGTTTGATGTTGATTCCATTTGAGTCCATTCGATGATAATTCCATTCGATTCTATGCGATGATTCCATTCCATTCCATTTGAAGATGATTCCATTCGAGACCATTCGATGATTGCATTCAATTCATTCGATGACGATTCGATTCAATTCCGTTCAATGATTCCATTCGATTCCATTTGATGATGATTCCATTCGATTCCATTTGATGATGATTCCATGCGATTCCATTAGATGATGACTCCTTTCATTTCCATTCAATGAGGATTCCATTCGGTTCCATTTGATGATGATTCCTTTGAATTCCATTTGATGACAATTCCATTCAGTACCAATTGATGATGCTGATTTTGGATTCCAGTTGATGATGATTACATTCGATTCCATTTGATCATGATTCCATTCGATTCCACTCGATGATTCCATTCGATTCCATTCAATGATGATTCCATTCGAGTTCATTGACTCTTCCATTCCATTCCATTCGATGATTCCATTCGAGTCCATTCGATGATTCTATTCGATTGCTTTCGATAATTCCATTCGATTGCATTCGATAAATCCATTCGATTCCATTTGAGGATAATTCCATTTGAGTCCATTCGATGATTGTTCCATTCGATTCTGTTCGGTGATTCCATTCGATTCCATTTGATAATGATTCCGTTCGAGACCATTCGATGATTCCATTAAATTCCATTCAATAAAGATTCCATTCGAGTCCATTCAATGATTCCATTCAAGTCCATTCGATGATTCCATCAGATTCCATTCAATGAATCCATTCGATTCCATTCAGTGATGATTCCATTCATTTCCATCTGAGGATGATTCCATTCGATTCCATTCAATGATTCCATTCGATTCCATTTGATGATGATTTCAATCAATTTCATTCGGTGATTCCATTCGAATCCATTCGATGATGAGTCCATCCATTTCAATTTCATGATAATTCCATTCGTTTCCTTTCGATGGCGTTTCCATTCGATTCCATTCGATGTTGATTCCATTTGTTTCCATTGGATGATGATTCCGTTCGTGTCCATTCGATGATGATCACATTGGATTTCATTCCATAATTCTATTCGAATCCATTTGATGATGATTTCATCTGATTCCATTTGATGATTCCATTCGATTCCATTTGATGATGATTCCATTCGTTTCCATCCGGTGACGATTCCATTCGATTCCGTTGAATGTTTATTCCACTCGAGTCCATTCGACGATTCCATTCGATTCCATTTGATGATGATTGCATTCGAGTCCATGGATTATTCCATTCTATTTCATTAGATGATTCCATTCGAGTCCATTCGATGATTCTCTTCGATTCCATTCGATAATTCCGTTTGATTCCGTTTGATGTTGATTCCATTTGAGTCCATTCGATGATAATTCCATTCGATTCTATGCGATGATTCCATTCCATTCCATTTGAAGATGGTTACATTCGATACCATTCGATGATTGCATTCAATTCATTCGATGACGATTCCATTCACTTCCGTTCAATGATTCCATTAGATTCCATTCGATGATGATTCCATTCGATTCCATTTGATGATGATTCCGTGCGATTCCATTAGATGATGACTCCTTTCATTTCCATTCGATGATGATTCCATGCGTTTCCATTCGACGATGATTCCATTCGATTCCGTTCAATGATTATTCCATTCGTGTCCATTCGATGATTCCATTCGATTCTATTCGATGATGATTGCATTCGGGTCCATGGATTATTCCATTCCATTCCATTAGATGATTCCATTCGTGGCCATTCGATGATTCTCTTCGATTCCATTCGATAATTCCGTTTGATGTTGATCCCATTCGAGTCCATTCGTTGATAATTCCATTCGATTCTATGCGATGATTCCATTCGTTTCCATTTGAAGATTATTCCTTTCGAGACCATTCGATGATTGCACTCAATTCATTCGATGACGATTCCATTCAATTCCGTTCAATGATTCCATTAGATTCCATTTGATGATGATTCCATTCGATTTCATTTGATGATGATTCCATGCGATTCCATTAGATGATGACTCCTTTCATTTCCATTCAATGATGATTCCATTCGGTTCCATTTCATGATGATTCCTTTGAATTCCATTTGATGACAATTCCATTCAATACCAAGTGATGATGGTTAATTTGGATTCCATTTGATGATGATTACATTCGATTCCATTTGATCATGATTCCATTCGATTCCACTCGATGATTCCATTCAATTCCATTCAATGATGATTCCATTCGAGTTCATTGACTATTCCATTCTGTTCCATTCGATGATACCATTCGAGTCCATTCGATGATTCTATTCGATTGCATTCGATAATTCCATTCGATTGCATTCGATAATTCCATTTGATTCCATTTGAGGATAATTCCATTTGAGTCCATTCGATGATTGTTCCATTCGATTCTCTTCGGTGATTCCATTCGATTCCATTTGATAATGATTCCATTCGAGACCATTCGATGATTCCATTCAATTCCATTCAATAAAGATTCCATTCGAGTCCATTCAATGATTCCATTCAAGACCATTTGATGATTCCATCAGATTCCATTTAAAGAGTCCATTCGATTCCATTCAATGATGATTCCATTCATTTCCATCTGATGATGATTCCATTCGATTCCATTCAATGATTCCATTCGATTCCATTTGATGATGATTTCTATCAATTTCATTCGGTGATTCCATTCGAATCCATTCGATGATGAGTCCATCCATTTCAATTTCATGATAATTCCATTCGATTCAATTCGATGGCGTTTCCATTCGATTCCATTCGATGTTGATTCCATTAGTTTCCATTGGATGATGATTCCGTTTGAGTCCATTCGATGATGATCACATTGGATTTCATTCCATAATTCTATTTGATTCCATTTGATGATGATTCCATCTGATTCCATTTGATGATTCCATTCGATTCCATTCGATGATGATTCCATTCGTTTCCATCCGGTGACGATTCCATTCGATTCCGTTGAATGTTTATTCCACTCGAGTCCATTCGACGATTCCATTCGATTCCATTTGATGATGATTGCATTCGAGTCCATGGATTATTCCATTCTATTTCATTAGATGATTCCATTCGAGTCCATTCGATGATTCTCTTCGATTCCATTCGATAATTCCGTTTGATTCCGTTTGATGTTGATTCCATTTGAGTCCATTCGATGATAATTCCATTCGATTCTATGCGATGATTCCATTCCATTCCATTTGAAGATGATTCCATTCGAGACCATTCGATGATTGCATTCAATTCATTCGATGACGATTCCATGCAATTCGGTTCAATGATTCCATTAGATTCCATTTGATGATGATTCCATTCGATTCCATTTGATGATGATTCCGTGCGATTTCATTAGATGATGACTCCTTTCATTTCCATTCGATGATGATTCCATGCGTTTCCATTCGACGATGATTCCATTCGATTCCGTTCAATGATTATTCCATTCGTGTCCATTCGATGATTCCATTCGATTCTATTCGATGATGATTGCATTCGGGTCCATGGATTATTCCATTCCATTCCATTAGATGATTCCATTCGTGGCCATTCGATGATTCTCTTCGATTCCATTCGATAATTCCGTTTGATTCCGTTTGATGTTGATTCCATTCGGGTCCATTCGATGATACTTCCATTCGATTCTATGCGATGATTCCATTCCTTTCCATTTGAAGATGATTCCATTCGAGACCATTCGATGATTGCATTCAATTCATTCGATGACGATTCGATTCAATTCCGTTCAATGATTCCATTCGATTCCATTTGATGATGATTCCATTCGATTCCATTTGATGATGATTCCATGCGATTCCATTAGATGATGACTCCTTTCATTTCCATTCAATGAGGATTCCATTCGGTTCCATTTGATGATGATTCCTTTGAATTCCATTTGATGACAATTCCATTCAGTACCAATTGATGATGGTGATTTTGGATTCCATTTGATGATGATTACATTCGATTCCATTTGATCATGATTCCATTCGATTCCACTCGATGATTCCATTCGATTCCATTCAATGATGATTCCATTCGAGTTCATTGACTCTTCCATTCCATTCCATTCGATGATTCCATTCGAGTCCATTCGATGATTCTATTCGATTGCTTTCGATAATTCCATTCGATTCCATTTGAGGATAATTCCATTTGAGTGCATTCGATGATTGTTCCATTCGATTCTATTCGGTGATTCCATTCGATTTCATTTCATAATTATTCCATTCGAGGCCGTTCAATGATTCCATTCAATTCTATTCAATAATGATTCCATTCGGGTCCATTCAATGATTCCATTCATGTCCATTCGATGATTCCATCTGATTCCATTCAATGAATCCGTTCGATTCCATTCTAAGATGATTCCGTTCATTTCCATCTGATGATGATTCCATTCGATTCCATTCAATGATTCCATTCGATGATGATTTCAATCAATTTCATTCGGTGATTCCATTCAAATCCATTCGATGATGAGTCCATCCATTTCAATTTCATGATAATTCCATTCGTTTCAATTCGATGGTGTTTCCATTCGATTCCATTTGATGTTGATTCCATTAGTTTTCATTGGATGATGATTCCGTTCAAGTCCATTCGATGATTATCACATTTGATTTCATTCCATAATTCTATTTGATTCCATTTGATGATGATTCCATCTGATTCCATTTGATGATTCCATTCGATTCCATTCGATGATGATTCCATTCGTTTCCATCCGGTGACGATTCCATTCGATTCCGTTCAATGTTTATTCCACTCGAGTCCATTCGACGATTCCATTCGATTCCATTTGATGATGATTGCATTCGAGTCCATGGATTATTCCATTCTATTTCATTAGATGATTCCATTCGAGTCCATTCGATGATTCTCTTCGATTCCATTCGATAATTCCGTTTGATTCCGTTTGATGTTGATTCCATTTGAGTCCATTCGATGATAATTCCATTCGATTCTATGCGATGATTCCATTCCATTCCATTTGAAGATGGTTACATTCGAGACCATTCGATGATTGCATTCAATTCATTCGATGACGATTCCATTCACTTCCGTTCAATTATTCCATTAGATTCCATTCGATGATGATTCTATTCCATTCCATTTGATGATGATTCCGTGCGATTCCATTAGATGATGACTCCCTTCATTTCCATTCGATGATGATTCCATGCGTTTCCATTCGACGATGATTCCATTCGATTCCGTTCAATGATTATTCCATTCGTGTCCATTCGATGATTCCATTCGATTCTATTCGATGATGATTGCATTCGGGTCCATGGATTATTCCATTCCATTCCATTAGATGATTCCATTTGTGGCCATTCGATGATTCTCTTCGATTCCATTCGATAATTCCGTTTGATGATGATTCCATTCGAGTCCACTCGTTGATAATTCCATGCGATTCTATGAGATGATTCCATTCCTTTCCATTTGAAGATTATTCCTTTCGAGACCATGCGATGATTGCATTCAATTCATTCGATGACGACTCGATTCAATTCCGTTCAATGATTCCATTAGATTCCATTTGATGATGATTCCATTCGATTCCATTTGATGATGATTCCATGCGATTCCATTAGATGATGACTCCTTTCATTTCCATTCAATGATGATTCCATTCGGTTCCATTTCATGATGATTCCTTTGAATTCCATTTGATGACAATTCCATTCAATACCAAGTGATGATGGTTAATTTGGATTCCATTTGATGATGATTACATTCGATTCCATTTGATCATGATTCCATTCGATTCCACTCGATGATTCCATTCAATTCCATTCAATGATGATTCCATTCGAGTTCATTGACTATTCCATTCCGTTCCATTCGATGATACCATTCGAGTCCATTCGATGATTCTATTCGATTGCATTCGATAATTCCATACGATTGCATTCGATAATTCCATTTGATTCCATTTGAGGATAATTCCATTTGAGTCCATTCGATGATTGTTCCATTCGATTCTATTCGGTGATTCCATTCGATTCCATTTGATAATGATTCCATTCGTGACCATTCGATGATTCCATTCAATTCCATTCAATAAAGATTCCATTCGAGTCCATTCAATGATTCCATTCAAGACCATTCGATGATTCTATCAGATTCCATTCAAAGAATCCATTCGATTCCATTCAATGATGATTCCATTCATTTCCATCTGATGATGATTCCATTCGATTCCATTCAATGATTCCATTCGATTCCATTTGATGATGATTTCTATCAATTTCATTCGGTGATTCCATTAGAATCCATTCGATGATGAGTCCATCCATTTCAATTTCATGATAATTCCATTCGTTTCCTTTCGATGGCGTTTCCATTCGATTCCATTCGATGTTGATTCCATTAGTTTCCATTGGATGATGATTCCGTTTGAGTCCATTCGATGATGATCACATTGGATTTCATTCCATAATTCTATTTGATTCCATTTGATGATGATTCCATCTGATTCCATTTGATGATTCCATTCGATTCCATTCGATGATGATTCCATTCGTTTCCATCCAGTGACGATTCTATTCGATTCCGTTGTATGTTTATTCCACTCGAGTCCATTCGACGATTCCATTCGATTCCATTTGATGATGATTGCATTCGAGTCCATGGATTATTCCATTCTATTTCATTAGATGATTCCGTTCGAGTCCATTCGATGATTCTCTTCGATTCCATTCGATAATTCCGTTTGATTCCGTTTGATGTTGATTCCATTTGAGTCCATTCAATGATAATTCCATTTGATTCTATGCGATGATTCCATTCCATTCCATTTGAAGATGATTCCATTCGAGACCATTCGATGATTGCATTCAATTCATTCGATGACGATTCCATGCAATTCCGTTCAATGATTCCATTAGATTCCATTTGATGATGATTCCATTTGATTCCATTTGATGATGATTCCATGCGATTCCATTAGATGATGACTCCTTTCATTTCCATTCGATGATGATTCCATTCGTTTCCATTCGACGATGATTCCATTCGATTTCGTTCAATGATTATTCCATTCGAGTCCATTCGATGAGTGCATTCGATTCTATTCGATGATGATTGCATTCGGGTCCATGGATTATTGCATTCCATTCCATTAGATGATTCCATTCGAGTCCATTCGATGATTCTCTTCGATTCCATTCGATAATTCCGTTTGATTCCGTTTGATGTTGATTCCATTCGAGTCCATTCGATGATAATTCCATTCGATTCTATGCGATGATTCCATTCCTTTCCATTTGAAGATGATTCCATTCGAGACCATTCGATGATTGCACTCAATTCATTCGATGACGATTCCATTCAATTCCGTTCAATGATTCCATTAGATTCCATTTGATGATGATTCCATTCGATTTCATTTGATGATGATTCCATGCGATTCCATTAGATGATGACTCCTTTCATTTCCATTCAATGATGATTCCATTCGGTTCCATTTCATGATGATTCCTTTGAATTCCATTTGATGACAATTCCATTCAATACCAAGTGATGATGGTTAATTTGGATTCCATTTGATGATGATTACATTCGATTCCATTTGATCATGATTCCATTCGATTCCACTCGATGATTCCATTCAATTCCATTCAATGATGATTCCATTCGAGTTCATTGTCTATTCCATTCCGTTCCATTTGATGATACCATTCGAGTCCATTCGATGATTCTATTCGATTGCATTCGATAATTCCATTCGATTGCATTCGATAATTCCATTTGATTCCATTTGAGGATAATTCCATTTGAGTCCATTCGATGATTGTTCCATTCGATTCTATTCGGTGATTCCATTCGATTCCATTTGATAATGATTCCATTCGAGACCATTCGATGATTCCATTCAATTCCATTCAATAAAGATTCCATTCGAGTCCATTCAATGATTCCATTCAAGACCATTCGATGATTCCATCAGATTCCATTCAAAGAATCCATTTGATTCCATTCAATGATGATTCCATTCATTTCCATCTGATGATGATTCCATTCGATTCCATTCAATGATTCCATTCGATTCCATTTGATGATGATTTCTATCAATTTCATTCGGTGATTCCATTCGAATCCATTCGATGATGAGTCCATCCATTTCAATTTCATGATAATTCCATTCGTTTCAATTCGATGGCGTTTCCATTCGATTCCATTCGATGTTGATTCCATTAGTTTCCATTGGATGATGATTCCGT